>NC_000009.12:83220552-85720552 GCF_000001405.40 Homo sapiens
GGTAGAAGCTAGCCTCTGGCAGAGACCAATAGCAGGCACTTCAGAGGATAAAAGGGAGAGGTTGAGATTTATGCCCAAGGAAATTAGCTATACATACATATTCAGTAGGTTATAGGAGAATCTTATGAATATTTATGAGTCAATACATATGCACAGAATGAACATGTATGTAACATACAACACATGTTCACTTTGGGGTGGAGACAACATTAAGATACAGTCAAATTTAGGCCACACACATTAAAAGGTGAAGCAGGGACATGAAAGTAATCAACGCTCAGCCTCTATGAATCAGCCAGAACCGGTCTGTGGTCTCTTAGAAGAAAGTTACTGAAATCAGTCTCTTGTCCAGTCAGAGCTGTAGTTATGCCTTGTGGAGCACGAGGTCAGTTAGTCAGTGTTTGGTGGTTAGTGAGCTGCAATTGTTTCAATATTGCTTATCTGGAGACCAGTGCTTGTTTTGCTGATAGAGAAAAAGAAAAACCTTGAGGCAGTTAGAAAATAGTTTATTCTTTAACTGTAGGGGCTGTAGGACTTAACCCTTGCCTACTACCACCTTAGGTCTTGTTTATAATTTGGTATCTTATTACCACAAAGAGTCCATTCTGTCAGCTTATGACCTCTATTTTAGCAACATAAAATAAGAGCAGCTTTTTCTACATCACGTAGAATGCACTTCCTCCAATTCAAACTTCCAAATCATGAATTATTGCTAAAAGGAGGTGAAAGGGCTGAGAAGGTTAGGGCCAAGTGAGCAGACCACAGTATATCCTTTGGGATAATAAATGTCATTTTACATAAGAAAGAGACCCATGGTCAAATAAGTGTGTAAAATACTTGATTAAATGTATTTCTTTACTGCAGGACTTTTTTTCAGAAATTTTAGAAAGCAAATATATATTGTGACTCTTCAAGTTAAAGTTATACTTACAGCATTTCTCACATTTATTTCCTGTGAAACTTTTTTGTACAATGACTTGCAGAGCAACTATTCCACAGAACATACTTTGGAAAACACTAAACTGGAACACCAATGACCTCCCCAAGAGGTCTCCGTAAGGTAGAATGGTAGACAGCTGTTGGACACGTCTGGTTTTTCAAAGTGGCAAAATAGTTTTGGGCTGTCTTCCTCAAGAGGGGGATGGGAGAAGCCTTTTGAAACAGAGTAGATAAAGAATTAATTTGGCAGGGAGGACAAACTTACATTATGTTTCAGATGCTCAACATTATTTAATTCTCAAAATTGCTGTCTCAAATGGATACGGTTATCCCCACTTTACAAGCAACAAAACTGACATTCATGAATTAGTCAAATGCCACCTTCAAGCTCACATAGCCAGGAAGTGATAGCACTGGTATTTGGAGCCAAATCTTTAGTATAGTACAGTGAAGAACCCAAGCCCAGTAGCAGGGCAGCCAGCAGGGGCTCTGGAAGAACTGATTTTGTTTTCATGGTCACTTGAGTAATTCATGAAGAGTGAGAGTAGTGGGTAGTCTGCTCTCAAATAGTGAGCAGAAGAAAGTCCCCAGTATCGTCTTCTGATGATGGGCAGGGGATAATCCTTCTTTGAAAGATATATGGTCAGGAAAAATTGTGAAATTCGTTTTGCTAGAAGTTCAGTTGCAAATACAGACATATCTCAAAGATGTTGTGGGTTCAGGTTCCAGACCACTGCAATAAAGTGACCGTCACAATAAAGCAAGTCACACAAATGTTATGGTTCCCCAGTGCATATAAAAGTTACATTTACATGATACTGTAGTTTTTTTAAGTGTGCAATAGCATTATGTCTTAAAAAAAGTACATACTTTAATTTAAAGGTAATTTCTTGCTAAAAAATGCTAATGATCATCTGAGCTTTCAGTGAGTCATAATCTTTTTGCTGGTGGAGGGTCTTGCCACAATATTGATGGCTAACTAATTATCAGAGTGGTGGTTGCTAGAAGTTGGAGCAGCTGTGGCAATTTCTTAAAATAAGACAACAATGAAGTTTGTTTCAGCTATTGACTCTTCCTTTTATGAAAGATTTCTCTGTTTGATAGCATTTTGCCCACAGTATAACTTCTTTAAAATTGGAGTCGGTCCTCCCAAATCGTGCCACTGACGGATCAATTAGGTTTGTTGTCATTTCAACAATGTTCACAGCACCTTCACCAGGATTCCATCTCAACAAACCATTTCCTTTGCTTCTACATAAGAAGCAACTCCTCGTCTGTTCAAGTTTTATCATGAGATAGCCACAATGCAGTGGCACCTTCAGGTTCCGCTTGTCATTCTAGTTTCCTCGCTATTTCTTTTTTTTTTTTCTAGTCGCAAAATTGAATATTTTATTTTGAGATGTTAATTTTCTTTTTTATTTATTTATTTATTTATTTATTTATTTATTTATTTTTATTATACTTTAAGTTTTAGGGTACATGTGCACATTGTGCAGGTTAGTCACATATGTATACATGTGCCATGCTGGTGCACTGCACCCACTAACTCATCATCTAGCATTAGGTATATCTCCCAATGCTATCCCTCCCCCCTCCCCCCACCCCACAACAGTCCCCAGAGTGTGATATTCCCCTTCCTGTGTCCATGTGATCTCATTGTTCAATTCCCACCTATGAGTGACAATATGCGGTGTTTGGTTTTTTGTTCTTGCGAGTTTACTGAGAATGATGCTTTCCAATTTCATCCATGTCCCTACAAAGGACATAAACTCATCATTTTTTATGGCTGCATAGTATTCCATGGTGTGTATGTGCCACATTTTCTTAATCCAGTCTATCATTGTTGGGCATTTGGGTTGGTTCCAAGTCTTTGCTATTGTGAATAATGCCGCAATAAACATACGTGTGCATGTGTCTTTATAGCAGCATGATTTACAGTTCTTTGGGTATATACCCAGTAATGGGATGGCTGGGTCAAATGGTATTTCTAGTTCTAGATCCCTGAGGAATCGCCACACTGACTTCCACAATGGTTGAACTAGTTTACAGTCCCACCAACAGTGTAAAAGTGTTCCTATTTCTCCACATCCTCTCCAGCACCTGTTGTTTCCTGACTTTTTAATGATTGCCATTCTAACTGGTGTGAGATGGTATCTCATTGTGGTTTTGATTTGCATTTCTCTGATGGCCAGTGATGATGAGCATTTTTTCATGTGTTTTTTGGCTGCATAAATGTCTTCTTTTGAGAAGTGTCTGTTCATGTCCTTCGCCCATTTTTTGATGGGGTTGTTTGTTTTTTTCTTGTAAATCTGTTTGAGTTCATTGTAGATTCTGGATATTAGCCCTTTGTCAGATGAGTAGGTTGCGAAAATTTTCTCCCATTTTGTAGGTTGCCTGTTCACTCTGATGGTAGTTTCTTTTGCTGTGCAGAAGCTCTTTAGTTTAATTAGATCCCATTTGTCAATTTTGTCTTTTGTTGCCATTGCTTTTGGTATTTTAGACATGAAGTCCTTACCCATGCCTATGTCCTGAATGGTAATGCCTAGGTTTTCTTCTAGGGTTTTTATGGTTTTAGGTCTAACGTTTAAGTCTTTAATCCACCTTGAATTGATTTTTGTATAAGGTGTAAGGAAGGGATCCAGTTTCAGCTTTCTACATATGGCTAGCCAGTTTTCCCAGCACCATTTATTAAATAGGGAATCCTTTCCCCATTGCTTGTTTTTCACAGGTTTGTCAAAGATCAGATAGTTGTAGATATGTGGCGTTCTTTCTGAGGGCTCTGTTCTGTTCCATTGATCTATATCTCTGTTTTGGTACCAGTACCATGCTGTTTTGGTTACTGTAGCCTTGTAGTATAGTTTGAAGTCAGGTAGTGTGATGCCTCCAGCTTTGTTCTTTTGGCTTAGGATTGACTTGGCGGTGCGGGCTCTTTTTTGGTTCCATATGAACTTTAAAATAGTTGTTTCCAATTCTGTGAAGAAAGGCATTGGTAGCTTGATGGGGATGGCATTGAATCTGTAAATTACCTTGGGCAGTATGGCCATTTTCACGATATTGACTCTTCCTACCCATAAGCATGGAATGTTCTTCCGTTTGTTTGTATCCTCTTTTATTTCCTTGAGCAGTGGTTTGTAGTTCTCCTTGAAGAGGTCCTTCACATCCCTTGTAAGTTGGATTCCTAGGTATTTTATTCTCTTTGAAGCAATTGTGAATGGGAGTTCACTCATGATTTGGCTCTCTGTTTGTCTGTTGTTGGTGTATAAGAATGCTTGTGATTTTTGTACATTGATTTTGTATCCTGAGACTTTGCTGAAGTTGCTTATCAGCTTAAGGAGATTTTGGGCTGAGACAATGGGGTTTTCTAGATAAACAATCATGTCGTCTGCAAACAGGGACAATTTGACTTCCTCTTTTTCTAATTGAATACCCTTTATTTCCTTCTCCTGACTAATTGCCCTGGCCAGAACTTCCAACACTATGTTGAATAGGAGTGGTGAGAGAGGGCATCCCTGTCTTGTGCCAGTTTTCAAAGGGAATGCTTCCAGTTTTTGCCCATTCAGTATGATATTGGCTGTGGGTTTGTCATAGATAGCTCTTATTACTTTGAAATACATCCCATCAATACCTAATTTATTGAGAGTTTTTAGCATGAAGCGTTGTTGAATTTTGTCAAAGGCTTTTTCTGCATCTATTGAGATAATCATGTGGTTTTTGTCTTTGGCTCTGTTTATATGCTGGTACATTTATTGATTTGCGTATATTGAACCAGCCTTGCATCCCAGGGATGAAGCCCACTTGATCATGGTGGATAAGCTTTTTGGTGTGCTGCTGGATTCGTTTTGCCAGTATTTTATTGAGGATTTTTGCATCAATGTTCATCAAGGATATTGGTCTAAAATTCTCTTTTTTGGTTGTGTCTCTGCCCGGCTTTGGTATCAGAATGATGCTGGCCTCATAAAATGAGTTAGGGAGGATTCCTTCTTTTTCTGTTGATTGGAATAGTTTCAGAAGGAATGGTACCAGTTCCTCCTTGTACCTCCGGTAGAATTCGGCTGTGAATCCATCTGGTCCTGGACTCTTTTTGGTTGGTAAACTATTGATTATTGCCACAATTTCAGCTCCTGTTATTGGTCTATTCAGAGATTCAACTTCTTCGTGGTTTAGTCTTGGGAGAGTGTATGTGTCGAGGAATTTATCCATTTCTTCTAGATTTTCTAGTTTATTTGCGCGGAGGTGTTTGTAGTATTCTCTGATGGTAGTTTGTATTTCTGTGGGATTGGTGGTGATATCCCCTTTATCATTTTTTATTGTGTCTATTTGATTCTTCTCTCTTTTTTCTTTATTAGTCTTGCTAGCGGTCTATCAATTTTGTTGATCCTTTCAAAAAACCAGCTCCTGGATTCATTAATTTTTTGAAGGGTTTTTTGTGTCTCTATTTCCTTCAGTTCTGCTCTGATTTTAGTTATTTCTTGCCTTCTGCTAGCTTTTGAATGTGTTTGCTCTTGCTTTTCTAGTTCTTTTAATGGTGATGTTAGGGTGTCAATTTTGGATCTTTCCTGCTTTCTCTTGTGGGCATTTAGTGCTATAAATTTCCCTCTACACACTGCTTTGAATGCGTCCCAGAGATTCTGGTATGTTGTGCCTTTGTTCTCGTTGGTTTCAAAGAACATCTTTATTTCTGCCTTCATTTCGTTATGTACCCAGTAGTCATTCAGGAGCAGGTTGTTCAGTTTCCATGTAGTTGAGCGGTTTTGAGTGAGATTCTTAATCCTGAGTTCTAGTTTGATTGCACTGTGGTCTGAGAGATAGTTTGTTATAATCTCTGTTCTTTTACATTTGCTGAGGAGAGCTTTACTTCCAAGTATGTGGTCAATTTTGGAATAGGTGTGGTGTGGTGCTGAAAAAAATGTATATTCTGTTGATTTGGGGTGGAGAGTTCTGTAGATGTCTATTAGGTCTGCTTGGTGCAGAGCTGAGTTCAATTCCTGGGTATCCTTATTGACTTTCTGTCTCGTTGATCTGTCTAATGTTGACAGTGGGGTGTTAAAGTCTCCCATTATTAATGTGTGGGAGTCTAAGTCTCTTTGTAGGTCACTCAGGACTTGCTTTATGAATCTGGGTGCTCCTGTATTGGGTGCATATATATTTAGGATAGTTAGCTCTTGTTGTTGAATTGATCCCTTTACCATTATGTAATGGCCTTCTTTGTCTCTTTTGATCTTTGTTGGTTTAAAGTCTGTTTTATCAGAGACTAGGATTGCAACCCCTGCCTTTTTTTGTTTTCCATTTGCTTGGTAGATCTTCCTCCATCCTTTTATTTTGAGCCTATGTGTGTCTCTGCACGTGAGATGGGTTTCCTGAATACAGCACACTGATGGGTCTTGACTCTTTATCCAATTTGCCAGTCTGTGTCTTTTAATTGGAGCATTTAGTCCATTTCCATTTAAAGTTAATATTGTTATGTGTGAATCTGATCCTGTCATTATGATGTTAGCTGGTTATTTTGCTTGTTAGTTGATGCAGTTTCTTCCTAGTCTCGATGGTCTTTACATTTTGGCATGATTTTGCAGTGGCTGATACTGGTTGTTCCTTTCCATGTTTAGAGCTTCCTTCAGCAACTCTTTTAGGGCAGGCCTGGTGGTGACAAAATCTCTCAGCATTTGCTTGTCTGTAAAGTATTTTATTTCTCCTTCACTTATGAAGCTTAGTTTGGCTGGATATGAAATTCTGGGGTGAAAATTCTTGTCTTTAAGAATGTTGAATATTGGCCCCCACTCTCTTCTGGCTTGTAGGGTTTCTGCTGAGAGATCCGCTGTTAGTCTGATGGGCTTCCCTTTGAGGGTAATCCGACCTTTCTCTCTGGCTGCCCTTAACATTTTTTCCTTCATTTCTACTTTGGTGAATCTGACAATTATGTGTCTTGGAGTTGCTCTTCTCAAGGAGTATCTTTGTGGTGTTCTCTGTATTTCCTGAATCTGAACATTGGCCTGCCTTGCTAGATTGGGGAAGTTCTCCTGGATAATATCCTGCAGAGTGTTTTCCAACTTGGTTCCATTCTCCCCATCACTTTCAGGTACACCAATCAGACGTAGATTTGGTCTTTTCACATAGTCCCATATTTCTTGGAGGCTTTGCTCATTTCTTTTTATTCTTTTTTCTCTAAACTTCCCTTCTCGCTTCATTTCATTCATTTCATCTTCCATTGCTGGTACCCTTTCTTCCAGTTGATCGCATCAGCTCCTGAGGCTTCTGCATTCTTCACATAGTTCTCGAGCCTCGGTTTTCAGCTCCATCAGCTCCTTTAAGCACTTCTCTGTATTGGTTATTCTAGTTATACATTCTTCTAGATTTTTTTCAAAGTTGTCAACTTCTTTGCCTTTGGTCTGAATGTCCTCCCGTAGCTCAGAGTAATTTGATCGTCTGAAGCCTTCTTCTCTCAGCTCGTCCAAGTCATTCTCCATCCAGCTTTGTTCCCTTGCTGGTGAGGAACTGCGTTCCTTTGGAGGAGGAGAGGTGCTCTGCTTTTTAGAGTTTCCAGTTTTTCTGTTCTGTTTTTTCCCCATCTTTGCGGTTTTATCTACTTTTGGTCTTTGATGATGGTGATGTACAGATGGGTTTTCGGTGTGGATGTCCTTTCTGTTTGTTAGTTTTCCTTCTAACAGACAGGACCCTCAGCTGCAGGTCTGTTGGAATACCCTGCCCTGTGAGGTGTCAGTGTGCCCCTGCTGGGGGGTGCCTCCCAGTTAGGCTGCTCGGGGGTCAGGGGTCAGGGACCCACTTGAGGAGGCAGTCTGCCGGTTCTCAGATCTCCAGCTGCGTGCTGGGAGACCCATGGCTCTCTTCAAAGCTGTCAGACAGGGACATTTAAGTCTGCAGAGGTTACTGCTGTCTTTTTGTTTGTCTGTGCCCTGCCCCCAGAGGTGGAGCCTACAGAGGGAGGCAGGCCTCCTTGAGCTGTGGTGGGCTCCACCCAGTTCCAGCTTCCCAGCTGCTTTGTTTACCTGAGCAAGCCTGGGCAATGGCAGGCGCCCCTCCCCCAGCCTCGCTGCCACCTTGCAGTTTGATCTCAGACTGCTGTGCTAGCAATCAGCGAGACTCCGTGGGCGTAGGACCCTCCGAGCCAGGTGCCGGATATAATCTCATGGTGCGCTGTTTTTTAAGCCGGTCAGAAAAGCACAGTATTCAGGTGGGAGCGACCCGATTTTCCAGGTGCCGTCCGTCACCCCTTTCTTTGACTCGGAAAGGGAACTCCCTGACCCCTTGCGCTTCCCAAGTGAGGCAATGCCTCGCCCTGCTTCGGCTCACGCACGGTGCGCGCACCCACTGACCTGCGCCCACTGTCTGGCACTCCCTAGTGAGATGAACCCGGTACCTCAGATGGAAATGCAGAAATCACCCTTCTTCTGCGTCGCTCACGCTGGGAGCTGTAGACCGGAGCTGTTCCTATTCGGCCATCTTCATTTCCTCGCTATTTCTAACGCATCTGCAGTGCTTGTCCCCGCTGAAGTCTTGAACTCAAAGTCATTCAGGATGATTGGAATCCACGTCTTCCAAATTTATGTTAATGTTGACAATTTGATCTCCTTTCATGAGTCACAATGTTCATTTTTGTTATTATTTTTATTTTAGATTCAGGGGTACATGTGTAGGTTTGTTACATGGATATATTGTATAATGGTGAAGTTTGGGCTTCAAGTGAACAAATCACCCAAATATTGAACATTCTACTCAATAGGTATAACCCATGAAATCAACCCTCACCAACCCCTCTTCCACCCTCCCCCATTTTGGAAACCCTAGTGTTTGTTGTTTCCAAATTTATGTGCATGTGTACCCATTGTTTAGCTCCCACTTGTAAGTGAGAAGACACAGTATTTGATTTTCTGTTTCTGAGTTATTTCACCTAGGATAATGGCCTCCAGCTCCATCCATGTTGCTGCAAAGGGCATAAGTTCATTCTTTTAGAAAGCTGTATAGTATTCCATGGTTTCTATATACCACATTTTCTTTATCCAATCAAACATTGATGGACACTTAGGTTGATTCCATGACTTTGCTATTGATGAACATAAATATTCTCAGTGGCATCTAGAATGGTAAATCCTTTCCAGAAGCTTTTCCATTTATCCAGATCCATCAGTGGAATCACTATCCATGGAAACTATAGCCTTCCAAAGTTTATTTATTAAATAATAAGACTTGGAATTCAAAATTACTCCTTAATCAATGGGCTACAGAATGGATGTGATGTTAGCAGGCAAGAAAACAACACTGATCTCCTTGTACATCTCCATCAGAGCTCTTGGGCGACCAAGTGCATTGTCAATTAACAGTAATATTTTTTAAAGAAATCTTCTTTTCTGAGCAGTAGGTCTCAACCGTGTGCTTAAAATATTCAGTGAGACATGATGAAAACAGATGTGCTCTCATCCAGGCTTTGTTGTTCCATTTATAAAGCACAGGCAGAGCAAATTTAGCATAATTCTTAAGGGCTCTAAGGATTTTCTAAATGGTAAACAGACATTGGATTCAACTTAAGGTCACCAGCTGCATTAGCCCCTAACAAGAGAGTCAGCCTGTCCTCTGAAGGTTTGAAATCAGGTATTGATTTCTCCTCTCTACCTGTGAAAGTTCTAGATGGCATCTTCTTCCAATAGATGACTGTTTTGTCTACATTGAAAATTGGTTGTTTAGTGTAGCCACCTTCATCAATGACCTTAGCTAGAGATCAATAACACTTGCTGCTTCACCTTGCACATTTATGTTATGGAGGCGGCTTCTTCAACTTCATGAATCAAACCATTGTTAGTTTTCAACTTTTCTTCTTCAGCTTCTGCGCCCCTCTCAGCCTTCATAGACTTGAAGATCTAGGTCCTTGCTCTGGATCAGGTTTTGGCTTAAGGGAATGTTGTGGCTGGTTTGACCTTCTATCCAAAACACTAAAACTTTTTCCATCTCAGCAGTAAGGCTGTTTTGCTTTCTTATCATTAGTATGTTCACTGGAGTAGCACTTGCAATTTTCTTTAAGAACTTTTTCTGTGCATTCACAACTTGGCTAACTGGTGCAAGAGGCCTAGCTATTGGCCTATCTCAGTTTTCAACATGTCTTCACCACTAGGCCTAATCATTTCTAGCTTTTGTTTTAAAGTGAGAGATGTGTAACTCTTCCTTACACTTGAACACTTAGAGAGGCCATTGTAGGGTAATTACTTGGCCTAATTTCAATATTGCTGTATCTCAGGGAATAGGGAGGCCTGGGGCAAAGGAGAAAGATGGGGGAACAGCTGGCAGCTGGTCAGTGAGGCAGTCAAGACACATACAACATTTACTAATTAAGTTCACTGTCTTCTGGGGGTTTGGTTCGTGGTTCCCCAAAACAACTACAATGGAACATCGAAGATCATCGATCACAGACAACCATAACAGATACAATACTAATGAGAAAATTTGAAATATTGTGAGAATTACCAAAATGTGACACAAAGACACCAAGTGAGCACATGCTATTGGAAAAATGGCGCCGACAGACTTATTGACGCAGGGTGTGCCTTCAAAGTAAAAAACAACAATATCTGCAAAGCACAATAAAGCAGAGCACAGTGGAATGAAGCATGTCTGTAAAGGAAACCTGTATGCAAGCAAAGAGGCAGAGATCAAAGGGAGCCAGTCCTACTTAAATAGAAAGTAATGTCTAAGAAGAAGATAGGGCACATGCCTTTCTCTTGTCCTTGGAGCTATTTATGGAGCTCCCCCTGGAGGAAGATAGGGCACATGCCTTTCTCTTGTCCTTGGAGCTATTTATGGAGCTCCCCCTGGAGGAACGTAGACTCTTTCCTTCAAGCTAGAATTAGCATGTCTGCAAAAGGATTTAGATGATCTGCTGCTGGTGGAGGAGTAGAGCAGTCCATGTGGACTCCCATGAAGGGAGCAATTTGCACCCAACTTAAATTTGATCTGGACACAACAAGCCAAACTTTTGGAAACTTAATCCTTTGGCAGGACCTGTGGGCTAGGGGCCCAAGACATGATGGGCATGCTGTTTAGAGAAGCCAAAAATCAGCAGTTGAAAAGAGAAACTGACTTTTGTTGCAGTTGGAACTAAAGCAACGGGCCACACCAAGAGGCCAATGGGATGGCCAACAGCTGGGTCCCAGGGACAAGATTCTGAGGCTGTGCGTCAGAAGAATTGGATGCTTGCAGCCAACTAGGATACATAAAATAGTAGAATGGAGAAGTCATGTGCCAGAGTAAATAGGGTCTTCCTAAAATGAGAGCCTCTCCTGCCATAGGGGATGTTAGAGGTAGGCATTTGGTAGCAGCAGAAAGCCTGGGATCAAGACAGATAGGTGTATTTTCATTGTGAAAAACTATAAAGCAGAACACTCTGAGAGACCCTCTGCTTAGTCCTTCTGCCCCACATTGAAGGACTTAGCATTATTCCAATTCTGAAAAATTAAAATCCAAAGTTAGCATTGGTTATTCCTGGGGAGTAAGATTATGGGTGGTTTTTATTTTGCTCTTTGTAACTTTCTTTACCAATTCTTTATCAAGCCTACTGCCATGGATCTGGATTCTTTTCATCATCAATTGTTTTAATTGGAAAGAAGGCAGAGCCTTTTTTGTAATGAAAGACCCAAATGAAGTGAATTTTAGAGAATAAGTTATAGAAATGTCTGGCCTTTTGTGTGTGTGTGTGTGTGTGTGTGTGTGTGTGTGTGTATCTGTACACACATACATAGAAAGAGAGAAAAACAGAAAGGCAAAGAACATTCCACTTCAGGAAGACTTAGCACAGTCCGGAGAAACTATCCCATGGAAGAGGAAGGAAGTTTTAGGGCTGATTGAACCCTCTGAAAAAGTGCCAATAGGGAAAAATATTTGAAGATGGCCTTGGCTATGTTTTCTATTCTATGGTCTTCTATATCACTTCTCCAACTCATGGGAACCAACTCACACTGGAAGACACAGAAGCTAAATTTGACTATGCTCTCTATCCCCCTAAATTCCCTCCTTTGGTACATTCCCTTTTCCAAAACCTTCCCTATAATTCCTTCTGCTTAAAATCACTTCCTCCACCGAAGAATATGTTTACCAAGCTCCTTGTTCAAGGCAGGGACACCTTTATAGAATATCTTTCCTAGGCCCCATAGTTGACTGAATCTCTGAGACCCAGGTTAGCCTTCTACCAACAATCCTGACCACATGCTCAGCAGCATGGCGGCCACTGGAATAGGAATCACTGGTATGTCCCTGCCCCACTACTGCCCTAGCTTGGGCCTTCCTCCCCTCCTTCAGATAGCTCTGCCACCCCCACTCCCCCTCTCCTCTGCAGCTCAATTTAAAGGCCAGAGCAGGTAAGGTCTGCAGCAGCGTCCCAGTGGATAGATCTGAAAACTGGAGGGCACAAGGCTTCTCTGCCCCCCTACCCACATAATCCACTACCTAATTGACCCTTACTCTGTGGACAGAAGGCCTATCTGGCTATTGCAGCTTCCCCAGTACCACCGATGTCCATTCTGCCTCTGTTAGGGCTCCCTCCTGCTGTTCCATACTCTGTGCCCAGGAGGGCTGTCCTGTGCGTTCGGTCCACAATGGCCCCTTTCTGTTCTTCAGGCATTCCATCATGCTCCCCCTCAACCCTGGATGCCAATCCTCCACATGCCCACACAGTTAACTCCCGCACCCCCAAGGTTATTTTTCAACCCTCACCCCTGACTTCTGGCATCCCCCATTTTGGAATCCCCAGTGTCTATTGTTTACAACTTTATGTCCATATGTACCCATTGTTTAGCTCCCATTTACAAATGAGAACATACAGTATTTGATTTTCTGTTTCTGAGTTATTTTACTTAGAATCATGGTCTCTACCTCACTGAAAAAGAGAGGCCTCCCCAATCACATGCCCCAGCACTTCTTTTCCCCATCCTCACTTATTATTTCTCTTTTGCATTTATCACTATCTGATACTTTTCTTGTGTATTTTTTATGTAATGCTTTTCTTAGGAATTTCTTATTTAGTTACTGTCTGTATCCTCCCACTAGAATTTAAGCTCCATGATAGCTAGGATTTTTATCTGCTTATTCACTGTTACATGTTTTACACCCAATGGGGAATATATATATATATATATGGAGAGAGAGAGAGAGAGAGAGAGAAAGAGAGAGAGATCAGTAGCCCAGCTTCTGATCTGTTTTGTTTGTACTTTTCACTCATTTTCACACAGTGACACTGACTGCCGGGTAACTGTCTCTCAGGACATTTGTGCTTTGAGTCTCTGCAACTCTGGACCATCTCTGCAGGCTAAAAGATGTGCCTGTTGCTAAGAGGAGGAGCCCTGCAGCAGGAATCCGGTGCCAGCTGACCTGGAACAACCTGATCTCCAGAAAGCATCCCTGTTATACTCAAATGGGCCTTCCAGATGAGCCCTGTAAGGATATGCATGATAGCAAAAGCTCAGGACAGCCTTTTTATGTTACTGTTGTTCTTAACTTTTGACTTACTCCCTTTAGGGATCCAGCCTTTACTGTTGTTCTTAACTTTTGACTTATTCTCTTTAGGGATCCAGCCTTTCTTTGACTATGAACCTAAACGTAAGAAAGAGAAGTTTCTTGACTCCCTAAAAACGAGTCATAATGCTTTCTGAAACTGAGTCTCTTCTGCTTCTGGAAACTGAGTCTTAGTGCAAAGAAATCCCTCTGTATTTTCTTGATTTCCATCTTGATTCTCTATTTTAAAGATAAAATAGCTGTTGCTTTGTGTCTGTGTAGAGTGTGGCAAAAAGAGAGGAAACAGAAAAAGATAAAAGGACCATCTCTCTCACTTTTAAAATCTCTTTTCCTTAAGGTATCCTTGAATATCTCTCTTCATTATGCCCTAAAACATTTTCCCTGCAATTGATGCTATCCAGCCAGTGTTTTTTTAGTAGCACCTATAATTCAAATGCATATAATCCAGAATCCAGCCCTAACTTCACACCTGAGTTTCTAGACCAACTAAACATCCCACAGGTACTTCAGGCTCACTAGATCCAAGTCTAACTCATTATCTTTGTACCAAAACAGTATTTTTTAATTAAAATTTTAAAAAAAATAATTATAAATAAAAAACACTGGCTCTATTGGAACTGAGCCTGGCTAATGACATTGTCTTTTCCCACTCACCCAAACTAGGCATTTAAAAATCAAACTTGACTCCCCCACTCTGACTCTATGCCAATTCTATCAGTCGCTGAGTCACTGTTTGACCCTACTCCAAGCTTTCCAATCTTCTCAGGAACCATGCTGATATCAAGACTGTGTCCTGTGGAATATCTAATATATGTGACACCCGGAGGAGTCATTTTTTAACACCTCCCTTCTCTATACAACAAAATTATTTTCAATAATGGCCATGAGTATGATGATAATTATGTCTTTATAATACGTGTAATTGACAATATCATACATAATTATGGATTATATATATACACAAATAATGCTCAGAAAAACAAAGCAGTGAAAATGTTCTATTAAACTATGTATAATCTTATATATAATTATATAAGTTTCTAAAATAAAAGGAAATGCCTACAACTATTTTTTATTAATTTTTATATCCACCTAAATGGCTGAACTTTGATCCTTTGGTTACAGTCTGATATATTAATATTTACGTAAATGACAGTCCAATAACTAGGTTTAAATAAAACTAAAATGTCTGCAGAAGTATAGTTTAGGCAATTACATTTTAAATTTTTTTAAATGAGATGGACTCTTGCTATGATGCGCAGGCTGATCTCAAACTCCTGAGCTCAAGCCATGCTCCCACCTCGGCCTCCAAAAGTGCTGGGATTACAGGCATGAGCCACTGCGCCCGACCTAATTTAGGCAATTACTAATGTGAGATTTTGTTTTCTTATTTGTTCTTTTGTTTGAAGACAAATAATTAACAATTAAAAAGAATACATTGCAATTTTAAAATGTTATCATATTCAGAAAATATGTATGAAATAAAATTTGCACTTATAAAACAAAAATATTACACTTCATAGTTGGCAAACATTTTAAATTTTAAATTAAAAAATTTTTAAATTGTGATTGAGTCACACTGAATGGTGAAATTAAATGAATTCAAATCCTGTTTCTTCATCTTTGCAATCACTGTGCTATCATTGTTTCTTTCTAATCTACATAGAAATAGGTCTCACCACAGGGGTTGAAGATTCAACTGCACCCAAAGCAAGATCCAGTGTTTCCAAACTGTTAGGAGCTCTTGAAATGGATGTGGGTAACCAAGGCTATTGTGCCAAGGGTTCTGAGAATCAACTTCCACATCGAACATTTATCAAAAGGTAAATAGCACAGGACAGAGGACCAGAAAAAAGAAAGTCACGCAGAGAAAGAAATCAGGAGACCTTGCATTTGTAACTTGACTATACATTTGCAATATACTCCCTACTTTGAACAACTTAGAAAAAAACATTTCTTTCTTACAAACACAGTTTCCTCCTGAAAGGAATTTTGATGTATTCTATTTTCTGATGTCTTACTATTTTGGATGTGTATCCACGTTATAGGCAACGAGATGTTTTGTTTATAAATAAATGTAGAAGAAAAATAGATGTTTTTTAGAAGCAAATTCTGGTTCTTGTTATATCTTCTGAAACTTCCAAATCCAATTTTGTTATGCATTGCCACCATGATGCTATTACTTCAGTAGAACAGGATGTCCTCAAAGAGTGAAATGGTTACGATGAGTCTAGAATGACCTGGAGGTGCCAGATTATGGGCCTTAACTCCTAGCATTTCTCAAGTAGTTACTACATGTCCAAGACTTTGCTAAGGGATTTGCAAATTCTAACTTATTTTTAAATTCCATAACAGCTCTGAGATAAGTGCTGTAGTTAAACATAATTTTAAAGATGAGGATGCCAAGAATTCAAGAGATCAAATGAGTTACCTAAAGTTACACCTAAGAAGAGCAGGAAAGCTGAGACCAGAGCTGAGGCCATCTGGCTGGAGAGCCTGAGCTCTTAGCCATCATATTACACCGACTTTCTGTTCCAGATATGCCAGCTACTTCTATCTTTATATCAGTATCTCCTAGGCAGCAATTTTATACTCTGGCCTTTTGTCATTTTTACAGAAGCACTAATAATGATGCACAAAATTATTTTGTGTAAAAAAATTAAAATTTTTGTTTTTAATAGTTTTTGTAGAATCTATTAAAATATTAATATTCATAGTTCATAAGAAAATATTAATAGTTATTTCATAATAGCTTAAGTAACTATTGAACAAAAGTTAAAAATTTATTAGAAGTAAATATCAATGGTATAAATCAAATTATTTAATCTTTATGCACAAATATTACTTATCGCTAAAATGAAACTGGGTTCAGCATTATCTATTTTTCATTTTGATAGAATTAAGTACTGACAAAACTTGCTGACAAATAGAAATGGAAAGGTTCTTGGTTATAATAAAGCTACTCAACTCGTACTCCTCACAAAATATGTTAAAAAATAACATAGTGAACCACAACAAATATAATTTTTGCTAACAGCTTTGTTGAGCTATAATTAACATACCATAAATAATGCATAAAATTCATTGGTCTTTGTTCACAGAGTCATGCGACCATCGCAACTACATAATTCAAAGAAAAATTTTATCACCCAAAAAAGAAACTCTGTACCTATTAGCAGTCATTCTTCATTCTCCCTACCCGTGGAAATCACTAATCTACTTTCTGTCTCTATAGATTTGCCTATTCTGGACATTTTATATAAATCAAATCATGCAATAGATGGCCTTTTGCTTTTGGCTTCTTTTACTTAGCATAATGTTTTCAAAGTTCATCCATGGTGTAGCGTGTACCAATACTTCATTCATTTTTATGGAATGGATACACTACATTTGTTTATGCAATTTACGAACCGATGGACATACGGGTTGTTTCCACTTCTGTGCTATTATGCAAAGTGCTGCTATGAAAATTACCCATTTTTTTGTGTAAATATATGTTTTCTGTTCTCTTGAGTATATACCTAAGAGTGGAATTGCTGGCTTGTATGGTAACCTTATGCTTAACTTTTTGAAGAACTACGAAACTGTTTTCCAAAGTAGCTGCACAATTTTTTTTTTTTTTAGACGGAGTCCCGCTCTTTCGCCCAGGTTGGAGTGCAGTGGCGCGATCTCGGCTCACTGCAAGCTCTGCCTCCCGGGTTCACGCCATTCTCCTGCCTCAGCCTCCGGAGTAGCTGGGACTACAGGCGCCCGCCACAGCGCCCGGCTAATTTTTTGTATTTTTAGTAGAGACGGGGTTTCACCGTGTTAGCCAGGATGATCTCGATCTCCTGACCTCGTGATCTGCCCGCCTCGGCCTCCCAAAGTGCTGGAATTACAGGTGTGAGCCACCGCGCCCAGCCTAGTAGCTGCACAATTTTACATTTTTACCAGGAATATATGAGGGTTTCAATTTATCCACATCCTCAGCAACACTTCGTGGCCTGTCTTTTTATTATAGCCATTCTTGTGGGTGTAAAGTAGAATCTCAATGTGGCACTGATTTGCATTTCTTTAATGACTAATGATATTGGACATCTTTTCGTGTGCTTACTATCCATTTGCATATTTCCTTTACCAAAATGTCTATTGTGATAACATTTCCTACTTTAAAAATTGGTTATGTTTTTTATTACTGAGTTGTAAGTATTCTTTATGTATTATGGGTACAAATTCATTATCGGATGTATGATTTAAAAATATTTTCATCCCTTCAGTGTTTTGTCTTTTCACTTTTCTTGACAGTGTCTTTTAAAGCACAAAAGTTTTTAAATTTATCTATTACTATCTAATTTACCTATTTTTTATTTTGTCTCTAGTGCTTTTGCTGTCCTTAGAAACCATCCTCTCTAATCAAAGGTTACAAAGATCTGATCTTATGTTTCTTCTAAAAGTTTTGTAAATTTTATTAAACACAAGGTCTCTGATTTATTTTGTGCTAATTTGTGTATACAGTGTGAGAAATTGGTCCAATTTTATGATTTTGCTGTTAGATATCAGTTGTTGAAAAGACTATTCTTTCCCCTTAGAATTGTCTTGTCATCTTGTTCACAATCAATTTTTCACAAATGCATAGTTTTGTTTCTGGACTCTCAGTTCTATTTTACGGATGTATATGTCTATCCTGATGTTGGTACCACACTGTCATGATTACTGCAGCTTTGCATTAGGTTCTGAAATTGGGAAGTGCGAGTCCTTCAACTTTGTTCTTTTTCAATATTATTTTGGTTAGTCTGTACCTTTTACATTTCCATATAAAATTTTAGGACCAATTTGTCAATTTCCACAAAACAGGAAGCTGACATCTGCTAGGGATTGCCTTGAATCTGAAAATCAATTTCAGGAGTATTGCTATCTTAACAATATTAAGTTTTCCATCCACGAACATGTGATGTCTTTTCATTTGTTTAGGTCTTCTTTTTTTCAGTGAAGTTTTGTTGATCACAATGTACAAGTCTTGTTACAGTCAGTAGCTAGTCAGACATGAACAGGGCAGGAAACACCAGGAATGTCAGGCGAACATCAGGTGATGGTCAGGCGGTTCTTAACTGTCTTTCTAAAATAATCGGTCACAGCCAGCACCAGGGAGAGACAATCTCCCAATAGAGAGAAAAAACCTGAAACTGGCTATCAGCAGCTTCCCAAAAAGATCTCAGGAGTTGGACAAATGGGCTCAATCATGCACAATAAGAGACAAAATGGTGGAGTTTAACTGGTACATGACCTTCCTCTACAAACTGGTAAGGGAATGCCTCAAGTGAGCATGTGTGCAATTTCAGTGAACATATTGCACATGCAGCCACATTGTGCATGCAGATAGCTCAGCCCAAGGGAAGACCCAGGGGAGAAGTAATGCAAGACCCTGGAAGCATGCCAATGTATAAAACCCCAAGTTAAAAGGTCAAACAGTGCACTTGATTTCTCAAGTCCCCTGCTTGGCCCTCTTCCAAGTGTACTTTACTTCCTGTCATTCCTGCTGTAAAGCTTTTAAATAAACTGTCACTCCTGCTCTAAATCTTGCTCAGTCTCGCACTCTGTCTTACGCCCCTCAGTTGAATTCAAGTATGATAGCTGTGGAGTTTTCAGTCTTTACTAGATTGAGGATATTTTTTTCTATTCATTGTTCATTTTTTTTTAATTGTGAAAGAGTGTTGGATTTTGTCAAGTGCATTCTCTGCGTCTGTTGAGAGGATCATGCAATTTCTGTCCTTTATTCTACTAACATGGTATATTTCACTGATTGACTTTCATGTGTTAAACAACCTTGCATTCCTGGGATAAATCCCACTTGATCAAGGTATATAATCCTTCCCATATGTTGCTGGATTCAGTTCAATTGTAATTTTTTTGTTGTTAGGGATTTTTTTCATCTATAGTCATAGGATACATTTGTCAGCACTTTTGTTTTCTTGTAATGTCTTTGGTTTTGGCATCAGAATGATACTGACCTCAGAGCATGGGGAATTGCCCCCTCCCTTCTGTTTTTTGGCAGTTTGTGAAGTGCTGTTTGTTTTTTAAGAGTTTGGTATGATTGACCAGTGTAGCTATCATCACCTGCACTTTTCATTGAAGAAATAATTTTTTATTACTAATTCAATCTTTTACTTGTTATAGATCTATTGCAATTTTCCATCTCTTTGTAAGTTAGTTTGTGTCCCTCAAGAAGTTTTTCTGTTTTGTCTAGGTTAGATAAATTGTTAATACACAACTTTTCATAGTGTTTCCTTATATTCCTTTTTATTTCTGGAAGGTCCATAATGACATCCTCTATTTCATTCCTGGTTTTAGTAATTTTAATACTGTCTTTTTACCTTGGTTAATCTAGCTAAAGGCTTGTTCATTTTATTGGCATTTTTCATTTTAAAGAACGAACTTTTGGTTTTATAGATTTTACCTATTGTTTTTCTATTCTCTTAATCCCCAATGTAACAAAATTGAGAGGTGGAACCTTTAAAATGTGATTTGGTCCTGAGGGCTCTGTTCTCAGGAATATAATCATGTTGTTATCAAAGGAGTGGTTTCCTGATAAAAAGATGATTTTGGCCCTGTTCCCTTCTCTGTCTCTCATCTGTGTGATGCCTTCAACCATGCTATGATGCAGCAAGAAGGCCCTCAACAGATGTGTCCCCTCAATATTGAACTTCCCATTTGATCATAGTATATAATCCTTCCCACGTGTTTCTGGATTCAGTTTGCTGAGTTCAGCCTCTGGAACCATGAGCCAATAAATTTCTGTTCTTTATACATTACCCAGTCTCAGGTATTCTGTTATAGCAACGCAAAACGGACTAAGACAAGTAAGTGCTCTGCTCCACAGAGTCATTCAAGGTTCTAAGTTTCTGGCAGCTTTGACATCCTCGACTGGGAGCTTAAAGGTCACTTTAAGTGTGGACATTTAGTGACAGATGGAGGCTGACAACTAGCCAAAGGCTTGGAAGCAATATAATTACTTATTCAAATTCTATTGGCCAAGACTCAGGGATATAGCCACATTGAACTAAATAGGGTAGGGGAGAACTAGGAAATGTAGTCTAATCTTATGGCAGGAAGAAGAGGAAATGGTTTTGATGATTAGCTGCCAGCCTCTGCCATAAGAAATTTGCAAAAGTGGGGGATTTGGAGTAAAATGTGTACAATGTATCTCCGGGCCTCTTGAGACAGGCAGAGATGTGGGAACATCTGGCCTGTTGGGGCAGACTTTCTGAAAGGCAGCTTTTTAGGTGTGATTCCTTGTACTCATTGATAGTGTTTGGTTTACATTACAGCTTATGTTCTGGGAAGAGTGTGTATGGAACATTTGGCTTCAAACAAATGCCCAGAAAACTGACACTTCTCATTATAAATGATCAAGTTGGCTTTCTGTGAAACTAAGTCTTCAGTGTATTTAGTGTGAGTCAGTTGCTCACAGTTAAACTGATCGTTAGTGTTCTGAATGTGCAGATCATAAATGTTAAATTGAGCAGTATGAACGTAAAAACAGCATTGAGATTATTCTGTCTTCCTACCTCACATTAAACAAGAAATTAAGTAATATTAATGGTAAACAAATTGAGTCCGGGCACAGTGGCTCATGCCTATAATCCCAGCACTTTGAGAGGCCGAGGTGGGCGGCTCACTTGAGGTCAGGAGTTGGAGACCAGCCTGGCCAGCATGGTGAAATCCCCGTCTACTAAAAATACTAAAATTAGCTGGGCATGGTGGCGCACGCCTGTAATCCTAGCTACTGGGGAGGCTGAGGCATGAGAATCGCTTGAACTGGGGAGGCGGAGGTTGCAGTGAGCCAAGATCACACCAATGCACTCCAGCCTGGAGAACAGAGTGAGACACTGTCTCAAAAAACAAACAAACAACAACAACAAACAAACAAATTGGGTATGTAGCATTAATGCCAGAAGGTCACATAAAATGATCTTCTCTGTAATTTATACTCTCACATCAAAACACGATGTAATGAATTTTGGTGAATTTTAATCTGACTCTTGATGGGAAGTAGAACAACTATAGAGCAACAATTCTTCCCTATTTTATTTTGTCAACACTATAGAGAAACATACTGCAGGAGTTTTTGAGAGAAGGCATCTAGTTAATCAGGCAAAGTCTTACAGGTCGAGTGCCTGGAACAGTCCTAGTAACACCTGTTGCTATGACATCATCATTAAAAACATCCCCTTTTACTCCCAAAGGAGTTCAGGTTTGAATGATAAATTATATGGTAACCCTATGAGCTGGGAGCAGTGCCTTTGTGTGGCCACCCCTCTTCAGGGTCTGGTTCACAACCTTGCAGAACCAGAAAATCAGGGTGTTAGGAAACTCAGGCTGATTGAGGAGAGGATGGGAGTTGATTCAAACCAAGGAAATTCCAAGAGACGGATGCTTAAATCAGAACACTAACTTCCTAACTTATGAAGAATGTAGCTGCCAAGGGAAGTAGAAACTAATGTTAGTTTGTGTGTTCTCACCCTTGAAGGGTGGTCTCCGTGGAAAGACAATGATCATAATCATAAGTCTGTGGGTGAGAGGAATCAGGCAATGGGTGTTTTTTCTGGAGAAGCTGCTGGAATTTGCAAGCCATGTTTCAGTACTTGGTACCCAAAGAAAGCATACTTTTGTCCTACTAAGAGTTTTCCTTTATAACATTGAAAATGGCCTCAGTTCCCTTTCCAGAGAGAAATTTGGAATAAGCATCAACTAAAGGTAAAGAATAGGGATGTGTGATTCCAACCAACCTTCTGTTCTTTACTGATAATAACGGATAAGCTCTCTCACCCATTGGCAAGAACTCTCAGGGCTGATGTCAGTGGCAGACCATCCCCTGATGCCTGAGGTTCAGCCAGGAGCATCCTTCTCCACTCTCTCCTTGCTTGTAACATTGGAGGTTGCCGAGATCCAAAATATTCACCACCATCCCTGCCGCCACCCCAGTTCCCAGTAGATAATAGATACAATGGCCAGGAGAGGGTTAAAAGCAGCTTTATTAATGGATTGGAGAGCACAGCTGGGATCTGAGGCCTAAGCAAGGTTCCTTTCTTCTTCTGTGAAGTGACGGCTGCCGAGCCCACTGGGTGGGGCCCACCGAACTTACCCACCCAGTCACAGACGGAGGCTGGAACATGGAGAGCCAAGTCTTGGCTGAGCTCACCACGGGCAGGTTCTGCTGGGTCTGTTTACTGCATGGAGACTGGAAGCCCAGATGCAGGTCCAAGAGAAAAGGAGAGAGGGAGAGAGAAAAGAAGCAGGAGGACAAGTAAGCAGCGACCTTCAGCACATTGTCTCCACCCTGTAGAGAGTGGCCCAGAGGGACTCAAGCCCTGTCAACCACAACCATCCCAGAAGTCACCCCAGGGGTGGAAGACTCTCCCCAGTACTTTTTCTCCAGGGTGGGAATGTTGGTGGGAGAGTCTTCCTCTATTTGGCTAAGGAGAAAATGTAGGAATAAAGCAAGAGTTTCCTCCAGGCAGTGACAATGGGTCAGGAGTTCAATGAACTGCTCAGTGAGTAAGTGGCCAACCGCCATTTTGTGTGAGCCTTTTGGGTCAGCAGACACTAACCCAAAGGCACTGGCTTGAGATGCTGGAGTCAGAACTATAGGTCCGTAAGCTTCCTCACATCTGAATGCTAATCACTGAATTCCTTTTCTTGCCTGTAGTCTAGAGCCTGTACTTCTAAGGACTGCTGAATAAGGCATGAGGCCACCATAGCTAAGGGCCAATTCTGCTTGACTTCTATTGTATTCCTGCAATTAAGAGAACTCCCCTACCCCTTTTGTTTCATTCCAAGTAACACCTTTTGGTTTAACTGTTAGGTATGGAGTTGTTAGCTTTGCGCCAAACCTAAGCAGAAGACCTGTCAAGGCTACGCTGGGCAGAGGGGAGGATAGAAGTGGAATCATGACCAGCCTGACCAACACGGAGGAACCCAACCTCTACTGAAAATACAAAAAATTAGCTGGATGTGGTGGTGCATGCCTGTAATTCCAGCTACTCAGGAAGCTGAGGCAGGAGAATTGCTTGAACCCAGGAGGAGGAGGTTGCGGTGAGCCGTGATCGTGCCATTGCACTCCAGCCTGGGCAACAAGAGCAAAACTCCATCATCATCTCAAAAAAAAAAAAGTGGAATCGTGAGATTCCTCCAAGGTGCGTGAACAGATAGAGAAGTTTAATGGCAAGTGTCACAGAGTTGAGTCTCATGCAGCTCTCTCTGGCGTGGGAAGGCACCCTTTTCTGGCCAGTGATGATAACATATTAATTTCTAGCACTCTGAAATCCATGCTCCTATCTGTCAGTCAGAATACCCCTCTTCTATTATTTTTTCTGTGCTTTTCTATTTCTCTGGTTAACTTAATATCATGAATTAGATCAAGGTTTATTTTATGTTTGAGCATATTTTCAGTGCTAGTATTCCTGCTTTGGGCCTGGATGACTTCTGCAAAGGGTTAATCTAATCTATTACCTGGGATTTTTTTTTTTAATACTATCACCATTATATGTTGACCTCATTTCATGGTCCTAGAGGGAATCCTTTTATAGTTTCCAACAACCTGACTATACAACTTTACTTTAAATAAAACTGAATGATTGCAAAAAATTTTACCCCAGAGTATTTTTATTAGGGATTCCTGCCACCATATTAACATATAAAACAATCTGGATGTTGACATAGAAATGCAAATTTCACTATACAAAGGTAAGGCTCCAATCACAGTAACATGGCCCCCATATCTCTAGTATTTCAATGAAATAAACTCATTGTGAATTCACCCCGAGTTGTGTTTATAAATATTAGACAAACCACAAAATATATTCCAAATACATAACATTTTACAATATTTTTCAAGCACAGACAAATACATACTTTACTTTACCTACATTGTTTTCATGATCCAACTTGCATTAGCACTAAAGGCAATATTGTGTGTGTATATGTATTTGCCATATGTGTGTGTGTATTATATATATTTATTTATATCCACAAATGTACACTCAGTGGCATTTATGGAAAATTTAACCCTTTCAGGCTGTGGGTTTTACCCACCATAGTATCTGAGAGGGAGAAGAACCAATAATACATCTCAAATTCCTCAATTAGGGCAAAATAAGCACAATTATGCATGAGGGGCATATATGTTGTGTCTATTCAAAGACACACATATATACAGATTCATATATAAACACACATATACCAATAATATGGAATATACATATACTCACACACTTGCTTTAAACTCTATATCTCACTCTATAATATACTGTCCATCTCTGGAAGCAGGCTTTTCCTCATTCGATTCAGGCAACTGGTGACTATCTTCTAACAAAACTTAAATGGATGTTTCTAAAAGGCTCTGATTCTATGCCGAGCAAATGGCATTTCAAGATTCCAGTTTAACTTTTGATGGCTGTTTAAATTCAGCAGACCCTATTCTGTCAACTTCTTCACTTAAAAACATTTCTATTCAACAATGAAGTTTCCACCTAAGAGAAAAGAGATGTTAGCTGGAAATGTTAAAATAATATATTTATTACTCCTTAAGATAAATCTGCATCGTTGGATTACATGTGATATTTATACTATCATATTTTTTAAGTATTTTACAATGGAAAATATATTAGTTCCATAATTTAAAAAATATTATATAATATTATTTTGAAAGACTGAGGGCCAGATGATTTGTCATAGTCAGAACTTTAGAGAAAATTATATGACGCATGATCAGAAGGGGACTAATTTTGTGCAGACTACACTAAAGTTGCCTTATGTCAGAAAGGATGACTTAGAAGTCGTATGAGAAAAGAAGGAGAAAAACACAAATTTCAATTTCAAACCTAGCCATCTGCAAGCTTCCAAAATAAATTGTTGAGGATTCCAATCACAGAAAATATATTCCTAAATCAGTATCAACTTTCAGGTAATAAACAAACAATCTTTATTTAAAAAGCAAAATAAATCACTGAAAGCATATAGGAAAGGAAACCCCTCAAACTTAATGGCAAATATATAGTCATTTGCTCGACTGCAGGCTTCACGAACTGAGTTTCAAAACTCATTTCCAAAATTAAATGTCCAGTGAAGTACTCAGAGCTCCACTGAGTGAGTGGAAATGTATTGCCCAATTTAGAAATCATGCTAATGATAGGGTTGGAATGTCATTAGCTAGAGAGAGCGATTCCAAGTGGGCCCTGTAACTTTGTACATTAGGGCAGTGGAATGTTTTCAATCCACAGAGAAGCTCTATGCTCCATGGCATAAGTTCTAGACTCTTATCTTTCTCCCACATAACACAGTATCAGCAGGTAGTCTGCATGGGAAGGCATCAGTACGTTGCTGATGGTACAATGCTCTAGTACCTTCCTTGATACCATTAAATTGTTGGATTAAATCCTTTCCATCATGGATTTAATGGTATCAAGGAAGGTACTAGAGCACTGGTCCCCTCTACAGTCTGGTTAGGGTCATGTCACTACTTTACCCAGGCTGAACTGGTATGTCATCTCATGAGGCCTCTCCAGTTTCTCTATGGAAGTCAAATTTTAAAACAACTGGGAAAGGAAAGGAGTATAATGACCACCGCAAAACATGATCATGGACATGTATCAAAAAGCCATTCATATTCTCTCTCTCTCTCTCTCTCTCTCTCTCACACACACACACACGCACACTCACATACAAACACATTTTTGAAGTTTCTTCTACAGAATCACAACAAATGGCATGAGGGATCAAAATATTTACCTTAAAGTTTCTCCACTTTTATTTAGATCCACTTAAACATGTTCATGTTAACTCAGACAGCGACTGCACTGCTCTTCACATCATCGAACGCTGGCATCACCATCACTTTCATAAAATAGACCATTCGCCTGTCACCATTTGCCTGCCAGCCTCACCAGAACTCATTTTTGCCACTTTCCATTTCTCCAGTTCCTATCTGCCTTCACTCTTGGGTTAATGTACATTGATATGCAACTGACTAGCACATCTGTTACCTTTTTTCCTTTAAACTCTCACTTTCTTTTTAAAACATCTGCTTCTCCAGCCAAAATATACGGACAGAATACAAATGAAAATAACAAGTCCTCTTGTCCAAATACTTTGAAAAATGGACCACCCTGAGTCCACTTGATGCTCTCAGTTTCTACATCCTCCAGTTCCATCCTCTGTTTTAGCAGCTTACTTACTATAGTGTCTTTCTACCCATTTTCTATCTCCTATGCAGATCATAACAAATTATGGTATTGTTCAGCCAAAAATATTTTTAAAAACAAAGTAGCGCCAAAACATTAAAAAAATTCTGATATACCTTTTGTGCATTAGTCTTACAATCTGTACATGTAAATAACTCCAGGAGGCTTCTTTTTTTTTTTTGCTAAAAATTTACCAAAATAGTTTGAACACATAAAAATATTTTTAAAAAAACAGAACCAAAAACCCAGCATAAATTTAGTTGTATAGGCATTGGTTAGAGGACACTGTTTTCACTAAGGATTATATTCAACAACTTTCTCTTGAGTTGTTACTAAAATTCTGATTCTGAACCTTATAGCTTATAATGGTGCCAACTATTAGAAATGGGAAAATCTAATTCAGTCCAATGTAACATGTATTATGATATAATAGATGAAGGGTATGTCTACACTATAATAAAAAATAAACATATTTTTGGTTATTTAAAGACCATCTTCCTAACCTGTAACTAAAATAACTGTATTTGATTTAAACTTATTTAAGTGCAGTGAATTATGGAAAGCTAACTTAAAGGTTTGAATAATCAATTATGAGTAAGGAACACCTGTTGACAGCCCCGTGACCCTTCAGAACCAGGCATTTGCTGAAAAAAAGAAATCACTAGCATTGAATATAGCCCTTAGTCACGTGAGAGATTAACTTCATGAGCAACCCAGCATGTAGAGGATGAGGTGGACTTTCCCAGCCACCCACTCCTTGAGGGGACAGTAGTATTCATAGTGAAACTGCTCAAACTCTGGTGTCTGGCGGATTTCGCATAAGAAGGAGAGATCAATACCTGACTCCAAAAGGAGGAGGAGCAGGGGAAATACAAAGAGCAGCAGTCCCAGGCCCACCACAAGGAGCCTGGAAAAACTCTTGACCAGTGGGTTCACCCGAATATGGCCAGTCAGAATGTCATAGCTCCACGACAAAGCACGGCGAGCCTCCTTCAGCTCCTCTTCTTCAGCAATCAAAAAGGCGTTTTCATCTGCTTCCAGATCCTCAAATGAATCTGTGTCTTCTCTTTCCAACTCAAGCCTAGAAGGACAGTCAAAGAGCATGTCAATCTCATCGTCATCCACAGGGGTGGGGAGCAGGCTGGCACTTGGGTTGTACACTAGTTCAGAGATGGTTAAAGGTTCTTCTTTTATTTTATCTTCCTCTTCACTAGGGGGATCTTCATACTCCCGGGCTGCCTTCACTGGGGAGCTGGAGATCAAGGGAGCAGAAATGTTCTCCTCTTTAGGCAATGGAACACCTGTAAAGAGACATTTTTTTTTCTAAATTTAAAATTTCAGATTTTCCCACAAAAATCTGCAGGAAGAAACAGAAAAACAAAAAACTAATGGGATTCAAGCAATCTATGAAATTATTCTGTGGTATCCTAAGTTGTAACAAAGTCGTATTATAGTAAAAGACCCTGTACCATAAGTTCAAAGGTCAACATGCTAAACTCAAACTAACCAACACTTCTCAAATGGTTGGCAATATTTACAACATTTAGGTGTGCAATTTTGATCTGCAAACCTTGAACCTTGGCCATGTTTGCTTGAATAAAATGACAATAAATTCACTATTATAATTATGAGCACTGTTTTTTTAGAGGTCAACAATATCACCCGATATATTATAGTAAAACAACAGAATCTGTCATTCAATGACAATCTCTTTATTATTCTGATGTATTGCTTTCTAGTCTTCATTCTAGACACAATTTTGTGTTCTAGTTTTATATATTTGCAATCATATTATATACCCAAGCTTAAATCATGCTCCTTGCATTTAAAATTTTAACATAAATATTTTCTATGTTTAAACAAATTCCCATTGGTATTATTTATAAAAGCTGCCAAATTTTTTATTTAGTTATGCAATAAATTAGTTGCCTATTGTCAAACATTTAGATTGCTTTGCAGTTGTAAGGAGAAAATGCTATGAGACATCTTTACATATAAAGCTTTTTTTCCCCTCTTGTTTTAGTTCATTTGCTATAGATAGATGCTAGAAGGGAAATTGCTTAATCAAAGGGTAAGAACTTTTTCTAATGTTTATTGAGAGAGAGGTGTTTCTCAATGCCTCATTTTACTGATGGGAAATCGAGTTACCTATGGTCAGACCTAGGGCTAACTCTGCTAATTTTGAGTCTTGGATCCATAGTGGGAAATAAAGTTAGCATCAAAGAAGTGTCCTCCAGGATGGATCTACCATACAATCAAAATGGCAGCCAGGTGCATTTCGGGAACCATAAACCAGCTTTTAATGAATCTATTATGTGATTTTTCTCTCTTCAAGGTGTACAGGCATAACTTACTGGTTTTAGCATTCAAAAATCAACAGATATTTCATGATAGCTCTAGTCTGATAGCACTGAGAAGTCCAAATGAAAAATACCATAAAAATACAAGAAATATACAAAAGGTCAACAAGCACATGAAAGTATGCTGAACATCATTAATCATTAGGGAAATGCAAGTCAAAACCACAATAAGATGCTACTTTATGCCTACTCAGATGGCAACAGCTTTTTTAAAAACTGAAAATAACAAGTGTTGGTGAGGATGTGAAGACATTAGAACCCTGCATATTGCCAGTGAAACTATAATTGGTTCTGGCCATTGTGAGAAAAAAATTGACAGTTCCTCAAAAAATCAAACATAAAGTTATCAGATGACCCAGCAATACCACTCCCAGGTACATACTCCAAAGACTTAAAAACAGGTACTCAGAACGCTGGAACCCAAGCTGGCCAATTAGAGGCAGCTGTGGTCTGCAGCACTCATGGAGATGAATAAAAAGGGGCTAGTAAATGCAGCACCTTCAAACTGAGATACCCAGGTTCTCGCATTGGGACTGACTGGGCAAACAACTCAACCCACAGAGAATAAAGAAAAGCAGAAGAGGGGGTGATGGCCCACCTGGAAGATGCACAGAAGCAAAGGAGACCCCACCCCGACCCCCAGCCAAGTGCAGTGTTGAGTGATTGTGTGACCCCACCCAGGAAACCACACTTCTCCTTTGGATCTTTGCAACCTGCGGATCAGGAGATGCCCTTATGAGCCCAGGCCACCAGGGCCTTGGGTCTGATACACAGAGCTGTGTGGAGTCTCGGCAGAGCAGCCACTCAGGCACACACAGAGACCCAGGAGTTTTACATACTCTGGCCCCAGGATCCCTGGCAAGGCAGGAAATCTATCTGTACATATCCCTAGGAAGGTGGTTGAATCCAGGGACCCAGGTAGCCTCATTCTGTGGGCCCCACTTCCATGGCACCTCACAAGTTAAGACCCACTGGCTTGGAATCCCAGCCAGCTAATGGCAGTAGGTTGGAGTCTGCTTGAGGTGGGTCTAAGTTCCTGGGGAAAGGGATGGCTACCATCTATGCAGCTTAGTTGACTCAGTTGCTCCAGCCTGCTGGCTGTGGAGAACAGAGATAGACCAGAAGAGGAAGGGTACCCCACAATGTAGCACAGCTGTCTTGCCAGATTGTGGCTGGACAGCTTTCTTAAGTGGGACCCCAATCCATTTCTCCTCACTGGATAGGACTTCCTTGTGGGGGCTTCACCCATTCCAGCCAGGGTTCTACAGACAGAGCTTTGATCTCTCCCTGAGATGGAGCTCCCAGGGGAAGGGGCAGCCACCATTTCTGTGGTTTGGTCCACTCAGCTGTTCCAGTCTGCCTGCTTTGGAAACAGAGGCAGTGTGAATGAGAAAGGATCCTGGCCAATGCAGCACACATGCTCTACCAAAAAGAGGTCAGACTGCTTCTTTGGGTGGGTCTGTGAGCCCAGTCCTACTGACTGAGTGGGAACTCACAACAGGTGGTCTCCAGCCACCTCCTACAGGTGCATGCAGGCCAGCAACAAGTCAGTACACCCCTGGGATGGAGCTTCCAGTGGAAGAAGCTGGCTGCCATCTTTGCTGTTTCATAGCCTTCACTGGTGATACCTACAGGGATAGAAGAAACTAAGGCAACTGGAGTCTGAAGCACAGCACCAGCAAACTGCAGCAGCCCTAGAGTAGAGTGGCCTGACTGTTAAAAGAAAAACAAACAAACAGAAAACAACAACATCAACAAAAAAGACCCCACAAAAACTTCATTCAAAGGTCAGCAACCATAAAGATCGAAGATAGATAAGCCCACAAAGATGAAAACAATCAATGCAAAAACACTGAAAACTGAAAAAACCATAATGCCTCTTCTCATCCAAATGACCACAATATCTCTCTAGCAAGGGCACAGAACTGGGCTAAGGCTGAGATGGATGAATTGACAGAAGTAGGCTTCAGAAGGTGGGTAATAACGAACATCACTGAGCTAAAGGAGTATGTTCTAACCCAATGCAAAGAAGGTAAGACTCACAATGATACAATACAGGGGCTGATAGCCAGAATAGCCAGGTTAGAGAGGAACATAATGGACCTGATGGAGCTGAAAAACACAACACGAGAACTTCACAATGAAATCACAAGTATCAGTAGCAGAATAGACCAAGTTGAGCAAAGAATCTTAGAGCTTGAAGACTATCTTTCTGAAATAAGACAGGCAGACAAGAATAGAGTAAAAGGAATAAAAAATAATGAACAAAACCTCTGAGAAATATGCGATTATGTGAAGAGCCTGAACCTATCCCTGATTCTGACTGAGGTAACTGAAAGATACAGGAAGAATGGAACCAAGTTAGAAAATATACTTCAGGATATCATCCAGGAGAACTTCCCCAACCTAGCAAGACCTGCCACCATTCAAACTCAGGAAATGCAGAGAACCCCAGTACATTACTCCACAAGAAGATCATCCCCAAGACATATAATCATCAGATTCTCCAAGTTCGAAATGAAAGAAGAAATGTTAAGGGCAACCAGAGAGAAAGGCCAGGTCATCTACAAAGGGAAACTCATCAGACTAACAGCAGCTCAGCAGAAACCCTACAAGCAAGAAGAGATTGGGGGCCAATATTCAACATTCTTAAAGAAAAGAACTTCCAACCCAGAATTTCATCTTTGGCCAAACTAAGCTTCATAAGTGAAGGAAAAACAAGATTCTTTTTAGAAAAGCAAATGCTGAGGGAATTTGTCACCACTGTACCAGCCTTGCAAGAGCTCCTGAAGGAAGTACTAAATATGGAAAGGAAAAACCATTTCCAGCCACTACAAAAACACACTGAACTACACAGACTGGTGATACTGTGAACCAACCATATAAACAAGTCTGCAAAATAACCAACTAGCATCATGACAGGATCAAATTCACACATAACAATACTAACCTTAAATGTAAATGGGCTAAATGCCCCAAGTAAAAGAAACTGAATGGCAAACTGGGAAAAGAGCCAAGACCCATCAATATGCTGTCTTCAAGAGACCCATCTCACGTGCAAAGACACACATAGGCTCAAAATAAAGGGATGAAGGAAAATGTACCAAGCAAATGGAAAACAGAAAAAAAGCAGGGGTTGCAATCCTAGATTCTGACAAAACAGACTTTAAACCAACAAAGATCAAAAAAGACAAAGGAGGTCATTACATAATGATAGAGTTCAACAGGAAGAGCTAACTATCCTAAATATATATGCACCCAATACAGGAGCACCCAGATTCATAAAGCAAGTGCTTTATGAGACCTACAAAAGCAAGTGCTTAGAGACTTAGACTCTACACAATAATAGTGGGAGACTTTAACACTCCACTGACAATATTAGATAGATCATGGAGAAAGAAAATTAACAAAGATATTCAGGACCTGAACTCAGCTCCAGATCAAGTGGACATGGTAGATATCTACAGAAATCTCCACCTAAATTAAAAAGAAGATATATTCTTATTGCCACATGAGACTTACTCTAAAATTGATCACATAATTGGAAGTAAAACACTCTCCAAGAAATGCAAAAGAACTGAAATCGTAACAGTCTGTCAGCCCACAGTGCAATCAAATTAAAACTCAAGATTAAGAAATTCATTCAAAACCACACAACTACATGGAAATTGAACAACCTGTTACTGAATGACTCTTGGGTAAATAATAAAATTAAGGCAGAAATCAAGAAGTTCTTTGAAACTAATGAGAACAAAGAGACAATGTACCAGAATCTCTGGGATACAGCTAAAACAGCATTAAGCAGGAAATTTATAATGCCCACATCAAAAAGCTAGAAAGATCTCAAAAACAAACAACCCCATCAAAAAGTGGGCAAAAGATATGAACAGACACTTCTCAAAAGAAGACATTAATGCAGCCAACAGACACATGAAAAAATGCTCATCGTCACTGGCCATCAGAGAAATGCAAATCAAAACCACAATGAGATACCATCTCACACCAGTTAGAATGGCGATCATTAAAAAGTCAGGAAACAACAGGTGCTGGAGAGGATGTGGAGAAATAGGAACACTTTGACACTGTTGGTGGGACTGTAAGCTAATTCAACCATTGTGGAAGACAGTGTGGCAATTCCTCAAGGATCTAGAACTAGAAATACCATTTGACCCAGCCATCCCATTATTGGGTATATACCCAAAGGATTATAAATCATGCTGCTATAAAGACACATGCATACATATGTTTATTGTGGCACTATTCACACTGGCAAAGACTTGGAACCAACCCAAATGTCCATCAATGATAGACTGGATTAAGAAAATGTGGCACATATACACCATGGAATACTATGCAGCCATAAAAAATGATGAGTTCATGTCCTTTGTAGGGACATGGATGAAGCCGGAAACCATCATTCTCAGCAAACTATCACAAGGACAAAAAACCAAACACCACATGTTCTCACTCATAGGTGGGAATTGAACAATGAGAACACTTGAACACAGGAAGGGGAACATCACACACTGGGGCCTGTCATGGGGTAGGGGGAAGGGGGAGGGATAGCATTAGGAGATATACCTAATGTAAATGACAAGTTAATGGGTGCAGTACACCAACATGGCACATGTATACATATGTAACAAACCTGCATGTTGTGCACACGTACCCTAGAACTTAAAGTATGATAATAAAAAAAATAATAAAAGAAACTTTCAAAAACAACTGAGAGGAATCACTGGTTTTTAATATATTTTTAATATTTTAAAAATATTTCAAATTTATAATAAAGTTGTAAGAATTGCACAATAAAATTCCAAATACCTTTCACTTACAAAAACAAAAAACAAAAAGCTAGAAAGATCTCAAGTTAACAAGGTAACATCTCAACTAAAAGAACTAGAGAACCAAGTGCAAACAAACCCCAAAGCTAGCAGAAGACAAGAAATAACCAAGATCAGAGAGAAGTGAAGGAGATAGAGGCATAAAAAAAAAAATTCAAAAAGTCAATGAATCTAGACGCTGAATTTTAGAAAAAAATAAACTAGATAGACTAGCTAGACTAATAAAGAAAAAATAGAAGAGTCAAATAAACACAATCTGAAATGGTAAGGGGGATATCACCACTGACCCCACAGAAATACAAACAACCATCAGAAAATACTACAAATACCTCTATGCACATGAACTAGAAAATCTAGAAGAAATGGATAAATTCCTGGACACATACACCTTCCCAAGACAGAACAGAGAGAAACTGAATATCTGAATAGATCAATAATGGTTCTGAAATTGAGGCTGTAATAAATAGCCTACCAATATAAAAAAGCCCAGGACAAGACAGATTCAGAACTGAAACTGAATTCTACCAGAGGTACAAAGAAAAGCTGGTACCATTTATACTGAAAGTATTCCTAAAAGATGAAAAGGAAGGACTTTTACCTAACTCATTTTATGAGGGCAGCATCATCCTATACCGAAACCTGGCAGAGATACAACGAAAAAAGTAAACTTCGGGCCAATATCCTTGATGAACATTGATGCAAAACTCCTCAATAAAATACTGGCAAACTGAATCCAGCAGCATATCGAAAGGCTTATCCACCACAGTCAAGTTGGTTTCATTCCCAGGATGCAAGGTTGGTTCAACATACACAAATCAATAACTGTAATTCATCACATAAACAGAGCTACAGACAAAAGACACATGATTATCTCAATATATGCAGTAAAGGCCTCCAATAAAATTCAACTTCCCTTCATGTTAAAAACTCTCAATAAACTAAGTAATGAAGGAACATACCTCAAAATGATAAGAGCCATATGTGATAAACCCACAGCCACTATCATACTAAATAGGCAAAAGCTGGAAGCATTCCCCCTGAAAACCAGCACAAGACAAGGATGCCCTCTTTCACCACTCCCATTTGACAGAGTATTGGAAGTTCTGGCCAGCGCAATCAGGCAAGAGAAAGAAATAAAGCGTATTCAAGTATGAAGAGAGGAAGTCAAATTATCTTTATTTGACATGATTCTATATCTAGAAAACCCCATCGTCTCAGCCCCAAATCTCCTTAAGCTGATAAGCAACTTCAGCAAAGTCTCAGGATATAAAATCAATGTGCAAAAATAGCTAGCATTCCTATACACCAACAACAGGCAAGCAGAGAACCAAATCGTGAATAACCTCCCATTCAAAATTGCTGCAAAAAGAATAAAATACCTTGAAATACAGCTAACAAGGGAAGTGAAGGACCTCTTCAAGGAGAACTACAAACCACTGCTCAAAGAAATCAGAGATGACACAAATGGAAAAACATTCCATGCTCACGGATAGGACGACTCAATATTGTGAAAATGGCCATACTGCCCAAAGTAATTTAGAGATTTAATGCTATTCCCATTGAACTACCATTCAGATTCTTCACAGAATTAAACAAAAATATTTTAAAATTCGTATGGAACCAAAAAGAGCCCAAATAACCAAGACAATCCTAAGCAAAAAGAACAAAGCTGGAGGCATCATGCTACCTGACTTCAAACTATACTACAAGGCTACAGTAACCAAAACAGCATAGTAATGGTATAAAAACAGACACATAGACCAATGGAACAGAATAGAGAATTCAGAAATAAGACTGCACACCAACAACCACCTGATCTTCAAAAAACTTGACAAAAACAAGCAATGAGGAAAGGACTCCCTATTTGATAAATGGTGCTGGAAGTGCTGGCTAGACATATGCAGAAAATTGGAATGGACCCCTTCCTTACACCATGTACAAAAACTAACTTAAGATGGATTAAAGACTTAAATGTAAAACCCAAAACTATAAAAACCCTAGAAGAAAATCTAGGCAACACCATCCAGGACATAGGCATGGGCAAAGATTTCATGACGAAAATGCCAAAAGCTATTGCAACGAAAGCAAAAATTGACAAATGGGATCTAATTAAACTAAAGAGCACAGCAAAAGAAACCATCATCAGAGCAAACAGATAACCTAAAAAATGGGAGAAAATTTTTGCAATCTATCCATCTGACAAAGGTCTAATGTCCACAGTCTACAAGGAACTTAAACAAATTTATCAGGGGAAAAAAAAACCCATTAAAAAGTGGGCAAAGGATATAAACAGACACTTCTCAAAAGAAGACATGCATGTGGCCAACAAACATATGAAAAAAAAAGCTCAACATCCCTGATCATTAGAGAAATGCAAATCAAAACCACAATGAGATATGAGATATCATCTCACACCAGCCAGAATGGTTATCATTAAAATGTCAAAAAATGACAAATGCTGTCAAGGTTGCAGAGAAAAAGGAGCACTTTTACACTGTTGGTGGGAAGGTAAATTGGTTCAACTATTGTGGAAGACAGTGTGGCGATTCCTTAAAGACCTGGAGGCAGAAATACTGTTTGACCCAGCAATCTCATTACTGGGTTTATACCCAAAGGAATATAAATCATTCTATTATAAAGATACATGCATGCATATGTTCACTGCAGCACCATTCATAATAGCAAAGACATGGAATCAAACTAAATGCCCATCCCTGATAGGCTGGATAAAGAAAATGTGGTACATATATACCATGGAATACTATGCAGCCATAAAAAGGAACGAGATCATGTCCTTTGCAGGGACATGGATGGAGTTGGAAGTCATTATCCTCAGCAAACTAATGCAGAAACAGAAAACCAAACACTGCATGTTCTCACTTAAAAGTCGGAGCTGAATGATGAGAACACATGGACATATTGGGAGGAACAACACACACTGGGGCCTGTCGGCAGGGGGTTGGGGGAGGAAGAACATCAGGAGGAATGGATGCTGAGCCCTAGGTGATGGGATGACCTGTGTAGCAAACCACCATGGCACACGTTTACCTATGTAACAAACCTGCACATCCTGCACACGTACCCTTGAAATTAAAAGTTGAGGGGGAAAAAAAATCTTGAGTGTAAATTGTAAAACACAAGCCTTGCAAGTATTTTGAAATTAAAATGTCTTCTTTTTATATTTTCTGGTTGCTAATTCTGTATAAATTAATTAAAGCCAAACTTCTCTCTTTCTCTAAAAAAAAAAGGAATTTCCAAAGACACCAAAATACTAAATTAGTAAGATTGTCTACACTGCTTCACTAAATTTAATTTACTTCATCCACATCTGAGAAGCCTCCTGAATATATTCAGAAAGCTCAGTTAATAAGTTTAATAATTTTTTGTTTTAGAAGTGAAATGACAATGATTTAGAAAAAGGAAATTGCTTTCAAATTTATATAATTACACAGCCCAATTAAAATAGATAATAGCTATAAAGTTTCTCACCCATAGAAAACACTCAATAATGTTAACTAATATTACCTTTTAGTGTAGCAATATAACTATGTTTTTATACCATTGTTGGCATTATTTAATTTGAAGAAATACTGTATAAAATGAAACTGCAATAATCAAAAAATACTGATGGAAAAGACTGCCCGTTGATGACAGAGTGCCTGCCATGTACAGTCAAGCAGGTTGGACACTGCTCATTCCCATCTGCACCACTCATGAAAACCCCAATACAACAGCATGCCCTAAAGATATGTCAGGCATCACAACACAACCTACTCAGCAGCTACTGATAGATGCTATTACTAGAAAAGCTGTTCTTCATCTCATTACTGAAGCAAAATATAGAGACCTTTTCAGTGCACAGTAAAATTAATTGTAACTGAAAATGGAAGGAGCAGCACTCACATTCACATTCAGAAACCAGCCTCTCTGTTAACTCTGAGCATATTTGCAACAGAATCCAAATGCTACAGCTGAGGTTTCCAGCAACTTGTACGTGCACAAAACAGCTAAAGAGCCTGGCTAACAGCCCTTGTCTAGTTTGCCTGTGGGTGATGATCTCTAATGATGGAAGCAATGCAATATTGGGCGTCAGCAGAACAAATGCCTTAAAATGAGGATACTAATGACACTTAACTATCTCACAAGGCTGTGGAAAGGATCGAACTGAGAGAAAGCACTTTGGGGACAATATGGTGACATCAGAATATAATGAATCATCTGCAATTTGCACTTAACTTTGCTAACCTCCTAAGTAAAGACTGGAGTCTGGGTGCCTTGGAGTAACTCTAAACCCACATGGCAATGTCTTTCCTATGTGAAATCTGCCACTGTCATTGCTGTCATCTGGCTGAAAACAAACTGGTTCACTTTGCAGCAGACATTTCTTCAGCCTTACTTCCTGCTCTCTCCCCCGTGAGCATGAAGCCTATCTTCAGGCTAGGAGGCTTTGGTGGGTGGCATCATTAGGAACCACCATACTAGTTCCCTTGGAGGCACCCTGAGACAGCCCATGCTGGCATCCAACTATGGAATGCCCATTAAAACAACTATGGAATACCCATTAAACCTCCAGAGCAGTGGTATAAAGAAAGCACCACCATTCAGCTGGGAGGAAGGTGTTTTAGAACATAATAGAGGCTTTTATAGATGCCACAATGATTGGAGGGGCTAGTGTCATTTGATGGGTAGGGGTCGGGGATGCCAGACATGCTGAAATGTGTAGGAGAATTTCACAAAATGAAGAATTATTTTGTATACCACACAACTTTCAAATGTCAGATATCAGATATTATCCATACAGATGGAACACCTATTTATAATGATCTGTTTTACATTTAAACAAAAAGCATTTGGGGTGTAATTTTAACATATTTTAAGTTTTTCAGGAATACAACCTCTGGGTAAATTCAGGGAAGATCTTTGCTGAGGATTTAGCAGTTCAGAATATCACATCATCATCAGGGATGCTAAGGAGTTGAGTTGCCTACCTCATGGCACATGTCACCACCCTGCGTCTGTTGGGTGGTTCCCTTGATGCCCATTTTCCCCTTATTCAAAGTATCTCACACTTTGATTCTGCCTTCTAGTGAGTCATGCTTGAGAAAAACCTTTGGAAATTCTTATTATAAATAATTTTCTCCTAATTTCTCCTTATATTACAGTTAGAGCATTATTTTGACTTAGTTAAGTGTAGGTAGACTGTGTTTTCTAAAAGTTACACCTCAGGATGGTAGCGAGAACATTACAAGGTTTTTGTTTTTTAGGGGGACACTGGACCTGAAAGTATGACAACCACAGCTCAAGCACATGTGAAACTGTCAGGTCTCTATAGATGTCTCATAGTTGTTACTAACCAGACCCATTCCTCCTGAGGTGGGCTAAACTGAGTGATCTAATGTTGATCATCTTGGCAATACTTGCTCTGGGAGGCATGCTGTACTCTTGAATTCAGGGTAAAAAGGAGAAAGGTGAAGGAAGAGTGGGAGAGGAAAAAAGAGCAGATCACCACTCCACTTCTGGAAAATATGATGGAGTGAAAAGAGCAGTGGCCTAAGACACCTGGACTCAGGTTCCCAGCTAAGCCACGGCTATCTGAACAACATTAGGCATGCCACTTCAGTTCTATAGTCTTGGACTTTTTACCTGCAAAATGGACCAGACCCTCCCCAGTCCAGCATTCTGTGGCTCCATCTTAGACTATGTCTGTCCATAAACTGTCCTACTTAAAGTTATATGTAGAAAGAGAAAAGGAGACAGGGGCACTAAGATTTTTAATAAATGTCTACTCGGCTGGATACTTTAAATATATGAGCATGTGATATTCATAAGTCATGAGAAAAATGAGGCATAGGCAAGTTAAGGTCACAAAATTAGGAAGCAACAGAGCGGAGGTTTGTATCCATGCCTGTCTGATTCCAAAGCCCATGCTTTCTCCAAACTTACCATGTTGGCTGAAGAGAAGGAGATCTGAGAAGCCCAGAGAGACTCTCACTTCTTAACTAAGGGGGAAGAAGCTTCTCTGTTACTGGCCCCATTTCATCTGCTGAACCCATGGTGTCCTTACATGTAGGGTGCCCATTCATCCCCATTTGCCTGGAACAGTCCCACTCTATGTCTGTCATAGTGTCAGTATGGCAGTATTGTTAAAATTCCCTTTTCACTCTCAAATAAATTTTATGATAACTTAATTATAAGTAAGCTCTCCTGTGATGGTATCATAGCCACGATAGAAGCCACACACATACACAAAAACCACTGGCTGTTGCGGGACTTAATGACTTAGGTTAGAAATAAAATAAACTTTATTACTATACTCTCTACATGTTCTATCAGTCCCTCAAATGTTTTCTATTCACAATAAGCAGCATGCAGACTTCTAAAATTTAGTAAGATAGTATACCATTAACCTCACATGTGACTCCTTTATCGCTCCTTTTTGGAGGATAAAGTTTAATACTTCAAGCGAAACTCCTGTCCCATGGGTTTAAAGAAAAATCCTAAGAATGACATTTACTTTTCCAGATGAGAGTTTTTACTTTCAGCAATGGACACTGCAGAAGATCTAATACTACAAATGTTCCTGGTGCCTCTGAATATCTTTGGGAGTCACCAATTCATTCTATTAAAAACCTATGAAGAGTCATTCCAGTGACTCAGGAAAGTATCCACAAAAGGAAACTTAGACACACACACACACACACACACACACACACACACACACAGCAGATCCTAATACTCTCCCATCGCTGCTCCCCAGCTGAAATCTGGAACACTGCCTCTCATGTAAACATCTTCTCCTGGGACTCAGGGCTGCCAGCATAGGCTGGCATTCTTCTTGTTCTTCTTTCCCCATCCTTAGGCTTCATCCTTGCAGACTAAACTCTCTCTTCTCCAAGTAGCCATCATTTGCCAGCCTCTTGGTTATGCCTCTACTTTTGCTGACCATCTTGACACCATGGTCAGTTGCTCTCCCCACCTGCTGAAATGGCTCTCACAAAGTCTCCAATGATCACCATATTGCTAAAGCCAATGAGTGTTTTCTTCTGTCCTCCTACAGATCACTCAACCTCTGAGGTTCCATACTCTCTTGGTTTCCATCCAATGATTCTAAGCTACCTCTGTCTTCACAGTCTCTTCACTACTTGTGAGGGCCTAAACTCTCTGCTCTTCTTGCTCTGTACCCTCTTTCTTGGTGTTTCAACCATATTTATGGCTCCAATATGCTACTACAGTATTGTTCAACCTGGTACTACAGGTCACCAGTGTCCCTTAAGGTTCTGCCAGCTGTCCCTTGAAAAGAGTGTTCCATGGTCAGCTAAGTTTGGGAAACTGCACACTCTATCACTCTTTTGGATATTACCATCAAGGTTAAAAATCCAAACTCTGAAGTCACCTTTCTGGGTTCGAATCCTGGCTTTGTACTAATTGCCACCGACAGTTTCTTAATTACCTAATTGTGCTATTCCCAGTTTCCTCATCTGTAAAATGGGGAAAATTTCAGCACATACTGCATGCAGATATTGTGTGGAGAGGAATACCTGAGTTAATACATGCAAAGTGCCTGACACTGGTAAGCACTCAATAATATTACTACTAGTATATAAAAATGTCTGCAAGGTCCTGAATAGAAGAAATCAGTTTCATGTAACTCAATATTTCTCAAATTAATTCTCCCAGAGAACATAGAACACAACTTAGTTTGGAAAATCCATGTTGCTGAATCTCTGGTCTATCTCAACTCAGAACCCTCCAATGAGATTTACCAGGCAACTGTACATAGGAACATCGACTTCAATACATCCAAACCCAAATGCATCATCTCCCTCCCAACTCTTTACCTCCAATAACACACACTATGTAGTAAATGACACCATATTTTCTTCAGTTTCTTATATCAGCAATCCAAGGATTGGCCAAAATTACTTGTTTTCATGCACTGCTCACATCTGTCATTAACTTCTGCAAACTCTGCCACCTTCTTCATTTTCAAAGTTATCCCTGCCTCTCCATTCTTATCACTTCTTAACTGGATGATAGCAATGGCTTCCTAACTGGTTTCCTTGATTTCAGTCCAGCTTATTGTAAGTTGTTTCCAGAATAATCATTTTTAAATGCCTAATTATTTATATCAGTCCTCTTCTTAAAAGGTTTCTCAGCCTTTCAGGTTAAATATTAAATTAAACTCTTTAGCCTGGTACAAAAAGCATTACTCTACCACATACGCTTCCTCCCTGCCCACCTATTGAGGGGTTCCCATATGTGTCATGCTATGTCATGCCTCTGTGTCTTTGCACAGACTGCTACTTCTTCCTGGAATGTCCTCTGCACCCAGATAGCTCTTACTCATCCTCTAAGACCCTATGTGTTATGTCCTCTGGGAAGGCTCTCCTATCCCCCACTCCCGGACTGAGATATATGCTACTTATCTGGTACTTTTCATGGTTGACTCCTTATGGCCCATTTCTCTCCAAATGATTAGTCTAAGCCAGTCGTGGTAATTCCAGTCTCTTGGTCACATTTGGTTTTAAAACGGGCATATGGGCCAACCCTGAAAATAAAAATCAAAGGGGAAGAGGGGAGGGGGCCTGAGGGGATGGATTTTTGAGAAAGGTTTTTACTTCTAAGAAGATCATCCTGGAATGGTACAGACTCCTTATCTGTTGACATTGTTGTAACTGAAAGAAACAGCAGAAACTGGCAGCCGTCCTATGGTGCTGACAGCAACGGCATGAGGGGAAGCTTGGCTGACTGAGAAGAGTGATGTAGAGATAAAATGAAACTGGTCCTCAACCCTGGAATCCTCTCTGACTCTGGACTTGTCTTGGATAATAAATCACCTTATTATTTAAACCAGTGCTAATTAGAATTCCTCATTACTTGCTGATGATGGCATCCTAAGTGATGCAGCTGTCATACCATCTTCTGGATCTCTTTATCTTCACAGTCAGTCATTACACTGTGCTGCAGATTTATTATGGGTTTTTCCACTAAAATTTTATCTCCTGAAAGGAAGGGACTTGAAATATCTACTAGAGAATTGTAGAAATCATTACATGTCATGGCAAACATTATATAATAGCAAAACGTTGGAAGAATTCCCACCAAAGTCAGGAACATTACAAAGAATTATCACCACACATCAGTATTGGCCCTAGCTAATGCAATATGATGAAGACAAAAAATAAGAAGTGTAAATATTGGAAAGTAAGGCACAAAACTCTAGTTCCAGATAATAGAATTATCTACATAGAAAAGAGATGAAAATGAAACAGGACAATTAATAAGAGTTTAAAAAGGTGTTGGAATGCAAGATCAACATATTAAAGCAGGTGGTTTACTGCATACAGAAGAGACAATATAAAAAATGATAATGGAAAGTATCATTCAAAATAGCCAAATGCACAAATTAAAACATCCATATATATCCAGGAATATCCATAACAAGAAGCCTGGAAAACTTGCATGAGGACAATGTTAAAATATAACAAAGTAGCATAAAAGAAAATCTCAATAAATAGAAAAACATAATATTGTTCCTGAATAGTGGCCTTGATACATTGAAAATTCAGCTCTCCTCTCATTAATCTAAAATTTGATGCAATTTCAATAGAAAATCCAACACACTTTCAAAAAAGACAAATGGTAAATGTACACATTAATAATCAAAAACTTCTGGAAAATAAATCAGTGAGCACATCCAGACAATGGAATATTATTCAGTGCTAAGAAATGCCATGAAAAGCTATAGAGGAAGCTTATATGCATATTATTCAGTGAAAGAAGCCAGTCTGAAAAGACTGCATATTGTATGATTCCAACTAATTGACATTCTGAAAAAGGCAAAATTATGAATATCATAAAAAGACCAGTGGTTGCCAGGAATTAGGGGAAGAGAGAGAGAAATAGGTGGAACACAGAACTTTTAGGGCAGTCAAACTATTATGTATGATACAACAGGGGTAGATACATGCCATTAAACATTTGTCCAAACCCACAGAATGTACACCACCAAGGTGAACCCTAACGCAAACGATCAACTTTGAATAGTCATGATGTCTCAATGCAGGCTCATCAAGTGTAACAAATGTACTTCTCTTGTGTGGGATGTTGATGATGGGGGAGGCTGAGCATGTGTGAGGGAAATTCCCCATATGTGGAAAATTTCTATGCCTTCCTTTTAATTTTACTGTGAACCTAAAAATCATTCTAAAAGTATAACTTCCTTTGAAAAAAAGCAATGCAGGGGAAACCTGACCTACCTGATATTAAAACTATACTGTATAGTAATGGAGCAGGAATAATAAAAGATATAATTCAGAAATATACCCTTTAATATAATGGAAAATTTGTTTATGAAAAAGTTTTGCAAAAAGTTGCTAACCAATTGTGGGGGGAGGGGGGAAGGTATATCCCTATACCATGTCATGCACGTGTAAAAATTCCTAAGAAGATAAAGGGTTAAACTAAAAAAAAAATTAGATACCACGTGAAATTGCCAATTTTGAAGGTCATAAGCAGTTATTATCAGCAATTTCATAGAGTTCAAGTAAATGCATTAATTATGAAGAATAAAAACAGGAAACACTTTTATAATCTTGGCATGGGGAAAACTAACATAAAAACAGAAACCTAAAATATACAGAAAGCAAATAGTTTGCACATACAGAAGTTCTCTGTGCATATAAAAAGTGCCCGTGTCGGCCAGGTGCGGTGGCTCATGCCTGTAATCCCAGTACTATAGGAGGCCAAGACGGGCGGATCACGAGGTCAGGAGATTGGGATCATCCTGGCTAACACGGTGAAACCCCGTCTCTACTAAAAATACAAAAAATTAGCCGGGCGTGGTGGCAGGCGCCTGTAATATCAGCTACTCGGGAGGCTGAGGCAGGAGAATGGTGTGAACCCGGGAGGTGGAGCTTGCAGTGAGCCGAGATGGTGCCACTGCACTCCAGCCTGGGCAACAGAGCGAGACTCTTAAAAAAAAAAAAAAAAAAAAAAAAGTGCCTGTGTCATAAAGTTAACATTAAATAAAAGTTGAAAGCCAAGAACCAATTAGGAGAGAAAACATTAACATTTGTAAAATATAAAGGATTAATATTCACATTATAAAAGAAATACTACAATCTATAAGGAAAGGACAAAAACACAATAGAAATGTACTAAGTAAACAAATAGGCAGTTCTGCAAAGAAGAAATGAAAATACACAATTATTTGAAAAGATCCTCATCTTCACTGATAAAAAGGGATATGCAAATTAAAACAATGAAATCTCATTTTCCTTTCAACCATTTTGCAAAACTTTTAAGAAACTGGCCATATCAGGGTGAGTGATTATGTGGGGGAATAGTCAAGCTCATACTCACCTTGTTAGAATTTGCTTTTAGAGGATAATTTGCCCATTTCCATTAAAAGTTACAATTCGTATATCCTTCAACCCAACAATTATACTTTGAAGCATCTATTAAAGAGAAATGCCTCTGTATACATATGCATTGCAGTACCATCTGTTACAGCCAAAAAACGAGCCATAACCATTTCCAACAATAATTTGGTAATTAAATAACTGAGTTATGATATCTTTATATTACCTAATATTATCCAGCCATTTATAAAAAGGATGTATATTAATATGTATGGATATGGAAAGTCCTTCAAGTCATATGATAAAGTAAGAAAACTAATTCTGCAATAATATATCTTGAACAATCCCATTTATAAAAAAAAAAAATCCTATATCCCATGTGGCAGTATTCATAGATCAACTATTGGGAGTATTAACGGAAAGCATCTATATATTTGTTCTTTTAAAAACTCTTTTATACAAGAACACATCATGTATTATGTCATTATACAAATATAATCAATTTCGTCTCAATTCACTTAGAAGTCAGTTTCACACATGTGCATGAGATATAGCCAATTACAGACATTTTCCAGGTTGTATTTTGTGTTAATCAATTGGTAAAAACCACATTTATACATATAGCCACAGCTTCTTTCTTGCTGTAAGCTCTAACTTTTTAAGTTCCTATTTCAATTCCTATTTCCCTCAAGGACCATAAAATAACAAAATATATTTACAATGAAAAGGAAATTGGCAGAAGGTCAGTTCCAATTCTTTGGCCAATATTTTGAGTAAAGCTCTGCCTTGAGGATAAAAGTGGTGCTCCGCCTCACCCCAGCAAGCAAGCAGATCTGAGCTCTGACCCTTTCAACAATGAAAGGAGGGGGAGCGTGTTGTGATCATCCATTCTGCCTTCTCCCTAATCTTCTCATGTTATGGAACAATCTGGAGGTACACACCACCACTGCCTCCCTCTCCCTCCTGACTCACTGCTGACTAGGGTGTAATTTGTATTTATGACAACTTTATATCATTTGGAACACACCCTCCTGTTTCCCCTTTGCACTGGCTTGCTCACCCTCCTTCCCACTCGTCTCTGCTTTTCTCCCTTCCTCTCTCTCTTTTCATCCTTATCAAAAACCTCTGACACCAAATTCACCCTGGGCCTCTCTCCACCAGCAGTGAGCAGGAAGCTGGAAGCCCGCACACTTCAGGAACAGGATGACAGCCCAGGGCACCACACATACCAGTGTTACGAGCTGTGACCTTGGAGCCGAGTCTCAGCAGACGAACAAACACATTACTGTTGCAGTGGTTCACCATGTGCAATTGGAGGCTTCGTCGAGTCTGGATCTTGACCAAGCATTTTGCCATACTGGTTATTCCAATCCCCTTGGTCTCCTCGGCCTGCATGGCCCAGGGCAGCCTTTCCCTAACAGTCCATTCTGTTTTAAAGGACCTAGGCAGGACCCACTGAATGAATCAAATGTCAGGTTCCTAATGCGGCCAACAGAAATAACTCATGAGGGATCAGCATTGGGAGGGGAGGAGGGAGGGGACGCTATTTTTAAACTCTCCACTCACCCCTCTAACAAACAATGAAAGATTATGCATCATCCCTACTCTAGCCTTTCTAAACCTTCCGGACCAAAACAGAGGACCCTGTCCAAATGCCTCATCATTTCCTAAGAATCAAATGTCCCCAAAAGATAAGATGACAACTGGATAATTCCATAATGGAGAAATAACCCACTTTTTCTTCTAAAAATTGCTCCTCCAGCCTTTATTATATTCTACAGCAGTACTGTCCAGTAAGATTATAACACAAGCCACTTCAAAGAGGGAAAAAAAGCATTTAAAAAGCAAAATAAATGTATTACAATTAATTTTAATAATGTGTTTTATTTGAAATCGAGATATTCAAATAGTATCTCAACAGGTAATGATATCAAAATTTATTAATAATTAATCAACTCTTTTATTAATAAAGAGTTTGCATTCTTTTTTGGGACGAAGCCTTTGGAATTAGTGTGTGTTGCACACTGCACATGTATAGCACATCTCAATTCGAACCAGCTCCATTTCAAGTGTTCAGTAGCTATATATGGTTGCTGTCATGGTAATCTCAGCTCTTTTCAAAGTGCTGGATTCCTCACATGCCTTATCTCCATCTCATAACAATGCTAATCTTTTCTTCACTTTACAGATAAGGAAACGACAACTTAGAGAGAGTAACTGACCTGACCACAATCACGAAGTTAGTAAGTGGCAAAGCCATGATTTGAACCTAGGCTTCCAATTAATATCGGCTGACTAAAGTTAGTGTTCTAAATGCAGGTGCCATGCAACCACTACATTCTGACTTTTCATGAAAAGGATGAGAAGAAAAAATTTTCCTCACACAATTTCAACACGCCTGCATACATTCTTCTACTTTAAATATCTGTCACCAAAAGATGATTTTCTAATAATCCTCTATGAAACAAAGGTTTATTCAGAGCAGGAATTGAAATTCCATGTTGTTATGCATCAATATAAAATTGATTTAGCATTTCTGGAAAGAAAATTAGCAAAATACATGGATTTTTATAGCTGTGGTATTCTTTGAACCAGAAATTCCACTTTTAAGAATTAACCCTGAGAAAATAATCAGAAATGCTGACAAAAATCTTAAGACAAAGATGTTCATCAGAGTATCATTTATTATAGCCAAAAATGTTTTTTAAGTCAACCTATATTTCCAGTGGGAAAATGGTTAAATACATGTGATGAAATATTGCACAGACATTAAAATTCATGTTTAGAAGAATTTAATGATGTGAGAAAATGCTTGCAATATACTACTAACTGAAAAAAGCATCTTTATATAAATGGTGTGGCATCGACTATGTAAAACTGCACACAGGATAAATGTAAGACCAGACAGTAAATCCCAGAAGGGAAAAAGGGTGTTGCCAGCCATGCACTGTGGCTGAGGTGGGGCAGGCCATTTCCAGGGACCTCAATGGGCCCCCCACTCCCCTCTCCTGGGTGAGCAGCCTCCAGTGTGGCAGAGGAGTTCCTACTCTCACAGGAGTTAGTTAATTTTCAACCCTGAAGCTTGAAAGGAAAATATCCCTAAAAGTTCTCAAAATCTTCAACCCTTTGCAATTCCCCCTGATTATATAATTCTGAGCAGAATCCCCAGGTTTAAAACAGATAGACTGACGCAAAGGTGGGGCCCAGGACTAGTACCTACTACACCTCCCTCACTAGTCACCAACAATGGTTCTTGAAGAACTACTAAAAATCTTTAGGACACTGAAGAACAAATCTGAAAATCACTGTTCACAATAAATCACTACTTTGCAGTAACACACGATGAATTTCATAGATTAACCGGGGCTCATTTGCATGGCAGTAGGCCATGGCTCAATACTGAGGAAATCTCCCTTTGGCCTGTCTGAAGGGAATATAGATAAATCTTTATGTTTATCATCATGTTAAAACAACATATGACCTGACAGCTCACTTGAAACAAACAGACCTTCCAAAGACAAAAGAGAAAACAAGTAAAAAACCTGAAACAAAACTATCACCATATTTTATTTCTGTTTTTTTCTACCAGGATAGTTATTCTCCATAATTCTCAAGCTTAACATCTCACCATTGTTTCAAATGCCTCCTTCCTACCTTTCATTTTAAAAGTATTATTATCTTTGGGAGGCCGAGGCCGGCAGATCACTTGAGATCAGGAGTTCAAAACAAGCCTGGCCAACATGGTGAAACCCCATCTCTATTAAAAATACAAAAAAATTAGCCAGGCGTGGTGGCGGGCACCTGTAATCCCAGGTACTCGGGAGGCTGAGGCAGGAGAATTGCATAAACCCGGGAGGCGGAGGTTGCAGCAAGCCGAGATCTCACCGCCGCACTCTAGCCTGGGAGACAGAGTGAGACTCTGTCTCAAAAAACAAAAGTATTATTATTATTTTACTATAAACAAACAAACAAAAGTATTATTATTATTTTAACTATAGCCAGTCATAATATTTAGCATTTCACATGTTTTTCACTTTTTCCCCTCTTAAACCTGCTCTCACTCTTTACGCTACTTTTCAGAGATCGTAAGTAGATTCCTTTACTCTTGCTTTTTATGGATCTTCTCCTTTCATGGAGAAAGATAAGCTAGCAAGACAAGCATTCTATATTGCCTCAGCCATTTCTCTCTACCTTGTCTGACTCTGCCCACAGGGGTGTCTACCTTTCAAGAGGAACAAGAAAAGAGAGGTGGGAATATGGAACCAAGCCAAAGATTCTGCAGGATCCTGCACAGTGAGCATTGTTCTGGTTCAGGCCACTGTGCTCAACTGAACAGTATCAGTAGCACAACATTTGGATGCCCTTGAATACTGTTCCTGTTTCAATTCATTTGTTTGTCTGAGAATTGGGAATGCATGTCTGGGCAGTGACAAGAGGCCAAAGAAAGCAGAAGATGTGTGAAGAGGAGAATCGATTTTCCATAATGAGATGTCAGAAACACTGCTTGCTAAGTCAGCCTGAAACCAAAGAAGAAGAATGGCATTCAGTGATAAGAACTGTTCATGAGCCTGAATTCCATGGCTGCTCCTGCACAAACCACCGGACACAGATCCGGGGAAAGGCAACAAAGTTGCCTCTACTTTGTGAGTGGCTAGAAGTTACTGGACATCTGGGAGCCCTGGTGCCTTGACTGTAAAATGGAGACAACAACTCCTCTCATGGTTGTTATGACAAGGAAATGAGAGATACATATCAAGTGCCTAACATAGAGCTGGCTCCTATGAACCAGAACTTATTAAGCAATTGTAGAAGGCAAGATTTAAAGCACAGACTTTGGAGCAGTCCTTGGGTTCCAATCCTGGCTGCATCGTTTATCATCTCTGAGCCTCAGTTTCCACATCTGTAACAAAAGCTTTCATTTTACAGATGTAAAAGCAGTGTGTACCTCCAAGGGGTGGTTGTGAGGATTAATCAAGTTAATACACATGGCATTCTCAGATCAGTGCCTTGCACGGCAATTTACTCAATAAATGTTAGCGATTTTTTTTCAATACATGGTCATTTTTTTTTTTTTTGGTCTCTTTTTAACTGCTCAAGAGGAAGACTGTGAGGATTTTAAATAGCCTGGATTCTCTTCCTTCTGTCAACCATATGTCTTAACATACTATTACGAGTTACTCCTCCCCAATAGTAGCAGTATTGCTGGTTGTGAGGAGTTAACCCGGCCATGCCTATTACCTTGGGAAACCTACAGAAGCCTGCTGAATGCAATTTTCTATCTGCAAAATGGTGAGGATACTGGGTGTTTACATGACTGGGTTCCTGACATGGAATAGGCATTTAATAAATACTAACTATAATTATATCATCATCAATATCATGCAATTTATCTACATTAGAAACCAACAGACTTGACAAGTATAGTGGAGTCAGCCATTAGTTAAAATAGTTTGAGAGATTCACTGAAATTTTAGCTAACTGCTAGCTCCAAGTGGAAAGATAATAAATTATTATTACATTCATTAAATGTTCTTTGTAATCAGGTTAGACATTAAGTATCCATTAAAAAGAGTCCTTGGGACTAACATATACTTCAGAGGACTTTTTAAAGATTGTATTAATAAAACATATAAACAATAATTTTAATAATATATTTATGATAGGAGGGGTATATTCTTGGGTATACAGTAAAAAGAAAGGGAAGCTGTTCCCAACATCACTGAGAGACTGAGAGAAAGGACCATATGGCCAGGTAATCAACCATTTGTATAACTTAATTTCCTTGTTTGGAAAGTGAGACAACAGTATCTGTTCTATCCAATTCAAAGAAATGGTCATGAGTGTCAAATTATGATAACTTACATGAACAAAACCCTGGAAATGCATAAGATGCTTTGGCATATTAGACACTGTTCCTCTTATGATTTCCCATATCAGACTGAATGTTTCCTGCCTGTAAGCTGAGATAACTGCTCTCTGGGGCCCAGCATCACCTTGTAGAGTCTGGGGAAAGGTCAATAAAAATCCTCTGGAGAATACAGTTGCAGACAAAGTATAGTTCAAGCAGCACAGCTGGGCATTCTTCAACACCACTGTTCTCAGTAGCTCTAAGACCTCCTTATCATGACTTACTTCCTTGTATTTTCCTGACTCTCCAACTTATTTATAAACGGAAAAGAGCACATCATTCAAAGCAGTCGGTTAACTTAGGTAAGGAAAGCCAACAAGCATGATTGTGACTCAAGATAGTTGCTCTTGTTAAGTCACTGCTCCTGCTCTCCCTCTCCCTCCCCCTCCCCCTCTCCCTCCATCTCTGTCTCCCTCTCTCTCCTCTGTCTCCCTCTCTCTCCACGGTCTCCCTCTGATGCCTAGCTGAAGCTGGACTGTACTGCCGCCATCTTGGCTCACTGCAACCTCCCTGCCTGATTCTCCTGCCTCAGCCTGCCCAGTGCCTGGGATTGCAGGCGGGCGCCGCCACGCCTGACTGGTTTTCGTTTTTTTTTTTGGTGGAGACGGGGTTTCGCTGTGTTGGCCGGGCTGGTCTCCAGCTCCTAACCCCAAGTGATCTGCCAGCCTTGGCCTCCCGAGGTGCCGGGATTGCAGACGGAGTCTCGTTCACTCAGTGCTCAATGTTGCCCAGGCTGGAGTGCAGTGGCGTGATCCCCGCTCGCTACAACCTCCACCTCCCAGCCGCCTGCCTTGGCCTCCCAAAGTGCCGAGATTGCAGCTTCTGCCCGGCCGCCACCCCCTCTGGGAAGTGAGGAGCATCTCTGCCTGGCCGCCCATCGTCTGGGATGTCAGGAGCCCCTCTGCCCGGCCGCCCAGTCTGGGAAGTGAGGAGCGCCTCTGCCCGGCTGCCCAGTCTGGTAAGTGAGGAGCGCCTCTGCCCGGCTGCCCAGTCTGGGAAGTGAGGAGCGCCTCTTCCCGGCCGCCATCCCATCTAGGAAGTGAGGAGCGTCTCTGCCCGGCCGCCCATCATCTGAGATGTGGGGAGTGCCTCTGCCCCGCCGCCCCGTCTGGGATGTGAGGAGCGCCTCTGCCCGGCCACGACCCCATCTGGGAGGTGAGGAGCGTCTCTGCCCGGCCACCCCGTCCGAGAAGTGAGGAGCCCCTCCGCCCGGCAGCCGCCCCGTCTGAGAAGTGAGGAGCCCCTCCGCCCGGCAGCCGCCCCGTCTGGGAAGTGAGGAGCATCTCCGCCCGGCAGCCGCCCCGTCCGGGAGGGAGGTGGGGGGCAGCCCCCACCCAGCCAGCTGCCCCGTCCGGGAGGTGGGGGGGGGCGCCTCTGCCCGGCCACCCCTTCTGGGAAGTGAGGAGCCCCTCTGCCCGGCTGCCACCCCATCTGGGAGGTGTACCCAACAGCTCATTGAGAACGGGCCATGATGACGATGGTGGTTTTGTCGAATAGAAAAGGGGGAAATGTGGGGAAAAGATAGAGAAATCAGATTGTTGCTGTGTCTGTGTAGAAAGAAGTAGACATGGGAGACTCCATTTTGTTCTGTACTAAGAAAATTTCTTCTGCCTTGGGATGCTGTTAATCTATAACCTTACCCCCAACCCCGTGCTCTCTGAAACATGTGCTGTGTCCACTCAGGGTTAAATGGATTAAGGGCGGTGCAAGATGTGCTTTGTTAAACAGATGCTTGAAGGCAGCATACTGGTTAAGAGTCATCAGCACTCCCTAATCTCAAGTACCCAGGGACACAAACACTGCGGAAGGCCGCAGGGTCCTCTGCCTAGGAAAACCAGAGACCCTTGTTCACTTGTTTATCTGCTGACCTTCCCTCCACTATTGTCCTATGACCCTGCCAAATCCGATCAATAAATACTAAAAAAAAAAAAAAAAAACCTGGGGAAAAAAAAAAAAGTTACTGCTCCTGTTACAAAGAATGCATACAGTTCCTCACCCCCTCCAAGAAATTGACTAAGATTTATGCACAAAGTGTCTAAAATTATCATATTCTGCTCCAATAGGATAACATTTAAATGCACTTTAAAATAAAATTAGAACAAAAATACAAAAAAGTCACTTGGTGTTTTCTTTTCTTTTTTTTGAGACAGGGTCTTGCTCTGTCACCCAGGCTGGAGTTCAGTGGCCCATCCATAGCTCACTGCAGCCTCGACCTCCTGGGCTTCAAAGTGATCCTCCTGCCTCAGCCTGCCAAGCAGCTAGGACTGTAAGTACACGCCATCAAATTTGGATAATTTTTTTACATTTTTTTATAGAGACGGCATCTCACTAGGTTTCTCAGGCTGGTCTTGAACTCCTAGCCTCAGGGATCTTCCCACCTCAGCCTCCAAAAGCACTAAGGATTACAGGCATGAGCCATCATGCCTGGCCCATTTGTTCTTTTTAAATGATATAAAAAGCCTGATGCATTATAAATATGCACAGCACTTATTATGAGTTCTCAGTGGAAGCAAATTAGAACTCTGGATTTTGTGTTTTACTCTACAACACAGGACTTCTATTTAATCTTAGGGCTTCAGGTCAGGACCAGAAGAGTCAGCTAGATTGAGTCCTCTCCCTTCAGTCATCTATCCCTTATTGAGCAGTCCCCAAGGGCAGGGCACCACTTAGGCCAGACATTTAAACTGACAGAAAGAGGTGTTTTAAGTACCCTGAGGAAGAAATAAACAGAGGAGAAAACTATTAATGCCATGTCATGTCAAGAGCCAAGAAATATGTCATAGAGGAGGAGCCACTTGAGAAATCAGTATCAATTTACCTGGTGCAGCAAGGAAAAGAAAAAAGAACAGCCAGAGCAAGGGAACCAGCACGAGAAGGAAGGAATTGGCACAGACAGGTGGTGCTGGAAGGAGAAGCTTTGTCTGAGAGAGAAGGATAAGAGGGTCCAGGTGGGACAAAAGGCCTTGCAGGGAACTAAGGCTGGAGAGGAGGGTGGAGGCCAGTGTGTGAGGAACCATTGGCCCCACTGTATGGGACTGGACTCTCCATGCAGTCAATGGCCAGGTTCTAGAAACTACTTCCAGCAAAGACTGTAGCAGGAGTTCAGGGGATGGGCTACAGGGAGATCAATAAGAAAGATGTTGCAATGTTCCAAGAAAGAGAAGAAGAGATAGCAGGGAACAGGTGGTTAGGACTTCTTCTGAGATAGAATTCATAGGACTCTGGTGTCTCAGTAGACGTGGAGTGTGGGGAAGGGTAACAAGGCAAGGGTGGCTTCCAGGCCTCTTGCTGGGACAGCTGTGTACATAGTGATGTCATCAACCAAGTCAGCAGGAGCAGGTTTGAGACTGGGTTTTGGAGAAAAAAGAAGTCATGAGTGGAGTTGTAAACATATTAAGCTTGATGCGTTAAATATGAGCTGTTATGTGCCCTCCAGGTGGAGGTGTCCAATAAGCAGCTGAAAGCACAGAGCAGTAGCATGGGACCGAGCCGTCGGCATGGAGGTCAGGATCACGGAGAGGAGGTCAGGATCACTTTACTCTGTGAAAACACTATGCCTGGGATTCCGACTTCCTTCTCTCCACTTCTCTGCCTTGTCTCTCTCCAAATACCAATGAAGAACAAAAACAGTATTTTGAAATACTGATCAATGAGCTTCTCCTTCCACCTGTGCTTACAAAATTCCTGAAGGCCTTCTAATGATCCCCAGCCTAGGCAGCAAAACTAGCCCACCCAAAAATAAAACAATGACCATGAATAGCTGATCACTAATTTCACAAGTCATTGCTCCAAGGCAGAAAGACCTCCTCCCCGACCTGCAGATGGGACAAAATAATCTGAAGGGAAAAGTGAAGAAGCCACAAGTAGAGGAGATGGTGAGGTAAGGGACCCCCAACCTCTAAGGATCAAGCACCATATACTGTGAACATCATTATGCAACAAGCCACCCATAGATTGTGCAGTAAGATAATTGTCCATCTCCTCTCTGATTTACCTACTATAAGAAACACCCTTACACTCAACAGCCCATGGTACGCTAAACCCTCATGAATAAAACTAGGGCCTGAATACCTATGGTTTACTCCAACTATAGGGGTGGGAGTAACATGAAGGGAAACCTTCCATAGCTGTCCATGGATGAAACCAGCTGAAAAGCTCCCATAGAGGCCAGACAGGGAATTTCACAACTATAATGTGTTCTTCAGAAACATGCATGAGGAATTCTCTTGTAGTATAATTTAAATTATCTCAGCTTTGCACAGTGGCAGTATTGTAGCCAGTGAGGTTCATCCGAGGCACAATTATTGGCTAATTAAACTATCTCACTGACCAAGGCTACCTATAACTCATATAAACAAAGTGTTTTTCCTTTATCTTGGTTGAACCTAGGGCTTAAGAATTCCTTGATGTTCCATGACTTGGATACATTAAGGCAATCTATTGATGGTAAACTTTTATCAGATGCCAATGTAGTCTCCCAAGATTTCCTGGAGGGGAAATGGATAACAACACTGAACTTACTGACTCCAATTAGAACAGCCTATTTTGGTTCCTGTGTAATACTCTCAAGAAAGAGTCTACTTCCTTTGTCCCCATACAGGATGAATTTGTTTCTCCATCACTTCTGCTTTATTATTTCACTCCCTCCAGACATAAGTCATAATTAAAGATAATGCATTTTTCTCTGAGTAAAGGAAATTACATTATATTACATAAATAAATGAAGCTTTAATTTTGTTCTCCATATTTCTCAACAGCTTTGCAGATGGTATTAAGAAACAGGGCATCTGTGTCTCCCTGTGGAAAAACCCAGGCTCTTCTGGAACTGTGGGCTCCTTGTGTTGCTGTCATGTAATCAAGAAGCTAGAGGTAGCAGAACCCAATCCTTACACCCAAAACACTAGCCAAGGGCATCTTTCTCTCTTGCATCTAGCTATGACTCCAAAAGAGAAGAGCAAATGGTCGCTACATGCAAAACAAGTTGCCAACCACCATAGGTTTTGTCTTTCAAATTATCAAATATATGTATACATACTGAGACAGAGTTTCACTCTTGTTGCCCAGGCTACAGTGCAATGGTGTGATTTCAGCTCACTGCAACCTCCACCTCCCAGGTTCAAGCGATTCTCATGCCTCAGCCTCCCGAGTAGCTGGGATTACAGGTGCCCACCACCATGCATGGCTAATTTTTGCATTTTCAGTAGAGATGGGGTTTCACCATGTTAGTCAAGCTGGTCTCGAACTCCTGACTTCAGGTGATCCACCCAAAAGTGCTGGGATTACAGGCGTGAGCCACCGCACCCAGCCAAATTATCAAATATTTTTTAAAAGTGTTATATCCAGTTTTCGCAGGGCTACAATGAGAGATATTCTCATATACAGTTTGGTGGGATGTGTGGAGGAAAGATGGTAAGAAATATTTTTGCATATTTATGTGGTAGAATATTGTATGTCCATTGAATATAAAATTATAGAAGAATATTTAATGTAATGGGAAATATTCATGTGAAATGAAAAAGCAGATTATAAAATAGCATCTCTAGTATATTTTTGTTAAAATTATAAAAATTGTCAGTAATATATAGATGGATTCTACACATTTATAACAGTTTTAGTATCAGGTGGTTTTTAAATTTTATTTGTGTTTTTGTATTTTCCAAATTTTCTACAATGACTATGGTATTTTTTTTAAGAGATGGAGTCTCACTCTGATGCCCAGGCTGAAGTGTAATGGTATGATCATGGCTTACTGTCGCCTCAAATTCCCAGGCTCAAGTGATCCTTCCACCTCAGCCTCTTGAGTAGCTGGGCCTACAGGCACATGCCATTACCCTTGGCAATTTTATTTTTGGTAGAGACAGAGTTTTGCCGTGTTGCCCAGGCTGGTCTCAAACTCCTGAGCTCAAGTGATACTCCTGCCTTGGCCTCCCAAAGTGCTAGGAGTATAGGCATGAGCCACCACACTTGGTCTAGTATTGCTTTTGATTTCACACTAAAAAACATAACAAGAGAGCATGCTTGACTTCTGGCAAACCCTAATCCCAGGAGAATATTCTACTTGTATGCTTTCTTTTATATAAATAAATGCTGTCCTGGTTGCATTTAGAATCCATACATTCATTCATTCATTTGTTCATTAATTCAGCAAATATTAGTTTAGCTCTTACTTTGTACCGGAACATCCCTAAATGCTGGGAATAGTGAGGGAAACAAGGTAAAGTCCTTGCTCTTTTGGAGCTGGTGTTTTAGTTAGGGAAGGCAGTCAACAAACAGGAAGACAAACAAGTGAGACAGTGTTTGATAGTGTCAGGTGTTCTGAAGAAAATAAAACAGGGTGATAGCATGAGAGGGAGCAAACAGGTAGATTGGAGGAATTACTCAGAATTAGGCACTGAGGGAAGACCTTCCAAGGAGCTGAAATTTGAGCTAAAACTTAAAGAAAAGAAACAGCCATACAAAGACCAGAGAGAAGACCCTCCTGGGTGGGGGAAACAGCTCTTGCAAAGGTCCTTGAGATTGCCATGAGCTCAGCCTATTCAAGGGAGAACGGGAAACAGTCTGAGGGGTGGGCAGGAGGCAAAGCAAGAAGGGCTTCATAGGCCAGAGGAAGGAGCTGAGATTTTAACATAAGTAGATCTGAGCTCCACTTACCAAAATAATCCCCTGGCTACTGTATGGAAAATATGGATGAGAGGATGGGGATAGGAGTGGAAGCAGAGAACCCCTCAGGCGATAACTGCACATCCAGTAGACAGAGATGAGGGGCTGCACATGGCTTGGGTGGCCATGGAAATACATTTGGGTTATACTGAAAAGGTTAGGATTTTACAGATGAATTTGACAATTCAATATCTTATGACCACTGGGCAATGGGAGAAGTTTGACGGGAAAGGCAAGCATTTACAAGTCTGACTCTACTAAGAGCCTGTTCTGGAAAGAGAACATGGCCCCAGGGGACATAAGACATGAAGGATGACCCACGTGGACTGTCAATCAGCAAGCAGGGGCACGTCCCCAGCCACAGGGTCAGAGTCAGAAGCCCGGTCTAGCCCCAGAGACAAGGGCTGTCAAGGTCCTGAGGGAGCAGAGTGCTGGGGGTCAGGGCGGGGACCAGGGCAGGGACTCAGGAAAGGGAAGGTGGGCATGAGAGCCAGAGAGCAGGACAGAGCAACAGAGAGAGCAAACTAAGGGCCCATCCAAAGGGCTGGGCTTGGGCTTCTCAGTTCCCTCCCCAGTAAGGGTACAATTGGTCCTAGAGCTGGGGTGGGGCCAAGCCTGTATTTAGGGGCCAATTTGTTCAGCTAGGCCAAGGTGCTAGGCAGGTACTGAGAAGACCACAGATCACAAGGGATGCTCTATTTTTTAAATATGGATAACCCTTTCCTTAATAACAAAATTTCCAGCCTATGTTCCGATTATCAAGTGAGTCATTCTGAAAACCCTGTTTATTTCTCTTTCACCCAAAGCATCTGCCCATTATCACATTTCTAATGTTGAAGTGGAGATATGAGGATTTTGAAAGTTCCCAATTGGATGCCTCTAAAGGAAGTGAGGGCTCTTTCAAGTAAGAAAAACTCATTTTATATTACCTTTTAAGCTAGCTGTTATTAATTTTCAATTTTATGCTAGAAATTTGCAACTCACAAAAAGAAAGGAAAAAAGTTAAACCCTGATTTTAAATATCATTGTTCCCCATTTTTCATGTCTCAGTTACCACATTTAAAAAGAAGATGGCACCATTTGTCCAAGGAATCTCATTACTGGGTATATGCCCAAAGGAATATAAATCATTCTATTATAAAGATACAAGCAAGTGTGTGTTCATTGCGGCACTATTCACAATAGCAAAAAATCAACCCAAATCCCCATCAATGAGAGACTGGATTAAAAAAAGTGGTACATATATACCATGGAATACTATGCAGCCATAAAAAAGAACAAGATCATGTCCTTTGGAGGGACATGGAGGGAGCTGGAAGCCATTAGCTTCAGAAAACTAACACGGGAACAGAAAACCACACACCAAATGTTCTCACTTGTAAGTGGGAGTTGAACAATGAGAACACATGGACACAGAGAGGGGAACAACACACACTGGGGCCTGTCAGCAGGGGGTCGGGGGAGGGAGAGCGTCAGGATAAATAGCTAATGTATGTAGGGCTTAATACCTAGGTGAGGTAATAAGATGATAGGTGCAGCAAACCACCATGGCACACGTCTACCTATGTAACAAACATGCACGTTCTGTACATGTATCCTGGAACTTAAAATTTTCTAAAAAAGTAAAATAAAACTGTCTTTCATAGAATAAAAAGCAAGAAAGAAGATGGCTATACCTTTTGCTTTCAAAAGCAATGACCAATGATCTAAAACCATGTAAATAAGAGCAGTAGCAATCTGGAGAAAGAATTATTAAAGAACAATCAGAGTGGAGAAGAAACTCAGAAATAATCTCATCATGTGTTACAGAAGAGAAAATAAGATCTAGGTCATATCAATGTCCAGCACGTGCCAGATAAGAAGTAAATGTTAATCAAGTGAACAAATGAATGAACAAAGCTTGGCCCTCTCATTCTCTGTCCAATGCTCTTCCCGCCACCAGAGAATCCCCACTAATATTGTATTCGGTGTCCACTCAAGTGCAGTCCAGCACCTGTGTATATTGGAGACTTAGGGGTCACCATACGATGCTTAAATGAGAGTGACACAGCACCTACCCAATAGCTTGGCAAAAGCCCTGACTGTGTTTGGGTGACTCACCCTGGTTTACCAGAGTGATAGACCAAAAGCATGTAAAATGGCATGTCACCACCATAACTAGAGCAGACAGTTCTCACATCTATTTTGGAATCTAGGGCTTTGGCATGAACAGAGATTTCAGAGTTTCAAAAACATATCACCCCCGCCCCTTTTCGTTTTGGTAGACTCATCTTCAAGATCTAGAGCAGCTGTTTCCAAATCTTCTTTTGGGGAAAAAATATTTGTGCATACAAATAATTGCATATTTATTTATAAATTAGATACATGTATATCTGTCATTGTATATATGCACATTATAAAACCTATACAACAGAAATTTTATGAAGAGGTGATAAAAATAAAATATCAGTAGAAGTCTGAATAATTTCTTCCTCCACCCCAGTGGATCATTGTATGTACCCTGCTCTGGAAGCCACAGCTCTAGGACCTCCAATTCACCATCTGCCAAACCAGGAAGGAGACTGCACTCCTCTGTTTACAGCATTGAGCGTACACTCCCAAGACTCAGCCTTGAGCCAGCTGACCAGAGCCTCTTCTCTGAACCTTGCCTGTATTGCCTCAGATCTATTATAAAGAGCCCACCTAAAAGAATGGTAACCAGCACACACTGCCCAACACTTTCTCTTATTTAAGTGGCACTGGATCTTAAGAGAAGGGAGGAGACGGAGGGAGAGGCTCTGAGATCCTGTCTCAATTTAAGCTTGGGGATTGCAAAGAACATCTACTTAACACTCACTACCAACCCACTGACAAAAATGCAAGAAAATAGAACCCCATGCATCTAAAACTCAGAAAATTCTAGCTTCTGCTTTCTAGCAACAATAGGTTTAGTAATATTTTCACCTTTCCTCTCCTGTGGTTTCTTAGGGAAGTAGTGAGAGTGTCTATTTATCTAAGTGCCAAGCAAAATGTCTTCCCCTCCGCAGACCACACTCTGGCTGTCACAGCTGGTCACACAACACTCTCCTCTGGCTCAAATCCCAGCCCTCAAGGACATGACTAGACTACTTCCTAGGACACTTGACTGACTCATTTTTTCACCCTAGCCAAGTCCTTTGAAGCAATTAATTATTATTAAGTGGGGTAGCAAAATGCTCACCTGAACAGGAGGAATGATTTGGGAAGCTCTGCTACTGAATTGCTTCCACGAAGACAGCCACTCTTAACACAGACTGTAAGTAAATGAGTAATTAGAACCAGCCCTGGAATGAGTCATTCCTTATTTAATGAATTCAACTTTAAAACCAGAACATGATTCCCAGAAGGGAGCGAGCTTCCTGTGGGAAGTCTGTTTCCCCTGCAGCCTGGCTCTACTAAGAATTCTGTTTGCTGCAACACACTCGGTCCCCAGCCTTCTCACCACTCCTTCTAGGGTGATGGAAGTCTCTGAGGAGTCAGCAGGTCCTGGCATGCTGTGCTGGAAAACCAAAGCCTTGCACCCTGTCCCGTATACACACGAGCTCTTCTCATTGAACCACAGAGGTCACCCATACTTAAATAAAATATGTTGTCTCTTTTGATCATTCATTTGCTATAATTGAAAAATAGATGTAGTTTCTTAGTTACCCATTCTGTTTCAGCAAGAAGGAGTTGAGTCATTTTAGCTGTGTTCAATGCCATCTAAGATAGCTGGGCCAGGAATGTGAGTATAAGGATGTAATCCCAGCTTTCCAGAATACTTACCCAACCATGTAACATTGGGCAAATTTTCTCATCTCTCTAGGCTTTCTCATTTGTAGAAGAATCCTGAGGGTATGTGCTAGATCAGAGGCCAGCAAACATTTTCTACGAAGGCTTAGATTGTAAGTTTTAAGCTTTGCTGGCAAAATTTTAAAACTTAAAAGTTGAAGGTGGTTCAAAAGAGGCAAAATGGAGGATATTATATAGGTACTTTTATCATCGTCTAAAACGTAACTGTTCACTTGAAGGCCAGAAATAAGTGGTGCTGGGCCCGCCACAGGCTATATATTGCTAACCCTTGTGCAAGACCTTCCTCAACATTCCCTTTAACTCTCAAAAGCTATGAAAAATATTCCTGTCCCCAAGTTCCCATTCTCATAGTAAAAAGACCTCAAGCCACAGTCTTGGATTTTTTTTTTTTTTTTTACCTTGACATTCAGCAAAAGAATCAGAGTTAAGAGCTAGAAAGCATTTGAGTGGTGCTCAAATCCAATCTTCTTGTTTTGTGGATGAGGAAAATGAAGCTCTGAAAGGTGGATAGTCTTGTCTGTGGTCACCTGGCTGCTTGGCAGAGGAGCCAACACCAGGTTTCATCTGAGACATTAATGCAGAAAGACAGCAGCCACCTGAACCACTGCTATGCTTCCACTGCGGAATGCTGTATTTCATAAAATGAACTATTTGTGGAGAATTAGCCAACTACAAAATTGAAATGATGCACACTATTGGTGTCTTAAGATGTAAAATACAAAATGTTTGCAAGATAAGGTGCACTGAGTTTGCATCAGGAACAAGGCATTGAGCTTCCTTACAACACAGTAAACACTCAAAATTTCAAAGTCCCCTTTCAAGTGATAAAAACTTCTCGTGAGTACTTAAGTTGTCAGTAAATACAAAAACAAAAAAAAGAAAAAGAAAAAACCCAGAGTTCTAAAGACGAGAATAGCTCCAAAGAAAAACATGAAAGAAAAGGTAAAAAGCTTTTGAAAAGACTGCAAAATAGGAATCTGCAGAGCATGCTCAGGCCTTTATGTTCTCAAGCTGTTCTTGGCATCTCCTACCCTAGAGGAGTTGCTGACCCAAACTGTGATGCTGTCTTCAAGAATCCAATAGGTGTTGGCCGGGCGCGGTGGTTCACGCCTGTAATCCCAGCACTTTGGGAGGCCAAGGCGGGTGGATCATGAGGTCAGGAGATCGAGACCATCCTGGCTAACATGGTGAAACCCCGTCTCTACAAAAAATACAAAAAAATTAGCCAGGCGTGGTGGCGGGTGACTGTAATCCCAGCTACTCAGGAGGCTGAGGCAGGAGAATGGCGTGAACCCAGGAGGTGGAGCTTGCAGTGAGCCGAGATCGCACCACTACACTCCAGCCTGGGCGACAGAGCGAGAATCCATCTCAAAAAAAAAAAAAAAAAATAATAATAATAATAATAATAATAATAATCCAATAGTTGTGATAATTCTGAATTTTTATTTTGCTAATCCAATACTGCAATTATAAACAAAAACAGGAGCTGCCTTCTGTTCTGTGGAGGCATCCTAGCTCCTGCAGAAGCAACTCCAGCTACTATGTGCTTATCAGCAGCTGGAGACTATAGATGCCATTAGATAAGAATGTTCAGGATAGTCCAAGCGTGTGCAATGCGAAAATGATGCTTAAAACAGCACTTTTTATGAGTTCCTTCTAATTTAGGACATTTAACCCATTTGTCTGTATTTGTGTTAAATATGTTCCCAATTCATTGTTTGATCTCCAGTTCAACTTCTGATGTGTTTTCATGCACCAGTGTTTTCCACATTAAACAAACAAAGCAGGAATTTTAAGAATTTAGTATACTGGATAACTGCAACTGCATTAAAATGCATAGGGAAGAAATTGCTAATGCATTAACACTGATTTCCTCTACGAGGGGGCAAGCTAGGATGTTATTTTTTTTTTTTTTTTTTTTTTTGCTCATTTATGCTTTTTTGTGATTTCTGAATTTTTTAGAAGTTGATGTACTAGCTTTATAATGAAAAATAAGGCAAACAGCAATCACAAAACCCTGTGGTAGGGACAAGTCTAATTAGAACTGGGGTTGGTCATCACCAGGTAGCAGGAACCATAAGGGGAAAGGTGATTCCACAGGATTCGTAAACAGCTTCTGCTGTTTCATGGGACGTAACACAAAAGAAATTTCAAAAACACCACTGCAGCCCAGGCACGGTGGTTCACTCCTGTAATCCCAGCACTTTGGGAGGCCGAGGCGGGCAGATCACAAGGGGAAGAGATCAAGACCACCCTGGCCAACGTGGTGAAACCCCGTCTCTACCAAAAATACAAAAATTAGCTGGGCATGGTGGCGTGTGCCTGTAGACCCAGCTACTTGGGAGGCTGAGGCAGGAGAATGGCTTGAACCCAGGAGGCAGAGGTTGCAGTGAGCTGAGATTGTGCCACTGCACTCCAGCCTGGCAACAGAGCAAGACTCCATCTCAAAACAAACAAACAAACAAAACCCAGTGCATCACTGCTAATGCATATGTCCTGACACATCTGAGCCAAAGGGAAGAAATGGCTTAGCATCTGGGGGAAAATGGTGGGAAGAAAGACACCGAAGCCATAAGAATAGGGTAAATTTGTCTGAACCATGACCATGGAACTACAGAAAGGGAGAAAAGAGGGAGGAGAATGTTCACGTCAGACAGGCAGGGAGGAAGACCAAACCTGGTAGAGGGTAAGATAAGGAACTCACCATGGTATAACCACAGCAGCCTTGGGCTGTCAGAGACTTCACCAGTGACAAATCGGAGCAACTGTGTAGTGCATGAAAGACATATGCATAGACAATGCAGCAGCCCCACCAGTGACCTGTTATGTGTTCGGGTGGAGGGTGGGTGGGACCAAGAGTATGGCATGCCTGATGGATGAGGACAATACTCTTTTTACATGCACGAAATGCCTTTGCGTGTTCACACACAGACTTTCTAGAATTTCAGTGAAACCACCTTAAGCCATCTATGGTTAGGGCAAGACACTGTAAGCAACCCTTTAAACACCCCTGCCTCTGCCTTCCACACACACTTGCCATCACATGCACAACACATACATGCATTCACATATACACTCGGCACAAACACGCGCAAACACATACACAAACATTTACAGGGATGGTGCTACAGGGTGGCTTGTGAGAGTTAGTTTTACCATTCTCTTAGTTTCCAGCTATTCTTCAATAAAGATACTTTCTCGATCATATGCAAAAGCAGCTTCACATGACCCTTTAATCTAACACCCATTGCCACCCCCAAGACCCTCCTTTATAAAAATTCTGGTGTCTCCATTGTGCTTTCATTTTACCAGTAAGGGGAAAACAAATATTTTCAACTCTTATTTATTATAGTTGTACCTACCAAGCATGGCTTTTCTACCATGTTTATGCCAGCCTGCACCACTGCTATGGCAGACACCAGTGATCTTCATTGTGTGTCTGTAATTGCCAGTTACCAAGTCTCACATGATTAATTTCACTCCCCTTCTCTACTACAATCCAGCATTCTTCCATAATGAGAACATATACTCTACTGATAAAACACAGAAGCACGGTGCTATCTCCACTATGGGGAACCTGCTCCATTTTGCTTGTGAATTTATTCAGATTAATGACTCCTTAAAATGTCATTTTCACCTAGAACAATTCCCACTGTAATTTTTTTCTTCTGCAGAAATTCTCATAAGCTCTAAGTGGCACTCTTCAAATGGTTTGCCATTCTCATCTGAAGTTTTCCACAGCACTAGTTCTCTCAGATCCTGTAACCAAGCAACTTTTGGGTGGGCTTTGAAAACATTCCCGTTGCCCAGTGGTGCCTAGGAACTGATTTTGTTTTTTCTCCACCCTGACACAGCCAACTTGAGACCTAATCCTCCAGCTGTCATATGGCTGAATGGGGTCACACGTTTTCCCAGAACACCACTGCATTAATCTGGGCAATAACACTCTGCCCAGCTGTCTTTGAGAAACTTGAAAAGAATGGAAAAAGCTTGTCTGATAAATGGGTGGTCATGACCCCAGAGGGCCATGGCAGTGGCAGAGATGTCCCCACTAGTCACACCATTTAAGACAAGGTGACAGGACATTCCCATGACCTCACAGAAATAGAGATTCCATAAGTTAAGACTTTCTTCTCCCAATCTGATTTTTAAAAAATTTTTAATTAGAGAACACTTTTTTTTTTTTTTGAGACAGAGTTTCGCTCTTGTTGCCCAGGCTGGAGTGCAATGGCATGATCTCAGCTCACTGCAACCTCCACCTCCCAGGTTCAAGCAATTTTCCTGCTTCAGCCTCCCAAGTAGCTGAGATTACAGGCATATGCCACCACACCCAGCTAATTTTGTATTTTTAGTAGAGACAGGGGTTTCACCATGTTGGTCAGGCTAGTCTCGAACTCCTGACCTCAGGTGATCCACCCGCCTCAGCCTCTGAAAGTGCTGGGGTTACAGGTGTGAGCCACTGCGCCCAGCCATTAGACAACACTTTTAACAGGGCTCAAGCTGCTGATCTTGAACCGTTTACAAATCTAGTTCCAAAATATGTGATTTGAAACCCCCAGACAAGAATCTGAACCAGTATATCCAGATGGGGAACAGTGATAACAAAGGTAAGTGGTGATGCTGAGTCTCCACCACTCTGTGTTTGAAGCTCTGAGAAGCAACAGTATTATGTAACTCTCTCAATGGCTCCAACAACTCAACGAAATCATGCTGGCCATGGACTCCCTGTGTGATGCTGACACACCACTGAAACATTCCTGGGTCTCTATAGTCTCATCTTTAACATAAAGAGGTTGAAGTGTTTTCAACTCAATGTCTCCGAGATAAGAGCAGGACCCGGACGGTAGGAATCCACAGGCTGTGTCCCTACCATGTAACCAGCGACCCTGTCTCCACAAGTCTGCCTTTTACTATGCCTTGTATGCACTGCCTCCTCTCTAGTTGCATTCTCTCTGCCTGCTTCAGCCCTTGCATATCTATTCCCTGGGCTCCTCCAGTGGTTCCTGTGTAGTCTGTGCCTCCAACCCAGTGGTTTCTAACCAGAGAACTATTTTGCTCCCCAGGGGAAATTCAGCAGTATCTGGAGACATTTTTGGTTGTCAAGACCAGTGGGGTCCTTCTGGCATCTACTGGATAGAAGCCATGGAAGCTACTAAACATCCTACAATGCACAGGAATCCCACAAAAAGAACTGTCTAGCTCAAGAGGTCAGTGGCTCTGAGGTTGAAAAACTCTGCTCCAGCCATATCTGCCTCTAATCCATTCTCTACACATCACCAGAGTGATACAAAATACAACTCCCATGCCATTGATATCATTCCCATACCTGAAATCCCTCAATGCCTCCTAGCTGCTCTCAGGTTAAAGTCTAAATTCTCCTGCAAATCACACGAGGCCCATAATCTGGCCCTCTCCTACCTTTCTACCTCACCTTCACCATCCCCCAGAACCCTCTTCCCTGAAACCACACTCACACCTCATGCAGGTGAAACAGACCACTCCGTTACCAACTCTTCCTGTCCATCTCTCCCATTTATTCCTTAGCCCACTGATTTTATGTCAGACACTCCAATGGGACTAAAAAGGAACAAATGCCCTCAAGGCAGCTCAAGGCACTGATATCCAGTAGGGCACACAGAAAAGTGGGCACACAATTCAATCAGCAGAGGCAGAACTTTGTCATCGCCTCTGTGATCCCACTGCCATCTCCCCAGTGGACTGTGAGCCTCCAGAAGAGAGAGCATCTTCATGTCTTCATCTTTATAGTCCACAGGAACTTGGACATGGTAAGTGTGGTCTACAGGGTGTACAACTTGTATTTGTCACAATTGTTGCATTAAGGAATGAATGAATTCCCAGCCTCTTTAAGTTTGGCTCTAGCACAGAAATAAAAAGAAATGAAACATTAAAATATAGAGATGAAACAAAATTCTTCATAGTGCATGCACTCAAAAGCCCAGAAACAAGGCCCATTCACAAAGATGAAAACATCTTCTTTGTTTAGAGCTCTAATCTGTCTCTCTTCTCTTTATAAATCTGAGAAGTGTAAATCTATATAATAGGTATCTATCTAATGAAATGCCTGAATCCCATTGCTTGACATTCAAAGACAAGGGCCATGGAGCAGAATTTGACTAGTAACAGAGGTACAATGGTATCCAGAACACAGAGCTATGTCTCCAGTGGATATCATACGGTACCTAAGATAATTTTGCTCTTACTCTAAATTGAGAGAATCACTGTATTTATTGAAAAATTAACAATATTGTTGTTTCTACTTCTCTTGCTTTTTAATTGAGTCTATATCATGAAAGTTGTCATGACTTGTCTGAACTTTAAAACCCACAAAGATGTTCTAGCAGGGGACAAATCTCCTGGAGAAAATAATTTTATTAGATATCGATAGAGCTATTGTGGACTTCCGAAGAGAGAGATCTATCAGTTTGGCTTTACAGCTGGTAAAATAATTGAAGATGGTTCTTTAAAACAACTGGGAAAATTGAAAAGGTAGCTTATGCATTCCTATCCTGTCATGAAATTCTTTAAATTATTTTGCAGTTAATTACAATGGTTTGTCTATTGTCCATACAGTTGCTATGTCAAAAACACACCTAATATTTAGCAGTGGAACCTCATTATAGAAAATGGAGCAAAACAGATGTCCCTAACTGAATGGGATGAAGAGTATGGAAGAAAGTTTGACCAGGTTCCCTTTCACATCTTGGGGGATCATAAGGCAGCAGGCCTAGGGTTCCGTATTCCCCATAATAATCATTCAACCCATCTGGGCCTCCAAATTGCATTCCCATCTAAGCTTCCATCTTTGCAGACAAGGTACAGTCACAATTCCAGTTGTGAGATGTCCCTTCTCTTTTCTTCTCTATTAGCCACACCCTCCTTCATTTAAACTTGGGATAATCATGACCTTCAGAAAAAATGATTTTCACTCAAAGCAATATTCCAAGCATATAGGAAGAAACTCAGAAAACCCTTAGTGACCAGAAATTAAAACTGCTTTTCTTTCATTTGCAAAACACACAAAAACAGATAATCTCCTGAAAAACACAGACAAGCAACATGGACCCAGAGGCCCTTAGGCTAAGGAAATTCATTTGGCATGGAACTTACAGAGTTCATTGTTAAGATAGATAACAAAAGCCATTTATAACAAGAGTGTTCTCATTATCATCATCTCTTGTAGCCCAGTTGAAGACAAGTAGTGTCTTCTAAGATCCCATCTTTCATACTTTGCACACTTTTCCTCCACCCATGGAATTTTGGGCATCCAGTTGCCTAGTTCTCCTTCTAACCATCAAAGCTGCCTTTCAGGAAAAGATTTACTAGAATTTTTTATGTGTCACTGCAAATTGGTTGCTGCTACCTATCTCAAGGGTATCTGCATTCCAAGCCATATCCTTATTATAGACTAAGAAGTTTTCTCCTGTGAAATAAATTCTTGACTTGAAGCTGGAGGTGAAGGTGATCTTTTGGGGACAGAGTGATCTGCCCTCTTGAAACTGCCCAGTATCCAGATTTTCAACGATGAAACCAGAATCACAAAGTTAAGAAAAAGCATGTTTGTATTCAAAGGTTCCAATAAGTTTATTTTGTGTGCATTTGTTTTCAATTTAATTAATTTCATCAACTTAATTTAAACAAATCTTTGAAATTAATAAAATGTGAGATGTCTGCAGGTGTTTGCAGCAAGCATTGTGGTGAGATTCTTCCCTGAAGTAAGGAGAGTCCTTAAAAACAAAGATGCCTAGAAACACACATATTATTATTATCTTTAAAAATATAACAAATGTGGGGGTTGCAGTGGACACTTCACTTTTTTTTAGCTTGTATCAAAACTGTTGGACAATGTAAATGAAGGATCAAGAACAAGAAGCCTGGGGGAATAAATGGGATGACGAGTGTAGAGATACTTGTGGAGAACTCTTTATTGCCACCAATTTAATTGTGATTACAGTGGCAGACATCAACATCCAATAGAAGTTTCAGTGATAGAGGAAATTATCTCAGTCTCAGTGTCCAATATGGCAGCCACCAGCCACATGTGGCTATTGAGCACTGAGAATCTGGCTATTGTGACTGAGGAAATGGATTTTTAATTACAATGAATTTAAACTTAGTTTAATACAGCCACACATGGCTAATGGTTAGTGTACTGGACTGGTGTAGGTCTAACACCATTAGTCTTTTCATATATAATTTTAGAAATACTTTATACCAGTGAAGTCTCTCCAAGAGAAACTAATAGAGCTCCCAGTATAATACAGCCTTCCAGCTGCAAAAAGCTTATTTACTAAAAACATAGTTTATGGCCCACTCCACCCCATACACTAATCAATTACCCATCATATGCAGAATTGGCGCCTCCCTTGTTTTTTCCAGAGGAAGCCTGCAGCACCAGCATTTGGGATGAAGAGACAGACTTACCCTCACCCAGAGGAAGTTCTTCTTCTTGCTCGCTGGGGGAAGGAAGCAGGGGCTGCAGGGGTTCCATGTTAATGATGAGCTGTTTGTTCAAGGAGTGGGAACTGCGGCTCTGAGTAATGTTGGCTCTGAAAACAGACACAAGCCAGACAGAGTTGGTTTCCATCACAAATGCTGGCCCCTCCATCTCAGCGGGCTGCCCAAGCTACCATTTTGTGTCTACAGGGAACTACCTCCAGACACAGTGAATTGAGCCAGTAGTAAAGATGACGTAACATTCAAGATAAATGGCCCTTTCTGCTCTTAAGGTCCTGACCAAATGTCCCTATGTTCTACTGCAACTCAACGAAAGAAAATACAGTTCCCAATACATCACCAGCCCTGAGCATGCTAGGTGACAGCCTGGGCGTTTTTTAAAAAAAAAGAAAGAAGAAACAAAAAGACATGGGAGGTAGCTAGCACTGAACTAGATATGTAGAAAAGTGAATGAAGGGCATGGCTCAGAGAAATTTAACAACCACCAACAAACAAAAACAAAAACCCCTGCCAGATAGATGATGCAGATGTTCTACAGCTATAAGCTATCTTTGTGTTGCTGGATGTCCAATGTTTAATATCAGTGTTTAATATTCTCAAAGTTACACCCTACTCACTAACTGGCCATGGCTCTGTTTTCTCCTCTGGAAAGGAGCATGCAGGTGTGTCTGGCTGAGACTAGCAACAGATGGCAAGGAAACTGTGCAGGTATCTCATTAAGCCTATTGGTTGGGAGCTGGGGAGCCCGCTTGCCCTACCTGCTGCAGAGATACTAGCTGCTTGCCCTAGTCTGCCTGCAGGTGGATGTTTGCACACCCTTCCTCACTCCCCATGCTTCCTGTCAAAACCAAAACCAGTGCATACTTTAAAAAGGAGTCAAATGTTTCCTTCCCCTGGAAGCCTTCCCAGATTGCTCCTCCCAATGCACACAGTCTCTCTCTCTCTCTCTCTCCCTTCCTCTCCCTCTCTTTGACTACTTTCTCTTCTTTCATAACTCACTGCATTTTCACCTCTGTCTCTGTCTAGTTATTGGTGTACTGATCATCCCCACCTAGATAAGCACCTTAAGGGCAGAGACTGAGCCAGCCATACTTGTGCATCTCACTTGGCATCTTGTGAAAATGTGTTCAGGTTTGAAACTAAAGTGCACCAAATGCAATCCTGGCTTGACATATGTTGCCATTTCAGCCTGGTCAGAGTGTTCCCTAGACCGGCTGCAGGACTACCTTCTAGCCTGAGTGTTTCTGTTGGGCAGCAGGAGTGGGGAACAGCAAGATGCCTGCTACCATCTTGAATTAAAAGCTCCCATGGCTGGCATGGGCTAGAAAGGAAATTTATGAGGACTTGCTTAGCCATGGAGTCCTTTTCTTCATTATTTCATTTTACAGCCATTTACTCTGCAGCTGATATATACAAATTGGACATTCTGCTTTGCTCCAGAGAACTGTAGTCCTCACCTTAAGTAACTCACTGTCTAGAACCATAATTTTTAAGCTTTCTGGTCTGAGACCTACATTAATAAATACTTTTTTTTTTTTTTTGAGACAGAGTCTCGCTCTGTCACCTAGGCTGGAGTGCAGTGGTGCAATCTCGGCTCACTGCAACCTCTGCCTCCTGGGTTCAAGCAATTCTCCTGCCTCAGCCTCGCGAGTAGCTGGGATTACAGGTGTGTGCCACCACACCCAGCTAAATTTTTGTATTTTTAGTAGAGACGGGGTTCACTGTGTTAACCAGGATGATGGTCTTCATCTTCTGACCTCATGATCTGCCCATCTCGGCCTCCCAAAATGCTGGGATTACAGGCTTGAGCCACTACGCCCAGCCCCAAGAAACACATTTTATATAATCTCCCTGTACCCAAACACACACAGGAAGAAGCACAACTGAAATTAATGTCTTATGGAACAATAGTTACATATCTATGTATAATCCACTATTTTAAAATTCTAGTTCATTTTAAGTCCCAGTCTTGATCACTACTTTATTTCATAACTACCCCCAACTTTGTATTTTTTATTTTTTATTTTTTTGAGACGGAGTCTCACTCTGTCGCCTAGGCTGGAGTGCAGTGGTACGATCTCGGCTCACTACAACCTCCACCTCCTGGGTTCAAGTGATTCTCCTCCCTCAGCCTCCCGAGTAGCTGGGATTACAGGCATCTGCCACCATGCCCAGCTAATTTTTGTATTTTTAGTAGAGACTGTTTCACCATGTTGGGCAGGCTGGTCTCAAACTCCTGACCTAAGGTGATCACCCACCTTAGCCTCCCAAAGTGCTGGGATTACAGGCGTGAGCCACCACGCCCAGCCACATGACTCCTTTATGTGCTGTAGCCACAGCTGGAACACCGTGCCTCTCATGAAGGTGACTGATGGCCAGGGTCCCATGGGAGCACAAAGGAGGGGCACCTAATCCGGTGTGAGTGAGGAGAGAGCCAGGAGTGATCTCCCAAGGGAGGCAAGGCCTGCAGCTGTTCTGGTGAGCACAGTGCTTTCTACAGGGAAAGAACCGTAGATAGAGAAATCTTTACAAAAGGAAGGAGGGGAGGGAGGGAGGAAGGGAGGGATAAAAATTCGCCATGAGCAGTTTCTTCTTTTATTGTGAAGGGTTCTCAGTTTTTGAGCTCTCCTGGGATTTCTTCTGGTCATGGCCACTCATGACTATGATTCTAACTCTGCAAGGACAACATACTGTCATTCCTGTGTGGTCTGTGTAGCTTTCTGACCTCTGAAAAGCCCATCCATCCATTCTTGCACGTGCAGTTCTGAATTGCTCTACTCCACCTCTGACCATCCATGCCAGCTGGACTGGCTGCTGTTCCTATCCCCAGGAATCACTGCTTATGCTACAACGATGGGCCCTCGGTGAGCCTTTATGAGCTTATTTTGCTCCCCATCAGACCTCCTTCCAACATTCTGTAGCTGGAGATACCAAGCATCCTGCTGCCCCCAACCCACAACATTGCAATGTCCAGACAATTGCCTAGCTCTAAGACAGGCTGGGCTCACCAGGCTGATATCCCAGGTATGAGCCTGCCTTGGCATTAGATGGCCAGGAGGATGCCAGCTCGGCCCCTACATTCATAGGCTCCTGTTTCTCTGGTGTAGCAGAGGCCCATGGCCAGGGACAGGGGCATATAGGACGTGCCTTGTATTAGACCAGGTGACTCCTGCAGTGGATTACAACCCTGAGACTCTCCAATAATATGACTCAGAGAAGAACATTTCTTCCCTGATAAGTATAAGACTCAGATAAACCCAAAGGTGGATACAACTAGGGATTTCCCTGAAGCACAAAGAATCCAGGGCTCCCAGCCCAATGTGAGGCACTTTGACAGCCTGGGGGAAAGAGTCAGCAACATTAAAAAACAACAGGCCAAGTCTCCCACCTTTCGCTATTGTGATGGCCTCAATGTCTGTGTTTCCTTAAAATTCATTTGTTGAAACCTAAACTCCAATGTAATGGTATTAAGAGGTGGGGCCTTCAGGAGGTGATTAGGTCATGATCACATGAATAGAATTAGTATCCTTATAAAAGAGGTCTGAGAGAGCTTGTTTCCCCCTTCTGCCATGTGAGGACACAGCAAGAAGGCACCATCTATGAGGAAGCAGGTGTTTGCCAGATGCTCAATCTGCTGGTGTCTTGATCTTGGACTTCCCAGCTTCTAAAACTGTGAGAAATAAATTTCTGTTGTCTATAAGCCACCCTGGTCTATGGTATTTTGTTATAGCAACCCAACTGGACTAATAAATCTACCAACTCCTTTAAACTAAAGATTACACCTTCTTACCTAATTCTCTCTTTAAACTTTTTAAAGGTGCCAACTGATCCTGGCTTCATTTAAAGCAAGAGCCCGCCAGCCCAATTGAACTAATGACAAATATAATACGCAAATTTGAATGGCTATCTTCTTTTCATTTGCAAAGTTGTTTGTATAAACTTTACCTCATCTTTTTCTCTTAGTGCGTCTTGCCTATAAGACAGGCAAGGTAAATGTCATATTTGCAGATGAGAAAACTGAGACTCAGGGAGCTTATGTAATGTGACTAAAGACGCTTATATGGGCAAACTTAGGACTCAAAGCTCAAAGCCAGATAATCTGATTCCTGGTCCAAGGCTTTTGCTATGCTGCACACTGCCTTTCTGCATGATTTGGCCTGCAATGTCCCAAAGGAGACTCTGCTTGCTACCCCTACTGTCCTCCTGTTTCTGGCTACATGAGGTCCCACTGTGTCAGGCACTTTCTGAAGTATGTGCAGATGTCCCAGTCAGCTTCCACTCTGCCTTTCCACCTGAACTCCTGAGGTAACTGTGTTTATGCCTGAGGTCCCTCCAGGCCAGGCTAGGATACGTGCCATGTTTCTCCACTCTCAGAATCCATCTATCAGATGACTCTGCAAAAATATCTGGCCCGCTTTGCAGCCCCACTCATGCATGTACTCCCAGCATAGAATGGTCTCCAAATGAAGTTGTCATTAAGAACTCTATTGAAATAGAAAGGTTTCCTTTGGGAACTACAATTATATTCTAATACTGGGGCAAATGTGGTTTGAATATATTTATCCCATTTGTTTTTCTCATTGTGCATGTAAGATGGGCAAGAAAAATACCATATTTACAGGTGAGGAAACTGACATTATGTAACTCAACTAAAAGATGCTTATATAGGCAGACTCAGGACTCAAAAATGGTAGCATAAAATAGTGACTCCTGGAGTTCCTATATCCCTCCTTGAAATTAAAAGAAGTAGTGCCAGCCTCTAAAAACTCCACCTGGAGGGATTTTAATGTGAATGTATCTGTCATATTCCAGTTTTTCATTTTTGGATAAGAGATGGTAGTAATATTATCAACACCTCATATTTGTATGGCACTTTAGAATTTTTAAAGCACTTTAATACTCATAACAAAGCCTAGAAGTTGGGCAAAGTGATGTTGTAAATCTCATGTTATAGATGAGTACGCTGATGATCTGAGAAGTGATTTACCCAAGGCCATACAGTTGGCAAACAACACAGCTAAGATTAGAACCCACTCGTGACCCCTACACAGGTGCTTGTGTTCGGTAAAAATGCTGCCTCAGAGTGTCTGCTGTGGTGGCTGCTATGCCCAGGTGGCTCACACAACCAGCCCTCGGCTCACCAAGCTACAGCCCTCTCACTGGGCCTCTGGAACAGGCAGATGATTGTCACCCAGTGGCCAGTTCAGGAGGGTTTGGCTTGGGTATCTTGTCATCAATGATGATCAGCATGAAAACATCAGAGTTAGCTTCTGCTCCTCTTTTTGAAGAAGAAAAATTCCAAGAAAGTGTTCTCAGTCTGCTTCTGTTTCTCTACATAAACACACACACCTCAGCAGATGTAGGAGTCTGTGAACTTGGCATTATTTGAAGAGTAGAATATCAGAATGTGAAGAAAATTCACTAATTAAAGTATTATCACCACCATTGTAGACTATCACCTCTGAACGCCCACCACAAGAGGAGAGCTTATTACTACATTCTCACTTTTGACAGCAGCTTCAAAGAAGCTGAAATACTTTGAAAACCAAACAAGTGTCCAAGAGGAACAATTTTCTACCACACAACCAGCTACTGGGATGGAAGGAGGAGTTGCCTGAATGAAGGTTTCACACATCACTATGGCTTTGACCACAATGCTGTCTCTGGGGAGATTGAGGTCCCCGGGGCAGCACCTTGGACAGATCTCACATCAAAGAAAATGACAGGTGCTGCTGTCATCCCATACTCCTAGCTCATGCATTCATTCAACAGCTATATATTGACCTCTACTATGTGGCAAGCACTGTGTTAGGTGCTGGGGGACATGGAGATGACCAAGATAGACACGGTCCTTTCCTCCAAGAGGTTGCTTTGTAGCATTACATTAATCAAATTCTTTCTGGTGTTGTCAGAGATTTGAGAGATGCTGCAAAGAACCATGGAGGCATCCTAAGGATGTGAACTCAACAGTCTTTCATATGCCCAGGGGGAGGTGGAACAGAAAGAGCATTCAAAGCAGGTCTCAAGGGCCCCCAGGTCCTTGTTTGCAGTAATATCTTGGGAGATTTTAGAAGATTCCAGAAAAGGGAAACTATGATTTGGTGGATGCCTCAGCATGTATCCACTTTCCTCGCACTCTGGGGTTCAGTCTACTCCAAGAAAAGTGCTTCACTCCAGCAAGCCTGCTCCCTTCACCCTTCCACCACCTGTTACCAAGAGCCTGGCTACTCAAAGTATGGCCCATGGACCAGCCGCGTGACCATCATCTGAGAAAATGTTAGAAACACAGACTCTCAAGCATCACTCCAGGCTTCTTGAATCAGAATCTGATTTTAACAGAATCCTGAGGTGATCCCTGTGCAAGTTACAATTTGAGAAACCCTGAGCTAGAAAGCCTTGGTTTCCATAAATTATTCAAACCAAAATTTACAAGAGAAGCATTTAAAAAAATTCTTTATTGACCTCATTAACCATCCAAAGATGGTAACTTTGAGACTCAAAAAGCCTTATTTTTTGGAATATGTATCTCTGAAAGTATATTGCAAAAAAAGTGTCCTGCTTTGTGTTTGTGCTACCAGGAGAACTCCCTCAGCATCAGGTATTTAAGATCAAATATTTGAGCTTCAACCTGGAAGAATAAAATGCATGCTGAACCACTTGGGGTAGTTCCACCTCCACTACCAGCTTCTAAGAAAATGCCAGGTGCTCTCAGGGTGCTACAGAGAAAAGAGCTGAGAACACAGAAGCAGGACACTGGAGTTCTAGGCTTAGGTCTGCCATCAAAAAAAGTCAGGACCTTGGATAAATGACTTAACTTGTGTGAGACTCAAGTTTCTTTGTCTACAAAACAGAAGCATCAAACTAGGCAATCCCTGAGGTCATTTCCAGTTCAAAGATTCTGAAACAGATGAATGATATGTTTTATCATTTCCTCTTCATTTCTGCTGCATTGAATAAGTACAATTTGGGGAAGAGGAGGGAACCATAAAGACTTTTCTCATTGGTGGGCAGGCTGCACTTTCAGGATCTGCACCAACATGCCTGGAGCCAAGATTCTCCAGCTTCTCTCATCCTGTAGTCTTCTGCTTCTTACAGTGTGATAGCCTGGTTTTGCAGACTTTCACATTACAGCTCCTCACCAAGTCACCCCAAAGCAGGAACAAATTTTCTTCTGTACACATCTACATGGGATATCATGCCAACTGCACTTCTGCTCCCCGGTGTGGGAGAGAAATGCCATCTGGATGCTTCTCCAGGCTGGCTTAGCCACACTTCTGTGGGACCACAGCCTCCTCCTGCCCAACAACCCCAAGGGACAGGGTGGAGAGGCACCCAGCTCATTTAGTCACCCTGGAAATGGAGGAAACTGGAAAATCCAAGCATAAAGGAAATACCTCTGGGTTTCAAAGATGGGAAAGAAAGGGCAGGTGCAAACCAGTGTAGGGGGACTTCCTAAATAATTTAGCTCATGGTGATCTTTCCTTAAAAAGTGGGAGGCAACACGTTGAGAATGCTGAGCTTTAGATATGCAGCATATTTGAGGTTTAGGATGGGCAATGATTTGTGTAAATTGTGGTAGTGTGAAGTCCAACATGGCAAGAGAATATTTAATTCTTAAGAATGACTGCATATCGTCACCTTAATGGAGGTGTGTACTCTTGAGCCAACAATGACTAAGTCCTTCATTCCTCTGCATGGCCCTAGAGAGTAATGGCCCCATGAAAGGTCAGCCCGGAGTCAGGCCAATGGGAACGGGCCAAATATGATGAATACAGGCAGGAACAGAGAACTTGTAAGAGGATGAGATGACAGAGTTTGGCCAGGTGATTAAAAGGATGAGATGACAGAGTTTGCCCAGGCAATGGCACAGCATCCTGCTTGTTAAGGTGACGCTCCAGACCTAATCAATGACTCTCCTGAGAGCACATAACTCAAAGTGGAGCCCAGCTGTGCTCATGCCATGGCCCAGGCAAATCTGTCTGAGTGAGATGTCTAAGGAAGTGAGAATGTCCTTCTTTAATGCTGTATGTCACTACACAAAGGGATGTTATAGGGGATTTGGAAAAGCCAGCTTTTAAAGCCACCTGGAACCCACAGTGATCATCCACTCACCTGTGCACCTCAGGAGGCTCCCTCTGGATCTTGGAACTGGCCTCCACCACCTCTTTGGCAACTTTCCCACTGCAAAAGACAGAAACACATGTGTATGCACACATAGTCAGAGAAGAATGGGAGGGATATGCACAAGTGTCCTTTTGTTAACTTCACAGGTGTCTGACCCAGCTATAGAAATCATGAGGGGGAAAATTACGGTAGAATTTGAGGGTGCCCTGTGAGCATAAGACAGCAATGGAGTAGAAATGGAAGACTCAAACAGAGGCACAAGCCAAAGGCCACTTATTTGCAAGCAGAATTTTGAAATTTAAGTGGCTGCCCATCCCCACCCCCTCACTGAAATGGAACCATTGGTACCCACCTATATCGAAATCTACTTCCTTTAAAAAATATCTTGCTGCTTGATACAGTCTTGATCTGACTGGATTTTGCATACCTTTAAGAAAAAGCAAAGCACAGGTGGTTAGGACATTGGAAAGTCCACTTACAACATGCTATAGAGGTGTGGTGATGGGGTATTTTTACTGCAAGAAAGAAATGTAATTTACCTTGTGACTCAGCCTGCATTGTGCACACAAAATATAAGAAAAGCTTCACAAAAGAATAGTTACTTTCACTATGTGTATTGCATTCTAATATTTTCTACGCTATTTCCTTTCATTCTTTTTAAATTCATGACCCACATACTGGGTTTCATAATTCATTAGTGGGTCACAACCTGCAAAAAGGACTGGGCAGTGATGATCAGAAGGAATTCTCCCCTAATTTCTATCTGAAGATATGGAGAAGAGGGAATTTTGTGACATGGCATCAGGAAGTTCGTGGTTGTTAGGGCACTTTGCTGCCTATTCCTGTATCCACAGTGAGGCAGAAAACAGCTTCCTGGCAACAGAGGTCACTGACTATGCCACGAAGAACTCACTGTGCATTGCCCAAGTGAGGGAACAAGGGTCCCGCATCACCACAGGAATGGTCACTGGCTTCTGTGTCACCATGACCCAGTGCCCTTTAAAAGAACCCACAGTGGTAGATGACTAAGATACACGAGGCAGAAGCTGCCCAGACAAGAACTGATTCAGCACCTCTGAGCCCTACTCGTAAATAAGAGCAAAACAACAACACTCTGAAAAGCAGCCTAGAGCCTGGGCTGCCGGAAGGCTGCACACAGGGCACTAAATTACTGTGACAGCTGAGGATGGCTCTACAGCAGTCATGTTAAGCCTTGTACAATTAAATCCAACAAGTTAGAAAGAACAGGTCTCAGAGAGTTCAGCATCGTTTAAAATATTGATAGTCACAAAATCTTAAACACACACAGACAAAATCAATATGATCTGTAGCATCCTGAGCAAAGACATGCACGGAGCCAGGGAAGTTTCAGCGCAGTGATCCCCACCCTTGAGCCTCTTGAAGCTTCCTTTATTCACTCAGCAATCATTAACTGAGTGCCATCCCTGCTCTACACACCAAGGTAAGTACAAGAAAGACACATGGCTGATCTAGCCTGGGGGCCAGAGAAGATGCCCTGAGGAAGGGACATCTGAGTTGAGATCCAGAGGCTGAAAGGTGTTAACCAGGGCACGGTGCAAGTGGTGGTGGATATACCCAGCAGAGGGCCAGCAGGCGCAAAGCCATCAGCCTAAACATCTAGAGAACTCAAAACACTCAATTATTCTAAGTTAAGCAACTCAGGAATGGAAAACCAAAAATTCTATATTCTCACTTCTAAGTGGGAGCTAAGCTATGCATATGCAAAGGCATACAGAGTGATATAATGGACTTTATAGACTCAGAAGGGGAGGGTAGTAGGGGCCAGGGATAAAAACTACACATTAGGTGCAATATACACTAATTGACAGGTGCTCCAAAATCTCAGAATTTACCACAATATAATTCATCCATGTAATTGAAAACCATTTGTACCCCAAAAGGTATTGAAATTTTTTAAAAATATATAAAATACATTTTTAAAAGACTCAATGCACATTTTCCCATGTTATTATTACTACACACACACATATTTTTTTTCCTTTCCTAATAAAGATAAGTGAATGTACAGATGTACGAAGGAGAATAAGGCAAACTTGGACAGAGAGCCAGAATCCAATTTCCCAGGACCAGACCTTAAGTGGTCCTTGTTAAGGATCTTGGTCTTTATCGAGAGAACAATGGAAAGCCATAGGAACAATCTTTTGCAAAGAAGCCCCTTCCCACCACCTGTGTAAACAGCCAAAGATGACACAGAAGGGCACTGGACACAAATATTAAGCAGGGAGAGTAAGATGGGCAAGGGAGGGCACAGGGCTTGGCAGGGGGATCCTGTCAGGGCAGGGCCCAGAGAAAATGGTACAGGACCCCTGAGGACACACAGAGGCACGTGAGAGCCATGGCCCTGGGGGGGGCCCTGCAGTGTGCTGGCTGGAGCTTCCTTCCAGACCACACCCACTCACGAGGCTAGAAACCCCCAGCAAGCTGCATTGAGATGGTCCCAGCTGTGCCCTCCACCTCCTATGAGGACATGCCTGCTCTGGGTCCATCTGCACCCCCTAAAACTCCCCACTAGCCCTACAGAGCTGTGGCCTGACACTTTATCTACTGGAGCCTGAGAAAAGGACAATCACCTCTGCCCTCTCCCCATCTTCTTGGAAGGGTTGCTCCCAAGTCCTCAAAGATTGGGAGAAGAGAAAGCTTTAAAGAAGCTTCTATTTTTTATTGTGTATGTGTTTTTTTTTAATTCCAAGTTCCTAAAGATCCTTGGGACAAAGTGGTTGGCTTAAAAAAAAAAAAAGATTGAGTTTCTTAATTGGGTTTTTAAAATTCAAACTCAACACTTTGCCCATTCTACAGAAGCGACACGTGAAGCCGGCAAAGCCGGCGCAGGTGTGAGTCAACCTCCTGGCCACTCAGGTGGCTCTTTTTCACTAGTTTGGCCTTAGCTCTGGCCCTTCCAGGCCCCAGGAGGAAGCCACTATCATCGGCTTGAACCCAGACTGGCCTCTTAGAGGGAAGTCTCAGTCTCAGTACTGCTTCCCAAAAACCCTCAAAGTGACTCAAAAGAAGCAGGTCAAAAGATACATTTCACAAAGATGGCCAGTAGCTGTATGCTCAGGATGAGCAGAGAGAAAAGACTGTGCGTCTTTCTGGCTGCGGGTTCCCCTGGAGGAGTATCTGCAGGTGATCTGATTTGCTCAGAGACAGTTGCCTCAGAGCATTCCCACGAATCCCCTGCCCTCCCAAATGTCCAGGTGAACTCCCAGAATGTTTCAGCTGAGATTTTTAATGAAACGTTAACAGGCAGTTTATTCTGAGAGCTCAAATGACACCCATGCACTGGGAATTGGGAAACAAGGCTGTAGAGGGGAGGGGAATGGAGAGAGGAGAAAGAATGGTGGCCAGGTTAAAGTACATGAATCCGGAGTACCAGATCCCAAACCTGGCCGGGCATCAGACACCTGGAGTAGGTATAAAAAACACAGGTTCTCAGGCTTGATCATGAGAGATTCTGATTCAGTGGGTCTGAAGAGGGGCTTGACTTTAATCAAGCACCTTAAGGGGATTCCAAGAAGTCCACTTACATTGGAGAAACTCTGTACCCCCAAATTCTCCTAGGATGACCCAAGAGGTGACATTTCACCTGAAAGAACAGTGGTCCAGATTCCTATTCACGTCTGGTTCTGTGACCTTGGTCATGCCATGTGGCTTTGCTGAGCCTCGGTTTCTCTACATATTATTAAAGGGGGAGGGTGTCATAATATTTCATAGTACTCTCAGGAGGGTTACACAAGAGTAAATGATTTGAAAGCACCTAGCATCATACCTGCTCATTATATAATAGTTTCCCTTCCTCCCTTCCCACCTTCCTCCCTCCCTAATATCAATCTCAAACCTCTTCATCGCCTTCTCACTATGAAGCTACCAAAGCCAATCCTCTAAATTATGGAGGTTCCAGAAAACCATGTTAAACACTCTGAAAGCAAATAAAAGAGCTCTAACTCCAGCCAAAATGTTCTGAGCACTCTGTTTACCAGACTCTCCCATCAACAGCAAGCCCAGGGAAGAGTATTCTTCCCACAGAAAGCAATGAGTTCACAGCCTCATTGGAACAGCAATTCGCTCTCCTACAGCCTTCTGCCTTCCTTTCCACCCGCCGTCTCCCACTTCAACTTCCAACTCCCCATCAAAGTCCCAACACAAGAAGTATGACTATGCCCAAACATCTGACCTCACAAAGAAATCCAGATCGTCTCTGCAGGAGCACACCTCCCCTCTCCCCAACCTGCAATTTCTCCTCTGAACCCTGCTATTCCAGGGGCTTGAAGATCAGGATAGGTACTGGGGGGACATTGGGTGGTGCTCCAAGAGGCCACCTCTAGAATTAACAACACTATTTCCCATTGAAGTCATAATTTAGAGTTCCTGGAGTAACCATAACAATAACAGCATTTACTACTGAGCCTTTAATATGGGCAATGCCCCATCCAAAGCACCTTTAATATACAATTCATTTTATCCTCACGGCTCTCTACCAGGAGGAAGGGATCCGCATTTTCACATAAGGAAAATAAGGCACAGAGAGGTTTAATCACTTTACCATGGTTCCATGATAGAAGCTGCAGGAACCAGGCTATAAATCCTAGTCTGTCTGATTTCAGTATTTAAAAAATCATGCTCTAGTCGTACTGGCTCTCAAATTTTAGTGAGCAACAAATCACCTGGAAGGCTTTTTAAAACACCTGTCTCTGATTCAGTAGATCTGGGGAAGAGCCCAAGAATCTGCATTTCCAAAAAATCCCGGGAGTGATGATGCTGGTCCAGGGACCTGATGGGAGAATCACTGAACTAAAGCAATGTCTTAACCCCTCAATGGCATGTTAGCAATAACTGGGAAACTTCTAGCACTGCCAACACCTAGGTTCCTCATCCCAGATTCAGATTTCTCAAAATAACAGCTTTGTCGAGATATAATTTACATACCTTAAATTTCACCCTTTTAGATTGTACACTTTGGTGGGTTTTAGTATAATTCATGAAGTTAAAAAAAGAAATTACGAAAATCAATCACCACTATCTAATACGAAAACATTTTCATCACCTCCAAAAGAAACCACCTGTCACTGCAATGGGTATTGGCAGTCACTCCCTGATTCCCCTCCTCATCTCACCACTCCCAGCCCTAAGCAACCGCTCATCTAGTTTATATATTTGCCATTTTAGATATTTCATTTCAATGGACTCATGCAATATGTGGTGCTTTGTAAATGGTTTCTTTCACTTAGCATACTGTTTCCAAGGCTCATCCAAGTTGTAGTATCAGTTCTCCATTCCTTTCTATGGCTGAATGATATACCATTGTATGGATATACCGCATTTTGTTTATCCATTCATCATTTGATGGACATTGGATTGTTTCCACTTTTTGGCTATTACGACTAATGCTGCTATGAACGCTTGTGCACAAGTTTTAATGAAGACCCAGATTCCACTTTAATTGGGTCTGGGGTAGGATGCAGGGACCCATAGCACTGGTATTAATAGTTTTTAAAAGCTCCTCCAGGTGATGTTAATGTAGTCAGGATTGAGAACTGCTGATTTAGAACCTTATTACTTGGAGTGTGGTCTACGGACCCACCGCACAGTATCCCCTGGAATTTATTAAAAATATGGACTCTCATGCCCACCCCAGACCTTTTGAATTAGAATGCACATTTTAACCAGCTCCCCAGCTCATTCATGTGTGCATTCAAGTGTGAGAGGCACTTGTTTAGGGAGCTAGTCTGGGTTCTTACCTACCAAGCATAACACTGTTCCTTTGACAAAATGTACACCAAACTCTGAATAAGAAATGTATTAGGAACTGCTTTTATCCCTTGCACACAATTCCAAAACAAATTGGGAACACAGTGTCATACAGCCTCAACCATGTATCCAGTACACAGCAAAAACTGTGAGATAAAGATGCTGTTAATGAAAACATCAGTGAGCCACTGAATCCCTCAATGCGTCCAGTGTGCTTTCAGTGAACCAGCACCCAGAAACAGTGAGCTCTGGGGTTGGCAGCACCATGACAGACCACACATGGTATAAAGGAAGCTCTTAAATGGTGAATAAGTCTGTGTTGGAGATCCCCTGGGGTCTGGAGTAGGCGGGAAAAATCAGAGTTTCTGCGTCTGGGCTCCATTCCCAGGCAGATCTCAGAGCCAGGGCTTTCAAAACAGATCTGTGGCCCTGGGCCAGCTGACAACCAGCAGCGCATTTGCGTCCTAAAAGCACACTGGGGAATTCGCAAGCAGAGGCCCCGGGCCTCCCCGCTCCCATGCAGGTGAAGTAAAAATGGAAGGAACAAACCATCTAGGAAACAAGATTAGGGCCTTGCTCTGCCAGCTGAAACCATTAAAATGCAGGGCCAGCAGGACAGAGCTAGAAGCAGGGCCAGGACCTCTGCCCAGGGAAGGGTGGTCACAGTGAAGGAAGCAGGCATACCCCTGAGGTTACCATAATCAGAGTCTTCCCAATGAAAAGGAGTGGGCTCTTCATCCAACTGCTGCTCAAAATACTCTCATCATTAGCAGAGGGGGCAGTAATACAGCAGCAGCTTCTGCTCATCAATGGTTCATATGCCTGGCAGAACTGAGCACAGCAAGGCAGGTAATTCAATCTCATTTCACAGATGAAAAATAAAGATGAGGCTCCAAGAGATTAACAGCTTTGTTCCAGGCCACACTGCTATAAATGACAGAGTCAAGACTTAGAACCAAGCCCATTGACTTCCAAAGCTCACACTCATTACACTATGCCCCAGTGGTACAAGCAAATGCACCCAGGTCAGTCCCAGGCCCATTCATTCTACAGGTGAGGAGGCTAAGACCAGACAGCACTAAAGTGACCTGGCCAAGGTCCCACAGCTGGGCCAGAACAAGTGATACTTCCCCTCCTTCCTCAGGAACAAGGATGGTTATGGGATAATGGAGGAACAAAATGTTCAGGCAAATCTCAGACGGCTATAAATATTCAGGTTTAGAAGTCGAATGAGATGAGGGTAGCTTGGTTAACTATAGCCAAAGTGCCAATGCAAAGACTGGTCAACCATATACAGTTTGTCACTTGTGCTCACAGCTAAACCCTCCAAGTCTTCTGAAGCATCCACAAGTGACTGGAAGGGACTTCTCTGACATGCCAAGTTGACCTACCTAGTTCATGATAAAATTACCAGAATACCTTCCTTACTAGCTGCCAGCTAATCTGCTTACCCAAAATGTGTAAAACACATTTTCCATATTGCAGGTTTTTTCTCTCCCTTTCTCCTCTCAATTTTGTTTTTGCCTTTATTTAACTCTGTCTCCCAACTGACTTCCTCATATATGATAAAACAACGTGCGTGAAATAGCAAATGAATGTCTCCAAGTTATTCTTTGATACGGACCCAGTGATTTCACTAAAGTATCTTCAAGGCTGTGCCAAAGTCCTTCCAAGCAAAACTTGCTGTGTGGCTCTAAAGGAAGGCCTGTCTGCTAGGTGTTCTCCTGTATCACCCCCTCCCATAGGTCTGTCTGCACGTAAAGAATGATCAACCACACCTACTGCACCTCTGTTGCCTCTTTCACACTGGTCAAGCCATCCGTGTCTGGCCTCAAGACCTCCTGGTCCCTTATCACCTCTTTTTCTACCTCATCTACCCTCTGCTCCAACCTTGTAGCCACTCATGTCCCACAAAATGCATCCTCCACATTCCTGCCATGGTACCCTACGGGAGCTTGGATGTCCTTCCTCCACCTAAAAGGGTCTTCTACCTCCTAGCTCCCCTGGCAGCAAGATTCACCCTCTCCTCTGGATTCCTCTCTAGCTTTTTTCTTTTTTTTTCATTTCCCCCTTGGTCTCTTACATGAAATAACAATCTCCTGAGGACAGGAATCATGCCTTATCAATCTGAGCTAGTAAATGTGTTTTCAATGCCTGAGATCTTCAGGAAATAAAAAAAGCAGAAAAAGTTCCTACCCTCAGAGAGTTCAAACTGATTACAGATCTGACATGTTGGTATGGAAAAATCTACAATCCAATAGAAGTCTTGGAGAAAGGAACAAGGGAGAGTAACTCCTCAGTGAGTATATAGTTTCCTTCTGGGATTGATGAAAATGTTTGGAAATAGATAGAAATGATGGTTGGACAACATTTTAAACATACTCTGCCACTGAATTGTACACTTTAAAATAATTAATTTTATGTTACATGACTTTAACCTAAATACAAATCATGAATACAGGTTAAAAAAATAGAAATCAGATCTAGTACAGATACATAGTACAGATATATAAAATTCTGTAATAAAATCATGTCATGGTAGATCTTGTTTTTGCCTTGTTTCTTCACTCCATTTTTAATTCCCTCATATGCAAGAAAATATTCACTGAAAATAACTAACTGAACATCTGTAAGTTATCCTTTGACAGGAAACAGATGGTTTCATTCAAGAAAGAACAGAAGAGTTCCAAAAGCTTAGGCACTGAAAACAATGTGTCAGGTCCTCAAAAAGCTAAATATAGAGTTACCCTATGACCCAGCAGTTCCATCCTAGGTATATGCCCAAGAGAACTGTCCACACAAAAACTTGTATCCAATGCTCGTAGCAGCATTACTCATAGTAGCTAAAAAGAGGTAACAACCCAAGTGAGCATCAACTGATGAATGGATAAACCAAATGTGGTCTATTGAAACAATGCAGTGTCATTCAATCATAAACAGGAATAAAGTACTGAGACATGTTATAATATGGGTGAACTTTGGACACATTTTGTGACAACAGGCACAAATGGCCACATCGTTTATGATTCCACTTATATACAACTTATAATAGGTAAATCCATAAAAACAGAAAGTAGATTAGTGGTTGCCAGAGATTGGGGGGAGGAGGAAATGGGAAATGACTGCTAACTGGCATAAGGTTTATTTTGGGAAGGATAAAAATATTCTGGAATTAGATAGTGATAATGGCTATATCACTTTGTGAATTACACTAAAAACCACAAAACTGTATACTTTAAAAGGGTAAATTTTACGGCATGTAAATTAGATTTCCATTTAAAAAATTTTTTTTAAAACAAAATAAAAAATCACTAAGGCTCCAACTAAAGACTGAGAGCATCAAACCCTCTGTGTTTCCCTCTCTGAACTCTCATGTGGGTGAAGGCTTCTAGACATGTAGATTTTCCGAAGGCCAACTGGTCTCCTTCCTTATCAGTCCCCAAACATGCAGGAGGCACACAAAGACCTTGAGGTGGTGGTGGTCACAGGAAGGTCTACTGGTACACATCACCTTCTCCAATCATTCCTAGCACAGCATTTTGTGCGTCATCTCACCCAGTGGTGTTCAAATTATGCTCCTGGGTTTTCCCAGGGCTGATGGGTTTCCTGGGACATGGGGATGTCAGTGCTAAACTTAGGAAAGGCATAGGCAACCTGGACAACTGGTCACCCAAGCTCCTGAAAAGCAATGAACAATGGGCAAAGACCCTTCAATCTCCAATCCCATCCAAGGCCCCATCTACCACCACAACTTCTCTTTTTATCTCCTTTACATGCTGGACTTTGCCTATACTTCAGATTAAGGAAAAGTATTCTGTGGCCGAAACTGGTTTCAAAATCATTATCCAAGCCATCATTCTCCTGATGGTTCTCATCAGCCAAAGCCCAGGAGGTTCAGAGACAGCATTTTCAGGGAGATGAGTCTAATCAGGAAGACAGAATCTCACTGTAAGGGGCAGGGGGACTGATCAAAAGCCACCTGGATGAGGTCCAGGGGTGTACAGTGCTGATGGCCTGAGCAGGGCTGGACTAGGTTCTTAGTTGCATCCACTACCACTGCCTTTCCAGTCAGCAAGCGTCTCTCAGAGAAGAAGGTGTAACTCCATGCACAGATCTCAGTTTGAACTTCTTTTGAAACCTGAGAGCTTTACAGATGGTTTCTGAAGTCTTGTCCAGCACCTACTTTCTATGATCCTAGGCTCTGACAGCATTCCACCCATAAACCTTTGGCTCTATTTTCAATACACTGAAGCCTTCTTACTATGAACACAGGTGACTCTCTGCCAGAGGTCTCTTTTTCTGGTTGTGAAAGCACATCCAACCCATACTCAGAGTAAGCCAGAAATATCAGAGAGTATTAATTCTGGCCCCCAAAGCAGGCTTCAACCAAAATAAATGGCGAATTGGTAGATAAACAGCCCCACCTCTTTGCCCATCAGCAGGAGAACTGTGAGGCATATTATACCATGTCCCAGAGTTCCTAAGAAGATCTGAGCCCAGTTGTCCACAGTAGTGACCTGCTCAATAATGCATCTTATATTGCTTCCCCATCTCACCACCCCCCACCACTCCCCTACTGGTATGTCCATTGATTACATCCCAAATAAGCTACTTGTACCAAACTATCTCAAGGTCTGCTTTGTGGGGGTGGGGGGAGGAGGGCAACCAAAAATTGATCCTGTGACATATTTTGTGGAAATAGCTATTTGAAATACACACACACACACACACACACACACACACACACACACACACACAGTGGCCCACAGCCATTCCACAGGAAACATCCAACATAGAGCTCAGAACTCGGTCAGGCCAACAAGCCAACAATCACCGGGAGTCACCCTGAACAATGCACAAAATTTTAATTTACTTAAATATAACTTTTAAAACTGTATTAAAAGAAATAAATATGCAGCCATTTGCAAAACATAAAGAATTCCATGGGTGCTTTTAAAAGCTATAATTAAATGAATAAAAGCCACTTACTTATAAAAGGCCTGGTTTTCCACTCCACACTTCCAAAGATGTTTGCAGGCAGCTGGTGTTGAAGTATGGAATGCCAACATGGCTTTTTTCTAATTAAAAAATAACAAAACAAGAAAAGGCACGTAAAATACCATTTACATTTTCCATGGGTTTTTTTTTTTCAGGTGTTTACCTCTTTGTATCCTATCTCCTATTACACAGACTTGAAGTAACTTAACATATTGCTATGTTATTTACAGTGTTATTAACATGGTATTCACCCCTCCCTCACCCTTTGCAGATATCACTAATGTATCTAGGACCTGTTTCTGATCAAAATCAGCCTCACAATGCTTCTCAACACTCCAGGCATCATCTACCTCTCTGTCACACTGGAATTAGCCTAAAAACATATTTGCCATCCTTGAGGAACTAGTACTTGGGCTGAAAACTCATGACAAGAAAACCCGCAAATTTCTAGAGCTACCTCTGAGGCTTAATATTTTGTTAATGGTCTCCGCACAAATGCATTCCCTGGTGAATCCACAATCTATATCTAGTAACTCCCTTGTTTTAAGACTCTCTGGACTAATAGGCTCTGTTTATAACACTCTAATGAGCACTGGTTGTTGAATATTTAGCTTTGTAAGTATTCTTTATTTGTTTCACATGTCTGTATCTTGGCAAAAAGAGGTAGGGAGAGGTTCCATCTTTTATTTCCAAAGTCTATCCCAGTCTGTTTTGCACATGGGGGTGTACAATCAGCATTGCTTACTGACTTTATTGTTCAATGTACAAACCCAGTACTCATTTGTTTGCCTCTAAAATATTTTTAGCATATAGCTTTCATTATCACCATACACTTCAAAGTCATGGTCTTTGGCGACTACAATACTAAAGGCATATTTTACTCCTGAATCTCTCTCATGCACACACAATAACAGGCAGTTAAAAAAAAGCAGTATCTGACCTCCTTCTGGGTGCCAATCACATAAAATGTCTTCCCTTCAAACTTCAATTTGCAGACATCTGGCCTAAGAAAAGAAAATCTCTGGGTAAGAAGAAAAAAAGTGGCAGCTAACCAAGGTACCTGGGTTTCCCATAGGAATCTGACTCAAAAATGCCAGGCAGATTGCAGTGAAACAAGGTATTATCATTGGTGAAGGTCTAATGGGCAGTGAAAAGCCTCGAGTGAATTATACAGCAATTCTCTTCCCAAGAGAGGATCCGCACAGAGCTCAGAATTATTTATTCTATTATTTACAGTCAGGCTGCATCGTTCTTCCAAGAAGCTCTAGTGTTCGTGAACATTAATGATCAGAACAATATTAATTGCCCAGCCCACTTAGCAAGGTGGGAAGAACGTGGTGATTTCAGATTCAGTTAATGAAATGATGCGGATTCACAGTATCTGACTTTCTCCTCCTTCTGCATCCATTTCCAAGAAGCAAATCCACTGCACTGCAAAATGTTCACTCCTGTTTTCCCTGTTTACAAAAGAATTGTGTTCTTATATATTGGAGTTCCCATTCTTTTCAGCAAGGACCGGTTTAAATAGAAACATGTGACCCAATTCTGTCCAATTAGGTATACAGGAAGTCTCCTACAGGGCTTCTAAAAAATTATCCTTGTTTGAAAAGGAGACACATGGAAGGGGCTGCTCTCCTCCAGGCTCCGGGCATTGCCATGGGGAGATGTGCAGGCCAGTCCCGCACATGCCCATCTCAGGAGCAGGAGCCTCAGGACCAATGCGCCTGACTGAGAATGGCAGAGAAAAAAAAAAAAAAAAACAGAGACCTAAATCCTTCCCGGCATTTAAGTTAATAGGCAGTTAAGTTAACAGACCAGGGAACTGCTCCACGTTTGCTCTGTGAGCTGATTAGTCCTCTTATTTGTAAGCCATCATGAGTAGACATTCCTACTACCTTTTGCCAAAAGCATCTTCACGGATACACTGGATAACAAAGGGTGAGTTTGCACCCAGGACTCAACAGAGGAGAAGAGTGGAAAGAAGTGAGTTGGGGAGAGTGGATCCTGAGTTGTTCATGGGAACTCACACCTTTACCCTGCCCTGACCCATCCGTGTGCCCCCCTTGGCCACAGCAGTAGAAGCTACTGGTGAGGAAACACTGGATACCTTCTCTTTGAAGGCAGAGCCCCTGAGCCCACGCCTCCTAAGTTGACTCCTCAGCTTGGCAAATCCAAGTCCCCACCAAAGGCAACCTAGATGTTACATCCCTTTATGATGAAGCTCCAAGGCAAGGAAATGGATACCAGGCATTCTACCTGACACTTGCCCGAGAAGCCAAGGAGGGGACGGAGGAATCAAGATTAAGAAAAATGGAAAGCCAGTTTTCCAAAGAGGCACTTACCATTTTATCAAATGGATTCTCTTATTTCCCTGAAAGACCACAAAGCCTGCAGCTGTGAATCCTAAAAATGTTGTTGTGCCTGTTGAATCCTGAAAAAAAAAAAAAAGAAAAAAGAAAAATCTGTTTAGATTGAGAAAAATAAAATAAATGATAACCAATATATTTATTCATCCTCACCCTAGGTTAATTTTAGACTAATCCCAATGATTGTAGCAATAAACTAAGTTTCTGAGATGGAACTTCTAAGAGCAGGCCTTTCAAAGTCTGGGTGAAGTTCAGGAATATGTAGCTTTTCCCTTTGAGGAGCGGACCTTCTGCCCTCTAGGAACCTCCTGGAAAAATATGAATTAGTCCCAAATCACTATGTCTACTTCCCAGTGTCTTCCGGGGCTGCCTGTGTTCTAGGTCTGCTTTGTAATGTGAGAAAACTGTTCTTGCTTGCCATTAGCACTCTAACGTGATGAAACCAAAGCCCTGAGCATCTAATTTTGATTCAATCTCTCACAGGATTTCTGGAAATTTCAGTATAAAAATATCTCCAGAAAAGCTTACTGTGCTTCCAGCCTAGACCAGGAAAACTAAGCATCTTGTAGATAAGTGAAGGCAAAGGAATAACAACACAAAGATCAAGTCAGTCTCCAAGAAATAAATAAAATACAGTTCAAATTTCTGCATAAAATTCACTAAAATGAATAAACTGATTAGTACCATTCTAGGAAAGAGCCGCTGGTAAATATTCCAACATTTGCGTAGGCAGAACAAGAGGATGTAAATGCTAGTATGGACAAGTACCCCTGGCTCTCCGCCTTGGCTGCACATTGGAAACACCTGGGTAGCCTGGTCGCCGCACCCACCACTCCCCCTCCGCCGCCCTGCGCCCCGCCCCGCCCTCCTCCCCAGCAGATCCTGACGTAATTGGTGTGGGATGTGTTCTGGTCAGCAGGTGCTAATGAAGCTCTCCAGGTGTTTCTAATGAGCAGCCCAAGCTGAGACCTATAGGACTAATGCTTTGCCAAATAAGATTAGGCAGTCCAATCTGGGTAAAGAAATTTGCCACTAAAACTCCAAAACTTATACTTAAGAGCCTAACTGATAAAATGCTTAGTTTAGGATTAGGACTAGTGTCTGGCTGATGCATAGTCTAATATATGGAAAGAAGAACGTTGCTTCAGTGAAACATTTCTGGAAAATGTATCTATAAGTATCACACCTTGGGAGCTTGATTAAAAAGGCAGATTCCCCAGTTGTACCCCCAGAATTCTGATTTAGTAGCTCTGGGGTGAGGTCCAGGAGATTCTGATATAAGTAGTCTGTGTTTCATCCTTGAGAGAAACACTGTCAAATATGAGTAAAGGAAAAAATAAAAACAAGTGTTCCTAATGCCAAAATGCAACTTGAAATCTTTCTTTTTTTTCCTTCCACTTTCCCATTTTTTAAAGACTCCATTCTTGCTGGCAATGGCCTTGAAAGTAAATGTGTCAGGAGCCTGTAACTCCTCAGGGGCCAAACCATCCATTTGATGAGTGAATCCATGGATGTTAATTTAGGAAAATATGGCTACTACATGGCAATCAATGAACAATTGGAAGACTCCAATGGAGAAAATCAGCTGCCAAAACATGTAACAGCAGCCCACTGTTGTCCCTTCCAATGAGGGACCGTGGGCCAAGCTGTGGGAAAGATTTAACAAGGCTCTGCCAGGCCTGCGCACAGATAAACTCTCTTTTGGGCAAAACAACCATTATATGGTGACCTGCTGTGAGGGGCAGTTACCTTGCATGGGTGAGGATCCACCCCGTAGGTTTCCAAAGTGTGAGCTTTCAGGAGCAAGTTAAATTCAGCAACTGGTGGGCTCTGCCCCCTAAAATCACACAAGAAAAGTTGAGGCAGTTAAAATGGAAAAGAATAGAAACTCGGAATCCCTTCATTCAATAAAGTATGGTGTTCTAAGCTAAATAAAGAGAAAAACCCTTACATAAATAGTAATCAGTAAGACTGATCATTATTTCTCACCACAAGGAGTCCTTTACTAAGGAACCCGAGCTTGTGTTCTCTAGTTAATTGTTCCATAACAAACCCACACGCACTCTGAGCGCTCCAGTGATCCGTACAGTTAATCAAGGTTATCAAGTTACCAATAAGCAGGCCCTTGCAAATTCAACCTTAATACGAAATAAAACTAATCATCTGTTCTTTCTGCTAATTTAAAAACATTATCCAGGTTAAATGGCATGCCTTCTTGCTCAGGGAAAAAAATGCACAATCCTGTTACCCCATCAACAAGCCTAAACAGAGCCATCAAGGCCAAAAGAATTGTCAACCATCCCACAGAGAGCCCTGGACTTCAAAAGGAAATCTCAACCACTAGTCCTAGCACTGTCCTGCGAGGTGGTAAACAAGGTCTTGGCCTCAGGGAGAAAAGGGCTGCAAATATAGATGACCGCGAAGCCCTTTCAGGGCTAACATCTAAAGAAAGACTATGCAACATTTCAAAGACCCCACTTTGACTAATATTAATATCCTACATGTATTTTAGAGAATCTCAATCATTCCCCAAGGATATTTATGTAATTCTAGCAACCAAGCAGAGAAAACAACAGGAATTCATTTTATTTTCAAAATGTAAAATTATATTGCAATATTAAATCTATCTCCACTTAACTTCCTTCCCAAAGACGGATTGTCCCCCCACCCCCTCAAGATAGCAAAGAGTCATCATACCTCTAAATCAAAACAGTATCCCATCTACTTTATTCCTAGAGCCCTTCACAATCTCTTTACCTTTAGTGCACTGGAGTTACACTGATACGTCTGAAGTCACTGTGGTATGTCTAGGGAGCATCTTTATTTATTCATCATGATCCGCACAGTGTAGATCCTTTTAATCCAACAATGCATATCTTTCTTTGACTATTTCTTGATTCTTTTCTTCCCTTCCCCACTTCCTCCACCACTCTCTCTCTCTCCCACTCTCTCTCTTATCTCCTTTGAGAGGCCCTAATAAATGGGTCTTGAAACTTCTAGGTCCTAGGTCTTTTAATCTTTGTTTCATTCTTTATATCTCTGTCTTTTGGTACTATGCTCTGAATTATTTCTTAATTCAAATGTCCAGCCTGCTAATTTATTCTTCAGCTGTGCACATTCTGCTGCTTCTGTCATTGATATGTTTTTTTTTTAAATATCAATGAAATATTTCATTTCCAATGTAATATCTATGTGGATCTTCAAATAGCAGCCTGTTCTCAGCTCATGATCATGAATTCCTCTTATCCCTCTGAGGGTACCACTTCATTTCTATTAAGGTCCAATCTTGTTGGCTGCATTAATGCTGCTTTCTTGGTGAAGGTCATTTTGTATGCTGACTCAGAGTCTGTAATTTGTGGAGCTGATGTTTCCTTAAGTGTTTGGTGATTCCTGTTGGACTCTCATTTTTATATTTGATGTATCAGCCTCCAGAGGTTGAGGGAAGAGTGGGATGTGCCGTGTGGAACAGCATGTGATATGATTTGGATTTGTGTCCCCACCCAAATCTCATGTCGAATTGTAATCCCCAACGTTGGAGGAGGGGCCTGGCGGGAGGTGATTGGATCATGGGGGCAGATTTCTCCCTTGCTGTTCTCGGGATAGTGAGTCCTCACAAGATCTGGTTGTTTACAAGTGTGTAGCACCTCCCCCTGCTCTCTCTTCCTCAGGCTCCAGCCACATAAGATGTGCCTCCTTCCTCTTTGCCTTCCACCACGTTTGTAAGTTTCCTGAGGACTCTCCAGCCATGCTTCCTGTTCAGCCTGTGGTACTGTGAGCCAATTAAACCTCTTAATTACCCAGTCTTGTGTAGTTCTTTATAGCAATGCAAGAACAACTAATACAACATGTATCAGTAACTTGACTGGGGGCCGAAGGTTCTAGTTCTAGGCACGCACACCGGGTACCTTCCGCTCAAGCCTGCTGCTGCCCATGACTCAGCACAAAGCAACCAGAGGGAGGGGTCAAAGTTGTCCACTTGCTTCAAATGTAGTTGCCCACTCACTGTGATGGCTGTTGTGTGTATTCCTGGAGGCACCCAGAAACCCAGAACCACTGCTATTCTAAGTCTGTGTCTGGCCTGGATCCCTTCTGTTTCCTATCTTCCACAGATGTTGCAGGATTTCTGATCCAAAGATGATATTTTCTCCTATTCCTTTTCTAATGCTTTTCCTGTTATCCATAAGGACTCGGTGAAGGAAAGGAAGATTGACATATATGCCACCTTATTCTTTTTTCTCTTTTTTTTTTTTCTTTTTTTTTTTTTTTGAGACAGAGTCTCACTCTATTGCCCAGGTTGGAGTGCAGTGGTGCAATCTCAGCTCACTGCAACCTCTGCCTCCCAGGTTCAAATGATTCTCCTGCCTCAACCTCCGGAGTAGCTGGGATTACTGGTGCCCGCCACCACACCCAGCTAATTTTTGTTTTTAGTAGAGATGGGGTTTCGACATGTTAGCCAGGCTAGTCTTGAAGTCCTGATCTCAAGCAATCCACCTGCCTCAGCCTCCCAGAGTGCTGGGATTGCAGGCATGAGCCACTTCACCTGGCCACCTTTTTCTTTTAATAGAAAAGATCATTTTTAAAGCCATCTACAGAATACTCCTGAGGAATTAAGTCAAATTTGTGCTTTAGAAAAATAAAGTCTAAAGCTTTTCAAGATTTCCTTATTCATTTTAGTGTTCTGAAATTTCACTGTGATATATGTATATAGAGAATATCTTTATGTATTCATCCCAATCAGTACTTGTGGGCACTTTCGATCCAGCAATTACTATCTTGGGCCATTTCTTTGATTCTTTTCTTTTCAAGACACAGTCATTATAATTTTTTCCTTTTGATAAAGTAACAATGGACTCAGGAAAATTAACAACTATATTGACAGGGATGGGAAAAGAGATCTCTGGAAGGTTTTCTTAATCCATATGGTATTTCTCTCTCCATCTCTCTCATAAGTTCTTGAAGTAATATCTTACTCTCCACCAACAAATAAACCATACAGAAAATTATTGAAGTCAGGCTTGGTGCAGTGGCTCATGCCTGTTATCCCCACACTTTGGGAGGCTAAGGTGGGAGGATCACTTGAGCCCAGAAGTTCAAAACAAGCCTGGCAATGTAGCAAGGTCACTTCTAAAAAAATTTTTTTTTAAATTAGCCAGATATTGTGCACTATGATCGTGCCACTGTCCTTCAGCCTGGGTGGCAGAGCAAGAAAGATCCTGTCTTAAAAAAAAAATACAGAAAACAAACTTATTGAATTCACATATTATTGAGCCGTCTCTCATGCATACACACACACACACACACACACACACACACACACTCATTTGTATACTCATCTCACCTTCCCAACTAGGGACAAAGCAGTCAAAATACCCAGCATGTCACTAAGCAGCAACCCACTCTTCTGGCCCTCAATGCAAAACTTCACCCTAACGACCCAGACCAAGACCAAAGTGAACCAGGACCAGAGCCAAAGCAGCCCTGTGCCTCCCATAGCCTTGGGCAATCAGCTTTGCTCGGGGTGATCCTCCCAGTTTACTTGAAAGGCCCTCATTCTACCACCCACTAATAAGTACTCCTCTGATCTACAGAGCTAGCCATTCTCATTATTCATTGAACTGTCACCACCTTTCTAAAAGCTACATGTCATTTATTCATAAAACTCAAGTTTGTTTTCAAAGCATACCCTCTTCAATATAGGAACAAGATAATTGTGAAAGGTTATCATTTGGATGTTCACTTTGAAAAGTGAATAATTTTTCCTTGCCTAGGTGGTCTCTTTCTGACCACTTCCTTGTCCTTCCTAAATCTGATGAGCATCTAATTTCCAATCACAGCCAATCCCAGATGGCAGCAGGGTACCAGTGCTACACAGCCCCTGAGGACACACCCTTAAACTCTAGGACATCTGTTCATCAGGAGATACCAGCCAGGGTGGAAAAAGGCAAGCTACAGTATGGGAAAAGCTGTCAGCAACACGTACAACCAAAAAAGGACACCTATCTGGAATATTTTTTAAACTCCTGTAAATCAATAAAGAGCAACAAAATATGTTTCAAAACCAGTAACCACGACTCCAACCTCTGCACAATAAGCAAAAGACTTAATAGGCACTTACCAAATAGGACGTCTAACTAGCCAATAACTACATGAAAATGTGCTTAGCTTCTTATGATCAAGAAAATGTAAATTATTTTATTTAATTTTTAATGTCTATTTTCTATATATTTAGGAGGTACAAGTGCAGATTTCCTATGTGCATATATTCCATAGTGTTAAAGTCTGGGCTTTTAGTGCAACTATCACCCAAATAGTGAACACTGTAACCCTCACCTCCTCCCACCATCCCATATCTTGTACTTTCCAATGTCTATTACTCTCCTCTATATGCCCATGCGTCTTCATTGTTTAGTTCCAACTTATAAATGAGAACATGCAGTATTTGCCTTTTCTGTTTCTGAGTTATTTCACTAAGGATAATAGCCTCTGCTTCTATCCATGTTACTGCAAAAGACATGATCTCATTCCTTTTATGGTTCAATAGTATTCCATGCTATATATATTATATATAATATGTGTGTGTGTGTGTGTATATATATATATCACATTTTCCTTGTCCAGTTCTCCATTGATGGACACTTAGCTGATTCCATATATTTGCCATGGTGAATAGTGCTGTAATAAACATATGAGTGCCGGTATCTCTTTGATATGATGATTTATTTTCCTTTGGGTAGATATATATACACAAAGGGAAAATAGTGAGATTGCTGGATCAAATAGTAGTTCTATTTTTAGTTCTTTAAGAAATCTCCACACTGTTCCCCCAAAAAGTTGTTTTAATTTACATTCCTACCAACAGTTATAAGTGTTTTCTTTTCTCTGCATCCTTGACAACATCTGTTGTTTTTTGACTTTTTAGTAATAGTCTTTCTGACTGGTGTAAGATGGTCTCTCATTGTGGTTTTAATTTGCATTTCTCTGATGTTTAGTGATGTTGAACATTTTTTTCATGTTTCTTGGCCACTTGGATGTCTTCTTTTGAAAAATGGCCTTCAATGTTCTTTGCTCATTTTTTAAGGGGGGTTGTTTTTTTTCTTGTTGAGTTGTTTGAGTTCCATGTAAATTCCAGATATTAGCCCTTTGTCAGACCCATAGTTTGCAAGTATTTTTCCCATTCTGTAGGTTGTCTGTTTACTCTGTTAATTATTTCTTTTGCTGTGCAGAAGCTTTTTAGTTTAATTATGTCTCATTTGCCTATTTTTGTTTTGCTGCATTTTAGTTTAATTAAGTCCCATTTGCCTATTTTTGTTTTGTTGCATTTTAATTTGAGGAATTGGTCACAAATTCTTTGGTGAATGTCCAGAAGAGTTTTTCCTAGGTTTTCTTCTAGGATTTTTATAGTTCAAGGTCTTATGTTTAGGTCTTTAATCCATCTTGAGTTAATTTTTGTTTATGGTGAGATGTATGGGTCCAGTTTCACTCTTCTGCATGCAGCTATCAATTTTCCCAGGATTATTTATTTATTTATTTAAATGGAGTCTTGCTCTGTCACCCAGGCTGAAATGCAGTGGCATGATCTTGGCTCACTGCAACCTCTGCCTCCCAGGTTCAAGGGATTCTCCTGCCTCAGCCTCCTGAGTAGCTGGGATTACAGGCATGTGCCACCAGGTCCAGCTAATTTTTGTACTTTTAGTAGAGATGGGGTTTCACCATGTTGGCCATGCTGGTCTTGAACTCCTGACCTCAAGTGACCATGTGTTGTGGGAGCAACCCAGTGGGAGATGATTGAATCATGGGGTGGGTCTTTCCCTTGCTGTTCTCTTGATAGTGAATGGGTCACATGAGATCCAATGGTTTTAAAAATGAGAGTTTCTCTGCACAAGCTCTCTCTTTGCCTGCTGCCATCCATGTAAGATGTGACTTGCTCCTCCTTGCCTTCCACCATAATTGTGAGGCCTCCCAAGCCATGTAGAACTGTAAATCAAATAAACTTCTTTCTTTTGTAAATTGCCCAGTCTTGGATATGTCTTTATCAGCAGTGTGAAAATTGACTAATACAATGTATAATAATACTACCGATTTCTGCATATATATCTTGTATTCCAAAACTTTACTGAATTCATTTATTAAATCTAAGAATCTTTTGGTAGCGATTTTAGGGTTTTCTAGATAGAAACCATACCATCAGCAAACAGGGAAAATTTGACTTCCTTTTTTCCAACTTGGATGTCTTTTTTTTTCTCTAGTCTGATTGCTCTAGCAAGGACTTCCAGTACTATGTTGAAAAAGAGTGATGAAAGTGGGCATCTTTGTCTTGTTCCCGTTCTCAGAGGGAATGCTTTGAACTTTATCCTGTTAAATATGATGTTGGCTGTGGGTTTGTCATATATTGCCTTGACTATATTAAGATATGTTCCTTCTATGTCTGGGTTGTTGAGGATTTTCTCATGAAGAGATGCTGAAGTTTATTAAACACTTTTTCTTCATCTATTGAGGTGATCATGTGGTTTTTGTCCTTAATTCTGTATGTGATGTATCACATTTATGGATTTATGTATATTGAACAATCATTGCATCCCTGGGATAAATCCCACCTGATCATGGTGTATTTTCTTTTTATTTGCTGAAAATACAATTTTCAGCAAATAAAATTTGCTGATTTGCTAGTATTTTGCTGAAGATTTTTGCATTTATGTTCATCAGGGATATTGATCTGTAATTTTCTTTTTTGTTGTGTCTTTCTCTGTTTTGGGTATCAGGGTGATACTGGCCTTGCAGAATGAGTTAAGGAGAACTCTCTCATCTTCTATTTTTTAGAACAGTTTCAGGAAGATTGGTATTAGTTCTTCTTTGCATGTTCTCTAGAATTCAGCTGTGAATCCATCTGATCCTGGATGGATGTTGTTTTGTTGTTTTGTTGTTGTTGTTGCTGAGAGATTTTTTTATTACTGACTCAGTCTCACTACTCATTATTGGTCAGTTCAGAAGTTTTATTTCTTCCTGGTTCAATCTTGTGAGGCTGGAATTTATACATTTCCTCTAGGTTTTCTGGTTTGTGAGTATATAGCTGTTCATAATAGTCTCTGATGATCTTTTGTATTTCTGTGGTATCAGTTGTAATGTCTCCTTTTTCACTTCTGATTGTGTTATTTGGATCTTCTCCTTTTCTTGGTTAGTCTAGATAATGGTTTATCAATTCTGTTTATCTTTTTTCAAAACAAAAGAACCAACTTTTTGTTTGGTTGATCTTTTGTAATTTTTTATCTCCATTTCGTTCTGCTCTGATCTTTGTTATTTCTTTTCTTCTGCTAAGTGTGTGTTTAGTTTGTTCTTGTCTTTCTAGTTACTTCAAGTACAATGTTAGGTTATTTTGTGATCTTTCTACTTTTTTGATGTAGGCGTTTAATGCTATAAATTTCCCTCTTAGCAATGCTTTTGCTGTATTCCACAGGTTTTGTTACATTGTGTTTTCATTTTCATTAATTTCAAAAAGTTTTTAAATTTGTCTTAATTTCCTTATTCATCCAGTGATCATTCAGGAGCATGCCGTTTAATTTATATGTATTGTACAGTTTCAAGCATTCCTCTTGGCAGTGATTTCTAGCTTTATTCTGCTGTGGTCTGGGAAGATATTTAATACAATTTCAATTTTTAAAAAATTTGTTAAGACATTTTCTGTGGCCTACTATATGGTCTATCTTGGAGATTTTTTCCATGTACTGATGAAAAGAATGTATTTTCTGTAGCTATTGGGTAGAACATTCTGTAAATGTCTAAGTCTACATGGTCTAAAGTCCAACTTCAGTTCAAAGTTTCTTTGTTAATATTCTGTCTTGATGATCTGTCTAGTACTGTGAGTGGGGTGTTGAACTTCCCACTATTGTTGTATTTCTGTCTGTCTCTTTCTTTAGGTCTAGTAATATCTGTTTTTTGAATGGGGGTGCACTGATTTTGGGTGCATATATATCTAGAATTGTTATATCCTCTTGAGTGTCAGTTCACTTGAGTCTTTATCTCACAGCAGCCCCTAGCAGAGCAGTGGGTATTGTCCTGGGTATGCAAAAGAGAGCCTAGTTTCCTTGTCCCTCCTCAACTGGACATGGTTGCAGCCATGACAACTTGAACTCGGCCCACGGTGGAGTGCAGCCTAGTGTTAAACTCTCTAAAATGACACCTAAGACTTATGACCAGGGAGACCAGGGCCCTTCCCAGGCAGGAAGTATGGACAAGAAGATGTGGATGTCCACTCACATCTCAGTCTCACAGCAGCCCATTGCAGGGCAGTGGGCATTGTCCTATATATGGTAGGAGAGCCTGGCTTCCCTGTTCCTCCTTGGCCAGGTGGCAACTGCAACCACATCAACCCAAACAGTCCAAGGTCAAATGGCAGTCCATCATTAAACTCTCAAAATGATGCCTTGGGCCTAGGAACAGGGAGGGTGGGATCTCTCCCAGGCAAGCAGTGTGGACGAGAAGCTGTGGAGAGTGCAGCCCACTCACATCTCAGTCTCAACAGCAGCTCACAACAAGGCAGTAGGGATCCTCCTAGGGGTATGTAGGAGCACCCATTCTCCTCTCCCCTCCTTGCAGCAGCTCTGCAGCAGCAACCATGTCTGTAGCTCTCCAGTATCTAGGCTCTCAAAATGTTGCCCAGCAGAGGCCACTGTAGGCTTGGATGCCTGTGGGATTCCATGTGGGTTCTCTTTCTAGAGGAATGTGCAATCTTTAGGCAGTTCCACATGTCAGGCCCTAGGCCCTAATGGGTCAAGAGTTTCTCTCATACACAAGATCATAAAAGCTGATCCCTGGAGGTTTCTCTCTTACTGTTTCTCCATGCCCAGGAACCTCTCCTGACTATTAGTCAGTTCCCAGCTGGGCAAGCTGCCTCGAACCCTCTCCTTACTTCAAGTGCTTCCCATCTCCTCTCTGGTGAATCCCAGAAGTCTCTCCTAGACTAGCTGTTTGAAATATATCTACTTATTACTCTGGTTCCTCTCTGTGAAGGAGGCACATACTCCTATATCTAGTCAGCTATGTTCTATGCTATCAGTAAATGCAAATTAAAACTATGAGAAACCACTAACATCTCCATCTGGTAGCTACAGTTAAAAAGACTAACAAAAGCAAGCACTGGTGAGAATGTACAGCACAAGAAACCCTCATGTACTTCTGGTGGAAATTTGGTGGAACTAATCTGGAAAACTCTTTGGCATTATCTACTAAAGTTGAACATGTTTACCCTATAATACAGCAATTCCACTCATAGTTATATACACAACAGAAATTAGTGCATGTTGCACCAAGAAATAGATAGAATTTTCATAGTAGTGTTATTTGTAATAGCAAAAACTAGAAAACAACTCAAATGTCTATCAAGAGTAGAATGAATAGGCAATGGAATACTATACAGGCATGAAAATTGCTGACTTAAAGCTACACGCTATGAGATGAATGAATATCACAAAAATAACATTGAACAAAAGAAGCCAAATGCTACAGTTCAAATATTTGTCCCCTCCAAAACTCATGTTGAAACTTAATCCCCAAAGTCACAGTATTAAGAGGTGAGGCTTTTAAGAGGTGATTGATTTCGTGAGGGTTTTGCCTTCATGAATATATTCAGTTTGCCGTGCTCATGCCCTCTTCATGTGCTGCCTTGCACCACTTCAGGACTCTGCAGAGAGCCCCACCAGCATGAAGGCCCTCACCAGATGCAGTCCCCAGACCTTAAACTTCCACGCCTCCAGAACTGTAAAAAATAAATTTCTTTTCTTTATAAATTACCTAGCCTCTGGTATTCAGTTATAGCAAGAAAAAACAGGCTAAAATACCAGATATAAATGGATATACACTGTATGATTCTATTTCTATGGCTTTCAAAAATGAGCAAAGCAAAACTAATGTGTTAAAAGTCACTGGAAACCCTGGGAACTCTCACCTATTGTTGGTGTGAACATAAGGTAGAGCAACCTAACTGCCATTTCCTAGAAAAGTTAAAGTACAAACTCTGGCAAGTTCCACACTTAGGCTTGTACTTACACTAGGGAGTCCTGTACATGTACCTTAGGAGAATTATTTAAGAAGCCATAGTAACTCTGTCTGCAATAGCAAAAACCTGGAAGCAACCCAAATGTTCATCAACAGGAGAATGGATACATAAAACATGGGAAGTTCATATGATAGAAAATTAATTACACAGAAGTGAAAATAAAGACCTATGGCTGTATGTATCACTGTGGAAGAATCTCATAAATACAATGTTGCTAGGGAAGAAATGAGACACGAGAATACAGTATGAGTCCATTTATATGAAAGTGAAAATAGGCAAAACTGAAGCAATACATCATTGACTAATACATATGTATAAAGTAAATTTATAAAAGCAAAACAAGAGAATAAGCAACCCAAAATTCAGAAAAGTGTACCTATGGGAGGAGAGAGGGAGGTGGTCTGGGAGGGGCACATAGGAGACTTCAGAACAGCTGGTGATGTTCTCATTCACAAGCAATGTTAGGGGATCATGGATGTTTTTTCAATTATTCTTTAAATCCCACACATATTGTATATACTCTGAAAATGCTCTTTTACATATTATACATTTTGTAATGATGAAAAGACACACAATTTCTGCCTTTTTAATAAAGAAATCATTGGATGAAATATTACGCAGTCCACAAGGACCCCCAAACTAAAGGGTATTTATTGATCAAGAGGATAATAGATACATATGCAGAGCTATCTTGTACTAAACTCCACAATTCCAAGCAGCATAACATTTTTTATATTGCCAGGCATATACATATTTTTTCCCTTATTCAGAAACTTGGAATCTTTATCTTCCCTTTTGTGGATGAGAGTTCTGACATTCAAAGAGAAAAATAACTTGCTCAAGATTATTGCTCAAGGTCAATTGGCATTTGCCCTCACTAGTCATGTATGGGCAAACGCAGGATGCAAATGCAAGCTGACCTGGTTCTAAAGTGCTTGTCAGGGCTGGTACCAACATCATCACCAATATCTTATGGTCAAGAGCCATCTGCCTGCTCTCCTGCGTGCCATGGCACAGCATTTCAAAATGACATGATTTCTATCCACCTTTTATGTTTTAAAAAAGCAAGGCAGATGGAACTGGAGGCCATTAATAACACAGAAACAAAGTCAAATACTACATCTTCTCATTGATAAGTGGAAGCTAAATAATGTGTCACATGGACATAGAGTGTGGAATAATAGACACTGGAGACTCAGAGGGTGACAGAGTGGGAGCGGGTGAGGGATGAGAAATTACTTCATGGGTACAATGTACACTATTCCAGTGATGGTTACGCTAAAAGCCCACACTTCACCACTATGCAATATATCTATGTAACAAAATGACACTTATACTTGATAAATCTATTTTTAAATTTATTTATTTATTTAATTCGTTTATTTGAGGCAGGGTCTCACTCTATCGCCCAGGCTGGAGTGCAGTGATGCGATCTCAGTTCACTGCAGCCTCGACCTCCCAGAATCAAGTGATCCTCCCACCTCAGCCTCCTATAGCTAGGACTACAGGAGCATGCCACTACATCTGGCTAATTTTTGTATTTTTTGTAGAGACAGGATTTCACCATGTTGCCCACGCTGGTCTCGAACTCCTGGGCTCAAGTGATCCTCCCACCTCAGCCTCCCAAAGTGCAAAGATTACAGGGGTAAGCCACTGCAACCCACCTAAAAAATTCATTTAAATTGCAACTTTTTCAAATTCTAAACATTGCCATTTATCAATGATAAGGCAATTCACTCCAGGTAACTGATACTCAGATCCGATTAGAGAATAGTGATATCTCCATTTTAATCTGAAACTAAAACCTGCAGGCCAAATCTGGACTGCCTGCCGCCTGATTTTGTACAGCCCTCAAACTAAGAATGGGTTTTACATTCTTACATAGTTCAAATAAATCAAAAGAATAATACTTCATGACTCATGACAATTACATGACATTCAAATTTCAGTGTCTATAAATAAAGTTTTATTGGAACATCATCACACCCACTTATCTGCATATTGTCTACACATGCTGTCATGCTACAACAGTAGTAGTTGCAATGAAGACTGTATGTTCTACAAAGCCTAAAATATTTGCTAGTTGACCGGGTATAAAAAATGGTTTTCTGAACCCTGATCTGGGTCCAGAACACAGGAACGTGAAACCACAGGAAGCCATGTCTATTTGATTCTAAAAAATGAAGGTGTTTCTGTAAAAAGAGTACCTACCTCCAAGATTTGATGCAAAGATTAAGCAGGTAACAGATGTGAATCTGTTACACTAGTGCTTAACACACAGTATGTTCTGTCCTTGCCCTCAGACTACCATGTGCTCCCTTGCTAGCCCTACATATGGCTGAAGTCAGAAATACTGTGCTGAGGGGAATGTCAAGCAGGATGTCGAGATATTTACAACAAACCAAAGGCCCATCTTTAAAATAATTCTCAAGTAAGCATCATTTGCTTTGGGCTTAACCTCAGATCTCCACTGGCTAAGCATTTAAAAGACTTAATTGAAAATGTCATACACAGGGAAAAACTAACTGCAAATGCTCAGAGAAGGCAAAAAGATCAAAACCAAAGGAGAAAAGGCAGGGACCCTGATAGGACTGGAGACTCCTGAGGCCCAGACTCACCAAGGAAGAAACCATTTAATGATCCATTTTTTCAGGAAGATACTAAGATCAATTAAATAGAAAGGTTGGGGTTTTTTCCTTGAATCTCCCACTGGGCATCTGTTTCTGGCAAAAATTCTGGTAATGGAAAATAATGATTTTCTGTCCGTCAAATATTGCATCAGGAAATGTTCCACTCAGATTAATAGTGTCTCTAATGAGACATTTAAAGGTAAAGACCAGTGATTAGTTGACTTCTTTTCAAAGAGCTAACAATTCTCCAAAGATAGGCTTTTCTAATATATTAGATGAGGTCAAGTAATTGTGTATTTAGCTGTATGTCTCCCTTCTGCCAGTTTTGAGTACTTTTAGACAAAAAGGAACAATTTCCCTTTTATTGATCCTCCTTTAGCATACCATTACATACAGTACAAAACCAGATAGCATCCCAGGAATAAATGTCAATTATTAGTGGACATTAATTGTGGAATAAGATGTGGATCTTGCCAGCAATGAGCTGGACTGCTTGGAACACAGTTGGCAGGGAAGGGAGTGGTTCTGGTTCCCTCTGACCCATCTGAGCCTAGGAGCTCTAGAATGAAACCTATGGGCAGAAGAGCAATGTAATGGTGTAGAAGACCAACATAATGGTCTTCTACTTCTGAAAAACAGAATTCTCAATTTGGCTTAGATTACATTTTGCTGCAACTTGGTTGCAACTTTACTTAGATTTAGCTTTGTTGGAATAAAAGATTTTCCACACCACTGGCTTCAAATGTTTGGGAGTGCTCTCAAGACTTGCCCTTCAGCAGGGCTTGGGACTTTAGCACTCAGCGACTGCAGGGAGCTGTCTATGCTTTATAGCATTCATGTGGAATGTGGGCTGGAGAGAGATTCCTTTGCTCTTCAGTGTCATCCCTGGCTCTCTGGACTTTAGAAGACTTTTCTCCTCCCTGTCATCCTGCCTCCTGCCGTCAGCAAGGGCTTCCCCACCCAGGCTGAAGGTCTGGAGTGCCTCTAGGGGATTTCACTCAGCTCTCATGCTGGTTAAAAGTTTGCCTAGTTGCCCTTAGCCCTGACCTAGGGTGTAATCCTTCTCTTCCTGTCACTCCACCAGAAGTGAAAGCAGCTATGCGTTTCCACTCTCCTAAGAAAGACATTCTGGATTTTAATACATTCAGATCGATTTGCATCTTCAGCTCTCAGATGGGTTCAAAAAATATGATTTTGTAATTTAGCCAGCTTGTTGGTGTTATTTTGGTGTTAGGAGAGATCAATATCTCATGCCTTTCTACATCCTAAATGGAAAGGAAATGAGAGTTCCCAGTCTGTCATTTCCAATCTTTCACTTAGAGAGGGACATTATCTCTCGCAAATCCTTTTAGGAGCCATCTTTATGCAGAGCATTAGATAAAATGCTGCAAATTTGGACAGCTGCCACGCTATGAAAGAGACAGTGGTAACACCCTGGGGCCATGCAGGGACAAGGCTTATAGGAGAGCAGCAACTTAGAAAGATATTAGTGCACAATGCACGGAAACTCAAATTTCAGGTCAAGTTCTATTGCTTCATAATTGTGTAGCCTTGGATAAGTTAATTTCTCAGAACTCTGTTTCCTTATCTGTAAAAAAAAAAAAAAATGGTGGCTGCAAACTCAATGGAAGGAGAAGGTAAGTTGGCAGAGCAGGGATGGTGGCAATTCAGAGACAAAGGATTCTTTTAAAGAGGCACTGCTGCTGAGTGTTGCCACACAGAAGTCAGGGAGCCATGTGACCAAAACCCCAGTCGCAACTGAAGCCAGAACTTTATGGCAACTGGTTCCATTTTTTACAGCTATTATTTGGCTCAAACTACATACATCTGGGTCACAGTGTAGTCCAAGGACTGTCATTTTATAACTACTGCTTTGGACTCCAAGGATCCCTTAAGCATAGAAATTGGCTGTCAAATTTCTTTGCTGTTGGCTAGTGACCTCTTGATAGTCGAAGGCGCTAAATGATAGTCAAAACTGTCTTTGACTAATAAAAATTAGGAGGCAAATTAATTGTTGCTTCATGAATTATTTTGTAGATAAAATCTTTCAAACCATGAGGTCATAGGGGAGTGTGGATGATGAAGGAGACCCCAGCTTGGGGATGAAATGGCCGAAAATCTGGGCTAGGCCATCCCACACTACTACAGTGCCCCACAAAAGGCTGCTCTTCGATAAATATTAGTGGTATGAATGGATGGATGGAAAGATGCATGGATGGATGGATGAAATATAAATGGATAGAAGGATGGATAAATATCCTCTGGATAAATTCACTGTTATAGTCTCATTGAAAGTTCAAAGAATCTTTAGCTCTATGCATAAGTTAGAATCACATGTGAGATATAATCAGACAATGTATTAAGTAATGGCTGACTCCTACTTTCAATAATATAACCCTCTCTCCTTCTTCATGGCCACATTGCACTTTGGTAACATTGCTTTTTCCCCCTTAAGGTCATCGTAGCTAGATTTCACCTGTATAAAAAACATGAATGGCTTGGACATGCACACCACTTGCCCCAGCCCATCCCTCCCTAGAAATGTCCTTTACCCTAGGCCACAAAATGCCAGGACTTCATTTTTACAGTGAACGCATTTGATCCCAAATCATCCCATCTTCCCCCTTCCTAAGAAAGGTGCTATACCAAATAGCAACAAAAAATGCAAATTGATTTGATAATCTACCAGGGAGAGAGATTCTATGAGTTTGGAAGGGACTTGGGAAGGGAAATGATACAGGGAGAGAGATCGATGACAAAGAGAAAACTCATCTTAAGAAAGATTGGGGTTGTAAAATAACCAGACATTTATTTCTTGTCTTCTTTTTACACAATAAACACACTTCTCAAAACTGACAAAAACATTTCTTAAGAGGGCCCTTGTGATCTATTCATCAGAAGCAAAGGTAGAGGATATTTTTCATGTCAGGGTATTTGTTTCTAGAAACCTAGACGTTTTTAAAATGATAACTCCATTTTTTTAAACTATAGCCATGGCGCATGATTTACAGAGAATATAACCTTTAAGAAATAGAGATAATTACTCTGTTTAAAAAACACACTGTGTCATTCTTGCTTCTAGCACAAACCTCACTGCCCCGGATCATTATAGTGTGGCTAGTTGGATGATTTTCCTGCTCTTCAAGGGCAAGGAATATACTTCATCAAAACTGCTTTACTGCCAATTGAGCCTTTTGAATATTTAAAAGCTGATGACCTATGACTGAAGTTAATGCAAATGTCTCTGTCTCTAATGACAAACCTGATGAACTGGTGATGAGAGGAAGAAAAGACTAGCTGAGTAGAAACTCTAGGAAATACCTCCAGCAAAGTCTATCAGGGTTCTTTATGGTAAAAGCAATCTTATTCTTGATCTTAAACCCCTTCCGAGCACCCTCAGGACTAACGGAATGGGTATTTCCTCTTACCCCAGGTGGCTTTGATTAAAGCTGTGGAAAACAGAAACCAAGAGGGACAAAAAGAACAGAGGACTGGCGAGGCATGGTGGCTCACACCTATAATCCCAGCACTTTGGGAGGCAGAGGCGGGTGGATCACCTGAGGTTGGGAGTTTGAGACCAGCCTGACCAACATGGAGAAACCCCGTCTTTACCAAAAATACAAAATTAGCCCGGCAGGGTGGCGCATGCCTGTAGTCCCAGCTACTCCGGAGGCTGAGGCAGGAGAATTGCTTGAACCCAGGAGGTGGAGGTTGCGGTGCGCAAAACTCCATCTCAAAAAAAAAAAAACAAAAAAAACAGAGGACCATCAAGTCCTCAGGGGTTGCAGCAATGGCTTCCTCCAGTCACCAGAGGGCTCTAGAGGGAGGAATAACCTATTTCTAAATCAGTCCTCATCTCTGCACACCAAGCTTAAAGTCTGAAAATTACAAGAGATTATTTTTCACACATAGTTTTACAAACAAATATGGCTCCTGATAACTTAAAATTATCTACAGAGGCAGGAGAGTGAAGTAGAAATTGATTCCATACCTGGTCTGCCATGTGTTTAGAACAGGAGTCAGCAAGCTAGGACCCATAGGCCAAATGTGGCCTGCCACCTGTGTTGTCAATAAAGTTTTATTGAATCATGGCCCACTCATTTAAGAATTGTCTATATCTGCTTTTGCTTTACCAAAACAGAGCTGAGTCACTGCACTAGAGACCGTATGACCCAGAAAGCCAAAAATATTTAACTAGCCCTTACCTAGAAGAATCATTCGGCTCAGTGGGTTATGTAAGTGACACATCTCCATATCATCTAGTTCACATGATATTAAAAGGCCCAAAGATGCCTGTATAAAAATCTTTCTAAATGCAACTCTATTAGCTAGAATGACCAAAATCCAGAACACTAACAACACCAAATGTTGGCAAGGATGTGGAGCAACAGGAACTCTCATTCCCTGCTGGTGGGAATGCGAAATGCTACAGCCACTTTGGAAAATAGTGTGGTGGTTTCTTATAAAACTAAACATACTCTTACCATATGATAGAGCAATCATGGTGTTTGGTATTTACCCAAATGAGTTGAAAACTTATGTCTACACAAAAACCTACACACAGTTATTTATAGCAGCCTTATTCATAATTGCTCAAACTTGGAAGCAACCAAGATGTCTTTCAGCAGGTAAATGGATAAATTATGATACATACAGACAATGGAATATTATTTTATGCCAAAAGGAAATGAGCTCTTAAACCAAGAAAAGACATGGAGGAAACTTAAATGCATATTACTGAGTGAAAGAAGCCAATCTGAAAAGACTACACATTGTATGATTCCAACTATGACATTCTGGGTAAGGCAAAAGCTATAGAGACAGTAAAAAGATCAGCGGTTGCCAGGGGTTAGGGGAGAAGGAGGGATGATTTTTAGGACAGGGAAACTACTCTGTATGATACTATAATGGTATTGGTATTGCAATGGAATGATACTATACATTCATCAAACCCATAGAGTGTACACCAAGAGTGAACTCTAATGTAAACTATCAACTATGAGTGATTATAATGTATCAATGTAGGCTCATCGGTTGTAATACATGTACCACTCTAGGAAGGATATTGATAATGAGGGAGGCTATGCATGTGTGGGAAAGGGGTATAGAGGAAATCTCTGTGCCTTCCTTTCAATTTTGCTGTAAACCTAAACATCTCTTTTAAAAAATAAAGTCTATTAAAAAAAGAAAAACAACTCTATTAGTCAATGAGTTGTGAGGGCCATTAAGGGCTGGGTGCCCACTGTTTCCAGCTCCTATTACCTTCTGAACACCATAGAATTGCATTTCCTTGATCCTGGGTAAGATCTTGGGATGAGTCCTGATCAGAGAGTTGTAAGCAGAAGTGCTATGAATCACTTCCGAAATGAAGCATGACCTTCCAGGGCTCTTTTCCTTGTGGCTCAACATCTGGCAAATCCAAGTTTCTGACTTCCCTGAGTGACAATGGTGGGCGGAGCCCCCCAGCTGGCCTCTGGTGGGCACAGAGCAGAGTCAAGAAGAAGCCTTTCTTGCTCTAAGCCACTGAGCATTGGGTGTTTGTTTCCTCAGCAAAATCTAACTGATCTTGACTGAAATAGAGATGATCGATAACTATAACATGCTACTATATTTGCAAGACTGTTGCTTCTCCCTATCCTCCAGTACAGTGAAGGACTCAGAAGAAGAAACATTGATCCAAGCATGAACTTTTACCTTCAGTCATCAATCTAATTTAGTTCATGAAAATTCTTCTTAAAATCTTGGTCTTCTTAAAACTCCAAGGAAGAGTCAGTCTCTCTCTCTCTCTTTCTCTCTCTCTCTCTCTCTCCCCCCACCATCCCCCAAAGAACTCTGTTATTCTTGCCTATCTATCAGGCCATCTTGGTCCCACCTTCAAGCAGTCTGTAGCCTCCCAGAGAGGAAATTTCTTTTTTCTCTCTCATTAATTTTCTGCCAAGAATGGTGACTTTTTTTCCTCTCTCAGAGATCACAGGAGCAGAATAATCCTAATCAATAAAAAGGCTGGGAGAAGGTTGTGAAACCACCCCCTCCTGAGGTAAACATGTTGATCTCCCTGTAAATCATCATTTCTGCTAATATTTGAGCACCTGTTGTGTTTTATTTCTCAGCTGATTCAGAAAGCAGGAAGGAAGAAGGAGGTTATTTATTGGGTCCCTCAAACCCCAACAAAAGCCAACTGGAATCCTCTCAGGAAGTCTTCAGAACAGCAGTTCGATGGCCACACACCATCCCTAGCTAAGTGGGAGGGTCACGGGTGTTGTGGTGACTCTGGAGAGCAGGATGGCCATGGTTTGGTGCAGCCAAGCACAGGTCTTCTCCATCCATGACTCCTTCCTGGCTTGGTCAGGTTTGCAGAGTAATTCAACCAAGGCCCAATTCCTTACACAAGACAGATAACACTTTCTTGACCTGTGTATGAAGGGGTGGTGGCACCCCCAGAGCACCTTCAGTCCCTGTAGCAGGTTTCCCAACAGACGCAAGAAAGCTCCTCTCCCTCTGCACTGTCAGCCTCTTCTGCTCTTCTTGTCTTACCCTCCAAACCAAAAGTATCTCTCTGCTGCACTGATGCTGAATGAAATACAGAACTACTTAGAATGAGCAAAAATACACAGGGAAATAGCCCCTGAAGCTGTCCTTGCAAGGTGATATGATTCCTGACAGGTTCATCCTTCAGGCATACAACTCCCAACTCTTCACAAAGGCTTAATGGATGTTTCAAATGTGCAGGACCACATGTGCCATAGAATGGCAGCTTTGATCAAACCACAGAACTTACTTCCAAGATTTATAAAGTGCGAGTGACTGATGACCCCCGTCTTCCCTGAGTGCATGATGACCACTTTCAGTGATCTCCACAAGCTCAGGTGCTGGCCCAGGGTCCAAGCTACAGCTTTCTGAATGTTAATAAAACAACTTGGAATCTTCTGTGATTCACTCATTTTCTCATGAAATTGTGGATCACCAAGTCTGGCTGCAACGCCTCTCATGACTCTCTTCTTTCAATTTCCTTTACTCCTATTCTTTTTCAGGTCCTTCCCGTTTCTTGTCTGAATACCAGAAATTACTAACTGGCCCTCCTGCCCTGGTTCTCCATCCTCAGGCACCGCTGACATGGTGATCACCGTGAAACACCTACCCGACTACCTGATTCCCTTTAAACGCTCAACAAAGGGAGAAGAGCATGGGCATACCTTGAGCCAGGTAACCCAAGGTTCAAGTCCTGACTCCACTATTTACAAAGCACAAGTCCTTTAACCACTTCAGCTTGTACTTTCCTCATCCCACACTAGAAAGAACAATAGCGCCCATCTAATAGAGTTTGGGAGAACTGAGTGGGATAATGCACTTAAAGCTCTTAGCACAATGTTTTGGCATCTAGTAAGTAAATGCTCAATAAGTGTATATTATTATCCTATGTTCTGAGCGTTAGAGGCCCTGCAAATTCAGGGCATAGAAAACCTTTCCATTCCCATCTCCTATCAATTCAAACAGTGGGTGCAACTCCTTCATCCAGGGATTCTCACCCTGTGCTCCCCGGAACACTGCTCTGCCACAAACCCCTCCACAAAAATATCGAACTTTATTTCTACCTCTAGTACATTTGTCTCCAAAATAGCAAAAGAGTAGTGAGAATTTCATGTATCTTCAACAAGGCTTTTCATTAGGAGACAATACTCTAAAATTACCCACATAGATGGCCTGTTGCTTTCTGAAAGTAGTACAATGTTTTGATGTCTAATCATCTTTATCTCTAAGACTAAGCGTCATATTTTCCCAGCTGAAATAAGCTGCCACCTTGAATGCCCTCACATATACTCTTCCCAGACTCACCAGTAGGGGGCGCGCCTGCATAAAGGAGGGAGCTAGAACAATTTCCTCACACCGGGACAGTTGTCTGTTCCAGAATGCATAATCCAATGATGCAATTTTCTTTATACTTACCAGAGGCCTAGAACATGGAAGCATCTCAGTTCTTGCAGTTTTTCATCAACACTTGTCATAACACTGCCCATGCTTGCTATTACCAAAATGATTTTTTTTTCTGTAGTTTGCACAGTATCTAAATTCTAGCTACAGACTAGACTACTTGAATTACCTAAATTCCAAGTTGGCAATGATCCCTACACACACTTCATTTGATTCCCAGCAGCCCATGTAGAGTGTAACCATCACACAGGGCATAAAGGCACAGACTCTAGACCAAGACTGCCAGAATTCAAATCCCAGCTCTGATACTTACTAGCTGCGTGACCTTGGGTAGGTTGTTTAACCTCTCTGTGCCTCGGTTCCCTCATCTGTAATATGAGAATAACAATAACCTATCTCCTAGGTTGTTGTGAAGATTAAACGAGTTAATATGTGCAAAGTGCTTAGAACAGTGTTAGGAACGTGGTGAATGCTCTATGCAATTTTGCTTCTACCACTGCTACTGTGCAGCTATCATTGAAGCATCGCAGGTGAGAAAAAGAGGATCAGACACTAAATCTGTCATCTTGAAAGTAGCTCAGCAAAGGGAATCTTCCCAATGGATTCTATTCTACTTGGAGTCAATGCTTCCAGCTATGGCCACCGGTGGGAAAAAGGCAACACAAAATTCAAATCAGAAAGGTTTACTTATTTACCTTAGATTCCACTTTCAGAAGCTCAGGGTGTTTAGAAATCCATATGTGTAAGAAAATACATGGATCTAATAACTACTGATGGATCATAAACAGCCACTCATAGGACTCCAAACTGTTGAGATTGTTATTGACGGAGGACACCAGGGTGTCCTTGACAGTGCCCAGAAAAATTGCGCTGCCACGCAAAACAGCCTATCCATACATTACAAATATTCCTCCTTCACGATGTGATTTCCACATTCCCTGCAGTAAGAATATTTTCTCCCCTTTATCATTTTCACAAATGTCTACTCAGTAATTACCTGAGTTCATTTTTATGAATTTCCACTATTTTTCTTTCCAGCTTCTGTGACTGCTTGGGGAAAATCTCAAACTCACTGATGTAATTCTCAGGATGCTCATCAGGATCGTAATCACCAAGCTCAGCTGTAATGAGTGAAAAAATAAAGAGACAGAGAAAGATTAAAAACAATAACATGAGCAGGGTGCATATGGAGTGCCTCCTGCCATCCAAAAGAAGAGGCTGGAATAAACTCACCCAAAAATATGTATCTGTACCCAGAGAAAGCCTGAGTGTCTAGAGGCTCATATTCCAGTTCAGATCGAGCTGTGTGAGCTTGGGATCTTGAGAATCTTCTCTGGGTCTCGCCTTCTTTATCAGTATAATAAAGGATTTAAATTACTGTTTTTCAGTGGGGACACCATTGGCATTTTGAGGGCTGAACAATTTTATTATTTCAGATTTTCTAAGGAACTGTAGGACATTTAGTAGCTCTACCCTTCAGGTACTAGATGCTAGCAGCAGACCCAGGCACTGTGACCATCAAAACTGCTCTCTCCCAGAAGTTAGTCAAAGAATACAGGATTTCAGTTAGATAGAAGGAATACATTCAAGAGAGCATTGTACAACATGGAGACTATAATTAGAAACAACGTATTGTATACTTAAAAATCCCTGAGAGGGTAGCTTTTAATTGTTCTCACCACCAAAACAAATGATAAGTATATGAGGTAATGTATATGTAAAGCTCGGTTTAGCCATTCCACAATGCATACATATTTCAAAACATCAGGTTGTATACCATAAATATATATAATGTTTATTGATTTAAAATGTTTTACATTTTTTAAAAATTTAATGCCCCCGCCCCAGTATTTCCAAATGCTCCCCAGGATAGGAGGTGGTACCACCTTTAGATGGAAACCAGTGGACATTCCTCGGGGTTCCATTCACAGCTAATATTCTCTGTGTCAGGAATTCCCTGACTGGAGCTGCCTGCTCTGAGGCTTATGCAGGTGTGGCTTATTCATTGAAAAATCACTAGAAGGAACCCAGCGGGATTGCACTTAAAAACAAATTGATTGCTCTTGAAATTAAGGAGTATACATCTAAAACAGAAGAGCATACTAGATTAAAGTTGTTGCTGGAGTCTAATGAGAAATAAAAATAAAATCCTAAGCCCCCCAACAGACTGAACATTGCCCCCACTTGGCCAAGAGGCCCCAGAGAACCCTTAAAAACTGAGTTCCCAGACATGATGAGGTCAGACCTCATTATACCCCCTCCCTCATTAATTGCTATTAGGTTTCCTACACCAAGGGTTAAACAGAAACCAGCCCTTCTGAAAGACTGCACCACTGATATCAACCAATTGCCGATGCTGCCCCTCCCTTTTGTGGTTTTGACACAGTAACTGATCAGCATTCCTTCCTGGTAAGAGACCACTGACTACAAAGTGGTTCTGGCCAGTCTATGGAGGCTGTGCACAGAGGGCCTTTGTGTCCTCTGCCTCACCTTTTGTTGTATAGGCCCTAATGATAATACATTTAAATGTTAAGTCTCCACCCAAAAGTGAACATGGGATGCATGTTGCTTATGTGCTAGCCTACTATGCATGCCTGTGCCTTCCTTTTGTGACTATTCACAGCCCCTATAATAACCTGTTGAATACGTATACTTGGCCACCCCATTCAGCATAAATCTTTGTCTTATTCTTCCCACCCTTGAAGTGCTTGTTTCCAGCTTCTGGCCAGAGTCTACGTTTCCCCACCTGTCAGAATGGCCACCCTGCAAGCTGCAACCCTTTGTGAGAAATAAAGCTCTTCTTTCCAAATTTATGTACTTCATGATTCTTCAGCTGACACTAACAAAGGGCACCTCCAGAGGATCTTCAAGGGTAAAAAGAGAAATGCCTACACATCTCTGAGCACCCAGAAGGCCAAGCAGAGATGGGTGTGTGAACCACAGCATGGAGGGGCAAAGGTGATGTCTGGCATCAAGAATACTTTCTATTGGTTCCACAAGCATGCTAAGGAATATGAGCCAGAAGAAGCAAGTGTCTCTGGAAGAAACAAAAGATATGGCCCAGGAGAGTAGACTAAAGATAGTGGGAAAATTGTATTAGAAGAACCTGATGACCAATATGACTTTGAAGTAGAAAAAAATTAGTATGCCTTGAGTGCATCTGAAAAATTACATCCAACTCTGTAATTTGTATCCACTGTCCCTTCATTGTCACATCATCCAATGACTGGAAAAGTATATAACCAGGAGGAAATCAAAGCTCTTTAAAGCTTCTGGACAAAATTCAAATTACAGAGTTCTTAAAACAACCTAGAACATATACCACAGCGAGGGAAGACTTCTAAAATAAGACCTAAAATACTTTCAGTCACAAAGGGGAAATTGATTAATTTGATCATACCAAAATTAAAATTTATTTCTGTTTAATAAAGGACATCAGAGTCAAAGTAATAGAGAGATGACAACTTGAAAGAACATATCTTCACAATCTAAAGCTGACAAGGACTAATATCTAGAATAAAGAAGAAATCCCTACATATCATTTTTTAATGGACAGGAAGACCAATAGAGAAATGGTCAAAGGATAATGAACAGACAATTCAAAGAAGGGGAAACCCTAAGGGCCAGTGTAGGGAGAGATGCTCAAACTCATGAATAATTAGAGATATGCAAACCAAAACAAGATGTTACTTTATACCTATAACATTGGCAATAAAACTAGGAAGTTGGCAGAGACACAAGAAAACAAAAATACTTGTGCACTGCTGAAGGGTGCTAGATGCATGTTGCTCCTCCAGAGAGCAAGGTGGGAGTTTTTAGTCAAATATTATGACCTAGCAATCCCATTTCTGGGCATTTTTCCTAGAAAAACTCTAGGTGCAAAAAAAGGATATGTTCAAGGTTTTTTTTATGACAGCATTAATCATAATAGTCAGAAGTTGGAGGCAACTTGGGTGTTTATTGTTAGTGGGACAGCTAGATAAGTAAAACATGGAAGACGCACCCTTTGGGACACTCTGTCACAGTTAAAATCAACAAAATAAGATGTACGTATGCAATATGGACAGATCCCAAAAGCAGTGTTCTGAGCGTAAGAAGGAGGGAATACAATGAGTTCTATAGCATCATTTAATTTATGAAATTTAGAAGTATAGACACAAAAAAACAATATTAATCATTTTATAAGGATGGATACAAAGACAAAGATATGTATATGAACCCAGCATTGCCCTTAGGAGTGGAAATGGAGAATAATGGAAAAAGGGAAATCAATCAATCAATCCATGGGCCTAAAGGGACCAATGATGAGAGGTGGGCCATAAACTGATGATTAACTCAACCTATGTTCCAAAAGAAATACACGTAACATGTCCACCTTTACACACATACACGCTTGTGCCCCTGTGAGCTAGCTACAGGCATTAATATTTAGGAGATGGACGATCCCAGTGCTTCCATTTTCCATAGGTAATTTCCAAAGGTGATGGGACAATGGACCACCAATATGAAACTGGGTCATCTTCAATGCAAATGTCAGCTTGCAGAGTGGTTGGTGAGGGAGGGCATCGTTTTTCAGGGTGCCCTTTTCTTTCCAGGAAATCTTGTGAGATATTATAGACTTGCAATGCTACACACTGCAAATGTTAGAAAAGTTAGAGAAGAAATGCTGTGAAGACTGCACCGGATTGCTGACAAGATTAACACTGTCCCCATCACAGGCCCTGCTCTGATTCCCTAAAGCTTGTCTTTAACTCTGACCTCTCCTTAAGCAGAAGGCAGGTTTTTTAAAATGAATAAAGATTTCTAGCTATTCATACCAAGAGGAGTTGGGTAAGCCGCCATGGTTCTCCCTCCTGCTCATGACTTGGAAGTTGAAGTCGTGACAAATGACATACAACTGGAGGCCCTGCGGTTTGAAACCAGCTCTAGCACTTTTCTAAAAGGATTCAATTCTAAGAGAAAAATCCAATGAGTTTGAAGTGAATGGGTGAGTAAGGTCAGAAACAGTAAGTCTAAAAAGCAACAGGCTTTCCCCTGGTTTGGAAAGGACTCATTCCAAAAGAATTTGAGATGCAGGACCTTTAGCTCCAGGGCCAACTCCTTCAGGAGCTTTCCCTGACCCATGCTTGCTAAGTCAGGAGCCCTCCTGGGACACTCATAGCAGGGACTGGGCCTGTGTGTTCCTCCATCTAACCAACAACGCAGGGTCACAATGGCCTGTTTCCTTATCCATCTTCCCACAGGAACTTTGTATTGCCATGTGGCCCCCTAGCAACTTCTCAGGAAGTATTTGGAGAACACATGAACAAATGAATGAATGAGGTAGTGATACCATCCCAGCAGGCGGCCAACCAGTCTTTCCCATAGTTAAATGAATCAGGCACAATCATTTAACTAAATGTTAAATGAATCAGGCACAGTCATTTAACGAAATGTTAAATTTAAACGTTAAATGGTTGTGACTAATTTAATTAACCATGGTTAATCAGGGCAAGTTTGAAGCTTCAGTATATTCTGAGTTTATTAAAAACAGTCAATCAAGCCAGGTGTGGTGGTGCACACCTGTAATCCCAGTTACTTGGGAGGCTGAGGTAGGAGGATTGCTTGAGGTCAGAGTTTGAGACCACCCTGAGTAACACAGTGAGATCCTGCCTACAAAAAAATACAAAACCTGTCAATCACCTGGAGTTTAGGCAAGTGCCCCGATTCATTTCAGGCAAGTGCCCTGATTCATTTAACATATTTAGTGGAGAACCTGCTGTGTGCCAGACACAGGAAGAGTGCTGTGAAAAAGCACCCAGATCCTACTCCCATGGAATTAGATTCTATATAAGAGGAAATGCACAATAAGCCCAAAAACAACTCAAGATCTAAGTGTTTGCAAGAAAACACAACAGGGCTCTGAGAAAGAATGACGTGCAGGAGGGAGCTGCTTTAGCTCGAGTGGTCCAGGTAGACTTACCAGAGGAAGTGACTTCGGGACTGAGTTCTGAATATCCAGCAGGAGTCAAGATTTCTACAGGGGTTGAACATACCAGGCAGAGGAGATAAGTTGAATTCCTCTGTGGTGTTGTTTTGTAAAAGGAACAGGAAAGATATTTTTACCAAGAAAGAATATAAATAGATCCCAAGGATTCTGTGTTTGTTTTGCAATTTGTATTATGAAAGAAAATGCATTGCATGTCTTAAATATGCTCGTTGGATTCAGTATGTACAGGCAGCAAAACTCCAGGTGATTGACTGGTTTTGTATTCCTTGTGGAGACAAGGTCTTGTCTATGTTGCCCAGGCTAGTATCAAACTCCTGGCCTCAAGAAATCCTCCTGCCTCAGCCTCCCAAGTAGCTGGAATTACAGGTGTGCACCACCACATCCAACTTGATTGACTGTTTTTTATAAACTCAGAATATACTGAAGCTTAAAACATACTCCTTGAAAGAGCATTAGCAAACAAGACGATGAGGGGCGACAGTGCCTCCTGATTGCTAATCACTTACTCCATCTTCCCTATTACTCTGTAAGAATAAGATTGCTAATCACTTACTCCATCTTCCCTATTACTCTGTAAGAATAAGCAGTTCTGAAATGCCCATCTATATCTGTATTTGTGAATGACCTGCAGTGCTGCCGAAGTACTCACCCGAGAATCAGACCTTTATGAACCACTTTTACTGAATTTGCTATAAATGACCACAGACAGCACTGCATTTGAGAGCCAAAAGGTCTTTTTGAGGTCTGCCAGTCCATTTCCCACTCTACTTTCTCCACAGTGTCTGTGTGAGTGTGGTCAGTAATAATAGCAATGAGGGATAAAATAGGGCCCTGATCGTCTGGATGGAGGCTCCGTGGCTTTATTTCAAACAGAAAACAGGATGGCGAGCTTTCCATTATAGATCCATATTGAGCATGTCCTTGGAGAATTGATGGTAATTCACTAATGCCTAAATGCATTCTGAAATCCTCATATGCTGGTCTGTTGCTTGGATTAGTATCGATTCCCTTGTCTCTTACCTAAGACAGTGCACCCTAACTCAAGATGTGCAGCCTTCACCATGGAGGAAGGGAACTATGGGATTTACAGTCCTTTCACTCCAAGGTAAGAGAGGCAGCTTTCAGAAACACATTCTCTACTTCAGTGTCGGTGAAGGGGCTGTTTCCCATTACAGTATCAACCATAGTGCTTTAAATGGGAAAATACCCAAGGGTTTTAACACCTCTGCCAAAATCTGCTGTCCAGGATGAAGCTGTTCCCAGGGAAGGGGGTGAAGAACAACACACACACCCATTTCGGAATTCTCAGAGAGACCAAACACAACTGAGAACAGGATCAAAGGAACTATTTCACAGCACAGAGCATCCCACAGGGAGGGCGGTGGGCCACAGGGGAATCCCCAGGAGAATGACAGGTTTCTCAATCAGTGACAAGCTCAGTGTTGTGGTAGGCAGATGATCATAACCGATGACCAGCTAATGGCCCATCAGAAGCTCCTGTGTTATTCCAGATCCATTGGAAGATTGACATAGTCATCTCTCTCTCTCTCTCTCTCTCTCTCTCTCTTTCCCCCAGCCTGCCTTCTCTCTCATAAACATGTCATTAATGTTCATGCTACCAACAGCTGGATCATCTGAGTCCCTCCAGCTGCCTCTCAACTGGCCCAGGGGAACAGAACACCTGAGCCATTTTCACTTGGGTGTTGGGCCCATCCGTGGCCATATGGTGCCTCAGGCCCTGGAGGCCTCCTTCCCTCAAACCACTTTCCTTACTAGGTGGAAACATTCAGAACCCAACCGACATCAACACATTAGCTATTTCCCCTAGGGTTTGTTCAACTGGAAAAAGAACAGTAGTCACTTCTAATGGGCCTGCGCTACCCCTGGCCTGGTGCAGAGTGGTCTCTGAAATCACATGGCAAGGAAGGGAGGATGACTATCCCATTTAATAGATGAAGAAACTGAACCCTGAAGAGCTTAGGTAACTTGGTAACTTATCCATGGTGAACCATCCAGGAAATGGGAAGAAAGATTCAAATGGTGGTGTGACAGTTTATGAGACTTGTGCTCTCCTCACCATGCCCACAGCTAGAAGAGCTGAGGAATTAGACATGATAGACATGTACGTATGTATACACATACACACACGAATAGATAGGATGGATGGATGGATGGATGGATAGATTAGATAGATAGATAGATAGATAGATAGATAGATAGATAGATAGTTAGATAGACACAAAAATGCTTCCAGGGATGACCCCTTTGTTTAACACCTATCTTCCTAGATGCAGATTCCCCTCTCAATATGTCCATTAGGCCTCTCACCTAGCATTTGGAACTGAGAACATACAATACCCACATCCCTTCAGAGCTTCTTATAAACCCACCCATTCCACATTCCAGCCCCTTTGAAAGAGAGCTTTTGACTCTGACTCATGGGATCTTGAGCAACTCTGTTTTTGCAGAGGCTCCTGTGAACATCTCAGCCCAGCCTTTCACCGGGACCCCACTGGCTTGGAAGGGAAGGTGAGTTGGGGTTCTGTTGCTACGTACCCAGCCCTACATGGTCTCCAGCCACAGACACAGGCAGGATGGCCACGGGTGGGAGAGAAGGGAGGCTTGAAACAGCCAGAGCTCCACAGTGCAAAGGTGGCGTGGGTGAGCTGTGGCCAGACTTACCTTGAACAATACAGGCACCCAGGTAGGCAGCATCAGAAAAGGAGCACAGCAGGCGGCCATGAAAAATGTCCCTTTTAATCTGAAGGTATAAAAGGTATCTGCAATACAAAAGGAGAAATGGTCACTCTAACTTTTGGCTGAAGTCTGGAAGAAGTAGGATTGTTCATGCTTAGCTCCCATGGTGACCAGAGCTTTTCCCAGCTCTAGAGACTGGCTTAGACATGCCCAGCCCTTTGTAGAACAAGCAGAGGAAAGCTGAGAGGGGCCCTCTGAATTCAGAAAATCAGAAGTGTCTGCCGAGCAGATCTTATCAGCCTCCAAAGCTGAGCAGGCTCGGCCTTTTCAAAGAGGCACGAGAAGAAATGAGGAAAGCCACAGGACCCAGTGGCCAGAGCTCCTGGCAGCAGCTCCCGCACGAGGACAGCCATGGCCACCGTCATCACTAGCTGCATCTCAGGCACATGCTGCCCAAGCTCTGTTTCAAACGGAGAGCCAGGAAACGGACTCAATCCATACATAAGGCCAGCCTCATCATTTCTTAGGGGCAGAGAGACACATTAATCAACCTCAGACAGACGCAGTCATTATGAGGCCAGAAAGGCAACTAACTGATTCACAACTAGAGCTGTCATCTGTGTAGAGTCTCCCCACTCCAGGGATGGCACACTCAGATGCCTATTGAGGCCAGGCACACAGTGGCCTGTGACACGGGCAAGTCACCTGTGCTGGTGCAAGAAGTGCTGGAAGCAGGATGGGACACAGCAGCTCCCTAGAAAGGGGGCAGCCACTGCACAGCTCCAGCCTAGTGCTGCCACTAGAAAAGCACTTTGTCCAGTTTTTCCAGAAAAATAGCAAGGTGGGAGGCAGGCAGCAGAGCAGTGTGCCAGGTTGCAACCCCTGGCTCAGGCTCATTTTGTCCCTGTCCTTTCTGTTACTCCACACTGATCAAGCTCTCTTCCAATTTCCTCATCTTCTCAAGGTTCTTTCATTCCAGGCTCAGGCCTGGGATCTGTTGTTTCTGAGCAGAGTAACTTTACAGATGTGTGCAGATTCTTTCCGTGCTTCCTTTAGAGTTTAACTCTCAAAAACCAATGTTTTTTCTCCTTCTCAACTTCTTGGGGGTTTGTGGGGAGCATCTCTCAATCAGTCCCAGTTATCACCTTGTGAGGTTAATTTTTTATGTGTCAACTGGATTGAGCCATGGGATACCCAGATATCTGGTTCAACATTTTTTCTGGACGAGGGTGATTCTGGAAGAGATTAGCATTTGACTTGGTGGACTGAGTAAAGCAGATGACCCTCCCCAGTGTGAGTGGACCTCATGCAATCCATTGAGAGACTGAATAGCACACAAAGGCAGAGGAAGCTGAATTCACTCTGCCTGACTGCTTAAGCTGGGACATCAATCTTCTATCCTCAGTGTTCCTGGTTCTCAGACCTTCAGACTTGGATTGGAATCTACACCATTGACTCTCTGGTTCTCAGGCCTTTGAACTACACCACTGGCTTTCCTGGGTCTCCAGGTTACAGACAGCAGATCATGGAATACCTCAGCCCTCATAATCACATGGGCCAATTCCTTATAATAAATCTCATTATGTATGAAAGGGTGTGTGTGCATGCGTGCATGTGTGAGTGTGTGTGTGTGTGTGTGTGTGTGTGTGTGTGTAGCCTATTGGTTCTATTTCTCTGGAGAACCTCAACTAATAAACGTCTCTAGCGCCCAAGTAATTTAATCTTTACTCAGCCACAGGAAGAGCGACATGTGTAATCCCCATTTTAAAGGCAAAGAAATAGAGAATCAGAGAGAGTGATTAGTGTGCTAAGGTCACAGGGACGCTGTCAACCCCAGAGCACTGGAGCTCACTGTTTCTGAGCCATTGGTTCACTGAAAGCACACTGGATCCATTGAAGGAATCAGTGGCTCACTGATGTTTTCCTTCACTGTATCTTTGTCTAACATCTGCTTTATGCTGTGCACTGTGCTGTGTGGGCACTGGGGGCATGGTGGAGGCTCAAATGACAATCTTTGTCCCCAGTTTAGTATTAAATTGTGTGCAGAGGATAAAGGCAGTCCCTAATAAGTTTCTAATTTGGAGTTGCTATGCATTCTGTCAAAGGAACAATATTATACTCATTGGGTAAGGACTCAGACTAGCTGCCTAATCTAGTGCCTCTCACACTTTAACGTGCACATGAATTACTTGAAGAGTTTGTTAAAATTGATTCTGATTCAAAGGGTCTTGGATGGGCTTGAGATTCTGTATTTCTAATAAGCTCCAGGGGGGCCGGGCATGGTGGCTCAAGCCTGTAATCCCAGCAATTTGGGAGGCCGAGTTGGGTGGATCACGAGGTCAACAGATGGAGACCATCCTGGCTAACATGGTGAAACCTCGTCTCTACTAAAAATACAAAAAATTAGTCGGGCGTGGTGGTGGGTGCCTATAATCCCAGCTACTCGGGAGGCTGAGGCAGGAGAATCACTTGAACCTGGGAGGCAGAAGTTACAGTGAGCCGAGATCGCACCACTGCACTCCAGCCTGGGTGACAGAGCAAGACTCCATCTCAAAAAATAAATAAAAATAAAGAAATTAATTAATTAATTAAGTTCCAGGGGATGCTGTGGTGCAGCTCCATCAGCCACACTTTGAGTAATAAGGTTCTAAACCAGTGGGCTTCTGGATCCTACCCCAGACCCAATGAAATCAGAATCTAGGCCCTCACCAAAACTTGTATGTGAATGTTCATAATAACACTATTCATTATAGCTAGAAAGTGAAAACAGGGCAGGGCACAGAGGCTCACGTCTGTACTCCCAGCATTTGGGAGGCCGAGGCAGGCGGATAGCCTGAGGTCAGGAGTTCCAGAACAGCCTGGCCAACATGGCAAAACCCAGTCTCTACTAAAAATACAAAAATTAGCTAGGCGTGCTGGCTTGTGCCTGTAATCCTAGCTACTTGGGAGGTTGAGGCAGGAAAATTGCTTGAACCCAGGAGGCAGAAGCTGCAATGAGCAGAGATCACACCACTGCACTCCAGCCTGAGCGACAGAGCAAGACGCCATCTCAAAAAAAAAAAAAAAAAAAAAAAAGTGCAAACAAGCCAAATGTCCCCCAGCTGACGAATACATAAAAGAAATGTGGCATTTCCATACACTGGAATATCATCCAACCATAACAAAAATGAAAAGCTGAAGATGCTACAACAGGGATGAACTTTGAAAGCATTATGCTAAGTGAAAAGACGCCAGACCCAAAAGGCTACACATTGCATGCTTTGATTTATATGAAACAACCAGAATGGACAAATCTATAGAGACAGAAAACAGATAAGTGGTTGCCAGGAACTTGGGAGAAAAGAGAATACTGGATGACCACTTGGGTGCAAAATTTCCTACTGGGGTGATGAAAATGTTTTGGAATCAGATCATGGTGTTAGTGGCACAAATCTGTGCACATACTAAACTGTACACTTCAATATCTGTCAAAATAAACTATTTTGAAAATCCAAATTGTCTTAGAGTGGTGGTTCTCAAAATTTGGCATGCTTCAGAATTACCTGGAGGGCTTATGAAAATAGATTGCTGGACCCAACTGCCGGAGGTTTCTGATTCAGTAGGTCTTGGACAGACACCAAGAATCTGCATTTATAACAAGTTCCCAGGGGATGCTGACATTGCTGGCCCAGGGACCTCACTTTGAGGACAGGCCCAAGACTATTCAGAATAGCAAGGTCACACAAATGCTTTAAATGATTAAATCTTAGCCCTTTTTAAGGACTGTAAACTACCAGGCCAAATACCATGAAGTTTCTTTTCTGTGTATTCAATGTATGCATCAAACATAAAAGCATTTCTTTCTACTTTTTGATGAGTTTGGCCATGAAAAATAGTTTCAAATAACTATTTATTGATAAATGAGAGGCTTGAGTTGTAATCCCATAACTCAGAAATCAATTTGGCAAGAGCTTCCTGAGAAAAGAAAAGCAGCTTTCACGTCAGACTTTGGGGCTGTGCCCATATCAGTGATCTCAGGAGATAATCAAGAATTACTGTGGATTCAACATAATCCACTGAGTCTTGTAAATGGTTTCACATTAAGGATGCTCATTTTTTTTATATAATAGCTACCAAAAAATAATGCATCTCCCTTTAGTGTCATTCCTGCATAAAAAGATTAAGCAACAAAAACCCATGAGGGTCTGAGTCATAAATTATTGTGCTGCCATTAATAAAATTGCATCTCTACATGGATTGGAAGATGCTACTTCTAAAAAAAATTAAAATCAACATTCTTTTTGTAACATTCAATTGTATAGAGCATTTACAAAAGCCCCAGAAATCTAAAGGATTGTAAGATGATTGCTTATATGGAGAGATAAAGGATAAAAAATGATTTCAAATATCACTTTTGTGGTTATTTTTATTATTTTGTGATTTTAAATTTGCCTTTTTCTTAACATTTCTTTACTCTTAAGCATGGTCATGAATATGATCGTAACTTCTCACATATTAAATTCTTCTCAAACTTTAGATTAATCTTATAATAAAATAACAATTTATCATACAAGAAAAACTAAATGCCTTCAAGATAAGAATTCAAACCATAAGTACCTGGGGCATTCCACAGTTTCTCAATTCGTTTAGAATTCTAAGGACTGTGTTTACTAAGAAAAGTCCATTTCTACTTGTATAAGGGCAGTGGAACATCTTAATTACCTTTGGAAACTCAAAGGGTCACGATATTCCACTATTCATACCTGAGCTATTTAGTCAAACGTAGGAAAATGTTAGCAAATACAACTGAGAGGGGCGAGAAACTAGGGTTATTAACTGAAATGCTGTACTCTTTTACTTTCAAATAGGACTTTTTTCAACAACAAAATGTCCATCCTTAATTTATATTGTGACACATACTCAATTTTTATCCTCCAGACAAAATTATAAAGAGAACAAATGACAAAAGTGAGGCATTAGGATTTGATTTGATCTTCCTAATTACACTGTTAGCACCCTGAGGGCAGGAAAAATAGCTCGCTCGCTCTCTCCTCTCTCTCTCTCTTCTCTCTCTCTCTCTTTTTGGCAGCTAATTCAGTCACTGCCCCCTGGGTAGTAACAGCAAGTGAGAACAAATTTATCAAATAAATAATTAAAATTTTCAATCCAAAATCAGACCAAGGCTACATACTATACCATTCCATTTACATGAAATGTCCAGAATGGGTAAATCCATAGAAACCAAAAGTAGATTAGTGGTTGCCAGGGGCTTGGATGGGGACTAGGGTGGAGAATAGGGAGTGACTTCTATGGGGTACATGGTTTCTTTTGAGGGTGATGAAAACTTCTAGAATTAGATGGTGGGGAGGGTTGTCCAACACTGTGAATGTACTGAATGCCACTGCATTATACACTTTAAAATGGTGAGATACATTTATGTCATGTGAATTTTACCTCAATGAAAAGAAAAAACCAGGCCAGATTGCAAAATCCCAACCACTGCTTATAACGTCCATTATCTATTACCCTCATTTCCACACACACACACCCTCTCTCCCCATCTCCCACGCCCAGCACAAACCTTACTAAATGACTGTGAGGAAATTAATAATAGAGAGCAGAACCACCTGCTCCCTCCCAAAGTCACCTCCATGCCACTAATGGTCAAGCTTACCAGAGACCCTGGATAATAACAAGGAAGCAAAATATCCAAGAACCCAAAACCTCCCCCTGCCAATGATCAGAGCAGATTACACTTGCTTTTCTGTTGCATCTATCTGTACCTAAGCAGCTTATTTTGAGAGATGATTATAGCAAGTGATTTTTGTGGTCACCAAGCCAGAGCCTCATCTAGAGTTAAGCGCACAGCAGCGCTCTCTCTCCCATCCTCCTAGAATCCTGCTCACAACATGTGCCCAGGTTATTCAAGGAAGCCAAACCCCCAGAAGGTACGCTGAAGCTGTAGCCCCAACAGAGGGAGGTGAGAAGGGAGGAGGTCCAAGGACTCAAAAATTCGGAGAGTTGGGCTGAGAAGAGTCTGAGTGGAGGGAAGCCTGCCTCCCAGTCGGTCATTCAGCAAGCGGAAGGCAGGATGACAGACAATGCATTCTGCCAGGCGATCTTTTCCCTCCCAGAAAAGCTGAGATCCAAAAGATAGACTAGGGACTGTACTGGGTATGAATTTGCCCATGTCTCGAAGACAGACGCCTCCTATTTATTTTTAGCACCCCACTGTCAGATGTTTTCAGAGAACACCTCCCCCATCATAGCCAGTGCTTTTTTCTGCAGTTAATTACACTCTCAATGACAATTGTTTTTTTAAAAAATCCCAAAACAATTCAGTGTAAGAGAAGCATTCCAAGCAAAAACGCTGAATTCCAAGCTTGCAACACTGAGACGGTCAGCTCTAGACAGGAGGCCCATCTAGCCTGCAAGACCAAAGAGATTCTGGCTGGTTAAAGGTGCACGTTAAACATACAAACAAACAAAAAATACCTTGTGAGCTCTTCTTTAATCTTCAAGGGTTCATGTGGGTAGAATTTCACTCTAAAGCACATGGTGTATGGTGGATGAGCTGAAACATCATAAAGAAAAGGCATGAGAAAAGCAGCAAAAGACCATGGCCTCAAACACACACGGGAAAGGCAGCCGTGCAGCCTGACAGACTAGCCTGGGGAGTGGGGGCCAGGAGGGGGTGATTGTTTTGGAAGAAGCAGATATGATGCCCAAGAAAACAAAGCGACAGCAACAACAAAACTCAAAGAAAATGCTTGACAGGACTCCCAGAGCAAATGTAGAATACCAGCAACCCAGTCAGTGAGCTCATTTTTCCACATCACAGCTCGCCTTCATTCCTTCATTCTCTCCAGCACACAGCTCCAGAGAACACTTCTCTTCTGATTCTTCCCACCCCTTGTGACAAACAAATTGCACATAAGCACCATTCAAGTTGCTGGGCTCACAAAAGATTTTTTTAGCCTGTGAGGTGGAAAAAAAAATGTCACTGCACATGACTAGTTTTCCCAAAATGATGGTGTCTCTGAATTAAAATTAAGGTTTAAAAGATGGAGTCAGCCATGCAGAGATCCTACTTTGCAGATTTTTAGTATTATCTATCTATAAAGGCAGTCACCTGTATGAAAATAAACACTGTTGGCCGGCTGGTCGTGGTGTCTCACGCCTGTAATCCCAGCACTTTGGGAGGCCAAGGCAGGCAGATCACCTGAGGTCAGACCAGCCTGACCAACATGGAGAAACCCCATCTCTACTAAAAATACAAAAAAAAAAAAATTAGCTGGGTGTGGTGGCACATGCCTGTAATCCCAGCTACTCAGGAGGCTGAGGCAGGAGAATTGCTTGAACCCAGGAGGCGGAGGTTGCAGTGAGCTGACATTGCACCATTGCACTCCAGCCTGGGCAATAAGAGTGAAACTCCATCTCAAAAAAAAAAAAAAAGAAAGAAAGAAAAAGAAAAAGAAAGAAGAAAAAGAAAAAAAAGAAAAGAAAACAATTTTATAACTTTCTGGTTTCCCTGAAGGGAAAATCCTATGTAGGCTGCAATTCTGGTTGAGGTTCATGATTCTGGAGTGTTCTAATTTGCCTCAAATATCCAGAACTCACCCAACCAATGGGGATTCTACAGGACTTCCAAGATCTTCCATTATAAGATCACTACCGACTTGTAATATTACACTGATAAATGCATACCAGTGTAGTGAGATGCATTCAGATTTCAGTTAACATATAAAATGAACATCTTAAATCAAGGAAATAAAATAGTTAGCATTACTATTTCCATGGATTGGACATACCACTCATTTGCTTCTGTATCAGTAAAGCTACTTGGGATCAGTTCTCAGTCTACATCCAAATGTGAATATGAAACAACATCCTATTTTACCCAAATTCATCTTTCAAGATACGCAGGGGTTAAACTGCCATCCAATTCTACACTGTCTGGACTACTCCAGATGTAGACGAATCCTTTACATAAGAAGAGCCACAGGGTTCTTGAATATGAATGTATAATAAGAATAATTTAATATGAAAAACAATTATTAAAAAGGATTTGATAGCATCTAAATTACAAAAAAAAAGAGCAGCATCTTGCTGATGATCTCAGCAGAGAAAAACTGATCATACACACACACACACACACACACACACACACTAGAACTCTTTTCATTCAACGCCCTACTTCCCTACCAACAACTAGCAAAATTCTTAACTGAGATGAGTGCTCCTAACCTGATCCTATGTTCCCAAGATTTAAGAAAAGAACCTTTTTTTTTTCCTGAAGCACTAGGAGAAAATAGATACCTTCTACATAGCAAAGAAAAAGCTTAGAAAAATACATCATTCATCTTTAATGATATCTAGAAATTCAGTTCTAATACAAAATAATTTATCTTTAAACATTTCCCAGCTTTCTTTTAAGTTTGTTTAAAGTACCATCTTTAATAGAGATAGATAGAGATAGGTAGATAGATGATTGATAGTTACATGATAGATAGATAGATAGATAGATAGATAGATAGATAGATAGATAGACATGCCATCCTGCTTCATTATTCACTTTGTCTCTAATCCTGCCCCATCTGTCTCAGGTTCGTTCCTATCCAACTTCATTACACCCCAAATTCTCCAACCCATATTAACAACTTTCATCTACATTCTTCCCCTCCTTTTGCCATCCTCACACAAATATATGCCAACATGATTGTATTATATATGTGGAGAGATTTTTAATTTATTCTAACAAAATAAGATCATACTGTACATGTTTCTCTCACTTTCCTCACTTAACGCTATATCCTGCCCATCCCTCCAGGACAGTAGATAGAGATCTCACTTAATGTCTATAGTAACTACAGAATAGTTCATATTATGAATACACCAGAGTGTACTCAATTATTCCCTTTTAATTGTCATTTAGGTTGTTTTCACACTTTTGCAATTCAAACTATTCTACATCAAACCATATCCATCCTTGTGCACAGATCGCTATATGCTTGTATTTTTATTTCTATAATGTAGACTCTCAAAAGTTGAATTGTTGGATCAATAGGTATGGGAAAATGTTTTAAAGAGAGCAGAAAAATAAAGTCCCCTGACTATCAGCAATTTATAAAAAGGAAGATCACAGAAAATGGCCCCAAACGAGAGCTGTCCTTTCTCTCCTTCCTGAAGCATTAACTTCTTAGTGTCGTAAGTTGGCTTCAATAAGCATCGGAGCTCCTCAGATACAAATAGTGACTCACACTTGTTCCAAAGGATCAGGCAATGAGGCCCAGAACTGCTCCCCAGTGCTCTCCTTGACTATGTCTGAGTGTAGGAAGCCTTCCCACCCAGTTCTCCTCACTTCAAGCTCTGAGGCTCCAGGAAGGTCTAGTGCTTCTCCCACGTACATGAAGAGTCCTTCCATCATCTGAAGATGACACTTGTGGGCCTTCTGAGTCTTCCCTAAAATAAACATCCTGGTCCTCTTCATTTGAAGCAGTTCTGAGTGGCCTTCACCAGCCGGCCCCTCCACCCTAAGTAGATTCTTGTCTGCTCTATGCTTCCTCAAGCCAGGGGCCCTAGGATTGCCAGCTTCATTCTGGACATAATCGTCGTCTCCTGTCAATGGTCTCCTCTCAGTGTTGATTTACCCTGAGTTTACAATAGGCCCACAGTCTTAATTCTTTTCATATCTGCTGTTGCTGAGTCACACAGAACAAGCCACTATGTTCCTGACATCTCCCTCCATTTGCTGGGATATGATCACAGAAGAAATCAATACAAGGTGCTCAAGATATGCTCACTATTGAACCCCTTGGCAGAGAAGGGATGAGAGCTGGCGGCAGGAAAAACAAGAGGAGGCACTTTTCAAGTTTAACATTTTCTATTTTTTTTCTACCATCATATATGCCCTACTGTGTTTTTCTCTCATATCTAGCCAACATCATTGACCCCATGTCACCAATAAAAGAAGAGTGTCCCTGTAAGTTGGAAGAACCACTCAGTTCTGTCACAGTGATCCAGGAGTAGTGCCAGAGACCTGAACTGATGAGAAGGTCAATGTCTTCATCCAGGCCTGACGAGGCCACTGCAGTGGGGTGGGGGAGGGGGGGCACTTTTTCTTTAAGAAACTTACTTAAGGTTCTATTAATAGATGCAAAAATTATATTATTATTTTATAAAGTAGTACTGCTAAAGAATGTTCCTTCACAGGGCTGGAACAAGCTGAAAAGATAAATAATTTCCCCCAAAATGCTGATCTAGTTATGGATGACAAGATGCATGAGGGTATAGAATAATATGTCTTGTTCAGCTTTTTATCCCCAGAGCTGATTATTGATAAAAGGTTGATTTTCTGAGTGTGTGGATAAATGAATTTGTGAATGATAAACCCCAGGCTCTGAGGCAGATGTCTAGAGGAACACTGAGGCCCTGCCATCACATTCATCCCTTGGTCCCTCTGACAGAATCAAAATACAGATCTAGAAAAGTTTGTCATCTGGATCACTACAGCAATTCCTGAGATTTACATTTTGAAAGCCTCTTTTCTCAGCTTCTGTTCTTCCCACTCAATATCTGGAATAAAATTCAGGGACTCTGGAGTTGGTTACGATAGCTACTTCTAGAGGCAGGATTGATTAGTTCAATCAGCAATGATCTATTGTTATAGGTAACAGACACAGTTTTAGATGTTGTACATTCATTGCACAAATGTTAGCAGCTGTGAACAGACAAAAATTTTGTCTTTTTTTTTTCTTGAGACAGAGTTTGGCTCTTGTTGCCCAGTCTGAGAGTGAAATGGCGTGATCTCAGCTCACTGCAACCTCCGCCTCTTGGGTTTAAGCAATTCTCCTGGCTCAGCCTCCCAAGTAGCTGAGAATACAGGTACCCACCACAATGCCTGGCTAATTTTTTGTATTTTTAGTAGAGACAGGGTTTCACCACGTTGGCCAGGCTGGTCTCGAACTCCTGACCTCAGGTGATCCACCTGCCTTGGCCTCCCAAAGTGCTGGGATTGCAGGTGTGAGCCACTGTGCCTGGCCAAAAATTCTGTCTTATGGAATCAACCTAAGTGCCCATCAATGGTGGACTGAATAAAGAAAATGTGGTACATATACACCATGGAATACTATGCAGCCATAAAAAGAACAAAATCACATCCTTTGCAGCAACATGAATGTAGCTGGAAGCCATTATCCTAGGCAAATTAACACAGGAGCAGAAAAACAAACACTGCATGTTCTCACTTAGAAGTGGGAGCGAAACATTGGGTACTCATGGACATAAAGATGGAAACAACAGACGCTGGGGACTACTAGAAGAAGAAAGTAAAGGGGGCAAGTGTTGAACAACAAACTATTGGGTACTATGCTTAGTACCTGGGTAACAGGATCATTCATACCCCAAACCTCAGCATCATGAAAAATATCCAGCTAATAAACCTGTGCATGTAAACCCTGAATCTAAAATAAAAGTTAAAAAGAAATTCTGTCTTCATGGAGGACACATTCAGTAGGGGTAAACAGGTATAAAAATCAAAATAAATATGTGAAATACCAGGACAGTAGAAGGTCATATGTGCTATGGGAAAGAATAAAGCCAAGAAGATGTAACAGATGAGAGAAGACTGCCACCTCTGCTCCCTTTTCCCATCCCCACTCCAATCAAACCCATGAAGTACGTGCAATTCTTTTTACTACCTTGAAAAAAAATAAAACACTCAAAAATCAAATCATTTAAAATTGTAAGTCATTGAACAAGGAGGTTGGGGGTCATCTTTAACCCCAAGTGTGGTGGCAATGGTTTGGGGTCAGAAGTCCAGCATTTGAGCACTGTGGTGCACCCACACCAGCTGTATGACTGCTGGAAAAGGAGCCTTCTCAGATGCAACATGGAAGCCCCCACTTACTCCCTGGGACATGTCCAAGGTCCTGAATCCCCTTGTGCAGCGATGACTAACCCCTTCTCCAAGCTGCTAAGTGTCTACGCAATCCAGCTTCCATGTGTTCTTATTCTTAAATTACAGGGAAAGGGGAATGACGTAAAGAAAGATCCTTCTCTGTGCCAAACATTTGGTGCAGAATCAGTACAGGAAATGTCTGATGAAGGAGCTATCTGCGCAAACCCACAGCCTGTATTGGAGCCCTCTCCCAACAGTATTATCATGAACAGCCACTGTGCATCTTTACTAGACTGGGCAGCATGGTCACCCCATGGGAGAAGACATCCTGGCCCTGTCTAATGTGGTGCTCAGGCTTCAGCACCCTTGACAGGGGTACACAGGGTGGTGAAAACCCCAAATCCCCCAGAGGATGAGCCCCTGAGTTTTGAAGAGGATGTCCCAACAGTGATCTTGAGAAAGCCACCTAATTTCTCTTTCCTGCTCTGCAGAGGTCACAGTGCCAGTGCCAGCCATCATGTCTACCTTCCAGATGTGTTTGGGTGGATCCAAATGGCTCCTGGAACGTGTACACAGGGCATTATCTAAATGTGAGATTGTGTTCTGTTGAGATAAACACTCCTACCAGAAGAAGAGAAGGAAAATGGGAGGTGGAAATAGGAGGGAGGGAATGGGGAAGACTGAATTGAATTCAACTCAACAGCTGAAAAGCATTAACTCAGCCATGTAAGTGCTAAAAACAGAGCATACCACCAGAGTAGCAGAGAAGGGGGAAAAAGTGAAATCCACTTTGAAATGCCAAGAGCTTGTAATTGCACTGAGAACAGCAGGGCTCCTCTCTCACAGCCAACTGATAGCTGCCAGACAAGGGCTGGGGAGCCAAGTGTCTCCTCGGGGCAGCTCAGTGGCCCCTTTTGTGTCAGCAAATCCCAGGGTAGCATCATTTTGCTGATTTGATAACACTGAGAACATGGAGAGAGGTACAGCTGTTTATAAAACAGAGACAGAATTTCTCATCTCCACATTGAGCCATTGCCCAGAAATGGAGTTGATAGGAAACGATTAAATTGAGCAAGATCCTGGGTGAAAGGGAAAAAGGGACTTTCTTTCTATTTCTGACCAACAACCTCAGTCAAATCTTTTAAAGATCAGATAGGATTTTTTGAGAGAGAAGCATCACTCAGCAGCATTTTTTTTTTTTTTTTTTTTTTTTGACAGAGTCTTGCTCTGTCGCCCAGGCTGGAGTGCAGTGGCGCGATCTCGGCTCACTGCAAGCTCCGCCTCCCGGGTTCACGCCATTCTCCTGCTTCGGCCTCCCAAGTAGCTGGGACTACAGGCACCCGCCACCACTTCCGGCTAATTTTTTTGTATTTTTAGTAGAGACGGGGTTTCACCGTGTTAGCCAGGATGGTCTCGATCTCCTGACTTCGTGATCCGCCCACCTCGGCCTCCCAAAGTGCTGGGATTACAGGGGTGAGCCACCGCGCCCGGCCAGCAGCTTTTTTTTTTTCTTAAAACCAAACGTTTTCCTCCAGTCATCATAAAGAATCATGGGGAAATCAGAAGCGTAATTTCAGGACTATACATACAAACTCACAATGTTTCTCATATACATTCTGATTTACAGCTAGGAAAAATCTCCCCAATTTCCTTTTTAACAATTTTTTTTATTTCGATAGGTTTTTGGGAAAACAGGTGGTGTTGGTTACATGAATAAGTTCTTTAGTGGTGATTTCTGGGATTTGGGTGCACCCATCACCCAAGTGGTATATACTGTACCCAATGTGTAGTCTGTTATCCCTCACCACCCCCAACCCTTTGTCCCGAGTCCCCAAAGTCCGTCATATCATTTTTATGCCTTGTAGCTTAGCTCATAGCTTAGCTCCCACATACGAGTGATAACATGCGATGTTTGGTTTTCCATTCCTGAAATACTCAATTAGAGTCTTCAATTCCTGCAAATGCCATTAATTCATTCCTTTTTATGGCTGAGTAGTATTCCATGGTGTATATATATATCTATCCATCATGGTAATATATATATTACATTATATATATTATGTATATATATAACATACATGGAATATATATATTACATTATATATATTATGTATATATATAACATACATGGAATATATATATTTTATATATATATAATACATACATATATATATATATATATATATATATATATATATATATATATATATATATAAAACATTTTCTTTATCCACTCATTGACTGATGGGCATTTGGGCTGGTTCCATATTTTTGCAATTGCAAATTGTGCTGCTATAAACATGCGTGTGCAAGTATCTCTTTCGTATAATGACTTCTTTTTCTCTGGGTACTGGATACCCAGTAGTGAAATTGCTGGATCAAATGGTAGATCTACTTTTAGTACTTTAAGGAATCTCCACACTGTTTTCCATAGTGGTTGTACTAGTTTACAACCCCACCAATAGTGTAAAAGTGTTCCCTTTTCACCACACCTATGCCAACATTTATTATTTTTTTATTTTTAATTATGGCCATTCTTGCAGTAGTAACGTATCACATTGTGGTTTTTATTTGCATTTCTCTGATCATTAGTGATGTTGAGCATTTTCTCACATGTTTGTTGCCCATTTGTATATCTTCTTTTGAGAATGGTCTATTCATGTCCTTAGCCCACTTTTTGATGGGATTGCTTGTTTTTTTCTTGCTGATTTGTTGGAGTTCTTTGTAGATTCTGGATATTAGTCCTTTGTCAAATGTATAGATTGTGAAGATTGTCTCCCACTCTGTGGGTTGTCTGTTAACTCTGCTGATTATTTATTTTTTGTGCAGGAGTTTTTCAGCTTAATTAAGTCCCATATATTTATGTTTGTTTTTGTTGCACTTGCTTTTGGGTTTTTGGTCATGGAGTCTTTGCCTAACCCAATGTCTAGAAGGGTTTATCCCATGTTATCCAATGCTACCTTCTAGAATCTTAATGGTTTCAGGTCTTAGATTTAAGTCTTTGATCCATCTTGAGTTGATTTTTGTATAAGGTGAGAGATGAGGATCCAGTTTCATTCTTCTATATGTGGCTTGCCAATTATCCCAGAACCATTTGTTGAACAGGGTGTCCTTTCCCCACTTTACGTTTTTGTTTGCTTTGTTGATCAGTTGGCTGTAAGTATTTGGCTTTATTTCTTGGTTTTCTATTCTGTTCCATTGGTCTATGTGCCTATTTTTATACCAGTACCATGCTGTTTGGTGACTATGACCTTATAGTATATAGTTTGAAGTCGGGTAATGTGATGCCTCCAGATTTTTTCTTTTTGCATAGTCTTGCTTTGTCTATGTGGGCTCTTTTTTGGTTCCATATGGTTTTTAGAATTGTTTTTTCTAGTTATGTGAAGAATGATGGTGGTATTTTGACGGGAATTACACTGAATTTGTAAATTGCCTTCGGCAGTATGGTCATTTTCACAATATTGATTCCATCCATCCATGAGCATGGGATGTGTTTCCGTTTGTTTGTGTTGTCTATGATTTCTTTCAGCAGTGTTTTGTAGTTTCCCTTGTAGAGGTCTTTCACCTCCTTGGTTAGGTATATTCTTAAGTATTTATTTATTTATTTATTTATTTATTTATTTATTTATTTGTAGCTATTGTGAAAGGGATTGAGTTCTTGATTTTATTCTCAGCTTGGTCACTGTTGCCTATATTCCTGTTGTGCACATGCCATGCACAGTGATGCCAATGGATTCAACTGTGCTGCATTCAATAATGATATGGTTCGAAAGCACAAACTACCTCTGCACATATGCAAAATGACGCTTGAGCACCTAAAGGGGAGAACATTGCTCACTCATTCTCCAACTGTGACTCTAGAAATATGTGTAAATAAGCCAGCCACAGAGAGTGCAGGCTGCATTCATGACTGCTCTCTTCTACATGGAAATGATTATAATCATTAAACAACAACTGTTACTATCAGCATCATCAGCAACAGTGATGATCCTTCCCCCACTCTTACTGAAATGATAATCACTGTGTTTCCCCAGCTTCCAAAGCAGAGACAGGTTTTTAAAATCATGTTTAATTCATCTTCCTCTCGTTACAGTTCCCTCCTATGCTTTTATCACACACAGGCATGCCCACCCACACTCGTAGGCACTGACTACAGTCACTCAGAGAACTCTCTTAAGGGAGATTGGAATGCTGAGTGGTTGCCTCACAAATCCTTGGTCTCTGAATTCTCTTCCTGCCTATGCCTGCTCAGGAGAAGCTTGAAAAGAGACTTTGGGGTCCCATACTTCTAACCTCAAGTTTGTCATTTGAACAAATTGCTGCGTCCAAACTTAAAACTCCCTGCCTCCATTTCCTCATCTGTAAAATGGGAATAATAATGGAACCAACCACAGAGAGCAGGGCATCAAACTTTCTCTGTAAAGGGCTAGAGAATAAATATTTTCAACTTTGGAAGGCTCGAGTTTTCTGTCTCAACGACTCCACCCAGTTGTTGTAGTAGAGAAGCAGCCACCACCAATACATAAACAAGTGTGTATAGCTGTGCTCCAATAAAACACTGAAGTTTGAATTTGTATCATTTTTGTATGCCACAAAAATCTTATATATCTTTTGGTTTTTTTCAACCATTTAAAAATGTGAAACCTATTCCTAGACCAAAGGCCATATGAACATAGGTGGTGACTAGGTGTGGCCTGCGACCCGTCGTAGAGACCACAATGAGGATGACATGAGTTCATGACTGCGTAGAGACCACAATGAGGATGACATGAGTTCATGACTGCAAAGCACTTCGCAGCCTGCTGAGACCTGTGGACTGAATGCATAGGAATTATTGTTACTCTAAAGTGCAGGGAAGAAACCAACATGGCTAAAGTCAAGTCCTTCAATGTTACCTTGCCTTTTACCTGGGTTGAAAGAGTGAGGGGGCACTGTCATCTCTCAGGGAGGAGTGAGGAAGAAGTGGGCATGAGACAGGTGTGTATATGAAGAGATATTTGGCAGCCCTGGCATCTAAAGGACAGCTTTGCTGCCTGAGCCGAGGGTACAATGACCTAAACATTTTAGCCAAAAGGTTAGCAAGAACACATGAAACTGAAGGCAAGAGACCCAGGAACCTGTTTGCTGCTGATGTTGTATAACTAGCCAGACCCTTGGAGTCATGTTGATAGGTGTAAATCAATATGTAGAAATAACAACTGTAACAGAAAAATTCAACTACTTACATAACTTGGTATTGAGATTTGATACTATAAAGTTGCATCCAAAAATCAGGCATTATAAAGGCTCTCCCACCAAAGGGAGACATGAACAAAGCCTTCCTACCCACTTGGCCCACACTTGAACCACCTCTAGTACTCACATACCGAGCATGGAACCTCCTGCCCATCATGGTTATCATTCAGACACTCATGCTGCCAGCATGTGTAGTTTTGAGTCGTGTGGGCCCCTAAGAAAGAATGCGGGCATTCCTGAAGGAAGAAGAAAGCCCCTGAAAGTACTGCCCCAGAGATATAAGGACTTCCCCCAGGAGAGGCTCCTATTCCTTCTGCTTCCTCCACTACCCCTGTCACACTACCCCGCTTCCCACGAGGAGTGCTAGGTACTCCCTGAAACCCCTGCACACACTACTGCACCCAATCAAAATGATGTCAGTGTTGCCACCAACCATTGCATAAGCATAAAGTTAAAAATTAGAAATCTATGGCTTGTCAAGTGTGCACATCATTTAGAACTGCATGCTATAAAATTAAGGGTTTTTGTCATTACTATTGTTACTGTCCTCTCCTTCCATATTGGGAAACAAAGAAAGAGCACAACATGGAAACCATTTATAGGCTCAAATTGCATTAACTTTCTGGGAGAAGGATCAAATATAAAAATTTTGATGAACAGTTGAACTTGGTAGAATAACAGATACCTGGCCCAACCTAATGAGCTGTCTCTAGAACAAGGTAAGCAAACAGGTGTCCAACGCTGGAGACACTCCATGGCTGAAACAAAAATCATAGCTGCTCTTCTTGGAAAGAAGCTTTGGAAGAAGAAAACTGGGAAGAACAAAGGCATCCAAAACTAAACCATAGTACTTGGGGACTTTGTACTTTTTGATTTATGTAATGAGCTGTGTTCAGTTGTATGTTTTGCTTTTTTTTGTAAAAAAATAGCATTTGAACTTCCACCTGTGCTGTAAAAAGAGCATTTTAATCCTAGTCAGAAAGCATTTATTATGAATCAATAACATGCATAACATTTTATACAAAGCCATGGAACAGGTGAAGAAATTTTCCAAACCCAGTGCTGGAGATTATGATTAGACAAGTAGGTTATACGAATGAGGATGATAGCATAGGCTGCCCCTCACTCTGGAGGCAGGGTTACAGCCACAACAGGGATTGGAAGAAATGAATTGTGCAAAGCTTTACTGTCAAAAGCATGTGACCAAGGTCAGCAAAACAGAACAACATACACAAAGGGGGCTAGAGGTAGTAAGCTAAAGAAAGAGGCTAAAGAAAAATGCTGAGAGTACTGGAGATCTAAAAAACCCATGTCCACCTAGAACCTCAGAATGGAACCCTATTTGGAAATAGGGTCTTTGTAGATGTAATTGATTAATTAATTACAATGCATTCATATTAGGTTAGGGTGGTCCCTAAATCCATTGACTGATATCTTTATAAGAGAAAGGAGAGTGAGACTTTGACACAGGGCACAGAGAAACATAGGGAGGCACCATGTGAAGATGGAGGCAGAGTGTGGAGTGAGGCAGCTACAAGCCAAGGAAGGCCAAGGACTGCAGGAAACCAGCAGAAGCCAGAAAAGGCAGGAAGCATTCTTCCCTAGAGCCTTCGGAGGGAGCATGGCCCTGCTGACAACTTGGTTTCAGACTTCTGGCCTCCAGAACTGTGAGCAAGTAGATTTCTATTGTTTTAAGCCACCCAGTATGTGATAATTTATTATGGATGCCCAGAGAAACTAACACACTCAGCAAGGGGAAAACTGGAAGAACAAGTAGAGTTGAGAGTCAATCATCCAAGCTGGCCTCATGAGTATGAGACCTGTGGCTTTACACCAGAGCAAAATCGATGCTGTTGGTTCTCTCTCTCTCTCTCTCTCTCTCTCTCTCTCTCAATCTCAATCTCAATTTCCTATTGACAAAAAATCATTCATTAGCAAGAGAGCTATTTGTTAGATTAGCCCCAAGGGGGATGTTGGAAAGCTAATGAATGAGACATAAACATGAAGTACCAAGACTATCACCATCAAAGTCAGGAATTCCACACCATCCCAGGTTTCCAGGGAGTGCCATCACAACTTCTGAGCACCACTGTCATCAGCCAGCAACAACTTGACTCAGTACTGCTATTATGGCTGAGTTGTATGCATGTGTTATGCAGAGGCTGGGGGTTCCTGCCTACCCTGATTTGCATGCAGAAGCCATTTCCAAGCACCCCTGCCCCTTCAGGGTGCTTGGGAGCAGCACAGTCTCTGGTAAATAGGGCAAGAATAGGATCTTAACTACCTTGCTGTGCTAATCAGGCCTCAGACAGGCACCAGCCAGGATTAAGTGGAGAGCTTGTTTAGAAGAGTAAGTGAGCTTTCTTTCATCTCAGTCTGTTTCTATAGAACATGCTTAATGCATATGCATCCTGCTTCCTTCCTTCCTTCTCTCCTTCCTTCCTTCTCTCCTTCCTTCCTTATTTCCTTCCCTCCTTCCTTCCTTTTTCCTTCCTTCCCTCCCTCCTTCCTTCCCTCCCTCCTTCCTTCCCTCCCTCCTTCCTTCCCTCCCTCCTTCCTTCCCTCCCTCCTTCCTTCCCTCCTTCCTCCCTTTCTTTCCTCCTTCCTTCCTTTCCTCCCTACTTCCTTGCTTTCTTTCTTCCTTCCTTCCTTTCCTCCCTCCTTCCTTCCTTTCTTCCTTCCTTCTCTACTTCCTTCCCTCCTTCCTCCCTTCCTTCCTTGTTTTGCATAAAGATTTCTCTCCTTTTGCTTATTTTATTTTTATTACCAAGTCATATAAGAATATATTCTCATGGTAAAAGATATGAGTGTAACATAACTACATATAATAAAATGCGAAAGCCTCATGTCCCTATATTATGCTCTCTTCCCCAGAGGTAACCACAGTTAAGTATACATCTTTCCAGTTCTTCTTCTACACGCTATATAGTCACATGAAAAAATTCTATTTTTATATAAAAGTATCATTATTTACGTGGTCTTTTAATCTGATTTTTAAACTCAACAATATGTCTATAAGTCTTTCCATGTCAATAATACATGTCTGCCTGTTTTTCTAATGACTATGTATACACACATAATTTATCCTTGCAAAAATTACTGGCCTTTTTATTGCTTTCTCAGTGTTATAAGCAATGCTGTAATAAACACCCTTGCATAATATATACCTGTGCGTGAATAAATTTTGCTCTAGATAGATTTGTAGAAATTGATTTGCTGGACCAAGAGACATAGGCTTTTTTTTTTTTTTTTTTTTGAGACGGAGTCTCGCTGTCGCCCAGGCTGGAGTGCAGTGGCGCGATCTTGGCTCACTGCAGGCTCCGCCCCCCGGGGTTCACGCCATTCTCCTGCCTCAGCCTCCTGAGTAGCTGGGACTACAGGCGCCCGCCACCTCGCCCGGCTAATTTTTTGTATTTTTAGTAGAGACGGGGTTTCACCATGTTAGCCAGGATGGTCTCGATCTCCTGACCTCGTGATCCGCCCACCTTGGCCTCCCAAAGTACTGGGATTACAGGCGTGAGTCACTGCGCCCGGCTGAGACATAGGCATTTTTAATCTTGAAAGATATAACCAGATTACTCTCCAAAGTGGCTTTATCAGTTTACACACTCTCACCAGAAGTGTTATCCTCATCCTCATCACCTGGATATTATCAATAATTACAATTTTCTCAGTATAGTAAATAAAAATATCTTATTCTAATTTGCATTTCCTTTGTAGCTAATGATATTGAGCATCTGTTTGTGAGCTTCTTGGTCATTTATTTTTATTCCTTCTCTGAGTCTTTTGCATATTTTTATATTGAGCCGTTCATCTGTTGGTTTGTAGCATCAAACATAATACATTCTGCATATTACTACTCGTTATATGTTTGGCAAATGTTCTTCCCATTATTTTCCCTGTGCTTTAATTTGCTTTACAGTCATTCATTCAACAAATATTTACTAAGAATCTACTCTGGCTGGGCACGGTGGCTCACGCCTGTAATCCCAGCACTCTGGGAGACTGAGGCGGGGGCGTCACAAGGTCAAGAGATCGAGACCATCCTGGCCTACATGGCAAAACCCCGTATCTTCTAAAAATACAAAAATTAGCTGGGCACAGTACACGCGCCTGTAGTCCCAGCTACTCAGGAGGCTGAGGCAGGAGAATTGCTTGAACCCTGGAGGCGGAGGTTGCAGTGAGCCAAGATCACACCACTGCACGCCAGCCTGGTGACAGAGCAAGACCCCATCTCCAAAAAAAAAAAAAAATCAACTCTGTGCAAACAAACAAAGCATTCTAGTTCAAAAGTTTAGCTTTTGCACAAATTTGTCAGGATTTTGCTTCATTGTTTCTGGGTTTTATATTTTCCTCAGGAAGCCCTGGGCTACCCCATGATTATAAAACATATTCTTAAATTTTTACCTAAAACTTTTATAAATTGTTAAACATATTTGGCTTTTGAGTACATCTAGAATTAATCCTGTGAATTGTGTGAGCGATGTCCTTTTTCCCATCCGCCAACAAGTGGAAAGAAAACAATCCAAAAATCATGCCTTAAAAGAATGCCTTGAATAAAAATTTATCTGCCCCTTGTATGTATGAAATACAATCTTTACCATAGCCCATATTCTATAAATAATGGATTGGCGTGGGGAATGGGAACTGCTTTTTTCTGTTCCACTGATTATTTTCACATTTCTGGCTCTATATCTTAATTACTATATGTGTCTCTTACTATGTCTCCTTTAATTGCTATAGCTCACAGGCCTTGGTATACTATTCAACAGAACAAGGACCCACCAGTGGTCTTTTTATATATTTACTGGATAGCATCGAGCATGTTTCTTTTGCAAATGAGTCTTAAGAACATTGTTAAATGCCGTAAAGAATCTCATTGAATTTTTAATTTGAGAATTATTGAATGTATATATTAATTTCCAAAGAACTGACTTTATTAAGAATATTAACCAAAATATGAGATGTCTTCATTTTTTGAGCTCTTTTTTATCTACTCTACAACAATGCTACAGTAGGATTTCACATTTTCGTCCTACTGATCTTGCATGAATCTGTTAACATTTATTTATAAGACATTTATTTTTACTTGTTATTGTTACTGTAAATAATAGTACTTTTTCCCCATTACATTTGAAAAACAGTTAGTGCTTGTGTATAAGGCAGCTATTGTTTTAGGATATTAATCTCGTATCCAAAGAGAAAAGGCATTCGTTGTGCATAGGGCATGGCTAGGGAAGGCAAGTGGAGAGATTTACAGAGGACAAAAGCCAGTTTAGGACACCATTTGGATCTCTGAGAAGGATCCAGCATCCCTCAACACTACCGGCTTGGCTGAACACAGTGAGGTGTAGGGGGCAAGATAAAAGGAACCCCAGGGTAGTTGCAGGAAACTCTTCTGTGTGGAACTCTGAAAATTTTACTGACATTTTTGTACTGAAGAAATGGTGGCATGGTGTGTTTAGGCAGAGAGGAAGCCTTAGATAGCGTACACAAGTTTCCCTGAGGCTGAGCAGTTCCTGCCTGTCCCAGAGGTGAATACAGATGTGCTGAGTGCCAATGAGAAAGAGACTTGGAGTGGAGGCCACAAGAGGACAGTGTCTAGAGACTTGCATCCTAAGGCCATGGCAGGAACCACTGGCCTCAGCAGCACACACCAACCCCACTCAAAGGTCAGGTGGGACCAGTTTCGTCCAGACAGGATGCAGTGGGGAAAGATGCCAACAACCTGAGACACACCAAGGAAGACTCAAGGAATGTACATGAGAGAGAGGTCACCCTCACTACCGAGACAGTACTTAAGTTTCTCTGGCCTTATGATGCCATTCTGGGGTGGAGAGAAAGGGAAAAGCTCTTCATATGGAAGAAAAAAAAACAGTATGGAGTATGGGTTTTCAAGCAATTACATTTAAATTATGTATTGACTGAGCGATTTTCTGAAAGTGATCAAATTCAACACTAGGAGATCCTAGGCCAGGTGCTGTGGCTCTCGCCTGTAATCCCAGCACTTTGGGAGGCTGAGGTGGGAGGATCACCTGAGTTCAGAAGTTCAAGGCTAGCCTGACCAACATGATGAAACCCCATCTCTACTAAAAATACAAAAAAGTTATCCAGGCATGGTGGCAGGTGCCTGTAATCCCAGCTACTCAGGAAGCTGAGGCAGGAGAATTGCTTGAACCCAGGAGGCGGAGGTTGCAGTGAGCTGAGATTGTGCCATTGTACTCCAGCCTGGGCAACAAGAGCAAATCTCTGTCTCAAAAAACAAAAACAAAAAATAAACTAGCAGATCCTGAGTTACCCTGAAGTGACAAGATTAAATGCTTTGCTCTCAAAGAAAGAAGAAAATCACAAGCAAGTTGAATTCAGTCATAGGAAAATAATATTGCATTTCTGCACATCTGAGTCATAGTGTGTAACTTTAAAAGTTTTTTCATGCTAATATAATTTGAGCAGCTACAAAAATCCTGTAGAACATACAACATCTGTCCTCTTGATGTGTGCCACTTCATGTATACACATTGGGCCACATTCCACAGTTATGTAGTCAAGGCTAAAAACTCTAAGTGATAGCAGGGTGTGGTAGCATGTGCCTGTAATCCCAGCTATTCAGGAGGCTGAGGCACAAGAATCGCTTGAACTCAGGAGGCGGAGGTTGCAGTGAGCCAAGATCATGCCACTGCACTCCAGCCTGGTTGACAGAATGAAGCTCTGTCTCAAAAAACAAAAAAAAAATTATAAGTGAGAAGTCACTGTTATGTTGCATAGCAACATTCCTTCATGAAAAGCAAGGACTCTGCAAAACCAAACATTCAAAAATATGCAATTCAGTTAACACTTTGTTTGAAGGCAATCTGTTATCCGAGTACTCTTAAAGAAACAAAAAATGGATCAACATCTCAGTCCACATTTGTACCTATGGACATGGCAATGGCATAGGGAAATGAGAAGGGTATTCCCTCAGCACTGCCCAATCATGAAGCCCACCTGCATTTTCACCTAATAGAAAAGCAATAATTAAAAGTTTGATTTTAAGGTTCTAATTCCAGGTAGAGTGGGTTAATTGCAACCCACCCCATCTCTTTCCCTGAATGCAGCTATAAAACCTGGCAGAATACATGCAGCAACTATTTAAGGACTCTGAAAAGTAAATAGTAGCAAGCAGATGGGAAAAGAAGATGAGAATGCAAAGGACCCCGCTAAACTAGTGGTAAATTCACCACGATTTTCCCTCCAGTATCCTCTGGACAGAACCCAGGAGACATCTGGAAGTGAGCATCAGCTCCTAAAGAGAATACTCCAGAAGATATTCCTAATTAAGGCTTGAGGAATAGAAAAGGAAGTGCTGGCTGCAACAGTAGGAACAGCAAATGTGCTGGAGATTTCTTTTCTGGAAAATCTCAAGCCTAATTTATTTAATAGTTATAATACTACTCAAGTTATATATTTTATTTTGGGTGAGTTTTGGTAAGTCATGGCTTTTGAGGAAGAGATCTATTTCATCTAAGCAATCAAATTTCTGTGCCTAGAGTTGTTCTGCAGGATCTGTAGTAATGTCCCTTCATTTGCTCCTGATATTGGTAATTTGTGTCTTCTCCCTCTTTTTTTCCTCTCCTCCATTTTGCTAAAAATTCATCAATTTTCTTGATATTTTCAAAGACTAGCTTCTACTTCCATTGTGTTCTTCTATTATATATTGATAAACACAGCAACTTGGGTGAATCTCAGAGTTATTATCCTGAGTAAAAGCTGATCTCAAAAATTACATCCTGTATGATATTGAAAAAAGAAAACTATACTGGCATGAAACAGACCAGTGGTTGCGAGTTGTTGGAAGGCAGTGATGTCACCACAAAGGCACAGCACAGGCAGGTTTTTGGGGTGATGAAAACCAGGACACTGTTCAGCATCCTGTCTATGTTTGTGGTCATGAAAATCTATATGAGCAAAGGCTCACAGAACTGCACACAAAAATCAAGTCAATTTTACCATATGTTAATATATTTTTTATTTTATTTTATTTTATTATTTTTCTGAGACAGAGTCTCACTCTGTCACCCAGGCTGGACTGCAGTGGCACGATCTCGGCTCACTGCAAGCTCCGCCTCCTGGGTTCACGCCATTCTCCTGCCTCAGCCTCCCGAGTAGCTGGGACTACAGGCTATGTTAATTTAAAAATTAAAATATTAGCATCTCTTCTAAGTTCAGAGGAGAAATAAGACTTTGATTTAAGAAACATCTTAATGTAAAAATGTATACCAAATTAAGTAACTGTGTAATTAATTAGCTTTTCAATTAAACAGACATTTCTCTTCCTTCATAAACTTGAAAAATAAATTTAATTATCCCTATTTTCAACAAGTTTTGGGGAAAGAAGCATTCTCACGTAACATTTGAGGGAGTCAGATTGTGTCACTTGTGTCATTAGATTTTTTGTAACATTTTGTGTCATTAGATTTAAATGGCTAAAAGCTCCTTGACTAGATATTTATCACCAAGGAAATTTAAAATGTATATATCTTTAGATCTACTTATTCTATTTCTAGGAATTTTTTTTTTAAACAGAGTTCGTTTTTGTTGCCCAGGCTGGAGTGCAGTGGCACCAACTCGGCTCACTTCAACCTCCAACTCCCTGGTTCAAGCGATTCTCCTGCCTCAGCCTCCCGAGGAGCTGGGATTACAGGCACGTTCCACCACACCCAGCTAATTTTTGTATTATTAGTAGAGACAGGGTTTCACCATGTTGGCCAGGATGGTCTCGATCTCCTGACCTCGTAATGCACCCACTTCGGCCACCCAAAGTGCTGGGATTACAGGCATGAGCCATGACACCTGGCCCATTTCTAGGAATTTTTAGCACAGATGTACTTTCACAAAATGCAGTACTGTATACAGCATGTTTATTGCAGTACACTTTACAATAGCAAAATACCAGAAGCCACCAAAACCACCTTGATCTCCCTTAATAAATACATTATAGGCCGGGCACAGTGGCTCACACCTGTAATCCCAGTTCTTTGGGAGGCCAAAATGGGTGGATCACCTGAGGTCAGGAGTTCAAGACCAGCCTGGCCAATATGGCAAAACCCTGTCTCTACTAAAAATACAAAAATTAGCTGGGTGCGGTGGCACGTGCCTGTAATCCCAGCTACTCAGGGAGGCTGAGGCAGGAGAAGAGATTGAACCAGGGAGGCAGAGGTTGCAGTGAGCCAAGATCACAAGATGGCACTGTAGCCTGGATGACAGAGTGAGACTCTGTCTCAAAATAAATAAATAAATAAATAAATAAATAAATAAATAAATAAATAAAATACACACATACAATTAACTCAGAAAACCACCTTTTAAATCAGGCCAATCATCAATTATGGATATTTTTAAATTTCTAAAATTAATCAAGAAAAAATAACAAGATGAAGAAAAATATATAGAGATTGATCTCACTGCTGTTTATCAAAGGACTTATATATGTTGGGGGCTTATATACATTCATAAAAATTCTTGGAAGGATATACAAAATATTGTTTGCAATTGTTATTTCTTTGGGGTGAGCTTGATATAGAGGGAGGAGCAAGGAAATAGTTTTTGTCTTCATTTTAAATCTTTCTAAACTGAGAAAACACAAACATGATTTTTTTTTAACTAGTGAAAAATAATAACGCCATGTTTGTTAATCAGGATAGCTGACCTTCAGCCAACCCTGGGAAACATCATTCCTGGGAACATCCATAGTCAGAAGGATCTTAATAGGGTCAGAGAGAAGAACCTGAAGGCCTATCATCCTCTGTGAGTAAGAAACAGTTCCTCCAAGGAATTCTGCAGCCATTGCCTACTGAAAGGTGATACGAGCATAAAAGGATGAAGCCACTGGGGCTCTGTGACCAGACTCTTTCGATAAATTCATGGACAAGTCCCCAGGGTTGGACTTGGTTTCTCTGGATTAACAATATAAAAGCCATAGTTTAAAAATTTTCTAATTTACAGTAAAGTTAATATTTCTAGGGCATATGTACAAGAACACAGAAATTCTTCATACTGAAAGACATCATCAACAACAACAATCACACTAGGTTTGTGATCTTGAGAAAATTACATAATTTTTTTGTTCGGTAATGTCTTTAGCAATACAACAGGGATTGGGTGGTGGGTAAGACCCTTGCAGTCCTAGAATCAGTGAGTTTCCCTGTCTGGTTCAGACACTGAATTTTATACAATTCTATTTTCCAGATTCAGATTTCATTTGTCATTAGATTAAGACTGGCCAGTAGTCAAATGCCAATCTTTACACCATTCTAATAAGACATTATGTGTTTTAGGGTGGGTGCAGTGGCTCACTCCTGAAATCCCAACACTTTGGGAGGCAGAGGCAGGCAGATCACCTAAGATCAGAAGTTCGAGACCAGCCTGGCCAACATGGTGAAACCCGGTCTCTACTAAAAATACAAAAATTAGCCAGGCACGGTAGTGCACGCCCGTAGTTCTAGCTATCTGGGAGGCTGAGGCACAAGAATCACTTGAACCTGGGAGGTGAGATTGCAGTGAGCCAAGATTGCACCACTGCACTAAAGCCTGGTGACAGAATGAGACCCTGTCTTAAAAAAAAATTATGCATTTTAGTTGGTTGTTCAGATTTGCTGTATTATAGAGAAAATGCTCTTAAACGCTAAATTTCTCACAAGTTTTAAACTTCTCACAAAGTTTATTTTTTTGCTTCTATTAAGTATTGAAATGCCTTCAAAGATAAATTTCTATTTCAAAACTGGGTATGGCTTAAGAACAAAAGGAAAATATTGCATGGCATTTATTTAATAAGAACCAAAGTCAAAGAACCATTTGTTATACTGAAAAATAGTCTAAATATTTTCAAATATATAAACAAAAATATCAATATTTTGTAGTTAAGGAATAAAAGCTAGGAATCAGCAATTTTTTTCTCAGGCATTTTAGCTCATTCTCATTATCCTGCATATCATACTATATAGCCTCCTGGGACCCCTGTCTTATTACTTTTTTTTTTTTTTAAACGGAGTCCTGGTCTGTGGCCCAGGCTGGAATGCAGTGGCATGATCTCTGCTCACTGCAACCTCTACCTCCTGAGTTCAAGCGATTCTCCTGCCTCAGCCTCCTGAGTAGCTGGGACTACAGGCAACCACCACCACACCCAGCTAATTTTTGTATTTTTAGTAAAGACGGGGTTTTACCATGTTGGCCAGGATGGTCTCAATCTCTTGACCTCCTGATCCGCCTGCCTCACGCCTCCTAAAGTGCTGGGATTACAGGCGTGAGCCTGGCCCGTCCTATTATTTCTATCTGGATGCACATCCCAACTCTCTTCCGCTCTTGCCCCAATTCTGCTCCAGCCCCACCCCAACTCTGTTCCAGCCTTGCTCCAGCAGCCTGGCCTCCCTGGACTTTCCACACCCACTGCTGCACTTGTGCAATCTGAACCATCCTTCCTCACTAACCAGACAGAGTTTGCCCTTGAAGGATGGAAGAGGGAGGGGAAGGAAAAGAAAAGGACCAAGGGAAGGAGGAATGGGAAGGGAGGAAGAGAGGGAGAAAGGGACAGGGAGGCAGGGAAAAAGAAGAAAGTTAAAGAAGAGATACGCTGCCTGCTAGTTTGTCGTCCATGTTCAGTTTCTTCCTTCTTTCACCTGAAAACCCTGCCCAGAACAATTTCTTCATATTCAAAAAATGAAAGAATCCCTTGAATGACGACAAGTGACATAATATGCATTAACCTAATCTCTGACGAGAAACTGATTCATCACCTGCATTTCAGAGCCCTGGGAAAGTGGACGTGGAGGGATAAGTGGATTTGGGGGCAGGCAGTAAGTTTCTGAGGTGCATTTCAGAAGTTCTCCTCCAAACCATAAATAAAAGCAGGTTGGCTACAGCCTGGCATGAGTGACCAGAACAAAACATCATGTCACCCAGGACTACCAGTGAACACCCTCCTCACAGGGTCCCAGGTGGATGACCAGGGGGTGCTAGAGAGATGTTGTTATCCAAGCCAACTTCCCCAAGAGCTCACTGGTTAAAAAGAGAGAGAGACGAAAAAAAAAAAAAAAAGAAGTTCAGAACATCGGAGATTTAAAACAATTGCCTAGAAGAAAAAATTGTTTTTCATTTTGGGGAGTTCAAGGAATGGAAAATAATGATACAGTCTTCAGCAAAGTCATTGGTAAAATTTTAGTTTCCAAACACATCTGCTTCTCCCATCTTCCTTAATACTGCACCCCCTCCCACACTTAATGACTAACCAGCAACCCTCATAATCAAAAGGAACCAGGTACCTGGTGGCTGTGTTTAAGAGGTATTTAACCATCCAATTCCAAAGCCCCTGCTCAGATATCAAATATGAGGGCAAGATGGGGGGGAGGGAGAGAGGCCCAGGAGACTATAGGATGCTGGTGCAGACGAGGGTCATAGAAAAAGAGGGGAGAAAATACAGAGCTCTCCTGGGGAGAGAGAAGCCCCCACACCCCCCAACACCTCTTCAACTCTATTATTCCCCTGGCAGGAGAAAGTTTGTCAGGGAACAGTATCTATCTTTGGACACATTGTAGCAAAAGTAAAGTCACAGATTGACACTTACTTTTCATTTGCTTGAAGATGGACTTGTTAGGTTCAAGCCAGTGCTAGGGAGGAAAAAAAAAAAAGCAGAGATCAGGGGTCAAATTGCTGGACCATACAACGAATACCTAATAACTAAAAGGAATTCCAAAGTACAGCCTCGGTTTCCATAGATACTCTCCAGAATTCCACACTCTGAAGACCAACATAAACAACTTGGCAATAATCATAGCGCAGACAAGGATATAAATTACAGAGTTAACATTTTCCAAGTAATATGTGAGTCAGACAGTTGCTAGGAGAGAAGGACAAGAGAGAGAATATGCTCTCAAATGGGATGTTCTAGTACCCCTAATTGACTCCTAGGTGATTCTTTGAGCTGCATGGTTCTGTGAAAGCCGCATATGGCTAAAGACTTTTAGCATTTGACATCCACGACCTCAAAGAATCACAGTCCAAGGCAGCATCAGCATCCAGTCCTGCTTCCGGGACAAATTCCCTTAAGAGGAATATTGGGCCAAGCCAGCATTAGCCCTATCATATGCAGAGGCAATTCTTCCTTTACAGTAGGGAGGAGTAAATGATCTTAAATATCTCATTTTCAGAGGCCTGAGGTCATCAAGAAGAAAAATCAGCTCTATCACAAAATAAAGAAGCCAAAAGACTGGGGGAGTTCAGAACCATGTTACTGACAGGCATTTGAAGTAGGCACCACGCTGGTCCCAGTGGCTGGCCCTCTCTACAGCACATACAAAGATCACTTCGACATGCTGAGAGCTGGGCAGCTTTTGAGATCACTAACCATGAGGTCCCTGAAGCTGCTCAGGGAATGTCACTTAGAGTCACTTTATACACCTGTAGTTTAGAGATGATACAGGGGGTGTCCTGGGGTACCCATCCTGAGGTCAGGGAGCTCTCCTTCTGGAGGCATCCCACCTGCTTGATGCCGGAGAGGAAATCAGAAGAGCAAATTTACCGTCCATTGAGCTCTTGCACCTCACTCTATCTCCTTTGTGTTATCCAGTAAGCCTCAGGTCCTGTGTTATCCATATTCTTTGATGTAAATGCATAACCATAATAAGAGCTGGCATTTGCTGAGCGCTTACTAAACGCCAAGTGCCGTTCAAACATTTCCATGTGCTATCTTATGTAGTCCTCCCTACCACTCCACTTACAAATAAGAAGCCTGGGGCTCAGGATGTTAAACAGCTTGACTAAGGTCACTCTGCTGATAAACAGTGAAGCCAACCATGCAGCAGGATTCTGGTGCATGGGCCCTTAACCTCTCAACTGTATGGCCTCCTGGCTGATCATTTGCTCTAAAATGCATATTCTTCTCGGTGAGCACTCCCTACTTTCTCAGGAGCTGAAAAACTGAATCGTCAAATTAGTGGTTTCTAATCTAGAAACCACTGAGGGTGTCAAATCTCTGCAGTCTTCAAAAACAATAATGGGAGTCTTATAAGAGTTTCAACATTATGGAAAGTCACACACACAAAAAAACATATATTTACCCCGACCAGGTTGCACAGACAAACTGAAAAAACAAGTCTTTTTGCTTCTGGCTAAAATTATATCAACTCATTTGAGGACCCTCGTTATTGCCTTCTAATTAGAAGTTATATAGCTATAACTGAACAGTGGAAGACACATTGATTATACCACTTACCAGTTATAAACCTTGTACAAGATGCTTAATCTCTCTGTGTCTCAGTTTCCTCGACTATAAAATGGGAACAGTAATCACATCCACCTCTTAGGGCCATTGCGAGGATTTAAAAAGTTAACAAATGTAATATACACAGTGCATGAAATGTGAAAATACTCAATAAAATGATTGTTGGCCGATGCAGTTCTTATTATTTAATAGGTACAGTTTAATTGGTAGACCGCATCTTTCAATATATGTGCTTCATGGAGAAGAAGAATAAAAGAGGCCCCTGGTGGTTAAATTACTTTTCTAGAAATAAATAAATAGGATCATTTAGAACTAAGGTAAGAAAACAAATAGCAGCAAAATATCAATACTTACTGCAATTGTTTTGCAGAGGAGAATCACCAGTTATTTTGCTAATAAAGTCTGAAATATAAATATGTTTTCCAAATTCTCCTTGTTTGGCATTCTTTCAACTCCTCGGCCCTTTCTTGCCTAACTTGATCCTGCTTCTCCAACTTGTCTCTGACTCCAGGGGTGACAAGTCAGTTTCATTTTGTGTGCCCACACCAGGGCTGTGAGGAGGATTCCAAAACCAGGTGCAGGCTCTGAGAGAATGAGTGCCATGATGGATTGGCTATGTCTGCCATGCCACTATAGATTGGCGATGTCTGCCACGGAGGAGACAGGGAACATGTAAGGCATGCCTGAAAGGTATTTGCCATCTGTGTCCTAAATAAGTTATTTACTCTAAATAAACTGGCCTCCTTATTGTCCTAAGAAACACACCTTGCAGTTTCAGATCAGTTTCTATCATCCTTTTCCTCTTAGCCTAACCACACCCTACATTTGCCTTTCAGGCCTGGTGTATCTCAGTTACCCACTTCTACAAGGTGATCTCTACACACTTTTCCAGAACAGCTATTCTTCCCCAAAGGGAGAGTCATGAGGTATGCAGTCCTAGGAAAAATAAGCCAGCAATAATGTTTCAAGGAATTACAGGAAATCATTTCTTCAAAGAGGGCCAAGTTCAACTTGTTAGTATTCATTAAACTGCTAACACAGAAACAGAAAACCAAATACCAATACCACATGTTCTCACTTATAAATGGGAGCTAATGATGAGAATACATGGGCACATAGAGGGGAACAACACACACTGGGGCCTATCAGAGGGTGGAGGGTGGGAGGAGGGACAGGATCAGGCAAAATAACTAATGGGAACTAGGCTTAATACCTGTGTGATGAAATAATCTGTACAACAAACCCCTATGACAAAAGTTTACCTATATAACAAACCTGCACATGTACCCCTAACTTAAAAGTTAAAAAAGACCGGGCGCAGTGGCTCACACCTGTAATCCCAACATTTTGGGAGGCCAAGGTGGGTGGACCGCCTGAGGTCAGGAGTTCGAGACCAGCCTGGCCAACATGGTGAAACCCCATCTCTACTAAAAATACAAAAATTAGCCTGGCGTGGTGGCAGGTGCCTGTAATCCCAGCTTCTCGGGAGGCTGAGACAGGAGAATCGCTTGAACCCAGGAGGCAAAGGTTGCAGTGAGCCAAGATGGCGCCATTGCACTCCAGCCTGGGCCACAAGAGCAAGATTCTGTTTAAAAAAAAAAAAAAAAGTTAAAAAAAAAAACCACCTGACAGGTCCATGGCCCAGTAAGTTCTTTATTCTCCAACTTACCCATGTGGACAAAGAGGTACCCAACAAGAATCTTCACTGCAATATTATATAAAATTACAAAATATTAGAAATAACATTAATGGCCATCATCAGGAAAATGGGTAAATAGACTGTGATCTGTTCATATTCTGGATGATTCTGCAGCAGTGTTTTCTATGAGGGAGATCTTTATGTGTAACATGGACAGATCTCTAAGGCATATTGTGGGATACAAAAAGTGAACTGAAAAATTTATCATTATACCTGCAATCAGTTCTCAAATTGTGCACTAAGTCACCCCAGAGAAACACAGCCACAGTAGACATCAGTCAGCGCCATGTGAATTATGAACTCAAAGGAGTACACAGTTCCAACATTAGATTGTGCTATATTCCTTTTTTTTTTTTTTTTGGCAGGGCTTTCTATGTTGCCCAGGCTTGTCTCAAAAGCCTGGGCTCAAGCAATCCTCCCACCTTGGTCTCCCAAAGTGCTAGGATTACAGGCATGAGCCACCACACCTGGCTGTGCTATATTCCTTTTGATATTATATGTATATATGGTATCAAATATGTATATTTGATAAAATATATACATATATTTTGCAAAGCTTGGTTTCTAGCAGTTGCTGTGATAATAGGCAAGTACCACATAGAAATAGGTGTGCAACAAGCAATGAGCATGGTAGTGTGTCCAATATGATCCTAGGGGTGCCCAACCGGCACCCGTTATTAAGAAATTGTGGTTGTTTAAGAATGAAATGAAAATACTATTTTTTCTGCAATTTATATGTATAATGTCTTACATAACTACTAAAATTTTAGGACATAACTACTTGCTTGGATCTAACTCTTATTAGATGAAACTGTTAGGTATTCTCCTGGCCTATGGAGGCCATGAAATAATCACTAAGATACTAAGAGACAGCCAGAAATTGGGAAAGTTTGGGAGGCTTTGAACTACTTTACCATATCTTTAATATGTTTTCTTTCAAAATAAAAAATATAAACATTATCATACATTCAAAAAATATATATGTAAGCATCTAAATATATTTGTAAAGATCCGAAATGATACACAGTAAAATGAGACTAATGGAAGGATAATAGGAGAGGGAAACACACATTTAGGAGTGTTAACCAAAGAAAACCATGACTTCAGTATTTTCCGTGATGTTTTAACTTTAATTTTTTACATGTACTGGTGCAAGATACAGTTTGGATGTGTGTCCCCAACCAAACCTCATGTTGAACCGTAATCCCCAATGTTGGAGGTGGGGCCTGATGGGGAGTGATTGGATCACAGGAGCAGATTTCTCATTAATGGTTTAGCACCTTCCTCTTGGTGCTGTCCTTGTGATAGTGAGTTCTTGCAAGATCTGGTCATGTAAAAGTGTGTGGCACCTTCCTCCTCTCTCCTGCTCCTGCTCCCACTGTGTGAGATGTCTGCTTGCCCTTTGCTGTCCACCATGACTGTAAGCTCCCTGATGCCTCCCCAGAAGCAGATGCTGGCACCATGGTTCCTGTACAGCCTTCAGAACCATGAGCCAACTAAACCTGTTTTCTTATAAATTACCCAGTCTCAGGTATTTCTTCATAGCAATGCAGGAACAGCCTAACACAGTACATTACACAAATAATTAAAAATCTACTTTTTAAAAAAAGACGGCTAATGTCTACTCAGAGGATGAAAGTAGATTTCATGTAAATTAGCCTGAATGAGTTCATACATGATAGGCAGATATCAAACCCAGCTGAGCACACAGGGTTGACATTGTGGTCAGACCTAGGAGCCAGCAGGCCTAGATTCAAATCCCAGCCCTAACACTGACAAGCTGTGGACTTAGAGCGAGTTCCCTGGTTTCCTCACTTACAGCATCATGGAGAAGTTTAAATGGGTTAATTCATGAAGAAGGCCTTAAAACAGAGCTTGGTGCATCGTGAAGGCTCAATAAGCACTGGCTGTTACCATCTTTAGGCTCCATGAAAGAGACTTCTCACTTGGTACCATGGCAGTTTCCATGAGTCTAACTGTGTCCTTCTTTTTTGTTTTTTTTGTTTTTTTTGAGACAGAGTCTTGCTCTGTCACCCAGGCTGGAGTGCAGTGGCACAATCTCAGCTCACAGCAGCCTTCAGCTCACTGCAGCCTCCACCTCCTGGGTTCAAGCAATTCTCCCGCCTCAGCCTCCAGAGTATCTGGGACTACAGGTGCAAGCCACCATGCCCGGCTAATTTATATATATATATAATATACATATAAAATTTATATATATAATATACATATAAAATTTATATATATAATATACATATAAAATTTATATATATAATATACATATAAAATTTATATATATAAAATATACATATAAAATTTATATATACAATATACATATAAAATTTATATATATTATACATAATTTATATATATAATTTATATATTATATATAATATGTATAATTTATATTATATATATAATTTATATATTATATATAATATGTATACTTTATATTATATATAATATATATACTTTATATTATATATAATATATAATTTATATTATATATAATATATATTATATATGTATAATTTATATATATACTATATATAAATTTTATATAAATATATATACTATATATAAATTTTATATAAATATATATACACTATATATATAAATTTTATATAAATATATATATATTTTAGTACAGATGGGGTTTCACTATGTAGGCCAGGCTGGTCTCAAACTCCTGACCTCAAGTGATCCACCTGCCTCAGCCTCTCAAAGTGCTGTGATTAACTGTGTGAGCCACCACGCCCAGCCTGACTTTGTCCTTCTCTTTCTCCCTGACTCCTCATCTCACTCTCCCTTCTGTTCAACATGAGGAGATTAATTATCTATACAATTGCAATACCAGCTGTTAGCCCTTTGCCTCTCTCCTCATCCCCTTCCTCTCTCTCCTCTCTTTTCTCATTCTTCCAATTAGAGTTATGAGTTGGCCAGTGAAGTGGAGTCTGGACTACACCAATAACTCCTGCTATTATTGGAGGTACAGATGGATTACACTTGAGGGAAAAAATAACCACCATGATGTGGCATGCTTGGTAATTAGATATAAGTCTTAGAACATTTATTGCATTGCTATTTTCCTTTTGATTGCTACTTGGAATATATGCTGTTCTGATATTTTTAAGTCTTTTTCCTTACTGGAAACTGAGTTTCCCTAAGAAAGGCAAAAAGGAGAACCTGGTAACAAAATATCTGAATTTGTGGCTAATTTACTGTAGCTGAAATCTTCTTTTCCTCAACTCTCATTTAGAATAAAATTTCCAAAGGCTATAAGAAAGCTAAGACCCCATCATTGATTCTACAAAATGAACTAGGGGAGTAAGATGAACCAGTGGATTCACCCCTTAGTATGATTTGAAGGTACCAGGAAGGCATCTGCAGCAGATACTGTCAAGCCCCAGCAGCCTGACGCTTTTTAGGAAGGATGCCCTCAGTTTACTGGAGTCCACCACAGGGTAGAGAATTGAAACTTCCTACCCCACCTCACCCTCCACAAACCAGGGTAGCTCTTAACTAATGACTATCAGATGTGGTAGTATAAATACCTCTGCTCCCTCACCCCTTGGATGGCACAACTCTAAGGCATGGCCTACACTGATTCCAGAACTCCCCTATGAGATTGAGCCCAAAATACCCTCTACATGACTTTGCCCAGCATTACACACTTGCTTGGCCTCCTTCGCCTCCCTCCTGTAATCCTCTACTCCCCTACAAGTCTTTTCCTGGAAACACTTCCTAACAAATCACTTATACAGAAATTTTTATCTCAAGGTCTGCTTCTTCAAACCAGACCTAAAACAGCCTCCCTAACTCTCCACTAAAAGCTGTCTTCCATGGTGTTTAAAATCATTTCCCTGGGTATTTATTCCCTTTGCCTTAAGCTTAAACCCTGGAAACCTGCAAAGCCCCTGTGAAAGATCCCAGTTTGCAGAATTGTTGAAATCTACCTGACCACATTTCAAGACTTTTCTTAGAACAAATTTATTTTGGTTGAGAGCAGTTTCAAGAGAAAGAAGATGAGCTACACAAAGGGGGTGAAAAAGCAGAGAGATTCCTAACCCTATGTTTTGGTTTCCTTATCTGTGATCTTGGTGGAGATGGTGGGAGGCCGATTCCAGAACTCCTGAGTTTCCTTGTTCTAACAGTCCACAGTCTATGAACCTGAAGGATGAGGATATTGCCAATGAATGTTTCTTTCTTTTTAATTTTGCGAGGCACAACTGCACTTAGCCCTGAGAGATCATTTTCCTCTACCTTATCATACAAATGGTGCATATCTTTCATATATTCTCATTTTGGCTTGGTTGGGGAAAAAGAAGGTGGGTATGGGGTGGTACTTTGTGACTAAGAAGATTGATTTTTAATTTGGCCACTGCTAAGACAAAAAAAATTGCATCTAAAAGTAAACAATATAGCACTTAGTTATCTTCAAATGTTTGGCTTCTGTTGAAATCGATTCAGTGTATGATTACAGAATAAATTACGCACTTCTCTGTTTACTTTCTCAAAGCCCTTGGTACCCTAAGCCAGAGTAATTTGTAGCCCAGAGAAATATGTTAAATAACCCAGGGGGCTTTTAAAAAGAATGAATGCACTTCCCCAGACAAGAGATTGTTTTTCACCTCAATAGTAACCAGATCCAAAATTTGAGCAATTCCCATGACGACCCTAAAAAGATGGCCTGATTTCTTGCATCCACCTAGACAAAGCCCCAGAGTAACTTAGTCTCTGTGTTATCATGCAGCCAATTTATGTCATTCCTAGCCCCTCTGGCCTCTTCTGGGGAAAAAAGAATGCCATCTGATGAATGTAGCCTTATCAGTGTTCCAGATTATAAGGCTATAGCGAGGCCTAGTTATTTAGCTGCCAATAATCATGGTTTCCATTCCAGTTTCAAGAAGATCTATGACACAACAGCAACAACAACATCAACAAACCTGTAGATCACGAACGCTCAAAAATGTTTTTCCATTTGGAAATCAATCTATGTAAGAAAATCCGCTGGGCACAGTGGTTCATGCCTATAATCCCAGCACTTTCGGAGGCCAAGGTGGGCAGATCACCTGAGGTCAGGAGATCGAGACTGTCCTGGCTAACAGGGTGAAACCCTGTCTCTACTAAAGATACAAAAAATTAGCCGGGTGTGGTGGCACACGCCTGTATTCCCAGCTACTCAGGAGGCTGAGGCAGGAGAATTGCTTGAACCCGGGAGGCAGAGGTTGCAGTGAGCCTAGATCCTGCCACTGCACTCCAGTCTGGGTGGCAGAGTGCAAAAAAAAAAGAAAAGAAAGAAAGAAAAAAGAAAATCTTCATTGTTTCACTGTAGTGTTTTCCACTCCTTTAGCCATGATGTTTTTGTATTCTAGGGTCTCAGGGATGGGCAAAAGAGAGATAACAGCCAGAAGAAGAAACACTGCGCAAATCAGGGGAGGGGCCAGGAAGTCTTTAAAAAAAAGCATTTGTGTCCCTTCATCCATTAAGCAACCTCCATTCCCTTCCCTATTTTGGAAATTTTTATTTTTTGTAAAGGACCAGATAGTAAATATTTTAAGCTTTGTGATCTACATGGATCTCTTTCACAACTACTCAACCCTGCTATTGGAGCATGAAAGCAGCTGCAGACAATATGTAAATGAACAGAATTAGCTGAGTTCCAATAAAACCTTATTTACAAAAACAGTTGGAAAGCCATCCTGACCCTTGCATGCCAGTCCCTACTCCCAAGAAATCTTTAATAGACACTCAAAAAAAAAATGATAGTTTGAAAATGCCATAGGATGTAAAAAAAAAACATGTATTACTATTTATTTTAAAGTACGCTAGTAACTAAAATGCAATCATCTATGAAATGAAATTATGGAATTTTTTTCAAGCTTGTTACAGTGGAATTTACCACCATGTAGCATTTGCTGTCATGCCACATAAATTTAACAACATTGCCACCAAATTGTTCTAAAGTCAAAGATCAGCTAGCCTCTAGATTCATGGGCCTTTTTTAAAATTTCCAACTTTTATTTTAAGTTCAAGGGTACATGTGCAGAATGTGCAGGATTGTTACATAGGTAATCATGTGACTTAGCTCTTTTAAACATCTTTAAAGCATGGAAGAGTAAAAAGACCAGTTACATAAATTGATAGTATGGTTAATTCATTTAAAAAAATTATATTGCATAAGTAGTATTAGTATCCTTATTTAATAGATGAAGAAATTGAGACACAGAGGGTGTAAGGAACCTGCTCAAAGTGGTACAACCAGCAGGTGGCAGAGATAGGATTTGCCCTGGTCTTCATGATGCCAAAGCTTTTAGCACCTGAACAATTTCCTAAAATAGCAAAAGATAGTCATCATTTCCTGACTCAGTCCTTTGATCCTGCCTCCCTGCTTGGAACTGCAGCTCACTCCCTCTTATTGAGTCTATACCTATCCTTGCTCCCAGAATGTTTCTCTCTGCACATTCTTTTCTTTCTGCTCTGTCTGATCTTTGTCCATCTCCTTTGCTGGTTTTGAATCTCTTCCCAGGGCTTTGAAGTCATGAAAGACTTCACTGGCTCCCAAATCCCCATCTGTGGCCCAAACCTCCTCTTTAATCTTCAGACCTATATTGTCATCTATACACTAAACATCTCCACCTCAACTTCTCTCATGCATCCCAACTCAAAACGTTCAGAACTTATCACTTTTCCCCCAAAACCTGTTCTCTTTCCTGTACAACTTATTTGGTAAGTGGCTCCACCTATACTTGGAGCTCTAAGCAGCCGTGTAAGAAGTACAAACACCCTGCTGGAGAGGTCATCTGGAAAGGGCCTGAAACTACATCAGAGGGAGAGGACCCCTGAGCCCTACCTTCCAGCCCTCTGCATCAAGGCACCAGGCATATGGATGAAGATGTCTTGGATCCTCCAGATCGGACTAGCTGCTAGCTAAACACCGCTGAGTGATCCAGTCAACACCATGTGGGGCAGAAGAATCTCCCAGCTGAGCCCTGCTCAAATCCCTGAGCCACAAAATGCTGTGATATAATAAAATTATGTTGTTTTGAGGCACAAACTTTTGGGAAGGCTCATTAAACAGCAATAGATAATGAGAACTACTAGATCCTCATCATTAACCTCCACACATGTAACAGACAACTACTACTGAACCTTGAAGGAAATAAAATAGTCATTTTCTAACCTATACTGTTTTTATTTCTCCAAGTCATACATCATAGCCACATTCTAGTCTTCCCAGTTAGACTTAAAGATATTTTTAAGACTAATTTGAAACTTCCAAACCTGCTGGTCTCTAGTCAGCCCTGCTGTTCTTGCCTGCTGGAAGCCTCCAGTGAGTACTTTACTCTTCAACCACCACATTTAAACCTGTTTCCCTAACTGATTTCTACCCAGGCTGTCCCACCACCAACACAGGAAAAACTTCTTACCTTGGATAGCTTCCTGATTTTTCCTGACTCAAACAAGGATAAAATGGCATTTTCCCAGCCCCTGCCTTCTGGCTCAAATGAGATAACCAGGTCATGTGTTTGCCCCTCCCCTTCCACTATAATGTGCACATCTCCGTTGGCTAAGTGACTTCTAGATGGCAACATTTTATCAAGCATCCATTTCCCTCCTCAGGAGAGGATATCAGATGTAAACAGAGTCAATTATGAGCCATCCTTTTAGTTAAAGACCAAGTACTGCTTTCTGCTGAAGCAATCTGACAATTTCCCCAAATGCATCAGTGTTCATACCTTGAGCCACAATTGAAGCACTGACAATATATTCCATTTTCAAGTTATCACGATAGTACTGTCTTCCTTTTAACCTGAGTGTCAAAGTCCTTTCCCACAAAGCCAAGTTACTTGTACCTGTCTGCCCCTGACACACACACACAGACACCCAAGAAGTCTTGATCTTTAATACCTTTTGAAACGTAAACAAAAGAGGACTCATTGAGCAGACAAATTTGTGATCAGTGACTTGAGGCAGCAGCACAACCCTTTTCTTCAGGGCAGGGCTGCCCTAAATCTTAGGTACCACTCTTGCTCCTAGTGATGAGCAGCTGTGAAGTAATTATCCCGAGAAGCAGGAAGCAGCCTCTCAATGGCAGGAGCAGCTGGTGGGACATAATGCTGTCTGGCTTCCTGGCACCATCCCCAGAGTGAAACCTCCAATCACTGGGCCAGCTTTTATTCCATTCCACGTCCTCCCCAAGGTGCCTCTAGAAAAAGCAAATTGCTCTAACATAGACAAGGTCTTTTCCTGTTATTAATAAAACTTACTGATAGGCTCTCTAGTTCCTTCTGGCTACCAACATAAAAGCCTTGGGGCTGTAATTATATTAGGGTTGTGACGGTGGGGGATCAGGACTGAACATGACCTTGCATCCATGATTTCCAGCTCATCCTCCTATCAGAAAACCTATTAAATCCTCTAGCATCTGGTAGACATTAAGACACAATGGCCTATCATTGGGCACTTGAGGAGTGTACCCCAAAAGTGTGGATTTCCAAAGTAAATCCCGTGTATTTGGGTGTGAGTCAAAATCAGAAAAGTCAACAACACTGATGGAAATGGGTTAAACAGATAATTAGCAATTCCAAAGTTAAAACCAAAAGCATTTAGTACTACCTCCCTCCAGACCATAAAGCAGCATCCTACAACCCAGTCCTAGTGTAATTCTTCCTCTGGCTGAGCTGGGAGCTGGGGCACTCAGCTCTAAGGCATGGGGTGAGGGGAGACTTCCTTAGCTGGATTTGGGGAAATAAAAAGGGTAGAAGAACATAAGGGGAAAACCCAGGACAATGGACATCTAAAACCATAGCTATGGAAACTAGAGCTATGAAATCCAGCTAATTATTTCAAAACTTCATCTTTCCAAAGGGAAGTTACCCAAATACCTGAGCAGAAGTGGTAAAAAGAATATACTGGAGTAAAAAAAAAAAAATCTAAACTTAAGCCAAGTACTACCTTCTTCTAGAATTACTTCTAGACTTATTGTCCCAGTTTTCTCTATCAGTAAAATGGAGAGAATACCACCCACTTTTTCCCTAATCTTAGGCAACTAAGATTATACAAGTTTCTTAGAAGATGAATGTTGTAGAAACTGAGGAGATTTTTTACTGGCCAGTATTCAACCTATCCTTCCCTATATCAAATTAAAAAATAATAATGGAAATGCTGGGCCCTGGACATCAAAATAGCAAAAGATAGTCATCATTTCCTGACTCAGTGTTTCCCATTTCCAGAGCATCTGGGGCATGAGACATCTTGCCAAACATATGGTGTTCCAAATGCAATCGTGCTAAATATTTAATATTCAACAATGGTTTACTGTAAATCGAGTTGTAGGCAAACCACCAGCCCCCAAGGCAAAGGTAACTTTCACTTCAGCTTCTCTAACTCACTTGATTTTCTCATTTAATTAGCTTTCTATCCAAATAATTCATCAGTTTTACTTGCCATTCAGAAAAATACAGGAGCTGGTGAAAAAAAAAAATGTTGGTCAATTAATATCTGTTTAAAATGTCCATACCAGCATGTCTCTGTTTATGTCTTTGAGTCCATTTTTCTAATTATCCAAGGCCCATTTTCCGCCTTCTCTCTCCAATGATCTTAATAGTAGTGCCCCCTGCCTTTAAAAGATGTTCTTATAAACATTTCTAGGTTTTAGAGGTACTAATCATGAGTGTGTTTCCTCATGTCTCACCTGGACCTAGCCAATGCATAATAATTGTAAGAATAATAATAACAACCAAGAGTGAAAATAACACATACCAGATACTCAAGGTGTACCATGTGCTAAGCATTGATATACCTTATCTTTCATTCTCATATCAACCCTACAGGTTGGTATTGTTATTTGCTTTATCCATCAGGACAGAGACTCAGATAGGCTGCATAGCTTGGTCAAGATCACACAGCTTACTAATCAGGAGAGATGGGATTTTTAATTCATATCTTTCTGAGTCCAAAGTCCTTGCAGTTGTGCACAGCAACTACCCTGCAACCCAAGTGAAAGCTACACTCACATCGTATCCTCAAAATCAAAAGGCTATAACAGCTGTATAATGCAGAGAGAAGTATTCAGAAACACCTCTGAGCAATTTAGTGGCTACATGAGATAAGACAGTTTTGTTTTGAGGGTGGCCCCCATCCTTTCCTTTACTCTACTACCCAAGTCTGGGCATTAAAAGTTACGTTAAATAGAGTCAAAATATAAAGAACAATAAACAACCTAAAGACTTCTCTTTTATAACTTTAGTTTAAAATTTTAATAATTTTAGACATATGAAAAAAGTTGCAAAAATGATAAAGTATAACCTTCACTCATCTTCCCCTAATGTTAGCATCCTGTGTAATCACAGTACAACTATCAAAATGAGAAGCCAATATTAGCCAATTTAGTTAATGCTATTCTACCATAGCATTAACTAAACTACAGACTTTCTGTGTTCACCCAGTTTTCCCACTACTATACTTGTCTATGTTTCAGGATCCCACATTGCCTTGAGTTGACGTGTCTCTCCAATCTCTGACTGTGAATCCAGTCTGTCCTTGTCTTTCATGACCTCACACTTTTGAAGGTCAGTTATTTTGGAGAATGTTCCTCACATTGAATTTGCCTGATGTTTTCTCAATATTTGATTAAGGTTATGCATTATTGGGAAGAATGCCACAGAGATGATGTGTACTTCTCAGTGCATGGTATCAGGAGGTACCTGATGTTAACATGTGTTTTTACTGGTGATGTTAATCTTGGTATCTTGGTTAAAGTGCTATCTGTCATGTTTCTCCACTATAGAGTTATTATTTTTCCCTTTGTAATAAAAAAAATGCCTTGGAAAGGAGGGGTTACTTTGCAAATTTCCTGTTTCTCCTTAAACTTTTGCACACTAATTTTAGCTCTTGCCTGCAATAATTATTATTGTGTATGCTGATTTTCTATTTCCGTCATTCCTTCTACATTTATTAATTAAAATTCTTCTGTATGGAAGAGCTGACCCAAGTTTTCCCTTTATTTTTTGTTTAATTAATTATTTAGATTAGGATGGACTCATGGATATTTATTTCATTCTATGGGTTATAATCCAATACTATTGTTATTTTGTGACACCAGTTGTTCCTTAATGTCTTGCCTTATGGAAGCCACTGACCCTCTCTGGGCCTTAGTTTCCCCCTTCCTTAAAGGCTTTTCAGCAAGACGAGGCTATAATGAAGAACACTCATGGTACATGATAGATGCTCAACTAAATAGTAGCTAGAATTACGTCTGCAGGCTGGCCATTTATCATTTAGAATTGAATTTTGCACAAAATAACCTGTTTGCAGTGGTGACTAGAGGACTAATAGAGTCCAGAGTTTATTTGGTCCACAGGGACTTTGATGTATAATCCTAAACTCAAACACTCACTCTACCACTTATTAACTGTGAAACCTGGGACAAGTAACAACTTCTTTGAGCTTCTTTCCCTCTTATACGAGTGGAATATCTTCACAGGCTATAAAAAGTTATGGCTATGAATGTCTTTATATCATGGTCCCCAGACCAAAGCTGGCTTGGCTGCATCAAAATTAGATTAGGAATAGGCTAAGTGCATGTTGCTGGCCCTAACCCCATGGATTCTGATTTAAGAGGTCTGGAATAGGGTTCACACTACGCAAACATCTAAGGTGATTTTCTTGCAGGGCCAGGTCTGGGAACCAGTGTTACTCAGTAAACACCACACACGCCCATCCCTGACGTCATGTCAGCCCCACATCCCCACCACTGCCCTGCCACCTTCGTCTCACTCAGGTAAATGCCTGGACCATCCAAAGGTTACTGGGAGTACTACAGGAAACCAAAATCCTTCTGAGCTGTAATACTTCATTGCATCCCTTCATATAAACTTGGGTCCCTAGGACTCCAAGAGCAAAATAAGATTCTCTATGTATCAGATGCAAATCTAATCTATTCCTTAAATATCCTCTTATTTACAGAAATACACTCTGTGAGCCTCTCCTCATGGTATTGGGTCAGTGAACACTAAACTAAGAGCCAAGTGAGGTGTGGGGGTGGAAAGAGGAGACAGGAAGATCAGGGACATTGAGGAGGAGGAGAGCAAATTAAAGAAGGCAGAGGGGTCCTATCCCCACTTCCAGGCTACCTCCAGGTGACCCCTTCACACACTATCCTGCTAGTAAGAAGCAGAGACCCAAGTGTGTACTGAGCCTCTGAGCATATGGCTGGGAACTCTGAGCCCATGGCTGGGACCCACCCCATGAGCCAGGGGTGGAGATCCCCAGGGGTCATTTGGATGTGAAGGGCACACATCACGTGGTTCTGGCATATGCTACACTGAACACACCTAGGCTGCTATACCAGCTCAAAAGGTAAGACTCCTGCTCACTCTTCCCCACCAACAGATACCAAAAAGGGTAGGTGTCTCCAGGAGCAAGAATAAAACAGGGGCTTTCAAGTTTAGTTGTGCCCAAGGAGCTGCTTCTGAAGTGACTTAAACCTTTCATCTGTCAAAACTTTGTTGAAAAAAACTGAGGTGAAATTCACATAACGAAATTAACCACTTTAAAATGCACATTTTGGTGGCAACCACCATCAATATGAAGTTTCAAACATGTTCATCCCTCGAAAAGAAAACCCTATACCCATTAAGCAGTTATTTCTCAATTACTCTTCCTACCAATAGCTTTTTTTTTTTTTTTTTTTTTGAGACAGGATCTTGCTCTGTAACCCAGGCTGGAGTGTAGTAGCCCCATCACAGATCACTGCAGCCTTGACCTCCCAGGCTCAAGCTATTCTGCCCCACCTCAGCCTCCCAAGTAGCTGTGATGACAGGCACATGCCACCATGCCCAGCTAATTTTTGTATTTTTTGTAGAGGTGGAGTTTTGCCATGTTGCCAGCACTGGTCTTGAACTCCTGGGTTCAAGTGGTCCATTCATCTAGGCCTCCCAAAGTGCTGGGATTACAGATGTGAGCCACAGAGCCCAGCCTCAATAGCTTTTTACAGTGAGTGGGGTTGAGCAGGGGTGATATTCTCCATAGTGAAATTTTATGTAGCCATTGTTTGAGGGACTTTGGGAAACCCTGGGTTCAAAGGGCACAGGGACATTCTCTCTTCTAAGCAGATGGGAGCAGCCTTCTGGAAAGGCCTAGGGTAACTTTTCCCTTCTCTTGCTCCACCCAGTCCAGTGAGGACAATGCCAGCCTCTTCTGCTCACACAGGGTTTCATGTGCCCAATAATCTATGAGAACAAGGGCATCACTAGGGCTTTGAGAGGAACCCCCACAGTGCACCACAGTCTGGGTCACTCCCTGAAAATGGCTCCAGATAGAAATCAGCTCTTACCCTTTGCTTCTCTGGGTCCACATAGCGAATGCCAAAGTAGTCCTTCTCCAGCAGGCTGTAGTAGTTGCAGATGTGGTCAATGAGAAACTGCCCTTTGGTTTCCCTCTGCAAAGGAAGCACATTTAAGTCTCAGCCAGAGCTCACCTTGTGCATTCACGTCCTCAGGGAGCCTTGTTCACCACCATGGGTCTATGTTCTGAAAAATAAATGTGCTCACTCCAGTCCCTGAAGAAGGGGCTTCCAAACTCTTTTAACCACAAATCCTCAATGATAAATACATTTTACATCATGAGCCATTACACACACACAAACACACACACACACACGGAACCAAAAGGACCCCAAAAAGAGCAGTCAAAATAATCCATATGCCATTTAATTTGTCTAATGCTATTTATGACTCAGAGTACTAATTTCACAACACAGTAACTTGTGGAGGTCCACAATTTGGAAACTCTCATGTAACACATACAACGGCCTAACTGCTTTTTCTAATTCCTCGGTACATATTCATTCATCCAGTTCTCACAATGATCCTACCAGGAAGGTTCTCATTTTATATCGGAGGAAACTGAGCCACAAAGAGGTTCAGTGACTTGCCCAAAGTCACACAACTTGAATGGAGCAGGACAGGATTTGAGCCAGGCCAACTGGCTGCAGTATGTGGGCTCCTTCCAAGCCACTTTGACCCCCTGGAGCAATCACGAGTCCACTGCAGCTCTGCCAGGAGGCAGCATCTGGTGAGAGTGGCAATGCTGTGAGTGGTAACTAAATTCCCTGGCTCTCAGCGGGAATGGTAGGGAACCTGCTTCCTTGGTCCTCAGAGCCACTGCATCCCTTCCATAAACCAACACAGAAAGGCAGTGTGGGAGATTCAGGGGAGCCCAGGACTAAGATCCAAAGACAGGCCTGTGTGACCTTGGGTAAACCCCTAGCTGTTTCTACTTCGGTAAAATAAGGTGGTTGGACTAGATTATTTCTAAGTTAGTTAGGTTATTTTTCCTTCTAAAATTCTACAAGTGAAAGATGTAACAGCCAAATCTGATTAACATAAATACCACTACAACAAAAATCTCTTCAGAGCAAAGACCCTTCTAAGCCCTCATCAGGATATCTGATAAGATTAATTTCTGCTTCAATCAAAGTCGCTGACAGACCCATGAAATGTTTTAGAGATGTGACCTATTAAAATATATGAAGAAATTAGAGGCATTAAGTGAGCTACTTTTTCAATCCACTAAAAATAATTTTGAAAGATCAGTTTGGTCTATGTTACATAATGATCTTTTCATTAAAGACCACTACCATTAACTCAGGAAGTTGGATGGGAAAGCCACACCCTCCAGCAAGATCTCCATTGACTACTCAAGACCTTGAGAGAAAAAAATGCTGCTGCAGACAATGCAGTGATTAGACAATGCAAGCGTGGCTGAAACAGGGGTCAATGCCTTCCAAAAAGCCTGGGATGCGCTGCACTGAGTGAAGGACGGGGGTTTATAAGCACATAGTGTGATATGAAACCTCCATTTTCCTGAAATCACTTTTGAGTTTGATTTTGAATAAGCTTCAAGTTTTTAACTTCCTTCCTGAGAAACCATCTGATATAGCTCAAAAGAGACAAAACATAAAAATGGAATTTGTTTTTAAATGTCTGTAATTGTTTTTTAATCCAGGAGTCTCAAATGACAAAGCTATACCTAACAGCTGAATTCAATGCCCAGAAAATAATCATTGGCTTTAGTTCCTTTTACACATATACTCTGTAATCCAATCATCTTTAAAAGGTTGCAGCATTATCCCCTCACCAAACATAACATAGGAGCTCATCATTTTATGATTGAATGGCAAAGCCCTCTTCATTAGGATGTACTATAGGGAAGTATTCCCTACCATATTCCAGATATGTGGGTCAAGGCAGTGCATTGTAATAATATGGGATTGAGCAGGCCTTGATTGTTCATGACAGATACTGCTGTCATTTTGCCCTAAAGAAGATGTACTCAACAGCACAACAAAGATTTTTTTTAAGGATTAAACACAGCAACCAATATACACCCTCCAGCAAGATCTCCATTGACTACTGAAGACCCTTGAGAGAAGAAAATGCTGCTGCAGACAACGCAGTGATTAGAGCAGGCAACCGTGGCTGAAACAGGGGCCAATGCCTTCCAAAAACCAGGTCAGGCCAATTCCCATGGTTCCAGACCACCAGGTGGATTCTAGGTCTTTGCTACTGAAGGTATAGCCTACAGATCAACACTATCACAGAGCAGCAGCCTCAGTCTCACCCAGGAGGGAGCCTGTTGGAGACAGAATCTCAGGCACTGCTCTAGCCCTGCTGCACCTGGTCTGCATTTTGGCAAAATCCCCAGTTAATTCGCATGCACATTGAAGTTTGAGAAGCATTGGTCCAGGAGGATTTCCACAACATGGGAAAAGCACAAAATTTTCCTTTCTCCAGGGACCACCACAAAGAAAAAAAAAAAAGCCCCTTTTCCTTGAGAATTGTCTCTTCCTTAACTCAGAAAAATCAGTCCTTTCCTGCCTTGGGTACACAAGCTGCCTCTGCCATTGTCAGGAGACATCAATAGCCCTTTGCAGTTCTGCCCTGGCCTCTGCACGTTGCCCAGCAAGCCTCACCACCCTGAGACCCTCCATGTCTCACTGCTTGGTGCCAAGGAAGTCAGCTTACAGTCCCACATTCTTCGCCTGGAAATCCGAAGTCTGTAAGCCATTTAAGTTCCCACTGTTGTCATTTTTGTCCCTTAAGCTCAGTTCTTGCACTAAACAAAAGCCTGCATACGCCCAGTACCAAAGGTTGGAAGAGCTGGTTCAGGAGTCAGGTGCATGAGGGGCAGAAGTCCAGCTACTGCCCATATACCTCACATCAGAAGAGAGACTGGGGAGTAAACAGTGGTTATGACCTGAACCTTCCACATGCTTCCTCCTGAACCTCCTGAAGATAGAGGTTCCTTCCCTGCGGCCTAAACCAGTGCCTGGCATGCTGGATGTTACCAGATGAATAAGAAGTCTTTCCTTTTTTCTCATGGAAAACATGAGGTCTGGGAACAGAAGGAAGCACTTTCCACAAGCCCGCACAGCACTAACAGAGAGCCCCGGGCGAGACAATAGCATCCTGGTATTGGCAGTTCCACAAATGTAGTGGAATTGGCCAACTTTCATGCATCTCTCTCAAGGTCTGTGTGCAGAAGTGGTTATCAAAGATTTCAAGTAAAAGGATTTCTTTTTAATGTCAGACTTTTGTTGATTCTCCCACAGGATAGCAGCTCTACGTGCAGTACTGATTGAGCAGAGAAAAAAAAATCAAGCAGCTAATTTAAATTCTTCAGAGCTGTTACCTAAATTATGTTTTATTAATCACAACAGTATTTAATACATGTGAAAAGTAGTAAGATATAAATGCGTGAGCAGGGTCTAATACAAAGATCAGTAGGATTTGATAATCTGTGCTTAAAATCCATATGTGCATAAGTATAGACTTTTGATGCTGTCTCTAAATGAGGTTGTATGGTCTCAGAAATGCACTGACAGGGTTGAAAGAATTTGTTCAACTACACAACTTAACTTGTGTCTCAATACTGGTCCTTATTATCTATAGTACACTGTGACTTGATTCTTTTTATAAATACTGTACTAAAATAATGTGAAGACAATTGCAATATTTTTAATGTGTTAAAATCTATAAGCCAATGCTAGCCAAGATGTGACCCATGGACTATGCCAGAACATGAACAGTGCATGACTGGTCCTCCAAGACAGCAGTCACCATCCTTTTTGGAACCAGGGACCAGTTTCACGGAAGATAATTTTTCCAACGACAGGGTGGTGGGATGGTTTCAGGATGATTCAGGCACCTAACATTTATTGTGCACTTTATTTCTATTATTATTATATTGTAATATATAAGGAAATAATTATACAATTTACCATAATGTAGACGCGGTGGGAGCCCTGAGCTTGTTTTCCTGCAACTAACTGGGGGTGGTGGGAGACAGTGACAGATCATCAGGCATTAGATTCTCATAAGGAGTGTGCAGCCTAGATCTCTCACCTGCACAGCTCACAATAGCTTTGCACTCCCATGAGAATCTAATGCTGCCGCTGATCTGACAGGAGGTGGAGCTCAGGTAGTACTGCGAGGGATGGGGAGCAGCTGTAAATACAGATGAAGCTTCTTGCTTGCCCGCAGCTCACCTACTGCTATGCAGCTCAGTTCTGAGGCCCGGGGATTGGATCCCCTACTCCAAAAAACAAGTGCAGAAATTAAGATCAATTTAATTCTATTGTGTGTGTGTTTTTGATTTTGTTTTTTTTTGTTGTTGTTGTTTTTTTTTACAAATATTGGTCCAAAGTAGACTGGAGGAATAAAAATCTAGTACTTGTGTCTCCCCACAGAGAGTTTGAGAGTTTGAGACTCTCTGATCTAAACTGTGCCACCAGGCTTGGGGGTTCTGTTTGGGATTTCTTTAGTCCACAAGCCCCAAAGTGTAAAAGGGGTTGTGTCCTCTCTCTCACCTTCTCTGCCCATTTTTCAGACAATTTTTAGTGTGCGTTGGATTGCTGAACCCCCTGCAATAATCTCATCTTCCCTCAGGGTGGAAAGTGTTAGTCTCCTGGGTATGGCAGGATACTTGGCATAATTCTGGGCATCTCAAAAGGCAAATTCTCTCCCTGGGCTACAGACTCACTGATATGGCAAACTAGGATCTATTTCAAAAGAATTTGTGTGAAACAATCACATGTCTGATTAGGGATGGCTGGGTAAGAGTGGGCTAACCCTTTTGAGAGAGTGAAAAAAAGTATTTAGTTACTCTGAATCTCTATCTCCTGGTCTGTAAACTCTACATAATGCAGTCTTTAATGGGTAACCTGTGTATTAAAGACAATGTTTGTAAATATCTTGTTGGACACACAGTAGCTGCTCAATAAATGACAGCTATATACTGTTGTTGTTTGTAATATGATGATTTTGTTTCTTCTGATGCCCACAGTACCTTCTCTTCAAAGGCTGCTGAGTGGACCAGAGTCAGTAGTAAGTCCCACCAAACACAGATGTCAGGAGAGCTTATCATTCTCTCACAGAACGGGTTGGATTTACCCCTTTACACCCTATGGAACCTAATTTTTACAATCACAAACTAGCCTACTTGTCAGAAAAGTCCACCTCTCCTCCCCACCCCAAAGTATGTACTAGGAAAACAGAAGATGCCACTGTGTTCTAATCTTGTTTTCACCACTCATCAGCTAAGTGGCCTTAAGAAAGTCACCAAATTCCTCTGAGACTGTTTCTCCTTCCATAATGGGAGAATAATGATGGTAACTTCCAGATGTATCCCCAATTAGATATTCTAAGGCTCATTCATGTATCTATTAAACACCTATTATGCACCAGGCATTGAGATAGGGATTATAAATAAGCAAAGAGTGAAACCTAGAAATTTATCATCTCACAGATCTTAAAATCCTGCCCTTTGTAAAATGTGAATGAATTTTGTAAACTGCAAAGTATTATACCAATGTTAGATGTCATTATTAATAATATTAAGAATAATCTTAATCTTAAATCTTTGTCTCAATTTTACAGATCCTTTTAGATATAAGGAAGTTAAGTGGAATAGTATTTGCCTCCCAGAACTGTCCTCTATAGATTTAAAAAAAAAAAAAAAAGGGAACAAAAAGACAAAGAACTCAATTCTTTTTTTTATTCATTTGAGTTTTATTTTACGTTCATGGGTACATGTGCAGGTTCGTTATACAGGTAAACTTGTGTCATGGGGGTTTGTTGTACAGATTATCTCATCACCCAGGTATTAAGCCTAGTACCCATTAGTAATTTTTTCTGATCCTCTCCCTCCTCCCACTCTCCACCCCCAACAAGTTTCCATGTCTGTTGTTCCCCTCTTTGTGTCCATGTGTTCTCATCATTTAGCTCCCACTTATAAGTGAGAACAGGTGGTATTTGGTTTTCTGTTCCTGCTTTAGTTTGCTAAGGATAACTTTCCTTGATTCTCTGCAGCCAACTGCTGATGATGCATTTACTTCAACTCCCAAGTTCAGCAGTAAAATTAAAACAACAATAAATTTGTGCTTAAAGAAAAAGAGCAAAGAAATCAATTGCCCAAGTCAGCAATAGCTTTTCTTCAATTAAAAAAAAAAAAAAGTCTGGCAGATTTCAGTCCCCAATTCCTAAAACTCCAAGCGAGGTTTTGTTCAGCCTTTTAGACATTGGTTAAGTGGAAAAAACAGTACCAACCCCAAAATACTGAATATATTGCTAAACAAGTTTAGAGTTTGGATAGCTACCTTTAGGGATGAAGGTATGAACATAGTAATAAGAACTACTATTCATTTAACACTTACTGTATATCAAGAACTTTGCTACATATTTTGCATTTGATCTCTTGACAACCCATTGGGGTAGTTAATATTCTCCTCATGTTACAGATGAGGAAAAATGAACTCAGAAATTCTGTGTTTGTTTACAGGGCTGTCAAACCGAGGTCTGACACCTATGCTGAATCTGTTCTAGGAACTCAGTTGGCCTATGTGTCCCCATTCTCTATGTGGAGAGAGAGGAAAACAACAATATGAGGATTTGGAAGCAATGTCAAGTTCTCCAATTACTAGAATTTGGACACTGGCAGGAAGGAGCACTGGGTTACCCACAACAACACCAGGCTGGGAAAAGGCAGTTTTATAAAATACAAAGCACATTATAATAGACTTCATTGGTTAACTGCTTAGCAACCATACATCCCTTTATCTTTCTTAAAGGAACCCAGATTTTCCTCAGGTATGCACATGCGTGTACACACATGCACGCACACACATGGTACAGGCATAAGCCTCAAGGAACTATGACCCAATCGCATCTGAGGGCTCTAGCTTGGTTGGTATGAGGGTAACCCCACCTCTCTTGTCTGATTGGTTCAGGAAAGGACACATGACCCAGCTTAGGCCAATGAGACATGAGGAATACTTTACGAGGGCTTCTGGGATAATTCTTATTTACTCTTCTGAAAGAGCTTCGAGAAGAGACTTGCCCTTCCCTCTGGACCATACACAGAGGTGCAGTGGGATTGAGGATGAAGCCGAAATATTCACAGAGAAATGGAGCCTGTGTCTGCAAACTGTCAATCAGTTAATGTGAATTTCCTTGGAGATGCCCATGAAATTCCTTATTATTTCAGCAAGTACAGATTGGCTTTTCTGTTTGTTGCACCCAACATTTTCACTCCGGAGAGAAGGTAAATCAATGCCTCAGGCCAAGAAGAGCTAAGAGAGAACAGTAATGCTGGTGTGAAACACAGTTGCAGAGATGGCTGACTGATGAGCCCGGGAGCAGTCCATTGACTCTACTCTTTGTTCTGCTGTGTTCTATTCAGTCAGCATAGTGTTAACTGAGCTGATCATGGCTGACTGATGAGCCCAGGAGCAGAGTCCATTGACTGCTGTGTTCTATCAGTCAGCATAGCGTTTTGGTGTTTTTGAATGGGGAGACTGCACATAAAATCTGGATGCTAGCTGCCCTTGAAAAGCTGGAGGGTGTGGAAGCTGGACCGTAAAGGTCTGGTTGGCTTCTCCTTTCCCTGAAAAATGAACTCTGCAGTCCACCACATTTCCGCCTTCCCTGTTGTCTTCCGCTTCTTCCATTTCCCTCAATTCCCTGATCACTGGAGGTATTTGAGTTTACAATCCCTAATCTGAGGCAATAACAGAGGTCTCAGAAAGCGATCCTTGAAAGAGCTTTCCTTGGAAGTACATCCTCAGAGCCAGGAAACATCCTCAGCGGACACAGCTTTGGGCTGCCCTCTAAAGCTGCCCAACAACTGGGGTCCTAGGACACAATGGAGGAAGAAAAACTTAATACAGAACAGAGACATGGGAGAGGCTCGCTGGAATGAGGGAAGCAGGCAAGGGCCAGAGGAGTTGGAAGCACAGCCCCAGGATGGTGGGAACAGTTTGCTCTGGGGTTGGCACTGTTCCTCCAGGACCCCTCTATGATAAACAGAAGTGGGAGCTGTGAGGCCTCATTTCCTAATTATGAGGGTTGTGAGGTTCTTGTTCAAAGGGCTCTGTTGCTTGGCACCTTATGCCTGCAGAAGTTGCTTTTGAGAAGGGACAGCCTTCATAAATGTACATCTGGGAAAGAACAGAATTGTCTCTGGTGATTCTTCTACCTGGAAGGAAGAATCCAATCATCTGAATGCCCAGAAACTCCATGAGGAGCTTCAAACCAATTACAAGGCCCTTAACAGCAACTAAATGCTCAGTTTGCTGCTAGGATTATGTCTTCTAGGGACAGATGGATACATTTCTCTGGTGAATTAAGGGCCTTGATTCATTTACCTTCATAGGCAGATGAATACAGAATAGTAATGAGAAACTGGTGAACTAAATAGTTCTGCTTTTATTGTCAAGGACAAGCATTTATTAATATAAGAAAGATTGTAGCTTGATTGAACAACATAAAAGTGCTCTGTTAATATTCTGCTATAAAAAAACTCAAGCCTATTTGTGTAAATTCACACATTTTGTTATGTTAGGGACCACAGCTTTAACAAAAACTGCATCTCTTTAATAAGAAAACCTTTATTAAACAGCAAGTAATATATTGCTTTGTTAACAGTAACTGGTACTATTACAAACAGTAACTGGCATTCTTCCTATTGCAAACAGTAACTAGTATTAGATATTACGCTGTGATATATATTCAGAAAATTACATCATCCCAAGAATATGAGAGAAATATTAAAGCTATTTAAATGGGAGATAAATGTAAAGAAAAACAAGAATAGAGGAACCTCTCATGGTTGAATCTGTGGTTCTCACACAGAAATTAAAAGTTTCTTTGATTTGTGTTATCCAAATATTTTCAAATGTATGGAAGATAAACCCAAGATTTGGGAAAAATGAAATATGCCTAATGCTAAATGACGAGTTAATGGGTGCAGCACACCAACATGGCACATGTATACATACATAACAAACCTGCACGTTGTGCACATGTACCCTAAAACTTAAAGTATAATAATAATAAAATTTTTAAAAGAAGAAAGAAATATGTAATTCTGAATACATATCTGTTTTAGAGTAATAATTAGTAGCTAAAGCTAAGATAATTGCAAATACAGGCAAATTTTATTAAAGGCGTTTTTGTGCCCAGTAAGTATTCATAAGTTGGTGGAGGATTATGACTATAGTAGTGACCTAAAAAACAGAAAATAACAACAAAAACAATACCAGGGCCAGCTACCCATGAGGGAAACAAAATCAATAGTTGCCTGAAAGTGAGCACTGGATACAAAAACAAAGGCAAGACACAAACAGCCACCTTACCCAGCCAGGCCCAATGGTAGAGAATGAAAACCCAACTGCTTATCTAATGCCCATGGTAGCCCCTACACACTATGAGAAGATAGACATACAGTCAACATCACAGCAAGAGGCTTAATAGTATTAAAGCTAGAGAAGTCAAAAGGGTCCTAAGGAAGAAAGACAAAGAAATAGTGCATCCAGGAGAAGATGAAGCAGCCAGAATACGTTGGTCAGTTTTTCATCTGAATCCTAAACAGTGTCTTCTGAAGGAGTGTCACAGTTGAATAATCAGTCAAGGTAGCTTGGAGTTAGTAACGTTTGCCTCTTTTTGTTTCTCTTCTGGGTGTTTTCTGCCTCCATTACCTCTACTGCGTACTGTGGCTTTCATTCTAAAAGATGCCTTGTGTATCTGTTCCTAGTCATTCGGTCATTTCTGTTCTGACTGGCACACAGGTCCATCCCAATGCTCAGGGAATCATATTTGATTTGTCAGCTCTTCTTAGCAGTTTTTGCCACAGCCTGTGCTCAAAAGGTTCTTTCTTCTCCATCTTTTTCTTCTTCTTGTTCCAGATTTTCGTGCCAGGTCCAGCTCTTCAAAGCACTCACATCAGAATAATCTAGACATTTTACAAGTTGAATCTTTTCTATGATTTTAACAAAGTGAGTTTTTTTCTTCATGCTAAGGCTAAGGCTCAAAGAAGCTAATTAACTTATCCAAAGTCAACAGAGCTAGAAACTGGCAGAGTAAATATTTAAACCTGGGACTGCTATATTTGGTTATTATAACCACATTTTTTAATTGTTAAAAAGAAATAAATAACTTCCTCAACTTGATAAAGAACGTCTACCACATTTTAAAATTGTTAAAAAGAAATAAATAACTTCCTCAACTTGATAAAGAATGTCTATTAAAACTATACAGCTAACATCATACTTAATAGTGAGAAACTAGATGTGTTTCCCTTAAAACAGGGAACAAGGCAAAGATGTCCTCTCTTACCACTTCTTTTCAACACCATACTGGAAGTCCTAGCTAATGCAGTAACACAAGACAAGAAAGAAAAAAGAAGAGAAAAGAAAAGACAGGAGAGGAGAAGAGAGAAAAGAAAAGAAAAAGGTATGCAGATTGGGAAGGAAGAAATAAAAATTTCTTTGTCTGCAGATGACATCAGATGTTCTCATTGTCTATGTAAAAAATATCAAAGAATCTACCAAAAAAACCCACTCCTAGAATTAATAAACTAATAAATGCAATGTTGCAGGACATAAAGCTAACATACAAAAATAAATTGTTTTCCTATAGACCAGCAATGAACAATTGAAAGTTGAAATTAAAAACAAAAGACCATTTATATTAGCACCCCAAAAAATGAAATACTTAGGGATAACTCTAACAAAATATGTACAAAATCTATATCAGGAAAACTACCAAAATTTGGATGAAAGAAATAAAAGATCTAAATAAATGGATATTCTAGTACCCATGAACAGAATAGAAAAACTCAATATTGTCAAGATGTCAGTTCTTTTCAATTTATTCTATAGATTCAATGCAAGCTCCATCAAAATCCCAGTGGGATATTGACAGTCAGATTCTGATGTTTTGTGAAAAGGCAAAAGATTTAGAGTGGCCAACACAGTATTGATGACAAACAATGTCAGAGGACTGATGCTACCCAGCTTCAAGACTTACTATAAAGTTACAGTGATGAAGGCAATGTGGTATTAGCAAAATAATAGGCAAATAGAAAAATGAAACACAATAGAGAACCCAGAAATAGACTCACACAAATATAGTCAACTGATTTCTGACAAAAAGTCCCCAAAGGATAAAATATATATTTTTAAGTTATCCTGACCACAGTAGCTGAGACAAGATTTTAAGCAAAGTGCTTTCAGAAATGAGCTATCTTTATTAATCAATGCTTCCTGAACTTAAGTACATCTTCATTTAATATCTGCTTCTTTTTCTTAGTATAGTCTGTGATCTGGAATATTTGCTTCTCTAACAAGCCTTGTGAAACAGAAAGGCCAAACTCTCTGGGATTCACCATCTCCTTGAGCCACATCAGGAGATGCTAGCATCACCTCCTCTTCTTCTCAGATTCCTAATTAACAAGCATTCACTTAGAACTTCCTTAGTGCCTGGTTCTATGTACTATATTTAGATTACCTCAACTATTCATTGGATTTCATCCACGTAAGCCCCAGGAGCTAATTGCGTTCCCATTTTCAAGAAGAGGAAGATAAAACTTAGGGTGGCTGAATAACTTGACCAAGGTCACATGGCAAGCAAATGGCAAAATGCCAGGTTTGAACTCAGGTCTCTCAGAGTCCAGAAAGAAAAGACTAGAATTATTAACCGTTAGCGAGCAGTACAATGTTCAGATTTTTAAAAGTAGAATCACAGAATGTTGGAGTTGGAAGGTACTATAGAGATAATCTTATCCAAACTCTTCATCTCAGAAATGGGGAAACTGAGACCCAGAGAATTTTAGATGAAATAATACAAATTAGTGCTGGAATTAAGATTTCAAATCAAGAGCTGGAGCCAAGATATATCAGTCAGGATAGGCTAGATTAAGCTGCAGTAACAAAGAATTCCAAAAGGTCAGTGAGTTAACACCACAGAGGTTTATTTCTCACTTAGTATGCACAGCCAATGAATATTAGCAGGGGAGAATTCTGCTCCTAATCTCTTTGAGATGTGAAGGGATTAAGGATTCCTCTTAACAGCTGTTTCAACAGTCAACACAGCAGCAGGAAAGGAATGTGGTGAGTCCCACACCAGCTTCTAAACATTCTGCCTGGAAGTGACATGCATCACTTCGGTTTATTGGCCAAAATAAGATACATATCTTGCCTAACTTCAGAGAGGTAAGAAAGTAAAATTTCATCATGTGCCTAAAAGGATGAAATAAAGAATGCTTACAAATAATCCTAATAGCGATCACACTAGGGCTCAGTCCAACACTGGGTTTAATTAGCATAGCAAGCTGGATTGGCCCTCCACAAGACTGTTTTTTAAATATGCACCTAAAATAATATTGTCACCCATTTTAAAATCAATACAAATATGCCTCAGGCATTTCTATAATAAATCTTAAACTATTATGTGCATTTTAAGGCATTCCATGAGTTTAGAGTTCATGGTCTAATTGGAATTGCTTGTGGCTCATATTTTTTAAATGATTTGTGAGTATACAGCTCCAAGAAAAATACAGCAACAGTCAATTAGGAGCTGACATTCACACCCAGAGAGCAAAGAGATGGTTTCTGCTTGTGGAATTCTTAACGCCCCAGGAGCCTAACAAGGAAGACAGAATTCCTCCTGAAATTGCATACGAGATGGCTACCCTGAACTCAACAGTCAAGGAAAACAAACTAACCAACCTGTGGCTCCAATTAAGCATAGAACCTCTGCACACTCTGTCTGTCAAGAGCCTTGGGCTGAGGGATTCTCCAGTTTCTGAGAATCATCTGACAATACAGCTCTTGGCCCCACTAGGATGATGGGGCCAAGCAGCCTAACCAAGAGTGGATGGATGAATAGTTTATGGAGAAATTTAGAAATGCATTACCATTTACACAGTTAGCTAGGCTTTGCTGGGGTAGGGGGAAAATGTCCTCATGCAAGGCTAATAAGAAAGGAAAACTAAAAAAGGGCAGAGAAATGAAGATAAGAGAAGGAGATTATATACATGCAGCCTTAATATAACCATGGAAGTCCACATGTATCAGCCTCAGCAGGGCTCAGACACATTTTTAAAGAGAAACAGGTCAGTAGCAAAAATACTTGAAAAGAAATTCAAATCTTCATTATTAGTTTTCAAGAAACATTAAAGAGAGCCTACGGTCTAAACCACAGTAACACTCCCCAAAAGCTCTTTAGCCAATTCAAATTTTCTCATAGCCTTGAGATTCTACAGAGACTCTCAATTTTCCTTCTTTCTTTCTTTTTTTTTTTTTTTTTTTTTTTGAGATGGAGTTTCACTCTGTTGCCCAGGCTGTAGTACAATGGCGCGATCTTGGCTCACTGCAACCTCCGCCTCCCGGGTTCAAGCGATTCTCCTGTCTTAGCCTCCTGAGTAGCTGAGATTACAGGCACCCGCTACCATGCCCAGATAATTTTTGTATTTTTAGTAGAGACGGGGTTTCATCATATTGGCCAGGCTGGTCTCGAACTCCTGACCTCAGGTGATTCGCCTGCCTCAGCCTCCCAAAGTGCTGGACTTACAGGCGTGAGCCACCACGCTCAGCAAGACTCTCAATTGTCAAAAACTCCAAATTCCCTCCCCCAGGCCAAACCCATAAGGCACTATCTTTTCTCTCCACATCCCTAACTTCCCTAATGGTAGCATTTTTTGCAATAAGAAATCATCTTTCCTCTCTGGGAGAGAGAAACGGGAGGAAAGAGAAATGGGAGACAGGCAGAAGGTGGCTCGAACACGCATGTGTGCTTGAAACTGCTGGGATAATGTTTTAAAGGGGCTTCTGCAGTGCTTCAAAGCATATCTCAGTTATACTTGGTGTAGCTTGCCTAGGTAGGATCCTGAGAAGGTTGAGAGGCTGGGAGTATAACAGGCTGAGCAGGAAGAGAGGAGACCCCACGAGAAGACGGAGTTAGCTCCAGAATGTCTTCCACTTCATTGGTATACATGTGGCTCGACACAGCCACACCACAGGAAATTACAGTCTAGTGTACTTCACATAAGTAATATGACAGAGGCCATAACAATAATAGGAATAACAGCTGCAAATTACTGAGCACTAACTATAAATGAGGGCCTGTGCTAAGTGCTGCACAGAGATTATGTCATTTACCCTTCCAACAACCCTAGCACCAGCCTTATTTGGTCGAATGACCTTCTAGAAATGTAAGACTTCCACCCACCTTTATTGCTAATTCCTCCAAGCTACTTTTTTTCCCCTCTCAAACCCTACTCCTTACTTCCAGCCCAGCATGGCCCACAGCTCCACCCTGTGAAGGTCTAATGTCTCATTTCAATAGTGTCATACCCGAAGGTTCCCAGTAGTCAGGCAATTAGCAGGCCTGTGACCCACACAGCTCCTGGAATTCCTAAAACAACTGCTCTGTGTGCAGTGGGAATTCCTGCATACACACGCACACACACACACACACACACACAAGCAGGCACGCACACAAGAACGATTTGTCACAAATATTTAAAGACTGGAAGATGTAGGCTGGGCTCCCCGGCTATCACACCTACCCCTTTCTTCAAGCGATTAGTCACTAAGGAGGAAAAACATCTTGGTTATATTTACATCTCTTCTGACTACACAGCAACTCAAGCTGAGGGTGTTTCATTTTTATGAAACTAAAAATGTAGAGGAAGATTGATGTGAATTTTAATCGCCATTATCAGCTATTACAAGCCAGCTTTCTTCTTTAAGCATCCTCTGCCTTTTTTTTAACTCTTTGAGGCAGACAGCAGCTTCCTGAAGGAAGGAAAATATCACATCCAATCTACCAGCTCTTTATTTCTAAAGAACATTTTCACCCATTGTTTAGAAATGCATCATGGCAGAGCCTGATGGAACTGCATAAACCCACAAGAATGTGCAGAAATGCATGCTAAAAATGGGTGTAAAATCAGAGCCCCTCTCAGGGATGCACTCGTAAGAAGTTACATACATTTAAGACAAATATAAAATGAAAAAAAATAGACAGAATAAACCATTTTTGTAAAACTCAGACGTTTTATGTTTGTGTGTATATTTATATGTACACACACATACATACATATACATGCAGACAAAAAGTAAAGATTTGAAGGCTAAAAAGCTAAATGTTGATGGGGATATTTGTGAGAGTTAAGAGTTAAGTTATTTTTAGTTTTTGCTTTGTGCCTTTTTATTTGCGTTTTCTAGCTTTCCTACAAACAACAAGCATTGGGTTGCTTATCAGTGTAAAGGTAATGTGTTTCTTTTTCACGGCACAGGACACTGGTTTACTCTCTGAAGGGACACAGCCTATATTCCCAAGGGCTGATGGACTAGAGGTATCCTTAAGACTCACAAACCAGAATTCCAGTTCTCATGTTATCTAGAAGTACTGCTTCCTTTTCATTTTGGAGAGCAGAGAAGGAAGAGACGATGGGCTGAGTGAAGACCGACCATCTCTGATCTTAAAGTTCCATTTCGGGGACCCCTTGTAGAGGCCCCTTTAAAACATTACCCCAGCAGTTTTAAGCACAAGTGCATGGTAGAGTCCCCTGCCTCTGCCAACTGATAGCCCTTGGCAATGTATTAACCTCTCTGGGCCTCCCAGTGCCCAGGTGTGCAACAGTGGGCTGCACTGGATAATGGTGAAGCTCCGCCTCAGACCCAAGCTGAGGCAGTTCTGGGTTTCCACAATGCCATGTTAGCAGAGCGCCACCCTGGCTTTGTCCCAGGGCTTACAGTGATCCACTTACATCTGAACCCAATCAGCTGGGTCCCCTAAAAGTTGCATCATGGGATGAGGAAGGAGCGGTTCTGGGATACAGAGAGAAGGATTGAAAGTATCCATAGAGCTGGGCACAGTGGCTCACACCTGTAATCCCAGCACTTTGGGAGGCCGAGGCAGGTAGATCACCTGAGGTTGGGAGTTCGAGACCAGCCTGACCAACATGAAGAAACCCCATCTCCACTAAAAATGCAAAAAAAAAAAAATTAGCCGGGCATGGTGGCACATGCCTGTAATCTCAGCTACTTGGGAGGCTGAGGCAGGAGAATTGCTTGAACCCGATCTTGTGGTGAGCCAAGATCGCGCCATTGCACTCCAGCCTCGGCAACAAGAGCGAAACTCAGTCAAAAAAAAAAAAAGAAAGAAAGTGTCCATCATCTCCCTCCAAGCCCATGCCTGCAGTGAGGGTGGGACCAGAGCTGGCAGAGGTTTTTAGTTTGACAGTTTGTTGGAGTAGGGCTGAGCTGCATAATTGGTTCTTACTTTCCGTCCTGACGAAAATTCTGCCAATTTTACTCGGTCACAGATTAAAGCAAACAGTAACTTGTGTTTCATTTCACATAGGCAATTTCTTTTTTTTTTCCAGCAATTCTATCACATTCCATTCTCCCTTCCTACTGCCCCCTAGCATACATACTGAGAATTTGGCTGTGCCACTAATGCAAGGCAGCTGGGGTTGGAAATCAGAAAGCAGATAAACAGCATTGCTAAGGAGCTGCAGGAGTCTTCGGATCTCACAGAGCACAGAAAGTAGTCCTCTGAGTCTTCTGCCTCCAGTCACTAACACCAATCTTCCCTGCTTTCCCCTCCCTCCGTCCACCCACACCTCCTAGTTCCCATCTCCTTCTGTGAAGGGCCTCCCAATCTTTTCTTCCCATCATCATGGCCACAAGTTAGAAGATGAGAAGGAGAAAAGTCAAAGGCTACTAGAGCCAAGGAATTCCTCACAATGAACTGCAGTGTCTGGAGGACCAGTTGGGTAGCCTTACTCCGGGTCTCCACTGCAGAACTTATACATATATGCTTTGTGCACACAAAGAAAAACAGCAGCCCAAAGATTCCAGCTAGGGCTCTTAGGATGGAGGAAAGTTCCCACAGGTAACTCACTGGTTAATTTTAAAGAGCTCAGGAAAGGAAGGAAGGATGGCTTTTTCTCTTGTGAGTCAAGACAAGGTCCTGATGATAACCCTCCCAGATCAGAACGTAACTTTCAACCCACGAGTGCTGCTCCCCCAAGTTATATGCATCATCTCAGAGAGTTGGTTCCTTGCCATTGGGCAATTGACATGTTGTCAACGGGTCCTTATTTGGTGGTCAGTAAATGTTAGCCAGCATCGGTGAGGACACAGCCCATAGAAGAGAGCAGAGAAATCCAGAAATGTAAACTGTATGTATCTCTTCTTCAAGTTGCTGGGTTTTATTTTGTTGTTGTTCCTGTTGTTGTTTTCTGTTTAATTTATTTTCCATATTTTCCTCCAGTTTATTTTATCACTCCAAATACTCCGCAAAATGCCCCACCACCATGGTTGGTTTCACTCTTGCCATTCCCCTGTGTGAATAAAGCCCTTCTCACCACCTATCAAAATTTTGTCACTGATGTGTTCACCTGATCCTGGCAGAGAGTTCGCTGCAGATCCTGCTTCTGCATGAGAGGCCTCACAGACTCCCCACACCCTCGCTGACCTTTCTGTCCTCTGACCTCATTTGGAAATGGATGAAATACTGTCACGGTCATTTCTCATGATGGTGTAATTCCAGTTTCATCACTTATCTTAAGCTTCCTTTTCTCAAGTGAACTTATTTTTCATCAAGTTTTTCATTGTACTTTACAGGATAATTTGTACACACAGTAAATACTTGGTACAAATATTCATTAAACCATAACAAAGCACCATTTTTACCTATCCACTTCCCAAATCCAAAAATTCTAAAAATGGCCAACCCCAACAAGGATATAATGGTGGAATTGCATACTACTAGAAGTCTAAATTATGGGAGAAAATTGTGTAGATATAACTTAGGGAATTTTTAATCTCTGTATTTCCCCCAGCCTCCACTCCCACTTTAAAAAGGCATTCGGCTCCACAATCCCTACCCTCCTTGGAGGCTATATGTAGCAGAATGAAAATTAGTAGCTGGTGAGACCTCTTGGATTTTGTTTTCATATGTCTAAATCCACTGAGAATAGAATATGAGAAGTGTTCTAGTTATCTGTTCCTGTGTAACAAGCCACTCTAAAACATAGGAGCAAAAACCAATAAGTATTCTCTCACAGTTCTTTGTATTGACTGAGCTCAACTGGATGGATCTTGTCTGGGTTCCTCTATATTACTGGAGTCTGATGTGGAAGCAACTGAAGATTTCTTCACTCACATGTCTGGTGCCTAGACTGGTCTGGCCAGCAGAGGAGGGGGGTTGTTGAGTCTCTCTCTCTCTCTCTCTCTCTCTCTCTCTCTCTCATCTTTCTCTCTCTCTCTCTCTCTCTCTCTCATCTTTCTCTCTCCCTCCCCTTTCTCTTTCTCTTTCTCTCCATGCAGCTCTCCATGTGTGTAGCTAGCTTGGGCTTCCTTACACCATGGCAGTCTCCAGGAAGCCAGACTTCTCCATCAGCAGCCAGCCTCCTGCAAGATGAGCATTCCCAAAGGGTCCAGGCAGAGGTTGCTTTTCACACATTGTCACTTCCACTGCATTCTACTGATTACAAGTGAGTCACTATGGCCAACCTGGATTCAAGGGAAAGGGAATTAAACATGTCCTCTCAACGAGATGAAAGCAAAGAATGTATGGCTATCTTTATTTAATGTGCCACAGGGGAATAAAAGATTCTTCTTTCAGATTAAAACGAAGAAAGGAACAAGCTGTATGAACCAAGCTTGCTCCCTGGATGTGCTCTGTGTTGGCACAAGGATATTCGGGAGGAAAAATATGGTCTATCTAGGAAAAAAAAAATATCACAAACATGGGGCTTTCTGCCCTCACCAGGTTGTCATGTCCTAAGAACCCCCACTGGGCCCAAGGGTCAGGCTGATGTGGACATCTAGCCAATAATGAACATGCCTCCCTCCCATTTCTTGGCACCCAGTGAGACTCCAGAAACTAGGCACAACCCCCAGGTGGGGGAAAGTTCAGAAAAGACACATGAAAATGTTTCCAGCTACCCCAGGGGGAAAGGGGCTTGATATGAAAACTAGGTTGATTTATGGAAAATAGATTACTGTATCTCTTCCAGCCTGGGTTTGGGAACTGACCTTGGTGTCAACCCCTAAATTTTATTTCTTCTGACTTGACTCTTCAGTGAAGTCATTCTGCCTCTCAGGTTGAGCCTTCTGCATCCTCTCCTTTCATCACTAATTACCAGAGCAGAGTTAAGCTGCTACCACAGGCACCCTCGGACACAATCCATGCAGAAACACGTGAACTGGAAGATTAACCATTCAGGTGCAGGGAAGATGGTGGGGAGACCACACACAGCTCAATTTGGAAATGGATTTCCCATTCCCTCCTGAGAAAGAGGCGAGAAGGAAGAGAGCAGCAACCCTGCCAGAGCCAACATAGTGTGCAATCCATTGTCCTGAAAGTCTACCCAGGCAGCTCAAAGAATGCTGCGATAAATTACATACACCTCTCTATTGCCCCCAAAGAATCAGTTCCATGCAGGTCAGCAGCATACTCGGGAAAGCAAAGGTTGTCCATCCCCAGGCATGGAGGTCAACCTTTTCTCCACCAGGTTCCCAGAATGCAGCCCCATTTGAGGTGGGATGTGATGCAGAAGGCTCATGAAGATGTTAAAAGCACACAGTATCAAACTCAGGACAAGAAGGAAGCCAGGCGCATTGAACTGAATGCTCGCTCTCAATATTGCATGTTACTGTTCAAAAATGGGATCAGCTCCCCACTCTTCCCGTCCTTAACTTTCAAGTTCCCTTCTAGCATTTATCAAACTGGTCTTTTATTTATTAAGCTCCTAATTGCTCTCCAGATGAGGCTCTCTGCCTTGTAACCCAACTTCTGCCTTCCATCAAAAACAAACAAACAAAAAACCACTCCATCAGCACAGGGAAACCTTGACTAGCTTTTCCCCACGTTAGTTCAGAGGATGGACAAAAACTTTTGAAAAAGAATGTGAGACTCTTCAGAGGAAATTGGCCACAGCAAATGCTTGTGTATGATTACAACCACCCAAATTTCTTAATAAGAGCAAACATTTTTAGCACATATTATGTGCCAGACACTGTGCTGAGCCATTTACATATATTAGCTCGTTAATACAGTCTCTCTGGTAGATAGTAAGATTATTATTCCCACTTTGCAGATGGGAAAATGTATGCTCAAGCAACAAATAAGAGCTGGACCCAGGACATGAACTCTCTTCTGTGCCTCTTTAAAGCTTCTGCTCTTTTCCACCAAGTCACTGGTCCTCAAACATTGGTGTGCATACTCTGAGAACACTTCTTTTTCAATAAGCTCTTCCGTTTTCCAACCAACCGGTCTGTCACAGTTTTCCTGAGCATTCCCTGGATCAAGTGTGAAACTGATGGACAGATACATGCATGCCCAGCCCTCAATGCCATTTCTACCAGCAGCCTTTCCTCCAGGTCAGACGACTCCTAATCTTGCTTTCATCAGACAAGGGGCAAAATCATCCCTGTGTCTTACTGCTTTTTAGCAATATCCTTCCTTTCACACATGGAAGAACCAGGAAACCCTAAATTCTCTCTTTTTAAATTAATTAATTTACTTTTAAAAATGATTTCCACATTTATTTTAGATTCTGGGTTTGTTACCCGGGAATACCGCATGATGCTGAGGTTTGGGGTATGACTGATCCCATCACCCAGGTACTGAGTATAGTACCCAATAAGTAGTTTTTCAACCCTTGCCCTTGTCCCTCCCTCCCCCACAGTAGTCCCCAGTTTCATTGTTGCCATCATTCTGTCCATAAGTACTCAATGTTTACCTGCCACTTATACATGCGAACATGCAGAATTTGGTTTTCTGTTCCTGCATTAATTCTATTAAGATAATGGCCTCCAGTTGCACCCATGTTGCCACAAGGAACATGATTTCATTTTTTATGACTGAATAGTATTCCACTGTGTATAGGTACCACATTTTCTTTATCCGCTCCACCACTGATGGTCACCTGGGTTGATTCCATGTCTTTGCTATTGTGAGAATAGTGCTGTGATGAACATACAAGTCTATGGGTCTTTTTGGTAGAATAATTTATTTTCTTTTGGATACATACCCAGTAATGGGATTGCTGGGTTGAATGGTAGTTCTGTTTTAAGTTCTTTAAGAAATCTCCAAACTGCTTTCTACCGCAGCTGAACTAATTTACATTCTCATGAAACAGTGTATAAGTGTTCCCTTTTCTCTGCAGCCTCACCAGCATCTGTTGTTTTTGACCTCCTAAATTCTCTTTCTAAAAGCAACATATTTGCTCTGACTCGTCCCGGCTCACCTCAACTACAGACCAGAATGAGGCCAGGCCAGCTCAGAAGGGTGAGTTGCTTAGTAACTGAAATCACTCATCCCTGTACCTCAGAGGCAAATGGTACATTTTGCTGTCCCTCAGGGTGTTTTGGGACATGACTCTGAATGACAGAGTTCCTTCCCAGAGTGCCGCAGAATGTTTGGGGCAAGAGCGAAGATCCTCATCTCTCACCTTTCTCTAGGGCTGGAACATCACCTGCCCCTTAGAGACGTGGCGTATTAAACAGACCATTTCCTTCTGTGCCTAAGGCTGCAGGCCATTTCCTGTCCCAGGCATTTCATAAAGTCATTTGGGAGTAGATAAGTTGGGGCTAACTATATAATTTCAGTTAATATATTAGAAGTTCACCTTCTTGGTGCTAGCCTATTTTCCCTATGAAAATGTATTCATCCTCATCTTGAACTAACTTCTGAAATATCTTAATGTGTAAGTCAGTCCTTACTGATGTGGAGAGACAATAGCTAGAGAGAAAAGGAGGGGAGATTCTATTGTTTTAGCTCAATCCACACCAACTGATTCACTCTAAAGAAGGACTGTCCCACCTCTTGGTTCACCCTAACAATGGTTTGAAGTATTATCTACCCATCCCTTGGGGGAAGAAAGAAGGGAGGAGGTCCTCAAAAGCATAGACCATGACTCTGCTGGATACTCCTTTGTAAAACTAGAGTGTCTAATTGTCTAGGTGAGTGGAGTGGGGATTCCCCCTTGCTTGTCAGTGGTAGTGGGGTGGGGGCTACAAACCCGAGTCTCTTCATTTAATAACTTCGATGAGAAGTAAGCAGTGATAGAACTATTTCACTACTGTTCACTATTATATATTATTTCATCTCATCGAAAAGGACTGAAAATTTTTGAAGTATGCAATTTTTCACCTCATTCATTCATCTGTGTTAAACTTTGAGTTTATACACAGAAAGTCCCAGTGAGCCAAACTATCCATTCACAGTTTATTTCTGGTTATTCATGATTCTTCGAAATTTGCACCATTTCTGGGATCAGTCTGCATAGAATTGGACTTTTATCAGATAATTCTCAACACATAAGGCAGAAATGTTCTAGCTGCCCATCTTGTTTTTAAGGAATTATATTATTCAGGCAGCAAAGTAGACAAACCATCCATCCCTTTCAGTTATTACCTCCCCAGAAGGTACCCATACTGTGATTTTTGTCATCAAACAGTTTTGCCTGTTTCTGATATTTAACTGAATGGAATCCTTCACTTAAATATCAACAACAGTGTTGTTCTCTTTGTGTCCTGCTTCTTTAGTTTAAAATAATTTCTGCTATTCATACGTGTTGTTGTGTGAACAGTCATTTAGTCACATTATTGCTGTGTAGCATTACCATTGTATAAATATACAGTCCATTTGTCCATTCTACTGTGGGGTAGTTTCCAGTTTTTAGTAACTGCAAATAAAGCTGCTAACAACATATTTGTACATACCTTTGGTGAACATATATAAGTATTTCTACTAGGTATATGCCTAGAAGTGGAATTTTTAAGATATATAGTATGAGTTTCTTTACAGAAGATATTGCCAGATAATTTTCTATAGTGGCTGTACAAATTTACACTTCCACTAGTAATGCATCAAAGTCTTTTTAAAACATTTAATTAACATAACTTTTGGATAAACTGGATACTATTCCACTATAATACTATTAAGACAAACAGAAGGGCAACTTTCCTTATGCCAGTGATACGGCTTTTGCCGCAACCAACCAGAGGAGTAGCCTTTGTGAGCAGCTGAAATTGTTGACTAAAGGATGCTTTAAAAATTCTGCATCAAAATATGGTCCTGGCCGGGCACGGTGGCTCACGCCTGTAATCCCAGCATTTTGGGAGGCAGAGGCGGGTGGATAACCTGAGGTCAGGAGTTCGAGACCAGTCTGGCCAACATGGTGAAACCTCATCTCTACCAAAAATACAAAAATTAGCCGGGCATGGTGGCACACACCTGTAATCCCAGCTACTCAGGAGGCTGAGACAGGAGAATCGCTCGAACCCGGGAGATGGAGGTTGCAGTGAGCCGAGATCATGCCACTGCATTTAGCCTGGGCAACAGAGTGAGACTCTGTCAAAAAAAATAAAAAAAGGAGAGAAAGAAAGAAAACAGAAAAGAAAGATAAGAAAAAGAAAAAAATATGGTTCTAATAAAATAATTGCATTTGGAAGATATTCTTCACTATTTAGTGGGCTACAGGTAACTCTATCCAGCAAGTCAATTCGTTCTGCTATGTTGAACTATATTTTGAAGTTAACTGATCCTGTAAGTACATCAAAGTTTAAATTCATCTTTTGAGATGGCCAAGTGGTAACCACTCTCTCAAAATCAGGTAGGCTCACCAAATCATTTTCTCTCAAACTTTATGGTGTAGAATCTAAAGAACCATCAGCTGTCTATTTTTCCAAGTGCCTGAGCAGAATGGAAGGTCCTGTCAGTGGGGCATGTTGGCTCTTCTCACTGTCCCCCAGCATCCATACACGAGGGAGTCATGTGCCAGCCATAGATGGGCAGAAATACAAGGATGCACCCGGGCCCCTGAATGTCACAACAATATGTCAGTTCTTTCACCTGTATGGCTGGTGGCTAGACACAGCACATGGATCCTACTTTTAGTAAGGATAATCGCTTTTCAGCACTTTGGGCACTCACCCATCAGAGAATCCAACTGTGAAAATTACTGTAATCTGGACTCGCCAAAAGCCCACTTGAGATTCATGGTATTTAACAGAACCATGCTGCCTGCCCATTCTGTAGCTTTCTTATGTTCTTCCACTGTATTAATTTAGATCATCAGAAATCCATGGGCATAAATCTTAATATTGTAGCTTTTTACAAAACTGCCTTCACTAATCTCAACTAGATGACAGACTCAACTAGATGACAAATAATTTCTTAACTCTTAGCAAGAAGCAACAGAAAGAAAACTATTAGAGATTTATATATCTCTTGCCAGAATGTAGCCAGGCATTGTCTATTATATTACCCAATGTTATAAGAATACAAATAATTATTCCAAGAAATGATAGAATTGTAGTCCTAGCAGGAACCAGCCGGGAGACCATACAAAGTGTTGAAATTCCCTTTTTGCTTCAGCTTCCAGAAAGCTTAGAGTTAACACTTGTGTTCAAATAAAATTCACGCAACACACACACACACACACGAATTCGAGAGGCAAATCTATAGAGACAGAAAGTAGATTAGTGGTTGCCTGGGGCTGGGCAAAGGAAGGGGGAATGACTGCAAATGGGCACAAGGTTTATTTTCCCTGGGTGATGGAAATGTTCTAAAATTAGATTGGCGAGATGGTTGCACAACTCTGTAAATTTACTGGGAAATCACTGAATTGTATTCTTAAATGAGTAAATTTAATGGTATGTAAATTAAACTTCAATCAAGCTGTTTTTAAAAAAATCAATCCAAGATAGATCATCGACATCAATGTGAAAGGTAAAACAATTAAACTGGAAGAAAATATAAGAGTACATCATCATGAGTTTGGAGTAGACAGGGATTCCTTAAACGGAACACAGAAAGCACTAACTATATAAGAAAAAAAATGATAAAATGGACTTAATTAAAATTATCATGTCTGTTAAACAAAGAATATCATTAAGGTAGTGAAGAACCAAGCTACAAGCTGGGGAGAGATATTTGCAATACTTTTATCTGACAAAAGACTCATGTCCAGGATATATATTTTTTTAAACTCCTACACATAAGCAGAAAGACAAACAACCCAATTTAAAAATGAGCAAAAGACTTGAACAGGTAGTTCACAAAAGATAGCTATCCAATTGGCTGATAAATGTGTGTACCTTTTACTACACAAATATCATGGTCACAGCTCTCTCAATTTCTAGTTCTGTATCTTCATGCCTCCTGATTTGTTTAATGGTTTTTATCTCCTTGTTGTATGTTTTGATATTTGTATCTGCCAGAGTCCCAACAGAAGGAAGACAGTGTGTGCAACTTAGAATAATTCAAGAAAGTTTTCTTTCCAAAGGGACTGTTTATAAAGGTCTGAGTTAAATGGAGGGGAACCACCAGAGGTGATCAAGAACCAGATGAGAAGCAACAGAAATGTCAGTCCCCTCAATAGCCAGGTGCAATGGGATGGGGGCAGTACTGGAACCCATTGGAGAGGGTCAGGCAGAGAAGCTACCTCTGGAGGAGTGATCACTGGGCCAGGAATAAAATCAGCCTGAGGCAACCTCACAGGTCAGGGGAGCCAGGGGAGAAATACTCAGGCCTCACTCTCTCTTCCCTGTGATCTCCTTGCTGGGGCTTCCATTGTTGAACCCGACTGAAAGCCAAAGGACAAGGTAGCTCTTATTCAATGCCATCCATCAGGTCAGCCATCTGGGGCAGAGAAGGCAGAGAGTGGCTCTGGAGGAGCAAATGGAAGAGATCTGGAACACCATTGCAAGCTGCCTGGAATCCCTTTTAAAATACGCAGGAAATAGATAAGTGAACAAGTACCACAACCAGTAAAACTATGTTCCTGAGACCGAGAAAGGAAATTCTTTTTTTTTTTTTTTTTTGAGACAGAGTCTCACTCTGTCACCCAGGCTGGAGTGCAGTGGCGCGATCTCGGCTCACTCCAAGTTCCACCTCCTGGGTTCACACCATACTCCTGCTTCAGCCTCCAGAGTAGCTGGGACTACAGGTGCCCACCACCACGACTGACTAATTTTCTTTTTTTTTTTTTTTTTTTGGATTTTTACTAGAGACAGAGTTTCACTGTGTTAGCCAGGATGGTCTCGGTCTCCTGACCTTGTGATCCACCTGCCTCGGCCTCCCAAATTGCTGGGATTACAGGCGTGAGCCACTGCGCCCAGCCGAGAAAGGAAATTCTTCAGAGACATTATATTAGCCTTTTATATGTAATTTGTGAAGCAGAAGGAAGACAGGAAAAGGTAGTGGTTCATTATCCTATATCCAACCAAGATAATGCCCTGCATAATTTGTTTTCTATTGATTGGACATGGTGCTGACTCCTGTCCAAAAGTGAATTAGACATCCTTAGTAGTAAATGATGTGGCTTCTTCTTGCTCCACAAACTCCCTTCAGAACCAGCATCTGGGCACTTGGGAAAGGTTATGTTCCCCTAGAAATAGCAAGTAAATCTCCTCTTCAACAGGTACTTCTTGGTCTGAACAGCCTGTAAGGGACCTTCAGCCTCTCCTCTCCTTTCTCCTCCAGCACAGCACACTTCCAGAGCTGCCCTGCCCATTGCCATGAGCCAACTCTCTCCACTTTGTCACTCACCCTTACTCAGTTCTCAACCACGGTTTCCATTAGTGCAGGATCCAAGATGTTGTCTACATTGATTTTCTTAAAAGGTTTTAAAAGTGTCAATCAAGAAGCACACTTATGGATTCTTGCGTTTCACAAGCCTCCATCTACAAGGTGAGCTGGGACACTGAATACTCACTTGCTTCCTATTACAAACCTCTCTGTATTATGGCACAAATCAAAACCAAGCTGTTCTATGCAGTGGCCTTCTCTGCATCTGAAATAATAACCTCGTATATTTATCAGTTTATTTGCCTATTGTCTCTCCCACTAGAACAAAGACTCATGTGAACAGGGATCTTATCTGTCTTGTTCAGAAAATATCCTTACAACTCAGCAAAGGGGCTTGGCACCTAATAGGCTAAATGTATGCTAAATAAATAAGCAACTTCATGTGACTTCCTTTCTTTGACTTCTCCATTGGGACCACCTGGCCTTAAGTCTGCCATCCTCTCTAATTCAGCCAGCTTTATAGTAAGTCCACTTGTGATACAAAGAGACTACAGGATGTCCCTAAAACATTTCTCTCTGTCTCTCTCTCTCTCTCTCTCTCTCTCTCTCTCTCTCTCTCTCACTCTCTCTCTCTCTTACTCTTTCACTCTCTCTGAAAGCTGGCTGGCCAGCAGCAGGAATAGTGTTCACTATGTTGCTTCACATCACAAACTCAATATTGTGCTAAGCCAGTCATCTCAACAGTGAGTCCACATGCATCCATCTGAGCACACTGTTTCATCTAGCCCACTGCTTATTCCCAACCACATTCACCAAATTCCACTCCTTTCTCCTTTCACCCAGGCCTCTCCAATGTTCACCACGCAAGCAAAAATATCAAGAGTCCTGCCGTAGACCTTAACCACCAGTAAACTTGAACAATAGAGCATTGAAAAATATAACACAATCATATATTTATAATTTTTTGAGTTGAAAATATCATTAGCTTTTGGTCCAACAGCTTTCTTGACCACAACCCACAGTAGGATATACATTTTACCTCCCAAATGAGTACACATTCATTCTTTCAGCAAATATATGTTGATCCAGTATATGTGCCAAGCACTGTTCTAGGTGCTAAAAATAAAACAGTAAACAAAATAAAAGAGTAAACCATGCCTGCTCTCAGGGAGCTTATATTCTAATGTAAACTCACCTGTATGTGTGTGTCTATGTGTGTGTTATTTTTTGTTTATTTGCTTGTTTGTTTTAATGCTATCACAACCCTCTAAATTATTTCCAGACTCACTAATGAGTGATGACTCATAGCTTGAAAATTACTAAGCTAGTCCTATATTTTCCTATGTTTCCTATATGGAAACAGTTCTATAGAGAGTGAAAACAGTGAGTCTGACTTTGCACCCCTTACCTGGAAGTGCCTGCAGATATCCAAGAGGAGGTGTCTAGCAGACATTTACATATACAGATGTGAAGCTCCAGGAAGAAATTTAGAATGGAAACACAAATCTGGGAGTCAGCAAGCTGAAGCCATGGACTGAATAAAATGTTGCAAAGAAAGTGCATAAATTATTTTAAGAATCTTCTGTGGGATGCCCAGGGGAACACCAACATTTAAGGAATGTTCAGGGGAAGAAGACCAAGACATATAGAAAACCAAGGAAGAGAGGAGTGAAGGAAGTTCCAAGAAGGGTCATAGTGTTCACATTACAAAGAGGTAAATAAAAATAAGGCCAGCAAGCATGCATTAGATCTGGCAGTTAGGGACATCTGGTGACCACTGCTTCCTAGAGAAGTTACATTAATAATTTGACATGGGGAGAAACTAGGTTGAAGATGACTGAGAAATGAATGGGAGATATTAAGTGAACACCGTGCTTTTGAAGAGCTTGCCAGGGAAAGGAAGGAGTGAGCAGCCAGTAAAATCGCTGGAGAAGGGGGAGAGACACTGGGGTGGGGGGGATATTTCAAATTAGAAAGAAGGGGACATATTCACGAAGCTAAGGGATAAAAGCCAGACAGTGTTGGAAAAACTCTTCTAGACATCAACCTCGGCAAAGAATTCATGACTAAGACCCCAAAAGCAAATGCAACAAAAATAAAAATAAATAAATGGGACCTAGTTAAACTAAAAAGCTTCTGCACAGAAAAAGAAATAATCAGCAGAGTAAACAGACAACCCACAGAAAGGGAGAAAATTGCAAACTATGTATCCAATGAAGGACTAGTGTCCAGAATCTATAAGGAACTCAAATAGATCACCAAGAAAAAAACAAATAATCCCATTAAAAAGTGGGCAAATATTATGAATAGACATTGTTCAAAAGAAGATATGCAAACAGCCAGTAAACGTATGAAAAAAATGCTCAACATCACTAATCATCAGGGAATGCAGATTAAAACCACAATCAGATACCACTACCTTACTCCTGCAAGAATGGCCATTATTAAAAAGTCAAAAAATAATAGATCTTGGTGTGAATATGGGGAAAAGGGAACACTGTTACACTGCTGGTGGGAATGTAAACTAGTACAACCACTATGGAAAACAGTGTGACAATTCCCTAAAGAACTAAAAGTAGAACTAACATTCGATCCAGCAATCCCACTACTGGGTATCTACCCAGAGGAAAAGAAGTCATTATATGAAAAAGACATGCACATGTATGTTTATAGCTGCACAGTTCACAATTGCGAAGCCTTTGTGAACCAACCTAAGTGCCCATCAACTAATGAGTGGAGAAATAAAATGTGTTTTTCTTATATATACACCATGGAATTCTACTCAGCCATTAAAAGGAAGAAAACAGTGTCTTTTGCAGCAACTTGGATGGAGCTGGAGGCCATTATTCTAAGTGAAGTAACACAGGAGTAGAAAATCAAAAACCGTATGTTCTCACTTGTAAGTGGGAGCTAAGCTATGAGTACACAAAGGCACACAGAGTGATATAATGGACTTTAGAGACTCGGAAGGGGAAGGGTAGGAGGGGGGCCAGGGGTTAAAAACTACATATTGGTACAATGTACACTACTCTAGTTACAGGGCACTAAAATCTCAGAATTCACCACTATGTAATTCATCTGTATAACCGAAAATCACTTGTACCCCAAAAACTATTAAAAAATTTTTTAAAGGTTTGCCCAAATAAGATTAACCATAAAAAAAAGAAAATATTTGTTAGGAGCAGTTTTATCAGGCATTATGATGGTTCCCCAATCTCTAAAGCAAGTTAGGTGGGGAGAAGTCATTATAGGCATCATGATCTTGAGGGGCTGCTGTGAGAGAGTGTGTGTGTGTGTGTGTGTGTGTTCATGTGTTGAGAGTGTGTGTGTTCATGTGTGTTGAGTGTGTGTGATATGTGTTCATGTGTGCTGAGTGTGTGATATGTGTGTGTTCACGTGTGTTGAATGTGTGTGATATGTGTTCATGTGTGCTGCGTGTGTGATATGTGTGTGTTCATGTGCGTTGAATGTGTGTGATATGTGTTCATGTGTATTGAGTGTGTGTGTGTTTATGTGTGTTGAGTGTGTGTGATGTGTGTGTGTGCTATGTACTGGGGTACAGAACAAGAAAGAGCTGGGAAGCACACCTTCTATTCTGTGTTCACCTAATTCTAACAAAAACCAAATCAACAACCCTAACTCTATACCTGAGTTTGTTTTACAATTGTTGTTGTTATTATTGTCATTATTATTCTTTTAAAGCAAAGATTCATCTTTTACAACAGCTCTTGGAGGCAATTCTCTTTCAGAGATGTGGGAGAGTGAGCTGAACTATGCCACAAAACAACCTCAGGTAGACCACGGACTAGAAACCTTGCATGTTGCCTGGAAGTAAAGATTCCTCAGTAGCCTAAGATGGAAATGTACATCTCCAATTTTTCTTTATAAAACAGACAGCAGTTGCCAAAAACATGGTTCCTTCATGGCTCTGTTCCCAAAATGATATGTCCAGCTGGCACTTAGTTTCCTATAATAGCGTGTGCTCTGTTACCCTGTAAACTCTACTGCAGAAACGGGATTCTAGCAGGCAGATGGGAGAGCCTCATGGATGATGATAGAAAGTGGGAAAGTGAGTGAAGAAGAGAATAATCCCCCACATCATCCTGAACTCCCTCAAAAGGCTGAACAGCAAAAAGGGGACCAGTTGGCTTCAGGGACGTGGGTGTCAGAGGATTTACACTTCAAGGAATCAGACACTATAAACAAACACAGTTATACTCATACCTCCTACATTATTCAGATTAACAAATATACATATCCCATGATCATTCCCAAATCAGCTCAGTGCTAGGCTTTCCTAGGAATGGTGATTCCCACCCCTCTCCTAATGGCAACAGTAAACCTAAAAGATACCTTTGGATCTAGAAAGACACAGGTCCTCAGCAGCTCTAAAATGGTTGGCAGAGAGTGATGAAAATTTTTATTATCATTGATATGGTTTGGATATTTCACCCTCCCGATCTCATGTTGAAATATGAGTCCCAGTGTTGGAGGTGGGCCCTGGTGGAAGATGTTTGAGTCATGGGGATAGATCCCTTGTAAACAATAATGAGTGAGTTCTTGCTCTGTTAGTTTCAGTGAAATCTGATTGTTAAAAAGAGCCCGGCACCTCCTTCACTCTCTCTCACACCTCCTGTCTCACCATGTGATGTCAGCTCCCTCTCACTTTCCACCGTCAGTGGAAGCAGCCTGAGGCCCTCACCAGAAGCAAATACTGGTCCCATGCTTCCTGTACAGCCTACAGACCATGAGCCATCTTTTTTCTTTCTTCTTTTTTTTTTTTTTTTTTTTTGAGACGGAGTCTCGCTCTGTCGCCCAGGCTGGAGTGCAGTGGCGCGATCTCGGCTCACTGCAAGCTCCGCCTCCCAGGTTCACGCCATTCTCCTGCCTCAGCCTCCCGAGTAGCTGGGACTACAGGCGCCCGCCACCACGCCCGGCTAATTTTTTGTATTTTTAGTAGAGGCGGGGTTTCACTGTGTTAGCCAGGATGGTCTCGATCTCCTGACCTCATGATCCGCCCGCCTCTGCCTCCCAAAGTGCTGGGATTACAGGCGTGAGCCACCGCGCCCGGCCGAGCCATCTTTTCTTCATAAATTACCCAGCCTCAGGTATTCCTTTATAGCAACAGGAACCAGACTAAGGCAATCGTGTATACAGGGTGTGCTGTATGCCCTGCACTCTATTCACATTTTTGCCTTGAATCCTCATCATGGCCTTGCAATTCACATTTTTGCATTGAATCCTCATCATGGCCTTGCAAACAGGCATTATTAGCCTTATATTTTTATATGCAGAAACTGAGATGCAGAAAAAATTATTTGCTAGCAGTCACACAGAAAGGGGGTAGCAGAGCACAGCTCCCAGAATAGGTCGTCAGGCTCCAAAACCCATAGAAACCATGCAATGAGCCATACTTCAAGTAAGAAGATGGCCCTTCCATCCCCTGATTCATAAGATGGCAGCTGAGGGTTATTTTCCCTTATAATAACTGATGGCAGTCAGGTAAACATTCTTGCCCTCTCCTCCCTGGAGCCAGCAGTTGCCAATGGCAGAATGGTTTGATACAAAGTTATTTCCCAGGAAATCTAACTTTTCTGAGTAGCATAATTATGCAGCAAATGTTCTGTAGGCCTTATCTTAAATGTAAGGAGTTGGAGGTCAAACTAACCACTAAAGTCAGGGGAATTCAAAAGAATAGATAGCATGCAATTCACACATGCTAATGGACTCTCTCTACACTGAACATACACACAAAACTGCTGCAATTTTAGGGGCCAGCCAGGTGCAGTGGCTCACGCCTGTAATCCCAGCACTTTGGGAGGCAGAGGCAAGTGGATCACCGGAGGTCAGGTGTTCAAGACCAGCCTGGCCAACGTGGTGAAACCCCGTCTCGACTAAAAATACAAAATTTAGCTGGGTGTGGTGGTGCATGCCTGTAATCCCAGCTACTCGGGAGGCTGAGGCAGGAGAATCGCTGGATCCTGGGAGGCAGAGGCTGCAGTGAGCCAAGATTGTGCCACTGCACTCCAGCCTGGGCAGCAGAGTGAGACTGTCTCAAAAAAACAAAACAAAAAAATCGCAGGGGCCCATGGGCCTCCTGAAGACCCTCAAGAGACCTATAAGTCAAAAGATCCAAGTTCCTAACCTGACTCTTCCACCAATTCCCAGAAAGCTCTTCATTCCTCCATATGATGAAATGATCACTCTAGCCCCTTCCCACTCTTAGGTTATGTCTAAGTGTGGATGCCTCTTGATCAGCAGCAATATTTAAGGACAAAAATAAACATAAGGCGATGACAAGCTCCGCTATACCTGATGAAAACACATTTCTGAAGTGTAAGCAAATGGACATTTGTCAGTAAATAGTTTAATGTTAGAATAAACGTTCTTTCCTCTCATAGCAAGCTTCATTTTCCTTCACCAAATGGCTCTTCAATCTCCCTCACCTCAGCAGAACCCCAGGATCAGATGGTGGGAGGGAGGGACAAATGATCACAGAACTCTGCTTGGTAAAATATGAGAGTGACTCCAGCCAGAACAGATGTTTGCATCATCACTTAGCCATGTATCACCAGGGAACAGCTGGGAAGTGTTGTGTGTTGCCAAATTTGATCAAAAGAATTTTAAGTTTGGAACAATGTTTAGAGATGATCAGCATGAAGAGGCGAAAAATAAAGGAGTCTTAAAGTTACAGAACTTGCTTAAACCATCACAGTAACAAAGGTGATGTTTAGGTAGCAGAAGCCTCCGATGGAGGATTGCTTAGGCCACCAGGCCAGGGAACGAATGCTTAAGCAAAGACCTAGAAGCCAAAGTTTCTCAAGGCCTCTTCAGGGAACAGCAACTAAAATTATTTGAACTCGAGTTCTCCATGGGGACAGAGTAATATAAAGAAGAGTAAAGCCAATAAAAAAGCACCAATTTCGATATTTTGAAGATATATACATTATAGATGGAGCAAGGTAGAGCAGTATGTACTCTGATCTTCAGAAAGTTGTGGAATAATAACACAATTACACAAGGATAGTTTTGAATGTCTTGCATTTGTTTAATGCAGGTGTTTCATTGTTAAGTTTATTTTCCTATCTAATTTTGAGGCCAACCAGCTGAAATTCTCCAGAGAGGAAAGCAAGAGTGTCAGGAATGCTGAGGCTCTTGCACTCATCCCAGGGACTGTGCACAGAGCCACAGTCATAGATGAGGACCCCAGAACATGCGGTGGTAACCCTGGGCCATGCAAGGAGGACTGATTACCTCCAGGCAGGGATGGGGCACCAACACTGCCATCAGGAGAAAGCCTATAAGCAAAGCCTCCTAGAGTCTCATATGGTGCTGCCCCAATTTGGTAGCCACGAACCACATGTAGCTATTTAAATTTTAATTTAAACTTTAGTTCCCTAGTTGCACTAGCCCTGTTTCTTTTTTTTTTTTTTTTTTTTTTTTTTTTGAGATGGAGTTTCGCTTGCATCGCTCAGGCTGGAGTGCAGTGGCGTGATCTCAGCTCACTGCAACCTCCGTCTGCCAGGTTCAAGCGATTCTCCTGCCTCAGCCTCCTGCGTAGCTGGAATTACAGGCTTGTGTCACCATGCCCAACTAATTTTTGTATTTTTGCAGAGTTGGGGTTTCACCATGTTGGCCAGGCTGGTCTCAAACTCCTGACCTCAGGTGATCCACTTGCCGCTGCCTCCCAAAGTGCTGGGATTACAGGCATGAGCCGCGGCCCCGAGCTCTGCTAGCCCTGTTTCAAGTTCCCAGCCACATATGGCTAGTGTCTACCTTATCAGATGTTGCAAATACAGAACATCTCTATCATCACAGAAAGTTCTATCGGACCATGCCAGTCAAGAGTAAATCTTCTTGAACGTTAATGTGCCTTTAAATCACTTGAAGATCTTATTAAAATGTAGCTTCTTATGGAGTAGTCTGGGGAGGGGCCTGAGTCTCTGCATTTCTAACAAGCTCCAGGTGGATGCAGACGGTCGTGGCCATGGCCCTTGCTGAGAGGCTAGGGAGGAGGCACAATGACCCTGTTCAACGCTGGCCTTGAGCTGAATGGTAAACATGTCTCCTGCTCTTACACAAAGAGCACCTTGTACATTCAAATTGCAGTTCTATAAAACAGTGAATGTTAGACGATACAGAATCACTTTCCCTTGTCTACCCTTCCACCCTTACACTATGTGGTTTTCAAAAATTTCAGGGTTCGAAGCAAAAATATACAGACCACTGAATCTCTATCTTCGCTACACTATCTGCAATGGAGATTTCCTTAAGAGAAAGCCTGCCCGGTATAATTTAAGCAGCTGTGTTTCTAGAAGATAAGAGCAGCCCTTGTACATTCGGACACAATGGTATCTTAAAGAGAAACAGGCATGTGCAAAAATTCAATGTGGCTGCATTAGTACAACATATTTAGAGTAATGAAAAAGAAGAAAGAAGCTCTCCAAGCTTAAAAACAGAAAATTGCATCACAATAGAAAAAATCCCACAGATAAATATACCAAATAATCTATCTGTAGCATTGCCACAGTTTCCAAACAGAAATAACTCACACGGTTTCATCTTTAAAAACAAGAAGACAGATATATCTGTGATGTACATAACCTAACATTTCCAAATGATCCCAATTAATCATATAACTATCCACACAAAGTAGGTCTTACTGTTTTCATTTTTACAGGTGTGAATACCAACTCTCAGACGAAGTAAGAAACTGCCTGGGGTTCACCCAGTTCTATCTGGCTTTGCAACTCATACTGGTTTTATTGTCCTGCGCTACTGCTCCAACTAGTATGAAAAACTAGTTTACAAGTAGATGAGAAGAGGGCAATGACACCCTGTAAGCAGAATAACTATTGCAGACTGGCAGCCTCTTCTCCCAGCTAGCTACAGTTTACTCACCTGCAAGTGGAATGGCTCACCCATCTGTCCATTAAAAGATTAATCTTATCATTAAGAGATTTCTGCTAAAAGCACTGAGGGAAAACATAAACCAGTATGTTCATTATTTAATCTTGCTGGGTTTTACAGGATTTACAGTAATTATGGGTTAATGTAGATATATATCCTAGATTATAGAATAACCATCCAGAGAAAAATCCAAGAGTGAGCTTGTAACAAGGTCCCCTGCATGAGAATTAGCAGCCAGAGTACAACCTGGGACGTGACAACTGGTATGAGCATGTTCTCACAACCAAGCAACCTGGCTGAAAAGTGAGTCATGAGGTTGTGGGGAGAGGTGGGGGCCATCAGAGCATTCATCATCCTAGCTTGTGAGAGTGAATGGGGGCACTCACAGACAACAGGAGTATGCATGAACTGGCCCGGGGAAACCTGTCCAGCAGGCACCTTATTCAGAAGCCTTGATGTTAGGGAGTTGGATTTTTCTCTGAAAGGAGAGGAAGCCACCAAATGAGTGGCATAATCCAACTTTGCATTTTAGAAAGACCTTCCTATGGGCCGGGCGCAGTGGCTCACACCTGCAATCCCCACACTATGGGAGGCCGAGGCGGGAGGATCACTTGAGGTCAGGAGTTCGAGACCAGCCTGGCCAACATGATGAAACCCCCATCTCTACTAAAAATACAAAAATTAGCCAGGCATGGTGGCACATGCCTGTAATCCCAGCTACTCGAGAGGCTGAGGCAGGAGAATTGCCTGAACCCAGGAGGCAGAGGTTGCAGTGAGCCGAGATCATGCCACTGCACTCCAGCCTGGGCAAGAAGAGTAAAACTCCGTCTCAAAAAAAAAAAAAAAAAAAAACAACCTTCCTGGCCCTTGCGTGGAGAACAGGGCTAGAAGAGGAAGAGATTATTAAACCTCACAGGCTTAGTCCATAAGAAATGTGTGCACATGTGCTCACAAGCGTGAGCAAACCATCCTAAGAAAATTCAGAATCTGGGGCTAATTTTAAACCCGCTAATGTTGACCTAAATTAGACACAAAAAAAGTTGAATTCTTCCTATGCCAAAACTAACCCCCAACTCTCATGCTCCTCCCCTGGCAAGGTCTACTGCATGGTATTATAGAAAGTGGAACCAGCCCTTCAGGCCAGAGGGCACCACCTGGAAAAGCAACAAGCCATTGTCCTCAATAGGGAAACAGTTACCAACAGCAAAATGCAGCCAGACGAAAATCTGTCTGGATTGTTCCAGTCATTTGTTGAGCATCTCCTACATGTTGGCACTGCAAATGTAAAGATAACCGAGGCACAATTCCTGTTCTCAAGAAACATATGGACAGACAAGGCAGTTATTCTGATACAATGTGAGAGGCATGGCAGAGGCCGGCCCCGGTGCTAAGAGCACAAAAGAGGAGCAGGTGATGCACGCTCTGTGTCATCGTGTCTTTTGGCACAAAGTGTGGTTTCCAGACTTAGCAACATCCTGTATTACCTGGAAGCTTGCTGGAAATGCAGAATCTCAGGCCCACCTCAGATGAGTTAGCCAAAGGAGGATAAGTGGGAGGAGGCATTTAAAAGACAGGAAATGGCAGAAGCAAAATGACCGGTGTGAGAGGGATGGTTGCACATTCCCAGCTTGCAGAGATCAACATGCCTGAAGCACAGACTAACAGGCACAAGGTGGTAAACAGAGAAGCTTTGAAGGGGTGGAGAGGAAGACCAGGTAGAACCTTCTGAGTTACAGGCCTGAGACACATCACTGTACTTGGCAGAAGGGACACCAAGGAGATCAGGTGGTCCAGACAAGCTTCGGTTTGGAGGGAGCCAAGAGTTGTCTGGCACAGGCTTGAGAACTTGGAGAAGGGAACTTAGCTGGTTTTGTGAAACCAAACAAACTTATTTCCCCTTAATGACATTGCTTCCCAGCTAGATCTGTGCCAAAGAGTAAAAAGAAAAGCACTCAAAGAACCTTCACTACTCGATCTCAGTCCAGGCACAGGGCTTGGGCAGGGTTTCTTAAAGGCACCTAAGTATAGGAATTACCTGGAGCATTTGTTCAAAATTCAGGTTCCCAGACCAAAGTGTAATCTGTGGAATCAGAAACCCATGAGAATGGCCTGAGGAGTATAGGCTTGGGAAGCAGCCAGGGTGATTCCACACATCAGGAAACCTGGGGTCTGTGGGTGAGGGATGGAGAGCACCTGATTCCTAACACTGTAGGTGGTCAGCAAGTCATAGGTTCCCCTCTGGCCCTGTCACAATAACCCAAGAGGTTGGAAGGTGCTGACTCCACTCCATGTGCTCTTTATAGAGGTTGTTCAGGTCACACATCCCTTAGGGGACAGAACATGAAAAACAGTCTTGCTCGGTACCTGACCTAGAAAGGTGTCATTCTTGATGTGCTAGTCTTACATATTTAATGGTAGACTTGTTCCTCTCTCCATATTTGATTCATTCAATACTCATCATTCAGTACCTGTTAGGTACAGGCACCTAATAGGTACAAGCAAGAAAACTTGAGTTCTCTGACAGATGAAAGTATTAGTTAATGTTAGTATGAACTGACTCTTGAACTTTGACAAATATAAGTATTTATATATATATGAATATATGTATATATCTAACTCAGTGTCTTTATACCTTTTAAAAAGATGAATCTAGAAAAAAAAATGAGCAAAAAGCATGAATAAGCATTTCACAGAAGATAAAACTTAAAAGGCCAGCAAGCATATGAAAAGATGTTCAACTGATCAGTAATTGGGAAAACAATAATTAAAAAACATTTCCTATTCATGAGCTTGGCCAACTTTTTAAAGTCTGACATTTCCAAGGTTTGGTGGGATGCAGAGAAACTGGACAGCGTCCTACACTGCTAACAGGAGCATAAGTAAGCGCGACCAGTTTAGAAAACAACTTGTCATTACCTAGCAGAGGTGATGATGTACATAGTAAGTACTTCTGCTTCTAGATGGAAACCCCAGAGGAGTAGCAAACATGACTATAAAATATGTATAAGAATGTTTATAGGCCGGGTGAGGTGGCTCACACCTGTAATCCCAGCACTTTGGGAGGCCAAGGCAGGTGGATCACCTGAGGTCAGGAGTTCAAGACTAGCCTGGTCAACATAGTGAAACCCCATCTGTACTAAAAATACAAAAAATTAGCTGGGCATGGTGGTACACACCTGTAATCCCAGCTACTTGGGAGGCTGAGGCAGAAGAATTGCTTGAACCCGGGAGGCAGAAGTTGCAGTGAGCCGAGATCACACCATTGTATTCCAGCCTGGACAACAGAGCGAGACTCGGCCTCAAAAAAAAAAAAGTATGTTTATAGTAGCATACTTTGTAATTGAATAAAACTGGAAACAATTCACACATCCATTGACAAAAGAATGGAAGGATACTTCCATATATACATATATACATATCCACACATATAAACCACACACACACACACATATATATACATGTGTGCTCATGTTGGTCTGATGTATTTTATAAATATTTAGTCCTCAGTTCATTTAGTAATTATAATAATTTTCATTATTTATACCATGTATTAAGGCATGTGCTGGGTGTTCTTTACATATCTCTAATCATCATTAAAACCTTGTAAGGTATAATCATTCCGCTGCAGTTGGAGAAGATGAAGTTGGGTGATGCCTTTAGCCTAAAATCACACCACTTGGAAATACTGAAGCTCAGATTTGCACCCATTAACTCCAAAGCCCAAGTTCTTCCTACCATATCAAGTTCTTTCCAGAAAGATCTTTAACCCAATAATGTATGTTTTACTCATTATCTTGATAATGATGTAAGCATGAAAGCAAGTTAATTCCTCCTAACCTTGCCCTTGATATGTAGATCTACTCTTCATTGAAGCTAAAACACACACGCACACACACACACAACTCATATGTAATAGCAACAAATAATGGACGGCATGGCCTCCTTAGGAAAAAATGAAAGCTAATTAAAATAATCTCTATTGAATGTAGGCTAAATTTATTTGTGCTGAGGTTCTATAATTCATGAGAATTAACGTGACTGATCCATAGAAGATATTCACATAAAGAGGAAATAAGCAGTTAATACTTCTCTTCGTAGTCATGCCATAGCAAGTGGCCATCAGCTTCCAGAGCTGATGCCTCCCGTCACATCTGAAGCTCTCCTACTGTGATGTCTCACCACTGCTTGGGGCTCAGGTACTCTGTACAATGAGAGCTTCCTTTCAGGTTCCTGTCACTTGGAAGATCCATCTTGATCCTGGCTCCAGCCCCCTGCTTGGCAACTCAGCCCTATCAATTATTAATCCATCTCCAGCTTTCATCGCCCGTTTCTCCCTCTCCCTTTGATCTTTTTCCTCAGCTTACAAACATTCTCCCCAGGACATCCTTAAAAATGCCCTTTGCTTTCACTCTGATATGCTCTTATGCACTAAGCTCTCTCTCCCACTCCCTTCTCTGCCCACCTTGTAGAAGGAGCCCAGCCTGTCCCAAGGTCCCACGTCCTTGCCACCTTCTCATCATTTAATCCTGTTTCCTCATCTACAAAACTGAGATAATCATGCTTCTTCCTGGGCCTTCGTGAGGCTTCTGTGAGAATGTGTGCATGATGCCAGGTGCTGAGTGGGAGATTATTAGTCTTCTCCTTCTTAACAATTTTTCTCTCTCTCTTGGATTCCATTTTGCCCCTTATTCTTTATCCTGGTCCTGGGTCTTCGTCTCTTGTCTCTGCCATTTGTTCAGGGATCTCATTCAGCCCCCTGGCTCCAACTCTGACCTCTATGCAGAGATGCGAATGATTCTCAAACTCAATATCCAGACTTAACCCTTCACGCATAAGTCAGCAGGTCCCAAGCCAACCCCAGATCACAGAGAACCCACTATTCACCAACTGCTTCTCCTCACCACCACCATTGCCAGTTTCTTAGAATTCGGATATCGTAATCATCATGAACTCCTTTGTTCCCCCATCACTAATCACTTACTAAAGGCTGTCTTATTCTATATTATACATAATGCTTGAATCAAGGCCTTTCTGATCATACCTTATCCCTAGCCTTGGTCTCAACACCTCTAGTTGAAACAACTTCAAGAGACACCTGCCTAACTCCTTCCCTGCTCCTGTATCTCTTCCCTCCTCTTTGTCCTACAAGCCAATGCAGAGAGACCTTCCTAAAACACAACCCTTGTCCCACGCTGGCCCCTCCTTCTGCAGCCCCCTGTAACCTCCAAATAAAACCCCAAGATTGGCTCCATTTGGTAGAAGCTCCATTTGGTGGAAGCTGAGTGATCTGTACCAGCCACCATATTGAGAAATTTTTATCCCTGTACATGTGTATAAGTACATGTAAATGTATATCATGTGGGTTTAGACACGTGCAGATGACAAAGACCTAAGGCAGACTAATGCTCAGAGTAGAAAAGAGTAATTAGTAAGCTGGCAGATCATAAGTCTCTCCACATATTTGTTCCTTAACTTGTTAAAATTATAAAACAATGACCATGATAAAAGAAAAACTTTTTTTTCATAAAATGGCTTGCTTTTTTTTAAGAAATGTCTTTCATTTCACACCAACGAGCCAGCAAACATTCACCTATCTTTTTCACTCTAAAGTTTAAAGCCGTTGGTAGCCCCACGTCCATATCTTCGATGTTTAAAAACAGATGTTTAAAAATTACAGATTTCCCTAAAATCTGAAAAGCTGGCCTCTTGAAAACTCAGCTGACCACTTGGCACTGGCTCAGCATGGCATCACCCCTGTGCAGGGAGCTGGCTGGAGAGGAGTAACAAACAGCTGTCCCTGTGGCCAGGCCACCCACCCTGCTCTCTGGCCACATTCATGCCTGCACCACTTAGTTCCTTTAGATCACCTATCTGACCCCTGTAGGAATTTGATGCTTTGGCCCCTCATATAAACAATGAGGTCTTATTGTAATTCCGTGGTATTAGAGCCCTGTGATAGGCAAAGCATGTCCAGCAAGTTCATTCTGAGCAAAACATCCTTTTAGGTGAGATCCATTGGCCCTTTATTGAACTCATGGAAGGAGCACGTTCATTTCAGATTGTACATTTCCAGCTTCTTGGGAATGTCCAATAGCGTGGATGTTTGAGAACATCAGCCAGTTCAGATGTACGCCTTCCCTCATCTAACTAGTCTCCCTGCCATAAATGAATATGACATTGGTATAATGTATTTCGTGTTTTGCACAATGAAACTAGCACCACATGTGCTTCCAAATGCTCATTATTCCCATGTGGATAATTTATTCTCCTACATTTTCAGGGATATGAGTTAGAATGACTTGTTATGCCCTCCAAAATCATCTTTGTTTTCTTAAAAATGCTAGGACAAACTGAATTAAAATCTAAAATTTTTAATTTATCTTAATTAATACTCTAGCCTTTCCTTCCTTATTCTATTCTGATTTTTTTCCCTATTCTAACTTTTTACTTTGTATTTCACAAGGTATAATCTTAAACAGTTTTGTGGTTAAGTTTAGCGTTTTTTTTTATGAGATGAAACATTTGACTTCTCTGCTATTTTAGGTTCTGAGAGTATCAGCTTTTGCTGAAGGTATAAAGGTGTCAAAAGTGTCACTTGTCCTTCTCTTGTCTCTGATTTGTTGACCATGAGGCCCTTTTTAACTTCCCCAATTGCAGCTCCCTTACTATTTTGTCTTCTCCAGTTTTGTGCCTGCACTTGGTGTTATTTTTCCATACTCTCACCTCCTGACCTGGCCTGAGTTCTAGGTGGAAGTTTCCATTTGCCTTTCAGGAATGAGCTCTTATCAAAAGATCACTAACTCATAAACATGCTTGCTTGCCAGCTGCTGGCACAGCACTCTGCAGAGAGAGGACACTTAGTTCAATGTGGGACTTGGGCTTCTTCAGAGAAACCCTAGCACTCTTCAGAAGGAACCCGTGGCAGCTCGAGGCATAGACAATCCTCATTAGGTACCCAATATTTATTAACTAAACTCTTCACCCAACTCCCTTCCCTCATTGCATTCCCAATCTAGTGGCTGGAAAGGACACTGCCACACACCTGGAAGCAATGGACTTAAAACACGGCATTGCAAGAGTCTTCCCCACATCCGGCCCTCTGGATGCCTAGCCTTGTCCCAGGATGCTGGTTAACTTGTATGATGACAGGGAAGGATGGGCTAGAGTGATATTTTAAGTGCAATCTCCTCCATAAACCACTTCTACAGCTCTGGCCTTGCCACTGAGCCAGGAGCCAAGTCTGCCAGGTCACTATGTTTCCTTTGCCCCAAGGAATCCAGGAAAATACCGAGAGCACTGCCAGATGGCAAGCAGCCACCAAGGCTGCTGGGTGGCCCGGGAGGAATGTGACTGTGTGTCCTTTGTGTGGTGTGGCCCCCTCCCTCAGCCTGGCCAGCCTCTGCTCCCCAGCAGTCCACGCACATTCCAAGGTTTTATGTGTGCATTTCAATGAAGCCCAGCACCCCACCACAGAAAATGTCACCACTGCCTCAGGCCCTCCGGGACTTTTAAAGCTTTGAGCCCAGCAGGTTAAACTTATAAAACAAAGGTCATAGATCACTCATCCAATGCCTGAATAAATATCTGTTTGTAAGTTCAATATAAAAGGAATATAAGTTTAATATGAAAGGAATTCTTCCATTATCCTTTTTTTCTTAAATAGATTTAACAGATTTAAAAAAATTTTAATTTCAATAGCTTTAGAGGTACAAGCATTTTTGGTTATGTGGACAAATTATATAGTGCTGAAGTAGGATTTTACTGCACCTGTCACCCAAGTAGTGTACATTGTACCCAGTAAGTAGTTTTTCATCCTTTACCCTCCTTCTGAGTCTCCAATGTCCATTATACAACTCTGCATGCCTTTGCATACCTATAGCTTAGCTTCCACTTATAAGTGAGAACTAGGTTTTTGGTTTTCCATTCCTGAGTTACTTCACTTAGAATTATGGCTTCTAGTTCCATCCAAGTTGCCAAAAAAGACATCATTTTTTTCTTTTTAGTGGCTGAGTAGTATTCCTTGGTGTATATATACCACATTTTCTTTATCAATGCATTCATCAGTTGATGGGCATTAGGTTGATTCCATATCTTTGCAATTGCTTTTCATTCTTAAAATGTTTCCTTATTATAAAAAAATCTCAAGAGGCTAGGAAGGCAATTAATGCATGCTTAGTTCATGATATTAATAAAGAACATTGGTGGAAGTGAAACTTCACCACATCATAAAATTCTGCATGCTCAGGGATCATAACGGAAGCAGGAGGTTAGGACACCATAAGAAAAAGAGAAGGGGGATTAGGCCTTCCCACAGAACTATGCCTTGTCCCTCTCATGTTTTCCTCACAGGCAAACTCTTCAAAGCAGCAGTCCCCAACCTTTTTGGCACCAGGGACCAGTTTAATGGAAGACAATTTTTCCACGGATCAAGGTGGAAGTGGGGTGGTTTCAGGATGACTCAAGCACATCACATTTATTGTGCACTTTATTTCTATTATTATTACATTGTAATACATAATGAAATAATTATACAACTTACCACAATGTAGAATCAGTGGGAGCCCTGAGCTTGTTTTCCTGCAACTAGACAGTCCAATCTGAGGGTGATGGGAGACAGTGACAGATCATCAGGCATTAGATTCTCATAGGGAATGTGCAACCTAGATCCCTTGTATGCACAGTCCACAATAGGGTCTGCACCCCTATGAGAATCTAATGTCACCACTGATCTGACAGGTGGCAGAGCTCAGGTGGTAATGCCAGCTATGGGGAGTGGCTGTAAATACAGATGAAGCTTCACTTGATCACCCACCACTCACCTCCTGCTGTGCAGCCCGGTTCCTACTGGTCTGTGGCCCAGGGGCTGGGGACCCCTGCCTTAAAGGACTTGTGTCAAAAGTCACCATCTTGCTCTATTCTGCAAATTCCCTCTTGACCACCTCCTCTTTAGGGCAGCAGAGGGCTTCCTGTCTGGAGCTCCAAGCCTGAAAGACATCTGCAGGGAGGCACAGTGTTTCTTCATAAACTTCCTTCCTCAAGCTCACAGGCTTGGCAGTTTGCTTAGTAAATATCAAATTCTCCCCAAACTAAAAAATAAAGATTGCTCCTGGCTAGGTGTACCTTGACCACTGGACTCTCAGTCCTCTGAGCCTCTGATGGAGTTTGAGGTCACTTTTAGGAGACTGTGCCGTGGTCTCCACAGGCAGAAGAAAAAGAATGTGGCCTGTTCTGCAAGGCAGTGGAGTTAGACACAGGGGGACTTCAGTTCACATCCTGGCCCTGGCCCTTCCTGGTTGTGTCACCTGGGAAAGGCCACTTGGCTCTCTGAACCTTGGTTTCCTTGACTGTGAATGGGGACAAATGTCCAACACTAAACAAGAGGATGCACACAAAGCTCCCAGCAGCCTACCTGGCCCATGGCACTCACAAGCCCAATAAACCTAAACTCACCCATCCCTTCCTGCTTACCCAGCAGTAGAACAATGGGTTTTCTGAATCATTAAGTCATTTTAACAAGCTTTTAAAAGCAAACTAGCTCAAACCAAAGGAGACACAGCCCATGCTTATCAACAGTCCTCTCCCAATGTCTTAAAGCCTTGGGATTCTCATGGTTTCCAGTGGAGGTCAAGGAGAAAAGAAGTGTTGTAACATGATCAGAAATGTATGGCCTCCCCTTTAAAGAGGAAACTATAATTAACAGAAGATGCCAACATCTGAATCTCTCCCCTCCCCCACCCCTCTGCTTTTTTTTTTTTTTTTTTTTTTTTTGAGACAGGGTCTGGCTCTGTCACCCAGGCTGGAGTGCAGTGGCACGATCTCGGCTCACTGCAGCCTCTGCCTCCTGGGTTCAAGTGATTCTCCTGCCTCAGCCTCCTGAGTAGCTGACCACAAGCACACACCACCACGGCAGGCTAATTTTTGCGGGTTTTTTCTGTAGAGATGGGGTTTCACCATGTTGGTCAGGCTGGTCTCGAACTCCTGAGCTCAAGCAATCCACCTGCCTCAGCCTCCCAAAGTGCTGGGATTACAGGCGTGAGCCACCGTACCAGGCCGGAACCCCTTATTTAGTGTTCCTTGCTCAGTGTTTCTCCAGCTCTGCAGCCACCCTTATGGAAACTGGAACCACTCTGCTACACACATGGACTTCCATTTGATTTCCTCTTAGTCAACACACAGTGTGCAGTGTGCTTCTGAATTCAAATATCCAGGCCCACCTGGCAGATCCTTTGGTCCCTCCTAGTTTGGAAAAGGGAGGATCTCATGAAATCAGGTATCCTGCTTAAGAGAAAGTTTGTGCCTTTCAAAAGTGAGCTCTAAAGCCACCACAAACCAGAAAGCCAGCAAGGAGTGCTCAAGGTTCCAGATCAAGAGCTCCCTGACCACTGGCCTCACTAGGGCATCATCTGGAGTGGCAGAGTCCTACCCTAAACCACAGCCGTCGTTGAGAAGGCACAGAGTCCTTCCCTAAACCACAGCCACCACCGAGAAGGCTGTCTTTTAGCCAGTTACTTCTTGGCATGAATTATTTTAACCTGGATAGCTTAACAAGAAGCCATGTTGATTGTAATGAAAGAACCTTTTGTTTTGTTCCAGTTTTATTTGGGTTTGAGGGGCAAGGGGCGTTAGAATTAAGACAAATCCATTTTGGTGATTTGAGAATGACTTTGTTTAAAATTGAGATGTTTTTAGGGGCTTGTTTCAAATGGAGATTCCCTAACCCATCCCCAGATTCTGATTCAGTAAATATGAGGTGGAAACCAAGAATATACCTTTTTCTATCAACCCTCTGCCCTAGTGACTTTAACATGGTCCTAAGACCACAATAGAGAGAAATTGGATCAGGATATGCCACCCAAAAATCCCCAGAACCTTAATTTGGCTTGAGACAAAAGTTAAATCCCCACAAACTAATTATTTAAAAAAGAGAACCCAGAATATGCACATGTTCAGGAATCAGAGGCAGGAAAATCATGGTGCATCAAAGCCTCCCTAGCAGCCCCACACAACACTGATTCTCTCTACCCACAGTCCTACCTTCACTCTTAACTCCAGCTCACCCTGTCCTCATCCCGGCAATCCCTCTCCTGAGATTCTGATCTTGGACTCTGACTTTGCAGCATCCACCTTGAGATAAAGCAGCTCCAAAAGAAAGAAATGTCCGTGGAAATCCATTAAAACCACTTGTTGTTCTCTCACACTAAGGGTCAAATCATAGCTCCTGAAACATAATTAAATAAAGTCATTGACACATAAAACTGTCTGCACGACAGGCTTTACAAAGGGCTCAAAGGGCTTTGCTATTTTTAGCTTTTTACTAAATAAGAATCTAGTGTGTCCAAATTAATCACACATTTTTCCTTTGCCAAATTTTAATTAATAAGATGTGTGTGTGTGTGTGTGTGTGTGTGTGTGTGTCTGCATGCACAAGAGATCAACTAGCAAAGAAAATCTTGCTTCAGGAAGCAATAAAGAGATCATTTGAAATATTGCAATTCAAAAAAAAATGTTGCTTATAAACTTAAACATAAAAGAGTCATTTCTTATATTGAAACCAGTTACTTCACTGGATTCATTTAACACTCTGTCCTGGACCTAGACAAAAATACAATTTTGCTTTTAAATTATGCCATCCCAAAAATAACCATTCCATTTAAAGATATACATTTTTACTCTGTGGCTGAAGTTTTCCAACCTGGACCAAGGGGAAAAAAAAAAAAAAAAAAAACAAGACAGCTAGACAGGAAAAGAATACCAATCCAGATGATTTACCTAGGAGCCATATCCCTGAAAACAGTCACAGCATACCCCCTGGAAAGAAAGAGGTGAGAGCAAAATGGAGGCAGTGCCCAAGCTACAGATGCCCCTGAAATATATAACCCTTCAGAGTAAACATCAGCCAAGACAACAGAAAACTGTTCAGATGTTGACCACAGCAACCTCATCTGCAATGGTTCCACCATGTAAAATCCAAAATTTGGAAATAAGGCAAAAAGACGATGAGGTGCTCTTCCAAGGTGACACGGAGTCTTGTCTATCAAAGTCACATAAGGGTCACCTGATGCTTTAGGGAGGCAAACTCGGCTTGACTTAATATTTGCTAATCTTAAAGGTCTAGACTGTAAAATTAGATGCTAACTTGTAAAAGATTGGTAAGTTGCAAATAATTTCTGTCCTATAGAGGAGGCAACTCAACATTTATGGTTTTATCACCTTATGTCCATTATATACCTCAGCTGTGTCTCAGCAAATTTTATCTCAGCATTGTTTAGTTTCTTTGACTATATAGACTTACCATAAACCAGCTTTGCCATCCTGCTAGTTCCCTCATTGATGAGTTAAATAAATTTTTGACTCGTGCTCATTCTATATTTGTATGAGAGTCATACTTTTAATTTATTGAAAATTACACCTTGAGATTTTCTTTATCGTTTAGTCCACCTATCTCCCTGTCTTGCTCTGAAGTCTGAGCTTTAAAATTAGTTCCAAAATATCACGAAGCCTAGGAAGGTTCCATTTGGCTCATATAGTTGTCATTAATCCATCATTACTGACCACAATCACAGTGCTTCTTCCTCCAACCAATACCAAGCAGATTCCACCATTCTGACCCAGCTGAGATTGAGCCTATAAACCAGGCACACAGACGTGGGTCTTCCATGGAAGTAGAACAAAATACAAAGAAAAGAGAGACGGGACACATGTGCACCTTCCTGATCCTAGTACTTGATTTCTCTTTTGCTCCAGGACATAAAGTTTGTATGAGACTTGTCATATTAGAAGAACATGCGCGTCACTGGCAGTGACAGTGCAAAGCTAAGTGAGCGAAGCAGGGGGATCCTCAAGAGCACAAAAGAGAGTGCAGGATAAAAAGAGAGAAGGGGGCATGTGAGGGCACGTGCGGGAAACACACTCAGTTTTGCAGAATCAGCCTCCCCTCCCACACACCGGCTGTTTTGGTGCTATAAGCAGACTCCCAGGGAGGCTGGAAGTGCCAGTAAAAGGCTAAAAATTTCTGCTAAATTACTATTAAGCATACCAAGAAAGGATCTAACTCAAGGAAATACCTTATTGGATTTTCCCCAAAAAAAGAAAAGAAAATGTATTTTCTGAAGCAAGCCACAAAAATATGGGGTAGTGAAGTGAATATAACATTACTCCAAAGAAACAGAACCCAGAAATTCCAGCTTTTAAATTGCTGAAATAAACACTAACTATTTGGAGAAAATCATACTTGTGACTTACGGATGATGTCCTAAATAGGTCTCGACACGGTATTTAGGGAGAGTCACAAACTCTTTCTTTCTACCCACTCTACCTGTCTCAGAAGAGAGTTTTTTTTTTGTTTTGTTTTGTTTTGTTTTGAGATGGAGTCTTACTCTCTCGCCCAGGCTGGAGTGCAATGGCACAATCTTGGCTCACCACAAGCCATTTTCTTGCCTCAGCCTCCCGAGTAGCTGGGATTACAGGTGCCTGTCACCATGCCCAGCTAATTTTTGTATTTTTAGTAGAGACAGGGTTTCACCATATTGGCCAGGCTGTTCTCGAACTCCTAACCTCAGGTGATCCACCCGCCTCTGCCTCCCAAAGTGCTGAGATTACAGGCGTGAGCCACCGCATCCAGCAAAGAGAATATTTTCTCCACACAGATGTACGATCAGATCTGACCCAGGGCAGAGCCCCTAAATTAGGCCAAACAACCTCGCTGGGTGCAATAGGTAGAAATAGTCTTCCCTGCTGTGTGTGTTCTGTGCGTCCTACAGCTGAGAGGGCCATGAGAAGTTGTTCCCACCTCTGTGCTGCACCTCAGCATAGCCTTCCTCCCACAAAACAAATGGCTGCCGTAGGTCTCTCTCCAGAGAAAGAAAACCCTTCTGGAGGAAGGAAGGAGAGGCCTGAAAACCCTCACCTCTTTTGCAGGAGCTGCACCTCCATACCCATGTGAAGTTCCTTTAAAAAGGCATCTGTGAGGGGACACTGCTCACCTGGACATGCCTATTCTGAGTCCCAGAGTCTTGACACTCATCACCAAATGGGGGCCACACCCAGCCCAGGAAACTACATATAATAATTTATCTTTCGCTTAACACTTGATGAACATGGTTAAATATTGTTTGGGCCATGAAAGCCATAAAACATTTAATGTCCATAAATGGATAGGGTCCATACAGGCTCCAGAGAGAGTTAGGACATTGGTTTCTAATTCTTCATCCTTGAGGACATGGTAACAACCCATGACCAATGGCCAAGGGAAGCTCCCTATAATGACTGAGTCTGGAGCCTTTTCTCTCAGTTACCACATGGAACATTTCTTCTTCACAACTGGTTTGCTCTGAGGAGCCTACTGATGGCTTGCAATGGGCCAGGGAAAGCATTCAGTCTTCACTGGTTACAGCCAACTGGATGGTTACAGAACTCCAAAGCACCTATCCTCCTAATGTGACCCTTCTATGTCCGCCATCTTTCTTGTAGTTGGCTTCTTTATGCAGCAGCAGCACATTGCTGAGTGGAGAGGAAAGACGAAACCCCATTTTAGCAGAAATTCTCACTTTCTATTTGGCAGGCAGTTGAAAATGGGTTCTCTGTTTGCAGAAACATCCTGAACACATCATTAGATACATATTATGATTATTTTATTAGTAGATACAGACAAGATCACAAAGAGCTATGTGCCTTGCCCAAAGTGTTTAAACTTTCCCTGTGGGCAATGACAAGCCATCAGAAGATATTTAGCCAGTGAGTGACAGTAAGTTAGCAGTAAGCAGTAAGTAAACAAAGATAATGCTAGCAGTTATAAAATAAAATAAGGAGAAACTGGTAGAAAGACTAGATATAATACTAATCTATATTAAATATATTTCATTATATTCAGGAATTTTTCAAGCAGGGAACTGCTTTCCAAGATCCATCTCAAGGTCTCAAAACACACACTTCCAGCTTGGTGGCACTACCTCCCTGACAATAGCCATTACAAAAACCAGAAGAAGTCTTGGGCATCAGTAAGTTTGTTGGTGCAGACTGCTGCCCAAGAGGATTCTCTGGTTTCTACCAGCAGAGGAAACCAGACCCAATTTCTTTGTAGCCAGTGGTCCTATGCCTGGGTCATTTCTAAGGTCAGAAGAGCACTTCACCTATACTCTAATTCTGAAATCCAAGTCATGTTCAAGGCACTTATTGGACCAAACTGTCATTTAGATTAATAGAACACAAAGCTCCCCTTGTAAATACAAATGTAATCAATACATCAGTGATCAGTGTAATAGTCATGTGGTAGTCCCTATAATCCAATGTCCAAAGAGAGTAATGGTCCAGTTTCTGACTGGTCCAGTGGATCCCTAATTCTTCTTCTGTCACTTCTGGGCTCTGGACTGTCCATATCATATCCCTAAAGACATGACTCAATAGATCAGCTCCCAGCTGGACCACTCCCACAGGGCCATCAGCAATTGTCACCCCCAGCCTCCAGGGCAATATACAACACTGCATAAAAAATGATCACAGGACGAGGGGCAACATTACTATCCAATTCTTCATTTGTTCAGTTGGGGAAGAAAGGGAACACCTACGCTATCAAAGGCAGTGTAACAGAGAGGGAAGCACACTCATTTAGTTAGCAGACAGACTGGATTCCAATCTGAGCCTTGTGTTTCCATGGGCAATTTGCCTGACCTCTCTGAATCCGTTTTCTTATCTATCAGATAGGAATAGGGGCCTGTGCCTTGCATAATTGAGGTAAAGATTACAGATGGTATATGTGAGGCATGTAACGCAGAGTCTGACGCCAGGAGGTGTGGGGGCCATTAGGGCTGCATTCTGGTTCTCCTCTCCTTCAGGCACAGGACGGAATTGTGCTTTCCAGCTCCATTTGCAGTAGGTCTTGGCCATGAGACTTGTTTCGGCCAATGAAGCTTAAAGAGCCAGTGAGAGACTCACCACACACCCTTCCCTCTACTGTGGTGGTCATGGTAGCATGCAAGATAAAGCCTCCATCATTCAGGGTCACTGTGTGACCACGATCAGAAGAATGCCCCAACAGACCCTCATGGAACATTACAGCCCGAACAAGAAAATCAATGTTCTATGCGGCTACTGAGCTGTGAGGGGTTCTGGTCACTGCAGCATCACCTATCCCCTGCTGACCGAGAGACTAAGTACCCAGTGAAGTCTAGATAATGTGAATTTTGTTTTTGTTATTTCAAAATATCACCTTTGAAAAGAACGTGGGAATGCCTGAGAAGTCAGATTCCGACTGAACGGATCCCAAGGTTGATCCCAAGGCAATTCACCAGTCGAGGATCCTGACACATTAGTTATTTAGACTTAAAAGGAGAAAAAATAAATAATCTCAGCTCCTGGATCTAAATGATGCCTCCATGAATTAAGGATTTAAAAAGTCACATTGAGCCAAGTAGATAAATACACAAAAGAGTCTCTACAGATTAAAAGCTCAAGGGCACTGGACCCCAGCCAGAATGATCATAATCCAAGAATCCAGGTCAACAGTCCTGGAAAATTACTCTTAAGTATTTCCAGCATTTAAAACTCCTCAATGGACTAGAAAACATCTGTTTCCTAATCTAGTGGAAAAAAGCCTCATTGCTAAATAGTAGGCAGCACCCCCAAGCATGAAATTCATTGCCATTTTCCTGGGCAAAAACAAACACACACATTAACCCTCCCTCGGTTGTTATCTGCGGACGCCACCAGCTTTAGATGCCATGACAGAAAGGGAGGTATGTTTTCTTCCTGCCTTTACATACAAACAGAGAACAGAATCCTTTGCTTTCCTTGAAACTGCCAAAAAAAGGCCAGTATGAACTCCAAAGCACCAGCATCCATTTCTTTACAGACATTTTAGGCAGAAAATGAAATATGTCGGACTACTGAATAAATATAATCTGTTTCCTTTGGCATTGACCTAGTACAGCATAAAGAACGTGCGCACTAAAGCCCGACACATCTTTCAAATTGATAGAATTCAAATCCTGTCTTTACCACTTATCAGCCGAGTGATCTTAGATGCGTCACCCTCTCTGAGACTCAGTTTGCTCAGATTTGGAATAACACTGACAATAACAGCTACCACTGGTGAGAGTCTACTAGTGCCAGATGTAAGAGCTTTGTGTACATTCAATCTTTAAGTCCTTACAAAAACCACATAAAGGGTGGTTTATACAGATCTTTTTTTTTTTTTTTTTTTTTGAGACAGAGTCTTGTTCTGTTGCCCAGGCTGGAGTGCAGTGGTGCGATCTCAGCTCACTGCAGCCTCCACCTCCTGGGTTCAAGCAATTCTCCTGCCTCAGCCTCCCAAGTAACTGGGACTACAGGTGTACACCAGCACACCTGGCTAATTTTTGTATTTTTAGTAGAGACGGGGTTTCACCATGTTGGCCAGGCTGGTCTCCAACTCCTGACCTCAAGTGATCCACCCACCTCGGCCTCCCAAAGTGCTGGGATTACACATGGAACTTACACAGGAGAAAAATAAGGTTCTAAACTAATAGGGAGGAAAGCCAACGTATAAAATTGGATCTGTCTGACTCCTGAGCCTGAGCACTGAATCCTCAGTGGAGGGGGGGTACATTCCCCCTCCACGACCACCCCACCCCCAACCCCAGACCACCTCTTGGGGTAATAGTAATCACAGCGTGCAGGGTGAAACAGCAGCACAGTCCCTCACACAGAGTCCACATACATCCTGTGTGAGTTACCTCCCTTTCATCTCCCCTCTCCTCCCCATCTCATTCTGTTCCTTTCACATTTCCACATTTTTCCAAATGCTTTGATATTCCTTCTAAACCAAAAGTCTTCAGTAGTCATAAAAAGACTTCTGCAACATGTCTTATGTTCATACTAATCTATACTTATGTCTTATGTTCATACTAAACTTTTCATTAATCTATGGAGATATGAATGTCAACATAAAAATACATATGGCCTTAGATGTGTATGTATAGATATAAATATAGAAATAGTGGAAGGAAATGTTAGCAATGAATATCACTGTATGGGGAATCATAAATGATTCTTATTATCTTTCACTTTTTTTGTATTGCATCTGGTGAGAGTATGTTTCTTTTTTTATTATACTTTAAGTTCTATACATGTGCACAATGTGCAGGTTTGTTACATATGCATACATGTGCCATGTTGGTTTGCAGCACCCATTAACTTGTCATTTACATTAGGTATTTCTCCTAATGCTATCCCTCCCCTACGCCCCCACTCCACAACAGGCCCCAGTATGTGATGTACCCCGCCCTGTATCGAAGTGTTCTCATTGTTCAATTCCCACCTATGAGTGAGAACATGCGGTGTTTGGTTTTCCATCCTTGCGATAGTTTGCTCAGAATGATGGTTTCCAGCTTCACCCATGTCGCTACAAAGGACATGAACTCATCCTTTTTTATGGCTGCATAGCATTCCATGGTGCATATGTGCCATATTTTCTTAATCCAGTCTGTCATTGATGGACATTTGGGTTGGTTCCAAGTCTTTGCTATTGTGAATAGTGCCGCAATAAACATACATGTGCATGTGTCTTTATAGTAGCATGATTTATAATCCTTTGGGTATATACCCAGTAATGGGATCGCTGGGTCAGATGGTATTTCTAGTTCCAGATCCTCGAGGAATCGCCACACTGTCCCCCACAATTGTTGAAGCAGTCTACACTCCCACCAACAGTGTAAAAGCGCTCCTATTTCTCCACATCCTCTCCAGCACCTGTTGTTTCCTGACTTTTTAATGATCGCCATTCCAACTGGTGTGAGATGGCATCTCATTGTGGTGAGAGTATGTTTCTTTGGCAAGCAGGAAACACTAGATATTTTTCAAAATCATGGAAGGAGACCACTGTGCTCTTTTTAATTTTTTTCAATATTTGCATGTATTGCTTCCAGAATAAACAAGGGTCATTCAGTCACTACAATTATATTTCTTTTATTTTTGCTTCCTTTTTAACATGTTCAAATGTTACAATTAATGCACAGAAAAAACATCTACTTCACACTTAGTGCTGGTGATGTTCCTTCAACATTGTGAACAGGCAACTGTAGCCACAGTGGGCCTGTGATGACAAGCATGACTCCAGCACAAGACAGGGAGACCCAGAAGCAGGGCCATTAGACCTGTTCACATGGGAGATGCGGGCTAGACCTGGGCTCAGAGCCAGGCCCAGCCAAGCTCCTCCTGACCAGCCAATGACCTCCCTGACCCCGCCCTTTCCCAAAGTGGCCATTTTTACACATAAAACCAAGCTTAGGTCTGGCTTGGTTCCCACATCCCTAGTAATGGCTGGTGATTATCTCAGACAGTCGGGGCTGCCCAGATTGCCTTGGAAAATTCATGCCAGGAATAAGCTAAGTCTCCTCCTCTTCAAATCTTTCCAGGCAAAATAGAAAGCATGTGTGCTATCTTCGGAGTTTCCTTCAAATTTCATGTTTCCTTTGGCTCTGCAGAAGTGAAGTTAGTTCTCCCTGTCCCAAAACAGGACGAAAATGGCCACAGAATGCTGTGTACTTGAATCACATTGACCCAAAGTGATCACCTACCAGGCTACCACTAACATCAGGTTCTAGAGGTCCTATGCCCTCAGCTTTAAGCAAGAACCTGAAAAGCAACAACAGGCTAAAAATTTGCTTCTGCCTTTGCTGTAAGATGCTCTTGAGGGTGCTGTTGTTTCCATCACCTATTTTCTTGTGCAGCCCCAAGTTGGAGTTAAGACTGAGAAATCCTTGTCTTCCACGGGAACTGATGGATTTTCTCTCTCATGGATAAATTACATTTCCCTTTTCAAGTTGCTTCCAGGAAGTTCAAAGCCAAATGCATGATCCTGCAACAACTATGCCAAGTCATACAGCCTCAATACCTGTGGTTGGCTCTTTCCCGTAGTCTCAACATTTCATTTACTTTATATTTACCCTTATTCTTACTTTATACTATTTCTTAAGACTTTACTCGGCACCACCTATTAGCCAACTCAAATCCTGTGTAAAATCTATTAGATATAAATTAATAAGGCTGAGCACAGTGGCTCACGCCTGTAATCCCAATGCTTTGGGAGGCCAAAGAGGTCAGATCACTTGAAGTCAGGAGTTCAAGACTAGCCTAGCCAACATGGTGAAACCCCGTCTCTACTAAAAATACAAAAATTAGCTGGGTGTGGTGGCAGGTGCTTGAACCCAGGAGGCGGAGGTTGCAGTGAGCCGAGATCACACCACTGCACTCCAGCCTGGGTGACAGAGCTAGACCCTATCTCAAAAATAAATAGATAGATAGATAGATAGATAGATAGATAGATAGATAGACAGATAGATAAGATACTGCTGGCTGACAGCAGCCACACCAGAGGCATGCCATCCAGAAGATATGCTCCAAAGGGCACCGGAAGGGGCCTCTCTTTTTCCCACCACACTCTAGTCTCAGCTGCATGACAGCTCACATTTTAAATTCATTCATCTAGCAAAACTGGCTTTCTCCTATTCTTAGGAGTAAAGCAAATATACTTAGGAAGGATGCCTCCTTATTTATCCTTGCAAATAAGTTTATTATGATCTTGTTTAATCATACATAGCTAAGCACAGGTGTGGATTTAGGAAAATAGACACTAAGAGAAAGGACAATTGAGTTTGATGAAAGATTTAAGGAATGTTTGAGGATTAGGAATGTTTGCACTTTGAGGAATTGCTTTTCTGAGACAAGCAAGCTTGTAAGTGAAAAGGCTACTTGATATAAGAAAAGGGGTGAGAACAGAATTCACTCTACCTACTTCACAATTTGGAATAAACACCCAAACCAAAGCCTAAGAGTCTGTGGTGAGGGTTTGCTGTGTATAGTAGCCAGCACTTCACAGCATTTCAGAGTTCACAAGGAGCTCTCTTCAGATATTATCTCATTTAATCTTCAGAATGACCCTGTATGTTTCTGTTATTCTCCTTACTCCATAAATATGAGAACTGTGGCTCAGAGAGGTTAGTCACTTGTCCCAAGAGTACACAACTATTCAGTGGCAGAGGGAAGACAAAAACACAGATCCCTTCCATTAGAACATGGTCACTAGGGCCAATCTGAGCCGTATCCATATCGTGTGTATGCAGCACAACAGCAAGAAAGAACAGCCGGGCCAGCCCCCGGCCTCGAGCTTGCCGGGAGATGAAGTGTGTGAGATCTGATTCCAGCAGCCCTTCTGCCAGAGCCCAGCGGCCTTCATACCACACAGTCTGCCTTTGGGTAACCCTAACAGGTCTCCAAACAAAACTATAACTGACACTCGAAAATGAAAACCTCTGTTGGCCGGGCGCGGTGGCTCACGCATGTAATCCCAGCACTTTCGGAGGCCGAGGCGGGCGGATCACAAGGTCAGGAAATCAAGACCATCCTGGCTAACACGGTGAAACCCCGTCTCTACTAAAAATACAAAAAATTAGCCGGGCGCGGTGGCGGGCGCCTGTAGTCCCAGCTACTCGGGAGGCTGAGGCAGGAGAATGGCGTGAAACGGGGAGGCAGAGCTTGCAGTGAGCCGAGATCGCGCCACTGCACTCCAGCCTGGGCGACAGAGCAAGACTCGGTCTCAAAAAAAAAAAAAAAAAAAAAGGAAACCTCTGTCTGCTGCGACGTCCACACGGAAGAAAAGATGAGATTTGCCAAGTAGAAAAGAAAAGATTTGCCAAGTAGGAAAGTCTTTTTCTTGTACTTTACACCAATTGTTCTTCCTTTACTCTGCATATATGAAAGTGTTTCTGGGGCACTTGAGTATGGGGTGCTAAATTTACGGATTCTAAATGTTCTAATTTATTTATAATCGAGTATATGTGAAATGAGAAGAAAATGCAACTCTCAACAACAAATTACACCTTCCTCCCACACCACTCATCAACCTCAAAGCCCTCCTCCTCACAGACAGCAGATCAGGGTTTTTGTTTTGTTTTGTTTTGTTTTGTTTTGTTTTGTTTTGTTTTGTTTTGTTTGAGACAGAGTCTTGCCTTGTCACCCAGGCTGGGCTGCAGTGGCGCCATCTCGGCTCACTGCAAGCTCTGCCTCCCTGGTTCAAGCGATTCTCCTGCCTCAGCCTCCCGAGTAGCTGGGATTACAGGCATGCGCCACCACGCACAGCTAATTTTTTGTATTTTTAGTAGAGACAGGGTTTCATCATGTTGGCTAGGCTGGTCTCACACTCCTGACCTTGTGATCTGCCCACCTCGGCCTCCCAAAGTGCTGGGATTACAGGCGTGAGCCACCGCGCCCGGCCAGATCAGGGTTTCTAAGTCCCCATGTTTGAGGAGCTCCTGCAATGACAGCAGGGAAACTGCCCTCCCATCCAGTGTGGCCCTGTTGGGGACAGGGGCCCTAGCCAGCACCAACCAGAGATAAATCCAAACCTCGATGAGACACAATAGGCAATCAGACCTTTCAGAGGAGCCAGGCTGGATGCGGGCCAGCCGTAGGCCCGAGGCACTGTGATGGCTCAGGTGAGTTCTGTCATGGGGGCAGTGAGGGGACCTGCAGTCAGAATTGGCAGCGACCCGGCCACCGATGACAGCCTGAAGCACAGGAGGTCAAGGGTCAGCCCAGAGCAGGCAGACAGGCCCAGGGAGGGCACTTGTTACCATCGGCAATGGAGGAGACCAGAGAGGGCACAGAGGCCAGAAAATCCAGCAATAGATTTTCCAGCACAGGGTAGGAGCTCCTGAACTAAAAGACAGAAGTCAGGATGTCAAATCCTAACACCACCATGTTCTGGCCGAGTCACCTCAAATAAAATATTTGTCCTCATTGTGCCCAAGTTTCTTAATTTAAAAAATAAGAGTAAGAGACCCAGTTCACAGGATTGCTGTGAGAATTAAATGAGATATTATTTATTAAAATGCCAATGCATTATCTGGCACATAACAGGTGCTCCATAAATGTGTCTTTTTCTCTTAAGACTCTACTGGAAGTCACAAGTGCTCCATGCCCCAAACTAAATAAAATGCCAGATGTAGATCTGTTTTGCTTCTCTTCTTTTCTTTGTTAGTTTGAGTACCTAAAGTTGGTGCTTCAGTGTATGAGAGTCCAATTTCAACATTACTTCCCCTGCTGCATCCTTCATGCCTTTCTAATCTTCCTATAGGCATTCTTAAATACACTTCTCTAAGAAACAGTATATTACCTACTTCAAAATATTATAATATTTGATGAGGGGCATACCCACCTCTGCCACAGTCCCCACCGCTCCCTATTGTCTCACTCCTGGCCCTATCTAAATAGAGGTGAAGAGCAACAGCACATATGGCCCATCCCAACCCTATCATGGCATCATACAGCTATGATTCCATGAGGACTACCCCACTGCTGAGGTTGAATATAGTTCCGTGGCAGCAGAGCCTAACCCAGCAGAGCAGCGGTAAGGCCTCAGGTGGCACCGGGCAAGTGGTAGCCTTGGCAAGGTAGGGAGGGAAAATAGAGGTGCATTTGCAGTCTTCCAGGGGTGGCCAATACAGGTAGCAAGTCAGCACCAGCTCGGTTTCCAAAGCTCCACTGTATCTCAGAAGAGAAACAATTACTCAGGAAAATCAAGGCCTCTGAGCCACTCTCCATTCCCCTCCCTAAGACCACAGAGCGGGAAAAAAAAATGCTTGAAAGCAGATCTGATTTTCAAGCTTCCACTCTGCTTTCGCTAAGATGATTTAAGCTAGCCAAACCTTCAAAGCCTCTAGCCTCCACAAATTTCACGTTACCTTGGCAGCAGTGGGGAGAGCAGTGACCAACAGTTACCTCTTCGAATGCTTTTCAGCTTTATTGTTACGGTTGGAAGAAGTCAAGTCAGAGCATACCTAGACAGCAACCTCATTGCAAATTCCCAGGCCTCCTTCAGCCTGTGGCCTTGCTCAGCTCTCTGTGATGTAGCAAAATGGGCCTTGGGGGTCTTATCTGTATGAAACATGCTGTGTTTGAGAGTGGACAGCTTGCTGAGCCATTGCAGAGGGCAAGGAGATCAGGAAGCAAAACAGCATTCACGGAGGGGATGTCCTAGGGGTCTCACTGGAGGCTCTCAGGGGCCAGGGATGATATTCAAAATATTTAACAACAAAGGAAGGCAAGAGAGGACCACCAAATCAAAATGATTGCCCCACCAGTCTGGACTCCGGTATGTCGCACCAACAGCCCATGGAGAAAGTAATGTTATTATCCACATTTTACAATTTTGAAAACCTAACACAGAACTCACGAACAGCTCTACGAGCTTCCATCTGGTCTGCTGAGAGGCCTGCCCACTGCCTCCGGGAAGACAGAATGAGGCCAGTGAACAGCTGTAAAATATCTTTTAGAAGAAGGACATCTGGTCTGGTCCTGGGATCACATAAGCTTCCTGGTTGAACTCTGAGGTCATGGGGTTTATTGTATTTACATGAAGAGCCATATTTTCACCAGAATCATAATGCCATCAAATTGGAGGACAGGACTTCAGAAATCACAGTGAGGTTTCTGCAGGCTAGTGACAGAGCTGGGTCCAGAACCCAGGCCTCTGGCTCCCACTCTGAGAACCTTCAGGCCACAGATGCACCCCTGCTCAGGCCCTTCTGATGTCTGTGGCATTGCACAGTTTGCCAAGCTCAGCTTTGCCAGAGGTGAAAACAGATGCAGAGGTATCTCAGCTCTAGACTCATGTTTGTTGATTGGACATTATAACCAAGTGATGGACTTGATCTCAGAAGCTCCTATGAAGATTCAGGAATTGAAAGTTGGACTGAGGGTAAGGAAGGGCAGTATGTTAAGATTGGAAACTCATGTATTTTCAAAATGATCAAATTGAGGCACTGTACCCTGTAATGTATGGAAATACTCTCATGTTGATCCAGCTGTTCGATTAAGAGAGTGCACTTGAAGCACTTAACTGGGTGCATTTCATGCCTCAATAACTTTTTTTTTAAAAAGGCAAAGCCATAATCTGTTTATTCTTCACATTGAATGCCCCTCTAAAAAGCCTAAGCTGAAATTTAAAGATATTTACAGAAGCACCCATAAAGAAAAATAACCAAGCCTGCGCCACCCAACTGACAGTTTTTTAAAGCTTAAGCAAGAAAATTAGACGGCAAAGCCTGGAATGCCTGCCCCACCTCCAGGAGCACAGGCATGTGTGTGTGTGCACCCGTGCGCGCACACACACACACACACAGACACACACACACACATGCAGTTCCAGCTTCTCAGACACAGCCGCATGCACACAAGCCTCTTTCCTGGATATATTGTGACAGCCACTAAGTTAATGAGATCCCAACTGTCACCCTCAGTTTTTTTTTTTTTTTTTTTTTTTATTATACTCTAAGTTTTAGGGTACATGTGCACATTGTGCAGGTTAGTTACATATGTATACATGTGCCATGCTGGTGTGCTGCACCCACTAATGTGTCATCTAGCATTAGGTATATCTCCCACCCTCAGTTTTTACATCTGTTTTTAGTGTTTTCATTCCAAGACTGTTGCCCAAAAGGCAGTGAAAGGCAAAATGCATATTATCAGCCTTCTTCCTCCTCCTCTTTGGAATAGCAGAGTCCCCACGTGGCAGCCTGGAACAAAGACCCTCAGCTCCCTGGAAAGGGAAGGCTCTGACTCCAGGAAGATGGCAGGGCTGGAGTCTCCATGCCACTCGCACCAGGTATTGATGGGCAACCACAAAGGCTGGGCAGGGAAAACAAAACCATTAAACTCTCTAGAAAAATACCGTGCTGCAAGCCAAGTGCCAGAGTAGCAGCGGGGACACCGAGGGCCTGCACTCACGGAGTAACTCAAAGTCGGAGCAGTGTGAGAAACACACTATTCCAAATTGGAGGAAGGGTGAGCTTTCTGAATGGATAAAATGTAGGAAATGAGGCTTTAATGAATGTCCGTTTAATAAGTCCCCAAATGTGAAGTATGTATAGGTGCTCTGAGGCATCAGCAATCCACTGCAAAATTACCTTCAACCCGAGAGCAACGAACACGAGTTCCCTAAATCACGAGCAATTTGTTTTTATGACAAAAACAAAATACACCTTTTTTTAGCCAAGTCAGTGGAATTTTTCATAAAGAGTTTTTCATAAAGAGTTTTTAAACACTGAAGGGAAATATGCTACTTCAGTGATTATGCTGAGGTGCGGGATTAAGCGAGGTTAGATTGTATTTTCCATACTACACATGTACTTATTAGAAAAGGTAGCTTTTAATTTCTTTTCAGAGCAATAGATATCAGTGCTGGGAGCAGGTAAATTTAAAAAAAGAAGAAGAGCAATAGATAGAAATGTTAAACTGCCCCACTCCACACACACACACACACAAGCACACAAATACATACATCACACACACACACACACACACACACACACACGGAAGTACTGACTAGTCCCTCCCATTCCGTCTTTATTTTAATGGGCAGCAATGATTACCTACCCAGGCGATTGTCTGCAAAACACTGTTCAGGTGACACTGCCACACTGCAGTTTAGCCTGGGGCCAAATAGCCTGACAGGGATGCTGGCATGAATTTTTCACAGAATACCCGTGGCTAGCTTGTTACAGGATGTGCTGTGACATCAGGCTGAAGGTATGACCAGGCAAGAAAGTGAAGTGGGAGCTGTCAGGGGAGAGGTGAGAAGAGTGTTATCCCCTCACTCACCCAAAATGAGCTGGCCAGAGGACCAGTCCCAGCCAAGAGCACTCAAATCAGAACTTGGTCGCTTCTCTGCCTCTCACCTTAATAGATAAAACTGCTTATGAATTATTAACAACTATTAATAATCTAACAATTTAACAATTTATAACTATTATAACTAATAACTATTTAATAATTTAATAGTTCATAATAGACATTTGTAAATTATTCATAACTGTCAAGGATCCCCAGTAGATACTTGGTGGTTTGTGAGTTTAAGAGGAAGAACTAATTCCATTTCCTATATAAACCCCAAGTCCCAGGACTTGATTCCTCTTAACAAGATGTCAACAGAGGGAGACTGGCAGGCTATCAATCCTTGCCCCCTTTTCTGGGCTCTTAGAACTTTCCAGCAGCCATGCTGATGGGGGAACAAATAACTGTGGCCTTCCCCCAACAGTTCTCTTCTAGCTAACTCAATCTTTGATGCGGTAGACGCTCCGTATGTACACACTATTGATATCCTCCTGTGTGATATGGGAGCTGTCAAAATCTGGAACCAAATCTATACTCAGAATGAGTTGGCCCGATCTCTTTGTAGTTCACAAGCATGGTGATTGGGTGCTCAAGCCCATGTGTGAGGTGTGCCTCCCTCAAACCTTGTTACAACGTAGGCACAGCATCACCTGACGTAAAAAAGAAAAAAAATTAGTTGGTCTAATTTCAAATCCTCCTGGTTTATGTTCAGTAATTAAATTACTCATCCCCGTATGAACTAATGCTTGAGTTGTTTTTTTTGTTGTTGTTGTTTTTTTTGAGACGGAGTCTCGCTCCGTCGCCCAGGCTGGAGTGCAGTGGTGCGATCTCGGCTCACTGCAAGCACCGCCTCCCGGGTTCACGCCATTCTCCTGCCTCAGCCTCCCAAGCAGCTGGGACTACAGGCGCCCACCACCGCACCCAGCTAATTTTTTTGTATTTTTAGTAGAGACGGGGTTTCACCGTGTTAGCCAGGATGGTCTCCATCTCCTGACCTCATGATCCGCCCGTCTCGGCCTCCCAAAGTGCTAGGATTACAGGCGTGAGCCACCACGCCCGGCCTACTTCTTAGATCTTTTAACCAGAGCTTAAGAATACTTGTGAAAGAATTATCCAAATTTTTATTGCCTTTTTTTTTTTTTTTTTTTTTTTTGAGACAGAGTCTCGCCCTGTCACCCAGGCTGGAGTGCAGTGGTGCAATCTCGGCTCACTGCAGCCTCCGCCTCTCAGGTTCAAGCGATTCTCTTGCCTCAGCCTCTTGAGTAGCTGGGATTACAGTCATGCACCACCACACCTGGTAAATTTTTGTATTGTTTAGTAGACACGGGGTTTCGCCATGTTGGTCAGGCTGGTCTCAAACTCCTGGCCTCAAGTGATCTGCCTGCCTCAACCTCCCAAAGTGCTGGGATTACAGGCGTAAGCCACTGCACCTGGCCTAAAATTTTATTACCTTAAATCTCAGATCTTAATTTGAGTTCTCAAAATTAAGTCCATCAAAAGGGCTGAAACACTCATTCAAAAAACTAACTTCACACAGTGCAAGATATACATTTGTTATATTAGTTTATAAGGTTCTCAAGTGCAAGACTATGTCTACGCTTTATTATATCTCCTCAAAAGCATACTGACAAACAGATGCTCAGAATCATTAAAAAAAATCTAACATAGAAATTTATGGATAAGTTCTAACTCTGCCCTGTCCAATAGGGTAGCCACTATCACATATGATGGAATAGTTTGGATACGGGATATGTTAACCTACTTTTTCAACTGTAAATTTTGTAAAATCTAGATACAGATAAAGTATTTCTAATGAAAATTTAGCATCCTACTGAAGATATAAAGTATGCACAGAATTTCAAAGACTTAGTCCAGATAAAAAGAATATAAAATCTCATTCATAATTTTTTAACATTGGTTATGTATTAAAATGAAAATTTTTTAGATTGGGTTAATTCAAATTAATTTCCACCTGTTTCCTGTTTGTTTTAATTTTTTTTTTTTTTTTTTTTTTGAGATGGAGTCTCACTTTGTCACACAGGCTAGAGTGCAGTGGCATGATCTTGGCTCACTGCAAGCTCTGCCTCCCAGGTTCACGCCATTCTCTTGCCTCAGCCTCCCAAGTAGCTGGGACTACAGGCGTCTGCCACCACGCCTGGCTAATTTTTTGTATTTTTAGTAGAGACGGGGTTTTGCCGTGTTAGCCAGGATGGTCTCGATCTCCTGACCTCGTGATCCATCTGCCTCGGCCTACTAAAGTGCTGGGATTACAGGTGTGAGCCACCGCGCCCAGCTCTTTTAATGTCTTAATGTAGCTACAAGAAAATATTAAATTATGTATGTGGCTTATGTTATAATTTTATTCAACAGCACTGCTCTAGCTTGCTAAATATGGTGGGGTAACTAACAATAATAGCATGTTATTCATTTATTGTCATTACATATTAGTACATCTTTTGTAGCTATTGTAGGATTACAATGTTAATTATTTTCCCACACTCCTTTCATTCTATGTCTAAATATTAAACAAATATAGAAACCAAATGGCTGATGGCTATCCTAAGAAACAAAGGTGATTTATTCTACCACTGCCAGTGGGCAGCAGTAAATGCCAGTCATTCCAATCACTCCCATACAACCTGGCTCTTGGCTGGGCACAGATACATGAAAGGCAGCAACAGCAATGCTAAGGGGAATCAAGAGTTACACCCACATTTGCCATCTTAACCAAATATATTCACAAAGGGGGCCATTGAGTGTGACGTATGAAGACAAAATACCAGCCTTACTGAGAGCCATGAAAAGGCCTTTTGCAAACGATGTATTCTGGAGTACAGGTAGCATCTGAATTTTATTATAGACCCAATCACATCTCTATATTTCATGTTTATTTCTGGTTGTTGAGAAATTCCCAAGTTCTTTTTTCTTACCCACCAGAAAGGTTGTAGACATCATCAGGTATGTCCCCTTCTTCTCCTGGGGTCCCATTATACAAGATGGCACACTGGAACATCACACAACCCACCAGCCACCACTTCAGTAGCTTGCAGGGCTTTTATGCCTGTCTATTCATCTTTGCAAACATTTTTTAAGGCCCACCCTCTGTCAGGCTCTGTTTTAGGTACTAGTGTAATGTGACAGAGAACAAGGAAAATACAGATCATTGATGCCTATATTGTTTCTGCATCTTTTTATCATGCCACCATACTCAGGCTTAGGCATCACAGTAAGATCCTGTCTCAAAAAAAAATTAATAAAAACAATACAAGCTAAGAGATATAAGAAGCCTAAAGAAAGAAATACCGAGTTTGTTAAAAGAACTCTGCCTATATCTGACAAGTTAGTAACACTTACTTTTTAATTATGCAATGTTTGAAATATGCAAGAAGATATAAAGAAAAATGTAACAAACAATCATGTACCCATCCCTCTTGAATTCCATATCCTATTTCTTCCCACCTTGACCCCACTGAATTAATGTGTATTAGGTCTGTGCACTTCTTTATACTTTTACTACATAGCCACATATCCCTAAGCAATATGTGGCTTGACATGTTTTTAAATTGTATATTGATATGGTTTGGCTGTGTCCCCTCCCAAATCTCAACTTGAATTGTATCTCCCAGAATTCCCACATGTTGTGGGAGGTACCCAGGGGGAGGTAATTGAATCATGGGGGCTGGTCTTTCCCGTGCCATTCTCATGATAGTGAATTAAGTCTCACGTGCTCTGATGGGCTTATCAGGGGTTGCCACTTTTGCTTCTTCCTCATTTTTTCTCTTGCCACTGCCATGTAAGAAGTGCCTTTTGCCTCCCGCAATGATTCTGAGGCCTCCCCAGCCATGTGGAACTATAAGCCCAATTAAACCTCTTTTTCTTCCCAGTCTTGGATATGTCTTTATCAGCAGCATGAAAACAGACTAATATATATATACATCAGTGTGTTTTAAATAGGTGTTTTTAAAAACTTACCTAATGTTGTGATAAGCAACTACCTCTGACTATATCAGAAACCTCAACAATTTACCAAGTTTGCTGATAAAAATATATTTTTCTTTTACTCACCACCCAACTGACATATAAAGGATATAAATTTAAATATTGCATAGATTATATATGTGCATGTAGACAGCAGATAGAGTTCACAGCTAGAATAATAAAAAAGAAGTTCAGTGTGTTCCATAATCATTAAAAATATTGAAGGAGGAACTTGGAAATCACTTGTATACATGGGGGCATTTTTCTAAAATAAACTTTAAATTAGAATTTTTGAATGCTGCAAAATATACAAAAAGGTTTACCATGGAAAGTAAGCCTCCTCCTGCCCTCACCCACAAGCCACCCAGTAGTAACCTGCCCATAGGTAACCAATGTAACTTCTTATGTATATATCCAGAAATATTCCACATAGACAAGCAACCATGAATATATTAATATTTTGTCCTCTTTTTAATATAAATGGTAGCATCTTGCTATTTTCATTTGATAGTATAGTTTATAGACCTTTTTATATTGATGCATATGAGCTGCCTTGTTCTTTTTAATGGCCGCATCCATTGTATAGGTGTGCCATGCTTGATTTAGCCTATTTCGTTTATGGAGAGGTTGTTTTCAAATCATTTGAAACAAACAGTGCTGCTGTGAAGCCTCCCTGTATACATTTCACAATGTTCAAGAATATCCACAACACAAAACCTAGAAATGGAACTGTTGAGTCAGAGAGAGAGAGGTAGATAGAAATAACATATTTTGGTAGCTATTACAAAAGTGTAATAGAAGTTACACAATTTAACTCCCACCAGACATTTATAAAAGCATCTTTTTCCCCACTGCTTTTGCCAATGTAATGCACCATGTATTATGTTCATCAAACTACATGGTAAATGGTATCTCAAGGAGGTTTTAATTTATGAATTTGTTTTAAATGCTTAACAAATTCTGAATTTTAAAAGGAATAAGTGTAACTTAAAACAATACAGGCCGGGCACAGTGGCTCACACCTGTAATCCCAGCACTTTGGGAGGCCAAGGTGGGCAGATAGCCTGAGCTCAGAAGTTTGAGACCAACCTGGGCAAAATGGCAAGACCCTGTCTCTACAAAAAATACAAAAATTAGCTGGGCATGGTGGCATATACCTGTAGTCCCAGCTACTCGAGAGGCTGAGGTGGGAGGATTGCTTGGACCCAGAAGGTCGAGGCTGCAGTGGGCTGTGATCATGCCACCACACTCCAGCCTGGGCATCACAGTAAGATCCTGTCTCAAAAAAAAATTAATAAAAACAACGCAAACTAAGAGATATAATAAGCTTAAAGAATGAAACACCGAGTTTGTTAAAAGGAAGGTGCTATAAAACTCAAGGCATGACACTATACCATAAAGAGGTTTATTAGCTTCATCTGGGCAATAAAGACAAATATCTACTTACAATATTGCCCAACCTCTTATATAAACTAATTCAGATTGTTGACACGCATACACACTTTATAAAAACTCAGGACGTGTTCTCACATACAGAGAGAACCATCCAGCACTGGTCTGAAGTTCAACTACTCAGAAATATCAACACTATAGATGAGTGGCTGATTTAGGCTGTATAGCATTCCTGGACTTAACTGGTGAAAAAGATGAAGAAAGGAAGATGAAGGGCAAATTAAGGGTAAAAGAAAGTGGTTCTTCTCAATGTCACACACACCCTCATTGACCCCATGATTGTCCTGTCCTTCACATCAACAGTGGGGGTGGATCCTGTGGATACCAAGATCCATGACTGTTCATGTACCTGACATAGGATGGCATAGTATTTTCATATAATTTGTGGACATCCTCACACAGACTTTAAAACATCTCTAGATTCCTTATAGTGCTTAATATAATGTAAATGCTATGTAAATAGTTGTTATACAGCATTGTTTAGGAAATAATGACAAGGAAAAAAGTCTGTACTGTTCACCACAAAGGCAATTTTTTTCTGAGTATTTTTTATCCGTGGTTGGTTGGCTCCACAGATGCAGAACCCATGGGTATGGAGGGCTAACTGTATTCTTGAAATTTCCTAAGACCTGATCTTGAGTGTTCTCACCACAAAAAATTGTAACTATGTGAGATGATGAGTATGTTATCTTTATTGTGGTAATCACTTCACCATGTATACATATATCAAAACATCACATTGTACACTTCAAACATATATAATTGTTATTCCTCAAGTATACCTCAATAAAGCTGAAAAAGTAAATAAAATAAGTAACCATGAAAAAAATAAAATGAGCATATTACCTCTCAAAAAAAAAAAAAAAAAAAAAACAGGAGCTGGGTCACCTAGATTCTGAAACAGGGCTTGGCTCAAGTGAATCCTGTCAAGTTGCTTGAGCCCCTTGGCCACTGGCTCCTTGTCTATTAAAATGAAAAGATTGAAGTGGATTTTTAAGGTCCTTCCCAGATGAAAGACACCACTGGAACTACTGATTAATAGATGATAAGTGGCTTTTCCAAGAATGAAAATGGACAGGGGCTTCGCTCACCTTCATTCTAACATGCATTTGCTGGACACAAAGCTATAGCTGGACACAAGGTCAGTAACCACTGAAGCCAAAGAACAGAGATTTCTACAAGCATTAAGTAAAGGTACTGTAACCCCAGGATCTGGCCAAAGAGTCCATTGACAGGCATATCTGTTGGATCACATACCATGACTGAGAGGGATGAGACAAAACAATCTGAAATCTGGTATCAATAAGGCCGATGAGGATTAAAATCAGTGGGACAAGAAATTTACTCAGCTCAAGACCCTTGCAATGGTACTGGGTATTGCATGTCTAATTACACCTACCATAAAGCCGAAGAGAAAACCTCCACTAAATGAGCTTCCTTCCACATCATCAGCTACAAAGCCTGTGACAGGCGGACTGGTCCTAAGGATGCCCTGCAGAGGTGTACATCCACAGAAATGAAAAGCAAGGAGATTCAGAAAACAAGAAGAGTACATCTACAAACTCAAAAGCCAGCAAAATGCAAGTCATCAGAAAATATCCAAATCAAGATACAGGCATAATGGTCATTTTTATCAAATACAGAAATTCCATCAGCCAAAAAACAGACACTAAATGAAAAAAGGGACTTGGTGCAGAAAAAAAATTAAAGAAACAAAACTGAAGACCTAAAATAAGAAGGTAGTCAGTTGGCCAAGCACCATTTTCTACTTATGAATTAATTACTCATTTGCTTAATACATGTTTATTATTCTAGACATTTTGTTATACTCAGCTACCTTTCTGCCACCTGTTCATCAAGTTATTTTATTGTTCATTAATTGGACCCACCCAATAGAGTAAACAGAGAGAAAAATTAAAACTCCTGGAAGTTGATCTTACTCATGTAAGTAACAACAGTAAAAGGCTGTGTGACATCATGCAAGAGGCAGGAAGAGGAAAAACTGAAATTGAGTCTTGTAGAGAATCAATAGATTCCATTTGTCCATCACTTAAGAGCCTGTGTGGCTGTTAACTCCACTGACACTCCCTAGAACTCTGGCCATTTGACCTGGCCTTAACGTCCCACCAAGCATCTGGCTTGTTCACTTCCAACTTCCTAGCCCGGCCTCCTGAATTCTGACTCCCCACCTGGAGCAGGTATCCACAAGCAGACACATCTGCTACCATGACTCACATGCTCTCAGCCTCACCCCTAATTTCAGCCATGTCTGGGTGGACCATTGTGTGGAGGTTTCAGCTCACTTCAAGATGATAATATCTTACATGTACCTCGCAGCCTCGGTTCTCCCCAGGGGCGTCCCCAAGACCACAGAGGCTACTGAGAGATGCCTAGGCCTGTGCACATGCACAGTTCACAAGTGCAGGAGAATGAACACTCTCAGGGCCCACACTCAACCAACAGGGGAGAGAAACTGATGGCAAACGCTGCCCTGGCCTCCTGGCCTCAGGGCTGACAATTCTGAAGCCTCCTCAGAAGTCAGCTGGGTTGAACTGCCATGGCCCACAGCAGTGACCTCAACCATGCATCCGTCTTAGTCGGCTCAGGCTGCCATAACAAAATATGACAGACTGGGTGGCTCAAACAGCAGAAATTTACTTTCTCACAGTTCTGGAGACTAGGAGTCCAGGGTCAAGGAGCCAGTAGGATGGGGGCCTGGCCAGGGCCCTCGGTTGTCTTGCAGACAGCTGCCTTCTCACTCTGTCCTCACATAGCCTTGCCTCAGTGCATGCGCACTGGAGAAGAGAAAGAGGACAAGCTCTCTGGTGTCTCTTCTTATGCGGACATTAATTCCATCGGGCAGGGCCCCACCCTCAGGACCTCATTTAACCTTAATTACTTCCTTAGAGGCTCCACATTGAGGAGTTATGACTCAACATATCAGTTTGCTGGGGACACAAACATCTAGTCCATAACAGCATCCTTACTCCTTCCCTGCCTCAGTTCTACTCTTTCCCTGCCTCAGTATCCCCACTCCCTCACTCTTGCTTCCTGGAATCACCTCCCAAATAAATCACCTGCACATAAGGCTTCTTCTTGGGCCCTGCTTTCAAGATCCCAGCTAAAACAGCACATCTCCTGACATGGTACTCTGATGCCACCTGGCCAGATGTTCTCTGCCAATCTAATACTAATCCCTCTCCCCAAGCTCATCTTCTGTTCTCAACCCTCTCCCAATTTAACCCACCTATCATCTATACTTTAAGTTCACCATCAAGTTATTCAACACATACATTCACTGGGTTCCTATTACAAGCCCAGATCCTAGTGCAAATGCCCATAGGTCCCAAGCAGTTAATGTGTCGGGGGTACAGGGCCAAGCGGAGCAAGATCCCTTGTGTCCTGTGTCCAGTTCCATAATTTTCATTTAAAAATGGGAACTTTTTATTTTCATTGAATAAGGGATCCGTTTTCATTTTGTCTCATTTTAACTTAACTTTGTTTTATAATGATGTAAAACATGTACATGGTTTCAAAGTCAAATATACCAAAAAGGTACATTCAGAAAAGACTAATTTCCATCCTTTCCATCTGTTTTTCCCTTGCCCTTCATGGGTAACTTTATTAGATTTTTTTGTTTATTCTTCCACTTAAAAATATATAAGCAAAGTATCCCAATTTTTAAATGTTAGTAACTAATTTAAATCTATTTATTATACAATACAGATCACACCATCATCTTAGAGCTTCTAGTTTGACACATCTGTACACATTTCTGAGGAGGCAGCAGGAAAAAAAAAAACAGCCCCTGAGCTCTTGGAGTGTAGAGGTGGGGACAGCCAGGGTGAGAGGCACTTACCACACAGTGTGACAAGTGCACCAATAGGGTCAGAGGAAGAGCAATGGCCCCAAAGATGGCCATATCCTTATCCCTGCAACTCATGAATGCCCAAAGGAGAAGGAAAGTTGCAGCTGGGATTAAAGTTACTAACCCAATTACCATGGATCATACACATAGGCCCAAAGTAATCACAGGGTCCTTAGACGTGGAAGAAGGGAACAGAGGAGTTCACAATCAGAGGGAAAATTTGAAGATGCTGGCTTTGAAGATGGAGGCAGGGGCCACAAGCCAAGGAATGCAAGTAACCTCTAGAAGCTGGAAAAGATAAGAGGTTCTCCCCTAGAGCTTCCAGAAGGAACACAGCCCTATTGACACTGTGATTTTTAGCCCACTGAGACCCACTAAGTTTCAAGCCACTAAGTTTATGGCAATTTGCTACAGCATCAGTGTAAAACTAACACATGGGATAAACCCAGGATGCCAGTCTTGAGGGAACACAGGGTATCAGGGAAGGCTTCCCAGGGAAGATGACATTTGGCTGAGTCCTAAAGGATGAACTGGGTTTGTGGGGTGGGAGGTCCAAGAAAAAGCAGCATATGAAAAGGCCTTGTGGTATTCAGGGAAGTTCAAGGCATTTAAAAGCAGCAAAAATCTTAATTCCTTCAGGAATTTCCCTTTTTTTTTTTTTTTTTTTTTTTTTTTTTTTTTTTTTTTTTGAGATGGAGTCTCACTCTGTCATCCATGCTGGAGCGCAGTGGCACGATCTCAGCTCATTGCAACCTCTGCTTCAGGGTTCAAGCAATTCTCCTGCCTCAGCCTCCCAAGTAACTGGGATTACAGGCACCTGCCACCACACCCAGCTAATTTTTGTATTTTTAGTAGAGATGGGTTTCGCCATGTTGGACAGTCTGGTCTCAAACTCCTGACTTCAAGTTATCCAACCACCTCAGACTCCCAAAGTGCTGGAATTACAGGAGTAAGCCACCAATGCCTGGCAGCAATTTCTCAAAGATTCTCTTAGGAATACTATTAGCCAACTCACTTCATTTTACAGAGCCTGAATAAAAGACCTGGAGAAGTTGAAAAACCTGCAAAAGTTACACAGTCCTGGGTTTGTCTGTCTTCATTTGTGAAATAAGGAAGTTAGATTAGGTGAACCATAAGCCTATCCATGACTACTTAGCAGATAAACTCAGGTGTGCAAGAAATACAACAGTTCTCATTTTTGCCATATAAATCTGGCTCTGGTCCCCCATACCACCGGGCTGGAAGGAAATTTGATCTCAGTTATTACTGATGCATATACATGCCCTGTACCTTGGCCAAGGTTATGCCAAGGTCCTACGGTCTCTGAAGCATCTAAGCATCAAGGAGGCCCCTGGGGGTCTTATCCTCTAGTCCTCAATGATTACAGCTAAGATGCCCATTTTCCCAGCTGGCATCTCAGGTCCAGTGGTTCTGATACCTTTAGGGTCCCATGCTCTGTGGCAAGGCTGGGAGTCCATATTCCTAGATCCATCCTCAGTGGAATTACTATGGTGCCATCTCCTCCATGGTACCACCACATCCCTAGTACATTGTTTCCATGGTAACCGCTTTCCAGGTTCCTGGAATCTCCCTCCTCTTACTCCCCTCTGCATCTCAAAGGCTCTTATTTCCATCCATCAGGAACACTTGGAGATATCTCTTTCTAAGAGTTTCACCTTTCACAGAAGAAAGGAAGAGCTGCCATCTTCCAGCAATTTCGGCTGCCTCCCTAATCAGATCAGAGAGGAAAATAGGGAATAGAAGAAGACCACATGTTTATTCATTAATATCTCAATGAACTGTCCTGGCACACCTATGTTTCAGAAACAGGGATGATAATTTTTTGTTTTCCCTCAATAGGGAACAACACTACTTCAGCATTTATGGCCATAAAATTGACTTCATTAAAAAATATTATCCCCAAAATAATAATAATCTCTCAGTATTATATAATCCAAACACATGGTCATGTCTCCTTGGTGGTTGGCAAGCCACAGAAATACCCTAATCTTGCTAGATTGCAAAAGAAGGATGCAAAAATTGCACCATGATGTTCTGGGGATTCTCTGATAGCAAAGAGAAGGAAAGGAAATTAGAATACCAGAATGGGGGGACTCAGAGCCAATCAGCAAGCATTTTGTTCTGAGGATTTTTCTATCTTGCTCAAGATGTTGTTAACATTACATACTGAAATATTCAGGATTCCTTGTTGGTAAAACAATAGTTTCTCCCTGTCTCTCAAAATAATAATGATAATAATGATTGTATTAGTCTATTCTCATGCTACTAATAAAGACATATGTGAGACTGGGTAATTTATAAAGGAAAGAGGTTTAATTGACTCACAGTTCCACAGGACTGGGAAGGCCTCAGGAAACTTATAATCATGGCAGAAGGGGAAGCAAACACATCCTTCTTCACATAGTGGCAGAAAAAAGAATGAGTAAAAGGGTGGAAAGCCCCTCACAAAGCCATCAGATCTCACGAGAACTCACTCACTATCATGAGAACAGTAGCATAGGGGTAAACGCCCCCATGATTCAATTACCTCCCACCAGGTCCCTCCCACAACACATGGGGATTATGGGAACTACAATTCAAGATGAGATTTGGGTGGGACACAGCCAAACCATATCAGTAATAATAATAACCATTTTGCTCTTGCCAAGAAGATCTATTCCAGCCTAGAAAGAAAGTGCTCTGCCCACCCCACATTCAGAATCAGTGCAACATTATTGACAAAGCAGCTCATCTCTGGTAGAATGCTTACCTGCTGCCCACCCCATAAAGAAATTGGGCCCTTGCCCATTGATGGCCAGTGTGTCATCTGAATTTTTACCTTCTGCCAGGCAGGGCAAGGAGAGAACATGTCATCTGACATGTAGACACCTCTTCCTGGTCACTACATCTCATAAGAATTGATTCAGCCTCTTCCTCCTGTTCCTCCCAGCCCTGCTGCCATCCCTCTTGTTTCAGGATTCCTGAGCTTTTCCCTGACACTTGGCATATCTGTCCAAGTACCCAACTCTAACTGTACACACCCCCTGCATGAATGATCATTATTCACTGGCAACAAAGGCCATCAGACTTCCTGCCATCACCTTGCCAGGAGCAGCCACCACTCTTTGAACTTCATATTGGAGCATTCCCATTGTTAATGCTGACGGTAAGCCTCATGAATTATTTAACAGCTTCTTTATCTGGGCTGGCAAAGAACGGTGTGTTCTGATCAGAGGCTGTAGTGTCCTGATCAAACAGGACTCATTCACCCACTGCCTTCCAAATTCTCTATGAGTACCAGCAGTCGCCTCCAGATATAAGCCCAAATCCATGGTCACAGCTGCTGGTTCAGGAACCAGCAATCTATCCCAAGGGGGCCAGCTAGGTTCTGGCTCATGCACTGTCCCATTAGATGGTGGACGATGGTAAGGGTCACCATCACCCCTCTTTGCTCTAACAGCAAATCCTCTCACTCTCCCAAAAGGTCCCGAATCACAGTGCTTAGCACTTCCTGAGGAGGGAAGATGCAAAAAGTTGAAGCAAGCTCCCCAAACACACCTCAATCTGATCGAAACCCATGATCAGTGTCAGAGAGGCAATTTAATGACCTACAACTCTTTCTGGTGGACACCTCGTTCCTGGGTTGTGGGTTTTCATTCACTGTGAGAGGGTCTCTCCCACTTGGACATTTAAACTGGTCAAAGATAATTGAGGTTCCTGGCCAGGCACAGTGGCTTGCACATGTAATCCCAGCACTTTGGGACGCCAAGGTGGGCGGACCACTTGAGGTCAGGAATTCAAGACCAGCCTGGCGAACATAGCGAAACCCGATCTCTACTAAAAAATAAAAAAATTAGCCAGGCTTGGTGGTGTGCACCTGTAATCCCAGCGACTCGGGAGGCTGAGGCAGGAGAATTGTTTGAACCCAGGAGATTGAGGTTGCAGTGAGCCAATATTGCACCACTGCACTCCAGCCTGGGTAACAGAGAGAAACTCTGTCTCAAAAAGAAAAAAAAAAAAAAGAAGAAGAAGCAGCAGCTTAATGAGATGTCTTTGAGATGGAACTAGCAGCTCCTAGGGAATCTTTTAAGCTGAACTGGCCCTTCATTCTGTATTTTACACACATCATCCATTCGATCTCACCAACAATATGTGAGGTTCACAGGGCAACACAGAGATGAACCATATTTTACAGATGAGGAAACTGTCATGACCCCAGGAGTGCGCAGCAAGTCCACGACAGCCGTGTCCTGACTCCGGTCCCAGTGCTCTTCCCAGAACTCTAGTCCCAGGCAGGTGCAGTGGCTCATGCCTGTAAGCTCAGAATTTTGGGAGGCCGAGGCAGGAGGATCACTTGAGCCCAGGAGTTTGAGACCAGCTTGGGGCAACACAGAGAGACCCTGTATCTTGTTAATAAATAAATAAATAACAAAACTCCAGTCCCCCTTCTTTCCTTCCTCTGTCTTCCTTCTCCAGCACAGATTCCACACAAATCCTTCTCCAAAGTACAGAAAAACACCAGGCCTTTTGATTTTCCTTTGTTTTTCATTTTTCCAGATTTCTGTACAATTTACATTCTCTATATGCCTGAATTTCTTGGAGAGGGCAAATCTGCACATAACTCACAGAAATAAAGGTGATATAAAAATCATATAAGAACCTAACAGTGGGACCGGTATACATGCTATACCCTGCCAGCCAGCTACGTCCGCTGCACTGAAATTAAATCTCTCAGCTTTAAAGTCAGTAGATAATAGGGAAGAAAGTACTAGAAACTATTGTTTATTTTCCATTGAATCAATTGGAGCTGTATCCAACTCATTAAAAAAAATTTAATTTGAGAAAGTCTTAATCATGAGCTTTAAACTGATCAACAACAAAACTCACAATTAGGCTCTTTAGATAAATCAGGAAGTGCCTGCAAGGACCCATCTACTTAGACTGTTCTGGGACTTTCAACAAGAAGTAGTTACCACTTGGAATTTCCTCATCTCCGTTCACATCCACCAACAGCTGGGCTTCCTGCAGCACCTGGGTTCATCAATACCCCATAACAACATGAGCACCATGAGCATCCAGTCCAAGGGGAGAACAAAAAGGAACAAAATAAGAGAAGACAAGCATTGCTATCAGGACTCTGGAATTCAGTCTGGCCCCTAGTAGCCTTCCCTGTAACTACCAAGGGATCCCCGAGGGAAGCAGAACTCCTGTCTAGGAAATTACCATGATCAGTAGAGGTGGGTTAGGTTTTTCTGCATTTTACTTCTTCAAGAATTTGCATTTTGGTTTAGGGCAAATACATCAAAAAGACATGATGCTCTTCTTCTGGCAACAAAGACTGCCTACCAGGGTGGGAAAACTGTTTTGTTTCAAATTTCTGCTGTAAACAGAAAGGCTAGAAAGCCGAGTTCCACGATCTCGCTAAGCCCAAAGTCCCAGGTTTCAGTTGCACCTTTTTTGCTACACATTTCTAAGAAAGGAATCTCAGTATGTTCATCAGGAAAAATAGCAAATTTAAACGCCATGTGCTGAGCGTTTGCCTAACAGACGCTGCATTCCACCAAGTCACTCTCTCAGAGCCAACCTTTCTAGGTACCCTAGAAAAGACTGTGAAGGAAATGTGTACCAGCTGGTGCAGGCAAATAATGAGAGCTGGAAACAGTGCCTGGAGGTGTATCATTTCAAAACAGACCTCTGCCATGTTGAACTTTAACTGTGATTCCCTGTGAGCAGTTTAGAATTCGGCAATTCCAACATCTTTCTACCTTCTTGCACCTGTGTATAGGTCATGTGTGGGAGGTTAACTACAAAAGGTCCAGTTGCTCGGTAAGTAAGGCAAAGATGGTGAATGTTTGGGAGAATGTTTAAAATAGTACAATCTGGAACACCCAAAAAGATGCTGGTTCTGCCGAAATAAACAAGAGGAGCTAGAAATATCACATTGCACATCGACAGGCAAGGCTCCACCTACCTTTTCCCTCACTGCAAATAAGTAACAGACACCCAGACCTAGGTCTGACAGAGGAACTGTCAGCCTTGCATCTTAATATTGAGCAGGCTCTTAAAACAATCAAAAGAATTTCAAATTTGTTAATCCTTTGGAAAACCACCAAACTATTTGCTATGCAGATAACAGAAAACATTCATGGTAAAAAGATTTCTCTTACAAATTATGGAGAAAATGGCAGGTGTTATCCAAACCAAAATACATTGTCTGGCCAATTTTAAATAATTACATCTTGATCTTGACCTCAGCAGGAAGCCCAGGAGTTGAGGGCTGTTGTCTGTGCTTTGGTCAGGAAAGGAACCACCTTCAGAACCATTATTACCAAAGGGATTTGGAGAAATGTTCCTCTAAGGGGAAAGATAATAAAACAGAGAGCTCTGGTTTGGTTTCTTGAAAGGCCATTAAGTGGAACTAAAAGGCTCCTCTAAGATACTGGTCAGAAGCTCTACAAAAGAGACCCTCCCGAATTTCACATCCCCTTCTAATTTGTTTCAGTGAAAATAATTCAAAACATTGCATAGTAACTCATGACATGCATTATGTTAAATAAAAGCGTACCTGAGTTGATTACATTTTAGCTGACTGACACATACCTTTGAAAGCTGCATAAGCAGGTCTCCTTGTGCCTTGCCAAGACAAAAAGGATTTGCAGTGCCGTGATCTGCTAGTGCCTTAAAATACTGCCATCTCGTCTTCTGTCTCTGGGAGCTCTAGGGCTCCAATCTAAGCTCGCTGCAGTTTGAATACTGCATTGTTTACCTATAGAAATCTTGCTGCCACCAAGATCCTATTTCCTAATTTCTGTCACAGTAAATAGGTTGATGGTTTTTTAAAAAAGTTACAAACATGAGATGCTTTTAATTGTTCAAGAACCTGCTGGATATTAAGATGCAAGCTTTTCTGTTTCTCTATCAGACAACATCAGACAGGGATGGATCATACTTAGGCCTCACTCCCAGCTATCCTTAGGAAAATTCTAAAAAAAAAAAATCAGTGGGAATAAAGACATCAGCCAAAAAATGAGTTCATTGTTCATAACATATCTTGTTAGACAACAGGCTACAGTGGCACTGCATAGAGCTAAGCCCAATTGATTAAATATGGATATATAAGTTGATTGAATCAATTCTATAAGAAATTAAATTACAGGTTTTATATTCATTTGAAATCATTTCTGTAAGAAATTGAAAGATAGATTCAAGGTCAGAAACCATTCCTTTCTTACAAACTTTATCTGTATAAGAAAATAGATGTGACTTAAGTCATTCTATTTATATGTCTTTTCTAGGTATATCACCCACAAAAACCAAAACAACCACCTGAAGCTGCATTCTCAAATTATGTTAAATGAATCCCTGCTATATGGAGAGAAGTAACCAAGCCAGGAATTTCAGGTGGGCAGATTTCAGAAGCAAATGATTCTGGAAGCACATGAGAGCAGTACCACAAAGAGCAGTACAGTGAGGTCAATTGAGTCGGACAGAACTTCAGGTTCCTAAACGGTTCATTTCTTCTCTTTATTAACAATAAGGAATTAATTAGGCTTATGGCCCAGACAAGTCAAGTACTGCTAGATTTAGTTCTCAGCTCTGTCACTGGCTATGTAAATCCCTACTGTCCCAGATTCCTCAGAATATTTGAGGCTTGGTAAGTTGCTCCCATCCTTCCCAATAGCAGGATTAGTAAATGTGTCCGTGGAAACTTTATGGCAATTAACAGAAAGGAAGAATACAGCAATTTATCACCATAGACCTTTGCTCAGCTATTGGAGAAGGGGAGGACTAGACAGCCCTGGCAACATGGGATCTGGGAGGAGGGTGGAGAAGAGCAGGGAAGCTCCTCTTTGGGGCCAAGCCCATGAGAGCAGCCAGCTAGCCATATAATGGCCGTGGCTTTGACTTCCAGCTCCACCTTGAAACCCAGACAGTATCATGACCAAATGAATGTATCCAAACACTCCAGTCAGATAAAAGGGATCAGTACTGGAATGCTCAGAGCTGGGAGGCAGCTACCATGAAAGCTAATCCAGGCATGCTGCCCCAATATGTTCTACAAATGCCCAACTACACAGTAAAGCATTCAAATGAGGTTAAACTAAAATGAGGCAAGATACAGACGAGAGCAGGGATGAAGACTTACACTGGCTGGAGACAGTCCATCGCCAAGCAAATAAAGCCACCCAAATCAAAGACAGAGGCAAACAAAAATTAAATCTTATCCCCAGAGTGGTAAGTAGCAGTTCGCTGCTGAGGGTCTGCTATTCAGGTCACTCTAACAGAGCTCAACTATGCCAAAAGCAATCCAGTAGGGATCCACTCAAAACCTGACAAAGCCACTTCTAAGAAAGTCAGATGCTTCGTAGACAATCATTAGATGGTATACCTACAGGTCAAGGAACTTCATGATTTCACACCTGCCAGGGAGAATTCGAATTGTCAAAATGTCAAAGTCAAATGAGAGAGTACAGGGGCAACAGGGAAGTGCCTGGTGAGAAAAAGGAGTCATCTCTTATTCATGAGGCTATCACTCACTTGTGGAGGAGAAACTTAAGACCAAATAATTGCACCTTTTCAAAGTCATTGATAAGGATGTATGAACCACCTCATGGAAAACATGGAATTAAATAAGAGCAACAACGTCCTTTTTTATTTGAGACAAAGAGAAAAAAAAAACACATTAAACTGGAGGAGAGGGAAATGCCTGAATTCAAAGCTCAGATGGGAATTAGAAACCGGCTATTGTCAGGTAAAGGCTCCGTGGTCATACATAATTAAAACTCATGCAGCCAGTGTCTTCTCACCAATGAGAGATCTCAGAAAACTAAGATGGGGGGCGGGGAGAAAGCCCGCAGGAGCAGCTGCTGGTCCACTAGTTCTCAAACTCTTACGCACGTTTGAATTCCCTAGAGCTGTATAAAAGTAGAGATTCCCAGGCTGAAGAGCTCTGGGGATAGGACCCAGGCATTTGTACTTTTTAAAGTACAGTTGATCCGGTGTGTTGAAACCATTAAATCTGGCTGAGAGGAGCTATGAACTCATAACCATTCCCAGTTTTCCAGAAGAAACTGATGTAGCAAATTTAAAAGAATTTTTTTTAAATAAGGAGAGGTTCTACCACTCAGGGAACACCTAAGCACCACAGCCCCAGATTCCAGCTGCTCTGAAGTTCCATCTATAGTTCCCTCTCCACTGGAGCACATTTAGAAAAGCCCAGAGAAGGTTCTGGACCTCACCCCACTGCACTTACTGAACTGAACCCAAACTTCCCATTAGAGAGGGGGCGATGGCTTACACGCTGAACTTAGTGTTGATCTGGGCTGCAGTCCTCACCCTGCCATTTTCTATATAAGCTTAGACAAGTTCCCTAACTTATCTGAGCCTCAGTTACCTCAGATCTCTCTCAGAGGGTTGTTTTGAGATTTGAGAGAGAACACATGTAAATCAGCTTGCAGAGTGGCACACAGGGCAGGGGGCCTAGTAAACGTTTATTTGTTAATTTGTTTAAGGGACTATGCTGCTGCCAGAGACTGGATTTGAATTGTCAGCCTCAAAAATCCCCTTGCCTTGTGATAGCTCTCCAATCCTCTGCACACCAATGTGTGCCTAACCCTGAGGCTGACCTTTGATGTCCCAGAAGGGTCCCGATCAGAAGGTCTGGATTCATGAATAGAATACACAAGCTAATCTGGTAGGATGTGGTACAATGATTTTTGATGTCAAAGATGTTTCATGGTGCCTTGCACATTGCAGATGAATAATAAATGAATATTTGCAGGCTGGATTATTCAAAGAAGACTTGGAGTTAACCTGTGAATTTCACTTTAGGGTGATTCTCCTTTTTCTTCACATGCAATAAAAGTGACTGAAGAATGTGATCTTACACAAGCTGGAGCATTTTCCCCCATCTGTTTTAGTTTCTAAATCTTTAAAACTAATTAATGGTTACTAACAAAACATAGAAGCAAACAGCAGTAGAGAACAATTTAATGGTCCTGCCTCAGTACTAGAGGAAAACTGCTCACAGCTAACTCTGTCTCATAAAACTCCAGTTTTAGGGGGGAGAAGGTGACATCCCTCTGCCTCTAGACAGGTGAGAGGAAATTGAGAATAAAAGATGGACCAACACGTACTCCCTCAAGATGATACACTCAGAACAGATTTGACAGCACAGAGAACGGCTCTGGCCTTCTGCTCTGCTGGTCAAACTGGCACAAATACTGAAAAGATGAAGCAGGAAAAAGAAATTGAAACATTCTGGGCAACTTGTAAATTCCTAGGTCTATCAGGGAGTCTAACAACCCATTAGGCAACTGGAAAAACAGGCAACTATCTTCACGGCTCTGCTCCATTTTCTCATATCAATATCTAGCGTTACACAATAATGCTCAGCAGATGACTGAGTTCCTCTTTCACCATTTTGAGCTATCATTCACAAGGGAAGGGCATGAGGACACAGTTGCAGGTCAGTGAGGGTGGGTGGGACACCGGCTTGGGAAACTGAATGCAGGGAGGCAAGGCTGGATGAGCAGGTCCAGGAAAGCCCGTACTGCTCCACACAAAGGAAGAGAGAGCATCAGGAAGAACAGGGACTCATCCTCTCCCTGGAAAAGGGCTAAAAACCAATCATTGCAAATTCACCTTGTTCAAAGCTTCTTTTCTGACCACAATGGGCTAGATGGTCTCTGAGAAGACCTGGGAGGTTTATTTTACCAACAGAAACATTTGTATTTGTTTAAGTGGTGAAGTATGAAACCTCTGTGATGAAATGGCTGCTGTTTTACTGACTGAACCCAAAATTCTCACCAGGGAGCTAGCAATGGCGTCCCACACTGGACTTGGAGTTGATCTGGACTCCAGCTCTGGGCCTGTCATTTCCTAACTATGTAACTTTGGGCAAGTGTCCTAACTCATGTGAGCCTTGTATCCTTAAATCCACCTAAGAGGCTTGTTGAGGTTTGAATGTGAGAATACAAGCAAATCACCTTGTATAGTGACAACACAGAGCAAGGGCCTCGTGAACATTCATTTGCTCATTCATTGAAGGGACTAGGGTGCTACCAGAGATGCCACTGGGAAAAACTCCATTCCCAGCCCTATTTTCCCCAGAACTCACCGCTCAGATTTTAGTAAGCATAGTGCAAAAATAGTGGTCCATGGTCAAATAAGTATAGGAAAAGCTGGAGTCAACAACGTCAAACTAGTTTGCTCACTTGCCCAAGAGCCATAAATAAGCTGATGTGTGCTATGAGCTGCAGAGAAGATCAGGGTGAGGGAAATAAAACCTGCAGCATTTCTCAAGCATAATTCTTCAAGGAACATCTGTTATGACACACACGTGAAACATGCCCCCAAAGAGTTCAGGAAACGCTCATCAGGAACAAAGGTTAGTAATACATGGGAGTGAGTGGCTCACCCAGTCACCCCATGGGATCTGACATTTCCTGACTGGTGTTTACCTAGGTGACAGAGGAGACATTCTGGAGCCAGAAACAATGATAATGCTACCAGGAAAGTAGAACACCACCCAAAGGAACGCCACACCAGCCCAGCCCAGCTCCTCCTCACTAGGGGCCAGCACAATATCCATTCGGTGACTTTTATTTCATGAGAACATATCTCTACCTTTATAAAGCATACTGTCAACAGAAAAGTCAGATTTTCTTACTGAAAGAATCACTTTTTGTGTGAATGGATCAATTTTTCAAAGTGTGAAAACCTGTGCCATGAGAGTTGACTCTGCCACCGATGAGAAGAAAGGATTTGGGGTTATTTCTAAATTTCTCATATAAAATATCTTTTTCGATAGTTTTATGCTGGACTACCTCAAATGCACATAATTTATACTTGCATAAAATGCCAGTAGGCTTTCCTCATAGGCAGTCAAGTCACGAGTGTTCTTTCAAAACTATTCTCTAATCTGCCTCTTCATTTCCCTTCTACAGCCACCAACCCTGCCACACTCACCAGGATTGTGGCGAAACCTCCCAGGCTCCATGCTTACAATATTTCCCCTTCCAACGCTTTCTGCATCCTGCCAGTTTAACCTCCAAAATCAATCATTATTATATTCCTCAAAGACTTAGATGTTCCCCCTTTGTATATGGAATACCCAAACTCAACCTGGCTACTGGCATTTGAGCTTTCTCTCCCACAGGACTCCAGCCCCTAGACTCTTACACCGACATCTCAAGCCCCTGGCCCACCTTGCCTCTTCCCAACCCCCTGCCTCTGTGCACACCAGTCTCCCTGCCAAGTTTGTCCACCCACTCTTGCCAACTCTAAATCCACAAGAACTCCCAATACTTAGGTCCACAGAATCATTCCACATGACTCCGGTCCAGTCCTCCCCTCACCTACCTTCCACAGCAGGTTCTGTGCATTCCATTTAGCCCTTCGCCTTTTATTAACTTCTGTTGCTATTTAATTGTTTCTACTAATATTTCAATGTTCATGTGTCTTTGACTTTCCCCACAAGTAAACTCCAAGTTTCGTAGAAACAGAAAGTACATCATACACTTTCTATCTTAGAAACAGAAAGTACATCATACACTTTCTATCTTAGAAACAGAAAGTACATCATATTTTCTATCTTAGAAACAGAAAGTACATCATACACTTTCGCCAACAAGAATAACATGGAGAGGAGGAAGAGGGCGAATGCACGGGCTAGCTAGTGAACTTAAGTAGGAAAATTCACCCCCCATGAAGGAAAGCATTTATGCCAACGTCCACTTTCCAAAGACATGGGTCTCCTCCCTCATAAATACCACAAGGAATGTACCTTGCCCTCCTTCAAGTTCCAGGCTCATTACTGGCAGAGAAGGAAGCAGGAAAATAAATAAATTGGGGCAGATGTAACTATACCAGATAAGACAGTAAGGTGATGAAATCTTACAGTCATAAACTCCTGCTGAGGTTAACAACTTCTGGCTCTAAATTTTCTTTCCTTTCTTAGAGGTTGTGACTGAGGAGAACTTATGTTTTTGCATTCAATGCTTTTTTGAGAAAAGGGGACACAAAACAAGGAGCTGTGTACAGTATGTGCATTTATATACATACACATTATCTATGCATATATATAAATGCAGAAAAGTAACATGAAAAACACTTCAAAAAATCACTACCGCATCCTTCAAATTTGCAACCCCTCAAAAGTACAGAGTATAGCAAAAACATCAGCATGACAAAGCCACTAGAAATCATCATGGCCTTCACTTCCTTTGTGGAAGAATTACTGTTCTTTCTTACTATCTGGAAGATGAAAATAGGGATCTGAGCCTCCTGAGTTATTGTCTCTATCATTTATTTAACCCTGTTCCCTGCTAAATAAAGCAACCATTCTACATCTGATAACATCAATAATATTCAATTCACTAATTGTCAAGTTTCTTCCTCAGAATGCAAAGCAAAAAGTTATGAAAAATCAAAGGTTCTTGTGGGATGAGCAGGGAGCAGACTAGACTGCAAGGCAAACAATGATCTCTCACCTGCACGTTTAAATGACACCTGTTTCTGGGGCACTGTGATGAATCAAAAGCAAGTCTCCTTACTTAAATTTTAAAGCCTAAAAAACAGAGAATACATGTCTCATTCCAGCAATAATAGATAAGCATATTTTAAAAACTGGATAAAATTTAAACATTAACATCTCTTTGAGGGCATCTAGGTGTTACCAAGACAACCATAACCTGAAAGTCCAAACTCCCAGAGTAAGGACACACAGAAGCCACCCAACACTCTCTCCCCACCACCACCACTGAGGTATTTACTGATGTGTAAATTTCACAAGCAGAAAGGGAAGCAAAGGAGAAAACAGCTGCTAGAGGGATGATAAACTAAGCACAGCTGTCCCCACTGATGAAGAGACAATAATTGGAGTTCAGGGCCTACCAAAGTGGACAGACCTGGGTATCTAATCTGGGCTTTCATTTGGGACTCCTAAAAGGCTACACCTGGGTAGGGAGATTGAGTTGAGATTATAAAAATTTTAACTGCCTACCAGAAGCTCAAAAAGAACACTCCTCGGTTGAAGAATACACCATCAAGAGCCTCCATCATTTTTTATTTACAGTGCCCAACATTCAATTAAAAATTACCGGGCATACCAAGAGATAGAACCAATAGGAAAAAAAAGCAGACAACAGAAACAGATTCACAGGTGATCTAGATATTGGGATTATCAGGCATAGACTTTAAAATAATTAACATGTTTAAGAAAATGGGTGACAATTTCACCAAAGAACTAGAATATATATAATACATATATATTCATATATATGAGTCAGATGGAAATTCTAGAACTGAAAAATACAATGTAATAGAAGAAATTAAGAATGCTATAGATGGGTTACAGCAAAAAGACCCAGCTGAAGAGAGAATTGGTGATCTAGAAGATAATAGTTCAATAGAAAATGCCCAGGGTAAAACACGAAAAGGAAAAAGACAGAAAAATACAAAGAAAACCAAAACAGAGTATTTGAATCTATGAAAGGGAACTCATATGTATTGAGTACATGAAGCAGGCTAGACACAGTTGTTTTAAAGTAACTAAGCTTCATTTCATCAGATACAGTTTATTAATACATTTTCCAAATTTGAGGAAAAAAATTCATAGCTAATATTTGAAAGAGCTTTTATTTTTCAAAACATATTTATAATAATAAGAGTTTAGAGATCACTTTACCATGTACAAGGTATGAAGCCTAGCAAAAGAACATGATGTTTTCTGAAACTGAAAAAAACTACGTTTACATGCTGCTATCACGCACTCTCTGGACACTCTACAAGCCTCACTTAATAAAGTTCTAGAAAGCTATTGGGAGGAATAAATGAGCGAAGATACATAAAATATCTAGCAAGAATACATGGAAAAAATGAGTGTTAGGTCCCTTTCCTCCTCCCCCCAGGCCTCACTTACGTAAATAACATTTGCTGAGTGTCTACAGTGGGCTATTTATTCAACTTAGTCACCTATGAATCAAGCAAATGCAATATACATCTATTTCAGGTCCCATATCAAAAATAAGTGCTGTATCCTTGGGCCGACAATAGTAAAGTATATAGTTAAAAGAATATGTTGGCCAGGCACCATGGCTCACACCTGTAATCCCAGCACTTTGGGAGGCCAAGGCAGGCGGGTCACCTGAGGTCAGGATTTTGAGACCAGCCTGGCCAACATGGCAAAACCCCGTCCCTACTAAAAATACAAAAATTAGCCGAGCATGGTGGTGCACACCTGTAATCCCAGCTAATCAGGAGGCTGAGGCAGGAGAATCGCTTGAACCTGGGAAGCAGAGGTTGCAGTGAGCCAAGATCACTCCATTACACTCCAGCCTAGGAGACAGAGCAAGACTCTCTCTCAAAAAAAAAAAAAAAAGGATATGTTGAATTTTGCCTCACTGGCTTAAAGAATGGTGGTGACACTGTCAGAAATATTGAAGAAGTGCTGGTTTAGTGAAGAAGGTGAAGAGTTTGTCCCAGAATAGTTTGGGTTTTAGATGCTAGCATGTCCACTAGTTGGAGATGTGCCTCAATAATTAGAAACCCAAAGCTAGAGCCCAGAGGAGAGGCAGAAGTTGAGATCGGGTAGATAAAGCCAAGGAATGGCTGAGGCCACCATGGGAAAATGTACCGCAGGAAAGAAGGGTCAATAAACTAAATATAGCCAGTGCAACTGGAAGAAGTCAATGGGTTCCCACAGCCAGAGTGAGCATCAGAACATAACATGGGTCTCCTGGGGCTTTCTTTATCCCTTGAGTCGTAATCATGTCCTACTAACGAGATCAAGGCTCCTTATCACAGGATTTCATAGCAGCCTACACTTTTCCTTTGTGGCCCTTACTCTAATTGTATTTAGGTAATTTTTTGGTGAAATAATAGGTTCATTGCCTTTTCTCCTAGATTTTATGATCCTTGAGGGCAGGTGGTGTCTCTTTTGTGTCCATAACCACATCCCCAGTACCTAACTAGCACAGTATCTTGCAGGTAGTAAGCACCTTTCAATAATCTGATGAATAAAACAATAAGTAAAATCAACTCAATGGTTATGAGTCTAGAATGCTGCTACTCACAGTATGGTGCAGCAGCAACAGCATCACCTGAGTGCTTGTGAGAAATGCCAATTATCAGGCTGGACCTACTACATTACAACCCATAGATGTTTCGTCTGCACATAAAAGTTTGAAAAGCACCGGCCCAGTGTAGGAACTTTTGACAACTAGGCCAAGAAAGCCTTCCCCTGAATGAGTGGAGAGAGATGCAAGAAATGATTCGACTGAGTAGCCTGGTTTCAACCACATTCAGAATTATTTGAGAACCAATCAGGATGGCATAATGACTGTCTGACTGTCTGCCCCTAAATCAGAGGTTCTCACTTTGGCTGCATTTCAGAGTCACCTGGAGAGCTTTAGAAAATACTAATGCCTGGTTCCCACCTCCCCTCCACAGAGATTCTGATTTAATGAGTCTGCAGCCTGTCTGGGCCACTGGGATTTGCAAAGCTCCCCAGGTAATTATAATGTACGCCCAAGGTTGAGAACCACCTCCCCAGATAACCAGCTCCTGCAATCACCAAGGCCGTCCCAAATCAAGGTTCTATTACTACTGAAGAAAAGGTTTTTTGTCTCATCCCCTAGGATTATTTGATTGATCCTGGAGAGGAAGAGTATTCTGTCTTGCTCCAGTGCTTCCAGACCTCCTCCATGACTCACTTAGCTGCTTGACTAATTGACTAATTGACTGAATCTCCAGTCTCCGTTGCCTGGGCTTCCCATCTCTGTTTTCAGGCTACCCACACTTTCCTCACTCAGCTTAGACATTCCAAGCCTTAGACCTTGCTTGGACCTTTCCTTAGAAGAATTCACATATTACTTGTCCTTTCCCGGTATGGCTTGAGCTCTTGGTTTGAAAAAAGGCAGCAGACTCTCACCTCCTTACAGGAGTTCATCCTAAAATACAAAACATTTGCCCTTCTCTGTTGTTTAGACAAACTTCCATTGAACTAGAGCCCTACTCATTTTCCCAGGACTGGCTTCCCTTCTGTCTCTTGTCTCTCACCCCAAAAACTACATCATGAAGAACAAAAGCTCCTGTGTCAAAAGACTTGCATTTCAATTTAGAACAGTCAGTTTCTCACACATCTTAACAAAAGTTAAAACCATGCAGTTCATTCTCTTTATAGCAATGGCTTGGAGACAGCCACCTAACCACAGTGTTCCTCCCATAAGAAGGGCTCTAAACCTAACTCAGTTGTTTTCCTATGGGCTTCAGGGGTTTGTGATGCCTTCCCCTTAGTTGTTATGCAAAATGTAATGAACATATGCATACTCTTCTATCCAGAAACCCATAATTTTCAAGAGTCTTGAGACACATAAAATGATGCTCGACATCACTAATCAATTGGAAAAATGCAAATCAAAACCATAATGAGATACCACTTCACCCCATTAGGATAGCTATTATGAAAACAACAACAGCCAAAAACTACAAGTGTTGGAAAGGGTGTGGAGAAATTGTGTATTGCTGATGGGAATGTAAAATGGTGCAGCCACTGTGGAAAACAGTATGGCACTTCCTCAAAAAATTAAACACAGAATTACCATAGGATCCAGCAATCCCACTTCAGGGTATATGCCCAAAAGAATTAAGCAGTGGAACTAGAAAAGATATGTGTACAGGAGTGTTCACAGCCACATTATTCAGAAAAGCCAGTAAGTGGAAACAACACAAATATCCACTGGCAAATAAATTTCAAAATGTGGTATACACATACAATGCAATATAATTCAGCTTTAAACAGGATTGCCTTCAAGCAGAGTAAGGCATCTCCCTCAGTTTCCCAGAGTTCCTTGGACAGAGCTTCTGCATATTATGTTGTAATTATTTATTTGTCTGTACTAGAAAGTGAACCCTGGAATACAGAGACTGTACCTATGCACTACGGGTCCCTAGAACATGGCTTAATCAATGGTCATTAAATGAATAATTGAATAAAAGAATGAATAAACTAAGATTATTTAAAAATTATATAAAAAACTATACATCAATAAGAAAAATACAAACAACACAGTACCAAACTAGGAACTAGGCACACACAGGCATGTCACAGGAGAGGAAACAAATACGGCCAATGCAAAAAGAAAAGCTAGCCAGTTGCAGTGGCTCACACCTGTAATCTGAGCACTTTAGGAGAATGAGGTGAGAGGATCTCTTGAAACCAGGAGTTTAAGACCAGCCTGGGCAACAAAGTGAGACTGTGTCTCTAAAAGAAGAAGAAGAAGAAGGAGAAGGAGAAGGAGGAGAAGAAGGGGAAGAAGAGGAAGAAGGAGGAGGAGGAGGAGGAAGAAGAAGAGGAGGAGGAGGAGAAAAAGGAAGAAAGGAGGGAGGGAGGGAAGGATGAAAGGAGGGAAAGAAGGAAGGAAGGGAGGGAGGGAGGGAGGAAGGAAGGAAGGAAAAGTTAGCCATCCATGGTGGTACATGCCTGTAGTCCCAGATAACTTGGGAGGCTGAGGCAGGAGGATCTTTCAGCCTGGGGGTTCGAGGCTGCAAATAGCTATGATTGTGCCACTGTACTCCAGCCTGAGGGATAGCAAGACCCTGAAGAAAGGAAGGAAGGAAGGAAGGAAGGAAGGAAGGAAGGAAGGAAGGAAGGAAAGAAAGAAAGAAAGAAAGAAAGAAAGAAAGAAAGAAAGAAAGAAAGAAAAGAAAGGGAAAGAAAGAAAAAGAAAAGAGAAGAAGAAGGGAGGGAGGGAGGGAGGGAGGGAGGGAAGGAAGGAAGGAAGGAAGGAAGGAAGGAAGGAAGGAAGGAAGGGAAAATGAAAAGCTAATCGCAATCAGTAGTGAATAGGAAAATGTAAGTCAAGGCCACAGTGAGATATCACTTTAAATGATTCAATAGGCAAAAATATCAAAAGTCTCACAATACTAAGTGTTGGAGAGATGTCGATCCACAGGATCTTTTACATGCTTCTGGTAAGCATATAAATTAGTGCAACCTTTGAGGAAATGGTTTGATATTATCTCCTAAAGTAGAATATTTTCACTCTAGCAATGCCATTCCATTCTTAGATATATGCCATAAGAAATTATTGTTGAAATACAATAGGAGACATGTACAAAAATGTTCATAGCATCACTTTCATACAGTAAAATCCTAGAAACAATCATGATGCCCATAAATAGGGCAGCAAATGAATAAACTGTAGTCTATTCATATAACAGAGTATTATTCAGCAGTCAAAACAAATGAACTAAAACAACCTGCAGCATTGTGACTGAATTGTAACAATATATTGTACAGTCAGCCCTCCATATCCCTGGTTTCCATATCCATGAATTCAACCAACCTCTAATCAAAGATATTCTGGAAAGCAAAAAATAACAATATAACAATAAAAATATATAAATAAAAAATACAGTGTAACAGCTATTTATATAGCATTTCCATTGTATTAGGTTTTATAAGTAAACTAGAGATTTTTTTTTTTTTTTTGAGATGGAGTTTGGCTCTTGTTGCCCAGGCTGGAGTGCAATGGCGTGATCTCAGCTCACCACAACCTCCATCTCCCGGGTTCAAGTGATTCTCCTGCCTCAGACTCCCAGGTAGCTGGGATTACAGGCACCTGCCACCACACCCAGCTAATTCTGTCTTTTTAGTAGAGACAGGGTTTCTCCATGTTGGTCAGGCTGGTCTCAAGCTCCCAACCTCAGGTGATCCACCTGCCTCGGCCTCACAAAGTGCTGGGATTACAGGCATGAGCCACGAGATGATTTAAAGTATACAGGAGAATGTGCATAGGTTATATGCAGATACAACCTATTTTATATAAGGGACTTGAGCATCCTCGGATTTTGTATCTTCAGAGGTCCTGAAACGAATCTGCCACAGATGCTGAAGGACAACTGTAATATTAAGTGAAAAAAAGTTAAGTTCCAAAAGATTACATAGAGCAGGATATAGCCATTTTGTAAACTGAAAAACAACTAAATATTTTAAATGCTTTACATGAAAACACATAGATGCAAGAAAATTAAATAGAAAGAAAAGCAAAGGAATGATGAACTCTGAATTATCTGAATCCAGGTTGATGGTACCCTGGTAGAAGGAAGCAAGAAGATGGGATTGTGAAGGGCACATATAGTTAGATGTCACTTTACTGTTAAGGTCCCAGCTTTTATATTAGACAGCAGGTTTCTAGATGTTTATTACATTATTATAAACAAATAAGTAAAAGGGAGGCCTTGCATATTCCAATGATGCAAGTGTGTCGTGAACTAAGGATTATGATTAATCCAGTTTTGTAGCTAGAGGGATTTTAGGGAAAAATAAATAAAGAAGGAACATGACTTCTCCAGGTAGATTGTTTCAAAAGTACAGATATCTCTATAAAAGAAATTCTGCTTCCAACTTTTTAGAATGATGATTACAAAGATTTTTAGAAGGCTATCATCCACATAAAGGCAAACCAAATACTACAATAGCACCATGAAAGAACGATTAACATATGATCATATAAACTACATTTTAAAAAATATGGAAGAGGGTACTACTCACATTCGAAAGAGTCCAATTTTAAATTTTCTAAATGGTACCATAGTTTATTTAAACCCAAATTGCATGTGTAAAACTTTAATTTGCCCAAAATCTCCAGGGTATTCAATTTAAGAATAATTCTATGGGACATTCAAATGTAACATGGAAAAGAGGGGTCACCAAACTAATAAGGAAGGGAAACTCTGAAGGCTGAATAAAATTATTTTAGTTTCTTCTTTCCAGCAGGGCTTCTCTGAGCTCCTCATATGCTAATGTGCACTGTGATCACCAAGAGGGGGACTGTAGTGTTTCCCAAAGGTACTTGACCACATAACTCTTTTTTTACTGAGCATCTAGAAAACCAACATCCTACCTACAAAGTACACATAGAAAGTGCTGTTTCATAACAAAAAAAAAAAAAAACAGCAACAACAACAAAGTAAGTTTACAAGACCAATAAAGGGAAGCCTAACAAATTAGACATAAAACAAAAGAAAACAAAAGACAGCAAATTACTTTGCCAGGAAATCTTCTTTTATGGCTCTTTGCTGTCTCCACGATTACTTGGTCCTCAGCCATCACCAACAAGGCTTGTGCACAAGGAAGGCGTTCGTTTACAGCGAACTCCTACTGGGTACATTTTTGGAAGTAGCACCCCATCTGTTTGAAAACTTTGAAGAATATTTATTTGCTCAATTCCCTACCAGATGATTTCGACAAAAAACTGTGTATAATTCACAAAATAATAACGGGAAAAGAGTTTTTCTTTCTTGAAGACATTGATTGGTACTCTAGTCTGTCTGTCAGGTGGTCAACAGCATCCATTAAACATTTATTTAGAATGCCTGAGAGGGCTGTTAGGATATTCCAAGAAAAATCAGACTCTGCACTTTTAGCCATTATATTTCTGTATCACTAACAGCAAATATATCTGTCAGTCATTACTAGTAAATTCTGCTAGGTTTAGGGGATGGAGACAGGTGTACAATGTGGGATTACAAGCTAGTCAGTAAGATAAGAAATGCAAATTTTTAAAATTATTACAAGACGATGATTGGTATACACAATAAAGATGGTAGGACATTATAGAATAGGAAAATTCCTGAAGCCAGAAGCTGCTGAGGATAGACTCTTGAAAGAAGTAAGACATCCTAGGCTATGTGCCAAGGGAGAGATGATGGCAATTCAACCAGAAGAGAAGAAATAAAGGTGCTCCAGTTAGCTAGAAGGGCATGACAAACATACAGGCAGGAAGGAACACAGATGGCACCAGACAACCAATCTGAGCCAAAGAATCCGGGCATGAACACTGAGCCTACACTCTCCCCCAGGAGCCATATAAGAAGTGGAAGTTTAGAAGGTGGCAGGAAGGTATGATTCCAGACCAGGAGCTGTTGCAGGGGCATCCTGGCATGGCAGCCACCTCCTTGATGGCAGATGTGGCAGCACTTTGGGTAATCTGGTTCTGGGGTGTGGGTTTGGAGTCTGATATGGTTTGGCTCTATGTCCCCACACAAATGTGATTTGAATTGTAATCCCCACGTGTTGGAGGAGGGGTCTGGTGAAAGGTGATTGAATCATGGGGGCAGACTTTCCCCTTGCTGTTCTCGTGACAGTGAATGAGTTCTCACAAGATCTGGTTGTTTTTAAATTGTGTAGCGCTTCCCCCTTTGCTCTTTTCCTCCTACTCTGCCATGTGAAGGTATTTGCTTCCCCTTTGCCCTTCTGCCATGACTGTAAGTTTCCTAAGGCCTTCCCAACCAGGCTTCCTGTAGAGCCTGCAGAATTGTGAGTCAATTCAACCTCTTCTCTTCATAAATTACTCAGTCTCAGGTAGTTCTTTATAGCAGTGTGAGAATGAACTAAAACAGAGTCATTCCTAGAGCTCAGCTCAGGATCTACATTTTCCACCCCGCCAGTGAGATGGCCAGCTATCTACACCACTGATTAAATCCTTGTGTGCTTAAATGAGCTATTGTGGATTATAACGTCTGAAACTAAAACCTTATCTGATACAAATGTAACTTGTGGCACCATGGACAGTGAGAGGATATGGCACTTTGAGAGACCAAGATGGGAGTTATCGCTTGAGACCAGGAGTTTGAGACCAGCCTGCGCAACATACTGGGACCCCATCACTACAAAAAATTAGAAAAATTAGCTGGGCATGGTGGTATGCACCTGTAGTCCTAGCTACCCAAGAGGCTGAGGTGGGAGGATCACTTGAGCCCAAGAAGTTGAGACTGCAGTGTGCTGTGATCATATCACTGCACTCCAGCCTGGGTGACAGAGCAAGATCTTATCTCAAAAATAAAATAAAAATGTGTTGGCTATAAGGAATCCAAGGGCATGTTCTGAGCCTGTACTCTTCCTCAAGGGCCATGAGAAAAGTGTTTCAAGAAAAGCTTCTGATTCTAAGGATATATACATAATAGGCCTTCTGAGTCACTAAAGAGAATTTGCTCAATTCTTCTCACTGAGAGAGGAAATTTATGATAAAAATTTCAGAGCTTAAGGATAGGTGTTTATTCCTTAAAAGAATACATTTAAAGGCCAACTTAATAATCAGTGCAAACCTTTCCTCTGACATCCTTTATCAATCTCTTTAAAGAGTTTATTCAGATCAAGTGTTCATTATGTGTTTCCACACTAGCCATAAGGGGATCTTATGGAAGTCTGGGGCACACATTTGAGCATGTTTCTAAATAATATTCCTTGCCAATATATAGAATACAACATATGTACTAGAATTTTTTCTAAGTTATCAAATTCCCCCATTAATTAAGGGGAAATGTGGCAAGAGCCGGGGAAGACAGATTGTGAGTCCTACATAGACATGGGTACTTTACAAATATACTGTCAATTTTTTTCTTTTTGTGTGTGTGGCAGGGTCTCACTCTGTCACCCAGGCTGGAGTGCAGTGGCATGATCTCGGCTCTCTGTAACTTCCACCCCTCAGGTTCAAGCCATTCTCGTGCCTCAGCCTCTCAAGTAGCTGGGATTACAGGCCCACGCCATCACACCTGGCTAAATTTTTTATTTTTAGTAGAGACAGGGTGTCACCATGTTGGACAGACTGGTCTCGAGCTCCCGGCCTCAAGTGATCCGCCCACCTTGGCCTCTCAAAGTGCTGGGATTACATGTGTGAGCCACTGTGCCCAGCCTGTGTTGCCAATTTTAAGGAGGAATGAAATACCAATGAATAGACATGTAAGAGTATCAAATCTAGCAAAAGAGAAATGATGCCAGCTTAGGCAATATTATCCGCATCCTAGTAAAATCAAAGAAGTTGTAAAAGGAAACAATATAGAGAAACACTCCATCTTATAGACATATCAGTCTAGAGAGACACACAGTGTGATAGTCAAAAAGGAAAACATAATAGAAAGTCCACTTCTGTGGATATTAAATAAAAACATGTCAATGCCTTAGCTTCCATGTGTACTGGAGGTCTATCGTAATTCTGTCCCAAAGGCCTCGGCCAGAGAAACAAATATTGATGATAGCTCTATCTGGGCCTTTCACTAATAAATTCTCTTAGAGACAACACCAGACAGATGAACCCAAATCAAAATTCCACACCAGAGGGGCTGGGAAAGCCCATACAGACAACAAACCTGAGTTACGCTCATTTCATTGGCTCCCTGGTATGTAGAATTCCGTGTACTTATAGTTAATAATTCTGATGTTGAAATGCCCTTCAGTAATTTGATGTGGAAAATCAGCTGGTTTGCCTTCAACACGAGCATCCATCTCATTAGACCTCAGAGTAATTCGTAAATAATTCAGCAAGCACATGACTGATTTTCCAGTCCCTTTTTGATCTTAAGGAGATGAGAGATCTATAAACAGTGCATCGTTCTTTCCTGCTGCATAGCACTTAATTAAATTAAGTGATTTCATTAAAACTGAGAAAAATGATTTGCAAGTATTTAAGTTCTTCTGGTCATTAAATTCTGAACAAGAGACACATCATGTCTCACATCTAAAGCTGGCTTTCCTGTCAAGCCCCTTGGGTTTCTGGTACAACCTGCACTGATTCCCCACTTCAGGGACAGAGAGAAATTACCGTCTGGAATCACTAAGTGTTTGTTTCCAGGATTCCCATGACCCAGACATGACTCAGGTCAACCAGAGAAGGGCAAAGAAGGAACAGGTTAGTATGAAGCAGTAGAAAGAATGTTAGGCAAAACATCTGAAGACCCAACTTTCAACTCCATTCAGTCACTAATGTACTGTGTCATTCACATACATATATGCACACACATGAAGATTGCTTATCTGTAAAAATTAGGTGAACCTAACAAAGAGAATTCGAAATTCTCTTCCAGGTCAATGATTCTTAAAAACCTTCAAAAAAATTTAAGGAAAAAAAAGAGCTATTTTACAGGATTCTAATATATTAATGTATATGTTGTATATCATACATCATATACATTATGTATCTATATACATATACTATGTATATATAATACATCTACTATGATGTATCATTAATATGTAATATAATATATTAATGAACAATCCTGCAGCAGAGAATTAATACCTCCTTGCTCAAGAACATATTTATTTATGTTGATCAACATTGAATAATATCCTATGAATATATTCACTGAATTCCACTCAGAGGCACAATTTTGAAATTTGAGATCATTGGAGCTATAAAAACCTACTTTGCCTACTCATGATGCTGAGACGTCACCAAGGATGACTGTCACCAAGCATCTCTTCCAAGCTGTCCACATTACAATCACCTAGGACTTGACCACCAGGGCCTCCATAGCCCCTTGGAAGATACATTTGGTAGCCAGCAGGCAGCAAAGCAAGATGTACTTTCCCAGAGATGGCACTCTAGGTGGCCTGTCATTCAAATAGCCAAGCTCTTCCCCAGCCCATCACATCAGTTTATGTATTTAGTTTATATCTTTAAAATGACAGGAGGTCACCATAAACAAAAATGAACTTAAGATAGATCAAAGATTTCAATGTAAGACCACAAACTATAAAAATCCTAGAAGAAAACTTAGGAAATACATTTCTCAACATAAGCCTGGACCAAGATTTATGGCTAAGTCCTCACAAGCAATTGCAACAAAAACAAAAATTGACAAGGGGGACCTAATTAAATTAAACAGCTTTTTCATTACAAAAGAAACTATGGGCCTGGTTCCACTGGCCCATAACTTTATTTCTAAGCCATGAAAATGTGTAACATAATGGGGCTTATTCTGTTCCTTTCCATAAGGGAACATTAGTTAATGTTTCAATTCAAATGTGCACACACACACACATATACCCCACTAAGTCCTTTGATAGCAATGACTGAATATTCAACTCTACACCTCAGTTTAATAACATGAAAAATTAAACTCCTGCATTAACAGTGACATCTGGAATCAACATGAAGCCATAAACTGATTATGAATATTCTCCCATGAACTGCTGTAAGCATGTTTTGTCTAAGCATTTAGTTAGCAAGGATTCTTGTAATACTGCTTGTATGGCAAATAGCATTATTTCCCATGTAACCCCTGCCATTCATCTCACTTGACATGCTATTTGTTTTCAGCAGAGCAAGGAAGAGAATATTAATGGTGTCACCCAAGTTATCATTATCAAGAAGTAAAATTTATGCCAGTAGTCACAAACCTGTGTGGGAAAAATACCACTAGCAATAGATTATAAAAGGCCACTGAAAAGCCACCTTCCAAAGTGAATCAGGCAGGCTTTGTTAAAAGCATTTCTCATATTTCTCCTGTTCCTGAAAACCAAGAGTTTACCACCTCTCTTCCCTCCCCCAAAAAACAGCCTATCTCACAGAATAAGAAAGAGCTTAAGACTTTCTTATTACATTTCTCTCTACTTGTGGGAAATTTTATTTTAATATGAACCACTTTTTCCTCATCTTAGATATCTGCTAAAAAGTCTTCTGAAGCCATAGGTGGGATGAAATAACAGATCTCCAAGATACTGCTAGAGTTAGTGAACTTCAAATGCTACAATAGTAACAGATTTAATATAACAAATGTTAACTAAGTACTGAAAAAGTGCCAGCCCTAGCCAGTTCCTGGGGATGCAGACATGCTAGGAGAGCCCTTATAAGCCTGGAGAGGAAGAAAGAGATTTAACCAAATATTACCCTGTGGAACATGCAACAGTGAAAATGTGAACTAGCACAGAGGAGAGAACAATGAAGAGGCTTAGGAAAATTTGAGAAGATGTCCCAGGGTTAACTACATATCAGAAGGCTTTAGAAGATGAATAGGCTTGGGATTTTGGTACGAGGGGTAGACTCAAGGATCCAACAACCCAAAATAATAAAATTTTTCCAAAATATCTTTAATCAGAACCTTATCATAAGTTAACTGTTCATCACAGTGATGTTAAGCCTGGCTCAAAATAAATTTTCATTCAATTTCCAAGCAAGAACAATAAAGACTACACGTTTACCAATTTTGGGTTACAGCTACAATAGAAATAGACCCCCCAAGCTTTTAACTCCTACAGTTTTTCCTATTTGCACCTATTATGGATCACATCTGGATACATCAACATATATACTCCTTTGGCCTCCTTTTCAAAAAAAAATTACTTAACCAGTAATGCTTGTCTGCAATCCTATTACGGCTATGTAATTTATATACAACTAAATAGTTGTCATGGAGGATGCACAACATCTGAGTGATATGCTTCCTTTCAAACTTGGTTCCTCAGAGGTAATGCGCTAATGCACAAAAAGGAAGGACAAAAATATAAGCATTTTATTCAAAGCCCCTTTATAACATTGCACTCTGCATTTTGTCCTGAGATAACATGTGAATCTCACACAGTTCCATTGATTTAGCCATCTTTAAATGCAAATTTAGTCATGAAACTCGAGTGAAAATTGATCAACAGTGAAAGGAAGCACCCAACTACTTAAAACTATGGATTAGGACAGGTGGGATTACAAAAGATGAAGTCATAAACAGAATGCCTACAATATAGAAAAGGGGACCCCGTTTTAAAAAATCAGATGCCAATACTTCCACTTTCCTAATATTTGAATTATTCTCCTCACTTTATTTCACACTCAAAATTCACTTTCTCCACAAAGACCTCCGTGGCTAATCACAAGTTTACCCACTCAATGGTGAGGTTTTTAAGGGCAGGGACCTTGTCTCATTCATTGACAAATCTCCTTCCAAGTTCCCAGGCCTAACTGGGACCATCAACACCGCCCCATTAAATGTTGACTGATTAATTAAAGAGCATGAATGATAAATGACTTTAGACATTGTCCACATTAAATAATGAAGAAAACACGACAAGGAAAATGGGGGAAATAAATTAAGTAGGCTACCAGAGGCTGAGTTGATTGTCAAGTCATCAGAATGTCTCCCATTTTCCCCTCAGCTGGAGCTTAGCCCCCTATACCTTTGTGTGTGTGTGTGTGTGTGTGTGTGTGTGTGTGTGTGTGTGTGCTTGTGTGTGCGCACCTACACATGTGTGTATGTGTGTGTTTAAAATGACAGGAGGTATCTATTTACCATATACAAAAGTGAATTCAATATGGATTAAATATTTCAATGTAAGACCTCAAACTATAAAAATCCTAGAAGAAAATCTAGGAAATACATTTCTTGACATCAGCCTTGGTAAACATCAAAGATTTATGGCTACATCTTTAAAAGCAATTGCAACACAAGCAAAATTGACAAGTGGGACCTAATTAAACTAAAGAGCTTTTTCACAGCAAAAGAAACTATCAACAGAGTAAACAGACAACCTACAGAGTGGAAGAAAATATTCTCAAACTATGCATCTGACAAAGACCTAATATCTGGAATCTATGAGGAACTTAAACAATTCAACAAGCAAAAAACAAACAACCCCATTAAAAAATGAATGAAGGACATGAACTGACAGTTTTCAAAACACAACATAGAAGCAACCGACAAACATGTGAAAAAATGCTCAACATCACTAATTATCAGAGAAATGCAAATAAAAACCACAATGAGGATACCATCTCACACCAGTCAGATGGCTATTATTAAAAAATCAAAAAATAACAGATGCTAGCAAGGCTGTAGAGTAAAGGGAATGCTTATACACTGCTGGTGGGAATCCAAATTAGTTCAGCCATTGTGGAAAGCAGTTCGAAGATTTCTCAAAGAACTTAAAACGTTTAAGATTATTCTTTTTGAATCAAACCTCAAATATCTGTAGAAAAAATCACGTTTAATAGCTGTTATTCCCTGCCATTATCATCAGAGTAGGTAATTCACTAAGCAAAATCTCAATCAATATGGCAACCAGTACGATAAACACAGAGAAATGAAGGACCTATGACTTTTGTTCAGCCTCGAAGGTCACACACACTCAGTAGGCCAGGTCACTGAGATTTCAAACACAAGAGGGCAACCAAGTTTTATTCTAATCCTAATAAATGTGATGTGTGTTTCCTGCCCTAGAGAACTTGAATTCCCCCAACTTTAATATACACTGGCGCCCAGCCCCTCTTTTCTGTTCTATCACCTTGCTTTTTATCTGCTAGTTGTGCCTTCCCTCAGTCATTACAGGCACTTTCCCATGGCTTGCTCATCTCAGAAACAGAACTACAAATCTGTCAAAAGCCCTAGACCATTAGCAAAAGAGTCCATTCAAAGATGGACACCCCTGGGGATGGTTGCAATGGAAAAACAAACAGGCATTTTTCTAACTTCCTTTTGTAGTCCTACATTCTTTCTTTTTAAAAATTTTTTATTTTTGGGGACAGAGTCTTGCTTTATTACCCAGGGTGGAGTGCCAATGGCACTTTCAGCTCATTGAAACCTCTGCCTTCCTGGTTCAAGTGATTCTCATGCCTTAGCCTCCTGAGTAGTTGGGATTACAGGCGCCCACCACCACACCTGGCAAATTTTTTGTATTTTTAGTAGAGACAGGATTTCGCCAAGGATGGTTTTGAACTCATGACTTCAAGTGATCTGCCCACCTCGGCCTCCCAAAGTGCTGGGATTACAGACATGAGCCATGGTGCCCAGCCTGTAGTTCTACATTCTTTAATGGAATTAACTTTTAATCTATTTGGCACAAAAAAGATTCGTAGGAAACTTGGATACTAGAAAAACAGAATACTTTAGGGGGAAAATTGCCTTTAATGAGCTTTCTATAATATACAGACTGATAGATTAAATAGCTTATAAAAAATCCAGTTTTTTACTCTCTTCTCTCTCTCTCTCTCTCTCTCTCTCTCTCTCTCTCACACACACACACACACACACACACACACACCATTCCTTGTCAGTGCCAATAGCAGCCATTTAGAAAGCTAACATAACAAGTGAAAATGTAAGGAAAATCAAATATTTTAATCCAGCCAATCCCAAAATATGTCCTGAGCTCAAGGTTTCATAAGATGCTTCATTTTTTAAACTTCTATGGTCAAATGACTTTGACAACCACCACATTTATATTTCACTCTAGGATAATCACAATAAATATTAGCCTATTGAAGTCTCTGTGAAGTCCTGCAGTTGTTGTGGTTAATGAGTTTATTTAACCCTGAGTCTCCCATAAAAATCTCTTTTTCTGTGTAATACCTAGAACACTTCCAGAAATGCAATTTCACCCACTCTGCCTCCTCTTAGCTACCTCAACTACGACATTTGAGTATCAGAACTTGAGATAAAAGGAAAACTCAGTAATTCGTTTTCTGTTCCACTATGGGTGTGTAAGAAGGAAGGGTTGCAATAATAAATTGAGCCCTGATCAAGAAAAGATCATAAATGTGTTTGAGACAATATAAAAACAGTGCTTGCCGAGTTTTCTTACTCCGTGGGTGCTTAATGTTCTCTGTCAGGGACCTGGAGACACAGAGCACACTGGAGAGCCTCCTCCAGCACATACCTGAGCCTTGCTGTGCCCTACCTGAGTAATGAATCCTCAGGACACAGGCAGGCCACAAGCCTTTCGACCACCTGGGAGAGAGATGCCACATGCCCAGGGGTCAGCATAGGGCACTTCAAGTCTGTGATGAGCCATCCAGAGTCACTTGTCTGGAAGATTCTGCCACATCAGCAACTCCACAGGTTTTGGTGACCCTGTCCTTCCACAAAAATCCTCACAGGGCCAGCACGATGGAAAAAGGGAAGGTTAGCCAGGAAAACCACCTCGGATGCCTCCTGACCTGACCTCTGGTAGGAAAGGGATTATGTTACACTCAGTCAGGAAATGGTATCTTGAGCTCTCTTCTATTTAACTGGGCATAGTTGCCTGGAAAAGTTGTCCTACTCAAAGCGTATTACAGTGATATGCATTTGCAGCACCAAATTCAGGATAGCAAGTAACCCTGGGGAGGAGAAAACAAGAAATGAGAAGAGACAGGCGTCCACAGGGGGCTGTTGATGGTGTTTGTTAATGGACTCCTTCCCAAGCCAGATGGCAGTTCATGGTGTTTGTTGTTATCTACTCTTGTCTTTATTTGTAAAATATACAATCTAATTTTGAATGTAAAAATGTGTGTGCAACACACCCTGGGCCCCCAAGGGAAAAAGTCCCATAGACACTAAGAGTGAATCAGGACCTTCTGTCATGCCATAGGTCATTCCAGGACACTTCAGCCCTACATTCATTAATGTCCTAACAGAGGATGATTTGATGAAAGCCTCTTTCCACTAGAACCTAAAACTGATAGAGTTGACAGCATTAAGATTAAACTACACCACGAGGCCTGGCTGATGCAGAAGTGCTGCATGGAGATGACAATAAGGCACGTCCATTAAGAAATCTCATTCATAACAAAAACATTATGAGCTATTTTTAAAAAGAAAACTCGTCTTATTGGGCTAAAAATGTGGCACGAGTTTGGGGAATTTTTTTTACCCCAAAACTGGCCCCAAATGTACTGCATCACCACCACCCAGGATGGTCGCAGCACAGAATGGAAGGCTTCCTTCCCACCTGCACCTCCTTTCCGCCCGTGCTCCCCTGGGGCCAGGGCAGGCAGGAGGAACGGGGGAGCAGGACTGCAGCCCCTTTTCTCTTAGTGGCTACTGTTCATCCACCTAACCCTGTCTGGCCACCGGGGCCTCTGGGGGGCAGGTGCCCCAACTCTCAGCATTAATGCAGTCCTTGAAGGGTTCTGCCAGAGTCTCCTCTCCACTCAGTTCCAGCTGTGTCCACCTCGACCCAGTTCCTCAGCCTCCACCACTCACAATTTGCATGGGTCTCCTGGCCTCACCAGCAGCCTTCTGGTGGGGTGGCAACAATGCACTCAAGTTCAGCAACCTTCAGAGTCACTGTATGGGTTGATGGAAAATTCGTCAAGCTCGTCCTCATAGCTCTCCCCTCTTCACCATCTCCCATTCCCTTCTCCTCTACTCAGGGAGCAGAGAAGTGGGACAGCAAGTCCAGGGGCCGAGACATTCTCCAGGAAAATGAAATACCAGTCGCCACTCTTGCAGATGCCTCCAGCTTTACAAATGATCCTTCTAGAATCCCTCCCTTGACTTTGGGGAGGAGAAGCACCCACTGCCTCTCCCTGTGTCTGTGAACACTCCCCTCCCCAAAAAGCCGCTGACCTCACACACAAAACCCACACACATACCTTCTTTCCATCATCTCCTTACAGTCCCAGGAGTTGGAAGGGAGGAGGGAGCACTGGGGGCTATGTTGGTGGCAGGGCCCCTTTTCTAAACTGACACTTTTCAGTAAGACCTGCAGGGAGGTGGCTGGCCCCCTCCACCAGAACTTCCTCAAGTTTAGGAAATGAGGAGCTCAATATCTTTTATCCTCAGCTTTGTTCTCCAGATTCAGGTGCAGGAAAACAAGGCAGAATCTCACTTGCAAATTGTCATACAGAGAAATAGGTGATCTGTGCATTCCTGTAGTCCCTGCCATCCTTTACTCTCCAGCTAACCTGGCGCTTCCCAAAATGTCTTCCACGAAGCACTGGCTCCACTGAAACCTTACAGTTGATACCTATGAAGAGGGCCCCAGTGGCCAGATACTTTTGGGAAGCTCCGAGTTAAAAACATAGTTAAGCAGTTGATAGCTAAATAGGTGGTTTTGTTTGTTTGTTTTAACTTCAGGACTTCTCAGAGCCTTTAAGATGTAAACGTGACTTGTGAGTTTCCAAGACAGGGATATGACAGGCAGCAGTTCTCAAACTTATTGCTCACAGAACCCCCATAAACATCTCAAGGATCAGATCGCATAGATCAGACTTGGGAAAGGCAGCTCTTACCCAGTCCTATTAATCCCTTCACACGCAGCTCAAGTCCCTCCCTTCAGGGAATCTTCAGGAACCCTTGCACCCAGCCTCCCCATCCCCTCCTGGCCAGGCCACAGTCATGCTCTCCTTTGTGGAGCACATGCTGTGATGGCGCCTCCCACCAGCCTTAGTGAACTCATAGGTACAGCTGCATAGATCTCATGCGCTACACTTATCACCCGCTGACCCAAAAGCCACTTCCAACTCTTCCCTTGTCATTTCCACTATGGAGGCTGGAAAAACCAAATAGCCACTATCCTAGCCTCCTCCGTAGAAGAATCCATGGGTGTAGCAGTGCCAACAATGAAATGGGTGTGACAGTCAGCTGGGGGCAACTGGGAAAGGCTAAGCCAACCCTCATTCTTCCTGCCTCACTAGTAACACATAAACGTGGGAGAACGGATGAGATGAATGCATTTCATCATTCTCTGTTCTCCACAGTGTGTGGAGGTGGTATAGTACTTTACAGTTACTTGCATTAATGAAATGGAGCAAAATATTCTAAGATAGTGAATACTCAGAAAAATGAAGTTTTTCCACATGGATTTTTCTTCTCACATTAGAATGAAAATGTGCATAATATGCTTGAAGTTCATGCCAATTTGGTTGTTTTTTAAATTAAAAGATGTGATTCAGAAAAATCTGGGATGTTTCCCCCACTGGCCCCCTGCCATACTCTTCCCTGGAAACCCACCCCATCTGAGGTCTTTCTCAGATTTTTGCAGGTTTTGCTTTCATTCTTTTTAAAAATTATTTTCTTTACAATAGTGACACATGTTCCTTTTAGAATGTTTTAAAATAGTTAACATCTGGCTGGACACAATGGCTCACACTGGTAATCCCAACACTTTGGGAACCCAAGGTGGGGAGGATTGCTTGACCCCAGGAGTTCAAGACAAGCCTGGGCAACATAGTGAGACCCCTGTCTCAACAACAACAAAAAAAATGTTTTAACTAGCTGGGCATAGTGGCATGTGCCTGTAGTCCCAGCTACATTTATACTGGTGTTTTTTCTGTGCATTTATGTGTGTGTGTGTGTGTGTGTGTGTGCGCGCGCGCATGTGCGTGTGTATATATATGATATTTTACAAAATCATATCATTGTATACACAGTTGTATACCCTACTTTAATAAAACAAAAGATCATAAATATTTCCAATGTCATCAATTTTTCTTAGAAAATATATTTCACCAGTTGCACAATATTCTACCATATGAACATTTTTATGATTTACTTAACCATTCTCCTACTGTTTCCAATTGTTTAGTTATATAAATTAGGCTACAAAACTCCCTCTACATTTATCTTTGTCATGATTGCACTCTCTTTTTCTGAGTCCAGCCCAAAAAGGAGCTGAAGAGACAAAGAGGCTGGGAAGCAGAGTTGGGGGACAAAGAGGGGAGGAGGAAATTCAGGCAATGGGGAGGGTCCTGGAAGCAAGAAGAGGACAAGTTTCCAGGAGGAGCAAGTGGCCATCTGTGTCCAAAACTGCCATGGGTCAGTAAGATGAGATCCAAGAACTGACCACCGCATTGAAGAAAGTGGAAGTCGCTGGTGCCCTTGGTAAGGGGACAGAGCCAGACTGGAGCAGGTTAATAAAATGTAGGAGAAGTGAAATCGTCTGTCAAGGAATTTTGTTATAATTGGAGGTAACTGAGGGGAAAGTAAGGTCAAGGGAGGGTGTTAGAATAACGGCAAATACAAGAAAATAGAAAGGGGGTAGCTGTCAGCTAAGCTGGAGTTATTACGTATTATTTCAAATTAACAAAAATGTCAACAGTGCATACATTTAAATTTACCTCACTGAAGCTTCCACAAAACACAGAAAATGTTCCCTGTCTGGACATAGTACCTGCATGTACTTAATGATAGGTATAGTAAGCATCTTTTCTGTGACAAAAGTCATGGTGAATGGACATAGTACTCATGAAAAAGGACCAAAACAACATGGCTATTTGAAACAGTATTTTTTCTGTGTGGTCACCATAAACACAGAGATGGATGCATGCAGCTCAAGGCAGGACTAACACATGAGTAAATTCACAAATTATGGTTGGAATGACAATTTATTATCAAGTCTGAGTATTTATTACCATTACCAAAAACATTCTGATTTAAAACTACCAATGGCTGAAAATTGAAAGTAAATTCTTGAATCTGGGCAAGCATGTTTGCCTGTCTCGAGCTTACATGGCACACACAGTTCAGTCAACAAATCCATAAGCTAGTACTTTAGAAGTATGAGACCTTCTTACACTAGCATAATGAATTATTTTACACCATGTGCCTCAAATCTGGTGCCTGCTCCACAAGAAGTATCTAAAATTATTATAAGTGACACACAAATTTTTTAATGGTAAAGGCATGATTTCACATGATATTTCAAATTCAAATAAGTTGATTTATGTGAATGAAAAAATACTAAATAAATAACTGTATAAATAGTATGAGACTATTGCAAAAATTGTGAAAATGGAAGAGTAAAAACTGAAGTTTGGGAAGCTGATGAAATACAACCTTGTTCATCAACTGTTCTTCATCAAGGACACTAGCTGGTGTTTCATCATTAACCTGCATATGTGACAAAAATCCTACTCCCCATCACTCAACCAACTTGATTACCTTAAAATAAGATGAAGTTCCCAAACTACCCCAATGTTTTAAAAAATCACCAAGGAGCATTTGCTAAAATAAACACTCTTAGACCCTATCTCAGATCCGCTGGCAACAAGAAATCTGCACTTTTGATAAATGCCCTGGTGATTTCTAGGACTAGAGAAATCAGGGATATAATGACAGAAAGTACATCCATGTAAGTTCCCCTTGAAAGCAGATTAAAAAAAAAATGATAGCTGATGAGAGAGGAGATTTAGGAAAACATAGGTGGTTTCTCCATGTTTGCCACTTTAAATCTGGTTCTTATGAATGAACACTGTTGTTTCCCCAGGGTCTGTAGCACAAGGGTTTTACAAAACTAAAAACAAACAAAACAAATGAGTGTACTTATAAAATGTCAGTGTAGACTGGGTGCGGTGGCTCACACCTGTAATTCTAGCACTTTGGGAGGCCGAGGCAGGCGGATTACCTGAGGTCAGAAGTTCGAGACCAGCCTGACCAACATGGTGAAACCCCATCTCTACTAAAAATACAAAAATTAGCCGGGTGTGGTGGCGGGCACCTGTAATCCCTGCTACTCAGGAGGCTGAGGCAGGAGAATCACTCGAACCTGGGAGGTGGAGGTTGCAGTGAACCAAGATTGTACCATTGCACTCCAGCCTGGGCAACAAGAGTGAAACTGTGTCTCAAAAGTAAATAAATAAATAAAATGTCAGAGTAATACCCAAATTCAGTACATGCTGAAGGGAATTATGCACAATACTCTTTCCATTTGTGTTTCAGTTCACATCCCAAAAGATGTGAACTAAAAATTGTTCAGCTAGATAATGAAATTATTACCATAACTTTTTTATTTATGAGCACCTGTGCCCAAAAGATCTCAAGGTAAATTAGCATTGTACCACCAAACGTTCAAAATGAAATGGAAGTGAAAATTACTGAGAAATAGGGTATCTGGTTAAATTTCAAAGTAAGACTAAAAGCTAGAAATAAAATATTTTGCAAAGCCTCCCAAATTACTTCTAAGTGGCGTAATGGAAATAGCTTACAATTTCAAAATTATTCCAATGTATTTAAATTTTTTGAGTGTAAGGATTGGGTATGGAAAAGACATTTACTACTTACCAAATACCCGTGGGCTCCTCCACATTGCCCAGCCTTCTTGCAGTTGGCAGGGCCATCTGTCATGTACAACCAATGGGGTGTGAGCAGAAGGGACTGTGTCATTTCTGGATCTAAACATTTATGAGCTGGTGTGCAACCTTCCACTCTCTGCTTCTCTTTTGTAGGGACTTTGGTGGCTTCCATGAAGACACAAGATGGAAACAGCCAGGATAGCTGAGTGACTGCCTGGAGAACAACTGCTCTTCACAGTTGCCCGGTTGCATCAGAGGAGACTTTGGGGTGTTAAGACGCTGAGATTTTAGGATGAATTTTTTGGCCAGGAGCGATAGCTCATGCCTGTAATCCTAGCACTTTGGGAGGCCAAGGCTGGTGGATCACCTGAGGTCAGGAGTTTGAGACCAGCCTGGTCAACATGGTGAAACTTCGTCTCTACTAAAAATACAAAAATTAGCCAGGCATGGTGGTGGGCACCTGTAATCCCAGCTCCTTGGGAGGCTGAGACAGGAGAATCGCTTGAACCCAGGAGGTGGAGGTTGCAGTGAGCAGAGGCAGAGGCTGCAGTGAGCTGAGAGTGTGCCACTGCACTCTCGCCTGGAAGACAGAGCAAGACTCCGTCTCCAAAAAAAAAAAAATTTGTTGTCACAGCATAACCTAAGCAATCCTGACTAGTACACTTGTCAATCACTTGACTTCTCTGGTTTCCAACTCAGAAGTCTCTCCAGAGCAGAGGGAATTACTTCAATGACTTTGCCCAGATAATATCCACTCATGTAGAGACCAAACTTGACACAGAAAATCAAATCAAGAAACATTTTTAAAGAACCATCTCAAATTCCATGATAGAAGATAATAGGCCAAAGGTTTATCCACTTTAATTTAGCACCTTCCATAAAATCTCTATCATTCTGCCAAAGGAACTAATGCACAGTCAACAAGTAGTTCATGTGCTCCCCTACACTTCTCAGCCACTGGCTACCTGGGGCTATCAAAATTAATTTAAACTAAATAAAATGAAAAAATACTTCCTCAGTCATACTAGCTGTATTTCATATGTTCAAGAGACAAGTGTGACTGGTGACTACCATCTTGAACAGGGCAAAATAGTTCCATCATCATGAACATTTCTACTGAACAGCTCTAGTTTAGAATACCCTTTCAATATCTACCCTCAAAGCTATCACCCCTTTAAAAAAAAGAAAAGAAAACATATAATCAAAGAAAAAACAGTGTATTTTCCACTCAAAACAGCTCTTAGACAAGACCTTCCATCCTCTTTCCCAACTAATATTATCATTAATATTAATGAGCTAAAACTGAGTAAAGCAACACTTGAGAGAAATATCTACTAGATAAAGAAAGGCTTTACTGTAAGATCTACCATATGATAATAGCTCTTCAGGCTTTCGAGATGAGGCATGTTTGCAAAATGAGTATGTTACCTCTAACGTGGCAATATCCTTGTATTGGGTCCTTGGGTTTTGTCACCAAGATGCAAAAATCTTCCTGAAACAGGAAAAGCTGGTGAAGCTGATGATCATAACTGTTGCTGACACTGACTGGCCAGGGCACCCAAGCAAACCCAACTGAGAGAATGGCACGGGAGTGTCTATGTAAACAAAAATTCTGGGTGCAGTACTGTCCAAAATGACACTAGGATACACCTGACAGATGTTTTTCCCCTGAGGGCAGATCAGCTGCAATCTCACCACACTGACAAGAAGATGAAAATTCCAACAGGGCCAGTGCTTTCAAACGGAGGAGCTGTGAAGGAGAGGCTGTAGAAAAAAGAACTCCATATGAACAGGACAGCTGATGAGGGGGCCTCATCAGCTGTCTGACTCTTGACTGAAAACATCTAACTTAATGAGTAAAAATGATGATGAAAAGTATTTTCTGAAACGTGTGGGACCCAGAAACAGAATGCATTAGTATGCCATCACTTTCCACTCCTGCCTACCTGTGCAGTGCATTTATGATGCTCAAGTGCCTCAGTTGACTTGTAAAATTATCCTACAGTACAAAAAAATTCATCCTACAATGAGATACCATTTTACACCATTTTGTCTAAAACCCAGAATGCTGACGCCACCAAATTCTGGTGAGGATCTGGAGCAGCAGAAGCTTCATTCACTGTTGGTGGGAATGTAAAATGGTTTGGCTGTTTCTTACAAGCTAAAAATTGTCTTACCATATGATCCAGCAGTGAATTAAAATGTATGTCCACATAAGGTTTTTAAACCTACACATGAATGTTTATAGAAGCCTTATTCATAATTGTCAAAACTTGGAAGCAATGAAGCTGTCCTTTAATAGGTGAATAGTTACACAAACTGTGGTACATCCAGACAATGGAATATTGTTCAGCAATAAAAAGAAATGAGTTATCAAGCCACAAAAAGACCTGGAGGAACCTTAAATGTGTGTTGCTAAATAAAAGAAACTAGTCTGAGAAGACTAACTTTTGATTCTAGCAATATATTATACAAAAATATGGTGACAGTAAAGAGATCAGTGGTTTCCAGGGGTCAGTGGAGAAGAACGGAGGGATGAATAGGTAGAGCACTAAGAATTTTTAGGGCAGAGAAACTATCCTGTATAATCCTGTAATGGTGGATACAGGACATATTACATTTGTCAAAACCCACAGAAATGTACACCACCAAGAGTGAACCCTAATGTAAGCTATGAACTTTAGTTAATAATCATGTATTTATAAAAGTTTGTCAATTACAACAAATGTATCACACTAACACAAGATGGTAGTAATAGGAGAGAGGGTAGATGGGAACCCTCTGTACTCTCCATATACTTATATACCTAATTTTTCTATATGCCTACAACTGCTCTTAAACATATGGTATTAATTTTTTTAATCATCTTGAATATCCATTTCCTACTCTAACATATTTCAGGGCTATAAGCCTGCATAGAGTGCTTGGCGTGTATGCGCGCACACACACACACACACACACACACACACACACACACAATGTCAATATTGAGGAGTGGCCACACTTTGAGAACCATCAGTCTATAGGATCATTAAGGGTAAGGCTCCTCTATCTCTTTTAGAGCTTTATCTTCTCTTCATCTCTAGCACTCCAGTCTAGACACCAGGGAGCCCCAATGCATATCTGCTGAATGACAGATTCAATTAGTCAATGCAAAAAAATGTTGCCAAATTAATACATCCTGTGGACTCTAACAAGATGCAAATATCTAGAGACAGCAAAATATGAGTTTGGAGGCGAGGAAAAGAGTGGAGAATAGGGGTTAGCTTCTCTGCAGCATTTTCTAACTTACAGTTTAATGCTTTATATAATCATCTGCCAGTTAATTATTAGGCACACTCTTGGGAGAGGTAACAAAGAAAGAATTAACTGAAATTCCCTGCCTAGAAGGGCTGGCTCTACTTTAAAAATTAATTTGCATAATATATGCGAAATACATTATGTCCAAATCAAAGTTGCCAAAAACAAAGAAATTTAGTTATTCTGATGTTTATCAATGTTAAAAGTCAATAAACAATTGTCTTCTGTAATTGCTTTTCTATAGATCTTACATGATACAACTAGAGATTTTTCTTTGAAAATCCTACTTAAAAACTACACTTCCTTCTGTAGTCCCAGCTACTCGGGAGGCTGAGGCAGGAGAATGGCATGAACCCGGGAGGCGGAGCTTGCAGTGAGCCGAGATGGTGCCACTGCACTCCAGCCTGGGTGACAGAGCGAGACTCCATCTCAAAAAAAAAAACTACACTTCTTTGCATATAGCAGGAATCAGTAAGTATGTGTTGAAAGGAGGAAAGATAAATGTCAAGAAGACAGGGCAAGACTCCTTATATACATATAAGGTACCCCAATAATTTTTCAGAGAGCAGACTACATCCTGAAATTTTTATAAACACGGAGTGTTCTTCCATGAGAGCACTATAATACATTCAGGCTATAGAGCTGAGCTACAAAGCCAGGGGATATAATTTGTAATTTCTTACAGATATAATTACCTACATTTTTCCCACACAAAAATGATACAAATGTGTTGATAATTACATTATACAAAACTATGCATTTTAAACTGAGCCAGAACATTAGAATATTACAACGAATGCACACCATGAAAACCTGTATTTGCTGCCTCTAGGTAACAAGATGATTGGTATGTAACAAGCGGCAAGGCAACCACATCTCCTGTTTGTTCTTGAGAGGAATTTCTTATTGCTAGCAGGGCTTCATTTTCATCCCTGCAGCCAGTGCTCACATGAAGAGATGCATCTGATTAAGTGACTCCATGCATTTGAGTAGAGAGGGAAAAGGAAAGCCAACTCTACGTTTAATATCCTCTTTTCTCTGCAATGCATTTACCTCCTCCTTTCTGCTGCAACTCTAAATGAAGTACAATTTAAGTCAAGCACCAAAATTTGTTACTTATGGAAGCAACTCCTTTAAGTGCATGAATCATTAACTTGTTTTATTTATCTAGTTATGTGTCTTGTTCTGGAACAAATGTGAGACAGAAAATATTAACTGTTTTTAGGTATGGACCTGGGGTGGATCACAAGACTGGGCAGTGCCAATTAGGGAGAACACGCAAATACCTAAGCATGCGCCACTTCGAATTCAGTTCCAAAGGGCAATTGCATCCCAGTTAATAAATATGCACTGGTCCCTGCTGTGTACCGGGTAGTGTGCTAGGAGCTAAGGACACAGTGGTGAGTGCAACAGAGAAGGTTCCTGCCTTTTTGATGGAGGGTACATTCTAAAGGCATGTTCCCAGTACCAGAAGTAGAGGTGACGTGCCAGGTGCCTGCTAAAGCTAAAGTTTAGTTTGTAGAAGAGATGTTCTGAGACTTGATATCTGCCTCTAAGTATCTGAATCACCATATTTTATGAAAAGAAATGAGTTATTTGGTACAGCTATAAGCCATAAATAGGTACACTGTGCGAAAGTCAGAAGGAAACTTACATGGGCCCAATAGAAGAAAGAATTTCTTAATAAATGGGCCTGTTAAAGAATGGAAGAGGTCAAGTGAGGTGTTCCAGAAGAGGTGGGCAGACAAATCAGGATGGTACCCGGAAGCTTGCTGTGAGGGGAAGAAGCAGAGGCAAAGGGCAGCAGAGGTTACCTCCAATTTCATGATTCAGTGGACTCCAAATCAAACCACAGAAATGCTTTGAAAATCTCGGCCCTCATAATTTTAGCTTTAATGAGAAGCTTTAATGATCATATATTGATATAAAAGGCCATCATTTCCTTTGTCCTCTGCCATTCAGAGTCAGACAGAAACACTAAACACTGATTTCTGATGGTTATGCTGGGTTCCAGTGCACCATGTGGCTTCAAAATGCCAACTGCCTCTCTGGAAAAGGAGAAACTGGGGTTCTGGAAATACAAGCACACTGTAGTAATTACTATAAGGGCAAAGATAGGCCCTCATGACTGATTTACTTTGGTAATTACTACAGTGTAATTAGCAGTAGTACTGCTAATACTACTGATATTGGCTGCAAAAGACTATTGGGAAGGGCAGAATTTCTAAAATGGCCCCTTAATGATGTCCTGCCCTAACCCCCAGAACCTATCAACATGACGACAGAACCTATCCTATGATTGTGCTATGTTGCATGGCACAGTTACTATGCTATGTTACATGGCACAATTGGCCATCAGATAGGGAAATTATCTGCATTATCCTGGTGGGTCATATACCCTATAGTCCTTAAAAGCAGAGAGCTTTCTCCAGCTGACGACAGAAGAGAATTCAGAGAGATTCAAAGCACAAGACGGATTTCATGCATCGCTGCTGGCTTGATGTTAGAGAGGGGCATGTGATAAGGACTGTGGTGACCTCTAGAAGCTGACAACCAGTAAGAAAATGGAGACATCAGTTCTACAACTGCAAAGAACTGAATTCTACCACCAACCTGAACAACCTTGGAAATAGATTCTGCCTCCCAGCTTTCAGTGAAAAGCCCAGCTCTGCTGACACCTTGAGTACAGATTTGTGATACCCTGAGTATAGAACCCAGCCAAGCCTGCCCAGAATCCTGGTCTAGACACCAGTCTAGGTCTACAGAGCTAACTAAGTGGGTGTTGGTTTAAGCCACTGAGTGCGCAGACATTTCTTACACAGCAATAGATAACCAAGGCAGAATCCAAAGGGTGATCATGAAGCACTGTAAATTAGACATTGGATCAGAAGGGCCAACACTCCAGGGCCACATCTCCACCAGCCAAGTGGGCCAGATGAGTCCAGATTCAGAGAAGCCTGAGGAAAGCAGCACCACAGTTGAAATCATGGACAGAAAAGGCACAACTCATTCGTGCAAGAAGGAAAAGGAAGATATAGCTTGAGAAGGTCCTGTGTGATTAACACTAGCTAGAACTCTCCTGCAACTCAGGGGAACCAGCTGCTCTGTAGCTGGTGACAAGGGCGGGAGTGGGGAGGTGGTAACGGAAGAGAATACACTCCGCATCCTGCTGCAGTTTGGGGTGTGCACTGAGTGCTGCTGAAGCCAGATGCTACATGGCCTTCGGGTTTGTACTGCTCTGTGGTGATAGCCCTTGGAAAGGAAGAGGGATCAGCCCTTGCCAGCTTCCCCTTCAAGGCCAGGCCAGTGCTTATCATCTCCTGAGCTTGACTTTCACACAAACGGAAAGCACCACCAATGACTGTAGACATTCAAGTGGTCTTGGGCTTCCTAAAACTTCTCACTATCCAAGGGCACAGTTTTCACCTCCTAATGGGTCTCCCTGTGTTTGCTCTTCTCTCCCTAGGGCCTATTCTCAACAGAGCAAGTGCATGATCCTCTTTAAAAACACAAGACAGACCATGCCATTCTCTACCAAAGCTTTCCAATGGCTTCCAAAGCTCTTCAAGTGACCTATAAGACCCTCAGGTTGTCTGCCACCCCCTCTCTTGGCTTCTTTCCCAGTCCTCTCCTCCTCCCTCACATTCCTCACACTCGCCAAGCTCCCTTCTGCCTCAAGACCTTTACATCTGTTCTCTTTCTGAAATGTTCTTCTCCCAGGTATTCATTTGACTTCCCCCCCCACCACTTCTTTCAGGCCTCTCCTCAAATACCACCTTATCAGGGACACCTTCCCTGACCACTCTATAAAGAACAGTACCGCTTCCCTACCTCTTCATCCTCTAATCCCCCTTACTCAACTTTATTTTTCTACATAGAACTCATCACATCACCTGTGATAATTTTTATTTGTATGAGTGTTTGCTTATTGTCAGCCTCTCCCTACTAGAATATAAGCTCCATGCATGTGTGTTGTTTACATCTGTATTTCAACATCCTCTCACGGTACCTTGCACAGTAAATATTGATAAATGAATGAATTAATGGCAGGAGATCTTCTGGGAGATGTTGGGTCCTCAGATTGGGTCAGCTCACATCAAACAACACGCAATATTGGGTTCAAGATCCCAAAATAGTGAGGTATCAGAGTTGCTACTTTCTTGATTCATTCTTATGGCAAAAAAAATGTTCATGCATTTACTCTGTGCCATGTGTCTATGCCTGTCATGAGATTTTCTTCCACACAGCAGGAAAGTCCCCCTCCTACAATAATGCACCAGGTAAAATATCAATGGGTGTTTTACAATGATTCACATAGAAGCAATGGAACAGTCTAGAAATATCCATTCTAATGTGAAATCTTGTAAAATACAATATAAATCTGTAAACAGGTGAGAGAGCTCAGAACTGCTACTCAAAAGGCTGACTTCTCTCTTATTTTTGCCAGCCTACTAATTTTCTGTATTTATCTACTTGAAAGTGCTCGAGAAGGACACTGAAGGCTACATAAGCCCCAGTTGGCAAGTCCTCTAAGATCAGCCAAGTGCTGAGGCCACCAGATTGGCAGCTGGGGCCGTTTTGTTTACTAAGAGGATTACTTACAGATGGGGGTGCTGAGTAGAGAGGCGATAGGACAGGTGGCCTGAGAGAGCTGGGAGGAAGGGGAGAGCCACCAAGGTCCTCCTAACAAAGTGATCAGATTTCCACCTCCTGACTCTACAGCTGCAAAGTGCACCTGGCCTGCAGGTTCAGCACAACAACTGTGTTTCCAAAAAGGTCAGCTTCAAAATCATCAAAAAGTGACCTGCTCGTGGTGCTGCCTGAGCACTTCATGAAGAACATTCACAAGCACAGTTTTCCCTTCTATAGGTAGATTCCATCCTGAGCTGCCTAAATAATTAAGTTCCCTCCTAGGATGAGGGAAGAAAGTGTTGTGGCCTTAGCATAATTTTCCTGCATCGCATGTTTACAGATTTGGAGAATGAAGGTCCTCCGTGATCCCGGAGATCATGGCTGCAGAAGAGCTCTTGAGAGTCCAGAGGCCCCTCCACCTAGGAGCTTCATTCTGGAACAGACAATCATCTGCTAGAGAAATGCAAAAGGGAAGATGGAGTCCCCCAACAAGAACTTGTGCAAACTGCACCAACGCCCCATGAACACCCACCACGCAGCTGGTCAGCTGCGCTGGTCAGCTCTGAACTCTTGAGCTGCAGTAGGAAGAGTAGATAACTTCATCCCTGGATGAGTCGGTTGTTCTCACACATTTGCAGTTATTTTTCAAAAATTCCCAAAGCCTCTAAATATGGCTGGCACTGTACATATAAGAGTTTATGATTTTTTTTTAAAGTTAAAGCTAGCAAAGTAGTTTGTAATAGCCAAAACTAGAAGCAACCTAAATGTCTATCAATAATGTTTTAAAGAAACCAAATAATGGAATACAGTCATGTGTTATTTATCAAGGGGGTTACATTCTGAGAAATATGTTGTTAGGCAATTTCATTGTACAAACCCAGCTGTACAGACTACTATGCACCCAGGCTATGTGCTATGTGGTAGAGCCTATTGCTCCTGGGCTACAGATCTGTATAGCATGTGACTGTACTGAATACTGTAGGCAACTGTAACACAATGGGAAGCACTTGTGTATCTAAACATAGAAAAGGTACAGTAAAAATCGACTTAAAATGGCTCCCCTATCTAGGGCACTTACCATGAATGGAGCTTGCAGGACTGGAAGTTGCTCTGGGTGAGTGCGTGGTGACTGGGTGTGAAGGCCTAGGACATTACGCTACACCACTGTAGACTTTATAAACACTGTACACTTAGGCTACACTCAATTAATTTTTTAATTTTCTTTCTTCAAAAGTAAATTAACCTTAGCTTACTGTGACATTTTTACTTTATAAGCTTTTTAACTTTTTAACTTTTTGACTTTTGTAATAATACTTAGCTTAAAACAAAAACATTGTACAGCTGCACATAATATTTTCTTAATATCCTTATTCTATAAGCTTTGTTCTATTTTTGTATTTTTAAACTTTTTTTCTTTTTAAACTTTTTTATTAAAATCTAAGACACAGACACATTAGCCTAGGCCTACACAGGATCAAGAGTGTCAATATCACTAGTCTTGCACCTCCATATTTTATCCCACTGAAAGGCCTTCAGAGGCAATAACACGCATGAAGTTGTCATCTCCTATGATAACAATATATCGACCAGGTGCAGTGGCTCACACCTGTAATCCCAGCACTTTGGGAGGCCAAGGCGGGTGGATCACTTGACGTCAGGAGTTCGAGACCAGCCTGGCCAACATGGTGAAACTGAAATCCCGTCTCTACTAAAAATACAAAAATTAGCTGGGTGTGGTGGCACATGCCTGTAATCCCAGCTACTCAGGAGGCTGAGACAGGACAATTGCTTGAACCTGGGAGGCAGAGGTTTCAGTGAGCCAAGATTGTGCCACTGAACTCCAGCCTGGGCAACAGAGCAAGACTCCGTCTCAAAAAAAAAAAAAAAAAAAGGCTGGGTGTGGTGGCTCACGCCTGTAATCCCAGCACTTTGGGAGGCCGAGGCGGGTGGATCACAAGGTCAGGAGATCGAGACCATCCTGGCTAACAAGGTGAAACCCCGTCTCTACTAAAAAATAAAGAAAAAATTAGCCAGGTGTGGTGGCGGGCGCCTGTAGTCCCAGTTACTTGGGAGGCTGAGGCAGGAGAATGGCATGAACCTGGGAGGCAGAGCTTGCAGTGAGCCATGATCGCGCCACTGCACTCCAGCCTGGGCGACACAGCGAAACTCCGTCTCAAACAAAAAAAAATATACATACATATATATATATATATATATATATATATATATATATATATATATATATCTTCTGGAATATTTCCTGAAGGACATCCCAGGGGCTGTTTTACAGTTAACATTTTGTATATAAGTAGAAGGAGTACACTCCAAAATAACAAGAAAAAGTATAGTATATTATAGTATATGTATTTATATTAAATACATGAACCAGTAACATAGTCATTTATTATCATTATCAAGTACTACGTACTGTACATAATTATATGTGCTATATTTTGTATGACTGGCAGTGCAATAGGTTTAACACCAGGTGAGTAACACATTGAGCTACAACGGTACAGTGTCCTATATGCAGTCTGGTGCCTGACTGCATTTATAGAATCTACTCCCATACACCAGTGAGAATTAAAGAATTACAACTATAAGCAACAAGGATGAATCTCACCAATATAATGCTGAGCGCAAGAAGCCAAATGTGAGAAGACAGAAAGGCATATACTGCCCAATGCTTTTTACGTAAAATTACATGAAGTTCAACAACAGGAAGCACTAACCTATGATGTCAGAAGCCAAGACAGTGGTTACTCTCAGGAAGTGGTGCCTGTGAGGAGGCATAACAGGGACTGCCTGGGTGTTAGGCATGCTGTGTTTCTGGAGCTAGGTGCTGTCATCAAGAATATGCACTTTATAAAAACATCATGCTGTACGCACACATATAACTTTGCATACTTTACTGTATGCACATCCTACTTCGACTGTTTAGAAAAAAAAGTAGTTTATAGATTATTCTTTTGACTATTGTTAACAAATGGTTTGTGAGTGCACACTGGCCTACAAACTCCCACAGAATTGGCCCTAATCATCTCTCTGACCTTGTGTCCTTCTACTCTGTTTAATGCTTGACTCTCTTCCTGTTCTTAAGCCAGCCTCAAAGCCAGCTCAGGGCCTTTGCACTGGCTGTCTCTTCTGCTTGGAATGCTCTCCCTGCCCCCACCCCAGGAGACACCACAGTGCCTGGTTTCTCACCTCCCTTGCCATTTTATTCTAATGCAGGGAGTGACAAACTGCAGCACGTGCCCAATCCCAGCCTTCACCTATTTCTGAAAATCAAGTTTTACAGGCATACGGCCACACTTGTTCCTTTGTGCACTGTCTACAGCTGCTTTTGCACCACATGACTTGTTGAGTAGCTGGCTGGCCAAGTCTAAAATGTGTACTATCTGGTCTGTTACAGAAAAAGCTTGCCAACCCCTGCTCCAATATCCCATTCCCAGGGAAGTCTTCCTTGACCACCTCATTTAAAACTGGAATCACCCCCAATGCCTTTCCTTCCCCCCCTCCCCTCCTTGCCTCCTCCCCAACTTTTATTCAAAGCATTTACCAACAACAGACATACTTAATATTTTACTTATTTTTGCCTCCCTTCAGGAGAATGTAAGCTCCATGAGGACCGGAATTTCTGTGTGTTTTTTCCGTAGCTGTATCCCTAGCACCTCAAGCAGTGCCTAACACAGAGCAGATACTCAGTCACTTATGTGTTGAATTGATGAGCACAGCAAACTCAGATGTTATACCAGGTGCTACACTGACCTATTTTACAATCTTTAGCTCATTTACATTCTTTGCCACATCTAGAAGACTTTTTCAATATGGGTTAGGTTTAAATTCAAACGAGATCTCTGGCAGGCTCAATTTCTTTCAAAAGTTCAATGGTATGGCAGCAGCAGCAGTAGCCACAGCCAAAAAGATGCAATATTAGCAAAAAGGGGAGGAAAGAGAATGGGTAACGTTATTAGGTTTGTCTACTTTAAGCTGAAATAAATCACAAAGCTGAATAGCTGCTGTCAATAAGAAACCACTCCCCAGGAGCAGCTCGTTTAATTGTTTCGTCCTGTGGTCCTTATCCTGGGAAAAAGCAGGGAGCTGATGGCAACAGAAATAGTTTGGATTCCTGGCACACTCCCAGAGTTATTTTGCAGTCCTCAGTAAGTCTTCACTTTCTCCCACAACAAAACAGTTCCAAGGATGGGATCTCTTGGCATTGCTTCTTACTACTGCATGTGAATCTACAATTACCTCAAAATACAGTTTAATTAAAATACGCACACGCGCGCGCACACACACACACACACACAGTTCCAAAGATTGGGCTGTAATCATTCTTTGAGAGCCTAGAAAAGATGGAAAACGCACATTCTCTGTGTGGTGGGCTTGGTGTACAGTGTCTTAAAAAAAATAAGCTCGTGACCTTAGAAACTTTCATGACTTAGATTGTAAATATAACAGAGGATGACATCTGTAACTGACTTTTGAAAGCAATTTGCTTTAAATCTTCATTTTTCATACAGATAGTGTAATAATTAAAAAAGGCCACTGGAAAGCAGGAAGCCAACCTTGAAGGTGTGAAGTTCGGGGCAGTGGTTGGGTCACAGTGTCCCCCAGCCCCGCAGATGAAAGAGGTTTCAGCATGAAGATGCCCCATAGTCTTGAGGCAGCCTGGGAAGAGGAGGGCTCCAGAGAGAGTCTTCTCACCGGTTCAAATGTTAACCCCTAAAAGACCTCCCAGCTACCTAAGGAAAAAATGTATAGTCAAGATGCAGATGGAAGTTATCAGGGAAAGCCAAATCCAAACCACAATGCCAATCCACTTTACCACTTCAAATCCACTAGGATGACTACACTCAAAAAGTCAGATAATAACCAGTGTTACTGATGGGCATGTGGAGATGTCAGGATCCCTATGCATGGCTGGCGGGTAAGGTAACATGGTGCAGCTGCTCTAGAAAGCAGTCTGGCAGTTCCTCGAGAGGTTAAACATAGAGTTACCACATGCCCCAGCAATTCCACTCCTAGAAGAATGAAAGCATATGTCCACACAAAAACCCATACACAAATACTCATAGCAGCACTATTCCTAGTAGTCAAAAAGTAGAAACAACTCAAATGTCCATCGACCAGTGAATGGATCAACTAACTGCGGTACGTCCATATAACGAAATAGTATTTGGCAATAAAAAGAAAGGAAATACTGATAAACACTAAACATGAGTGAACCTTGAAAATCCTATGCTAAATGGAAGAAGCCAATCCCAAAGACCACATACTGTATCATTCCGTTTCCATGAAATGTCCAAGAAAAACAAATCTACAGTAACATAAGGTAAATTCCCCCTAGGATTGGGGGAAATGAAGAGGGTGGAGGGAGTGACAATTAAGATCCATATGGGTTTTCTTCTGGAAGGATGAAATGTCCTAAAATTGACTGTGTTGATGGATACACAATTCTGTGAATATACTAACCACCGTGGAATTATACACTTTAGGTGAATTGTACGTTACGTGTATTAGATCCCAATAAAGCTGTTCAAAAAAGAGATGTGGGAGGATCCCACTCACAGACTCCCAACAGCACCAACCTTCCTTAAGAAGAGGCACTTGATCTCTTTGAGAAGTTTTTCCCTGGCCAGGGCTAACTCATTAATCTATGCCTGGTGGATGTTACCAGGTTCTACTTCCCTATTTAGTGACTTACTTAGGAAATGACTAATAAACAGAACCTGAGTCATTTTACAAAATATAATGCACTGTACACACTCACAATAATAGGTTCTGTTGATTTCCCCAGTAGCATAACAGCCAGAGAGAAAGCAGTGAAGCTCAGAGAGGGCCCAGAGAAGGGGGGAGGCTGAGAAGGAGGGAGTTAGCTGAGCCCAGGGTGCTTGTTAGGCCTCTCCTTTCTTTCCACTTAAGCCCTCCTGGTAGGAAAATGGATCAAACGAAGTGCTCTCTGGGTAGCCAGAGTGTTGAAAATGGCTCTCAGGTATTTTGCAAAATATGATACCATAAAAATAAAAATACTCACAAGCACCAAGGTGCCATTTGGAGAGCCAGGAAAGAGCGCCAAGAAGGTGAAGTATCTGGCTGATGGCTTCAGAGTTGTTTTTTCTCCCCCATTCATTAACAGAAAATAAATAAATAAAGAAGTAGCTGCTGTACCTCTTGGCTTTCATTTCAGCACAGTTTTCAGTTAGAATTCAATGCAGGGAAGCACGTCTGCCACAACACCTAAATAATTCACAACTGCTCAAAATACCAGGGACGCATGTCAGGGATGAACCCACTCCCAGGACCACGTTGACAGGGTTGTGGGGGTGTCTCCAGCTAAAATCCTGAGGAGCAGGTGGTGCCTAGTCTGCTCCCGACTGTCCAGCACTCACCTGGAATGCAGAAACCTGCTTCTTTTGCAGGGCCCCTTTCTGAAGTGACGGCTTAGATTGACATCTCTAGAAATTACACCTTAATATGTTAAACTTCAAGATCTTGGACAGACTCAGGTTCAAATCTCAGTCTACTGCTTACTGGCTATGTGACCGAAGACAGGGTACCCACCAGCTCTGGGACTCATTTTCCACACCTGTAAAATAGGGACATCAATTCCCACTTCCTAGAACTGCTTTTGAGGATTAAATGAGATGAAAGCACAGGGATTGGCACATACTAAGTGCTCAACAGATTGCTGCTATTATTATTATTTGGTAAAGTGTGCTCATTTATTTATTCTTTCAGCTAACCAATATTTTTATTAAGCCCCCACAGTGTTCCAGGCACTGGGGATATTCTAGACACTGGGGTGCAGGAACATCCCTGCCTTCATGGAGCTGCCAGTCTATGGGGAAGACAGAAAACAAACAGGCACACAAGGGGTGAACAAGTTAATGAACAACCATAAAAAGTGACAGATGGTAATGTGATGGAGAGTGGCTGGGAGTATCACTTTAGAGAGAAGACTCACATAGTGTGTGTCTTGGGGCATTAAAACTTTGTTGATTTAGTTAATGGTTACTGGCTGATCCATCCACTGATCGCAGAACCTTTCTAAACCCATCTGCGGAAATGACCGTAGGGACTACTGTGGTAGCATATACCCCTAGCCCACTTGGCTGCATGTCACACTCATGTACCACCTGAGCAAAACAAATCTCCAGCCCTTCCCTTCTGCTCACCTCTTCTTGAAGGCCAGCACTCCCTTCCCCTTATCCCTACTCTCTGGAGTCCCCTGGGTGCTGAGAAAGTCACTATTTCCTGGGAGGAATCTTACACTTCCGGTGTCTTTCAGCATCTCTGACTGTTCTTCACACATCACTGAGACAGTGGAATTTTAAACAGGGCCTTTGGGAGGAAAGGTCCACTTTGAAGACATCCTAAGTCTGCAAGACACGGAAGTGAGCAGAGAAAGGGGAGCACACAGATGATTCTTCATGGATCCCAGTCACACTGTGAAGCAGGGAAATAAAATGACACGATGAAAGAAGTGGTAAAGACACTCCCCAAAAACCAGGAGTGACTATCAACCATCTGTCGCAAATACAAGCCCACCAGAGAGAATAAGGGTGCTTAGAGAAACATAGAGAAACATAAATATCAAGTGGGCTCCCACATTCATAGAGGCATTCAGAGCCTGAGACAAAAACCCAACAGATCTTACCTCTAGATCTGGAAGTGTGAGCCAACCTAGCCCTACAAAGCATTTCTCCAGGTCATTTGGCCACACAAAACTACACCTCAGTGGAGTTAGTATTACTTCCTACTAACTGATGGCCAATATTGTTTTCTGGAAGGAAAAAGGAAATTCTGGAAGGTTCCACCCAAAATATCTGCAGAGAGTACTAACCTCTGAGGAGCACGTCTAGGGTCAGATGTAGGAAGATGATTTACTTTTCACTGGATTACCTTTTGTATTATTTGATTTTTATTATGTTTATAATTATTATCAAAGAAGAGATTTTATCTTCAAAATAAATGAAAAAGAGAAACTGCTGATTAAAAGGTATGGTTAACTTATCAATAATTACAAGTTTGAAGAGTTAACTTCCTTTTGCTTAATCATTATATGTCCTTTATTTCTTCATACAAAGAGAAAACATTACAACATTAACCAAAGTCATATAATAATGCCTTATCATGAAGTAGAAAGAAATATGAAAATGGGATTTCCAGGCAAGAGGGCCAAATAGGAACAGCTCCGGTCTGCAGCTCCCAGTGAGACCAACACAGAGGGTGGGTGATTTCTACATTTCCAACTGAGGTACCCAGTTCATCTCATTGGAACTGGTTAGACAGTGGGTGCAGCCCACAGAAGGTGAGCAGAAGCAGGGTGAGGTGTCGCCTCACCCAGAAAACCCAAGGGGTTGGGGAACTCCCTCCCCTAGCCAAGGGAAGCCCTGAGGGACTGTGCCTTGAAGAATGGTGCATTCTGGCCCAGATACTACACTTTTCCCATGGTCTTCACAACCTGCAGACCAGGAGATTCCCTTGGGTGCCTACACCACAAGGGCCCTGGGTTTCAAGCACATAGCTGGGCAGCCATTTGGGCAGACACCGAGCTAGCTGCAGGAGTTTTTTTCATACCCCAGTGGCACCTGGAGCACCAACAAGACAGAACTATTCACTCCCCTGGAAAGGGGGCTGAAGCCAGGGAGCCAATAGGTCTTGCTCAGCGGATCCCACCCCCATGGAGCCCAACAAGCTAAGATCTACTGGCTTGAAATTCTCACTGCCAGCACAGCAGTCTGAAGTTGACCTGGAATGCTCGAGCTTGGTGGGGAGAGGGACGTCCACCATTACTGAGGCTTGACTAGGCGGTTTTCCCCTCACAGTGTAAACAAAGCTGCTAGGAAGTTTGAACTGGACAGAGCCCACCGAAGCTCAGCAAAGCTGCTGTAGCCAGACTGACTCTCTAGATTCCTCGTCTCTGGGCAGGCCATCTCTGAAAGAAAGGCAGCAGCTCCAGTCAGGGATTTATATCTAAAACTCCCATCTCCCTGGGACAGAGCACCCTGGGGAAGGGGTGGTTGTGGGCGCAGCTTCAGCAGACTTAAACGTTCCAGCCTGCCAACTCTGAAGAGAGCAGGGATCTCCTAGCACAGTGCTCGAGCTCTGCTAAGGGACAGACTGCCTCCTCAAGTAGGTCCCTGACCCCCATGCCTACTGATGGGGAGACTCCCCCCAGCAAGGGTTGACAGACATCCCATACAGGAGCGCTCTGGCTGGCATCTGGCAGATGCCCCTCTAAGACAAAGCTTCCAGAGGAAGGAGCAAGCAGCAATCTTTGCTGTTCTGCAGCCACCACTGGTGATACCCAGGCAAATGGGGTCTGGAGTGGACCCCCAACAAACTCCAGCAGACCTGCAGAAGAGAGGCATGACTGTTAGAAGGAAAACTAACAAACAGAAAGCAATAGCATCAACATCAACAAAAAGGCTGACCACGCAATAACTCCATCCAAAGGTCACCAAAAGCAAAGACCAAAGGTAGATAAATCCATGAAGAAGAGGAAAAAACAGCGCAAAAAGGCTGAAAGTTCCAAAAACCAGAATATCTCTTCTCTTCAAAAAGGATCACAACTCCTCACCAGCAAGAGCAAAAAACTGGATGGAGAATGAGTTTGACAAATTGACAGAAGTAGGCTTCAGAAGGTGGTGAGTAATAACAAACTCCTCTGAGCTAAAAGAGCATGTTCTAACCTAATGCAAGGAAGCTAAGAACGTTGATAAAAGGTTAGAAGAATTGCTAACTAGAATAACAAGTTTAGAGAATAACATAAATGACCTGATGGAGCTGAAAAACACAGCACGAAAGCTTCGTGAAGCATACACGAGAATCAATAGGTGAATCAATCAAGCGGAAAAAAGGATATTGGAGATTGAAGATCAATTTAATGAAATAAAGCATGAAGACAAGATTAGAGAAAAAAGAATGAAAAGGAATGAACAAAGCCTCCAAGAAATCTGGGACTATGTGAAAAGACCAACCTACATTTGATTGATGTAACTGAAAGTGATGGGAGAATGGAATCAAATTAGAAAATACTCTTCAGGATATTATCCAGGAGAACTTCCCCAACCTAGCAAGACAGGCCAACATTCAAATTCAGGAAATACAGAGAATGCCACAAAGATACTCCTCAATAAGAGCAACCCCAAGACACATAATCTTCAGATTCACCAAGGTTGAAATAAAGGAAAAAATGTTAAGGGCAGCCAGAGAGAAAAGTCGGGTTACCCACAAAGGGAAGCCCATCAGACTAACAGTGGATTTCTTGGCAGAAACCCCACAAGCCAGAAGAGAGTGGGGGCCAATATTAACATTCTTAAAGAAAAGAATTTTCAATCCAGAATTTCATATCCAGCCAAACTAAGCTTCATTAAGTGAAGGAGAAATAAAATCCTTTACAGGCAAGCAAATGCTGAAGGATTTTGTCACCCCCAGGCCTGCCTTACAAGAGCTCCTGAAGGAAGCACTAACTATGGGAAGGAAAAACCGATACCAGCCACTACAAAAACAAACCAAAATGTAAAGACCATTGATACTATGAAGAAACTGCAACAACTAATGGGCAAAATAACCAGCTAGCATCATAATGACAGGATCAAATTCACACATAACAATATAAACCTTAAATGTAAACGAGCTAAATGCCCCAATTAAAAGACACAGACTGGCAAATTTGGATAGAGTCACGACCCATCAGTGTGTTGTATTCAGGAGACCCATCTCACATGCAAAGACACACATAGGCTCAAAATAAAGGGATGGAGGAAGATTTACCAAGCAAATAGAAAGAAAAAAAAAAAAGCAGGGGTTGCAATCCTAGTCTCTAATAAAACAGACTTTAAACCAACAAAGATCAAAAAAGACAAAGAAGGGCATTACATAATGGTAAAGGGATCAATGCAACAAGAAGAGTTAACTATGCTAAATATATATGCATCCAATACAGGAGCACCCAGATTCATAAAGCAAGTTCTTAGAGAACTACAAAGAGACTTAGACTCCCACACAATAATAGTGGGAGACTTTAACACCACACTGTCAATATTCAACAGATCAACGAGACAGAAAATTAACAAGGATATTCAGGACTTGAACTCAGCTTTGGACCAAGCGAACCTAATAGACATCTTCAGAACTCTCCACCCCAAAACAACAGAATATACATTCTTCTCAGCACCACATAGCACTTATTCTAAAATCAATCACATAATTGGAAGCAAAACACTCCTCAGCAAATGAAAAAGAATGGAAATCATAACAAACAGTTTCTCAGACCACAGTGCAATCAAATTAGAACTCAGGATTAAGAAACTCAATCAAAACTGCACAACTACATGGGAACTGAACAACCTGCTCCTGAATTTCTACTGGGTAAATAATGAAATTAAGGTAGAAATAAATAAGTTATTTGAAACCAATGAGAACAGACACAATGTACCAGAATCTCTGGGATACAGCTAAAGCACTGTTTAGAGGGAAATTTAGAGCACTAGATGCCCACAGGAGAAAGTGGGGAAGATCTAAAATTGTCACCCTAACATCACAATTAAAAGAACTAGAGAAGCAAGGGCAAACAAGTTCAAAAGCTAGCAGAAGACAAGACATAACTAAAATCAGAGCAGAACTGAAGGAGATAGAGACATGAAAAACCCTTCAAAAAAATCAATGAAACCAGGAGCTGGTTTTTTGGAAAGATCAACAAAATAGATAGACCACTAGCCAGGCTAATAAAGAAGAAAAGAGAGAAGAGTCAAATAGACACAATAAAAAGTGATATAGGGAAGATCACCACGGATCCCATAGAAATACAAACTACCATCAGAGAATACTATAAACACCTCTATGCAAATAAACTAGAAAACCTAGAAGAAATGGACAAATTCCTGGACACATACACCCTTCCAAGACTAAACCAGGAAGAAGTCGAATCCCTGAATAGACCAATAACAAGTTCTGAAATTGAGGCAGTAACTAATAGCCTACCAATCCAAAAAAAAAAAAAAAAAAAAAAAACAACCTAGGACCGATGGATTCACAGGCGAATTCTACCAGAGGTACAAAAAGCACCCGGTACCATTCCTCCTAAAACTATTACAAGCAATAAAAAAAGAGGGACTCATCCCTAACTCAATATATGAGGCCAGCATCACCCTTACATTAAAACCTGGCAGAGACACAACAAAGAAAATTTCAGGCCAATATCCCTTATGAACATTGATGCGAAAATCCTCAATAAAATACTGGCAAACCGAATCCAGCAGCACATCGAAAAGCTTATCCACCACGATCAAGTCAGCTTCATCCCTGGGATGCAACGCTGATTCAACATATGCAAATCAATAAACATAATCCATCACATAAACAGAACCAATGACAAAAACTACATGATTCTCTCAATAGATGCAGAAAAGGTCTTTGATAAAATTCAACACACCTCCATGCTAAAAGCACTCAATAAACTAGGTATTGATGGAACATATCTCAAAATAATAAGAGCTATTATTTATGACAAACACACAGCCAATATCATACTGAATGGGCAAAAGCTGGAAGCATTCCCTTTGAAAACCTGCCCAAGACAAGGATGCCCTCTTTCACCACTCCTGTTTGACAGTATTGGAAGTTCTGGCCAGGGCAATCAGGCAAGAGAAAGAAATAAAGCATGTTCAAATTGGAAGAGAGGAAGTGAAATTATCTCTGTTTGCAGATGACATGATTGTATATTTAGAAAACCCCATCATCTCAGCCCAAAAACTCCTTAAGCTAATAAGCAACTTTAACAAAGTCTCAGCATACAAAATCAGTGTGCAAAGATCACAAGCATTCCTATACACCAATAATAGACAAACTGAGAGCCAAATCATGAGCAAACTCCCATTCACAATTGCTACAAAGAAAATAACATACCTAGGAATACAACTTACAAGGGATATGAAGGACCTCTTGAAGGAGAACTACAAACCACTACTCAAGGAAATAAGAGAGGACACAAACAAATGGAAAAACATTCCATGCTCATGGATAGGAAGAATCAATATTGTAAAAATGGCTATACTGCCCAAAGTAATTTATAGATTCAATGCTACTCCCATCAAGCTGCCATTGACTTTCTTCACAGAATTAGAAAAAACTACTTTAAATTTCATGTGGAACCAAAAAAAGAGCCTGCATAGTTAAGACAATTCTAAGCAAAAAAAAACAAAGCTGGAAGCATCACGCTACCTGACTTCAAACTATACTACCAGCCTACAGTAACCAAAACAGCATGGTACTGGTACCAAAACAGACATATAGACCAATGGAACAGAACAGAGGCCTCAGAAATAATACCACACATCTACAACCATCTGATCTTTGACAAACCTGACAAAAACAAGCAACGGGGAAAGGATTCCCTATTTAATAAATGATGTTGGGAAAACTGGCTAGCCATATGCAGAAACCTGAAACTGGACCCCTTCCTTACACCTTATACAAAAATTAACTCAAGATGGATTAAAGATTTAAATGTAAGCCCTAAAACCATAAAAACCCTAGAAGAAAACCTAGGCAATACCATTCAGGACATAGGCATGGACAAAGACTTCATGACTAAAACACCAAAAGCAATGGCAACAAAAGCCAAAATTGACAAATGGGATCTAGTTAAACTAAAGCGCTTCTGCATAGCAAAAGAAACTATCATCAGAGTGAACAGGCAACCTACAGAATGGGAGAAAATTTTTGCAATCTATCCATCTGACAAAGGGCTAATATCCAGAATCTACAAGGAACTTAAACAAATAACAAGAAAAAAACAAACAACCCCATCAAAAAGTGGGCAAGGGATATGAACAGACACTTCTCAAAAGAAGACATTTATGCGGCCGCCAAACACATGAAAAAAAGCTCATCATCACTGGTCATTAGAGAAATGCAAATCAAAACCACAATGAGATACCATCTCATGCCAGTTAGAATGGTGATTATTAAAAAGTCATGAAACAACATATGCTGGAGAGGATGTGGAGAAATAGGAACGCTTTTGCACTGTTGGTGTGAGTGTAAATTAGTTCAACCATTGTGGAAGACAGTGTGATGATTCCTCAAGGATCTAGAACTAGAATATATAATTTGACCCAGCAATCCCATTACTGGGTATATACCCAAAGGATTATAAATCATTCTACTATAAAGACACATGCACACATATGTTTATTGTAGCACTATTCACAATAGCAAAGACTTGGAACCAACCCAAATACCCATCAATGTTAGACTTGATAAAGAAAATGTGGCACTTATACACGATGGAATACTATGCAGCCATAAAAAAGAATGAGTTCATGTCCTTTTCAGGGACATGGATGAAGCTGGAAACCGTAATTCTTAGCAAATTAACACACGAACAGAAAACCAAACACTGCATGTTCTCACTCATAAGTGGGAGTTGAACAATGAGAACATATGGGCACAGGGAGGGGAACATCACACACTGGGGCCTGTTGGGGGATGGGGGAAAAGGGGAAGGATAGCATTAGGAGAAATACCTAATGTAGATGACGAGTTGATGGGTGCAGCAAACCACCATGGCACATGTATACCTATGTAACAAACCTGCACGTTCTGCACATGTATCCCAGAACTTAAAGTATAATTTAAAAAAGGAAATATGAAAATGGGGTCCAGATGCCTGGGTCCCAATCTGTGTGTCACTCACCAGGCTAATTCCTTCCCCCCCTGGACTTCAGATGCTCCCTGAGAAACATGCAGGCATTGGATTAAAACTCTAAAATCCCTTCCAACTTTCTAAGTTCTCTCTGAAAATAAAGGCATATGTATTTGCTGAAAAATTTCTTATAGTTTTGAAATTATGAAAGTAACACATGCTTACCAAAGGCTCAGATGACACAGATGTATGTAATGCAAAGCTTCCCTGCATTGCTCCCATCTTTACTCAATTCCTCTCTGCTTCCAGAGTTAGCTACCATTAAGAGACTATTGCTGCACTGTCCAGTGTGGTAGCCACTAGCATGTGTAACTATGTAAACAAATTTTAATGAGTTGAAATTAAATAGCTATGAAAATTCAGTTCCTCAGTCATACCAGTCACATTGCAAGGGCTCGATAGCCATCTGAGGCTAGTGGCTACCAAACTGGACAGCACAGATACAGAACAGTGTTACCACTGCAAAAGTTCTACCAGACAGCACTGGTCTACTATGCATAAGGAGGCTTTTCAATACTGTTCGATACTTATTTCCTGGAATTTCTGCAATTGCTTACATCAGACCCTCTCTAGCTGGGCTCATGACTACTCTAACAGCTTAATGGGGTAAGTTGCTTTGAAAAGGTCTCCGGCTGGCACAGTGGCTCACGCCTGTAATCCCAAGACTTTGGGAAGCTGAGGTGGGTGGACCACCTGAGATCAGGAGTTTGAGACCAGCCTGGCCAACATGGTGAAACCCTGTGTCTACTAAAAATACAAAAAAAAAAAAAAAAAAAAAAGCCAGGCATGGTTGTTGGCACCTGTAATCCCAGCTACTCAGGAGGCTGAGGCAGGAGAATCACTTGAACCTGGGAGATGGAGGTTGCAGTGAGCCGAGATCACACCACTGCACTCTAGTCTGGGTGACAAGCACAAGACTCCATCTCAAAAAAAAAAGGAAAAGGTCTCCTAATTTCCTGGCCTATATTAAGAAAGACTTGCTTCATCACTGAAGGTCACAAGTTGTGAAACTATCACCATCCCAACAGCACACAGAAATTTAAAACCTTAACTAAAGAACTGGCAAACTCAGCCTGGGCAACATAGCAAAACCCCTTCTCTACAAATAAAAGTTAAAAAGAAAATTAGCCTGGCATAGTGGCACCACTTGTAGTCCCAACTACTCATGAGGCTGGAGCAGGAGGATCACTTGAGCCCAGGAATTCAAGGCCGCAGTGAGCTATGATGGCGCCACTGCCCTCTAGCCTGGGTGAAAAAATGAGACCCTGTCACCACCTCTCCAGAAAAAAAGAACTGGCAAACGCCAATTTGCCTCAGGGTGGGGCTTTTCAAAAAGCACTGAGGCATTCAAAGTCTGAAACAAAACACCCAACGAATCTTGCCCAAGTGTGAGCCAAGCTAGTCACAAACCATGACTCAATGGAGGAGTTGTCTTAATTATTCCCTAATAAACAGTGGTCATCATTGTTTTCCAGACTCTGACCCCCACTCCACTGTCTGCACAGTCTGAGCAGGTAATGCCAACTTCCCACTGCACAGTAAGGAACTCTTTCTTGATTTAGAAAAGTATAATGCATTTCTTTCAGTTCCTCATAAATGTTATGTCTTCCTCTATGCTCAACCTTTGCTAGAATGTCCTTCTTTCCCTAACTGCACCTTTTCTCAACACATTTCCCCATTTATTAGCCAGACAATGTCTACATTTTCCTTATAGCTCATCTCAGGTATCATCTACTCCAGAAAATCTTCTTGGCCCTTCCCAGGCTGGATTAGGGCCCCTCAGTGGCTGCTCCAGCATATCTATACAGGAGACACGCTGAGGGTGAACGTCTAGTAGGAACCAAGGAAGGGGGTGTGGGACGTCTCTTGAAATCACATTTTATAGCAAGATACAATTTTGGCTGAGACATTTGCAAGAAAAAGAACAAAGCTTTTAAAGATTCTCTTATTCACACTTGAAATGTGAGTGACAAAATATCAGTAATCCATTTCAAAGAATATCTCTTTTATAAGTAGTAACTTTGGAAGGTGATTACGGTTGCACAACAATGTGATTTACTTAATGCCACTAAACTGCACACTTAAAAATGGCTAACATGGTGTCGCCTTAAGCTTTGCCCGCCTCAAGCTCCTCTGCTCGCGGAGGCCAGAACAGGGGCGTAGAGAAGCCTTCAGCGGCTGGGGGGGCAGGGAGCTGTGCCTGTCCCAGAGCTGTGCGAGGCACAGGCACTGCAAAAGAAAAAGATTTTTTTTAATGGCTAACATGGTAAATTCTGTTACATACATTTTTTACTGCAATAAAAATAAATAAGGAGAAAGAAATAAACCACAAATTTTATATATATATATATAATTTTTTTTTTTTTTTGAGATGGAGTCTTGTTCTGTCGCCTAGGCTGGAGTGCAGTGTAGCGATCTCGGCTCACTGCAAGCTCCGCCTCCCAGGTTCACACCATTCTCCTGCCTCAGCCTCCCGAGTAGCTGGGACTACAGGCGCCCGCCACCCCGCCCGGCTAATTTTTTGTATTTTTAGTAGAGACGGGGTTTCACGGTGCTAGCCAGGATGATCTCGATCTCCTGACCTCTTAATCTGCCCGCCTCGGCCTCCCAAAGCGCTGGGATTACAGGCGTGAGCCACCGCGCCCAGCCCGATATATTTTTTAAAGTAGTAACATTGGAGGAGAGCCACTAGAGGTTAAAGAAAGGTTATGCCTTCCCCCAAGCCACACTCTGGCTCTACTATTGGCCCCTTTATGAGCTCCAATAACATCCTAGTATTTTTCTATCACAATAGTGCTATGCTGAATCTGTTTATGTGTCTGTCTGTCTTTTCTACTAGATTGGCAAGGATTAATTATTATTTGTCTTTTTGTATCTCTGCTACTCACAGCAGTCCCCAACAGAGGTATTCAATAAATGTTTGTTTGGTGAATGGATGGAGGATGGATGGATGGATGGATGGATGGATGGATGGATGGATGGACGGACGGACGGATGGATAGATTTACGGATGAGTGGATGGAAGAGTGGATGAGTGGATGGGTGGGTTGGTGGGTGAGTGGAAGAGTGGATAAATGATGAATGAATTAATGGATAGTTAGATGGATGAATAGATAGATAGATAGATGGATGAAAATATTTTCTTAAGTCTTCAGCTCTGTCTTCAGACTAGAATCTCACAATCTCTCCCTCTCTATCTCTCTCTGCATTTCCCATAACACCAAGAAAATGTTTTATATTTTATATTTAACAACTGCTCAATACACTAAGAGAGAAAAAAAGGCTGCCATTTCTAACCCAGTAAACACACTAAAGAAAGGTTGGGGAAAGGAAAAAAGTAATCTTTAACAATATATGTTGAATAATCGCATTAAAAGCTTCCCTTTCTCTATGGAGGTACAATTTGGAGATAAACCTAAACCACCTTCCTCTCTGTGGCATATGATTAAAATCTGCTTTGTCTGTCTAACTTACTATTCTCAAATTACCACACTGCTGCTGGCACTGCAAACTCAGGCTTCACAGCTGCCTTTGAATTACTGTATAACTTTTCCTCTTTTTTTTCCTTTTAATCAGCACTGAACCAAGAAAGTGCCATCTATACATGGTGGAAAAACTATGTCTTCAAACTTGGAGGCAAAAGGTGTCACTCAAGGTGCCCCCTTGTGTCAGGATGACCCTCAGCAGAAATACTTCTCCCCTGAGGTTTGGGAACACAGGAGGTGAAGATATCCTTGATAAGGTTCCAGGTGGCATAAAATAACCTGAAGTGTATTTTCCATCCCTACTCCACAGAGTTTATTACTCTTCTGCCTAAGCCTTCAAAACAGAGAGAGCCTGACATGGCAGTGGCTAGTGCCTAAGCAAAAATAATAGTAATACATTGTTTTCCTATTTTTCTAAAAGTCCTCTAAATACCATGCTCTGCATTGCTAGATTTTGACTTTCAGAGTCAATCTCAAAACTACAAGGTAAATTACATTAAAGGGCAGATAGAAAATTTCATTAGCATTACCCTTCCTTTTTCTCTTTTTACAACTTCTGGGGAGCTAATTTGAAATTTCAAACTACAAGCAATATTTGTACCATGCCAAACATGTAAAAGGAAAGGGGAGGTAGTTTTCAATTGTCTACTTATGTTAGATGACAAAATACTCATATAACCATGGTAAGTTGATTGCAATTTTATTTGGATGTACATTCAGCCACAGGTTACAAAAAGAAAGTAGACATGGAAAGAATTTAGACTGTGTCCTTGGATGACAGTTCCAAGACATCAATGTGCTTTTTCTACCCAGAGGTGTGATCTGTGTATGGCTTTTCTCTTGAGCTATTAAAAAAGTTGTCAGTGGAAAGAAATTATATCATTTAGACTACTGAGAACATTCAAAAACAAAATAATGGTGGTATTTAGTGTAATAAGAGCAAACCTAAAATACAAGACACAATACCCCATCCTAATCTTGCTAAATATGAGACATTGGACCAATCCTATAACATCTCTGTTTAAATCAACCTCAATTTAATCAATTAATACATATTATCATTATTATACTCGAGGATATCAAGAGGACTATAAGTATATAGAAAGCTTGCTGCTAAACAAAGAACCAATAAATACTCCACTTATCATAACATTGTAGACAATACCTACACAAGGTACAGATGACAAAGACTAGCATTATTATTTTCAGAACAATGGACAGTAATATGTGTATCGACCGGCCAAAAAATAACATTAGCTAGAAACATCAAGGAAGAATTATTAGCCAACTAGTTAATTAGGTGTTTGTCCTCTCTTCTATTAATAAGGCTAATTAGTTACTGATTTTTTAAAGACTGCTTGATTTTTATCATTATATTCATTAGTAAATAATATTGTGTTTGAATTCTCAGTTTACGTGTAAAGACCTTGGTTTGGTTAATCTTGACTTTCCAGATTAACGTTTAGCATCACGGACTAGAGTTTTAAAGCAACAAATTATACTTCTGAGGTGAGAGATTATAAGCCATACCCTGATCTGTTAACACGTTAATTGCTTTCCCCTGCTACAGAATAATCATATTTCAAACGTTAGCATAAAACATAGATATATTCAGATAAAACTCTATTGTACATTTAAGATTCAGGTCATTGCATTATTAATATTAGATTATTGTTGTTTGAGCAATTTTGTAGAACTTGAATTATTTTAATTTTCACAATAACCCCCTGAAAACTATATACAAAACAAAATTTGCCACAAGAGGTATCTGAGATATAAATAAATACTAAATAAAGATAAATTATTGCAGCATAACTTGCAAAGCTGCTCCTCATATAACATGTTTAATTTTGTAGCATGTTGATAGGATTTTAAAATGTATTATCTACTTAATGCTCCTGACACTGTCTCAAAGGGCAACTTCCCTAGAAAGAAAATCGTATGCTTTGACACTCAGAACTTGAAAACTGAAAGAGGTCTTTTTCATTTGCAAGTCCAAGCTAGGACATGAAGATTAAGGACAGAAAAGTGCTTTTCCACTGACAACCCTGGTGTGGCTGCCCCATTTGTAGAAGAAAATAGAGACCAGCTCTGGTTCAGGTGAGAGTTGCCTAACAAAGGAAAAACGATCAAGTACTATTGGAAAGAATTCCAGAGCTCACAATTCAGTGATCTACAAGCCTGCCCCAACCAGAAATACAGACAAAAAAGGAAGACCTGTCATGGAAGTTTTATTCATACCACATGGTTTCTGCCACCACTTGCAAGAACATTAACAACTCCCTTACTTCTGTCTCTATGTCAGACCTGTGTCTCTGGTAACTTTCATTCCTTATATCCAACTGTCTATTGAGAATTCTCCACTCAGACGCCCTACAGGCACTTCAAAATCAACGTACCCAAAATGGAACTCATTCTCTGTTCCCCCAACCTGCTTCTCCTCTAGTCTATCTCCTCAGTGTCAGCTTCACAGGTGTGTGACTTGCACATTTGCTTAGGGACCCGTGCCTAAAAGGACCCTGTACTTGGCGTAATGGTCTGCTATCATCACTTTGAAATTCTTAATAATTTTTTAACAAGGAGCTCTGCATTTTCATTTTGCACAGGACCACACAAGTTATGTGACCAGGACTGTCTCTCCTGGAATGGCATCGCCATTACCCAGTCATTGAAACTAACCATGTGGAACTCATCCCAGATTCTCCTTTCCTTAACTCCCAGATTCAGTCATCCTGTTTCATGCCTAGGGTTTTACACCAAGCAAGCAAGAGATCACTTTACTTGTAATGCCCTTTTTCTCCTTCTGAAAGAGTTTACTTCCACTTGTCCTTTAATTATTAATCAAGATTCATCTGTAACAGAGATACTTACTGATGCCCCAGCCTGCACTTGGTGCCTCCTCTTAGTCCTCCACCTGCATTTACCTGTCTCTACATCCATCATTTCATCCTCGCATCACTATCTTTTCTATCTTCCCCCAACTGACTGCGAGCTCCTTGATGACGGCTGATTTTATTTTCTTTTGTATCTCTACTTCCAGCTCTGTGCTAGGAATATAGGAGATATTTAACAAATGTTTATTGAATAAGATTGATGATGTTTCAAACAAACTTTAATTTACTTTTGAAAACCTAACTTCTTGATCAAAACAAATGCTCTTCCTTTTTAGAATAAGCTTCTTTTTTTTTTTTTTTCTTTTTGCTAAAGTGGTCCCCTCCTTTCCATCCTGCACCTTCGGGGAGAATCAACAAAGCAAACAGCTCAGCTCCAGAGCTTAAGTTACAACTGGAATGCATTTTGCATGGCCCTCCAGGGTCATTGTCCCTCAGAGTCACTTCTGCAAGTAAGAACAGCTGGGGCCCCTATGCCTCCAGGGGCTTCCAGGCACTGCTGGCTTATACACAATGACTTGTTTGTGCCGAGATATTGCCAGAGCTTTTCAGAAATACCACCAGGAGTCCAGGGTACAGGAAAGCAAGACTGGGAAGCCTGGCCCAGAGGGACGAGAAGGCAGTCACTAAGCCTAGTCCTGTGTGCTCTCATGGACATGCAACACTTCATCAGATTTGCCATGGGAAATCCTGTTTGAAAAAACAATCTCTCGATTTGGTTGGAACAAATAGTCAAACAGAATCATTCCATACCCAGCAACAGTGTCTAATCAGCACTTCATTATACCTGTGATAGACACACCAGGATGGATTTCTTTATTTATTCACTCACTTACCCACACTCATTGAACATCTACTCAAAGAAATGCGCCCAGTGAGGCACAATCGAGGGAGGAACAAAAGGAACAGACTCCTCCACTCGAGGAACTTAACAATATTATTAGGAGAAAGGTAAATTCCACTGATGTCTGACTATTCCAGATGTGGTCCACAGACCAGCCACACAAGCACCACCTGGAAGCGTGCTAAGAATGTCAAATTTCAGGGCCCTTCCCAAGACTTCCTGAATCCGAGTCTGCATTTGAACAAGAGCACAGAAAATCCACAGAAACATCCAACCGAGAAGCACTTACACACTTCTCCCAGGGCTCAATGCTGAACTTAACTCTTCTGAGCCTGAGTCAAGTTCAAACCTCAGCTGCAAAATCTGCCCAACTGGCTCCTGACCCTAGTCCTATTATTTTTCCTGCCTCTGGACTCCGCATCTGGCTCTCTGCTACTTCATGAGAAGAGCAACTTGAAATTCTCCATCACAGAGTGAGAACTAAAAGAGGGCCATGTTATCCTCCCAATGCATAACACTTATGCCATGTGAATCTCAGATTCTTATGCGATAAATTCTGATATTTCCATTCCTGCAACATTTTTCTGTTTTCCCAAAATGCCTACTCAGAAAAAGAAGTAACAACTTAATAATTCAAGTGACTAATGGGCCTGATTCAAATGGTTTACAGTTTAAACACTTCATGTTTAGCTGTATATTTTCCATGATCAAAAGAAGGGTCTCAAAACAAGACACAGCTTTATGCAATTATTAGAGTTTAAAAAGTTAGGATTCAGTTAGAGAGCAAGTGAAATTAGAAAATGCTTATTACACTAGAGCCTAGCCTTGTCCTTCTACTCTTAATATTTTGAATATAAACGCAGACACACACACACACACACACACACGTGCATAGTTACTACTAAGAATTCCAAATATAACATACATATTTTCTGTGAACATGCAGTGTTTTTTATTTAATTGACATCACTTGGGGCACTTGTAACTTATGATCTTGGAGGCAAAGAAGAAGCATATAAGTTCTATTTTGTTTTATTTAGGTTTGGGTTTGTTTTTTTTAATTTTTCAGGAAGTTCAGTAAATGGACAGTCACCTAAACCAGCAATTTTTTTTTTTGAGACAGGGCCTCACTGTCACCCAGGCTGGAGTGCAGTGGCACAGTCACAGCTCACTGCAGCCTCCATCTCCCTAGCTTAAGCAATCCTCCCACCTCAGCCTCCCAAGTAGCTGGGACTACAGGCACGCACCAAGCCCAGCTAATTTTTGTATTTTTTTGTAAACACAGGGTTTCACCATGTTGCCCAGGCTGGTCTCAAGCTCCTGGGCTCATGCAATCTGCTCACTTCGGCCTCCCAAAGTGCTGGGATTACAGGCATGAGCCACTGCACCCAGCAATTCTTCAGCATGTTGGCCTCAAAACTCCTTTACCTACTGAGTATCTGTAAAACCTTTGTTTATATTATATATAGACAGAATTATTTAAAATATTCGATTATTGATTCATTTAAAAATAACAATAAACCCACTGTACATTAATGTAAAAAACATATTTTTGTTTAAAAATAGCTATATTGTACAAAATAAAGTAGTGATAAAAGCAGCATTGTTTTGCAAATATCTTTAATGTCTGACTCAACAAAGAGGTGTATTCTCACATATGCTTCTTCATTCAATCTGTTGCAATATCACACATCTTGTAGCCTCTAGAAAATTCCACTGTACACTTCTGAAAGACTGAAAGTGGAAAAGGTAAACAACACCTCATCAGAGTGACAAGACAATTCAACAGGGAAAAGAGTTGCTTTTTTCAACAAATGGTGCTGGGACAACTGGATATCCACATGCAAAAGGATAAAGTTAGACCCCTACCTCACACCATACACAAAAATTGACACAAAATGGATCAAATATGGGAGTAGCTGTTAATAGATACAGATTTATTCTGGGGTGATGAAAATGTTCTGGAATTAGGGAGTGATTGTAGTTGCAAAGTCTTATGAATATATGAAAATCAGCTGAATTGTGCACTTTAAAATGATGAATTTTATGGTATGCAAACTATGTATCAATTTTAAAAATGGATCAAAGTCCTAAATGTAAGAGCTAAAACTATAAAACTGTTTAATGAAAACATAGGCATAAGTCCTTATTACCTTGAATTGGGCAATAGTTCTTAGCTATGACATCACAAATACAAGCAACAAAAATTATATATAAATTGGACTTTATCAAAATTAAAAGCTTTTTTGACCCCATCAAGAAAGTAAAAGATATCCCACAGAATGGGAAAAAATATTTGCAAATCACTTATTATATAAAGGGTTTGTGTCCAGAATATATGAAGAACTCTTACAACTTAATAATAAAAGACAACCCAATTTTAAAATGGGCAAAGGATCTAAATGGGCAGCTGTCTGAAGAAGATATACAAATGGCTAATAGACACATGAAAAGATGCTCAACTTTAGCCACCAGAGAAATGCAAATCAAAACCACAATGAGATCCCACTCCACACCCACTTAGGATGGTTATAATCAAACAGATAGATAATAACAAGTATTGGAGAGGATGTGAAGAAATTGAAACCCTGCTACACTGCTGGTGGGAATGTAAAATGGTGCAGCCACTTTGAAAAACTGTTTGACAGTTATTCAAAAGATTAAACACAGAGTTACCATATGACTAGTAATTTCACTTCTAGGTATACACCCAAGAGAAATGAAACATGTCTAGAGAGCAACTTTTTCAGGAATGTTCATAGCAACATTATTCATAATAGCCAAAATGTCCATCAACCCAAATGTTCAACTAATGAATGGATCAACAAAATGTGATATATCTATGCAATGGACTGGACTACTATTCAACAAGAAAAAGGAAGGAGGTACTGACCCATGCTACAATATGGATAAACCTTGAAAACATTGTGCTAAGTGAAAGAAGCCAGACACAAAAGTTCACATATTTTATGATTCCATTTTTATCAAATGTCCAGAATAGACAAATCTATACAGACAGGAAGTAGATTAGTGGTTGCCTAGGACTGGGAGGTCTGGAGGGAAATGGAGGTATGACTGCTAAAGGGCAAAGGTTCATTTTGGGGATGATGAAAATATTCTAAAATTAATTGTGGTGATGACTGCACTACTCTCTGAATATATTAAAAATTGTATACCTTAAGTGGGCGTACTACAAGGAATGTGAACTACATCTCAATAAAACTGTTATCCAAAAAGGCAAACAATATCTTAGTATTATTTTGAAAATAGTTTTTTTTTAATAGCATGGACTCCATGAAATGATCACAGGGACTTCCAGGATTCCCCAGACAACACTTTGAGAACCACCTACCCTAGACAAAGCATCTACAGTAGGTATTGTGGGTTATCTTTTTAGGAGCCATTTCCCCCTTCCTCCTATCTGATTTTAGGTATTTGCTCTTCCCCAGGCAGAACATCACCACAGGGGAAGTTGATCCCACCCTGAGTCCCAGGGTCAAGCTCTGCACCTTAAGCTAATCAGCACATTATCTTCCCCTGGTCAGGGTCACTGCTTCAGGGGTAAGCATGTGACCTGGGAGGTCCCATCAGAATGACTGCACACTTCTGTTTGGGATGCTGAATTGGAAGTGGCTTCTCTCTTCCTCTGGAGGGTATCCTATGAAAATGTGAGAACTGGCACTACTATAACTATTTCACTACCAGTCTGAGGATAGAGCCATCCCAAATGGCAAGAAGAGGCAAAGGAACCCCAGAGAAACAGAGCCACAGTCCTTGAATTAAATATATAATTCAAGACTTCTGAATATATGAGTCAGTAAATGTCCTTAATGTTAAAGCCAGTTTGAATTAGAATTTGTTGCATGTAGTTAAAAGAATTCTAGCTGATACACCGTCAATGTGCAGCTAATATTATTGTATTCTCCCTGAAGTCAATACACTTTGCCTTTGCTTTGAAAATATCAAGAGATAAGATCTTAGCAGACCATTGGAATAACATTACATTTTTTTAGGATATACTTAATATAAAGAGCTGGCCCATATAATATAGGTCTAAAAACGTCAGAGCTGTGCCACAGTATTTAACAAACTGCCTCTCTCCTCTATTCCTTTTGTGTCTGATTTTCAGTAGACTCTGAATGGCATTCCAGAAGAGCTTGGTAGAGAAAAGTGTTGAATTGTCCTTACTAGCAGAAAACTGTGGCTGCCAGCTGGACCTAGCTTGGATTTCACCAGCAGGATCATCATGGGGCCTGATATTTAGCACAGATATAGGTTTGCACATGATAATATCATTCCCATTTCAACAGATAAGAAGCTAACCTTTTCTTCAACTAAATTGATTAGAATAGTACTCTGTATTTGGGTGATATTTGAACATTTACAACATGCTTTTACATAAGCCATCTCAACAACACAGTGGAGACTGGCAGTTGAGGAATTATTACTCTCATTTTTCAGTTGAAGAACAGGAGGCCCAGTGACTGGCTTAAGGTCTTGCACCATCAGAAAGTGATGGAGTTTAGGCTTAAAGTCATTTGATTCTAAGTCAAAGCCTTCCCACTATTTAGGATTACCTCTAATATAGTTTCACAAAACATTAAGATAACAGTCACTATTTTTTCAGCTCTCACTATGTGCCAGGTACTAAGCTAAGCACTTGACATATAATCCTTATTTAATCCTTACAAAAAGTCCATGAGGGCTATGTTATTATTATTTCCACTTTATAGCTGAGGAAACTGAGGCCCAATGAGGAAAAGTGACTTCCCCAAAGTCACCTGGCTAGTCAATGGCAGAGCCAGGGTTCAAACCCAAGCAAGCAGTGCTCCAGAACATATGCTCTCAACCACTTCATGCCACTGTGCCACTTGAACAAGCATAAAGTTTGTCTGCTATAGAGAGCTGTGCCTGCTCTGAACAAGATGCCTTTTAGCTGCCCAGAACCCACCCATTCCATAAGGGCAGAAATGATATTTAACAACACACACTACAAAGGACTCTCTCATAATTTTCCTTGTTCTAGAATTTGATCATACAAAGATTGCCTAAAAAAAGCCAGGGCTGAGATGACATCTTACTAAACTCTCATGAAAGGTTTATTGTAACAATAATTGCAACCTAATTTGACGTATTCTGAAAGACGCTCCTGCATGATTAGCCGACAGCTGTTCCTCCCCACCACACACATGTGCATGCACACACACACACACACATAATTCCATTCCTTCCATAATGGCAAAGCCACCTCCCATTATAGAGAGGAAAAATGCCAGATGCATATATTCCTAGACACTTTTACAGCTAGGGCATGGGCATATGATCCAATCCAGGCCAATGGAATCTGATGGGAAAACTGATGGGGACTCTGGGAAAGTGTTCCTCTGTGATAAAAAGGCAATGCATGAGGAAATACCTCTTCTTGGACAGTGGATGTGGTAGTGACTGACTGACATCTAAAATTACTGCAGCCACCTCATAATCATGGAGACTATAGAGACATAGTTAATGCACTGAAGATGCCAGAGTGAAAAGATGGGAAGCAGCAACTGAGTCCAGGCAGAGCTTTGGAACAGCCCTGAAGTTGCCCTCTCTCTGGACTTTTTGCCAGCTAAGATAATAAGTGTCCTTATTATTTAGGCCACTTTAACTTGTCTACTCTTTTACTTGCAGCCAAAAGCAGCCTAATCATTCAGTCCCAAGAGGCAGTGCTCCAGAGATGAAAGAGCTCTGGATTTTGAGTCAAAGGACCTGGGTTCTGATCCACTTATTTGCTTGGTTACCCAAATTGCTAACCTCTTTGAATCTCATTTTCCATATCTAGTAATACAATATTGAGATAATACTCAGTAACACAATAACATCCATAAAATGGAGATAATGGATAGTTATAAAATTCATATGAGATAATACGTACACTACCACTTTGTCAACAGAAATGCTTCATTCACATGTAATTTATCCAGTCAATAATAAAACCACAGACTTTTTAAACTGTAGCATCCATCTAACCAAATTCTTTTGTTTTACAAAAGAAAAGAAAATTGACTCCAAATGTCAAATGACTCACTCAAGATCACACAGCTGGTTGGTAACATAACTAAACCACACATCTGATTCCCGATCTAATGCTGGCATGCTACCTTCATGTTGACAGGTAATGAGTTAGACTAAATATTGGGAAGGTTAGCACTCATCCATTCAACTGATGTTTAATGTGCACATATTATACTATATAGAATAGTAGGCACTATTCTAAATATCAGGGACTCTGCGGTGAACATCAGAATGTTCCTACTCTTGTGAATTTAACAGTCTAGAAAGAAAATTATTCAATCTACATCGATATTTATTGTGTTCCTACTGTATGCAAAGCACTATGCTAAGATTTTTAGTCAAATACAAATACAAATTTTCAGCCAATTCCAACTATGTCAGCCATGTTTACCAGGCTTTGCCAAAGTATGAATAATGTCAAAAATCTATGTAACCCAAAAAAGTCAGTATTAAAAATGGCAAGTTCATTAGCAAGGGTTGTGAATAACAATGCCGGTGTCTAAAGAAAAAAAAGTAGATAGAAGATGGCTAGGACTCCACTCTAATTGAAGTAGCAAGGCTGAATGAAGAATTAGAGTCAAACCTCATCCTCCTACAAAATCCAGACTTCAGGGGTTGGCTCAATTGGAAAAGCCCAATAAGGAGCATTCAGTAACTCCTTCCCTTCCCCAGGCCTCTGTCTTGTAACCCAAACTCCCCTTTACTCCCTGTCTATTTGGAATTCCTCTATCTTCCATCCTACCTGAACATTCACAAGCAAATGATATGATGGGACAGCATCCCAGACCCTGTGAAAAGAGACAGAGCCAGTGACTTCCACATCTCTTATTGGAACTGACCACCAGTCTGCTGAGACTGGACCACTAGGTTGTGTGTTTGAAAGTTTTCGTTGGCCAAATACTACCAAAATTATATGATTTGGAAAAGGATTATTTAAAAGCTGTTATTTTGCAAAAGCTCTTTCCTATCCTCTATGCAGTGGCAAATGCAAAGATCCTAGGGGGTGGGGAGGTAACAAGGAGAATACTCTGCCTTCTCCCCTTGTGGGAGGCACACTGAAGAGGCACAAAACACATGCCCTTTCACCATCACACCCTCTAATCAGAGCACAACTAGGCAATTCTCCCTTAGTTTCTGGCTTGGTTCATCTTTTGATGCATAGGCATAATTTGGGGCTACTACTGTCTGAAATATAAGGACACAGTGTATCAAACCTAACAAGGCATTTATGCATATAGTTTCTTTAAAGGCAAATACCATGTTTCTGGGGGGTGGAAATGGCCCCCAGTGACATTTGGATTGTGGGATTCCAATCAGCTCTGAGATGCCAGCCTCCCTGGAAGACCCAGGACACATTAAGTTTGCAAACTGGCAAATAGGGTCGCTTTGTCCATTCAGATCATGAATCCCAACTGGCCTTCAGTCACTGGTTTAAATTCCCCTACCTTGGATTTACCTCTTTCCATGTCTGGAAATTTCATTGAAACTTCAGCTATTTTAACTATGGGGTAATATGTCAAAGACATACATAAGCTTTGGATCCAGACAATTCTGGATTTGAATTCCAGCTGCTCATTCTCTTTTTAGAGATGTGGCCTTGAACAAGTCACTTAAGTTATTAGCTTCTCAGTTTTCTTACCCAAAAGAAGGGAATAATACCTACTCAAAGGTTGGTGGTAGAGATCAGACATAATGAGTGGAAAAGGCTGGCTCATGAGAGATGCTCAAGAAATGGCACCTAGAGCTATTCACATTGTCTCAAGCAATAGTCCTGAAGGTTTCTATCATCTCTTGCATCTACCATGTGTGGCCACTCTCCAGCACCTTGCTAGAGAAACCTGTTTGAGTGGCTCATTTTTCTTTGAATCTGGAATGCTTACCTACTAGAGAACACAGACTAATGAGCTCCCAAGGATGTGTGGCTTGAGTTTCCCCTACTTATTTTGGGGCTCCATAGGCAGCACTCCTGTAGTGAACAGGAGTGAACAACTAACACATGTCCAAGAGCTCCTGCTCCTCCTACAGAGCCTCTAGATCAAGCTCATCCAACCCATGGCCCAGGACAGCTTTGGATGCAGCCCAACAGAAATTCATAAACTTTCTTAAAACATTATGAGACTTTTTGTGATTTTTTTTTTTTTAGCTCATCAGCTATCGTTAGCGTTAGTGTATTTTATGTGTGGCCCAAGACAATTCTTCTTCTTCCAATGTGGCCCAGGGAAGCCAGAAAATTGGACACCCCTGCTCCAGAGCCAGGCAGACACCAGGGATGAGAGCTCCTAACGCAGACAGGCAGATGTGGGCTATGGAGAGAGGGTGACATTCTGTGACAATATATACAATCCTTTAACTTTGTAGTTCTATAGAAGGAAGGAAGCAAACACAGATGGATTCACCCAGAACAAGTGCCAGTAATTCCAAATGGTTTTGTTTCGCATTGTTTTTTAATCCTTTTGTTCTCACTCTAAGCAAATGGGAAGTCTTTGTTACCTGATACCCGGAAGGGCAATTTCAATTCCTGGTCTGGAGTACTCTAGGAAAGTGTGAGGTCTAAAGTTATCCAAATAAAATATTTTAATTTATTTTAATTGGTTAAATAATAATTGTAATTTGGGGGCAGAAAGGGCAGAAAAAGACAAATCACAAAATGAAACATCATAATTTTTTAAAAATCAGTGCCCAAGCCAACATTTTGAAACATAACATTTTAACCTCTTTGGCACTAGTTGGGTCATAAGCACTGGAGTTTTTCAAACTGTTGTTAGACTGGCTACAATTTATTGTTTCTCAAAACACAAGACAACAAATACATGTCCTTTGGGGAATATTTATTATTCTAAGGAAGACTTCATCCTGAGGGAGGGGAAAAAAATGTCAACACCAAGTGGTACAGGGCAGAAGAGGGCTGAGAGACAGAGGAGAACTCAACAGCCTCTCTCCCTGACGGCCCCTCCATCATCTACACATTCATTATGGGTTAAAGGACCTGTACACCCACTTTAGGACTTAAAGCAAAGTGCACAGTCCACACTCTCTGGATCACAAGACTATTAGTACATGCCAGATGCTTCTGTGCAACCCTTGTGGCAGTAGAAACACTGCCTATCCTGCTAATCCTTTTATTATTAAGTTTAGCAGTGCTGCTTAGCTCAGAATGAAATTCAAGCTCCCCCAGAAAATTCAATGGGAGCCTACTTTCCTGGGAGATCATGGGGCATCACATTCCTACCTTGACACTTGTCCGGCTGTCAGGTTACAAATTAATTGCAACTGCCCCCAACATGTCACACACTCCCACTAACAAAAATTAAATAAAAATAAAACAGGGAAAGTCCTTTCATTCCTTCATGGTTTGCACAGCCTAGAGGCTGATTCCTACTCTGGGAGATGCTGCCCCACTCACCTCCCACTGACATGGGTGGTGTGCCCTGTATTACACTAAAAAAAAAAAAAAAAAAAAAAAGCTCAGTCCCAGAGCCTCAAGACTCGACTAGGGTAGGTGAGAAAGGAAATCCCAGAGATAAACAGTTAAATAGATTTAGAAGTCAGAAGTTAATTGTGCTGAGCCCTGACACAACCTTTCCTGATTGTGTGCGCACCGAGTGGGGCATCTTTGGGGTCCTGGAAGAGGGGCTCCCACCTGCCTACATATTCACCCACAGCAAATATGCACACGCACGCGCAACCACATGCACACACACACCTTTGCACCTCACACTAGCTCTCCTGACAGCCCAGAGGCACTTACTACCCGAGGACAGGGCTGCCAGCAAAGCTGCCTTCTCCCAAACAACTCGCCTTCTCCTCCAACTTGGGCGACAGTGAATGTCCACCAAGATTCCACGGGGCTCTTTTACCCAGGACCCAGGTTCCTGCAGGGCTCCCCACTTGCTGGCCTCACAATCCCTTTTCCTTTCTCCGAAACACTCAGACTTCACACATTCCTTTCGAGGTAGCTCCAGTCCGGCGCAGCGCGCGCTCCATCCCTCAAGGCTGGCGCCCAGGGCAGCCCGGCCTCTCTCACTCTGGGGAAACTTCGCCACCGCCCCACGCGGAGAACTAAAGACCACCGGCGGAGGGTGAGGGGGACCGACACGGAGCGGAAAGCAGGTTCCGGGACTGAGGGCGTCTCCGGAGCCTGGGCGCGGGAGACAGAAATGAGTGAACCCAGCTGATGCATGCCTTCTCCACGTGGAAGAAGGGAGGAAATACCAGTGGGCGACATGCAGGTGCCCCTCTCAGCCCTCGGAGCTCCCATCTCCTGGCGGAGTAGGGCCCAGAGGGGCCAGAGTCCCTCCGGAGGCAGCTGCCCCGCGCCCCTAGCCCGGGCGCAGTGAGACGCGCGCGCAGGGTGCACGCGAGGGGAAGGAGACTGGGCGCGGATAACGCGTGCCTGGCGCTTGCAGGGCACCATGCCCCTCCATGCCAGGATAAGGCCCCCCACCCTCAGAGGCCTGAGGAATCGAAATCTGGCTTTCTAGCAGTCCCCCAATCCCCTCCGGGAGTGGGTTCCTTGTTCTCGCATGCCCACCGCAAAGGCCCCCCGCCCTGCTCCCGGCGTGTGCCCCGCGCCCTCGCCCGGTTCCACGCGCACCTGGATGTGGCAGGAGATCTCCGAGTCGTCCAGCAGCCGGATGGTGCATCTCATCTCCTGGCTGAGCGATTTGACGCTGGAGCTCCGAAAGTGGATCATTTTCATGGTCCTCCTGCCTCTCGGCACACAGTGGCAGGAGGCGAACATGCACCGCGGCCGTGGGGAGCGAGCGGGAGGCTCAGGGCCGGCGCGGTGCTCGCCTGCGCGGACACACACGCTCGCACGCACTGTCCGGGACACCTGGGCGCGGCTCAGCCCCGGGACATCGGCAGCGTCGGGCGCCTGCGGACACACATGCCCAGCGGCCGGGGCGCGGCGGGCGGGTCCCTCCCTCTGTTCGCTCGCCTCCGCCTCGCCCCCTCCTTTCCCCGCCTCCTTCTGTCGCGCGCGCTCGTGCGCCTCCCTCTGCCCGGGCTCGCTCGCCGAGGACGCCCAGAGCCTGAGACCCCCGGCGGGCTCGCGACGCACTCACTCCCACGCGCGCCGAGCAGCTGAAGGAGGAGGCGGAGGGATGGCTGGCGCGGCTGGCCCGGGTGCCCTGGTGGTGGCCTGCTCAGTCGCAGCCGCCGCTGCGTCAAGCTGGGCCCGACTGCCTTCCTCAGCCTCACCGCCTCCTCCCTCCCCTGGCCGCTGTCGCTCGGGCTCCCGGTTGTGCTCGTCCCGGCCCCGGCTCCCCAACGCGCTCGACAGCGCCCTGCTCTGCTCAGCTCCAGGGACCTGGCGCGGGTAGGGGACGGAGAGCGATCCTGACCCACACCGCCAGGGGGATTCCGCCTCGGGAAAGGATTGCTGGGCCCAGGGCGAGTGACAGAGAGAGTGACAGCCCTGACACGGCTACACCAGGAATATCGCTAATAGTAAAAATCTCTGGTACTCATGGAGATTGTTTAAGCCATTGTTTTATTTAATGCTAGCTAGGACTCAGTCTCTTTCTCCAAAAAAGAGCCTTCCATGTGCAAATCCTCCTTTAAATCTCCCAACATCTTAGTGTGATCTTTGATAGCATACCTTTGACCCGAGCAAGAGGGATAGGTTCCTATCCTACTCCCCTGCTTTACAGACCTCCTCCAGTTCCCGGTTGCTCAGGAATTAAGAGGTCTAATGGCAAAGCGGATGTGCCCCATCCCGTTTTAGTCCAATCTCTGGGTATTGAGGACTCTGGAATTCCCCACGCGCCTCCAGGGTGTTGAAGGTAGGAGGTATCCTGCCTCTCTGTTGTCCCCAAGGTGGCTAGAGCCACTGTGTCAGGTACCGTAGGCCCGAGAGTGGCCAGGAGCAGCTGTTGAGTCAGGGGTATGGAGCTTGAATGTGAGCACTAGAATGTCCAGGAGCTGGGAGAGATGGAAGTCCTCTCACCCTGTTGCTCTTGCCGGAGCAGAACAGGTCATTAGGAAGGAACATTTGTTAGAAGAGGAGGTGTTGACCAGCTGTCAGCTTTTTCAAGGTTTGTGCCTGCATAGAGTCCCCTCATCCAAAGATATGCCCTGTCCTGGGGGTCGAGGAAGAGTGGCACACAAATTTTACCTGCCCTGGACAGTCTGGTGGGCCATATATTCTCTAGGACACCTAGTGGGGTTGGCTAAGGTTTGGGGGAGTCCGCATTGCATTTGGACTTCTCTCTCTGCCTGCTCCTGCCTCCTCTCCCTGTTGATCACTAATAAATACCACACAGGACAAACTCAGTCTCAGTATCTGCTCCTGGAAATTCCAAATTGCAACAATTTGTCAAGATAGGAGGATAGAGAATGTTTTATGTAGCACTCAATAGCTGACTATTGCTTATGAATATTTAGATGATAGTATGGGGCATTCATGTAGGCTCTTGAGCTGGGCCCTTCAAATGTTAGGGCAGATCCTGATGGAGAGGTCAGTATTGAGGGTATGGGAAGATGTGGATTTCATTCTTGGCCCAGCTACTGGCTAATCCTGGGGATCTTTGAAAAGTCTCTCCATTTCTTTTCTCATTTCAAAGGAGAGAACACCTGTTCATCCCACAGGTGGCTGGGAAGCTGGTATGACACCGGGTCAGTGGAGGACATCTTACAGCTGTAATCTGTAAATCCCCATATGCACATATGAGGTGGCAGGGATGGGACCTGCCCCAAGTTGAAAACTGGATCATCTCTGCTAGCCAAAAGAGCAGACAGCCCAGAGATCAAAGAAAAGTCACCAGCCAAACAGTCCATGCTTTTCTTTTAAGACCACACACACACTTGTCCATCCTATTATAGTGACCGTTAGGCTCCAAAAGAGTCATATCAATACCCAAAAATTGTTACCCCAAATTCCAAGGAAGCAAAATAAGACCAACAAGGACAGTAGTGAAAAAGACAGAATAAAGATAACCCAATGTGGGACTGTAAGAAACAGAATTTTGAAGAAATGAGAAGAATCTGAGATTGGTTGTCTGGCCTGATTAGGAATAAAGGCTGAGATTCAACTAGTATGAAAATACAGGCTCTGGAAGCACTTGGCATGACAGCTAGGTAAATTACCAAGTATGGTCACCTGGATTGAACTACCCAATGAAGACAAGGCTCTGGGAAACCAACTGGCCATTGTCAACAATAATAATAATAATATGAAGATTAGGAAGAACTCAAAGAATGAACTCAAGGGATGAGTTTAAAACTGGACCACTGAAAGAAAAGTAGTGATGCACTAAGTCCTAAATTATCAGCTTATGACTTTTAAACAACTGTATTTTTACAAACAACAGAGCTCAAAGAATATCTTGTTAATTGAGCCACAAGGCCAAAACTGAAAAACCAAATTCACAATTTCATCTACAAATCGCCAAATTACAAAGTCAATTGAATTATCGGCCTCACAAGATTTTATAATTATCAGCAGGAAAGAGTGGGAATCTGGGAATAAGAATAGGACTATAAAAGAAAACTTGAATGATTCCTAGTCACTCAAGCCCCCAAACTCCCTTGGCAGCAGAAGCATGCCCTCTTCCTTATGTAACGAGGCTGTTCCTGCTTTGTTTGAAGATCCTCTTCGGAACTCACTTAAGGCAGTTACCTTGGAAAGGGAAGCCGATCTCCTCCCACCCCTCTCCCACCATCTCTGACTACTCTCACTCTTAATACTTGAACCAGATTCAGTCACACCCTAGGAGACCAACTATAAAGTCAACCCCAAGAAGAGAAAGAATTGCAAGATTCTGCTAATTTACATTGAAGAGTATATGTGTGAATAAACCTGAATCTGTCCATTTGAATTCACTTCCCAATGACTCTGGTTTCAATGTACTATCTAAATTGACTAACTGACTTCTGGACTCAGCTAAATGAAGATGAGAAAAAGGAAATTCCCTGGTACATGTACAGGAAAAGATCCAAAGAATCAAGGAGATGGAAATATTGCAGTGTATTTCCACATGTGGCCAGCTTACCTCTCTTTAACTGTGTCCCCTGAGGGGGCATCCACCAAGATTTTCAAAGAATCATTGGCAAAGGAAGGACTGCCATCTTTGAAAAGCACCAAAGTGGCTGTTCTTTGTAGCAAGAGATGGTTGTGAAAGACACTGCAGTCAAAAGGAGCTCCCTGACTTAAATGGGAAGGATGAGAGCCTGGGCTGGCAGAAGACAAATAGTGGTGCATGACTTAACCCTCAGTGCCAGGGAGGGCTTGGTACAATCATAAGCAGTGGTACCCAAGTAGACTTCAGAATGGTGTGACTCATAGGGATTTTGCTGGTGGCCAAGCATCCAACTAGGACTCAATTTGATCTATAGGACAAACAAGATTTCTACACCAGGTGAACAAAGGCCAGGCTAAAATCCCCCTACAAATATTCCCAAATCTGAACCTGTCCCCCAAAGACAACCAGAAACATTTTTTTATTTTTTATTATTATTATTATTTTTTACCGATTGGGTCCCACTATGTTGCTCAGGCTGGTCTCGAACTTCTGGCCCCAGTCAATCCTCCTGCTTGAGCCTCCCAAGTAGCTGGGATGACAGGCAACAAACAGAGGACATTTGAGTACAGGAAAGGTGGCTCCACTTGAGGCATTAGAATGTCAGCCATAGCAGTGGCTGCAAGTCCAGTTCTTACTAAAGAAGTGGCAATGGGTGAGATTAATTAGTGTCTCACGCTCAGTGATAGTAACTGATATTCTTTACCAAAAAATATGCCTAACCAATGGGTTATAACACTTTGGTAAGCCACAAATAGATAACAGGTGGCCTGCCCACAAAAGATTGATGGTTGTAAATATTGCATCTTGAATTTTTTCATTTTAAGCACTTTTACAGCCATTAAAATTGATAACTTAAAAAGAAATATTTAGGTATAAATCTAACAAAATATGCACAAGATCTTTATGAGGAAAACTACAAGACTCTGGTGAAAGAAATCAAAGAACTAAATAAATGGAGAGCTATTCCATGTTCATGGATAGGAAGACTCAATACTGTTAAGATTTCAGGTCTTCCCAAATTGATCTATAGGTTAAGTGCAACCCAAGTCAAAACCTGAGCTAGTTACTTTGTGGATATCAGCAAACTTTTTTTAAAGTTTATATGGAAAGGCAAAAACCCAGAGTAGCTAACACAATACTGAAGAAAAACAAACTCAGATGACTGATATTACCTGACTTTAAGACTTAATATAAAACCAAAGTGATCAAGGCAGTATGGTACTGGCAAAAGAATAAACAAATTGATCAGTGGAACAAAATAGAGGGACCAGAAAGAAACCCACACAAATACAGTCAATTGATATTTGACAAAGAAGCAAAGTCAGTCCAATGGAGAAAGGATAATCTTTTTGACAAATGGTGCTGGAAAAACTAGACATTCACATGCAAAAAAATGAGTATAGACATAGACCACACACTGTTCACAAATTTTAAGTCAAAATAAATCATTGACTCACATGTAAACAATAAAACTTCTAGGAGATAACATGAGGGAAAATTTAGGTAATCTTCAGTTTGGTGATAAAAATCAACAAACATCAACACATCAAAAGCATAAGTTGGACTCAGTTAAAATGTAAAACTTTTAGGGCAGCTTCAAGATGGCTGACTGGAGACACTGATCACCCAATCTCCCCAAAAAAGAAGAACCAAAGTTAGAGGTGAAAAATCATAACTCAAAAGATTAAGAGACGAGTGTGAAGGCCTATTGGAAAATTCACAAGCAGAAGCTAGGGCACAGAAAAAAGGAGGAGGCAAGAATTTGGCAGAAATTGAATCCTGAAGGACTTGGGGTCCCATGGAAAGGGTAAGTGGGGATGTTTTGGGTTGCCCTCACCCCTGTGACAGATTGCTAGTTTCCAAACTGTTGAAGAGCTCCTCTGCCCTCACAAGCTTATGCATCGGTGTGGGCGGCAATTTGGGAATTTCTTGAGGGCACTGCACTGGGCTGTCAGCAACCCCCAAATTTGAGCTATGGTAGCGGGCACCACACTGGGTGTGCACCCATTTTGGGACTCTATCCTGCCCAGGGAATCTCAGTTCTTGTGTCTCCACATCACCAAATCCCCTGCAGACATCCCTCAGCACCCACTGAGATTGTGGCACCCACATGGGGCCAGCTGGACCCAGGAGAGCTGAGGGTCTGACCCTCAGGGCATGCTGTTCCAAGGAAAAGGCAGAGTGCAGCATGCCAAGGGAACACCTGTTAGGACAAAAGAAACCATAGAGTGTGCTCTCCTATTCCTGAGAGCTCCCCACTTCTGTGCTGAAAGTGACTGCACTCCTTTCAACAGCGACATGGGCACTGTGCTTGGCTCTGTGGGTGAAGAGTGTGGTTCTGCCATAGCAGCCAGGTGGCCCCAGTGCTTGGGCCTGGTAATGGAGATGAAGCCTCCTACTCCCCGCATAGCTGCTGCCGCCAGGGTTTGGCTTAAGCATACCTGTAGACAGCCATTCCAGGGCTATTAAGGATGACTGCATCCTTACTGGCAATGTCCCCACTGGGCCCTAGATTGTACAAAAGACAGGGCCCCTCCACCTCTGTACAGACAGTGGCAGCATTCCTGCAGCAAGAACAGGTGAGCCATAAAGCTGTCTATTTTGGGCTGAGGGAAGAGGCTCCACACCAAAGCCATTTCAGCAGAGAGCCACAGGAAAGGCATTGTCCATGTCTCTCAGCTACATTGAAGTGTCTGTCGAACTGAGTCATGAGCCCTGGGACAGAGGCATGATAGGGAAGAAGACTGCGTTTCTGCACCATGGAGCTGGTGCAGCCCCCTGACCCCCTGAGGAGACCTTTGTGCATTTCACCAGAAGCTCCCCTAAGCACCCCATCAGGGCTTGTGCTTGTGCTTGGCATTGGGTTATCCAAGAACAAGCCTGGCAGTCCAGCTTGACTCAGCTTTGGCCACTCCCCAACCCAGGGCTGAGCAGGAAACTCAGAGAATGGTGTATTCCACAGGCCAGATAATTGCCTGTGACAACACAGAGCTTCTCCCAGCTGAAAAAAAAGATCAAGTATATACCCATCTGCGTCTGCCACAGAAGCTCTTACCTTCAAGTGCCACCTACTGGTCTGGAAGTCAAACTGCACAACCTAATACAAATTTGGCTGACTCAGTGTACAGCACTAGGGACCGAGATAAGTTTCTGAAGACTTCTATCTCCGTCTTTACAGGAGACTGAGAGCCTACTCACATGCCCAGTACACCACTACTACAACCAGCATTTGAGAAAACAACCATACTAACGTTATCTATAACCAAGGAATTCATACAGAGCCTTGGCCCCCTGAAAGCACCAAGAAGCAAAGCCAAACAATCCTATTCAACATACATTACAGTCATCCTCAAAGAAGAAATAAAAAGTCTTGTCCAAACAAAAGTAAATTCAAAAATAAGAAGTGACACCTCAGAATAAGAAAGGACCAACACAACAATTCCAGCAGCATGAAAAAAAGAGTGTGTTATGATAACCTCAAAGGATCACACTAAATATCTAACAATGGATCCTAACCAAAATGAAAATTCCAAAACACCAGATAAAGAATTAAAAATATAGATTGTAAGGAAGCTCAATGAGATCCAAGAGAAAGTTGAAAAACAACACAAGGAAATCAGAAAACAATTCAAGGTATGAATGAAAAATTTACTAAGGAAAAAGATTTAAAAAATAAAAGAACATCTGGAAATGAAACAGTCATTGAAGCAATTACAAAATACAGTTGAAAGCTTTAACAATAGATTAGACCAAGAGGAAGAAAGAATTTCAGAGCTCAATGACAGGTCTTTGGAAGTAACCCAATCTGACAAAAATACAGAGAAAAGTGTTGTTTTTTTTTGTTTTTTTTTTTTTTTTTTTGAGATGGAGTCTTGCTCTTTCACCCAGGCTGGAGTGCAGTGGTGCGATCTCAGCTCACTGCAAGCTCCGCCTCCTGGGTTCATGCCATTCTCCTGCCTCAGCCTCTCAAGTAGCTAGGACTACAAGCGCCCACCACCACACCCAGCTAATTTTTTGTATTTTTAGTAGAGATGGGGTTTCACCGTGTTAGCCAGGATGGTCTTGATCTCCTGACCTCGTGATCTGCCCCCCTCGGCCTCCCAAAGTGCTAGGATTACAGGAGTGAGCCACCACACCCGGCCGAGAAAATAATTTTTTAAACGAACAAAGCCTTTGAGAAATATGGTATTATAAACCATCCAGACCTGTAAGTCATAGGTATCCCTGAGGGAGAAGAAGAAAAATTTAAAAGTTTGGAAAACCTATTTGAGGGAATAATTGAGGAAAACTTTACTTTTCTTGCTAGAGATTTACACATCCAGATACAAGAAGCTCAGAGAACTCCTAGGAGATATATTGCAAGACAAACATCACCAAGGTGTATAGTCACCAGACTGTCCAAAGTCAACATGAAGAAAAAGAATCCTAATAGCAGCAAGAGAAAACTGTCTAATCACCTGTAAAGGAAATCCCATCACACTAACAGCAGACTTCTCATCAGAAAACTTACCAGACAGAAGAGATAAGGGTCCTATTTTCAGTCTTCAAAAAAAAAAAAAAAGCCAGGCATGGTGGTTCACACCTGTAATGCCAGCAGTTTGAGAGGCCAAGGTGGGTGGATCACTTGAGATCAGGAGTTTGAGACCAGCCTGGACAACATTGTGAAATGCCATCTCTACCAAAAATACAAAAATTAGCCAGGCATGGCGGTAAGCCCCTATAATCCCAGTTACATAGGAGGCTGAGGCATGAAAATCACTTGAACCCAGGAGGCAGAGGTTGCAGTGAGCCAAGATTGTGCTACTGCACTCCACCCCGGGTGACAGAGCAAGACTGCGTCTCAAAAAACAAAACAAAACAAAAAAACTGTCAGCCAACAATTCTATATCCTGCAAAATTAAGCTTCATAAATGAAGGAGAAATAAACTATTTCCCAGACAAGCAAACACTAAGGGAATTTGATGCCACTAGACTGGCTCTATAAGAAATGTCAAAGAAGTTCTAAACATAGAGACAAAATGTCTTCATCATAAAAACACATAAAAAGTATAAAACTCACAAGTTGTATAAAACAATTACACAGTTGAGACTACAAAGCAACTAGGTAACAATTAACATTATGACAGGAACAAAGCTTCAAACATCAATATTAACCTTGAATGTAAATAAAATAAATGTTCCACTCCTGGCCAACATGGTGGAACCCCGTCTCTACTAAAAATACAAAATTTAGCTGGGTGTGGTGGTGCATACCTGTATCCCAGCTACTTGGGAGGCTGAAGCATGGGAATTACTTGAACCCAGGAGGCGGAGGTTGCACTGAGCCAAGATTGTGCCACTGCACTCCAGCCTAGCGACAGAGTGAGACTCTGTCTCAAAAAAAAAAAAAAGAGTATAGATTGGTGAAATGGATTTTTGAAAAAAAAGATCCAACAATATGTTGCTCACAAGAAACCCATCTAACTGGTAAATAAATTTAAAGACTCAAGGTAAAGGCATGGAAAAAGACATTCTGTGCAAATGGAAATCAAAAGCAGACTGGGATAGCTATACTTATATTAGATAAAACACACTTTAAATCAACAACAATAAAACAAGTTCATTATTATAGAATCAAGACGTTAGGACAACTTTAAATCAATATTTTAAGTCACTTTAAATCAACAGTTAAAAAAAGACAAAGAAGGTCATTATTATTATGTAATCATTATATAGTTATATATAATGATCATATAATTATTATTATATAATGACCTTCTTTGTCATTATATAATATAATATAACCAAAAAAGGTCATTATGATTATATAATATTATATATAATTATTATATAATCATTATCTAATTACCTTCTTTGTCTTTTTTTACTGTTGTTGATTTAAAGTGTCTGAAAGTATTGATTTAAAGTTGTCTTCTTTTACTGTTTGTCCCTATCATTATAAAATAAAGTGATCAATTCATCAAGAAGATATAACAATTCTAAATATATATGCCCCCAACAATGGAATTCTCAGATTCATAAAAACAAATATTACTAGACCTAAGAAAAGAAGTATACAGCAATGCAATAATAGTGAGAGACTTCAACAATCCAATGACATCACTAGACAGATTATTGAGGCAGAAAATCAACAAAGAAACTCTGGACTTAAATCAGACTCTAGATTAAATGGACCTAACAGACATTTATACAACATTCTACCCAACAACTGCCAAACATACATTTTTTTCTCATCTGCACATGAACAATTCTTCAAAATAGACCATACTTTAAGCAACAAAACAAGTCACAATAAATTTTTAAAAATCAAAATTATATCACTTCTCAGTCTTTTGGCTAAGATCAAGTGTAAAAATCAAAATTATATCAAATATCTTCTCAGACTACAGTGGAATAAAACTAGAAATCAATACCAAAGCAGATATGCTGATGGCAAATAAGTATATGAAACAATACTCAACATCATATCTCATTACAGAATTACAAATTAAAACAACAATGAGATACTGTGATACACCAGTTAGATGGATAAGACCCAAAACTGACACTGACAATACCAAATGCTAGTGAGAACGTGGAGCAGAGGAATTCTCATTGATCACTGGTGGAAATGTAAAATGGTACAGCCACTTTGAAAGACAGTTTGGTAGTTTCTTATGAAACTAAACATAAGCTTAGCATATAATGTAGCACCTATGCAACTAGGTATTCATGCAAATGAGCTGAAAACATTTTTGTCCATACAAAAACCTGCACTCAGACATTTATAGCAGATTTATTCATGATTGCCAAAAATTAGAAGCAACCAATATGTCCTTTAATAGGTGAATGGATACATGAACTGTGGTATCTCCATACAATGGGATAATACTCGATGATTAAAAGAAATGAGCTATCAAGTCATGAAGAGACATGGAAGAATATTAAATGCATATCACTAAGTGAAAGAAGCCAATATGAAAAGGCTACAGAATGTATTATTCCAACTGTATAACATACTAGGAAAGGCAAAACTATGCAAACAGCAGTAAAAAGATTAGTAATTACCATGAGTTCAGGAGAGTGGGTGAGATGAATAGGTGGAGTACATTTTCAGAATAGTGAAACTATTATTCTGTATAATACTCCAGTGGTGAATACCTAACATTATGCATTTGTCAAAACCCATAGAACTGTGCAACATACATAGCGAACCCTAATATAAACTATAGGCTTCTGTTAATAATAATGTGTCTATATTTTTTCATCCATTGTAACAAGCATACCACACTAATGCAAGGTGTTAAAATAGGGGAAACTGAGGAAACGGGTAGGCTATCTGGAAACTCTTTGTACATTCTGCACAATTTTTCTGTAAACCTAAAAGTGCTCTAAAAAATAGTCTATTGTCTGGTCTGAGTACAGTAGTATTTACAACTAATTGATCACAATCTGTTACAGATTTCTTTTTTTTATTTTAAGCTTGAGGGTACATGTGAAAGTTACATAGATAATCATGTGTCATGAGGGTTTGTTGTACATATTACTAGATCGCCCAAGTACTAAACCCAGTACCCAAGAGTTGTGTTTTCTGCCCTTCTCCCTCCTTGTAACCTGCCCCCTCAAGAAGACCCCAGTGTCTTTTGTTTCCCTCTTTGTGTTCATAAGTTCTTATCATTTAGCTCCCACTTGTAAGTGAGACAATGTGGTATTTGGTTTTCTGTTCCTGCATTAGTTTGCAAAGGATGATAGCCTCCAACTCCATCCATATTCTTGTAAAATATATGATATTGTTCTTTTTTATGACTGCATAATATTCCATGGTGTGTATGTTCCACATTTTGTTTATCCAGTTTGTTACTGATGGGCATTTAGGTTGATTCCATGTCCTTGCTATTGTGAACAGTACTGCCACGAATATTTGTGTACATGTGTCTTTATGGTAGAATGCTTTATATTCCTCTGGGTATACACCCAGTAATAGGATTGCTGTGTTGAATGGTAGCTTTTAGCTCTTTGAGGGATCACTATACTGCTTCTCACAATGGTTAAACTAATTTACACTCCCACCAACAGCGTATAAGAGTTTCCTTTTCTTTGCAACCTTGCCAGCATCAGTTATTTTTTGACTTTTTAATAATAGCCATTTTGACTGGTGTGAGATGCTATCTCATTGTGCTTTTGATTTGCATTTGTCAAATGATCAGTGATATCGAGCATTTTTTTCATATGCTTGTTGGCCACATATATGTCTTCTTTCAAGAAGTGTCTGTTCATGTCTTTTGCCCACTTTTTAATAGGGTTGGTTTTTTTTCTTGTAAATTTGTTTAAGTTCCTTATAGATGCTGGACATTAGACCTTTGTCAGATGCATAGTTTGCAAATATTTTCTCCCATTCTGTAAGTTGTCTGTTTATTCTGTTGATAGTTTGTTTTGCTGTGCAGAAGCTCTAAAGTTTAATTAGGTCTCATTTGTCAATTTTTACTTTTGTTGCAATTGCTTTTGGCATCTTCATCATTAAATCTTTGCCCATTCCTATGTCCGGGATAGTATTGCCTAGGTTGTCTTCCAGGATTTTTATAGTTTTGGGTTTTACATTTAAGTCTTTATTTTATCTTGAGTTGACGTTTAGATATGATGTAAGGAATGGGTCCAGCTTCAATCTTCTGCATATGGCTAGCCAGTTATCCCAGAACCATTTATTGAATAGGAAGTCTTTTCCCCATTGTTTTTGTCAGCTTTGTCAAAGATCAGATGGTCGTAGATGTGTGGCCTTATTTCTGGGCTCTCTATTCTGTTCCATTGGTCTATGTCCCTGTTTTTATACCTGTACTATGCTGTTTTGGTCACTGTAGACTTGTAGTATACTTTGAAATCAGGTAACATGATTCCCCCACCTTTGTTCTTTCTGCTTAGGATTGCCTTGGCTATTTGGGCTCTTTTTTGGTTCCATATAAATTTTTAAGTAATTTTTCTAGTTCTGTGAAGAATGTCATTGGTAGTTTGATAGAAATAGTATTAAATCTGTAAATTGCTTTGGGCAGTATAGCCATTTTAATGATGTTGATTTTTCCTATCCACAAACATGGGATGTTTTTCCACTTGTTTGCATCTTCTCTGATTACTTCGAGCAGTGTTTTGTAATTCTCATTGTAGAGATCTTTCACCTCCCTAGTTAGCTGTAGTCCTAGGTAGTGTGTGTGTGTGTGTGTGTGTGTGTGTGTGTGTGTGCATTCATGTGTGAATTGTGAATGTAATTGTCTTTCTGATTTGGCTCTCAGTTTGGTTGTTAGTGGTGTATAGGAATGCTAGTGATTTTTGTACATTGATTTTGTATCCTGGAATTTTGCTGAAGTTGTTTGTCAGCTGAAGGAGATTTTGGGACAAGACTATGGGGTTTTCTAGATATAGAATCATATTGTCTGCAAAAGGAGGTAGTTTGACTTCCTCTCTTCCTATTTGTACACCCTTTATTTCTTTCTCTTGCCTGATTGCTCTGGCTAGAACTTCCAATACTATGTTGAACAGAAGTGGTGAGAGAGGGCATCCTTCTCTTGTGCTGGTTTTCAAGGGGAATGCTTCCAGCTTTTGCCCATTCCATATAATGTTGGCTGAGTGTTTGTCATAGATGGATCTATTTTTCTGGGGTATGTTCTTTCAATACTTAGTTTATTGAGAGTTTTTAACATGAAGCAATGCTGAATTTTATCAAAAGCCTTTTCTGCATCTATTAAGATAATCATATGGTTTTTGCTTTAGTTCTGTTTATGTGATGAATCACATTTATTGATTGTTGTATGTTGAGCCAACTTTGCATCCTGGGGATGAAGCCTACTTGATCATGGTGGATTAGCTTTTTGATGTGCAGCTGGATTTGGTTTGCAAGTATTTTCTTGAGGATTTTTGTATCAATGTACACCAAGGATATTGGCCTGAAGTTTTCTTTTTTTGTTGTGTCTCTGCCAGGCTTTGATATCAAAATGACACTGGCCTCACAGAATGAGTTGGGGAGAAGTCCCTCCTCCTCAATTTTTTGGAATAGTTTCTGTAGGAATGGTACCACCTCTTCTTTGTACATCTAGTAGAATTCAGCTGTGAATCCATCAGGTCCCAAGCTTTTTTTGCTTGATAGGCTATTATCACTGATTCCATTTTGGAGCTTGTTATTGGTCTATTCAGGGAATCAATTTCTTCCTGGCTCAGTCTTGGGAAAGTGTATGTGTCCAGGAATTTATCCTTCTCTTCTAGATTTTCTAGTTTGTGTGCATAGAGGTGTTTATAGTAGTTTCTGAGGGTTGTTTTTATTTCTGTGAGGTCAGTAGTAACAGTCCCTTTGTCATTTCTAATTGTGTTTATTTGGATCTTCTCTTCGCTTCTTAATTAGTCTAGCTAGTGGCCTATTTCATTGATTTTTTTCAAAAAAAAAAACTCCTGGATTCATTGATCTTTTGAATGGTTTTTCGTGTCTCAATTTCCTTCAGCTAAGCTCTGATTTTTGTTATTTCTTGTCTTCTGCTAGCTTTGAAATTGATTTGTTCTTGCTTCTTCAATTCTTTCAGTTGTGAGGTTAGGTTATTACTTTGAGATCTTTCTAATTTTTTGATTTTGGACATTTAGTGCTGTGAATTTTACTGTTAACACTGCCTTAGCTGTGTCCCACAGATTCTGGTATGTTATATCTTTGTTCTCATTATCTTCAAAGAACTTCTTGATTTCTGCCTTAATTTCATTATTTACCCAAAAGTCATTCAGGGGCTTGTTGTTTAATTTCCACGTAATTGTATGGTTTTGAGAAATTTTCATTGTGTTGATCTTTATTTTTATTGTACTGTGGTCTGACAGTGTGTTTGGTATAATTTTGGTCCTTTTACATTTGTTGAGGATTGTTTTATGTCCAATTATGTGGTCAATTTAAGAGTATGTGTCATGTGACAATGTGAAGAATATACATTCTGTTGTTTTGGGGTGAAGACTTCTATAAAGGTCTATCAGATCCATTTGGTCCAATGTTCACTTTAGGTCCTGAATATCTTTGTTACTTTTCTGCCTCAATCTAATACTGTCAGTGGAGTGTTGAAGTCTCCCACTATTATTTTGCGGGAGTCTCTGTATCTTTGTAGGTTTCTATGAACTTGCTTTAGGAATCTGGGTGCTCCTGTGTTGGGTACATATATATCACATATATTTAGGATAGTTAGGTCTTCTTGTTGTATTGAACCTTTTGCCATTATGTAATGCCTTTCTTTGTCTTTTTTATCTTTATTAGTTTGAAAACTATTTTTCTGAAATAAGGATTGCAACTTCTGCTTTTTTCTGTTTTCCATTTGCTCCGTAGATTTTCCTCCATCCCTTTATTTTGAGCCTATTAGTGTCATTTTGGGTGAGATGGGTCTCTTGAAGACAGCATACCATTGGATCTTGCTTTTTTATTATTATTATTATTCAGCTTGTCACTCTAGTTTTTAAGAGAGACAATTAACCCATTTACATTCAAGGTTAGCATTGACATGTGTGCATTTGATCCTGCCACTATGCTGTTAGCTGGCTGTCATGTTGGCTTGTTAGTGTGGCTACTTTACAGTTACTCTGGTCTGTATGTTTTTGTATTAGCTAGCAGCAGTTTTTCCTTTCTATATTTAGTGCTCCTTTCAAGATCTCCTGTAAGGCAGGTCTGGTGATAATGAATTCCCTCAACATTTGCTTATCTGAAACGATCTTATTTTTCCTTCACATAAGAAGCTTAGTTTGGCTGAATATGAAATTCTTGGTTGAAGATATTTTTCTTTAAGAATGTTGAATATAGATCCCCAATCTCTTCTGGCTTGTAGGGTTTCAGCTGAAAGATCAGCTGTTAACCTCATGGGGTTCCCTTTGTAGGGGACCTACACTTTCTCTCTAGCTGCCTTTAACATTCTTTCTTTCATTTCAACCTTGGAAAATCTGAAGATTATGTGTCTTGGGGATGATCTTCTTGTGTAGAAGAAGGTGCCCTTTCAGGGGTGCCTATGATTCATAAATTTGGCCTCTTTACATAATCCCATACCTCTTTGAGGTTTTGTTCATTCATCTCTTTTTTCCCTTTATTTGTGTCTGATTGTCTTATTTCAGAGAACCAGTCTTCAAGTTCTGAGATTCTTTCCCCAGCTTGGTTTATTCTGCTGCTAATACTTGTGATGGCATTGTGAAATTTTTGTGTTATTCAGGTCTGTCAGACCCATTAGGATCTCTTTATACCAGCTATTTTGTCCTTCAGCTCCTGTACCACTTTATTGTGATTTCTGTTCTCCTTGGGTTGGGTTTTGTCATCTTCCTGAATCTCAATGATATTTGTTCCTATCCATATTCTGAGTTCTATTTCTGTCATTACAACCAGTTCAGCCTGGTTAAGAACTCCTGTTGGAGAACTGGTATGGTCATCTGGAGTACATACAACATTCTGGCCATTTGAGTTACTGGAGTTCTTGCATCGGTTCTTTCTCATCTCGGCATGTGGGTGTTCCTTTAACTGCAGTGTAGATTAAGTACAGTCAATAGACTTCTTTTCTGAATGTTTTCACTGGGCCAAGGTTTTGCGTAGTGGCTTTATTTGAAGCTGACTTCTTATCTCTAGTTTCATAGGGGGGTATATTTGTGAGGTATTTTTGGTTTTGAAGCTTTGGGGTGTGATCCAGCAAATAACACTTAGGCTCATCGGTCAGTTTGTAGACTCTTGCTTAATTGTGTGGCTCCCCTATGTTTCCTCACAGTTGCAACTGTGTTCCCTCTCAGTGCTCTGAAAGTGTGGGTTCCTCTCCACCTTCAGTGCTGGCTGTAATCACAACTTAGCATTCATCGGCTGCTCACTGCAGCTCTGGTGTGATCTCAGTGTTTATGTTCCTTTCCCAGCTAAGAGGCAGCAGAGGAAGAGATCTTAGTAGTGGTTGTGGCCAAGGGTCATTTGCTTGACTCCTGGGGATCCACCCCAGAGAGATGCTGGTCAGCAATTGCTCAATGCAGTCAGCACAAAATGAACGGTTTGTGCTGTGGGCCCAAGCCAATGTTTCCTTGTCTGGTGACAAGCCATGGAGGGTGTGTGGGACCCATGGGAGACAGACTGGCCTCCTCTTCTTGGGTCGATTGCAGCTTGATGGAGATGTGGATAAGACACTTAAAGTCTTTGCTCCTTTGTTAGTCTGAGGGCAAGGGCAGTTCCACTGCAGAAGCAGTGGAAGAGAGGCTTTTGGTTGCCTCCGGAGGCTGTGTCCAAGGAGTTGCTGAACTGGTACTGGCTTGGTAGCTCTGGTGGCAGGTGGCTGGAGGCCCAGGCCTGGAGGACCTGCCTGGTGAGGAGATATGGGATCAGGCACCCACGTCACAGTCTGGTCACTTTTCTGTGGAGCTACTGTGGTATGTTTGGGGCCCATTCCAGTCCCCAGCCACCTGGGATTTTCTAGAACCTCGAGGTATCACAAGTGAATGCTGCAAAATGACAAAGATAGCAGGCAGCCTGTCCCTCCCTCTGGGGGCTTTGTCCCAGGGAGGTACAAACCTTTTGCTGGCCCAAAGCCACCTATAAGAAATGGCTGCAGACCCCAGTTAAGAGGTCCCATCCAGTGAGGAGGAATGAGATTAGGACCCACTTAAAAAAACAATCTGGCCACGTTTTGGTAGAGTACCTGTGCTGTGCTGGGGGTCCACTTTGGCCCCCAGTCACCTCAGACACTCCAAAGCCCAAAGGCTGGAATGGCTAAGTCACTCAAACAGCAAAGATGGCGGCTCACCCCTCTCTCTGGGAGTGCTGTCCCAGGGGGAATTAAGATCGCTGTTGGCTGGAGAGCTTGGGTGGGAGTGGCTGGAGGCCCCAGTTGGGAGGTCCTACCCAGTGAGGGGGAATGGGATCAGGCACCCACTTAAAGCAGCAGTCTGGCCAAATTTGGTAGAGCACCTGTGCTGTGCTGGGGGACCCCTTCAACCTGGGTTGGCTCAGACTCTCCAAAGCCCCAAGGCTGGAATGGCTAAGGTACCCAAACAGCAAAGATGGCAGCCTCCCCCTCCCCCTAGGAGATCCTTCTCAGGGAGGTGCAATGCCACTACTGGTAGCCAGCTGGAGTTCCAAACCAGTGGGTCTTATCTTGTGAAGTGTCATGGAATTAGGGCCTGCAGGCTATTACTGCTCAGCCCCCTGGATTCAGCCTCTTTCCTATGGGTAGGTACAGGAATCTAACCTCCCACTTTGCTGGAGCTGCAGCTACTTTTGCAGGAAAGCCCAAGTATCTAAGGCTCCAGGGTCTCCAGGCATGCTTGAGCAGCTGCTCTGCCAAGACTCCACATAGCTCTGTCTGTCAGACTGAGGACTGAAGGCCCTGATGGAGTGGGTTCACAGGGAGATCTCCTAACCCAAGGGTTGCAAAGATCTGTGGGAGAAGCGTGGTTTCCCGGGATCGGTCATTCACTTCTTGGTCTAGGGAGGATCCCCTGGCTCCATGTTGCTCCCAGGTGAGCTGTTGTCTTGTCTTGCTTTTCTTCATTCTCTGTGGGTCAAACTGTTTCCTTGATTAGACCCAATGCCCAATGGACGTTTCCACTGAAGGTTTTGTATTTACTTGCCCCTTCTGTTCCTTTCCATGACAGCCACACACACACTATCTACCTCTAGTCAGCCATCTTGGCCACTCCCCTACAGATTTCTTTGTTCCCTCTCCACTCTTCACTGCTTCACTAGCCTTTTGAAAAAAAAAACAAAGAAAAATGGTTTATTAAAACATAACAATTGGAAATATTTTGAACATGATTTACATGGCCACCTTCTGTGAAATTCCTGAATTCAGCAAATATTGTTTTGGGTCATATAACTCCATGCATTATTGACCTACAGCCAGCAAGCTCTTGACAATAGCCATACACATAGTACATGTCTTTGGCTTGCCCATTAGATCATCCCAATTCATCTGATGGTTAATTTAGCTATAATTTGGTTATTGTCAGAGAAATTATATTTGTCTTTCAGATGAATATAAAATATTTCGTTTTCTTTCCTAATTAATTTGCTCTTTTCACATTTTTTACTAATGTAAAAGATATTTTGGCCTTTCATTCTGGATATTATTTGCTATTAAATGACTGATTTTTTATGAATTCTCTCCATTGTTGTTTCTCAGTTTTTAATTTGCTTTTGGAATTTTCAATTAGCCAATTTTAGATTCTTGTTAGAATTTATTTGTATTTCTAAAAATAATAATAATAAACATTACTTAATTCAACTTATTAAGAGATATTTGAGGCCCTTACAACATCAAGAGATTCGTTTTTCAAAATATTTTAGGATATATGAGGATTGTGATATTTATATTTTGTATAACTTTTTGAGATTTTTTCCTTATTGAATTAAGTAAAAATTAAAGTTTCAATAATTTTTATCTTGTCTCTGAATATTTTATTCTTTAATTTTTGAAATAGTTTATTTTAAAACATTCTTAAGAATGAAAATGACTTAAAAATATATTGACCAAAAGATATTCTGAAGCTATGAAGGTCTCTAGTCCCAAGGAATATTTTATATTTAAATATTTACTTTTTATGCATATTTATGAAAAGCTTTTAAATTAAATGTTAAGAGCTATCAGATTCATGAGACAGACAAAGCAATAAGAAAAAGAGTTTGAATTACCAATTAGGTAATTTATAAGGGCTGTCTCAAATTTTGATTTATCTGCTGATAAGTCTTCTCTTCCAAGGCATCATATTTGCAGTTATCAAATGAAGCAATGGCGCCATGCAAACTACACCATCACCTCAGCCCTACTTCTACACATTAAATGAAAAAATTATTTTTATGCATCTACATGCACAAAATAAGAAGTAAACTTCTTTTATGACATTGGTAACAACAATACCAGAGCACTGGTTACAAAGTTATGAAAAAAAATTGCTGAAGCTAAAATGCCACACAAATGCAGAATTGTGCTTTTTATCTGCCTGCATGGAAATTGTCAACAGCCTAATTGGGACCACTGGAAGCAAAAGAAAGAGAAAGATGTCCCCCATCAGATAACAGGATTAGCAGACACATGGATGACATTTCGTATAATGTAGAAATCACACTAACTCAGAAGATTCAGAAGATTATCAATTGATTGGTATAAGTACAGATATGAGTAACTCTATCAATTTAGAGTACTAATTAGAAGGCCCAAAGAGAAATTATTTGTTCCAGAACCAAAGTGCTAAATCAAACTATTGCAGATGAATTATTTGAGGTAAGAAATGAAGATCTGGGGGGAAAAACGAAAAGAAATATGATGGAAACACTGCAGGGGGTTGTGCACTCAGGATTTGTTTGCAATGTCAGGAAGATGTGAAGGCCCTATACAACATGGATTTTATCTGAAACCCTGAGATTCAAGTAACACATGTTGTTTATTCATAGAGAAGCTCTCATATGTAAATGTTTGCCTATGGCTCTAAATTGCACATTGAATGATGAAACTAAAATGGTGAATCTAACAAAATACAAGCTCTTGGGGTCCATCTGGTTTCAGTTTTCAGTGAAGCATGAGATCAGAGTATCACTCTGTTTTTTATATCAGAATGTATTGGCATTCAAGGCAAGAGAGCTGTCAAAAATACATGCACCAAAATAAGAACTTTTTGCAAACAAATCTCACCTTGCAGATTTGTTGAAGGATAGTCTTAGCTTAAATACAGTAGCTTAACTAACATTTTTGTGCATCTGCATTTAAATTGAAAATTAAAAATTTTTTGAATTTAAAAATGTGTAAAACGCATGCACGTGTGTGTGTGTGTGTGCGCGCGCGCACGCACATGTGCATGTGTGCGCCTGTGTGTGTGAATTAACAATCCTTTATTAGGGATTGAAAGCAAAATGCCAAATTTGGAGAAGTAAAGTGAAAATGGTTCACATGTGATGATTAGTCAATTTTATTAGTGAATTGTTAAGATTAGTATGCTGACATCTGTATGTGCTGAAGAAAAAAAGCTTTGACTTTATTTGTAAATACAGGCATACTTCACTTTATTGCTCTAATGGAGATATATGTGGAGATGAATGTTGTTTTCATGCCTCCTTAGACAACATCCATTCTGCCACCCATGGATCAAGGAGTAATTTAGACTTTCAGGTCTTATTATTTAAGAAATCCATTTTGTAAGGCTATTGCTGCCATAGATAGTGATTCCTCTGATGGATCTGGAATAATAAACTGAAAACTTTCTGGAAAGGATTCACCATTCTAGATGCCATTAAGAATATTTGTGATTCATGGGAGGAGGTCAAAATAGAAACATTAATAGGAATTTCAAAGAAGTTGATTTCAATCCACATGGATGACTTTGAGGAGTTCAAGACTTCAGTGGAGGAAGTAACTGCATGTGTGGAGGAAATAGCAAGAGAACTAGAATCAGAAGTGGAGCCTGGACATTGACTGAATTACTACAATCTCATGAGAAAACTTCATTAGATGAGGAGTTGCTTCTTACAGATGAGCAACAACAACAAGAAAGTGGATGCTTGATATGGACTTTACTTCAGGTGAGGATGCTGTGACCACTGTTGAAATGGCAACAAAAAATTTAGAATGTTATATAAAGTTAGCTGATAAAGCAGTAGCAGGTTTTGAGAGGATTGACTCCAGTTTTGAAAGACATTCTATTGTGGATTAAAGGCTATCAAACAGCATCAAGTACTACAGAGAAATCTATCAAGAAAGGAAGAGTCCATTGATGCGGCAAACTTTATAGTTGTCTTATTTTAAGAAATTGCCACAGCCACCCCAAGCTGTAGCAACCACCAGCAAAAAGATTATGACTCACTGAAGGCTCAAATAATCATTAGCATTTTTTAGCAATGAAGTATTTTCAATTAAGGTATGTACATTGTTTTTTAAACATAATGTTATTGTACATTTAATAGACTACAGTATTCTGTAAACATAACTTTCATATGCACTGGGAAATCAAAAAATGTGTGCAGCTTGCCTTATTGCAATATTTGCTTTATTGTGGTGGTCTGGAACCAAACCCACAATATCTCCAATGTATGCCTGCACTTGACTAGACAAAATGTAATTGTGTTAAGTTGACCCATATGTAATTGCCATTTTCTAGGTGAAGGGTGCCCTAATATTGGCAGTTCCATATGTTTCAACCTATCATTTAAAATCTATCACTATACGTGACAAACTTCCGCAGGACTTGAAAGTAGCCATTTCAAGTATAAATCTTGATATCTAAAAGAAGTTATACATAAATTTGTCAAAAGTCATAAAATTATACACTTTAAATGATATTTCTATATATAAATTATACCTCAATAAAATAATTCAGATCATAGAAGTGAAATTGTTTCTCATTAAAAATTAAAAATATTTTATTTAGAAGTTTAATACTTGTTCAATATTTATTTCCTAATATCTTATATTTTATCTATCTTATTATAATCTTATTATAAGTATATACAGAGTTTTATCACTAAGTCCCATGCTGATGGCCACAAATTCCTTCCAATGCATCCCCGTGTGCTTTACACATTCTATAAATGACAAGAAATGAAAAGGTTGGATGTGGCAGAGATTTCTAGCTGTCCACCAAAATACATTATCCTCTTCATTCATAAAATGTGAATTGAATTATGGTTCTGGATTATTCATTCTCTAGCTGTATTAAAATTACACATCCATACCTTGGCAGTGCGAGTTTGCAGCATCTCCCAGTAGAACAGGCAGCGTATCTTCCCTGCCCTGTTGATGTTGGACTTGGTAATGTGACTTGCTTTGGCCACCGGAATTTAAGTGAAAGTGACAGTGTGCTGTCACTTTCTGGGCTGAGTCTCCAGAGGCATCAAGCATCTCTGCTCATTCTCGTGCACTTCTATTATAAGAAGAACATGCCCCAAAGAGACACTGCCCTTTCAGCCGGGGCCCCAGAACAAATGTACATGGAGCCAAACTAACACCCTGGCATCATGCCCAACCAACCTGTAGCCTTAATCGGAGCCTTCCAGTTCAGCTTAGGTTAGATCAGCTGAACAACAGCCAATGTGCACATTTGTGAGAGTGAGAATAAATGCGTGTTGTTTAAAAGCCTCCAGGTTTGTAAGTGGTTTGTTACACAGCATTAGGGCAATGACAGCTGAATTACACTCACACCAATTAAGCTGTTGTTGGATACATGGCTGCCTTATCAGACTACATGTGCCTCACAGTTAGGTGTTGACATGTGACTAACTTCTTACCAATGAAATATAAGCAGAAGTGTTACATGTCACTTTCAGATCCAGGCAAGACCATTAATGTGCCTCTTCTGTCTTCCCATTGGCTAGGACCAAGATATGGAAGCCACCCAGCTTTGATAACCTATATGATGACAATGCCCTTAGGGATGATAGAACAATGACTTTGAAAGATTCTTGCTCCCTAGATGACTGCAGACCTAACTGCTCACCTTAGAACTGAGATGAAAGAAAAGTAAGTTTCTATATTCTTTGAGCCACTATATTTTGAATGTCTCTTACAGCCACTTATTTTTATCCTTAAGAATGAAGTTAGGAAACACTTCCTTCTCTGAGAAGTTCCATGGTATTATTCTTGGAAATTTAACCCCAAGTTTGCTTTTCTGGCAATGACTCCCCCTGCCCAGTGATTTTGTGAGCTACACCATATCTTTTTAATGTTACTTCTTTTCTGCTAGTCAGGTTCTGGTGACATAACAAACAAACAGAAGATATAAGGAAAGACAGAAGCACTGTGAGCCTTTCCTGTCAAATTCAGCTTTAAAAGCTTCTAACATGTGTGATGGCCAAGCTCTTGCTGAATTTTTTTTACATAAGGCTTTCCAGACACCACTGAGCCTCCCTTCCTCATCCTCTCTCTCTCATTCAAGCTGATCTAATCCCTTCAGCTCTTCATTCAACAATCATTTACAGGGCGGCTGCTATGCACCAGACACTGGGGTATAAAGACAAATGAAAGTGTATTGGTCAGAAGTTACTAGGTATGCTGCAGTAACAAATAGCCCTTAAATTTCCATAAATCCTAAATAGCCCTGAAATCTGCAAATCCTAAACAATTTATTTATTGCTTATTCTACATGATGATCACATGTCAGCTTCCATTCAGGAACCAGGCTGACAGAACAACCTGGAATACTTGCTAGTCATCATGGCAAAGGGCAAAATGAAAGAATATGGCAAACCATATGCTGGCTTTTAAAGCTGCTGACTCAAAATGATTCACATCACTTAATAAGCCAAGGAAAGTCTCATGGAAAACCCTGACATGAATAGGGTAGGGAAATAGAGAAGAGCATGTATATTTGCAAACAAGAACAGAGTCTGCCACAAGGAAGAGCCCAGCCTGCCCTCTGTTCCTCTATGCCACCACACATCTCCTAGATACTTCTCTATCTGCACTCTCTAAGCTGCACCACAATTCACTGTGTATGTGTCCATACCTCCTCCAGTGCCAGAAGCTCCATGAGGCAGGGAACATATCTTATGCATCATCCAGCCCAGCACAATGCCTGGTACAGGGTATATAATTTATTCTATTGTATATTTGGAGAATAAAGGAATAATGAGTGGATGGGATCAAATTGCTCCTGGTCTTGGGAGGGTATGAGATAGGAAAGTGAACACTCACAGAACGAGCTAGCGGGATATTTAGGGAGTAAAAATGGAAGAATGACAACTTAGTTAGGTTCCTTCACCCAGAAGATAGAAGATCTCGCACAAATTGGGATTAGATTGTTTATAACAAGTAGTTCCTTAGACGCGGTATCCTTGACTACTTGAAATTTGTTGCCAATCTTTGAAAGAAGGTAAGGGAGAGGGAAAGTGAAATCGCACTAACTGTGCAAAGATGGAGATGCGAGAAGCTGACTACAAACCCCAACTGACCAAGGTGGCTATAGCAGCTGGAAGGACTCTCCCTTGAACATGCAGTCAGCAAGCTTACCACTGGGAGATGATCTGAAAGCTTAACAAAAATGGAACTCCTAGGCAGACTACCACAGGTCATTCAAAAGCTATGCCCAAGGTGACTTCAACCAGAAATAAATGCAGGAACATACGTTTCTCGGCCGGGCCACCTGGGACTTAGTTCTGTTCTACACCTTAGCTGTCCTGTTCACCACACGTGGCTCCAAATAACCTTTAGCCATTTCCAGATATTGAAGCCAATCTCTCAGGGCAAGAATTTGCTGTCACCGAGCCACAGGCTCTGTGAAAGAAGGGTTTTACCCTTTTTTATGACAAGATATCAATGTTAAACTTGCAATACTAATAGAATTATGGAATGTCAGAATTGGCAGAAACTTAAAAGTCAAAGGCTTAGATCCTTTCATTTCGGAGCTCTGGATTCTAAGTTCCTTGAGGACAGAAACCATGTCTGGTTGTATGGCCAATGCCCCCCCCCCAGCACAGAGTTTCACCAATAAATGGTGTTCAATAAATGTTATTGAATGAGAGAAGAGCTGAAAAGTAAGTAATAGTGATTAAATGAAAAAAAAAAAAAAGAATGAGAGGCCGAATGAATGAATGCAATGTGGAAACTGAGACGCAAAGATACGCAGTATTATGCCCAAAATTACACAATGACTTAGAGCTGCAATTAAAAGCCAGGTCCTCTGGCATCTAGGATAGAGTCTTTTATGACAGAAGGAGAATTAAGCACCTTCCCAGTTCAGGGGCTTCCCAAGTTGTTTTCTTTCAGCCCCCTACCCCTACACCTCCCAGGATATGTCTGGGGACTTTCCCTTCACTCCACCCTCACCTACTGCGTGTCTAAGACTCCACACCACTTCCTTCAGGCATGCAGGTGTCCTGGGTGAGTGCAGAGTGGGGGACTGTTCTCCCAGTGTGACAGCCCTGCTAAGCAGCCTCTGAGTAAAGGGTTGGTGGCAATGGAAGTGAGGGCTTGACTAGACCCCAACAAAAAGCTGGGTTAGCCTAGTCCCTGGGCTCCAATGATAAATGATGCTCTCTGGAGTGTGTGGATGCTAGCTGGGCTCCCAGCTGGCTTGTGGGTGCTCAGATCCAGCCCACAGTGCCCTCCAATTGGCCCTCACAGGCAACCATCCTTCCTCTGGTTCCATTACCATCTGTTCTCTTAACACCTCCCACTCCCTCCTCCAGCTAATCTAAGAGCAGGAATCCCTCCTCGCCCTCTCAAACATTTTAACTACTCCTTGAGTCCTCTCCAGCTCACGTAGGACATGCTTTTGAAATCTAAAGCCAGGAAGAAGATGTCTTTCTGCTGCTTTCTACTAAAGAGGAAAAAAATAATGATGGGGCTGGGGAAGACTGGTCAATACCTCAAAACATTATCCTACCACAAGATGCCTGGGGATTTGCAGAGTACTCTCACCTGCATTACTTTACAGGCATAAGAATATGTCTTTAGAAGGTGACTTCAAATGATTTGCTTGTATAAATTCAGACATGTTCCCTTAAAATTCGTCTCCTGGCAGTATTCTTACCTTACAGTGCCAAGTCAGTGTGCCCACCTCATCACCATGGGCCCTTCCTTCATCTGTATCAGTGTAAAGTTTGTTGCCATGATATTTAAAGGAATGTTCAGATTTCAACCCCATCTTCTCCCTCCAGGAGTCCCAGAGGCTGGCCTCTCTCTAGGCCAATCCTCAAGCATCTGGTAAGTATAGTGGCCATATCAAAGTGGAGACCATTGGGAAAAGTTTGTTGACTGACTTTCTGAGAATATTGGCAATTCAGCCAATTTAAAATAATAATAATAATAATAATAATCCCCACTGCTGTATACACCTCCAACTATCTCCACTTACTGCCTAAGCATTCCTCTCCAATTGTAGTCCACCTAACTAGGAAGAAGGGGAAAGAGAGGGAGGAGAATTTTCTAAGTCCCTAATATATGCCAAGCTCTAGGGAAGTCACCAATGTCAAGGCCAACAGCCTCAATCTCTCCTTGTTGTTTGCATATTTACGTGAATATTAAATTCTGATTACAACCACACTGTCTCAACCTGACACCTGAATATGGAAAGCCCAACTGAGAACAATATGTGCATGTTTTCCTAAATAAAGCAAATCAAAAAACTGAGTCCGTTATTCTGATATCTTAGGGAAAGAGTATCTCTGGTCTGCTTCAATGATCCAAATCTTGTTGTGATGTGGTCCATGTTGAATTGCCAGATATTGGTTTGTAGAGGGAGACATATGCCCACATGTCCATTGTCCATACTCAAGAGCTAGCCCTTCAGTCATAAGATATCCCTGATTGCTGGCACAAAATACAAGTGTTTCTTAAAGAACCTCTGCTTCTCTTGCCAAGGCAGGAGGTGAGGAACCTGTACGACGTGCATCCCAGGAAACATGCAGAGCCCACCATTTGCTTTTTAACCCCAGGAGGCCATAAGATGGCATAGGCTGACCAACTTGGGGCCACTGAGCAGGCAAAAGTTCAAAAATAATCACCTCAAAAGGCAGAGGCAGCAGATGTCAGAAACACATTCTATTTAATGCTTTTTGGCTGCCTGGTGGGAGCTAACTGGCAGTCAGGCTGTCAACGCCAGTGATATTTAATTTAATTTTTCCCATGAAAACACTGTGGGGACTCATTAATCCAGAGAGCCCATTTCCTGGGAATAATAATGAGATTTTACCAGGTACACAATTGTTCCAGTTGCCTCCCTTACTTCATTATTCGCTGAAGTATTCCAGAGACCACTGATGCTATTTTTGATCTGGAAGTAAGGGGCAGAGTCCACTGAGCCAATCACATAGGGAGACACTCCTGTCCTTAAAGTGTTCTCTGGACCCTGCCAAACCAGGTCATCTCAAGCACGTAAGACTTAAGGTCAGAGAGTTTCTATTGATGTGGATGCCACTTTGGTTTACTAAAGGCGCATGCTATAGTTTCAGAATAAGACTGTGAAGAATGACGGGATCTGGAGGAAGTTGTTTATCCAGAGCTGAAACATAAGGAAGCCAATTTCAAGGGTGGGGCATCCACCCTCAGAACAAGACTCTTCTTCTTAGAGCCTCATTGTTAGCCATGAATCTTGGGCTACTCAGATGGACCCAGTCACCCAGGGTTCCCTCTCCTGAGACACATTTACACCTGCAAAGATACTGCCCGTAGCGCCCTGTCAAAATCTGACTGTCCCAGTCCCATTTCTTCAATGTCTGCCTGGTGACTGAGAAGTCAATCAAATACACTGATTAGTAATAGAGAATTAATGGATGATAATTACTTATGTGTTGTCCTTCCAAATAAAAATAATAATATGGATTCAGCTGAAGTTTAAGTCTTAACCTGAATTTTCCAATTACGGGAATTTTAGGCAATACGGCAGGCCAGTGGAGAAATTTGAGAAAGGAGTTAGGAAATTGGTCTCCTTTTGCATCAAATAAGCCACTAGTTATTCTGTTAACACTTAGAGCTGGCTCTGCATACTCCCATCTGGGAAAGGAGGAGAGTCTATTAAGTTGGGTGCTAAAGTATGATTTACAATAAAAAGGCCAAAAAAATTGAAATGGCCATATGTTAATCTTGGGGAATCTTGCACAGTTACTGACATTATTATGCGGAGTGTATTAATCTGTTTTCATGCTGCTGATAGAGACATACCCGAGACTGAGAAGAAAAAGAAGTTTAATTGGTCTTATAGTTCCACATGGCTGGGGAGGCCTCAGAATCATGGCAGGAGGTGAAAGGCCCTTCTTACATGGTGGCAGCAAGAGAAAATGAGGAAGAAACAAAAGCAGAAACCCCTGATAAAACCATCAGATCTTGTGAGACTTCCCCACTCTCAGGAGAATAGCATGGGAAAGACCAATGCCCATGGTTCAATTACCTTCTCCTGGGTCCCTCCCACAACATGTGGGAATTCTGGGAGATAAAATTCAAGTTGAGATTTGAGTGGGGACACAGCCACACCATATCATTCCACCCCTGGCCCCTGCAAATCTCATGTCCTCATATTTCAAAACCAGTCATGCCTTCCCAACAGTCCCCCAAAGTCTTAACTCATTTCAGCATTAACCCAGAAGTCCATAGTCCAAAGTCTCATCTGAGACAAAGTAAGACCCTTCCACCTATGAGCCTGTAAAATCAAAAGCAACATAGTTACTTCCTAGATACAATGGGGGTACAGTATTGGGTAAATACAGCCATTCCAAATAAGAGAAATTGGCCAAAACAAAAGGGCTACAGGGCCCAAGCAAGTCCAAAATCCAGTGGGGTGGTCAAATTTTAAAGCTCCGAAATGATCTCCTTTGACTCCAGGTCTCAAATACAGGTCACACTGATGCAAGAAGTGGGTTCCCATGGTCTTGGGCAGCTCCGCCCCTGTGGCTTTGCAGGGTACAGCCTCCCACCCGGCTGCTCTCACGGGCTGGCATTGAGTGTCTGAGGCTTTTCCAGGCACACAGTGCAAGCTGTTGGTGGATCTACCATTCTGGGGTCTGGAGGACGGTGGCCCTCTTTTCACAGTTCCACTAGGCAGTGCCCCAGTAGGGACTCTGTGTGAGGGCTCCAACCCCACATTCCCCTTCCACACTGCCCTAGCAGAGGTTCTCCATGAGGGCCCTGCCCCTGCAGCAAACTTTTGCCTGGGCATCCAGACATTTCCATACATCTTCTGAAATCTAGGCAGAGGTTCCCAAACCTCAGTTCCTGACTTCTGTGCACCCACAGGCTCAACACCACGTGGAAGCTGCCAAGGCTTGGGGCTTCCACCCTCTGAAGCCACGGTCAGAGCTAAATGTTGGCCCCTTTCAGCCACAGCTGGAGCAGCTGGGACACAGGGCACCAAGTCCCTAGGCTGCACCAAGTCCCTAGGCTGGGACTCTGGGCCTGGCCTACAAAACCACTTTTTCCTCCTAGGCCTCTGGGCCTGTGCTGGGAGGGACTGCCGTGAAGTTCTCTGACATGGCCCAAAGACATTTTCCCCATGGTCTTGGGGATTAACATTAGGCTGCTTGCTACTTATGCAAATTTCTGCAACTGGTTTGAATTTCTCCTCAAAAAATGGGTTTTTCTTTTCTACGGCATCATCGGGCTACAAATTTTCCAACTTTTATGCTCTGTTTCTCTTTTAAAATGGTATGCTTTTAACAGCACCCAAGTCACCTTTTGAATGCTTTGTTGCTTAGAAATTTCTTCTGCCAGATACCCTAAATCATCTCTCTCAAGATCAAAGTCCCAAAATCTCTAGGGCAGGGGCAAAATGCAGCCAGCCTCTTTGCTAAAACATAACAAGAGTCACTTTTGCTCCAATTCCCAACAAGTTCCTCATCTCTATATGAGACCACCTCAGCCTGGACCTTATTGTTCATATCACTATCAGCATTTTTGTCAAAGCCATTCAACAAATCTCTAGGAGGTTCCAAACTTTCCCACATTTTCCTGTCTTCTTCTGAGCCCTCCAAACTGTTTCAGCCTCTGCCTGTTACCCAGTTCCAAAGTCACTTCCACATTTTCAGGTATCTTTTCAGTAATGCCCCACTCTACTGGTACCAATTCACTGTATTAGTCCAAATTCACGCTGCTGATAAAGACATATCTGAGACTGAGAAGAATAAGAGATTTAATTGGACTTACAGTTCCACATGGCTAGGGAGGCCTCAGAATCATGGTAGGAGATGAAAGGCATTTCTTACATGGCAGCAGCAAGTGAAAATGGGGATGAAGCAAAAGCAGAAACCCCTGATAAACCCACCAGATCTCATGAGACTTATTCACTATCACGAGAACAGCAGGGGAAAGATTGGCACCCAGGATTCAATTACCTCCCCCTGGGTCTCTCCCACAACACGTGGGAATTCTGGGAGATACAATTCAAGTAGAGATTTAGGTGGGGACACAGACAAACCATTTCAAGGAGTATGTAGAAATATGACAAATTATGTATTAAATTAATTGGGGAGATCAAAATAATATCTATATTAAAATTGTAGATATTTTTAAAACACATATCAAGTACCACTTTGCCTTTAAAAAGAGAGAAATCTTGTCATTTGCAACAACATGGATGAATCTGGAAGATATTATGCTGAGTGAAATATGCCAGGCACAGAAAGACAAATACTGCCTGATCTTACTCATGTGTGGAATCTAAAAGAAGGTGAACTCAAAGAATTAGAGAGTAGAACAATGGTCACCAGACGCTGTGGGGTGGAGAAGAAGGGAATGGAGAATTACTGATCAAAAGGTATAAAGTTTCAGACAGACAGGAGGACTAGGTTTACTGCAATTAAGATTACTATAGTCAAAATAATGTACTATATATTTAATAATAAGTAAGAGTAAATTTCAGATGTCTCAGTGTAAAAAATGATAGGTAAGTCAGATGATGGATAAGTTAATTAGCTTAAATAGATCATGCCACATTGATCTATATCAAAATATCACATTATACTCCATAAATGTGAATAACTACAACTTGTTAGAAAAGATAGATAGATAGATAGATAGATAGATAGATAGATAGATACATACATACATACATACATACATACATACATACATAGAGGTAATAATTGGACACAATATTGGGAAATGATTTCAATAGCCAATATGAGTAAGGGATAGGATTAACCCTTCAATTTCCTGCAGCAGTCTAGATAAACTTTTCTTTGCAAAGATAATAAGCTATTTAAAAAAGGAGAATATGGGCACGAAGGATATTAAATTCTAGCCTGAATGCTCCAGAGACTTTCTGAAGGTAGACTAAGAAGATATCTGTGCTCAGGTACGATACTCTGCTAAAGAAAACATGTAGATACTTAATGCCATGTTTTAAAAATGCATACCATCTACTTAAGGAAGAAAATTTACCTTAGATGGACTGGAAAACTTCAATAACATTGGAAGAGATCCCTCCTCTTGCAGATGGATCTCATTTTTGATAAATAGACTCTCCCCAACCCAATCTAAAGTGTCCCAGCCCACCCACAGGCGTCTGCCTGGCCCAGGAGCTGAGGCTGAGAGCATGCTGCCCACAGAAACGGGGACTTGCCACCCAGTGCTCAGCCTGTTCTCAGAAGCTGCAGTTTCCTTCCTCCATCCTGCCATTGACCTCAAATTGAGGAAGGAAAGTAGCCATTTGATTGCTGCTGTTTCCATTTCTAGCTCTCTAAATTTAGCTGCTAGACTTTTTGACCTGGCCTTCTGAGGCCAGGCATAATATCTTCCAGTTTCATCCATGCTGTTGCAGATGATAAGATTTGTCTCTTTTGAAAGCCAAGTAGTACTTGATACGTGTTTTCAAAACGGCTACAATTTTAATATGGGTATTATTTTGATTTCGCCACTTAATTTAATATATACTTCAGCATATTTCTACATACTCCTTGACATGGTTTGGCTGTGTCCCCACCCAAACCTCAGCTTCAATTGTATTTCCCAGAATTCCTACTCTGAGAACTTTGTATTTTTCTATTTTAGTTGTTTTGTGTTGAATTGAAGGCATTTCAGCACAGAAACTGAAATTCTCCAGAATGTCGGATTCTGGAAACTCCAAAGTTTAAGGATGAATACAGAGCTCCTGGCTTTTTCAAGTTCCCATCAGATTTTCAGTTTGAGTTTTTGTCCAACAAAGTGGTTCATGTTGCTCAAATTCCCATCTCCTCCGCTTACCTTCATTCACTCATGCAACATTTGACAAACATTTACTAAGTATCTACTGTATGTCAGGCACTCCTCTAGGCACTGGGACAACAGCATGAACAAAGCAGATAGAGGTATCTGATTACCTTGCTGTGGGAAGAAACAACTTATAACCAGAATACATAAGAAAAATAGTAAACTAGATGGTGATCCAATTATCTGAGGGGAAATAAGCAGGGAAAGGAAAAGGGGGTGTTGGGAGTAAAGATGACTGTTGCAATTCATTACATAGAATCACAAGAAATTGCCATCTTGGAGGTCATATATTACTTTTGAACTACTGGCAATTTCATGTGATTTAATCTGCATTGGTTTTCTACTGTTGCATAACAAATTATCACACACTTAGTGTTCTCAGCAAATAATGCAATGAGTACAAAGATCCTCAGGGAGTCATATGCTTGGATTGTTGAAGAACAGCCATGAGGTCTTAGTAGCTGGACTGGAGACCGAAAGTAGCAGGATTTCAAGTCAGACAGCATTGCAAAGTGAATAGATCACACAGGGACCAGTTAGCAATGGAAAGGATTTGACTTTAACTCTGAGAGTATTGAGAACTCAATAAAGAATTCTGAGCAGATTTTGGCATGATCTGACTTACAAACTGACAGGAACACTTGCTGCTGTGTTGAGAACACATGAAGAGAGGCAAGGGCAGAAGCAGGGAGACCAGTTAGGAATCGGCTTCCGTAATCTAGGCAAGAAATGATGGTGGTTTGGACCTGGGTAGCAAAGGAGGTGGTGAGGAGTGACTGGGTTCGGAGTATATTTTGAAAGTAGGACTGAAAAGACTGCACATAAGGTAAAAGAAAAGTCAAAAATGACTCTGCTATGTTTTGGATTTAGTCTGTCCCTGCACAAACTCATGCTGAAATTTGATTCCCAATGTGGCAATGTAAGTCATATGGACTAGTGGGAGGTCTTTGAGTCATTGAGGCTGGGGGGGATTCCTTCATGGACAGATTAATGTTCTCCCATGGAGGTGAGCACTTGCTCTCTCAGGAATGGATTCATTCCTGCAAAAAAAGGTTCTTAAAAAGAGTCTGGCTTCCTTGGTTTCTCTTGCTTCCCCTCTCCCAATGTGATCTCTTTGCAAACTTCACTCCTCTTCACTCCCCTTCTACTTTCCACCATGAGTAGAAGCAACAAGAGGCCTTCACCAGAGGCAGCTGCCCAATCTTGAACCACCCAGCCACCAGAGTCATAAGCCAAATTAGCATCTTTTCTTTATAAATTACGGAGTCTCTGGTATTCTGTTTTAGCAACACAAAACAGACTAAGATAGACTTCCAAGGTTTTTGACTTGAGCAACCAAAAGGATGCAATTGCCATTCATGAAAATAGTGACGACTGCAGGAAGAGCAAGCCTGTGAAGGAGATACCAGTAGCTTTGTTTTAGTCAGGTTAAATTTTAGTTGCGTGTTGACATCTGAATTGAGATTTCAAGTAGACGGTTGGGTACACAAGGCTGGGGCCAAGGGAGACATCTAGCTAAGACAGAAATTATATATTCAGCTAAACATAAGTCCACACTGACATCTCTGACCTTAACCCAGTACCACAGAGTTCATTCTAGCCTTCCTGTCTTGCTCATCTGTAACTTTACTCTCTGACAATGAGAAACCTGGTCCCACCAATGAAGATCATTCTTGACCTTGACAGAGGAATTTCTGTGAAACAGGGGAACCTAAAGCTTGGCTGGAGTGTGTTTCAAAGAGAATGAGAGAAGAGAAATTGGAGTCAACAACTATACGTAAACAGTGGTTCCCAACATTCAGTATAGATCACAATCACCTGCAGGCTTGTTAAAGCACAGATTGCTGGGCCCACACCCAGAATTTTTGATTCAGTAAATTTGGAGTAAGGCCCAAGAATATGTATTTCTTACAAGCTCCCAGATGATGCTAATGCTGCTGGTACTTATACCACACTTTGAGAACCACTAGACTCACAGAATTTTGCTTGACAAGGAAGACAAGAAATGGAGCAATAGATAGATGGTGAAGTTTTTTGAGGTGTGTGTGTGTGTGTGTGTGTGTGCATGCGCATGTGTGTGTGTGTAGGCAAGTGGTAACAGCACATTTGTAGTCTAATGAGAAGAGTCAAGTAAAGAGGAAAAGAATACTGTTTCAAGAGATGGGGATAGTGGAAATGGTAGGGAATTGCTGGAGGAAAATCCTTGAGCTGGTGAGAGGATAGAATCAGTGCCGAGAAAGGACAGGCCTGAAAGGGCAGCATGTTCAATTCATTCTTAATAACTAGAGGGAAAGTAGAGTATATCAGAACAAATGGAGGTAGATGAGAGGTGGCACCGGGGCCTTGTGAAGTCTCTTTTCATTGTCTCTCATTTCTCAGTGAAAGAATATGTAGTTATCCCCTGAGAGAGAGGCTGGAGGAGGCAGCGTCAGAGTTTGGAGGTTAAAGAATGCAAAGAATCGCCTAAGAGAAGGGAGAGTAAATAGATTAGAGAAATATAGAATGATTGCTACGCAGCATTATGAGCCTTCTTGGGGTGAGTGGTCAGGAAGTGAAAGTGAGACAGGCATGTGTGGCTGTGTTTTTCTTCCAGCCTGGTTCAGCAGCACGGGAACAGGCGTGGAGTAAGAGCAGAGTTGGATTTGTGCAGGATGTGGTTTCTCAGGGAAAGGCAATGAAGCAAGAGAAAAGCCAGAGATTTGGCTTGTTGACTATAATGAAAGCACTTTCCATTTCTGTTTGGCCTTATGAAATATTCAATAAAAAATACTTTCTACATTTATCTTTTCCTGTTATTGAAGCAACAATAATAATTGCAATTTTAAAGGCTGTGACCATCATGGAAATGTATTTATAATACAGTGTTATTGAACAAAGGTAGGAATCAAAACTGGGTCTATCCTGGGATTGCAGAAAAATAAAAATGACGGAAGAATGTGGACAATGGTAAGTACAGGGATGACTGAAAAGAGTTTTATTCATGTAGTGGTGAGATTGTGGAGGAATTTCTTTCTTATTTTCCTATTTATTTATGTTCAGTTTAGGTCAATAAACATTAATTGAGCATCTATTAATGCCCATCATTGTTCTAGGCTCCAAGAGCACCAAAAAAAAGGAAGAAGATTCAGAAAAGAAGAAAGAGGAAGATGGGAAGAAGATGGTGGAGAAGGAGGAGAAATTATAGTTTTCTTTTTCACTTAAAAAGCCTATAGGCTAAGAATGATATTGCCATGTTTTTGTTTATATAACAAATCATTATACTAAAAATTTTACCATAAATGTGGCAAACAGGATTTTAGTGTCTTTAACAGACTACATTAGTTATATTCTTTTGGTTATAAGTAAGAATCTTACTAAAATTAAGTTAAGCAAAGCAGGACACCTGATTGTAAGGACTGGATCGCAAAAACCTAATGGCAAGAAATAGTGGGACCCCAGGAGCAAGCTGGAAGCAGAGACCTGAACACAACTAGTCTCTCTGCCTCTCATCTCTACTCTTCTGTGAGTGTTGCCTTCATTCCTCTCTCTTGCTGCATCCAGCTTCCTCTCCTCCTCAGTCCATATGGCAAAAAATGATGACCTTGAATACCTTTACTTGTTACTGGTCCAGTAATTAGGAAAAGAACGATTCTCTCTCTCTCTCTCTCTCTCTCTCTCCTCCCCCTGACCCCCCACCTTGCCACCCATAGCATTCCCAGCTTGAGTCAGACATCCATTACTAAACTGATGAAATAGTAAAAGCGTCCAAGAAAGGGATTTTGGTCAAGTTTGGGTCAATCAAAAGTGACAAAAGGGCTGTGTTGTTTTCAAAACATGGCTGCTGAGAGTTCCACCACTGTAAGCGTGTGATTAAAAAACAAGGAGGCTATTCTAAAAAATAGCAAGGCTATTACCCCAATAAGTATACATTCCTTCTCTTTTCTACTCAACATATATACACCCTCTTCCGCTACACATGAAATTCCAAATATGACCTTACTTTATGTAACACAACCATCTTCTCCCTAGTGGCAAAGCCACACCCAGCTACTGCACCCAAAGGAGATTTCACAGAACCACTGCTCTCCATTCAGGATCTTCAGGTGATGTCCATTATTTCTTTAGTGTAATTTCCATCTGCTCCAGGTATGACCCTTTCTGATTTTACAACTGGCAAACAAAATGATAAGTGTGATCAATGTAACCAACTTCTACCCTATATACAAATGTGGAGGAAAAACAAAATAACTACCAAAAAAAATCCAAATGGGCACTAGCCAAAAATACATATTTTACTCTTTTTATTAGAGATAATAAACTACATTAAATTACTGGTGTATTTCATGGGTCACTGATAAGTTCCATTCGAGAAGAACTCCATTTAATAGTACTCCATGACACAAATCTTTTCATCACCTTTAAAGTCCTAGGTCTGCTAAATGGTACTCCAGGGACAAGGCCATGACCATGCAGCTTGTTTCTTAGCAGAAACACTGAGGAATTTTCTCACCTTCTTTGTATCTATTTAAGGACCTTGGTTTGGGGCCACACGTGGGAAACTATTAATAGAATGTGGGGTAGGTTAGCAAGGTGGCTTTCTCTCAGATTACACTGGCTGATTGTCTCTGTACCTAAGGCTCTATTTTGGTCCAGGAAGCTGCATCCCTTAGTCCAACAGAGGACCTAGAAAAAGGGGTATCAGGAAACCCAGGACCTCTAAGATTTTCCTTTCTAATTGTTGATTCTCCAACTTCCCCATAAAAACCTCAATCTTAGTTTTAGAGATGGGGAATAACAGAGAGTCCAGCTGTTATTACTTACCAGATGTGATTTTCTAGCCCAGTCTCAGTTCACTGGGTACTAACAGGGAAGATGTTTCTTCCTTGTTGCATCCTTGATCTCTCGTTCTGTGTCTACTTTCATCCAGGCTCCTGGGACTGAAGCTCGCCACTGACTGCAACATCACCCTGAAAACACAGAATGCAGCCTTGCTGCCTCAAGTTGAAATCATCCCTTAAGTTCTGTTACTCACAATGCCTGCTCCCTAGGACCAAGCTCTCTATTAGTCAAGATTCTATTAGTTGTATTTGAAAGACATCCTCTCAAAGAACTTAAGGGAAAAAAAAGAAGGCTGCGAGAGAGTGAAACTATTAGCAGGAATGAAACCCAATTTCGATAATGAACTAGAACGAGGGGTTTAGTCCTAATCAAACCTCTGCCTCCCATATGTACTCTTCCAGTCAGCTTCACTGATACCTCTTGCTGCAGAATGGTTTTCTCTATTTTTCAGGCAACATGATGTCAAATGTGGCTTCTGAGAGCTTCTGAGTTAATGGGTTACTGGCCCATGTGACTGGAGGAAAAGCAGCTCTTTCTCAACCCCCAGTTGGTCAGATGGATCAATCAATGGTAGTTAGGAAGCCCAGCTCACTCCTTATAAATGTGACTAGGGAATTCTCCCACTATAAACTATGGAGAATGGAGGTGGGAGAGTTCTCATATTAAGAGGGGATATACTTGTTCAATAAACACACAAAACTGTATGCCAGTGAATTGGATAACTTAGGTCAAATAAATTCCTAAAAAGATGTGAACTACTGAAACTGACTAAAGAAGAAATAGACAAATCTGAATAAACCTATAACAAATAAAGAGATTGAATTACTAGCTTTTAAACTTCCGACGAGGAAAAGTACAGGCTCAGATAGCTTCGTTGATGAATTCCTTCAAATGTTTAAGGAAGAATTAATACCAATTTTTCACATACTCTTCTAGAAAATAGAAAAGTAGGGAATTCTTTTCAACTAATTCTATTGGGCCAGCATTACCCTGATATCAAAGCCAGACAAGCCAGGCACATTGGCTCATGCCTATAATCTCAGTGCTTTGGAAGGCCAAGGCGGGAGGATCACTCGAAGCCAGGAGTTTGGGCAATATAGCAAGACCTCATCTCTACAAAAAAAAAATAAAAAATTTTCTAAAAGCCAGACAAAGACATCATAAGAAAAGAAAATTACAGATCAATACCTCTTACAGTTATAGACAAAAAAATCCTGAACGAAATACTAGCAAACAAATCCAACAACATACACAAGGATTAATCACCATGGCCAAGTAGAATTAATCCCAGGAGGGCAAGATTGGTTTTGTAGCCAAAAATCAGTTAATGTAATATACCACATCAACATAATAAAAGACAAAACCATATGATCATCTCAATAGTTGCAAAAAAAAAAATTGTCGAACTCTACATTTTACCATGGTAAAACTACTCAGGAAACCAGGAACAAAAGGGAACTTCCTTCACCTAATAAAAAGTATCTACAAGAAAGCCCACAGCTAACATCATACTTTTTGTTAACTTTTATTTAAGTTCAAGTGTACATGTGCAGGTATGTTATACAGGTAAACTTGTGTCATGGTGTTTGTTGTACATATTAATTCATCACCCAGGTATTAAGCCTACTACCCACGAGTTATTTTTCCTGATCCTCTCCCTCCTCCAACCCTTTATCCTCCAACAGGCCCAAGTGTATGTTATTCCCCTCTATGTGTCCATCTTAATAGTAAAAGATTAAATACTCTCCCCCATGATCAATAATAAGATAAGGATGTCCATTCTTACCACTTCTATTTAACATTGTACAGGAGTTTATAGCCAAGGTAATTGGGCAAGAAAAAAATAATAAAGGGCACCCAGATTGGAAATAAGGAAATAAAACTACCTCTATTTTGACATGATTTTATATACAGAAAATCCTAATGAATCCACTAAAAAATCTATTAGAACTAATCAACAAGTTCAGCAAGGTTGCCAGCTTAATATACAAAATATGCACTATCGATTGTATTTCTCTATGCTAGGAATGAAAATCTAAACATTTAAGAACACAGTTTCATTCACAATAGTATCAAAAAATAAAATACTTCTTTTTAAAACAACTACAAATTCTTAAAAGTAAAAAACATTGCTAAAAGAAATTAAAAGCCTAAATAAATAGAAAGACATATTATCCCATGTTGATATATTGGAAGAATATTATTAAGATGGCAATACCCTCAAATTGATCTATAGATTGAGTACAATCCCTATCAAAAGCCCAGCTGACTTTTTTTTTCCAGAAACTGGCAAAATTCTAAAATACATATGGAAATATAAAGGACCCAGAGCAGCCAAAATCATCTTACAAATAAAGTTGTAGGATGCACACTTTCCAATTTCATAAAAGCAATAGTAAATAAGACAGTGTAGGTACTGGCATAAGAATAGACATGTAGATCCATAGAATAGAATCAAAGTTCACATATAAACCTTCACATTTATGGTCAACTGATTTCAACAGAACGTCAAGACAATTCGATGAGGGAAAGAATGGTCTTTTTAACTAACAGTGCTGTGACCACTGGATATCTATCTACACAAAAATAAAGTTGGACCCATTCCTCACCATATATACAAACACTCCAAGTGGATCATAGACCTAAATGCAAAAGTTAAAACTATAAAACTCTTCGGAGAAAACATAGGTAGAAATCTCTGTGATCTTGGGTTAGACAAAGCCTTCTTGGATATGACACAAAAAGCACAAGCAACAAAGGGGGAAAAGAACTGGACTTTATTGTTTTTATAGCAACAAACGCCTATACCAAACAAGAAGAGAGATCTCAAATAAACAATCTTCAAGCAACTAGAAAAAGAAGAACAAACTGAGTCCAAATTGGGCTGAAGGAAGGAAATAACAAAGATCAGAGCAGAAATAAATGGAGACCAGAAAATAATAGACAAAAAAATTAATGACAATAAGAGTTGCATTTTTAAAAGATAAAATTGACAAACTCTTAGGCTAACTAGGAAAAAAAGAGAGAAGATTAAAATAAATAAAATTAGAAATGAAAGAGGAAACATTACAACAGATAGCAAAGAAATGCAAAGGATCAAAGAAAATTACTGTGAACACTCATATGCTAACAAATTGGATAATCTAGAAGAAATAGATAAATTTCTAGACACAAACGGCCTGCCAACATTGAACTATGAAGAAATAAAAAAAAAATCTGAACAGACCAATAATGAGTAAGGAGCTGAATCCGTAATAAAAAATTACCTCATCAAAGAAAAGCCCAGGACCAAATGGCTTCACAGCTAAATTCTACCAAACATTTAAAGAAGAACTAATACTAATCCTTCTCAAATGCTTCTATAAAATTGAACTGGAGGGAACACTTCGAAATTCATTTTATGAGGCCAGCATTACCCAGATACCAACGTCAGACAAGGATAGTACAAGAGAAAAAAACTATAGGTCAATATCCCTGATGAACATAGATGGAAAAATCCTCAACAAAATACTAGGAAATTCAATCACATATCAAAACAATCATTCACCATGACCAAGTGAGATTTATCCCAGGGATGCAAGGATGGTTCAATATACACAAATCTATAAATGTGATATACCACATTTACAAAATGAAGTATAAAAATCATCTGATCATCTCAATAAATGCAGAAAAATCATTTGATAAAATTCAACACTCTTTCATGGTAAAAAAACAGAACTCTTAACAGATTAGGTACAGAAGAAATGGACTTCAACACAATAAAGGTCACATAGCTAACATAGTACTCAACAGTAAAAAATTGAAAGATTTTCCTCTGAGTTCAGGGACAACACAGGGATGCCCACTCTCATCATTTCTTTTCAACATAATACTGGAAGTCCTAGCCAGAGCAATTAGGCAAGAGAAAGAAATAAAAGGCATCCAAATAGAAAAGAAAAAAGTAAAATTTTCTCTGTTTGCTGATGACATGATCATATATATAGAAAATCCCAAAGATTCCACCAAAAAACTGCTAGACCTGATAAACAGATTTAGTAAAGTTGCAGGATACAAAAACAACATATGAAAATTAGTAGCATTTCTAAACACTAATAACAAACTATTCAAAAAGGAAACAATTACATTTACAATAGTAACAAGAAAAAAATTTAAACCTTAGGGGTAAATTTAACCAAGGAGATGAAAGACCTCTGTACTGGAAACTACAAATCACTGATGAAATAATAGGAGGAAACACAAACAAATGAAAGATATTCCATGTTCATGAAGCTAAAGAATTAATATTGTTTAAAATGCCTATACTACCCAAAATTGTCTATAGATTCAATGTAATCTCTATGAAAATTCCAATGTCAGCTTTCAGAGAAATGTAAAAAAAAAAAAAATCCTTAAATTCATGTGGAACTACAAAAGAACAAAGCTGGAGACATCACACTCCCTGATTTCATAGTATGTTATAAAGCTATTGTAATCAAAACAGCATGGTAATGGCATAAAAACAGACACATCAACCAACGGAAGAGAATAGAAAGACTGTAAATAAACCCACACATATACAGTCAATTGATTTTTGACAAAGGTTCCAAGAACACACAATGGAGAAAGGATGACCTCTTCAACAAATGGTGCTGGGAAAACTAGATATCCACATGCAAAAGAATAAAATTAGAAACTTATCTGACACCATGAACCAAAAACAACTCAAAATGAATTAAAGACTTAAACATAAAACCTGGAACTGTAAAACTACTAGACAAAAGCATAGGCAGAAATCTCCACAACATTAGCCTGGGCGCAATGGTTTTTTGGATATGGCCCTGAAAGCTCAGGCCACAAAGGCAAAAATAGACAAATGTAATTGTATCAAACTAAAAAGCTTTGACACAGCAAAAGAAACAATTAACAAGGTGAAGAGACATCTTTGCAACTATGCAACTATATACCTGATAAAGCTTAATATTTAAAATATATAAGAAACTCAAATAGTGAATTTCTCAATAGTAAGAAAAACAAATAGCCCAATTTAAAAATAGGTAAAGAATCTGAATAGGCCCTTCTCAAAAGAAGACATACGAATGGCCAACAGGGCCATGAAGAAAATGCCCAATGTCACTAATTATCAGGGAAATAAAAATTAAAACCATAATGAGATATCATGCCACCCTTGTTAGAATGGCTTTTATCAAAAAGAGAAAAGATAACAAGTGTTGGTGAGGATGCTGAGAAAAGGGAACCCATGTATGCTGTTGGTGGAAATGTAAATTGGTATAGCCATCATGAAAAAATTGTGTGTAGGTTGCTCAAAAAAGTAAAAGTAGAACTCTGTACAATCCGGTACTCTCATTTCTGGGAACATATTCAAAGGAATTGAAATCATTGTATCAAAAGGATATCTGTACTCCCATACTCCCAATAGCCAAGATAAGGAATCAACCTGTGTTCACTAACAGATAAATGAATAAAGATAATGTATGTCCAGACAATGGAATACTATTCAGTCTGTAAAAAGAAGGCAATTCTGTCACTTGAAACAACATGGATAAATCTGGAGGACAGTATACTAAGTGAAATAAGCCAGGCACAGAAAAACACGTACCTCGTGATCTCACTTATATATGGAATCTTTAAAAAGTTGAATTCATAGCAGTAGAAAGCAGAATGATGGCACCAGAACCTGGGAGTATGGGGATCAAGAGAATGAACGGGGAATTATTGGCCAAAGGGTACAAAGTTTCAGCTAGACAGGAACAATAAGTTTTGAGATCTACTACACAGAAGAGTGACTACAGTCAATAACGTATACTTCAAAATAACCAAGGGAAGAAATCTCAAATGTATTGCCACAAAAAATATCAAGTAAGGTGATGGTTATGTTAACTAGTTTGATTTAATCATTTCACATTATATACATATATCAAAATACCACAATGTACCCCATGAATGTATACAGTTATGATTTGTCAATTAAAAATAATACTAATTTTTTTAAATGAAAAAAACTTCAGAAGAAAACAAAGCATAATGGAAAATAAAAGTGTTGTGGAGAGGGAGGCTAGATCAAACAAGAACAGCAAATTGTTGAGGCTGGGTGCTAAAAACAAGGAGATTCATTATATTGTCTCATGTTTGTTTGAAAATTTTCATATTAAAGGTTTACTTTTTAAAGATGAAATGTTAAATAAATAAAATAAATTTTAAAATGCTAAAACAATTTAACTTTTGTGCTTCAGTGAACACCATCCAAAAAGTGAAAAAAACCCACAGAATGGGAGAAAATATTTGCAAATTACACCCCGTTAAGGAAATTGTATACCAAGTATATAAAGAACTCTTACAACTCAATAATAAAAGGGCAACCCAGTTTTAAAACAGGCAAAGGATTTGAATAGACAGTCCTCCAAAGATACACAAATGACCAATAAGCACATGAAGAGATGCTCAACTTCCGTAATCATTGAGGAAATGCAAATCAAAACCACAAGATCCACTTCACATCCACTGGGAAGGCTATAATCAGGCAGATAATAACAAGTATTGTCAAGGATGTGGAGTGATTGGAACCCTAATACACTGTTGATGGGAATGTAAAATGGTGTGGCTGCTTTGAGAAAATGTGTGGCACTTCCCCAAAAGGTTAAACACAGACTTACCATATGATTCAATAATTCCATTCCTAGGTATATGTCCAACAAAAGCAAAAATGTATGTCCACACAAAAATTTGTATACAAATGTTCATAGAAGCATTCAAAATAGCCACACACAAAAAGTGGAAACAACCCAAATGTTCGTCAGCGGATTAATGAATAAATAAAATGTGGCATATTCATACAATAGCATATTATTTTGCAATAAAAAAATGAAGTGTGTAGTTATGCTAAGTGAAAGAAATTAATCCCAAAAGACCACATAGTGTATGAATTCTTTTATGTGAAATGTCCAAAATAGCCGGCAGAGTGGTTGGGGAGAAATGGGGAGTGATGGGTACATGGTTTCATGTTAGAATGATGAAAATGTTCTAAACTTGATGGCAGCGATGCTTGCGTAACTCTGTGAATATACTAAAACCATTGAATTATACACTGTTAATTGTATGATATAAGAATTATACCTCAAAAGGTTGTCATAAGTAATAAAAAGTAATCTCTTTTTTTTTCTTTAGAGACAGGATCTCACTCTGTCACCCCAGCTGGAGTACAGTGGCACAATCATAGCCCATAAAGACTGGAACTCCTGGGCTCAAGTGATCCTCCCACCTCAACCTCCCAAAGCCCTGGGATTGCAGGTATGAGTCACTGCATCCAGCCGAAAAGCAATATCTTAATCAAGTCTTGAGAAATACCCAGATCAGAAAATGTTGCAATTGGAAGAATTCCAGGTTTAGTGAAAAGATATTCAGTGGATTTTCAAGAGAACTTCCAATTCTTAAATTTAGTTCATTAAAGTGATACTATTTAGTTTAAAAGGATTTAGAGTATATTTGCTCTTAAACTTGATTTATTAGGGAACCTAGTATCTGTTTTACTGTGGATAATTTAATAAAGAGTGGTCTTTTTATTTTAAATTCTTGGGGTAAGAAAAGGTAGTAACTCCCATTATATTGGAATAATTTCAAATCACCAACTTGCACATACAACAGTGTGCTCTAACTACAATCTTGGATGAGGTATAAAACTCTCCATAGCAGAATCTGTTAACCTAAACAAGCAAAAACATAACAAAAAGTTACTCACTTTGTATGTCCTTGGTAATAAGTTTAATGCAAATTTAGAAGAAAAATGAAATATTGGTGAGATGCTATATTTTTACTTCAAAGCCCTGGAATTAGCATTTGGAGAGGTTCCCAAACATTATTTATGGTGTCAGTGACTCTGTTCTCAAATTGAAGTACCATTTTTGGCCTAGATTTGAGATCAGGTACAATTAATGAAGCACCTGGGGAAATTTTTCAAACAGATCCAGATAATCAGTTTCAAGTTGTAAGAGACGTTGCAATTTGGGATCGATAAGCCTATAGCCTCTTGAACATGGAGCACGTCTCACTCATAATGAATCAATGTTTTAAAAACTGAACTTATTCCACTAAACACAAGTCCTCTCCAGATGATATTTAAGATCTTCACCAACCATGACTTACAACTCATTTCCAGAGCCAAGAGTAATATTTTCCATCCCAAATTATTCCATAGCTTTCCAATCTCTTCTATTTTTGAGAATTCGCTTTAGAGAAACTATTATTTCTTATTTTTACTGGCTTTTCTGCACAAAAATTTGTCCTGGTAAAAATTTAAGTTGCTTCAAAAAAATAACATGCTGACTACATTTCATTTTGGAAAACTTCAGTGTTAAGAACATCTCGCTACTCACACTTGATTCCCCTCAACATAGAACCAGACATGTCCCATTCCTGCCAGCAGAGGGAGGGGTAGAAGCCCTTTCTAGCAATACCATCAGCAATTTGTAATGCAAAAGCCTTCCCCCTGCCAGCCCCATTTTCTCACAATACCGTACTAGCCACATTTCTATTATATTTTTTCCAAAGGAAAGTACATATTTACCATTTTACTCAAAGTATAATTAAAATTACATTACCAGATCCATCAGACACACTTCAATTTACATCTTGCTTTAGATATAATCTAAATTAGATATAATCCCTTGCATTAGATACAATCCCTTGTTGAAAAAAAAATTTTTGAGACAGGGTCTCACTCTGTAGCCCAGGCCGGAGTGTGGTGGCCCAATCATGGCTCACTGCAGCCTCGACATCCCAGGCTCAAGCAATCCTCCCACCTCAGCCTCCCAAGTAGCTGGGACTACAGGTGCATGCCACCACGGCCAGCTGATTTTTGTATTTTTTGTAGAGATGGGGTCTCACTATGTTGCCCAGGCTGCTCTCAAACTCCTGGGCTGAGGTAATCTTCCTGCCTCTGAAGTGCTGAAATTACAAACATGAGCCACTGCAGCCAGTGGAAACTCTTTCTTGTCTTCCCTGAACCCACCTGATCCTGGTTTTCCTCCTGCCTCTCTGGCCTTGCCTCTTCAGCCTCCTTCGATAGTGATTCCTCTTCTGCCTGACTTCCAAGTGTTTGGCTCCACAGGCTCTGTTTAAAATAAGTCTCTTGGCCGGGCGTGGTGGCTCATGCCTGTAATCCCAGCATTTTGGAAGGCCAAGGCGGGTGGATCACGAGGTCAAGAGATCGAGACCATCTTGGCCAACATGGTGAAACCCCATCTCTACTAAAAATACAAAAAAATTAGCTGGGCATGGTGGCGCACACCTGTAGTCCCAGCTACTCGGGACCTGGGAGATGGAGGCTGCAGTGAGCTAAGATCGCACCACTGCACTCCAGTCTGGTGACAGAGCAAGACTCCATCTCAAAAAAATAAAATAAATAAGGTAAAATGAGTCTCTTAACCTCCCCCGATTATCTCCTCCTCCTCCTCCTCCTTGTCTTACTCCTCTTTTCCCTGTCTCATTCAGGAGCATTTTAACTTCTTATATTCCCTCCACATCCAATCAGCCTCCTTCCTAGCCTTCACTCTTTCATCCCCGTTAATTTTAGAGTGAGGAAGTCCAGCGAAGGGGGTGTTGGTATTGTCACTCCATCTCTCACCTCCCCTTTCAGCCACTCATCTTCTTCCATAAAGAACTTTGTCATGGACAGAAAGTTTTGTTTCTTGAAACCTGTGTCTTATGAGATTTCAAGCAAATTTCACTTTGCTTTTAAAATTGTGCCACACCTCTTGTAATTCTCCTTGAGAAACAATAAGAGGAAGAGCCAGCACTCCTCTCAGGGAATAAGGCAGGCTCAGGAGCCCAAATGCCTGGGTTCTAGTCCAGATTCTGCACTCATTGCTGTGGGACTTGATCTCTCTGTGCAACAGCTGTCTGATCCGTGAAATGGATCGATAATAGGACAAATGAGGTGTCACGCAGTGTTAGCTCTATTCATTATAATAGACTTCTATTATTGAATTAAGTAAATAAAGCCTCACAGGGGCTTGAAAGACATGAAAGACAGAGGCAGGGAACAAGAATAAAGCATTTCAATTCACCTTTCGTTTAAGTCTGAGGTTTCTTAAACTAGAGCCTCATTAAAACCTTAGGAACATCACTTCTCTCATTTGGAGCCTCTCGGGGAGACTGGCAAACCCTGAGTCCTGCTATGTCTGGGTTGTAAACTTTGTGGGCGGTGGCAGCAGCCTGGAAGACACAGCAGGATTGTGAGGGAGCCAGGAAACCTCCAGGGCAGCCCTGCAGGATGCCACCGCCAGAGCTCAGCCTCATTCCATATGAAATGGAGCCCACTCAGCCAGGAGGAACAAGGTGCTTCCTGCAGCAAAGCGAGCAGCCAGGACCAAAGGCTTAAGGATCCAAAGAACCCAACCAGTAAGGGGGCAGTCTTGGAAGAAACTCTATATATAATGCAGTAATAGAAACTCTTATTTGCCTAATCTGACATTCATTGTTTCTTCCTCTCTATTCACAGAATCCCGCTTTTTACCTGGGCACATTGCTACCTATAAAGAGTGCATTTCCCAGGATCCTTTGGAGTTGGCTGTGGCTATGCATCTAAATTTTGACCAATGGAGTGTAAGCAGCATTGAGCTTATACTCACCTCTCTTCTTCCTTCCTGCTGCCTGGAATACAGACTTGATGGCTGGAGCTCCAAGCAGCCATCTTGGGCCAAGAAACGCTATGTAGAGAGGCAGAGAGACAGGAGCGTGAGTCTCCTATGATTATGTGCAACTACCATCCACAGAACTTTCTACTTTCAGAGCTCTTTATGCAAGTTAGAAATAAACTTCCAACTTATCTAAGCTATTGTTATTTTTTGGTTTTCTGATACATGCACACAAATGTAATCCCAAACAATAGAGAAATTCCACACAAGTATTATCTAATTAGATTTTTTTTAAGTTTATGAGTGCACAGCATAATCAGGGAAACTAAATACTTCAGGTTGGCTCCTTAGAAAGGGCTAATGAATATCCCAAGTGGAAAATAAGAGATAAACAGGAACCTTACCTAATGATAAAAGAATAATGTCCACAGGAAGATTTTTTTAATCTTAAATTTGTATGCACTTAATATGACAGCTTCAAATTATGTAAAGCAAAAGCAACCAAACTGAAAAGAAAGAGAAACAAATCCACAATCAAAGTTGGAGATTTTGGCTGGGTGCGGTGGCTCACGACTGTAATCCCAACACTTTGGGAGGCCAAGATGTGTGGATCACTTGAGGTCAGAAGTTTGAGACCAGCCTGGCCAACAGAGTGAAACCCAATCTCTACTAAATATACAAAAATTAGCCGGGTGTGGTGGTATGTGTGTACCTGTAATCCCAGCGACTCAGGAGCCTGAGGCAGGAGAATCACTTGCACCTGGGAGGCAGAGGTTGCGGTGAGCCAAGATCATGCCACTGGACTCTAACCTGTGCAAAAAAAAAAAAAAAAAGTTGGAGATTTTAACAACCTCTCCCCTCTTAGTAAAATAACTGTTATGGGCTGAATTGTGCCCCCCTACCAAAATTCATCTGTTGAAGTCCTAACCCCCACTCAGTCCCGCGGGGAAAACTTCTCAGGCCACAGAGGCAGGAAGGGATGTGCTCTCCTGAGAAGCCTTTTTGGGTTTACCTTACAACAAATTATTATGTTTTCCCTTCTGCCCTAGCTGCTAGGGAACCTGCAGCCACAGCAACTTAAGAGGGCTATTGAAATGTGCTCTGTGCCCTAACCCTACCCCTGGGCTTCATCTTATTTTCCTCACTGTGCTTTCTTTTATCCCATTTTCTCAACTATTTTGTCTTCTTATACATATCCTTGGAAGCTGCCACAAGTCCTCTTTTAGGATCTATATAAGGCATAAATAATTAAGAAGGGATATGGATGAGGGAGGCAGCCCAATGAGATAAAGAGTGCAAAAAAATAAAGGCTAAATAGGCATTACTCCAAAGATTATATACAAGTAGCCAACAAGCATATGACAAGATGTTCAATATCACTAATCAATGGAAAAATGCAAAACAAAACCACAACATCACCCTACACCCATTGGCATGTCTACTATTAAAAACAGAAAAAAAATAACAAGTGTTGGTGAGGATATGGAGAAACTGGAACCCTTGTGCTCTGCTGGTGGGTATGTAAAATTGTGTCATTGTTATGGAAAACAATATGGCAGTTCTTCAAAACACTAAAGATAAAATTACCATATCATCTAGCAATCCCTCATCTAGGTATATACTCAAAATAATCAAAAGCAGGCTCGCAAAGAGATATTTGCAGCTGGGTGCAGTGGCTCACGCCTGTAATCCCAACACTTTGGGAGGCCAAGGCAGGTGGATCACATAAGGTCAGAAGTTGGAGACCAGCCTGACCAACATGGTGAAACCCCGTCTCTACTAAAAATACAAAAAATTGGCCGGGCATGGTAGTGTGCGCCTGTAGTCCCAGCTACTAAGGAGGCTGAGGCAGGAGAATCATTTGAACCTGGGAAGTGGAGGTTCCAGTGAGCCTAGATCGTGCCACTGCACTCCAGCCTGGGTGACAGAGCAAGACTCCATCTCAAAAAAAAAAAAAAAAAAAAAACAGATGTTTGCACACCCACATCAAGAGCTGGAAGCAACCCAAGTGTTCGTCAACAGATGAATGGATAAACAAAATGTGGTACATAATATGAGAGAATATTATTTAGCCTTAAAAAGGGAAGAAATTCTAACACATGTGACAACATGGATGAACACTGAGGACATTCTGCTAAATGAAATGAGCCAGTCACAAAAAGACAAACACTGTAAGGTACCACTTATATGAAGTATCTAAAGTTGTCAAATTTACAGACACAGAAACTAGAAGGGTGGTTGCCAGTAGTTGGAAGGATGGAGAAATGGAGAATTGTTTAATGGGTTTCAGTTTTACAAGATGAAAGAGTCTGGAGATTGATTGTACAACAATGTGAATGTACTTAACACTACTGAACTGTACACTCAAAATGGTTAAGATGATAAATTTCATGTTATATTTAATCACAATTTTCTTAAAGTAAAGGCAAGAAAGACAAGCTTATTTTTTCACAATTTTTGCCCAGCGTACATCCTGATGTCAAGTTGAAAGGAGCTGGTGGTTTCATTTGGAATCTGTCCCATCCCCACCCTAGCCTTTCAGGAGAAGTAGGGAGTATTTTACATCCAACCAGTGAGAGTAAAAATAATCACCTAGCTTGGAGGTAAACAAATATTCAGGATTTGAACAAAGAATACTTTCACTTGGATAAGTATTCTTAGGTATTCTTTTTCCTAAGTAGGATTGCCCCAAAACTGTAATTGTTCATCTTGAATATGTAATCAGAACCACATTTGTGAGACAGAATTTTTTTTCTTTCAACTTCTCTCTCAACATCTACTCCCTTGTTCTAATCTGCTTATGACAATGTACCTCCCACACGCAACTAAAAAAGCAAAAATGTCAAGTGAAGTGTTTTATGTTAAGGATCCAGATTACTGAACAGACTGTGTCACTAAAGCATGTTAATAGTGTAAGCAGAGGGAAATATAGGTTAGTGAGTCAACTCTTTTCTAGTTCATCAGAGGCCAAGCAATCTTTTCAAATGATTGATGTTTTGTTCAGTCTTGGCTAAGTGATTCTTCCTTTCCCTTCCAACCTAAAGGCCATGCTAATGGGAGGTTCCCATGCCATGGTTTTTTTTTTTTAATTATTATACTTTAAGTTTTAGGGTACATGTGCACAACGTGCAGGTTAGTTACATATGTATACATGTGCCATGCTGGTGCACTGCACCCACTAACTCGTCATTTAGCATTAGGTATATCTCCTAAAGCTATCCCTCCCCCCTCCCCCCACCCCACAACAGTCCCTAGAGTGTGATATTCCCCTACCTGTGTCCATATGTTCTCATTGTTCAATTCCCACCTATGAGTGAGAATATGCGGTGTTTGGTTTTTTGTTCTTGCAATAGTTTACTGAGAATGATGATTTCCAATTTCATCCATGTCCCTACAAAGGACATGAACTCATCATTTTTTATGGCTGCATAGTATTCCATGGTGTATATGTGTCACATTTTCTTAATCCAGTCTATCATTGTTGGACATTTGGGTTGGTTCCAAGTCTTTGCTATTGTGAATAGTGCCGCAATAAACATACATGTGCATGTGTCTTTATAGCAGCATGATTTACAGTCCTTTGGGTATATAGCCAGTAATGGGATGGCTGGGTCAAATGGTATTTCTAGTTCTAGATCCCTGAGGAATCGCCACACTGACTTCCACAAGGGTTGAACTAGTTTACAGTCCCACCAACAGTGTAAAAGTGTTCCTATTTCTCCACATCCTCTCCAGCACCTGTTGTTTCCTGACTTTTTAATGATTGCCATTCTAACTGGTGTGAGACGGTGTCTCATTGTGGTTTTGATTTGCATTTCTCTGATGGCCTGTGATGGTGAGCATTTTTTCATGTGTTTTTTGGCTGCATAAATGTCTTCTTTTGCGAAGTGTCTGTTCACATCCTTCACCCACTTTTTGATGGGGTTGTTTGTTTTCTTCTTGTAAATTAGTTTGAGTTCATTGTAGATTCTGGATATTAGCCCTTTGTCAGATGAGTAGGATGCGAAAATCTTCTCCCATTTTGTAGGTTGCCTGTTCACTCTGATGGTAGTTTCTTTTGCTGTGCAGGAGCTCTTTAGTTTAATTAGATCTCATTTGTCAATTTTGGCTTTTGTTGCCATTGCTTTTGGTATTTTAGACATGAAGCCCTTGCCCATGCCTATGTCCTGAATGGTAATGTCTAGGTTTTCTTCTAGGGTTTTTATGGTTTTAGGTCTAACGTTTAAGTCTTTAATCCATCTTGAATTAATTTTTGTATAAGGTGTAAGGAACGGATCCAGTTTCAGCTTTCTACATATGGCTCGCCAGTTTTCCCAGCACCATTTATTAAGTAGGGAATCCTTTCCCCATTGCTTGTTTTTGTCAGGTTTGTCAAAGATCAGATAGTTGTAGATATGCAGCATTATTTCTGAGGGCTCTGTTCTGTTCCATTGATCTATATCTCTGTTTTGGTACCAGTACCATGCTGTTTTGGTTACTGTAGCCTGGTAGTATAGCTTGAAGCCAGGTAGCGTATGAAGTTAAAACAAAGATAAGTTTCATTCGGATGTCTGCTTTTAATGTCATATGATAAAATCTGGAGTTAAATCAAGAAACAAAATTGAGGATAAATGTATAAAGTGAGTTTTCTGTCAAATTAAAAAGTGAAGAATGGCTTGCTACACCCAGCATACATCACCTCACACCCAAGTGTAAGAACTGAGTTAAATTTAAATGGTGATCACTTAATGACTTGCCCTATGACCCTGGGAAACCCTCTGACTTCCATCTTATTTTTCCCACCCATAAAATTATTATAAACAAGACATACTTTTTTTTTGAGACAGAATTTCACTTTTGTTGCCCAGGCTGGAGTGCAATGGTGCCATCTTGGCTCACTACAAACTCCACCTCCCAGGTTCAAGTGATTCTCCTGCCTCAGCCTGCTGAGTAGCTGGGATTACAGGCACCCGCCACCACGCCCAGCTAATTTTTTGTGTTTTTAGTAAAGACAAGGTTTCACCATGTTGACCAGGCTGGTTTTGAACTTCTGACATCAGGTAATCCACCCACCTCAGCCTCCCAAAGTGCTGGGATTACAGGCGTGAGCCACCGCACCCAGCCTAAATAAGATGTACTTCTGATTCAAGACATCCATTGCTGTTTAAAGGACAGATGCACCAGGAACTCTCAAAAGCCTTGAAGTAGCCATGCAATAGACTGGCAGGCTGGGAAGAACCTCATTAAGCAGTTCTACAACCATGGCAGTCAAGAGGTCTTCTCCATTTTGGCCCATGGTGGGGAAAGATTCCATTCCATTCATGTGGGGCTGTGTTCCCACAAATGGTCCATATACACAGGTGGTCTCCAAAGGTCTATCAAGCAGTGTTTGATAGCTCAGCTATTTCAGGGGCAAATGTGATCAAATAATTTTGTTTACATAGATCTTAGAAATTTGAAATGGAATATTAAATTATCTTAATTTTCACAGACATCATATTACATCCTTAATAGTCATTAAGGATGACTTTTTCTACATTTATAAAAGCTCTACGGGCCAGGCGTGGTGGCTCACATCTGTAATCCCAGTACTTTGGGAAGCCAAGGTGGGTGGATCACTTGAGGTCAGAAATGAGACCAACCCAGCCAAAATGGTGAAACCCCGTCTCTACTAAAAATACAAAGATCAGCCGGGCGTGGTGGTGAGTGCCTGTAGTCCCAGCTACTCAGGAGGCTGAGGCAGGAGAATCACTTGAACCTGGGAGGTGGAGTTTGCAGTGAGCCAAGATCGTACCACTGCACTCCAGCTTGGGTGACAGAGCGAGACTCTGTCTCAAAAAAAAAAAAAAAAAAAAAAAAGGTTTTACATACACTGCAAAGATTTTGTTGTTTAATTTATCTTGGAGTATTTTTACCTCACCAGCACATTACTATTAATGGAATATGGTAATATCTAAAATGGTGGCTAGGATGGGAATAGACTTTAAGATTAAATAATCATCATCTAATACCACCAGCACTTCTGTAGCTTTTTGCAGTTTACAATTGCTTTCACCTTCATTTTAAGCAAACCATGAGAGAGACAGAGCAAGTATTCTCCAATTATTAAGAAGCAACTAAGCTCTAAAAGTTTAAGTGATATGTTTCCCAAGAAGAGATAGCTTCTGATGTATTAATAGTAACTCTATTAAAATTTGGAATATAATTTCAGGAGAGACAGAGAAGCTTTAATTCTTTTTTGCAAAAATCCATGATCAAGAGAAATTTGTTTTTAATTGTTTTTATTTTGTACTGATGATGAGGGACTGAATTCATTAAGCAGATATCAAAAAATGTTTTTTGTTTTATTAACATTCTGTTAATAATTCAGAACATTCTGTTTCTGAATTATTTCAAGCATAAAAACTTCTATTTATTTTCAAAAAAAGTATTATTCCATGATACTAATAGTTCAGAGTAAAGATAGTTTTTCTTATTTCAGTTGGGCCTGCTCCATGGATCTCAAATGAACTGTCTTACGTATTCATTCAGAGCCAAAATTTGTCAAGTTGTAATATGAGAAAAGGATATCAGGACATCATAAGAAGAGTGGCCTGTTGTGCAAACATCAGGTCGTGGGTTGGCTCTTTCTTAAAAGTTGATGGTTTTCTTCATTGTTTCAAGAATAAAATCAACACGTGTTGTTGGGCATATTTTTACATCATATGCAAATGCTGGAAATGTTAAGAATGACTTTCCAGGGCTGAATGAAGCCAGACTGTAGTAGGAATCCTTCTCCTTCACAACATCTGTGTGATGCTGGCTGATTTAGCATCTGATGGAGCACTGAACACACTCACCAGTGAGCTATGCCCATCATTTCTGTAAATGCCAGCACCATCTGACGGAGCTCTTCAATGCTTGCTGCAGTTTCTCATGACTTAACATTGTGATTTGGTATTCTCAAAATTAGTAGAAGTAGGCCGGGCGTGGAGGCTTACGCCTGTAATCCCAGCACTTTGGGAGGCCGAGGCGGGCAGATCACCTGAGGTCAGGAGTTTGAGACCAGCCTAGCCAACATGGTGAAACCCCATCTCTACTAAAAATACAAAAATTAGCCAGTCATGGTAGCACATGCCTGTAATCCCAGCTACTCAGGAGGCTGAGGCAGGAGAATCGCTTGAACCCGGGAGGCGGAGGTTGCAGTGAGCCAAGATGGCGCCATTGCACTCCAGCCTGGGCAACAAGAGCAAAACTCCGTCTCAATAAATAAATAAATAAATTAGTAGAAGTAAAGTCAAAGGAAATAAAACAATGAGGTGTTAACCTGTAATTTAAGCTTTTTTCAAGCTATACATAGACACTCTGTGAATGATTCCAAACAATATCAACCCTCCCACTAATATGAAACCATTATCATTTTTATGGTCAATTTTTTTATTCTGCTTTATTGTTATTATTTTAATATTTGTGACATATTTTGTAATTAACTGAATTTTTTTTTTTTTTTGAGACAGTCTCACTCTGCCACCCAGGCTGGAGTGCAGTGGCACGACCTCGGCTCACTGTAACTTCCGCCTCCTGGTTGGTTCAAGTAATTCTCCTGCCTCAGCCTCCTGAGTAGCTGGAATTACAGGAGTGCACCACCACGCCCAGCTAATTTTTGTATTTTTAGTAGAGATGGGGTTTTGCCATGTTGGCCAGGCTGGTCTCAATCTCCTGGCCTCAAGTGATTTGCCCACCTCAGCCTCCCAAACTGCTTGGATTACAGGTGTAAGCCACCACGCCCGGGCAACTGAAAGATTTTTATCCACATGTTTCTTCAAACTTTTGTATGAAGGGCCTACAGTGAGAACAAAACTGAGAAATACTATATAGGGGTTTGCAAACTGGGTCATAGGGAACACTCATTTTTCCATGAGATGGACCAACATGTTTTGCACTAAAATACTACAATGGCAATTCATATTTTACAAATCCACAGAATAATATGTTTCTAGACAGAATTTTCTCAAGATGTTTTTCTTCCATTTTCTAAGTTTTTTGATACCTGCCAATCTTGTCTGCAAATGAGCATCACCAGTAAATGATTAAAACAATAAGCTGATAACAAAATAATATTTCCTGAATATTTTAATAACGTATTTTCTCAATTATGTACAGGTTTAAAACTTTTTTTTTTTTTGAGATGGGAGTCTCGCTCTGCTGCCCAGGTTGGAGTACAGTGGCGCAATATCAGCTCACTGCAACCTCCGCCTCCCAGGTTCAAGCGATTCTCCTGCCTCAGCCTCCTGAGTAGCTGGGACTACAGATGCATGCCACCATGCCCAGCTAATTTTTGTATTTTTATTAGAGATGGGGTTTCACCATATTGGCAAGGCTGGTCTTGAACTCCTGACCTCATAATTCGCCCTCCTCGACCTCCCAAAGTGCTGGGATTACAGGCGTGAACCACCGTGCCCAGCCAGATATAAAACATTTTTCTCTGGTAAAATTATTCCTAGTTGACATGACAAAATAAATGTCAATATATTTCAGTATATTCTATAAAAATGCCATGGCTTATAGTTTCATTTTAAAAAATTATTCTAGAAATTATGTTAGGTAAAAATCTTAACCCTTTCCTGGGCAAAAAGAAAATATTATAAATAAAGTAATAAAGGATAAATTGAGGGGAAATCACAAACAAATATACAAAGAGGTTTTTTTTGTGTTTTTATTTTTTTTGAGACGGAGTCTTGCTCTTTCACCCAGGCCGGAGTGCAGCGGCGCTATTTCTGCTCACTGCAAGCTCCGCCTCCCGGGTTCACGCCATTCTCCTGCCTCAGCCTCCCGAGTAGCTGGGACTACAGGCGCCCGCCACCGCGCCCGGCTAATTTTTTGTATTTTTAGTAGAGACGGGGTTTCACTGTGTTAGCCAGGATGGTCTCGATCTCCTGACCTCGTGATCCGCCCGCCCCGGCCTCCCAGAGTGCTGGGATTACAGGCGTGAGCCACCACGCCCGGCCGAGGTTTTTATAATTCAGTGAGAAAAAAATGAACCAACAGAAAAAATGGAGAAGGATATGAATAGGTATTACTACCCAGCTACAAATACACAAGTCTTCGGTGATTCCTGTAACAGAAAATAGTGAACTCGACAGAGCAATAGTGATGGCTCCTTAGAGTCTTTCATGGCTTATGGTAAATATCTACTGAGCCCATTCAATTCCTTCTCACTCTAAATCCATGTCCACCAAGCAATCTTCTGATTGATAAATTGTTAAATTGTTTTCTCAGGTTTTTGGAGCCTGAAATGAGATGGGTTGGATTGTAAATCGCAAATGCATAAATTATCTCTGAGACTTATACATCGATCTTATATTAAAATAAAATTACACTGTATAGATATTTTTAGACAACAAAATACTTTTATCTATTGTGAGTCTGGTTTTGAATCACTTCTCTAGGCCTGAACAACACTAGATAGGCTGATAGAAATCAAGTTTATAGACTTGCAAAGCCAAGAATCAAAACTTTTACATGCTGACTACAAATATATAAAAACCACTAACCATTAAAAAATGACTGATACATTGGACTTCATTGCAATTATATGTACAAGACATATACGAGAATGTTTATAGCAGCATTGTTTTCATTAAAACCCCAAACTAGAAGCATCTGAAATGTCCATCAAGAGTAAAATGGTGCCAGGCAGGGTGGCTCACCCCTGTAATTCCAACACTTTGGGAGGCTGAGGCGGGAGGATCACTTGAGCTCAAGAGTTCAAGACCAGCCTGGGAAACACAGCCAAACCTCATCTCTATTAAAAATTTTAAAAATTAGCCTGGCATGGTGGCCCATGCCTATAGTCCCAGCTACTCAGGAGGCTGAGGCAGAAGAATCACTTGAGAGCAGAAGTTGGAGGCTGAAGCAAGCTATGACTGTGCCACTGCATTCCAGCTTCCACAACAGGGCAAGGCCCTGTCTCAAAAAAAAAAAAAGTAAAATGGATAAATTGAGGCATAGTCATACAATGAAATACTACACAACAACGAAAAAGAAGCCATTGGCCAAGCATGGTGGCTCACATCTGTAATCCCAGCATTTTGGGAGGCTGAGGTGGGTGGATCACTTGAAGTCAGAAGTTCGAGACCAGCCTGGCCAACATGGTGAAACCCCGTCTCCACTAAAAATACAAAAGTTAACCAGACATGGTGGTGCATGCTTTTAATCCCAGCTACTTGGAAGGCTGAGGCAAGAGAATTTCTTGAACCCAGGAGGCGGAAGTTGCAGTGAGCCGAGATCGTGCCACTACACTCCAGCCTGGGTGACAGAACAAGACTCCATCTCAGAAAAAAAAAAGAAAAAGAAACCATTGCAACTCACAGCAACAAGGACGATGTAATGTTGATCAAAAGACAGTAATCTCTAAAGATTTCATTTGTATATTTCCCCCAAAACAGGCAAAAATTAATCTGCTATAGGGCAGAATAGTGGCAATCTTTTGGGAGGTGTCAGCTTGGAGAGGGGGCATAGGCAGCCATTGGAGGCCTAGAAAGGTGCTATGTGATGATCTGAGTAGTGGTTAGGGCTACATCCACATATAGATTTTCATTGAGCTGTACCCTTTAGATGTGTGTTTATATAATTTATACCTCAATAAAAGAAATTTTTAGTTTTTAAAAACTTTGAACACCTGGAATAAGGAGTTATATTGTCCATAATCATTTACCTAGTAATTTTTTTTTGCTCAGTTTCCACAGAGGTGGAGGTTGCAATGAGCCAAGATCACACTACTACACTCCAGCCTGGGCAAGAGAGTGAGACGCTGTCTCAAAAAAAAAAAACAAAAAAAAAAACCTATTTTGGAAGAAAATACCTATTAAGAAGCTTGTTGAGGAAGAGAACGTAAAGACATGAATCAGGAGTCAAGGCAACCAAAGACTATTTTGCCAAGTCAAAAATTGCCAATGCCAACTATATGCCAAATCATCCTGGTAAGGTATTGGGAATAGTTTTCAATTATCAATAATCGTGCCTCAGACAAACCTCACTGGCTATGATACTGCCACTGCACAAAGTTTGCCTAGTAAGTTTCATGTGCGCATTCACTAATGTAGAAAGTTTTGGAGATTAAGCAACTAATCATAATTATATAGTGATGTTCTGCTGGGAAAACCTTGAGACTGTGAAGAGAAATGCCTCCTTTGTGTATGTTAGTGTATGGTTTAGCAGGAGAAAATTTCTAGTGAGATGCCAATAGTCCAATCCTGCTTATATAGGCCAGTAGTCCAATCCTGCTTATATAGGAGCTACAACTTGTCTGGGAGGTGTTGGACAATGAACGTGAAGCCAAAGGGAGATAAAGAAGCCAAAGGGGTGAGCCATGTTGTCTCCAAGAAAGAATGGACTCCACGGACTTTCCCAACCTTTCTCCTTCCAGGAAGCCAAAGCTCTGGAGGGAGGGGCTGCAGAGGCAGGTGCCTACCCAGAGGCACATCTTCCAAGTACCAGGGGACTCAGAGACCTGGGGGGATTCTCAGGAACCTGAGAGTGAAGAGGGCTAGCCAGGGAAAGGTTGGAATTTGGCGCCCCCTACAGGACAAATTTATGCCCAAGAAGACACTGCTGGAAGTAAACCAAGTCACCCAGAATCTCTAGGGACATTTACTGAGGCAGGGGCAATTCTGCCAGCCATGCATCCCCCAGGCCCAAGAGCACCTGTCCAATGTGGAAGCGGCCTAGTGCAGAAAGCTGGCATCCCAGAGGAGAGATGAGGAACTTACCACAGATCTAGACCTCACTGGGTGGACCTGGACAACAACACCCCACGCAGGATTCAAAGAGGTGCCATAGCTAAATCTGCTGTTTGTCTTCTATTCACATACTTCATGGGAAATCCTTGTGGGGCACTTTTGCAGGAGACTGCAAATGTTTTATATGGGGAAAATTAATTCATTCCACATTCATCTGATACCTATTAATAACGTGCCTACTGTGTGCCAGGCACTGTTCTGGATGCTGGAGAACAAAACAGGAAAGAAAAAAAATCCACCCCAGGTGGCATGTACTGAAAATGTTACAATCTGAACAGATAACAACAACCACCAAATAAACATCTATTTTGGGCCAGGCGCGGTGGCTCACGCCTGTAATCCCAGCACTTTGGGAGGCCAAGGTGGGTGGATCACCTGAGGTCAAGAGTTCGAAACCAGCCTGGCCACCATGGCGAAACTGCATCTCTACTAAAAATACAAAAATTAGCCAGGTGTGCTGGTGCGTACCTGTAATCCCAGCTACTCGGGAGGCTGAGGCAGGAGAATCACTTGGACCCGGGAGGCAGAGATTGCAGTAAGCCAAGATTGCGCCATTGCACTCCAGCCTGGGCAACAGAGCGAGACTCCATCTGAGAAAAAAAAAAAAAAAATCTGCTCATGCCTGTAATTCCAGCACTTTGGGAGGCCGAGGCAGGCGGATCATGAGGTCAGAAGATCAAGACCATTCTGGCCAACACGGTGAAACCCCATCTCTACTAAAAATACAAAAAAATTATCTGGATGTGGTGACAGGTGCCTGTAATCCCAGCTACTCAGGAGGCTGAGGCAGGAGAATCGCTTGAACCCGGGAGGCGGAGATGGCAGTGAGCCAAGATCGCACCACTGCACTCCAGCCTGGCGACAGAGTGGAGACTCCGTCTCAAAAAAGAAAAAAAATTCTATTTTGGAAGAAAATATCTATTAAGAAGCTTTTTGGGGAAGAGAACATAAAGACATGGATCAGGAGTCAAGGCAACCAAAGACTAAATTTCTCTACATGGGAAAGGAACTAGAATTTTGAGCCGAATTAGATATCTGAGCCTTCAAAATGACAGCCATGTGGAATATTATATAGTGTGAGACAGTCAAAGAAATATCCCAGTCATGGGGTAGGCCAAGGGCTGTTAGTAAAAAAGATGTCTAATACTCCGCTTTGTGTTTGCATGGGCCTCTGTGCCAAGTTTCTTAGTGTGCTACCACCACAAAGGCCTTATAAGGTGAATGTGTTCCTGGAAAATTGCAGAGGGGCAGAATCCCTCATCTGGGCAAGGTAGTGAAGGGGTCAGGGCCATGGGAAAGGAGGAGCCAGGGTCAGAGATGACACTGGGAAGAGAAGCTCTGAAGAGTCTACAGTCTAGAGTGAGGACAGGGATTGAGCAATCTCACAGAGCAGGAGGCCTCTGGCTTCTGCATTACACAACTTACCAAGCAATTTCACGAACAAGGTTCACACAGCACTGACACAGTTTCCCTGCTTTCTCCTTTCTGTCTTCACATATTGAAGTATAGGAGTAGCCAGATAATTGTGGCTTTTATTTCTTCTACACTTAATAGAATTAACAGTCTTGATGTAACATAGTTCAAAGGTTCTGATGTGAGCATTCAACTTCCTCAGGCTTCAGCGTTGAAAGAATCTTCTCCACTGAAGGAATCCTTCATAGAAGAGGCCATGGAAATATCTATGAGGCTTGCTCTCATATCAGCATTCCAGAGACTCATCTCTGTGTGGTCCTTTCCCCCACCTCGCCTGCTCCATGGAGGGAGGAGAGGGATATGTTGGAAACAGTGAGTTCCTCTTCAAAGGTTCCTGTCTTCTATTTTCAAAGCCTAACTTCCTTGCCTCCTTGCCCCTAGTTACGGCAAACAACCTTCCAGACATTCCCAATCTGTAATCCACATCCATTCCCAATCTGTAACTCACATCAATTCCCAATCTGTAACCCACATCTGTTCCCAATTTGTAACAACCCACATCTGTTCCTTATTTGGCACGCTTAGTTCCGAAACTGCTCTTCCTGCTGCTGTAGCCCCCACCCCTGCTCCATTTGAAGTAGCTAATCTGGATCAGCTTAGATTGTGTGGTCCGACCCCAGCCAAAGGGGACTGAACATAGTAGCAGGGACTGACTGCATTAGGGTTAAAACCCACTTCCCTCCTTTGTTTGCTGTGCTCTCGCAGTGACCAGAAGAACAAGCAGCACCCTTCTGAAGAAGTAAATTTGCCTTGCTGAGTGCTCATTTTCTTTATGACTCTTATTTCCAACATTCTCACCTTAACCAAGCCAGAGAGGCTTGAAAAAAACTACATGGAGAGTTTGACGTGTTTCCTGGGAGGTGGGGTATGCAAGATCTAGCATCTAGTGTGAAAGTCTGAAGGTGAGCAATTTCAGCCAGGCTCAGAGGCTAGGATGGGTGAATGGCAGCCTCTCCAGAGCCTGGCAGAATGAGGGTGCCCCACTGCTGCCCATGGGCCAGACTTAGACCTTATGGAAGACAGACGGTCATCTTAGAATGAACTAGACCAAGAAACTTTCCTGGGGAAAGTTGAGAGCTAAGCTCCTGAATGCTGGAAGCTGAGGAATGAGTGGCTGGAGTCTTCGCAACCAGCAAATGGAGCAAGAAATACAAACTCTAATAAGAAGAAATACAAATTCTAACACCCACCACCCATGAAACAGCCCCAGCAGAGAAGCTCCAATGTACCCAGAGACCTCTGACATCAGATGAAAGCGCAACAGCCTGTTAATACCTGGACTTTTTTCTCGAATGCCCCATCTCCTTCAGAGAGGAGGTAAAGAGAAAGACAAATGAACCAGGCCCTCCTTCCCCACGGCAGACCCACAGGATAAGTCAGGCAAGAGCCGAGAGAGGTAAGAGATTTCCATGGGAAAGGAGGCTGGGGCTTAGAGATACATTATTTTCATCCCTTGGCTCATGGTCCCATTCCTCCATAGTCAAAACCAGTAGTAAGGTATCTTGTCTTGTTAAATAAGGTAACCTTCATGGTTCCAGGGATTAGGACTTGGATATCTTCAGAGGGCCACTATTCAGCCCACCATCATGGCCTTGGTGAAAATGTTCTCAAGGTAGTAATGGGACAGGACAAACCAGGCTACAGAGAGTGGAAAACTGAAAAGTGAGCAAGTGGAGACCCCAAGTATAGTCCACTATTTCAGGACGTTGGGCTATGAAGGACAAGAGAGTGAATAAAGTCAAATGAAGGTTTCATTCAAGATGGGAGAGGTTTGTCAGGTGTGGTGGCTCACACCTGTAGTCCCAGCTACTCAGGAGGCAGGAGGATCACCTGAGCCCAGGAGTTCGAGGCGCCAGTAAGCTACGATCACACCACTGCACTCTAGCCTGGCTGATAGAGTGAGGCCTTGCCTCTAAAAACAAAAAAGATGGGAGAAGTTTGGGCAAGTTTAAATTCCAGTGACAAGGAGCAATTCAAAGGAAACAGTGGAGAGAGGAGAGAAGTGGATGGCTTGGCCCTAGACAGGAGAAGCAGAGCACGGAGCATGTGATGCACACAGGTTTGGTGGAAAGAAGCCGAGGTTGTTTTGTCTCTGCCCATGGGGGACTGAAGGAAGTCATCTGTGGAGACTGAAGGAGGGTCACCTGAGACTTGAGAAAAGGTGAGAAAGTGTGAGATGGTTTCTACAGAAAACTGGAAAAGTGCTGGAAAGAGAAGGGGATGGTGCTCTCCAGGCTCCTCTAGGCTTCCTCGTGGACATCCTTTCTGATGCCAATGCCCACGTGACCTAAAACCACTGGCCCTCATGCTGTCTTCACTGTCCTGGAGGCAGGCGGAGATTCGGGCTGAGACAGGATGAGGGTCTCCCACCTGAGACCCAGCTCACCTCTGTACGAGGACTCAGGCCCAATCCTGGAAGCCCTGGTGGGGCACACATGCTGTGCTTCCCACCACCTCCTTTGTCTATTACCTGAGACGCCAAGCAGAGCTCCTCCTCCTGGTACAGCCTTGTTCTTCCTATGCATATCAGCTCTTGCAGATGGCAGCCTCGAGAGAGGGCTCATAATCCAGCAGTTCTGCATAAACAGCCGGACTCTGATTTCAGTTTGGGCTTAATCTGGATGTCTCCTACCCACATGCCGAGGAATGTTCTCCTTGCCTATACTACAGCTTTTTCTCCTGGGCAGTGCCCTCAGACCTCTTTATGCTCCCAGAATCCTCTCTTCCTGGTTTTTTATCAGAACCTGGGAGGGTGGGGCAGGGGCACAGGAGTAATCCTCATCTGTCATGCAGTCATGCAGCTACAGTGGTGTCATCTATTCAGTGAACACTTGTTCCCAGAGCACCTTCTCTGTGCCAGGCATTGTACCGATGATTGGGACACAATTGTAAGGAAAACAGGTATATCAGGATCCACATGGAGCTGGCAGTCTAGTATGGGACAGGCATTAAACCAAACACACAAAATAAATGCCTAAGTGTAAATCATGACACGTGCTATGAAGGAAAAGAGCAGATTCTATGATCAGGAGAGATGGGAGAGGGGCAGTCAGGGAAGTCCTGTCTGAGGAAGTGACAGAAGTCCCCTGTGAGCTAGGACCTGAAGTGTACACCCGAGTTAAGAGGAGTTAGTGGTGGGTCAGAGAGAGCAGCAAGTGCAAGGGCCCAAGAGAAAACACACCTGAAAAATTAAAGGGCTTTAACTAAGGCCAGTGCATAGTGACAGTAAAAGACAGGGCTCGAGAGGTAGGTAAGGGCCAGATCACATGGAAAATTGCAGGTAATGTTAAGCACTTGAATTTAATTCTAAGTGTGATGACTCCCCATCCAGCGTCTGCAGCGCAACAGCGATGTTCTATTTCTAAAAGATCCTCTGGACGCCACATGTAAAATAGATCACTAGAGTGAGGAGACACAGGGTACACCAAGAGTAGACGCAGGACAACAAAACGAGGCAATTGCAGCAGTTCAGAGGGACCAGGTGGCTTGGACTAGAAGAGTGGTGTGGAGATCAGGGAAAATAGATATTTGGGGAATATGTTTCTCCATATGCACAGAAAGGCATGGAACTAGAGGAAGGACAGAAAGAGAAGAGAAAACCACCCAGCACTGAGTGTTCAGGAGCCCCAACACTGAGTGACAAGAGTCAGGCTGTCACAAGGTAAAGCTGGTAACCATGACCATAGTCCACAACAATACTGAGCACTTGCCCTGTGCCAAATTCCGGGCTAAATTTTTACACGTATTATCACGTTGAATATTCTATGACCCTATGACAGAGCCTTGGTACCCAATGACCATGGGACCTTCCACGCCAGCCTGCACTGGCTAATTCCAAAAGTCTTTGACATGAAAAAATACAAACCTCTGCCTTATTTCAGGCACTGCTGTTTCCAGCCTGTTACAAGTAGCTGCACCAAGTCTAAACCAATAGGGAAACATGTCGAGATATCTCATGGAATCCACAGAAGAGGTAAGCCTTCAGGTTTAGAGATGGGCCAGCACCAGGACAGCTTGGGTGCCTCAACAGGAGGCCTTGGGCTCTAGAGCACTGCCCTTCACCTGCCTTGGCTTGGGGATCTCCCAGGGTCAGCTCCACATTCCAAATTCCCAAGAGATAATAATCTGATTGGCTCAGTCTGGGTCTCATGTCCTTCCCTGGACCAATTGGCTACGGTCTAGGGGGCAGGATTGCTGCTGGGCTCCCCACTACCACCGAAGGTCCACTGCTGACAACTAACAGAGTGACCACTGCTAACAACTAACGGGGTGGTAGCAGTGAGACTCCGCACACACACCCCAGGGCCTTTAAACATGCTCCTCCCTCTCTCTGGGTCCTCTCCCCACTATTCCTTGCCTGAGTAGCTCCTCTTAGCCTTCTGATCTTGCTAAAATTTTCACTTTTTCAGGGACGCCTTTCCTACCCCACTCTCAATCCAAATTAGGTCCCTCTGTTACAGCTTCTCATCCTCTTCCTTTACATGAAGGAAAATATTTCTGGTGCGCCTTATTTCATGTTTAGGCCTGCCTCCTCCACCAGTCTGTAACCTCCTGGATGGCAAGAACCACATTTGGGCTTCCCCCCACTCTACCTGCCAAGCTTTGAACCTAATGTCTAGCACACAGTTTGTGCTCAATAAATATGTGTTGATTGAGTGAACCAGAACAAACGTATCACATTTTCAACATTCTCGATTTTCCGGAGACTGCTTTCTCAAGATACAGCCTGACACGTTCAGCCTGTGGCCCACATGGGCCTGTTCTAACTTTCCTGGATGCCTTAAATTTGTGTCAGGGAGGACCCTGGTATAGCACGAGAGGCTCTGGACAAGGCAGCAGGGGATGGGGTTTGGGTCCCAGCTCTGGATAAGTCACTTCACTCAGTTGAATAACAAGTTTCCTCATTCAAAAATGAGGTTTTTGGATGAGATGATTTACAAAGCTCCTCTAGCACAAATGTCTGGAATTCTGCTGATAACAATTCAATATTCTGTCCATGGTTGAAATTGCCCTGAACATGTGAAAAGAGAGAGATGTAAAGTGTTTACGGAGAGAAAGAATATATATTTCAGACAAAATCCACACCAGCTAGCTGTTCTTTAATGACAATCATTATAGATAGAATTTTTTATTGGGGCCAAAAAGCAATAAAAAGTACAGAGTTGAAGATAATGAGAAAAACTGCCCATGAATGGAAAAATAGGGGTTCTTCTAGTAACATAAAGTGAAAGGCCCAGGAACCTGAGTACCAGAGTGTAAAGAGCTCAACCTGCATCCCTTTGTAGAGGGATGGGAAGGAAAGGGGTGTTCCCCACCCTAACCTCCCAACTATCACCAGTTAGCTCAGCCTGCACTAAAAGAAACCTCTGTAGCTGGAGTCCTAATTTCTTAATCCAATCTCAGATGTGGCCAACAGCCAAGTAAGTTACTGTTGAGACCCACATCCTCCCCCAAGAGATGACCAACATGCGCAAGATTTTGTGGCTATTCTATATGCATGACATACTGAGACACAATGTCACATAAATAATGAAATGGCACACCATAGGAGTGTGTCTCTCCTGAATTGTTCAGCATGTTCTTTTACCTTCATAACTTTGGCTCTTTGTGTTAAATGTAAAATCTTTTTTAACATAATCTTGTACTTACATGCATACTTCTCCCTTCAATTGCATTTAGTCATATATATTTTTAAATAAGGTATATATTGTAAAAACAAATGGGCTTGGAATTATCCATCCCAAATTTGTAATAGGACACTATTAAAACCAAGGTCCTTGTATAAATCACCTTGAATCATGTGATGTTATGGTTAAAACTGAAAGGATTTTGGATTTAGTGTCAGACAAGAATTTTTTCAAGCCCCCAGTTCACCATTTATTAAGCAGTTCTTCAACCTCACGGCACCTGTTTTCTCGTCTGCTAAATCCCAATCTTACAAGGTCACTGTGAAAAGTAAATGAGATGCTGTATTTAAGTGCCGTGCCCTGCATCTGAATCACTGTAAGCCTCTCCTTTTCCCTCTCCCACTCACCAGGTGGTGGGATTTCAGGGGTCAGACCAACAGCTAGAGGCAGAGCCAGGTGTCCCAGAACCCCAGCTACTGTGTCTCAGAAGTGTAATAAAGGCTCAAGCCAAAGAGGGGCCTTAGGAATCATCTACTTCACTGACCCTCTCCCCTTGATCTAACAGATTAGAAAATTGAAGCCAACAGAACTGATTTCCTTTTTTACCTTATTTAACCAATAAGTTTATTTATTTGTTGAGCAGTTGCCATGAAAGGCACTGTGTTAGGTCACTGGCGTTCAAGTACTAATTTTGAATGCAGCAGTGTGCTAGGTGCTATAAACATGAACCATATCAAGGATGAAATATACTTAGAGACATGCCAGTCCTCTCAAAACCCCAGTCCTGGCCGGGCACGGTGGCTCACACCTGTAATCCGAGCACTTTTGGAGGCGGGTGGATCACGTAGTCAGGAGATCGAGACCAGCCTGGCTAACACGGTGAAACCCCGTCTCTACTAAAAATACAAAAAATTAGCCAGGCATGGTGACAGGCACCTGTAGTCCCAGCTACTCAGGAGGCTGAGGCAGGAGAATTGCTTGAACCCGGGAGGTGGAGGTTGCAGTGAGCAGAGATCACACCATTACACTCCAGCCTGGGCAACAGAGCAAGACTGCCTCAAAAAAAAAAAGCAAAACAAAAAACAAACAAAAAAAAAACAATCCTAGAGGAAGTTGGGAAGGAGGTGCAGAGGGTCAGAAGAAGACTATGGAAAAGGTTATGAATGATCCTTTAAGATATAAAAAATAAACTAATCATCAGCATATTGTATCAAGTCAACATTATTGCTAATCGTGATAAATTCATCCATATTGAATCCATCACTATCTATCATGAACCAGGCCATTGTTAATCAATAAGCACCATCTTGCACAAAACATCACCATGGCAAATGCTTTGCCTCAGCATATTCAGTGGATGTTCTGCAGAATGTGACTCTGCTCCCCAGGAGGAAAAGGAACATTCACAGCAGTACCAGCTGCTTTCCAGAAACCCCGTGTGCAGAAACTCTTGAGGTACTTTTCATGTCTGTAATTCTGAGGGACTGTTATTCTTTTCCTGCTCATCCTCAGTGAATAGACTACTTCTGGAACCTGCTGCAGTCAACTCAAACAGTAGACAGGTGTCATGACAGTGCAGAAGAAAAAACAGTGATGATATGTGAGTGTGTCTGGGAACCCGTGGGGCAGAAGTCAGAGTGGAAAAGGGCAGAACATCAGTTTGTATCAAACAACCACAAATATCAGCAACACCCAACATTCAGCATTTACTTCTCACACGGCTATGGGTTCTGCCCTCTCAGCTGAGCCCACCCAGGTATCTACAGATTGATTGGCAGTTGCCTCAGCTGGGCAGCTTGGCTTTAAGGTAAAGGTCTAACTGGTTGGGGCTACTCATAGCAGGTTGGGCTTACATCTGCTCTATGTGTGTCAATTCTAGGGGGCAGGAGATAACAGTCTCGTAGGCAGCAGCAAACTCTTCTCAAGGTGATGGCAGAAGCATAAGCAGTCAAGCAGAAAAAGTGACACGTCTTAAGGCCTAGGCTCAAAACTGGCACACTGTCACCTTCGCCTTCACTCCATCAGCCAGAGTAAGTCAGATGGCCAAGCCCAAAGACAAGGGGCACAGTGCTTCACACAGAGGACTGCAGAGTCACATGGTAAGGGCAAGGGATGTTGGTACAGAGCGGAGTGAAAAAAGGGGCCACTAAGTCAGTAGACCACAGACAGGGGCAGAAAGAAGTATCTAAACCAAACAGAGCACAAAATCAGGGTAATGCCGTCTACCAGTGTCTGATCAACAAGAAATACAGGTATAAGAAAGTATCCGTCCTAGCCAGAGCAATCAGACAAGAGGAAGAAATAAAGGGCATCCAAATTGGTAAAGTGGAAGTCACATTGTCACTGTTTGCTGATGACATGATCACATACCCAGAAAACCCTAAAGACTCATCCAAAAAGCCCCTGGGTACATGAATTCAGCAAAGTTTCAGGATACAAAATTAATGTACACAAATTAGTAGCCCTGATATACACCAACAGTGACCAAGCTGAGAATCAAATCAAGAACTCAACCCCTTTTACAATAGCTGCAAAAAAATAAAATAAAATACTTAGAAATATACTTAACCAAGAAAGTGAAAGACCTCTGCAGAGAAAACTACAAAACACTGCTGAAAGAAATCATAGATGACACAAACAAATGGAAACACATCCCATGTTCCTCGATGAGGAGAATCAATTACAAAAAATGACCATACTGCCAAAAGCAATCTATAAATTCAATGCAATTCCCATCAAAATACCACCATCATTCTTCACAGAACTAGAAAAAAAAATCCCAAAATTCATATGGAACCAAAAAAGAGCCTGAATAGCCAAAGCAAGACTAAGCAAAAAGAACAAATCTGGAGGTATCATATTCCCCTACTTCAGACTATACTATAAGGCCATAGTCACCAAAACAGCATGGTACTGGTATAAAAACAGGCATACAGACCAATGGAACAGAATAGAGAACCCAGAAATAAAGCCACATACTTACAGTCAAGTGATCCTCTACAAAGCAAACAAAAACATGAAGTGGGGAAAGGACATCCTAATCCACAAATGGTGCTGGGATAATTGGCAAACCACATGTAGAAGAATTAAACTGGATCCTTATCTCTCATCTTATACAAAAATCCACTCAAGATGGATAAAAGACTTAAATCTAAGACCTGAAACTATAAAGATTCTAGAAGATAACATTGGAAAAAAACGCTTCTAGACATTGACTTAGGCAAAGACTTTGTTATGGTTTGGCTGTCTCCCCACTCAAATCTCATCTTGAATTCTATCTCCCAGAATTCCCACGTGTTGCAGGAGGGACCCAGAGGGAGGTAATTGAATCATGGGGGCCAATCTTTCTCATGCTATTCTCGTGATAGTGAATAAGTCTCATGAAATCTGATGGGTTTATCAGGGGTTTCCCCTTTTGCTTCTTCCTCTTTTTCTCTTGCTGCTGCCATGTAAGAAGTGCCTTTTGCCTCCTGCCATGATTCTGAGGCCTCCCCAGCCATGTGGAACTGTACGTCCAATTAAACCTCTTTTTCTTCCCAGTCTTAGGTATGTCTTTATCAGCAGTGTGGATACAGACTAATACAATGAATTGCTACCAGTAGAGTGGGGCATTGCTGAGAAGATACCTGAAAATGTGGAAGCGACTTTGGAACTGGGTAACAGGCAGAGGTTGAAACAGTTTGGAGGGCTCAGAAGACAGGAAAATGTGGAAAAGTTTGAAACCTCCTAGAGACTTGTTAAATGGCTTTGACAAAACTGCTGATAGTGATATGAACAATAAAGTCCAGGCTGAAGTGGTCTCAGATGGAGATGAGGAACTTGTTGGGAACTGGAGCAAAGGTGACTCTTGTTATGTTTTAGCAAAGAGACTGGCGGCATTTTGCCCCTGCCCTAAAGATCTGTGGAACTTTGAACTTGAGAGAGATGATTTAGGGTATCTGGCAGAAGAAATTTCTAAGCAGAAAAGCATTCAAGAGGTGACTTGGGTACTGTTAAAAAGCATTCCGGGCCAGGCGCGGTGGCTCACGCCTGTAATCCCAGCACTTTGGGAGGCCAAGGCGGGCGGATCATGAGGTCAGGAGTTCGAGACCAGCCTGGCCAACATAGTGAAACCCCGTCTCTACTAAAAATACAAAAATTAGCCAGGCATGGTGGCACACACCTGTGGTCCCAGCTACTCGGGAGGCTGAGGTGGGAGAATTGCTTGAACCTGGGAGGCAGCGGAGTTTGCAGTGAGCAGAGACTGCGTGCCACTGCACTCCAGCCTGGGTGACAGAGTGAGACTCCGTCTCAAAAAGAAAAAACACTCCATTTTAAAAAGGAAACAGATCATAAAAGTTAGAAAAATTTGCAGCCTGATGATGCAGTAGAAAGAAAAACCCATTTTTTGAGGAGAAATTCAAGACAGCAGCAGAAATTTGCATAAGTAGCAAGGAGCCTAATGTTAATCCCCAAGACCACTGGGAAAATGTCTCCAGGCCACGTCAGAGAACTTCACGGCAGCCCCTCCCATAAGAGCCCAAAGGCCCAGGAGGTAAAGGTGGTTTTGTGGGCTGGGCCCAGGGTCCCCATGCTGTGTGCAGCCTAGAGACTTGCGTGTCCCAGGCCGCTCCAACCATGGCTGAAAGAGGCCAAAGTACAGTGAAGTAATTCAGGAATGGAAAACCAAACACTGTATGTTCTCACTCATAAGTGGGAGCTAAGCTATAAGCTATGAGGATGCAAAGGCATAAGAATGATACAATCGGCCAGGCACAGTGGCTCACGCCTGTAATCCCAGCACTTTGGGAGGCCAAGGTGGGTGGATCCCCTGTAGTCAGGAGTTCGAGACCAGCCTTGCCAACATGGTGAAACTCCGTCTCTACTAAAAATACAAAAATTAGCCAGGCTTGGTGGTGGCCACTTTTAATCCCAGCTACTCGGGAGGCTGAGATAGGAGAATCACTTGAACCCGGGAGGCAGAGGTTGCAGTGACCTGAGATTACAACATTGCACTCCAGCCTGGGTGACAAGAGTGAAATTCCATCCCCAAAAAAAAAAAAGAATGATACAATGGACTTTGGGGACTCTGGGGAAAGGGTGGGAGGGGGGTGAAGGATAAAAAGACTACACATTGGGTACAGTGTACACTGCTCAGGTGAAGGGTGCACCAGAATCTCAGAAATCACCACTAAAGAATTTATCCGTGTAACCAAACACAAACTGTTTCCCCAAAAACCTACTGAAATTTAAAACACACACACACACACCTGGCAGCTGGGGGGAAGAAAGTACCCCATTTTTCAAGATGAAAAAGTTCTAGAGCTCTGAGCTCTGTTGCATAACAATGTGAATACACTTAACACTACTCAACTGTCCACTCAAAAATGGTTAAGGTGGTAAATTTTGTTTTGTGGGGGTTTTTTGTATAAATTTAGGGGGTACAAGTGCCATTTTGTTACATGAAATATTGCACAGTGGTGAGGTCTGGACTTTTAGTATAACCATCACCTGAATTGTGTATTATACCCAATAAGTAATTTCTCATCCCTCAGCCCCTCCCACTCTCCCACCCTTCTGAGTCTTCAATGTCTATTATTCCACACTTTATGTCCATATCTACACATTAGTTAGCTCCCACTTATAAGTAAGAACATATGGTATTTGACAGTTTTCTGGGGCTTTTTTTTTTACTACAACTAATAATGTTTTTTAAAAGGAGGATTTACTCCATTATAAATTCTGTCTGTGGTAGCCAGCCTCCAAGACAACACCCCCAATAATTCCTACTTCCTGACATTCACACCCTTGTATAATTCCCTCCCATATTGTTCCAGAAGTGACTGTGACACAAGATTAGGTTATAAAAGGTTGTGGCTTTCATCTTGGTTCTCTATCTCTGTCTCTGTCTCTCTCTCATAACTCACTCTGGAGGAAGCCAACTACCATGTTGTGAAGCCACTCAGGCAACCAATGGAGAAACAGATGTAGCGAGCAGCTGAGGTCTCCAGCCAACAGCCAGCAAGAAACTGAGGCCTCCAACAATATGTGAGTGAGCATAGAAGCAGCACCTTCCCCAGCTGAGCTTCCAGATGAGTCTGCAGCCCTACTGACAGCTTCACTGCCAGTCCAGATTCCTGGCCCTCAGAAACTGTACTATAATAAATGTTTGCTGTTTTAAGCTGCTACGTTTTGGGGTAATTTGTAATGTGGCAATAGGTAACTACAACCCTATGTGATGATCATTGATATTTATAATGACCCAGGGCACTTAAATATTCTGACATATTTTCTTTTTATATATATATAAAGAGAGAAAGACAAGGTTTTCCTATGTTGCCTGGATTGGTCTCGAAATCCTAGCCTCAAGCAGTCCTTCTGCCTTGTCCTCCCAAAGTGCTGTGATTACAGGCATGAGCTCTGTGCCCGGGTCTGACATGTTTTCTGAATCTTCAATAAAAGATGCAACTACAGAAAGTTTTCTAATATCACTGAAGACTTAGTATACTCAAATTCCCGGTGTGACAATAGGTGTGACTCTCAGTCTACAAGGAAATTTGATTGAGTTGAAATCCACATCCCCCTATGCTTCAGGCTAAGTCTACAAGGAAATTTGATTGAGTTGAAATCCACATCCCCCTACCCTTCAAGCTAACTAAGAATTTATTACAGAGAAGAAAAAAAAGAGTGTGAGATCAAGGCCAAATAATAAGCAACTTAGCCATTTTCTTTTATTTAAGAAATTGACCTTAAAAGAAATTTAGAAAATGTATATCACATGAGCAAAAGTTTTGAAAGGCTGGCATAGTTGGATTGACCCAAGAATAGCCAACTAACTTTTCTTCAAGAGAATAAAGAATAAAGAGGAAGCTATTTTTATAAGAGTAATGCAGCATAACTGTGTCTTCCACTCAAAGAAAATTTTGAGAAGCTTAATTATCTGGGGAATTTGTACTTGTAAAAATTATCATCATTACTGTATAGATGAAAGAATGAGAGAAAGTGTACTTGAAGCGCATTAGAAAAGAAGATAATAGGTAATGCATGTCATCATTTAAAGTGTTGCCTGAATCAACTGGCCACTGTTAGAGGAGATAAGGACATACTCTGTCAAAGACATACTAAAGGGCATTTTTATTTTGTTTTGTTTTAAAGTGGACTTAATTTTTTTTAATAAAATGTAACTCTTATTTAGTGGCAAGTATTCACATACTAACACCTGTGAAGGAGTATTATGCAATGTCATTGGTGTCCGAGATAGTTATCAGCAAGTGCAATGTCAGCAGAAACACTAGCGGCCAGTTAGGGAATAAATCAAGCTGGAGGAGAGGAAGGTCGAGATCAATTTAGATTTCTAGCATACCAGACATTATTCATTCCTGCTTTGCCTGCAGGGGACACTTTCCTGGGTCGCTCACTGCTGCCGGCACCCGTAAATTAGGCAGGGAAGATCCCAGTTAAGTGTGTGTGTGATACATTACACACAAAGAAGTATATAAAATCTACATGTACAGCTTGAAATAAAAGAATAGATAAACATCTGTGTAATCAATATCTAGGCTAAGAAATAGAACATTACCAGTTCACTAGAGGACATTTGGTGCCTCTTCCAAGAGCTTTCGTTTTGAATTTTAGGTTAATCATTCTTTTCTTCTCTGCATAGTTTTAGTGTGTGTGTGTGTGTGTGTGTGTGTGTGTGTGTGTCTTTTAACTACAAATGTATTGCTTAATTTTCTTGTTTTTAAATTTTCTGTAATTGAGGATCATACGGATTGTATTCTTACAATCAGCAATATGGCTTTGATATGCTTTTGTAGCTGTAGTTTACTCATTTTATTTGTTGTACAGGGCTCCCTTGTTTGAATATGACATGACTTATAAAACCACTTCACCACTGATAGATATTCAGATTATTTCCAATTCGAGAGTATTGTGAACAAGACTTCTTGCACATTTGCGTACGTGTTTCCTGGTGTATAAACCTAGGAAGGGAATTGCAGAATTGTATTTGATTGCAGTTTTTAGATATATAGACCTAGGAAGGGAATTGCAGAATTGTATTTGATTGCAGTTTTTAGATATATAGACCAAAGGAACAGACCAGAGAACTCAGAAATAACACCACACATCTACAACCATCTAATCTTCAACAGACCTGACAAAAGCAAGCAACGGGGAAAGGATTTCCTATTTAATAAATGGCTGGGAAAACTGACTAGCCCATATGCAGAAAACTGAAACTGGACCCCTTCCTTACAACTTACACAAAAATTAACTCAAGATGGCTTAAAGACTTAAATGTAAGACCTAAAACCATAAAAACCCTAGAAGAAAACCTAGGCATTACCATTCAGGACATAGGCATGGACAAAGACTTCATGATTAAAACACCAAAAGCAATGGCAACAAAAGCCAAAATTGACAAATGAGATCTAATTATACTAAAGAGCTTCTGCACAGCAAAAGAAACTGTCATCAGAGTGAACAGGCAACCTACAGAATGGGAGAAAAATTTTGCAATCTATCCATCTGACAAAGGGCTAATATCCAGAATCTACAAAGAACATAAACAAATTTACAAGAGAAAAACAAACAATCTCATCAAAAAGTGGGCAAAGGATATGAACAGACGCTTCTCCAAAGAAGACATTTATGCAGCCAACAGACATATGAAAAAATGCTCGTCATCACTGGTCATCAGAGAAATGCAAATCAAAGCCACAATGCAATACCATCTCATGCCAGTTAGAATGGCGATCATTAAAAAGTTAGGAAACAACAGATGCTGGAGAGGATGTGGAGAAATAGGAACGCTTTTACACTGTTGGTGGGAGTGTAAATTAGTTCAACCATTGTGGAAGACAGTGTGGCGATTCCTCAAGGATCTAGAACTAGAAATACCATTTGACCCAGCAATCCCATTACTGGGTATATACCCAAAGGATTATAAATTATGCCACTATAAAGACACATGCACACGTATCTTTATTGCAGCACTATTTACAATAGCAAAGACTTGGAACCAACCCAAATGCCCATCAGTGATAGACGGGATTAAGAAAATGTGGCACATATACACCATGGAATACTATGCAGCCATAAAAAAGAATGAGTTCATGTCTTTGCAGGGACATGGATGAAGCTGGAAACCATCATCCTCAGCAAACTAACACAAGAACAGAAAACCAAACACTGTATGTTCCCACTCACAAGTGGAAGTTGAACAGTGAGAACACATGGACACAGGGAAGGGAACATCACACACTGGGGCCTGTTGGGCGGAGTGGGGGGCAAGCAGAGGGAGAGCATTAAGACAAATACCTAATGCATGCGAGGCTTAAAACCTAGATGACCGGTTGATAGGTGCAACAAACCACCATGGCACATGTATACCTATGTAACAAACCTGCGCATTCAGTACCTGTATTCCAGAACTTAAAGTAAAATTTTAAAAAGTAATTAATTTTAAAAAAAAGTAATGGCACTAACCTAATAGGATATGTGCATATTCAGTTTTACTCTATCAGGCGAAACTGTTTTTTCCAGAGCAGTGATAACAGTTTACATTTCCTTCAGCAGAGGACGAGTGTCTTCAAGCTTCACACCCCAGCCAGCATTTGGTACTGTTCCACTTTGTATTTTTCCAGTTTGCTTCGTATGTACATGGTACCTCATAATTTTATTTTGGTGGTTTGTTTTTTGTTTTTTGTTTTTGAGACAGGGTCTCACTCTGTAGCCCAGGCTGGAGTGCAGTGGTAGGATCACAGCTCACTGCAGCGTCGACTTCCTGGGCTCAAGCACTCCCTACAACCTCAGCACCTCCCCACCCCCATCCAGTAGCTGGGACTACAGGCGCAAGCCACCATGCCTGGCCTTTATAATTTTAATTGCATTTCTCTAATTACTAATAAGGTTAAGATTAAACATTTTTTCCTATGTTTATGGACCACTTGTGTTTCCTCTCCTATTAAATTCTTGTTTGTGTATTTTCTTTTTTTTTTCTATTGGGTTTTCTGTCTCTTTAATATTGATTTTAGGAGACCTCCTAATAGTCTCGATACCAATCCTGCACGGGGGAAAAAAAAAAAAGCTCTAGGCTCATTCTGTGACTTTTCATTTCATGCTATACATGGCAAGGTCTTAAAAAATGTGTATCCATCTTTTCTTTATGGATTTTGCCTTCTGCATCTTGTTTAAAAAATTCTTAGGCCAGGCGTGCTGGCTCATGCCTGTAATCCCAGCACTTTGGGAGGCAGAGGTGGGTGGATCACCTGAGGTCAGGAGTTCGAGACCAGCCTAGCAAACATAGCAAAACCCTGTCTCTACTAAAAGTACAAAAATTAGCCGGGCATGGTGGTACACCCCTGTAATCCCAGCTACTCAGGAGGCTGAGGCAGGAGAATAGCTTGAACCTGGGGGGCGGAGGTTGCAGTGAGCTGAGATCACACCATTGCACTCCAGCCTGGGCGACAAAAGTAAGACTCCGTCTCAAAAAAAAAAAAAAATCTTCACTGTCCTATACTCACCTATAAGGTCTAAGGTCTAATGTTTTAATTTTTCTTTCACAGCTAAGCCTTTAATCTACCTGGACTTGTGTAAGATATGGGCAGTGTGATTGACAGAGTGCACAGATGTCTGCAATTATTTCCTTCGCTGTATCCATGTCCCTTTGTAATGTTACTTTTCAGTTTTTACCATCAAGAGACAGAGCCTACTTTCCCAACTCTTGAAAGTGCTGCTGTGCTAGTTTCAAGTCTGGACCTCAAAAGGCCTATACAATTACGCCTGATGTCTTAGAACCCTTCCTCCACCACAAGAATAAGCCCAGACTAACCTGCAGGAAGATGAGAAACCATGTGAAGCCGAAACAAGACGTCCTGGGTGAAGCCATCTCAGGCCAGTCAGCCCCTAGCTGACCCAACAGCTGACCACAGATGCATGAATGAACCCAGTCAGGGCCAGAAGAACCAGCCAGGAGCTCAATCAAAATTGTTGACCCATAGAAAGAAGACCTAAATAAATGCTCGTTGTTTTAAATCTCTGCCTTTTGGAGAGATTTGTTATGCATCAAAATGCTAACAGATATAGGTAGAAATCCATTTCATATTTTTCCACATGGATAATCACCTGTGCCTGTATCATTTATTTATGAATCCATCCTTCCTCATTAATCTGCAATGCCACTTCTCTCAAATAGCAAATATCAATATGTGGAAGGGTCTGTGGGCTTTCTCTTCTGTTCCATTGGTTTGTAAGTCTATCCTTAGGCCAACGCTACACTGTGTGGTTTACTATACTTTTATAATAAAGTGTATTTATTTATTTATTCTTTTTTTAAAGACAGGGTCTCACTCTGTCACCCAGACTGGAGCACTGTGGCATGATCATAGATGACTGTAACCTTGATCCTGGGCTCAAGAGATCCTTCCACCTCAACCTCCCAAGTAACTAGGACTACGGGCACGCACCACCACCTCCACCTATTTTTTTTTTTCTTATTTTATAGAGATGGAGTCTCACTATGTTGCACAAGCTGGTCTCGAACTCCTGGACTCGAGAGATCCTCCAGCCTCAGCATCTCAAAGTGCTGGGATTACAGGCATGAGCCACCATGCCTGGCTTATAATAAAATTTAATATCTGGTAGAAACATTCCTTCCATCTTGTTCTTCTTCCTCAATAGTTATCTCTTCCTATCCCTTTGCATTTTTATATAAATTTTGAATTAAGCTTCTGAATATTCATGAAATATCTTATTGGAATTTTGATTGAAAATGCATTGAATTGTTAAATCAATTTTGAGAAAACCGACATCTTTACAATATTGAATCTACTATTAAAGAACATGGCATACCATTTATTTGGTCTTTGATGCCTCTAAAATTTCTAGAATTTTCTTCATCAAGATCTTGCATACCTTTGCTGGACTTACTTCTAATTCATTTTCAGTAATATTGTAAATAGTATCTTTTTATAAATTTCACTTTCATTGCTGTTGCCCTACAGACCTGCTATTATCTTTTAACAACTTTAAAATTCACAGACCATAAAATTTACCCAAAATATACAATATAATGATTTTAGTATTTTCACAGAGTTATGCAATCATTACCATAACCAATTTTGGAAGTTTTCATCACTCCAAAAAGAAACTTCATATCCATTGTCATTTCCTCCCCATTTTCTCCCAACAGCCACCCTTTCTTTCCTGACAACTACTAATCTACTTCTATCTCTACAGATTTGGCTATTCTGGACATATCAGTTAAATGGGATCATAGAATATATGATGCTGGCTGGGCGTGGTGGCTCATGCCTGTAATCCCAGCACTTTGGGAGGCCAAGGAGAGTGGATCACTGGAGGCCAGGAGTTTAAGATCTGCCTGGCCAACATGGTGAAACCCCATCTCTACTAAAAATATAAAAACTTAGCCTGGCATGGTGGTACACGCCTGGAATCCCAGGTACTCAGGAGGCTGAAGCAGGAGAACCGCTTGAATGTGGGAAGTGGAGGCTGCAGTGAGCTGAGATCGCACCACTGCACTCCAGCCTGAGTGACAGAGACTGTCTCAAAAAAAAAAAAAGAAGTAATAATCAGTTATCATTCATACTGATTTGTCAGCCTTCTTTTGGTGAAGTCTCTCGCTTTTTATTTTCAAGAATTTCAAGGGTCTGAGTAAAACTGGCCCCTAACCCTCAAGAACTAGATGGGGATAGATAAAAAAGTTTTTTATATAGTCAAGCTTTGTGAGTGTTACTGGTCACTGACTCTCCTCTTATGAGGTCCCTCTCTTACATAAGCAATATGATTAAAACTGATGAAATATTTGTGTACATTATATTCAAAGAGGAGGAGCAGTTGCAGCATATTTTGTATTTTGTAGGCTTTTATTTTATTTTGTATTTTTTGTTCCTAATGCTTAGTTTTCTCAAGCTTTTTACTAAATGACATTTTGAGTTGATCTGAGAGTTTAATCTTTATTTCTAGATGTCAGGATTTCAGTGGTTCTTTTAAAAATAATCAGCTCTACTGCTTACTCTGATTAATTATTTTCCCTAGGCCTCAGGATCATTCAGCTCAGCAAACAAATACCGCTGGAAGCAATGTTACTACATCATCAACTCCTGATAGTAACTCCATATCTGGTTCTGCTACTGGCAACCCTTTTGGTTTAGGTGTCTTTAGTCATTCCAATAGAAATGCAAAAAAATACCCCTTTCTGTTTCTGGGTAGTTTCAGATAAAATGAGAAAATAAAACTTTATGTCACTTTAACAACAAAAATCTTAAAAACTAATTTATATAGTCCTACAATTGTAGATATTAAGGAAGTGGTTGGGGATATGGATGTCCTGGGTTACCTTACATTTAATAAGTGGTCAATAATTGGCACATTTCTTTTTAATAATGAAAAAGATGCAGTGTATGTATACCTGATCTGACTACCACATAATTTAGCATGAGTAAGATTAGTTAATTGTTCATCATAAGCCAGCACTTCTGAGTAATAATTTTCTCATTTGTAAAATGAAGGGATGGGACTGCATTAGTTATTTTTGTAACTATCCTGAATACATGGAAGGGCTGGGGCCTGGGAAGCCAGCCCAGCCTAAAACTGCTTTTACTTTTCTTATAGTCGTTTTTTTGTTTGTTTTTTGTTTTGTTTTGGTTTGGTTTGGTTTTTGTTTTTTAGTTTTTTGGTTTTCTTTAAGAGAGGCAGGATCTTGCTCAGTCACTGAGGCCAGAGTGCAGTGGTGCCATGATAGCTCACTGCAACCTCAAACTCCTGACTTATGGGATCCTGTTGCCTTGGCGTCCCAACCTACAGCATCTATAATGCTGAGGTTACAGATGTGAGCCACTGCGCTTGGCCTATATTAGATTTATATATTGAGGTTCTGTGGAAGATTTTGTTGAGGATGAAAGCACTCTGAAGCTTAACAGAAGTTGAAGTAGATAGATAAATGGCTTAATGCTTCTTTTGATTCTTGTATGACTAGTATAGCACCCTGAAATGGCATATTTATGCACAGTTTTTACATATCAATGATCATGCCTTTTATCTCTTCCATAAGATTAATTCAGTTGTGCCATGCCAAATGTATGTTAGAGGCATTTAAGGTATGGCATGGCTTGACATAGGTTCACATTCACTGTTAGTTTTGTTTTAAATGTTTCCTGTCCTTATTTTCCAAAAAGATCTTGTGTTAAGTCTTTTGATTGAGGAAGGTGTGTTTTAGTTGTCAAAAATTATTCATATGAACAATCTAGAGAAATTAGGATGAAATGATTTAATGTTCAGACCTATGAAAGGTATTGTTGAGGTAATTCTCTCCTGTCTTCCTTCATGTTATAGGCAGAGATCTTGAATCAGAAAGAGGCTTTTAGTTATTTTGTCAGAGGCTACGCAACCCCCATATCCCTTCATTTCTAGTCTCATTCCCACATCCTCCTTCTATCTCTGCAGCTTTTCTCCATCAATTAATTCATCAATTAATCTAACTTCAAAGATCATACTTTTCCTACTCTGTTAAAGGCCCTGATAATCCATTAAACAAATGATTGACAAGAAGTGAATCAAGTCCAGGCACAGTGGCTCATGCCTGTAATCCCAGTACTTTGGGAGGCCGAGGTGGGCAGATCATTTGAGGTCAGGAGTTTGAGACCAGCCTGGCCAACATGGTGAAACCCCAGCTCTACTGAAAATACAAAAATTAGCCAGGCGTGGTGGCGCATGCCTGTAATCGCAGCTACTCAGGAGGCTGAGGTGGCAGGATCACTTGAACCTGGGAGGCGGAGGTTGCAGTGAAGAGATTGTGCCACTCACTCTGGCGTGGGTGACAGAGTGAGACCCTGTCTGCCTCAGAAAAATAATGATAATAATTTAATAAATAAATAAAATTTATTTTTATACATGTGTAAATCCAGTTGTTGTAGCACCATTTGTTGAAAAGACAGTTCTTTCCTCATTGAGTTGTCTTGTCACCCTTGTTGAAAATCAATTTCCCATAAACTTATGGATTTATTCCTGGACTCCCAGTTATATTCCATTGGTCTGTACATCTATCCTTATGTCAGTACCAAATTGACTTTATGAGTATATAAGTGAAGTAAGTTTTTTAAATGGGAGATGTGAATACTCCAACTTTTCCCTTTTTCAAGATTTTTCTATCTCCTTCAAATTTCCATATGAACTTCAGAATCAGCTTCTCAGTTTCTGCAAAGGAGCCAGCTGGGATTTTCATGAGGATTGTGTTGAATCTGTATAATTTGGAGGGTGTTGCCATCTCAAAAATATTGTCTTCCAAATCATGAAAACAGGCTGTCTTTCCATTTATTTAGGCCTCCTTTAATTTCTTTCAAAAATGTTTTGTCGTTTTCAGACTACCATTTTATACTTCTGTTAAATTTCTAATTATTTTGTTCTCTTTGATGCTCTTGTAAATGAAAATTTTTTTAATTTTTTCCTTGCAGATTGTTTAGAATTACAATTGATTTTATACACTGATCTTGTAACCTGTCACTTTCCTGATCTCACTTATTAACTCTAGTAGGTTTATTGTGGATTCCTTAGGTTTTCTATAAACAAGATCATGTGATCTGGAAATAGAGATAGTTTTACATATTCTTTTCCAATCTGGATGCCTTTTATTTCTTTTTCTTATCCAATTGCCCTGGCTAGAACCTCTAACAGAATGTAGAATAGAAGCGGTGAGAGAAGACATTCTTGCCTTGTTCCTGATCATAGGGAGAAACATTCAGTCTTTTCACCATTAAGTATGATGTTACCTGGGGTTTCACAGATACTTTTTATCTAGTTGGGAATTTTGTATTCCTGGTTTGTTGAGTATTTTGATCACAAAGGGAAGTTGAATTCTGTGAAGTGCTTTTGTTTTACATCTATTGAGATAACAGATACCATTTTGCCTTTCTGCAAACTTTGTTCTGGATCTTTAGAGTGGCCACTTTTAATTATGAAGATGTGAAGCAAGTATACAGCCATTACTTCCAGAAGAAAGTGTAACAAGCTACTTGGCTAAGACCTGGGATTTGACTTTTAAGCTCTTTCATGCATCTATTTGAACTCTCAGAATTAAACTGGGATCAAGGACTCTCCTGGAAGGGAAAGGGGGAAGATCCAAACTCTTCTCAATTAGACATATCAGAGCTGTGAGGCTCCTGGTATGTGAATATCTGTCCCAACCCAGCCATCTTTGTGGATGATTTGCCTCCCAGGGAAGTGCCTGTGCGCATTAAGGTGCTCGTCACTGAGCTCTGTTTAACCGCTGTGGAAATGGTCAGCTTCATACAGGAGCGCTGCCATTTCTGTTTGAGACTTACAGTACATGCTGTCCAGAATCTGGGGGTGATCTGGACTTGAGTGACTATAGAAACGCATGCAAGAAGCTGTGCCTCGCTAGGGACTCGGGGTTTCCAGAGTACCATGTGCCTCAGTACAACAGTTCTTGCAGTAGACAGGACCTAAAACCAGACCAATATTCAGCATCTGGGTTGCCCCATAGTAACAGCTGGGAAGCACCGAGACAACCAGGACCAGCAGGTGGCACTCTTTGGAAAGCAAAAAAAAAAACGTGGAATTCAGCTCTTAGGGGCACCTTTGAAGTTCCGCTGTCCTGGAAGCAGGCACAGAGTTTCACTGACACTGGCATGCTGGGTATCTTTCATTGGTACCTCCAGATACAATCTCCACCCTTCTCTTCCCTGCTCTGAGCCCAGGAAATTGGCATGCATGGGCACCGCCGGACTCCCTAGCTCTCCACCTTCCAATTGGGTTTGGCTGGTGGGGTTTGGCCACGAGCAGGAGATCACAGGGCAAGAGGAGGGGAGGGGAGGTTATTTATTCTCCTGATTATTTTTCTGCTGGGTCAACAAGGAATGTCTATCTCTCTCTTCCTAAGGCTACAGTCCTGTCAGACACTTCTTTCTATATGGTCTATTCTCTCTGTCTCTCTCCTTCCATTCTCTTCCCTTCCCATATAAAGGCTCCCTCTCATCAGCCCCTTTCTATTTAAGAGTGAAAACACTTCTCGGTTACTCAGATGTGGACTCTGCCCCTAGTTGCTTTTTCTGACCCTACCCACACCTGTGCTAATAGTCCCTTTGTTAAATCCTGTTCACCTGCCCCAATTTGAGCATGCTGTTTCCTGCCACCACCCTGAGCAGCACAGCAAGTTTAAGATCCTTGGACATGTCTGGGGAAAGAAATCCAAGGAGAAGAATCAGATTTTCTGCTAATCATTCTGATTTGAACATTGAAAGAAATATGAGCTTTTTTTTTTCATACTGAGCTAGCGAAGCAGGGCACGAGTTAAGAGTATTTGCATACACATCTATTCCTCTTATCAAGCTTGAGAATGCCTAGAGGGTAATCTTTTAAATGAATATTAATATGATATTAACCAGCACATGGTAGATGTTCAAGAAATGTGTATTGACCATAACTGAATTGTAAGACCTCTCTCCAAGCCTCAATTTCTTCACCTGTACAGCCCCCATCCAGATTGAAATCTCACCTACTCGGGCTAAGTATATGAAAAACAAAGGCAGTGCAGGGGTAATTGAACTATTCATTAGATAAATGCTTTTATGTCACTTTTATTGTTTTCTAGGACACAGAGTAATACCTACCTTGGTTAACAAAAGACCAAAGGAGGTGATGCCAAATGCGGTTAGAAGTGCTTTTAATCACTTTGGGAGGCCGAGGCGGGTGGATCATGAGGTCAGGAGATCGAGACCATCCTGGCTAACAAGGTGAAACCCCGTCTCTACTAAAAATACAAAAAAAATTAGCCGGGCGCGGTGGCGGGCGCCTGTAGTCCCAGCTACTCGGGAGGCTGAGGCAGGAGAATGGCGTGAACCCGGGAAGCGGAGCTTGCAGTGAGCCGAGATTGCGCCACTGCAGTCCGCAGTCCCACCTGGGCGACAGAGCGAGACTCCGTCTCAAAAAAAAAAAGAAGTGCTTTTAATCAAATAGTTCAAACGACACATAATTAACATTGTTTTAAAGCAAATGGACACTTTAAAGTGGTGCTCCTTCCTCTTAAAGCCCCAACCAGTGCTGGATTTAACAGCAGAGCCATACAGCCAAGACATATGCTGCTACGGTCAACACTCAACCCTAAGTTTGACACCAAAAGATGGCCGCCATTTATTATTGTGACAAAAGGCCAGATTACAAAACGCTGTGTACGGCCTGATCCCAGTTTTACAAAATACTCATACCCATCTATCTACGACGGGGCGCGGGGAAAGGGGAGTCGTTTTAGGAAGTGCTGCTTATTGCTGCCTGGTGTGGGAAATTATGAGTCTTATTTTCTGTTTATTCTTTTTACAAGAACATTTTTATAAATGAATGAATGAATGCTTTCCATGGGTGGATGAGGATCCGGCCTGCCAGGGTGAGGATCCTCTGGAACCAAGAGGGGCCGGGGCAGTAGAACGACAGGTGGCGGGGCTTTGGGCGGCTCCCTCCAGCCCAGGGAGACGCGAGTGCCAGGCCGGGCGCGCGCTTCACTTCCGGGAAGAGGAAAGAGGGAGGGGAGGGGAGAGGAAAAGAAGGGGCAGGAGAGAGAGGCCGGGAGGTTGGGAAAGGGAGGAGGAAAGCATGGAAAAGGGGCGCGGGAAAACGGGGAGGGCGCAGAGGGGCACGGCCCTCACTGCCCCGGCCGGGGCGAGAGCGGCTCCGCCCCTCGAGCGCCGGGTAGGCCGGGGCCGGCGGGGCCCGGAAGGCGACGGGAAGGAGCCGAGCTTGGGTTATGGCGGCGCCGGGCGCGCTGCTGGTGATGGGCGTGAGCGGCTCGGGGAAGTAGGTCCGGGAGAGGGCGGGGGGCGCCCGGGACAAGTGTTGCGGGCGCGGCGGAGGCCGGACGCGTCGCCGTCCCTGCCGGTGGACTGGGGTCTTGGGGACCCCCCACCCTTCCCTTTGCAGATGAAGAAACCGAGGCCCGCGGCTGCCGCGCCCTCTCCCCGCCCTCCAGCCTGCTCGCGGGGCGCCCATCCTGGGACCGCATCCGAGCTCCGGGTTCCCGCTCTAAGACGGGGAGGCTGCGGCGACCGCAGGCTCAGGGAGGAAGCCGCTCCTGAACAGGCGGCTGCGGGGCCGCGCAGGTGGAGGCCTAGCGAGCGGCGCGGGGCTAGGTTTCGGGGCGCCTTGTCGGGGCCAGGCGGGAGGGCGCACGGCCTCTAGCGAGAGGACGCAAACCACGGCCCAGGCTCTCACAGACCTTTGGCCATCTGGACACACAGCGGCCTCCTCCTATGAGGCCCTGGACTTCTCCGATTCAATTTTGGAAAGTGAATCGTTTTCCCCTTCCTTTCATCAGCTTAACCTGGAAGGAGACAGCGTTAATATGGAGGGTGGCTCCTGAGGGTTTGGAAAGAAAGAAGAGAATTGTGGAAACCACAGAGGTAGCCCAGTGTGCTAACCTGGAGACTGAGGAGTTAACATTTGGCTTCCTGTTTAAACCAAAGTCTAACTGTGCCCTTTATCAGAAAAGACAGCTGCTGTACCATTCGACCACAGGCAGCAAAGGACAGAACTTGATCAGCTAAAACATCATAACCTTCAAGGGCCTATAGGACCCTTCTAGAATTTTCTGAATCAGGAACGGCCCATGTTGTGGCCTGTGTAGTCAGGTGTATATTAAAGATTTACTCCAGGTAGATGGGTTTTGCTTTCCAAAATTATTGTAGGGTTCTCAGCCACAAAGATAAAAAGAAATCTTGAACTGCAATTGAAATAAAACATGGAGCCCCCAAATCCCTAGCTGCCATATGATTTGAATCAGTTGGAGAATGTAAAATCATTGCCATGGTGTGATGTAACAGGAGTGAAGAGCCCTAGGTCTTGGTTCTGTTGCTGTCTGGCTGTGTGAGCCTGGGCAGTTCATGTACCCCCTCTGAGTCTTGAATCAGATGAGGGAGGCCTAATCCCTATGATGTATAGCTTGTGATATTCATGTACTCAGTAATTATTGAGCTCAATCCTTACTCTATGTCATTGTCATATAGCGAACAGGACAGATAAAATCCCTGCCCTCAAAGGATTTACATTCTGGTATGGGAGACAGAGTAAATGAATATATGTAGTGTGTGAGTTGGTGATAGATGCTCTGGAGTAAGGGGAACAAAGAGTGCCAGGCAGAGTGGTCAGGGATGTCTCCTCTGGGGGAGTGGCGTTTCAGCAAAGACCTGCAAGACTTGAGGAACCTGCCATGTGGATAGCTGAGGAAAGGGCAGGACAGGCAGAGGGAATGGCAGGTGCAATGGTTCTGAGGCTTAGCTTCTTTTGTTTTTTTTTTGTTTTGTTTTGTTTGAGGCGGAGCTTCACTCCTGTTGCCCAGGCTGGAGTGCAGTGGTGCAATCTTGGCTCAATGCAACCTCCTCCTCCCGGGTTCAAGCAATTCTCCTGCCTCAGGCTCCTAAGTAGCTGGGATTATAGGCGCCCACCACCATGCACAGCTAATTTTTTGTATTTTTAGTAGAGACGGGGTTTCATCATGTTGGCGAGGCTGGTCTCAAACTCCTGACCTCAGGTGATCCATGCGTCTCAGCCTCCCAAAGTGCAGGGATTACAGGCGTGAGCCACCGCGCCCAGCTAAGGCTTGGCTTCTTTAAGGAGCAGGAAGGAACCCATTGTGGCTGAGTGAGGGGAAGCATGATGGGAGATGAAGTCAGAAACAATGCAGGTAAAGAGAATGTGGTCATATGCTGGCAATATTTTGAAGGTAGAGTCAGAAAGATGTGTTTGTGGACTGGATGTTGGGTGTAAGAAGACAAGAGAGAAGTCAAGGATGATTCAAGATTTTAGGCCTGAGTAATTGGAAGGAGGGAGTCGCCACAAACTGATTTGGGGAAGCAGTAGATAGAGCAGATTTGGAAGACAACCTCAGAAGCTCAGTGTGGGATATGGTGACTTGGACGAGCCAATTAGTCATCCAGTGGATGGTGGTTGGATGTCCAAGTCTGAAGTTCAGAGGAGAGGGACTTTAGATCTAACTGTGGGAATCACTGTTGTGTGGGTGTACTTAAAGATCTAAGGTGTTGAGATCACCAAAGGAGTGCATGTAGATAAAGAAGCTGGCCAAGAACTGAACCCTGGGGACTTTCAGTGGCGCAGGGTCAGGGAGATGTGTCCAATGTTATTGACTAGCTGAGTAATAAAAAGACTGGGACTTGATTATATTCATCATTGGATGTAGCAACATCAAGTTCTTTAGTGACTTTGTGAACCCCTATTGGAGCCCTACAGGATTTTTTAATTATACTCCATAGCATTTAGAAAAATATTTATCACAGCCTAATGGCTGAAGAGAACAATAGTCTCAAAACAGAAAGACTCCATTTAGAACACTGTTAAAACACAGTGACCTCAAGGACTAAGTTTGTTACTGTCTTCCCCCACCTGAATGTAAAGGATTATTTTCCTTTTTATTTACTGATACATGTGTCTAGAACAGTTCCTGGCATTTCGTAGATACTAAATACTTGTTGACTTAATGAATGGATGGATGGATGGAAGACGGCAGGCATCTGAGTGGGTGGCAGAGTTAATTTTCTTTATATTTTCACAATCTTAATGAAGCCACCCTTAACATCTCCTTCCAGGTTTCCTTCTCTTTGCTGATGAAACAAGCTCAGACCTTTTGAATATCTTTCTCATTGATTCTGCATCCCTTCCTTCTCCCCCATTGGTCTGTGTTGTCTTTTTAAGTCCCTTGCCCCTGATTTAGACCAACCCACTGGGAGACATATGGACCCCAAATCTTGATTTGTAATCCTGGGTCTGACCAGTATTTTTGGGCCCAGCACTGTGCCTTATTTCTGCCAGGGTCTTTGGTGCATATTCAAGAGTCCAGGTGTTCTCTGGTTTAGACAGACAGTGGTTTTTCTTTTCCCATCTTCTTCCTGACAGTCTACACCCACATCTCTTTACCTCTGCTTTCAAATTATGAGTGCTGGCTGGCATGTTCATTCATGGCTAATCTAACTTGTTTTTTTGTTTTTTGTTTTTTGTTTTGAGACAGACTCTCACTCTGTCGCCCAGGCTGGAGTACAGTGGCGTGATCTCGGCTCACTGCAACCTCTGCCTCCTGAGTTCAAGCGATTGTCATGCCTCAGCCTCCGGAGTAACTGGGGTTACAGGCGTGCACCACCACACCCAGCTAAGTTTTGTATTTTTAGTTGAGACGGGGTTTTGCCATGTTGGCCGAGCTAGTCCCGAACTCCTGGCCTCAAGTGATCCGCCTGCCTCAGCCTCCCAAAGTGCTGGGATTATAGGCGTGAGCCAAGGGCTCAACCTAACTTGGTCTTAAGTGTGATTTCTGCTATGCACACTTCTGGCTTCACCAGCCATGGAGTTTGGCCGGGATGGTCTACTCATCCGTAGGCTGCATGTCTCCCTGCGCAGCCTTCAATAGAATGAACTAATGGGAAAGGTTTCACTGCTCTCGCAACCTTTGGTTACATCCAGGAGCAGATCTCAGTTTGGTACAACTGTGTCTAACACCTCTCTGATAGCTTTTTAGTGAAAGAAAGAGGACCTTTGTTAGGCAACAGTATCCAGCTAGAATTTAATCACATTGTTCTGTTTTCATTATATACAGCTTTTCAGGTACCTTCTATTCAAGGCAAGTGATGATAGCTTCTTGTGCAAGGGAATGAAAGAAAGTTTCCTTCTTTAACACACTTATTTAATTTTTAAAAGTGAAGCAATTAAATAAAAACATCAAAATGTTGAGGTGATATGTAAAATTTAAGAGGGCATGATAAAATAGTATGGGGATAGGTAAAAATTAGGAAGATAGTGCTTAAATAATTGGCATTTGGGCAACACTTTAAACATTGAAAGCGAGAAAGCACTTTATGGGTCATTGTCTGCTGGCCTCCACCCCTACCTACCCTATGTACTAGACTGTTTAGGAAGGCTGAGGCCATGTGTCAGTGAGCTTACCGTTACATCCTGGGAACTGGTAGGTGCTCAATAAAGAAATGAAATGTAGGTGGATGGATACATCATGTGGCTCAGATCCCTTGTTTTGCAGGTGAGAAAACTGAGGTTTAAAGGAACAGGTGACTTGGCTGGGAGCACTCAGTCATTTAGTGGCAGTAGGCAACTGTGGCCCCATCTCCAGTACTGAGTCCCGAGCCCCTTTCACTAGCACATGCTGCCTGGTAGAGTATGAACAGATAGTTACCAAATGCTCTACACAGAGAACATTTAACCCCCAGTCTTAACAAGTGCCGGTGATTCATGAGATATTGACCCATGTCCTTTATTTTACGAGTGTGTCTCTTTTAAACTCCAAAAATGTTTTTATGCTTTTATGAGTGTCCTGAACTTTACATGGGTGCTGCTGGAGATTAAATCCTCCATCAGACCCCTCCATTCAATATTTTCAGCAGAATTTTATCACTATGAATTCAACATCCCCACCACAAAAAAAAAAAAAAAAAAAAAAAAATTACACAACAGGGACCAAAAACTGATTACTGAAGAAAAAACTTGGGTTTAATGAGATCTTATATATTGCCTTTAGAGAAAGAAATAGTGTTAACTAATTATTTCTTCATTGACATTCGTGGGGATCAGCTAAGGCCAGTCTCCAGACTCCACGGTCACGGGCATCACTGCTTTAGGATTACACAGTGATTGGTGTTTAAATTCCTGCTAAGGCAGCCATCCCTTTCCCAGACATCCTTGCACAGAAGGAAGCTCCACACATTGGGCAGGGCAGTAACGGGAACATCTGTGTCCTCTCCACAGATCCACCGTGGGCGCCCTGCTGGCATCTGAGGTTAGTAACCTGTCCTAATGCCTTCCGAGTGCTTGTCCCATTGTGTTCTGGTCTCCTTGCATCTCTGCCTTTTTTCTGCTTTGTACAGACACTTCCACATGGCTTTGAACCCCACTGGAGCAATTTTGTTTTTCTCCTTGGTGATTACAAATAGTGATGAATAGGCAGGGTGCGGTGGCTCATGCCTGTAATCCCCACACTTTGGGAGGTGGGCAGATCATGAGGTTAAGAGTTCAAGACCATCCTGGCCAATATAGTGAAACCCCATCTCTACTAAAAATACAAAAATTAGCCGGGCATGGTTGCACGCGCCTACTGTAGTCCCAGCTACTCAGGAGGCTGAGGCAGGGGAATCACTTGAACCCGGGAGGTGGAGGTTGCAGTGAGACAAGATTGCGCCACTGTACTCCAGCCTGGTGACAGAGTGAGACTACATTTCAAAAAAAAAAAAAAAGTAATGAATTAAAGGAGGCTGTGGTAGCCCAGTCATGGGGGTTGTGAAATGGCATGACAAGGTGCTTCCCTCCTGGGGGTTGTCCTTGGGGTTGATGGGAACCAGGCGGGTGGTATTGTTTCTACACCTGCCTGTTAGTAATCCCACAATGACTATCACATTGGCCCATCTGCCTGCCACATACACCCTTTCACTTTGTTCTTAAAGCTGGGATGGAAATTCTATGATGCTGATGATTATCACCCGGAGGAAAATCGAAGGAAGATGGGAAAAGGCATACCGCTCAATGACCAGGTAACAATTGCTGTCTGTGTCCATCACACATATTCCACCTGGGTGACAGGATGAGCTCGCTACAGCACTTGCTGTAGTAGAGTTCGTGAGTCCTAAGGTCACTGTACAGGGGCTACAAAGAGCCAGGTGCCCAGTAGATCCTCTACATATGTTAGCTCCAGTCCTGAACAACTGTCTGAACATGGCCCCAGGAACAATGCCACCCTCTGCCCCAGCCTGAACAGGCTCTGCCAAAACACCTTGTTGTGGGATTTTAACCTGAAGAATGTAATTCCTGAGAGGTCAGAGGCTCCCTGTGCCTCATACATGGGGAAGTCCTCATCTTCTCTTCCCAGGTGCTGTCAGCCTACCACTATCACCGTACTCTAGCATTCACCCTAAAGCCAGAGTGATCTTTGAGAACTCAAAGCTGGCCATGTTTCTTCTGCCTGTGACCCTTTAGAGGCTTCCCACCAACCTCAGGATCAAGACCAAATACTTACACTGCTAAGCATGCATGGCATGGCCTCCACATGGCTCCAGCCTCTTTAGGAGCCATGCGCCTCCATATCTCCACAGGAGCTCCCTGGCCTCTTCCAGCCCCTCCCACTGCAATGCTTCTCCCATGGGGCCTTTGTATCCCTGTTCCCTTCTTCCCTGAGCTAGCCCTTCTCATCCTTTGATCTCAGCACCCATGCTGCTTCCTCAGGGAAGTGAAACCTCCATGATGGACTCTCATGGTGCCATTTCATTGTTGCACTTGTCCCTGTGGCAGCTCAACAACTGATGGTCTGAGAATTTGATTAATGTTTGTCTCTGCAACTAGACTTTACCCCTAAAAGGGCAGGGACTGTGGCTGTTTCTGTTAACCATTGTACCCCCCAGGCCTGACACACAGTAAACATCAGAAAATAGTTGTGGCATGTTTTCGAGTGAATGAATGGATGAATAGCACTCTCCTGTGTGCAGGCCGTGAGGCCATCCCCTAGAGTGTCTCACACCAGAGTTACAAACTCGCTGGCATAACTGGCCATAGTTCAGGAGAGATGAGGGCAGGTCAAAGGCTGGGGCCACGCACTAAGTGTGTCCAAAGGGCAAGAACGAATGGAACTGGCCGCAGACCAACACTGTTGTTCTCACTTTCAGTGGGGCTGGGCTCACCCCCAGGTGTCCTTTCCCTAGCTCACTGTCTTTTTCTTTTTTGTGCCTTGAGCCATTAAACCATTATTAGGTCTATTCTAGAGCACCCCAAGAGTGCACTTCTCTTTGTTATTGGGGGTACAGCTTGAGTTTGCAGTGCTTCAGGCCTTGAATCATCACAGGTTTGCAACATTTGATTTTAGAAGATAGGGCAATAGAACTATAAAAGAGAGTAATAATAATGAGAGTAATAATAGTATAATAGAGTAGTAATAAAAAAGAGTAGTAATAATGTTGATACTAAACTAGAGATAATAAACATAGGCAACCTGGTTCCACCACCAGGCTTGTATGAGCTTGACAAAGGGCTTAGTCTCTCTGTGCCCCATTTTTCTCCTGTGGGGTAGGAATGGTAACAGGATCTATTTGATTGGATTCTTGGAAGTATTAAATGAGATAATACAAAAAATATGCACAGAAAAGTGCCTGTAGCATTCAATAAATATCACGTTTTAAAATTATTGCTAACCATACGCATACAACATAAATCATATATACATGCCAATAACCATTTCTAAGGGAGTGTATAAAATGTGACTGTGCCAGTGTTATTTTAGGTTTCTCTTTGGTGACTGCAAATAAAAGGTAAGTTAAATAACAAAATAAAGCAACCAAAATTGATAGATTTTAAAATGGAATTTCTGTAGTCTTCCTCTTCTTCACAAGTGATGCTTGTTAAGTGGACTCTATGGATTGGGGGGTAGAATTCAGAAGAGAAATTTATGTACAGGAGAAAAGATTACTGGAAGAGACACAAGTTACTTACTAAATTTTTTCAGAAAAAAAAACTACAAGCTAGGCAGACCTTAGAGATAACCAAAACAGAGAGATAAGGAGGTAGAACGACAGATGGTTTACATTCTCAAGAGGTAGAACGACAGATGATTTTCATTCTTGATAAGAATCCAACGAGTCTAAGACTGAAGATATGGGTCACAGCTGGGCTGGCACCAATACAGCTCCTGGTTGCCCCGGTAACCGGTCCCCACCCTCCCCGCACTGCCCCCATGCTACAGAGCTGAGGAAAGCCCCCTGTGAATGGATTAAAGCGTGTCCGTGTCCAAGTCAGAGGCCCTGGTTCTCCCTTGAGGAAGAGTCTAGGGAGGACGTGGGGAGAGTTTTGTGTTCGGAGGGCTCAGAGCTGCAGTCTGTGTAGAACATGTTAAGGGCTCCCTAAGGCTATTTAAATGTAAATTAGGCCAGGCTCAGTGGCTCAAGCCTATAATCCCAGCGCCCCAGGAGGGAGAGGCTGAAGACCAGGAGCTTGAGACCTGCCTGGGCAACATAGCAAGTCCCTGCCTCTACAAAAACTGAAAAAAAAAAAAAAAAAAAGGCTGGTGGTGCATGCCTGTAGTCCCAGCTACTCGGGAGGCTAAGGTGGGAGGATGGCCTAAGCCCAGGAGTTCGAGGGTACAGTGAGCTGTGACTGCACTACTGCACTCTAGCCTGGGGGACAGAGTGAGACCCTGTCTGAAAAAAATATATACAAATTAATTAAAATAGATAAAATGTAAAATCTAGTCCCTGGGTTATACCAGCCACATGTCAAAAGCTCAGTAGCCATGAGTGGCTACTGGCTACCTTACTGGACAGCACAGCTATAGAACATCATTGCAGAAAGCTGTGTTGGACAGTGCCAGTCTAGAAACATTCTACCCAAGCTGTGATAAATTATTAGCGTTATGATGAAATTAATAATAAAGAATTTCAAAGCCACCAGTCAGTGAGTCTCCCCTAGGTGCCCAGCCCACAGTGTCCTATCTGAGCCTGCAGGGGCACCTGAATAGTCTTCAACTTCAAAGTCTATTGTAAAAAGAGGGCTTTTTTTGGGAAAAAAAAAATCCTGAAAAAAATCTCCTGATTATAATTGTAATATTTGCCCTGTATAGAAAATTTGGAAAGTACTAAAAAATTTTTTCACAAAATATATCACCCTTGGTCTCATCTTCCAAAAATATCTATGAATTGAATTTTGGAATTCTTCTTTTTCATGGAGGGGGTCAGTATATAACATTCTATATACTTAACTTTTGCATCAGGTAAAACACACCCATCTCCCCGCCATTCCCACTCCCCATCTTCCTTCCCGTCTCTCTCCACCCATATTCTACCATTATCTGTTCTCTCTTTACCCATCATCCCCTTCCAAAAGACATTTAATTTCTCAAGATGTTTCCATAGGCCAAGAAAGCTTTCTCTAGCCTCATGACATTCTGATTTCACTCTTCGTAGAGCATTCATTGTGCTCACCTCCGAGCACTGGGCTGGGAGTCGGGAGTGCACTGCCTTCCCCATCTTTGCGTGTAGGGACTATCTAGAGCAGGGGTGTCCAGTCGTTTGGCTTCCCTGGGCCACACTGGAAGAAGAATTGTCTTGGGCCACACATAAAATACACTAACATTAACGATAGCTGATGAGCAAAAAAAAAAAAAAAAAAAAAAAAAATCACAAAAAAAATCTCATGTTTTAAGGAAGTTTACAAATTTATGTTGGGCCACATTCAAAGCCGCAGTAGGGTTTGCGGGCTGTGTGTTGTACAAGCTTGATCTGGAGTGTGAAAACCTTGAACATCAGAGCCATAGGCAGAGATGCTAATTTGGATTGTCTCATTTCTTTCCTCTAAAACTTCTGTGTGTTTGATTTTCATAACTTATTATATTGTCCACAGTAACTGTCTGGAAGGCATAGAGCTCAGTGAATTTGCTCTAATATCTCCTTCTTCCAATTTCTTCACTGTAGAGAGATCTCAATTCCCCCCTTTCTTCATTATGAACATAAAATTTGGAGCTCATGTGTCTAGGTCCTTCCTAGCACCTTTACAATAAGGTCCACACTCCTTAGCAGGCCAGTCAAGGTCTTGAAATTATCTTTATCTTTTAAGATTTACTCTTTCCAAGGCCTGATCAAGATTGGCCTGTCCTCCAGGCGCAGTGGCTCACGCCTGTAATCCCAGCACTTTGGGAGGCCGAGGCGGGCAGATCACAAGGTCAGGAGATCGAGACCATCCTGGCTAACACGGTGAAATCCCGTCTCTACTAAAAATACACAAAATTAGCCGGGCGTGGTGGCAGGCGCCTGTAGTCCCAGCTACTCGGGAGGCTGAGGCGGGAGAATGGCGTGAACCCAGGAGGTGGAGCTTGCAGTGAGCCAAGATCACACCACTGCACTCCAGCCTGGGTGACAGAGCAAGACTACATCTCAAAAATAAAAAAATAAAAGAAGATTGGCCTGTCCTCCTGCTGTGTTATCATAGCCCTTCTTAGTATATCTCCCACAGCCCTCATCACTGCCCTGCAGGTGACTTAATAGATTACTCATTTGCCTCTTCTCTTTGAGGACAGGAACCACACCATTCATATTTATCCCCAGTGCTCACTCAGTATGGTGCTTTGCACCACATTTAATGTTTGTGGAATTAAGGCCCAGTGCCTACCAAATTCATGAATTTAAACTCTTTCAAAAATTCAGAGTTGGAAATAAGTACTGTTTATTTCAACTGTTAAATCAACCAAAAAATAGTTTATTCCTTTTCTTATTTAAATCCCAGAGCAGCTCAATGAATTATATACGATCCCCACTTTACAAATGAACAAAGAGAGGTGCAGAGAAATTAAGTAACTTGAGCAAAGCCACACAGCAAAGGGAGTCTTTCTAACTTCAAAGATCATACTTCTCCTACTGTGTTAAAGGCCCTGATCATCCAACCATTAAACAAATGATTCACAAGAAGTGAATCAAGGTTTGTTAAATTGAGAGAAAAGGGTTAGACAGAGGGTGAGAATGACAGCAGGAATGAGAGGGGCAGTTCCCCACAAGCACATCCATGGTAGGGGTTAGGCCTTAAAGATGTCTGAGGCACTGACTTAAAGGGTGGTCATGACGGCACTGACATGGTAGCCTGGCTTAAAGCAGGTCAGGCACTAGAACTTGAATTTCTACACTGGCGCTGCCTTGGAAAAAACCTTTCTCCTTGTGGCTTTATGGGAATCTCCAAAGAAAATTCATAATCATTTAATTATGATTCACTATTTGGAAATTTCAGGAATAATGTTCAAAGTGCTGCTCTTTTATTTCCAACCCTCTCTATTGTTTTTATGACTGATGGACACAGTCCTTACTGGTGCATGGTCATTAATCTGGTCTGCCATAAATTCCGATAAGGTGGATGTCTAAAAGCACCTATTTTTGTTTAAATAGTTTTATATTTATGTTTATTATGGCTTTCATAGTTGAGATTCTGAAAAGCTTTATTATGACTAGATGAAGCAGTGTGCTTTATTATTGACTAAAGCATCCATTAAGGCACTATTAAAACAATGAAAAAACATGTATTCAAAGTAAAGCTCTATTTCTTTGTACACAAGATAGAAAACTTATTACCCAAATATGTTTTCTGTAATTTTTGTTTGTTTCATTCTTATGAAATATTTCAGGCACATAGAAAGTATAATGAATAAGATAGTCAACACTCAGCTTAATGAAAAGTATATTTGTTTCCTAAGCCATAAAATAATACAGAGATTGATCTCCATTTCCACAGCACAAGCAAATAGAAATATTTGTGCAGATGGAATGGCGGAATGTACAATCTGAGCAAAATAGCAAAATGCAAGTTTGTGCCTCTGCTAATAAGAAAGAAATTCTGGTATTTAAACAAATTGTCCTCTCTCTTTGGTTCACCCCAAACTCATTATGAACATTTACTCGTGCCAAAAAGAAATTAATTTTTTTCTGTGTATTTCATCTCTGAGTCAGTCCTAATTCATAGTTCGAATTGCCCCTTAACTCTAAGTAGATATGTGATCATGTAAATTAGCATTCAGCCCTCAGAACTTTCCAATCACTTCCTCTTCTAAAGCATTCTTCTTGCTGAATGGAGATTCGCAGCCCACGGCACTAGTCTTAAATAAAGCCTTAAAAGTCCCATCCAGAGACTTCTACAATGACAAGGGGTGCACCTTGGAAAAGGCTGGTTGACTACCCAGCTGGGACTCCAGGGCTGGCTCTCTGTCTTGCAGGCCCAGCCCCCTTGATATTGTCAACACACTGAACATGGATTCATCTGTCATGTGAGACCCCTACCAATCAGGTTTACAAGTTCCTGCATAAACCAAAATGCCAGTTGATCAATGTACCAAAAGAAATACAACTGTCACGTGGCCTGTAACAATCACATTAGTACCCACATTTTCAGAAACCAACATACAGAGGTTTCTTAGTGAACATGGGAGAGTTAGGACCAAAGAATCTGGTGGCGCGAGACCATGCATTAGTAGGAAAAGGCTTGCTAATGAGAATACGATGTTCAAAGGCCAATGGCCAAGGCACCATGTCCGCTGGACAGTGCTTCACATTTCAATCTACAGTGCCCTGCTCTGGCCTTCTTGCCTACCCAGCCTGCCTGGGACAGACATGCTTCCTCTAGGTATGTGAAAATATTAAGATGGATCACAGTGATGCCTTGCTAGCCTGGGAGTCATTCTAACTCCTTCGCATGACCTTACACATCGCTGCCCCTTCCTTTTAACTGTTGATCTTTAAATTTAACCCTTAGAGAACAATCTTATTTCCTTCTTTTCCAAGTCCTTAGGAAAGCACCTCGCTGTGGTCCTCATTTTCTCAAAGATAAATCCTTTGACTCATAGCTTTGTAGAAGTTGACATAATTTCTATGATTTGAAGGCAGATGCCTCCATTTTCATGTAAAACATACTCTGGGGTTAGAAATCAGTCCCCTAAATGCTTATTCTACGCGGGCCAGTACATGCCACATTTTTATAGGACTGAATCCCAGAGTGGGAAGTAGAACCTCCTGCTAATGTGGGAGGCTTCAAGGCCCAGTGCCTTCTTTCATTACAACTGTCTGTTAGAGGAGCTGTTTTAGAAAATATATCCAAGAGGGTTTTTTTATAAAAAGCTGACATATAGCAGTATTATCTTTTTCATCTCCATTAGCCTGTGAATGTAGTAGAAAAGCTTGGCTAATTACAAGGGGAATAAGAGAAAGAAAGGAATTTAGAAAGATGAGTTCAAATGGTACCTTAGGAATTACTCAAACTTAGAATGATCATATCTAGGGTATTGGACCAAAAGCACCTACAACAGTGGCTGGGTCTCCCTACACACACAATCAGCACTTATAAATGGATAAAGGAAAGTGGAAATCCAAATTTGTGCTTGAAAGGGCAGCTTCTCCCCAGGGGCAATTTTCCATCAAAAAATACTTCAGAGGTCAGTCAATCCAGCTAATTGTCCCTGTAGCCTATAATCCTTGACATCCTTCTTCCCCATTCCCCACCATAAGCCCAGAAAACACTGAATTGCAATGGTAGTTTCAAGTTGCATAAATGTAGACTGCCCAACTTTTTTTCTCTTCACAGAGTGTCCAGAACATCTAGTTTTTTAGTAGGATGTCCTAGAAAACCTTGCCAATAATAAGCATTAAATATATACACTCTTCTCCAAGAGCACATAAAGTCTCCTCATATATTCTAACATTAATAACTTTATTTTGTGTTTTATTAACCACAAAAGAAAGACATTTTCTGACACACACAAAGACAGAAGGGCAGACTGTCAACTTCTCAGTCTAATGGAGAAATTTCAAAAACCTTTCTTGAAAATTTATACAGCAAGCAGACAAAAGAAATTATGAGTAAGGATACAGAAGATTTGAATAAATGCATTAAGTCTGACATAGGCATTAATGAAAAGTAAATAACCATATTATTTTCAAGTATATGTGGGACATTTATAAAAATTGACCATGTGGTCTGCAAATATGGAGCTGGTAAGCCTCATCATCTTGTTACTGCATTTACAAAAAACCACACTTGTTTCACTACATACACCTCCCAGACAAGTGCTAACATAAACAGATGTTTCATTTGTTAAGTACATTTCAGCTCTAAGTACATACATGACAGTAACTGTTGTGATTTGAGTAATGATTTATGTTAATTATGTAGCTATTGACATTTAGATTATAATTTGTGTAAACTGTGTGACTGTCATCATTTGATCTGTACATTTTGTGATTTTTGTAGCTATTACATTTGAACTCCTAAGTGATCTCTGGTTAAATAGTGTGTGCATGGAAGTAAAGTCTTAAGAGTTCTATGATTAGTAAACTTACGGGACCCTCAATCCTACATTAGCACGCAGTGCTTTAAAAATAATCTTGTATTTGATATGAAGAAAAAGAAATATTATTTCTAATTCTCCTCTTCCTTCTATGGAGAGTGGATCCAGGTAACTAGAGGGTTTTTGACTTGCTGAGCACAAAGTGATAGCCTTGGTAGAATGACCTTGCACTTACTGAAGATAAATTACTGTGAATAAGAAATGGCCTGAGCCCAGGGGAGATACCCAGGAGCTAAAGGTGGTTACCCAGAGCTGGAGAGCTTAAAAGGCTCCTCATGGAAAAGATCAAAGGAAAATAAAAATGGCCAAAGTCCAAAGCAAAACGAGAACATCTCATGTGCCAAAATCAAAGTGTGGCAAGGCTGAACTAAACCAGAATAACCCACTCCCCCACATTTTTTGACTGTATAAAAGCCAGGAGAGCAGGAGGCTGAGGTTTTGATGAGCCTATAGAGATGGGAGATAAGATTGTAAGCCTGTATGAAGCATGGAGCTGGACCTGAGTATCTTACATAAAGTCTTGTTGTTGTTGTTAGCATTGATGTCAAGTTGTAGAATATAAAGTCCTCATATAAGGGCTGTCTTTGAATGAGGACTAAAAATATTGCCACCCACTGAACTCAAAAGGAGCAAAAAATCTAGCTGCCTCCCTGGGCCACAGGTGGGAAAAAACAATCATCCTTGAGAAACCTGAGCTCCGGCTACACCCAAATTCACACTATATGACAAAGAGGCACCAAGCTTATAAACTGACATAAAACTGTTCTAGAATTGGTGAAACTGCCCGTGAAAGTGTTTCCAAAACTTAGGACTCCCACAAAGGAAAAAAAAAAATCCTTTGCTGAAGATGAAACTACAATCAGAAACTATAAACTATATGGGAAAATGGACCACTATGAGAGAGAATCAGCAAAAACACTAATGGTAAGATGTTGTTCTCCAAGAACTAGACATAATAGAATCAAATGGAAGACAAGAATAGGAAAATTTGAAAAAGAATGAAATAAAAATATTAGAAATAAAACAATCAATAGATGGATTAAACAATAAACTAGTACAGCTGAAGAGAGAACTAGTGAATTAGAAGAAAAGCAGATTGGAGGATATTACCCAGGATGAAGAAGAGAGCTAAACAGAAAATATTCAAGAAAAATGAATAGATGTGTATGATAAAATGTCAAACTTCCTGGATAGCTACAAGGAACCCAAGTAAATAGAATAGGAGAAAGGCTATATTCAAATAGGTAGTAACAACTTTTCCAGGGTATGAGTACTCACACTGAATATGCAAAATAAGTCCTGAGCAGGGCAAGAATAAAACTGCAAAGCCGCTCAAAGACAAAGAGGCTTTTTCCTACATAAAGCTACCAGAGATAAGATATATTTTCTAAAGGATTGACTAATACACTAAAAGAGACTTCTCAACAATAAAGGCCCAAACAAAATGAAATAATTATTCAAACTATTGAAAAATAATGGTCAACCAAGAATTCTTCACCAACTAAAAAAATCTTATTCACAAGTAAGCACAAAATAAAGACATTTTCTAACATACACAAAGACAGAAGGGTGGACTGTCAACTTCTCAGTCTAATGGAATTTCAAATAACTTGAAAAATTGATACATAAAGTAGACAAAAGAAATTATTAGTAAGAATATAGAAGATTTGAATAAATGCATCAAGCCTGACATAGGCATTAATGAAAAATAATATTCTTTTTAAGTACATGTGGGACATTTATAAAAATTGACATGTACTAGACCACAAAGAGTATTGCCACAAATTTCAAAGAATCAGTATCATACCACTCACATTTTTTACTATAATGAACTGTAAATCAATAATAAAAATGCACACACATCACCAAAATGGTTGGGAACTCTAAAAATAAATAAGCAAATTTTTTAAAAAATTAACATTCATATAAATAATTTATGTTAAAAGTCACAATGGAAATTACAGAATATTAAGTAATATACAACAAAAGTACTATCAATTAAAATTTGTGGGATGCAGTTACAACATTACTTAGAGGGAAACTAGCCTCTAAATACATTTTTGGGAAATAACAAGAATGAAAAGTAACGAGCTAGTTGCTCAGTTCAAGTAGAAAAAAATAAATGCAGGAAATAACAGAAATGAATGCTAGTGAAAACAAACTGGGCACATGTTCTCAGGATCTCCTGAGGGCTGTGTCATGGGAAAAAATAAACTATGAACAAAAGCTAGTTGTTTGACAAAATAAAAATAGATCTCTGGTGAGACTCATCAAGAAGAAAGCAGCACAATTGAGATGAATAATGAAAAGAGGGAGGTGGAAAACCTGATGCCAGTAAATTTGAAGACTTAGACAAAACTGGATAATTTCAGTGAAAAATATCAAGACTGGGGAAAATGGGGTTGGATGGCAGTGATCTAGTGGCAGATACTGCTTAGGGACACCTGCTTTTTCCCCAGTGAAATTGTGACTATTCTGGTGCTGCATTTGGCTTAAGCAGCAGAAGGTCCAGAGAGCTGTATAATTTATAGTAAGGGCATGGATTGTTTATGTTACTCCTTTGAAGTAATGACAAAGGTGATAAAAAGTGACTATCTTGTACAGCAAGTGTAACCTACAGATACGAACTGTGTTCAAGGTTCTGGAGGCCTGGAAGCTGGGCTGAAATGAGCTGAATCTGCTCCTGCTGTGTGGCTGCCTGGCTTCCACCAAGTTCCTGATTCTTTAGCCAAGTAAGAGGATGCAGTAAGAGATGGGAAGGGCAGGGATGGTGGCTCACCTGTCTAAGTGTGGTCTCTTCCTGCCATCATAAATGTTGTAGCTACCAAAAGTGAATCAGGAATAGAAAACCTGAATACAATACAATGCTCATTAAAGAAATTGAATCTGTAATGAAAGATCTCCCCTCAAAAAAGGCCCCAGGCCCAGAAGGTTTTTCAGATGAGTTTTATCAAACATAATATATTATATACAAGCTGTTTGAAAGAACAGGACAAAAGGGAAAACTATCCTACTCATTTTATAAAGCTAGTAAAGCCCTGATACCGACATTTAATATGGACCATATTTTTAAAATATAGGCCCATCTCAAGTATATAAAATCAAAAATTCTAAATAAAACGGTAGTAATCAAATGCCTAAAAGCAAGGACTTTTAAAAACACATCATGTTTCTGGAATCAGCTTCAAAATAACCTAGGATGGGATTATTTGGGATGTGGGATGTGGTTGGGGGCATACGTATAACAAGACTAATAGTGGGTTGAAAATAGCTGAAGCCAGCCGGGTGCGGTGGCTCACACCTGTAATCCCAGAACTTTGGGAGGCCAAGGCAGGCGGATCACCTGAGGTCAGGAGTTCGAGACCAGCCTGACCAACATGGAGAAACCCCATCTCTACTAAAAATACAAAATTAATTAGTCGGGCATGGTGGTGCATGCCTGTAATCCCAGCTACTCAGGAGGCTGAGGCAGGAGAATCGCTTGAACCCAGAAGGCAGAGGTTGCGGTGAGCCGAGATCGTGCCATTGCACTCCAGCCTGGGCAACAAGAGTGAAACTCCATCTCAAAAGAAAATTGCTGAAGCTGGGTATTGGTATACAGAGGTTTGCTTTGTACTATTTTGTCTGCTTTTCAGTGTGTTTAAATTTTTCAATAATAGAAAGTTTTTTTTGTTTTGTTTTCCAATGCATTATGGCCAATAATCAGGATTTGCGCCAGGAAGGAGAGAATTTACTTGTCTCAGGAGGATTTCTTTGTGAAACACTGTAGCACGTGCTACGTAAATTTCATCTGTCTTCTCTTTGGCAAAAATATAAATTTCTTAAAATAATTTTATCTGAGGGGAATTTTGTTCTTTGGAGGGTTTGAAGAATAGGACCAGGGGACAGCTGACGTAAGGGTTTATGTGAATATCTCTCTACATTTGAGATCAGAGATACCTAAAGAATACAGGCAGTACAATAAAAGATTTGTAAACGTATCAGAACCAGGGAGGACACGTGTAAAATGGGGAGATTAATATGGGGAGATACATACTGGTACTTTAGGGCAATTTTTATTATTATGAAAAGAGCCACTGACACCAGCTGAAAGAAAATGTTTCTGCCCAGCAGCTGGCCCCTCAGCCTTGTGCATGGCCCACTCCTCACACCACTGAGCTCTCGCTGGACCTTAACATTTGTGAACATGATATAACTGTTTCTCTACAAACAAACAATACCTGGAGAAGTCACGTTGTGTCTGGGTTTTTGTTTTTGTTTTTTTCAGGACCGGATTCCATGGCTCTGTAACTTGCATGACATTTTACTAAGGTAAGAGACCACCAGGCCTTGGCATAAGCCAAAGCCAGCAGGTAAAGAAAACCCTCAGAAAAGACAGGGAAAAAAAATACACTCCTGAAATCACAACTGACTGATGGTAAAGGATTCTAGAAACTGGCTGCACTTCTATCAGGTAACCACAATGATTTCAACCAGCCACAGGCAGCATGGAGTTTAGTCGGGCTCTGGAGACAAACCTTCTAGACAGCTCCACACAGTTACTAGCTAGCAGTCTTGATCAGCTACTTGGTTTCCATAAGTCTGTTTCTTCATCAGTAAAATGGGAATTAATATAGTTCCTACTCACAGATTTTTGTAAGGAATAAGTGAGTTGGTGAGTGGGCAACAGAACAATATCTGATACATAGTAAGTGCTCAAAAAGTGTCCACTGATGCCACTTCTGTTATTGCCTATCTCAGTCAATTTTTCTTCCCTTTACTTCAAGCTGTGACTACCAGGAAGGCCTGAGGTCATTTGTGAGTGAACAGGTAATTAGCCACCAGGATTAGAGTCCACATTGCCCAGCTCTGCAGCATGCCCCTGAGCGAACAGGGTCCCCCCCCAACAGCACCCATGACCCCAGTGGAAATCCTGGTCGGGACGTGGAGAAGGATAAGGAAAAGGCAGGGAGTGGGTTACGGATCTTGCTTTCTAAGATGAAGTCATATTTTATCCATCTAAAACCATCTAGGCCATACGAAGTTATAATATACTTAAATGAACATAAATTCAGTTTGCTTTTTTCACACCCGTTGACATGGCTGGCAGCCCTGTCTTTGCATGGGCTGAGTTTTGATTTAGGGGTTTATGGTTCTGGGTTTCAAGGTTTGAAAATTTTTGCCTACCTGGGTTTCTAATATAATATACTCATGAGAGTCTATTTTTACAGTACTATCATTTCATAGTCATAAAAAGGAGTATGGCTTCATTTTTATATTTGCTAGCCATGTATTGGCTGCAAAAAAAAAAAAAAAGCAGGGGAGGCCCCTTCCTTCAGAACTTTCATTCTGAAGAGAACTTTATACTGGATCCCCAAGCCAGCCCCAAGCCAGAATTTATGCACCACCTCTTAACTCTAGAATCCTGTCCTGACCCCAGGATGACTGCCTCCCACACTCAGCAGCCAAGTGGAAGCTGTGGCTCACTCTCCTGTGTGGTCTCTGGCCGCACTGGTTTCCCCTTATTGCTGCTGTGTCTGCCTCTGTTTCTGGCTGGAGTTTTTTCCTTAGTGCATCCCTAGGAACCTCTCATATGCTGCTCACCTTGCCCACAGAGAGGCTGATGCTCCCTTCTCTCCCGCTTTCTCCAGCTCTGCATTGCACCTGGCAACTCCCCCAGACACTGTAGAGTAGGAATGGGGAGAATCCAGTTGTAGAATGCAGATCCCTGAACATCCTGCAGAGGACCTGAGCTTGGCTGTTTGCATGGCACAGGGGCATGCCGGCAGCCCTGTGTCCACACACTGCGACAGAGCAACGTCTGACATCCATCAAAGCAGAACTAACACTTACTGAGCATATCTGTGTATCAGAGATCTCAAACAGTGTTTTCCTTTTGACAGATCTATGGGCAAGTACCCTAGGTAGCCCCACTTAACAGATGATGAACTGACGCTCAGAGAGGTAAATGCCTTGGCCCAAGATTGTTCACTTTACTAGCAGAAGATATTTAACTCGATGCTAGGACTGCCTGATGCTTAAACACCATTTTCTAATGCCTTCCACTGGCAGGAAGTAGGACTAGAGTCCTGCAACTAGAATTGACAGAGGTTACTTTAAATGTCCTCCTTCTTTAGCCTCCCTCTTTTTTTTTTCTTTTTCTAAACAGAGATGTAGCCTCGGGACAGCGTGTGGTTCTAGCCTGTTCAGCCCTGAAGAAAACGTACAGAGACATATTAACACAAGGAAAAGATGGTGTAGCTCTGAAGTGTGAGGAGTCGGGAAAGGAAGCAAAGCAGGCTGAGATGCAGCTCCTGGTGGTCCATCTGAGCGGGTCGTTTGAGGTCATCTCTGGACGCTTACTCAAAAGAGAGGGACATTTTATGCCCCCTGAATTATTGCAGTCCCAGTTTGAGACTCTGGAGCCCCCAGCAGCTCCAGAAAACTTTATCCAAATAAGTGTGGACAAAAATGTTTCAGAGATAATTGCTACAATTATGGAAACCCTAAAAATGAAATGACAATGATTTTGTATCAGTGGTCCAAACAGAACTAAGCATAAATCATTGTGCCATCCCAAACCTCGTTCCAGCCGCCTTGCCCATACTAGATTCTAAATGTTTCTAAAGGCAAACCCCAATGTGTCAAGACAGACTTGTTTAGGTGTAATTTTAGGAATTATGCTGGTTCATCAGGAAGCAGAGGGGGAGTTTTAAAAGTCAAGCTTAAATTGAAGTTTAAATTCATCTATAACCAAATCAAATGATCAGAGGAAATTCTGTAATCAATGCTGGAAATCGTTACATTGTTTAGAACATTCTTGCTCATGCCTGTATTTGCACAAATAAATGAAACTTCGCTGTCCTTGGCATTCCCTGGAAATTGATGTTGGGAGTATAAACATGTACATAATCTACCCACCACCCAGCACACCACACACCTCCTAATCCTCTCTCTGTCCTGGAGCTGTGGTTCAGAATAGTGGCTCTTAAGCTAAGGTCTCAAAAGGTAGTCATTGCAGAACAAGCAAACTTTGTTCAGTTCCTTAAATGGCATAATGCAAACATACTTACCAGTAGCAATACCAAGCTTCTTGCCTTTTGCCTAAAATTATGTCAACTCAAACTGTCTCTGCTGATCACCAGCTCTGTGCTGAGTGGTTGTGTGTTATGTATCTGTGTGTAATTTAAACGTAGAAACTTAACTGCTACTTAAAAAGCAGAGTTTGGGCCCAGCGTGGTAGCTCACGCCTGTAATCCCAGCACTTTGGGAGGCTGAGGCGGGTGGATCACTTGAGGTCAGTAGTTCAAGACCAGCCTGCCCAACATTGCGAAACCCCCTCTCTACTAAAAATAAAAAAAAAAATTAGCCGGGCGTGGTAGCAGATGCCTGTAATCCCATTTACTCCAGAGGCTGAGGTAGGAAAATTGCTTGAACTCAGGAGGCAGAGGTTGCAGTGAGCCAAGATTGTGCCACTGCACTCCAGCCTGGGTGACACAGTGAGACTCCATTTCAATTTTTAAAATATTAGAGTTTGGTCGACAAAATTTGATTTTTTTTTTCTTTTTTAGAGACGAGGTCTTGCTCTGTCACCCAGGCTGGAGTGCAGTGGCATGATCATAGCCCACTGCAGCTTTGAACTCCTGGGCTCAAGTGATCCTCCCACCTCAGCCTCCCAAGTAGCTAGGACTACAGGCATGTACCACCACGCCCAGCTAATTAAAAAAAAAAATTTAAGATATAGTGTGTTGCTATGTTGCCTAGGCTGGTCTCAAACTCCTGACCTCAAGTGATCCTCCCACCTCAGCCTCCCAAGTTGCTGTGATTTGAAGCATGAGACACAGTACCCAGCTCAACAAAATTTGATACGATAACAAAAAGCATCATTTTGGTGGAATAAAGATTGAAAACAATTATTTTAGCGGAAAAAAAAACATTGCTTTTCAAGTAGGGGAGCTGTCCTCATAGATCATTTGAGAAGGCCCTACTCCACCCTGTGAATTTGCAGATATCAGAACTGGAGACAGATCTCAGCAGTTAGTCCTAAGTGTGTGGCAGCGCTGCTGGGAATATACAAGGCATGTGATTTCAGATGTCAGTGATTTCAGGTGTGGCTTTAAATAATACGACACGTGATCAGAAGGGATCCCCCTTATATTTCTGTCGCTCTGCCTGTCTGTGACATGGGGAGTGTCTGTTTCGTATGAGTATCTTCACCCCTTTCCAGCACTTGTCAAGCTTCCTTTTCAACAAAGAGAGCAGCCGCAGGCTCAGACCCCTGGCAGACACACGGTCTCCCCACAATTTAATCACTTTTATCTGGTTCTTGTTTCTGTTTTTACTGTCCTTCTGTGTAAGGTAAGCATCCATTTTCCATTGAAAGTAGTGACATTACAGTTTTTGAAAGCAGAACATTTTTATATAAATTGGGTCATTTCAAGATAAATAAAAAGTACATGATCCATTACAAAATTGCCAAGGTGGAACTCAGGCGAATGAAGTGAGAGACTCGCTGACCCAGTATATCCCTCATTCTACAAAGAGGAACCAGAGGTCTCTAAAAGACCTCCGTGAGCCTAAGCTGATGTCCACCTGCTTGCTGTCCTGTGTAAAAGTCATCAGCAATGGACCCTAGGCAGGTGAAGAAAAAGCACTAGAGCTGCTATGGCCAAGACATGAAATGAAACTTTCCAGTGGGCAGTGATGTGTCACTAGCACCGCGGCAGCAGCGCTGGGGGATGCAGAGCAGGAGGGGAGAAGTACCAGTGCCCTCCTGGCATGCAGCTTACCTGGGCACCAGCTGTGCAGGCCAAAATCTGACCAACATGGGCCAGGTTTGAGCCCTTCCCCGTACTCCAGGAAGATGCTTTATCCTTCTGTCCCAACCAGGGCCACAGGACCTGGCCACCCTGTGGGCCCACTGGTTAGCTCTGGCCAGAGATTGAGTTTTAGAACCAATTTACCTGTTTCTATTCACCAGCATATGTCATACTTGACTCAAGAACTACAGCCAGGTGCAGTGGCTTGTGCCTGTAACCCCAGTGACCCTGGAGGCCAAGAGAGAGGATCACTTGAGCCCAGGAGTTTGAGGCCAGGTTGGGCAACATAGCGAGATCCCGTCTGTGAAAAAAATAAACTAGCCAGGCATGGTGGAATGCACATGTAGTCCCAGCTACTCAGGGGGCACTGAGGTTGGAGGATTGCTTGAGCCAAGAAGTTTGCTATGACTGCATCACTGTACTCCTGCGTGGGCAATGGAGAGATCCCATCACGAAAGAAAAGAAAGAAGGGAAGGGAAGGGGGAAGAGGGAAAGGAAGAGGGGAGGGGAGGAGGGAGGGAAGGGGGAAGAAGGGAAAGAAGAGGGGAGGGGAGAGGGAAGGGGGAAAGGGAAGGGAAGAGGGAGGGAGGGAGGGAGGGAGGGAAGGAAGGAAGGAAGGAAGGAAGGAAGGAAGGAAGGAAGGAAGGAAGGAAGGAAGGAAGGAAATCACATGCCAGTGGAATAAAAGGGCTGTATTGGTGGATGGTCCTTGCCTAAGAAAACGTGGAGCCCTTGATTTTTCTCTTTGCCAAGATATTTGGAGTAGCTTCTGGCTGGCTTTGGTTTACATCAACCCTCATATTTGGGGGCCAGGCACTTGAAGTTGTCAAATTAACACATCCCAGCTGGGTAAGTCCCCCTGCCGTGTGGAGGGAGAAATCAACCAATCCATTGTACTTAGTAGTGAGTCCAGACTGTATGTGACAGGCACCATGGAGGGTTTGAGGCTTGTGACACAAAGCCCTGGCTGTCAGGTGGTTCCAGTTGGGGTGAAAGATAAGGCATCGCGTATTCTCTGGCACCAGCTAGAGTCCTGGGACAGAAAGGACGCAACAAGGCCCTTGACCATGGGGACTTAGAACTGCTGAGAAGCATCCATTCTGGCTGGATCGTGCCCCTGTCCCAGCTCTCTCCCCATAATGAATGCCAAAGCACATTCCTTGACTAAAGACCCCCACAGCTGCTCCACAGCTGGACTAGCCTTTGGCCTCCCCTTTGTCATGGTGACAGGAAACAGGAAAAATTGAGGAAGGCAGTGATTCTCAACCTCGACTGCTTGTTAAGAGTCACCTGGGGAACTGAAAAGCACAGACCTGTTCCTGCTTCCTCCAAGCCCACTGAAGCAGTGTCTGTCATGAGGGGCCCTGGTCTCACCTCTGAAAGCTCCACAACTGACTCTGGTGAGCAGCCAGGGGTGGGAGCCTCAGGGTAAGGTCTGACAACCAGGACCCCATTTGGATCCCCTGCTCATGCTGAGCCCACTTAGATGGCAGCAGCTGGGGGAATCTTGACGAAGGTGAAGTTTAGGACTGGATTAGTTCTCGCCAAAGACCCACTGGACAACTCACGAAAGGCCAGGGATGAAGTGCAGTCTCTAAAGTGGTGCTTTGGGCTGGTGATAGGCTGGGGAGCACCTAACCCCCAAGTGTGTAAAGCGGCTGATTTGGCAGGGATCGCAGGTAGCAGGTAGAAGGGACCAAAGAGATGGGTGTGCCTCTCAAGTGTTTCTCTTGGTGTAACAGCAGGGAATAGTCAATGAGGCATTCAGACGAAGTGAACACACAGAGAGATAAGGGAAAAGGTGTCCAGAATAGAAGAATCCACAGAGACAGACGGATGGGTTGCCTGGGATGGGGAAGGCGGGACTTGGGACTGGCTAACAGGTACACAGTTTCTTTTGCGGGTGATGGACATATTCTGGAGTTACACAATAGTAGTGATGTTTGCATAGCACAGTAAAATACACTAAATCCACTGATGCGCACTTTCAAATGAATTTTATGGTGTACAAATTTTTATCTGCCATTTTTTGATACTGGCAATTTTTTATCTCAATAAAAAAAAATCAATGCAGTTAATGCACCACTGTGAGGAGGGCCGCAACCCCAGCACAGGCGCCTCCCCACCATCACACTTGGAGAAAGTCTATGAGCTGGAGAGTAGGTCTGCGTCCAGCTCCCATGCACTTGACACCTAACAATGAGTGCTGGGTTTGAAGAGAGTTTTCTTTTTTCCTTTTTTGAGACAGAGTCTCACTCTGTTGCCCAGGCTGGAGTACAGTGGCCCAATCTCATCTCACTGCAACCTCCGCCTCCCAGGTTCAAGCGATTCTCCTGCCTCAGCCTCCCGAGTAGCTGGTACATGCCGCCACGCCCGGCTAGTTTTTGTATTTTTAGTAGCAATGGGGTTTCCCCATGTTGGCCAGGCTGGTCTCAAACTCCCGACCTCAAGTGATCTGCCCGCCTCAGCCTCCCAAAGTGCTGGGATTACAGGCGTGAGCCATTGTGCCTGGCCCCCATTTTATTTTTTAACTTTACCAAGAATTGTTTACCATTTTAGAAAATCACGATGTGTTTGTCACCGACACAACATACCCACATGCACTTGCATTCTTTCAGGGGTGACCCCACAATGGGCACAAGCACATAATGACTCCATCGTTTTCATTTAGTGTAGTCGTGCTCAAGCAGTACACACTGAAAGTTTATTCGTACTTTTTTTTTTTTTTTGAGACAGAGTCTCGCTCTGTCACCCAGGCTGGAGTGCAGTGGCTCGATCTCGGCTCACTGCAAGCTCCGCCTCCCAGGTTCACGCCATTCTCCTGCCTCAGCCTCTCCGAGTAGCTGGGACTACAGGCGCCCGCCACCATGCCCGGCTAATTTTTTGTATTTTTAGTAGAGACGGGGTTTCACCGTGGTCTCGATCTCCTGACCTCGTGATCCGCCCGCCTCGGCCTCCCAAAGTGCTGGGATTACAAGCGTGAGCCACCAGGCCCGGCCCTTATTCGTACTTTCATGTGTCCTTTACATTAGAGCTAAGGCATTATGTTTATTAATTGCTTAGGTACGTTTTGTTAGCAATCTCATTTTGTGATAGTAAAGGGGCATTGGAAAATAGTTGTTAAAAAGCAGGTGTTGAAAAGGAGTCTGGTGGGTTGAGAGCACTGTTCTAATCTTCCCAAACATGGTCCCGGGGAGACCGAGGTGTGGACCGGTACTGCCCTCTGGTGGCCGGGGTGGGAGAGACCCAGCAAGCACAAAGAACCCAGGGAAGAAGGGCCAGATGGTTTGCAGTGGCTCAAAATGGATGGAGATAAAAGATTCACCTTCTCCTCTGGGAGGATTCTCCACCCGCCCCCACCCCACCCCACCCCCGCCCAAGTCTCCATTCCCACCACCAGAAAAATTTCAGATTAAACATTTTTCTCTCCTGTAAAATGAGGGTATCACCTGCCTCGTAAGAATGAAGTCTTTTGGCTCTGATAGCTTAGCTCCCCACCGAGTCTCTGTCTTTCCACACCCCTTTCCCCAGCCCTTGGGCAGGTTACATCAGGCAGAGCCTAGGATGAGGTCCCTGAAGCATGGGATGACCCAGCAATCAGCTGAGCAGCCGGCTCTGGAATCAGGACCCAGAAAAACATGGGCTCAAGGCATAGCACTGGCGTAAACTAGCTGGGTGACACAGATAAGGCAGCCCTAGGGGATGTCACTAGATGCTGCCAAGGTCCAGTGCTCACATCCTGTGCCTCTCTAGAGTCTGCTCTGATAAGCAAACTATTTTTCAGTGGACAGAGTACAAGAACCAGGAGGAAACTATAACAAGCTGACTTTAATCAAAGACACCATCCACCAGGGATTTTAATTTTCTGAAACTGTAATATGCAAGTTTATTATCCCTTCACTGAACAGCACATCTGTTCAGAATATATCTGATCAAAGATATATTCAAGATCAGGGTATTAACTGTATCATGGGCCAGCAATTACCACGGAATTAGGATCTGATTAGGCATTCAGCCAATAAGCTGTGTTGAGCATCAGTGTGTGGAGTTGTTTCAGCCCAGCTTCACAGAATCTCATGTGTGAAATGTGAGCTGGTGCTGATTTCCTGATGATCATCATTCCCTCCAGCAGAGTTTCCCCCCAGCAACCTACCCTGGATGCTGTGCAAATTGAAGTCCACTTTGTGGGAGGTTGAAGTCACTGGTCATCACTTAGGAGGACCCCAGACCTGATGTTGAGTATCTAACACATACCTTAATCAGGGACCCAATCAGATGGTGCCTAAGGAAATGCCCTCAACCCATGACAGTCCATGGCAAGACTTGCAAATTTGATGGCCAAAGAATGTGACCAACACTAGTGGGATATGGGAGACTGAAGACTGTGACAAAATTAAAAATGCACACACTATCTGAATAGGGCAACAACTATGCAGCTCCAGACCAGATAACACAGGAACACAATCTGCCCTGAACAAGTTGGGTTGACTGCTCACTGTATAAGGAAGAACACACACCTCCAAAAACTGCGCGAAAGACTCAGTAAGATGTCAGAAAGGATTTAAGGTTTGGTTGCATGATAGGTAGTCCTGAGTAGGGTTCAAGGAAGCAGGGCTCTCTAAATGGATGCTGTCAGAAAGTGGGGGATAACTGGTTATCTTAAGAAAATATGCCGGGTGCGGTGGTTCACGCCTGTAATCCCAGCACTTTGGGAGGCCAAGGCGGGCGGATCACAAGGTTGAGAGATAGAGACCATCCTGGCCAACATGCTGAAACCCCATCTCTACTAAAAATACAAAAATTAGCTGGGCATGGTGACGGGTGCCTGTAATCCCAGGTGCTCGCGAGGCTGAGGCAGGAGAATTGCTTGAACCTGGGAGGCGGAGGTTGCAGTGAGCCAAGATTGTGCCACTGCACTCCAGCCTGGTGACAGAGAGAGACTCCGTCTCAAAAAAAAAAAAAAAAAAAAGTAAAGTGTGAAGAAGGAAGTGAAGCTAAAGCTATAACTGGTTAAGAAGCACATTAACAAGGACAGGGAGATGTCTGGTCATTTTTGCATCTTGGAAAATGCTCATGTTTTTCGGTGTTGACATGACTAAAGAAATGTTCCTTTGTCTTGACCCACCACGGCTGAAAAGCAGTCTTGTTCTGATGTAGGTGTCCTGTGAAATTGTGTATGCTTAGCAGGACATGAAGGCCTAGCTTTTAACACCAGGCCAGCATCTGGATGACAGGAACTACATTTTTCTTACTGTCAGATATCATTGTCACTGTCACTAAGATCTTTTAGGCCTCAATTTGAAAGTTTGGGACACATTATCTTTAGAATCACCAGGAGTTCAGATGGGAGGATTTAACTTCCCTTCTCAAAAAAATTAGAATTTGGTAGGTTTCCCACCCAAGGGCCAGGTTGTAGTAGCTGACCTCTACCCCGAGGCCAGATGGTTGAGTGACATGGACTAGTGGACTAATGTCCCAGTACATATACCACTTCCCCTTCCATCACTTGGCCTCTTGTGGTTAACCTATGTGGAACTGAAGACCTTGAGAAGTTATCCCATCTCACCCAACTCCAGCCAACATATTTGTCCAAGAAGTACCCAAGGGCCTATGTAAAAATGTCTGTCCCTGCTTTAGGGTGTATTAGTACTTCATTCCTTTTTGTTGCTGAATAATATTCCACTGCATGGATATACCACATTTTAAGAAATGGATTCACCAGTTCATGGATATTTGGGTTGTTTCCACATTTTTGATATTAAGAATAATGCTGCCATAAACATTCATTCGTGTACACGTTTTTTGTGGGGACATATTGTTTTCACTTTTCTTGGGTATATACATACCAGTGAAATTGCTGGGTCAAATGCTAACTATGCAGTTAAATCTTTTGAGAAACTGCTGAATTGTTTTCCAAGTAGCTGCCCCATTTTACATTCCCACCAGCAATGTAAGAAGCTTCCAATTTCTCCACATTCACCAACACTTGTTATTGGTCTGTCTTCATGATTACAGCCATCCCAGTGAGTGTGAAGTGGTATCTTCTTAAGATTTTGATTTGCATTTCCCTAGTGATGAAGAGCATCTTTTCACATGCTTATTGGTGATCTGTTCATCTTCCCTGGAGACATGTCTATTCAAATTCTTTTTATTTTTAAAAGTGTCTCTTCACTGTTGAGTTGTAAAAGTTCTTTATCAGATATATTACTTGCAAATGTTATCTTACGTTCTGTGAATTGGATTGTCTTTGTACTTTCTTCATCATTTCCTTTGAAGCAAAAAACCCTAAAGTTTGATGAAGTCCAATTTACCTATTTCTCATTGGTTGGTTGTGCTTTTGGTGTCCTACCTAAAAAACCACTGCCTTACCCAAGGTCACAAAGATTTACACCTATGTTTTCTTCTAAGAGTTTTTTGCTTTAACTCATGTCTTGGCTCCATTCTGAGTTACTTTTCGAATAAGAATATGCATTTTAACAAGGTCCCAGGTGATCTGTATGCACAACTGAAGCTGAAAACCACTGCCTAAGTCACACCCTGGCAGCACATTACAATCACTTTAAGAGCTTTTAAAATGTATGCATGAGCCTCACCCAGATACAATTCCACTTAGTCTGAGGTGGCCTTATTTTTTAATCATTTTAGCTGATTCTAATGTGAAGCAAGGGTTGAGAATTACCACCTCTTTGCTGATTAACATTTTTTGTAGCCCTCAACTAATTCTTCAATTTCATGAGGATGTACACAAAGTTATCACTTGCCTCACTGTCTAATCAATATTTTCCATCTTTAACTTATTTAACAAATGATGTCTTTAACATCATTTATACATTCTTTCCATATGGATTTCACCCACATGCTTTTATTAGGCTGGTTTGTACCCACTGCTTATATGTGATACTGAGACTTCTAACAGTGCTACATTAAAATTGGGATCAGCATTCACAGTGCACACGGTACAAGAGTATGAAGGAGGCTTAGTGTCTGCGGATATGATACAAATCACACCTTCATTAAGACTAGAGAATGGAAGTCATACTGGGTGATAGTGTATGAGGGTGGAGAAGACATAGAAATGAGAAGAGGAAGTAAAGAACTTCAACAATTTCCTGGGAAAACCAAAGATCTCAGTTGGTCAAGAGCATGCTCTACAATCAGCAACATTTTAGTATCTAGTATCATGTTATCTTTAAGCCATAATTTGTCCTTGGTCTTTCTAGGTTTTGTTTTTATTATTTTCTTGAAGGAGAAGGGTGGGAATGGGTAAAACATTCTGGTCTTCCTTTTGCAAATCTAGAACCACAAAACCAATTACAAATTGCGACTCTTGCTATAAACAAAAATAACTCCAATTTATCAGTGACCTAAATAGAAGAGCTAAAACCAAAAAACTCTTAGAAGAAAATATAGGGGGAAGCAATGTATTCTTTGTTTTTTTGGGTGGGGGAGCGGGGGACAGAGTTTCGCTATTGTCACCCAGGCTGGAGTGCAGTGGTGCGATCTTGACTCACTGCAACCTCTGCCTCCCGGGTTCAAACAATTCTCCTGCCTCAGCCTCCCAAGTAGCTGGGATTACAGGCATGCACCACCAGGCCCAGCTAATTTTGTATTTTTAGTAGAAACAGGATTTCACTATGTTAGCCAGGCTGGTCTCAAACTCTGACCTCAGGTGATCCACCCGCCTCAGCCTCCAATTTTGTATTTTTAGTAGAAACAGGGTTTCATTATGTGGGCCAGGCTGGTCTCAAACTCTGACCTCAGGTGATCCACCCACCTCAGCCTCCCAAAGTGCTGGGATTACAGGTGTGAGCCACAGCGCCCAGCCTAGCAATGTATTCTTAGCTGCAACACCAAAAGCACAAGCAACAAAAGAAAAATAGAAAAAGACTTCATTTCTCCAAAGGTATGCAAATGGCCAACAACATATGAAAGATGCTCATCATCATTAAGTCATTATGGGAATGCAAATCAAAACCACAATGAGGCCTGGTGCTGCTCACACCTATAATCCCAGCACTTTCGGAGGCCAAGGGAGGCAGATCACCTGAGGTTAGGAGTTCGAGACTAGCCTGGCCAACATGGTGAAACCCCGTCTCTACAAAAAAATACAAAAAATTAGCTAGGCGTGGTGGCACATGCCTGTAGTCCCAGCTACTCAGGAGGCTGAGGTAGAAGAATCATTTGAACCTGGGAGGCGGAGGCTGCAGTGAGCTGAGATCACACCACTGCACTCTAGCCTGGGCAACAGAGCAAGGCTCTTGTCTCAAAAACAACAAGAAAACAAAAAAAAACTCACAATGAGATCCCACTTCACACCTACCATGATGGCAGTAATTAAAAAAACAGGGAAGGGAAGTGGAGGAGGAATGAAGTGTTGGCAAGATGTAAACTGGAACCCAAACAACGCCGGTGGGAATGTAAAATGGTGCAGCCACTATGGAAACCATTCAGTAGTTCCACAAAAAGTTAACAATGGAATTACCATTATGACCCAGCAATTCCACTCCTACATATATCCCCAAAGGAAATTGTGAAAGGAAAATAAATCTTACAGCCCCAAAACTACTAAGCTAAAGAGAAAGTCAAGAGGGGAACTGCTTAGGGCAAACCTGCCTCCCATTCTATTTAAAGTCACCCCTCTGCTCACTGAGATAAATGCATATCTGATTGCCTCCTTTGGAGAGGCTAATCAGAAACTCAAAAGAATGTAACCATTTGTCTCTCACCTACCTGTGACCTGGAAGCCCCCTCCCCATTTCAGTTGTCCCACCTTTCTAGACGGAACCAATGTACATCTTACATATATTGATTGATGTCTCATGTCTCCCTAAAATGTATAAAATGAAGCTATGCCTCAACCACCTTGGGCACATGCTGTCAGGACCTCCTGAGGCTGTGTCACGGGCGTGCATCCCCAACCTTGGCAGAATAAACTTTCTAAATGAACTGAGATCTGTCTTAGATTTTTCAGGTGCACAAACTGAAAACGGAAACTCAAACTTGTAGGCCAATATTCATTGCAACATTGTTCACAATAGGAAAATGGTGAAAAGGGTCCATCAACAGATGAATGAATAAAATGTGGCATAAATATACAGTGGAACATTATTCAGCCATAAAAAGGAATGAGATTACACAGTACAAAATGGATGGACCTTGAAAACATAAGTCAAAGAAGCCAGACACAAAAGGCCACATATTAAATGATTCCAGTTATATAAAATGTCCAGAATAGGTAAATCCAGAGAGACAGAAAACAGACTTTGCAGTTGCCAGGGGTTGGGTGAGGAGGGAATAGGGATTGAATGCTTACTGGCTACAAGGTTTCCTTTTGGGGTGATAAGAAAGTTCTGAAGGATGGTGATGTAGTTATACAACATTATGAATATACTTAATGGCACTGAATTGTACCCTTTAAAATGGTTACAATGGTAAATTTTATGATATGTATACTTTACCACAGTTAAAAATTTAAAAAAAAAAAAAACCTGTAGGGGTCAGGCCTATCTCCCTAACCTTGTGGCAGGAAGTAGACTAGCATGCATGCTTCCCTTTGGACAGTTTCCCAAACGGGTTCATAGTTATGCTTAGTTCCTTCTACACTATTCAACAAGCAGCCATGTCACTACTTCCCTTAGAAAGGGAGGAACAGTGGAGAAGAAATGTGTACCCCTCCAACATTTTCCTCCTTCTGGGATTGCAGTGTGTGATAAAGATGCTCACAAATTATTTGACATCCTTCCCAACAAGCAGTGGGGTCTTCAAACCCTCCTCTTAAATTTGGGGAAGCTAAGACTGCTTGGACAATAGAATACTGGAGATATGACACTGGGCCAGTTAGGAGCCCAGAACTTAAAAAAAAACAGCACTTTTCATTTTTCTTAAAATACTTATTTTTGAAACCCACCAGTCACGTTGTAAGGAAGCACAGTAGCCCTATTGGAAGGTCCATGTGGAAAGGAACTGAGACCCTGAGTGCACTCCCAGATAAAAGCAGGCACTAATTTAACATCCATGTGCATAATAAGCCCTCTTGAAAGTAAATTCTCCAGACTCAGTCAAGTTGGTCCAACTGTATTCACCAAGCCCTGCCAAAATTGGTCACTCATGAACAAAATGAATGATTTTGTTCTAAGCCACCAAGCTGTGGTGTAGTTTTGTTATAAAGCATTAGATAACCACAACACAGTGGAAATTCCCTCCCCGCTCTGTAAAATATAAGGAATTGAAAATGTGTCTGAAATACCTTTTTAAAAAAATCTGGCTTGAATACCCAAGTGTCTAGTATATATCCCATTAAAGAATTAGGCTCCCACACTCAGCTTTGGTCTTTGAGGGAAACTAATGAGAGCTCCTATATGTGTCTAGCCTTGTCTAAGCATAAAGTGGTAAGCAAGACAGCTGACTGGAAGTCAGAAATACTCATGTTATCAGGCACAGGCTGGAATTACAAACTGAGGGTGTGCTTCACCACTGTCCGAGCTTAGAGGAAATCTCAATTTTGTTCAATGAGATCTTACCCAAGCAAAAAAGCTGGGAGGGGTGCTTTTCCTATACTTCAGAAAGGGCTGACCATGAAGTGTAGTTCAGATGGGCTGGGCAGGTGCCACTTCTACTGGCAAGAAAAGGCAGACCCAGCTGAGGCAAATGATGGCTGGAAAGACAAAGAAACCCTCTCTCTCACATCTCAGCCCATGTAACAAAGGTGCTGATTTTATTTTTTAAAACCTCTTCCGGGAATCAAAAGCTGGCAGTAACTCGTTTCTCTCTGTACATTTCTCTCTTTTGGTAGAAAACAATTACCTGGGCAAGTCCCCTCCCCCATGCCCCACACACTGGTCATTACAATTAAAATAAAAACATGCTGTAGTATTTCCCATCTTAAAAAAAAAGGCATACTTCTACACCACCACCACCACAGCAACCTCCCCACCGCTACTGCCCCGTTTCTCTCTCTTCCAAACTGTGCCTCCTGCCAGTCCACTCTAACCACAATTTTACCCCAACACTCTAAACCGCTATAGTCATAGTCATGAGGGTCCTTTCTTTACTAACGGCAAAGGGTTAACACTCAATCCATGATGAGAACCTGAGGCAGCAGTGTATTGAACCACTCTCCTTCTTAGTAAGTTTCATCATCCGCTTTCAGGACCTCTCTTAACTCTCACCTTATGAGCTATCTGTTCCTCTCCTTTGGAGCTCCTCCACTTGTCTCAACGTCTTCACTTAAATGTTCCATCAAGTACATTCAACTTAATATGTCAACACCAAAATCCTGATTTCCACTCCTTCTCCTGTCTTTCTACCTTGTTTGCCTTGCTTGACTCCTCTCTTGCTCTAAACTTCACACCTCTATTATCAGTCAATCCTATTGGCTCTACCTTCAAAACATACCCCAAATCCAACTTCTTACCACCTCCACTGCCACCAGCCCAGTCCAAGTCCTTGTGATCTCTCACTAGATTATAACCTCCTAAAAGTCTTCCTGTTTTCACCCTGGTTCCTGTAGTGCAGTGGTTTTCATTAGTTGTTTCATTAGTTGTTCAACCTAGGAACTTGTTAGACATGCAAATTCTTCCCCAACTCCATAACTATTAATCACAAACTCTGGGGGTGGGTCATAAAGATTTGTGTATTACCAAGTCCTCCATGTCAAACACCTGAACCACCCCATCTCTCTCCTATTTCCTACCCTGCTTTTCCCCCTTGTTCATCTTGCCCACCCACACTGGATTCCTTGTGTTCTACAAACATACTGAGAAAGAAACAGAAGTTTTTATCTGAGGAATGCAAACCCCTTTAAATTATCAGGCTCAGAGAGGCATTTAAAATGTGACATCAGTCACGTCTCATTCCCTCTTGAGCTAAATAATTACCTCTTGAAGCAAATGACTATGTGGGCTCTGGAATGACACCAAGTAGCCATTAAGATGTCATATAGTAGACATCATAACTTTTACCCTATGTTCAACAGCGTACAGCCAATGGCTAATCAATATTATCTCTGGAAACCAATGAGAATACCTGTCAAAACTTTTATCAGCCCACTCCTTGTTCCCCTTTGCCTTTAAAAACCTGCTTGTACCAAACAGAGTACTCCCCAAGGCAACCTGAAATGGGTCCCTGGCAGCTGTTCTCACTTTGGCTCAAGTAAACTCTTTCGAAATTATATTTTGTGCCTCAGCTTCTTCCCTTTAGGTTGACATACACTCAAGGACACTATTTCAGGGCCTTTTAATTAGTTGTCCTTCTTCCTGGAAAAGTTGTTCACCCCTCCAGATACTCAAGTCTCTGTTCAAATGTCACCTCCTCAATGAGCTGAGGCTTTCTCTGACAACCTTATATAAAATAAGAACGCCACCTTCCTGACCTGGTCTCCCCACTATGCAGCATTTTTCACCAAAGCACTGATTACCTGGCAGGCAATCTGTATGTTTTCCTATCTCCCTACATTCTACTATGTAAACCCCATGTGGACACAATCTTGTTTTATTTGCTGCTATACTCTGAGCAACTGGAAAAGAACCTGGCACTCAGTAGATGTTCAATAATTTGACTTTCTGACATAATAGTTGCCTATGAGAAAAGATACAGAGAAGTTGAAGAGGAACAACTGATGTTACTTAGGTAATTGCCAAGACAATTTTAGAGCAGAAAAATAAAAAACAAAACAAAATGCTACAAGGTGAATGGGGGGAGCAAAATGCAGCAATTGACAGTAAAGACTAAGTATGAACAGTTAAGAGTTTCCCAAACACTGGATCAGCAAAGTTTAGGACGCCTTCAGAACTGAGCCCAGAAAGAATGGTAGGGTTTATAGGAGCCAAAGTAGATAAATACCATGTGCGACACCAGAGAAGGGTAGATACACGAAGTATAGGAAGGGTGTTCATTGTATACAGCATCACCTTAAAGAATAGTTAAAAGATGGTCTAGTGAGACTGGAAAAAGCTGATAAAACTTTAAATAGACTTCTTTCATGCAAGACTTCCTGTTAATTGTAATATAATATTAATCTCTATGAGAAGAAGTACAATATGCAGTATTTCCCTGCATTAATCACAGAGTCATTTTTTTTTGTTAATCATGTGTATGTCATTGCACACACGGCTTAGCTTCACTTTTGTCACTAGCATATTGTTATCCATTGTTATATTTTGTTGTGATATATGCCTATTAAATTAACATAGTAAGAATAAAAGACTCTTTTCATTATTATATTTAAACCAAGTCTGAAACTCAAGATTCTAAATACACACAGAGGCCAGGTGTCATTTATCTGATTTTTCAATATTTGCTAGACTTTGTTTAGGATATCGCAAATATTATAACTGGGAAATAAAATCCTGAAATGCTATTTTCACTACCCCATTCTTTATTCAATTTGTACTAAATATTATCACTCAATATGAGAACAATTTAAGCCTACAGTATTTTAAACATCCTTTAAGTGCTGATAAGAATTTTAAGTATTTTGAACCCCTTAAGATGTAGATATTTATCTTTAGACTTAGACCTAAATAAACATATTAAAAACAAAAACCATACCACTGCAGTAGCTTAAAGGTACTTCAGAGCTTATCGCCCAGTCCAGCACACCTATAAGCCTCACCACCACATGTATAATAAAGAAACCATGACGCCTCAATGTCACATAACTAGTCAAGTACCAAGATCAAAAGTGGAGCTCAAGTCACCTACCTTCCCAGTGTGCTATCTTTTTATCACACCACAAAAGACTGTGACGTTTTAATTGGAAAACCTGAAAAATAAAGAATGTAAAATGTGACAAAATCTGGGGTAAATCAACTCCAATAGCCTTTAAAACACATGGTTAGCAAAAGTTAAAGACTTTTTTTCTTTCTACAAAAGAGGCAAGACAAATCAAGTGTAAAAGCTAGAGATTTATTGTTATTTTATGATTAATAAATTGTCAAATTAGTTATGACACTATCCCACACTGAATACCACCATTTGCCAGTACAGAAGTTTTTAAACCAAACTGAGGCATAAAGCAGAAAGAGCAAAGACACATGAATACCCTTCTTAACAATCTCTTCTACTTATGCCTCCACCGTAACCTTTGTACTTGTTTTCCTCCTGGGGAAAGTGTCAGAACAGTGCAAGGACTGGTGGGTAACCTGGCCTCTTAACCTTTTTAATAGCAAGCAACATACAGAAGTAATGCAATCAACTTGTATTTCCCTTGATTTTATTGGTCTGAATTCATTTTAGGTTACTTTAACATTTTAATTTCCTGTAACTGTACATGAGAGAATATAATCACCTAAGAGAATACTGAACCAGAGTCAGCCAAATGTATCACTGACCCTCAATTATGTTTTAATTGGTCCTAAAGGAATGTACCACCCCAACAGTTTGGGAGTTAGGCAAACAGAATTCTTTGGGGGAGGGAAGAAAAAGGCTATAAAACAGCCAAATGTACTCAACATCATTAAAACGGCTCTTTGTTTTTCACCCCTGAATGATACTTCTTTACTACACTATATGCACAGAAATCCTAACAGAATCTTGGTTGCCAGTATTATTTAAGCTGGCCCCATCCAGGACAGATTCCGCTGCCCCACCCCCCCACCCCGTCCCCCTTTCTCTGAGGCTCTGAAAAGCACAATATTTAACTATTTCTTAATAGAACTACCAAAACACTTCAGAAACAATTGGCTCACAACTCATTTTAAATTTGTGTATTGCCTGTGCATGAGAAAACAGATAAACCCAAAAGATAGTTCTATTTTTTTATGGCGATTAAAAATAACTGAAACATCAAGACACTTTTTCAGTGAAAGCAACATTTCAATTACAAATTTTAATGCCTGTTAAACTACCTATGGGAGAAGCTGAGAAGTCCTAGGCAAATGCACTTTGGGGTATACTACAGTGTTCCTTCAGTCTGCACAAAGATTAAGGTAATTTACAGTCAATCTGTGAATGAATGTTGAGACAATGTTACATTATGTGTCTGTACAATTAATTGTCCTTAAAGAGATAACCAGAATCAGCTTTTCTACTGTATTTTCAACAAACCTGACTAACCGGCACTTTTGCTGGGAGATGTTTGTCAAAGATGCTGTAAGATTCTATACAATTAGGAAATACTCAGCTTTAAGAGTATTTTCTTATCTTCACTTTTTTAGTTACAGGTGTTTTGCTCAGAGAGCCTATTGCAGTATGTTTCCAGAAATGCAGTCCCAAATGTGCATACTCTATATTGTATACAAATAAAACAAAATTATCAGTAGTATAAATCTTACAGCATTGTTTGCAAAAATGCATGCCAAAGTCACAATAAGCAATACTGTACCACAAATTATAGAGTGCAAATGATTTGCTTCTTTTTAATGCTTTTATTCTACATAAATTACTACCATAGGCTAATGTTTAAAAAGCAAATAAACTGGACAGATGCAGGACAAAATCTGGTCACCCAACTATAAAAGGTGATGTTTTTAAAAAATTACAATAAATGCAGAAGTGATGCATGCAGTAGCCTTAATTCCCACTGTTCCAGAAAAGAAAAATACAGAAAAACCCACACATCTTACTGTACTCCACCTTAAAATGCATCATATTGGGTTTGTTTATAACAGCACAGAATTCCAAGAGTCAAAATGAAATAAAGCAGGTATTTTAAAGTTTAAGAGCCGTTATCAAAAATAAATTACATTTTTTCAAGATACAGAAATGCTGCTATGATGGCTGGGAGCCCAGTAACCTTTCAATAGCTGCATTGATATCACCTCCTGTTGCTATTAGAGCTTGCAAGTTTGCTTCACGGTTCAAAAATCCCATTGCACTGAGTTGTTCCAGTTGTTGCTGAAATCTGACTTCTGGATTCTGTAGCTATTAAAGAAAAAAAAAATTAATCCAACTCTAAAGGAAGCCAGTCCCTGCCACACATGACTTTTAAAATTTTTTAATTGCTTTTTTATAACATATGCTGATCTACTGAGCTTTAAAAACACTGCCCACCTCTTGAAACTTATCCAACATATTTAAAAGTCCATTAGCAGTTTATTTTAAATAGTCTAGTTTGTACCTAAATAATCATGTCAAATAGATCACGACTCTACTTTAGGGGAGGGGGAGAAAAGCTTAATAAACATCAACCATTATTTTAGAGGATCACGTACATGCAGAAAAACCTGTATGTGTGTGTGTATATACATATACATATACACACACACACACACACACACACACACACACACACACACAGATAGTTCAGAATTAGATGATTTGTGTAGCTACTGACCAATTGAGTAACTATAAAAGCTGGTATCCTCATGTATAAAATTCTAAAGCTTCAATGATTCTTCGAATGAATGTGAGTTTAATTTTTGCACTGGACAGTCAATTCTTAGAAAAGAGCTTCAGTTTCAGGCCCAAAATTATACTCTTAATTCTGACATTTCAGCAGCATCAAATCTTTTCTTCAGAAATGAAGTTAAAAAAAAAAATCTCCATATAAATGACCAATCAATCCTAGGCCTACCTGATAATTTGGAGGCTTGTAAGTTAACTTATGTCACAATTAATTCTAATACTCCAAATCCTTCTTTCTTATTTATTCCATGAATATTTACTGAGTACCTACCAAGAGCCAGAAACTATGCTACGCTAGCTTATCAGGAATACAGATATGTATGAGACAGAACCCTACCCTATTTATTATATTTAGTAAGGCTTGAAAACAGAAAGCAGGCCAGGCTCACGCCTGTAATCCCAGCACTTTGGGAGGCCAAGGCGGGTGAGATCGCTTGAGCTCAGGAGTTTGAGACCAACCTGGGCAACACGGTTGAAACCCCAGCTCTACAAAAAATACAAAAATTAGCCAGGTGTGGTGGTCTGCGCCTGTAATCCCAGCTACTCCAGAGGCTAAGGTGGGAGGATTGCTGCAGCCCAGGAGGTGCAGGTCGCAGTGAGCTGTGATTGCATCCAGCCTGGGCACTTTGTCAAAAGGGAAAGGGAAAGAAAAAAAAAAAAGGGAAAGGCAAAGAGGGGAAAGAGGAAAAAGGGGAAAGGGGGAAGGGGAAGAGGAAAGGGAAAAGGGAAAGGGGAAGAGGAAGGAGGAAAAGGAAAGGGGAAAGGAGAAAGGGAAAGAAAAAAGAAACCCAGAAAAGAAAACAGAAAGCACCTAACAGACCTTGAGACATTAAGAAGTTTGGGGACAACCTAATAAAACAGGTTTAAACTGGCGATCATCTTTATATAATGGCACATTATTAGTAAAACCAATGTATGTTTGTAGATGCAACCACATTATTAGGGGGTCCATATTCTTTAGCCATATTTACGAGATATATATATATGTAACACAAGCTACCGCAGGAGGTGGTGTCATGGGTGGAGTTAAGGTAGTTAGGACTTTTTTCCAGTCAAAAGACAGACTAGAATACAGCTGCCCTGGAGGTACTTGGGATAATCAAGTTTCCATTCCTCCCTAAGAACTTTTTTAAAGCAAAATCTATTTCAAATGATTTTCAAATAGGAACAAAAAAAATGCATTTTTAAAGGCAATTTCTAAAAAATAAGACTTTAGGTTGTAGCATGTCTTCTCTACAACCGTAACAACGTTTCCTTTAGTGTCTCAGCACCAAAGTCAACAATTTTTGTAATGCCTGTTTTCTTACTCAATATCCTTAAGACTGTATTTTTCATTAATCTAAACACCTAAGAACTACTGCTTTCCTTTTTTCTCCCTTTTTCCTTCTTTTTGGAAATTTCTAAATTTCCAACATTAAGGAATACAAAACTTGAATGGAAAAGAACTGATACCTGAGGATTTACTCCAGCAAGAGCCTGCAGCATCTGCTGAATAAACTGCTGATGTCCAGGTTCAGTGGTTCCTGCTGTGGGACTTGTGTTTTCACTAGGTGTGGCGTTAGATCCATTAGTTCCCGAAGAGCCTCCAGTGCTTCCTAATGCCCCCAAGCCAGGAGTAAACCTACAGAAAGCACAAATAGGAAATATCCTAAGGTCCTGCAAAACCAGAAGCCAGTCCGTAAATCAGTTACATTTTAATATAAGCTAAGCCATCTTCTTAAAATAAGCCCTTTTGGCCTGGTGCAGTGGCTCATTCTGGGAGACCGATGATCCCAGCAGCCCAGGAATTTGAGATCAGCTTAGGCAACATTGTTGAGACTTCATCTCTACAAAAAATAAAAACAAAATTAGCTGGGTGTGCTGGTGCACACCTGTAGTATCAGTTACTTGGCAGGCTGAGGTAAGAGGATTGCTTTAGCCCAGGAGGTAGAGGCTGAAGTGAGCTGAGATCGCGCCACTGCACTCCAGTCTGCTCGATGGAGTGAGACTATCTCTAAAAGGAATTTAAAAAATAATAATAATCATTTTTAACTTTGAAAACCCTGACTTAAAAACAATCATAGCCAGGCACTGTGTCCCAACTACTGGGGAGGCTGAGGTGGGAGGATCACCTGAGCTTAGAAGTTCAAGTTCAGCCAGGGTAAAAGAGCAAAAACCGATCTCTTAATAAATAAATAAGTAAATAAATAAATAAAAACGGTGGGGGAGAACCAGGTGCTATGGCTCATGTCTCTGATCCCACTTTGGGAGGCCAAATCTCTTGAGCCCAGAAGTTTGAGACCAGCCTGGATAACATGGCAAAGCTCCATCTCTAAAAACAGTAACAACAACAAATTATATATATAAATTAGCTAGGTGTGGTGGTGCACACCTGTAGTCCCAGCTACTTGGGAGGCTGAGGTGAGAGAATCCCTTGAGCCCGAGAGGTCGAGGCTGCAGTGAGCCACAACTGCGCCCCCACACTCATAGCCTAGGCGAAGGGCGAGACCCTGTATCCCACCAAAAAAAAAAAAAAAAAAAAAAAGGCAGGCAGAATAATACTAAATCTGAAATTCTCAGAGAAAGTAACCATTATACACTTTCATTATCTTCCCCAAATAAGCCTACCCTGGGATGAGGCCCGGGGCTTCCGTTGCTAATGTCTGTAAACCCTGCTGAATCTGTAACAAGGCCTGCATTGCTCTAGGGTTTGACATTGCTGATAGTGTATCAGGATTCTGCATCTAAGGAAGAAAGAAAACTAGTGGTTACAAAGGAATTAAAATCAGTGAACGTAAATTTTTAAATCTTTTCTCTGTTATGCTTCTGGAGAAAATCTAAAACCTTACTCCTGGACACTGGTAATCCATAATTTCTTTCCCAAAATAAACGCAAGTATCTCCTCTTTGACAGCAAACCTAGTGTGCAAATTATTACTTGACCTCCTCCTAAGTCCATCATGAAAGCCATTTCCATAATGGAAGAAAATCAGGAGCTACTTTGGAAGCCACAACTATTCCCCTTCTCCAACAGAAGATAAAGTATTACTTCTAAGACACAACCTCCAAAGGCACAATTCTTACGACGTGGATATGGTAAAAAGCCACATATTCCACCTAACCAAGTGTTATCTGTTACTAATATAACAATTTTACCAGTAAGGTACACTCTAAAACAACAGTTCCAAATTTGACGTTAATACATGTATCCTGAGTTTAGCTTTACTACTTCCAAATATACACCACCTGACTAACCAAAGATAGGCTTACATCATTACAATAGATCAAGGACACCAACCTTGGAAAATGGTTTACAGGTCTGAGAGTCATTTGCATAATACATGAGGCCCTAGAACTACCAGTTTCAAAACACCAAGACTGACTTCTCTTTTGTCGTTTTAAATAATAAAATACCATGGCAATCTCAAGTACTCGTTTATACTATAACCTTCCTTACTTCCTTATATGACAACACTGACTATTTTAATCTTACTAATCCCGAGTTTGAGGAAATGAGATCTACCCCTTGGGGAAAAAAAGCCTTCTACTAATTTGGAAGAAAACCTATAAAATAGAATAGGGTAGCTCTTTCCTGTTACTCAAAATTAGTTAAACCATAAAGCGTAACATGACACAAGGAAGCACTTCAAAGTTAGTACAATGAAAGGAAATGGTTTATGGTATTAACAAAGCATTCAAAATCCTAGGTCCTCAAAAGCAAAAACAAAATGTTCTTTCCTCAGAATGTATGTTTAAGAAACATAAGCAAAAGGTCAGCAGTGAAATGGGACTCAGTGAAGATCAAGCTGAATTCTCTACGAATTGACAGCATTATTGGTCTCTATTCTATGTTTTGCTATCAGCCAGAGAAGAGCAAGGAAAAATGTTTATCATCAAATTTTTTCAAGCAAATCATTACCCAAGATAGCTAACATCTTGTCTTACTCACTTGTTGGAGGAAAGTTGGGAGCTGTTGTCTCATTTGTTCTTGAAGCTGAGGATTTCCAGCAAATAGGGGATTATTCAGCATCATCTATGGGGCAAGTGTTCAAACAATTTTAACTGGAAATATCTGAAACAAGTAATGTACCTTGTTTTATTCTATCTTCCCCCAAGTGCCTCAGCTGGCACTTAAAAGGGAGGAAGGTAGAACATAAATAAAAAAAGGAAAAGGGAAGATACTGTCCACAAGAGGGATCTCCAGAAGAACAAAAACAAAAAAATGAGGCATATTCTCTCTCAATGAGAATGGTGGTTATGATAATGACATGCAATATCCTAAAAAATAAAAGCAATCATTTTCTTAGGCTTTTCCTTGAACAAACGTGAATATATGCCATTGAAAGAAAAATGGGAGTAACTGGCATTCATGAAGATATATTTTCTACTACACTGGCAGAATAAACATAAACATCAATACATGAACTATGTAACATGGCTTGCTTAGAAACCTCAACACACAAGTGGCAGGCACAGAGAAAATCTAGATCTGAAAAGGACCACTACATCTACCTGCCTACTACAAAACAGCTAATATTAGGTCCAAAAAAATAACACCGCAAAACAGCAACCAACTTGCCAGAGAAATGGAGCTGCTAGGTGAAAATCAGTCAGGCCTAGCACCAACAGTCCTCTGGGAAAAGTATTAAAATGATTTAAGACCTAAAAGATGTAAATCCATTTGAGAACACCAAGATTAGCATCTGGATTTCACCTCACTACTACCAGAGATGAGAAAAGTGGCATCTCCTAAACTTCAAATAAACGTTAAGAATTTAAAAATCAGGATCATTATTAGTATGATGTCATATACCTGAAAATAAGATTAAAATACACAAGGAGCATAACCAGAGCTAATAAATTCTTGTAGCTTCAAAAGACACATTTTATATCATTTTCCCCAGGCGGAGTAAAAAGTCAACTAACAAGGATTTACTGATAGCCTATTTATCTATCCAAAGTCTGGGGAGGAAATGATCCTTGCCCTCAAGAAGTTAACCGTATTTAAGAGCAATGTAAATGCTGGTAGAGAAAATTCGCCCCAATTCTTGCAAAGTGATCTTTTAGTTAATTTCAATACAATAACAAAAGCAGATGTCAGACAACCTTTCAGGAACATACAGTATTTATTTCAAAGTGACCAGTAAGTTCACAGTAAGTAAACTCATACAGGCTTAAGGTCAACAAACCTGCTTCTTTATTGGTTCCAAATACTTATCATCAACATATTAACGAGGTTATCACACATATCTTTTGGAATTCACTTCATTTCATCTTAAAAAAGCATGTCATCTTAAACGTATCCTTTCACAGATAATCATCTTATTAGATACTTCTTATAACTTACCTGAGTGCTTATACCACAAGTTTTTACACTCAAGAGTCTTTTTAAATATTTAAAAATCAAAAGAATAGAAAAACCACAAATTTTAATCTGCAGATAACAAGAACATTGTAAAAGTTTCTAAATTATCTGTAATAAAAGACATGCCAATCTAGTACTAGCAACATTTTGTTTTAGAGTAAAAAAATAGTATGTGAGTGCTCAAGTCACTTTACTAAAGTAAGATTATTACAAAATTGCTACGCATGTGCTTGTTAAAGTCAAATTTTAAAAGCAAGATGCACATTCAGTATTAGCCAAATACACACTTAAAATGGCTTATTATGGTAAATTGAAGCATTTAATACTAACAACTCAGTCTGATAAGTTTCATATGCATAAATCAATCTTCCATAAAATGTACCTCCAATATACAGAATCACAGACACAAAAATTCTTCTTAAAATTTGTTATTTCCAATTCCACAAATTTGGTGAGGGCATAAGTTATTACTGAGAATTATACACAAAGATACCTGAATCAATATAGTTTTAGAATTTAGAAAATAAAAACCATTCATTTGACTTAAAGCTTTTAAAATTTAAGGGATGAGATTAACTATAAAGTCTTCCAAATTCCTGACACACTACAGAAGCCATTTTTAACGAACAGCAAATATAAACTACAGATTATCAAGGTTTATTTCACATTCTCCGTGGTTTTTCAAGCCCTGTGGTATGGAACCTAGATAGTACCTAGGCAACTTGAGGGAGAAAGGGTTATCGGACGCAATTATCTCAAAATCTCTAAGGATGAGGCCCCAACCATCGGTACTGTCTATAAAGCTTCCCAAGTGATCCTGAGTGTTCAGCCAGCATTAAGATCCCCAATTTTCTTAGCTGTGGTCTCTTTAGAAACAAATTAGAAAAAGGAATACATTAATAAGGGACCTGTATACGATTTTCAGCAGGGGAATCAATAGTTGAAAGAAGGAGAACATTGTTCTGACAAATTCCCGTCTTTAATAAATGCTATTTTACAACTGCCATTCTGAGCATGACTATTATAATCTGAGTGATCTACTAAATAAAAGTATTTCAAATGTATTAACATTGCTCTTAATTGCTTTCAAGATTTACATTTCATTAAGTAGTTTATCTTCAAAAGAGTGGGCATTCCAGAACTCTGTACTTGTCTCCTAACTCAACATATGTAGAAACAAACTAAACCTGCACTTCTTTCTAGTCAATGAATGGCAGAGATAAAGTTGTTTTAATTACATATGAAGTATTAATTTACTGCAAAGAAACACACGGTCTAAAAAATTGGAGACACAGTTTACTTATTTTTCTAGTGTATTAAGATATCATACACAACACAAATGTGCCAAAATCACAATTACAAGATTAGGTTATTTTAATTCACACTGCACAGTCTTTTTCAATACAATTACAAACTCACCTGTGCAGCAAGGTCAGGATTCTGGCTTAGTGACTGCATCATGCTTCTCATGTAGGGGGCAGACAACATGTTTTGCATCAGTTGTGGGTTTTCAGTTATTTGTTGCAACAAGCTCTGCATTCCTGGTGTGTTGAACATACTAGCTGAAAGTTTGTTTTTAAAAAAGACATATTAAGGAAAAATACTTAAACAAAAGTTAAAGCTTTAAAATATAATATGCACTGTGTTTAATTTCACCAAGTACAAATGATTATACATATTATGTATCAACTGAACTACGAAAGAACTTTAAAACTAAAACATCTCTAAAAGTACATGCCCAACATATACCAGGAAAAGAGGACTGATGAGTTTAAACATTCTGCATTTACAGTAAAATCTTGTCTAATGAAGAGCTAGCTTCTGAAGTCAACTTAAGGCAAAAATTACGTATGGTCAAAATTACTGCTGAAAAATTCCATAAAGTGAAAAGGACTGAGCCAACTTTTCCTCCAAGACTGCAAAGAATTAATTAGAATCATATTCGGCACTTAATATTGCCCACCCTTATGAAAGAAGTAAGCCTTCATGCCCAAGGCAACAAAAGATGTAATGCCTCCACCCATTTTCACTGTGTACTGCCACTCACTGAGTAAAATGGTAGGCACATTTAACATTTGAAACCATAGAGCACAGTGACTCCAAGCAGTATCAGGAGCCTGATTACGTGGGTTCAAATCTAATCTAACCCATGTGATCTTGGGCAAGTTATCTAGCGTCTTCATACTTCAGGTTCCCCATCTGTAAAATGGAGAAAGCAGTATCTACTTCATAGGGTGGTTGTAAGAAAATTAATGTACAAAGCACTTATGATTATTGTTTTTCCTTTTATTGCCAAGGGCTACAGCTGAATTTATGTGAATTCCATATGTGATGACAACTGTATATTTAGGCAAATTTTCTTTGAAAACTAAGTTAATTTGCTTGACTCACACCTAGATCTTCAACTGCCAACTAGATACACTCAAACTCAAATATATTCTCAAACTTACTATGCCAAGTCAACTCATTAGGTTTTTCATCTCCTTTCTGCTATTCCATCCAGTTATATCAGGCTTAAGACATCTGACTCTTCTCACTTATCTTTCTAGTTTATTATAATTCTGTTTTTAATAGTTCTTGTTTTTCCTATTTTCTCATGTTGTAAATTTTAACTTAGTTTTTTTTTCACATCCTAGAGTCCAACCTTGGAGATACTGTGGGTTTGGTTCCAGACTGCTGTGCAATAAAGCAAGTCACACACATTTTTTGGTTTCCCAGCGCATACAAAAGTTGTTTGCATGATACTGTAGTCTATTAAGTATGCCACAGCCTTCGGTCTAAAAAAAAACTCTGCACATAAATATAAAAATACTTTATTGCCGAAAGCTGCTAACAGTGAGTCAGCTGGTGGTCGCTAAAGGTTGGGGTGGCTGTGGCAATTTCTTAAAATAAGACAACGATGAAGTTTGCCACATCAGGAAAACTTTGTTGCACTCTATGCTGTTTGACAGCATTTACCACAGCAGAACTTTCAAAATTGGAGCCAATCCTCTCAAACCCTGCCACTGCTTTATCAACAAAGTTTATGAAACATTCTGAATTCGTTGTCATTTCAATAATGTTCACAGCATCTTCACTTACAGCAGACTCTATCTCAAGAAACCACTCTTTGCTCATCTACAAAAAGCAACTCCTCATCTGTACAAGTTTTTTCATGGCATTGTAGCAACGCAGTCAGTGTTCATGCTCCACCTCTTTTTTTCTTTTTAAATTGAGATGGAGTCTCGCTTTTGTCACCCAGGCTGGAGTGAGGGGAGTGGCACGAACATAGCTCACTGCTGCCTGCAATTCCTAGGCTCAAGGGATCCTCCTGCCCGAACCTTCCAAAGTGCCGTGATTAAAGGTATGAGCCAACACACCTGGCAGGCTCCACTTCACATTCTAGTTCTCTTGCTATTTCCACTACTTCTACAGTCCCCTCCTCCATAGAAGTCTTGAACCCCTCAAAGGCATCCATGAGGGACAGAACAAACTTCTTCCAAACTCCTGTTCATGTTGATATTTTGACATCCTCTCCATGAATTAGGAACGTTCTTAATGACATTGAGAATGGTGAATGAATCCTTTCCAGAAGGTTTTCAATTTACTTTGCCCAAATCCATTAGAGGACTCACTAAGGCAGCTATAGTCTAATTAAATGTATTTCTTAAATAAGACTTGTAAGTTGAAAGTGCTCCTTGATCCATGGGCTGCATGCAGAATGAATGCTGTGTTAGTTAACAGGCATAAAAACAACATTAATCTCCTTGCACATCTCCATCAAAGCTCTTGGGTGACTACATGCACTGTCAATGAGCACTAATATTTTGAAAGGAATCTTTTCCTTAGCAACGTCTCACCAGTAGACTTAAAATATTAAGTAAACCATGCTGTAAACAGATGTGCTGTCATCCAGGCTTTTTTTCTTTTTTTCTTTTTTTTCCTGTTTACAGAGCATAGGCAGAATAGATCTAGCATAATTTTTAAGGCCCTAGGATTACTGGAATAATAAATGAGCACTGGCTTCAACTCAGTCACCAGACACATTAGCCCCAACAGTCAGCCTTTCCTTTGAAGAACTGAAGCTAAGAATTCACTTCTCTCCAGAAATGAAAATTCTAGATGATATCTTCTTCCAATAGAAGGCTGTTTTTCACCTACATTAAAAACTGGTTGTTTCATGTGGCCACGTTCCTTGATGATCTTAGGAGATCTTCTGGATAACTTGCTGCAGCTTCTACAACAGCACCTGCTACCTCACCTTGTACCTTTACATTATGGAGTTGGCTTCTTTCCTTAAACATAAGCCAGTCAACCTCAGCTACTTTCCAACTTTTCTTCTGCAGATTCCTTACCTCTCAGCTTTCATAGAATTAAAGAGAGTTAGGGCCTTGCTCTGGATTAGGCTTTGGCTTAAGGGAATAGTGTGGCTGGTGTGATCGTCTATCCAGATCACTACAATTTTCTCCACATCAGCAATGAAGTTGTTTTGCTTTCTTGTCATTCATGTCTTCACTGGAGTAGCACTTATAATTTTCTTCAAGAACTTTTCCTTCGCATTCACAACTTGGCTGTTTGGTGCAAGAGGCCTAGCTTTTGGCCTATTTTAGCTTCTGATATGCCTCCCTCACTAAACAAGATTATTTCTAGCTTTTGATATAAAGTAAGAGATGCAGGAGTCTTTTTTTATACTTGAATACTTAGAGGCCACTGTAGAGTTATTAACTGACCCAATTTCAATGTTGTGTCTCAGAGAATAGGGAGACCCAAGAAGAGGAAGAGAGACAAGTGGAACAGCCAGTCAGTTGAACAGTCAGAACACATACATTTACTGATTAAGTTTGCCAGGTACAAGGTGGTTCCTGGTACCCCAAAACAATTACTAAAGTAACATCAAAGATCACTGATTACAGAATCACCACAACAGAATAATGAAAAAGCCTGAAATATTGTGAGAATTATCAAAATGTGACACAGAGACATGAAGTGGGCACATGCTGTTGGAAAAATGGTACTAACAGACTTGCTCAATGCAGGGTCACTGCAAACCTTCAAACTGTGAAAATCACACTATCTGTGAAGCACAACAAAATGAGGTATATCTGTATTCTAAGATAGGCTGGCAAATAACAGCCTGCAGGACAAATCTGGCCTACAACATGTTTCTGCTAAGCTAATGAGTTAAAAATTGCTTTTATGTTTCAAGGCCAGGCATGGTGGTTCACACCTGTAATTCCAGCACTTTGGGACGCTGAGGCGGGTGGATCATTTTAGGTCAGGAGTTCAAGCAGCCTGGCCAACATGGCGAAACCCCGTCTCCACTAAAGATACAAAAATCAGCTGGGTGTGGTGGTACACACCTGTAATCCCAGCTACTGGGGAGGCTGAGAAGGGAGAATCGTTTGAACCCAGGAGAAGAAGGTTGCAGTGACTCAAGATTATACCACTGCACTCCAGCCTGGGCGACGACTCTGTCTCAAACAAAACAAACCAAAAAACCAAAACAATTTTTGGTCGGGTGCAGTGACTTACACCTGTAATCCTAGCACTTTGGGAGGCCAAGGCAGACAGATCACCCAAGGTCGGGAGTTTGAGACCAGCCTGGCCAACATGGTGAAACACTGTCTCTACTAAGAAAAAAAACAAAGAAATTAGCCAGGTGTGGTGGTGGGTGCCTATAATCCCAGCTACTCAGGAGGCTGAGGCACGAGAATCTCTAGAACCTGGGAGGCAGAGGTTGCAGTGAGCCGTGATCATGCTACTGCACTCCAGCCTGGGTGACAGGTCGAGACTCGGTCTTTTAAAAAAAAAAAAAAAAAAAAACAAAAAAAAAAAACTGCGCTTACGTTTTTATTTTTAAATAGTTAAGGGAAAAAAAATCCAAGATAAATATTTTGTGAAACGTGAAAACTATATGAAATTCAAATTTCAACGCCCATGAATACCATTTTATTGGAACAGTCATTCTCACTTATTGTCTATGGGTGTTTTGCACTTTTACAAAAGCAGTGAGTACTTGCAACAGAAACTGTCTATGGTACTGTCACTCCTTCATACTGTTATTTGTTTTGTTTTGAGACAGGGTCTTGCTCTGTCTCCCAGGCTGGAGTGCGGTGATGCCATCACAGCTCACTGCAGCCTTAACCTCCCTAAGCACAGGTAATCCTCCCACCTCAGCCTCCCAAGTAGCTGTACTACAGCTGCACACCATGCCCGGTTACTTTTTGTCTTCTTTGTACAGGTGAGGTTTCACCATGTTGGCTAGGCTGGTCTCAAACTCCTGGGCTCAAGCAATCCACCCACCTTGGCCTCCCAAAGTCCTGGGATAACAAGTATGAGCCACCATGCCACACCTGGCCTCCTTCGTACTGTTGTTCAGTATACTACTACAAAACACAGTGAATCAGTTATACTCATGCAGCACAAAATCACTGCAGCATTAAAAAAAAAAAAATAACCAGTATATACCAATCATGCCAGAACAAGAAAAAAGGAAGAAGGAGAGTTACAAATGTCAGGTTTTTAAGGCACAGTGGAATATATTTTACTAAATGAGATGGCAAAACTTGTGTTTCTTATGCAATGACACTAAAAGAATACAACATATATAAGCACTGCCGGACCAACCACTCATCACAATACTCCCCACTCACAGAAAAGCAATGGTCAGAAGAAATATAAACTTTAGAATGAAATATCTCATCATAGCCACTTTTTCACAAAAAATAAAAATGAAAATAAGACTGCAACCAAAGTTAAGTTTCCAAGTGGCTTGTTAGCCAAAGGAAGCCAAGTACTAGTGATGACTAATTTAACAGTTAATTAAATCTTGATTGCAGTAACCAAATGTGTCCAGAGAAAATAAACTCACTGAAGTCTACTCGGCTCTCAGGAGGAACAGTTTTTCTCAGAGTTAAGGATGTCAATACTCAATTTAAAAACAACGCAAATGATTCTGAGTGCTATTTCTAAGTTCTTGATAAGCTGACAGATGTTACTGATACTGCTCAATTGTATGGGGAGTCAATGGTAAGTCTGAAGTGACCGGAAAATTACCCTCTATAAATAGTCTGAATGGAACAACCAGGGTAAGACCATTTTTTAAAAAGTTGAGAAATAAGAATTTGGTACAACTTGAAGTAGAATCTGCTAAGATGTGCTACATCTCATGGCAGCAAAAACGTGCAGAATTAAAACGACTTAGTTGGACATATTTTCAAAGCATATAAAAATGTAAGGTATTTAAAGACTATAGTTATTGACTGTCTTATTCATCAGTAGGTACTCTGGAAAACATTTGGATCTATCATGTTACTGAACCAGGAGTATCAATGAGGAGCACTGTTAACTCCTGTAAACTTAACCAGTCAACTTCATGAATTTTTATTAACAATAACTCAATATTCTGACATGCCTAACCACACAGAAGGTTGATGGTGGCTTAGCAGAGGTAAAGTTTCATTGCATTATTTTATTAGCTCATGCCAAAGATTAAAATTTTAGTAAATGAGAACCACTACCCTGCCAACCCTCCAACAACCAAACATTGAATTACTATATGAATTCGTTTTTGTTAGAGAGTTGGTAATGCTTATGCATGAATTCAACCTAAAACTACAAAGCAAAGCAGCATTTATGTGTGATCATACTAAAGTCATTTTGACAACTAAAATTGTTTGAATCACAAGCAATGTCAAGGTGCTTTACAGACTTCCTATGCCGTCAAAAAAAAAAAAAAATCACAAGAAGCAAGACCTCCATTCTCACAAATTTGCAGATTTACTTTTGAGCTCATACCACCAGCAACATTTTTCAGACCTCAATGCAAATGCAAAGGCAACTGACATTCAAAGTTCACTTAACTGTGCAATTGAGGAGCTACTACCTTTCACTTTGAAGTGATTAATCTGAATGTAATGGCATGTTAAAAACAACATTATCTAATGGAATTCTATAAATGCCTTCCACACTGATAAATATGCTATTAAAATCAAATGCTTTTGGAATGAGTACGTATTTTGAATAAGTCAGTCAAGTCTCACTACATATCAGTATTAACAGATGAACTTTGCAATTCTGGTAAACAGAACACTGAACCCCAATTATGCAAAATGTTATTCCCCCAAAGAAGTCCCATTCCTCTTATCAGTAGATACAAGGAAAATATTGTAACTAAATATTACCAATTTTTTTATTTTTTCAATTAAAAAATTTGTGGGAATTTGTTTTGTCTCTTGATGTAATACATTCTCCATTTTGCCTCTTGGCCAGTAATACCTGAAGTATTATCTGACCCTTCACATGAAAAATCTGTCAACTCCTGCTCTAACACTTCCTTACATTCTAGAGTAGGTGCTTACAGGACCAAAGAAGAGTCAAGAATTTCATCTTTACATGTGTATGTGTGCATATATGTATGCATCAAATGTCACAGTTGAGTAAGAATCATAATACTGTACAAATATGCTGACAATCTGATAGGCCAGCAGAGTAAGTTCATTCTTGCTAGTTCTTGTTTTCCCTTGATGGAAATATTAACATGAAATGTTAAAGTATCAAACCATTAAGTATCTGAGTAAAAGGATGCAAAACTGATTTTTGGTTTTTGGTTTTTTAGACAAAAGTTATTACTGTAGACAATCATGGTAAAGGGAAAGAAAACAACAGCTTAACCAGTCAGGAAATATGATTAAATCTTTGCCTGCTCTATACCCTTTAAAGTAAGAACATTGCAACCCTCTCAAAAGATTGTTAGTATCAAAGTAAGGATTAAGTAGAATATAGAACAGAATATTTTTATTGATTTAAAAATGGTATTACTTCAGGTTTTACAAAACCTATATTATAAACATAAATCTCAAGATATCCACTGTATTCTATAAAAGAATATATATCAACTGTGATCATTAATTACTCTTCTCATTCTGATTCTTCTTTCAGCAATGAATTTTTAAAAATTCTTCATCCAGCACCTCATCTTTCCACTTCCTCTGCCAAAGTACAGGCATCTTTTAAAACATGCCCAGTCTATCTCATCTTAGAGAAGTGCTCCCATGTCTCCATTTCTTCCTACTTATACGCCAAGTATTAGGACTAAAATTGTCACTATGGCTAATGATCTTGGACCTAATTCATGGACAAAACATCCGCATGTAGTATCTGAATAGCTGAAAGGAAGACATCTGAGTTCAGTCTACAGAAAAGTGGACAAAAGTAAATTTCTAACCTGTTCACACATGAGAATCTGCTTCACACAAACACAGATCTTAACCCCACTATGAAAGATTTGGCTCCACAAAGTCTGAGGGTAAGATCTGGGAATCTGATTTTTAATAAACCTGGCAGGTGCTCTGATGCAGCCAGTATAGCCCTGACCTCAAGACGGGTGCTTGACAATCTACTGATCTAAAATACAAAACCAGGCTAAAGACAGCAAACATGTGCTCTAGTAACAACTACACAGGTAACTAGTAACAACTACACAAGTAAATAAGTGTTCTCTCTACATTTAAAGCTTCCTTTAAAAAACAAAATGTGACCAGGTGCAGCGGCTCACACCTATAATCCCAGCAATTTGGGAGGCCAAGGCAGGCGGATCACCTGAGGTCAGGAGTTCAAGACCAGCCTGACCAAGATGGAGAAACCCTGTCTCTACTAAAAATACAAAATTAGCCGGGCATGGTGGCAGGTGCCTGTAATCCCAGCTACTCGGGAGGCTGAGGCAGAAGAATCACTTGAACCCAGGAGGAAGAGGTTGCGGTGAGCTGAGATCGTGCCATTGTACTCCAGCCTGTGCAACAAGAGCGAAGCTCTATCTCAAAAAAACAAAACAAAACAAAACAAAAGCAACATGAAAAATATAGTTTATAAAAGATACTCACTATACATACACACAAAAGCACAAAGAATAAGAGTATAAACAATGTTTTAATTATGTAAATGAGGACAACAAAGAAAAAAGCCTGAGTTGTTAAAAGCATACCTCCTACTCCAGGCACCAAATTTGGCGCAGTAGTACTCTGCCCAGAAGTGCCACTGGCAGTACTACCAGTAGTGCCACCCACAGTGCTGGCAGTGCCGCTGGAAGCTGATGAACTCTGGGAAGTCTGTGGAGCCCATGGATTGGGTAGTGGATCTCTATTTTCTGTACGGGAAGGTTGACTACCTTCACCAGAGGATGTATTGCTCACCAAGGAAGCAAATGGATTACCACCAAACTGTAATAAAAGACATAAAAAATCACAAAGAATAAGCTTTTGTTTTAAATAAGATATGAAACTTTTTTTTTTTTTTTTGAGACGGAGTCTCGCTCTGTGACCCAGGCTGGAGTGCAGTGGCGCGATCTCGGCTCACTGCAAGCTCCGCCTCCTGTGTTCACACCATTCTCCTGCCTCAGCCTCCCGAGTAGCTGGGACTACAGGCGCCCACCACCACGCCCAGCTAATTTTTTGTATTTTTAGTAGAGACGGGATTTCACCGTATTAGCCAGGATGGTCTTGATCTCCTGACCTCGGGATCCACCCGCCTCGGCCTCCCAAAGTGCTGGGATTACAGGCGTGAGCCACTGCACCCGGCCACTGAACTTTTTAAAAATTGAAAACCACATTCCTCATATAAAAGCTACCCTCAATCATACACATATTTGTGTTAAAACAGAAGCTACTCCTTGGCCTGAACCTTGGAGCCAGTGGATCACCTGCTCTTGTGCAGCACTCAGCATTGGTTCCTGAATATCTGTGTACATGCGCCTTAAAGCATTATATCCCCCTGGGATGCTTTCTAGGTTGCTCAAAGCTCGGTCCTGGTTCCTCATCATCTCCTGCATCATTGCTGGATTCCTGGCAAGTTCCAACGTCTACGAAAAATATTTCCAAAAAAAGAAAAAAAAAAGGCATTGAAATACACATGAATTACATTAATTACTTTATTAACTGCCATTAAACAAAGTTTATGGGAGGCCACTGTTTTGTTTTGTTTTTTTAATTTTTTTGAGACGGAGTCTTGCTTTGTCGCCCAGGCTGGAGTGCAGTGGCATGATCTTGGTTCACTGCAAGCTCCGCCTCCCGGGTTCACACCCATTCTCCTGCCTCAGCCTCCCGAGTAGCTGGGACTACAGGCGCCCGCCACCACGCCCCGCTAATTTTTTTTTGTATTTTTTAGTAGAGACGGGGTTTCACCGTGTTAGCCAGGATGGTCTTGATCTCCTGACCTCGTGATCCGCCCACCTCAGCTTCCCAAAGTGCTGGGATTACAAGCGTGAGCCACCGCGCCCGGCCAGGAGGCCACTGTTTTGGACCAGCCTCCTGCACTATGCCCCAGCAGACCACAACAAACCAAAATAGAGCCACTTGTGCCAAGTGCCATGTAATCAAAGTGAACTATGAAAGGGGCCAGTTTCCCCCCCAAAACCATAGTAAGCTGCAGTCAACGTGAGTCACTGTAACAAGAAAGAGTTCCCTCCATTTTAACCCTATTAGGAAAGTAACTTCGAAATGACCCATCTGCTTTTTGTTCGTTTTTGCTTTCTTCAGCCCTTTTATGCCTATAAAGCCAACCTCTTCTGCTCAGCTCATGAGAACACTCTATTTTATAAAATGAGGTGTTGTCTGATTCTAGAATCACAAATAAAAACCAATTAAAGCTTTAAAGTTGTTGCAATTTTGTATTCAACATATAAGGCAGGAGGTTATTTTAAATAATCCCTGGTGTATTTCACCTCAAAAAAGCAACTTAGCATTCAAATAACATAAAGAAGGAAGCACTTTGTTATGAGTGAATTTCCCATCTCCAGCATTGGACTTTTTGATTCTTAAGCCTTCAAAATAAACTATTTACAAAGATCCTTCAATTTAACAGAAAATTCAGAGTTCAAACAGCCAAATTAGCGCTTTGTTGAGTTTTCTTAAACCAAGATAAGGATTTCTCTCTTTAGCTTAACCATACATACAGGACAATCTCATTAACCACAGAAAATTAAATAACAAATATATCATTTTTTAGCTAAACGAACTGAAAGAACTTTCCACATACTTGTCTCATTATATCTGGATTATTCAACATATGACTAATTTCTGGATTTCTCTGTATCAACTGCTGCATTTGTGGATTGGCCATAATTAACTGTCTCATCAGGTCAGGATTTGAGAGCATGCTCTGAACAAAGGGATTTTCCATGATCTGGACCATCATTTCAGGGTTAGACAAAAGTTGTCGCTGCATCTGACTCTGTAGTTCAGAGAAGTTGGTAGTATTCAAACCCAAGCTACTCAGACCTGCAAGTCCCCCAAGGCCACCTAAGAGGATAAAGGGCAAAAACATACAAATCAAAGTCAGAAAATTTATCATTAACATGACATAAAATATGAAGATGCAAAAAAGTATTAGCTGACCCAATAGTCTATTACAAGAAATCATTTAAAAACAAATCGAATACCTATTACTAATATTTAATTCCTATCATTGAAATTAGCCAAAAATTTACACTTTGGTAATTAAAGTAATAAAATCAACAAAATATATTTTCATGTATGTAGTATAATAATAAATATATTTGGTCTTTCTCCTTGATCCTGAGTTACTAAAACTTTGGAATTTTCTGAGTGACAGGAGTATCTTTTATTATTCATTACAAGCCCTTTTGATCATTATGCTAATGAAGTGACTTAGGCCCCTGGAAAGCCTCAGAAAGGAGCTGGTCACCAGAAAGACAAAGTGATTAAAGGGCTAAAACTTTCAGCCCCACCCACCAAGAAAGTAAGGGTAGGGAGGTGGAGATAGAGCTCTATGCAAATTCTTCAACAATAAAATTAAGAAAACTCAAAATGAAAAGCACATCTGAGTGTTAGGAGGGTTGTGCGCTGAGGAAACCTGGATGGAACCTTTGAGCCCAACTTCCATCCCCCACATACCCATACCTTGTGCCCTAATAATTATCTTCCAAGCATTTGTCTGTTTCTGAGTTGTATCCTTTATAATAAACAGGTAAACATAAGTGTTTCCTTGAGTTCTAGGTGCCATTCTAGCAATTATTGAACCTGAGGAGGAGGTCAGGGGAACCCCCAACTTAGAGCTGGTCAGTCAGAAGTACAGATGGCCTAGAACTTGTGACCAGTATCTGAAGTAGGGGCAGTCTTGCAGGACTGAGTCTGCTAACTTGTGAGATCAGACACTAACTGTAGGTAGGTAGTATCAGAAATGAAGCTGAATCTTGGACACAGAGCTGGTATTGGACAATTGGCTGGTGTCAGAAAAAACAGTCCAGATTATGCCAGCTAAAGGAAGAAATAATAAATACACACACCAGACTATGCTTCTAATAATCTTTCCAAAAGACTAGTTTAAGTTTTATTAACAGGAAGCAGAATTCACCTATAAACACTGGGTACAAGAGGGCTGATACTGCCAGTCAAGGAGACAGAGAGCCAGGGAATACCTGGAAATAGATTTCTCTTTGGAGGACTTCAATCAAGGAGAAACCTAACAGAGCAACAGGATGACCAAGTGCTTACCACAAAGTGTTTACTTCGTAAAATTACATAACCAACTAAATGCATTCAGTTCTCACTTACTGAGCACTTTTTATATATGCCAGAGACTGTGTTACATATGTATTGAGAATAAGGCAACAAGAAAGACATCCTCAGAACTCAATCTAGTAGGAAAGACAGACAAGAAAATAAATGTCTATACAGATGCTAAGTACTTCAGTAAAGAATATTCACAGGATATTATGGTAATATAACCCAAGTGGAATGGCTACTTTCAGAAGAAGAGATAACACTTAATGAGTCTGGAGCATAAATACTTTGGCAAGGAAACGTGAAGAAGGTTAGGAGGGGGACTGAATACTAGGCACAATGAACACCATATACAAAAAGCACAAAAATAAATGTATTAATGCATTCTTGAAACCACAAAAACTTCAGTATGACTAACTACAGTAGCAGATAGCAGTGCTCACCAAACATTTCATTTTGCAGCCTTATTATTTCTTTTGCACTTGGACAGGCCTATGTGAAATGCCAAAGGACTACAAGAAATGATATATGCCACTTCTGGCCAAAGTATAGCAGGTTCAACTTAAAACCCTGTAGCTGTCTCTTCTGCCGTGTTCCAAATGGTAGAGCTATAATACAGCAGAATGAAAAATGACTTTCATTAGCTTGAGTCTCTGAGGGACTATATGGATGGGCACCTTACAAACCGGTAAAAAGCGTAGCATGCAGAAAAATGCAGCAAGAAATGAAGCTTTGTTGTAATAAGCCACTGAGTTTGGCTATCTATTATCAAAAGAAAATGGATAACAGCACTTTGGCAGATCACAAATTCAGGAGATCTAGACCATCCTGGCTAATATGGTGAAACCCAGTCTCTACTAAAAATACAAAAAAATTAGCCGGGCGTAGTGGCACACTCCTATAATCCCAGCTACTCGGGAGGCTGAGGCAGAAGAATCGCTTGAACCCAGGAGGCAGAGGTTGCGGTGAGCCTAGATCGCGCCACTGCACTCCAGCCTGGGCGACAGAGCAAGACTCTGTCTCAAAAAATATATATATATATATTCCACAGAACCTCAATATATAAATCTAATACAGGCCAGGCACAGTGGCTCTCATCTGTAACCCAGCATTTTGGGACACCAGCAGGACACCGTAAGCCAGGAGTTTGAGGCTGCAGTGAGCTATGGATGGCATCACTGCACTCTAGCCTCCGTGACTGAGCAAGATCCTGCCTCTCTTAAAAAAACAAACAAACAAACAAACAAAAACTAATATAAGAAAAACAAAAGCAGTTTTAGGCGAGGCTGGCTTCCCAGACCCCCTTCCATGTGTTCAGGACAGTTACAAAATAACTAATGCAGTCTGATCCCTTCCTTTTACAAATGAAAAAATTATTATTCAGGGACGCTGGCTTACGATTAATAACCAGCTAATCTTACTCATACTAAATTATGTGGTAGTCAGATCAGGTATACACAAACTACATCTCTTTCATCATTAAAAAGAAAGGCGCCAACTGATATGTAAGAATATCCATATCCCCAACTACTTCCTTAATATCTACAATTATAGGAATGTATGTTTTTTTTTTTTAATTTTTGTTGTTAAAGTGACATAATGTTTTATTTTCTCATTTTATCTGAAACTACCCAGGAAGGGAAAGGAGTATTTTTTCCCATCCCTACTGGAATGACTAAAGACACTTACCTAAACCAAAAGGGTTGCTAGTAGCAGAACCAGATGTAGAGTTACTATTAGGAGTTGATGATGTAGTAACATTGCTTCCAGCTGTATTTGTTTGCTGAGCTGAATGATCCTGAGGCCTAGGGAAAATAATTAATCACAGAGTAAGCAGTAGAGCTGATTATTTTTAAAAGAACCACCAAAGGCCAGGCACAGTGGCTCACGCCTGTAATCCCAGCACTTTGGGAGGCCGAAGCTGGCTGATCACGAGGTCAAGAGATAGAGAACATCCTGGCTAACACAGTGAAACCCCATCTCTACTAAACATACAAAAAATTAGCCGGGCGTGATGGCGAGTGCCTATAGTCCCAGCTACTTGGGAGGCTGAGGCAGGAGAATGGCGTGAACCCAGGAGGCGGAGCTTGCAGTGAGCGAGATCGCGCCACTGCACTCCGTCCAGCCTGGGCAACAGAGCGAGACTCCGTCTCAAAAAAAAAAAAAAAAAAAAAAGAACCACTGAAATCCTGACATCTAGAAATAAAGGGTAAACTCTCAGACCAAATCAAATTATCATTTAGTAAAAAGCCTGAGAAAACTAAGCATTAGGAACAAAAAATACAAAATAAAATAAAACCCTACAAAATACAAAATATGCTGCAATTGCCCCTCCTCTTTGAGTATAATGTACACAAATATTTCATTAGTTTCAATCATATTGCTTATGTAAGAGATGGAGGTAGGTTATCTCATAAGAGGGAAGCCAATGACCAGTTACACCCACAAAGCTTGACTATATAAAAAACTTTTTTATCTTGGCCAGGTGCGGTGGCTCACGCCTGTAATCCCAGCACTTTGCGAGGCCGAGGCAGGCGATCAACTGAGGTCAGGAGTTCAAGACCAGTCTGGCCAACATGGTAAAACCCTATCTCTACTAAAATACAAAAATTAGCCGGGCATGGTGGCACATGCCTGTAATCACAGGTACTCAGGAGGCTGAGGCAGGAAGACTACTTGAACCCAGGAGGCGGAGGTTGTAGTGAGCCAAGATTGCGCCACTGCACTCCAGCCTGGGTGACAGAGAGAGACTCTTGAAAAACAAACAAACAAACAAACAAAAAAACCCACAACTTTTTTATCTATCCCCTTCTAGTTCTTGAGGGTTATGAGCCAGTTTTACTCTGGCCCTTGAAATTCTTGAAAACAATAAAAAGCGAGAGACTTCACCAAAAGAAAGCCAACAAATCAATATGATTAATAATTATTACTTTATTTATTTATTTTTTTAAAGACAGAGTCTTGCTCTGTCACCCAGGCTGGAGGTGCAGTGGCATGATCTCGGCTCACTGTAACCTCCACCTCCCAGGTTCAAGCGATTCTCCTGCCTCAGCCTCCCGAGTAGCTGGGACTACAGGTGCACACCACTGTGCTGGGCAATTTTTTGTATTTTTAGTAGAGACAGCGTTTCACCATGTTTACCACGCTGCTCTGGAACTCCTGACCTCAGGTGATCTGCCCACCTCACCCTCCCAAAGTGCTCAGATTTCAGGTGTGAGCCACCGCGCCTGGCCTGATTATTACTTAGTATTATCTCTAAAAGGAAATAAGCCAGACAAGGTGGCTCACACCTGTAATCCCAGCACTTTGGGAGGCCAAGGCTGGTGGATCACCTGAGTTCAGGAGTTCGTGACCAGCCTGGCCAACATGAGGAAACCCCGTCTCTATCAAAAATACAAAATTAGCCGGGCGTGGTGGCGCATGCCTGTAATTCCAGCTACTTGGGAGGCTGAGGCGGGAGAATCGCTTGAACCCAGAGGCAGACGTTGCAGTGAGCTGAGATCGCACCGTTGCACTCCAGCCTGGGCAACAAGAGTGAAATTCCGTCTCAAAAAAAAAAAAAAAAAAGTAAGGAAATAAAAAAAACCCTTCCAGATGATACCAGATAAGAGTTTTGAATGCCACTCATTGCTTCTTTCCCTGAATTTAGCTAAGGCACACATTTTTCTATTTTAACATCTCCGAAATCAGGATCTGTCTTACAATTGCTGACAGCCAGGCATCAACTACATGCCTGCACATGTAGTCTACATGACTTCAACTGAATGCCTGGGTACACTGTTGTATCATATGTAACGGGCTTAATTACCACATTAAGTGTCTTCAAAATAATTACACTATTAATTGGCACTGACAGAAGTTACCATGTATTCAGAATAGCACCAAAATAGAAGGAATATGTTGAATGAGTAAAGCAAGTATTTGCTGTTGGTAAACAACAGCATAAAAACTTACAGGAGTGTTAATGGCTTGGAACAAAATCCTGGAGAAAATACTGGAGAGCTCTTTTAAGCAATGCTACACCACCAACACTCTTGACAGAACAGAGTTTGATACTGTATGAAAAAATATGGACACTGACAACTAAGTCTTCGTATGTTATGCAAGAGTGATATGATAAAATTCCATACCCATGTAAGTCTAAAGGAGCTCTTTCACTAAGTATAAAATAAACATTTTAAGTGACAAGAAAACATCAATTCAGTTAGCAGTATTCTTTCTTAGTGATACACAAAGGTATCTCTTTAAAACTGGTGGTGCCAGCTGGACACTGTGGCACGCACCTACAGTCCCAGGCTGACATGGGAGCATCACTTGAGCCCAGCCTGGGCAACATGGCATGACTCTGTCTCTTAAAAAAAAAAAAAAAAAAGTTCCTTAGACTTAAAGAAATATGATTATCAATTCGTGGTTTGCTAAGGAGATAAGTTACTCATGATCTTTGTCTAAAAATTTCCTTACTAAAAGAAAAGCTAAAAACTTGCCTGTTCTAATGCAAATAATTTAGGTATAATAACTAAATACCAATGAACCTTGTAAAATATGAAATGGTTATCTGACAATCACGTAAGCATTAACATGGAATCACACTTTTTAAAAAAATTGTTATCGACAGCAAGGAAAGAATTTTAACTATTTAAATATTAATGACAGGGAAAGTAATTTACAGCCAACACTAGTTACTTTTAGAAGTACGAACATTTATCCACAATTTTAAAGCTGTACATCTTCCAAAACCATACCTGTTTTGTGTTTTAATGACAAGGTGAACAGTAAGTCCATCATGAATTCCATGCTGACTCAAGGTATCTTGATCTTTCAAAATTTTTCCAGCAAATATCAACACAAGTTGGTCAGTATGTGATTTAAAACGTTTAGAGATTTCTTCCTTAAACTAAATAAAAATAAAATAAGTATGTATTACAGTTGTTTGCACAGCACCATACAGTCTAGTTTCTACAGGTACCTCATAGAGGCCCCTACTACAGACGCTACAATTCAAACACCATAATCCCAATGTTCCAGGAGGCTGAGGCAGGAGGACTGCCTGAGTCCAGGAGTTCGAGGCTGCAGTGAGCTATTATCACACCACTGCACTCCAGCCTGGGTGACAGAGTGATATCCCGCCTCTAAAAACAAAACAAAACAAAAAATCCCCAATTCAAAACAATACAGAGATGCATCCTTTTTATGTCAGTATCTTGATGTTAGTAAGAAATGATTATTACTTCATCTCTAACACAAAGGTCCTACTATAGGTGCACATATCCTATATTCGATCCTCTGCTAAGGCCTAACAATGCATTGCTTCCCAATATCCTTATTCTTTTTATGTTAATGAGACCAAATTTAGTTCGAGCCACAGTTAGCTCTTACCACGTCCAAAATAATCCATTCCTCAGACTTCTATCTTCAGTCCTGTTCCTTTCTTTCTAGTTGAATACAGTATACACAGCCAATCTCATATTCTTGGCCTAGCGGTGGAGTATCTCTAATGCAAATACCCCAAATATGAAATGCACCAACATCCAAAACTTTTGAGTATCCATGACACTCAAAGGAAATGCTCATTGGAGCATTTTCCAACTTTGGATTTTCAAATTAGGAATGCTGAACCATTAAGTATATAAGGCAAATATCCCAAAATCCAAAAAAACAAAAAAAGAAAAAAAAATCTGAAATCTGAGACACTTCTGGTCCCAAGTCTGTCTGTTTAAAAAAAAAAAAAGTTTTTGGATAAAGTATACTTAATCTGTATTATACTGACCATCCTTCCCACTTACTTTATTCAATATTTATTAACAAGCAGTACTGTGGAAAATCAAAGATAAAAGACACAACTCTCCCTGAAGGTGAGCAGTCCAATGAGAGTCAAGTAAAACCATGAAGTCCAAAGGAAGCATAAAGGGAAGTCAGGGAAAGCTTTCCCTAAGTGAAAACTAAAGAAAGACTACTAAAGAAAGTAGCCGATAAAACCTGAAGAAAGGCTTTCCAGGGACCAGACACATAAAACCAGACAAGAGAAAAGAGCATCATGCTATAAAGAAACACTTACTTATACTATTCTCAGATCTTTACCAAAATCACCAGTATGCTTAGGCTTTACCAGACTGTCCAAATAGGAAAGCTTCAGAGTGGGCCCAGGAATCTACATTAAAAGACTGGCTCAAGAAATCAGTCCAAATTCAGAAAAGAATCACATCTTCAAACCACTCTACCTCACTGTCCCACAGCAGTGGATCTCAACAGATAAGGAAATTGCTGCCAAGAAGGTGTTTTGGAAATATATAGGGGCATTCTTCTGGTTGTCACGATAAACGGAAAGACATTAAATGACAGAATGTCTGAGATTTAAAAAATCTTGTGGGGACAAGGAAGGGAAGGCATATATAAAAAACATGATAAGCTATATATCATTGTTGAAAATCAGAGATAGGTGCATGAAAGTTCCTAACACTCTACATTTGTGTATGAACAAAATTTTCCATAATCAATTTACAACAGCCAATATAAACAACTGATTTTTAAAAAATCTGTTTTACCTTTGTCAACTCCCATACACATTGCTAACATTTTGAAAAATAACCAAAAAAGCATAAAGATAACACAAAACTATACTTCAGTAAATATTTTGAAGCTTTTCCATCTGCATTCTTTCCTTTATTTGAAATCCTATGATATATAATCCTTTTATCTAAGATAAGCAATTTCCAAGTAACTAACAGAAAATCTTCACAGAACACCATTTGCATGATATTCTATATCTAGAAACAGGTCATAATTTAACTATACTCCCATTATTAGACATCTCATTTTTCCCTTTAGTACCTATCCGAAATAGTAATATAATGAATGGCAGAACACATGGTTTGTAAGAATTAAACGAGAATGTATATAAATGCAAACATCAGGTATATAGGCAGTAGTCAATAAATGGTAGCTACTACTATGCCAGTTCTCTTAATACTCAACAATTTTTCGAGGAAGAGAGTTTTTAATCCTATTTCAGACACAGAAAAAGAGGTTACAGATGTCTCCCTTCCCCTCACACTGATACAGCTAATAAACTGGTAGTTAGGATTCAAACTTAGATTTGACTTCAAAGACAAACCTATCCAGATTAACTATTTTTCATATGCAAAATGAGAGGGTAAAACTAGATTTGTGTTTCTTAACCTTAAACTCAGAAATGCTTTCCAAAATTTTTGATATCCCTCGTTATTCTGAAATAAGTGACTTAATTACTGAACATACAGTTATATAGCATTTTATTGTATTTTAGGATTTGAAGGTAAGATACTAGATTAAACACATGCATCGGGCGGGGTGCAGTGGCTCACACCTGTAATCCCAGCACTCTGGGAGGCCGAGGCGGGCAGATGACAGGTCAGGAGATAGAGAACATCTTGGCCAACATGGTGAAACCCCGTCTCTACTAAAAATACAAAACTTAGCTGGGCATTGTGGTGCATGTCTGTAATCCCAGCTACTCAGGAGGCTGAGGCAGGAGAATTGCTTGAACCTGGGAGGCAGAGGTTGCAGTGAGCCGAGATTGCACCATTGCACTCCAGCCTGGGCGATGAGAGCGAAACTCCGTTTCAAAAAAAAAAAAAGACATGCATCTATTCTTACATCCTTTCAAATACCTACCAAAAAATAGTATTTTTTAAGCTTTATGGAGACATAACTCATACCACGTAATTCACTCATTTAAAGTATACGATTCAATGGTTTCTGGAGTATTCACAGACATGTGTTACAATCCATTTCAGAACATTTTCATTACCTCAAAAAAATCTATACCCTACAGCTATCACCCACCTATGGCTCATCACTTCCAACCATAAGAAACCAGTAATTTCTACTTTCTGTTTCCATACGAGTATTTCATATAAATGCAATATTATAACATATGGTCTTTGTGACTAGCTTCTTATACTTGGCATGTTTACAAGATTCACCCATGTCACAGCATGTGTCAATACTTCATCCCTTTCTATGGCCAAATAGTATGCCATTGTATGAATATACCACCTATTTTGCTTATCCACTCATCAGGTGATGAGCATTTGGGTTGTTTCTGCCTTTTGGCTATTATAAACAATGTGATACATTTATCTCAGAGAAACTGACAGACTAAATGGGCAAAAATGAATTAGTAAAAATAGAAAAGCTATGAACAATTAACATATGACCTAATTGAGCATACACAGATCACCAAACCCAACAACTACAGAATAAGCATTCTTTTTAAGTGCCTTTACTAAATTAGACTACATATGCTGGGCCATAAAGAAAGTCAACATATTTCAAAAAATTAAAATCTGACCAAGTTGTACTCTGTGACCACATGCAATTAAACTACCAAAAAGATAACAAGAAATCAAGTGTTGATCAATTGGAAAAGATGACCTAAGTGGGATACAAAAAGACCTAACCATTGTTTTAAAGGGGCACCATATACTGGACTATCATTAGCAGAGTAAAAAGATAAGCCCTTAAAGAGACAATTTGCAACACAACCAGCACAGCTCAAATCCAGATTTCATAATGTCTACAAATCACCAAGAAACACAACCCAATTGAAAAATGGCCAAGAAATTGAAACAGGAATTTCACAAAAATGAAATCCTTTTCATTTAAATGGCAAACAACACAGGTAACTTTAAATTAAAACCAGTAACAAATGCACTGAATGGTTCAGTTTAAGACTGTTAAAGAGCGTTACAGAGGATGCAGAGCAACTGGAAACCACACACACTGTGGGTACAAGTATAAATCAGTACATTTTGGAATAACATTTTGCAACAGAAGTTGAACATATGCTTACCCTATGACCCAACAATTCCACTATTTAACAAACTACATGTCCACAAAAAATACAATCAACATTTGAACCAATATTACTTGTATTGGCCAAAAACTGCAAACAATCCAAATGTCCCTCAACTGTAAAATAAACTATAGTATAGTCATTTGATAGATTACCCCCAATGACAACAAATGAACTACTGCCACATATCATCACGGATACCTCAACACGAGCGAAAAAGCCAGTCACAAATGAATATAAATTGTATGATTTCATTTATGTGAGTTTTTTCGTTTTTTTAAGGGTTGGGGACAAAATCCATGGTGCCCAAAGTGAGAATAGTGGTTACCTTAAGTTTGCAAGTGACTTCTTGGGAGTTGGTATCATGTTCTACTTTCTCGACCTTTAGGCTAAAACACGAACCTGTACATTTATGACACATGTATTCCTCTATACTGTACTTTAATAAAAATAGTTTTAAAAGTTGGCTGTGAACTTTTAAGCTGCAGCAGGGGCTGGGCGTGGTGGTTCATGACTGTAACCTCAGCACTTTGGGAGGCCAACATGGGAGGACTGCTTAAGCCCAGGAGTTGGAGGCTGCAGTGAGCTACGATCGTGCCACTGCACTCCAGCTTGGTCAACAGCTTGGTCAATGGAACCAGACTCTGTCTCAAAAAAAAAAACAAGAACAGAAACATCAAGAAGTCGAAACACAGCCAGCTCTCCTTAGTATTTCAATTTCAAATTATTCCCTTCCCCAAAGCTAAAATATGCCTCAATGGGAGCGGGCGCAGTGGCTCACGCTTGTAATCCCAACACTTTGGGAGGCCAAGGCGGGTGGATCACCTGAGGTCAGGAATTCGAGACTAGCCTAGCCAACATGGCAAAACCCCGTCTCTGCTAAAAATACAAAAATTAGCCAGGCATCGTGGCACACACCTGCAATCCCAGCTACTCGGGAGGCTAAGGCACGAGAATCACTTGAACCCAGGAGGCAGAGATTGCAGTGAGCCAAAATCGCGCCACTGCACTCCAGCCTGGGTGACAGAGAGGCACTCGTCTCAAAAAAATAAAAAAAATAAAAAACAAACACAATATATACATATATATATACACATATAATACATATATATATATATGCCTCATCTTGGGCAGGTCAACTGAAAGGAAATGGAATGAAGAGAACTTAGTTTTAGGTAGCAGACCAGACTGGATATAAGACATGAAAATGACAACAGAGATAATCACCAAAGGCTAAAAGATGATCCATTAACATCGTATGTGGCAGAGACAATTAAAACCTGATATCCAAAACAGCTGTAATCTCAAAATCTAATAGAACAGCAATGAATATAGCTCACTTGAACCTCTGGTAACATTTAAAGACAGGAGTCTCCTAACCATGAGTTGTCAGTATCAGTACCTGAAGGATAATCAGGGCTTTCTGGACAGACTAAGGGCTTCTCTACAATGTCCTAGATGCAGTAGAGTAGGACACTACACCACACATTCGAAAATTACCTCCATTAATCATTATTACACAGCTATGCTGTACCTGGCACCACACACACATTTTCACATTCACTCCTTACAACAAAACCTCAAGAAACCAAACCAAAGTCCTGACAGACACGTGAGAAATCACGTTCACTCACAAAATTACAGAGCTGTTGACAATTAATGTCATAGATACTGGGATCCTCCAACCTCATGGAACTCTTGGTTCTGGAGGGGTATCTTAGTCTTGAAGTATGAATTTATGGCACTTCATGCTAAAAGTTGGAAAACATGTTAAAAATGGTGATAGCATACAGTACAGTTCTAGGGAACTACAGACAACTGCATATGACTACCATTCATAATTCAGTTCTTATTTTAAATTTCAAACCACCAATGTCACCTAATTTAGATACTAGAACCACTTCCAAGTAGAAGGCTACTGTTAAATTGATTTGTTCTGAGTAAAAAATATACAAAACTTGGAACAAGCAAGCAAAAACCAAGAAATAAGCAACTTTGTAAGTTTAGCTGTCTGCCACTCTATTTGAAACAAAGGTAAAAGAATCTTAAGTTTAATTGTACCGTGCCAGATATGGTACACTTTTCCGAATAAACCATATTTTAGAAAATTAAATCAAGTTAAATAATGTAGTGTTTTTATCTAAATGGAATTTGTCCTACAGCTAAAAATTCTGCACGTACTTCAAATATCTTTTACTTCTATTCTGCTTCCTACAGAATAAAGAGAAAGTTTTCAGATTACACTGTCTTCAAAATTTCTAGAAATTTTATCACTAACATTTGAACGTAACTTCCTTGTCTGTTTAATCTACACTTTTATCATACAACAGCAGGAATCAGAAACTAAATAGTATTGATATGGAAAAACTTAATTAGCCATCTTAGAAAATCTCAAAGCTGTTTAGACAGAGGTAGCTCACTGACACTATTCCTCTGCAGAAAAATAAAACTTATTACAATTATACAAAATATTTTCGGCCAGGCGCAGTGGCTCACATCTGTAATCCCAGCACTTTGGGAGGCCGAGGCAGGCGGATCACCTGAGGTCGGCAGTTTGAGACCAGCCTGACCAACATGGAGAAACCCCGTCTCTACTAAAAATACAAAATTATCCAGGCATGGTGGCAAATGCCTGTAATCCCAGCTACTTGGGAGGCTGGGGCAGGAGAATCGCTTGAACCCGGGAGGTGGAGGTTGTGGTGAGCTGAGATCATGCCATTGCACTCCAGCCTGGGCAACAAGAGCGGAACTCCGTTTTAAAAATAATAATAACAACAATAATAAAAAAATATTTTCATCTAGGGAATAGCCAGAACCATAAAGGAAGAATTTTTGTAATTTCCATTAAAAAGATTACCTAGATTAACTTATTTTTATCCTTAAGCCTATGTGGTCACTATTAACTCAAAATGAAAGATACATGATAGAACGGGCCTCAAAGTATCCATATTTCCTACAAATGTACATCCAACTCTGGTCTTGCACTGATAACCTACAATAACTACAGGCCAGAGAACTGAAAGCTGAGAATTACTAAACTCTTTCTCAACAACCATAAGAATCAAAATTCTAATGCACCTTGAATAAGCAATGTAATGATTTCAAAATGAACCCAGCACAGACAAAACAACTTTCAGCAACCCCATTTTTTTCAACATCATCCAAAAGCCAGGTGTTGCACATGAGTGGATTCTCCAGCTAACTGAAGGTTACCTCTGTTTGAGCACCAAAATTGTTTTCCATTCTACTGAATGTAATTTTAACTTTTGATAATGCTGAGTTACTGGTGTGAATATCAACTGCTGTTCTGCAATATAGTGATAACTGTCCAGACTCTCAAGGTATCTTGTATCTGCCTTTTTCTTTTTCTTATTTTTTTTTTAACCAGACTGTCAAGTTCTTGTCTTGAAAGCATACCTTCTTTCTCCCCTAAATTTTCTATTTTTAATCTGAGGAAGAAGCAGCAAATAATTAAGAGAAGTTAGAAAACCGTATCAAATAAGAGTACGCAGAGAATGTGAAATGCTGCCCTGAAATGAAAATGTATCAAGATTTAGTGTATCAACTTTTATGGTGCCAATCTCAGCTGCTGAGGGCTGACTTTGCTTACTCCCTGTTCTCAATTGTTTTTGAGAAGAAAATAAGACACACATATGGAGGAAAGAGAGGAGAATCAAGGTTAGGAAAGAGTATTTTTGAAACATGTAGGCCTGAATTCAAATCTTGGTTTTGCTACATACTAGTTGTGTGACCTGGAGGATGTTACCTGTCTCTGAGCCTTGGTTTCTTCATCAGGAATAGAGATACTTATTCTGCAGGGCTGATGGGAGAATTAAGAGACATACGGAAATTTCCTGGGCACAATTCATTCACTAAGACATTCAAATATTGCTAATCTAATTATGCAAGGATAAACTCTCAACTGTAAACACTCTGAAAATGGAGTTAATCTGACTTTAAAAGCAACATTGTCACCCTTTACAAACATTTCAAAATCCAAACATCCAAACTTGCTTTTAAACAACCATTCTCCATCTCACCTATTAAACATCCGGGGAGTTGGGAATCAACCTATCCAAAAGTAAAATTTACTTCAGCTCTGAAGATAAAACACACACAATTTCATTTCCCGCAGAATCACATATTAACAGCATTTAGCAAGGATTCTCTAAATAGTTATCTGAATACTGTATTCAAATCTTTGCTATTTCAGTATTTTAAGGCAGAGATCCTTCAAGAGTCTATTTTTGAATTAGCTCCTTACTCAATATTGCTAATAGTATTTGAAAAAAGTCCATAAATCATCCATATACATGGTTCTGTCAGTTATCATTCTCCAAGAGTCTGATGTTTAACCTTATAGTAGTCTTATTTAAAACACTGCATAACCCTTTATACAAGGATGCCAAGTATGAGAAACTACTACACTGAATATGTAACACGTATGAGAAAGGGGCACTCTCTCATAAAACTGTACACAGCCACAAATGTTAGTGTATCGTTCAGAAAATTTATTTTTTAGATTCTCTCTAATTTAAATCTGACAAGAATAACAAACTAAATGTTTCACTATTCACATGCTAGGATAGATATACTTCCTTCTATTGCAAAAACTTAAAACTCAATTCACCGGTGAACAAAAGGCTGTGGGGAAAGAAACCAATATAAGTAAATCATATAAACTCTGAGTCAGGTACTTTATGCATACGATGTCACAAAATCCTCCAAACAATGTACTGAAGCAGGTATTACACGATATGTTAAAAATGTAGCCAGTGAGGCTGAGATGATTAAAGCTCCTTACCCATCATCAGATTTCTCCAATTCTAAGGTTCATGCTCTCCTTTCTCAAAATATTAATAAGCAAACCAAAACAATAAATCATAAAAATAATAAGTAATAGTCTAATGAGCTAGTTCTATATGGAAAGACTACCAAGGTAACACAAGTAGAACGAGTAAGATAAAGAAAATTGTGGGTGGTTGACCCCATTTGCTTAACAAAAGGTAAAAATTATATATGAACATATAAATACCTTTCTGGACAGAATCACCCAAAAAAAAAAAAAAGTTAACTTTACCTTTTATCCTGAATGGGCCCTCCCACCTTTTTTTTTTTTTTTGAGACTAAGTCTCACTCTGTCGCCCAGGCTGGAGTACAGTGGCGCCATCTTGGCTCACTGCAACCTCCACCTCCCGGGTTCAAGTGATTCTCCTGCCTCAGCCTCCCAGGTGGCTGGGACTACAGGTGCTCCCCACCACACTGGCTAATTTTTTTATTTTTTTAGTAGAGATGGGGTTTCACTATATTGGCCAGGCTGGTCTTGAACTCCTGACCTTGTGATCTGCCCACCTCAGCCTCCCGAAGTGCTGGACTTAAAGGCGTGAGGCGCCATGCCCAGTCCCCTTTTTTATACTTTTCAACATCATTTGAATTTCTTAATTTTAAAGCAAAAATATGTAAAAGGTATTTTTTAAATGTAAAAGTTATATCCTTTAAGAAAACTGGAGAGAGCTTTAAAGAGTTAAAAAAAAAAATTACCCCCAAGTTTTAGACATCTATATGGCAGCTGCTTAACCAGTAAACCAGGCAGACTGTTGCCATATCTACAGGACATCAAACTAACTCATAGTTGTATAAATTTACCTGGAAAAATCAGAGTTCAGGTCTAGCAACAATATTCTGCAAATACACACATATATTTTCATGCCTATAATAAATAGAATCTGTGAAGTATGCTAATCCAACAGTCTCTGCAAACAGCAGATTTAAGTATCAACTTCAGTCTCTAAAAAAAGCTCCTAATCTCAATTTAATGGTATTTGTATAGTTTCACTTCACTTTTCAAATTAATTTTTTTTTTTGAGTCGGAGTCTCACTCTGTTGCCAGGATAGAGTGCAGTCGCACGATCTCAGCTCACTGCAACCTCCACCTCCCGGATTCAAGCGATTCTCCTGCCTCAGCCTCTCCAGTAGCTGGGACTACAGGTGCACACCACCACGCCCAGCTAATTTTTGTATTCTTAGTAGAGACAGGGTTTCACCATGTTGGCCAGGACGGTCTCAAACTCTTGACCTCATAATCCGCCTGCCATCATGATTGTATACACTTATAAAGTACAACATGATGTCTTGATATATGTAAACAATGTGGAGTGACTAAATCAAGCTAATATATCTATCACCTCTCTTATCTTTTTTGTAGTTGCAGCTGCTGGTACAGGAAAGTAACTGTAATAATGCCATCAGACACTTAAGTTGACTAAGAATAAACACACTTTTTCAAAATCACATTGTTAAAATATTCCTAAGACCAGCCTGTCTGGGCAACATGGCAAAATCCTGTCTCTATAAAAACAAACAAAAAAATTTTAAAAAAAAACCCAATAAGAAAAATAGCTGGGCAAGGTGGTGCACGCCTGCAGTCCCAGTTTCTTCAGAAGCTGAAGTGGGAGAATCGCTTGAGCCCAGGAGATCAAGGTTGCAGTGAGCTGTGATCGCACTACTGCACTTCAGGTTGGGTGATAGAACAAGATTCTGTCTAAAAAAGGAAAAAAAAAAAAATCCCAACTAGGTACAAAATATTGCAGATAAATATTTAAAACACTATTTGGTCATTCAATAAATACTTGTCTACTCAGTGTGTGCCCAGGACACAATGCTAGGCAACATGGGATTAGAAAGTAAGCAAAACAGTCCCTGCCCCTGAAGTTCTTACAGTACTCGGGGGCAGGGGGGCTGGGTGAAGGAGACAATCCATATAATCACAAAATATTATCAGAGATTATAATCAATGATCTGACATAGACTGATGAGTCCAATTACCCTCTGATGAACTAATATTTAAATAAACTTCTTAAAAAAAGATACAGAGTATTGCTATGTTGCCCAGGCTGGCGTGGAACTCTTGGGCTCAAGTAATTCTCCCACCTCAGCCTCCCAATTAGCTGGGACTACAGGCTTGCACCACCACACCTAGCTATTCAATGAACTTTAAAGACTGAAAAGCCAGTCAAAGGAAAGTCAAGGCAGTTTGGGGCAGTGGATCGGTGAGGCCTCCCAAGTTTGTACTGGGTTTGAATCTACAGTCTACTACTTAATATGTGTATGAATTTGATCACATTATTAATATGAGTCTCAGTATCTTCTGGTTTTTTTTTTTTTTTTTAAGACATAGGCCAGGCGCGGTGGCTCACGCCTGTAATTCCAGCACTTTGGGAGGCAAAGGCAGGCGAATCATGAGGTCAGGAGTCCAAGACCAGTCTGGCCAACATAATGAAACCCCGTCTCTACTAAAAATACAAAAAATTAGCTGGGTGTGGTGGTGTGCACCTGTAATCCCAGCTACTCAGGAGGCTGAGGCAAGAGAATTGTGTGAACCCAGGGGGCGGAGGTTGCAGTGAGCTGAGATTGCACCACTGCACTCCAGCCGGGGCAACAGTGCAAGACACTGTCTCAAAAAAAAAAAAAAAAAAAAAAAAAAGACAGTTTCCCTCTGTCGCCCAGGCTGGACTGCAGTGGCAAGATCTCAGCTCACTGCAACCTCTGCCTCGCAGATTCAAGAGATTCTTCCACCTCAGCTTCCCAAGTAGCTGGGACTACAGGCATGCACCACCACACGCGGCTATTTTTTGTACCCTTTTTTTTTTTTTTTTTTTTGAGACGAAGTCTCACTCTTATCCCACAGGCTGGAGTGCGATGGCACGATTCAGCTCACTGCAACCTCCACCTCCCAGGTTCAAGCGATTCTCCCGCCTCAGCCTTCCGAGTAGCTGGGGATTACAGGCATGCACCACCACACCTGGCAAATCTTGTATCTTTAGTAGAGACGGGGTTTCTCCATGTTGGTCAGGCTGGTCTCAAACTCCTGACCTCATGTGATCCACCCGCCTCGGCCTCCCAGAGTGCCGGGATTAGCAGCATGAGCCACCATGCCTGGCCAGCATCTTCATTTTTTAAAAAAAGGATAATAATAGTGCTTTCATCATAAAGTTATGTGACATTTTAAAAAAATATAATGCATCATGCCTTATAAATCATGCCTGCAATAAATATTGGCCATTATGTCATTGTCATTAACAGCATTTGCAAAGGTTCAAAAAGGGGAAGAAAGAGCCAGTGATATTTGAGGGTAGGGGAAGAGACAATACAAACTGGCTGAAATGCAATGAAAACAGGAGAAAAGGCAGGTGGAAGCACATCCTGAAAGCTTTATTAGCTGTGCTAATTCAGCAGTCACTAGCTACATATGGCTATTAAGCACCTGAAATGTGGCTACTTCAAACTGAGGTATGCTTAAGTGTAAATTACAAAATATATTTCAAAGACTTAGTATTTCAAAATGCAAGATATTTTATAGTCTTTATATCAATTGCACCTTAAAATATTTTAGACATACTGGGTTAAATAAAGCATATTAAAATTACAATAGCCAAAAGGTGGAAGCAACCCAAGCGACCAGCAACAGATCAATGGATTTTTAAAATGTGGTACATACATATAATGGAATATTATTCAGTCATACACAGTAAATTCTGGCTGGGTGCGGTGGCTCACACTTGTATAATCCTAGCATTTTGGGAGACCAAGGGGGCAGATCGCTTGAGCTCAGGAGTTTGAGACCAACCTGGGCAACATGGTGAAACCCTGTCTCTACAAAAAAATACAAAGTAGCCAAGCATGGTGATGTGAGCTTGCAGTCCCAGCTACTTGGGGGGCTAAGGCAGGAGGATCACTTGAACTTCAGGAGGTGGAGGCTGCAGCAAGCCATGATTGTGCCACTGCACTCCAGCCTGGGTGACAAAGTGAGACCTGTCTCAAAAAAAAAAAAAAAAGTAAATTCTGACACATGCTACAACATAAATGAACCTTGTGGACGTTATACTAAGGGAAATAAGTTAATCACAAAAGGCCAAACACTGTCTTATTCCACTTATATGAAATACCTAGAGTAGTCAAATTCAGAGACAGAAAGAAGAATGGTGGTTGCTAGAGGTGGGGGAATGGGGAAAATGGGGAGTTACTGTTTAAACGGTCCAGGGTTTCAGTTTTGCAAGATGAGTTCTGGAAACGGATGGTGGTAACAATTGTACAACAATGTGAATGTACTTAATGTCACTGAAGTGAACCCTTAAAAATGGTTAACATGATAAATTTTGTTATGTGTGAGTCACCACTATTGAAAAATTGACTTCAGTCCTTCCTTTTGATTAAAGTGGCTAATAGGAAAATTACATATGTGGCTCATACTGTTTTTTGTTTTTAAGAGACCAAGTCTCATTCTGTCACCACAGCTGGAATGCTGCGGTGCAATCATAGCTCAGTGTAACCTCCAAACTCCTGGGCTCAACCTTGCTGGACTAGCTGGGACTACAGGTGTGTGCCACCACACCTAGCTAAATTTTTATTTTTTTGTAGACAGGCTGGTCTCGAACTCCAGGAGGTGGGGGCTGCAGTGAGCCATGATCACTGAGCCATGGTGCTCAAGCAATCCTGCCACCTTGGCCCCGCAAAGTGTTGGGATTACAAGCATGAACCACTGAGCCCAGCTCACATTGTATTTCTATAAAAAATAAGTCATGGTAAAAATTTCCAATGAGAAGTGTTTTGATGAACAAGATATATTAACAGGAAGCCCTAATACCAGGGTAAGCAAACTTTCTGTTACGGGCTAGACAGTAAATATTTTTGGCTCTACCAGCCACATGGTCTATTCTGAAAGGAGCTATAGATAACACATAAGCAAATGGGCACAATAGATTTCGACTACCAGTTTGCTGGCCTCTGCCCTAAGGCACCCATTATAAGCAATGGCTCTTAAATTTTCATAAATTTTGTGAGCCAGTTTAATAACGGTATCTTGAAATCTGCCACAGTGAGAATATTTACATCATGGAAATCCAGCAAACACTACAAATCAGTGTTTTTCCTGAAGAACGGGTTGATAAACCAGCATTTACCAACAAACCACTCACTATGTAATGAATTAACTTCTCTCCTATACATCTAAAATTATATTCATTATGAACCATCTTTGAAAAGAAATGGATAGCTATTCATATCACTTTCTGTGCTCTGTGGTTCAGATGAGAATCTCCAGCTAAGAAAGGTGGTTCTAGAAGAGTAATGTTCCAGGCAGAGAAGCAAGAGTGAACATCATGAAGCAGTCAAGAGTTGTGCCTGGAGAGTGGTGACCTGGGGGGAACAGCTTAAGAGGAAGCTTCCACAAAAGGACTGGGAGCTACCAGATTATGTACATACTACACTCAGTAAAGGTTCAACAATAAGTAGTTATTACTGAATATGTATTATTGTACATAATGGACTAGATTCATCTGTAAATAATTTATTGAGCCCTAGGCTCTGGTAACACAATGGTGAACAATCACAGCCCCTCTCTAAAGAGAAGGAATCACATAAATATACAATTTTTAGTTGTGATGAATTCTTATCAAAAACAGGCTACTGTGAGAAATCCAACAGGGGATCCCAATCCAGTCTGGACAATCAGAAATAGATACTACCTGGAGAAACTGACCTTTGCATTAAGATTTAAAGATGGAAAAGGAATGGGCAAAGAGTGTTCTTGCATTCTAGGTAGCAAGAACAAACTGTACAGAAGTCCTCAGGCAGGAAAAAAAGTATTAACAGGTCAGGGAACTAGAAGGTCAATGTAGTCAGCCAAGCAAGCAAAGAAAGAAGGCATCTGCAAAAAATGGAGAGGGCATGGAACCGTATTACACAGGGCCTCGCTACTCCATTATATATTCTAAGACCAACAGGGAGCCATTAGCTTTACACAGAGGGTGGCATGCTCTGATTAACGTTTTTCAGAGATCACTCTTGGAATGGCTGGTGGGAGAGTTATAGAAGTCAGGCAACTGACCAGTAGGCTACTGCAGTTTCTAGGCAAGAGGTAATGGCAACTTATTGGAGCCACTACCCGATATTTTAAGTACGTAATCTATAAAATACGCCACCACAGAAATTTTTGCTCTCAGGACACCATTTTACAACTTCAGAACTCCAAAGAGTTTTGCTTGTTTAGGTTATAGCTGTTGATATTTATAATATTACAAATTAAAACTGAATAACCTTTAAAAATAAATTCATTTAAAAATAATACATTATATATTAATAAAAATAACATCCTTATGAAAAATAACTATTTTCTCAGTGATAAGAGTGGCATTATTTTAAATTTTTGGAAATCACTTTAGTCTTGTAATAGAAGACAGCTGGATTTTCACATCTGTTGTCATATCCCACACCTTAAAGACTCTAGCCAAGTGCACTGCCCAGTTTTGAGAAAATTAGACTGAAAAATAAAAATAACATCTCAGAATTACTATGAAAATAGTTTCATCTCATGGTACCCTTAACAGGGTATGGGGACTCCCCAAACCACAGTGAGAACTACTGCTCAGATAACAAAAAGCAAATTTGTCTAGCAGGCTGTCCAGTTTTCCTCAGAGTGCCCCCAGCAAAAATAATAATGAAAATAAAAAGCAAAATAATCACAGTAAGATACCATTTCACAGCCAGTAAGATGGCTATAATCACAAAGACAGTAATAAGTATTACCGAGAATGTGGTTATCGGAATCCTCATGCATTGCTAGTGGAAATGTAAAATGGTACAGACACCTTAGAAAATAATTTGGCAGCTCCTCATAAAGCTCAACATAGAGCTTTGACCCAGCAATTTCCACTCCAAGATCTACACCCAAGAAAAATGAAAACGTTATGTCCCCACAAAAACTTATACATGAGTGTTCAGAGGCATTAGTCACAATAGCCAGAAAGTAGAAACAACCCAATGTCCACCACGTGATAGAAAAATAAAATGTGGAATGCTGTTGGCAACACAATGGAATGTTATTCGGCAATAAAAAGGAAGTAAGTACCGGCACATGCTTCAACAGGGATGAACCTTGAAAACACTATGCTAAGTGAAAGCCAATCACAAAAGACCACATGATTCCACTTACAACAAACGCCCAGAACAAGCAAATCTATAGACAAAAAATAGATCAGTAGTTGCCTAAGGCTGGGGGGCCCAGGGAGAAACGAAGGGCAACTGCTAAAGGGTACAGCGTTTCTTTTTGAGGGTTCTAAACGTTCTAAAATTGACTACACGACCCTGTGAATGTATTACATCAATTACAGACTTTAAAATGGTGAACTGTATGGTAGGCAAATTACACTTCAATTACGCTCTTTCTTAAAAAAAGCTAAGCAATCTCTGTTAATCAGAATCATTAAATAACGAGTTTTTCAGCTGTCCAGTATTAGAACAAAGCAAATAAGAAAACAATGATCTCACAGACATTTTTTTTCTCAGATATCTTGCTATACTGATTCAATCCAACCTTCTGGATAAGATGTTGTCCAGCAGAAATATATATAAGCCACAAGTAATTTAAAAATTTTAAGCAGCCATACTGAAAAAAAAGTTTTTAATAAAAGGTCAAATTAATTTTGATATTTTACTTAACTCACGATCTGCAAAATACTATTTCAATACATAATATATCAAAAGTATTAAGATATTTATTTTGTTCATACCAAATTTTCAAAATCTGGTATAAATTTTACACTTAACACATCTCACTTTTTAAGTACTTAACCACATGTGGGTGATGGTATCAAAGTGGACAGTATAGTTCTAGATCCACACTATACAGTATAACGTTAAATCATGTGTGTGATGATGACCCTAAGGCAAGTTGCCTTATCAAAGAAAGGCTCAATTTGACTCAATACGTTTAAATTATGTCTAAGTATATTAATATTTTCCCAGAAGTTTGCACTGACAGAAGGCACTTTCTAAAACCAGAGTATATACTGCCTGAACATTTCAAGTAAATGTACTTCAAAATTTTACACATAACCTAACAGTCTATGAAATCCCAGAATAAGCTAATTAGAAGTTACACAGAAACTCCCCTCCATTATCTGCACTAATGTCTCACATATATAACTCTCCATTCTTCTAGATGTTATCTTGCTCGTGGATACTTGGAAATCCTCAAAGCTCTTTTCAATAGCTGATGATGAACAATTAACCAAAAAAAAAAAATCTCATACACAGGGACTTTGTGCCACTACACATTTATGCTTTTGTATCTATTTACTTACATACAGGTTGAGCATCCCCAATCCAAAAATATGAAATCTGAAATGCTCCAAAATCTGAAATTTTTTAACACCATGACATCACATGTGGAAAAATCCCATATGTAACACCTTTGCTTTCTGATGGTTCAATGTATACAGTTTGTTTCACTCGCAAAATTATTTAAAATATTGTATAAAATTACCTTTAGGCTCTGTGCATAAAATGTACATGAAATATAACTGAATTTCATGTTTATATTTAGGTGCCATCCCCAAGATATCTCATTATGTATATACAAATATTCCAAAATCCAAAAAAAAAGAAAATCCAAAGTCCCAAACACTTCTGGTCCCAAGCATTTCCCATAAGGGATACTCAAAACCTGTATTACAAAAATCTCTATTAATGACAGCACCTTGGAATGTACACAGTGCAGTTTATATTCTCACTACCTATTCTAGCAACCTGTAAGTAAAAATTTATGTTACTCAGTTGATTCTGAGTGCTCCGTGAATAATAAATTTCACTCTAAATTGGAAAAAAGCTTAAGCTTTATTAGTAACCTTGAACAAGTAACATTATTAAATACCAAATGTATATAGCACTGTAAAAAATTAAGGCAACCTGTTTCTGCCTGTTGGTACTCACGACCAGAAACCAATGGAAAAATAGGAAAATAAATTACCACCTTACAATTTACCCAAGAAGTTTAACGTAATTTCATCTAATCACTTATTACAGCATGTTCATATAAACAGAATTTTGGTATAATGTGTTAAGGAATCTACATTACATAGAAATACTTATTGAAAGAAATTTTAACTTATAGAAAACGGAATTTGTCTGATACAGAGCATAAGCCTTCAATATTATCCTCTGGAGGTCTTCGGCTTACCCTCTGACCCTCCAAAATTAGGTACAAATTTTAAAGACTAAATATTTCCCAATTTCTAACTGGACACTTTCAGTGGAATTTTAATGTCATTAAGTATTTTTAATGACAAATTTTCATTTGTAACAAACAGTTTCAATCAAACCCTTTAAAATTTTTAAATTATAAAATGGCATATCTTTTGTGCTTCAAGTAGATTTTACAAATAGGTCATTTGAAAACTGCTTTTCTTTTTCTTCCACATTTTCCTGTATCTGTTTCCCTTGCATATACAAAGCCCAACTTGTCTACAGGTTCTCTGGTGTGGTGATAAGCGTCAATTTTTATCACATTTTCTGCTTCAACATAAAACAATGATCAAGAATTTAAAAATAAACTACCATCAGAAAAGGCTACTTCAGAAAGACTTTAATTTTATCTATTAACAATTCGTACTGGGCCGGGTGCCCGGTGGTTCACACCTGTAATCCTAGCACTTTGGGAAGCCGAGGCAGGCGGATCACAAGATCAGGAGTTCGAGACCAGCCTGGCCAACATGGTGAAACCCTGTCTCTACTACAAATAGGAAAATTAGCCGGGTGTGGTGTGGCATGCGCCTGTAGTCTCAGCTACTAGGGAAGCTGGGGTGGGAGAATCCTTGAACCCGGGAAGGGGAGGTTGCAGTGAGCCGACACCATGCCATTGCACTCCAGCCTGGGGGGTGACAGAGACTCCATCTCAAAAAAAAAAAAAAAAAAAAAATCTCACTTTGGTTACAGCAGAGTAAAATAAAAGCGTTCACAGAATTTATAATTTTAACATCACAAAAAGCAAAAACATCCTCACAGCTATAACATCATATATTGACTGAAAGGAATTTTTCTATTTATAAAATACTGATTATTTCTAATCTTTTGCAGTAAAATGCTGAAAGCACCCAGGATGGTGGAGGCATGAATTAGGAATCCTAGAAAAGAGATCCGAGAGCTTTAAAACTTAATATGGCTACACACCCGCTAAAATAGCTAAAATTACAGAGACTGACAATATCAAAATGTTAGCAGGGATATGGAGCAACAGGAACTCCCATGTATCTTCATTGGCGGGATGGTAAAATGATACAAGCATTTTTCAGTATATGTGCTGCTGAAGCCAGCACTCCTTTTTTTTTTTGAAACGGAGTTTCACTCTTGTTGCCCAGGCTGGACTGCAATGTCGCAATCTCGGCTCACTGTAACCTCCCTCTCCCAGGTTCAAGCGATGATTCTCCTGCCTCAGCCTCAGCCTCCCCAGTAGCTGGGATTACAGGTGCCTGCCACCACGCCCAGCTAAGTTTTGTATTTTTAGTAGAGACGGGGTTTCACCCCGTTGGCCAGGCTGGTCTCGAACCTCAGGCAATCCACCCGCCTCGGCCTCACAAAGTGCTGGGATTACAGGTGTGAGCCACCGCATCCGGCCCAGAAGCATTTTTTAAAACATAGTTTCTCACAAAACTGAAACATACAATTGCCCTATGACCTACTCAAACCAAGTCTAAGTATATAACCATGAAAGATAAAAGAGTAAGACCACAAAAAGACTTGTATAAGACTGTTCATAGTAACTAACTGCAAACAGCCCAGGTGACCTTCAACAGTGAATAGATTAATTATGGTATACACATACAGTGGAAAACTACACACTAATAAAAAGAAAGGAACTACTGATACACGCAACAAAGACGAAACTCAAAAACATTATGCTGAGTGGGAAAAAAAAGCCTTACCCAGAAAAATACACACAGTACTATAGGCTCTATGGGATCCCATTTAATGTTAAGTTCTAAAACAGGCAACTCTGTAACTTAGGGCATAAAAAAAAAAAACTGGGTGGTTGATGGAAAGGCCAAGTGACTGAAATGACTGGGAAAAGGCAAGAAAAAACTTTCTAGTCAATTATAATGTTCTATATCTTGATAAGAGCTTGGGCTACACAGGTGTAAGCATTTATGAAAACTCACGGAATGGCAACCATATGCATTTCACTGCTGCCAAAATTACGTCAAAAAAACGTAAAAAATGAAGTTGAACTTAGGCAAATAAGTTCACAATGCTGAAGTGACATGTACTGGTGTCATCTACTGATACGTGCAACTTACTCTGAATTGCTCCCCAAAATTAAATGAACTTGATAATCGATTATAATACCGTAAAATGCTAATTGTAGATGATGGACATATGTGTATCCACTTCCCAATTCTTTCAACTTTCCGCATGCTTGAAAATACAAAAATGGTAAGGAAAATTTTTACAAGCACTGGGAGACAAAAACAAAAGTGATAATTCTGTTGGTGGTAAAAGTTTCTCTCATTTGATGTTACACACCTCACTGCTTCACAAAATACACTACCTTTGGAACTCGTTAAACCAATACCCCAATCACCTACTGTCCCTGGGGAAACTGATAGGTACATTTCAGGAATTGTTGTTTCCTGTCACCAACTGTTCACGTTGTTTGCGATCTTCAGAGATTAAGTCAGTAATTATGGAAAACACGACGTATTCAACAATACACTAAAATTATTTGTTAAATTCCACCAAGAATCTTAATTAACTGCAAGATTTGTATTCCTGAACCAAGTTTAAGTAATATTCTGCATTCACTCCGATTTTCTTTTATTTGATTGCAACCGCTAATATCAACATCGCTATCGCCCCTCTAAAATCAAACAAAAACCTACCCAATGATTGGCATCTAAGAGATGATAAACATACTAAAAGGGAAAGAGCAAGTCATCAGTGAAAGAAAGTCATTCACTTTTCTCCTTAAACCTAGTACTATCACTATTACTTAAGATGGAGCTAAAAACAGTTTCTACGTCATAATTTTTTTTTAAAGGTTGCAAGGTGGGAAAGATTTCAGGAGTTAAAATGCAGAACTAAATATACACATGCACCTCACCCCAAAACCCACCTTAACAAGCAGGCACGTAAAACAACGAGGATCCCACCCACCCCTTTTTAATTCATGAAACAAAACCGCAGCCTGAGCTAAAGCGAACCCTCGCCCCCGCCCAGCCTCCACCCCGCCCGGAGGCTGGCGGTGGGTCCCTTTCCTTTGTGAGGAGTTGGAGGGGAGGCGACGGAGGGCGGGGAACTGGGGGAGGAGGCTGAGGGTCGGCGGATACCAGAGAAGGAAGGCTCCGAGAAAAGCGGCATCAGCCCGTCCCACAAACAGGCCGCGCCGCCACGCCACAAACCATTGCGGTGTCCCAAGGCGCAAACCCACGAACTTGGGTGTGATCTAATTTGGGACGACGCCCGGGAGAATGGCCGAGGACGACCCCTCTCCCAGGCCCTTCCAAAAGGTCTCCTGGGGCGGCGGGCGGAGGTCCTGCCGCCACCCCCATCCCGGCCCGAGCCCCAGGCGGCCTCACCTGCTGGACGGAGCTATTCTCGGGCACGGCGAATTCCTCCTTTTCCTTCGGGGTCTTCACGGTGACTTTCATGATTTTGGGCTCCGCGGAGGCAGCGGCCGCGGGGGCGCCAGCACCTTCGGCTCCGGCGGCGCTATCCTGGGAGCCCGGAGGACCGCCGCTTTCACCACTCTCGGCCATGGCTGTGGCGGCGGCGGCGGCGGTGACTCAGGCAAGCAGGAGGGAGCAGGCGAGCAAGGAGGAGCCAGCAGACACCAGAGCCGGCAGGCCTGGACAGCGAAGAATGCAGAGCACGCCGCCTCAGTAGCAACGGGCGCAGGGCCACCGTAGCGGGTGTGGGGCCCCGGAGCTCGGTGCAGGCTCTGGCGCAGGCCCGGGTCAGGCGCTCGGCAGCCGCCGTGTGTTCAGGCGCCGCTCGCTCACACCGACATCCGCAGCAGCCACCGCTTCCTCCTCCCTGCCCCTTCCCCCACGTCCCTTCGCCGGCGCCGCGCGGAGCACGCCGGGTAACGCGCCTGGCGGCGTCGCCGAGTCATCCCCGGCTGGCGCGACTTTGAGCTCAGCCTGCGTGCCTTTTCCTTTCCCGCTCCATTGCCCAAAGTGCAGGCGAAGCCAGTGTGAAGGACTAAAAGCAAAATGGGGCGGGGTAGGTCAGTTCATGGTTTTTTTCCACTCCTTTCACCAAAAACTAAATCGCAGTTTCCAGTTAAGCGCTGTAACGGCGCACCGAGATGACGTCACGGTTAGCGAAATTACTAGAAAGGGACCAGTGGGCCCTGCGGCCGCGGCTGCGCCTGCGCGCTTGCTGTCCAGGTAGTCTCCCCACCTTACCTCATGCCCAGCTGGGCCGTGTTCACCCCTCCGCGCTGTCACAATCGCCTTGCCCTCCCTTGCCTCTCTGTCTACTCTGCGTTCCCCGCTGGGAGGAGGGTCTGGTGATAAAATAGCGGCGAGGTATTTTGTTATTTTAATATGCTTAGCGTTTGATATTTGGAGGGGTCGTATTGCCCTATGCGGGGGAGTTGGGGTAAGTTAATGGTGGAAAGGCCTCAGCACAACGAACAGAAAATGGAGTGAACGCCCGTGACTGCCCTGCGCAATCCTGCGGAGTCATTGCTTCATGGCCAGAGCTTATTTACCGCCCTCGGGTTAGCCCGGTTTGGTCAGACGATCAGTCAGGCAACCTGTATTGACAGTGGCCTCTGCTGCTACGATGACAGCTGTGCGCGAGCGCCCCCAGATTATCTGTGTGTAGGGCGGAACAGGGTGCCCGAGGAGTGTCCACCCAAATGGGACAATTTAATATAGTTGAGGTGTTCGCCTTATATTCTATCAAATTAAGTTACTGGTCAATTTCAGGCTTTAAGTGGCATTAAGGATAGTTCCAAAATTATTTTCAGTGTAATACAGAGAGAAATTATCTCTGAGAATCCTAATTTGAAATGACGTCATTGGCTTTTAAAGATGACTTGCAAGGAATGTACAAACCAGCCCATTATTAATCAATGTTGCACAATTTAAATCCTGACAGCCCACTATGACCCAAATCCGCAAAGATACATTCTGCCTTTCTGCTCCTAAGCCGTCCAACCCTGTTCTGAGAATAAATACTGTTACATAAACACGACTTTTTAGCAGAGCTCTATGGAATCTGGGTCTAAGAGAATCCTGAGGGTATCGATTTCAGTATAGACATCATTTGATATCACCTAAATTTCTGGCAGCATGGCTCAATAACAAGGCCTTCTGCTTAATGAAGGATGACTACTTGGTTATGTCCAGGTGTGAGATGATCACTGCTTCTAAAGCTAGAAAGTGCCACAACTGGACAACCAATCATTTGGAATTTCTTCCATATGTCTAAATAAAATTTCTCCTCAACTTCATTAGCTCCTCATTACCTGTTTTTCCCTGTCATGCTGTGTCTTACCTGCATGCTTTGCCTAGGCTGCCTTCCTCTACCTAGAATGACTTTCCCCTTGCCTTCACCTGTCTAACTTCTACTCATCCTGTATCACATGCCCCAGGAAGACTTCACTCCCTACCATTTAGAGATATGGTTTTTCCCTTGATTCTCCAACAAATACCGTGTGTGTGTGTGTGTGTGTGTGTGTGTGTGTGTCTGTCTCCCTGCATTTATGGACTTTGCAATTATCTGTGTCTACATTATTGTCTAAAAATGTTTGATGTGTGTGACACTATAAGGTAATAAGATTTACCTGTAAGAAGATACCATATAGTTATCCATTGTTATGGCACTTTTTAGATATAATCCTGACCTGCATGAGAATCGGAGGTGGGGGCACTATGGTGTAAATCAGAGATTAGTGAACTTTCTGGGAGGGCTAGATAGTAAATATTTGGTTGGTGCCAAAAAAAAAAATTTGCAAAAACCGCAATTATTTATGCATCAACCTAATATTTTAGGCTTTGTGAGCCACAGGATCTCGGTCTAAAACACTAAGCTATGCCCTTGTATCACAGAGTAATCATAGACAATACATACATGAATAATCATAGCTATGTTTACTAAAAACTCTACTTGCAAAACAAAAACAGACATAGGATCTGATTTGGCCTACAGAAGATAGTTTGCCAACCCCAGGTCTAGATGTTTATTTGTGGCATTTTCTTCTGAATGGTTTTTGTTTGTTAAATGGTCTGTCTGGAGAAAATTTTAAGAACATATTTTATCACAGTATCCTAATACTGTATAATACTATATTGAGCATACAAGAATAATAAGACTCAGTTTCTGCCGTCAAAAAACTTGAAGTGATAGTTGGATGATGGGGGTGAGGGATAGGAGGGAGACTGGCAGTGATGTCCTGGTAAATGACTAATAACCAGTCCTCCTGAAAATAAACTTTATTACATTTGCCAATTTCCTTGATGTAAATACTTGCAAATGGTTACCAACTTGAGATCCTCTGCCTCACAAAACACGTGAAATTTTACCAGTAAGCCCTCACAAGCCAGTATGAGCCAGCTCCAACTGAAGAAGTCCCATTTTGAGAAAATCCATTATTCAGAGTTCAAGTATATTGATAGAAGGTTATTATTCACGATAGAATAATTCTTTTTTGACAAAATGATTCAGTCAACTCAATAAGAATTCATTGAGTATCCTCTGACAAACTTTAATCCTCTAATCTTGTGTCCAGGAACATACCTTTAATACGAGGTAGTACATATGTCATGTAAGTGCTATAAATAACATGACTTCATCATGTTACTAGGCTACTGAAAAATCTATCATAAGTTTCCCACTGCCTAGAAAATAAAGCCAAAGCTTTTTATTTTTTTTGGAGACAGTTTTTTTCTGTCGCCCAGGCTGGAGGGTAATGGCATGATCTCGGCCTACTGCAACCTCCGCCTCCTGGGTTCAAGCGATTCTCCTGCCTCAGCCTCCTGAGTAGCTGGGATTACAGGCATGCACCACCACGCCCAGCTAATTTTTGTATTTTTAGTAGAAACAGAGTTTGACCATGTTGGCCAGGCTGGTCTCAAACTCCTGACCTCAGGTGATCCACCCACCTCAGCCTCCCAAAGTGCTGGGATTACAGGTGTGAGCCACTGCGCCCAGCCCAGAGCTTCCTAACTAGGCCTTCCACAGGTAACTCCTAGTGTTGACTCCTGTTGCTCTCAATATATATGCTCCATTCCAGTCAAATACCTTTATTATCATCCCTAGAAGCACTTATACATTATACTTTTCTTAACTTCTGATCATTCCTTCAAGTCATTACACCCACCTCCTTGTACCCATTATTGCTACCTGCTTTCTGAAACTCCTTGAATACCCAAGCTTACAGAATCTGACCTTCCGTCATAATTACCTGCACATTTCACTTGACCATTCATCACTTGTAGCACAGCTTCTATTATCTGAAACTTTCTCCTGCTACCAGTCTAGTTTACACCCTCATGAGCTCTGGCCTAGATTACAGCAATAACCTCCTACAGATTCCTCTGCCTCAATCTAAAGTCTCCATCCTCAACTCTTATTTTCCTGTGATGCCATATGTTATCCTAGAACGAAGCTTTGATTATGACACCTGCTTGAAAATTTCCAGTCACTGTCACCAAAGTGTTAAGAGTAATGTCTAAACTTTGTGGCATGGTGTCCAGGGTCTTCTGTAAACCAAAGACCTTGCTCTTCACTCATATCTTATCCTCAACCAAACTGGTCAGCTAAGCTCTCCAAGCATGTCTTGCACTTTCCAGCTTCAACTGCAAGTAGAAATTCTTCCCCCTTATTTTGACCCCATCATTTTACCCATCCCGCAAGACTCAAATGTGACATTCCCTAATAACCCTTTTTGGATCCGAAATAGTCTTTAAATCCTCTGTATTCCCATATAGCTTTATTACTTTTTGATGTCACTTACCACATTCTGTCTTGTATCATATGTCTGTGCATATCTCATTTATTAGATAAAGGCCTTGAAAACAGGGATCAAGTCTTAATCATCATTTATACCAGAGGTCCCCAACCCCTGGGCCATGGACCAGTACCAGTCTGTGGCCTGTTAGGAACTGGGCTACACAGCAGGAGGTGGTGAGTGACAGGCAAGCAAGCATTACTGCCTGAGCTCCACCTCCCATCAGATCAGCAGCAGCAGCGGCATTAGATTCTGTTAGGAGAGTGATCACTATTGTGAACTGGGCATGTGAGGGATCTAGGTTGTGTGCTCCTTAAGAGAATCTAATGCCTGATGATCTGAGATGGAAGAGTTTCATCCCAAAACCATCTCCCCCTGACCCCCAGTCCATGGAAAAATTGTCTTCCACAAAACCGGTCCCTGGTGCCAAAAAGGTTGGGGAACTGCTGGTCGGTACAAAAGTAATTGTGGTTTTTGCACTGTTGGAATTTGTCATTTGATATTGGAATACATTCTTAAATAAATGTGGTTATGTTATACATCATTTTAATGTGCATTTCTTTTTTTTTTTTTTTTGCTAATGACATTGCTGTTTGTTTTATATTTATTTTAGACTATGGAAATGATGTTAGACAAAAAGCAAATTCGAGCAATTTTCTTATTCAAGTTCAAAATGGGTCATAAAGCAGCGGAGACAACTCACAACATCAGCAACACATTTGGCCCAGGAACTGCTAATGAACGCACAGTGCAGTGGTGGTTCAAGAAGTTTCACAAAGGAGAGGAGAGCCTTGAAGATGAGGAGCATAGTGGCCAGCCATCGGAAGTTGACAGTGACCAATTGAGAGCAATCATCGAAGCTGATCCTCTTATAACTACACCTGAAGTTGCTGAAGAACTCAACATTGACCATTCTACAGTCGTTCGGCATTTGAAGCAAATTGGAAAGGTGAAAAAGCTTGGTAAGTGGGTGCCTTGTGAACTAAGCGAAAAACAAAAAAATTGTCGTTTTGAAGTGTCATCTTCTCTTATTCTACGCAACAACAGTGAACCATTTCTCGATCAGATTGTGATGTGCCATGAAAAGTGGATTTTATACGACAGCCAGTGACAGCCAGCTCAGTGGTTGGACCAGGAAGCTCCAAAGCATTTCCCAAAGCCAAACTTGCACCAGAATAAGGTCATGGTCACTGTTTGGTGGTCTGCTGCTGGTCTGATCCACTACAACTTTCTGAATCCTGGCGAAACCCTTACATCTGAGAAATATGCTCAGTAAATCGATGAGATGCACCAAAAACTACAACACCTGCCGCTGGCATTGGTCAACAGAAAGGGCCCAATTCTTCTCCACGACAGTGCCCAACCACACATTGCACAACCAGCACTTGGGAAATTGAACGAATTGGGCTACGAAGTTTTGCCTCATCCTCCATATTCACCTGACCTCTCGCCAACCGACTACCACTTCTTCAAGCATCTTGACAACTTTTTGCAGGGAAAACGCTTCCACAACCAGCAGGATGCAGAACATGCTTTCCAATAGTTCGCTGAATCACAAAGCATGGATTTTTATGCTACAGGAATAAACAAACTTATTTCTCGTTGGCAAAAATGTGTTGATTGTAATGGTTCCTATTTTGATTAATAAGATGCATTTGAGCCTAGTTATAATGATTTAAAATTCACAGTCCAAAACCACAATTACTTTTGCACCAAGCTAATACCACACAGTGCCCAGTGTGATTTCTTGGCATGAGAGCATTTATTGTTGAAATGAATTATTGAACCATCCTGTTTTCCACCAGAGAGGAAACTCCTTTAGAGCAGTAGATCATATTTTATACTCCTTTGTCTTTCCTGAAGTTTATAGTATAGTGACATAAATAGATGATTGATTAATTCAAAGAAAGATAGATGTATACATACATGCCTTAGAACTTATTTGCTTTACAATAGAAGTTCAAAGAAATAAAACACTGGGGCAGGGGAAGGTGGAAAAGTCAGAGGCTTTTGAAAGAAATGATTTTGAGCCAGCCCTTAAGGAATGGATATGATTTTAAGCATGTTGAGAGGGACGATGTCTTGAGAAAGAGTTCATAATGGGGAATAGAAACTCTCCTAGAACACCAGTCTCAAATTGGGTCCATAGCCTAGGAACAATTGGAACACTTCATAAATATCTCTAGGGCTACTTCAAAATCAAAGGGAATGAAGTGTTCCAGTTGTTTCTGAGTCTTCGGGCTGGAGAAGAGGTGGTGGTAAAGATGGGTGCTTATTAATTTGCCAACTAAAACTTTAGACACTGGGTAGAAGGAGCAACTATTAGGTTGGTGCAAAAGTAACTGCAGTTTTTGCCATATTTTAATGACAAAACTGCAGTTACTTTTGTACCAACCTAATATATGTACGGCCACTACAAACTTTGGATAAAAGTTGCTAAGTAGGATCCCATAGTTTTCTTGGTGCTGTACCAAGCACTGCATAACACACAGAAGCAAAGGGGGCTGGCAGCGGCACAAGGTAAGGAGACATAGCAGCCTCTTTGGAGAACATGGCTGGGGCTCTATTCGTTTTTTCGCTTTTTATTTTGAAGTAATTATAGGAAGTTGCAAAAATAGAGTCCTGTGTACCCTTGCTTCCCCCAGTGGTGGCATTTGATATTGTTGCATAATATCAAAATTAGGAAATTGACATGTTAACTAGACTACAGACCTTACTGGTTGTACCATATTTTTAACCTGCATTCATTTGCATGTGTGTGTCTGTATGCATGTAGCTGTATGCAAAATTCCATACATAAATTTATGTTACCATCACTGCAGTCAAGATACAGAATTATTCTATCACCAGTCTATTTTTAATCCTTCCTGTATTACAGGGTTTTTCAACCTTGATACTGTTGACATTTGGGGTCAGATCATTTTATCTTGTGGGGGGCTTTTCTGTGCATTGTAGGATGTTTAGCAGAATCCTTACTCACTAGATGTCAGTAGCAGTCCCACCCTACCCCTGTCATGACAATAGAAAATGTCTCTAGACTGTGCCAGATGTCACATTGGAGGCAAAATTGCTCCTGGTTGAGAACCACTGCTGTACAGAGAGCTAGTGGAATCCTCTTTACCATCTGCATCTTTCCTCTTATTTCCCCTCTTACAAAGTGGAGTAGCAAATGTTATCAAGTATCAAAAATGATATTTCACGTCAAAGTCTTTTTAATTCTGAGTCTATTAGAATACTCAAGATAAACTTCACTGCGAATTTTTCCCAGTAGATGGTAAGTCTTGCCAGGATTCCATTATAAACTTAATCTCAGTTACTGCATCTCACCTACTCATCCCTTATCAAGAGTCTTGAATTTACTCAGGTCTTATGAAAATGCCTGAAAATATTTGAAGACTATTCTCCTTTGACCTCTCTTACAAACAAGTTACTGCTCATAACCTAAGACACAGTCCCTAAGGCAAGCATTGACTATCTTGCAGAAGTGTTAAGACTGGTTCTCCTGGAAACATATGAATAGAAGGATATATATTTTGATAAGTAGACTCAGGTTTGGTCTTATTTTGTGTGTAAAACTCTAAGCCTGGTGATTTCAGTGGACAAATGTATTCAAAACAAACATACTTGGAATGTGTTTCTTGACCTTAGGAGGTTAGCTTATGTGAAGAGTCTGCCGTCATGTATAAACTAAGCAAATGAGCCATGGGGAAATTTTAGGTGATTACTGAGGACACAGAAAAGAAGGTTAGGAATTTTCAAAATCTGTAGTATGATGCCAATCATCCAAGAATTCCAGAGGATACTAATGCTTCTGGGGGGAAAATATAATGCTTCTGGAAGCTGAGAGGTGTTTAAAGAAGAAAGTATTGTCTTCCCGTCATTCATTGCACTTGAATAATTCTTACAGCCTTTTTTCCCATTTGAGAATGGTCAATGAGTTGAAAGGTCAAGGCAGAACCTGTGGCTTATCCAAGTTCTATAATATGTCAAATAACTGTGAAGGATCTGAGTCCCCACTTACAAGCTATCAGTTTCAAACTGTAAACACAAGACTCCTACATGAGAAACAAAGGTCTTTGTTACTCACAGCAGTATCAGTGGCTGCCATGTCAGCATTTTCTTGCACCAGTTACCCAAGCCCTAATTTCCACAAGGTGATACAAAGAGAGCTAGGTGACACCTGTACACACAGTGGTTTGCATGATAAGAGAGGAAATCCAAACATGGGGAACCCAAATCTTTTATAATGGGCAGTAAGCATGACTTCCCTTTGCTTTGTAGGAAGATACTTTATCTTCTAAGACTGTTCACTATAGAAATACCCTTGGAAAAATAGTCCAGGCCAGGTTTGGTGGCTCACACCTATAATCCCAGCACTTTGGGAGGCGGAAGCGGGCAGACTGCTTGAGCTCAGGAGACCAAGACTAGCCTGGGCAATGTGGCAAAACCCCATCTCTACATAAAATGCAAAAGTTAGCCAGGCATGGTGGCACCCACCTGTTGTCCCAGCTACTCAGGAGGCTGAGATGGGAGGATTGTTTGCACCCAGAGGTTGAGGCTGCAGTGAGCTGTGACTGTGCCACTGCACTCCAGCCTGGGCCACAGACAAGACCCTATCTCAAAAAAAAAAAAAAAAAAAAGACAATTGTCCAGAAGAAACACAATATATTAGTTTGCTATTGCTGTTGTAACAAATTACCATGAACTTAGTGGCTTAAAACAACAGATATTTATTAACTTATAGTTCTGGGGATCAGGAGTCCAAAATTGATCTGAAAAGGCTAAAATCAAAGTCTGTGTTTCTTCTGGAAGCTGTAAGGGAGAATCGATTGCCTTTTCCAGTTTCTAGAGGCTGCCCACATTCCTTGACTTGTGGCCACATCACTCCAACCTCTACTTTCATTGTCATATCTCTTCTGACTCTCTGCCTCCCTCTTTCCTTCATAAGGATCTTTGTGATGATGTTGGACCCACTCAGATAATCCAAGATTCTCTCCCCATCTTAATATTCTTAATTGCATCCTGCAGAGTCACTTTTGCATGTAAGGTAACATATTTTCAAAGGTTCTTTTTTTCTTTTTTTCTTTTCTTTTTTTTTTTTTTTTTTTTTTGAGACGGAGTCTCACTCTGTCACCCAGGCTGGAGTGCAGTGGCACGATCTCGGCTCACTGCAAGCTCTGCCTCCCGGGTTCACGCCATTCTCCTGCCTCAGCCTCCCGAGTAGCTGGGAGTATAGGTGCCCGCCACCACGCCTGGCTAATTTTTGTATTTTTAGTAGAGACGGGGTTTCACCATATTAGCCAGGATGGTCTCAATCTCCTGACCTCGTGATGTGCCTGCCTTGGCCTCCCAAAGTGCTAGGATTACAGGCGTGAGCCACCGCGCCCAGCCAGGTTATTTTTTTCTTTTTCTTTTTTTAAGAGATAAGATCTCACTCAGTCACCCAGGCTGGAGTGCAATGGCACGATCACAGCTCACTGCAGCCTAACCTCCTGGGCTCAAGCAGTCCTCCCACCTCAGCCTCCCCAGTAGCTGGGATTACAGGTACACACCACCATGCCTAATTTTTTTTTTTTTTTTTTGTAGAGATGCGTTCTCCCTGTGTTTCACAGGATGGTCTCAAAATCCTGGGCTCAAGTGATCCTCCGACCTCAGCCTTCTAAAGTGCTAGGATAATAGGCCTGTGCCACTGTGCCCAGTCTCAAAGATTCTGCAGATTAAAATGTGGACATTTCTGGGCAGCCATTGTTCTATCCACTATAGCCAGGCAGTGCCTCTATTCACCAGATGTGCAGAATCATGGAAGACCTATAGAGAATTGTCTCTCAACATCCACCCCTTGTTTCTGTACTTTCTTGACTTCTGGCAAACTTTCCCATGAGTATGCCACACTGTTAAGTCACTCTGATGAATCTTCACCAGAGGCTGAGACCAAATCTATTCAATTTGTTTCATACAGCATTAATAAGGCTATTGTCAACAAGACTACTGGTAGCAAGATAAGGCCAACCTGCAATATTAATAACCATGTTTTCCAGGGTTCCAGGCACAATCGGCTGAACAAATCTTATAAAGCTTTAGGGTCTACTTCGGCTGCCTCCTTGGCATTGTTTATGAATTGATTTTTTCCACTTGGCCCAAGGAATATATCCAAGTACAGCAAGATGTATTAGCATTTACACATATTTCATCATGGCCTGCAAGAAGGAAATCTAGGGCAGTTATATCAATCAACAACCCTAAGCAGTGAAGTGAGGTGGATTTGAATCCCTTCCAGAGCCAATATGATATCACTGATCATTTCAGCTAAAGTTAGGAAAAATTTTGTTTCATTCTTTTAATTGGCGGGCTCACATTGTAGGAATAACTGGCGCAGGTGCATATATACATGACAAGTCAGCTATCCCTCTGAGAAAATCCTCTGAGTAATCTAGAGTAGCCTCATTTGCATAGTTCTCCCAGTTATCTACTGATGGTGTTTCCTTAAACACTTGAAGATTTCTTATGACCACCCCTACAGTGTAAGTCACTGTAAGGTGTTTTGGGGTTTGGTTTGGTTTTGAGACTGAGTCTTAATCTGTCACCCAGGCTGGAGTGCAGCAATGCAATCTCGGCTCACTGCAACCTCCACCTCTTAGGTTCAAGTGATTCTCCTGCCTCAGCCTCCTGAGTAGCTGGTGCTACAGGTGCATGCCATCACGCCCTGTGAATTTTTGTATTTTTAGTAGAGATTGGGTTTCACCATGTTGGCCAGGCTGGTCTGGAACTCCCGACCTCAAGTGATCTGTCTGCCTCAGCCTCCCAAAGTGCTGGGATTACAGGCGTGAGCCACCGCGCCCAGCCTGTAAGGTGTTTTTAAGACAAGGCAAGTTACTGGCTGACTTCTACATAAGAAATTCATGAGGCAGATGGATCACTTGAGGTTGGGAGTTCAAGACCAGCCTGGCCAACATAGTGAAACCTTGTCTCTACTAAAAATAAAAAAAATTAGCTGGGTGTGGTGGTGTGTGCCTGTAGTCCCAGCTACTCTGGAGGCTGAGGCATGAGAATCACTTGAACCCAGGAGGCAGAGGTTGCAGTGAGCCAAGATAGCACCACTGCACTCCAGCCTGGGTGACAAAGTGAAACTGCCTCAAAAAATTAATTAATTAATTAATTAATTAATTAATTAAATCCTGGGAGTATATGTGGTGCACCTGGAAAGAAAACATTGTTTATAATTATTGGAGCCCCCAACATATGATTCGCATTAGGGCCTCCCAGATGGTTGGTAGGCCTTAGGATTCCCAGTGCAGTTTGAATAACTGAGCCTAGTTTTTATTTATGGAGGGACTGCCCGAGGGCCTTCAGTCCATACCATTCTATTTGTCCTTGCCACCAGCCAGGTGGTATTCATCTACTCTATAGAATGACTAGCAAAATTTACAGGAGCAGGAGTGGGAAAGATACCCAGAGGTGCTGACAGATGTTTTGCATGAGAGATGCAGGAGCTGGGCCATTTTCTGCTCTTTTCAGTAGTTTTCTTATTAAGGTGAAGGAGTATGGCAATCAACTGCAGTCAGAGCTGTCTGGCAGGATGTGGCAGACGCAGTAGTCCGTCATATTCGAAGTGTTTGCTAGTTCAGGAGAGCCTCACCAGATTATTTTCCTTCATGAGTAAAGATCCAGTGATGGCTCTGAAAGATAGAAGATCATTGATATTTCTACCTTTCCTATGCCTCCCAAGCTCTAAGATGTTCCTTCTCCTAGTGCTGGGGTTGTTTAATCTACCTCCACCACCACCATGCCGGGTGCAATGGCTCATGCCTGTAATCCCAACACTTTGGGAGGCCAAGGCAGGCGGATCATTTGAGGTCAGAAGTTTGAGACCAGCCTGACCAACATGGTGAAACTCTGTCTCTATTAAAACACACACACACACACACACACACACACACACACACACACACACACACATTAGCCAGGTATGGTGGCACATGCCTGTAATTCCAGCTACTCAGGAGGCTGAGGCAGAAGAATCGCTTGAATCTGGGAGGTGGAGCTTGCAGTGAGCCAAGATTGCACCACTGCACTCCAGCCTGGGTGACAGAGCAAGACACCATCTCAAAAAAAAAAAAAAAAATCAATGTGTCTCAATCCAGTAGCTGTAACTTCACCTTTTTGTCAAATAATTTCCTTCTCACACACAGATCTTGTATCCAGAAAGGCAAGGTGTAACAACAACAACAAAAGGATATTTTTCTAAAACATATAGAGACCCATTGTGTCCCCCATTTTGGTCCACATGGGCTACTATAGGGAGCAATGTTCCCAACCACGTGGTCATTATCCTTATGACCTGGGACCTTGTTAAACAAGAGCTAAGTAGCTGAACCAGAATTAAATCCCTTAGGCCCCCTTTTGGCTGGCCGCCTCCCAGAGGATGTACCAACTGGGTCGGCCTGTGATTGCCATTAGGGTAAAGAGAGAAGCTTCATGCCCAGGAATTCCCAGGGTGGAATTCTGAATTTTCAAGGCAGATTTATTTATTTTTAATTTTTTTTTTAATTTTTTTTTTGAGATGGAATCTCGCTCTGTCGCCCAGGCTGGAGTGCAGTGGTGAAATCTCGGCTCACTGCAAGCTCTGCCTCCCGGGGTTCACGCCATTCTCCTGCCTCAGCCTCCTGAGTAGCTGGGACTACAGGCACCTGCCGCTACGCCCGGCTAATTTTTTGTATTTTTAGTAGAGACGGGGTTTCACCATGTGAGCCAGGATGGTCTCGATCTCCTGACCTCGTGATCCGCCCGCCTCTGCCTCCCAAAGTGCTGGGATTACAGGCGTGAGCCACTGCGCCCAGCAAGGCAGATTTATAAGCAACACATGCCCCACCCAATCCCATCCCTTTCGTCCTGATCATTATCTAGGAAGTGGCCAAGAAAAGATGATCCCTTTATGGGGACAGCCCCATTCAGTGACCAAAATACCTAGTACCAAAATGTGTGGACTAAGAAGAAATGTGAGAGATAGAGTGACATCTTTTTGAGTTAATTTTTGAGGTAATTGTTCCAATGCTCACCAATACCAAATGTCTGTGCATAGTGGGAGCATGGAAGGTCCATTAAGTATCTTGATTGTTAGCCCACTGAGTGGCTTTTGCCATAAAAGGCACAGCAGCACTAGATTGCAAATGGTCCAGAAACTCAAAGGCATGATGCAAATTAGTTTCAAGGACCACAACAGTGTGGCTAAAGTCAGCTGATTGGACTGAACCAGTTACATAATAACATGAAAAAGTGTCAACAACAGTTAGGCACCACCAATATCCATGAGAGGGGGTCAAAAGTCCAGTGAAATTAATATGTCAGGAGCATGGTCTCATTCACTGTGAGACAAATGTGTCAACTTTTGTCAGGAGTCACAGGTTTGGCATGCAATGGTAGCCTTTGCATCAGGTATATAAATTACTCTGCCCTGTCTATGATGATGAGTGTGTACCATGTCTAGTACAATGATGCACAGAGGCAACAATGGTGTCAGGGCAGTCCACGCTTGATCAGTGCTTGACTCCAATCAGCCTCATCAGAGACTGGGCTTTTACCATGGACATCTACTTGAGGCACCCACATAGTTGAGTCAGCAGCTGTGATTTGTTTCCACAGTTCATGGCCCCAAAGAGGAGTGTTTTCAGTCTGCTAGTTTGTAGTTTCCAAGTGCAGACCAAAGAGCCAGGCCAGTGCAACAGCCCAAGAGTTAGTATTAATATAACAAGGTTCATCAAGAGGACTATGGTCACAGATAAGAAACTGGCCTTGAATTCTGCCTACTAATACAGTAACCACATCCATTTTTGGTTCTACATAGTCAACACTAGGGCTGAACAGCTACAACAGCTCAGACAACTCCCATCAGGTTTCAGTTTGGCCAAACCATGTGTGAATTAGGCACAGGCATTTAGGATGATGAATTGTGAATTGAAGGCATCACTGAGCTGGTGGCTTTCATTCAGACAGAAAAGTCAGGAGGAAAGGGGAAAGATAAGGTTTCTCCCTGAGAGATAGGTGCCACTTTCTCCTATAAAGCCAAGATGCTTCTAGGGCCAGAACAGTGGCATTCTTGAATATATTGTTTCCATTTGACAAACAAGGCTTGTTGAGCCCTTCCCACCTTGTTAGTCATTCTGTTCAAGTTGATGCTCCCCAAAATGGGAATATCAGGCTAGAAGTCAAAAGGCCTTTATCAGTCAGGCACTGTGTTTCAACAAGAGCCCAGCAGCAAACTACCAGGTGCTTTTCAAAATGGATATATATGGTTGCCATGTCAGGGAGGCTATGAGTCCCAAACCCCAAGGGCACCTCCAGATAGAAGCTGCCCCCCTTTGTCAGAGGCTTCAATCAGCAAAATCATCAGTCACATAAACTTGTAACTTAGAGGGGTCGTTAGGACTATGGTGCCTCAGGCACTAGCACTTTTCTACCTGCAGCTTTTCCCAATCAGGAGACTCTCCTATAGCACTTACAGGATGAGGGACCACAAGTATAAAACACATCAATTCCTATTATATGTTCATATGTAAAAGCAATACACAATACACTGATTGAACCACGGGTCCCACCGACCTATTAGCTCTCCTTCACCAGGTGAACTCTGCCCAGGTTCCATTAGCTGAATCCACATGCTAGTGCCTCCCATGGAAATGGGTAGAATAGTGACTCAGATGCCTATATCCAGCAAAACCATAAGAATTGGAGTTCCTCCCCTCCCCAAAGTTCCCCAGCACACTTGACAGGTGCATAGATCTTCAGTACCCCTTGGTGACCAGGAAACTCCTAATCATCTATTCCTTAAATCAGGCTGGGGTAGTGGGGGAGGGACGGATTGAGAGGCACAGGAGAGAGTGACTATGCACAGTAAGCAAGGTGCATTTTAAGCTATGCAGTGGCTGACCACAGCTTAACCAAACAAACTTCCAATGTTTTCCATCCACTGAAAGCCATATATAAGGTTGCAAAGTCTTAATTTGCTCATAGTGTTTCAGCCTTGGGAACTGTGGCAGCCAGAACCACATTTTCCAAGTATGTCTGGGGTTTGTGCCCTTAGGGCTTGGCTCACAAAATGTGACCTTTTTGAGGAGTCCACCTTAATCTGGGATATCTGCTGCCCCATTATCAAAATAACATCTCTTAAATTCAACATAAGTGATAGGTGGAGTCTTCCATGACGGCAGGGCTAATTACAAGAAGTTATCTAGATTTCTTTGGGTTTCTTATTCTTCAGTTGGTTACCTCATCAACATTGTAATCTCAGTCTGAGGCAGTTTGTTAGAGCCTTAATAGTAATCTGAATGCCTCATTTATCATTTCCCACAGGAGTTATGTGTCTCAGGAAAATCTCTCTCAGAGGACCAAAGCTTTTTGTGGCAGTCCATGTGCACTGCAAAAAATTCCAAGACTTTTTACTGTCATCTCCAGATGGATCTAAGATTAGCATGATAGACTAAAGGAAGACCTGAGCTGTAAAATAGCCTAGCTGTTGCCTTTCTTATCAAACATTACACACCTACACCCTCATCTCCCAAGTAAACCAGTCAAAGTTCTAAAAATTTACTTGGTTTCTGCCCATAGCAGTTGCATATTTCCCTTTTATGTTCAATGTAAGTGCATACTCTTCATTGTTTGAAAGAAGGCAAAATTTAGCTGTAGTTACAATGGAGTAACTTGCAGATTGACAAAGAAGTTCTCTCACCCAGAGAAGAGTCAGCAACAACCAGGCCACCATTTGGGTAGCTGTCATTAAACCTATTTCCCAGTAGTTGGCCTGCGACCACCTTTCCAATTCTTCCTCATTAACAGGCAGTAAAATGGAGAACAATGTGTAGCCTGATTGAGAATACAATTTAATCAATAGGTTCCTTTGGACTTCCTGATGATTCCCTAAAATCCCATTAATGAGGCCACAAGACCCCTATCTTTCCTCTTCCAAAAAGCCACGTCTCTGACAGCATCCCATCCTGGGTATCAAAACTTTCAAGAACTGTGAAGCATCTGAGGTTTTACTCTACATGCCAACTAACAAGTTAGTCTGAGGCCAGGCATGGTGGCTCATGCCTGTAATTCCAGCACTTTGGGGGGCCAAGGCAGGTAGATCACCTGAGGTCAGGAGTTCAAGACCAGCCTGGCCAACATGGTGAAACCCCGTTTCTGCTAAAAATACAAAACTTAGCTGGGTGCGGTGGCACATGCCTGTAATCCCAGCTACTGGGGAGGCTGAGGCAGGAAAATCACTTGAACCTGGGAGGCAGAGGTTGCAGTGAGCCCAGGTCATGCCATTGCACTCCAGCCTGGGTGACAGAGTGAGACTCCATCTCAAAAAAACACAAAAACAAAAAACAAGTTAGTCTGCCACAATTTTATGGATGTGGATAGAAGACATAAGACTCCTGAAACAAAGGACCTTATTACTGACAGCAATACGGTAGGCAAAATATCAGTATTTTAGTGTGCCAGTTCCCCAAGGCCTAGCTGCCAGAGTTGTGGCAACTCAAAGAGGGCCAAATGTCATCAGTACATGTAGTAGACTGCATTACAAGAGAGGAACTCTGAGCTTAGGGAACCCAAATCTTTTATAATAGGCAGTAAACCTTCCTGCCCTTTGCTCTCACAGGGAACACTATCTTGTGAGGCTGTAACTATTTTGAGCTTTGCATACTATACAGTCTCTGTTGCAATTACTCAGCTGTTGTAAGCACTAAAGCAGCCATAGACAATATGTAAATGAATCAGTGTAGCAATCAATGTTATAATAAAACTTCACTTGTGGATACTGAAATTGGGATTTCTTCTGCTTTTCATATGTTATGAAATATTTTTCTTTTTTTTTCAACCATAAAAAAATGTAAAAACTATTATTACTCACAGGCTGTAGGCAAACAGGCAGCAGATCTGATTTGGCCCATGCTACTCTATAGAATAAGATCCTCAAACTAGCATAATTCCAGTTAAGAAATGGCAACACTTTAATTAATTTATTATTTATAAGTACATTCCCCACATTGGGAGAATTTAGAGTTACAGAAAAAAGAAAAATCACTTAATTACTAAGGTTTACAAAAATGCTAATTGTAAGAACTCCCTAATAGTCTTTTCTTTTCTTTTTTTTTTTTTTGAGATGGAGTCTCGGTCTGTTACCCAGGCTGCAGTGCAGTGGTGTGATCTTGGCTCACTGCAACCACCTCTGCCTCCTGGGTTCAGGCAGTTCTCCTACCTTAGCCTCCTGAGTAGCTGGGACTCAGGCAAGCACCACCATGCCCAGCTAATTTTTATATTTTTTGTAGAGATGGGGTTTCACCATGTTGGCCAGGCTGGTCTCGAACTCCTGACCTCAGGTGATCCACCTGCTTTGGCTTCCCAAAGTGCTGAGTTTACAGGCATGAACCACTGCGCCTGGCCTCCTAATAGTCTTCAATTAAGTTTAGGGTGAAATGCTCAACTGTTTATAAGACAAACTCTGAAGTTTCATGAAAGATTAAGCACTCTGTTTCAATTGTGTATAATCAAGGTGCAATCCCTGAAGAGTATGACTGTATTGATATACATATTGACTATCTTAGTCTGTTTTGTGTTGCTATAACAGAATAGCTAGGCCTGGGTCATGTTTAAAGAACAGAGGTTTATTTCACTCATAGTTCTGCAGACTGGGAAGTTCAAGGGAATGGCACTGGCTTCTGGTGAGGGTTTTCTGGTTATGTCATAACATGGCAGAAAGTCACAGGGGGCAGTGGACATGTACAAAGGGGGGCCAAACAGGAGGAACCTCACCTTGTAACAACCCACTTTTGAGAGAACTAATCCACTCCTTAACAGTAAGAACTCACTTGGCATTAATCTATTCATGAGAAATCTGCCACCCATAACCCAGACACCTCTCACTAGACCCCCACCTCCCAACACTGCCACATCGGGAATCAAATTTCAACATGACTTTTGGTGGGGACAAACCACATCCAAACCATCATTGGAAGATGGTGTCATAGCTTGAGTGGGGTAAGCAAGAAGTTTATGTATGGGATTGGTAACCTAAATGTGGAAAGCAAAACTTAGTAACTTTTAGAAGCTAGCAAAGGATTTCTTTAAAAAGATGCAAAAAGCACAAATCATAACAAAAACACTTAAATAACTACATTAAAATTAAAAAAAACCTGTCTCTACTAAAAATACAAAAATTAGCCAAGCGCAGTGACCCGCACCTGTAATCCCAGCTACTCGGGAGGCTGAGGCAGGAGAATCGCCTGAACCCAGGAGGCGGTTGCATTGTGCCGAGACTGTGCCACTGCACTCCAGCCTGGGCCACAGACCGAGAGTCCGTCTCAAAAAACAAAACAAAACAAAACAAAACAAAACAAAACAAAACAAAACACCTTCTGGCTGGGTGCAATGGCTCACAGCTATAATCCCAACACTCAGGGAGACTGAGGCAAGAGGATCACTTGAGCTCAGGAGTTTGAGACCAGCCTGGGCAACATAGTGAGACTTAATCTCTACGAAAAGAAAAAAGAAAAAACATTAGCCAGATGTGGTGGTGCATGCCTTGTAGTCCCAGCTACTCAGGAGGCTGAGGCAGGAGGACCACTTGAGCCCAAGAGGTCTTCAAGGCTGCAGGGAGCCATGATCACACCACTGCACTTCAGCCTGGGTGACAGAGTGAGACCTTGTCTCAAAATAAATAAATAAATAAAATAAAAAACTTCTGTACATCAAAAACTTTATAAACAAAATGAAAAGACAAGCCATATGCTGCAAAGTGTATGTGGGAAACACATAAACAACAATTAGTATCCAGAATATATCAAGAATACCTGCATATAAATAAGAAAAAAATACCTAAAAGAAAAATGAGCATTTCACTCAAATGTAAACGCCTAAGAAATGCTCAATCTCATTAGTTTATATGGAAAAATACAAATTTAAACAAGGTATTATTTCATACCCATTATACTTATAGGCAAAAACAAATCTGACAATAGTAAGTGTTGTTAAGGCTGTAAAGAAAAGGGAAGTTTCACATACTGCTACTGGGAGTGTAAATTGGTATAGCCACTTTGGAAAATAATACTGACATTATCCAGTAAAGTTGATGATACTCACATCCAACAATCCAGCAATTCTACTTCTAAGTATAGGTCTTAGAAAACTCCCTTATAGTATCACAAGAGACATGTACAAGAATATTTATTGCAACACTGTTTGTAATAATTAAAGTGGGAAATAACATATTTATGTATCATATTCATATAGCAGAATATGATACAGCAAGCAAAATCAGCAAACCAGAGATATAGGTATCAATTTAGCAAAATCTAAAAAACATTCAGCAGAAACAAATGCAAGTCGTATATCACTACATATAGTATATCATTTATATCAAGTTTTAAAATATGCAAAACAATATATTATGGTATAAAAACATGCATAGGAATAAAAACAAATAAATGAAGATAGTAACCACCTTTGAGAGAAAGGGAATGGAATTGGGGAAGAATACATGGAAAGATGTGCCTCAATTGTATCCGTATTACTTTATTCCTTAAGCTCAGTGAGACATACATGTTTTATTTCTTCCCTACCTCTGAAATGCCTCATTGATTTAGACAGATTCTTTTTAAACTTTCAAAGTGAAGTAGTATCCTTCTCCTTTCTCTTCCTAATTCAGTCCTAAAGTCAACAGGTGGGTTCAAGAGTGCAAGAGAAGAAGGTAGGGGGGCATGGTGGCAGGCACTATAGCCAGAGCTGAGTGTCAGAGACTGAGCAGGGTGAGAAGGGCATTCCCACAGTGGAGTGGGGAGGCAGCACCGATAGGAGATGGGTTACAAATGAGGACATTCATGAAATAAATACAATTGATCCTCATTGTTTGTGGATTCCATATTTGAGAATTTGCCTACTTGGTAAAATGTATTTGTAACCTCAAAATCAATACTTGTGATGCTTTCATGACCATTCATGGACATGCACATAGCAACAAAAAACTTAAGTTGCTGGATATACACATTCCCAGCTGAGGCCTTCTTGTTTCATTTCAGCTCTCATACTGTAAACAAGTATCTTTTCCACAGTTTATTTACTGCCAAATTTTTTAAAAAGGCATTTTTTGCTTTTTGTGGTGATTTCACTGTTTAAAATGGCCCCAAGCATAGGGCTGAAGTGCAGACTAGCGTTCTTAAGCACAAGAAGGCTGTGATGTGCCTTATGGAGACAACACATATTAGATAAGCTTTGTTAGGCATGAGTTATAGTGCTGTGGCCATGAGTTTAATTTTAATGAATGAACAATATATATTAAGTAAGGGTCCTTAAATAGAAACACACATAAAAGAAGGTTACATATTGATCAGTGGATAGAAATGCTGTGACCAGAGACTTGGAGGAACCAAACTCTGTGCTTCTTCTCTGACCAGTTGTTCAGTATTTAGTAATTCGGTGTTCCCGGGGACTTTATAGAGTGTAACTACTGTGAGTAATAAGACTCAATTGTAAGGATATTAAGGATAATGGGAGCCAGGTCTCTTACTGTCTGAGAAGGGAATTACAAATATGGTAAGCGAGAAAACTAGAATGAAATTACAATACTGGATTAGAATCAGTTGAACTCATGGTTTTCAGTATAGATATAATTATAGATGGAAATGTATCTATGAATGTATGTATTCTTTTTCTTAAAATAATTTCAACTTTTATTTTAGATTCAGGGGTACACGTGCAGGTTTGTTACATGGGTATATTACATGATGCTACAGAAGGATTCTTGTATTGACTGAGCCTAGCAGGGCCTGGCAACCTCCAACATAGTTCTCACTTTAAAATCTGGTGGAGAAAAAAGCAACTACCGGGAGGGAGGTGGGGGGGTCAGCCCCCCGCCCGGCCAGCCGCCCCGTCCGGGAGGTGAGGGGCGCCTCTGCCCGGCCGCCTCTACTGGGAGGTGAGGAGCCCCTCTGCCCGGCCACCACCCCGTCTGGGAGGTGTACCCAACAGCTCATTGAGAACGGGCCATGATGACAATGGCGGTTTTGTGGAATAGAAAAGGGGGAAAGGTGGGGAAAAGATTGAGAAATCGGATGGTTGCCGTGTCTGTGTAGAAGGAGGTAGACACGGGAGACTTTTCATTTTGTTCTGTACTAAGAAAAATTCCTCTGCCTTGGGATCCTGTTGATCTGTGACCTTACCCCCAACCCTGTGCTCTCTGAAACATGTGCTGTGTCCACTCAGGGTTAAATGGATTAAGGGCGGTGCAAGATATGCTTTGTTAAACAGATGCTTGAAGGCAGCATGCTCGTTAAGAGTCATCACCACTCCCTAATCTCAAGTACCCAGGGACACAAACACTGCGGAAGGCCGCAGGGTCCTCTGCCTAGGAAAACCAGAGACCTCTGTTCACTTGTTTATCTGCTGACCTTCCCTCCACTATTGTCCTATGACCCTGCCAAATCCCCCTCTGCGAGAAACACCCAAGAATGATCAATTAAAAAAAAAAAAAAATTAAAAAAAAAAAAGCTAAAAACAAAACAAAACAAAAAAAAACCACTTTGCAACACAGCTTTCTGTTTGCTTAGCAATTACTACAGAGCACACTGCTTTTCATGAAAGGAATTGGTCAGAACTGTTTATAAGAATTACCACAAATGTTTATATATTTATATTATAAAGAATTAGTTGACAATTTCATAAAATTTCTCTTCAACAATTTAAAAAAAAAAAGAAAAAAGCAACTAAAATTTTTCAGCACAAATATTGTTTTTTCAACCTCAAAAGAGGCTGTTTCCCCTATGAAACTGTGAATTTAAAAAAATCAGTACAAAAATACATCTAAGTGAACAGTGTAATTAGAATGTTATTCTAAATATAGGCTGAATTTGATAATTAAATGAAAACTTTACAGGCAGGCTGGACTGGGCTTAGACCTATTTTTGTAGGAGTTTAGACTCTGTAAAATATCTTACACAACAACTAGCCATTTTTTTTTTAGAAGGCTGTATCTTAAAATTCACTGCTAAGCAAGCCAGTACAATGCAAGGGAGGAAGGGAGAGAGGAAAGAAGAGGAAAAAGGAAGAGAAAGAGGAGGAGGAGCAGGAGAGAGAGTATGCTTTCAAAAGGAGTAGCTTTTCTGCAAAGTAGAAGCCAAATCTCTTAGGTTCAGTGTACTAAACACACACGTTCAGCCATTGTGAAAAGCAATTTGGCGATTTCTCAAGGAACTCAAAGCAGAATTACCTCTCAACCCAGCGATTCCATTATTGGGCATATACCCAAAGGAAAATAAATCATTCTACCATAAAGACACATGCATGTGTATGTTCATCACAGCATCACAGCACTATTCACAACAACAAAGACATGGAATCAACCAAAATGCCCATCAACGGTGGACTGGATAAAGAAAATGTTGTACACAAACACCATAGAATACTGTGCAGCCAAAAAAAGAACAAGATCACATCATTTATAGCTACATAGATGGAGCCAGAGGCCAGTATCCTAGTGAACTAACACGGGAACAGAAAAGCAAATACCACATGTTCTCACTTACAAGTGAGAGCTAAACTTTTGAGTACATACGGACACAAAGAATGGAATAACAGACACCAATGCCTACTTGAAGGTGGAGGGAGGGAGAAGGGTGAAGATCAAACAACTACCTATCAGTTACTATGCTTATTACCCGGGTGGAGAAATAATCTGTACACTAAACCCCCGTGATATGCAATTTACATATATAACAAACCTGTACATGTACCCCTGACCCTAAAATAAAAGTTAAAAAAAAGAATAAAAGAAATAGATCACAAGGCACAAAAGTAAAAGTGGGTGAGGCTGGGTGAAGTGGCTTACATCTGTAATCCCAGTACTTCAGGAGGCCAAGGCTGTAATCCCAGTACTTCAGGAGGCCAGTACTCCTTGAGCCCAGGAGTTTGAGACCAGCCTGATCAACAAAACAAGACCGCCACCTCTACAAAAAAGAAGAAGAAACAAGGAGGAGAAAAAGGAGAAAGAGGAGGAGAAGGGGAAGAAAAAGGAAGAGGAGGAAGAAAACATAGCCTTTATTGAAATGCAGAAGTTATTTTTGTCTTGTTTGGTGTTGGACCATTAAATCTATTTTACCACTTCATACACTGCCTCTATCCCAACATGCTCCAAAAGATAAGTGCAAATCTTTATGAATTATATGACCAGTATTGTAAGTCTAAGTCTTAGAATGAAGAGACTGAGGCAAAGGACAACTAAATTGCTATCATCGGGTAAATGGTCAACACAGCCAAAACATAGTCTGGGTTTTCTGGATTTCCATCCCATTTTCCTTCATTAGACATTAACTCACTAAAGGCCACTGCATCTCACAAGCATGTAGTATCTACATCTCACTTTAGAAGGGCTATTATAAAGTTTTCCATTTGATGGAAAAGCTGGATAAATAATACTTCTGTATCCCTGATTAATACAAGAGCAATAAAACTGTAAACGTCTTTAATTATTTATTTATTTATTTATTTATTTTGAGACAGAGTCTCGCTCTATCGTCCAGGCTGGAGTGCAGTGGCGCAATCTCGGCTCACTGCAAGCTCTGCCTCCCGGGTTCACGCCATTCTCCTGCCTCAGCCTCCCGAGTAGCTGGGACTACAGGCGCCCGCCACCATGCCCGGCTAATTTTTTGTATTTTTAGTAGAGACGGGGTTTCATTGTGTTAGCCAGGATGGTCTCGATCTCCTGACCTCGTGATCTGTCCGCCTCTGCCTCCCAAAGTGCTGGGATTACAGGCGTGAGCCACCGCGCCCATGTAAAGGCCTTTATTAAATAGCTTCAGGGAGCTGGGACAAAGAGAAAAAAACTTTACATCAAATACTAAACACAGTCACCCCAAATTTCATGATATTCCAAATAGAGAAACTGCCTCCATGTTTTCACCTCCAAAGAACAGAGGACAGTTTTATTTTCTCCTAAATGGAGCAGTTGGAAGTAGAACTCAACTGCTGAGCAAACTGCCTAAAAAGGAGACTATTTCAGTAATTTTTCTTTTTCATATTAGCAACAAAATGGGAGGGGCATGGTCTAAGGCAGGCCAAATTGTGTTTATTCTTCCATTTTTTTCTACATTTCAATTTATTCTTTTCTGAGTTTTACACCAATTATCTTGTTAGAGATGCATATTTGTTTTAGTCCTAAGAAATACTTGACTGCCTTGACAGAGCTGTTTGTCAAGCAGATTAAGCTTCTCCAAAGATACGAAAACTAATGAAAAAAAAGTTTAAACTTACATTCAGAACTCTTAGTCCTTAAGCAGTGGTGTGCTGATAAATGTTTAACAAATGGCTGGGGTAGGGAAGGGGGTGCATTTGTAGCTTGTATCATTTGCCAATTTCCATGCTGTAAATATTCCACCATATTCAATTTCAAGATATCAATATGATACGACATTACTCAGTATGAACCTGGGAAAAGATGCACACAATCAACGCTCTAAAGCAAGTAAGAGCTATGGCCAATGCATTACTGTGATCTTAAATCACAGATTACTACTCAGCATATAGTATTCCCAATTGTAGTCATGTATACTGTTTAAAGTACACTTTTAAAATTTACGTGGTGTTCAAAAATTCCCCCTTTTGCTCATTATTTCTCAAAAGGGCAAAATCGAGAATATTTTTAAAATCACAAAAAAGGCAAAATGAACATTTAGAGTCTTCCAGGGCCCCAGACACATCCATACGTTTTTAAGAGGGAGGAAAAAGCCTAATTGTTTCTTCCTAGAAATATTTAAATAGTTTATTTTATTTAAGGGTCTAGGGTCTAGGATTATTTTAGTTTTCTAACATAACATGTAACTGCCTTATGGAGAGTATTTAAGATAAGAGATGCTTGCAAACAGTCCCCCTTTTAAGAATTTTGTGATATATATTATGTGGTACATAAAGCACATCATATATATAATTTAGATATATATTAAGATATGCATAAATATACAATTGTATCCAAGGTCAAGGAATAGAACCAGCAGCCCAAAAGATTACCCTGGTGTGTCTCTTCCTATCATAATCCTCTCCCAGCCCCTAGAGATAAACAATAAAATGATTTTCATGATAATCATGTATTTGATTTTGTATGTTATCATCTGTAAAATATCAATATGTAATTAATTTTGCCTATTTTCAAATTTCATATGTCTAAAATCGTACTATTTGTATTCTTTCTTTCTTCTTTCACATAGTATTGTTTGAGATCCATCCATATTGTTACTATATAGGGGAGGCTTGTTAATCTATTTCAGATGGATTTCTTTTCCCCAGTTTTTTACTATAACAAATGATGCTTCTATGAATATGTACGTAAGATTCTTCAGGGTACACATACGTAAGGGTGGAATTGCTGGGTTATGAGATCCATGAATCTTCAGCTTTGCAAGGTAATGCCAAAATATGTTCCAAAATGGTTGTAACAATTTACACTACCGCCAGTTCTGTAAGAGAATTTTGGTTGGTCCCAAATTTCACCAATCCTGGTTATTATCAGACTTTTAAATTTTTGCCATGTTGGTAGAGGAATTCTTTGTTGGGTAGAGTGTTCTGTATATGTCTGTTTGATCCAATTGGTTTATTCTGTGGTTCTATTTTCCTTATCTTCGGTGTGGTTGTTCTATTTAATGTTGAGAGTGGGATATTGAAGTCTCCAACTATCATTGTAGAACAATTTCTCCATTCAATTCTATTAGTTTTTGCTTCATAAATTTTGATAGTTTACTAGATGCATAAATGTTTATTATATCTACTTGCTGTATTGAACATTTTATTAATATATAAAATCTTCTTTGTCTCTTGCAACCTTTTTTGACTTAAAGTCTATTTTGTCTGATATTACGTAGCCATTTCTATTCTCTTTAGGTTACTATTTGCGTGGAATATCCATTTCTATCCTTTCGCTTTCAACCTATTTGTGTCTTTGGGTCTAAAGCAAGTGTCTTGTGGAGAGCATTTAGTTGGATCATGGTTTTTATCTACATCCATTTTGCCAGTCTCTTTTGATTGGATTATTTAGTCCATTTACATTTAAAGTAATTACTAATAAGAAAAAACTGCTGTCATTTTGCTGTTTATTTTCTATATGCCTTATAGCATTTTGATTTCTCATTTCCTGCATTACTGTCATTTAAATTCTTTCTGTGTATGTTGTTTTTTTTGTTTTTGTTTTTGTTTTTTGAGGCGGAATTTTGCTCTTGTTGCCCAGGCTGGAGTGCAATGGCACAATCTCAGCTCACTGCAACCTCCACCTCCTGGGTTCAAGTGATTGTTCTGCCTTAGCCTCCCAAGTACCTAGGATTGCAGGCCATTTAGATTTTTCTTTATGTGAAGAGCCTAATATTGTTTTTTCTCTACTTTTTTATGGTAGGGAATACATATAACGTAAATACACATAGCATAAAATTTAAAATCTTCATCATTTTTAGGTGTACAGTTTAGTGACATAAAGTATATTCATATTGTACAATTATCACCACCATCCGTCTCCCATCAGGTCCAGGGCTTTTCTTTCTTAAAACAAAAGTTTGATTATTGATTCAATCTTCTTACTAGGTATAGGTCTATTAAAAATTTCTATTTATTTGTGGTTTAATCTTGGTGAATTTTCTGTTTCTAGTAATTTTTCCATTTCATCTAGGTTATCGAATTTGTTGGTGTACAATTGCTCATAGTACTCTTATCCTTTATTTCTGTAGAATTTGTAGTAATGTTCCCACTTTGATTTCTCATTTTAGTAATTTGAGTCTTCTTCCTTTTTTTCTTAATCTAGCTGAAGTCGATTTTGTTAATCTTGTTGAAAAACCAACTTTTGGTTTTGTTAATCTTCTCTATTATTTTTCTCTTTTTAAATTTAATTTATCTCTGCTTTAGTCTCTGGATTCCTTCCTTCTACTAGCTTTAGGTTTAGTTTGTTCTTCTTTTTCTAATTCCTTACTTTGCAAAGTTAGGTTGTTGATTTGAGATTTCTTATTTTTTAATATAAACACTTATAGTAATTTCCCCCTTAGCACTGCTTTCACTGTGTCCCATAGGTTTTGGTATTTTGTGTTTTTGTTTTCATTTGTCTCTAAGTATTTTGCAACTTCTTTTGTAATTTCATCTTTGTTCCATTGGTTAAGAGTGTGTTAATTTCCACAAGTTTGTAAATTTTTCCATTTTTCTTTTGTTACTGATATCTAACTTCCTATCTTTGTGGCTGGACAAGATACTTTGACATCTATCTTTTGAAGTCTATTGATGGAAGATGAGTCAGATGAGACCAAAAAAAAAAAAAAATGGAAAGTCTTTTGAGACTTAGCTTGTGGCCTAATATATGGTCTGTCCTGGAAAATGTTCCATATGCACTGGAGAAAAAATAGGTATTCTGTTGTTGGGTAGAGTGTTCTGTATATGTCTGTTTGATTCAATTGGTTTATTCTGTGGTTCAAGTCCTCTATTTTCCTTATCTTCGGTGTGGTTGTTCTATTTATTATTGAGAGTGGATATTGAAATCTCCAACCATCATTGTTGAGCTATTTCTCCAATTCTATTAGTTTTTGCTTTGTATATTTTGATAGTTTGTTATTAGATGCATGTTTATTATATCTACTTGCTGTATTGGACATTTTAATACATAATGTCTTGTCTCTTGCAAACTTTTTAAAGTCTATTTTGTCTGATATTATGTAGCCACTTCTATTCTCTTTAGGTTACTATTTGTGTGGAATATCCATTTCTATCCTTTTACTTTCAACCTATCTGTGTCTTTGGATTTAAATCAAGTGTCTTGTGGAGAGCATTTAGTTGCAGGTGTCTTTGGATCTAAAGCAAGCGTCTGTGGAGAGCATTTAGTTGGATCATGGTTTTTATCTACATCCATTTTGCCAGTCTCTGTCTTTTGACTGGATTATGTAGTCCATTACATTTAAAGTAATTACTGATAAGACTTCTGTCATTTTGCTGTTTTCTATACGCCTTATAACTACATTCCTTTGCAATGTTCATACAACCTCATGGGAGAGGCCAGACATATATAAGCAATGATGACAATTTCATTACCTTTGCGTTTTTCTTTTTTCAAAGACTGTCATGAAGTGGAATTTTTCATATAAGGCTGGTTTTGGAGGCCAAGACCAGCATTTTAAAAAATTTTAAGTTCAGGGGTACATTGCAGGTTTGTTACATAGGTAAGCTTGTGTCACAGGGGTTGTACAAATTATTAAATCACCCAGGTACTAAGCCTAGTACCCACTGGTTATTTTTCCTGATCCTCTCACTCCTTCCACTCTCCACCCTCTGGTAGGCCCCAGTGTATGTCGCTCCCCCTATGCATTCGTGTGTTTTCATTTAGCCCTCACTTGTTAAGTGAGAACATGAGGTATTTGGTTTCCTGTCCCTGTGTTAGCTAAGGATACTGGCCTCCAGCTCCATCCATGTTCCTGCAAATGACACAATTTTGCTGTTTTTTTTTTTTTTTAATGGCTGCATAGTATTTATCGTGTATTTGCACCACATTTTCTTTATCCAGTCTGCCATTGATGGCCATTTAGGTGGATTCCACATTTTTGCTATTGTGAACAGTGCTGCAATGAACACGTGTGCATGTGTCTTTATGACAGAACGATCTATATTCCTCTGGATATATACCCAGTAATGGGACTGCTGGGTCAAATTGTATTTCTGTTTTTAGTTATTTGAGAAATCGCCACACTATCATCCTCAATGATTGAACTATTTTACACTCCCACCAAGAGTGTATAAGCATTCCTTTTTGTCCACAACTTCGCCAGCCATCTGTTATTTTTTGACTAACAGCAGCCATTCTTACTGGTGTGATGTGGTATCTCACTGTGATTTCAATCTGCCTCTCTCTAATGATCAGTGATGTTGAGCTTTTTTTTCATGATTGTTGGCTGTATGTCTTCTTTTGAAAAGTGTCTGTCCATGTCTTTTGCCCACTCTTTAATGTTTTTTTTTTCTTGTAAATTTAAGTTCCTTATAGATGCTGGGTATTAGACCTTTGTCGGATGCATAGTTTGCAAAAATTTTCTCCCATTCTGTAGGCTGTCTGTTCACTCTGTTGATAGTTTCCTTTGCTGTGCAGAAGCTCTTTAATTAGATCCTGTTTGTTAAATTTTGCTTTTGTTGCAATTGCTCTTGGTGTCTTTATCATGAAATCTCTGCCTGTTTCTATGTCCAGAATAGGACTGCTTAGGTTGTCTTCCAGAGTCTTTACAGTTTGGAGTTTTACATTTAAGTCTTTAATCCATCTTAATTTTTGCATATGGTGTAAGGAAGGGGTCCAGTTTCTGTTTTCTGCATATGGTTAGCCAGTTATCCCAGCACTATTTATTAAATAGGGAATCCTTCCCCCATTGCTTATTTTTGTCAGGTTTGTTAAATATCAGACAGTTGCAGGTGTGCAGCCTTATTTCTGGGTTACCTATTCTGTTCAATTGAAGACCAGCATTTATGTGTTCATCTTTGTTATCACACACACAAAATTGTATTTTACTTTTATTTTTTTGAGACAGCGTCTTGCTCTGCTGCCCAGGCTGGCATGCAGCAGTGTGATCTCAGCTCACTGCAACCTCCACCTCCGGGGTTCAACCAATTCTTGTGCTTCAGCCTCCCCAGTAGCTGGGACTATAGGCATACACCACCACAACTGGCTAATTTTTGTATTTTTAGGAGAGACAGGATTTCACCATGTTGACCAGGCTGGTCTGGAACTCCGGGCCTCAAATGATCCACTTGCCTCAGCCTCCCAAAGTGCTGGGATTACAGGTATGAGCCACTGTGCCTGGCCTAAAATCCTGTATTTTAATGAATCATAATTGTATTTTACTGCCTCTACTAAAAACAGTTGAATCCCATAAACTACTAATTATTATAGCAATTGATTAGACTAGTGAAAAATCTCTCATTTATTCCTCCTACACACCAAAGCTCCCGCCGACTTTTTTTTTTTTTTTGAGACGGTGTCTTACTTTGTTGTCCAGGCTGAAGTGCAGCGTTGCAATCACGGCTCACTGCAGTCTCAACCTCCCAGGCTGAAGCAATCCTCCCACCTCAGCCTCCAAAGTAGCTAGGACCACAGGCACATGCCACCACAACTGGCTGATTATTTAAAAATTCCTCGTAGGAATGGGTTCTCACTATGTTGCCCAGACTGGTCTTGAACTTCTGGACTCAAGTGATCCTTCCACCTCAGCTTCCTAAAGTGTTGGGATTACAGGCATGAGCCACCAAACCCAGCTACAAGTACTCTTTCTATTCCCAGTGAGTCATGTTATTATTCTCAAGCCAAATTGTTTTTGTTTGTTTGCAATCTGTACACTTTTTTTTCTTGTTTTACTGCATGAGGTAGGATCATCTATACAGTATTGACATGGGGGAAGTGTGGAGATTAGACAACCTTGGCTTAGCCCTTATCTTATGGTGAAAGCATTCACAGACATTATTATTATTAGTTTTATACAGACAGGGTTTCGTCATGTTGCCCAGGCTGGTTACGACCTCCTGGGCTCAAACAATCCATCCGCCTCAGCCTCCCAAAGTGCTGGGATTACAGGTGTGAGTTACTGCACCCAGCCCTAATTCTTTTCTTTCTTTGTCATCCGTTCAGTGTTAAGATCACAGCTTACTGCATCCTTGACCTCCCAGACTCAAGTGATCCTCTCACCTCAGCCTCCTGCGTAGCTGGGGCTACAGGCACATGCCACCACACCTGGCTAATTTTTTTTTTTAGAGACAGGATCTCACCATGTTGCCCAGGATGGTTTTGAACTCCTGGGCTCAAGTGACCCTCCTACCGCTGCCTCCTAAAGTGCTGGGATTACAGGCATGAGCCACCATTCCCAGCCCACAGACTGTTTTTCATTCTGCCTGCCTGGACCGCCTGTCAATAAATTTACAGAAAAAATATCTACCCTTTAAAAGCTATTTCATGCAAGTTTTCTCCATCTCCAAACAATGTGATTTCACACTCTACTATCTATGGTAATTATTTTTTGCTCTTGTTTTACCCACCCCCACCTTTTTTTTTTTTTTTTTTTTTTTGAGACAGAGTCTCTCTGTGTCACCCAGCTCACTACAACCTCTGACTCCGAGGTTCAAGCGATTCTCCTGCCTCAGCCTCCCGAGTAGCTGGGATTACAGGCGCACACCACCATGCCTAGCTAATTTTTATATTTTTAGTAGAGACGGGGTTTCACCATGTTGGCCAGGCTGCTCTCAAACTCCTGGCCTCAAGTGATCTGCCCACCTTGGCCTCCCAAAGTGCTGGGGTTACAGGTGTTAGCCACCACACCCGGCCTAACCACTCCCACCTTCTACTTCCCCCAAGCATAAGCTATTTGAGGGTATCAGCCATATTTCATCTTGCATGTCCTGCAGGGTTTAGTGTGCAGAAAGTGCTGAGAAAATTTTCACTGAACTGAAAGGACCCAACTGATTGGCTGTGCTGTAAGCAAAAATACTTTCATTTCATGTTTCTGAAACTTAACAAATCAAACATATTAGTGGAAGAGTAAATTAATTTTATTGACTGATGAAAAACTAAAGTGATAAGAAGTATGGATAGTAGACAACCACTGAATTCTGCTGGAATTCTCTATTTCTTCTTTTTCACTTTAAGCCAAAAGAAATAAAATTATAGACCATTAGGGAGCTAGTTGCTTTTAGTTCCTTCAAGAAAAACTGCATAGTTTAGCAGTTGCACAGCATTAAATATATACAACTTTGCAAAATCCTGGAAGTTTTAAACTTTGTGTTGACTTCAAAGGCTAATGTAATCACCTACACTGGTCGGATTCAGAGTTTCTTTTCCCTTTTCTGCCACCCTGTAAAAAAAAAAAAAAATAGGGAAAATTATTTACAACATACCATTTTGGGACCACTTCATTTAAAAAATATAGACCAAAGGCATCTTGGGGTATGAGAAGGAAGCAATTTCTTTTTTGATTTTGTTGTAAATTTGAGTCTACATACTGTTACATTATTTTAATATGGTTATTTTTTATAAATGGTTAAGGTTGGTTTTAGAAAAGTTACTTCTATTTGAATAAGAGTCTTGCCTTAGTAAGCTCACCGATATCTTATTTTTTTAGAACTCATTTTGACTGTTCTAGAATTAAAAATAAAGTTTTTGATCAATACTAAAATAAACAGTACACTTAAATTTGTTCCATATGATCAGCAAATTTAGTAATTCAGTTCATTACCTTTTGGGTAATTCAATTTATAATTCAAGTTCTGTTGCGTTTTGCTCACATTAGCATTAGAAATTTGATTTTGTTCATTAGTGGATTGAAAACTAGGTTATGCTTTTCATATTGCTTAGTTGCATATATAAATTTGTATTTAATTTGCTCCATATGAAACATCATTTGTGGTATTTGACTTGAGCCAAAGCAAAGGAAAGGCAGCATAAAGGACAAGAAGGGTTTTACATAAATATTTTAACATAACATAACATAACATAACATTTTCTGTTTTATTCTGATTTAAAAAACATTCATTATAGAAATATGGAAAGTACAAACATGCAAAGAATAAAATTAAAATCATCAATAGCTACTCTACCCCCTTCAATTTAACCATAAATAATGGTTTAATGTATTTACTTTATAATAGTTGTATGTATAGTTTTTCCCATTTTTATAAAACTATGGCAATGGTGTCCAAACTTAGTTGATCATCAGAATTACCTAAGCAGTAATATTTTTAGAATTCTGACATCTAGGCTTTGTCCCACACCTATTTAATTGGCTAACAATCTTTAATTCAAAGTTTCCAAGTGATTCCAATGATCAGCCAAGTTTGGGAACTACCTTTTCTGTGGAAGTGCATCTCTTAAAGAGAGGTGGTTGTATCAGGGGCATATGGAGCTCAGACTCATTTGATAATGATGGCAGTTTCTCTTTGTTTCTTTCATTCTTTTTCTGACTATAATAACCATTTCAACATCAACATTATAAAACAAAATGAAACAATACTCGCACATAAGAATGCTGTCATTCACTCCTGACCATATAAAAATTTTGCCAATATTTATTCAGAGAAAAACAGTATGAATAGGTTTTTTGGAACAGGAGATGTGTAATGACATGTATTAAAAACAAGATTTATTTCCAGTTAGCAGAAAAATAAAAATAAACTTAGCAAAAATATTTTTTGAAATAGATACCCACCCACTATACATAAAACTCCTACCATGCTTCTCGATGAGATTTCTTAAAAATCCAAAACAACAAACACACAAGAATCTTTTCAAGGTATCCCAGGTAAAGGGAATTCTCTTTCTAGGACTGATTCAATTTTAAAGCCACGGCTAATCAACTGCTATGTTCTCCACACCATGAGTGGCTTTTGAGATTTTTTGGCTATGATTCCAGTTAATGTATTTTATATTATGATTTAGAAACACATATATATACACACACATAAATATATCTCTCACACACACACACACACACACACACACACACAAAAGCACTGGTATTTTTAATTGCTTCATCCTGGAACAAACTGCTCAATGCTAGCTTGTAAATGCAGAAGAAATGATAGAGTTAGAAAATCACTATTTTGCAATCACAAAAAAAGGCACAAATATCAATGGATGCTAAAGCCACTAGATGAAAAGGGTATTCATACAATCTTAAAGTATCACCTCACATATTAATTATAAAAGGGAAAATATATATTTACAATGGAGATATCTAGGAGATATCACTGTATCCAAGTGATCAACCTTATAAACAGGACAATTGTCCTTTTGTGCCTTTCCCCAATATGATTCAATGGCATGTATGCTGTATCATCTATGTAGTACCAAGAATTTTCCTGAATTATGCTAGTTATTGCTGTATATACCAATGTCTAGAATAACATCTTCTACATTGTAAATTATATGACCGATAATAAAATTATCAATATATTTAGTGAATAAATTTTGGCCTAAGAATAAAATACTGCATTTATTCTCACACAGTATCTACTCCAAATGTATTATTTGTGATAAAAACACTTATAAATTATAAAAGCATACCTGGTATTTGGCTAACTCTGCTTGTAATACTTTCACTTTAGATCTTTCTTGTTCTAATGCAGCATGAAGTGAAGTCACCTATAACCAAATATTCAATAAGAAAAAGAATTTTTGGGGTTTTTGGCAAATACTCAATTCTTAACATATTCACAATGATAGGTTTTTGACAGCTAAATGGATGAGTAACAGAGAAGCTCCCCCCATAATTTCCATTTGGTATTGTACACAGCTCTATGTTAAAGATGGGGCAAACTGTCCTGAGAGAAGAAGACAATAAGGATGTGAAGGGGAGAAAAATCAAGCCCAGATACAGGGTTAAGTTCTATTGGCCCTTTCTGTCTCTAAATTCATGGTTCATTAAAATACAGCCTTATCATCCCCTATTCTTCAGGGGGAAGGACATACCTACCTCTTTTAGTGCTGTAAACAGAATCTTCATTCATGGGCTATTACATAATAATAAAGTATAATTTATACTACATCCTTACAGTGTTGATGAGCTGTATTTGTTAAGTTTAATAATTCAAGACTAAAGACAGCTTAAGAAAACCAGTCATGTATGCTCCACAGTTCCTTACCTGAATAGTGAGCTCATTCTTGATACTTTGTGATTCATCAACTTGCAGAAGTATTTCTGCCTTATCTTTCACTGACAAAAAAGGAAAAACAGCAGTATAGATTTTCCAGTCACCCAAATACTTCAACAATACTTCAGGGAACTAAGACATAGCAGTGCAATTAGAACAATGATTTCTTGTCATACTTAAAGAATCTACTTCTTGACCTTGCATAGCTCTTACTTTTCACTGGTAAATTCTTTTTTGTTTGTTTGTTTTACATTTTCACCAGTAAATTCTGATCATCATCAGCACAGCATTTTTTTCTTAGAAATTTTACATTTTCTGTGGTGTTAAAATATTTATTGCTGGGCATGGTGGCTCACACCTATAATCCCAGCACTTTGGGAGGCCAAGGTGGGCAGATCACTTGAAGCCAGAAGTTGGAGACCAGCCTGGCCAACATGGCAAAACCCTGTCTCTACTAAAAAATATTATACAAAAATTATCCAGGTGTGGTGGCGCATGCCTGTAATCCCAACTACTTGGAAGGCTGAGGCATAAGGATCCCTTCAACTGGGGAGGTGGTGGTTGCTGTGAGCCAAGATGGTGCCACTGCACTCCAGCCTGGGCGACAGAGAGAGACTCTGTCAATAAAAAAATACATATTTTTTAATTGCACAAATATGGTGCAAGATTAATTTTTATATCTACTCTAAATAGGACAAGGATACAAGAAAACAAAATTTCACATATGGAAAAAACTTTATAAATACCTTGACTAATCTTAAGGCATGATTTTAAAAACAATTATGGTAGCTCACACCTGTAATCCTAGCACTTTGGGAGGCTGAGGCAGGCAGATCACCTGAGGTCAGGGGTTCAAAATCAGCCTGGCCAACATGGCAAAATCCTGTCCCTAGTAAAAACACAAAAATTAGCCAGGTATGGTGGCACATTCTTGTAATCCCAGCTACTCGGGAGGCTGAGGCAGGAGAATCACTTCAACCCATGAGGCGGAGGCTGCAGTAAGCCAAGCTCACGCCACTGGACTCCAGCCTGGGTGACAGAGTGAGATTCGTCTCAAAATAAATAAATAAAAACAATGCAGAGTGCTTTTTTTGTTGAATTGTTGGGGGTGGTGAGCATACCATAATGCCAACAAAATTATATTTCTCTGAATAAATTTTCATACCAATAAGGCAATGTCAACTAAATGTAGCTCATATGATCACAAATGATCATATGACATGTGTGGTCTCTTAGAACTATTCATTTTTTTCTAGAGGCTTCTCTCTCTTGGGAGAAGCGAGGTATCTATACTTTGGCCCTATGTTTCCTAAGCTTCAGAAATTTTCACATGGCTGAGAACTTCCTTAACTCATGGTAACGGCTAATGTATGAAAAACTAACTCCTCACTTTGAAAACAAACTAGGAGAGACTAGAGAGGTAAAATTGTAATAAAATTAGCAAAGGAGGAAAATGACTACTGATATCACCACAGCTCTGCCAATGTAAGATTGTAGTTCAAATTCATTTTCATAGTTTAATATGATAAGATGAAACACCCTATCAAGAATCAATTCAGTCTCTCAAGAATCAACCTGGGAACTTTTACAAATTATGCTTTCTACTCCTCCATCCCCAGGATTATAAACACTTGCTGAAAACTAGTGATTTTAAAGAGTTATGTAATATTTCAATTACAATCAGTTCTCCTATAATGCTTGTTTTGAAAACACAAATTTGTTTCAATGAGGTTGATGTATTAGGTAACAACTTGAACATAACACAAATTTTCAATACACTTATGTACAATTTTATGAACAGAGAAAACCACACCCACATGTACTCCTTGAATATCTACCAGCTACCTTGGTTCACTGTGTGTTAGGAAACACACCCATCTGGTCTGACAACTTTCCATCCTTCCACCATGCAGCAGTAACACACAAGCTATAACCCTTCTGAGACCTACTTCCCCACAAGCAAACTTCAGGTTTTCTTCAAGGTAAAGTGCCATATTTATGTAATATTTATGTATTTAACCATTTTAACATGTGTAAAACTGCGTTACTGTTTTTATTAGTTTCCCATCTTTTTTTCATGTGTCACTGACAACGATTTTAAGTGCTGTGCTTCTAACCTTCCTTTTTCTCGTAAGTATTGTGGGGATTTTTTGTTTCTTTGAGACAGGTGTATTAGTTCATTCTCACACTACTATAAAGAACTGCCTGAGAATGGGTAATTTATAAAGAAAAGAGGTTTAATTGACTAATAGTTCCATATGGCTGGGAGGCCTCAGGAAACTTACAATCATAGTAGAAGGCACTGCTTCACAAGGTGGCAGGAGAGAGAATAAGTGCTGAGCAAAGGGGGAAGCCTCTTATAACACCATCAGATCTCATGAGAACTCACTAACATGAGAATAGCATGGGGGAAAGCACCCCCATGATTCAATTATCTCCATCTGGTCCCACCCTTGACAACTGGGGATTATTACAATTCAAGGTGAGATTTGGGTGGAGACACAGAGCCAAACCATATCAACAGGGTCTCACTCTGTTGCCCAGGCTGGAGTGCAGTGGCAGGATTACAGCAGTCTCAGCCTCCTGGGCTCATGCAATCCTCCCACCTTAGCCTTCCAAGCAGCTGGGACCATAGGCGTGCACCACCATGCCAGGATAATTTTTGTACATATAATTTTTGAGACAAGGTTTTGTCATGTTGCCCAGGCTGGTCCCAAACTCCTGGGCTCAAGCGATCCACCTGTCTCAACCTCCCAAAGCTGGGATTACAGGTGTGAGCCACTGTGCCTGGCCATCTTGTGTGATTTTGCAGAGACTAGTGATTTTTAGGAACACATGCTGCATTATTACAGAACTGACCATATTTACATTTACATTATAAGTGTTACAAGTATTTTCATGTAATGATCCTATATAAAATTCTACTTGGATTACTTATGCTATGGACACTGTTGTTACTGATAGCGATTTTTAATCTATTTTTGAGAGCAAGCTTTTATCAGTTAACTTTCTCAATTTCCACAGTGTTTTATGGGGAGGAAATATTATTTTATTTTTACATATTTAGAATTTATACATCCAATACGCAATGATACTCTTCATTTCTGCACTTAGAAATATATCTTCTAAATAACTTAATTTTTTATTTTCATAACTTTGTTCATTAAAAGACCCACATGGAGATCAATAACATGCACAGGTCTAAATTAATCTCAGGATGTAGACATCTAAATGTCCAAATAATATTTTTCCCCGTATTTTTTTTTTTTTGAGACAAAGTCTCACTCTATCAGCCAGGATGGAGTGCAGTGGCATGATCTTGGCTCATTGCAACCTCTGCCTCCTGTGTTCAAGTGATTCTTGCACTTCAGCCTCCCAAGTAGCTGGGATTATAGGCAAGCACCACCACACCTGGCTAATTTTTGTATTTTTAGTAGAGATAGGGTTTCACCATGTTGTCCAGGGTGGTCTCGAACTCCTAACCTCAAGTGATCCACCTGCCTCGGCCTCCCAAAGTGCTGGGATTATAGGCATGAGCCACTGCGCCTGGCCTCCCCCCATAATTCTTTAACTTCTATTTGTGTAATAGTTAAGTTATAAAAAATATAAGGTTGAACCTACTTCAAGAGTATTCATGTTCTGTTCAACTGGACATGATTTCTGATTTTTACTCATTGTTTGACAACTATTTTGTAATGTAGTTTAAATTTTGTTTGGACAGTTATATTCCAAGTATAGTCATCCCTTGGTATACAATTGCTTGCAGGACATCCCGAGGACACCAAAATCTAAAGATGCTTAAGTCCCTACTATAAAATGGTGTATATTTGCATAAAACCTATGCATATCCTTCTATATGCTTTAAATCATCTCTAGATTACTAGCTGGGCGTGGTGGCTCATGCCTGTAATCCCAACACTTTGGGAGGCCGAGGCGGGTGGATCACGAGGTCAGGAGATAAAGACCATCCTGGCCAACATGGTGAAACCCCGTCTCTAGTAAAAATACAAAAAAATTAGCCAGACGTGGTAGCAGGCGCCTGTAGTCCCAGCTACTTGGGAGGCTGAGGCAGGAGAACAGTGTGAACCTGGGAGGCGGAGCTTGCAGTGAGCGCCACCACACTCCAGCCTGGGCAACAGAGAAAGACTCCTTCTCAAAAAATAAATAAATAAATAAATAACAATTTAAAAAAATCACCTCTAGATTACCTATAATACCTAATATGGCATAAATGCTATGTAAATAGTTGTTACACTGTTATTGTTTAGGGAGTAATGACAAGAAAAAAGTCTGCACATGTACAATTTCAACAAATATATTTGTGATCCACAATTGATTGATCCACAGATGGGGAACCCATGGATATGGAGGGCTGACTATATCTTCACATCTGAAAACCATTTTTGGTATTTTGTTTTTTCATTTTTCAAGGTGAATTTCACAATTTCTTAAGAGCTATACAATATTCACAGGAGCTATCTTTGGAGTTTCATTAGCATTTATTAACAGGAAAACTGTTGATTAATTTTGTCTATTCAGAGAAAGATTTTCTCCTTTATGTCTTAATCTGTGTTTCTTTTGTGGTTTATAATTTCCTTTGCCTAAGTCTCATACTAAAAAATTAACATATATTTCTTTTTCTATTATGAATGGAAAATTTTCATAAAACTTTCAAGATAAATGTCACTAGGTATATACACAGTGAGAAATGCAACTGATTTGGCAGGCTTTTGTATATCAGCTTTACTAATCTTATCATCTGCAATCATTTTTTTCTATTGATTTCCTTGGCTTCCTGCTGGTAACCTCTTGTCAAAAGTTTACAGAGTAGCAGCAAAAGTATGAAGAGCAGTGGGGAGGGGAGAAGGAAATAAGGAAACAAAAAGGAAAACCTAAAGTGATGACAGGCTGCCTCCTTCAATAACTGAAAAAGCAGAATCCTAAGCAAATGTTAGGCTTGTTTTCCCTCTAAATATAGTTCAGTAAGTTATAAGAATTGAAATTTTAAGAGTTTCTTTTACCTGAATAGTTATAAACTGGTATAAAACTAAGGTGCTGTAAGAGTGACCTGTAATAATAACTTTATCAGCAACTATCCAGCATTTTTTTTTTTTTTTGAGACAGTCTTGCTCTGTTCCCCAGGCTGCAAGTACAGTGGTGCAATCTCGGCTCACTGCAACCTCTGCCTCCTGAGTTCAAACAATTCTCATGCCTCAGTTTCCCGAGCAGCTGGGATTACAGGTGTGCACTACCACACCTGGCTACTTTTCGTATTTTTAGTAGAGATGTGGTTTCACCATGTTGGCCAGGCTGGTCTCAAACTCCTGGCCTCAAGTGATCTGCCCACCTTGGCCTCCCAAAGTGCTAGGATTACAGGTGAGCCACCATGCTTGGCCAACTATGTAGCTTATATCACTCTGGGAAACCTTTCTACTTTGTTGAGTCTTTTTTTCAATTTTTTTTATTGGCACATAATAATCATATATATTTATGAGGTGCATGTGATATTTTGATACAGGCATACAAAGTGTACTGATCAAATAGGTATTTAAGATATCCAGGAACTCAAACATTTATCATTTCTTTGTGTTGAAGGCACTTCAAATCTTTTCTTCTAGGTATTTTGAAATATACAAATTATTGTTAACTATAGTCACCCTATTGTGCTATCAAACACTTTTGTTGAGTTGGTAAATCACACATTTGAAAAAGTACCTTCAGATATTATTTAAGATAAACTTTTAATTACAAAAACATAAAATCCACTTACTTTCACCTTCCTGAAGCATTTTCAATAATTGTGCATTTCTTGCCTTTACTTCCTTATACTTTGCCTAATAGTCAAAGAAAAAAGATTTAGTTTTTTTAAAAGTAAGTGATATAATTAATGATTTACTGTCAACTTACAGAGCTCTGAATTCTTGGCTTGCTCAAAGATATAATTACTTTAGAAACAAACAGGATGGAGGAAAATGTATTCGGAACTATCTACAACTTAAATTAAGTCCCTGGCACAATAATACATATCAATATTATACGTGATTGAAAATTAAAGGAGAGAGGGATAAAAGTGGAGAAAACTCAAGATAATACTAAATTTTCCTAAATAATCTTCTTTTCTTCCTCAGATAAAACCCTTATACAATTCAAAATAATTTAAATGAAAACCAAAAGAAAAATGAGCCACAGTTCTAAAGCAGTACTGTCTGGCAATATACTAGGACTTTCTACATCTGCTCTGTATTTGTCACTGTCCAATATGCGACTACTGAAAGAACACTAGCAATGTGGCTAGTGTGACTGAGAAAAATGAATTTTTAATTTTAAACTTTAATTTTAAATTTAAAATGTGATAGACTTGTAGTGGATATTGAATTTTATAGGACAGTTCTATACCTTCTCAGTTGAAGATTCACTAATCGTTTGTTATTTCACTAACTAAATAATCACTGTTATAATTTTTGGCTGGCATGAATTAGTACTTTACCCAAATATCTTTCAACTCTTTTTCAATTTCTTTTTCCAGATGGCTTAGCTTCTTCTCACATTACAAAAATGATACAAGTATACATTTATGAACAAAAAGGATTGTGTTCCCACATTAACATCCATATTTTAGGCAATTTTACCCCATGCTACCCTTATTAAACATGTCTTATAACACTCTCTGTATCACTTATTTATTTACTTTTTTTTTTTTTTTTTTGAGATGGAGTCTCACTCTGTCGCCCAGGCTGGAGTGCAGTAGCACGATCTCGGCTTACTGCAACCTTCGCCTCCTGGGTTCAAGTGATTTTCCTGCCTCAGCCTCCCTAGCAGCTGGTACTACAGGTGTGTGCCACCATGACTGGCTAATTTTTGTATTTTCAGTACAGATGGGGTTTTACCACGTTGGCCAGGCTGGTCTTGAACTCTTGACCTCAAGTGATCAACCCGCCTTGGCCTCCCCAAAGTGCTGGGATTACAGGCGTGAGCCACTGCGCCCAAGCCTGAATCATTTATAAAGATTTAATACATTAATACATTAGAGAAAACAAAGCATTTAACACAGTATAGAAAAACAAAACCCTAAAGAAAACATTAATATAAGAAAAATCATTTTTTTCCTCTCAACATATACATAGATATGTATAGAAGTTACCAGATTCAAATTTTTTAAAAACAAATTAAAATGTGTTTTAAGTCCAATAAAGATGGCTTTTACTAAATAGTACTCTGTCCATTAAATTGTTGATGATAAGTAAATAATGTTTACTGAGTAATACTGCAGTGAATACAATAAACTGAAGTAAAGCACCATACTGAATATAAACGTAGAAAGACTGCTGAGAAGCTCAGAAATGAACAAGGGAGACCAGTCAAATGGAAACATAAAAATATAATGGGGGAAAACACATACACTCAACTACAACTATATTCGCTATGAATATAGAAATATTCATTGTGAATATGAAACTACACTCGCTATGAAATTCCCACCCTCTGGGCTCCAACCTATGTTAGTATTTCACCAAACTCTATCTCTGGCTCAAGCCTTTGTTCAAGGTCCAGATCAGTCTTCATGGAGGTACCTCTTATTCAAGGTTTACGGTCTAAAATAGCTCATAAAGCAAAAATTGCAAATGAGCATGATTACCTGTGACAATTATTTGCATTGCTTAAAAACTGCATATATAAAAATATAAATGTACAAAATACCAGTAACATATTAGCTAATAAAGAGCACATATGAAATACATAACATTCTTGCTAGCATATTTAATTTCATGACAGACAGCATACAAAGTTGATAAAATTAAATACACGTGTTGTTACTGCACTGTCTAAAAAAGTAGCCATTTAAAACGCAACATATCCAAAATGAAATCTATTAGTTCCCATTCCCCAAATCAGTCAAAGACGTGCTCTTCCTCTTACACTCTATACTTATCCATTGTTTTAGCAGACTGTCTTCACTCCAAGCCTCAGCAACATGCATCATCATCGCAAATATCTTCTCAATATCATCCCACAGCAGCTGCGTCATTTTACATTCCCACCAGCAGTGAACATGTTCCAATTTCTCGACATCCTTGCCAGCACTTGTTATGTATACATTTTATTTTAAACCTCAAATCTTACCTCCTCCCTTAGGCTTTTTAAAAAATCTATTTTTTAATCTATTATTCATCTCAAGTATTCTTCTTTGACTAATATTAATTCATGTAAAAATTACTTATTCAATGCTTGTAACGTGCCAGCTACTTAATAATTATCATGTCACTTACCTTCTAAAGATTTTTAATGCCCTCTCTATTTTATTTCATTTATTTTTTCGAGATGGAGTCTCACTCTGTCACCCAGGCTGGAGTGCATGGCACGATCTTAGCTCACTGCAACCTCCACCTTCCAGGTTCGAGCGATTCTCCTGCCTCAGCATTCCAAGTAGCTGGGACTACAGGCGCGTGCCACCAAGCCCGGCTAATTTTTCATATTTTTAGTAGAGACAGGGTTTCACCATGTTAGCCAGGATGGTCTTGATCTCCTGACCTCGTGATCCGCCTGCCCCGGCCTCCCAAAGTGCTGGAATTAACAGGTGTGAGCCACCATGCCCGGCCTAAAGACCTCTCTAAAATCCAAATGCCTTCAAATTCTGAACCCAACTCATATCTGCAATTTCAACTTCTAGTTTCCCATTTCTCTGAATGTCAGCCACAATGTACCTTCCTTCCATCATATTCCCATGCCTTTGTACATACAATTCTCTCTACCTGGAAAAATCATCTTTTCTATGAGATCTTTACCAATTTTTGATAGCAGCAACTCATTCATTCCTTTGTCTGTTCTTCTGGAGCATTCTGTCATATCCTACATTGTACTGCAACTATTTACATGTTTATCTTCCCCATTAATCTACAAGCTTCTTGCTAACTCATCTTTGTATTCTCTGTGTCTAGTACAAAAAAAAGCGAAGAGAAATGTAAATGAAAAGCTAAGGTAAATGAGTGGGTGCAGTCAAAAAAAGTTTTAGTAGGGATGATTCTTAAAGGCATGAGTAGAAGAAGAAGGGAAATGTAAGAACCATCAGGGCTGGAACTTGATTTATTTTTTTTCACTACCACATACACAGGGCGCAAAAAGTATCTGGCACATTACAGGCACTCAATAAATAATTGTTGAGTGAATTCATATTAGTCAAAAAGGAATGATACTTGATATGAATAACAGATTTAAAAAATAGATTAAAAAAAAAAAAACCTAAGGGGAGAGGTAAGATTTGTAGTTAAAAATACATTGTATACATCACAAGTGCTGGAAAGGATGTGGAGAAACTGGAACCTTTGTTCACTCCTGGTGGGAATGTAAAATGACACAGGTGCCATGGAAGTTTGGCAGTTCCTCGAAAAGTTAAATGTGGAATTATATAATCCAGCAATTCCACTCTTAGGTATGTACATACCCAAAAGAACTGAAAGCAAGGACTCAGATACTTATGCACCAGTAAACAAAATATATACACACAATGAAAAATTATTCAGCTACAATATGTGATGAAATTCTGACACATGCTACAACGTGGATGAACCTTAAAAACATTATGCTAGGCCAGGCACAGTGGCTCACGCCTGTAACCCCAACACCCTGAGAGGCCAAGGCGAGCAGATCACAAGGTCAGGAGTTCGAGACCAGCCTGGTCAACATAGTGAAACCCCGTCTCTACTAAAAATGCAAAAATTAGCCAGGCATGGTGGTGCGGGCATGGTGGCACGTGCCTGTAGTCCCAGCTACTTGGGAGGCTGAGGCAGGAGAAGTGCTTGAACCCAGGAGGTGGAGGTTGTGGTGAGCCAAGACTGTGCCACTGCACTCCAGCCTGGGCAGCAGAGCGAGACTCTGTCTCACAAAAACAAACAAACAAAAAAACCACATTATGCTAAGTGAATACGCCACACATAAAGAGGATAAACACTGTATGATTCCACTTACATGAGGTACCTAGAATGGGCAAATTCACAGAAATTAGAGGTTACCGGGGTGTGGAAAATGAGAATGGGGAGTTCTTTGTGGGTTAAGAGTTTCTGCCTGGGATGATGAAAAAGTTCTGGAAATAGACAGTGGTGATGGTTACACAATACTGTGTATAAAGGTACTTAATGCCCCACTGAATTGTACACTTTAAATGGTTATGTTATATGTATTTTACAACAACAAAAATAAATTATACTATGTGTAAACTATACCACAATAAAGTGGATTTTTAAAAAACAAAATACAACCAGGCACGGTGGCTCATGCCTGTAATCCCAGCACTTTGGGAGGCTGGGGTGGGCGGATCTCTTGAGGCCAGGAGTTCGTGACCAGCCTGGCCAACATGGTGAAACTCTGTCTCTACTAAAAATACAAAAATTAGCCGGGCGTGGTGGCTCATGCTTGTAATCCCAGCTACTCAGGGCAGGAGAATCGCTTGAACCCAGGCGGAGGTTGCACCGAGCTGAGATCACTCCATTGCACTCCAGCCTGGGCAACAGAATGAGACTCCATCTCAAACAACAACAACAACAACAACATAAATAAATAAATAAATAATCATTCAGACTTTAAACCATTAAAGAGTTTAAGAACATAAAAAACAGAATGACTATTCCCATGAATTGCATATTAAACATATTTACATATAAGAAAAACAGAAAACGTGAAAATTTATAGAATTATTTTCTTTAACAACAGTAAATGGACACAAACCTCCCATTGAGTGATTACATTTTTCAGCTTCTGGATTTCAGCATCTTTCCTTTCAAGCTCTAACTTTAGTCTTTCAATTCTTCCATCTTTCAGAACCACTTCCTGAAAAGAGAGAAACAACACTTTAGGACTTTGATTATTCCGCTAATTCTGGTTTATAGTATTCCTTTGTGAAAAGTTTAAGAGGAAAAATTCTGACCTTAATTTTCTGAGGCCACCTTATGCTGTTGACTACATTTCTACTTTCACTCAATTATATAATCCTAATACACAATGCAAGCAAGGAAGTATTTATAATTAAGCCAAACATACTGACAAACAATATCAGGGCTTTCAAAGGATATTTCTATCCTGGAACAAACATATTAAAAGTGCTCTGTGACAAGTTGTTGTTATTAGTCTATCTTAAAAATTCAAAAATTCAAAAAATGACTACAAATACAAAATTAATAAAAAATATGAAAACTAAAATAAATAGCTTTTCACTGTATTAGCAATTAACAGGTAGAAGACAGAACTAGAAAAATAATTTCCTCACAACAGCAAGAAAAGCTAACCAGAACAATAAAACTAGGAAGTGATCAGGACCAACACTAAGAAATTTATAAAATCTCGAAAATGACACAGAACAAAGTATGTTTGTAAATAGGAAGGCTACAGGTTACTTTGTAAGTTCAATAACATTTCAATAGAAATCCCAATAGGATGTTGTTCTTTGGAACTTAAAAAGATAGTAAAGACTTCATCTGGAGAATTCAGGATAGACGCAAACAAAAAGTTGATTTGATGAAGAAAGATTTGTCTATCAATTATATAAGGCAAAATAAATAAAATCATGGAACCTAGGTTGACAGAACAATGTACCAGAAAAGAAATCCAGAAAGAGACTTCAGATATAAGAATTTATTGTAATGTAAGGATGATACTTTTAAAAAGTGAGAAAATGCTGAATTACAGAATAATGGTAGGTTACAGGACAAGTGGCTAACTGGGAAAAATCAGGTTAAATCCCTGTCATCTTGCACCATATACCAAAATAAACAAATTTAGTGTAAACAAAAAATCACCCCAAAGTCATACCTTTGATGAGAATATAAATGGTTCTATTTATCTAAGGAGTAATGTGGCAACATCAATGTAGTACTCTACAAATACTCACTGAGCATCTAACTTCTAGGAGCTGAGTACACCATGGTGAACAGAATTGAAAAGATTCTGTGTTTCTTTTCTAGATTAGTAAAGCTCTCTAAAGTGGTGACACTTAAATTGAACCTTGTGTGATGGGTAGGAACTGGCTAAGTAAAAAGGGGAAGTGAGAGCTTTCCAGGTAGAAAGAACAGTATGTTTGAAGGCCATGCAGGAAGGGCCTGGAGAATTTGAAGAAAAAAATAAACCAGTATGGTAAGATAGTGAGGGGGAAGATGGTACAAGATGACTTTGGAAAAGCCAGTAGAGAACTGATCCTGGAGGGCCTTGAAGGCCATAAGAACAGTCTGCACATTATTCTGAGTAAAACAGAAAGCAGTGAAGGATTTTGAACAGGACTGCTAGGTTAGATTTGACTGTGTGAGACTTATGTTTGCAAAGGATCCCTTTCCATGCTGTGTGGAAATGAAATGGAGTGAGGTAAGACAGGTAGAAAGATCCTTTAATTACTACTCTAACCCTGGGTCAAATAAGATTATGCTTTGGATTAGGGTGAAAGCAGTATAAATAGAGAGAAGTATATTTGAGAAATAATTTGGAGGTAGCATTTGATGAAAGGTTTAAAGAATGTGGCAGGTGAGGAAGATGAACACTACAATCTAAGTTTCTAGTTTAAGCAATGAGGTGAGTAGGTCAAAATTAGAAATATACTACTATTAAGTTCTGGAATCTCACTTCTAGGAATTTATCTCCAATAGATAAATGAGGTAGGGAAGTATCTATGAAAAGTGTTCATTGTAGATTTATCACAACAAAAAACTGGACATCAGTTTAAATGCCAAACAATAGGATATAGGTTAAATATATAGTAAATTCAAAAACTGAAAACTAAGTCACTAAAAATGGTGATATAGAGCTATAAAATAATATTTGCATGATTCCAAAGTTGTAATGTGTGCAAAGAAAAAATTCTGGAAGAACATACACCAAAACTTTAACTGTCGTGAACATGGGTTTATCAAAGATTTTGCTTTATTGTTTACAATTTCCTTTTATCAAAATTATTTTATACTGAGTAAATAATCATGGAATAATACTGTTTTACTTTTGAATAAAAATAAAACCATATATGTATTTTTAGAAATCTTGATGAATATGATTATTATCTTTGAATAAGAAGCCCTTCTGAAATTGACATCAAAAAAAAGAGGAAAAATGGAAAAGATTGGTAGATGTGATTTGATGAAAGATCTCAAAAAAAAACCACTGTAACAAAATAAAAAGGTAAAGGAAAAACAAAATAAATTGCAACCAATATGACAGACATATGACCAACAAACATTAAAAAAAGTACAATCTCACTAGTAAGCAAATCCAGGTTTTATCAAACTGGTACTTTTTTTTTTTTTTTTTTTTTTGAGACGAAGTCTCGATCTTATCTCCCAGGCTAGAGTACGGTGGTGTGATCTCAGCTCACTGCAACCTCTGTCTCCCAGGTTCAAGTGATTCTCCTGCCTCAGTCTCCCAAGTAGCTGGGATTACAGGCGCCTGCCACCACTGCTGGCTAATTTTTGTATTTTTACTAGAGACAGGGTTTCACCATGTTGGCCAGGCTGGTCTTGAACTCCAGATCTCAGGCGATCCACCTGCCTTGGCCTCCCAAAGTGCTGGGATTACAAGCGTGACCCACCGCACCCAGCCAAACTGGTACATTAAAAAAATTTTTTTTTCTTAGTGTGATTAGAGGCAATTTACCTATAAACTGAATTATTTCATGTATAAGAATTAATGTCCCAGGCACAGTGGCTCATGCCTATAATCTCAGCACTTTGGGAGGCCGAGGTGAGCAGATCACCAGAGGTCGGGAGTTTGAGACCAGCCTGGCCAACATGGTGATTCTCTACTAAAAATACAAAAATTAGCTGGGTGTGGTGGCACATGCCTTCAATCCCAGATACTGGAGAAGCTGAGGCACAAGGATGGCTTGAACCTGGAGGACGAAGGTTGCAGTGAGCTGAGATTGCGCTACTGCACTCCACCCTGGGCAACACAGTGAGACTCCATCTCAAAAAAAAAAAAAAAAAAAAAAGAAAACAAAACAAAAAGAATTAATGTCCTGAATGCTCATCATTTGTATTTAACTGAAAAAGTGGTCCATCTAACAGTTTCTACATTAATGAGGGAAAAAGAATATATCCATAGTAAGACCACACCAAATTATCAGTACTGTAGTAGTTTTCTCTAGGTGAATGAGATTAGGGTCATTTTTCTCCCACTACATCTGAAAACTGGGGATGATAATGATACCCACCAACTTCATAGTTAGTTGTTAATAATCAAATGAGATCATGCATTTTAAGTACTTAACACAGTGCCTGGCATATACATAGCAAACCTCAAATACTTATTTTTGCCATTATCATTTCTTCATTTTACTTATCAGCAGTTCCCAAAATTTCTACAAGAGATACTACTTTTTAAAACAAAGTCATATTGTTTTAATGTATACTCATTTTCAATGAAGTCCTATATTTCAATAAATACCTTTTAAAAAGTATCTTCTAAGTAGAAAATATTATACTAAAATGAGGATGAAAAGATGTACAAGATAAAGCCTATGCTGACAAGGGCTCTGTAATCTATTAAAAATGACAGGGAAAATGTGCAGTGTGAAATGTGCAGTAAGAAAAACAAAATGCTATGGGGTATAGAAAAAGGAAAATTATATCCAGGTTTTCCGTGTCTCGGGTTTGGGGTTTGGCTGGGGCAGTGAGAGAGAGCTTCTGGGAGGAGATGGCATGTGAAATGAATGAAATGAACCTTGAATAAAGCTGGGACCCACTCAGCATTCTGTGACAGGAGTGGTCTGCTCCAGCTAGAAGAAAAATTGGAAGAGTACAAACAGCTAAAGTTAATTAAGTTAAGGATATCCTGTATAACAATGTTTTCAAACTTATTTGACAGTGACGTATGATAGGTTTTATACAAACACATGCACACATAGAAACAAATTTCACAAAATATAAATAGGTGTCACATACTCTGACATTTTCTCCTGTCCCATTTTTTTGGTAGCAATCTACTAAACTGATTTTAGGGCCTATTGAATGGGTTGGGAAACTCAGTTTGAAAAGCATAGCCTAAGGACTTTGGGTGTCAGGTCAAGGACACTGTACTTAATTCAACAGACACTGAAGTTTAAGGGCACAGCATGGCATGATGGCAGTAATGATTTATAAAAAGGCATTAGTTAGCAGGGTGTAACACATTATATGGCATTAAAGGCAAGAAGCAGAAAGATTGGTTAGATTACTGAAATAATGCCAGTAAGAGATAATGAGAGCCTAAATTAGAGAAATGTTGGTAAGAATGGAAACAAAGATAGATCTGAAAAATATTTCAAAGATTTAAAACTCTAAAAATCTTGAAAAACAGAAAAGTGAAAAAAAAAAAGTGTAGAATCTGGATATCTAGATAAAATGAGGAAACCAAAAACTGAAATGACAGAAGTCAAGCCAAATGCTTGGTATGGAGAGGAAGATGATGAGCCTGGGTTTGAACACAGTGAGACTAAGGTATCCATCAAACAACAGGATGGAATATGCCGCAAGGGTAATTAATAAAACAGAGCCCCGAAGGCCACAAGAGGGGACAGGATCAGGGATAACTGACCTACCTAGCGTTGGTGCAGTTGTGGAGAAATTAGTAATCTCACATCCTGCTGCTAGAAGACAATATGCTGAATGCACCAAGAGCAACACAGAGGCTTATATCCTTTGATTCAATTATTATCTTAAAAAATCGATTCCAAGGAAATGATTCACCAAAAAATTAAATGTATGATCAGTGAATATCAAGCCATCAATTCTAAACAATGTTCAATAATAGGGCAAATACCAAGCAACTTACAGCATGTTGATTTGGCAGGATATAACACCTGGATTACAAAAGGGGTTAGAAAACTAGATTCATTATTGTTGTAATTATTTTAAAATACCTATGCATCTAGGCATTTTCCTAGAAAAACACTATTCAAAAATGAAACTAGGCTGGATACGGTGGCTCATGCCTATGATCTCAGCAATTTGGGAGGCTGAGGCAGGCAGATCACTTGAGGTCAGGAGTTCGAGACCAGCCTGGCCAACATGGCAAAATCCTGTCTCTACTAAATAAATAAAAAAATAATACATAATAAATTAGCTGGGCGTGGTGGTGCATGCCAGTAATCCCAGCTACTTGGGAGGCTGAGGCAGGAGCATTGCTTGAACCCAGGAGGTGAAGGTTGTAGTGAGCCAAGATAGCACTACAGAACTCCAGCCAGGTGACAGAGACTCCATCTCCAAAAAAAAAAAAAACTGAATGACAGACAGACTTAGGGTTGATTTACTTTTCACCTTTAAAAATGCCTAATATATTAATGTATGCACAGTTAAAAAGGATTTTAACCTTGGAAAGCAGAAGAGCTTTCTTTCTCTGAGAAAGGAGCACATTGGATAGAGGAAAGAAGTATATACAGAAAGAGAAGTGGAGAATTTTTTAAACTGCATGAATCCTCTTTTCTCTCCTTTACACTTAATGAAAGCTAAGAAAAACTTCTAATTTTTTCATTTATGAAAAACTTCACATGCGCAAAAGAATTTTATGTACGACACATTAGGTAAAAAGAAAAATAAACCAAAAAGCAGATTAAGAATTTGAACATTACCAATACCTTGGCAGCCCCTCCCCAATCATACCCCTTTTCCCTCCTCTTCTGAGGATATCCATGATTACAGATTTTGTCGTTCTTTTCCTTTGTTAAAGTATTTTACTACATGTATATGAAGCCCTAAATAATGTATTAAATTTCTATTTTTAATTTTTATTTATTTTTTTGAGACAGGGTCTTGCTTCAATGCCCAGGCTGGAAGGGAGTGGCATGATCACAGCTCTATGCAGCCTTGACTTCTCAGGTTCAATCAATCCTCCCACCTCAGCCTTCTGAGTAGCTGAGACTACAGATGCATGCCAACTCACCTGGATAATTTTTTTTTTGCAGAGACAGGGTTATTAAAAAAAATTTATATGAATGTCATCAAATTATTATTTGGTGACTTATGTTTTTCATTAAATGCTATGCTCTTGATATGCATCCATGTTGCTATGTATAACTACAACTTATTCACTTCTCTTATTCTTTTGCTATTACAAACAACTGAGTTTTGAACATTTTTTTTGGACATGTCTTCAGGGTTTAATCTAGGGGTAGAATTTCTAGAACATAAGGTCATGCCCATTATCTTCAACTTTAAAAGTGAATGCCAAATTGTTTTTCAAAATGGTTATACCAATTTACATTCCCACTAGTGGTATGTTAATGCTGTTCTATATCCTTCCTAATAATTAGTAGTCTTTACCTTCCTTCGGTTTTTTCCTAGGCACTGCAGTGAAATTAATATTACTGTAATAAACTTTGCTTTCTGCTCAAAAATCTTCAAAAAGTCTTTAACGTCTGCTGACTAAATTATAAACCAGCCTTTAAATTTGCCACAGTCTTTTCCAACTTAACTTTTCAAATTTATATTACATTCCTCTATAAACCTTCTATTTTAATTAAACTGGTTTATACTTCATTACCTCCATACTTTTACTCAAGGCATCCCAGTTTCTTCTTCTTCATCTCTGCATGTTCAAATTCTATTGTCTTTATAGAACAGCTGAATGGATTAAAAAATAAGACCCAATGATCTGTTGCCTACAAGAAACACATTTCACCCATGAAGACGTAAAAGAGATATTCCATGCCAAGGGAAACCAAAAAAGAGCAGGAGTAGCTATATTAATATCAGACAAAATAGATTTCAAGACAAGAACTATAAGAAACAAAGAAGGTCACTATAAAATGATAAAGGAGTCAGTTCAGCAAGAAGATATAACAATTTTAAATACATATGCACCCAACACTGGAGCACCCAGATATATAAAGCAAATATTATTAGAGCTAAAGAGAGAGATGGGCCCCAATACAATAATAGCTGGTGACTTCAACACTCCACTTTCAGCATTGGACAGATCTTCTAGTAAGAAAATCAACAAAGAAACACTGGACTTAATCTGCACTATAAACCAAATGGACCTAATAGATATTGACAGAACTTTTCATCTGACAGCTGCAGAATACACATTCTTTTCTTCAGCACACAGATCACTCTCAAGGATAGACCCTGTGTTAGGTCACAAAACAAGTCCTAAAACATTAACAAAATTGAAGTAATATCAAGCATCTTTTCTGACCACAATGAAATAAAGCTACAAATCAAGGACAAAAGGAATTTTAGAAACTATACAAATACATGGAAATTAAACAATATCCTCCTGAATGATCAGTGGGTCAATGAAGAAATTAAGAAGGAAACTGAAAAATTTCTTGAAACAAATGATAATGGAAATAACACACCAAAAGCTATGGAATACAATAAATGCAGTACTAAGAGGGAAAGTTATAGCTATAAGTGCCTACATCCAAAAAGAAGAAAAATTTCAAATAAACAACCTAACAATTAATGTTAAAGAACTAGAAAAGCAAGAGCAAACCAAACACAAAATGAGAAGAAAGAAATAATAAACATCACAGCAGAAATAAATGAAACTAAAATGAAGAAAGCAATACAAAAGAAATAAATGAAATTGAAATGAAGAATCCAAAAGTTGATTTTTTGAAAAATTAAACTTGAAAAAAAACCTAAAAATTAAAAAATTAAAACAAAAAACATCAAAAAAAGAAAAATTAAAATTGACAAACCTTTAACCACATCAAGAAAAAGAGAAGATCCAAATAAAACACAGATAAAAAAAGAGACATTATGACTAATACTACTGAAATTCAAAGGATCATTAGTGGCTACTATGAGCAACTATATGCCAATAAATTGGAAAATCTAGAGAAAATGGACAAATTCCTAGACACATACAACCTACCAAGATTGAACCATGAAGAAATCCAAAATCGAACAGACCAATAATAAGATTGAAGCCATAATAAAAAGTCTTCCAGTAAAGAAAAGCCCAGGATCCAATGGCTTCACTGCTGAATTCTACCAAACACTTAAGGAATTAATACCAATCCTACTCAAACTATTCTGACAAAAGAGGAGGAGGGAATATTTCCAAACTCCTTCTATGAGGCCAGTATTACCCTGATACCAAAACCGGACAAAGAAACATCGAAAAAAGAAAACTAGGGGCCAATATCTCTGATGAATATTGATGCAAAAAATCCACAAAAAATACTGAATTCAACAACACATTAAAAAGATCATTCATTATGACCAAGTGGGATTTATCCCAGGAATGCAAGGCTGGTTCAACATATGCAAATCAATCAATGTGATACATCATATCAACAGAATGAAGGACAAAAACCACATGATCATTTCAATTGATGCTGAAAAAGCATTTGATAAAATTCAACATCGCTTCATGATAAAAACCTTCAAAAAACTGGGTATAGAAGGAATATACCTCAACATAATAAAAGCCATACACAAGAAACCCACAGCAAGTAATATACTGGATGGGGAAAAACTGAAAGCCTTTCCTCTAAGATCTGGAACAAGACAAGGATGCCCACTTTCACCCTGTTATTCAACGTAGTACTGGAAGTCCTAGCTAGAGTAATCAGACAAGAGAAAGAAATAAAGGGCATCTAAATTGGAAAGGAAGAAGTCAAATTATCCTTGTCTGCAGATGGTATCACTTTATATTTGGAAAAACCTAAAGGCTCCACAAAAAAACTATTAGAACCTGATAAATTCAGTAAAGTTGCAGGATACAAAATCAACCTTGAAAAATCAGTAGCATTTCTATAGGCCAACAGAGAACAACCTGAAAAAAAAATCAACAAAAGTAATCCCATTTACTCCCATTTACAATAGCCATAAATAAAAATAAATACCTAGGAATTAACCAAACAAGATCTCCATAATGAAAACTATAAAACACTGATGAACAAAACTGAAGAAGAGATGACAAAATGGAAAGATATTCCATGTTCATGGGTTAGAAGAATGAATATTGTTAAAATGTCGATACCACCCAAAGCAATCTACAGATTCAATGCAATCCCTATTAAAATACCAATGACATTCTTCACAGAAATAGAAAAACAATCCTAAAATATATATGAAACCACAAAAGACACACTAGCCAAAGATATCTTAAGCAAAACGAAGAAAACTGAAGGAATCATGTTACCTGACTTCAAATTATACTACAGAGCTATAGTAACCAAATAACAAGGTACTGGCATAAACACACACACACAGACCAATGGAACAGAACCCAGAACCCAGAAACAAATCCACACACCTGAGGTGAACTCACTTTTGGCAAAGGTGTCAAGAACATACACTGGGGAAAAGACAGTCTCTTCGATAAATGGCACTGGGAAAACTGAATATCCATCTGCAGAAGAATGAAACTAGACACCTATCTCTTGCCATATACAAAAATCAAATAAAACTGGAGCTACCACATGATCCAACAATCCTGCTGGGTATATACCCGAAAGAAAGGAAATCAGTATACTGAAGAGCTATCTGCACTCCCATGTTTATCACAGCACTGTTTCTAACAGCCAAGATTTGGAAGCAACCTAAGTGTACATCAACAGATGAATAAATAAAGAAAATGTGGTATTTATACACGATGGAGTACTCTTCATCCATAAAAAAAGATCTTGTTATTTGCAACAACATGGGTGGAACTGGAGGTCATATGCTAAGTGAAATAAGCCAGGCACAGAAAGGCAAACATCACATGTTCTCACTTATTTGTGAGATCTAAAATTCAAAACAACTGAACTAATGGAGTTACAAAGTAGAAGGATGGTTACTAGAGGCTGGGAAACGCAGTGAGGGAGTGGGCAGGTGGTTAGGATAGTTAATTGGTACAAAAAAGTTAGAAAGAATGAATAAGACCTAGTATTTGATAGCACAACAGGGTGACTATTAGTCAATAATTTAATTGTACATTTAAAAATAACTAAAATAGTATCATTGGATTGTTTGTAACACAAAGGATAAATGCTTACAAGATGTGATTATGTAAGCATTGCATGCCTGTATCAAAACATCTCTTGGAACCCATAAATATATACACCTACTATGTAGCCACAAAAATTAAAATTTCTTTAAAAAGAGCAAAGAAAACCCAAATTCTACTCTAAGTTTCTAATTCAAATGCTATTTTCTCCTCACAAAGCCATCTCTGATCCCCTTTCCTGTGAATTACTATAGCATTTTAACAGTGTATCTTTTCTGGGGCTCACCATTTTTTGCTTGTACAAAAATAATTATCTATTGAGTGCATACTGTGGAAAACATGTTCTGCTAAACATTTTAAATAATAATCTATAACTTTCCTAATAGTGTAAGAAAGGCAGGTAATTTCATCCCAATGTAATAATCGATAAAACTGTTTGATTTCAAAGTCTGTTCTCTTTCCACTATGTCAAACTATCACTTCGGTTTAAATCATACTGCTACTTAATTATTTAAACTTGTTAATATAAAGTTATATACCCAACTTTGTTCTATAAAGGCCTTGAGGAACCTAAGTATGTCCTGAAATATACAAATATCATTCCTTCTATCCAAAAATGATCTCAGGTGGCTTTAAAAAAGATACTACAAAGGGGAAAATCATAATGAAAAAGGAAAATCATAATCAATGAAAAAGGAAGAAGTGAATATGCTAACCATAAATGTTAATTAACATGGTTGCTTGGTGATACGGTTTGGCTCTGTCCCCACCCAAATCTCATCTTGAATTGTAATAATCCCCAAGTGTCAAGGTGAAACTAGGTGGAGAGGGCAGTTTCCCCCATACTGCTCTCCGGTTAGTGAGTGAGTTCTCACAAGATCTGATGGTTTCCTAAGGGGCTTCCACTCTTTGCTCAGCACTCGTTCTGTCTTCTGCCACCCTGTGAAAAGGTGCCTTCCACCATGATTGTAAGCCTCCTGAGGCCTCGCTAGCCATGCACAACTGTGAGTCAAACCTCTTTTCTTTATAAATTACCCAATCTCGGGTATTTCTTCATAGCAGTGTGTGAATGGACTAATACAGTAAATTGGTACCACAGAGAGTCAGGGGCTGCTATAAAGATACCTGAAAATGTGGATATGACTTTGGAACTGGGTAACAAGCAGAGGCTGGAACACTTTGGAGGATTCAGAAGACAGGAAAATGTGGGAAAATCTGGAACTTCCTAGAGACTTGTTGAATGACAATGAAGTCCAGGCTGAGGTGGTCTCAGATGGAGATGAAGAACTTGTTGGGAACTGGAAAGGTCATTCTTGCTATGCTTTAGCAAAGAAACTGGTAGCTTTTTGCCCCTGCCCTAGAGATCTGTGGAATTTTGAGCTTCAGAGAGGTGACTTAGCGTATCTGGTGAAAGAAATTTCTAAGCAGCAAGGCATTCAAGAGGTGACAGAGCATAAAAGTTCAGAAAATTTGCAGCCTGACAATGCAGTAGAAAAGAAAAACCCATTTTCTGGGTAGAAATTCAAGTCTACCACACAAGTGAGAAGCAGCCAAATGCTAATCACCAAGACAATGGGGAAAATGTCTCCAAGGCATGTCAGAGACCTTCACAGAAGCCCCTCCCATCATAGGTCTGGAAGCCTAGGAGGGAAAATTGGTTTTCTGGGCTGGGTCCAGGGCCCCTCTGCTGTGTGCAGCCTAGGGACTTGGTGCCCTGTGTCCCAGCTGCTCCAGCCATGGCTAAAAATGGGGCCAAGGTACAGCTCAGACTTTTGCTTCAGAGGGTGCAAGCCCCAAGCCTTGGCAGCTTCTACATGATGTTGGTCCTGTGGGTGCACAGAAGAGAAGGACTGAGATTTGGGAACCTCTGCCTAGATTTCAGAGGACGTATGGAAACTCCTGGATGTCCAGGTAGAGAGGTGTGCTACAGGGGCAGAGCCCTCATGGAGAACCTCTGCTAGGGCAGTGTGGAAGGGAAATGTGGGGTCAAGAGCCCCCACACAGAGTCCCTACTGGGGCACTGCCTAGCAGAGCTATGAGAAGGAACCACTGTCCTCCAGCCCCCAGAATGGTAGATCCACCCACGGTTTGCACCGGAAAAGCTGCAGACACTCAATGCCAGCCGTGAAAGCAGCCAGTAAGTGGAGGCTGTACCCTGCAAAGCCACAGAGGCAGAGTTGCCCAACACCATGGGAGCACATCTCTTTAATCAGCAAGACCTGCATGCGAGATGTGGAGTCAAAGGAGATCATTTCGGAACTTTAAGGTTTAATGACTGCCCTTTTGGATTTCAGACTTGCATGGGGCCTGTAGCCCCTCTGTTTTGGCCAATTTCTCCCATTTGAAATGGGCGTATTTACCCAATGCCTGTACTCCCATTGTATCTAGGAAGTAACTAACTTGCTTTTGACTTTATAGGCTCAGAGGCAGAAGGGACTTGCCTTATCTCAGATGAAACTTTAGACTTGGACTTCTGGGTTAATCGTGGAATGAGTTAAGACTTTGGAAGACTGTTGGGAAGGCATGATTGTGTTTTGAAATGTGAGGACATGAGACTTGGGAGGGGCCGGGGCAGAATGATATAGTTGGGCTGTGTCCCCACCTGAATGTCATCTTGAATTATAATAATTCCCATGAGTCCAGGGTGGGATCAGGTGGGAGATAATTGAATTATGGGGGTGGCTTCCCCCATACTGGTCTTGTGATAGTGAGTGAATACTCATGAGATCTAATGGTCTATAAGGGGCTTCCCCCTTCACCTGGCACTCATTCTCTCTCCTGCCACCCTGTGAAGAGGTGCTTTCTACCATGATTGTTAAGTTTCCTGAGGCCTCCCCAGCCAAGTGGAACTGTGAGTCAATTACACCTCTTTCCTTGATAAATTACCCAGTCTTGGGTATTTCTTCATAGCAGCATGAGAATGGACTAATACGCTTGGATTGTACATAAAATTTGGAAGTTGAGGAAAGACAGGAAAACAATTAAATTTAATTCAATGCCAGAAAGAACCTCACGAGTACGTCAGGGTAGGCAAGGATTCCCCACTACTGAGTCGAAAATAGATTTTCCATAAGAAACAGTGTTATTTATAGACAAACCTTATTGCTGCATTAGAGTAAAAAGTTCTTAAAGCTTCTCCTGTATACCATATAACACAAATGTTAATAGATGGTGTTAATTTACTGTAAGACTGAATTTACCAGTCTTTGTAGTAAACAAAGCGATAACATCCATTGAAGAGAAGAAAAGATGGAAACAGATGGGAACCAGATTATTCGAATTTGGAATGGCTATTGTAGGAATCTGTCAAATTTAGAAAGAGATCAATCAAAGGACTGTTAAGTAGAAATGAGACTATGGCAAAAGTTACATAGTACTGATTTTCAGATGAGAACATTAGCAGTGTTTTTAGAAATACCTTTTAAACACCTGGTGGCTGGAGAATTAAAACAGGCAAGGCAGACAATATTGTGCGAGCCAGTGCTACATACTGGCAAGAAAGGAATCACAGAAAATTAAGGAAGTAAGGGTAAAGTGTTCATGGGGACATTAGTGAAATTACTACAAGTTTCAAGCTAGGAGAATTGATGGATTGGAGGTCAATATAGGGTCAAGAACAGGTTTATAGTTAAGACGAAGTAAGAGACTAGTGGTTTTGGTGATAAAAATAAATGCAGACATAGAGGTCTGAGAGGTAACACACTTTCTCTGTATGATGGAATTTAAGATGTGGCAGTGAGGATCTTGGAGTAGGTCTCACCTCTTCCTGGTCCCATATATCCAGGACTGGGGTATGAGGAGAGAAAGCATCTTTTTCTCCCTCAGATAATATATCTTGGGTAACACTGGTTTGTAGCAGAGGCTGGCAAACTTTTGCTGCAAAGGGTCCAACAACAAACATCTTAGACTTTATGGGTTTTATACAGTCTCTGTCACATATTTTTTTTTTTTTTGAGACGGAGTCTTGCTCTGTCATCCAGGCTAGAGTGCAGTGGTGTGATCTTGGCTCACTGCAATCTCTGACTCCTGGGTTCAAGTGATTCTCCTCCTCAGCCTTCCGAGTAGCTGGGACTACAGGCGCCCTCCACAACGCTCAGTTATTTTTGTTTTTATTTTTAGTGGAGACAGGGTTTCACCATGTTGGCCAGGCTGGTCTCGAACTCCTGACCTCAAGTGATTCGCCAGCCTCAGTCTCCCAAAAGTGCTGGGATTACAGGCATAAGCCACAGCACCCAGCCATATTCTCTCTTTTCTAATTTTTAAAATTATTTATTTAATTTTGAAACACAGTCTTGCTCTGTCACCCAGACTGGAGTGCAGTGGCACCATCTTGGCTCACTGCAACCCCACCTCCTGGGTTCAAGCAATTCTCGTGTCTCAGCCTACCACGTAGCTGAGATTATAGGCATGTGCCACCATGCTTGGCTAATTTTTGTATTTTTAGTAGAGATGAGGTTTTGCCATGTTGGCCAGGTTGGTCTTGAACTCCTGGCCTCAAGTGATCTGCCCGCTTCAGCCTCCCAAGTTCCTGGGATTACAGACGTGAGCTACCGTGCCAGGCTCTTTTCTCTTTTTAAGTAGTATTTTGAAAATATGAATGCCATTCTTAGCTTACAGTCCTTATAATAACAGACCACTGACCAGATTTGATTCATGGGCTATAGCTTGCCCTGTTGTAAAGGATAAAATTCTAACTTCTTAGTTTCACAGAAAAGACATTTATGACATAAATCTAATCTATGTCTCCAGTCATGTCATCCCACACTTGCTTAACTGTAAACTTCTTAGTTGCAGAATTTTTCAGTTTCCTAAACATTTGGTCTAGGGCCTTTTATATTTCAGGACGTCTGTTCTCTCAGTTCCCTTAGACCCAAAGTCTTTCTCTATTTCTCAGCTTATACAGTTCCTCACTATTCATACTCCATCCCAAATGTCACTTTTTATATACCCACCACAATTCACCCAAGCAGTGATCAATTACCTTTGCTATTCAAAACCTCTTTTTTATTGTTCATATCCCCCTTAAAGTTTTCATTTGTGCTGAATGATGATCCTTTTACAGGTCTACCTCTCCATATCCCCACAACTCTGAGTGTCTAAGGGAAGAAAGGTCTTATCCATCTTCGTGTTTCCACTCCCTCATACGAGTGCCTAACAGTACATAGCTTATGGCACATGCTCAGCAAATAGTCATCAATGAATGAACTAGTCATACAGTATGAGTATACTTCATACTTTTTAATATAAATACCTTTGCGTGATAATTACTAAGATCATATCCTAAACTACTACTTTATACAATCATAATTTGATTCTACTGCTTACTTGTTTAAAAAATAAAAATTACATTTCAATTTCACTGTGATTTTAAGAGAATTTTCTACTTTACATGCCTGGTTGTGTTCATGAGCTGTACAATTATCTGTTCCATTATATTCTGTAAGCTGTTCTCTTCGTTTTTCTCTAATAAGAATTTTATGAACATCATCTTCCAGTCTATTGAAGAATCCTCCATCATGTGATAAAGTCTGAGAAGAACTCAATTCCTGTCAAAAATGAATTACGATTTACTATCATTCAACATGCACTGATATGCATTTAATACACCTAGTCAACCACAAGAAGGGATATGCATTTAGTACACCTAGTCAACCACTAGAAGGATAAAAAAAGAAAGAAAAATGACAGCTAAGAGACAATCAACGACTTGATCCTTCTCCATCTCCAGAAGATAAAACAGTAGAGACACATTTGGAAATTTCCTTTCATACTTCATATTTTTTGGACTTAGATATTGCTTTTTAAATTTCTGTTATTTATATACTGAACAACTCTCCAATTTAATGTGTACAAGACACTGGTTTTTTAATATATTCACAGAGTTGTACAACCATCACCCCAATCAACTATATAACAATTCCATCACCCCAAAAAGAAACTGTACCCATTAGCCGTCACTCCCCATTTCCTCCTAATACCTGCCACCCGCCCCAGGCAACACTAATCTATTTACTGTCTCTATAGATTTGCCTATTATGGACATTTTGTATATACAGAATAATCCAATATGTGAACTTTTGACTGGCTTCTCTGACTTAGCAAAATATTTTCAAGATTCATCCATATATGGCTTGTATCAGCACTTCATTCCTTTTTATTGCCAAATATCCCATTCTACATTTTATTTCTCCATTTGTTGGTTGATAGACATTTGGGTTGTTGCTACTTTTTGGCTATTACGAATTGTGCTGCTATAATATTCATGCACAAGATTTTGTGTGGACGTATTTTCAATTCTCTTGGGTATATACCTAAGAGTAGAACTGCTGGTGACTCTATGTTTAACCTTTTGAGGTATCGCTAGATAATTTTCCAAAGCAGCCCATCATTTTACAATCCCATCAGCAGTCAAGTGGGTTGCAATTTCTCCACATTCTCATCAACACTTGTTGTTATCTGCCTTTTTCATGATAGCCACCGGGTGTGAAGTGCTATCTCATTGCGGTTTTCAGTCGCATTTCCCTGACAGCGAATGGTGCTGAACATCCCTTTTGTGTGCTTATTGAAGATTTGTATATCTTTTTGGAGAAATGTCTTCTCAGATCCTTTGCCCATTTTTTAACTGGGTTACTTGTTTTTTTGAGTTGTAACAGTTCTTTATATATTCTAAATGTCTATATCTTATTGAATATGATTTACAAACATTTACTACCATTTCATGGCTTGTCTTGGCATATTCTTGATGGTATTCTTTGTATCACAGAAGTTTTTAAATTTGATGAAGTCCAATTTTATCCAAGAAACCATTGCTTAACTCAAAAATTTACTCCTATATTTTCTTCTAAAAGTTTTACAGATTTAGCTCATGTGTTTAGTTCTGTGATCCATTTTGAGTTAATTTTTGTACACGGTGTGAAGAAAGGGTCGAAATTCACTCTTCTGCATGACAATATCCAGCATCATGTGTTGAGAAGATTATTCTTTTGCCCTTTTAACTGCGTTGGGACTCTTGTCCAAAATCAATAGTTTGTTTCTGAACTCTTAATCCTATTCTATCAATCTGTAAATGTCTATTCTTATGCCAGTACCAGATTGTCTTGATTATTATAGTTTTATGTTGCTCAATCGTTTACACTGCTTTTTTTTTTTTGAGACGGAGTTTCACTCTTGTTGCCCAGGCGGAGTGCAATGGCAAGATCTCGGCTCACTGCAACCTCTTCCTCCCAGGCCAGGTTCAAGCAATTCTCCCACCTCAGCCTCCTGAGTAGCTGGGATTAAAGGCATGTGCCACCACGCCCAGGTAATTTAGTATTTTAGTAGAGACAGGGTTTCACCATGTTGGCCAGGCTCGTCTCGAACTCCTGACCTCAGGTGATCTGTCCGCCTCAGCCTCCCAAAGTGCTGGGATTACAGGTATGAGACACTGCGTCCGGCGTTACATTACGTTTTAAAATAATTTTTATATAAATTCCACATGCCAATAGAAGATTTTTAAAAGATAAGATTTTTATCACTGTCTATCCAATTATATATTAGAAATTTTACATTCTCCAAGAAAAGGAGCATTTCCTCTTCAACATCCTGTTATGAAGACAGAGACTGAAGAAAACATTCCTCTCACTCATTGGTTTCACCTATGTCCCACATTCTCTTTTTTTTGAGACAGTCTCACTCTCACCCAGGCTGGAGTGCAGTGGCCCAATCTCGGCTCACTACAACCCTCACCCCTTTAGGTTCAAGCGATTCTTGTGCCTCAGCCTCCCAAATAGCTGGGATTACAGGCACATGCCACCACTCCTGGCTAATTTTTTTGTTGTTTGTTTGTTTGTTTGTTTGTTTAGCAGAGATGGGGTTTCACCATGTTGGCCAGTGGGTCTCAAACTCCTGACCTCAGGTGATCCACCCGCCTCAGCCTCCCAAAGTGCTAGGATTATAGGTGTGAGCCACCATGCCTGTCCCCACATTCTTGAACTACAGCTATTCACAATTGTATCTGTGGGCAAACGACCCCAAGGTTCAATAATTATTCATACTTTTCACTTCACATTATCTTAGAAAGTAAAGTGTTTGAAAAAAATTTATTTGTATACCAGTGCTTACTATATGAATGACATTAAAAATGGTTGTGCAACACTTTATATCTTGCAAAGCACTTAAACAAACATTACCTTATTTGAATTTCATAAACATCATGAGAAGTTGATGAGCAAGTATTATTTCCCCCCCAAGTAATTATGGCCTTAAGAATGCATGTGCGATTGCTAAGGGATACAGGCATAACTCTAAAATTACTGCTTCATAAAATAGTTCCAGTATATTCTTGTAAGATTTTATTTTACAGCAATAAATACAGAAATGCTAAAAACCACTGCTGAGCTTCTGTGGAAAGAATAACATACTGCTAGCAACTAATCAGCCTCTGGATTTCATATCACTAGAGATTATAATTATAATTATAATTCTAGCCAATGTCCCTGCTTGTTGATAGTTGCTCCCATTACCATCACATCATGCCTATCACAAAGGGCATTCTGTCCCTTAAGTACTTTTGAGTGAGGCCACAAAGTTTCTTTTTGATCTAGAGATGGGATTTTTTTCAAAAGATACTGATAACAAACTATAGGGGGGAGAAAAGCAAAAATAAATCAACTACTACATCCCACACACACCAGAAAAAAAGATTAAAATATGGCAAATGTAAGAACATAAAATATTTAACATAATAAGTCTAGCCAATTCAATTTCAGTTTAATTCAAATTCTGCACACCTATTTGGTACCAAGCACACAATGAATAAGACAGTATGGTGCTTATGTAAGTATAGACATACAGATCAATGGAACAGAATTGAGAATCTAGATATGAGCCTTCATATTTATGATCAAATTTACTTTTTAAAAAGGTGTCAAGGTATTTTATTAAGGATATAAGAGTGTTGTGCTGGGAGAAGTGTCTATGCATATGCCACAATTCACAAAAATTAACTCAAAATATGGATCACAGACTCTTAAAGGAAGAACTAAAACTATAAAGCCTCTAGAATAAATCATCATGACTTGTGTTAGGCAAAGATTTATTTAATGAACACCAAAAGTACAATCCATAAAGTCACAAACTAGACTTGATAACAATTTAAAACTTTTGTGCTTCAAAAGACACAATTAAAAAACCAAAAAGACATCCCCAAAATATGTACATCTATTTTGTATCAATAAAAAATTAAAAAGAAAAGGCAAGGCATAGCCTGGAAGAAAGTATTTGCAAATCATGTATCTGATAGAGGACTTGTTTTCAGACATATAAAGAAATCATACAAATCAATAAGAAAATACACAAAAATGAGCAAAAAATTTGAATAGATATTTCCAGAAGATATAAGAATGGCTGATAAGCATATGAAAAGATGTCTGAAATCACCAGTTATTAGGAACATGCAAATTAAAACTACAATCAAATACATTACATACCCACTAGAATGGCTATAATCAAAACAAGAGATAATATCAAGCGTTGGCAAGGATGCGTAGGAGCTAGAACTCTCATATATTGCTGGTGGGAGTGAAAAATGGTAGTCATTTTGAAAAACAATTTGACAGACTCTTTAAAAGTTAGACATAAATTCACCACACAACCCAGCAATTTCACTCCTAAGTAACCACCTACGAGAAATTAAAACATATCCACACAAAGACATACGTCAAATGTGCATAGCAAGCCTATAACCTGGTGAATAAACAACATTTATACAATGAAATACTATTCAGTGATACGGCTGAATTAACTACTGCCACATGCTACAACACGGATATACCTCAAAAACATTATGCTAAGTGAAAGAAGCCAAACACAAAGACTATACATTCTATGAGTCCATTATAGGTTACAAGAAACTGCAAATCTCTAGAGACAGAAAGTAGATCAGTGGTTGCCAGGGGCTGAAGGTGGGAGTAGGGATTGACTACAAATGGCTATGAGGGAATTTTCTGAGATTATGGAAATGTTCCAAAACTAGACTGTGTTTATGGCTGCACAACCATGAGTGAATTATATACTTGCAATGGGTGAATTTTATAGTATTTAAATTATAACTCAATACAGCTGTTTAAAAAAAAAACACACTTGATCCCACACCATTCTACTTAAAAACTAGAATATTACCTACAGACCTTATGGCCCATCTATATACTCTTCCCTTAGTCTCATCTTCGTGCCTCGACAAGGTAACCATTACCTCAACTTAGTGTTGATCATTTCCATGTTTTTGTTGTTTTACAGATGCATCACTAAATAATATAATTTCATTTTGTTTGGTTTCTTAACTTTTTATTATGAAAATTTTCATCCATATACTCTACATTTAGATTTAAGGATTTTCTACATTTAGCCCTCCTTTTTGGGCCTAGGTATTTTATAATAAAATGCAGTTATTATGATAGTTCATCTCGAAATTCTTTCACATGCAGCTATAAAAAATTGTCCAATTTAACCATATTATCATCATCATACCTAACAAAAATCATATTTGTTAACATCACCTTATTCCTACTTTATTATTACTATTATTATTTTGTAGACAGTTTTGCTCTAGGCACGTGCCATCACACCCGGCTAATTTTTCTATCTTTAGTAGAGACGGGGTTTCACCACATTGGCCAGGCTGGTCTCTGACCTCCTGGCCTCAAGTGATCCACCCGCCTCGGCCTCCCAAAGTGCTGGGATTACAGGCGTGAGCCACTGTGCCTGGTCTATACCTACTTTACATTAATTCAAGATGGATTTAAGACTTAAATGTAAGACCTAAAACTACAAGAATCCTAGAATAAAACCTAGGAAATACCAATGGGGACACTGGCCTTGGGAAAGAGTTTATGACCAACTCCTCAAAAGCAATTGCAGGTCAGGCACGGTGGCTCACGCCTGTAGTCCCAGCACTTTGGGAGGTCAAGGTAGGTGGATCACTTGAGCCCCGGAGTTCAAGACCAGCCTGGACAACATGGCGAAACCCTGTCTCTACCAAAAATACAAAAAACTAGCTGGGAGTGGTGGCATGTGCCTGTAGTCCCAGCTGCTGTGGTGGGAGGATTGCTTGAGCCTGGGAGGCAGAGGTTGCAGTAAGCTGAGACCGTGCCATTGCACTCCAGCCTGGGTGACAGAGCAAGACCCTGTCTCAAAAAAAAAAAAAGCCAATTGTAGCAAAAACAAAAACTGACAAACGGGACCTAGTTAAACTGAAAAGCTTCGGCACAGCAAAAGAAACTATCAATAAACAGAAACCCCCTTTTTTTTTTTTTTTTTTTTTTTTTTGAGACAGAGGCTGGCTCTGTTGCCAGGTTGGAGTGCAGCAGTGCGATCTCGACTCACTGCAACCTCCACCTCCCGGGTTCAGGCGATTCTCCTGCCTCAGCTCCTGAGTAGCTGGGACTACAGGTGCATGCCACCACACCCAGATAAGTTTTGTATTTTTAGTAGAGACGGGATTTCATCATGTTGGCCAGGACGGTCTCGATCTCTTGACCTTGTGATCCGCCCACCTCAGCTTCCCAAAGTGCTGGGATTACAGGGGTGACCCACCGCGCCCGGCCCCTTCTTTTTTTTTTTTTAAGAGATGAAGTCTCACTCTGTCGCCCATGCTAGAGTGCGGTGGTGCTATCATAGCTCATCCTGGAATTCCTGAGCTCAAATGATCTTCCTGCCTCAGCATCCAGAGTAGCTGGGACTACAGGTGTGCACCACTGAGCCTGCTAATTTTGTTTATGAAAATTTTTAGAGATGGGATCACACTATGTTGCCTAGGCTGGTCTGGATCTCCTGGCCTCAAGCATTCCTCTCACCTCAGCCTCTGAAGTAGCTGGCATTACAGGCGCCAGCCACCATGCCTGGCTCTGGGCTCGTCTTGTATATTCCCTGTCATCGCCCTAGATACAGCCATTTCTCCAACGAGTCCTGGTTCCTTTTACTGGAGAATGGTTTTAGAAACAGTAATCAATTTAACATCATAAAAATAACCTCATATTCTATGACCCCGATGTGATATGATAGGAAATATATCACACCATCTAGGAAATATTCTTGCCTCCCTCAACTCCTCAAGAAAACAACTTGATGGATGACAGAGCCTTGGCAGATGTTAAAAAGGAAAAAAAAATTTTTTTTGAAAGAAAACAACTTGAGTCGGGCACAGTGGCTCACTCCTGAAATCCCAACACTATGGGAGGCCAAGGCCGGTAGATCACTTGAGGCCAGGAGTTTGAGACCAGCCTGAGCAACCCAGTGAAACCCCGTCTCTAATAAAAATAAAAAATTAACTGGGCGTGGTGCTGGGCGCCTGTAATCCCAGCTACTCGGGAAGCTGAGGCTCAAGAATCGCTTGAACCCAGGAAGCAGAGGTTGCAGTGAGCCAAGATCGTGCCACTACACTCCAGCCAGGAGGACACAGAGAGACTCTGTCTCAAAAAAAAAAAAAAAAAAAAAAAAAGAGAGAGAAAAGAAAAGAAAAAGAAATGAATCTATCAAACCTCAAAAGCTAATTAACAGTTTATAAGAAATTCTGTAAAGCTATAACCCCGAGATTCCCAAGTAATCATGTGATCTCGCCTGAAGTGAAGGAACAGATAGCAGCTGAGAGTAGGGAGTGAAATGGAGAGTCCTAAAGCTGTCTAAATGCCTGGATCCAGTCAACTATGAGGTCAACTCTCCCCCTATTCTTCCATGATGTGGTTACATTAACCAAATAACTGTCTCTGTTTTGTTTATGCTGGATTGAGTTGGGCTTCTGTTGCTTATAACCAAAGAGAGCTAACAAATGTAACACATACAAACAAGGAAAGGCTTAGTAACAAGAATGAGCTCAACACACTGAGAAGAATAGAAAATAGGTTGAATCTTTAGGTAAAACCAGATTCTAGGTGAGATTTATTTAAAGCTAGATTAAATTTATTTGCTTTTAAAATTTAATAACCTAAAAAAAAGAAAAGAAACAAAATAAAAAATTTAGGCCAGGTGCAGTGGCTCACACCTCTAATCCCACTTTGGGAGGCCGAGGCAGGTGGATCACGAGGTCAAGAGATAGAGACCATCCTGGCCAACATGGTGAAACCCCACCTCTATTAAAAATACAAAAATTAGCTGGGCATGGTGGTGCACATCTGTAGACCCCAGCTACTCGGGAGACTGAGGCACGAGAATCGCTTGAACCCTGGAGGTGGAGGTTGCACCACTGCATTCCAGCTTGGCAAGATAGCGAGACTCCATCTCAGAAAGAAAAATAAAATTAATAGTCTAATTTGATTACTGCTACACTCCTGTGTGTTGGTAGCATTAACAATAGGGTTCATTTTTTTAGCGTATTTTTCTTTATTCTTTATTTCAATTGCACTCTGATCATTTATCATAATTTTAGAAATCAACAGATCCAACATTACTTTTCATAATATAACTAGGGCCTAAAGTGAATAAATTATTTGTCCACGCTCATAATCAGCTAAAGGTAGACATGTGGAGCATTAGTGCTAAAGCACAGTGCTATAAGAAGGAAGTAGGTTGTAGAGACAGATAGGACTGGGTTTGTTCCCTGGTTCCTTTCTTCACACAGTTCTTTTTATTTTTAATATAATTTTTACATAAGTAGTACACGGACATGATAGAAAATTCAGAAGCTTATACTGTAAAAAGCAGGCAGGCTATTTCTCCTATCCCTCTGTCCAATATCTCCCCCACTGCCACCTTTGACAACCACTGTTACAGTTTCTTGGGTACTCCTCCAATGATAGTGCATTCAAGCATATTGAAGACTGGATCATTTAGACTTCAAGACATATGATGATCACTAAGATTTTTAAAACTAAAACCATACTAGAAGGACTGGAGTTTGGAAGGCCAGATAAAATTGGGACTAGAGAGAAATGAGTATCTATGAGATACCCTTCCTAACAGTTCTGGCATTTAAAAAGCAACATATTAAAAAACAAAACAACTTCAGTCCAACAGAAGAAAAAAGACTAAGAATCAAATAAAACTCCTGAAAAGGCATGATTTGTTGAGATTTTATAAAGAGGTATGTACAAGCACCTACTCTAGACAGAAGAAAAAAGAAATAATGAAATTAACCTGAGAACAAGTTTAGCTAGCACCAAGAATATATATGCAGTTCAAGTACACCTCATCACCCATCAATAAAGTAAAATATTTTCCCTTCTGAATGTTATCCAATAAATATCTGATTTAAGGGGAGGTAGGTAAGAAGAATATTATTTGCCACAGATGTTAGGAACTTAAGAGTAGCCATGAAAAAAAAATCCCTTGGCCTAAGTAATATATTAAAGATGGAATGAATTAAGTTAATCATTCAGCATACGACGTTAACAAAACTAGTTCATTTGTAGGAGCAAATAACATTTTGTTTGAGAGTTCAAATTGGAATTTTCTTTAGGCTTTTTTGGATTCTCTGTGGAAAAAAAGATCTTCTAAATTTCTAGATCAATGGTATAACCGTTGTAACATTTAAATATTTAAGTCCCAGAAAGAAATGCCTCTAATGGAAATGGAACATAATTTCGGCATACTTTTAACAAGTATCAAAAGGTACACCAGTCAGAATGGCTATTACTAAAAAGTCAAAAAATAACAGATACTGGCAGGGTCACAGAGAGAAAGAAATGCTTATCCACTGTTGGTGGGAATGTAAATTAGTTCAACCACTGTGGAAAGCAGTGTGGCGATTCCTCAAAGAACTAAAAACAGAAATACCATTTGATCCAGCAATCCCATTACTGGATATATACCCAGAGGAATATAAATGGTTCTATTATAAAGACACGTGCACACATATGTTCACTGAAGCACTGTTCACAATAGCAGACATAGAATCAACCTAAATGCCCATCAATGGTAGACTGGATAAAGAAAACGTGGTATATATGCACCATGGAATACTATGCAGCCATAAAAAAGAATGAGACTGTGTCCTCTGCAGGGACATGGATAGAGCTGGATGCCATTATCCTTAACAAACTAATGCAGAAACAAAAACCAAATACTGCATGTTCTCACTTTAAGTGGGAACTAAATAATGAGAACACATGGACACATAGAGGGGAACAAGACACACTGGGGCTTACCAGAGGGTGAAGGGTGGGAGGAGGGAGAGGATCAAGAAAAATAACTAATGGGTACTAGGCTTAATACCTGGGTGACAAAATAATCTGTATAACAAACCACCGTGACCAAAATTTACCTATATAATAAACCTACACATGTACCCCTGAACTTTAAAAGTTAAAAAACAAAAACAAAAATAAAGATAATGTGAATTACATATTCTTATAACCAAATTCTTAATATAGTTGTAAGGGAAATAAATCATAATTAGACTGTATTTACAAATGTGGAACTTAATCAGAAATCTTCAAAATGAATTTTATTATATATCAGATTATTTAACAAGACAGAACACAGCTCTAAAATAAGGAAAGACAAGATATATTATTCTACATACAGAAGCTTGTTTAAATACAACTCATCTTTAATATATTAAATAGGTAGGATCTTGTCAGTTTGCATTTTTTGTCTTCTTTCAAATCAGGAAAGAAGAAAACGCAAGCATCAAACAGTTTATAGAGTTGTCTTAGGAGCAGGTACACCATGTGTATCTGCTTTCTTATTTGTATAACACTATCCCCCAAATAAATCAATGGACAAAAATAAATTGGAATCAGTTCAAAAGTATGTTTTCCACTTTCAAACATGGAATTAATATTCAGTCTATATATGTAGTCATTTAAATTTTAATCTAAAAAATGATGACAATGGTTTGCAAATAACTTTTAAAAAAATTGACCATCTGTTTCAACAACAAATCAATTCTGTGTTTGCATGCATAGTTAGGAACTAAATTATTAATACAATCACAAAATTATTTAGATGTGATTTTTTTTAAGAGATAGATTTCGTTTTCCTAGCCTGTGAAGCAAATGTTTGAAACAAACAAAAAAATGGTCAGAAGCCATATATATATATATATATATATACACACACACACACACGCACATATACATATACATACATATATACACATATACACATATATGTGTATATATATACACGTGTATATGTGTATATATATACACGTGTATATGTGTATATATATACACACATATATATACACGTATATGTGTATATATATACACATATACACACACACACACACACACACACACACATTCTAAAGTGAAATCGAGGACCATCTGACCATAAAAAATTAAACAACGGAATGCCTAATAAGAACACATATATAATAGAAGAATAAAACTTTGAAATTACCTTAAAAGATAAAAATAATTTTAACATTTCATTAGTATCTTCCTCAATGTTAGAGCATTTTTTTAATAGCACAATCTCCCAACTAAAAGATTTGGAGAGGCTATACTATAGTATTTAAATAACAGAAACAAAAAACCCCAAATCCCCAACACCAGGAAGTGTAGGCTACACTAACAGTGAATGGTAAGAGAAGTATATAATCAGGTTACTTTTACCCATGAGTATATCTAAAGAATCACAGTTTATTTCAAACTTCCATAATTCCAAAATAATATGAGACATCTTCTCAGGATAAGTTTTTAATAAAGATTAAAATATAGAGTGAGAGATTAAACCACTTTTCTCTGAGATTTTAAGCTTGGCACACACAAAGTAACCTTTGGCTCATACACATATATATACAAATTAGGATGATAAAGCCAAATTATATTATGCTTCATGCAAATAATCTTATTTTTATTCTACAACAATGCATTTTACATCCTTATATAATGGCAGAAACATGACTGGGTTCACTCAAGACAAACCTATGGGTTGTCCTTTAAATGATTATGTCTCAAAAAAGACTTACTGCTAAGTATTTAAGTATTATTCTTAAAATCATCAGTGTTTTCTACAAGATGGCTACAATAAGACTTACCTCAGTCTTTTTACTAATGTGATCTGTAAATGAAAAAGAAACAAAGATGAAACTTTATTGAAGGAATTTAACATACAAAAATGTAAAAAAAAAAAAAAAAACGAAACTGAAAGAATTTCAAAATTATCTCCTATGAGTTATAGAAGTCATTTAAGAGTTTTCTAGGATTCTCATCTGATTTACTTTTCTAGGTTTAAGATGTTAAAATTCAGTATATAATTACTAATTTACTCAGCTTAAGGAACGTCTTATCCTAGTAAATCCCACCCATATCAAGGGATATTATTGCATTTTAAGCATATGAGTTCCACATAATCTAGTTTTTTGGTTCCACATAATTTGGGAGGTGGGGGGAGCAAGTCAAGGGGACACAAGTATGTCCAAAATCAAATCACAGGTTACTATAACTACAAAAAATGTTCAGATTACTGCTTTTGTGTAATGAAAAGGTAGAATAGTAATTTATGTCCTTTAAAACTACTAGCTATTTTATTTTAAAAGCATATATCAAGGTGATTTAATAGCACTATTAAAAAACCTAAAAATTGATATATATTTATAGACTTAACATAAAAAATAACCCATAACAAATACATCTAGATGAAACAAATTATTGGCTTAGAAACAACACAGCATTTCTGGAAAGGAATTATCAAGAGCAGAATGAGGAAAGCATAAGGGAATCTAAAGTACAAATAAGGCCAGGGGCTATGGCTCACACCTGTAATCCCAGCACTTTGGGAGGCCCAGGCGGGCGGATCACCTGAGGCCAGGAGTTTGAGACCAGGCTGGCCAACATGGTGAAACCCCATCTCTACTAAAAATAAAAAAACTAGCCAGGCATGGTGGTACACACTTGTAATCCCAATTACTTGGGAGACTGAGGCATGAAAATTGCTTGAACCCAGGAGGCGGAGGCTGCAGAGAGCCAGGATCATGCTACTGCACTCCAACCTGGGCGACAGAGCAAAACTCTGTCTCTAAATAAAGTACAAATAGTGGGCAAGTATTCTTATTTAAAGTAGATGATCAGGTATCTAATACTTAACAATGCTTCTTGTGTACAGCAGAAATTTTCTATTCTCAAGGACTAAAAATATAACTTTCTTATGACTGAGAATCTAAAAGCTGGTCCAGTTCTCTAAAGAATTTCTTGATCAGAATAGTGTCCATAAACACAGTAAATGCCAAAATCACCAACTTTAGATCAAACTACCAAATCTTGGTAAATTAGACAGTCACTCTTCTAGCACGCTCTATTTAGCATACAGTGATGCCAGAACCTAAGGAAGAACCTCAACTGTGTTAATCATGACTTGCAAAAGCTGTGTAGGTTCTCTTTAATAACATACTGATGTTTTTCTCAAATTTACATACCATTTAAGAAATCAAATGTGGAAAACAGGAGTTTTAGAAAGCATTCTTTCCATGTTTCTGCCTAGTTTTTAATAAAATGTATTTCTTCTTTTTTTTTTTTTTTGAGATGGAGTCTCACCCTGTCGCCCAGGCTGGAGTGCAGCGGTACGATCTCGGCTCACTGCAACCTCTGCCTCCCGGGTTCAAGTGATTCTCCTGCCTCAGCCTCCCGAGTAGTTGGGACTACAGGCGCGTGCCACCATGCCCAGCTAATTTTTTGTATTTTTAGTAAAGATCGGTTTCACTGTGTTAGCCAGGGTGGTCTTGATCTCCTAACCTCGTGATCCGCCCACCTCGGCCTCCCAAAGTGCTGGGATTACAGGCGTGAGCCACTGTGCCCAGCCACTTCTTTCTTTTTTTTTTAAGAGACAAGATCTCACTCTGTTGCCTAGGCTAGAGTGCACTGGCATGATCATAGCTCACTATAGCTAGCCTCTGGCTCCTAGCCTCAAGTGATCTCCTGCTTTGGCCTCCCAAAGCACTGGGATTAAAGGTATGGTCCACTGCATCCAGCCCAAAATAGATTTCTTAGGTGAAATCTTTTTTACTAATCTTGGATTTTTTTTTTTTTTTTGAGATAGATGGAGTTTCGCTCTTGTTGCCCAGGCTGGAGTGCAATGGCGCAATCTTGGCTCACTGCAACCTCCACCTTTTGGGTTCAAGCAATTCTCCTGCCTCAGCCTCCTGAGTAGCTGGGATTACAGGAATGCACCACTACGCCCAGCTAATTTTTTGTATTTAGTAGAGATGGGGTTTCACCATGTTGGCCAGGCTGGTCTCAAACTCCTGACCTTAGGTGATCCACCTGCCTCAGCCTCCCAAAGTGCTGGAATTGCAGGCGTGATGAGCCAACGCGCCCAGCCTTTTTTTTTTTTTTTTTTTTTTAAAGATGAAGTCTCACTCTGTTGTCCCAGGCTGGAGTCCAGTGGCACAACCTTGGCTCACTACAACCTCCACCTCCCCGGTTCAATAGATTCTCCTGCCTCAGCCTCTGGAGTAGCTGGGATTACAGGCACACGCCACCACACGCCCACCTACTCTTTGTATTTTTAGTAGAGACAGGGTTTCACCATGTTGGCCAGGCTGGGCTCGAACTCCTGACCTGAAATGGATCTACCTGCGTTGTCCCCGCAAAGTGCTAGGATTACAGGCGTGAGCCACCACGCCCGACCAAAACTTGGAAATTTTAATATGTATTTGTTCTTTTAACCCCAAAACAAAGCAACTTAATCACTGGCAGCCTACAGGGAAAAACTTCCTTGATCCTCAAAGGAAAACAATATAATCTTCTAAATATATTCTCTGATTTTCAAAGAAAGGCTTATTTCTGAAAGCAGTATTTGGGTTTTTTTCTTTTTGAAATTATTGCTATGGTAATATTTATCCTCACAGAACAATGCCCAATGTACTAAGGCTGAATTCATATGAGTCAAATAAAATGCTCTGTCAATGAACAAATAGCTGTTCATACGGTGAGCAACTATTCTGACGGGTATAGACACAGCGCTGTTCAATAAAATTTTCTGTGATGATAGTAATGTTGTATAGCTGGACTAACATGGAAGCTACTAGTCATATGTGACTGAGCACTTGAAATACGGCTAATGCAATTAAGAAACTACATTTTCATTTTAATTTTTATTAAATTGCCACACATGAATAGTAGCTACCATACTGTACAGCACAGGCTAAGTATTTTTAACATTTCCCACATTAAATATAATGTGCTTTGCAGTTTATCTTCAAAAGTTTAGTGGATAGTAAAATTCCTTCTGTCTTCTCCATTTGATAAAAAATACAAATGATACTATAAACACTTTTCTGGTAATAAGTCTCATTCTAAAATTTGTATTTTAATTTTCTAAGATGCAGTTCCAGATAACTTGAAGAGGCTGACCAACAATGGCTGAAATATGAAAATACTATTCCTGATCTACTGTAAGCCAAATCAGTTTATGTATAAGGAAAAAAATATGTTTCAAGATGACTCAAACTACAAATGTCAGTTTTTATTTTCAGTAAGTTTTAGGAAAGAGACAAACTCAAAAATACAAAAAGATAAATTCTTACTAAAGTTTTATGGGGTTTTAATGACTGATTTTAAATTACTTTAAAACCCCAAATGGTTTTAGTTTATTTCCAAACAGTTTTGTCCCTTCCAAAACTCATGTTGAAATTTAATCGCTACCAGGTGTGGTGGCTCACGCCTGTAATCCCAGCAGTTTGGGAGGCCAAGGCAGGCAGATCTCCTGAGCTCAGGAATTTGAGACCACCCTGGGCAAGATGGTGAAACCCTGTCTCTACTAAAAAATACAAAAGACTAGTTGGGCATGGTGGCATAGGCCTGTAGTCCTAGCTACTCGGGAGACTGAGGCATAAGAATTGCTTGAGTCGTGGAGGCGGAGGTTACAGTGAGCCATGACTGCACCACTGCACTCCAGCTTGGGCTACAGAGTGAGACTCCATCTAAAAAAAGAAAAAAAAAAAGAAGAATTTAATTGCCATTGTAACAATATTAAGAGGTAGGATCTTCAACAGGTAATTAGGCTATCAGAGCTCCACCCTCACAGGTGGGATTGGTTATAAAAGGGCAAATTTGGCCCCCTTTTGCTCTCACTCTTGCCATGTGATGACTCGTCAAGAAGGCCCTCACCAGATGCTGGCATCTTGATATTGGACTTCCCAGCTTCCAGAACTGTGAGCCAATAAACTTCCATTCATTATAAATGACCCATTCTCAGGTACTCTGTTACAGCAGTACAAAACGAACTAAGACAAAGGTTTACATTTTTTACATTCTACATGATACATGAATAACTTTTACTTATTGTTTAAAAATTAGAAAGACATTTACAACTGAAGTATAAAACAGATGTAGAATAGTTCTTTTAGCATAATAGCATTGTATATACATTACCTTCCGAATGAAAATCTTTTAGTGATACTGTGAGAGGTCTGTCTTTTCCCTGATGATTCTTTCTTTTATCTTTTTTATTCATAACTTTGGACTGAGTTGAAGTATTTTCAGCATCTTCATACTCCTAAAAAGAATTACCAACAACAATTAAGTTCAGTTTACAAACTGTAAAATAAACTCACCAACAGGTAATATGTTTCTTAAAGTTTATTTTTTAAAGATAAAAGGCAAATAAAAAACCAAAATTTAGGCTAGCCAAATTGTATAAAGAGATACCTCTTTATTCATTTACTCAATCCCTTACATCTTAAACATTAAAATGAAAACAAAAAAAGTCATACCTTGGCCTATAACCCCCTCCTCATTGCTACCTTCTACCTTTCAAGACCAAATTTAAGACAATAATCAGCAATTTCCTGCCTCATCCCACTGAAATCTGGCTTCTGCTGGTCTCTGATACTAAAGTTAAGGTCAATCTCCTCTTTATTGCCATATCCAAAACACATTATTTTTTTCAAGCATCTCTTGGTTTTCTTAATACATTTCTGACTACTGCTAAGTTTCCTTTGCTGGCTTCTTTCCTCAACCTTCTCAAAAGCGTAGCGGTTGTTCACATTATCCCACTCTTAACCTATTTTTTTAATGCTTTATACCCACTGCTCTTCAATCTCAAAGTTTAAAGTTCTACCAATAAACTAATTATTTCTGTATAGACAGACAACTGAACTGGAATGTTCAATAAGCATCTCCACACGAAATGTATTCTATCTTTCCATCTCACTACCCTGCCTTCCCCACTCGATCCTTTATGAAGTACCTTGTTATGCCACCACCATGTGCACATCTGTCTAAGTTGGAAACCTCAGAGTATCCTTGCCTACTCTCCTACACACCTTACAGCCAATTAACTACTAGGTCTTGTTTAACTTATCTCCTGAAGATATCTTAAATTCATTCTCTGTTCTTTGTACATTCTGTCATTCCCCCATCTCCCTTTTGCTTGGATACTGCAACAGTCTCCAATTTTAGCTCCTCAATCCATCTTCTACGCTGCTACATGAGTTTCTAAAATGAAAACCCAAAATCAATCTAAAAGTTAAAATGATTAAACAGCTTTCTGCCAATGGATGTATAAAACCCAATCTCCTTGCCTAGTACATGAAGAAATTTATGTCCTATCCTTCTGGCTGTATCTCCAGAAGTTCTAGGTCCTTAAATGACAGTTTTTCAAATATGCTATATTCTTTCACATGTACACATCTTATATACTTGCCACTCCTTCCTTCAGAATGCCTACTTTCCTCTTGTCTACCTCATGAACTTCTAACACATGTAATAAGACTCTTTAAAGAATCCTTTCCTAAAACCCATCCCCAACAAAGGCACTGAAAAGCCTTCTATTATTCTGAATTTCCACTGCACTGAGAACATACATCTCTCAATACTATACACTATGTCTCCCTCCACTACACTCAAGGGGCACACTTTGGCTATTCAATAATTATTTGGTGAATAACTGACAGAATAGAACAGAAAATGCTATCCCAGCCAGGCGCGGTGGCTCACGCCTGTAATCCCAGCACTTTGGGAGGCTGAGGCGGGCGGATCACCTCAGGTCGGGAGTTCAAGACTAGCCTGACCAACATGGAGAAACCCCGTCTCTACTAAAAGTACAAAATTAGCCAGGGTGGTGGCACATGCCTGTAATCCCAGCTACTCGGGAGGCTGAGGCAGGAGAATCACTTGAACCCGGGAGGCGGGGGTTGTGGTGAACCGAGATTGCGCCATTACACTACAGCCTGGGCAACAACAGCGAAACTCTGTCTCAAAAAAAAAAAAGAAAAAAGAAGAAAAGAAAAGAAAAAGAAAATGCCATCCCAAACTTTAGTTATCTGTTATAAAAATCCTTAGGCTAAAACAATTGTATTAAAAGTTGTTTTATTGAATATTGACTTTTATCTCAATGACTACCCATCAATGTCATCACATCAAACTACCCATTGCACACAAAAGAAGTTCCTCCCTTCTCTTAGTCATTATTGTCGGCTAAAATCAATGATTTTGAGTACTACACCTATGACTGTGCAAAGAACACTGGCTGGGAGTACGACATTTTATCAACACTATTTACTCTATTTCTCCTCTAAGGATACAGGTAATCCTTCTAGCTTTAGAATCTAGACATATATCCATAAGTCTAACAGCAAGAAGTCACCTTTGTATAATATTCTATTTGATAAATTTTATCTCCTAATTGAGCAAGACAGGATTACTTTTCCGGTGTAACCTGACAGTCCATTTAAATGATTAAATCATAGTAAAACTAGCTGTATCAATTTTTGTTAATTTTCCTGCTTTGTGTCTAAATGGGTATGTAACAATAATGGTTACAGTTCATTCTTCGTTATTTGAGGTAACAGAAAGGGATATGGAAATGAAACACATATAATATATACAGCCCACTTTATTAGCAACTTTTTTCCTTTTCCCTTGAACTATAAATAACTAGCAAAATCAATGCTGTGAATTTTTTTGTTAAGATGGGATCTCCCTTTCTTGCCCAGGCAGGAGGAGTGCAGTGGGATGATCATAGCTCACTGCATCCTCTAACTGCTGGGTTCAAGGGGTTCTCCCACCTCAGCCTCCCAAGTAGCTGGGAATACAGGCTCACACCACCATGCCCAGCTAATTAAAAAAAAATTTTTAGAGACAGTGTCTTGCTGTGTTAACCCAAGCTAGTCTCAAACTCCTGGCCTCAAGCAATCCTCCTGTCTCAGCCTCCTGAGTAGCTGCTGTGAATTTTAATTATTCACTTCTTTTCATTTTGGATAAAGACACTAATGCACAAGGACATGGCCAAAAAGTCTTCAGGGTGACCAGAGGCCATTTATGATCAACCACTGAGTAATCACAGCTTGAACAAATGTTATAAACCAAAAAAGGATCCCAGTAAATGTTACGGAATAAAATGTTAAATGATATTAACGTAATGAATACTCACACAATTTAAATACGGAAACTGGAAACCAACACTTCTTTTTACTTAAATCCTCCTTTAATAACAAGCTATAGAATGCATTTCAACACACAACCTAATATCAAAGCTCAGTGACAAATGCTGAGTTTTCAAGGCCAAAATTTCAGAAATGGCCTTCTACTTTATTTGATTTGTAGTGCAACTCTGGCAGAGGGTCTCTCAATAAATGCCCCTGTACTGTAATAGCCCATATTAAAATTTTAAATCCACTTATTTTCTATGTTCATTTAAAATTAAAATAATCGGCAGGGCACAGTGGCTCACACCTGTAATCCCAGCACTTTGGGAGGCCAAGGTGGGTGGATCAGCAGAGCTCAGGAGTTTGAGACCAGCCTGGCCAACATGGCGAAATCCCATCTCTACTAAAAAAACAAAATGTAGCTGGGTGTGGTGGCTCACGCCTGTAGTCCCAGCTACTCAGGAGGCTGAGGCGTGAGAATCGCTTGAACCTGGGAGGCGGAGGTTGCAGTGAGGTGAGATCATGCCACTGCACTCCAGCCTGGGCAAGAGAGTGAGACTCGGTCCCAAGAAAAAATAATAATAAAAATAAATAAAATTAAATTAAAATCATCTGTTGTGAATTTTATTCTCTCTCTTCCCTTCATCTTGGGTGGGGAAATTCCTTAACATTCCAAGTCACCGGACAAAGCTTAATTCCAACTGTTTCTGTTCTATCTCAAAACTTGAGAAGGAATCCTATTATAAACACTTCTTGGTAATATTTTATTATGGTAATGAATTTTTGGACAAACTTTTACAGAAAAATTTTATGTAAAATTCAAGTAGGTTGATTTTAACCTCTCACCACTTAAACTTCTAAAATATCTAAATCAGTAAGTATGTAAATACCTTTTTGTGCTCTTCATATTCTAGTTTACTTAGTAACAATGCCTTCTCAAGATCTGCTTCAAACATTTCAGATGTCAGCTACAAAAAAAAAGTTTCACAATAAACAGACAGTATCATTACATCACATGAGCAAAATAACCATACATATTACTATATACAGAGGAAAAGAAAGCAAATATGTTAAAAAACAATATGGATTCTCCAAAGTTATCTAACCATGCCAAACTAGGAAGCCTATATTCTATAGAAGACATCAAAATACAAACTTCCAATTTTGAGATTTCCATTTCTCCTCTTCATTGTTATCTATTATATATGATATAATCTTACTTTTTACCTTAATAAAAAAATCTTACCAAATAATTGGCACTATAATAGATGTCAAAGGCAACATTCAGTTTAGGACACTAAAAATTATGAGTGATTATTACTCAAAAATATAAGAATACTAAAAAATAACTCAATAAGCATTATTAAACACAATATGCCATTTCATGAATATAGAAAAAACCACAGGTACAAAATAAGTTTGCCAAATGTCCTGGCATATGCCAGGTGTTACAGAATAATTGTTCATAGTGCATCTTTTTACTCTCAAAATGATAAACTATATGGTTGCTTTAAGTCATCTAATAATGATTCTTTGTGATATATATTTGTTTCTCTTTTTCACTAATCAATCTCACCTAACTTTTTAAAATCCAGTTTTCACCACCCTCCAATCCAATTAATCTCTACAAGACTTACTTTTCCTAATTGCCAAACAGAATGTTGCAGTAGTTGGATGCGACTTTGAGTTGTCCACTACTGGGCATAAGGTGAGTGGGTTTGCAGCTGTATATAAGATAGCTGCAACATGACATGGGTAAACATCCTGGATTTGTGTACATGTATGTGTCTATGTGTACAGGATAACAAAAGCATAAATTTAGTGGGCATCTCTTGTTTTTATCTGTCCAGAATCCCTTCCTCGATTCCTTTAAATAAGTGCACTTCATTCCAAAGTCCCATGGTTTCAGCAGAACAGCCAGTCGCATAATTCTGTACACTAAGCACTACCATACCACACAAACACCCAAGCTATCATCACCAATGACAAAAGGTGGGGGCAAGTGATCCAATTCCTTTTTTTTCCTCCCAGGAATTAAATTTTGAGAACAAAGGAAAAGCAGGTGGGTTTAATTATCTGATGATAACCCTCGAAAAATGACATCTACTAGCTCATGCCTCTGAGCACTCCCAAATTCCTTGGTTTCCAGCTTTTTCAAGACCTAATTATTTAGTTTTTAATTCAAATCTGTGAATCACTCAGTATCCTTCAAAAAAGGTTTTTGGCTAAGTTAATCATAATTGTTTCTATTACTTAATGATTTTTAAAAATCTAAACTAAAATAGAAACCAACTCCAAAAAGAAGTGATCTGTTTCAAGGAGAAACCTTAAAAACTAGAAAAATCTTAATAGACACTATGAACTAAACATTTCTAAGCAAAGTCATCCCTTTGAAAGCATCTAATCCTATGCTGATACAATAAAAAGAGAGGAAAAAAAGATTAAGCTTACACAGAAAAACAATCGAATGCAGAAAAATACAATTAGAATTAAAATGGTAAGGATATATAGAACTAGAAAATCAGATTAAGCCCAGTGTAAATTATACATACTTTATGGAATAACTGAAAAGAATTGAAGAATTACTCTGAACTAGTAATTAGCAAGAAAAAGTAATAAATTAATCTTTTAGTCTTACTATATACACTTATGTACATGGGTATTCAATGGTTATAAGGTAAAAGGAAATTTCCATCAATTTCTCCACCTAACCTCATGGCAAACTGATAATAAAATGTTTCACTAAACTTAAAGGACAGTAATCATCCTAACAGAAAAATTAACAAAACTAGGCCGGCACAGTGGCTCACGCCTATAATCCCAGCACTTTAGGAGGACGAGGTGGGCGGATCACCTGAGGTCAGGAGTTTGAGACCAGCCTGGCCAACATGGTGAAATACTAAAAATACAAAAAACAAAACAAAACAAAACAAAAAAACAAACAAACAAAAAAACAGCCTGGCATGGTGGTGCATGCCTGTAATTCCAGCTACTCGGGAGGCTGAGGCAGGAGTATCGCTTAAACCCAGAGGCGGAGGTTGCAGTGAGCTGAGATTGCACCACTGCACTCCAGACTAGATGACAGAGTGGGACTCCGTCTCAAAAAAAGAAAAAGAAAAAAAGAAAAAGTAACAAAACTACTTGTTTATTCTGAACAAAGCTTTTCAATTTGCCACTAAAATTTTAATCCCTATTGATGACATTTAATTATAGAAAGGGCATTTGAGATTATTTCTAATATGTCACATAGTCTGATGATATTCCAGAAATAAGTTAGTGGGCAGAACAGGTTAGGAAGTTGGAAGTCTTGTTAGATGTCATTTTTATTTTTCATATTAACTTACAGAATTTAAATGTTAAGGCAGTTCATTCTAATCGCATGATAAAAACTGAATGAAATAGAAATTTTAGGCCAGGCGTGGTGGCTCATGCCTGTAATCCCAGCACTTTGGGAGGCCGAGACAGGCAGATCACAAGGTCAGGAGATCAAGACCATCCTGGCTAACACGGTGAAACCCCGTCTCTACTAAAAATACAAAAAAATTAGCCGGACGTGGTGGCGGGTGCCTGTAGTCCCAGCTACTCGGGAGGCTGAGGCACGAGAATGGTGTGAACCCAGGAGGCGGAGCTTGCAGTGAGCCGACATCACGCCACTGCACCCTAGCCTGGGCGACAGAGCGAGACTCCGTCTCAAAAAAAAAAAAAGGAAAATAGAAATAGAAATTTTAAAGTAAAAACATATGGCCCTCCCAGCAACTGATTCTAATTGTAGCTCAGACTTTAAATCTACCTTTTAATTGTTAACACAAACTAGTATACAAGAAAATGCAGGTAGACAAAAATGATTTAAATTTAAATTTTTGAAAACTAGAACAAATCTTCCAAAAATTTCATTGTATGACCAATCAGCCATTAAGGATTCATTTAGAGTCTTCTAGGGGCTGTGCCCTCCCTGCCTATGGGGCTTAATTTAAAGCAGCAGCATAAATTTGGCTTTTGCCCTTGAAGAATTCCTACCCAGTTGAGGATGTAAGATTAACGTGTATGAACTACAGGAAATAGAATAAGACATTAAAAGAGCTACAAAAGTTGAGAAAAAGAAGATCAACAACAAATGTGATTCAGGAATACAGAAAAAAAATCCTTTTAAGTTGGTATTTAAATATAGATACAATTTGGATAGGCAGAAATAGAACTGCAGGAAGAGCCACATTATGTTAATGTTATAATATTAAGAATAGATATACTATGGGATACTAAGGAAAGTCATTCTGACAAAAAGTGAATTTTAAACATTACAAGAGAAAGATGTGGAAAAAACACAGGCTTTGGGAGATCACAGAAATTGATAATTTAAATTCCTATTCCACCCATGCTAGCTGTGACTTTGAACAAGTTATATTAACTCCTGTGAATCTCAGAACATTTAAAAAGGACATTGGAATATCAACTGTACAAGGTAGTTTTAAGGACTTAAAGTTGTAATATGTATGAAGTACCTAGCACAGTTCCTGGCATAAGAGCAGTACCAAATGAATTAGAATTACTCTCCCATGTTGGAGAATAGTAGAAAATAAGATTGCTTAGTTAGGGCAGCATAAGGTTCCAGACACTTCCTAAAATTTAAGGCTATAGGGCAGAAAAAAGAGGAATGCTAATATTAAATAAAAGTAATTTTTAAGATATAAACTGGAATATTAGAAGAATGAGAACCTAGAATCAATGTGTCTGACTAAGCCATTGTAATCTCAGACAGCATATGGGCACCTGGACCAAAATGTAGCAGCGCAGAAAATAAAGAAGAGACTGATCAAGTTTTGGAACACTGACAATATGAAGTGTGAAAGAATCAAAGATAAGGTTTTTGACCTTAGATAACAGGGAGAATGGTAGCACAAGACTAACACATATCAGAAAAGAGAAAGAAAATGTGATTCAAAATTCTCTAAACATATCTTTATTCTCTATCAAAGACTGCTATAACTATAGCTGACAATCTACTTAATCAGTAAATGTATAGGTAAAAGAGAGAGGGAGACAGAGACAGAGACTGGGCCTATAAGACAGGCTCCAGGCAATAAAATGCAAATAAAAGCATACTTTTAAAAAAGTACCTTGTTTAAGTTTGCGAATGGGAAGTTCCTTATTATTTTCTTTTTATTTATGGGAGTAGGAGGAAAGGAAGAAAAAGAGGAAATAGCAGGCACTAAAATGCCTACAGAATTCAAGAAGATACTTACATGTGTCCAAGATGGAGTACTTCAGATCCCCTTCCTCTTGACTTCCTCATTGCCTCCTACTCCCCATCTAGTAGTAAAACATTTTTTCTTCTATTTAAGCAAACCTATAGCTCAATCAGTTAAAGAGTATGAAGAACCAATGAAAAACCTAAAGGACAGTAAATATTTTGGTACTAACATTTTTTAAAAATTAATTTGTAAGTCTAAGTACCATTACAATTTTACTCATTTAAATCCAAACAAAATAAATTCCAAATGAAGAGTTAGTCTTCAATTCTCATAGGCAACATGGAAATATAGTTACTATAAAACAAAAGAGATCACCATTCTGAAGACATCTAACACTTGCAGCCAACTGATTGGACTTAATAGCAGTGGTGCATAGTGGTCCCCTAACCCATTAGATTTTCAAAGTGTAGACTACATATCTTTCAGTAATTTGGAAGGCAAGATTATTTTCCCAGAAATCTTACAGTAGTCTTATTGAACATAATTATTCTAAAGGTTGTCAGAGTTCTACAAAAATGACATATATAATTCACATTCATTACCACATTCAGTTCATCTCAGCTAATGTATTTTTATGTCTTCTGAGTGCTGTTTGCATTTACTAAGTCTGTATTTTTGTTGTATGCTTTATCACACCTCCAAGCAATAAAAATGGTTCATGAGTCACAAAAGAATTAAAAGTAGTAATGAAAATAGAACCGTAAATAATGCAACTTATAAAAACACAATAAATTTTGAAATTAACAGGACTCCAATACAGTGAATATAGAATATAAACGTGTATGTGTTAGGATGAGAGTGATGTCACAAAAGGAGCAGAAAAGGAAAGTTATAAACAGAAAATTAAGATAATGAATATTTAAAATTTTCATTTGAGTCATCCATCTATTTGCTCCTAGCTACCTGTCATGAAATCTGGTCAGAAGACTGGGTGTGGTGGCTCATGCCTACAATCCCAGCACTTTGGGAAGCTGAGGTATGTGGACTGCTTGAGACCAGGAGTTCAAGACCAGCCTGGGCAACATGGCAAAACCCCATCTCTACTAAAAATACAAAAAATTAGCCAGCCATGGTGGAGTGTGCCTGTAGTCCCAGCTACTTGGGAGGCTGAGGCGGGAGAATCATCTGAGCCTGGGAGTCAAGGCTGCAGTTAGCCATGATCACACCACTGCATTCCAGCTTGGGCGATGGGAGTAAGACCCCATCTCAAAAAATATATGAAAATTAAAAAAGAGAGAGAAAGAAACTTGGTGAGACCAGTGGCCTGAAGATATCACAGTTTTTGTTTCACTTTCAAACAAAGCCAAGGGACCTGTAGGAGTCTTTCCAGAACAACTACTAAGTAATGCTTTCCAGCATAAAAGTGATTAATTTTGTTGCTAAAGAGCCAAAAATACAATGGATTTATTTGAATTTACACTCCTTATAAGGAAACCAGGTAGTCAAACTACTGCCAAGGGATTTATTATACCAGCCACACAGTTAATGATAAATATTACACTCACAAACAAACAAAACCAGAACAAGCTATTGGAAAAAAACCTTTATCAAATGAACTGAAGGATGTCACGTAAGAGAGAACTTGCTATTGTGCACATACTAACAGACATGTCACTTCAGAGTGAGAAAAATACCAGTGACGTGTAGAGTTTGAATCAATACAGTAACAGAAGAAATACACAATAAAATTTGGTCTGTTAATCACTGAAACCCTTAAGAAGAGATTTTTCTACTTATTTTTTGAGTCATGACTTTTAAAAAAAGGTACACTGGAATCAATAGTATCAGTGCATCATGCATAAAGCAGATTATACCTGAAAAACATCTACACAGAGATTTATTCCTAGGCAACAGCTGTTGGTGAACAATATGTTTCTTGATCTTGATTTAATCGTTTTAAAAAACAGTGGCTGGGTGTGGTGGCTCGCGCCTGTAATCCCAGCACTTTGGTAGGTGGAGGTGGGGAGGGGAGGATCATCTGAGGTCAGGAGTTCGAGACCAGCCTGGCCTGTAAAATCCCACCTCCACTAAAAAACAATACAAAAAACTAGCCGGGCGTGGTGGCACATGCCTGTAATCCCAGCTACTCAGGAGGCTGAGGTAGGAGAATCGCTTGAATCCGGGAGGCGGAGGTCACAGTGAGCCGAGATTGTGCCACTGCACTCCAGTCTGGGCGACAAGAGCGAGACTCCATCTCAAAAAAAAAAAAAAAAAAAAAAAGTGAAAATTATGCATACAACCAAGTCAAAGCCATGCCCTACGTATTTTTTTAAAAACAGCTTTACTGGGATATAATTTACATATCATTTTATACATCATGTATCACATGACACTCATTTCAATTAAGAAACATACACATCTTTTGATATATACATCTAAGCAAATAAATGAGTAGGGAATATAAGACCACTTTTCCACAATGAAGTGTGCTGGGATAGATACAAGTTAGCTGCTACTTAGAGTTAATTCTTTATTGAACTAGCTTAAATACTCACCACTAGTGTTTTTTTTATTGTTTGTGCTCTTTATTTAGATTTTCTTTTTAATTGACAGGAGCACATCTCAGAAAAATTTGCAGAAAGGATAATGGTGGTATACTCTCTCAGTTATGGTTATGTCTGAGAGTGTCTTTTTTTTTTTTTTTTTTTTTGAGATAGGGTCTCGCTCTGTCACCCAGGCTGAAGTGCACTGGCATGATCACGGCTCACTGCAGCCTGAGTAGCTGGGACTACAGGCATGCGCTACCACATCCAGTGAATTTTTGCATTTTTTTGTAGAGATGGGGATTTGCCATATTGCCTAGGCTGGTCTCGCAAACTCCTGGGCTCAAGTGATCTGCCTACCTTGGCCTCCTAAAGTGCTGGGATTACAGGAATGACCTGCTGCACTGGGCCTAAGTGTGTTTCTTTCACATTCACACAAATGACTTCTAGGCTAGATGTGAAATTCTTGGTCTTAACATTTTGGTTCTGGTGATTAAAGTAGCCAGCCTGATTCTTCATCCTGTATAGGCAACCAGTTTTCTCCTGTGTATATATTTATACTACTATTTCCTTATTCCTCATTCTTAAAATTAGAATCTAATTCTTAAAACGCTTAAATTTGGTGTTCTTTTCAAGCTTAGATTTTATCAAAATAATCTTTTTTCTTTTTTTAGAGCTAGGGTCTCACTATGTTGCCCAGGCCAGTCTCAAACTCCTGGCCTCAAGCAATATTCCTGCCTCAACCTCCCAAAGTGCTGGGATTACAGGCATGAGCCACTGCACTCGGCCTATCAACATAATCTCTAATACCTGTGTCTCTTCTATTTGTTTCAGGGACATTAATTATGCCTCTGTTGGATTTAAATTCAGTGTTCCAATCTATCATGTCAATTTTATCAGCAAAACTTATCTCAAATTTTCCTTCACAGAATTGGCTCAGCTTTCTTTAGTAGATACTCTGGTCCTTCTAATTAAGTTTTTAATCTGCTATGATTTTACTTCCTAAATTTTAAAATTCACCCATCTCACTTTTTTTTGTTTTTTTGAGATGGAGTTTCACTCTTGTTGCCCAGGCTGGAGTGCAATGGCACAATCTTGGCTCACAACCTCTGCCTCCTGGGCTCAAGATATTCTCCTGCCTCAGTCTCCCGAGTACCTGGGATTACAGGCATGCACCATCACGCCTGGCTAATTTTGTATTTTTAGTAGAGACGGGACTTCTCCACATTGGTCAGGCTGGTCTCGAACTCCCGACCTCAGCTGATCCGCCCACCTAGGCCTCCCAAAGTGCTGGGATTACAGGTGTGAGCCACCGCACCCGGCCCCATCTCAGTTTTAATTCACCCGTCTCCCTTTTAATTTCTCTCAGTCACTTTTTCATTTTAGTGCATTATTTTATCTTACTTTCTTATATAACATTACTATCCCCTTGACTTTTACAAAACGTTCTAGCCTCTTGATTTTTATTAAAGCAAAACATAGATGCTATCTAAAATAAACTTCCATTTCCTGCAGCAAATCTTTTTCGAGGTGTGCTTTCACTCCAGACACTAAGTACAATGTGCTTTTCCTTCATGTGGCAGAAACTTTTCTTCCATTGATACAAGATCAACTGAGATCCAGTGTTTGCTCATAAACAGGCGAACTGAGTGCTTTCCTACTGTCCATCTGGTTAGGTGTTTAATTCTAGCTCTCAGATTGTATGCTAAGGCTTAGTTGATGTAAATTTGCATTATCTATATGGTGATTTAGGAGTAGGAAACTTTGTTCTTACCATAATTTCTCTTTCGTGTTTGACATAAGCAGCCAAGTAACAGCTAAGTTTTCCATGTCCAGCTTTCTGTCTGGCTCAGCCCTCCATCCCCGAAATTTCTCATACTGTGTCAGGAAGAACACCCCCTACATTGTATGCTTTCTGCCTAGTATATAGTCATTGCCTGATCCCTGTAAATGTAGCTACTTTTGAAATCTATTATTACTCTATTAATAAGATAGATTCCAGACAGTATATTGTCCATCAGTTGCAAGGCTTGCCCTTATCTCTTCCTCACCTCTCAGTGTAATTATCCCAAGATCTACTCTACTTCCACACATTATTTTCTTCCAAGTGAGTCTCCCACATAAGGCTCCAGGTCTTCCTAAGTGACCCATCAGTAGTATACTCAGCAGAAATTCGTCAAAGTTCCTGGGCCTTCAACGGCATCCTTATATAGGATCAGGGCCAAGTCACACTATTTCCTTTTCATCATTACCTGCTCATTTCAGCAGCAATCAGTGGGAGCAGAAGAAAAGGCAATCAGATATCTGTGATCAAGTTCCCATGTTGCATGGAATTTATTTTGGTGCAAATTTGAGTAGTTTTCCTTCATTAGTTCTCCAGTAAACTTTAGGCCACTGGGAGAAATTCTCTCCAATGAAGACACTGGTAAATTCTATTACTGGCTAAACAAGTAGATCATCAAAACATTTATATTTGTAAACAAGAATCGGTCATAATGAATATTTTATAAGAAAAAAAAGAATCAACCCCTAGAAACAGTACAAGATGATTTATCCAGTATACCAGTACCTGGAACTGCCATTTGAACAGCACTACTGCATGGCTCTATAGTAATAATTAATGCTCATAATCATGAGCCTGAGGCACTGCAAAATCCTAAAGAAAATGTTATAATTAGCACAGTTTATGTTAAGAGAATAACTCAGTATAGTCTATTTTAAAACTGGTAACCCAAGAATGATAGAAACAGCCACTCTACTAGACCTAACATCTGCTAGAATGATACTTATTCTGAATGCATCAAATGATAGTTTGACAGGCAAATAAATAATTCATCACTTACTATACATATAGCATCTCCTAGAGTACATTCCAGGCTTAGTATGTTATTTTCCTGGACTCCACACACAAAAAAGATATGTATTCGTCTTAATGAGTTATCTATTTTATTTGGTTGTTAATGACATTTAATAGAGACATAGAAGAACAAAATATCATGTAAACAGGTTAAAGAAACAAACAACAGTAAAGTTTCCCAAAGGATTTCTTTTTTAAGCAAAACTGTCACTGGGTATTATTTGTTTTTTGTTATGAGACAGGGTCTCACTCTGCTGCCCAGGCTGGAGTGCAGTGACAAAATCATGGCTCACTGCAGCCTCGACCTCCTGAGCTCTGATCTTCCCACCTCAGCCACCTGAGTAGCTGGGACCACAAGTGTGCGCCTCCATGCCCGGCTAATTTTTCTGTTTTTTTTGTAGACAAAGGGTTTTGCTCTGTGGCCCAGGGTGGTCTCAAACTCCTAGGCTCAAGCCATCCACCCGCCTCAGACTCCCAAATTGCTGGGATTACAGGTGTGAGCCACCTGTAGGCTGTACACACCCAGCCTAGTCACTGTGTATTTTTAACAAGAGATTTCTGCCCTACAAATGTGATTTTCTTACTTGGAATAATTTAATACTGTTCCCCTACCTTCCCTGTCTCTCCCTGATTTGTAAAAGGCAGATGATTTTTAAAACCACAAAATAACTGCTTCCTATTGTCAAAACTAACATAAACAACAAATGTATCACTTTTGTTTTTCAGTAGATCAAAAACAGAACCTCTTATTAAAAGCAACAAATATGAATTAATCCAATACAAATTGCTTCTCAGAACAGTGGTGACGTGAATTCAGAGGCACTGCCATGTGAAAAATCCATAAATTCAATGAAAAACAAAGCAATTTTATTTACTTAGTTGTACCTGCTCATCTCTTTGTCTCCACTCTTGCCAATTTTCTTCTCGTGAATCCTTCTGTACTGGGTTTGACAATGGAAGATCATGTTGAGCGTTACAAACAGCATGGGAGGATTTCTGGGGAATTTTCTTAAAAGCAAGATTCCTGAGCTATAAAACAAACAAAAAATATATTAAATTCAGTTTACCAATCCTGGGATACTAATGATTTTTTTAATTAAAAAAAAACCAATGATATTTTTATACTTCTACTGAAACCACTCGTTTTGCTAACTCACACAGCTAAAGTTATTATTTGTGTTTTCTATAATCTTTGTAGAATGTTAATTTTGCCAGCATTTGAGATAATGTTGGTAGATCTATATATAAAATGATTAAGTGAAAAATGTATTATACTCTATTATACCACCATTTTAATCATTCTTCTTTACTAAAAAGAAGTTTATAGGAGTAGAAAACAGTAAAACAAGTGTGCTTTTAAAATGCAAAACACAACTGGGCTCAGTGGCTCACCCCTCTAATCTTAGCCCATTGGAAGGGTGAAGCAGGTGGACTGCTTGAGCCCAGGAGATTGAGACCAGCCTCAGAAATGTGGCAAAACCCAGTCTTCACAAAAAATACAACAACAACAAAAAAACTAGCCGGGTGTGGTGACACACACCTGTGGTCCCAGCTACCCAGGAGGCTGAGGTGGGAGGATCACCTGAGCCCAGGGGGTTGAGGCTGCAGTGAGCAGTGATCATGCCACTGCACTCCAGCCTGGGCAACAGAGTGAGACCCTGTCTCAAAAATAAAAATAAAATAAAATGCAAAACAATACAGTTCAGAAAGCATACACATTTAAAAGTTTAAATAGTGAGAGATCGCCTAAGCAACTCTGACAACTACTTTGCTAGTCCTGAAAAATACAGGGCCTAGTCCACAAAGTAACATAATCAACTAAAACAGTATGGGCCAAGCCACTCCCAACAATAAAAATAATCTGAGACAAAGTAGTTGAAACGAGAGAAAAATACTGAGAGGCTGTTATGAACTGAATTTGTTAAATTAAGTTTAGCCAGCAGACACTGAGCATACTGCCTATGAGTTAGCCCTGTTCTGCAAGGAGCAGTTTAAAAAAAAAAAAAGTTTAGCCTAAAGCTGCCTCCTTACGTTTTTTTTTTGTTTTTTTTTTTTTTGGCAGAGTCTCGCTCTGTCGCCAGCTGGAATGCAGTGGCACAATCTCGCTCACTGTAACCTCCGCCTCCCAGGTTCAAGCAATTCTCCTGCCTCAGCCTCTCAAATAGCTGGGATTACAGTCACATGCCACCACGCCCAGATACTTTTTCTATTTTTAGTACAGATGGGTTTTCACCATGTTGGCCAGGCTGGTCTTGAACTCCTGACCTCAGGTGATCCCACCCACCTCAGCCTCCCAAAAGTGTTGGGATTACAGGCGTGAGCCACCGCGCCCGGCCCCCACTGCCTCCTTACATATTTTAAGTTCAACTTGAAAGTTTCTCCATACATAGTGAACTGTAACCTAACAATGTATAAACAAACTATAACCTACTTTTGTACCAATCGCCCAGTTTTAGCCAATCACAGGTGGTCAACTGTCAAACCATGTTCAAATAAGGCAAAGGTGGAGCTGTAACCAGTCCAGCTGTTTCTGTACCTCACTTCCGTTTTCTGTCCACAAATACTATCTGACCAACTGACAGCCCAGTTGTAGCTCTGAATCTATTCTGGTTCTGGGGGCTGCTGAATTGTGAATCGGTCTTTGCACATTTGAAGTGTTCAATTTAATTTGTCTTAAGTTTTTAACAAATTGTATCCTCCCTAAAGATACCTTGAAGCCCTAACCTCCAAGTGTCCCTGAATGTGACCTTATTTGGAAATTGGGTCTTTACAGATGTAATCAAGTTAAGATAAAGTCATGCTGAATTAGGTTGGGCCCTAATCCAATATGACTGGTATCCTTATACAAAGAGGTGAAGACACAGATACACAGAGAATGCCACATAACAACACAGGCAGAGATTGGGGTGAGGACACAGCAAGCCAAAGGAATGCCATGGATTGACAGCTGCCACCCAGAAGCTAGAAGAGGCATGGAAAGATTCTACTCAGAGTCTCAGAGAAGGAATGGCCCTTTTGATCTGTGGATTTGAACCTCTACTAGACTCCAGAACTGTGAAAAAATAAATTTCCGTTGTTTTAAGCCACCAAGTTTGTGTTTTTTTTTTTTTTAAGGCAGCCCTGAGAAACTAATAAAGAGGATTTCAACTGAGGATCAACAATTTTAACTGTTAATATTAGGTTGGTGCAAAGTAATTGTGGTTTTTACCAAATACATTGTTCTGCAAAAGGGAGTAAGATAGAAACACCACTGTAAGTAGCTGGTTTCTGATTTGGAAAGGACATTCAGAAGGAGATGCTGCTGGAAATGAAGCACTGGTAGGTCAGCTACTGTTTGCTTTACAGAAAGTAAAGGCTTATAGAACTGCAAATGGCTGAAGTGGAAAGGGTGGATCCTTCACACTCATTCTGTTTTATATTTTCTTATTCTCTAATATAAACTCCATTATTGCCTTATTTTCTGTTTCCCCCAAATCATCTTAATTCCTAAAAGAAAATAGTGGGCAATCAAAAGTTCTGAAAGATCTGACTTCTGAAAGGTTATCATCCAGTGAGGAAAGTATCTTTCCTTTAAAGTTACTGTGTGGATAGCATTTTAAAGAATATTCAGAAAGCAATGGAGATGGAAATGTAATAGAAAAAATAAACTGAAAAGGCTTTTTTCTAAGTCTTGGGACATTACTATGAGAATAAAACACTATTCTTTCATTAAATAATAAAAAGAAAGGTCCTTATATACCCAACGGCTCCTTCTATTAAACAAAACACATACTAGAGTTGTAGCTCAGAATTTCTTTTAAAAACAATGGGCATATTAAATGTTGGGCATTTAAGTAAAGCTAAGGATGTCTAGGAAAAAAGGGCCTTCCATACAGTTTTTACTCTAAAGAAAAGAAATGGGCCAGGCGCAGTGGCTCACACCTGCAATCCCAGTACTTTGGGAGGCCGAGGCAGGCGGATCACGAGGTCAGGAGTTCCAGACCAGCCTGGCCAATATTGTGAAACCCCATCTCTACTAAAAATATAAAAATTAGCCAGGTGTGGTGGCACGTGCCTGTAGTCCCAGCTACTCGAGAGGCTGAGGCAGAAGAACTGCTTGAACCTGGGAAGCAGAGGAGGTTGCAGTGAGCTGAGATCACGGCACTAAAACCCAGCTCGGGCAACAGAGGAAGACTCCATCTCAGAAAAAAAAAAAAAAAAAAGACCATCGAATGCATAAAAATGTACATTCAATGCAAGTTACAGAGGGTCAGGAATAGTGTTGCACACCTGTAATCTCAGCATTTTGGGAAGCTGAGGCAGGTGGACTGCTTGAGGCCAGGAGTTTGAGAACAGCCTGGGCAATGTACTGTGACCCTGTCTCTACAAAAAAACAAAATTAGCTGGGTGTGGTGGTGCTTGCCTGTAGTCCTAGCTACTTGGGAGGCTGAGGCAACAGGACTGCTTGAACCCAGGAGTTTGAGGCTACAGTGAGCTATATCATGCCACTGAACTCCAGCCTGGACAAGAGAGAGAGATTCTGTCTTCTCTTTAAAAAAAAAAAATAAAAGAGGCCAGCATGGTGGCTCACACCTATAATCCCAGCACTTTGGGAGGCCAAGGTGGGGTGGATCACTTGAGCAACATGATGAAACCCTGTCTCTACCAAAAATACAAAAAATTAGCCTGGCGTAGTGGTGTGTGCCTGTGGTCCCAGTTGCTTGGGAGGCTGAGGTGGGAGGATCACTTGAGCCTGGGAGGCAGAGGTTGTAGTGAGCCGAGATCATACTACTGCATTCCAATCTGGGTAACAAGAGTGAGACCCCGTCTCAAAAAAACAAAAACAACTAGTCATATGATTTTTGCCTATAACAGTAAAAAATAGGAAACAACCCAAATGCTTATCATGAGTTCAATTAAATAAAGTATGAAATAACCATGTAGCTCCCTCTCCCCTCTCCCCTCTCCCCTCTCCCTCTCGGTCTCCCTCTCCCTCTCTTTCCACGGTCTCCCTCTGATGCCGAGCCGAAGCTGGACTGTACTGCTGCCATCTCGGCTCACTGCAACCTCCCTGCCTGATTCTCCTGCCTCAGCCTGCCGAGTGCCTGCGATTGCAGGCGTGTGCCACCACGCCTGACTGGTTTTCGTACTTTTTTGGTGGAGACGGGGTTTCGCTGTGTTGGCCGGGCTGGTCTCCAGCTCCTAGCCGCGAGTGATCCACCAGCCTCGGCCTCCCGAGGTGCCGGGATTGCAGACGGAGTGTGGTTCACTCAGTGCTCAATGGTGCCCAGGCTGGAGTGCAGTGGCGTGATCTCAGCTCGCTACAACCTCCATCTCCCAGCCGCCTGCCTTGGCCTCCCAAAGTGCCAAGATTGCAGCCTCTGCCCGGCCGCCACCCCGTCTGGGAAGTGAGGAGCGTCTCTGCCTGGCAGCCCATCGTCTGGGACGTGAGGAGCCCCTCTGCCTGGCTGCCCAGTCTGGAAAGTGAGGAGCGTCTCTGCCCGGCCGCCATCCCATCTAGGAAGTGAGGAGCGCCTCTTCCCGGCAGCCATCCCATCTGGGAAGTGAGGAGCGTTTCTGCCCGGCCGCCCATCGTCTGAGATGTGGGGAGCGCCTCTGCCCCGCCGCCCCGTCTGGGATGTGAGGAGCGCCTCTGCCCGGCCGCGACCCCGTCTGGGAGGTGAGGAGCGTCTCTGCCCAGCCGCCCCGTCTGAGAAGTGAGGAGACCCTCCGCCCAGCATCCGCCCCGTCTGAGAAGTAAGGAGCCCCTCTGCCCGGCAGCCACCCCGTCTGGGAAGTGAGGAGCGTCTCCGCCCGGCAGCCGCCCCGTCCGGGAGGGAGGTAGGGGGGTCAGCCCCCCGCACGGCCAGCCGCCCCGTCTGGGAGGTGAGGGGCGCCTCTGCCCAGCCGCCCCTACTGGGAAGTGAGGAGCCCCTCTGCCGGGCCAGCCACCCCGTCCGGGAGGGAGGTGGGGGGCTCAGCCCCCCGCCCGGCCAGCCGCCCCATCTGGGAGGGAGGTGGGGGGGTCAGCACCCCGCCCGGCCAGCCGCCCCATCCGGGAGGGAGGTGGGGGGGTCAGCCCCCCGCCCGGCCAGCCGCCCCGTCCGGGAGGGAGGTGGGGGGGGTCAGCCCCCCGCCCGGCCAGCCACCCCGTCCGGGAGGTGAGGGGCGCCTCTGCCCGGCCACCCCTACTGGGAAGTGAGGAGCCCCTCTGCTCGGCCAGCCGCCCCGTCCGGGAGGGAGGTGGGGGGGTCAGCCCCCCGCCCAGCCAGACGCCCCGTCCGGGAGGGAGGTGGGGGGGTCAGCCCCCGGCCCGGCCAGCCGCCCCATCCAGGAGGGAGGTGGGGGGGGTCAGCCCCCCGCCTGGCCAGCCGCCCCGTCCGGGAGGGAGGTGGGGGGGTCCAGCCCCCCGCCCGGCCAGCCGCCCCGTACGGGAGGGAGGTGGGGTCAGCCCCCCGCCGGGCCAGCCACCCCGTCCGGGAGGTGAGGGGCGCCTCTGCCCGGCCGCCCCTACTGGGAAGTGAGGAGCCCCTCTGCCTGGTCAGCCGCCCCGTCCGGGAGGGAGGTGGGGGGTCAGCCCCCCGCCCGGCCAGCCGCCCCGTCCGGGAGGTGAGGGGCGCCTCTGCCCGGCCGCCCCTACTGGGAAGTGAGGAGCCCCTCTGCCCGGCCACCACCCCATCTGGGAGGTGTACCCAACAGCTCATTGAGAACGGGCCGGGATGACAATGGCAGTTTTGTGGAATAGAAGGGGGGGAAAGGTGGGGAAAAGATTGAGAAATCGGATGGTTGCCGTGTCTGTGTAGAAAGAAGTAGACATGGGAGACTTTTCATTTTGTTCTGTACTAAGATAAATTCTTCTGCCTTGGGATCCTGTTGATCGGTGACCTTACCCCCAACCCTGTGCTCTCTGAAACGTGCTGTGTCCACTCAGGGTTAAATGGATTAAGGGCGGTGCAAGATGTGCTTTGTTAAACAGATGCTTGAAGGCAGCATGCTCGTTAAGAATCATCACCACTCCCTAATCTCAAGTACCCAGGGACACAAACACTGCGGAAGGCCGCAGGGTCCTCTGCCTAGGAAAACCAGAAACCTTTGTTCACTTGTTTATCTGCCGACCTTCCCTCCACTATTGTCCTATGACCCTGCCAAATCCCCCTCTGCGAGAAACACCCAAGAATGATCAATAAAAAAAATAAAAAATAAAAAAAAAACCATGTAATTAAATATTGTAAACTGTGGATTCATTTAAAATAACAGAGATCTGTATTTACCAATATGGAAAACTGCTCATGGTTAATTTTTTTTAAAAGCCAGTTATAAAACAGTCTATTATATAACCCCATTTTCATTTAAGTATTAGAAGGATATATACATACATGTATATATTCATATAAATTTATATATGTGTACAGAAAACACATACCAAAATATTAATTGGTTATATCTCTGGTTATATCTATAAATGACCTGTTTCCTTTTAAGACTTTCCTATTTTAAACTTTATGCAATGAACACACAAACTTCCAGTCAGAAAAAACGTACTTTAAAAATGTTCAGGCAGGGTGTGGTGGCTCACGCCTGTAATCCCAACCCTTTGGGAGGCTGAGGCAAGCAGATTGCTTGAGCCCAGGTGTTCAAGACCAGCCTATGCAACATGGCAAAACTCCATCTCTACAAAAAACGCAAAAATTAGCCAGGCATGGCAGTGTGTGCCTGTGGTCCCAGCTACTTGGGAGGCTAAGGTGTGAGGCTACCTTGAGCCTAGGAGGTTGAGGCTACAGTGAACTGTGATCATCCCACTGCACTCCAGCCTAGGTGACAGAGTGAGACCCTGTCTCAAAAAAAAAAAAAGATCATTACATTTGATTTTAAATATACACAAATTCACATCCATTCATTGAAGTAATATTTTCAGAGTACCTGTGGAACAGGTACTATGGATACACAGGGGAACAAGATAGTATCTGTTCTCAGGATGATTACCATCTACTGGGAAAGCAGACAACACAGATAATTGTGTTACCTCATTTGCTTCACTCTGTTGCTGTTCCTTCTTTTTTCTTCTTTTCTCTCTTTTTTTCTCATTTGTAGTTGACTTGCTTCCTAAAGTTTGAGACTTTCCAGTATTTCGACCTTTACCTTTTCCAGGTTCAGAATCAGAGCCACTGCCACTATCCACTTGTAACAGGGCAAAACGAGAAGCGGTGGTGGGAACAGAACTAAGTACTGCTGAGGCCATCGTAAAGATTTTTCTTTTAAAATACTTCTGTCAAGAATAATTTCTGTGGGGAGGCAGAAGAGTAGGCAGATGGGTAAACAAACAGAGTAAAATCTGTTGTAGATTCTAAAACAACCATATGTAGATAAAATAAATTTCTTCTGACACTGGATTTAGTAAATTTGGATTAATACCCACAGCACTATTAGCAATAACATACTTTTATATTTAAGTAAACGATATAACATTTTACAATAGAAAAATATGAGATTTCACAGATATAATGTACTCATTTTTCCATGTATACTTTAAAAATTCACAGTCTTCCTCTCTCAATCATTCTGAAATATATACATAGTTATAGAGAACATCCTAAATCAATATGGTTTACAGTGGAAAAGAATATCATTTTTTCATGATACACAAAAAAAAGACCTTTAGTCCAACTACATGTTAACTCCCAACTTCCAATACAAGAAAAAAAGGAGTAAAGACGGAATACCACTCTTATCATATATAAAATACTACCATAGGTTTGATTCTAGAGACTGTGATTTAGAACTGACAGCAAAAATAAAGAGCTTAAATTCTCTCAACCAAAGGAAACTTTTCAAAATGCCTTCCACATTATGTTTAGTTCACTAGTTTCCATGCAAGCATAGGTCAGTGTAGCTTCATTCCATGTGCTGTCAGCTTTTCCACAACCGTTTAGACTTAGAAGGGATCTTAAAAGTCCCCTAGTAGTTCCTAATCCAAATCCTTTAGTTATACAGCTAAGGTAAGTGGAGTTTAAGTTGGTTATGTGACTTCCCTTAGTTCTTTCTGGAAGTTAGCGGCTGAGTCTCCACCTGGACCTAGATTTGTTGAACCTTATTCTGAAAGTCCAAATTAAGAAGCCCTGTAACAACCAGAAGACTAAGTGCTCTTCTAATTAAAAAAGACAAAGATTGTCTTAACAGAATGGCAACTCAGAAATTTGTATTTTGAAATGTTTCAGGTAAAAACTGAATATTCAATTTGAAAAAATTAAGATGAACACTCCAAGTAGCCAGCACAAAGGTTAACAAAACGTTAACTGACTCCTATGCTTCTCTCCAATTGCATTCCCCCACTGCACCAGCCAGAGATAACAAGTATCCTGATTTTTGTATAACTTACTCCTTTGCTTTTCTTTATAGTTCTATTCTATGCCTTGATTCACAGTGATCATATTTGAATGAACTGCTGTCATTTCCACAATATCCCACTGGTTACATATATATTTCTTACTATATTCACATTATCACACAGGTCCACCCTATTCATTGCAGGAAAGGGCTATGTAAAGGTGAATACTAAGAAGTAAGGATCATTAAGATCCATTCTGAAAGCTAACCACACATTATCGTTTGTATGTTTTCAGGAGGGAAGAAAAATGAGAAGTATGTATTCAATCTTCCACCTTAAGTAACCAGAAAAATATTTGGAAATCTTTCAAGTTTTTGGTATACAATGAAGAAAAATCACAGTAAGAACTGATGTCTGAAGATGCCATCTAGTCGTCATTAAGTCATAGCATTTTATTACAGTATCATGTTAAGACAAATTGCTAGAAATATGCAAATCAAGATAAAATATCACAATGTACAGAGATGATACCACATTGATAAACCGTGACAGATTTTTGGCTCCAATCTTTTCTACAAGCATGAGAACGAATGCTTCATAAGTTACTACAAACAAGAAAATGTTTCAAAATGGAAAAGAAATTCCAGAAATATTATGGAAAAGATGAATTCTGCTTCAACCTCAACATATCTTATTAAAATAACCTTATAGGCCGGGTGCAGTGGCTCACACCTGTAATCCCAGTACTTTGGGAGGCCGAGGTGGGCAGGTCACTGGAGGCCAGGAGTTCGAAACCAGCCTGGGCAACATAGTGAGACCCTGTCTCTACTAAAAATACAAAAAATTAGCCGGGCATAGTGATGCATGCCTGTAATCCCAGCTACTCCAGAGGCTGAGGCATGAGAATCTCTTGAATCCAGGAAGTAGAGATTGCAGCAAACCGAGGTTGCACGACTGACTCCAGCCTGAGCAACGGAGTCAGACTCTCTCTCAAAAAAAAATAATAATCCTATATAAAATTTTACTTTCTTGAGCACTCAAGGTACAATTATCCTACATAGTTGTTCAACTATCATTAATATTCAATTTTAAATGTTGGGACTATTAATTGCAAGTGGCAGCTGTATTACTGTTCACAAATATTCACTGTCTCTCCCTGAAGGGGAATGATACTATACATCACTTCTCTGTTGAAGGCAGGCATAACCAGGTAACTTACTTTGGCCAGCGAAATATAAACTTTAAAAAGCTTTACAAGTCAGTGTGTGGTTCAACATGTTCTCTTTTCCCTGCTTCTGCGATTGCAGAAGCATATAGTGAGATGGAATTTCTATCAGCCAGATCTAATAAAGTCTGCAACCACAATGAACAAAGCCCCCTTACTAACCTGTGGTGGACATGGTAGCTTGAGCAAGAAAGCAACTTTGCTGCTTTCAGCTGCTGAGATTTTCAGATTGCTACTGAAGCCTTATCAAGACTTACACCTTACACAAAAAAATTTCTTCCCATTCTAGGACTGATATGAAAACTGTGAATTTCATATATGGATTATTTGCATGCATTAAATGTTCATAAATGTCTATTCTGAAACATCTCTCCAAGGCTCATAGAAATTTTCTTTCTGTAGCATAAGGCAGAGCTATCTTACCAGGGTATCCTTAGATAAAGTTTCCCTTAGGCCTTGGGGTAGCCAGGAAACCCCTGAAAAAGTAAAAGCCTCTGTTCCAGTCACTTCCAGATACAAGAAACCTCATCCGGTGCTCCTCAGTGGGTAGCTCCTGCACATGCTGCTCTGGAGTTATGTCAACTATGAAAAGGGAAGTGCTCCAAGTCCTAGTAATCTACCTCATCAGACAACTGCAGAATGCACTGCTACCCATTATCATAGACAGGCTTGTGAAACTGTTGGAAGATTATGTTCAAGGTGCCTAAACAGCAAGGCACACAGTAGAATAAGCAGCAAGTCAAGAATGGGGGAGCCCAAAATCTAGTGAGCAAGGTTTCCTTAAAGCAACAGCCTTAAATCTCTATATTGATTATATTTTTACCCATTTGCCAGTGACATGCATTTTCAGCAGCATCAAATCTAGCTGCAAGGTGACTGCTCAAACAATGCATATGCTTTCTGTCACCTAGAGCTTTGTCATTAAACACTTGAAATTAGAAAGGTCAATTGAATTTGAAATCCTGTCATTTGCTTATTTATTCATTTGTTTATTTTTGAGACAGGGTCTCGCTCTGTCGCCCAGGCTGGATTGCAGTAACATGATTATGGCTCACTGCAGCCTCGACTTCCTGGGCTAAAATGATTCTCCCAGATCAGCCTCCTGAGTAGCTGGGACTAAAAGTGTGTGCCACCATGCCTGGCTAATTTTTTCTATTTTTTTTATAGAGATGGGGGTCTCCCTATGTTGCCTAAGCTGGTCTCCAACTCCTGGGCTCAAGTGATCCTACCGCCTTAGCCTCCCAAAGTGCTGGGATTACAGGCATGAGCCACCGCAACTGCCCCAAATCCTTTCATTTTTATCGCAAGAAATTTTCTATTACATTTTTGATGAAAAGAGCTGTTAGATTATTTAAAAATAATTCCAACTGTTGTAAATTATTGAATGCTTAGATAAAAATTGTTTGTTTTTATTACCTACTCATACAAATGAAATTTTAATGGGTACTCAATTCTAAGAAATCATTATTTAAAAGTCTAGATCAGGAACTGAATATTCTTATTTCATGGATAAACTGATTTTAAAATGAAAAGTTAATGTTCACAGAAGCAAGTACAATTCTCTCATTAGAAACCCTGAAAAGAGTCTGAAGTTTTATAGAAATTCAACATTTAGTATCTTTCCTATAAATTTATATTATGTTTTACTTATCCTATACTATAACAAAAACGTTTTTCACATTTTTTTCCATCTAGTTCAGTACAGACACCTTTAAATCTCTTTCCAGTTTTGGGAGAATGAGATGCCTCTGGTTCTTTATGTCAGTAATGCAAAAGGCAAATGGCAGGGAGCACCAGCACAAGACCACTGACCTGGAGCCAGAATGCCCATCACACCCAACTTACTACTTAACGTAAGTACTTGAGCAACCTACTTGATCTCTCTTGAGTTGTTGTAAAGACTGAATAAGTTAATATACATAAAGTACTTAGAACAGTAGCCAGAAGCATTCAATACACTCAAGCATCACTTAATGATGGGGATACGTTGTGAGAAATGCATCATTAGGTGATTTCATCATTGTATGAGTATCACACAGTTTACTTACACAAGCCTAACTGGTACAGCCTACTATCCACCTAGGCTACATGGTATGGCCTATTGCTTCTAGGCTACAAATCTGTACAGCCTGTGACTGTACTGGAGGCAACTGTAACACAATGGTAAGTATTTGTATATCTAAAGAAAAGGTACAATAAAAATACCACTTTATATATGTCCATCATTGACCAAAACAAAACATAGTTATTGCAGCACATGACTATATAAGCATTTATGGGTGTTCTTACTATTCTTATTAGACTGAAATGTGCCATGAGGCGCTATGAGGCATAGGAGAATTGGTACAAACTATCTAAAAATTTGACTAAGCATGCCTAACTCCATTGAAAAGTGTTTTGAAACTTTATCAACATCTGGCCCCTATACAAGCTAAGGCTTTAATCTTTGAAATAAAAAAGTTTTTAGGCATTGAGTAGTAGGTGAGTGGTCAGCCACTGAAAAGAGTCAAAGACCTAAAGATTACACATAACATACTACGGAAGGAAAATACCTATCTACCAGAAACCCAAGAGTCACAGTTGAGACTATATCTTAAATAGTGGGCATACAATAGATATTAAACGTTTCTTGAATGAATGAAAAGAAGTAACAAAACAAACACAAAGCAAACAGAAAGTATTATGACAAATACTGTTAATCAAGAAAAGAACCAATGACAAACACTCAAAAGACAAAATTATTTTTCTGGTAAAGCAGCTACCTGTGCTATGTCACATCAGCAACCTATGTGTTAACATGTCTGAAAGGGTACTTCTGTCAGAAGGTTACTTCTGAAAAGCTAAAATGGAAAGGGGGAAATGCCCCTTTAATGACCTCTTGTTTGATCAGGGTAAAGTGCAAAAAGAGTAAGACAGTGGCAGCCACTTCCCATTATATTAGACTTTACATAACAGTAAATATTAAAGACAAAAAATAGCACTACTTAATCTGCAGCTAAGGGGATAGGAGATGAAACAACTGGAAGAGTTCAATCATCTGTGCTATGCTATACTTAAAAAAAAAAATAGCCAACATATCAACACATCATCTACTGCAACAGCCTTGACAGAAATCTACATACTATGTCAAAAGGTACAACGACCAGTACTTCAGAAGTAGAAGAGAAGGAAATGTAATTTTAAATGAAAGAAGGGAATAAAACTTAACATGAAAATAATCCCCAATTTGTAAATATGTCTATTATTCATACACATACCAAAATGAAGAAAGAAATGCATGGGATTACTCACTATGCTTATTTTCCTTTCTATGGTTTTTACTATTTCCCCAAATATTCTACAATGACTATATAAATATATATATACACATATATATACACATACATACATACACACACACATGTATACATATATACGTATATATGTATACGTATATATACACATATATATACACATATATACGTATATATATACGTATACATATATATGTATATATACACACGTATATATATACACGTATATATATATATATTTTTTTTTAGACAGGGTCTTACTCACACACCAAGGCTGGAGCAGTGGTGTGATCACGGCTCACTGCAGCCTCAACTTCCTGGTCTCAGGTGATTCTCCCACCTCGGCCTCCAGAGTAGCTGGGACTACAGGCACGTGACACCATGCCTGGCTAATTTTTTGCAGAGACAGGGTTTTGCCATGTTGCCCAGGCTGGTCTTGAACCCCTAGGCTCAAGCAATCCTCCTACCTCAGCCTCCCAAAGTGCTGGGATTACAGGAATGAGCCACCATGCCCGGCTCTACAATGATATTAGTTCTAAAAAAAAAAAAGAAAAACAACCTCAAAAAGAAAAAATGGTTATCTATACTCAAGTTGAAAAAGTTAAGCATAATGTAATCAATACAATATTGATTTTTTTGCCCTGTGTCAAAATTTAGAAAGGGCAACTACAGGTCAGAATTGACAATGAGACGCCTTTGGCCATTCACATCAGTGACAGACAAGTCAAACGACAGAGAGCAACTATCGAAGACTAATATGTTGCATACTTTTAAGAGAACACTACCCTCGTTAACTAATTTTTCAGAATTTTCAAAAAGATAGTCATGTTATGCAATCCAGGAATTCCTCTGTAACTTTTTTTTTAATCTTGATAAGAAGAAACAAATAGGGAGACTAGGAAAACATTAGGCTTTTAAAAGATACTATATTTCAGGTCATGGCTAGGGTTAGTATTCCTTCAGTCTTGTGTCCTAAACTTCTGCATCTCCACATACAGTCACATCTAAGAGATGTTAGGATAAATAGATTCAAACACAGCTCTTCTCCCTCCCTCTCTATACTTTTTCTCCTTCAAATACACTTGGTCTTTAAAATTTAGATGCTTCTATGCTTAGACATTTATATACACATAATATAATTAAGCCATACAATGCAAATGAAAATACAATGGACTGCCAATTAAGTTACTTAAATTAGTCTATGAATATGGTGGCTAATACTGTATATTAAACATTTACATATTATTAAACTACTACACAAATCAGGTTTTTGGTGCAGAAATCTAATGATTATTTTATTTATATTTTTCCCCTCCTCCCTTTGAGTTCCTTTTAAAAATAATTTCAAGGATATCTGGGCTCAGTGGTGCACACCTGTAATTTCAGCAACTTGGGAGACTGAAGCAGGAGATCACTTAAGTCCAGGAGTTTGGGACCAGCCCAGGCAACATAGCAAAACCGTATCTCATAAAATAAATGATAAAACTAATTTCAAGGATAATGTATAGTTGAAGGAAGACAAAATAAATTCACACGATAATTTTAAAAACAGAAATGTTTCAGGGCAAAATGTGAAATAAACACACATTCTCAATATGCAGGCAGTTCACCATAAATAAATATATCTTCTACTATCTTCCATAATGTAATGACTACCACTAGTACAAACTATTAATTTATACTTAAGATGGCAGCAGGCCACACATGGTGGTTCACACCTGTAATCCTGGTACTTTGGAAGGGCTGAGGTGGGCAGATTGCTTGAGCCCAGGAGTTCAAGATCAGCTAGGGAAACATGGCAAAACCCCTTCTCTACAAAATGTACAACAGTTAGCAGGCATAGTGGTGCATGACTGTGGTCCCAGCTACTTGGGAGGCTAAGGTGGTAGGATCACCTGAGCCTGGGGGTCGAGGCTGTAGTGAGCAGTGATTGTGCCACTGCACTACACCTTGGGTTACAGCCTGAGACCCTTTGTCAAAGAAGAAAAAGAAAAAAAAAAGATGGCAGCAATGTCAAAAATATAACAAAGTCTTTATTTTACATATACTTCATACCCAAAAAGCCAATTATTTGACTTATTAAATGTAATAGCATGCGTTAGGGCTTTCTCTAGCAACCCTCTTTCTTCAGATTTTGCATGTACTCCAAGAAAAAACAACTTGAAATTTCTTGAACACACAATTAGTTTACTTGTTCATATCTTTAACTATGCTGTTCTCTTTTGTCTACAATGCCATCTATCTCTTCCACTGAAAACTTCCATTTATTCCTCAAAATCCTGCTCAGGTGCTAGCATATCTATGAAGCGTTCTCTGACCTGTTCCTGAAGTTAAACATTCCCTCCTCTGTAATATTTCCATACTTTAAACTTACTATTATTGAATGGACTCCAAAAAAATTCTCTTTATTGTTGTGCCTAGCCCCTATGATCCTGATTTCAAGATCCTGAAAGACAAGAGTTTCTATCCCTTACAAATACCACAGGATCTGGCACATAGAAGACACATTTATTGAACTTAGTGTTTTCTTCATGTTTACATTCTTCAAGTACACAGCTGTCTATGCAGTGAAAAATGTGCTCTACAAGTAGAAAAAGAAATATGTGAAGTGCACAATAGACAATCCTCAATTCCCATAACGCAGATGTGCATGAGCAATTATTAGCAGTTCAAAGTTGTTTCATTACGGTAAGTACTATTCTAACAAACTAATTGCCACAACCAATTTTGTCTAGGAAGCATATCTGGTTTTAAAGTGTTGATTTAAGCCAGCCGGGCATGGTGGCTCACGCCTGTAATCCCAGCACTTTGGGAGGCCAAGGCGGGTGGATCACAAGGTCAAGAGATCGAGACCATCCTGGCCAACGTAGTGAAACCCCATCTCTACTAAAAATACAAAAACTAGCTGGGCATGGTGGCGCACGCCTGTAGTCCCAGCTACTCGGGAGGCTGAGGCAGGAGAATCGCTTGAACCAGGGAGGTAGAGGTTGCAGTGAGCCAAGACTGCGCCACCACATTCCAGCCTGGCAACAGAGCGAGAGACTGTCTCAAAAAAATGAAAAACTAAAGTGTTAATTTAAGAGAACTAGGATGCATTGGCTGCTTAAGTAAACTGCTTCTAAAAATGAATAGCCTAAGCTACAAGCAGGAGAATTTTTTTTTTCTCTTTGTGTATACATGGGGTCTCACTATGTTGCCCAGGCTGATCTCAAACTCCTGAGCTCAAGCAATCCTCCAGCCTCGGCCTCCCAAAGGGCTGGGATTACAGGCATGCACCACCAAGCCCGACCCAAGCAGAAGAATTCCTAAGTGGCTGGTAGTCTTGGCCTCTATCAAGGTTTGGAGGCACATTGCCATTATGACCTTATCCCTCTACACTATGACCTCACTAGAATCAAGACAGCAGCAGCCATATCTCAGTCCAGAAGACCACAATTAGGGAACTTCAGAAAACACACACACACACACACACACACAATTATACATATAAAATCCTTAAATCAAGAACAACCAAATATATTACTTTTTATGAGATGAATGATAGCCATCTTCTATTAACACTACCAATTAGCCTGACCAAAAAAAGGTATTAATGTAGATGCCAATTAGTGTGGCCTCACTGAAATATAACTTAGATCGAAATTAACTGAGCGTAATATGAAATGGCACCAAGTATCACTGATTTAACACCTGGTGAAATAAAAAATTGTGTTATTTCATGTTCTGTTCTTCAGATAACCAAACAGTATCTTTCACTTTGGCTTCTTAAAAATTAGGGTTCACAGGCCAGGTGTGGTGGCTCACACTTGTAATCCCAGCACTTTGGGAGGCAGAGGTGGGCAGATCACGAGGTCAGGAGTTCCAGACCAGCCTGGCCAACAAGGCGAAACACCGTCTGTATTAAAAATACAAAAAAAAAAAAAAAAAAAATTAGCCAGGCGCCTGTAATCCCAGCTACTCAGGAGGCTGAGGCAGGAGAGCTGCTTGAACCTGGAAGGCAGAAGGTGCTGTGAGCCGAGATCGCGCCATTACACTCCAGCCTGGGCAACAAGAGCAAAATTCCGCCTCAAGAAAAAAAAAAAATAGGGTTCACAATCAGCAAGTGTGAAGTGCATACTAAAACTCTGCTCCAAACACACTTACTGTAAGTGATGTAAACCCAATGGGTATGCCCCAAACTCCATTTTTTTCTCATAGTTAAGTACTGAGATCCCTCTCCAATCTGCAGCTCCCACTTTCTGCAGGCCAAGAAAGTTAAACAAAAAATACAAGCAGGTACTCAGTGAGGACCTGAGGGATTCTCCCACGAGTAAAATACATCTATTTTCACACAAGGTTCTTTTGGTCAACTTCTGGGTTTTGCTCTTACTCCAGAATTGAAGCTACTATAGTGTTATAAATCTGTTGAGAAAAGAAATCTAGACTTCTATGAAGATTTTTAATATTTTAATTTGCCAAAAAGCTTCTCAAATATTTTTATAGCTACAAGTCACATTTATTAAATGATTCCAGTTACAATCCCAAGCACATTTACTACACAACAGACAATGCTAAATGGTGAAGAAAAGTGTCTCCGGCTTTTTAGTGTAAGACAGACGATCTTTCATTAGTTCTTCTAATGAAAGCACTTGCATCTACTCTGAAAAATCTGGCGAAGGTAAAGAGTGAAAAAGAGGAGGAAGAGAAAAGGCAATCAGCCAATTTGATAAACTATTTTTGTCGTTACTGTTCAATATTTATGAAGCACCTTAATGCTAGAGATCTGACAAAAATTCGGTAAGGCTGTTCCAAACAATAACAGAAAAAAAAATCACTTTTCAATAGCTGGCGGGGGAGGAGGAGGAGCACTATATTCAAAAAGTAATTCACTATACCTCATTCATGAATGAAAGCCAAATTTCACCCATAGGCTGTTAACCGATGCTCCGAAACTTATTCGCAAAGTACATAGAGAAAGAAATTGCGCTGGGCGAAACCTAACTCGGGCAGAGAAGCGGCTTCAAAACCTGAAAGGGAGAAAACGAGTCAGGTCGTTGCTCCAGAAATTTCCGAGCGCCCGGCTCCCCGGGAGGGAGCGCGGGCGCCAGCGGCGGGGAGGGGACGGTGGCACCTGTCACTCGAGCGGCCCCCACGGGGTCTCGGGAGGCTCAGCGGTCGCCGGCCTGGGAGTCGGGTGCGAGTCCCTCCCCGCCGCCCCGAGCCTTGCGCCGAGCGTCGGGCCGCGGCCCTCCCGTGCCCTCTGCCCAGCGGCTCCGGTCAGTGGGGCCCGTCGCCTCAGGCCGAGTCCCCGCCACCCGAGGCCGGGGCGCCGAGGGGAGCGCTGTCGAGCCGCTGCCTACGCCTCCGGGGTGCCGGAGCGGACACCCGCGAGGCGGGCCCGCCTCCGCGTACTCACCGGGCCTCCCGTGCCGCCGGCTCGGCCCTCCTCTCCCTCCTCCCCCCGCCGCCGCCTCTCCCGCGGCTCCCCGGGCGGCCGCACTGGGCGTTGGGACTGGTCTGGGTCAAGTGTCGGCAGAGCTGGGGGCAGGCTCGCGCCGGGCGGGGGTCGCGGTCGGCCCACAGGCTGGGCACTAACGGGTCCCGGGGCGCCGGGGCGGACCGCGGAGGTGAGCGCGGCTGCAGGCTGCGGTGAGGGGCGGGGAGAGCGCGGCTGAGAGCAGGCGGGCGGGCGGAGGGTGGAGGGAAGCCCGGGCGGAGGAGGCGGCGTGAGAGCCTCGGGGCGGGGGCGGGGGCGGGGGCGGGGCCTGGCGCGTCCGCCGAGCGCGGGGGTTTGTTTATTTTCGCGGTTGGTAGCGGCGCTGGCGCTGGTTAGAGGTTCGCCGGTGACGTGAGCGCCCGAGTTGGGGGAGAGGACCAGAACCACCTGCTGGAGAAGGGGAGCTACGGGGGCCGGGCAGGGTCCAAACGCCTCACGTAGGCGGCGGCGCCACGGTCTTCGGGGTCACAGGGAAGAGAAGGGCTCTCCTCAAGCGGGTGGAAGGAGGGAGGCCTCCCGAGGGAGTGAGACTCTAGGCCACTCCCCCGCAGCAAGGCAGGATCACCTGCGACGCGGAGAGCGGTTAGAGGGCCCTGGAGTGGAAAAGGGCAGTGGGACCTGGTAGCTTGGGTTCCCTGCAACTTGGGGTTCGACCTCCAGGCAATGAAGTAGGGATGGTCCTGCAAGTCAAGATTCCAGTAGCAAGAGTGCATCAGATCTCTGTAAGGAAAATAACTAACATTGCTCAGTTCCCTGTAGAGTTGCAGGGCGCTTTAACGTTATCTCCCTTGGTTCTCCATCAGGTCGTAGTGGACTAATTTTACAGGCGAAGTTAAGTGACTTACCCAAAACCTCACAGCTAATAAACGGCAGAGCCGGCACCCAGCTGTACTGGCTTCCAATTCTGTTAGCTTACCAGCGCATCACATTATCTCCATAAATCCCCATGATTCAACTAATATTAGACGCCCCACAGGTAAGATGCTTCAGAGTTAGAGGGGAGTTGAAGATACCTTTGCCTTCAAAGAAGTAAGGAATAAAACAAAGATAAAACAGACAATAAAAGACAAACCATGATAGGTGCCACGTGAAAAGTGGCAGAGTACTGCCGGGAATCAAAGAACCGTGTATATCTGTCTTGGGGATAAGGAAAGAAAGGCAGCATGAAGGAGTAGGCATTTGGGATTGACCTTGAAGGAGACAGGGAGAGTTTTACAGCAAGCAGGGATAGCATGAGAATATATATGAAGGCGAATCAGTGAAAGTTGTGTTGGGGAAAGAGCAAAGACTCCAGGGTATGTTGAGAGGTAGAAAAGACAAAGGAGTATGGGGCCTAAGATACCAAATGGATGAATTTATATTTAATTCAGTATTTTGAGTTTTTATGGTTCAGAAGTTTGGGGGAAGAAAAGGAAGGTTTTTTTTTTTCTTTGTGCTAGTGATTTATCTGTGAGGGGAAGCAGAAATCAGAGGTGGAAAAACGGACAGATCTACTGTAGGCCAGGTAAAAATGATGAGTCTGACCTAAAGGGACAGCTAGGGGAATTTAAAAGAGCATAGTTGAGAGATGATGTGCATGCAGTATCTATAGAATTTGGCAACTGATTGATTAATTGTGGGTAGGAAGAGAGAAATCAAAGAAAGTGGAGGTTTTGAGTTTGTAGATAATTGCAAGAGAGAAAAGAGACAATTACAAAGGAGAGGGAGCTACTTCTTGAGAGATCAGTTTAGATTTGGACATTTTAAGAATTCAAAGGGTTGTCAAGACAGCCAGAGAGACATGGACACTAATAAGTTAGAAATAAAGGTTTTGTAATATGGGAAAGAGGACTGAACTAGAAAATAGACTCATAAATAATCAGCCTAGGAGTGATATTGCTGTGAGATAAAAGAAGAAAACAAAGGTCAGAATCTTGGAAAACACCCTCTTTAGAGTCTCGCTACTCAAAACGTGGTCAGTGGCCCAGCAGCACTGACATGAGGATGTTAGTTAGAAACTCAGAATCTCAGGCTCCACCCCAGACCTGCTGAACCAGCATCTTCAACTTAACAAGAACCCGAAGAGATTTGTGTCACATCAAAAAGTTTGAGAAGCTCTGATCTAGGTGAGCCAAGCCAGCAAAGAAAGGGGATGGAGCAGAAAATGGGAGGAGAATAGGGTAACGCAGAATCATCAAGACAAGGTAAATTGGAGTTTCACAAAAACAGGGCTGGAAGGAGTGTTGCTCAACAATATCCAAAACCACAGAGGTTGAAAAGCACAAGGAAAGAAGGTATGTTTGCACTTTGTGATTAGGTAGTAGGGTCTTTGAGACCACATTGTTCTTATTGAAAGCCTGGGAAGAAAGATCCCCTTTCTGGTCAAGTTTAGTCTAGGGATCCATCCCATCTTCCCCAGTTCCCACGTGTATGGGACATGTCGAGATAAGTAGATAGATTGGACAGTGGGAGAAAGTAGTTCTCTTCCAGTTGCTTCTATTTTCTCAGCAAAGTGAGGAGCAAGATCATTTTGGCAGACTGCTAATTGTCCATCACAATTTAGTCTCCCTTTCTCCCTGAAAACACAGACTGCTTTTCTCAGCCTCTCTTTCAGTTGCATATGGTCAAGTATTAAGTTATAGAACGTGAGCAGATGTTATGTCTGCCACTGTCAGGCCAAGGCGTTTACTTTGAGAGTACTTGTGCCTCTTTCATGCATTTTCCTTTCTGCCAGCTGGACCCTGGACACGGTGACTCTGATTCAATTATGCAGATGACCACAAACCTCTGGGGTTGGCAGAGCCACAAGAAAGAAGGTGCCTGGATGAAGGAGAGCTACCCACTGACCTGGACACCCAATTATGTGAGCAAGATATATTTCTATTGAGTTGGAGCCATAACATTTTGCAGTCTATTTTTTATAGCAGTTTAGCCTACTCTAGGTAATGTAGTCCTTAACGGAAAGTATTGAGAAAAAAAGAGAGAAGGGAGGTGAAATCAGAGTTTATGAGTGAGGGAGAGTGAACTGACTAAAGAACATGGTAAAGTTTCCAGGCATTACTAAGAGCCCCATTGAATAAGTGGTCATGAATTTATAGTGAGGCTAGCCACTTGGTTATGCAATTTTCTCTAGCCATATTCAGTTGCTCATGTGCAGGCACTGAGTAGGCAGTTTTGGCAGTAACCAGGACTGAGATTTGACCAGGCAAGTATAAGGGGAAGATAAGGGCAGAGTTGGTGTTGATAGAGGCAAAGGAGGCCTTATAATTTCAGAAGTGGTAAGAAGTAAAGCTATGAGAGGAGTGAAGAATGGTGGAAAGACGGTAGAGTGACTGAATTGGTGTTTTTGATGAGGTTGAAGAATTGTTGAAGTTTAGTTACTATATGCAATGACCTTGGAACGATAAGAGGTGGTTGGAGAGTGGAGGCTTGAATTAAATTAGAGGAGGACCTGTAGTTACCAGTAATATTACAGTGTAAGGAATGCATATGAGAATGGATAATTGAGGTACCAGAGGGTACGAGATCCTTTGAAGGGAGGTCAAGGAATTGAGACACAGTAAGGATTTTGAAATGAACATCCACATAGTTATATATATCTGTTATACATACATACATACATATATACACATACCCCTCACAAAGAATTACCGCAAGAGTGATTCCACAGTAGTGTTGTAGTAGTGAGTAGTTTTGGAGAGAGTGATAGTAGCCCTAGTACTAAAATCTTTAATCTATGAGTGAGGGGTTGAATTCTTCAAATTAGGCTGCACAGGGACATCAGTGGTTTAATATGTTAAACTCTTGCAAATATCACATTTCATTAAACAGATGCTTTTACGTTTTATGTTGCTAAAGTGAGATTTCTAATTGCTTCTCTCTGACCTCTCAAATTACGATGGTAACTGCCTTCTTTTACAGGAAATGCCCATCTGTCTGTATTAAACACCAGACACATGCCAGGTTTTCCAATTTAAATGACAGTGCTTTAAAACTTGTCATAGACTACTCTGTCCTACCTCCAACGTGTATTTCAAGTAGATACATCTACAGATGCTAGCTCTGCCACATCAAACAATGCACAGTGAATGTTCAAAATCTACATTAAAAACCTCGGTTATAAAGAGCTAGATACTCTGTTTTACATGATGTGATTATTACACATTGCATGCTTGTATCAGAACATCTCATATACCCCATAAATATATACATCTACTGTGTATGCACAAAAATTAAAATTATTATTATTTTTGAGATGGAGTCTTGCCCGGTCAACCAGACCAGAGTGCAGTGGTGCAGTCTCGGCTCACTGCAACTTCCGCCTCCCTGGTTCAAGCGATTCTCCTGCCTCAGCCTCCCGAGTAGCTGGGACTACAGGTGCCCACCACCACACCTGGCTAATTTTTTGTATTTTTAGTAGAGACAGGTTTCACCGTGTTAGCCAGGATGGTCTTGATCTCCCGACCTCGTGCTCTGCCTGCCTCGGCCTCCCAAAGTGCTGGGATTACAGGCATGAGCCACTGCGCCTGGCTCTTCCTTCTTTCTTAAGTTGCTTAGTTTTATCTCTCTCTCTCTCATTTTTCTGAGACTGGATCTCATTCTTTCACTAAGGCTGGAGTGCAGTGACGCGATGATAGCCCACTGCAGCCTCAATCTCCCAGGCTCCCACCTCAGCCTCCTGAGTAGCTGGGACTACAGATGTGCACCAGTACTCCTGGCTAATTTTTTTTTTTTTCTTAAGGTAGAGACAAAGTCTCACAATGTTGCCTGGCCTGGTCTCAAAACTCCTGAGCTCAAGCCATCCCCCTGCCTCAGTTCCCAAAATGTTGGGATTACAGATGTGAGCCACCACACCTGGTGGTTGCTTAGTTTTCTCTATATCTATCACCATTACATCTCCGTATTTTCCACCAGAGTTGTGAAATTTTGTTCAAAAGTTTCAGACATATTAGGTAATCCATCATTTCCATTTTCTTTTCTTGGAGACATCCCTTCTAGACACTTCCATCCTCTAGTGTGCTCTCCAGGCCTGCTACACAGCTGACTTCCTGGAACCTCCCATCACCTTCATCTAGGGCAGGAGTGTCCAATCTTTTGGCTTTCCTGGGCCACACTGGAAGAAGAATTGTCTTGGACCACAATAAAATACACTAACAATAGCTGATGAGCTAAAAAAAAATCACAAAAAAGTATGTTTTAAGAAAGTTTACAAATTTGTGATGGGCCACATTCAAAGTCATCCTGGGCCACACACCACAGGTTGGAAAAGCTTGTCTAGAGAATTCTCTTTGTTTTCTGCTTTGTTGGAGTTCTGGTTTACCAGATCCCATGTTTTTCTGTTTCTCTTTTTCTCTTTTTTGAGACGGACTCTCACTCTGTCACCCAGGCTGGAGTACAGAGGCATAATCTCAGCTCACTGCAGCCTCCGCCTCTCAGGTTCAAGTGATTCTCCTGCCTCCACCTCTCAAGTAGTTGGGATTACAGGCATGTGCCACCATATCGGCTATTTTTTTTTTTTTTTTGTATTTTTGGTAAACATGAGGTTTCACCATATTGGCCAGGCTGGTCTCAAACTTCTGGCCTAAAGTGATCCACCTGCCTCAGCCTCCCAAAGTTCTGAGATTACAGGTGTGAGCCACTGTGCCCAGCCACATGTTTTTCTGTTTCTTGATATACGCCTTTACTTGGATGGAGTGCTCCTTCCAGCAGTTTCCTGAGTGAGAAGAGTATATGGAAGTTAAAATTTTTGAGAATTTCTTGATTTTGACATGTTTTCTGGCTTTCTGTACTGCTTTTATTTCCTCCAATTTCTTTTTTTTTTTTTCTTTTTAGAGACGGAGTTTCACTCGTTTCCCAGGCTGGAGTGTAGTGGCATGACCTCAGCTCACTGCAACCTCTGCCTCCTGTGTTCAAGCAATTCTCCGGCTTCAGCCTCCCAAGTAGCTGGGATTACAAGTGTGTGCCACCACGCGCAGCTACTTTTTTGTATTTTTAGTAGAGATGGGGTTTCACCATGTTGGCCAGGCTGGTCTCGAACTCCTGACCTCTGGTGACCCACCCACCTTGGCCTCCCAAAGTGCAGGGATTACACCACAACTGGCCTCTAAAGCTTTTTTTTCTTTTCTTGTTTGTTCATTGTAGATTCTGTCTTTTATGTAAGGAGGTTTCTTCAAATAAATGGAGATCATCAACTGTTCACCACATTTAAGAATGAGGTGATATCTGGGCATCATGGCTCATGCCTGTAGTCCCAGCTACTTGGGAGGCTGAGGCAGGAGGATCTTTATTATTATTATTATTATTATACTTTAAGTTTAGGGTACATGTGCACAATGTGCAGGTTTGATACATAGGTATACATGTGCCATGTTGGTTTGCTGCACCCATCAACTCGTCATTTACATTAGGTATACCTCCGAATGCTATCCCTCCCCACAGGTGCCAGTGTGTGATGTTCCTCGCCCTGTGTCCAAATGTTCTCATTGTTCAATTCCCATCTATGAGTGAGAACGTGCAGTGTTTGGTTTTCTGTCCTTGTGATAGTTTGCTGAGAATGATGGTTTCCAACTTCATTCATGTCCCTGCAAAGGACATGAACTCATCCTTTTTATGGCTGCATAGTATTCCATGGTGTATATGTGCCACATTTTCTTAATCCAGTCTATCACTGATAGACATTTGGGTTGATTCTAAGTCTTTGCTATCGTGAATAATGCCACAATAAACATACATGTTTGTGTGTCTTTATAGTAGCATGATTTATAATCCTCTGGGTATATACCCAATAATGGGATTGCTGGGTCAAATGGTATATCTAGTTCTAGATCCTTGAGGAATTGCCACATTGTCCTCCACAATGGTTGAACTAATTTACACAGGCAGGAGGATCATTTGAGGCCAGGAGTTTGAGGTCAGCCTGTGCAACACAGAGATACCCCATCTATGAAAAACTTGTTAAATTTGTATTATTTTTAGAGAGGGTCTCACTCTGTTAACCAGACTGGAGTACAGTGGTGCAATCACAGTTCACTGCAGCCTCAAACTCCTGGCTCAAATTATCCTCCACCCTCAGCCTCCCAAGTAGCTAGGACTACAGGTGTGTACCACCAGGCCCAACTAATTTTTAATTCTTATTTGTAGAGATGGGATCTCACTATGTTGCCCAGGCTGGTCTTGAACTCCTGGGCTCAAGTGATCCTCTCACCTCAGCCTCCTAAACTGTTGGGATTACAGGTGTTAGCTAGCGCGCCCAGCCAAAATTTTTCAAATAAAAGAATGAGGCAATAAGATGTTGATGAGAGCCTCTGTAGGAACAATCAGGGATTACTGACTATTGGGCTGACTGTAAAAGACAGTCAACAAGCCACACTCTTCACCGTGGGATCCCCAAACCTCAATATTTGGAGACCTCTTCTCTTGGAGCAGCTGGTTTTCCCCTAAGAAGCTTCCAGTCTCTTGACAGGATCCCAGCATTCTAGGATCTGAATTTGTGAATGAAGCTGGGGGAAAGGGGTCTGCCTTATAATTTAATATGCACAACTTCACTTAATTCTGCTTTTCTGTGTAGTGAGTCATCCCTGTCTTCAGCTCTGCCTGGTGCCTAGGAGAGCTCTGAGTCAACCTCTCCAGAAAGTAAACCATCTATCTTCCGGTGAATTTGGGCAGCATGGAATGGAGTAGGGAATCTAGGGGAGGCAGGATCATTCTCTTTAGAAAACATTCACAGTGAATTCTCCTTTTCAGCCTTGTTCTCCTTCTGCTTTCGGAGAGAAAGCAGCTCTAGTTTTAGAGCCTTTCCAGGGTGCTGTGACATGGATAGGCTCACTTCTGGCTGGTTCTGCCTTCTCCCAAAAGCTGAAGTAGTCACTTTGGCGGCTTTGGTAAGTCAGTGATCACTCATCCATCTGCTTTCCATGCTTCTAAGTTTTGTTGGCATTTTATTCAGCTGGGATCTCTTTCCCTGTTTGCTTTTTCTTTATAGATTTATATCTCTTTTATTCCTTTACTGTCATTTTAATGAGATCTCTGGAGTAAGTGGAGACAAATGTGTGTTCAATGCACTATGCTTAACCAGATGTCCCCTTGCCACTGGGTCTTAACGTGTACAGATGTAATGAACATTTTCTAAGTAGGAAAAGTCCATGTATAGTTAAAGAAATTCCATAATAATTAGAAATAAGTATGATAATAGAATAACCATACCTAACTTAATGCTTATATGTACTTGCAGTCTTTAGAATGGTTGTGTGTGTGTGTGTGTGTGTGTGTGTGTGTAACGTGTCTTATCCTCACAATAACCTCATAATTCTACCCCTAGCAGTCTGAGCCCAAAGCCCCTATCTTACATAACATGGTACATCATTTCCCAAGCTACAGGTAATCTTATTTTCAATTTATCAGGTCTTTAGCCAGTCCCTACTTACTGTTAACTTAAGCTATAACTGAAGTTTTAATTTTTTAATTTTTAATTTTAATTTTTGGCCCGGGTACTATAGCTCATGCCTGTAATCCCAGCACTTTGGGAGGCCGAGGCAGGCAGAGCACGAGGTCGGGAGATCAAGACCATCCTGGCTAACACGGTGAAACCTGTCTCTACTAAAAATACAAAAAATTAGCCAGGTGTGGTGGTGGGCACCTGTAGTCCCAGCTACTCGGGAGGCTGAGGCAGGAGAATCGCTTGAACCAGGGAGGCGGAAGTTGCAGTGAGCCGAGACTGCACCACTGCACTCTGGTCTGGTTGACCGGGCAAGACTCCATCTCAAAAATAATAATAATTTTAATTTTTGTGCATACACAGTAGATGTATATATTTATGGGGTATATGAGATGTTCTGATACAAGCATGCAATGTGTAATAATCACATCATGTAAAACAGAGTATCTAGCTCTTTATAACCGAGGTTTTTAATGTAGATTTTGAACATTCACTGTGCATTGTTTGATGTGGCAGAGCTAGCATCTGTAGATGTATCTACTTGAAATACACGTTGGAGGTAGGACAGAGTAGTCTATGACAAGTTTTAAAGCACTGTCATTTAAATTGGAAAACCTGGCATGTGTCTGGTGTTTAATACAGACAGATGGGCATTTCCTGTAAAAGAAGGCAGTTACCATCGTAATTTGAGAGGTCAGAGAGAAGCAATTAGAAATCTCACTTTAGCAACATAAAACGTAAAAGCATCTGTTTAATGAAATGTGATATTTGCAAGAGTTTAACATATTAAACCACTGATGTCCCTGTGCAGCCTAATTTGAAGAATTCAACCCCTCACTCATAGATTAAAGATTTTAGTACTAGGGCTACTATCACTCTCTCCAAAACTACTCACTACTACAACACTATTGTGGAATCACTCTTGCGGTAATTCTTTGTGAGGGGTATGTGTATATATGTATGTATGTATGTATAACAGATATATATAACTATGTGGATGTTCATTTCAAAATCCTTACTGTGTCTCAATTCCTTGACCTCCCTTCAAAGGATCTCGTACCCTCTGGTACCTCAATTATCCATTCTCATATGCATTCCTTACACTGTAATATTACTGGTAACTACAGGTCCTCCTCTAATTTAATTCAAGCCTCCACTCTCCAACCATCTCTTATCGTTCCAAGGTCATTGCATATAGTAACTAAACACCAGACTTCGTCTCAAAAAAAAAAACAAAAAACAAAAACAAAAACAAAAAAGCAACTAAGAAGAAGAAGAAAGGGAATAAAAACCTCCAGGAAAAATAGTCACAGCCCTAAAAAACGACGAAATCATGTCCTTTGCAGCAACATGGATGCAGCTGGAGGCCAATTATCGTAAACGAATTAGTGCAGGAACCAGAATACCAAATACCATGTGTTCTCACTTACCTTACCCCTAAAAGTTAGATGCCCTTCCTCCATACTCCCACAGTACCCTCTATATTTTTACGAGTCATTATATTCCTCTTTACTTTGTGAGCCCCTTAAAAGCAGAGACCGGGTCTGTTTTACTCACTGGTATGTCACTACAGTGCCAGGCTCATTGTTTGCATTCAGGTGGTTGTTGAATGAACAAACTCAAATGTAACTGCCTATTTACTTGTCTGTCTTTCCTCAACAGGCTGTATGTTCCTTGGTGGATGGATCTGTGGTTTATTAAGCTTTGTTTCTTTTAGCATTTAGCACTCAGCATGAAGACCTAGCACACAGAAGTTTATTGAATAAATTAAATTTGTCAGGATTAATAATTAATCTTTAAAATACAGTATATAGCATTGAAGAATATATAGAAAGTATTCTCAAGATACAGAGAGACATGGGTTGCTCAGGATTATTCCTTTGTGTTTCACTTATAGGAAAGATCTCATACTACAGACTACAAATGCCAAATGACCTACTGTGCTCATACCACCCTTAACCTAGAAATAAAATAGAAACAATTCCTAAAGAAACAGTCTTAAAAATAACCAGCTAAAATTTTATCAACAACAACAAAAAAGTAGTTGGGGTTTCTGCTCATTAAATTAGTTTGTATGGGTAAGCACCACCTAAGTTTCTTGATTCATGGCATGTGTTCTTAAACCAATTTACTATCCACTAAAAATAAATGGTGATCATTATATAAAAAGCAGTTGTATTTCTTGACACTAGCAATGAACCATCTGAAAATGAAATTAAGAACACAATTCCACTTACAGTAGCATCAAAAAGAATAAAATATTTAGAAATAAATTAAACCAAAGAAGTGTAAGACATGTACACTGAAAACTAAAAAACACAGTTAAAAGAATGGAAAGATAGCCTATGTTCATGGATTGGAAGACTGAATATTGCTCAGATGGCAGTACTCCCCAAATTGATCTACAGATTCAATGCAATTCCTATCAAAATTCCATCTTCCTCTTTGTAGAAATGGACAACTGGTCCTAAAATTCATATGGAAACTTAAGGGACCCCAAATAATGAACAAATGTTGGAAAAGAAGAACAAAGTTCATGGGTTCACACTTTGACTTCAAAATTTACTACATAATCAAGACAGTGTGGTATGGTCTGTCATAGGACAGACATATAGACCAGTGGAATAAAATTGAGTCCAGAAATAAACCTGTGTGGTCAATTGGTTTTCAACAAATGTATGAAGACAATTTAATGAGGAAAGAATAGTTTTTTTCAACAAATTGTATTGACACAACTGGATATCTGCATGCAAAATAATGAAGTTGGACCCTTAACTCATACCATGTACAAAAACTAATTCAAAATTGATCAGAGACCCAAATGTAAGACTTAAAACTGTAAAGTGCTCTTCTCCTTCCATCAAAGCTGGTTGGATGTGATTTCCGTGTTCAGATACAATTTATGATACTTGCTTCTTTTGAGCATGCATACATTAGAAGAGCATTTTTTGATCAGTATGTTTACATGTAGTTCTTACAGCTTTATATATATGTGAGCTCAGAAACATATTTCCATCTGAAAAAGCACCCCTAATTTTCTGTCTCCTTACCCTGCTTTACTCTCTCCATAAGTAATGTCACTGGACTGTAAGTTCCTTGAGGGATAGGGCTTTTAGTTTTCAACTCTATCAGCAAAAATATAAAGGTTGATAGAAAATATAAAGCAGGAAAATGCCTATAAATTAAAAGCCTGTAGAAATTTCCATCTTTACATTTTAGCATTTACATATAGATGCCATTTTTTTATATTTTCAGGAAATAAATAACTTTAGCTACCAGCCCACCCTTTGGAAGAGGTACAGATTATTTCCCATATAAGAACTAAACCCCACGGTACTGGCCCATGTCTTGAAGGGTGAAGGGCCAACTAAACTCACATAATCAAATGCTTAAACCTAGCTTCCTTTCTCATGGGAGATACTGAATTTTGTAATAAACCTTACTAAGAATACCTCATACCACTTAAGGTAACTCAGGAAAACTGTATGTTAGTATTCTTCTTTTCTGATTTATTTGTTCACAATCCACTAGAATACTTATGATTGTAGGTTCCATTACCCTTAAAGTCTTGACCTTCTCTTTCCTTGGCTGCTCAGGTCATAGGTGCTGTGATCTAGAGACAAAATGTTCCTTACACTGGCAGATACTTGCAAACTAAGGGGAATGAGCTTCCTTCTGAATGTTTATGAAGGAGAGGCCACTGTGGTAATGTTAAAATTAATACACTTGTTGTATTTAGGAGCTAAAAGTCTCAGATGCTAAATGAGGACTGATTTGCTTTTTATTTGATCATATACCTATACATGTGCAAAAAAAATTAACTACTTGTTTTATAGTTTCTTTGGGGAAAAATAGTTTAAAATTCTTATCAGTTTTAAGAAAAGTTATTTTCCAGCCATAGTTCAATAGCTCACAAATGTAACTGTTACTAAAAAAATAAGTAATAAATAGCCAAAAACTGGTGGCCAAAGATCCAGTAAAAAACATCCTCTTTCACTCATAAATCAACGAAATAGTCATGAAGCACTTCTATGCCTATAAAAATAGATTCAGCAAGTCTTTAAAATATTTTTGCTAGAATTCACATTAATCTTCCCAGAGAATACTCTTATTTATACTGTTGAAACATACATAACTAAAATTGGGAATTTGTTTAGAAGATATATATAACTAAAACTGAGAATTTGTTTAGAAGATGTCTTATGATTTGCATATATGTAAAATAAACAACCATGTGTTCCAAACAGTTATCCCATTTTGACATCCAACTGTATGGAAAACTTACTTATAATTTAATCTTAAACATATATGATGCTTCAATTTTCAAAGTGCTTTCATTTGATAAAGCATTTATTTGATAAAGCAAGGGTATGTAACAAAAATATTCACTATGTAACAAAAATAGTAATTTCCCTAATTTGTGTTTCATTTGAAAAATATGATTTTGATATTAAATGCAGGGTAGTGATTCATAAATAGTTTTTTAAAGGCTGTTTGGTTTAGAAAATGTCATTTAATGTACTCTATTAATAAAATTACAGGCTGTGTCATTCTAGTCATGTCTAACAGCTGGTGACACCTGGAGCTAGCCAGGAAAATGTCTAGTGAAACAGATGGGCTTAGCCCCAGGCCTTGAATGGAACAATTCAGATGCTGTCCAACCCTCCCAGGTGATGGGAATTTCAAAAGGAGATTAACTCCTCAGTATTAAAATACCTTGCCCTGTTCCCATTATTCCCATCTAGAAAAAGCATGCTAGAAAGTAACAACAAAACTTTGACTTTAATAGTTATAAATTATTATGAAAATTATCAGTTAGTTGAACTCGGATAACTCCTCACTCCTTTTCATTCCTAGAGGATAGACAGTGAAGTGCAACTACAGCCCGCAAATGAAAATGAATAATATTAATCCAGCCCCTCAAGGCAGGCGAGTAGCTGCTGGTTTGTAATCTTGAATTAAAGTTTTTTTATACACAGGTTTTTCGGTAGACAAATTCAGGGACATTTTAGCAGAGGAAAAAAAATAAGCAAAATAGTCGAGATATCATTGTTTTACAAAAATAAATCCCATTTTGCCTACAGCAATTTTTTTGTTTGTTTTGGTATATCATTCATGGTTCTTCAAAGGTAAAATCACTTAAGTCCTAACTGCTTTCCTTCAGTGTATGTTGTTAGGCCATTGGAATTTACCACAAACTGCTATTTCTTGTAATTCTCTATCGAATGGCTCCACAATTTCTATTCAAATTCGATCTAGGATGGCTTCTTTTCATAATATCCTGAGTGAATAGTAAACATAGGAAAAGGAACCAGTATAAAAATATACCAGTATGAAAAATAAAAACCAGTATAAAAAAGTTATTTTTTAATGGCAAAGTCAGTACTAACCAAGAGTATTCTTTAGTGTTTAGAGATAGCCAAAGGTTGAATTTAAGTTTCAGTCCTTATGCCAGAGAAATATATTCTCTCAAAATATTTTTTGAAAATCCTCTGCTTGTCTATGGAATGCTTTCAAATAAACCTCTTTCCCCCGTCTCCCTCCCACTCCAGTCATCTGTCTTAGAGCTATTGGAATCCTGGATCATTGTGGGAAATGAAAGGTAAGTAAGTACATGCCTATGATTTGTTGTTGGTAAGTGTGGCGTGGGGTCCAAGGAATGGTTCGTTTAAAAATAAGGCAGACCACGTAACTTTTTTTTTTTTGAGACGGAGTCTCCCTCTGTTGCCCAGGCTGGAGTGCAATGGCGCGATCTCGGCTCACTGCAACCTCTGCCTCACGAGTACAAGCAATTCTCCTGCCTCAGCCTTCCGAGTAGCTGGAACTATAGGTGTGCCACCACACTCGGTTAATTTTGTATTTTTAGTAGAGATGGGGTTTCATCATGGCCAGGCTGGTCTTGAACTCCTGACCTCGTGATCCACCTGCCTCAGCCTCCCAAAGTGCTGGGATTACAGGCATGAGCCACCGTGCCTGGCCGATCACATAACTTCTTTTTTTTTAATTTAATTTTATTTTATTATTATTATACTTTAAGTTTTAGGGTACATGTGCACAATGTGCAGGTTAGTTACATATGTATACATGTGCCATGCTGGTGTGCTGCACCCATTAACTCGTCATTTAGCATTAGGTGTATCTCCTAATGCTATCCCTCCCCCCTCCCCCCACCCCACAACAGTCCCGAGTGTGATGTTCCCCTTCCTGTGTCCATGTGTTCTCATTGTTCAATTCCCACCTATGAGTGAGAACATGCAGTGTTTGGTTTTTGTCCTTGTGATAGTTTACTGAGAATGATGATTTCCAGCTTCATCCATGTCCCTACAAAGGACATGAACTCATCATTTTTTATGGCTGCATAGTATTCCATGGTGTATATGTGCCACATTTTCTTAATCCAGTCTATCATTGTTGGACATTTGGGTTGGTTCCAAGTCTTTGCTATTGTGAATAGTGCCGCAATAAACATACGTGTGCATGCGCTCACATAACTTCTAACAATATTTACCACATTGGACTTGAAAAATTATACCTTGCTTTATATAAGTACTGTAGTAAGCTTGAAAACACAATAATACAGTATACAAATAAGGTTTTAAAATAATTCCTTTTCTACTTTAGTTATATAATTATTAATAGATAGTTTTAAATTTCCAAGAATCATTAAGTATACATTTTTAAAAAATATTTAATTTTCTATTCTTTTCTGTTGTGAATGGTTTTGTTCCTTGGGCATATAGGGATCTTGCTCATTATAACAGACTATGAGATTGTTGTATTTTTCTCTTAAAGTACTGTAGATAACTCAATAGAGCTGTGTGTTACAATTAACCAGTAGAACATAATATCTAAGTCTTATTCAATATATTTGGGTTCAAATTACACTGTTAGCATTTCAAATAGTGCCAATTCTGTTGACTCACTGCAGAAATTCCTAGAAGGAAATATAAAAACAGACAAATGAGAACTATGCAAAATATCAAAAGCCATCATTATAATATCAACTTTTTCTGGGATTTCTTTTCATAATTTCCTTTGTTCTAATTACCTCCATGTTGGAGTCATGTTGGGGTCAACATGAAAGCCATTATAAAAATCAAACACTATTCCAGTGTTTGATGCTTTCTTTGTATGCAGTACATTCCAAGGAATGGAAGGAATCACAGCAGTCAACCTTGGTGTAGGCAATAAGGGGTGCATTGTTTACAGATAATTTAAAAACAACAAAACCTATGAAAACTCAGCCTGCTTTTATCAGCAGCAATGACAGTGATAAAATACTTCTCCTTATCGGGCAGAGGCTCCCCAGTACCCTACCCTTGGTGTACTTCTGCCAACATAAGCTCAAAAGTACTACATGCCCAATGCTTTTGAGATGCTTATTGCAAATGGATCTCATTCTCACCTTTATATTTTCAATTTCTGAAAATATAAATGTAGAAGAATATATTACCAGTGTTAATCAAGGCAGCCTATAATCTGTTACAACTTTAAATGTTTAAAATATACATAATGAATTTTTTTAAAAAGTCCAGTGAAGTTGAGAGAGGAATTGTGGACATAAGTAACTTTCTACCTGAACTTTCAAATACTGATACCCCAGTGCTTTAAAGTCACGAGTAGGTGCCTAAGGAAATAAGTGAAAGATCAAAATATGTCATACTTGCATTTAATGTATGAGAATTTGTTTTGACCACAGAACCGAACTCCCACTAAGGATTTCACTCCCTGATAGTCATTCCAAAACTTAGTATAAGACTTTTATTTTTTTCTATATAAGGAATTTAGTCTCAAATAAGCATTCCTCACTTTACTGGCCTAGACTGAACAAGGCAATGGCTAGTGGCAATCTAGTCCACAATTAATGAAGATCATATTTTTGCTGACTCCTTGGACCCTGGGTTCATGAAGATATGAAGAATTGAGGCAACGACAAAAAAATACATTAACAAAAAGAAAGCAAACATTAAAGCACAAAAGCACCTTCATCAATGTTCTCACCACCTGTGGTTCCCAACATAAAGAATTTTCCATTTCTGTTAGCTATAACACTCTAGAGTTAGGAAAGTAACTAGTACTTTACAAATATTTTTCCTTTCAAATGCTTTATTACAGTTAAGAGGAAAAAAGAACATAATGAACGAAAAAAAGAAAACCACAAACATTTTATATACATGCAAAAAGGCAATAAAGTGACAAAATGTTTAGAAAAAGCATGTGAAAAAGTAAAATCATTATTAGTATATGTAAAAAAATAATTTTACTTGCCTTGGGTAGGTGTCTAATTTTTTTCTTTCCTTTGTGAGAACACCGACTAAACTAGAATGACCAGAGGTTCATTTCCAGAATATATTATTCACGACGTTATTTATATGTGTGTTTGCATATGTGGCATGAAATGTCATATATATAAAGGATATATGTTTAACCAAAAGGAAGAAAAACACCATACCTTTGTTATTTAGAAATCAACTCACAATTGCATAGTCAAACCTAATCATTGTTGTTTTGATATAAATTTTCTTGCTTTATTAGTGAGTTGGCTTTGAGGAAATGTGTATTTCCACAGGTAAAACAAGTATGTGTTAATTTCTTGAGCAAGTAGGATTCCAGTATCAGAATACATTCTTAAATGAATTATTCCTAAATAACGCATAGCACATTACTTAATCTTATAAGGAACTTATTATTAGGATCTTCATTAATAAATATTTATTTATAAATATTGCTGTGCTTGCTAAGGGCACTGACCTTTGGCCATTATATATATCTATATCTATGTATATATACAAGTGTATCTATATATACATTATAGCTATATAATGATATATCATGATATAAAATATGATATGAAATAATATAAAGTGAAATAATGTAAAATGTATAACCTATATCTATATACAAGTATATATATAATACTATATATATACAAGTGTTTATATACAAGTATATATAATGGTAAAAGGTCAGTGCCTTCAACAAAGCACAGCAATAATATATTTAAATAAATATGTATTTATTAACAAAGATCCTAATTATAAGTTCCTTGTAAGATTATGTGCTATGCCTTAGTTAGAAATAATTAATTTACACATACTTGTTTTACTTATGGAAATACAAACACATTTCCTTATATACTTGTATATGTACAAGTGTATATACATATATATATATGAAATATATATAATAATGGCAAAAGGTCAGTGCATTTATACATATTTATAATGTGTATGTTTTACCTTTGGTTTGTATGATTTATATTTATATATAAATGTACATAAATTTATAAAAATGGAAGACTAGCTGGAAACCAGAATCTGACTTCAAACAGTTCCTGGTAAAAATAAAATTTCCCAGTTAAGTTTGTAAATTAGTTTTTTGAAATTTAGAAAATAGTATCTCATTGGACCAATATTTATAAATTGTTTCATTCCCAGGTAAGTCCACAGAAATCTATTTAATTTAAATAAATTTTAGTACCATGCTTAAGAGATATTTTCCTTTTTATAAGTTTGTTTTGTTTTGGTTTGTTTCCTAAAGGAACTGGTTTTTAGCAAGGAGACCAAGAAACTCTACTCCCTAGGGGCTAGCAATGAGAGAAAGGAAGCCTTAAGTCTTTGAGCACAGGGTGACAGTTTGGGTCCTATGTGAGATGATCAAATCCACAGCAACAGAGGAAAGGACAAAAGGAAAAGGTCTGTAGCAGCACTACATCAGAAAAAAATGGATTCAGCAAGGAAGTGGGTGACTCTGAGTAAGCATCCATGTCAGGATGGTTTTGCTACAGCCCCCAACAAAACATTAATTAGTTTAAGAAACTCAACTTCGGTTTACAAGTGTTTTGGAAAAGTAACAAAGAACAACATAAGTAACAAAATAATTCCTCAGGTCATTACAATGGATGTTTCCTATAACTGAAAAATATGGTTAAAAAGTACAAACTACATTTGGTGTGCAAACTGTTTAGTTCTTAATTCCAAACTAAATTGTACATTATATAGTAAAATTTTGACCAGAAAAACTTGGAGATTTTAGTAAAAATTTCATTGACATATTTACAGCCCCAGTGTAGTTTGGCCGGTGTGCAAAGCCTGACTAAGGAGGTTATAGAAAAAAATATCAGACTTAAGCCCATCAAATCATTAAAGATGCTTTGGCAAGACTTCAAGCTTTACAGACATACTCCATGTGACCAGAGATGTCATAACCAGTGTTCTTTCTCTTGAAATGTTAGAATGCTTTAGTTTTATTCTATAATTTCCGTGTTCCATGGAACAGCATTCATTTCTCCCAGTTTTAGTAACATAATGAGAGATATATTGAGTGTATAGAGCAGGAAAGACATGAAAACTTATATTGCATAATATTAGCAAACATAAAAGATAGCATTATAAATTTTTAAAAATCCAAAAAAATTCCAGAAACAGAACAGTGAGCATGTTTAAAAAGTCAGGACTGACCGTTTCTGTGAGTTCTGAGGACTGTAAATGAGCCTCAATCCATAAAGCTGAGAGGTTGTCTTAGCCCACATATGCAGCAGGTGACTCCCTCTGACAAAAGCAAGATTTAGCTGGATCTTTTAAAAAAAAAATATACTTGTATTTGAGAATAACAATAATATAGTTATATTGTAACATACTTTTATGATGTACATTTATATTATATAATAATACATACTTGATAGATATTTTAGTCTATTACTAGTTTTAATCTTCAAATATGCCTGGAAAAACATTTAAGCGTATTTATAAATATTTAAATGTTATCAAGTATTGGAAAACATGTTTGATTACTATGGGAATATAAACTAAAACTCCCCAAATATATATAGAAGATGTACACATCTATAGCATATAAAAGAATTAGGGATTCCTTCCTCCCCTTCTTCCTTTATTCTGAGGAAAGAGGTAGTGAACTTGAGCTTTAGTTTTTAACAGGTTAGAAAAAGGAATCTTTTTACATATCTACTAAAAGTTCTATTATTCAATGTCTAAGTTTTTAAGTCCCTTGGTTTCCTAGATACTTCGATGGAATCAGCAGCCATTGATCCAATGCCAACTCCAAGACTGGAACGTCGCAATGATAGTTCCAAGGCGGAAATTTGACGTAATTCTTTTCGACACAGTTTTACAGGTGTGACACCATGAAGTCGTCCCACATTTCCCACAACCTGAATTTGGGATGACAGTCGACTGTGAGATTTTGTAAACTGATTATCATCTGTTTCTGTTTTATTCTCATTACCTAACATATGCCCACTGGGGGGTGCTAAAGAACTATGAATTGGAGGTAATTCTGGGATATCTTCCCAGAGCTTTTGAGGATTTGGCTGTGTTCTTAAGCTGCTTGCTGAACTGTCCATTTCTCTTTCTCTTCCACTTAATTTCATACTTTCAGGTCTGGATGCCCATTTTAATTCTTCTGAAAGCATGCCTCCTCCTTCTGGCTTCAGGACTCCATCTCCAGCCTCTTGATCTAAAAATAATCCCCAAACCAAAAAATTAGATACTATTTCCTCAAAATTAGGTATTTTAATCAAAACATCTTAACATAAATACATTATTATCACCCAATATGCATAATGTTTTTCAACTTTTTTGTTAAATGACTTATTTTAGATGAACAGATGTGTGAATATGAATATTTTTATTTCACTTACAGGCATCTTGCATGTGAATAACTCACAACTTTAATTCATGGAACAAATTGAGAAATAGTCTTTTGGGGGTTTGGTACTCCCTGGAAACATAAGAGTGCTTTGGGCACCTCTGGTGCCTTTCCATGCCTGCCTTCTCTGCTGTTCTTGCTACTAGTGAATTCTAAATCATGGCCAAGTGATGCCAGCACTGGATAATATTGGCTCTGCCCCATATCTCGAGGGAAAACTCTAGGACTTGGCATTATATGTGTGGGAATCTGGCCTTGGTTGGCACTCCCAGCATGATAGCGGGGTTCTCCTGTCTGAATGTACTCTGGGGTGTGCGCCACAATTTCTGTCATCGAAATGGAGATGAGAGAATATGCCCTTGGTGGGGACACCCCACTGGAATTAGAGTGAAGAGATCAAAGCTAGAGGTTCTTAAATCAAAGAATATCTAATAGCAAAGACAAAAACTTGCTTAAGGGAAATGCATACAAGTACTAGACCTAATATGATGAAAAATGCCAACTTCAATATATTGATGCATGCTTAGTACACTTTCAGTCCTGCAAAGACAAAGTTTTTTGTTGTTTTTTTTTTGAGACGGAGTCTCGCTCTGTCGCCCAGGTTGGAGTGCAGTGGCGTGATCTCGGCTCACTGCAAGCTCCGCTTCCTGGGTTCACGCCATTCTCCTGCCTCAGCCTCCCTAGTAGCTGGGACTACAGGCACCCGCCACCACGCCCGGCGAATTTTTTGTATTTTTAGTAGAGATGGGGTTTCACCGTGTTAGCCAGGATGGTCTCGATCTCCTGACCTCAGGTGATCCGCCTGCCTTGGCCTCCCAAAGTGCTGGGATTACAGGCATGAGCCACCGCACCTGGCCCAGTCCTGCCAAGACAAAGTTTTAAAACACAGGTTGCACATTGGCAGCTCTCAAGCCAAATCTGGCCCATAGACATGTTTTGCTTGGCCTATAATGTTAGTAATACTTGACCCAAGATTTAAAATTTGAAAAGTTTCATATAAAAATATAGATTTACAGCTTTTCTAGAAAAACTATAAGAGTTAACAGTTTCTGAATTGCAATAGCAGCTGGAACACCGTTGCCACTGACCATTTAGATGACTGCTGCAGTCCCCACTGCTCACTCTGGTTCAGGTAGGCATTCTAGTTTGTAACCCCTGGTTTAAAACATAACTGACTCTCTAGTTTTTAAAAATCTCTCAAAATCAAATAACCTGAACTAGCAAATGATCTAGATCCTCGTACATGGAACTCATACTAAGTTGACCACAGACAGTGGCTCCCAAACTCTGCAGTACATCAGAGTCACTGGGAAGCTTTAAAAAATCCTGCTCCCTAGCTGGGTGCGGTGGTTTATGCCTGTAGCCCCAGCTACTTGAGAGGCTGAGGTGGGAGGATTGCTCAAGCACAGGAGTTTGAGGCTACAGTGAGCCATGAATGTACCACTACCGGTAGCTCCAGCCTGGGCAACACAGCAAGACCCCAACTCTAAAAAAAAAATCCTGCTCCCCAGGTGACAGTATCTGGGGGAAGGAGTAAGGCATCTTATTTTCAAAAGATCTTAAGGAAAGAGTCTCATTGTTGAGGCTCACTCCAAAGCCCACTTGGATTCTTCACAAGAAAGTTTCCCTCTTCCAGAATTTTATAATTGAGGGAACCGACTAGGGAAAGATTAATTTGCCCAAGGTCAAACAACTAGTAAAAGAAGTAAGGATTCCAACCCAGATCTTTTGACTCTATTATCCTTACATATAGTTTTATAGTGATTTAAATTGATACAAGGATAGGTTTAAATACAAGTAGAGAGAATGTAGGTTCATATAAAACTGATTTTATCCTCATGTTAGAAAACATATACACTGTAACAGAGGGAGGACCATCAAGTGACCAAGATATTTTAGTCAAAAGATGAATTTTTCTGCAATTTGAAAATGCCAAAAATATTCAAAGAAAATATAATTCTTGTAGGCAGTCTTCTATCAAAACCCACTGAACCACCGGGCACGGTGGCTCACGCCTGTAATTCCAGCACTTTGGGAGGCCAAGGCTGGTGGATCACCTGAGGTCAGGAGTTTGAGACCAGCCTGGCCGACATGGTCTCTACTAAAAATACAAAAAATTAGCCGGGCCTGATGGTGGCGCCTGTAATCCCAGCTACTGAGTAGGCTGAGGTAGGAGAATCGTTTGAACCTGGGAGGTGGAGGCTGCAGTGAGCTGAGATAGCACCACTGCACTCCAGCCTGGGTAACAAGAGTGAAACTCCATTCAAAAACAAAAAACAAACAAACAGAAAAAACACTGCAGCAAATACCAAGATAGTTATTAACTAGGATACTGATTATTAAGCATGTAAAACATTTTATGAAACTCAGAGTTTGATATAAATTGCTATATTTTATAATTCAAACAAACCTTGTTTCATGTCATTATATTAGAGTAGCATTATGAGACAGGATATAGTGTAAACTATATCCCCAATATAATTGCAACTGTATATTTTAAAGCATGGGCAAAATATGAAAAGAATTATGCTCAAATGTGGGTAGGATTATAACTGATTTGTTTTCTTCATTTTCAGATTTTTCTATAATGACTATACATTATTTTTATAGCCAAAAATAGAAGCATTTTAAATGTTTCTAGGTAGAATAGCAAATTAGCTGAAATAGTATCTCCAACGTTATTATCAAGACTAGACTCCTTGGGTAAACTGGTCAGAACAGTGTTGTTCTCATTTTACACCTCTCCAAGATTAACTATGTTTTAGATTTGTCTGTTTGTTTGGTTAAAGAGCAGGATGAAGATCCAGATTTCTTAAACCTGTATACCACCATACTACATTGTCATTTTAAAGAAATGTCTAGTAGACTCGGTGGCATAAACATGGGCCATTTACAAACTAGATGTCTAATATCAGATACCTCAAATTTGACAGTAGACTTTTTTTCAAAGCTAAAGTGGTCTTATGTTGACTATTTTGTTTCTTACTTGATACTTGTTTACTTTTTAATTTTTGGCAAGTAATGTTTCAAGTTAAAGTTTTAGCTATATATAGCAGACAGTATTTCAAGTAAATGAGTTACATCAGTAAACACCTCTGTATTACTATACTGAGAATCAGAAAGTGTAATCTCTTTGGCAGGATTCGTATGTTTGTATCACGTCTTTATCCTCAGGCAACTTTTATCTTGGAATACTGAACCAGCAGTCAGAAGATGAGGGACATTAGACTGTGTTATAGTTACTGTTCTGTCCTTAAGTCACTTGCCTTCTCTAAGCGTCAGTTGCCTCATCTGAAAATGGAGTTAGCAGACCCCAGCCTATCCTGAGTTTGAGGGCTAAAGGGAATTATTCTTGAAAATGTCTATACATGATAAATGTCACAAATATAAGTTAGCATTTTTTTTTTTTTGAGACAGAGTTTCGCTCTTGTTGCCCAGGTCGGGGTGCAATGTCGTGATCTCAGCTCACTGCAACCTCCGCCTCCCGGGTTCAAGCGATTCTCCTGCCTCAGCCTCCTGAGTAGCTGGGATTACAGGCATGCACCATCACACCTGGCTAATTTTGTATTTTTTAATAGAGACGGGGTTTCACCATGTTGGTCAGGTTGGTCTCGAACTCCTAACCTCCGGTGATCCACCCGCCTTGGCCTCCCAAAGTGCTGGGATTACAGGCATGAGCCACCGCACCTAGCCAATTCTACTTCTATTACATTTTCAGCATATATCACTTCATTGCTCCTCCATATTATTTTTCACTGGTCTTCTTACATCTTGTGTGCCCATCTTTAAGTAGTTTTCTTTCCAGGTAAAAAATACATGTGTGCCTAAAAGATTTTAAAGTCAACTTTTCATAAACCATACTTAAATTATCGAAGTTATTAGAATTATTAGAAATTATCAGCTAATTCTTTTATAAAATGTAGACTTTATTATTTTAGAAATATTGATTCCTCTCTATTCAGCTATCTTAAAGAGGGTATATTTTAATCATAGGAATATATTACCTTCATAGTATTTTTTATTTTTGCAAAGTATATTTTGTCATGTTATTTCATTTAGGAATGCACTAAATCTACATATCTACATATGATTATACAAGGAAACATCTTTGTCTCAAAAATAGGTTCTATTACATTTTTTAATTTCCAGGGTTCATGATATATAAAAATACCTGATTTATCTTAAAAATACAAACTTTTACTCTTACCTACCATACATCTTTTTTTGTGATAATCAGAAGGCTTAATTTACTATAAAATAGGAAAACAACAGCTATGTTAGATAATATAGTTAATTTAGGGATTAAATGAGATAAGGTCTACAAGCCCCTGGCACATGGCAGACAATCAATAATTGATCATTTCCTTTGCATCTATAAATTTGTTCATTCACTTCTCATGTGGTTCTACTTTAGACAACGATTTTTGTTTACAGAGACAAATAGAAGTATCTAATCCTAAATAACCCAGTCAATTGGTAAAGGCTACACTACAAAGCTGGCATGACTTCACCAAATGCTAGAGAAACAGTGTTAAGAGTGACAACACTAAAAGTCTTACACTCTGATGGTGCTAGTTGCCGCCGAATTGCTTCCCCTACCAGTTCCTTAAGTTTCTTCTTATGATCCCGGCTGGTTTTCTTATAGAAATAAAGATCTTTTTCCAACTGCTGGATTTTATCTTCATATGTTTTGAAAGTTTCCATAATGCCTTCTCCATCTTGTTCTATACAACAAAAATTTGCATTTAAAATCAGTTTTAAATAAATGATGCAAAATTATGTTTTTGTTTGTTTGTTTTTTTTGAGACGGAGTCTCGCACTGTCGCCCAGGCTAGAGTGCAGTGGCGTGATATGCTCGGCTCACTGTAAGCTCCGCCTCCCAGGTTCACACCATTCTCCTGCCTCCGCCTCCCAAGCAGCTGGGACTACAGGTGCCTGGCACCACGCCCGGCTAATTTTTTTGTATTTTTAGTAGAGATGGGGTTTCATCATGTTAGCCAGGATGGTCTCGATCTCCTGACCTCGTGATCCGCCCGCCTCGGCCTCCCAAAGTGCTGGGATTACAGACATGAGCCACCGTGCCCGGCTGCAAAATTATGTTTTAACATAGGCCCTGGACTATATTTAAAGGATAAGAAGCATGTTACACATATCTGTTACCTGAATGGGTTTGTTTTCAGCTACCATTTGGATTTTTCTGCCTGTAAAATTTCCCAAAGTAGGATTGAGAGCCCTTAGTCACCTCCATCCTACCCCCTACCAACCCTCACACTTTCATAAGAATTTTTTTGCAGTAGCTACCAACTAGACCTATCCTTAGAACACCAGAAATAAGGTGTTTTCTATAAAAAGTTCAAGTTTGGAACTCTGTTCATTGGCTGCTTTAGTATCTTCTGTAAAGTTTATATCAGGAACTGTGGTTATATAAAAAGTCACATGACTAGGATTTATAGGCCCAAGAAATATACAGCCAAAACCCCCACAAAAACCAAAACCTGTTAAAAGAGGCCATAAAGACTAAATCACAAAGGAAAACACCACAGAAAAAGAAGAGGGAATATAATCCAGCATAAAGTTCTAGTTTATGCCACAATATAACTTAAAGTTTCTAAACTTTAAGTTTACAGGTAATAAAGTTTAGAAACTTTATTAATATTTTCATTAATATTTATGAATGTCTAACATTGTCTCCATTGGGTTATGCTCTTGAACCAGTGAAATCCAGTTTACTAACCTTCAGAAAAAACATAATTTCAGACCTACTCTCCCCTACTGGCATATTTATAAAATGATCCTACTGGTTTGTGATTTTCTTTGGTTACAATTGGCTGTTTTGTAGAATTTTGTTTAAGTATATTTGTATATTTTAAATTAGTCCATCATCTTGTTTTAAAAAATACTTAAAATTAATGAGATCATAAATCAGAATCCCCATAAAGTATGTCATATTAATCAACTTAATTTTATGTCCGATATTCAGTTGAAATTAGAAAATTCATGAATTGTTTACATTGTCAGTTATAACTTTGTTTTTATTTGATTTTCTATTACTATTATTTTTGAGACAGCATCTCACCCTGTTGCCCAGGGTAGAGTGTGTAGTGGTGCAATCATGGCTTACTACAGCTTCAACCTCCTGGGTTCAAATAATCTTCCCACCTTAGCCTCCGGGGTAGCTGGGACCACAGGCACATGCCACCATGCCTGGCTTAATTTTTTAAATTTTTGGTAGAGATGGTGTGATGGTTACTACTGAGTGTCAACTTGTTTGGACTGAAAGATGCCAAGTATTGATGCCAAGTATTGAGTGTGTCTGTGAAAGTGTTGCCAAAGGAGGTTAACATTTGAGTCAGTGGGCTGGGGAAGGCACACCCACTCTTAATCTGGTGAGAACCATCTCATCAGCTGCCAGCGAATATGAAGCAGGCAGAAAAAGGCGAGACTGACCTAGCCTCCCAGCCTACATCTTTCTCCCATGCTGGATGCTTCCTGTCCTCGAACATCAGACCCCAAGCTCTTCAGTTTCGAGACTCAGACTGGCTCTCCTTGCTCCTCAAGCTTGCAGACAGCCTACTGTGGGACCTTGTGATTGTGTAAGTTAATAATAAACTCCCCTTTATATATATAGAGAGAGATATAGATATATAGATAGCTATATATATTTATATAGATATCTATATCTATATCTATATCTATATATCTCCTATTAGTTCTATCCCTCTAGAGAACCCTAATACAGGTTTTGGTACCAGGAGTGGCTCTAAAGGAACAGAATATTAAGGATGGAGTTCTTTTGTTGGTTTTGGGGTTTCTGGAGTTGGCTGCTTAATCTGATTAGACCCAAAAATGCTAAGGACTCTACTCCTAATAGTATGGAGAACACTGATAGTCCTTGACATGAACTGTTTACAGAATTATGCAAAATAAATGCATTTGACACTCCTGATTCACTGCTCATGAGAGGCAAGGAGTTTAGTGACTCTGTGTAATAAATTTGACCATATGTGGAGAACCAAGGAACATAATGAAGCTGGTTGGTTGCTCCTAAGTTCAGTGGACAAAGTGATGAAAGAAAATGATGAACTCTTCTACCTCAGTAAAATTTCTAGGGGTCCAGTGGTGTGGGGCCTGTCGAAATATTCCTTCTAAGGTGAAGGATAAGTTGCTACATTCGGCCCTTCCTACAACCAAGAAAGAGGCACAATGCCTAGTGGGCCTATCTGGATTTTGAAGGCAGCACATTCCTCATTTGGGTGTGTTACTCTGGCCCATTTATTGAGTGACCTGAAAGGCTGCCAGTTTTGAATGGGGTCCACAACAGGAGAAGGCTCTGCAATAGGTCCAGGATGCTGTGCAAGCTGCTCTGCCACTTGGGCCATATGACCCAGCAGATCCAATGGTGCTTGAGGTGTCAGTGGCAGATAGGGATGCTGTTTGGAGCCTCTCCCAGGCCCCCCATAAGTGAATCACAGTGGAGGCCTCTAGAATTTTGGAGCAAGGCCCCGCCATCTTCTGCAGCTAACTACTCTCCTTTTAAGAGACAGCTCTTGGCCTGTTACTGGGCTTTGGTGGAAACTGAACGTTTGACTATGGGTCATCAAGTCACCATGCGACCTGAACTGCCTATCATGAACTGGGTGCTTTCTGACCTATCTAGCTATAAAGTGGGTCGTGCACAGCAGCATTCCATCATCAAATGGAAATGCTATATATGTGATCAGGCTCAAGCAGGTCCTGAAGGCATAAGTTACATGAGGAAGTGGCACAAATGCCCATGGTCTCCACTCGCCACCCTGCCTTCTCTCCTCCAGCCTGCACCGATGGCCTCATGGGGAGTTCCCTATGATCAGCTGACAGGGGAAGAGAAGACTAGGGCCTGGTTCACAGATGGTTCTGCACGATATGCAGGCACCACCTGAAAGTGGACAGCTGTGGCACTACAGCCCCTTTCTAGGACATCCCTGAAGGATACCAGTGAAGGAAAATCTTCCCAGTGGGCAGAACTTTGAACAGTGCACCTGGTTGTGCACTTTGCATGGAAGGAGAAATGGCCAGATATGCGGTTATATACCAATTCATGGGCTGTAGCCAGTGGTTTGGCTGGATGGTCAGGGACTTGGAAGAAGCATGATTGGAAAACTGGTGACAAAGAATTTTGGGGAAGAGGTATGTGGATGGACCTCTCTGAGTAGTCAAAAACTGTGAAGATATTTGTATCCCAAGTGAGTGCTCACCAACGGATGACCTCAGCAGAGGAGGATTTTAATAATCAAGTGGATATGATAACCCAGTCTGTGGATACCACTCAGCCTCTTTCCCCAGCCACCCCTGTCATTGCCCAATGGGCCCATGAACAAAGTGGCCATGGTGGCAGGGATGTGGGCTCAGCAACATGGACTTCCACTCACCAAGGCTGACCTGGCTACGGCCACTGCTGAGTGCCCAGTTTGCCAGCAGCAGAGACCAACACTGAGCCCTCAATATGGCACCATTCCTCAGGGTGATCAGCGAGCTACCTGGTGGCAGGTTGATTATATTGGACCTCTTCCATGACAGAAAGGGCAGAGGTTTGTCCTCACTGGAATAGACACTTACTCCGGATGTGGGTTTGCCTATCCTGCACGCAATGCTTCTGCCAAGATTACCATCCATGGACTCACAGAGTGCCTTATCCACTGTCATGGTATTCCACACAGCATCACCTCTGACCAAGTTACTCACTTTATGGCTAAAGAAGTGTGGCAGTGGGCTCATGCTCATGGGATTCACTGGTCATTCATGGGATGAAGGTCCCCATCATCCTGAAGCAGCTAGATTGATGGAACGGTGGAATGGCCTTTTGAAGTCACAATTACAATGCCAATTACATGACAATACTTTGCAGGGCTGGGACAAAGTTCTCCAGAAGACTGTGTATGCTCTGCATCAGCATCCAGTATATGGTACTGTTTCTTCCATAGCCAGGATTCACGAGTCCAGGGACCAAGGGGTGGAAGTGGAAGTGGCACCACCCACCATCACCCCTAGTGATCCATTAGCAACATTTTTGCTTCCTGTTCCCGCAATATTATGTTCTGCTGGCCTAGAGGTCTTTGTTTCAGAGGAAGAAACACTGCCACCAGGAGACACAACAATGATTCCATTAAACTGAAAGTTAAGATTGCCACCTGGACACTTTGGGCTCCACCTACCGTTAAGTCAGCAGGCTACGAAGGGAGTTACAGTGTTGGCTGGGGTGACTGACCTGGACTATCAAGATGAAATCAGTCTACTACTTCATAACAGAGGTAAGGAAGAGTATGCAAGAAATACAGGAGATCCATTAGGGCGTCGCTTAGTATTACCATGCTCTGTGATTAAGGTCAACTGGAAACTACAACAGCCCAATCCAGTCACAACTAAAAATGGTCCAGACCCTTCAGGAATGAAGGGTTGGGTCACTCTACTAGGAAGAAAACCCACAACCTGCTGAGCTGCTTGCTAAAGGCAAAGGGAATACAGAATGGGTAGCAGAAGAAGGTGGTCATCAATACCAGCTACGACCATGTGACCAGCCGCAGAAACGAGGACTGTAACTGTCATAGTTCCTCCTTATTTTGTTAAAAACATGTTTGTGCACATATACACTTGTACTAAGAAAATATCTTCATTTTATTTCCTTTTTCCTTTATCATGTGACATAAGATTTATTGACTTCACATCAGCATTTAAGTACTGTTAACTTTATGTAATAGCATTTGGGTTGGGGATTGGTGCATTTCCGGTTGTATGAAGGATAGTTGTATTATGTGAGGTGTAATTATAACCTTATTATTGTCTTTATTTGAAGATTATGTATGATCTCAGGAGATGTGTATGAGCTCAAACTGACAAGGGATGGACTTGTGATGGTAAATACCGAGTGTCGACTGGATTGAAGGATGCAAAGTATTGATCCTGGGTGTGTCTGTGAGGGTGTTGCCAAAGGAGGTTAACATTTGAGTCAGTGGGCTGGGGAAGGCAGATCCAACCTCAATCTGGTGCGCCATCTAATAAGCTGCCAATGAATATAAAGCAGGCAGAAAAACATAAGAAGGTGAGACTGGCCTAGCCTCCCAGCCTGCATCTTTCTCCCATGCTGAATGCTTCCTGTCCTCGAACATCAGACTCCAAGTTCTTTAGTTTTGAGACTCGGACTGGCTTCCTTGCTCCTCAAGCTTGCAGACAGCCTATTGTGGGACCTTGTGATCATGTAAGTCAATACTTAATAAACTCCCCTTTATGTTTATATATATATTTATATAATATAAATCCTGTATATTTTATATATCCTATATATTTTATATATCTATATATCATATATGCTATATCTATATCTATATATATCTACATATATCTATATATCATATATATGATATATGATATATCATATATATGATATATATGATATCTCATATCTGATATATCTGATATCTCATATATGATATATCTGATATATCATATATGATATATCTGATATATCATATATGATATATATGATATATCAGATATGATATATATGATATATCAGATATGATATATATGATATATCAGATATGATATATATGATATATCAGATATGATATATATGATATATCAGATATGATATATATGATATATCATATATCTATATATCTATATATATCTATGTATCTATATATATCTACATATATCTACATATATCTATATATCATATATGCTATATATGCATATATGATATATATGTATATATCTATATATCATATATGCTATATGTATATATCTATATCTATATGTATATATACATATAGATATGTATATATCTATATATAGCTATATATGCATATATACATATATATCTATGTATATACATATATCTATATCTATATATAGATCTATATATATCATATATGCTATATGAATATATGCATATATGCATATATGATATATATATGCTATTCTGTCCCTTTAGAGATCCTTGATTAATACAGATGGGGTCCCACTATGCTGCCCAGGCTGCTTTCAAGTAAGCCTCCCACCACAACCTTCCAGAATGCTGGGATTATAGGCATGAGCCACTGCACCCAGCCACAACTTTGTTATGAACAATTTGTACAGCTATAGAAATGAATGACTTTTTTACTTTTTTTTTTTTTGAGACAGGGTCTTAACTCTGTCACCCAGGCTGGAGTGCAGTGGTGTGACCACAGCCACTGCAGGCTCAACCTCTGGGACTCAGGTGATCCTCCCATCTCAGCCTCCCAAGTAGCTGGGACTACAGGTGTGTGCCACCACGCTTGGCTAGTTTTCTGTATTTTTTGTAGAGATGGGGTTTCGCCATGTTATCCAGGCTGGTCTCGAACTTCTGGGCTCAAGCAATCCTCTTGACTCAGCCTCCCAAAGTGCTGGGATTACAGGGATGAGCCACCATGTTTGGCCAAGTTTTTATATATTCTTATTTGGCTATAGCATGAACTTTTGTGGTATAATCCCACTCACTTTAAAAAATATTAAAATATCAGTTTCAGAACTAAACTAAGGTAAGGAGAGCATGTTTGAATGTAATGATGTGTGAGATCTTGCCAGGAAATTGTCATTAGGCAACTGGTTGCTAATTAACCAGTGACAGAATTAACTTAGAAGCAAATTGCCTCAACACTCAAATTCACAGATTTTTCCAATTTTCTGCTTACTCAGGTTGCTTCTTCCAGATCCCTTTTGATCTACTTTCAGCTATGGATTCATGAGAATCAAGACTAAGCAGCCTGAATTGAAGGAGTAACAGTATCACCTAACAATGATTTTGCTGCCATAGTAGCTGTTTGTATACTGGCCATATGCCTAGGTAAAATGAGGCCAGATCACTCTCAAGAGTTTTCTATCAGAGTTGGTGGTGAACTACTGCTCACGGATAATGGTATGTGCCCATCAATGGCAGTATAATTTTGACCCAAGATATTACTTTAATGCATAAAATTTTATAATCAACTGACAATTATAACCAGAAATATAACTAGGAATATGACAGAACCTATCACTTTAATTTTGTGAGTGGAAAATAACTTAAATATGATAGTATTATATCCCTGAGAAATAAAAAAAAATTCAACTGTATACCAAAAAGCCTGAATCAATCCCACATTTCTACATAAAAACTAGACCAACAACAAGCTGACAGGATTGTAGCAGTTCTTATGTGCATACTGGAGGCAGGCAGAAGGGATGGCATTCCAAGCACGAATAGCCCTACAACAAAGTCAACTGTCCCAAAATGCGGCAACCAAAACATGTAAAGCCCAAAAACTTGTCTAAGTAGCAACTATTTAAACATGTTGACCTTTTAAGTGATCAAATTCTGTCCTATCTTCCTTCAGTACCCACACCTACACATCAACCTTACATAACTGTCAAAAGGGGAAGTTACCTTTGAAATGATGTAATAGCAACTGCATCTTTTGTTCGTGTTCCTTTTGCTGGAGGGTCAGTCTCCGGTCACACTGCAATTTTAGATGGTCCAGTGCAGATTCTAATTCACGAACCATATTATCCCGTTCCAGAACTTTCATTTTCATTTCTTCATTATATAACTGTTGTTTCCGTTCAGCTTCTCGCAAATTCACCACCTAACAAATACATATTTTGACCTGTTAAGTGTGTCTTAGATAAGCTAATATAATAATCTACTTTTCTTAGGCTACTTCAAGATGAACTTCCTTAATCTCCATAGTGTAAATGATTCCTGCCAGGTATTGGGTCCTTAGGCAAATGCTTTGTAACATATTCACAAAACAACCTAACAGCCTTTTGAATTTGTTGGAGTTCAGGCCAGGCACAGTGGCTCACGCCTGTAGTCCCAGCAGTTTGGGAGGCTGAGGTGGGGGGGATCGCTTGAGGTGAGGAGTTCGAGACCAACCTGACCAACATAGTAAAACCCCGTCTCTACTAAAAAATATATAAAATTAGCTGGGTGTGGTGGTGCACGCCTGTAATCCCAGCTACTTGGGAGGCTGAAGCAGGAGAATGGCTTGAACCTGGGAGGCGGAGTCTGCAGTGGAGCCAAGATCGCCCCATTGCACTCCAGCCTGGGTGCAAGAGCAAAACTCTGTCTCAAAAAAAAAGAATTAATTTGTTGGAATTCTGAATTGATGACATTTTCTTTTTTTTTTTTTTTTTTTTTTTTTTTTGAGGAGTCTCGCTCTGTCATCCAAGCTGGAGTGCAGTGGTGCAATCTCGGCTCACTGCAAGCTCCGCCTCCCGGGTTCATGCCATTCTCCTGCCTCAGCCTCCCAAGTAGCTGGGACTACAGGCGCCCGCCACCACGCCCAGCTAATTTTTTGTATTTTAGTACAGATGGGGTTTCACCGTGTTAGCTAGGATGGTCTCAATCTCCTGACCTCGTGATCTTCCTGCCTCAGCCTCCCAAAGTGCTGGGATTACAGGCGTGAGCCACCACGCCCAGCCGACACTTTCATTTTTAATATACTGTTGCTCTAATAATCACCCTTCCATAATTTCTTAAATGTAATCTATGCAGTTTACATTTAATAATTCTGTAACTTTATTTCTCTAGTCTAAGTGGATAGTGAGAGGGCAAAGATTCTTGAAACATCTAGACAATTCCAAGTTTTAACTCCAGAATGGATGTTATAAATAAGTGACAGTTTGGGTGTTTTGTTGTTGTTGTTGTTATTGTTAAGATGGAGTCTCACTCTGTCACCTCAGGTTGGAGTGCAGTGGTGCAATCATAGTTCACTGCAGCTTCCAACTCCTGAGATCAAGTGATCCTCCCACCTCAGCCTCCCACATAGCTGGGACCACAGGTACATGCCATCATGCCTGGCTAAGTTTTTTAAAAAATATTTTCGTAGAGACGGTCTCACTATGTTGCCCAAGCTGGTCTTGAATTCCTGGCCTCAAGTGATCCTACTGCCTTGGTGTCCCAAAGCACTGGGATTATAGGCGTGAGCCACCACACCCAGCCATGTTATGCATTTTGTCTACTGGATTCTTCCCTGCTGATGTGAAGTAAAAATACTTCAGACAATGTCTATATCACAGAACTTGTTAATAATCTAATGACCTCTCCAGAAAAATAATCATTAATACAAGGGTTCCCAGGATCAGAAAATCCACTGACCTTAGCCAGGTTGCCTTGCTTTAAGAGTAGCACAAGGGCCAGGCACCGTGGCTCACACCTGTAATCCCAGCACTTTGGGAGGCCGAGGCGGGAGGATCACGAGGTCAGGAGTTTGAGACCAGCCTGGCCAACATGGTGAAACCCCATCTCTACTAAAAATACAAAAATGAGCTGGGCATGGCAGCACACGCCTGTGATCCTAGCTACTCAGGAGGCTGAGGCAGGAGAATTGCTTGAACCCGGGGGGCGGAGGTTGCAGTGAGCTGAGATCACACCAGTCTGGACAACAGAGTGAGAGTCCATCTCAGGGAAAAAAAAAATAAAAGAACAGCATAAAGAGTTATCTCTATCAGCCTGGGCGCGGTGGCTCACGCCTGTAATCCCAGCACTTTGGGAGGCCGAGGCAGGCGGATCATGAGGTCAGGAGATCGAGACCATCCCTGTCTAACATGGTAAAACCCCGTCTCTACTAAAAAAAAAATACAAAAAAAATTAGCCAGGTGTGGTGGCGGGCATTTGTAGTCCCAGCTACTCAGGAGGCTGAGGCAGGAGAATGGCGTGAACCTGGGAGGCAGAGCTTGCACTGAGCCGAGATCACGCCACTGCACTCCAGCCTGGGCGACAGAGCGAGACTCTGTCTCAAAAAAAAAAAAAAAAGTTATCTATGTCAAAGCACTCCACTATCTTTCTACCCTCCAAACATGCAGCAATAGGATGCACTCTCATCAATAACAATAACAGTAGCTTACTACTGATGATGATTATCCAAGAGGAGGCTGTGCATAACATTTTCATTTATCTTATTTCACAGAATTATAATTTTATTTAATTTTTTTGAGACAGGCTGTTGTTCTGTTGCCCCAGACTGAAGTGCAGTAGTGATCATAGCTCACTACAAACTCAAATTCCTGGGCTCATGTGATCCTCCTGCCTCAGCCTCCCAAGTATCTGGGACTACAGGTGTATGCTACCATACCCGGCTAATTTTGGTATTTTTTGTAGAGAAAGGATCTCAAATTCTGGGCTCAAGTGATTCTCTTGACTCAGCCTCCCAAAGTGCTGGGATTACAGGCATGAGCCACTGCACCTGGCCTTAGGACTTTATTTTAAAATATCAGTGTTTTATTTTTCATTAATTGTCTGATATTCCCATAAATTGAATGTACTTTTCAGAGAAGACTTATCTCATTGTTTAACACTTCGTAATATATAACTTAAGTGGAAAAGACATTAGAGAAAAGACAGATATAGTTCTCAATGCTATGAAACATCTCTGGATCAGTAAATTGTCTAATCTGTAAAAAATACATTTTAATTGATTTAAGCACATTCAGGTTAATAAAATCTACTATTATCTTTGCCACTGATACACCACTTCATCTTCATTTCAACTCATACATGATGAGAAAGTACAGATTCCCCTACCCTGCAGCAATGAAGGAAAGGGAATCAAAACTTGGAGGGCCCTTGATTTTTCATGAGTGCCAGGTAGAACATCCAAATCTAGAAAACATCCAAGAAATAATGAGCAAGGAATATAACTTAAATTCTTTGGTTTTAAAAACTTTCAAAAAGGACTTCTTTTGAAAGGCCCTCCAACTTTAAGAACCTCACAAAGTTAGGCCTACATCTTTGGATAATCACAAAGCTTTCAGATGACAACATTTAGTTCTATAAAGAGAAATCATGCTTAAATTTGTAGTTACATCATCAAATCTTTAAGCCTTTCAATTTCTTTAAAAATTCAAAATAAATATAGGATGTAAGCATCTTGACCCATCTTTATAAGAAAAATATTCTGACCCTCAAAAACAAACCTTATTGAAATATCTGAAAAGAATAGTTCTAATCTCAACAGGACTCAGGCAAGCTAGCTTTTCCAAGACATTTGCTTCACCACGAGAGAGGTTATGGAATGATGCTCTAAGTGACTTCTGGCGATTCTGGATACTTTCATTCCTGTATTCAATTGCAGCTTCCAAAGCTTCAATCCCTTCTTCAAGTTGGAAAAGAACATGTTCTTCCTAGATATAACAGAAATCACTCATTTTAAATGAAATAGTATAACTTTGACTTTGTCATATACTCAGATCCTCCTAAGCTATTTGAGTCTAATGGATATTACCACTCTTGTACTAGATTTTAAGAAAATGTTTTTTGAGCGCTTGCTATGCCACATAATGCAGTGTGTGTATACATGTGTGTATACACACACATAAACACACACACACAACATATTAACATAATCATTAAGCCGTCACAATAAACCTGATGGAGTAAAATGGAAAAGACAGAAGTTTAGGGGAGTTCTGAAATGTTCCAAGGTTATACAACAAATGCTGATCATCTAATCCACGGAATATACTTGAACAAAGCCTAAGCCCACAGGATTAGCAGTATTGTCATATATCTCCTCCATAACCCCTAAAGTGCATATTGTGTGTCAATATTTCCACTAGTGAGATCTAGAGACTCACTGTTGTCCCTTCAGTGATCTATCAAAACAATATACTGCCTAGAGGGAATAACTTATTCTAAATGTTAGAATAAGTTATTAAGAACTAGTAATAAAAAAGCACAATATGGCATAAAAAAGTAGTGAGGATTTAAGTATCTGAAATATTTCATAAGATTCCTATGAAATGTTATTAGAAGGAAAATGTAGGTGTTAAAAATAGGGCAACGTAGTATTTTTTCACATACTAGAGAAGATCGATGAATCCCTGTAGGAAAACCTACAAGTTCTCTTTTTCCTTTTCTTTTTTTATTTTGGACACAGGGTCTCGCTATGTTGCCCAGGCTGAACTCAAAAGTCTTGGGCCCAAGCGAACCTCCTACCTTGCCGTCCTGAGTAGCTGGGACTACAGGCACATGCCACCATGCCCAGCTCTTCCAGTTCTTTGAACTATCCAAATACATGTTATGTTGGTGATACAAATCTGTGGTAAAGAATTACTTCAGATTGGTGAGATTTGGATATATGTTTCCATATACCCATACCTATTGTGGAGGCCACCTTGATAAGTTCCTGTGGCAGACTATCTTGTCCATCTGCACACCCTTATTGCCTAGCACAGTACCTATCACATAGTTTGAACTCAATATCTGTTGACTTAATGAAGAAAGAAGAGAAAAAAGTTTCATGTGTCCTTGGTTACAGGACCCATGTTATTTCTCTCCACTCCTTCCCCTAACATCCCAAAGGAAAATAATATGAATATTTCTTTCTTTTTTTTTTTGACAGGGTCTCACTCACTTTGTCATCCAGGCTGGAGTGCAGTGGTGGGATCTCAGCTCACTGCAACCTCCACCTCTTGGGTTTAAGCAATTCTCCTGCCTCAGCCTCCCAAGTAACTGGGATTACAGGTGCATGCCACCACGCCTAGCTAATTTTTGTATTTTTAGTTGAGAAGGGGTTTTGCCACATTGGCCAGGCTGGTCTTGGAACTCCTGACTTCAGGTGATCTCCCTGCCTCAGCCTCCCAAAGTGATGGGATTACAGGTGTGAGCCACCATGCCTGGCCAATAGTGTGAATATTTCTGATCTACCTAAAGAAAAATGTTCACCAGCCATTCTATTTCTCTGTGCAATCACTAACCATATGGAATTTGATGGTTTGATAATTGCTCCATAAGGAATAAAATAATATTCACCTTTTCAAGAAAAAAACCCCTTAAATACTAAAATGTACTTAGGTGAATGAATAAGAGGAGCCACAAATAAAAGTGAATTATCCAATATAGAGTAAGTCCTTATCATCAATAGGTTCTTGGAAACTGTGACTTTAAGAGAAACAATACATAACGAAACAAATTTTTTTTCTTATTAACTTTGTAACAAAAGCAACTATGTTGAAGGAAAACAGTGTAATTTGAGGACCTGATGTACATGGTGTCTCTTAAAGTCACAATTTCCAAGAACCTATCCACAATGTTCAGTGAGGACTTTACTGTACTTGACTTTTGAATTTATACTGTGACTATATTTTATCAAAAACAAATGTGAAGAGTTTGCCTTTATACATGGCTGAGGACAATTTCGTATAAATTCAGTTTCTATGGTTTTGGATCTAAGTTAAGGAAGTACTGAGATAATATAAGGTAGTGTGAATATAGAAACCCAAGGACAGCCCGCTCCAGTGAGGCTGCAGCATATCAGTGTTTGCAGTTCCCTCTAACTCAGCAATAGGTGTAGGCTGACAAGATACGTGGCAATGGGTAAGTAACTATCCTGGGATGAAAAATTTGCCACAATACAAACCACAGGTTATCAAGAGTTGACTCTGCTTTATGATAGAGCACTGCTTTTCAACTTTAATGTGTACCCAGGAGCTCACTAGAATTCAGATTCTGATCCAGCAGGTCCACTTGGGGCCTGAGGATCTGCATTTCTAACAAGCCTCCAAGTGATGCTGTTGCTGCTGGTCCAGAGACCAAGTAAAATGAAACAAAAAACTAACAACAACTTTTGAGCAAGCACTGCAGAGATTTCCCTGTAAATTTTATGTTCTCGGCAGGGTGTGGTGGTTCAAGGCCTGTAAACCCAGCACTTTGGGAGGCTGAGGCGGGTGGATCACTTGAGGTCAGGAGTTCGAGACCAGCCTGACCAACATGGCGAAACCTCATCTCTACTAAAAATACAAAAATTAGGCCAGGTGCAGTGGCTCACACCTGTAATCCCAGCACTTTGGGAAGCCGAGGTGGGTGGATCATGAGGTCAGGAGATCGAGACCATCTTGGCCAACATGGTGAAACCCCATCTCTACTAAAATACAAAAAACTAGCCAAGCATGATGGCACTTGCCTGCAGTGCCAGCTACTCAGGTGGCTGAGGCAGGGGAATCGCTTGAACCAGGCAGGCGGAGGTTGTAGTGAGCTGAGATCACGCCACTGCACTCCAGCCTGGTGACAGAGCAAGACTCCGTCTCAAAAAAAAAAAAAAAAAAAAATTAGCTGGGCATGGTAGCGCACATCTGTAATCCCAGCTACTGGGGAGGCTGAGGCAGGAGAATTGCTTGAACCCAGGAGATGGAGGCAGTGAGCCGAGATCGCACCACTGCACTCCACCCTGAGTGACAGAGTGAGACTCCATCTCAAAAAAAAAAAAAAAAAGTATGTTCTCATCATAAAATGAGAAATTAAAAGTTTAAAAGATTAGATAAACATAATAGTTCTTATATTTTCCTCCCTACTTATTAAGCAACTACTCTGTATTATTAGAAATCTAAAGTTCAGGTATTCTTTAATTTTAGTTTCTGGATTTTACCAAAAAAAAAAAAAAAAAGCGGTGTGACTTGTCTGTAGTAAATTGTTGGGTAATCTTCTATTAGTGTAACGATCTAAAATCTTTCTATCCATTTCCATAAAGTAATAAAATTAGGAAAAATATTTTAATTTACTGTGGAAAGAGAAAATTATCCTAAACAAGCTTAAAGACATTAAGATAGCAAACCATTCCAACTAGATTTTATTGATACCTTGTGTCGTCACATCAGAATCTCATGTTCTCGATCATCTGCTAGTGACAGATCTATTTGGAATATTAACCTTGGCTTTAAAATCGTGATAAGAGCAGAGCCTCACTTGAGAGGTACACTAAGAAGAACCAACCATGTGGAAGAAAGGTGCATAGAAGCTCATGTGAGTAAGTAGAACTCTACCAGTTGTAGGAGGCTCATCATTCCCTCAAACCCCAGTCCAGAATAGCCGCAAAATAGGTATCATGCGCCATACTATATTTTCACCACAAATCTGTAAATAACGTTTTTTGTTATGGGATCCCACATGAAATAGAAACCTAAATGTTTCTTGATATTAATGGAACTCTACCCTACTGCAAACATAATTTGTTAATTCTCATCTCTGTGCCTTCTTCAAAGATGTTCTGTCTAAAACGGACTTCTTTCTTGTATCTGCCAGTGCATATCATGTTTTTCATAATCTAGCTCAAGATTCTGATCTACTGAGGCTGCCTTGATGAATCTTCCCCCAAATGATCACTTCATTGCTTTGAATAAATAATGTAAGAGGTATAGCTGTAATACATTATCCACAACTTGATTTTCAATGTCCTTCAGAGTTTAGAGTTTTCTTATATTTCTATCTGTTTTCCCAAATAGAGTATTAATTTCTCAAGGGAAACATAATACTTTGGGTTTTTTTTTTTTTTTTTTGCTTCTTCTATCTTCTATAGAGCTTAGTAATAGTCACCGGCAGGCAGAATTCCTTAAATATTTGAATTCTGCTGTATCTTAGGCTCTCATGTCTTCAAATCTATAACCCTTAGGCTCCAATTTAATACCTTGGGAGGACAGCCTGGCTCTCTGTTCCTCTGCACAGCTACCCAGCTTAAGTTATAAAACAGGGCAACAGAGGTCTATAATGTTCCTTTCAACTGCCACTTAGCCCCCAATCAAGGATTGATTTGTAAGTCAATCCTTTCATCAATTCTCAGTGAGCAACAATCTAATGTTATCCTTGCTCCTATTTCTTAACTAGCCCCTATAACTTCCTGTCACTTGCTCCAAACTAAAACATTACAAGATTCACCACTGTGTGTGATTCTCAGCTATTCACCTTCTCTTAGCAATTTTCCCTTGGTTTGGTAATGATGAGACACCAACAATAAATATTTGCAGAGGAAGTTCAGATTCAAAAATTCATCTTTCTCTGATGAAGTAAGGTAAAGGTACCACTGCCAACTGACTGAAAATTTTGAAAAAAGACAAAGTCTGGGGCAATTTGACAGCCCATAAATGAATCATCTTCTACATAGTTTTAAAAAACTATAACTAAAACTATAGTTTTAAAAAAACTGTATAACTAAAAGGTCTTTTACTGGGATTGGAATTTTGTGCATCTATTTGGCTGGACATAGTATGGACACTGGGCCTTCTAAACCAAGGTTTCATGGAAAGAATTAACCCCTAATTCCTTAGGCATCTCTTGTATGTAATAAATTACCTAGTATCATTCAAGAAATATGTATAGAGAAAAGTCAGGTGCCCTCCAGAAGAGTCCCTCAAATCATTTTCTATGTTCTGTGATTTCAGACGAGAAACCCCAGCTGAGGAGGCAAATATACTCAAGGAAAGTAATAGTTTCCAAATGCCTGGCAGTGCCAGGAAGGGGCCATGTCCATGGACCACTATGTAAGGATATCTCAGTCTCTAGTCCAGCGTGGTTTATGGTGCCAAATAAGTGCCAGGTGAACTCACTACATCTGACAAAATCTCAAGGAACCAAGTTTACCAGATAATATTTATGATTATGTGAAAAAGACTGAGGAAATCACTCAAGTGATCCATCATACAGCACCTCCAGTTCCAAAGAATACTGACTTACTTCAGGTGATAACACTCTACCATTTTTAAGTTTTTCATCCACATTGTGTCTGCGTTTCTGGAGCTGATCCTTTTCTTTCTGGAGGACTTCAACTTGTTCTGAAATCTTTGTTTTCTCCTCAGCTGTACTGGTCTGGAGCTGCACATTCTTTTCAGACAACTCTTGTTCCAGTAAGTTCAGGCGAGTTGATATTTTCAAACTATCTGTGTTTAAGGCCTAAAAGATACAACCCACCAGCCACCTCAAAAACAGTTACTAGAAATCTAGACTGCATAAAAATTAGGAAAAACATAGAGAAAATTGCTAAATGAATATATTTTTAGTTTTTATATTATTGTTTTCTCCCATGGATTTTTTTGAGGGAGGGGGTATTCATTTTCTTTTTTTGTTTTTGACATGGAGTTTTGCTCTTGTTCCCCAGGCTAGAGTGCAATGGTGCAACCTCAGCTCACTGCAACCTCCGCTTCCCAGGTTCAAGCGATTCTCCTGCTTCAGCCTCCCTGGTTGCTGGGATTACAGGTGCTCATCACCATGTGCAGCTAATTTTTTGTATTTTTAGTAGAGACAGGGTTTTACCATGTTGCCCAGGCTGGTCTCGAACTCCTGACCTCAGGTGATCCACCCACCTCAGCCCCCCAAAGTTCTGAGATTACAGACGTGAGACACTGCACCCGACCGGGGTGTTCATTTTCTAAAATCTTAAGTTGAATGCCTTTTAAAAAAAAAAAGTCTATTTAAACTCTGAGTTTACTGCCAAGAATTGCCTTGACTAGGTTTTCAGAGGCAGTATTTTTCTTTTTCCTTATTTTCTAAATTGAACTTTTCTTTCTTGGCTTACATTCTACATTGTAGAATTATGTTACAATTTACTAGGGGTTGAGATGTGGTGTGTTTAAACATATGATTGGTTGGCTTAAACATATAATTTGTTTTTACTTGTATTTCATTCTGATCAGAAAATATGGTCAGATTTATGGAGATGTTCACTATGGTCAAATATCAGGTAATTTGTAAATTACTGTTCACAGTAATTATTTGTATATACTACCATAAGGTTTATTATAGAGACACATACTATCATAAGGTTTATAACTTTAAAAAAGCATTCCCCTCCCCCAAGCTTTTAATTGAATCCTACTCCAAGACGGCCACCTTCAACCTTTTCAGTTGGTTCTTCTGGTGTTTATGTCCATGTTTCTAAATGGCATTATCAATTTTAGACATTGTCTACTGACTATGTATTATGGGAGATAAGGATTTAGCACTCTTGTACCTACTCTACTTCCCAACCTCCTCCATTCTCCCAATATAAGTTACATTACAGTTTTTAGTTAAATCAATATTCATTTTCATTATTATAACTTTGTTATTCATAGGTGAACTATCTAGTGTGAAATGATCATGCTTCTGTTTTGATACAACTTTTTATTGCACCTTATAGCTAATTCTTCTCCAACAGAACTATAAAATTCCTCAACACTTTTTCATTTATCAAACTTATCAGGAAATCTTTTCAATCTATTCTTTTCTGGAAACATTTTGCCTGGAGCATCCATCCTCCTGCTCCACACTGGACCAGTTGTCCTGGGTCTTCCCTTTGGTATTTCCTGAGAATTTCCATGTTGGAGCACATTTTCAGAATCCTGAGTCTTCCTTTTTCATAGTTTGTGCCCTTATTTTTGTGGAGCACATTCTCTAGTAGTTTCCCTGGATAGGCTTGATGGGAGATTTTTTTTTTTTTTACCTGAAAATGCTTATTCTAGCTTCACATTTGATTGTTTGGCTAAGAAGAAAATTATTTATTAGACTTAATTTTCCTCACGAGTTTAAAGATTGCTTCAGATCTTAAACTTCTAATGAGGAAAGCTGAGAAGTCCAATGCCATTCTGATTCTTGCAACTTACAAGTAGTCTTTTTTGTCTAGACGCTTTCAGGACCTTCTTTTTTCCTCAGTCAGTGTATCCAAACCTTCACAGTGATATCTTTTGGGTACTCATTTTGCTGGCCCCTTGATGGGCTATTTCTTTATATATATATATATAACTTTAAGTTCTAGGGTACATGTGCACAATGTGCAGGTTTGTTACATATGTATACATGGGCCATGTTGGTGTGCTGCACCCATTAACTCATCATTTACATTAGGTATATCTCCTAATGCTATCCCTCCCCCCTTCCCCCACCCCACAACAGGCCCCGGTGTGTGATGTTCCCCTTCCTGTGTCCAAGTGTTCTCATTGTTCAATTCCCACCTATGAGTGAGAATATGCGGTGTTTGGATTTTTGTCCTTGCAATAGTTTGCTGAGAATGATGGTTTCCAGCTTCATCCATGTCCCTACAAACCACATGAACTCATCACTTTTTATGGCTGCATAGTATTCCACGGTGTGTATGTGCCACATTTTCTTAATCCAGTCTATCATTGTTGGACATTTGGGTTGGTTCCAAGTCTTGCTATTGTGAATAGTGCCACAATAAACATATGTGTGCATGTGTCTTTATAGCAGCATGATTTATAATCCTTTGGGTATATACCCAGTAATGGGATGGCTGGGTCAAATGGTATTTCTAGTTGTAGATCCTTGAGGAATCACCACACTGTCTTCCACAATGGTTGAACTAGTTTACAGTCCCACCAACAGTGTAAAAGTGTTCCTATTTCTCCACATCCTCTCCAGCACCTGTTGTTTCCTGACTTTTTAATGATTGCCATTCTAACTGGTGTGAGATGGTATCTCATTGTGGTTTTGATTTGCATTTCTCTGATGGCCAGTGATGATGAGCATTTTTTCATGTGTCTGTTGGCTGCATAAATGTCTTCTTTCGAGAAGCGTCTGTTCATATCCTTCGCCCACTTGTTGATGGGGTTGTTTTTTTCTTGTAAATTTGTTTGAGTTCATTGTAGATTCTGGATATTAGCCCTTTGTCAGATGAGTAGATTGCAAAAATTTTCTCCCATTCTGTAGGTTGCCTGTTCACTCTGACGGTAGTTTCTTTTGCTGTGCAGAAGCTCTTTAGTTTAATTAGATCCCATTTGTCAATTTTGGCTTTTGTTGCCATTGCTTTTGGTGTTTTAGACATGAAGTCCTTGCCCATGCCTATGTCCTGAATGGTATTGCCTAGGTTTTCTTCTAGGGTTTTTATGGTTTTAGGTCTAACATTTAAGTCTTTAATCCATCTTGAATTAATTTTTGTATAAGATGTAAGGAAGGGATCCAGTTTCAGCTTTCTACATATGGCTAGCCAGTTTTCCCAGCACCATTTGTTAAAGAGGGAATCCTTTCCCCATTTCTTGTTTTGTCAGGTTTGTCAAAGATCAGAGAGTTGTAGATGTGTGGTATTATTTCTGAGGGCTCTGTTCTGTTCCACTGGTCTATATCTCTGTTTTGGTACCAGTACCATGCTGTTTTGGTTACTGTAGCCTTGTAGTATAGTTTGAAGTCAGGTAGCGTGATGCCTCCAGCTTTGTTCTTTTGGCTTAGGATTGTCTTGGCAATGCGGGCTCTTTTTTGGTTCCATATGAACTTTAAAGTAGTTTTTTCCAGTTCTGTGAAGAAAGTCATTGGTAGCTTGATGGGGATGGCATTGAATCTATAAATTACCTTGGGCAGTATGGCCATTTTCACGATATTGATTCTTCCTACCCATGAGCATGGAATATTCTTCCATTTGTTTGTATCCTCTTTTATTTCATTGAGCAGTGGTTTGTAGTTCTCCTTGAAGAGATCCTTCACATCCCTGGTAAGTTGGATTCCTAGGTATTTTATTCTCTTTGAAGCAATTGTGAATGGGAGTTCACTCATGATTGGGCTCTCTGTTTGTCTGTTATTGGTGTATAAAAATGCTTGTGATTTTTGCACACTGATTTTGTATCCTGAGACTTTGCTGAAGTTGCTTATTAGCTTAAGGAGATTTTGGGCTGAGACGATGGGGTTTTCTAGATATACAATCATGTCATTTGCAAACAGGGACAATTTGACTTCCTCTTTTCCTAACTGAATACCCTTTATTTCTTTCTCCTGCCTGATTGCCCTGGCCAGAACTTCCAACACTATGTTGAATAGGAGTGGTGAGAGAGGGCATCCCTGTCTTGTGCCAGTTTTCAAAGGGAATGCTTCCAGTTTTTGCCCATTCAGTACGATATTGGCTGTAGGTTTGTCATAAATAGCCCTTATTATTTTGAGATATGTCCCCTCAATACCTAATTTATTGAGAGTTTTTACCATGAAGGGCTGTTGAATTTTGTCAAAGGCCTTTTCTGCATCTATTGAGATAATCATGTGGTTTTTGTCTTTGGTTCTGTTTATATGCTGGATTACATTTATTGATTTGCGTATGTTGAACCAGCCTTGCATCCTAGGGATGAAGCCCACTTGATCATGGTGGATAAGCTTTTTGATGTGCTGCTGGATTCGGTTTGCCAGTATTTTATTGATGATTTTTGCATCAATGTTCATCAGGGATATTGGTCTAAAATTCTCTTTTTTTGTTGTGTCTCTGCCAGGCTTTGTTATCAGGATGATGCTGGCCTCATAAAATGAGTTAGGGAGGATTCCCTCTTTTTCTATTGATTGGAATAGGTTCAGAAGGAATGGTACCAGCTCCTCCTTGTACCTCTGGTAGAATTCGGCTGTGAATCCGTCTGATCCTGGACTTTTTTCGGTTGGTAAGCTATTAATTATTGCCTCAATTTCAGAGCCTGTCATTGGTCTATTCAGAGATTCAACTTCCTCCTGGTTTAGTCTTGGGAGGGTGTATGTGTCCAGGAATTTATCCATTTCTTCTAGATTTTCTAGTTTATTTGCATAGAGGTGTTTATAGTATTCTCTGATGGTAGTTTGTATTTCTGTGGGATCGGTGGTGATATCCCCTTTATCATTTTTTATTGCGTCTATTTGATTCTTCTCTCTTTTCTTCTTTATTAGTCTTACTAGCAGTCCATCAATTTTCTTGATCTCAAAAAACCAGCTCCTTGATTCACTGATTTTTTGAAGGGTTTTCTGTGTCTTTATCTCCTTCAGTTCTGCTCTGATCTTAGTTATTTCTTGCCTTCTGCTAGCTTTTGAATGTGTTTGCTCTTGCTTCTCTAATTCTTTTAATTGTGATGTTAGGCTGTTAATTTTAGATCTTTCCTGCTTTCTCTTGTCGGCATTTAGTGCTATAAATTTCCCTCTACACACTGCTTTAAATGTGTCCCAGAGATTCTGGTATGTTGTGTCTTTGTTCTTGTTGGTTTCAAAGAACATCTTTATTTCTGCCTTCATTTCATTAGGTACACAGTAGTCATTCAGGAGCAGGTTGTTCAGTTTCCATGTAGTTGAGCGGTTTTGAGTGAGTTTCTTAATCCTGAGTTCTAGTTTGATTGCACTGTAGTCTGAGAGACAGTTTGTTATAATTTCTATTCTTTTACATTTGCTGAGGAGTGCTTTACTTCCAACTATGTGGTCAATTTTGGAATAAGTGTGATGTGGTGCTGAGAAGAATGTATATTGTGTTGATTTGGGGTGGAAAGTTCTGTAGATGTCTATTAGGTCTGCTTGGTGCAGAGCTGAGTTCAATTCCTGGATATCCTTGTTAACTTTCTGTCTCATGGATCTGTCTAATGTTGACAGTGAGGTGTTAAAAGTCTCCCATTATTATTGTGTGGGAGTCTAAGTCTCTTTGTAGGTCTCTAAGGACTTGCTTTATGAATCTGGGTGCCCCTATATTGGGTGCATATATATTTAGGATAGTTAGCTCTTCTTGTTGAATTGAGCCCTTTACCATTATGTAATGGCCTTCTTTATCTCTTTTGATCTTTCTTAGTTTAAAGTCTGTTTTATCAGAGACTAGGACTGCAACCCCTGCCTTTTTTTGTTTTCCATTTGCTTGGTATATCTTCCTCCATCCCTTTATTTTGAGCCTATATGTGTCTCTGCACGTGAGAGGCCTAGAGCCTCACATTACTGGTGTTGAGAAAATTTTTTATATGATGTCTTTGATACTCTCCTCTTTTCTGTTTTCTCTGTTGTATCTTTCTGGAATTCCCATTACTTGGATCTTGGGCTTTCTGGATTTATCTGCCAATTAAAAATGTTTTGCTCCTACTTTCTATTAACTTATATTTTTACTTACTTTTTGGAATATTTCCTCAACTTTATCCTCTGACCCTTTTTTTTGAGATGGAGTTTTGCTCTTGTCACCCAGACTGGAGTGCAATGGCATGGTCTCGGCTCACTGCAACCTCTGCCTCTCAGGTTCAAGTGATTGTCCTGCCTCAGCTCCCAAGTACCTGGGATTACAGGTGCCCACAACCACGCCTGGCTAATTTTTGTATTTTTAGAAGAGACAGGGTTTCACCATGTTGGTCAGGCTGGTGTCGAACTCCTGACCTCCAGTGATCTGCCCGCCTTGGCCTCCCAAAGTGCTGGGATTACAGGTGTGAGCCACCGCGCCCTGCCTATCCTCCAACCCTTTTAATTTCCAAGAGCTCTTTCATGTTTTTAATAACTTGTAGTTATTTATAGATAGTCATCTTTTACCACATTGAGGATATTAAGATTTCTGTGAAGTTTTTTTCAGCTTCTTGCTCTATCTCTAATGTCTCTGAGTTTATTTTTTCCTTTTGTTTTGTTTTCTGTCTTTAATAGTGGCATTCCTGAAATGTCCATCATATTTCAGAGTCAGGTATCGAAAAGCAGATAAGATTTGTGGTAACAGCATATACGTGGGCCACTTATTTAAGTGGGGGCTTCCAAATTTAAGAGTTTTCATATCTTTTTAGATGTTTCAGAAAATATGCCAATCTCCGGCTAGGAAGTATAAATCTGGCTGCCAGCATTCTTAGATCCAAGTAGAGATTAGGAAATAGATGTTTCACGATTCATATGCAGACTTGCATTCATTCCCTACCTGGAGTTTTTTTGACTTATCACAACCTTTGCTGTGCCTGGTTCAATCTTCAGAAAATAAATCGGTCCCAGAGTAAGAAAAAATAGTTTCATGACTATGCCCTGTTTTCATCTTTATGCTACTCCTGCCTTCTGAAAATCTTGGTCCCTTCATTTCTGAGTCTTTTTGATGTTCTATGTGAATTTTATCTCTCTAAAACTGTTATTTTTAAAAAAGGAAAACATCTAAAGCATTCCTAAAATGCCCATCACATTTCAGAGTCAGGTATTAAAAAGCTGGTAAGATGTGTGGTGATAGCATATATGTAGGGTCTTGGCCTGGCTCTCATTTGTGTCTCTCTAGGTACTTGGAATGCAGCATCTTCTGTTCTGCTAAGTTAATAAGCTCTCATCTATTTGCTTTCCATCTTTTCTTTTTTTGTAATCTTTTGTCCTCTGTTATCTCCTCTACTGTCTTTTCCCTTTTATGGCTTTTCAAAAAACATAATAGCTTTAATGAGATATAATCTACATACCATGCAGTTCACCAATTTAAAGTATATAACTCAAGGCCGGGCATGGTGGCTCATGCCTGTAATTCCAGCACTTTGGGAGGCCAAGATGGGCGGATCACAAGGTCAGAAGTTCGAGACCAGTCTGACCAATATGGTGAAACCCAGTCTCTACTAAAAATACAAAAACTAGCTGGGCATGGTGGTGTGCGCCTGTAGTCCGAGCTACTCGGGAGACTGATACAGGAGAATCGCTTGAACCCAGGAGGCAGAGGTTGCAGTGAGCACAGATCGCGCCACTGCACTCCAGTCTCAAAAAATTAAAAAAAAAAATGAAGTATATAATTCAATGGTTTTTCATATATTCACAGTTATGTAACCATCACCACAATCAATTTTATATTTTATTCACCCCCCCCCCAAAAAAAGAAACCCCACACCTATTAGTAGGCATTCTATTTCCCCCGCAATCCCCCACCAACCCTAGGTAACCACTATTCTAGTTTTTGTCTCTGGACAGAAATGGAATTGCCCATTCTGGAGACTTGATACAAATGGTATTATACAAAGGTGGTCTTTTGTGACTGGTTTCTTTCACTTAACATAGGTTTTCAAGGTTCATCCATGTTGTAGCATGTATCAGTACTTCATTCCCTTCTATTGTCAAATAATACGCTATTGTATGGATAATCACAGTTTATCCATTCATCACTTGATGAACATTTGTGTTGTTTTCAGTTTTTAGCTATTATGAATAATGTTACTATGAATGTTCATGTTCAAGTTTTTGTGTGGATACATGCTTTCATTTCTCATGGAGAAATACATACAGAGATAGATCTATCTATCTATCTATCTATCCATCCATCCATCCATCCATTAATCCACCCACCCACCCTCCCACCCATCCCTAGGAGTGAGATTACTGGGTCACATAGTATCCGTAAGTTTAGCCTTTTGAGGAACTACAAAATGGTTATCCAAAGCAATTGCACCATTTTCCAATTTCACCAGCAGTGTATGAAGGTCCCAATTTCTCCACCTCCTCCCACACATTTCTTATTATGTTTTTCTGATTATAGCCATCCTAGTGGGGAGTAGGGAGTGGTTTACAACCAGAATCAAGTAGTGTATTAAACAGAATACCTGACTAGATCTCAATTTCTTATTTTCCAGGTGACTCTTCTCCTGTAACAGAGCCTCCTTCTTAGAAACTATGGCCTCCCGTTTCTTTAAGTCTGCTTCCAGCTCCTCTAATTCTTGGCGTTGGTTCAGAACTTTCTCTACTTCTTCATCTAACCATTTCTTTTGCTCATCCAATTTCTACATTAAAATTAAAAAAAAAGTTACTTGTTTTTCCTTCTGCCATAAAAATTATATGGTAATAATAGAATTTCAGATTGGCTGAAATCTCTTAAATGAACATTTAAAAACTATCACTCAGAGTAACTCAGGTAGCCGTCTGAGATCCTAAAGACATCAGTGGTTCTAGTCAAGATGTAGCTATGTTGTTTTATAAAGAATTAAAATTTACTCCCCAGATATGTTAAACAGTCTAGGATTTTTTAGCCTGACGAAGAAAGGGCTGATAATTTTCTATGCCTATATTAAGAACATGCTGGAATCTTTTACTCTGTTGTAGTGGTGCACAGTTCCATCACAGCACTTACACTGGTGGCTGCCCTACGTATCTATCTCCCCAGCTTGAGCTCCTTGATTGATTGCAGGGGCTGTAGTTTTTACCCGTCTATCCACATGGCTGGTATATTGCCTGGGCCACAGTAGGCATTCAATAAAATGTTAAATGAATGAGTGAATGAATGCCTGATTCAGTCAGTCAATGAAGTGAATAAATGAATACACACAGTGGAAGACACAGATGATGGAGGATGGAAGGAAAGCCAATTTGCATTGTAGCTTGTCAACCTCAAATAATTATTTTTAAAAAAGAAAAAAAACAAAAATAAAAAATTGCTGAAAAGATCTCCAAAACAAACATCTGAGTACTCTCTTGAATTAAGGATATGCGGAAACAAATACAAACATAAATATAGATGGAATATGACTGTTTAAAAGGAACTCTACCAAGTGGACATGGTAATGAAGCACTGCCACCAAAACAACAAATAAATAGGAAAAGAAATCCATATAGTATTATTTCCTAGTCCTTCATGAACCTTATAGAAAGGGTTTCTGGAAATCTATCATACAATGAGACAGTGAATATATATGAGAAAAAGAGAGCAAAATGGCCAAGACAAAGAAGATGCATAGCTATTCGGTCTTCCAATAATACCAATATATTAATAGTATAATCTTATAAGCACTATCATGTCCAGATAACACTGGAGCCTAAAATATTATAGTAGCTCTACAATTATTAGGAAGAGAAAGAGCAACTATAAAAATGTTAATTTTGTCATATCCTTAAATACTCCGGTAGGAGATCCTAGGAAGTCTAGCAAGTAACTTAAATATATTCTACAAACATTCTTAAACTGTGAGTGGGGTTTGAAAGATGAATAAGAGATTCTTTTTAAGCTCCACTTAAAAGGAAAAAACCTAAAAAATTACAACTGGTGATGACATTTCTGGGTGGAATGGGTGTGTATGGGAATGTACCCATGTCACTATTAAATGTCACTAAGAAAATGTAATGTAAAATTTATGAAGAGAGAATAAATCTTTCTAAAGTAAGGTAGAGATAATTGCATTCTAGGTATTTTAAATACAGTATTTTTTGCTTACATAAAATTTAAAATTTCAATTTCTTTGAACTTCAAAATTAGTTTGTGGATTATGACTTTCTTTTTAAAAGGTGGCACTAAAATAATGGCTTTTTAATATATAAAGTACATATACAATTTGGTTTTCTTTGAATGTAGAGTTCTGATTTTTAGAAATATACTTGTCTTCAGCTGGGCGCGGTGGCTCACACCTGTAATCCCAGCACTTTGGGAGGCCGAGGCGGGCAGATCATGAAATCGAAACCATCCTGGCTAACATGGTGAAACCCCGTCTCTACTAAAAATACAAAAAATTAGCCAGGCGTGGTGGTGGGCACCTGTGGTCCCAGCCACTTGGGAAGCTGAGGCAAGAGAATGGTGTGAACCCGGGAGGCGGAGCTTGCAGTGAGCTGAGATCATGCCACAGCACTCCAGCCTGGGTGACAGAGCGAGACTCTGTCTCAAAAAAAATAAAATATACTCGTCTTCATGAGATGGGAATAAATACAGTCCAGTGAACATGGATTTCATGTTTATATTCTACAACATTCAAATCAACTCATTTCTACCAAAATAAGAATATATTGATTCTGCTGAGAGCAAGAAAAAACAAAAAATACAGCACATTTCTGGATGAGAACATAATTTTGTAATAATAAAAGTTTCACTACTTGGGCAACAGGATTATTAGAAGCCCAAATCTTAGCATCACACAATATACCCATGTAACAAACCTGCATGTGTATCCCTGAATCTAAAATTTAAGAAAAGAAAAATAATAAAGTTTCAAAACAAATACTAGAAATTTTGCATTTGGGCGGCATCTAGTGTTTGAAGGTTTTATTCAGAGTCCACCAGTTTTTACATCTATCTATCTCTCTATCTATCTATCTATCTATCTATCTACCTATCTATTTATTGAGAGGGAGTTTTGCTCTTGTTGCCCAGTCTGGAGTGCAGTGGCATGGTCTCGGCTCACTGCAGCCTCCACCTCCAGGGTTCAAGCGATTCTCCTGCCTCAGCCTCCCAAGTAGCTGGGATTACAAGCGCCTGCCACCAAGCCCGGCTAATTTTTATACTTTTAGTAGAGACGGGGTTTTACCATGTTGACCAGGCTGGTCTTGAACTCCTGACCGCAGGTGATCCACCCACCTCGGCGTCCCAAAGTGCTAGGATTACAGGTGTGAGTTTACCTCTATTTAGACAACCATCAGATTGAAGAGAAACCAGGAAACACTAAATAGAATTGACAAACCTGGAGATGGTCTATACTTCCAAACGAACCTTTTCTCCTTTTCAAGTTACATGCATCAAGGTCCTCAGCTTTCGGTTTTAGACCTTCTTCCTGTCCTGTTTTTAATTGTATTTCCTATAGAAAAAGAAATTGAAAACACCTTATTGCTTTTACACCTGACCATTAAGTATGCTGATGACAATTATTTTCTTTTTTTTTTTTTTTTTTTTGGAGACAAGCTCTCGCTCTGTCACCCAGGCTGGAGTGCAGTGGCACAATCACAGCCTCAAACTCCTGGGCTCAAGCCATCCAGCCACATTTTCTTAACATTTACTTCCTTAGTCACAGAAAGAGAAAATGAGTAGATGACAGTTGGGGCTCTATTTGAGAAGAAAATAATGTGTGGATTTTTTTGTTTAAAAAATTTTTTTAGAGATAGGGTCTCACTCTGTATCTAGACTAGAGTGCAATGGCGTGATCATAGCTCACTGTAAGCTCAAGCTCCTGGGCTCAAGTAATCCTCTCACCTCAGCCTCCCAAGTAGCTAGGACTACAGGTGTGTACCACCACATCCAGCTAATTTTTTTTTTTAATTTTTTGTAGAGATGGGGTCTTGTTACATTGCCCAGGCCAGTCTCTAGTGATCTTCCTGGCCTCCAGTGATCCTCCAGCCTCAACTTCCTAAAGTTCTGGGATTATAGGCATAAGTCACCATGCTCAGCCTTAATTTTTAATTGACAAATAATAATTGTACATTTTCGTGAGGTACACAGTGATTATTTCAATACATATAACGTATAGTGATCAGACCAGGATAATTAGCATATCTAAGAAGAAAGGAATGTTAGCTCTTACTGAGGCAATACAACTGCAAAAATTAGGATTTACTAACAAAACTGAGCATTTTTTTCATTCTTCGTGAGTGTTACACATTAGTGTAACAAGGATAAGAGTCTGAAATTTATAAGTGGGTTATTCTCTTCTGCCTTTCTGAGCTTATTACTTTCATAGTTACTCCACCCAAGACATCCATCTGCTGTGAGTATATTAAAATTTATTATGTAGAAATGCAAAAAGAAAAGTAATGTTCAATTTCTAGTGTTCAAAAATGGGAGTTTGCAATATGAGAATAGACTTGGAAGACAGATCATGGTCTTATGAAGTGCATTTTCCAAATTAGTTTCCATCCACATCTTTTTTTTTTTTTTCTAGACAAAGTCTCACTCTGTCACCCAGGCTGGATGCAATGGCATAATCTTGGCCCACTGCAACCTCCGCCTCCCAGGTTTCAAGTAATTCTCATGCCTCAGCCTCCTGAGTAGCTGGTATTATAGGCATGTGCCACCACACCTGGCTAATTTTTGTATTTTCTTTTTTATTTTTTAGGAGAGACAGGGTTTTACCATGTTGGCCAGGCTGGTCTCGAACTCCTGACCTCAGGTGATCCACCTGCCTCAGCCTCCCAAAGTGCTGGAATTACAAGCATGAGCCACCACGCCCAGCCTCCATCCACATCTTAAGGGTCAAGTCAAGAGGTGCGATGTTGGCCAGGAGTGGTGGCTCATGCCTGTAATCCAGCACTTTGGGAGGCTGAGGCAGGCTGATCACCTGAGGTCAGGAGTTCAAGACCAGTCTGGCCAACATGGGGAAACCCCGTCTCTACTAAAAATACAAAAATTAGCCGGGCGTGTGCCTGTATTCCCAGCTACTCAGGAGGCTGAGGCACGAGAATCGCTTGAACTTGAGAGGCAGAGTACGGTGAGCTGAGATCGCGCCACTGCACTCTAGCCTAGGTGACAGAGTGAGACTCCGTCTCAAAACAAAACAAAACAAAACAAAAGGCGCAATGTTCATGGTGCCTTCTAGGGGTTTAGAAATGATGTTGTCCATCACTAAAGCTTAGCAGGACAGGAAGGAGGCCATGAGTCAAAGCTGGACAGTTCACATACTCTCTGTTACTGGTCTGTGATGGATAAGTACACAATTGAAAGTGCTGAGATACTTTTATAGCAATTTGACAGAATAATTTTATGTCTGATGACTCTAACAATTTTTAAAATGGACTTTTATTTGTATATTTTAAATTTCACTTTTCTACTAATTCATGTTTTATAAAAGTGTTAGGCTGTGACAAATTTATAACAAAATAAAAATTATACCTTCTCCACAAGTAATTTCAGAAGCACTGATAGGAAGTAAAAGAAAAGCCTAGTGCTCTCCAGCCCTGGGAATGGCAGAAAGGAGAAAAGAGACAGTAAGGAAGACTTGTTTCCCAATTGTCCTCTGTCTGAGTTTTGGTCCAGAAAGGGGGATGATAAGTAAAGGTATCAATGGGGAGAGACGGGCTCCTAAACTATTCAGGAGAGAAAATGCAGACTGCAGTGCAGAAGCCCCACACCCATATACAATTGCCCAGCCTTGCTGAAAAAGCAGAGAGGTACGATTAGGAAAGAGACCCCAGTTGGACTCCTTGGTCTCAAGTGGCTTGGATCCTGAGTTGAGAGCTAATGTAGGTAGTCACTGTGGGGAACTGGCTCCCAAACTAGGTATAAGGACAGGCCACTGGGCTAGCAAGCTAGACAGAATGCCTAGTAGCCTCAGTAGGGGCTTATAATGCTAGTGGGAGATGAGATGAAGGGAAAGCACCCCCATGCTCTAAACCAGAAGCAAGATCAAACTGCGAGTTATACCAGCCAGGGGTTTCATCATCAGGGGCCAGCAGATTAGGCAGGGTAAGGTGGACAAGGGAGCACAATTTCCAGCTGGTCACAATCCTCAACTCCAAGGCATAGGATAAAAGAAGGCTATACACCCAACTACAACATACACTGGCTGTCATCTTAGGGAGAGAAGCATAGGGAAGAGGAGGCTAAGAGACTGAGCCTTCTTATTCAAAAGACCTGAGAAGTATTTAAAGGAAGTGTTTAGATTTTTAGAACAAGGTTTGAACAGAGAGAACATTTGATTAGTTTCCACCATATTTCCAGCAATAATCATGACATGGATATAAGAGAAGTGCACTCACAAAGAAGACAGGTGCTATAGACTAAATAAAGAAAAATGTTACACCCATCTGAGTTATGAGTGAATTTGGACTCTATTATGTTTACCACCCATAGTTCTTGATGCTTCCCTAGTTCTAGTTCATAGCTATAATTTAGCCCCTGTGATAGCCCTAGACATTTCAGGATGATGAAATAAAGCTACCTTAAATAAAGAGACCTTATACTTGGAGTTGACTCTCTACGTAGTATTTCTGTTTGTCCACATACACTTTAAAAGTATACTGCACTTGTAATCCCAGCACTTTGGGAGGCCAAGGCGGGTAGATCACAAGGTCAGGAGATCGAGACCATCCTAGCTAACACCGTGAAACCCTGTGTCTCTATTAAAAAGACAAAAAAATTAGCCGGGTGTGGTGGCAAGTGCCTGTAGTCCCAGCTACTTGGGAGGCTGAGGCAGGAGAATGGCATGAACCCGGGAGGCGGAGCTTGCAGTGAGACGAGATCACACCACTGCACTCCAGCCTGGGCAACAAAGAGAGACTCCGTGTCAAAAAAAAAAAGGACACAGGAGTACTTCTAATTCCCTCTTCCACATGTTGCTCCAGACAATGCCTTTTTCCTTACATTGTAATCTTTGTTATACATATTAAAATAACTGTGTACCAGGCACTGTGCTAGACTTTTTATATCTATTTAATTATCCCATTTAGCCCTCACAACAATCCTATGATATAGGGACTATTATAAAATCCATTTTATAGATGAGGAAATGGGTGGTTAAAAAGCTTAAGATCACACCACCACCCACAATTTCAGGAATTCTCATATCTTTTCTTCAAAGCCTATCCATGGACCTCAGTTAAGAACTACCGCTCTGAAGAGAACCTATGCAGAAGTTGTACTATTCTTTGGAAATGGTTTAGTCAAGTAGAAAAGAGACAGGAGTCTCAGAGAGTTAGCTCCAAACAGACAGCAAATTTTATCCTTTAGGACTGTAAGCAGGTTTTCTGTTTTTGCATTAAGTAGAGGATACATCAATGTATCTTTGGGAAAGTCTGTTCCTTTTTCTGGAATACCTGATATCCCCCATAAATGGGTCATTTCACTAAAATTAGAGATGTGGCAAGATGGAATAAAAGTGCCCTAGGTGGCAAGGTGTGGTGGCTTATGCCTGTAATCCCAGCATTTTGGGAGGCTGAGGCAGGAGGATCACTTGAGCCCAGGAGTTCGAGATCAGCCTGGGCAATATAGTAAGACCCTATCTCTACAAAAAATTAAAAAGTGTGTGAGGTACGCTGGCATGTGCCTGCAGTCCTAGCTACTTGGGAGGCTGAGGTGGGAGGATTCCTTGAGCCCAGGAGGCCAAGGCTACAGTGAGCCATGATCACATCACTGCACTCAAGCCTGGATGACAGAGCAAGACCTTGTCTCAAAAAAAAAAAAAAAAAAAAGTGCACTAGATAAGAAGGTAAAAGTTTGAGTTACAAGCAGAGTTGCATTTCAGCAGACTTCTACTCTTTGAAGAAGACAGTGTCTTCTTTTCCCTAAGCATGGATTTAGAGAGTGCTATGTCTTGCTGGTTTAAGCCATGGCCTATGAGAGATGAGGAGTTAAAACCCAAAGACCACAACACTGAACAGCCTGGCCTGATCTTCACATTGGAAAAAGAGCTAAAACAAAACAGACTAAGTTGTTGGCAGAAGAAATGAAAATTGGACAGATTCATGGTGTTTTAAAGATATACTCTGAAGGCTTTAATGGTTCATTGGATATGCATAAGAAAGACGCAAGAGCCAATGATGATGCCTAAATTTCTAGCACACCCAACTGATATATCATGTAAGGCACATTGGAGAACTACATTTTTCCCCCATGAAGAGAGCAGGGAGTGGGGAATCATGGAAAGGTAAGTAAGGAAGATCATTAATTCATCTATAAGACAACCTAGGGAAGAGGTTGGAGCTCAAAGAACAGACTTGGGATTAAGCATTAAATTTGGAAATTTTCAGTTTAATTGTAGCCATGGAAAAGTATCCTATACTCACCTAGGATGGAGTATAGAAGAGGGCAGAGACCAGAGCCATGAGGAACTCCCATATTTAAAAGGACCGGTGGAGTAGGATGAGCTAGCCAAGACAGAGAACAAGCAATCAGGAAGAGAGGAAAAAACAAGGAAGGTATAACGTCACAAAAGCAAGGGGAAAACACTTCAAGACGGAGGGAGTGCTGAACTGTGCTGGATGCACAGTATTAAGATAAGGACTTTAGTGACAGAGAGAGCACTAGTGAACTTCTCAAGAGCTGTGAAGTGGGTGATAGAGCCAGAAGCCAGCTGGAGAGGATAAGAGAATGAATGAAAGTAGAAGTAACAGAAACAAATGCAGTCAACTTTTCCAATAAGTTTGGTTACAAAGGGGAGGTAAGAAAGGGATGGGAAAAAGGTTGAAGGAGGATAATTTTAGGATGAAAAAAACTAAGATATTTAAAGACAAATCCAGAAGAAAAAAAAAGTTGAAAATAAGAAAAAAGGATAAAAGATGACACGTACATGCTTAGCAAAGTATTGCCTGAATATAAATCTCAATAAATGTTAACTATTGCTATAATTATTATTACCATTATTATGAATATCATTATTATTATTACCAGTTCTTTTAAATATGGGAGTTCCTCATGGCTCTGATTTTTGCCCTCTTAACTTCTATACTCCATCCCAGGTGAGTATAGAATACTTTTCCATAGCTGCAATTAAACTCATACTCTTCACTGGGTTATCTTATAGTGTCAAGGAAATTTAAAAAGCAATTCCATTTATAATAGCATCTAAAAGAATATCTAGGAACAAGTTTAAGTAAAGAGGTAAAATACTACTGGTACACTAAAAATTACGACATTGCTGAAAGAAATTAATGAAGACCTAAACAAATGGAAAGACTTCCCATGCTCGTGGATAAGAAAATTTAATATTGTCAAGATGTCAATACTACTCAGAGCAATCTAGAGATTCAACAATCCTTATCAAAATTCCAATGGCCTTTTTTGCAGAAATGGAAAGGCCCATCCTCAAATTCACATGGAAAACTGTAGGGGCTCTGAAGAGCCAAAATCATCTTGAAAAAGAAGAGCAAGGTGGGAGGACTTACTTCCCAATTTCAAGACTTAATACAAACCTACAGTAATCAAAATAGTGTGATACTAGCATGAGGATAGACATATAGACCTATGGAATAGAACTGAGAGTTTAGTAACCATATATCTATGGCCAGTTGATTTTTTAAAAATAAAAATTGGGGCCAAGCATGGTGGCTCAGGTCTGTAATCCCAATACTTTGGGAGGCCAAGACCAGAGGATCACTTGAAGCCAGGAGTTCAAAACCAGCCTGGGAAATATAGCAAGACACTGTCTATAAAAAGTAGGGAAAAAAATTAGCCAGGTGTGGTGGTGTGCGTCTGTAGTCCCACTGCTTAGGAGGCTAAGGCAGGTGGATCACTTGAGCCCAGGAATTGGAGGCTGCAGTGGGCTATGATCATGGCACCGCACTTCAGCCTGGGTGACAGAGTGAGACCCTGTCTCAAAAAAACAAAATTGTACATATGTAAGGTATACAACATGATGTTTTGATATACATAGTGAAATGATTACTATAGTCAAGCTAACATATTTATCTCTTCACATAGTTAGCATTTTGGCTTTTTTTTTGTGGTAAGAGTACCTGAAATCCATTCTCTTAGCAAATTTCCAGTATACAATAGTCATCATGCTGTACACTAAGTCTCTAGACTTATTTATTCTACATAACTGCAACTTTGTACCATTTGACCAACATCTCCCCGTTTCCCCATCAGCATTTCCCTATTTCCCACTCCAGCTGATTTTTGATAAGGGTGCCAAGTCCATTCAATGGAGGAAAGAACAGTCTCTTCAACAGATGGTACTGGTACAACTGGAGTTCCACATGCAAAAGAATAAATGTGGACCACTACTTCACACCATATACAAAAACTGACCCCAAATGGACCAATGACCTAAATATAAAAGCAAAAACCATAAAACTCTTAGCAGAAAACATAAATCTTCATGACCTTGGATTTAGGCAATGGATTCTTAGACATGACACCAAAAAGCACAAGCAACAGAAGAAAAAAATAGATAAATTGGACTTCAACAAAACTAAAAATTTTTGCATATCAAAGGATATTATCAAAGTAAAAAGAAAACCTACAGAATAGGAAAAAATATTTGGAAATCACGTATCTGATAGAATTTAATGTCAGAATATGTAAAGAACTCATACAACTCAACAACAAAGACAAAGAACCAAATTAAAATGTGGACAAAGAACTTGAATAGACATTTCTCCAAAGAAGATTTATGAACAGCCAATAAGCACATGAAAAGATGCTCAACATCATTAGTCATTAGGGAAATGCAAACCAAAACCACAATGAGATACAACTTCATCCATCCTGGCTAACACAGTGAAAACCCGTCTCTACTAAAAATACAAAAAATTAGCCGGGCGTGGTGGCGGGTGCCTGTAGTCCCAGCTACTCGGGAGGCTGAGGCAGGAGAATGGCGTGAACTCAGGAGGCGGAGCTTGCAGTGAGCCGAGATCACGCCACTGCACTCCAGCCTGGGCAACAGAGAGACTCTGTCTCAAAAAAAAAAAAAAAAAAAAAAAAAAAAGAGATACAACGATACAACTTCATACCTACTCAGATGACTATAATTAAAAAAAGGAAAGAAACAGGTGTTGACAAAAGTGAGGAGAAATTAGAACATTCACACATTGCTGGTGGAAATGTAAAATGATGCTGCTGCTATGGAGAACAGTGGTTTCTCAGAAAGCTAAGCACAGATTTACCATATAACCCAGAAATTCTACTCCTAGGTACATACTCCTAGGTACATACCCAAAGGAATTGAAAACAGAGACTTATTTGTATGCCAGTGTTCACTGCAGCATTATTCACAATAGCCAAATGGTAGAAACAACTCAAGTGTCCATTGATGGATGAATGGATAAAGAACTGTGGCATATCCATACAATGGAATATTACTTGGCAATAAAAGGGAATGAAGTTCTTGTACATGCTGCAATGTAGACAAACCTTGAAAATATTATGCTAAATGAAATAAGGCTGACACAGAAGGTAAAATATTATATAATTCTACTTATATGAAGTATCTAGAATAAGCAAATTCATATAGAAAGTAGATTAGAGATTACCAAGAGCTGGGGGAAGGGGAAAATGAGGAGCTATTCCATAATATTACAGAGTGTCTGTCTGGAGTGATGAAAATGTTTTGGAAATAGATAGTGGTGATGGTTGCACAAGATTGTGAATGTAATTAATGCCACTGAATTATACACTTAAAAAACAGTTAAAATGGGTTGGGCACGGTGGCTCACACCTGTAATCCCAGCACTTTGGGAGGCTGAGGCGGGCAGATCACCTGAGGTCGGGAGTTCAAGACCAGCCTGACCAACATGGAGAAACCCCATCTCTACTAAAAATACAAAATTAGCCGGGCGTGGTGGTGCACGCCTGTAATCCCAGCTACTCAGGAGGCTGAGGCAGGAGAATCACTTGAACCCAGGAGGCGGAGGTTGTGTTGAGCCGAGATCACACCATTGCACTCCAGCCTGGGCAACAAGAGTGAAACTCCATCTCAAAAAAAAAAAAAAGGAAAAAAAGTTAAAATGGTAAATTTTATGTTATATATATTTTACCACAACTTAAAAATTAATAATAAATAATGAGTAACTTGGTTTAAATGCTCTTTAAGTTCCCTTCCATTGCTGAATTCTGTGATTTTTTTTTTTAAGGTCGGAAAATAGGTTATATCCATTGTTGAAAATCTAGGAAATCTGGGGCATACTGATAACAGGAGAGGCTAAACATGTGCAGGGACAGGGAGTATATGGCATATCTCTGCACCTTCCTTTCAATTTTGCTGTGAACCTAAAACGGCTCTAAAAAAATAAAATCTTAATTTTTAAAATATCTAGGAAATCTCCAATTATGTCCCATGCCTTGGGTTCAGCTTAACATTTCAACGGAACAGAGCCTGGCACATAGTACTAGATAAGTGTCTGTTATTATGATCATCATCATCTTTTTCAAAAAAGCCCTGTGGGACAAGTAGGATTAAGGCCATTTTAGATGAGAATAAACAGACTCAGAGAGGGTAAAATTTTTGAGAAATTTGAGAAAATTTATTTTCTCAATAAATCTCTCAGCCAGCAACTGAGTGAGCTAGGATTTGAACCTATGATAGCCTGGTCAAAGAGCCTAGGCTGACACCACTAAGTTCTTCCCCAGCCCAATCTATTCTAGAACTGCTGTGCATACAGGTCTGATCATTTTTCTGCTCACTGTGAATGAAATGGTACCACTTTACCTGGTACTTTTTCTGTGTAGCCACATGGACAACGCATGTCAAAGCACTTTGAAAACAGAAAATCCTATTCAAATGATAGGTATTATTTAGAAAGTTGGCTTTATAAATGTATGTTTTTGACAGCTTCAATTAAAGTTAGGATCCTACTAAGAGAAATTATCATTGTACCTTCTTTTGTGAAGTCAAAGCCTTCAAGACAGTACTCAAAATTCAATAAGTAGGTTTTACTACGTAGATGAACAAAGCTTTAAAGTGAATAAGGACAGCAGTGAAGGGCAGGTCAAGGATAGATACTTCACAAGCCAACTGAATGAAGACCATGGATTCGTTAGCTCTGAGCCGTTTAACATTTCATATTATACTTAGCAGGAATGTATGACAATATTACTTTGATTTTTTGCTGGTCCCGCTTAATTACTGCATCCAGTTGCTTCCTTTTTTCATTTTCTTCTCGTAGTTTTCTTTGTAGCTGTATCTTTTGATATTTCATGTGATCTACACTCTGCTCTAGCTCATTAGCACGTTTCTCATTTTGGATTGACAGTGATGCCAGTTTCTTACTATCTTGTTGCTTCTTCTGCAAGACCTGAGATCATATGGAATATTTCAAAATGAAAAACTGAATCTCTCACAATCCTCAACTAAACTTAATCTTTTCATTTGATGGTAAAAGAAGAAATTTTCCCTAGATTTTCATTTATTTTTGACAGGTTTACAAACAATTGCTTACTATCATACATTTCCATTTTTGCAATTAGGGAAACCATCATAATTTGCATCACATATGTAAAAGTATAAAGAATCATGAGACTTCCTGATGTGGACAACAAACAAATGAAACAGATGATTTGCTTTTCATTAATAAGTATTTTAATTTAAAAAATAGTTAAAACAGTATAAAACTGAATTTATATTTTAAGAGTCACTCTTATCATATACCCCTAATCTACCTGTCCTGCTTCCCAACACAAAATTATCAATTTCTTAAATATTCTTCCAGAAAAAAATGTATGCAATGCATATGCATGCAAATAGCTGCATATGTATTCTATATAGACTACTGTCTCCCTTTTTTCCTACTTATCTCAGAGGTCTTTTCATATAGATTTGTTCCAGGTGGCTGCACAGCATTCTACTGTGCTCTTGTTTTTATAGCTACAGCTATAGCCTAAATCGTTAATCCCTGAGTTAGGATGATCAGAGCTGATAACATCTTCCCTGAGAGTGACCAACCATTATAATTACTATTTTAACATTTATCTTAAATTCCTTCTCATCTAACTAAAATTACGTACAGATAGCATTAGACTTTCAAAGTGTTCACACCACTAATATAAAATACTTGTGTTACAATTTAGTCCTGACCAAACAAACATGTATTAAACTTGTATAATGTGATTAGCATTGCACTAAATACCAATTAGGTGGCATAAAAAAGGTAAAGGGATGTCATTCATAAATTATGCAGACCACAATTAATTATTTCCTTTATTTTGGCAATAAAGTGTTAGCATAGGCAAGTTTTGTTTTAATTAAACTAAGTATCCAAGAGGCACTGCTGCTTAGAGCAGTGCTACTCAAAATGTGATCTGTGGACCAGTGCTAGTTCACAGACATTGTTGTCAATTTGCACTCCTCAGCATACTGTTAGATTCGGTTGACGTTTTCATGTGAGACTTTTTTGATCAAGGAAGCTGTGCAATGACTGACCTTTATCTCATCACAGAACAAGAACAATCGGCAGATGGACTACTTTGGGTACCACTGGCTTGGAGGCCACAGGCCTTTGCCATTTCCAGTACCTAAATTTGGACACTGGCTTTGCCACTTACAATTGACAGTAATTACAATACTGCAGCAAAAATTATAATACCAGCATTTTAGTGTCTTTTTCACATAATATTAAAAATATCAGTGTACATCCTGAAAGTCTTACTTAAGAGTGAGATACTGTTGCCATTGTCTTTTGCACTTATTTCATAGTTGCTCAAAAGTGCATCTGTCAGCATTAAACTATTAATGCAGCATGTAACGCTCTACATATACCTAAAGACATTAAAAATATAGGTTTTAGAAGTTTTTAATTTAAAAATGTTTTGTTTTAAAAATTGAAATAACTGTTTTATACCAATAATAATACTAGTATTTCAATATTTTAAAACAGCATGATATGGCTGGGTGTGGTGACTCACACCTGTAATCCCAGCACTTTCTGAGGGCGAGACGGGTGGATCACTTGAGGTCAGGAGTTTGAGACCAGCCTGTCCAATGTGGTGAAACTGCGTCTCTACTAAAAATACAAAAATTTGCGGGTGTGGTGGCAGGCACCTGTAATCCCAGCTATTTGAGAGCCTGAGGCAAGAGGATCATTTGAGCCTGGGAGGAGGCAACTGCAGTGGGCTGAGATCATGCCACTGCACTCCAGCCTGGGCAACAGAGCAAGACTTCACCTCAAAAAAAAAGTATGATATGTTAGAGAACTGAAAACCGGTATTGTCATCACCACTATGGGACTCTGACTGAGTTATTTTACCTTTCTAAACCTTTCTTTCCACATTTGTAAAATGGCTAAAAATGCCCACTTCAAAGGATTAAATAATGCGTATAAACCATTTGGTATGTATAGGCCCTCAAATGGTAACTACTGTCCTCCTCATCCTCCTTATCATCCTTATCCCCATGAGTAGTGCATGGATATGTCAAAGGTACAAAATTTCTAAAACTATGTCTTCTTTCTGTCCTCTGCTGTATCAGATGTTTCTTTTGAGGTAAAGTTCTACACCTTTCATTTTCTTTCCTTATCAGTACTCTTAGCAGAAAAGGATATACAGCAGGAAGCAAAGCATGGAAAGGTGAATTCCAAAGTGGAAATAACTATGCTGAAGGAAAATGGAAGGTGTGACATAGATAACCACCCTATGTCCTCCTTTAAGCAGTTCAAATATTCAAGTCATATTATTTTAACTTGATGTTGACTTGAGAAACTATTTAGGTAACAATTTTTAGTGGAAATATCCAGATGTTTGAGGTGGCATCAGAAACCCCAGGAGGGACTTTTCAGGCCTGTCACACCAGAATATACTGGTATATTACAATATACCGGGCACACCAGAGGTATATTGTAAACATCTATTTTGTTTAAAGCAAATAACTGTGGCATAGTTCAATAATAATAATAATAATAATGCTGTGAATAGGTTAATTACAACTCTACCTAAAATGGAAAAATATAAAAATGTTTCTATAACATGAAAGAAAGCAGTAGACCATGAGAGATAAAGAAATAGAGGACACATCCTAGAAAGTTCATTATGATCAGACTAACAAAGCACTGTGACTATCTCCAAAGCACCTGGAAATGGCTTCATCACACAAAATCTCCATGTGATGGAATATTTCTCATAGAATAGAATTTTTAACTGTAGCTATTTCTAAAGTTAAAGCTAAAACCAGGCATTAGGAAGTTAAGGATGAGTTGCAGTACACAAAGTTATTAACCTTTCTTAAGCCAATCAGTTATGGTTTGGGAAAACCATATCTCGAAATAGTTCCCATTTGTTGAGTGTCTACAAAGTGTCATATATGTACCAGCTGTTTTATTTGTATTATTTAATCATTATTTAATCCTTTGTCCTTCAGAAATAAACACTGTTTCGTGGTTACGTTTATTTCTTACCATGTGGTTTTTTGATATGATGATTGAAAGAAGATACTTCTTGAATTAAGAAATATACTACCCAGATTGTAAAATATGTAAATCGACCAGCACACTACAAAAGAAAAGTTGATACCCAGTTTCTCTTGCTGGTATAAACTGAATCCCACTTCTTTCCTAACTCAGTACAAGAATCCTCAGAAGCAAGAAAGCTTAAATAAGTTTTCTCAATTACATTTTTTAAATTACCTGAACTCTCAGCTTTGCAGCATCCATCTTTTTACGAAACTCTTTCTGTAATTTTACCTTCATTGCAACATCAGAAAGATCTTTGTTTTCCAGCTCCTGTAGCTGCTTTTGTGTTTCAATCAGTTCGACTTTTGCCTGTTCTGCATCATGCTCTAGCTTTGTTACTTTCAAAGAATACTGCTTGCTTACAGACTTGGCATCATTACCTTAACCGTAATAATAATTATTATTAGTATAAATTATGTAAAAAGAAGTTAAACATCCAAAACATAAAAATACTCTACTCTAAAATCCAGCCAGGCAGTGATACTATTTAAGGCATAGCATTAAAAACCCAGTTGTCCCCACCCACCCCCATCAAACACAGCTTGCCATCAGGCCTCTTAATAATTAGTTCCTTAATGACTGTTCCCATCTGCTGCCAGTCAGTCTCACTGGTTCAATGTTTGGCGTTTTAGAGTGACATCTCTGGTCCTCTGAATTTGTAGTTGAGCTTTGCTGGCATCAAACTCAGTTAAGAAGGATATTTGGAGTGACTGTTTGTCCTCTTGCTTAGTATACTCCAGCCTCCTGCTACCAATAATCTGTCTGCTTGAATTCCTTTTTTAAATTATTATGAAAATTTTAAAATACAACAAAAGAAATAATAAAATGAACCGCCATCACCCAGATTTAAAAGTTATCAAGATTTTGTCACAGCTGCTTCAAATATGCCTATTGTTTTACTTTGCTTAAATATTATAAAGCAATCCCAAATGTCATTCATCTCACCTATACATACTTCATTTTGTTAAATTCCTCTTTTTACTTATACATACTGCAATCGGCATTCACACAAAATATGGACATAACCAAAAAGTCATTATCACACTAACAATATTAACACCAATCAGTCCATATTCAGACTTCCCCAATTGCCTCAAAATGTGTCTCACAATTGGTTTATTTAAATCAGGATCTAAACAAGGTCCACAATACATTTGATTTGTTATGTCTCTTAAGAATCTTTTCATCCAAAGCTAACTCTCTCCTTTTTCACTAACCCGAACTTATTCAAGATTAATTCCTTTTAAATTCTTTTCTTATTAATATATAGAAGAGAAAAAATAGAATAAAGATATTTCTATATCTCTTGATTCTAAATCCAGCTAGTGACCCTAAAAGCTTGGTTTTGATTTGCTCTGAATAGGCAACCGTCCCTGAACTAGACTGGCAAACTCGTGGCAGTAGAAAACAGGAGTCTAAAGCTCAGAGGATGAATAATCACCAGAGACAGTTTATTATACTATTTATTTATTTAGACAGAGCCTCGCTCTGTCACCCAGGCTAGAGTGCAGTGGTACAATGTCAGCTCACTGCCACCTCCGCCTCCTGGGTTCCAGCAATTCTCCTGCCACAGCCTCCTGAGTAGCTGGGATTACAGGCACACGCCACCATGCCCAGCTAATTTTTGTATTTTTAGTAGAGACAGGGTTTCACCATGTTGGCCAGGCTGGTCTCGAACTCCTGACCTCAAATGATCTGCCCACCTCGGCCTCCCAAAGTGCTGGGATTACAGGCGTGAGCCACCGTGCCCAGCCTATTATACTATTTATATAGCTGGTTATACTGCTATCCAAAAATACTCATCATTTTTTTATAAAAGTTATTTAACTAAATGCAGTGTGAACTGTCCTCTGACTCTAATTTATGATTACTTGACTAACTTTAAAATACATACAACTACTATATTTTAACAAATCATTTTGGACTATTCATTAATTGTTCAACACACCAATATTTTATGAACCACTAAAAAAATATACAGTGCCAATTACAACATGTTTATTTTATTTTTTTGAGACGGTCTTGCTCTGTCACCTAGGCTGGAATGCAGTGGTGCAATCATGACTCACTGCAGCCTTGACCTCTGGGGCTGAATCAGTCCTCCTACCTCAGCCTTCCAAGTAGCTGGGACTACAGGCGTGTGTCACCATGCCCAGTACGCATCAGTAGTTTTTATAAATTTTTTTTGCAGTGTATTAGAATTGATAAAATATAGTATAGATGTCCTGTTATTATTAGTTGGCAGAAGTAGCTGCTATTCAAGAAAAGTCTTCAGTGAGAGAGCATTAAGGGCATTAAGTTTTTTGTGTTGTTTTTTTTTTTTGACATTTTTTAAGAAGCATCCTCTGCTTAGCTACTTTCCCAAAGCTTTTTCCTTTCTCATTCCTAGTGACATATGTGCTATGCATCATCCTAGCTCCAGTTATGCAGATGTTTAAATGAGTTTGGCCATGCTGCTTCCCCACAGGCAGGATCAAACACCAGTTGACCCCTCTTAGGAGTATCTAGGAGCTGATCTAGAATGGTTTCTCCATTCCCAAGATTTCAGGGTACTGCCTGTGGAAGTTGAGGATATTTACCCAATAGAATCAATGACTTTCTTTCAGAAAGGTTATCTTACTATGGATCTCATTAAACAAGCATGTGTTTGTAGCCTGGTATACCCAACGTGGTTGTTTTAAAATAGAGGATACCAGAGCTTATACAGAGAAGACCCTTTTCTTGCTCATTAGAACCAAGGGCAATTTGGAGCTTTCCTAAAAATCCTCAGAGATGGTGACTAACAAAAGTTGTCAGTGAGTGCTTACTTTTCAATGCCCTCTCACTGAAGACTTCTCTTGAATAGCAGCTGCTTCTGCCAACTAATAATAACAGGACTATATTTTATCTATTTTATAGATAAAATATCTATACTATATTTTATCAATTCTAATACACTGTCAAAAAAAAATTATAAAAACTACTGACGCATACTGGGCATGGTGGCACACGCCTGTAGTCCCAGCTACTTGGGAGGCTGAGGTAGGAGGATTGGTTGAGCCCCAGAGGTCAAGGCTGCAGTGAGTCATGACTGCACCACTGCACTCCAGCCTAGGTGACAGAGTGAGACCCTGTTTCAAAAAAATAAAATAAACATGTTGTAACTGGTACATTAAGTGCCACAGAATTTCAGCACAATGCAGAGTTCACACCAGTTAGAACAATTCAGAGGTGAAATCCCAAAACAACAAAATTCTTCTGATAACTAACCTCCACATATTGGCCTAAAAACTCACCTTGTTACACCAATCCAAGCTAAGTGGATAGACCTGAGCTTCAAAAACTAAAGTAACTGTTACCACATCAGAAGCAATTTTAAGAAGTTTTCTTTCTCATTTAAGCTGGTTCACAAGATACTATTACCTGTTTTTATTAATTCTTTAATCAGATCTTCCTTCATCTTGATGTTAATTGTAAGTTCTCTCATTTTTTGTTTAGCTTCAGTAAGTATGCGTTCTGAATTCTTTAATTTTTGCAAATTCAATTCTTGACTCTCCTGGAGACAATCAATCTTTAAATCTTTAAAAAAAAATGGAGAAATAAAACTATCTGCTGGTAAAATATTCAACAGAAGTAGAGTTAAAAAAAGAAAAGCAGACTCAAAAGCAATTTAGAGGTGGCAGTGGAAGAGACAAAAAGGAAGGGGAGGAAAAAGGGGAAAAAATACACAGCAATTGGGACTCTAGCATTCCAGCTTACAGTAAGAGTTTTTATTTTCTTACAAATTAATACATGTATGTATATATTCTTTCTTAATATCCCATAAGTTCAGACACACAGTTTTTCATTGCCTTTAACATGAGTTATTTGAGATAGGTATAAAATTTCCAGATGGAGAGAGGGGTGAATTTGTTTCCTATCAACTTCTACTTTTACTGTAATTGGAGAATGCAGACTATACCAGGCTACTCAGAGTGTGGTCTAGCACTGTTTGTTACTGTCCTGCACCAGAATGTAAATCAACTATGTCACTAAGCACACTGCTTTAGTTCAGGTGACATTTTTTTCATAGCCAGACTTTCTCAAGGAAGGAACTAGTGTAAGCTCATTTACATTCCGACGTAAGTTTTTTTCCTGGTTGCAGAGCAGTAACAAACAGCTCAAGCATGGCTGCTTGAGTAGCATTTACCTTTATTATTTCCACATTTTGAAATTTATTTTAGTTATACTTAAATTTTTGGCTCATAAAGCCACGTATAGGTTCTTAAAGAGATGCTCTATATTTTCAAAGTGTAGCACTTGTATTATCCCTATTCCCTTATTTTTTGTGGGTCAACCACGCATTGACCAAGAGAGATGAGTTAACAAAATCTCCTACTACCGGCTGGGCACAGTGGCTCATGCCTGTAATCCCAGCACTTATTGATGCATAAAAATTCTTAGCAGTTGTGTACTAAAACATTACCAACACCCAGTACACTAATTGGGCTCTAATGCCAAATACATCATTGATGTTAGGCACAAGTCCCAGTGAAGGAGTAGACACCTAGTACAATTATTTATACTGTATTTTAACATCATCAGGAATACAAAGCATATCAATTCAGGTCTGAATATAAAAATCCTTATTCTGAGGGAGTTAGCCTATATCTCTCGCTATAATTAATTGATAGAAAATCTTTTTTTATTAAGGAGTAAAAGAGTAAAAGAGGTAAAACAGAGAACATAAAAGAAGTTCTACCAACTAGGAAAGCATTTGTACCAAATTCTGGTCTTTGAGAATTCCTGGATGTTTCTTAAATTATCAACTGAGGAAAAAGATAAGTGTCCTATAACCATTAGGTCTACATTATTTAAGAAGATCTATGTACCTTCATTCTCCAAATCTGACTTTTGTGTTTCATCCTGAGTATCACTCAATTCAACAAGGGAACAAACAGAGTCTGGCTTCTGAATCCATGAACGACTTCTACATCTTAAAAAAAAATCAGAAAGTTAACTTATTTGTTCGTGTTTTCTAATCTGCCCTCAAATTAGTTTCCCCGAAAAGTGAAAGTAATGTTAAAAAAATTATTAGTTACATATAAAAACAGAATGTTACTAATATTGCTCAAAATAAAAGGATGCCCCCCCCATCCATGTTGAATCCAGTAGAAAAGTCATGTTTGTTGCCAACGTGGCAGCAGAATAAGGAAATCCAAAAAAAAAAAAAAAAAAAAACCTCTGAAAATTAGAATCTCATTACTATAAAAGCTCTAAAAGCAAAATTATTTTTCAGTTATAAGACTGATGACTTGTGTTCAAATACTATTTTCATAACACATTAGATGATAGTACTTTTAGCAAAAGTTACCTACTCTTCTATTAAACATAAAAGATATACTCCAATGGAAAAAACCTACACTTCTATATTTATTGCAGCATATAATTCTAAATATTTATTAAATCAGTGTATATTTAACATACCTAGTTCCAGATTTCTCTTGGCCTTCTGATTCTTCATCATCACTGTTATCAGAAAATTGGCAGTGGAGGACCTTATCTTGTTCTTCTATGTGACCCAACAGCATCTGACTTCGTGTTCGAAATCCAGCAAATATTCGATCCAGAGAGTACATAGGCGGACTTGTGTGGACCTTGCAAGTGATTCCCCCACCCAACAACAAAAAAAGTGATATTTTAAAAGTCTAATTTTATCCTATTACTCTAAGTGCTTTTAAAGGGGTTATTAGATTGGCACTCTTAAAATAGCCAATCACTGGAAAATGCTCCCCTCAAACAAAGGTCAAAATTAATTTAACAATACTGTTGTGCCTCACAGACAAATACTTCTTTCAGAATCCACACAGCTCCTTCTCTTCTGGACAACTCTTCTATCTTCACTTACAGAAAACAGTATTCAAAAATGAAACCAAAAGAACGCATGGAAAACATCCTAGCTCTTAAACACAACACAGACACACCCCAACAAATGTACCCTCTTCCCCATCTTCCCAGTTCAGAACACCTGGAGAACTGTGGTGCTGCCGCCAAAGGTCTGCATCCCCTCCAATCCAAATCCTACCACAGGAAGAAACCCAGAGCCGTCTCCACTCCCTCTGCCAGGGCAATATTCCTAATCTGAATACCACAATGTATATACTTATTCTTTATACATGGTAGTTAGGTATAGCTGAATTAAGGCTCTAGGAAAAATATTTAATATATGTCATAGGACAAATAAAATCGTATGGCTAGCCTGGGAGTTTTCTATAGTACAACATTCTTCTATTGGAAATGCACTTTAAATTCTCAAAAAAAAATGACCTTGGAAAACAACAACAATAAATTAGAAATTGCCTTTATACCTTTGTTCTGGTTTCTATTACAAAATATTTCCTCTGCACCATCTCTGTAACCAAATCTCAAGATGACTTCTCTCAAAAGGCAATAAAATCTTAGAGGAGACAGTCCATTTATCAATATAAATTATTATAAGCTGTTAAAATTATAACATATAGTGGAATATGAGTATCACACAGTGTTTAGGATTTAATCACTTGACAATAGGCCCCCGTCATGTATTCTCTCCTAAAAAATCCTACCTGATTCTGAAAATCATCTTATATCTGATTTTTGTGCTTCTGCTGTCAGTCACCTAATTAGATCATCTGTCACATCAGCATCATGATAGATGGGCGTAAAGTTTTTTAGGTGGCCTCCCAATGGGGTATGAGGGAGGGGAATTCTTTAAGAAGAACCAACTCAAGAAGTACTGATCTAACAAATACAACGTACTAGACATGGCTATTTTATCCCATAACTGGCAGGCATCTAGTTTTCTTTTGTGAGAGTTTGGGAATTATTTAAGGAGCAAATAATAAAATCTTTGTTCAGAGTCCAACTTCATTCTCTGGGATTGTAATTTCCTTTTAAAATTTCTTTTTACAAAGAAAACCAAATGTCCAGAGCTATTATAGTATTCATACCACCCAAGGCTGCCTGATGCAAAGTCCATGACACTGCTCATGTATCACTTGCCTTTCATTTCTTATCCCTCTGACTGTAACAACCAGATGGATCTCACGTGAACAAATCATTTCCCTTCATAAAATGAGGAAACAGAAACCAGAATTCATGAACCTGCTAAACCAAAACTCATGAATCTGCTAATTACGTCTTTTCCATAATAGAGATTCTTTGATAATTCTTAAAACTGTGTGTGTATATATTTACCAACCACACACAAACTAAAATTTATATTGATATTTATATTGTCTTGATTATGTCTACTTGGTAAGACTGAACAGCATATAAATATTATTTCAAAAATGACAGACCAAACAAGTTGAAATAAATATCCTCTAACATCTCAACTTTGTGTGGTTAAAGGAAGAAATAAATTCATGTAGATATTAAACTTGGTCATGTCTGAAAATATGGCAAAGGATACCTTTTTCACATTGAAGAAGTATGGACATTATCTCCATCCAACTATTCCCTCCAAATGTAACTGTGTATTCTCTTGTTTATTAGTTTTTTTATTAGAAAGAAGTATGCTTAAAAGAAAAGGTATACACAAAATTCCATAAAATCAAACAAAAAAAATCTGCTGAGACTGTATAAATACACTGTGATATTACACATGGCTAAAATTTTTTTAATCTCCAAATAAGGAAAAGATTGTTTGGACTTTACCTTCCTGGAATCTTGTCTTGATGGGATATAAATATAATGCCCCAAATGAGTATCAAATGGTACAGTATATGGTCTCCTTTCAGGGATCCTGGCATCTGGCCCATCTCCACAATTTTCTTTAGCTGAAGAAGTCACTGACAGGTTAAGTTTTGTTAGTTCTTCACTCAGTTGATCCACAAGAAGTTGTTGTTCTATTATTTTTTCATTCTTTGTAGAAGAGAGATGAAAATTTTTAATATAGAGCACTTCAGTACATTTAGATTATGATTAAAAATGAATTTTACATTGACCAAAATCATAACTACTTTAATAATACAGTCAATTCTCATTTATCCAGAGACTAGCTCTCTGGTGTTCACAAGTAACTAACATTGTTCTGAGTGGTAAAACCTTTTTAATAGTAAGGAGCAACAAACACAGCCAAAAAAGTCAAAAGTCAAATACTCAAAGATAACACGCCATCCACTGTGACTGGATGCTTTGCCAACCTGAAGCACTTTGATTAGCTATCTTTATTAAAGTATGGACTTTCTGAGTGAAATCCAAGAAGTAAAAAGAAACAAGAAAGTTCAAAAAGTGGAGAAAGAATTGTAGGCAGCAGAGTTTGCAGCAAAGGAGGCAGAAGGAGGTAACAAGTGCAGGGAAGTGAAAGCCTTAGTGAAAAAGGAAGCCAAAAGCAGACAGATAGAAGATAGCCAACTGATAGTCCTGAGAGGAAGGAGAACTTGGAAATCAAAGGCAGAACAAATTGTGTATCAGGAATGTGTGTGTGTGTTTGTGTATATGTGGTTTAGTATTTTTTGTGTATCCTCTAAAGAAAATTTTTGAAGTGTATCAAATCTAGAAAGCTCTAATGTCAATCTTTGTTTTACAAGCACAAATTTATGTAAATAAGAAACAGTCATTCATCTTAATACTTCACATGTACTACAATGTTGAAATAGGAAAAAAAACCTTACATTTTCATTGTATAAATGCTGAGCAATAAAAATGCAACCTTACTTAAAAATCACGTATTCAGATAATTAAAATATACAACATCAAAGGATTCAATGGAGTTCTTACATTGCCTGGGAAAAGGATAAAAGTACCAATTAATATTAGGGTGCATGGTATACTCTCTAGGATAACCACTAAAAAAAGAGTAAAACTATAACTTCTAAGTTAGTGGAGAAAACAACAGAAAAAGAAAAAATAACCAATGATCCAAAAGAGGGAAAAAGGAACACAGAGGAGGAAGGATAAATAAAAGGCACAATGGTGGATTTTTACCAAAACAGTAATTATGTTAAATTAATGAATGAATAATGAAATTAAAAGATAAAGACTATCAGAAAGGATTTTAAGATTATCTAACCATATGCTGCTTACAAGAAACATATCTAAAATAGACACAGAAAGATTAAAAATAAGATAGAAAAAGAGATACCATGTAAATATTAATCAAAAGAAAGCTGGTGTAGCTATAGTAATGTCAAGGTAAGCTTTAAGGCAAAACTCATTAGATAAGAAGAGGTAAAAATGATTAAAAGAGCAATTCACCAGGATGGTATAACAATTCTACATTTGTGTCCACTTAATAACACAGCTTCAATATTTGTAGTGCAAAAACTATCAGCACTTCAGGGAGAAATAAGACAAATCCAAAATTATAGTAGGGCTGGGCACAGTGGCTCACACCTGTAATCCCAGCACGCTGGGAAGCCAAGGCCAGTAGATCACTTGAGCCCAAGAGTTTGAGAGCAGCCTGGACAACATGGTGAAGAACCCCTTCTCTACAAAAAATACAAGAATTAGCAGGGCATTGTGGTGTGCACCTGTGGTCCCAGCTACTCAGGAGGCTGAAGTGGGAGGACTGCTTGAGCCCAGGAGGTCGAGGCTACAGTGACTCATGATCGTGCCACTGTGCCCCAGCCTGGGTGACAGAGTTGAGGTCTGTCATAGTGGGAGATTTTAACATCACTTTATAAATTACTGATATAACAAAAAGACTTCAAAGGTGAGTAAAAAATGTAGATTTGAATAATAGGATTAACAGTGCCCAATGACTGCAGAATGCATATTCTTCTCAAGTACCTCTGTAACATTTACAAACATTTGCCTTATTCTGAGCCAAAAAGCAAGTTTCAATACATTCAAAGGACTGAAATCAGAGATAGTATGTTATCTGATCACAATGCAATAAAAATTGATTAAAGAAAAATAAATCCCCCATGTCCTGTAAATAAAATAACTATGTTATTCACAAGTCAAAAAAAAAGTCACAATGAAAATTAGGAAACATTTTGAGCTCAATGTGGAGTGCAAGTCAAGATAAGCTTAGAAATATGTAAGCTTATCTTGACTTGCACTCACAAAGAAGAGAAGCTAAAAATCAATATACTAAATATTCATCTAAAGATGTTAAAAAGATAGCAGGAGGTTACCCCAAAAGTAGAAGGAATTAAATAATAAAGGGCAGAAATTAGTGAAATAGTGAACAAACTAATGAAATAATGAACAAACATACACTAGTGAGGATTAACAAAGTCAAAAATTGTCTCTTTGAAGAGACTAATGAATTGGTAATTTTACTAGCTAGTGAAACTGCAAGAAAAAAAAGTGAGAGAAGGCACAAATAATCAGGAATGAAAAAGGGGACATGTGACTACACAGTCCCCTTTATTCATTAATAAAGATATTAATGAATAAAAGACTATCATAAACAAACTTATGCCAATACATTTGAAAATTATATACAATGGTCAAATTCCTAGAAAAATAAACCTTATCAAAACTGGAGGAAAAGAAAATACTAATATGATTTAATTCATAAAACATACCCCCAAAGAAAATTTCCAGTCCCAAATGCTTAACAGGCTAATTCAACCAAACATTTAAGAAAGAAATAATACCAATTTTCACACACCTTTCCAGGTATAGGGGGAATTAAATAATCTATATTATGAGGCCAGCATAACTTGTTACAATATCTGACAAGAATACTATGAGAAAGAAAAATATAGGACAAACTTACTGACAAATATAAACATCACACTAGCAAACCAAATCTAGGTCAATTGTGCAGAAGAGTTAACATAGCAGACCTGACTGCTATCTTTTAGAAGACCTGCTATGAGGTTGTCAGATGTCTGAGAACTTGGATTTTGGGAGTGTTTCTTAAACACTCTGATTATACTGACTCACTGTGCTCAACTGTTTGCACTATCAATGTGGTTTATGCTGTACACCTGCTTTCCTTGTAGTCTGGGACTTTGGTTCATGCTAGGCAAAGGGTGCCTTCATGACCCACGCATCCTCAATATAACCCATAGGCACTGAGTCTACTTAGTTTCCCCGCCAGATAACATTTTATAGGTGTTGTCACAACTCATTGCTGGGGGATTAAGCACATCCTCTGTGACTCTGCTGAGAGACAAGTCTTGGAAGCTTGTGCCTGGTTTCCTCCAGACTTTGTTCCATGTGTCTTTTTCCTTTGCTGATCTTGCTCTGCATCCTTTCACTGTAATAAATCCTAGCCAGGAGAATGAATATATATTGAGTTCTCATAGTACATCATCCAATCTGAGGGTGGTTTTGGGGAACCCCCAATACAACAGTACATCACAACATCAACAACAAAAAGGGTTTATTCCAGGAATAAAAGATTGGTTAAAAATCAGATCAATCGGCCGGGCACTGTGGCTCACACCTGTAATCCCAGCACTTTGGGAGGCTGAGGTGGGCAGATCATAAGGTCAGGAGATCGAGACCAAGACCATCCTGGCTAACACAGTGAAACCCCGTCTCCACTAAAAATGCAAAAAAAAAAAAAAAAATTAGCCAGGCATGGCGGCGGGCGCCTGTAGTCCCAGCTACTTGGGAGGCTGAGGCAGGAGAATGGCATGAACCCAGGAGGCAGAGCTTGCAGTGAGCCGAGATCACACCACTGCACTCCAGCCTGGGTGACACAGTGAGACTCTGCCTCGAAAAAAAAAAAAAAAAAATCAGGTCAATCAGTGTAACTCACCATATTAGCAGAATAAGGAAGAAAAATCATATGATAAAGAAAAATCATTTGATAAAAATCAATATCCATTCATAATAAAAATTCTCAGTTATTTCCTTAGTTTGGGAAAGGGTAAATTAAAAATACCTATAGAAAATATAATAACTTCAGAGTGAAATTTTGAAAGCTTTTCCTCTATGATTGGAAACAAGACAAGGATGCTTTCTATCACCACTTGTATTCAACACTGCATTGGAGATCCCAGCAAATACAAGAAGGTATTTTTATAATAACTTTATTGAGACAAAATTCACATACTATAGAATCCAACTATTTAAAGTATACAATATAGAAGATATAGAAGAAAAAGATACAGAAGGTGAAAGGATTATAAAGGAAGAAATGAAACTGTTACTATTTGCAGATGACATAATTATAAATGAAAATCCAAAAGAATTTACAGATAAAATATTAGAATTAAAAAGCAAGTATAGACCGGGCACGGTGGCTAACGCCTGTAATCCCAGTACTTTGGGAGGCCAAGGCAGGTAGATCATTTGAGGTCAGGAGTGATTGACTGACATGTTGAAACCCTGTCTCTACTAAAAATACAAAAAAAATTAGCCAGGCATGGTTGTGCATGCCTGTAGTCCCAGCTACTAGGGAGGTGGAGGCAGGAGAAGCACTTGAACCTAGGAGGCAGAGGTTACAGTGAGCCGAGATCATGCCATTGCACTCCAGCCTGGATGACAGAGTGAGACTCTGTCTCAAAAAAAAAAAAAAAAAAAAAAAACAAAACACACACAAGTTTATAGCCAGGCATGGCAGCGGGTGCCTGTAATCCCAGCTATACAGGAGACTGAGGCAGGAGAATCGCTTGAGCCCGGGAGGCAGAGGTTGCAGTGAGCGGAGATTGTGCCACTGCGCTCTTATCTTGGGTGACACAGTGAGACTCCGTCTCAAAAACAACAAAAAAAAGAAATTACTTCCAAAAAGTTTGGATCTTTTCCATTTATCTTGGGAATTTTGAAGGCTCCCCACTTGATGGTAACTGTAGACACTCCTTATCAAAAACTGAGTTTAGTCAGGTTGCTGGATATATAATGTATTAATATCTAAAAATTAGTACAGTTCCACATACCAACAATTAGGGAATTTGAAAAATAAAATTTTTTAAAGATTCCATTTATAGTGACAGAAAAAAAATCAAGTACCTAAAAAGAAATCTATAAATTATTTGCAATATTTCTGCACAAAAAAATGTAGGCCATTACTGAGAAAAAATAAAGGAAATCTAAGTAAATGGAGAACAATACCATGCTTATGGATTAGGAGACTCAATCAAAATATGTTCATTAATTCTAAACATATATAAATGTAATTTAATGTTAATTAATGTTAACCAACTTGATTGAATCTTTCTATAATGTATACATACATCAAAACATTACACTGTATCCCAGAAACATACAAAATTATTTGATCACGAAAAATAAATAAATGAAAATAGCATACTAAGTGAAAGAAGTCACACACAAAGGCCACTTACTGTATGATTCCAGTTGTATGAAATGTTTAGAATAGGCAAATCCATAGAAGTAGAAAGTAAAGTGGTTTTTGCCAGGGGCTGAGGAAAGGAGGAAAATGAGGAGTGACTGCTAGTGGATACAATATTTTCATTTTCATTTTGGGTTGATAAAAATATTCTAAAATTAGATGGTGTGATGGTTAAACAATTCTGTAAATACATAAAAAAATCATTGAATTGTATATTTGAAGGGCTGCATTCTATAGTATGTGAATTATATCTCAATAAAGTAATTATTTTAAAAATTTAAAAATTAAAATAAAATTTATATGGAACAACCAAGACATCTGGGGAGTGGGGAGGGAAGAAGAAAAGCAGAAGGCCTTGCTCTACAAAATATCTAGACTTATTATAAACCTACAATAAATAAGAAATGTGATCTTGGCTCAAGGAGATACAAATCAACCAACAGAATAGAAGGCCAAGAAATAGACAAGAGATTCATGCACAAATGGACCTTGATTTATGATAAAGATAGCACTCAAAACAGTTGTGAGAAGATGGTTTCCAATAAATGATGCTAGAACAAATGAATATCTATATGTTTAAAAAATGAAATTTGATCTTTACTTTACTCCATACACAGAAATCAATTCCTGGAGGACTATACAGCTAAATGTGGAAGGCAAAACAATAAAGCTTCTGGAAGATAATATAGAAAGTATCCTCAGAGGAAACAACTGGGGAAAGGAAAAACTTATTAAATAGAGAACAAATACCATTAACCATAAAGGAAAAGATTGATGAATTTGATTACAATAAGAACTCTTCATCAAAGATACCACTGAGAGTAAAAAGCAAGCCACAGAAAAATTATTTGCAATCATGTAAGTGACAAAGCGCTCACACCCAGAATATACAACAAACTTCTACAAATTAATCTAGAAGACAGGTAACTCAATAGAAAAACAAACAAGAGACTTGAATGAGTACTTCACAAAGGAGGATATCCAAATAGCCAAAAACATATGAAAAAAATGCTCAACCTCACTAGTCATCAGGGAAATGCAAACTAAAGCCACAATAAAATACTACATGCCTACCAGATTGGCTAAGATTTAAAAATTAATAACAAATGTTGAGAAGCACATGGAACAGTGAGAATGCTCACATGGAATAGTGAGAATGCTGGGTGGGAGTATAAAGTGGAAAACAATCTGGTATCACCTACAAAAGTTAAAGATATATCTACCCTATGGCCTAGCAATTCAACTCTTAGGCACAAATCTGAAAGAAATATATGTGCATGTGCACCGAGAGACACTGAAAATTCACGAGAAAATTTCACAGAAAGCCACAAATGTCCATCAAACAGTAGAACAGAAAATAAATTGTGGTATAGTCATACAATAAAATCCTATGTAGCTATAAAACTAAACAAACCACAGTCACACATTACAGATAAAATATTAGAATTTACAGAAAAAATATTATGATTAAAAAGTGGATGAATCATAACAATGTTCAACAAAAGCAGCCAGATACTGAATAAGCTATACTGAATAAATTAATAAAAATTCCAAAAACTAAACTGTAGTGTTGAAGGATACATATTTAGATAGTAAAACCATAAGAAAAGCAAAGAAATGATTACCATGTAAGTCAAGAGAGTGGCTCTCTGAGGAAGAGGGAGGAATAATAATTGTAAGGAGGCACTAAAAATTTTGAGGCGCTGGCAGTTAGCAATTTCTTGACCTGGTGGTGGTTACCCAGCTGTTCTCTCTGTGATAAATCACTGATTAATATGCATTGTTTTGTATATACTTTAGTTTTATGTTTTTAAATTATTATACAATTAGGGCCAGGCATGGTGGCTCATACCTGTAATCAATCTCAGCACTTTGGGAAGCTGAGGTGGTAGGATCACTGAGCCCAGGAGTTCGAGACCAGCTTGAGCAACACAGTGAGACCCTGTCTCCACAAAAAAATCAGAAAATTAGCCGGGCACGGTGGCATGCACCTGTGGTCACAGCTACTCATGAGGCTGAGGCGGGAGGATCACTTGAGCCTGGGAGGTCGAGGCTGCAGTGAGCTGTGATTGTGCCAGTGCACACCAGCCTGAGCAACAGAATGAGATCCTGTCTCAAAACAAACAAAACAACAACAACAAACAACAACAAAATACAATTAGAAGGGTTAAAAAAGAAAACAAAAATCAAACAACGTAAAAATCAAAATCTGATGTGTGCTGGATCAGATTATTTCTCGGGGCATTAGTTATTCCCTGATAGGAAGCTAAAGGCTTTAAATGATATTAACTATTTGGGGTGATGGGAGAAGCCACAGCCAGGGAGTTTAATATGTAGAGGCATACTATGTTATACTGTAGACATATCCATGTTAATATAATAGGAAAGCTAAGATAGAAAATTTGAAAGATGTAAGCAAAGTTAAAAAGCAAATCACTCACGAGGTGTAAGAGGATAATTTAATACATTTTAAAGTTTAAATTATGTATTTACCATCCAACTCCTAACAATATTGCATTTCCTAATACCTTGGCAAACAACAGGAAGGAAAAGTATGGAAAAATAACCATGATATGATTTATAAATTAATTTCCTGGGTATTATCTTTATATTTCTAAAACCAAAGTCAGGCTAACAATAAAAATGTTTCCATTTAAGCAGATTTAAAGGAAAAACTAATAATTCTTTCAGGTGCCTATGTTCAGAACTCTTCAAATGAACATCCTTTTTTTAAGTTCCCATTTATCATTTAAAATGCTACTGTGTTTAGTTAGGTACTATTTCAAGAAAATCTACAGAGCTAGATGCATTAAGAAACTACCTGCAGTCTATTCACTTTTTGCGCTTCTTTCAAAGATACAGCATGCCCTTTGTTTTCCTGTACCATCATCTGCACTTGATTCTTCAGTTCCTTCACCTCCAGTTCCTTCTGATTAAATACTACTTCATCAGCAGCAAGCACACACTAGTGGGGAAAGAAAGCACAAGTGACATTCACCACAGAAAATAATCAAGAAACCCCATATGATAACACAAAAATGGTGATTTGATTATAGCTTGATGATGTCTCATAAATTTTTTTTCATTTTCAACTTTTTCTGATTTCTTTCTAAGAAAGGCAGAAAGAGTTGAGAGAACCTACCATTGCTATAACACAGGAATTCATTACCATGAAGACAGAAGATTTTCCTGATTTTTACTTCCTGTATATAAAAACTAGTTGTTTTGGTTCTAGAGTACCTTCACTAAGATTTTTACAAGTTTGCTAGAACTGCTATGAGATTTTAATGTGGATCACTCAAAGAGCTCACATTTTCCAAATTGACATATAGGGTTATAAGAATACATTAGGGCATTTGAATGAAGCAGATTTGCTGATTTTGTACACTTTCATTATGAAGAGATATATTTTGAAGATGTCTAAAAATGATTAAACAGTTTTACTTTTTGGTTTCTAGTAAATTTGCCGATTTTTAAGTACATTTGGGATATGTAAATAATAAAGTAGTTTTTAAATGAAATAAACAGAAAATTATTTGTCGAGAGCCTCATTCCACATATTGGCTTGGCATTTTAAAAATCTCACTAAATAAGATGTTGGTGTGGATGCGGTGATCAGGGAACACTTCTACACTGCTAGTGGGAATGTAAACTAGTACAGCCACTATGAACAACAGTGTGGAGATTCCTTGAAGGACTAAAAGTAGAACTACCATTTGATCCAGCAATCCCACACTACTGGGTATCTACCCAGAAGAAAAGAAGTCATTATACAAAAAAGATACTTGCACACGCATGTTTACAGCAGCACAATTCGCAATTGCAAAATTGTGGAACCAAACCAAATGCCTATCAATCAACGAATGGATAAAGAAACTGTGATATATATACACGTATATATATACGTGTATATATATGTATATATCACAACTCCTATATAAACCAACTCCAACATTCAAGCTTCCAATTACCAGTACTTCCTGTTCCACCAGTTTCTTATACTAATGAGGAAGGTCCTGCTCTACCTAGACAGTTATTACCTTTCAGAAAAAAAAAAAATAAAGAACTAAAAAAAAGATTTAAAAAGTATTACCTTACCTGTTTTTATGCTATTATTTATTTATTCATTTATTTTTAGAGACAGGGTCTCACTCTGCCACCCAGGCTGGAGTGCAGTGGTGCAATCATAGCTCACTGCAGCCTTGAACTCCTGGGCTCAAGTAATCCTCCCACCTAAGCCTCCCGAGTAGGTGGGACCACAGGCGTATGCCACCATGCCTGGCTAGTTTTTTGATTTTTTGTAGAAACAGGGGTCTCATTTTGTTTCCCAGACTGGTTTCAAACTCCTGGGCTCAAAACAATCCTCCAGCCTCAGCCTCCCAAAGTGCTGTGATTACAGGCATAAGCCACTGTGCTGGCTGAGACTAGTACATTTTAATGTATAGATCTTAATGTAACAAGATAGTTTCAAATCTCATATTTCAAGTAACTAGAAATTTCTGCTTGTTGAGTTTGGTATAATAGGAAAGAAGAACATCCACAATTATCTGAAAAAATCAGTGAAATACTTCTCCCTTCAAACTATACAATTATGAGGCTGAATTTTCTTTACAAACTTCAACCAAAACATATTGCAACAAACTGAATACTGAAGCAGATAAGAAAATCCAACTGCCTGTTATTAGGTCAGATGTTAAAGAGATTTGCAAAAATGTAAAGGAATTCTACTCTTACTAAAATTTTTTTGTGTGTTGGCCGGGTGCGGTGGCTCATGCCTATAATCCCAGCACTTTGGGAGGCCGAGGCGGGCGGATCATGAGGTCAAGAGATGGAGACCATCCTGGCCAACATGGTGAAACCCCGTCTCTACTAAAAATACAAAAATTAGCTGGGGATGGTGGCATGTGCCTATAGTCCCAGATACTCGGGAGGCTGAGGCAGGAGAATTGCTTCAACCTGGGAGGCGGAGGTTGCAGTGAGCCAAGATCACACCACCACACTCCAGCCTGGCGAGAGAGCAAGATTCCATCTCAAAAAAAAAAAATTGTTAGAGAATATTTTTCATTAAAAATGCCCTTTATATTAACATGGAATTGGGTTACTGTTAGTTTTGAATGAATAAATAGCTTAGATTTTTTCAGTTTTAATTCTAACACAGTAAATATCAACAGATATAACCCACATAAACAAAAGCTCTTTGAGGGATCTCGCTTTAAAAGTGTAAAGAAGTCGTCCTGTGATCAAAAAGTTTGAGAACTTGAGCACTGCTGTAACAGAGGATAATACAAATGCCTTCTTTATAATATTACATGTAAAAAGGCTTTGAGGAAATATGTCTAGCTAGATAGAGAAATAAGCTTAGAGCTTAAAAAAAAGGAAATATACTTAACTATATTTCCTTTTTAACTAAAAAGCTATCTTTTTAAGTTTTTCTACTTTGAAAAATGGACAGAACCATGGAAGCTGGGAACCATGTTGTCTCAGGAACAACTGAAGGACCATTCATTTGCTCACTAGCTTGCAAACTCCACCCAAGCAAGCAGTAACTAGGTGTGTCCTGTCCTCCACTATTCCCACGACATACAATCTTCACACAATAAACAGTTTCTGAATGAAAAGTGGGGAAATGTAAATCTGAACTCAATACACGTACATGTAACATGTATACATGTATATACCTACATTCCTTAAACATTAATAAATATGCTAATTTGTTGGTTTTTTTTAAAACCTATACTCCAAACACAAGAGATGAAGTATTTTTTTCTTTCAAGAACTACTGACCAAGAGAGGGAGAAAAACTCAGTAAAAGATAACTTAAGTTTTATTTCCGAAACAAGTTTATTTTCAGTCTCTAAATTGACAACCAGGTCCACAAAGTTCTATTTAATAAATATAACAAATTAAAATACACTTTAACCAAAGGAGAAAGGAGGAGGAGCCAAGAAGGGTATGAATTGTGAGGAGGAAGCAATAGGAAAGGGGAGGGTAGAAAGAACAAAGTAAGAGAGGCAAGTGGGATTCCATATATAAATCATTTTTTAAAAAAACCTGAAATTCCAAAATCACTCTTAGAATTTACTTGCCCAAATAAATTTAGTCCTTAAAAGAGTTATCCATAACAATGTCTAAATATGTTAACACATGTACCCCCAAAATATGTACATCTATTATGTATCAATAAAATAAATAAATAAATAAATAAGTGATGTCTAAGTACCTGGCATTTCTTAAGCTCTCTCTTCAGCTGGAGAACTGTAACATGCTGTGGTCCTTCTTCCAGACTTGCAGTGCCTCCGATTCCTCGAAATGAGGTGAGGACAGCCTTCCTGACCTCTTGGATCATGTTAAACCACTCCTGCAGTTTGTGTTGCTGCTTTTCGTTTAGTCTGACAGTATCTTTTAGGTCAACCAGGAAGGTAAAGGCTTCTTCTACACAACACTGGTAACCCAGACATTCTCCTTGAAGCTGAGCTACTTGCTCCTCAAGAGAATGAATCCTATTTGTATCAGGACTCCCTTCTCGATTGATCTGGGTAGTTTGGCTGACACCAGCCTGCTGGCTTTGCAAAGCTTCTCGAAGCAATTTAATCTCAAATTCCATTTCATCTATACGGTCTGACTCGGGGCTGAAGTTTACAGTGGGTTTGTTTCTAATGTTCCGTGCTCTGTTGGCATATTTGAGAGAATTTAAGGACTCATCAAAATTCGAGGAGGAGGGGCTGACACATGTGATCATGACAGTCTTAGCACTGCCTCCCAGAGAATCTTTCAGAAGCCGGGTAATTTTAGCATCCCTATATGGAATATGTGAACTCTTCCTGCGTGGGTCCCCAAGAGCGCTTATTACATTTCCTAAAGCCAGCAATCCACTATTGATTTGAATGGATTCTTTGAACCGTTCACCAGTATTCCCCGTTTTGGTTACTCTTTCTGATCCTGCCAAATCCACAAAGTGGAACTTTGAGACAATATGCCGAGGGGAATACCATGATCCATCTTCAGCTGCCTCCATATTTTTATGAACTTGACAAATGCTGATTGTAAAAATTGCATGTGATCTGCTGGAGTGCTCATTCATTTGAGTGGTACCTGTATGTCTGGCTGCATTCCCCATCTCCAAAAGACTCATCACTTCACCTGCACTCTCCACATGGCATTCCTTGGCCCCAACAATCACTTAAAATAGTAATAACATGTTTTTAAGCCAAGTTTTCATCAAAACCTAGTATAGTTAACAGTTACCATTTGCTAAACAGCCTGGCCAAGATAGTCCCTTTTTTAAAAAGTCAACAGCATTTCAGATAATAATAATAACATCAGCAACATCATCAAATAATTTTGGATAATCTCCCAAAGAAACTATTTTAACAGACAGCACTTATTTTGATGTTTATATTCTAAAAGCTACAATTTTTTGAAAAAACAATCTAGTTTATCTTGAGTCATGAGTCACACTCAATTCCTTAAAATGACTGACAAAAGAAAAACCCTTCATTCCAGTCTTTTGATTTGTAAAGCCTAATAGATTAATCCTTTTTTTTTTCTTGAGACGGAGTCTCGGCCTGTTGCCCAGGCTAGAGTGCAGTGTCACAATCTTGGCTCACTGCAACCTCTACCTCGGGTTCAAGTGATTCTCCTGCCTTAGCCTCCCGAGTAGTTGGGATTACAGGCATGCGCTACCACACCTGGCTAATTTTTTTGTATTTTTAGTAGAGATGGGGTTTCACCACGTTGGCCAGGCTGGTCTTGAACTCCTGACCTCAGGTGATCCACCTGCCTTGGCCTCCCAAAGTGCTGGGATAACAGGTGTGAGCCACTGCACCTGGCCTAGATTAATCTTTTATAAATTAATCAAATATATAATTCAAAAAAGTTAATCAGTAGATTAGAAGAATTAATTAGTATCAATTAAAAGGCATTCGTTTTTTTTTTCAGTTTTGTTAATAATCAAGCCATCCTTAGCTTTTATGTTTTTTGGTATCGTGAGGTCATAATCAATGAAGAGTAAAAAATTCAATACAAATAAAGTTGGTTATTCATTTTAAAAATAGGTATGGTTTATAAATAAAGTTGGTTATTCATTTTAAAAACAGGTATCTGTTTACCTTGCATCAGAGTGCAAGGTAAACAGATGAGATGGCAATTAAAAGAAAACACTTTGAACACCATAATGTACCATACTCAAAAAAGAAAAAAAAGTTTTTATTTCAATCGCAGAATGAACTAAAAATAACCTACATTTACTACCCGCATTATTTGTTTATATCCAAAAATATTTCTTTTTTTTTTTTTCTTGAGATGGAGTCTCGCTCTGTCCCCAGGCTGGAGTGCAGTGGCGCAATCTCAGCTCACTGCAAGCTCCGCCTCCCGGGTTCACACCATTCTCCTGCCTCAGCCTCCTGAGTAGCTGGGATTACAGGCGCCCACCACCACGCCTGGCTAATTTTTTGTATTTTTAGTACAGACGGGGTTTCACTGTGTTAGCTAGGATGGTCTCGATCTCCTGACCTCGTGATCCACCTGCCTCGGCCTCCCAAAGTGCTGGGATTACAGGCGTGAGCCACCGCACCCGGCCTATATCCAAAAATATTTCAAAGAGAAGTAGGTGGACTTAGGAATTGAATCAGAGAAGAAAAGCTCCTGATTTCATGCTCAAATTATATTGCCATAATTCCTCTTTACTCAGATACTGTCACATCACTATTTCTTTAAAAAATAATCATTTCAGTTTCATTATTTCCATCATGACACTTTTTAAACAACCCAGTTCATTTAAAGTCCTGTAAGTCATAGTAAAACTTTCATTAAATTTTTCCAGTGTTAGGCTATAAGTTAGCACTATGGTTCTCGAATCCAGATGCAAATCACCTGGTAGCTTTATAAAAAGAAAGTGCCAATGCCCAGGTACCATCTCAGACCAATTAAATCAGAATCCCTGTGAAGTAGGACCCAGAAATCAGTATTTTTAAAAAGCTTCCCACGTGTACTAATTGTGTGGCAGCCAGCATGGACATCACTGCTTCACACAGAGATTCTAAAGAAATATGTCAAACAAATGCACTTTACTTGTAAGTGGGACATTATGTAAGACATACTGTAATTTAAGATCATTTGTAACATCCTTCCAAAATTTTTTCAGCATTGATATCAGATATGAAGTATTTTGATCAAGTTTATCAAGAGTGATGGTGAAGTGTATATACTTCTATCCTGCTTGATATTTTACAAAGAAGCATGTATTATTTTTGTAACTCTTTAATAAAAGATGAAAACATTCAATAATTGTATTCCATAAGATAAAGGAGCTCAAAACATCAGTATGAATTCTATCCAGAAGAGATAAACTGTACTGAATTATCTAATAAGACCATAAGCTACCATATATAGTTTCTTCTTAAAAAACAAAAACAAATACAATTTCCTCAACCATGCAGGAATGCCAGGACAGGGCTATAAAGATGCAAGATTTGCTGCCTCCTATAGCCTGCTATTTGAATGACTAAAGCCATCTTACTTTCCTAACTTTCCTAACTGCTAGGAAATTCCCTCCTCTGGCAGGTTCTCCAGGAAGGTTCCACTAAATATGGTTTTTAGGGGAAGAAGACATCCAAGAATAGGCCAGGCATGGTGGCTCACCCCTGTAATTCTAGCACTTTGGGAGGCCAAAGCAGGCAGATCTCTTGAGCCCAAGAGTTCAAGACCAGCCTGGGCAACATGGTGAAACCCCGTCTCTACAAAAAAATACAAAAATTAGCCAGGCGTGGTGGCGGGCGCCTGTTAGTCCCAGCTACTCGGGAGGCTGAGGTAGGAGGATCACTTGAGCTCATGAGGTTTAGGCTGCAGTGAGCTGTGATTATGCCACTGCACTCCAGCCTGGCTGACAGAGGTAAGACCCTGTCTCCAAAAAAAAAAAAAAAAAAAAAGAATAGTCACTGCAATATTATTAATAATAGTTAAAACCTAGAAACAGCCTAAATGTCCAACAATGGAATATTAAATAACTATAAACACATTCATAAGACAAATTACCATATAAACATGAAGAGTCATAAGTATGAAAAATATTTAAACATATGTGAAAATATTCAAAATATAAATATTAAGTGAAATCTAAAATGCAAAACTGTGCGTAGGGTTGCAAGTATACATTTTTAAAAAATTATATGGGCCAGGCATGGTGGCTCATGCCTGTAATCCCAGCACTTTGGGAGGCCGAGGTGGGAGGATCACGAGGTCAGGAGATCAAGACAATCCTGGCTAACACGGTGAAACCCTGTCTCTACTAAAAATACAAAAAATTAGCTGGACATGGTGGCGGGCGCCTGTAGTCCCAGCTACTCGGGAGGCTGAGGCAGGAGAATGGCGTGAACCCGGGAGGCGGAGCTTGCAGTGAGCCCAGATCGCGCCACTGCACTCCAGCCTGGGTGACAGAGCAAGACTCCATCTCAAAAATAAATAAATAAATAAATAAATAAATAAATAAATAAATAAATAAATAATATGTACATAGAAAAATAATTCTGGAAGGAAACCCACCAAAAAGAGAAGTTGGTATTTCTAGGCGCTAGGATTAAAGATAATCTTTTAACTTTCTTCCTTATACTTTCCTGTTTTCAAAATACTCTATGATGAACATGTTAGCTTTTAAACCAGAAAAGCATAAATTGTTATTCTTTAAAATATTTGCAGTTTGAGCCTCCCATTCTAACCTTCTCCCATTTCCAACAAATGGGTATTGGTTAATGAAATTAACAGGCTACTAATGCAGAAAGTCAGACCTTGAGGAACACAACAAAAAAAAACAGGTAAATGTCAATATCAAAAAACAAAAATATAAACTCTCAACTTTAAAAAAAGAGGAAGAAGTATGTGTGCTGGGACAAAAATCAAAGAAAAGAAAGGCAAGTTCTGGGTCAACTTTGATAAACACTTAAAGCAAAAGCCACCTCCAATCTCATGGTAGAGCTGAGAGGAAGAAAGATACAAAAACAAATTTAGCCTATATCACAGTCTCATCTGAAGTCAGTCTAGAGGGAAACAATGATAGGAAATCAGTATCTTGCATTACAAATTAATAACTTCACCTTACCAACCAGTCTGAACTACTTTTTCATCTGAGTGATTTAAGAGAGATTAATAGGCTGGGAGCAGTGGCTCACGCCTGTAATCCCAGCACTTTGGGAGGCTGAGGCAGGCGGATCACGAGGTCAGGAGTTCGAGACCAGCCTGACCAACATGGTGAAATCCCGTCTCTACTAAAAATACAAAAATTAGCCAGGCATGGTGGTGCACACCTGTAATACCAGCTACTCGGGAGGCTAAGGCAGGAGAATCACTTGAACCCAGGAGGTAGAGGTTGCAGTGAGCCAAGATCGCACCACTACACTCTAGCCTGGCTGATGGAGCGAAACTCCATCTCAAAAAAAAAAAAAAAAAAAGAGAGAGAGAGGGATTAATAATAAAGCTGTTCAATTTAAAAGTAAAAATAAATTCATTTTGCTTCTGCATCTGTTTTTAAAGATTCCTTGGAATATATCCAGAAACTTAATTAAAGCATTAAAGCATGTCTGTTTGCTAATGAAGGCAACTGATTAAGTGTGCTACTTTACCTGTGTTTCCTTTTTCATCTTCTCGGATGTGAAGATCCTTCATGGATGTCTCCAATTCTAGAAGATCTCTTAGGTCTTCCTTGTACACTTCTATATAAGATACTTTTACATTAAAGTCAATGCTAGGATGTTCAGAGATGCTTTGAAATATTTCTTGAATAGCTCGAGGAATGATACCCTTTTGGCCCTCCACAACTGAAGCTGAAAATTTAGAAAAAGAAAGCACATCTGGAACTTAAAACAAAAGCAAAGCTACAACCCCAAATTTATAGTTAATTTATTTTACTACATTTCTATATATTATAACTTTTTTTTTTTTTGGCGGGGGGACGGAGTCTTGCTCTGTTGCCCAGGCTGGAGTGCAGTGGTGCAATCTCAGCTCACTGCAACCTCCGACTATCAAATTCAAGCAATTCTCCTGCCTCAGCCTCCTGAGTAGCTGGGATTACAGATGCCCACCACCAGGCTATTATAACTCTTTTAAACCACAACTATAAAATTAACAAGTAACAGTTTTCACATGTATCCCCTTACCAAGAATTTATTCATGTATTCATTGAACAAGTATTTATTTAGTATCTACTATGTGCCAGGCACTTTTCTAGGACTCTGCAATCCACCAATAAACAAAACAGGGAGAAAAGAAATCCCTTCCCTGGTGAGATTCTGCTAAAGACAGACAATAGCAAAAAAGAATAACTGATAAGTGAATTATATGGCATATTAAAAAGTGTTAATTGTACCTGGAGGAAAAAAAATACGGCAGGGTAGGGGGACTAGAAGTGTAACTACCAGCCGAGAGATGCTTGCAACTTTAAATAGGAAGGTCATGGTGGGCATCATTCAGAAGGTGACATCTGAGAAAAGACTTGAAAGAGGCCAAGCGCAGTGGCTCATGCCTGTAATCCCAGACTTTGGGAGGCTAAGGCATGCAGATCACTTGAGCCCAGGAGTTCAAGACCAGCTTGGGAAACATGGTGAAACCCTGTCCCTACTAAAAATACAAAAATTAGCTAGCTAGGTGTGGTGGCCCATGCCTGTAATCCCAAATATTTGGGTGGCTAAGGCAAGAGAATCACTTGAAGCTGGGAGGTGGAGGTTGCAGTGAGCTGAGACAGTGCCACTGTACTCCAGCCTGAGCGACAGAGGGAAACTGTCTCAAAAAAAAAAAAAAAAAAGATTTAATAAGAAAATATATTTGAAAAGTCCCAGGAATGAAACAGACATTAAGTGGCACAGGTGGATTTCAAAGCAGGTAGATATGGTAGAAATGTATATTTTAATATAAATGATAAAACTATATGGGGTGGCATTTTATTCCATAAATAGGCCATACTGTGGTGGCTCACACCTGTAATCCCAGCACATGGGGAGGCCGAGGTGGGTGGACCGCTTGAGCTAAGAAGTTTGAGACAAGCCTGGGCAACATGGCAAGACCCCTTGTCTACAAAAAATACAAAAAATTAGCTGGGCATCGTGTTGCATGCCTATGGTCTCAGCTGCTTAGGAGGCTGAGAAGGGAGGATTACTTGAGCCTGGGAGACAGAGGTTGCAGTGAGCCAGGAGACAGAGCCTAGGTGACAGAGCAAGACCCTTTCTCTAAATACATACATACATACATACATACATACATACGTACGTACTTACATACATAATCTTTCCCAATTCACTGTTCATTAAATACTAGATCCAGAGAGGTGGCCCTTGGCTCATAAAACATCATTCTACACAAAGGGCTTCCCCTGCCCAAAGCCACTCCACCTCTTGGATATTCACTACTACTAGTGGGAGCCACGTTATAAAAATGTTGGTGCTTTTAGATGATATATAATTTCTAAAGCAGAAAAGAGCTGTAAAAAGCAGGAAACTGACCCTAGGTAAGACCAATCTATTTCACAGTCCTTTGCACTAAAATATCTTTCTCTTTAGATCATTTATTATGGTCTGGGTGGAATCCCAATCACTGGAGCACAATTCATTTACGTTGGCAAGAATGCTTTTTAAAAAAAATTCTTGTATCATATTTCTTCACGTCACCAAGTGTATCTGTTCTGAGATTTCTGGATGGGGTGAAAAGGTGCAAGGAGCTTGAGAGTAGAAAGGGACAACAAGAAAAGACAGGGACGTAAGCCAGAGTTGATGGCGACAGAGAATGTGTGCAGAAGACAGGTGCAGAAAGGCCAGTTATGCCCAGGCCTAGACCCTCAGTTCAAGAATGAGGAAAGAAACATCTCTACACCTCTTCTCCTCCAGCACTACCTAAGCCCACAGCTTCTACAAACCAGAACACAGACCGGTACCATAACATCATGAGTAAACATTTATTTCTGCTCCCACTTGTTTCAAAAAGGAGTTAGAGCAGCTTTACAAATAGGCGTAGGAGGGACTCAAACAGATACTTCTACATCGGTGTTCACAGCAACATTATTTACAGGAGCTACAAGGGGGAAGCAAACCAAATGTCCATCAAAAGAAGAATGGATAAATAAAACACAGTATATACATACAATGGAATGTTGGAAAAAGGAATGAAGTTCTGATAGGTGACATAACATGCTAAGAGAGAGAAGCTAGACACAGAAGGAAAAATACTGTATGATTCCACTTCTTTTTTTCTTTTCTTTTTCTTTTTTGAGACAGGGTCTCACTGTGTCACCCAGGCTGGAGTGCAGTGGCACAATCATGGCTCACTACAGCCTTGACCTCCCGGGCTCAGGCGATCCTCCCACCTCAGCCTCTGAAGTAGCTGGGACTACAGGCATGTGCCACCACATCAAGCTAATTTTTTTGTTGCTTTTGTAGAGACAAGCTCTCACTATGTTGCCCAGGAGTGCAGTGGTGCCATCTTGGCTCACTGCAACCTCCACCTCCTGGGTTCAAGCGATTCTCCTGCCTCAGCCTCCTGAGTAGCTGGCACTACAGGCGCCCACCACCACACATGGCTAATTTTTGTATTTTTAGTAGAGATGGGGTTTCACCATGTTGGCTAGGATGATCTCGATTTTCTGACCTCATGATCCACCCGCCTCGACCTCCCAAAGTGCTGAGCTTACAGGCGTGAGCCACCACACCCGGCCCACTTTTATGTGTTTGGTTTTGTTTTGTTCTCTGAGACAGAGTCTTGCTCTGTTGCCCACACTGGAGTGCAGTGGCACGATCTCAGCTCACTGCAGCCTCTGCCTCCCAGGTTCAAGTGATTCTCCCGCCTCAGCCTCCAGTAGCTGGGATTACAGGCGCACACCACCACGTCTGACTGGTTTTTTTGTATTTATAGTAGAGATGGGGTTTCACCATGTTGCCCAGGCTGATCTCAAACTCCTGAGCTCAGGTGATCCTCCCAAAGTACTGGGATTACAGAAGTGAGCCACCACGCCTGGCCTCCACTTACATGAAATACCTAGAATAGGCAAACTAAAAGAGACAGAAAGTAAATCAGGGATTATCAGAGAATGCGGGGAGAGCTATTGCTTAATGGGTACATAGCTTCTGTTTCGGTGATGAAAACTTTGGAAATACTGGTTATTATTGCATTAACAATTAGTATATTTGATGCTGCAGAACTCTACACTTGAAAGTAGTTAAAATGGTAAGTTTGGTGATCTTTATATGTACTTTATTACAATTGTAAAAATAGTAAAAAAAAAGTGTATGAGATAAATTTAAAATAAGTGGAGGGAAAAGCTGAGACTTTAAAAGTTTCTGTAGGCTAATTTAGAAAACTGCCCATCATTTTTAGCATTGTTCCATGGAAAATGTATTCCAAGCAACAAAGAGTTGACTTACAAATGAAACTTAAAAACAACTTGCTTCCAAGTTGAAGATTACCAAAGTTCTGGTTTTTGGCAACAATCGTTCTGAAAATCCGAGTTTCCATCAACTTTGATGGCTGCCTTTCCCCTAATTTAAGAGGCAAGACTGCCATCATGTGGCAAGTAAAGTTAAGTTGTGGGTTTTCTTCTAATACAGTACAAAGGAAGATTCCCTTTTAAGAGCTTATAGGAACTAGCCTGTAGGAAATATCTAAACCTTTCAAACTCTAGTATAGATAAGCAATCTTGATTATCCAGAATAAATAATTGACCAGAAATAGTTCAGTTATTCCCCACATCTATAGATAACAAAGCACAATTTAAAAGACGTATCAAAAAGCTTAATTTCAAATATTTATAATAAAGCTCCAATATGTATTTTGATAATTTAAATATAAAATTTGCAATGTTAGTCTTATATTCCTGAAATAAACCATTTCCAAAAGAAAACCTGCAAAGTTTTATACCTCAACAACTCTCATTTAGCTATTATATGGTATTTAAAGAGTACACAAAAGTTTTTGGAAAAGGCTATACCTTGTAAAGGTAATTCCAACGTTCTGAAAAGCAGGAAAATGAATATTAGCTAAATAAGCATCATATTTAAAAATAAAGCCAGGCGTGGTGGTTCACACCTGTAATCCCAGCACTTTGGGAGACTGAGGCAGGGCGGATCACTTGATCTCAGGTGTTCAAGACCAGCCTGGACAACATGGCAAAACCCTGTCTCTGCAAAAAATTAAAAAAAAAAAAAATTAGTCGGGAGTGGTGATATGTCCCTGTAGTCCCAGATACTTAGGAGGCCAAGGTGGAAGAATCTCGTAAGCCCAGAAGGTTGAGGCTGCAGTGAGCTGTGATTGTGCCACTGCACTCCAGCCAGGGTGACAGACCAAGGCCCTATCTGAAAGCAAAATCAAAAACAAAAAACAAAGTGAGACTGTCTCTACAAAAAGGTTTTTAAAATAAAGTAAAATACATTTTAAAATAAGAGAGTTTCATTCTGCCCTAGTGCCCAGCACGGTAACCTAGACACTGCAGATGCTCAATAAATATTCACTGGAGGGGTAAAAAGAAAACATTATTTGCATGGTCTATAACCAAAAAGCTGACCCAGAATTGGTGTCCTATAGAGACATTCTGGGAAACATAAAATGCTCACTAAAACATCAAAAAATAAATCCAACTTTTTTTTTTTTGAGACAGAGTTTGGTCTGTTGCCCAGGCTGGAATGCAGTGGCACGATCTTGGCTCACTGTAGCCTCCGCCTCCCAGGTTCAAGCGATTCTCTGCCTCAGCCTCCCAAGTAGCTGGGATTAGAGGCATGTGCCACGACGCCCAGCTAATTTTTGTATTTTTAGTAGAGACAGGGTTTCATCATGTTGACCAGGCTGGTCTCAAACTCCTGGCCTCAAGTGATCTGCCTGCCTCGGCCTCCCAAAGTGCTGGGATTACAGGCGTGAGCCACCACGCCTGGTCTGAAATGATATTTTACATTGTTAAATGCAAAAAGAAAGTTACAGAATCACAGGTATAATATCTCATTAAACAAACAAAAACCCAAAAAACCACACAAGTGAGTAATATGCATCAAACTTATTTCTTTGGGGTGAGAGGAGCTGTCACTTGTTTCATTTCTTATGCAACACTTGCAATCCTTCTTATAATAAATATTTCTTTAATTTAAAAAAAGTAGAAAGAAAACACCATCCAAAATGTTCTTAATGGTCCTCTATTTCTTCTGATAGAGGGAACTTTAGAGCAATTAAAATATGTTAGGACAATAGATAACTTCAATAACTTTTTCCCTTACAAAATTAAAATAGTACTCATGGTCTCTTAATAATAAAAAAAAAAGATAGCTATAATTAAGTCACCAGCTTCTGAACATTTATAACTCCTATTGGTATAAAGCACATAATGGATCATTAGGATTATAAAACATTTGCCAATCAAAAAAAAAAAAACCCTACAATCCTAAAGAAAAGCCACAATTTATACTAGAAAAACTGAATTCTTTTTATTGTAAGACGCTGAAACAATCTAGTATCTGTGATCTCCTAATCCTGCAGAATATACAGATTGTTTTCTTTTAGTTGGAGAGTATTGGCTTCTTAAGGCTCCTCCATTTTAATCTTTGCAATAAAGATTTCCTGAAACTACACAACCACCCTCTGAGCCACCTCCCATCCATGCATTTAATGAGAGAAGTTTCTTTTTTAAAATTTTTTATTTTTTTATTGTTTCAGCTCATATCTGAACAGCTAGAGAAAAAAGTTTCTGAAAGCCATATATTTTACATTTGTGAAATATGAAAATAGAAAAATATTGAGAGCCACTATTCATACAGAGAATACTAACTAAAACTTTAGACAATGATGCATATGTGCACTACTCAAAAGTTTGTTTTTAGTGGAAAAATATAAATACAGTAAACAATCTTAACAGAGGACTTGGCTGTCAATTCCCCCACTCTATTACCAGACACTTAACTAAAATGATTTCCAAGGTTCCCTTCAGCTCTATATGAGATCCTATGATTCCATCTTTTCCAAACTACAATTATAAGCAGGAGAAATTATGTCCTAAAATATTCAGAATTTAAAAAAGAAATCTGGCTAGAATATGAAAAAGAAAAGATACTTTACATAATAAATTTTTCCTACGGTCCCTAAGTCCTGATTGCGGGACTCTTAATATTTACAACTGGCTTGTTAAAGAATGCAAAATCTAATCATGTTAACTCATTTATCTCTATTTTAAATTCTGTTCAAAATAACAAGGGCTGACCACTGAAAACTATTTTAAACTTCTTTCCTCAAGCAAATATAATCCTAAGTTAGATTGCTTAATGAAACTTCAATATTTAAAAACGAATCTTTCAAAGATGATGATCTTATGATCACATTTGATTACATGATTCATTCCTTCACTATTCAATCAATATGCTAAACACCTACCATGTGTCAGGTATTGGTCATATTTTTGCTTCTTTCTAGCGTCACAAATAAAAGTCAAAGAGTATAAGAATCTTACCAATATGGCCCCCTCCAATGGTGTATGTCTTCCCAGATCCAGTTTGTCCATAGGCAAAAACAGTTGCATTATAGCCCTCAATGAGTGACAACACTAGGGGCTTTATACATGTGTTATAAACTTCATCTTGAGTGGAATTTTTGCCAAAAACAAAATCAAAAGTGAAGACTCTATCTCTCCCAATGATAACTTGCTGGCTGTTTGGAATAACTCTCACACAAACTTGATGATTATGAAGAGCTTCTTTGCAAAGCAGAGGTCTAATTCTTACAGCAACTTTTACTGGTATTTCTTCCATGGCAACTTAGATTTTACTAAATAGATTTTCTATTTAATGTTCAGTATCTAGTGTGAGAGACTTCCATCTTATGTAAGATCTGGATTCCTGTGCAACAAAAATAAAAAGCAAATTTTAATTACTGATTCCTTGTATCCCAATAAACTAACCACCTTCTAAAGCAAAGTCAATTAGAACAGGTTTTGTTCCAATACAACACAGTTACAAAGAGTAAGCCTGTCTTGTAAAATACATCGTAAATTTGTAGACAAACTAGTATGTCTTGGGTTTGCTTCAAAATAATCTAGGTGTGGGGTCCATGAGTTGATAAATGATGAAGCTAGGTGATAAGTACATGGGATTCCATTGGGCCTTTATTTCTACAGTAATAATGTTTCCCAGTTCATTAATCTAAATATTAAATAACCAGGGAGTTAGAAAATTAAGGCAAGGAGATAAGTAAGGAACTGTACACACGTTTTTTTGTTTTTTGAGATGGAGTCTAGGCTGGAACGCAGTGGTGAGATCTCGGCTCTCTGCAACCTCTGCCTACCAGGTTCAAGTGATTCTCCTGCCTCAGGCCTCTCGAGTAGCTGGGGTTACAGGCGCCCGCCACCACACCCAGCTAATTTTTGTATTTTTAGTAGAGACAGGGTTTCACCATATTGGCCAGGCTGGTCTCAAGCTCCGAACCTCAGGTGACCCGCCCGCCTCGGCCTCCCAAGTGCCAGGATTACAGGCGTGAGCCACCGTGCCCAGCCTGTACATGTGTTAAAAACAAACATTAGTACTAGATTTTATAGCTATGCATTGAAAAATAGCATCTCCTCTTTGCCACAATTATTAGAAATAAATCCATGAAAATAGTTTTAAGAATTTCAATAAGTCAACATAAATTTAAAACTAAATTTGTATTCAAAAATAATCAAAACTAACAGAAAAACTGCTTTTTCTACTTCTAAATATTATGTTGTACTTATTTCTGAAGATCTCTGCTAGAATTAATACATTAAAATTTAAATTGATGGCTGTAGTTTCCTGGCTAAAAATATATATAAACAAATAATTGGTAACTACATTTACAATGAACACTTTTTTTTTTTTTTTTTTTGAGACGGAGTCTCGCTCTGTCGCTCAGGCTGGAGTGCAGTGGCGCGATCTGGGCTCACTGCAAGCTCCACCTCCCGGGTTCACACCATTCTCCTGCCTCAGCCTCCAGAGTAGCTGGGACTACAGGCACCCGCCACTATGCCTGGCTAATTTTTTCTATTTTTAGTAGACATGGGGTTTCACCGTGTTAGCCAGGACGGTCTCGATCTCCTGACCTCGTGATGCGCCTGTCTTGGCCTCCCAAAGGGCTGGGATTACAGGCGTGAGCCACCGCGCACGACAGAACACTCTTTTTTTTTTAAATATATATATTTTATTATACTTTAAGTTCTAGGGTACATGTGCACAACGTGCAGGTTTGTTACATATGTATACATGTGCCATGTTGGTGTGCTGCACCCATTAACTTGTCATTTACATTAGGTATATCTCCTAATGCTATCCCTCCCCCCTTCCCCCACCCCACAACAAGCCCCAATGTGTGATGTTCCCCTTCCTGTGGCAGAACACTCTTAAAAATAAATGTAAAAAACAATTCCATTTACAATAGCATCAAAAAGAATAAAATACTTAGAAATAAATTTAACAAAAGATGTGTAAAACATATAGTCTGAAAACTATAAAATACTGTTAGAAGAAAGCACAAGATGTAAATGAAAAAACATCTCATGTTTATGAATTGAAAGATATATTAATATGTCAGTATTCCCCAAATTATCTACAGACTCAATGCAATACCTATCAAAATGTCAGCTGACTTAGTTGCAGAAATTGACAAGCTGATCCTAAAATCACAGAAAAACTCAAGAGACAGAGAATAACCAAAACAATATTGAAAAAGAACAAAGTAAGAGGACTCACACTTTCCTAATTTCAAAACCAAACAACAGTAATCATGATAGTGTGGTACTGGCATAAAGACAGACATATAGATCAACAGAATAGAATTGAGAATCCAGAAATAAACCCTCACATTCATGGGCAAGTGATTTTCAACAAAGATGCCAAGACAATTCAACTGAAGTATAAGAATACTCTTTTCAACAAATGGCACTGGGACAATGGATAAAATAATGAAGTTGGACTCCCTACCTCATATCATATACAAAAGTTAACCAAAAATGGACCATAGACCTAAACATAAGAAGTAAAACTACAAAACTCTTAAAAGACAGGAGTAACTCTTTATGACCTTGGATTTGGCAATAATTTCTCAGATATGACACCAAAAGCAATAAAATAAAAAATACCAATTTGAACATTATACATTGTATACATGTACTGAAAAATCACACTGTACCCCATAAATATGTACAATGATTTTGTCAAACAAAAATAATAATAAAAGCAAAAAATAAAGATGAAGTATAGATTAAAAAATAAGTAAGACCCAGCCTGGGCAATATAGTGAGACGCCATGTCTACAAAGAAATTTTTTTTTTCAATCAGCTCAGCATGGTAGTACGCACCTGTGGTCTCAGCTACTTGGGAAGCTAAGGCGGGAGATTGGCTTGAACCCAGCAGCCAGAGGTTACAGTGAGCTGTATCTGCACCACTGCACTATAACGTGGACAACACTATAATGTGGACAGCAGAGCAAGAACTTGTCTCAAAGAGAGAGAGAAAGAGAGAACGAGAGAAATGGGGGGGGGGCAGGACAGGGAGGGAGAGGAGGGAGGGAGGGAAGGAAAAACGACATCAAAATTAAAAACTTTGTGCCTCGAAGGAAACTACCAAGAAAGTGAAAAGACAACTCACTGAATGGGAGAAAATATTTGCAAGACATATATCTAACAAGGAACTTGCAACTAGAATATATAAATATTATAACTCAAAAAGTTTTTTAAAAATTTTAAATAGGCAAAGCATCCGAAAAGGCAGTTCTTCAAAGAAGATATACAAATGAATAATGAGCACATGAAAAGATGCTCACCATCATTAGCTATCAGGAAAATGCAATCAAAATCACAATGAGAGGCCAGGTGCACAGTGGTTCATGCCTGTAATCCCAGAATTTTAGGAGACTGAGGTGGGAGGATGACCTGAGGTCAGGAGTTCAAGACCAGCCTGGACAACATGGTGTAACCCCATTGCTACCTAAAATACAAAAATTAGCCAGGCGCAGTGGCTCAAACCTGTAATCCCAGCATTTTGGGAGGCCGAGGTGGGAGGATCACCTGAGGTCAGGAGTTCGAGACCAGCCTGAACAACATGGTGAAACCCCGTCCTTACTAAAAATACAAAAATTAGACGGGCATGGTGGTGGGCGCCTATAATCCCAGCTACTAGGGAAGCTGAGGCAGGAGAATCGCTTGAACCCAGGAGGCAGAGGTTGCAGTGAGCTGAGATCGAACCACTGCACTCCATCCTGGGCGATACACCAAGACTGTCTCAAACAAACAAACAAACAAACAACAACCACAATGAGATACCAATCCACATCCACTAGCACTGCTATAATAAAAAAGACAGATCATAAGTGTTGGCAGGGTATAAAGAAATTAGAACCCTCATACACTATTTGTGGGAAGGTAAAATGGTATAGCCACTTTGGAAAACAGACTGACATTTCTGCAAAAAGTTAAACATACAGTTATCTCTTGACCCAGCAATTCCACTCCATCAAATGATCCAGCAATTCCACTCCCAAGAGAAATGAAAACATTGTGTTCGCATAAAAACTTACATACAAATGTTCAGTTTTGGAAGGATAAAGCTTATACAAAATTTAACAAGTAATCTATGACAATGTTTGAGTGCAGATGATGAAAAGTAATGAATTTGAGGTGAGGTTAGGTTCTTTGGAAAAGCTGCTGAGTCTTGAAGATTACCATTAAGTAACACAGACAACTAGACTGAAATAATATTTTATTAATAACACTAACAACAATGAATTGATAATATTCACTACCCTTGAAAAAAAAAAAACCATGGCCCAGCACGGTGGTTCACATCTGTAATCCCAGCACTTTGGGAGGCCAGGGCGGGTGGATCACTTGAGCCCAGGAGTTCGAGACCAGCCTGGGCAACATGGAGAAACCCTGTCTCTACTAAAAATACAAAAATTAGGCAGGCATGGTGGCGTGCGCCTGTAATCCCAGCTACTCAGAAGGCTGAAGCGAGAGGATCCCTCCTGAAAACAAAACAAAACAAATGTGAGCCACGATGCCCAGCCTCATTTCTTGGGGTTTTTAATGGTAATATCTATAAAGAATTTGGTTATAAAGGCAACTGAAACTTATTCTAAGCATTAAAAAAAATAATAATGGGGCCGGGCACAGTGGTTCACACCTGTAATCCCAGCACTTTGGGAGGCCAAGGCAGGTGGATCGCTTCAGCCCACGAGTTCCAGACCAGCCTGGGCAACATGGTGAAACCCTGTCTCTACTAAAAATACAAGAATGTGCCAGGCTGTGGTGACGCACCTGTAGTCCCAGCTACTTGGGAGGCTGAGATTGGAGGATCGCTTGAGCCCGGGAGGTTGAGGCTGCAGTGTGCCACTGCACTCCAGCCTGAGTAACAGAGCGAGACCCTGTCTCAAAACAAAACAAACAAACAATAGTAATGGTCCACAAACATAGGGCTTGTAAAACATCAATATACAAGAAATAAAGTTTTTACACAATCCATAGCACTTATACTTCAGATTCTGATCAATTATAGTCATCAGAAACATACGTATTATGTTGCCAATAAATGATTTAAAAAAAAGCAAAATCTGATTGGTCGTATTTAAGTATACTCAACGGGTTTTTGAAATCTGAGCAAAGGCAAGAGAAATATTGAATCCCTCATGTCATGTCACTGGTCAGGAATGAGTGTCTCCAAAAACCGTTGCCATCCCGTACCCTTGATTTCCCAGAAAGCAGTGGTTGTCTTAAATGTGTGGTTTGTTAATTATTTTCATAAAAAACTTGCCAGTAGATGGACAGTAAATCGCATACGGAGCTCAGAAAAGGCCCCAAATGCGTAAAGACGACAAAAGAGTAAAGAAGGGCAAACAACAAGGATTTTCAACACTGGAGACTTAAAAGGTGTTACTTAAAAGGTGTTTCAAAGAAAGAATCTGGGCGCTTTGCTCTTTATAGTCACCTGCCTCCGAGGGAGGGAGCTCTCGGGCTTGAATGTGCCCAAGGTTCAACCTCTACGGTAGGAAATGCGCCCAAGTTTCAACCTCTACGGTGGGAAATGCGCCCAAGTTTCAACCTCTACGGTGGGAAATGCGCCCAAGTTTCAACCTCTACGGTGGGAAAAAGACGCCTGCGATAAAACAAAGCGCTCGGTGGTGGTGGCCCTCGCGTCGCACCTCACGCCGTGCAGCGACACGAGACGAACACAGGGTGCGCTCTGAAAGGCCGGGTCCCGCGTTCCGGTCGATCGGTGTTCCCCGGGACCCGCTCCTCAGGGCTGACCCAACTTCCTCCGGAAGGGGCGCTCTGCCTCTAGTCGCTCGCCGGCTCCCAGCCCCGACCCCAGACCCCTCGGACGCCCCCATAGGCCTAGCTGGCGCCCCAACCGCCCACCCTCCGCTACCCACCCGCGGCGGCCCCGACCCCAAGCCGGAGCCTACTAGTCCCAACGGCCGGCTGGGGGCGCGGGAGCGGCGGGCGCGGCGGGCTGGAGGGCGGGCACCGCGAAGGGAGGGCGCCCCACTTCCCCGCACCGCCCGCCAGGCCCGCCGAGCACTGACCGGCTCGGGACAGCCCAGGCCCCTGTCGGCGAGCGCTGGACTCCTCAGCTTCGCTCTGCCACACCGCGCAGCCGCCGTCCGCGTCTTTTGTTGTCGCGAGTTCTCCTGGCAACCGGCGAAGCCCGCCTCCCGCCGCGTCCTCTCCTGGATGCCGCGTCCTGGCCCCGCCCCCATCCTGGCCACGCCTCCAAGCCCGCCGCGCAGGAGTCCTGCGTCCCCAGGAAGTCCGCAAAGGGCCGGCCCCTGGGCTTGCCTGCAAATCCGAGTTGTGTCCCACCAACGCGCTGGGACCGGTCTGTGAGGCCTGAGCGCAAGCATCTTTCTACGGGTTCGTGAAATGAGTGAGAACGATTCCACACCGTGTTTCAATATCTTAGCTACCAATTCAGTTTATTTTTATTTTTATTGAGTAAAACTTGCCTAACATAAACCATCTTAAAACTCACAATTCAGTGGCGTTTAATGCATTCACAGTGTTGTGCAACCATCACCTCTGTATATAGTTCAGAAACATTTTCATAACCCCAAAAGAAAATCCCCAAACCAGTTAGCAGTCATTCCTTCTGGTTCCCCTCTCCCCACAACCCCAGCCAGCCACTAATCTACTTTCTGACTCTGTGATAGCTTTACCTATTCTGGGCATTTCTTTATTGATGGAATCATTCAGTATATGACCTTTTGTGTCTAGCTTCTTTTGCTTAATGTTTTCAAGATGCAGTCATGTTGTAACATCTATCAGGACTTCTTTTCTTTTTTTTCTTTTCTTTTTTTTGAGACCGAGTCGCGCTCTGTCGCCCAAGCTGGAGTGCAGTGGCGTGATCTCGGCTCTCTGCAACCTCCACCTCCCGGGTTCAAGCGATTCTCCTGCCTTAGCCTCCCGAGTAGCTGGGATTACAGGCGCGTGCCACCACGCCCGGCTAATTTTTTGTATTTTTAGTAGAGACGGGGTTTGTTTCACTGTGTTAGCCAGGATGGTCTTGATCTCCTGACCTCGTGATCTGCCCGCCTCGGCCTTCCAAAGTGCTGGGATTACAGGCGTGAGCCACCACGCCCGGCCCTTTAGATGGAGTTTCGCTCTTATTGCCCAGGCTGGAATGCAATGGCGCCATCTAGGCTCAACGCAACCTCCACCTCATGGGTTCAAGCGATTCTCCTGCCTCAGCCTCCGGAGTAGCTGGGATTACAGGCATGAGCCACCCTGCCCGGCCCTATCAGGACTTTTTAGGGCTGAAAAAATTCCATTGTATGGATATAGACATACCACATTTTGTTTATCCATTCTTCAGCTGGTGGTGGACATTTGGGCTGTTTCCATGCTGCTATGGACATTCACATACAATATTTGGATGTCTGTTTTCAGTTCCTTTTTTTTTTTTGAGATGGAGTCTCGCTCTGTTGCCCAGGCTGGAGTGCAGTGGCGCTATCTCAACTCACTGCAAGCTCCGCCTCATGGGTTCAAGCAATTCTCCTGCCTCAGCCTCTGGAGTAGCTGGGATTACAGGCATGTGCCACCACCACGCCTGGCTAAGTTTTCTGTATTTTTAGTAGAGACGGGGTTTCACCATGTTGGTCAGGCTGGGCTCGAACTCCCGACCTCAGGTGATCCGCCCACCTTGGCCTCCCAAAGTGCTGGGATTATAGGCGTGAGCCACCGCGCCGAGCCTGTTTTCAGGTCTTTTAGGTATGGACGTAAGAGTGGAATTGCTGGGTCGTATGGTAATATTTAACTTTACCAATTTAGTTTTAAATGCTTTAATGCCTCCTGTTTTTAGTAGCACAATCTAAGCATCTTCAAAAACCCTTCCTTCTCTCATGAAATATAGGAATGAAGGTGGGGGAAAAAAGCTGACTATTTTATTTATAGTTTTTATTTTTTTTTCTTTTAACTGAATTATTTAAAATTTTAAAAATTCAGTCTGGGCACAGTGGCTCACACCTGTAATCTCAGCACTTTGGGAGGCTGAACTGGGAGGGTCACTTGAGCCCAGGAGTTTGAGACCAGCCTGGGCAACATAATGAGACCCCCCATCCCTACAAAAAATCAAAACTTAGCCAGGTGTGGCTGAGTATGCCTGCAGTTCCAGTTACTCTGGAGGTGGAGGTGAGAGAATGGTTTGAGCCTGGGAGGTCAAGGCTGCAGTGAGCTGTTGTTGCACCATGGCATTGCAGCCTGGGTGACAGAATGAGACTCTACCTCAAAAAAATAATAAATAATACATAATTTTTAAAATTCTAAGATTTCATTTATACACATACCTGTGTATTGAGTCATGATGTCAAGGGAATGTCTGATAGTGGCTCAGTATCAATCAAATGCGAAAGCCAGTGTCCTGGGCTTGCTTTTCAGATTGGGGTGATGGATTATTTCCTAGTCTTCCAAGGTTCCCCTCATGATTGGTGGAGATTGTGGTTGCCCAATTTGACTATAGGGCCAAGTTGCATTTTTAGAACTCTTTGAAAACAAACAAAAACTCACATCATGACTGTGAATTGGTAAGTCAGACTGGTCTGCTGACAAAACTTCAATAATTAATAGTACGTAACAATTTAAGTCTAGGAATACCCAGAAGTCTCAACAGAAGTTCTCAAGAGGCCACACAATTGCAGAGAGGAGGTCAGCAAATGCCCAACAGCATTAGAATGGGGCATTTTCCATTGTCCCCAAATTGATGTCTTGAGTCCAGAGTTAGAGAAAAGGAGTTACTTAAGTTCCCCACACTGTGAAGTGAATGCCAGTCATTGCCAACCCCTCCTCCCTAGGATTTATAGCAGGACTAAGCTAATTCCATTCAAATTCCAATCCTATCTCTTTTTTAAGTATCTGTAAGAAAGACTCGGCAGTGGAGTCAAGGGGTCTTGGGCCTTGTGGGTTGGAGAGTAAGAGGCCTCCCACCTAAGTCAAAGGAGGCTCTAAGAGTGACGGGCAAACCCTGTGTGATGTGCTAGAAGAGGAAACCTGGCCTTCTGGTGGGAGCAACTAGGGGAAGAAGTGAGCTGATCTTCTTCTCAAGAATGGAGCGAAGCAACTGAGATGTTGCTGTAGTAGAGCAGTCTGTGTTCCTGCAGTTTAGCAGGGGGAGAAGCTGTGATTTGCTCATGGTCCAGGGGATCCTTTGGAGGGTACCCAAGCTTGAGCCCCATGAAGATTGTCTTGAGGACTGTCTCCTGCAGATAAGTCCCCATCAGTAAGAGGCAGTGGGAGGAGCTGGGCTTGGGATTAGCAGAAGTAATTGAGCCAGTGCTGGATCTTCTTAAGGGAACTAGGTCTTCTCCTTAAGGGAACTGTATCTTTCAGGTCCACTGAAGAACTCTGCATATGTCCCATGGGAGACCAGCTTTGGGCTGCTTGTCCTACAGAGAAAAACATCCATGCCCAGTCCACTTTACCAGAAAAGCAGTAACAAACAGAAGATTACAGCTAGACCAAATTAAATAAAGAAATATGTGCCCTTTTCGCCTAAATCATCTTCCCTCACCCATATTTTGAGAAAAGCTGGATCCAGGAAAGAAAGGAAGTATTAAAGGAAGTATTAAGGAAACCACAGATCATACCTCTTCTCCCACTTTAAATTCTTTTAATGTTGCTATAATGTTTGATGAATTCCCTTAATTTCTCTGGCGGGGAGAAAAGAAGCTTTATACTTTAAAAATGGGGTTTCTTTAAAAATGGGGGTGGGCGGTGGTGCACGCCTGTAATCCCAGCACTTTGGGAGGCTGAGGCGGGCGGATCATGAGGTCAGGAGTTCGAGACCAGCCTGGCCAACATAGTGAAACCCCGTCTCTGCTAAAAATACAAAAATTAGCCGGGCATGGTGGCATGGCCCTGTAGTCCCAGCTACTCAGGAGGCTGAGGTGGGAGAATCGCTTGAACCCAGGAGGCGGAGATTGCAGTGACCCGAGACCATGCCATTGCACTCCAGCCTGGGTGACAGAGTGAGACTCCGTCTGAGAAAAAAAAAGGGGGAGGGGTGGTTTCTGTGCCATCATTTTGCCTTTGGCTCCTTAACTTAGTGCAGAGAATGTTAGCTTTCCTAAGGAAACATACTGCTTGGGTCCTGTCAACTGGTGCCAGGTGGATTTGCTTGGCCCTATGGTCAAATTGGGCAACCACAATCTCCACCAATCATGAGGGGAACCTTGGAAGACTAGGAAATAATCCATCACCCCAATCTGAAAAGCAAGCCCAGGACACTGGCTTTCGAATTTGATTGATACTGAGCCACTATCAGAAATTCCCTTGACATCATGACTCAATACACAGGTATGTGTATAAATGAAAACAAGGCCAGGCACAGTGGCTCATGCCTGTAATCCCAGCACTTTGGGAGGCCAAGGCAGGTGGATCACTTGAGGTCAGGAGTTCGAGACCAGCCTGGCCAACATGGTGAAACCCCTCTCTACTAAAAATACAAAAATTAGCCGGGTGTGGTGGTGCGTGCCTGTAGTCCCAGCTACTCGGGAGGCTGAGGCAGAAGAATCACTTGAAACCGGGAGGCAGAGGTTGCAGTGAGCCAAAATCATGCCACTGCACTCCAGCCTGGGAAACAGAGCGAGAGTCCGTCTCAAAAAAAAATAAATAAAATAATAAAAATAAAAATACAAAAATTAGCTGGGTGTGGTGGCACGAGCCTGTAATCCCAGCTACTCGGGAGGCTGAGGCAGGAGAATCACTTGAATCCTGGAGGCAGAGGTTGCAGTGAGCCGAGATTGCACCACTGTACCCCAGCCTGGCGACAGAGCGAGACTCCATCTCAATAAATAAATAAATAAATAAATAAATAAATAATAAATAAATGAATGAAAACAAAAGTTTTGGGAAACAATACTTACCTTTACTAAGTGCAATGTTCTATGTATTTTATTTTATTCTATTCTACTTTTCTTTTTTTTAGAGACAGGATCTTGCTATGTTGACCAGACTGGTCTCGAACTCCTGGCCTCAAGTGATCCTCCCATCTCAGCCTCCCAAAGTGCTGGAATTACAGGAGTGAGCCACCATGCCTGGCCCTATTCTACTTCAATTTTTTTTTTTTTTTTGAGACAAGGTCTCACTCTGTCACCCTGGCTGAGTACAGTGGTGCAATCATGACTCACTGCAGCCTCAACCTTCCAGGCTCAAGCAATCCTCCCACCTCAGCCTCCCAAGTATCTGGGAATACAGGCACCGGCCACCATGCTCAGCTAATTTTTTATTTTTTTGTAGAGATGGATTCTTGCTGTGTTGCCCAGGCTGGTCTTGAACTCCTAGCCTCAAGTGATCCTGCTGCCCTGGCCTCCCAAAATGCTGGGATTACAGGCATGAGCAACCATACCCAGCCCAATTTTTCTTAATGTTGATTACAACCCTTTAAATTGATTTCATGACCTACTAATGGATTGCAGCCTGCAATTTGAAATATTCTGGTCTAAGGTAACAATCTGGCTGAAAATGGATGAAAAATGACATTTTCATCTACTAAACACTATTATACACCTATTACCTTATTTATCTATTGCTGAACTATTTCTTCAGATCTTAGTGGCTTAAAACAAATTTCTTGGCCGGGCTCGGTGGCTCATACCTGTAATCTCAGCACTTTGGGAGGCCGAGGTGGGCGGATCACAAGGTCAGGAGTTCAAGACCATCCTGGCCAACATGGTGAAACCCCGTCTCTACTACAAATACAAAAATTAGCTGGGTGTGGTGGCAGATGCCTGTAATCCCAGCTACTTGGGAGGCTGAGGCAGATAATTGCTTGAACCCCGGAGGCGGAGGTTGCAGTGAGCCAAGTTTGCACCACTGCACTCCAGCCTGGCAACAGAGCAGGACTCCATCTCAAAAAAAAAAAAAAAAATTCTTATGTCGTAGCTTCTATAGGTCAGAAATCTGAGCATGGGTTAGCTAGATCCTCTGCTTCAGGGCTGTCACAAGGTTGCAATCAAGGTGTCAGTCAGGGCCACGAACATTTCAGGGTCAACTGGCAGAATCTGTTTCCAAGCTTCTATAGTGTTTGGTGGTAGTTCTTGAGGGTTGTTGGACTGAGGGACACATTCCTGCTGGCTATTAGCCAGAGGCTGCCCTCAGTTCCTTCCCCTTAGTTCCTTGAACAGGTGGCCCTCTGCATCACATTGAGCATGTAAGATGAGCCATGGAAAGAAAATCAGCAAAAGAGAAGTCAGAGTCACTTATAACTTGATTGTAGACAGGATATCCCATCACCTTTGCCACATTCTGTTCATTAGAAGCAAGTCACTGGGTCTATCCCACATTCAGGAGACAGGTTGCATGAAAGTATGAATACTAGGAGGCAGGATTCATTGGAGGCTACCTTTATTTCCTCCCCGCCTCCACCCCATTCCCTATTCTAATCACCAAATTCTGCTTGTTTTACATCTGAATATTTCAAATCCTTTCTACTCTAGTTCAAGATTTCACAATCACTCACCTAGACTACTGCAACAGCCTACCAACTAGTCCCCCTGTCTCCAGTCTTGCACTTACAAATCCACCCTCCACACCTTCTACACTGATCTATCTAGGACATGAATCTCACTGTCTGTCCTTTGCCTAAAGCCTTCCTGTGATGGCATGGAGAATACTATTCCTTAACAGCTGGAATGGGAAATCTATATGTGGACAGACAAAGTTTTGCTGAGAAGATGCTTTGCTAGCCTGCCCCTAGGTGGAAGATAAGCCTTGGAAGCCTGATTTGGTTGGTACCCAAGCTTCAGAGAGGAGGGTGGTGTTGCTCATATGAGACAAGGGGAAGAATTATTTGACTGCTCTTGAGAAGGAATGAGGAAGATGGGGGAAGGGGGTGGTGTTGGGAGAAGCTGAAGCAGAGAGGAGGCAGAGAATAACTGATAAGGGAATCCCAGGGACACTGGGAATGGCTAACGGAGGCATTTATTGATTGATTGACTGAGACAGAGTCTCGCTCTGTCACCCAGGCTGGAGTGCAATGGCACAATCTCAGCTCACTGCAACCTCTGCCTCCCGGTTTCAAGCGATTCTGCCACCTCAGCCTCCTGAGTAGCTGGGATTACAGGCAAGCGCCTCCACTCCTGGCTAATTTTTGTATTTTTAATAGAGACGGGGTATCACCATGTTGGTCAGGCTAGTCTCGAACTCCTGACCTCATGATCTGCCTGCCTCGGCCTCCCAAAGTGCTGGGATTCCAGGCGTGAAACACCGCGCCCACCCAGTGGTGGCCTTTATGTTCCTGCTGTGAAGTGTGCAATTCAAACCCCTTCCTCTGTCTCCCCTGCAAAATCTTCAATGATGTCTGCATTGCTAACTTACACATTTGTCCAGTCTGGTGCTGGACAAAACCATAGGTTGACCATGTGGACCTAGAAGGCAGAAGATTAGAAGAAAGCCAAAGGTGTAGTGGGTCATTTCTGCAATCCCAGCACTTTGGGAGGCCGAGGCAGTAGGATCAGTTGAGGACAGGAGTTCAAGACCAGCCTGGGCAACACAGTGTGAATCCCTTCTCAAAAAAAAAAAAAAAAAAAAGAAAAAGAAGAAAGAAAGAAAGAAAGAAAGAAAGAAAGAAAGAAAAGAAAGAAAGAAAGAAAGAAAGAAAGAAAGAAAGAAAGAAAGAAAGAAAGAGAAAGAAAGAAAGAAAAAAAAAAAAAAAAAAACAATTAGTTGGGCATAGTGGCTTGCACCTGTAGTGCCAGCTACCTAGGAGGCTAAGGCAGAAGAATTGCTTGAGCCCAAGCGTGGGAGGCTGCTGTGAGCTATGATTGAGCCACTGTACTCCAGCCTGAGTGACAGAGCAAGACCCTGTCTGTAAAATAAAATAATTTTTAAGACTAAAATAAAAAATCATAAGATGTAAAAATTTTCAACAAAATTCACTAAAATGATAACCACCATCATCTCTGGATGGTGGAGTTAAACGTTATGACTTTTTTAAAAGACAAGGTCTTACTCTGTTGTCCAGGCTGGAGTGTAGTGGTTTGATCACAGGTCATTGTAACCTTGAACTCCTGGACTCAAATGGTCCTCCCACTTCAGCCTCCAGAGTAGCTAGGATACAGGTGCACACCACCATGCCTGGCTAATATTTTATTTTTTTTTGTATTTGTTTTTTGTTTGTTTGTTTTTGTTTTTTTGAGACAGAGTTTCACTCTTGTCACCCAGGCTGGAATGCAATGGCATGATCTCAGCTCACTGCAACCTCCACCTCCTGGGTTCAAGTGATTCTCCTGCCTCAGCCTCCTGAGTAGCTGGGGTTATAGGCCCCCGCCACCATGCCCAGTATTTTTAGTAGAGATGGGGTTTTGGCATGTTGGCCAGGCTGGTCTCAAACTCCTGACCTCAGGATACACCTGCCTCGGCCTTCCAAAGTTCTGGGATTGCAGGCGTGAGCCACTGCGCCCGGTCTAATTGAATTTTTTGTAGAGATAGGGTCACTCTATGTTGCCTGGGCTGGTATTGAACTCCTGGTCTCAAGCCTTCCTTCCCACCTTGGCCTCCCAGAGTGCTGGGATTAGAGGTGTGATTCACTGTGCCCAACCTGTTATTTATCTTTATATCTCTATTGTTTGTTTGTTTGTTTGTTTGTTTGAGACGGAGTCTTGCTGTGTCACCCAGGCTGGAGCGCAGTGGCACAATCTCAGCTCGCTGCAAGCTCCGCCTCCCGGGTTCACGCCATTCTCCTGCCTCAGCCTCCCAAGTAGCTGGGACTACAGGCACCCACCACCACGCCCAGCTAATGTTTTTGTATTTTTAGTAGAGATGGGGTTTCACCGTGTTAGCCAGGATGGTCTCGATCTCCTGACCTCGTGATCTGCCCACCTCGGCCTCCCAAAGTGCTGGTATTACAGGCGTGAGCCACTGCGCCCGGCCTTATGTCTCTATTGTTGAGCACAGTCAATGTCTAATACATAATAGATAATAAGCACATCCCAGAGAGTCAATGAATGTTTATGGAAATAAAAAAATTTAAAAACAGAAAACAAGTAACTTGCTCAAGCCTACATGGTTAAGTGACAAAGGCAAGACTGAAGCTTCCATCTGTCAGATGACAAAGTCAACACACCTCCCCAGAGGCTGAGCTGAGCAGAGCTGCAGTATTCTATATAATGAATCTCAAGTTTTGTTGTTTGTGTTACAGCTGATTGGCTGCAATCAGGATCCAAACATGGACCATATATGGCATTTGATTGATATGTACCTTAATTCTCTTTTAATCAATAACAATTACCCTCACCTTTAAAAAAATTGTGGTAAAATGTACATAACATAAAATTGACTATCTTAACACTACTGAGCTGTACACTTTAAAATTGTTAAGTACTGGCTGGGTGTGGTGGCTCACACTGTAATCCCAGCACTTTGGGAGGCCGAGGCGGGTGGATCACCTGAGGTCAGGAGTTCAAGACTATGTGGCCAAAATGGCGAAACCCCATCTCTACTAAAAATACAAAATTAGCTGGACATGGTGGCGCATGTCTGTAATCCCAGCTACTCAGGAGGCTGAAGGCAGGAGAATCACTTGAACCTGGGAGACGGAGGTTGCAGTGAGCCGAGATCATGCCACCGCACTCCGGCCTGGGCGACAGAGCAAGATTCCATCTCAAAAATACATACATACATACATGCATACATACATACATAAAATGGTTAAGTACCTTCACATTGTTGTACAGCCAATATCCAGAACTCATTTCATCTTGGAGAACTGAAACTCTACACCCGTTAAACAATAACTCACTATTTCCTTCTTTCTCTGACCCCTGGCAGCCACCATGCTACTTTCTGTCTCTATGGATTTGACTATTCTAGGTTATAGAAGTGGAATCATAGAGTATTAGTCCTTTTGTGACTATTTCACATAGTATGATGTCCTCAAGTTTCATCCATGTTGTTACATATATCAGAATTTCCTTTCTTTTTGAGGCTGAATTAATATTCCATTGTATGTATGTATCACAAATTGTTTATCCATTCATCCACTGTTGGTCCCTTGGGTTGCTTCCACCTTTTGGCTATTGTTAATTATGCTGCTGTGAACATGTATGCATAAATATCTCTTTGAGAAACTTTCAGTTTTGGGGATTATTGCTATGGATTGAATGCTTGTGTTCCCCAAAATTCATGTTGAAACTCTAAATCCCAATGTGATAGTATTTACAGGTAGGGCCTTTAGGAGGTAATTAGATTTAGATGAGGTCATGAGGGTTGAACCCCATGATGGAATTAGTGTCCTTTTAAGAAGTGGAAGAGGCCGGGTGTGGTGGCTCTTGCCTGTAATCCCAGCACTTTGGGAGGCTGACGCGGGAAGATGGCTTGAGGCCAGGAGTTTGAGACAAGCCTGGGCAACAAGGGGAGACCCTGTCTTTACAAACTATTTACAAACTGGCTGATTGTGGTAGCATGTGCCTGTAGTCCTAGCTACTTGGGAGGCTGAGGGTGAGAGGATCAATTGAGCCCAGAAGGTTGAGGCCACAGTGAACTGTGACCATGCCACTGTATTCCAGCCTGGGTGACAGAGCGAGACCCAGTCTTAAAAGAAGAAAGAGACAGACAGAGAGAGAAGGAAAGAAAGAAAGAAGAGAAAGAAGGAGAGAAAGAAAGAAAGAAAGAAAGAAAGAAAGAAAGAAAGAAAGGAAAGAAAGAAAGAAAGAAAGAAAGAAAGAAAGAAAGAAAGAAAGAAAGAAAGCAAGCAAGCAAGCAAGCTGCTATTTGTCCTATAGGATTTCTCACACTTTAGAATTGGCTGATCATATACTGTATTTTCATTTAACTTGTTCCTCTGTTTCCTACATTTCCTGTTAACCAGTAAGTTAGATCTAGATTCTTGATTAGATTCAGGTTCAATTCTTCTGGCAAGAATAATTCATAGATGGGCATATGTACTTCCTGTTGCAACACACCAGGAGGCATGTAATGTCTGCATATCCTGCTTTTGGTGATGTTAAGATTATAGATGAGTACAGATATTTTTCAGTATAATCCATCCATTAAAAAGTTCCTCATCGGCTGGGCATGGTGGCTCATGCCTGTAATCCCAGCACCTTGGGAGGCCAAGGCGGGTGGATCACTTGAGGTCAGGAGTTCGAAACCAGCCTGGCCAACATGGTGAAACCCCATCTCTACTAAAAATACAAAAATTAGCCAGGTGTGGTGGCACATGTCTGTAGTCCCAGCTACTCAGGAGACTGAGACAAGAGAATTGCTTAAACCTGGGAGGCGGAGGTTGCAGTGAGCCGAGATGGCACCACACTGCACTTCCAGCCTAGGCAACAGAAGGAGACTCTGTCTGGGAAAAAAAAAAAAAAAAAAAAAGTTCCTCATTAACATTTTACCTAGAAGCCATTGAGGATCATTTCCCATATCTATTATTTCGTTAGGGATTGCACAATGGTAATGTTCTAATATTCCTTTTTGCATTTATTAGCTGGTATTGTTCTATAAAGAAGAGCTTTTCCTCTATCAGATTATCCTGAAATGCAGTTAGTACAGGAATAACAGAATAAATGCTTTTTTCCTTTTTATTTACCAATTTTCAGAATTACAAATTGGTCCCTACCAACCTTCAAAATCAAACAATACGGTTTCTTTTTTTGGAGCACGTGTGTGGTAGAAGGAGGGTAACTATGAACTCATAGTTTTTTTTATATTTTTTTACTTGCTTTCAAAATACTATTTTTGGTTCTCAAAGTATTTCTAGGCTTCTCTCTAAATACCATTGTGACCTATTTGTTTCTTCTCACTTTGACTCAGGCTTCGTCAAAGTTATTGAGCCTTGGCTGGGCACAATGGCTCATGCTTTGGGAGGCTGAGGCAGGAGGATTACTTGAGGTCAGGAGTTCGAGACCAGCCTGGGCAACCTAGTGAGACTCTATCTCTACAAAAAATAAAAATTAGCCAGGCATGGTGGTGCACGCCTGTAATCCCAGCTACTTGGGAGATTGAGGTGGGGGAATTGCTTGAGCCCAGGAGGTTGAGGCTGCAGTGAGCAGTGATCAAACCACTGCACTCCAGCTTAGGTGACAGAGTGAGACGCTGCCTCTAAAAAACAAAGCAACACTTTTTTTTTTTTTGAGATGGAGTCTCGCTTTGTCACCCAGTCTGGAGTGCAGTGGCGCAATCTCGGCTCACTGCAAGCTCTGCCTCCCAGGTTCACGCCATTCTCCTGCCTCAACCTCACAAGTAGCTGGGACTACAGGTGCCCGCCACCACGCCCAGCTAATTTTTTGTATTTTTAGTAGAGACAGGTTTCACCGTGTTAGCCAGGATGGTCTTGATCTCCTGACCTTGTGATCCTCCTGCCTCGGCCTCCCAAAGTGCTGGGATTACAGGCGTGAGCCACCACGCCCGGCCAAAGCAACATGTTTATGTTTTTTTAAAAAAGGAACAAAGCTGTTGAGCCTTAATAATTGCATTCTACTCCTGCAACCAAATACAGGTTAGTATTCTATATCAACTGACTCTTAGTCTATCTTGAGAGTGGCAAAATGGGAATGGCGAAGAAAGGGAGAGAATTCCTAGGTTTGTCCTGTCTCCAGACAGGAAGTTGGATTAGTGCTTTCTTTTCCTTTTCCTTTTTTTTTTTTCTTTTGAGACATAGTCTGGCTCTATTGCGCAGGCTGGAGTGCTGGAGTGCAATGATGCAATCTCAGCTTGCTGCAACCTCTGTCTCCCAGGTTCAAGTGATTCTCCTGATCTCAGCCAAGATCGTACCATTGCACTCCAGCTTGGGCAACAAGAGTGACATTCCATCTCAAAAAAAAAAGAAAGAAAAGAAAAGAAATATGAGGTATGGTCTTTGTGCATTTTAATCCCTAGACTGTAACTAGTTACATGATCATGGCTAAAGCCAGCTCTATCCCTGGGCTTATTTTGTTGATCACTACAATTGCTTTTTCACTATGCTAGTTTTAGTTTGATTTATTTCATTTAAAACTAAAACATCCTTAACCCAAAGGGATAAAAGAAAGGAAAAGATACACAGTGTATGGAAAAAAGAGAAATTTAGATGAATGGCACAATAATATATTTCTCCAAACTTCCAATTGTTTAATCAATAAATTGTATACCTGCAAGGAATTTTACAAATTACAGGCATGCATCACATAACAATGATTTGGTCACCCATGAACTGCATACACCATAGTATATGGTATCCCATGAGATTATCCCATCCCAGTGGGACAAGACCAGACACAGACCCTTCAATTCCTCATTCTTTTTTACAATTTTTTTTTTTTTTTCCGTAGAGACGGGGTCTTGCTATGTTGCCTAGGCTGGTCTTGAACACCTGGGCTCAAGTAATCCTCCTGTGTGGGCCTCTCAAAGTGGTGGGATTACAGATGTGCATCACCATGCTCAGCCCAATTCCTCATTCTTTGTCTCTCTATTAGAACTCTTTGTCCACCTAAAACCAGCATGACACAGAGATAAATATTTCCTGTTTGGCAACTGACTGAGACTTCTGATTGCAAAACAATCCCACATGTAAGTCCTCCACCTGTAACTTGTATACTCCTCTCTATAAAAGTCTAAGGCAAAACCACCCTGCCAAGAGACTCTGATCTTTGGATTTGGAGTGCTTTTCCTATTGTAATAGCCTGAATAGATCAATTCCCTTACTTGTTTAGGTTTTGTATTTGACTATAGCACCCACCAAAAAGCTGGAAATTTTAAACTAAAGCAAAAAACAGCACACCTCGAGAAAGACGGGTCACAGAGTTGCAAGGAAAAGGAAGGTCTAGTTGCCTCAAAGCTGATCCCCTAGGTCATATACAGTCATTAAATCCGCATCTGGGGCAGACTGGGGTGCCAGCCTGACTAAGCCATTATCCATTCAGCTTCAGGGGAGGGGACACTGTGAGGAAGCTCAATACATGATTTCTGAATTGAATGAAACAAAATCTATTAATTTGCCTTGGTGCTAATTAGGGAGAAGTTTAAGGTTGATAAAGGAAAAAAAGCAGCCCCTGATAAAAAGCTGGCCTGGCACCCACAGCTATACCAGTTAGTCTTCTGTTGGACATAATCACTTTCCTAGCCTTCTTGGCAGTTAGTTGTGGTCACGTGACTAAATCCTAGTAAGATGAAACCAAAGTGGAATGTGGTGGCTACCAAAGCCTTTCTTGTCAACCCTTTGTTTTTTTCTTTCTTTCTTTCTTTTTTTTTTTTTTTAGAGACTGGATCAGAAAGGTTACTCAGAGACCATGATAAAGTAAGACTAAATAAGGCCACTTCAGAATTTTGCCTAACCACAGAAAAATACAAGGGCATCGTGCCGTACAAAGTACCCAAACATCCTATCTCCACTAAAATGAGTGACTGCTGACTTCTTTACCAATGACAGCTTTATCCTTACTCTTGTCTGCCCTCCCTATAGAAAAAATTTGAGGCAGTCAATGGTAGAGCAGCCAATAGTATAACTGATCCTGCTTTCTGAGAGTATCCAATCTCAACAGAACAGTTTCCTTAGACCCTGCCCCAAATAATCCTCCTACTGAGTCACCCCATGCTACAAGTAATAAATCTAACCTGTTTACTTTGGTTGGAAAGCATTGACAAGGTGCCTTGGCTAAACAACTTGAGTTCATAGAGTGAGGCAAATCATTAGGAGGCCTCTGAAGAAAAATAATTGAAATTTGTTTACAAAACAAAATATTTTATAACTGATGGCAAATCAAAGGCTACTAAAGGAAACTGAGTCACCAAAGAATTAGAAAAGACTTCTCTGAATGGAGGACTGTGCCAGGGAGTTTCAGGAGGCTGTGCACATTTTCATTACCTTTAAAAGGGTGTGCAGAATGAATCAACACAACTGAAAACACTTTCAGAACTTAATTCTACATTCCATTCTCTTCTGGAACGTCAGGAGCTAGCCCCATGTTAATTATGTTCCCCCAGACTACCCTGAAATCCAAGAGGGATGTTATCTCCACACAAATCCCCAAAAACCAAAAATGTTAGAACTAGAACACTACCATTTTGCAATCCCTAATGAAATAATAGATCTGAAAAATAATCATCCATGGCTGTTAAAGCCATTAGGCAAAATGTTATTTTAATGCTCTTAGTCTGTATCAGGTAAGAAAACTATAAAATCCACTTAATGGGTGGCAAAAACTTCTTGCTGTTTCCCAGTATCCACCCATACTTTTTTTTTTTCTCGAGACTGGGTCTCACTCTGTTGCCCAGGTTGAAGTGCAGTGGTGATCATTGCTCACTGCAGCCTCGACCTCCTGGGCTCAAGCGATCATCCCGCCTTTGGCTTCCCAAAGTGCTGGGATTATAGGAATGAGCCATTGTGCCCAGGCCCATCCATACTCTCTACACAGTTTAGCTGGTATCCAATGCCCATAATACATGCCACTTTCCTAGCCTTCTTGGCAGTTAGTTGTGGTCACGTGACTAAATTCTAGTAAGATGAAACCAAAATGGAATGTGGTGGCTACTAGAGCCTTTCTTGTCAACTCTTTTTGTTTCTTCCTTATTTTTTTTTAAGAGACTGGATCTCGCTACATTGCCCAGGCTGGACATGAACTCCTACGTTCAAGGGATCCTCCTACCTCAGTTCCTCCCCACCACACAGTGGCTGGGACCATAGGAGCGAGCCACTGCACCTGGCTTCAACCCTTTCTTTCTACTCTTCTTTATTGCTTCAATCCTGCTGGCTAGATTAGAATGCAGGCATCCAGGATTGATTCCAGGTTATGCTCAGTGGCAGAAGAGAAAAGGCAGCTGGGTCTGGGAAACCATGGCTCACAGCTGTAAACGCGGTGCTTTGGAAGGCCAGTGGCAGGAGGACTGCTTGAGCCTAGGAGTTCGAGACCAACCTGAGCAACATAGTGAGACCCCATCTCTACAAAAAATTTAAATTAGCCAGATATAGTGGCATGCGCCTGTGGTCCCAGCACTTTGGGAGGATTGCTTGAGCCCAGGAGTTCAAGGTTACAATGAGCTATGATCTCACGACTGTGCTCCAGCCTGGGTGACAGTGAGACCATCTCTAAAAAAATAAAAAATAAAAAATAAAAAAAAAGAGAGTGGAGAAGGAGAAGAAAAAGAGGGGGGAGGGGAAAGAAGGGAAGAAGAAGGAGGAGGGCAGAGAAGCAAAGGGGAGGAGAAGAGGGAAAGGGGGAAGGGAAGACAGGAAGTGCCAGAAGGGTGGCAGGAGCAGAGGCCCAGAGATTACACTGGAAACTGTTATGATGCTTTCTGGTACAAGTTACAGAAAACTAATTCAAGATGCTGGAAATAATAAGGTAATGTGTTTATTATCTCAAGTATGAAGTCCATGGATAGGATGGGCTCAGGCATGGAAAGTATAGCTGGGCTCTAGCTCCACAAAATGGCTACCTGCATGATAGCAGGTATCATGCTAAAAGCATTGCTCAGAGGAAGAAAAGGGAACTTTGTCCTATATCTCTTTCTTAAAAGTGAAGAATCCTTTTCTAGAAGCTTCCCAGCAGACTTGTCATCCAGTGTCACTGTCCAGAACTAGATTATATACCCATTATCAAAGCAATCACAGGCAAGGAGAGTAAAGTGACCAGGAATAGTAAACCATTCATACAAGATCTACCTCCAGAACTGGGGATGGGATCACCATCCCCTGAGTCATACAGGACAGGGATAGACACAGGACCACTCCTATGGTTGTGCAAGTTGTGTAGTGCACAACTCCAGGAGGCCTCACTCACAGTCATTTGTAAGGTTATTATGACAAATTTCCAGCAGATGGCAGTAAAGTGCTTGGGAAAAGGGCATCTTTTTCTGACTTTTCTGAAGTCACAGCAAGCAGACAAGGTAGATACCTAACAAAATCAAGATTCTGTTAGAAGGAATGTGGCGGGGGTGGTGGGAAATGAGTACTTGACAGGTAATGAGAGTTCTGCAGCAGAAGGTAAATAATCTAACTTACAGTAAACCTTTTAAAATTATATATAGTAAATTCTATTTTAATGAAATAATCCATTCCAGGTTTAAGAAAAATTTTGAATATTTTTATTGAATTCCAATATAGTTACTCTGAAAAAACAAATTAGACAGATATCCTAAATTGAAAATCATGATGTACAAAACCCACTGTCATTACCAATAAAAAGTTTAAAATAAAGTGTCAAGATTGATTTTTACAAGAACAGCATTCATATATCAAAAACCTCTCTCTTTTTTATACCAAATGATTAAGGTATACTGAAAATTACACACCTCAAGAAAATATATCAGTAGATGAAATATTATCACTGAAGATTAGTCACATAAGGCATGATTAGTTTTGGGAAATTTAAATAAAATATTAAAGTTCCTTCACGATTTCCGTCAACTACATGTCCACAGGGGGGAAAAAAAAAAAACATAAGTCAAAACTAAACAGGCAGACAAATGATAAAGTTGGGAATACATAGCGATGTCAGGAATTTTTTTTTTTTGAGACAAGGTCTCCATCTGTTGCCCAGGATAGAATGCAGTGGCGTGACTGTGGCTCACTGCAGCCTCAAACCCCTGGGCTCAAGCAATCCACCCTCCTCAGCCTCAGCCTACCGCGTATTTGGGATTACAGAGCGTGCCACCATGCTAGGCTAATTTTTAAATTTTTGTAGAGATGGGGGTCTCCCTATGTTGCCTAGGCTGGTCTTGAACTCCTCGCCTCAAGCAATCCTCCTGCCTTGGCCTCCCAAAGTGCTAAGATTATACATATGAGCCACCACATCTGGCCTAGGAAGTTTTGTTGTTGTTGTTGTTGTTGTTGTTGTTTTTTGAGACAAAGTTTCACTCTTGTTGCTGAGGCTGGAGTGCAATGGCCTAATCTCGCCTCACTGCAACCTCCACCTTCTGAGTTCAAGCGATTCTCTTGCCTCAGCCTCCCAAGTAACTGGGATTACAGGCACGTGCCACCACGCCCAGCTAATTTTGTATTTTTAGTAGAGATGGGGTTTCACCATGTTGGCCAGGTGGTCTCAAACTCCTGACCTCAGATGATCCACCCGCCTCAGCCTCCCACAGTGCTGGGATTACAGGCATAAACCACTGTGCCCGGCCTAGGAAGTATTTTTCAAGTGAGAATGGGCAATCAATTTCCTATAACCTCGATCATGTTCTCTAAATATCAAAGCAAAACTGTACAGATGATATGATATAAAACGCAGGGGGTTTTCTTTGGATCAGTTTACACTTGAGGTCAATAATATATGCAACGTATGCGATGAAACGGAATTCCTTTCATATCTTCCCTATGGTCATGGGCATAGTCCCATAAGTAATAATCCAGAAGAATGGAATTGATCTCTCCATTAGGTTTTTCACCCTTTTGTTCAATAAGCTCCAGAAGACAATCCCGGATCAGCTCAACACACCAAAGCGAGCACCCTCTGATTTCCACCTCTTGCCTGTCTCCATATGAGAGCATTTCTCCTGCAAGGGGGAAAAGCAGTAAGAAAAATTAATAGTCAATGATACATAATCTACTTGAACTTTCCTGTAGAACAAAACAGAGTATTTAAATGGTACTCATTTTAAAACTGTAAATCTCAGACGTTATTTTTGGTAATTTAAATCATTTCAAAACTTTCGCACTGATTTTAAATTACAAGTTAAATTCCACAAAGACAGGGGCCATATCTGGCTTGTCTCAATATTCCCAGGAGCTAGCATAGCACCTTGCACATACTAGCTCCCCAATAAATATTTGATAAATGAGTAAGTGGTAACCATAAATTTAAAACTATGACTGCTAGTTATTAAAAAGATGGAATTTAAAATTGGGTTTGATACCAGAAATAAAATTATTGTAGGCTGGGTGCAGTGCCTCACCTCTGTAATGCTAGCAATTTGGGAGGCTGAGGTAGGAGGATTACTTGAGCTCAGGAGTTCAAGACCAGCCTGGGCAACATGACAAAACCCTGTCTCTACAAAACATACAAAAATTAGCCAGGCATGGTGGTATGTGCCTGTAGTCCCAACTACTCAGGAGTAGTAGTCCCAGCATGGTAGTATTGCCTGTAGTCCCAGCTACTCGGGAGGTTGAGGTGGGAGGGTCGCTTGAGTCCAGAAGACAGAGGTTGCAGTGAGCCGAGATCACGCCATTGCACTCCAGTCTAGGCAACAGAACCAACCGTATCTCCAAAATAAATAAATATTTATTTTGGGAATATCTGATCCTGCAAGGTAGGCACTGGCTGTGTCTTACCACTGAGACTAGAGTAGGACTCATGGACCCATGTCTATATGCAGCAGCCAGATGCAAACTGTAGTGAGCGAGGTAGTGTACATAGTACTATGCAAAGGTACTGTGTGTTTCCATATTTTTCTTATGAGAGAAGTCAGGAAGTTTGATTTTTATGTGAAATCTCCTAATTTTCAAGTGTTGGAAACTAATTAAAAATTGCTAGGCCATTTTTCAGGCCAAACCTAACACAACTGCAAGCTGTATTTGGCCTCTGGCCACCAAACTGCACCCATGCACAAAGTCTCACAGTACCCAGGATATCTTGTGACCTTAAGTAGTGTTACTTATGCCCCCTCCATCCAACTCTCCCATGGGCTTAGGCACTGGTCAGTGGAACAGGTGGGGAAACAGTGATTAACCAGGTTCCTCCATTTCCTTACTTTGCCCCAGGTGCTAGCATAGAAGCCCATACCTTCCTCTTCAGTTTTGCTGTTAATCATTTCCTCCAAATTTGACTATCAACTTGCTAAAACTGCCAAATCAGCCAACAGAGTGGCCACGGAGGCAGACGCTCCCACCCGAGTAGAGCTATCAGGTAAGACACTGCTCCACTTGGCGGCTGGACTGTAACCTTGAGGCAGAGGTACAAAGTTAAGCAGCACTCAGGTTCCTGACCCAGGATCATAAATGTCTGTTGTTTTAACCACTAAATTTTAGCGTAATTTGTTACACAGCAATAGATAATAGTAGTGGGTTGAACTGTGGCTCATAAAAAGATACATTCAAGTCATAACACCTGGTACCTGTGACTTTGACTTTGTTTGGAAATAGGGACTTTGCAGATGTAATCAGGTGAAGAGGTCATACTGGATTAGGATCAACCTTAAATCCAATGAAGGAAAGGTGAGACCCCTTCTCTACAAAAAATGGAAAAAGTAGCCAGGCATGGTGGTATGCACCTCTAGTAGCCCCAGCTACTCAGGAGGCTGGGGCTGAGAAGGGAGGATCGCTTGAGCCCAGGAGTTTGAAGCTGCAGTGAGTTATGATCATGCCACTGCACTCCAGCCTTGGTGACAGAGTAAGACCCTGTTTCTAAACAAAAAAGAAAGCAAGCAAGAAAAGAAGAGGATACAGGTCGGGTGCAGTGGCTCATGCCTGTAATCTCAGCACTTTGGGAGGCCAAGGCGGGTGGATCACCTGAGGTTAGGAATTCGAGAGCAGCCTGGCCAACATGGTAAAACCTTGTCTCTACCAAAAATACAAAAATTAGCCAGGCATGGTGGTGGGCACCTGTAATCCCAGCTATCCAGGAGGCTGAGGCAGGAGAATCACTTGAACCCGGGAGAAGGAGGTTGCAGTGAGCTGAGATGGCGCCATTGCACTGGGCGACAAGAACAAAACTCCGTCTCAAAAAAAAAAAAGAAGAAAAGAGGATACAAAGAGACAGGAGACACAAGGATAAGAAGGCCATGATTGGTGTGATGCAGCTACAAACCAAGGAATGTCAAGGACTGCTGGAGCCACAAGGTACTGGAAAGAGGCAAGGTAGAATTATTCCCAAGAGCCTTTAGAGGAAGGATGGTCCTGCCAACATCTTGATTTCAGACTTCCAGTCTCCAGAACTGTGACACAATACATTTCTGTTCCTTGAAGCCATCTAGTTTGTGGTAATTTGTTATGTCAGCCCTAGGAAACTAATGTAATAACTAATGCAGCAACTTACAGTATGGGATAGAACATGGACTTCAGACAGAAAAAGACATTTAAGTGGACTGACATAGATTAGAGTCAGGGAAGGTAATATGGCCCAGGTATTTGGTCTAAAAACTGGCCCTGGAATCACAGTGAAAAGCTAACTTTAGTTAAATTGCATTGTTAGTCTTTATAATTGGCCAAGTACTACGTCTTTGGTGAAGAGATGGGTTAAAGACAGTGGACAGAAATCTAAGTGGCACTTCCAAGGGTTGTCCCTGAGATACCCAGATGAGGGGAGAAGGGAAAGAATATAAATGTAGCAAATCCTCAAGTTTGGAAGTACCATTGGAAGCCAGTTAAGGAAGGTCCTACCTCACCTGGTCAAATTAAGCTGGTCCTAGATTTCACTTAAGGTAGTTTTTAAAAATGAGTACACTATACTTATGTTTGTTACATTACATTTACAGTTTGTTTATTTTTGGTCTAGTTTTGCAGTAACATACCTTTTGGAAAACAAAATCCAAATTTTACTTAAATGCACTAAGTGGCAAAAGAATTTGTCCACCCTGTATCAAACTAGCTACGGATAGGAGAGTACCCTTTTAGAAGCAAGGCATAAATGGAGGCAGTAATGAGTGCCAGTGGATATTGGAAAAGAGCCTCTGGAGTTGAAATGGATGGGAGAAGAAAATTCTGACATCTCTGTACAACTATGCTGGATGATCCCTTCTCACTAGGGTTTTTCTCATAGTAGCAGAGACAATTAAGTGCCATAAAAACTGAGAAGGAGATGGACAAATCACTATAAGTGAGGACAGCATTTGAGTGAAGCCTCTGTGATGTATAGGATTTGAATTGAAAAAAAGAAGCTGGGCGTGGTGGCTCACGCCTGTAATCCCAGCACTTTGGGAGGCTGAGGAGGGTGGATCATGAGGTCAGGAGTTCAAGACCAGCATGACCAGTGTGGTGAAACCCCGTCTCTACTCAAAATACAAAAATTAGCCAGGCATCGTGGCATGCGCCTGTAATCCCAACTACTCAGGAGGCCGAGGCAGGAGAATGGCTTGAACCTGGGAGGCGGAGGTTCTGGTGAGCCGAGATCACGCCACCACACTCCAGCTTGGGCAACAGAGCGTCTCAAAAAAAAAAAAAAAAAAAAAAAAAAAGAAAGAACACTGGACGATGGAAACCACGTAAGAGAATACTCAGAGACAGGAATGAACAGTGTGTACAAAACAAAAAAAAAGCAGCTTAATATGGCCATATGAAAAATAAGCCCTGATTGCTAAATGTTGTCCCTTTTAAAGGTATCCAACAATTAGTGACCCTTGACATGGGCATGATGACAAAAAATAGCATGTTCTTTTTCAAATGAGGAAATGGAAGACAAAACAGATTGCCCATGGCAGCATAAAAACCCAGTAGAGCCAACCATAGGAATAATGGTACCTTTATATTCTGTGTTATTCTGATCTGGGGGATTCAAATCTATTTCACAAGAGGAAATTATTCAATCATAGAATCTACTTCTTTTAAAAAAATACATAAGGCCGGGGTGGTGGCTCACACCTGTAATCCCAGCACTTTGGGAGGCCGAGGTGGGTGGATCACAAGGTCAGGAGATCGAGACCATCCTGGCTAACACGGTGAAACCCCGTTTCTGCTAAAAATACAAAAAATTAGCTAGGTGTGGTGGCGGGCGCCTGTAGTCCCAGCTACTCGGGAGGCTGAGGCAGGAGAATGGCCTGAACCTGGGAGGCGGAGCTTGCAGTGAGCCAATATCGCACCACTGCACTCTAGCCTGGGCAACAGAGTGAGACTCCGTCTCAAACAAACAAACATAAAGAGGCCAGGTGCAGTGGCTCACGCCTGTAATCCCAGCACTTTGGAAGGCTGAAGTGAGAAGACTGCTTAAGCCCAGGAATTCAAGACCAACCTGGGCAACATATTTTTTAAATAAAATAAAATAAAGAAAAAAGTAGCAGAAAATTTTGCACCTAAAAGAGAAATTAACATGAAAATCATATAATTATTTTCCTCATACAAGGAAATGTTATAAGCTAATTTTCACACAAACTTTTCAACCCAATTTACCTAAGCTTATATATCATAAGGCTCCTAGTCTTGATATCAATAATCATATCCAATAATGGCGAATAAGCCTAAGGAAGTGAGTGACTTGTGCAAGATATCCCAGTGCAGACCTTGGAGTCTCTTCACTCAAAAGCCAATTCATATTACCTATCTTTCAACCTACCTTCATATAACCATGTAGTGTGCTCTTCAGCTTAACACTCTTCAAATACTATAACTGATGAACTATCAGTGTTACATACTTTCATGTAACATAAATTTAGGTTTCATTAGGCTATGAAATTATAATGTTCAAATAGCACAATTTTCTACAATATCCACATTTCACAGTGTAAACAAAAAGAAAAATCATTTTCTCTACATTTTGTCTTTGCATTTTCCTTTTTACATATACTATGAACAATAAATAGTACTTTTTTTTTAAAGCAAAGGAGACCTTTTGTAAAAGAAACTAAACCGAGATCCAACAATTCATAGTATAACAAAGAATGACTTAAAGTTGCAAACCTTTGAGAAGCTTCTTCAGTAGGTCATCAGAGTATTTCAGGGCTCCAAGATGAGCAAGAACCTGAGGTAATCTATAATCAGCAAACATGGTGATACTGGAGATGTCCTTGAAGCAGCCATCTCCTTTTCCTTCCAATACACTCCACGTATCTGCTACAAGGATTTGGGCTCGTTTGTAAAAAGAAACTCTTTTCCCCTGATGAATGAAGAGAATATAAACGTTATTTGAGTATCTGAAAGCTTTATATATGCTATTTTTTAAAGGTGCAGTTGAAACATTTTTTAAAAGGCAGAATAATCTTACTTTGTTGGTAAGAATTTATAGATTGGCCGGGCACCATGGCTCCCGCCTGTAATCCCAGCACTTTGGGAGGCTGAGGTGGGCAGATTGCTTGAGCCCAGGAGTTCAAGACCAGCCTGTGAAACATGGCATAACTCCAACTCTACAAAAAAAAAAAATTAGCTGGGCGTGGTGGCACACATCTATGGTCCCAGATACTCAGGAGGTGAGGTGGGAGAATCGCATGAGCCTGGGAGGTCAAGCCTGCAGTGAACTGTGATCACACCACTGCACTCCAGCCTGGGTTACAGAGGGAGACCCTGTCTCAAAAAAAAAAAAAAAAAATTCATAGATCTTTTACAAGAAACAAAAGGATTTAATGAACATTAAATTTTCTATCACTCCAAACTCGCTTCCCATTTTTCAAGGCACATAAAATACAATTTATGTAATCTTGATACTACTTACTATTCTTTTTCAATGGCATTACTTCATATACAGATTTCTGCAATATAATCCTAGGGCTTATTATTATTATTATTTTTTGAGACGGAGTCTTGCTCTGTCGCCCAGGCTGGAGTGCAGTGGTGCAATCTCGGCTCACTGCAAGCTCCGCCTCCTGGGTTCACGCCATTCTCCTGCCTCAGCCTCCCGAGTAGCTGGGACTACGGGCGCCGTCACCACGCCCGGCTAATTTTTTGAATTTTTTTAGAAGAGACGGGGTTTCACTGTGTTAGCCGGGATGGTCTCGATCTCCTGACCTTGTGATCTGCCCGCTTCGGCCTCCCAAAGTGCCGAGATTACAGGTGTAAGCCACCGTGCCTGGCCCAAGGGCTTATTATTTTAAATGTGTAGATAGCATTCCTTTTGAAAGTTTCTTAAATTAAAACACGTCTGTTTTTCTGATTGCAATATAATTCACATTAATTGTATAATATACAGCCAAGTATAGGCCAGGCATGGTGGCTCACGCCTGTAATCCCAGCACTTTGGGAGACTGAGACAGGAGGATCACGAGGTCAGGAGTTCGAGACCAGCCTGGCCCATATGGTAATACCCCGTCTGTACTAAAAATACAAAAATTAGCTGGGTGTGGTGGCGATCGCCTGTAGTCTCAGCTACTCAGGAGGCTGAGGTAGAAGAATTGCTTGAACTTGAGTGGCAGAGGTTGCAGTGAGCCGAGATCGCACCACTGCACTCCAGCCTGGGCAACAGAGCAAGGCTCTGTCAAAAATAATAATAATTAAAAAAAAATACAGCAACATACAAAGAATAATCATCCATAAGCTCAGGTCTGAAGAGAACCACAACATTCATTTTTAACTGTTTCCTTTCAGATAATATGATTAACTTATTTTATGAAGACATTAATTGATCAACAGCTAGAAAATGATCATATTTACCAATTTTGGAAATGCTCAAAGTTGATATGTAAGTCCAAATATGAAAATAAAATAGCCAATTATATTTATACATAGAAAAGACAAATTTAACCAAGCATTAGTGGGTTATAATTTAACTAAAAAATTCTAGCTAAGTGTGGTGGCTTACACTTGTAATCCCATCAATTTGGGAGGCCAAAGCCAGAGGATTGTTTGAAGCCAGAAGTTCAAGACCAGCCTGGAAAACGATGAAACTCCATCTCTACAAAACACGGCGAAACCCTGTCTCTACAACCACCACACCTGGCTAATTTTCATATTTCAGTAGAGATGGGGTTTCACCATGTTGGCCAGACTGGTCTCAAACTCCTGACCTCAGGCGATCCGTGTGCCTTGGCCTCTCAAAGTGCTGGGATTACAGGCATGAGCCACCATGCCTGGCCTACAAATTTTTTTTTTTTTTTAATTAGCCAGGCGTGGTGGCACGTGCCTGTAGTCTCAGCTACTCACCAGGCTGAGGCAGGGGGTTTGCTTGAGCCTGTGAGGTAGAGGCTGCAGTGAGCTGTGATCACATCACTAAACTCCATCCTGGGCAACTGAGACTCTATCTCAAAAAACAACACCCCAAAAACACTCTGTAAATCTACAAATGCAAATCAGCCTAGATTATGGAAAAACATAGATAATTACAATCAACTACTAGTCCTAATACCAATAGTAATAACCTTAAATAATGTTTTATAAATGTTTATCAATATTACTAGCTCCCAAAATATATCCTGACCACCTTGGAGGAGAATATTTTAACTTGTAAATGACATAAACAAATAAATACGAGATTAAAAGTTTAAGGAAAGGCTCTATATAAAAATTCCTTAAGATGACACTACAGATTCTTTTATTTACTAAGAAAATGCCAATGATACCCTGTCATAACAAGAAATAACCTAATATTGCTTAACCTTAAGATATGCCTATTGTAACAGATCCAGACCTATTTTTATTATACTAAATAAATTAAAACTTCTAAAGCTACATTTAAGAAAGTCAGAATTTGCCTCTCCCTCTCCCTCGTCTCCCACTTTCCAGGGTCTCCCTCTGATGCCGAGGGGAGGCTGGACCGTACTGCCGCCATCTCGGCTCACTGCAACCTCCCTGCCTGATTCTCCTGCCTCAGACTGCCAAGTGCCTGGGATTGCAGGCGCTCGCCGCCACGCCTGACTGGTTTTTGTATTTTTTGGTGGAGATGGGGTTTCGCCGTGTTGGCCGGGCTGGTCTCCAGCTCCTGACCGCGAGTGATCTGCCCGCCTGGGCCTCCCGAGGTGCCGGGATTGCAGACAGAGGCTCGCTCACTCAGTGCTCAATGTTGCCCAGGCTAGAGTGCAGTAGCGTGATCTCGACTCACTACAACCTCCACCTCCCAGCCGCCTGCCTTGGCCTCTCAAAGTGCTGAGATTGCAGCCTCTGCCCGGCCGCCACCCCGTATGGGAAGTGAGGAGCGTCTCTGCCTGGCCGCCCATCGTCTGGGATGTGAGGAGCCCCTCTGCCCGGCCGCCCAGTCTGGGAAGTGAGGAGCGCCTCTTCCCGGCTGCCATCCCATCTAAGAAGTGAGGAGCGTCTCTGCCCGGCTGCCCATCGTCTGAGATGTGGGGAGCGCCTCTGCCCCGCCGCCCCGTCTGGGATGTGAGGAGCGCCTCTGTCCGGCCGCGACCCCGTCTGGGAACTGAGGAGTGTCTCTGCCCGACCGCCACCCCGTCTGGGAGGTGAGGAGCGTTTCTGGCCGGCCGCCCCGTCTGAGAAGTGAGGAGCCCCTCCGCCCAGCAGCCGCCCCGCCTGGGAAGTGAGGAGCCCCTCCGCCCGGCAGCCGCCCCGTCTGGGAAGTGAGGAGGGTCTCCGCCCGGCAGCCGCCCCGTCCAGGAGGGAGGTGGGGGTCAGCCCCCAGCCCGGCAGCCGCCCCGTCCGGGAGGGAGGTGGGGGGCAGCCCCCCCGCCCGGCCAGCCGCCCCGTCGGGGAGGGAGGTGGGGGGCGCCTCCGCCCGGCCACCGCCCTGTCCGGGAGGGGGGGGGCGCCTCTGCCTGGCCGCCCCGTCTGGGAAGTGAGGAGCCCTTCTGCCCGGCCGCCACCACGTCTGGGAGGCATGCCCAACAGCTCATTGAGAGCGGGCCATGATGACGATGGCGGTTTTGTCGAATAGAAAGGGGGGAAATGTGGGGAAAGGAAAGAGGGATCGGATTGTTACTGTGTCCGTGTAGAAAGAAGTAGACATAGGAGACTCCATTTTGTTATGTACTAAGAAAAATTCTTCTGCCTTGGGATGCTGTTAATCTATAAACTTACCCCCAACCCCGTGCTCTCTGAAACATGTGCTGGGTCCACTCAGGGTTAAATGGATAAAGGGCGGTGCAAGATGTGCTTTGTTAAACAGATGCTTGAAGGCAGCATGCTCCTTAAGAGTCATCACCACTCCCTAATCTCAAGTACCCAGGGACACAAACACTGCGGAAGGCCGCAGGGTCCTCTGCCTAGGAAAACCAGAGACCCTTGTTCACATGTTTATCTGCTGACCTTCCCTCCACTATTGTCGATGACCCTGCCAAATCCCCCTCTCCAAGACACACCCAAGAATGATCAATAAATACTAAAAAAAAAAAAAAAAGTCAGAATTTGTTTTCCAGAGCAAGTATACATTCTCATTTTCTGAGAAAATGGTGTAATGTCTCTAAATTAAATTAAGGGGCTGAAGGAACAAATCACAATTTAAAACATTCCTACATTATGCTATCACCCTATATTCCTAAACCTATCTAAATATGACAACTTGGCAATTGTTCCTCTATATAAACTGGATTTATATATGGCAACCAGGTTTCTAGTTCAAGTCTAGTTTATAAAACAACACAAGACATGGCTGGGTGCAGTGGCTCATGCCTGTAATCCCAGCACTTTGGGAGGCCGAGGCGGGTGGATCACCTGAGGTTGGGAGTTTGAAACCAGCCTGACCAACATAGAGAAACCCCGTCTCTACTAAAAAAAATACAAAATTAGCCGGGCATGGTGGCACATGCCTGTAATCCCAGCTACTCGGGAGGCTGAGGCAGGAGAATCACTTGAACCCGGGAGGCCGAAGTTGTGATGAGCCGAGTTCACGCCATTGCACTCCAGCCTCGGCAACAAGAATGAAACTCTGTCTCAAGGGAAAAACAAAAACAAACAAAAAAAAAACCCAGCAAGACATAAGACTTAACTTATAAAAATGTCTATTAAACACAATTACTACACCATCAAGTTTATTATAATAGATAGAAGCCATTATCTGCTATTTTTAACAAGATTCATAGAGCAAAATGGAAAAAACTAGAAATCAAACTTACATAGCAACCCACATGGAAAAAAACAAAAAATAAAAATAAAATCAGTGCTAGCATCTAAGAAAACATGTAAATTATCATGTCACTGCTGTTTCCATGGTAGCAGACTAGTATATATAAAGAATAGATTATAATAGATATAATAATATATTAATATAAAAAAGAACAAAAAGATTTAAGGGAGGAATCAAAAATAAATTCAAGTAATCTGTAAAACATTTTCCTATTTTTTTTTTTTTTTTTGGAGACGGAGTCTTGCTCTGTTGCCCAGGCTGGAGTGCAATGGTGCAATCTCGGCTCACTGCAACCTCTGCCTCCCGGGTTCAGGCCATTCTCCTGCCTTAGCCTCCCGAGTAGCTGGGATTACAGATGGGCGCCAACACGCCTGGCTAATTTTTGTATTTTTAGTAGAGACGGGGTTTCACCACGTGTGCCAGGCTGGTCTTGAACTCCTGACCTTGTGATCCACCTGCCTCGGCCTCCCAAAGTGCAAGGATTACAGGTATGAGCCACCACGCCTGGCCATCTCTATAAAACATTTTCTTGGTAAGCTCATTATGGTTTTAGAAATCAAATGATTTTTGTAATCAAATTCTGGATCTCTAAAATATTAACTGGTATCACTAAAACTACTAGTAAATCTCCAAATAACAATTGCTTACATGTTTCATGATATTGTTTTGTGATTTAAATATTTTCTAAATCGTACCTTTATAAAATAATTGTCAATAAAAAGCTCTATGACCATGAGTTAATTTTTTTCTTTTCTTTTCTTTTTTTTTTTTTTTTTGAGACAGGGCCTCACTGCTGCCTAGGCTGTAGCTCAATTCAGTGGCTCAATCACGGCTCACTGCTGCCTTGACCTCCTTGGGCTCAAGCAATCCTCCCACCTCAGCCTCCTGAATAGCTGGGACTATAGGTGTTCACCACCAAGGCCAGTTAATTTTCTTGTTATTTTGCAGAGATGAGGTTTCCCCATGTTGCCTAGGCTGGTCTTGAACTCCTGGGCTCAAGTGATCCACCCACCTTGGCCTCCCAAGGTTCTAGGATTACAGGAAAGAGCCATCGCACCTGGACAGTTAAGTTTTTTGAAAAAATTATTCCATAATTTTATCATGAATAAATAGAAAGTTCAAGGATTACAAAAGTTAAGAACAACATAGGCCAAGTGCGGTAGCTCATGCCTGTAATCCCAGCACTTTGGGAGGGAGGCCGAGGTGGGCAGATCACCCGAAGTCAGGAGTTCAAGACCAGCCTGGTCAACATGGTGAAACCCTGCCTCTACAAAAATATAAAAATTGACCAGGCATGATGGCGGGTGCCTGTAATCCCAGCTACTCGGGAGCTGAGGTGGGAGAATCGCTTCAACTTGGGAGGCGGAGGTTGCAGTGAACTGAGATTGTGCCATTGCACGCCAGCAAGACTCCATCTCAAAAAACAAAAAACAAAAAACAAAGGCTGGCATGGTGGCTCACGCCTGTAATCCCAACACTTTGGGAGGCCAAGGCGGGTGGATCACCTGAGGTCAGGAGTTCGAGACCAGCCTGGCCAACATGGTAAAACCCCATCTCTACTAATATACAAAAATTAGCCTGGCGTGGTGGTGCGCACCTCTAATCCCAGCTAACTCAGGAGGCTGAGGCAGGAGAATCACTAGAACCCGGGAGGCAGAGGTTGCAGTGAGCCGAGATTGCGCCATTGCACTGCAGCCTGGGTGACAGCGAGACTCTGTCTCAAAAAACAACAACAAAAAAACTAAAAATAAAAAATAAAATGTTATCTATTGAAATATCAAAAAGCTTATGTTTTTTATATTTATCAGTATGTCACAGTAACAGTAATAGTCATAAGAAAGCCAATTTGCTAATTAGAACTTTTACAAAGTTACTGCATTACTCTAAATCAGAGTAACTTGAAGAGCTTAAAAAATAGCTCTTCTTTCACCTATTCATCAGGCTCTTTGAGGGTGGTGTTTTGGAAATATATCTGAATTAAGCCTCCTAAGTGATTCTGGGGCACAGCCAGGTTGGGAAATCACTGATCTAAATCTATCTAAATTAAAAATTGTTAACTTTATTAATCTGTTCATGTCTAAAAATGAATGATAATCTCAGTAAATAGGTATACGTTAAAAACACATGACTAGTTTGTGCAAATTGTTTATTTTTATTTATTTATTTTTTTGGGGACAAGGTCTTGCTCTTCCAGGCTGGAGTAAAGTGGAACTATCAGAGCTCACTGCAGCCTCCACCTCCTGGGCTCAAGCGATCCTCCTGCCTCAGCCTCCTGAGTAGCTAGAACCACAGGCATGCCACCACGCCTGGCTAGTTTTTAAATTTTTTGTAGAAATGGAGTCTCACGTGTTGTCCAGGCTGGTCTCGACCTCCTGGGCTCAAGCAATCCTCTTACCTCAGCCACCCAATGTGTTGGGATTATGGGCTTGAGCCACCATGCCTGGCCCATTTTGGGGATTTTTCTGTAAAACTGTATGTTAGAAACAAGTACTCATGAGAAATGGTTTCTGTACCAATTTTCATTTAAAAATGTATCAGATTAGGTCAGGCGCTGTGGCTCACGCCTGTAATCCCAGAACTTTGGGAGGCCAAGGTGGGTGGATCACAGGGTCAGGAGTTCAAGATCAGCCTGGCCAATATGGTGAAACCCTGTCTCTACTAAAAATACAAAAATTAGGCCAGGTGCGGTGGCTCACGCCTGTAATCCCAGCACTTTTGAGGCTGAGGCGGGCGGATCACCAGGTCAGGAGATCAAGACCATCCTGGCTAACACGGTGAAACCCTGTCTCTACTAAAAATACAAAAAAATTAGCCGCGCGTGGTGGCGGGCACCTGTAGTCCCAGCTACGAGGGAGGCTGAGGCAGGAGAATGGCGTCAACCCAGGAGGCGGAGCTTGCAGTGAGCTGAGATCGCGCCACTGCACTCCAGCCTGGGTGACAGAGCAAGACTCCGTCTGAAAAAAAAAAAAAAAAAACAAAAATTAGCTGTGCGTGGTAGTGGGTGCCTGGAATCCCAGCTACTCGGAGGCAGAGAACCGCTTGAACCTGGGAGGCGGAGGTTGCAGTGAGCAGAGATGGTGTCACCGCACTACAGCCTGGGTGACAGAGTGAGACTCTGTCTCAAAAAAAAAAAAAAAAAGTATCAGATTGGCTGGGCATGGTGGCTCAAGCCTGTAATCCCAGCACTTTGGGAAGCTGAGGTAGGCAGATCACTTGAGGTCAGGAGTTCAAGACCAGCCTGGCCAACATGGTGAAACCCTGTTTCTACTAAAAATACAAAATTAGCTGGGCATGGTGGCGGATGCCTGTAATCCCAGCTACTTGGGAGACTGAGGCAGGAGAATCATTTGAACCCAGGAGGTGGAGGTTGTAGTGAGCCAAGATACTGCCACTTTCTGGTACATTTTTTAAAAATTGAACTTTTCAGCAAAGCAAAACCAAAGCACTGTGCTATAAATGAAATGCAGTTCTTTATAGCAGTGTGAGAACACACTAATACAATTGAATTCTTTTTTTTTTTTTTTCTTGAGATAGAGTCTTGCTCTTGTCGTCCAGGCTGGAGTGCAGTGGCATGATCTCAGCTCACTGCAACCTTCAGCTCCTGGGTTCAAGTGGTTCTCCTGCCTCAGCCTCCTGAGTAGCTGGGATTACAGGCACCCACCACCACACCCGGCTAATTTTTATATTTTTAGTAGAGACGGGGTTTCACCACGTTGGCCAGGCTGGTCTTGAACTCCTGACCTTGTGATCTACCCGCCTTGGCCCCCCAAAGTGCTGGGATTACAGGTGTGAGCCACCACGCCAAGCCAATTTCTTTTATTTTTTCTTTTATTTTTTTGAGATGGAGTCCAGCTCTGTCACCCAGGCTGGAGTGCGGTGGCGTAATCTCGGCTCACTGCAACCTCCCCCTCCCAGGTTCAAAAGATTCCAAAAGAATTTTACAAAAACAAAATCCGGGTGCAGCCTGTGAGGGTCCAACAAAATGATCATCATTTGTTCAAGTACACTGTGTATGAAAAAGAAAACACAAAATATATATACAGTACACTGAACTTTTCAAGAAATACTTTTTTGAGATAGAGTCTAATTCTGTCTCGTCTAGGCTGGAGTGCAGTGGTGCAATCTCGGCTCACTGCAGCCTCCACCTCTCGGGTTCAAGCGATTCTCCTGCCTCAGCCTCCTAAGTAGCTGGGACTACAGGTGCGTGCAACCATACCCAGCTAATTTTTGTATTTTTAGTAGAGATGGGGTTTCACCATGTTGCTAGGCTGGTCTTGAGCTCCTGACCTCAGTTGATCCACCTACCTAGGCCTCCCAAAGTGCTGGGATTACAGGAGTGAGCCACCGAGTCTGGCCAGAAATACTTTTTATTAGGGAGAGGTTAGTATACATTCTGATCTTCAACCAATAAAGTAACCTTCTTGAAGTACTAAAAATACTTAATTTTCCATAAGGAGAACATTACATGGAGGGTTCCATGTTTTTTAGGTTTGAAACATTTTAAAAGGAAAAAAAAGGAAGTAAAGAATGAAATATTGATTAGAAAACATAAGAAATGAGATGAAACTCCATCTCTACTAAAAATACAAAAAAACTTAGCCAGGTGTGGTGGCATGCGCCTGTAGTCCCAGCTACTCAGGAGGCAAAGGCAGGAGAATCGCTTGAACCCGGGAGGCGGAGGTTGCAGTGAGCTGAGATAGTGCCACTGCACTCCAGCCTGGGAGTCAGAGCAAGACTCCATCTCAGGGAAAGAAAAAAAAAAGGCCCGGCACAGTGGCTCACGCCTGTAATCCCAGCACTTTGGGAGACCGAGGTGGGTGGATCACGAGGTCAGGAATTCAAGACCAGCCTGGCCAACATGGTGAAACCCCGTCTCTACTAAAAATACAAAAATTAGCCTAGCGCAGTGGCGGGCACCTGTAATCCCAGCTAGTCGGGAGACTGAGGCAGGTGAATCACCTGAACCCGGGAGGCGGAGTTTGCAGTGAGCCAAGATCGCGCCACTGCACTCTAGCCTGGGTGACAGAGTAAGAGTCCATCTCAAAAAAAAAAAAAAAAAAAAAAAAAGGAAAGAAATGACGCCAGCGTGGTGGTTCACGCCTGTAATCACAACACTTTGGGAGGCTGAGGCGACCAGATTACCTGAGGTCGGGAGTTTGAGACCAGCCTGGCCAACATAGTGAAACCCCGTCTCTACTAAAAATACATAAAATTAGCCGGGCTTGGTGGCGCATCCCTGTAATCCAAGCTACTCGGGAGGCTGAGGCAGGAGAATCGCTTGAACCCGGGAGGCAGAGGTTGCGGTGAGCCAAGATCACGCCACTGCACTCCAGCCTGCGCAACAAGAGCAAAACTCTGTCTCAAACAAACAAACAAAAGAAAACATAAGAAATGACTTTGAAACACTACTTGATTTTGTTAGTTTCTTCCACAAGGAATACATTTAAAAATTTAAGTTTTTATTCTTAAAATGAGTTCTGGAAGTAAAAGAGTTAACTCTGAGATGATTAAGACTTCTAAAATCCCCAACAGAAGCAACTCACCTCAAACAGAGTCACATCTCTGTAAGAAGGAAAACTTTCAACCACCAGGTGCATTAACTTCTGCGCACTATTCTCACTTTCTCGGACGCAGTTGAGAAAAGAGCCTCCAAACTTCTCCAGCAGAATTTTCCCGGTTTCATTGAGAATCCGATGCCTCTCTTCTACTAAAGGCATGGAAACGTCTGTGTCAGAACGAAGTATATTCCGAACCTGATCCAGGGTCACTGTCGCGTAGTACGAGGCACTAGTTATTGGTATCCCTTTAGTGAAAAAATAAAATTCAGAGGACCAATGTCATACTTCCATATGCATTAAACCCTTGCTTTTACAACATGGAATTAATATGAAACCAAATGAGTGGTATAGGAATGCACCAAAAGTGGAAGAATAAAAAATCTAAAGCAAAACTCATTTTCTACTTGTTCATCTGTACTTATTCACCCATTTCTAACTATTGCAATATTACATCAGATGTATTCTGAGTAAATTGCTTTATAACATCGGTCCTTTTGTTCTTCAGGTGTCATTCAAATGGCATTCTTTATAAAACTGACTTTTATGCTACTGTAACTTTTATGCTGCAATGATAAATATTAACATCATTTTCCACTAAAATATGCCCCTTTTCATACTTCTATTTTAAGCATAAGGACTTGCAACGAACTTCAGGTTCGCTTTCCATTATTCCATCTCCCAACCCGCTCCTTGGAACTCCCCTACACACACCCCAAGTAAATGGAAACCTCAAAGGCCGTTAGGTCCGATGGCAAGTATGGCACCAACCTTCGTCGAGGGCTCTGTTGACGGCGGCGCACAGGGACCAGTACCCACTGTATGTTTTCCCTCTGTACCTCACCACACACTTGTGCTCGTCCTGCTCCGACCAAAAGGAGAAGTTGAGCGTGTCTGTCACGAACACCCAGTTGACCGCGGCCTCGTCGGCCGCCCTGGGGTTCAGCTCATGAAGGGCTTTCCACCCCTCCACGCGCAGCTCTGGCCCCGCCGCCTTGGCCAGCAGCAGCTCTGCCACCCTCCGTACGCCTCCGCTGTCAATAAACACATCCCGACTGTTTTCTGCAATGAATTTAGAGGATTCCCTGGGATTTAGGAGCCCGTCCATTCTGCCCTTTGGGACCCGGCGGGCCAAACTCTTCCCGCCCTAGGCGGGTCAAGGTCCACTCTGCGCCTTGCGCTACTACGAACCGCGCGATCACAGGGCCTAAACAAGGTCCCGCCCTGCCAGGGAGTGGCACCGAGAACTTAGTGCAGCCAAGGTAAAGGTTCTCTCCCGCGGCGTTGCCCTGATTAGGAAACCAGAGAGACCCCGGGGCAGCTCGCTGGGCAGAGGCCGCAAGCACTTCCGGGAAAGCGGTCCCGTTCACGCCCTCTCGGGCGCGCTCTCAGGCTCCGCTTCCGGTTCCAAAGGTCTGGAAACTGCTAAGGGTCCGGCGTTCACCGGCCGTGAGTTGCCCACCCTGGGAGGTGCATGGCTTTGCCATGTTTTGCCTTTTCTCACCCCGCTTCGGACAGGTGGGACTCGAAGACGGCGACTCGCCGCCTTGCCCTGGGTCGCGATGCCCCCACCCCGCTCCCACCCCTCTCCTTTCCCGCAGCCTGAGCAAGACGCCTTCGGCAACGCCCCGCATCCGGGCTCCTTGGCCTCGAAGAGCATTATGGCCGTAGATCTGGGTGCTGAGGACTGAGCCACCCCCAGACTGCGACATGGGCGGCGGTGCCTCCTTCCCCAAGCCCCAGGGAGTGTTTTTTTGTTTGTTTTGTTTTTTGTTTTTGTTTAAGTGAATTCCTGGCCCATTTGGCCGAACGAACGTTAGGATTAGTTGGAAGGTTTGGAGAAATGGATGAGGAAACAAATGTGTTAAATTGTTAAATTAACCTTGTGTGCCTGGCAGTGTACTTAAGTACTAAATCTCACCTAGGCTGGGTCATGACGAAAGCGGCTATTGTGATCCCGCTTTTGCAAGTGAAGCTGAGTGGTTCATTGATTAACCCCCATCACAGCAATGGTTTGGGCTAGGATTTAAACCTTTGATAATTGAGCCCCCTAAATCGAGGGCACTTTATGAGCCAATCACCAGTGCCAACCATTCTGGTCAGTCAAATAGTGACTATATCAGTGGCCCTACTGAGAAGACATTAAAAATGAGGAAATAAGTGTCTCACAACTGCAAACTTACACAAGTACCTTATATTAGGAGAGAGGTGTAGAAGCCAATTTAGTGATGATCCAAATTTGACTGGTGATGAAGTTTTAGTATAAAGGTATGCATTTTTTTTCCTTTTGGAGACTTAAATCTCCATGGATAACGTTCACATCTTTGAAAATCACCTATTAAAAATAATCATCAGTACCCATCTCTAGTTACCGACAGGAAAATCTTGGTATTTTTGGAGGATTCGGAGCTTTTAAATTTGTTTGTTTGAGACAGAATCTCACCCTGTCGCCCAGGCTGGAGTGCAGTGGCATGATCTCAGCTCACTGCAACCTCCACCTCCCCGGTTCAAGTGATTCTCCCTGCCTCAGCTTCCCAAGTAGCTGGGATTATAGGTGTCAGCCACCACACCTGACTAATTTTTGTATTTTTAGTAGAGATGGGGTTTCCCTATGTGGGCCAGGCTGGTCTCAAACTCCTGACCTCAGGTAATCCACCCTCCTCGGCCTCCCAAATGGAGCTTTTTTTTTGAGACGGAGTCTCACTCTGTCATCCAGGCTGGAATGCAGTGGCACAGTCTCGGCTCACTGCAACCTCCGCCTCCTGGGTTCAAGCAATTCTCCTGGCTTAGCCTCCCGAGTAGCTGGGATTATAGGTGCCCGCCACCACGCCCGGCTAAGTTTTGTATTTTTAGTAGGGACAGGTTTTCACCATGTTGGCCAGGCTGATCTCGAACTCCTGACCTCAGGTGATCCGCCTGTCTTGGCCTCCCAAAATGCTGGGATTACAGGCATGAGCCACCACACCTGGCCCCAAATGGAGCTTTTAAATTTGACAGCTGTTACCCTAGAAAAGCAGATCTTCATCACTCCAGTTTCTTCATTTTGGTAAGAAAAAGGAACTTTAAGGACTCCACTATGATACGTTTTCCAGAAAAAGTCACTAGTACATTAATACAGTTGTTAAGGAAATGTAAGTCTGTTGGCTTGGGATTTTTCCTTTCTACCACAGCACCTAAGTCTTGGGAGACAAATTGATTTAGCAAGGAAATCTAGCAATCTGCAAAATAATCCAGAAGGGTAAATAACTTAGACCCTTTTCTCTCACTGAGGTTTATTGATAGAAAAAAGTCAAATGCCGGCCAGATGTGGTGACTCACGCCTGTAATCCCAGCTTTTTGGGAGGCCAAGGTGGGTGGATCAGTTGAGTGCATGAGTTCGAGGCCAGCCTGAGCAACATGGGGAAACCCTGTCTCTACCCAAAACACAAAAAATTAGGTGGGTGTGGTGGCATGCGCCAGTGGTCCCAGCTACTAGGGAGGCTGAGGTGGGAGGATCGTCTGAGCCCAGGAGGCAGAGAGATTCCAGTGAGGTGAGATTGTGCCACTGCACTCCAGACTGTGAGAAAAAGTGAGACCCCCCCCCGTTCCCCCTCCCACCCAAAAAGTCAAATTCCTGCCTATGTTCAAGGTATTTAAGCACTAAAAGTAGTATACACAAGAATAAAACATGCCTCCTTCACTCAACTTTGAGATAAATCAAAACTGTGTGTGTCTGGGATTTTTGTTTTTGTTTTTTTAAGTGTGTCTACAAGATGCTGAGAATACAAAAATGAGTTGGGCTGGCCGTGGTGACTCAGGCCTGTAATCCCAGCACTTTAGCAGGCCAAGGATCACTTGAGCCCAGGAATTCGAGACCATCCTGGGCAACATGACAAAACCCTGTCTCTACAAAAAAAAAAAAAGAAAAAGAAAACATTAGCCAGGTGGCTGGAGCCTGTAGTCCCAGCTACTCCCAGAGGCTGAGGTGGGAGGATCCCTTGAGCCTGGGAGGCGGAGGTTGCAGTGAGCTGAAATGGCACCACCGCACTCCAATCTGGGCAACCCACTGTCTCAAAAAAAAAAAAAAAAAAAGTGAGTTCTTCACCTACTGAACATGGTTTTCCTGCTTTTTCCTTCCCAATAGATACTGTGATACTGTTTAGGAATCCATCTCTCAACTGCACTCCCTTGTAGCTTAGTTTAGCATCCTCAGACTCAAGGGTAGTCAGGACTGGTAATATCACCCTCTTGCCAGCAACTGGATTAGGTTTATGCATATTTCCCAGTTCACCTCAGTGAGTTGCAAGATTTGCAGAATGCTTGCAGAAAAGCTTTTCCTCACTCTTCCAGGAGAATTTTCAGAAGTGATTCAGGCTCCCTCTGGACCTGATTGACCTTGAATGTAAGGCCTGGAATTGCTGCAGTCCTTTTGATGGCAACCTGAGTTTGTTTTTTGGTTTTGTTTTGTTTGAGATGGAGTCTCGCTCTGTCGCCCAGGCTAGAGTGCAGTGGCCCGATCTCGGCTCACTGCAAGCTCCGCCTCCCGGGTTCACGCCATTCTCCTGCCTCAGCCCCCCGCCGCCCCCCCGCCCCGGTTCTATCAGCCGCCACCATGCCCGGTTAGCCAGGATGGTCTCGATCTCCTGACCTCATGATCTGCCCACCTCGGCCTCCCAAAGTGCTGGGATTACAGGCATGAGCCACCACACCCGACTTTGGTTTTTTTTTTTTTTTTTGAGACGGAGTCTCGCTCTGTCGCCTAGGCTGGAGTGCAATGGCGCGATCTCCACTCACTGCAACCTCCGCCTCCCGGGTTCAGGCCATTCTCTCCTGCCTCAGCCTCCCGAGTAGCTGGGATTACAGGCTCCCGCCACCATGCCCGGCTAATATTTTGTATTTTTTTAGTAGAGACGGGGGTTTCACGATGTTAGCCAGGATGGTCTCTATCTCCTGATAGAGATAGATAAATCTTTGGCAGAAGCTGTACCCTGTAGGCATAGGCTTTATTTATTTATTTGAAACAGGGTCTTACTCTGTCACACAGACTGGAGTGCAGTGGTGCAGTCATAGCTCACTGCAGCCTTGACCTCCCCAGCTCAAGTGATCCTCCTGAGTAGCTGGGACTACAGGCATGTACCATTGCACCCAGCTAATTTTTAATTTTTTTGTAGAGATGGGGTCTGCTGTGTTGCCCAGGTTGGCTTCGAACTCCTGGGCTCAAGTAATCCGCCTGCCTCGGCCTCACAAAGTGCTGGGATTACAGGCGTGAGCTACTATGCCTTGCAGGGGTAGGCTTTTGAAGAGATAGTGATGACCTCTAAATAACCTCTAAGCTTGCATTTTAAAGGTTAACAAAGGAGGAAGACATGATCAATGATGTGTCCATATAACTTTCCCCCCCTTGAACAGTATCCAAGTTAGATTATTCCAGTCATCAAGAGAGTCATCATTTTTGATTAGCTAAATTACATGTCAAGCTCTTGGGAATGATTATTGCTATATCTTCTATTTTCTATGATAGGCTATAGCATTAAAGAAATGGAGGGTCGGCCAGGTGTGGTGGCTCATGCCTGTAATCCCAGCACTTTGGGAGGCCGAGGCGGGCTGATCATTTGAGCTCAGGGGTTTGAGACCAACCTCAACAACATAGTGAGACCCTGTCTGTACAAAAAACAATAAAAAAAATTATCTAGGTGTGGTGGCATGTGCCTATAGTCTCAGCTTCTTAGGCGCCTGAGGCAAGAGGATCGCTTGAGCCCAAGAGGTCGAGGCTGCAGTGAGCTGTGTTCGTGCCACTGCACTCCAGCCTGGGCAACAGAGGAAGTTGCAAAAGTTGCCTAGAGCAGTGGATGGACAATAGACATCGCTAGTGGGAGGACATAGTTTCCCATATGTGCTCAAAGAGTTATGCATAGAAGTGAAATGGATTTTGTGGAGGTAAGACATCTCTTATTTTTATTTCTTTTTATATACACAAAATGACAGACTGAATCCCCATGAAGCCATAGCAGAAAAGAGATATGGCTCACTACAGTGTAATTTTTCTGTTCCTTTTCTTCTTGATTTATCCATATTTAGCATTTAAGATTGAGCACTTCCTTGAAATTGTCCATTGGCTTGCAGGGCATTTATATTTTCCTGGTTTTCTTAGTGTCATTGAAAGCTCTTCCTACTCTCTCCTTACTGAGTTTGGAATGTTTCCTATTTATAGGATATGACTTAGGGATAGAATGGAATCTTTCTGTGAAAACCATGCCTATTAATTACTTCAATTTCTGATTTAAAATATTAAATTATAATGGAATAAATCTATTGTTTCCCATTATATATCATTAACATTATTACTACAGTTCAAAGCCAGTTAGAGTTTTTTGAACCATATTTTGCTTTTTTTTTTTTTTTTTTTTGAGAAAGAGTCTCACTCTGTCGCCTAGGCTGGAGTGCAGTGCAGTGGCGTGATCTCAGCTCACTGCAACCTCCACCTCCTGGGTTCAAGCAATTCTCCTGCCTCAGCCTCCTGAGTAGCTTGGGATTACACACGTGTGCCACCATGCCTAGCTAATTTTTGTATTTTTAGTAGAGATGGGGTTTCACCATGTTGGCCAGACTGGTCTTGAACTCCTGAACTCGTGATCTGCCCGCCTTGGCCTCCCAAAGTGCTGGTATTACAGGCGTGAGCCATTGTGCCCAGCCCATATTTTGCTTTTAATTAGTGAAGTTAATATTTCCTACTTAGGAGGAAGAGCTAAGTATTATTTTAAAACAGTACAAAAATAAACAGGTACAAAGGATTATTTAACTTGGATTCCCTTGAAAACAGAATCTGGGGCAGGGGTTAAGTGCTGATATTTAATCTATGAGGTGCAATCTTTGGGTGTGGACATTGACGGGGACACTGTATTGTCCTGCCACTGCTTCATGGTGAGCTCAGAGAGACACAGCTAGTCACTCAGTAGGAGTGCTGGCACAGTCTTTGGGGAAGTCTCTCGACAAACTTTCTGGACAAACTGCCTCAGGGCAGTTTTTGGGAGGAAGGAAAACAAATTCCCATTGGTTACAGTTTGCCCCACAGGGAGTTAACTCCTCCATAATTCCAGGTTGCATCATCCAGCTCCTTTGGTGGTTACTCAGGAAGTCGTATCCCTGTGAGGTGTGGCATTTTATCCAAGTCTGAAAGTGAAGGAAAAGCCAGAAACCCTAGGTATGGGCTGGGCATGGTGGCTAACACCTGTAATCCCAGCACTATGGGAGGCCGAGGCTGGCAAATTGTCTTGAGTCCATCAGTTCAACACCAGCCTGGGCAACATGGTGAAACCCCATCTCTACAAAAAATTTAAAAAAGTTAGCTGGGCATGGTGGCACGCGCCTCTAGTTCCTGCTACTCAGGAGGCTGAGGCAGGAGGATGGCTTGAACCTGGGAGGCAAAGGTTGCAGTGAGGAGAGATCCTGCCACTGTACTCCAGCCTGGGCAACAAAGTGAGATCCTATCTCAAAAAAAAAAAAAAAAAAAAAAAAAAAAAGAGCCCAGGTATGTTACTCATTGTCCTGCCTGTTCAACCTTGAGGTAGAGCCTGGCACTTTCTAGGAAATGACTGATCAGCCCCAGACATGGCGTAACTATGGTCTAGTGAAACTGGTTGGCAGCAGTGGCAGCTGAGGTGGAGCAAGAGCTGTCATCCATTATTTTGTTGCTGTCCTCCCTTAAATTAGCAATGCTGCCTGTATAAGATAAACCTCTTTAATTGAAGGGCTGCATGTAATAGCCACTGAATGGCTAAGCAAAATTAAAAAAAAAAAAATTTTAAGGCCGGGTGCGGTAGCTCATGCCTGTAATCTCAGCACTTTGGGAGTCCGAGGTGGGCGGATCACGAGGTCAGGAGATGTGAGACCATCCTGGCTAACACAGTGAAAACCTGTCTCTACTAAAAATACAAAAAATTAGCCAGGCGTGGTGGCACGAGCCTGTAGTCCCAGCTACTCAGGAGGCGGAGGCAGGAGAATCACTTGAACCTGGGAGACGGAGGTTGCAGTGAGCTAGTATCGCGCCACTGCACTCCAGCCTGGACGACAGAGCAAGACTGTCTCCAAAAAAAAAAAAAAAAAATTTAATTGGCAAATAAAATTATATGTACTTACGTACAACATGATGTTTTGAAGTATACTTGCATTGTGGAATGTTTAAATCTAGCTAATTAGTAAATGCATTACCTCACAGTTATTATTTTTGCGGTGAGAGGAATGTTTTGAAAGGTTATGAGAAAGCTCACACGATGGAAGAGAAGGCTGGGTAACCAGACTCATAAACAGAAAACCGGCAGCTTTAGAGTTTTGAGAGCAGAAACTGCCCAAAGTTGTCTTCTAATTAGTGCTATTTAAAAAATGAACTATAGGCTGGGCATGGTGGCTCATGCCTGAATCCTAGCACTTTGGGAGGCCAAGGCAGGCAGATTAACTGAGTTTAGGAGTTCAAGACCAGTCTGTGCTGGGTGTGGTGGCTCACGCCTGTAATCCCAGCACTTTGGGAGGCCGAGGTGGGCAGGAGTTTGAGACCAGCCTGGCCAACATGGTGAAACCCCGTCTGTACTAAAAATACAAAAATTAGCCGGGTGTGGTGGCGCCTGCCTGTAATCCCAGCTACATGGGAGGCTGAGGTAGGAGAATTGCTTGAATCCCAGAGGCAGAGGTTGCAGTGAACCAAGATTGCGCCATTGCACTCCAGCCTGGCAACAAGAGCGAAACTCCATCTCAGGAAAAAAAAAAAAAAAAAAAAAAAAGACCAGCCTGGCCAACATGGTGAAACCGTGTCTCTACTGAAAAAAAAAAAAAAAAAAAAAAAAAAAAAAAGGCGGGGCGCGGTGGCTCACGCCTGTAATCCCTAGCACTTTGGGAAGCCGAAGCGGGCAGATCACGAGGTCAGGAGATGGAGACCATCCTGGCTTACATGGTGAAACCCTGTCTCTACTAAAAATACAAAAAAATTAGCCGGGCGTGGTGGCGGACACCTGTAGTCCCAGCTACTCAGGAGGCTGAGGCAGGAGAATGGCGAGAACCCGGGAGGCGGAGCTTGCAGTGAGCAGAGATCACAGCACTGCACTCCAGCCTGGGTGACAGAGCAAGACTCTGTCTCAAAAAAAAAAAAAAAAAAAAAAAAAAAATTAGCTCGGTGTGGTGGCTGTAGTTCTGTAGTCCCAGCTACTCCGGAGGCTGAGGCAGGCAAATCACTTGAACCTGGCAGGCGGAGGTTGCAGTGAGCCGAGATGCCACTGTACTGCAGCCTGGGTGACAGAGGGAGACTATCTCAAAAAACAAACAAAAAACCCAAAAAAACCTATAAGCATTACAGCTTGCTTGCATCATTCTCCTCAAGATTGAAAATCTCAGGAGAAAGAGTCTGGTTGGCCAAGCCTAAATCAAATGTCCACCCTCTGGGGTGACAAAATAACCCGTTAAGGACCAGGATTTCTTTCTCCTCAAGCCTATGTACAATGGAGAGAGAAAAACTCAAGGAAAACTGTGTGCAATTAGAAAGGGGAAACTGATGTGGTATTAATAAGATGTCCATTATAATTCACCCTTTAGCTGTTCAGCATTCAAGAATTTTTTTCTCATGTACTTTCAGAAATACTAGTATAATGCAGTTATTCTTCATAAGTTTCTCACCCCCTCTTCTGAGGGAGACAACCCAGTCTCATTATTTGCTGCATCACAATCAAGTCCAGGATATGTGGGTGATGTACATTTCTGCTTTAGCTTCAGCTTAACTGTGTTAGATCAAGTCCTAGAAGCAGAGCCTAAGCCAGGGATTTTTGTGCAATTGATTCACTTCGAGAGTGCTCTCAGTTGAAGCAGAATGAGGAAAGGAGCACAGGGCAGGGAAAATTGGTCAAACCATGATGCAGTCTCAGCAGTGTCAGCCTGATCCCGAGTTCCAGAGTCTGAACTATACACAGAATTGGTACCAATTTGAGACACAAAGTATGAATAAATGATCTGAAGGCCCATTCCAAGTGAGATCACCTCCACCTAGAATTTATGGTTTGATTGCATTAGTCTTAACTCTCCTGTTTCTTGGTAATTCCAGGGTAAATTCCTAGATATGCCTTGTGAGTTTTCTCATAAATTCCCATTCCCACTGATAGCAGAAAAAACTGGTCTTCCTTTTTTTATTTGAGACGGAGTTTTTCTCTTGTTGCCCAGGCTAGAGTGCAGTGGCACGATCTCGGCTCACTGCAACCTCCGCCTCCCAGATTCAAGCAATTCTCCTGCCTCAGCCTCCTGAGCAGCTGGGATTATAGGTGTGCGCCAAAGCTAATATAACTGGCACTCAATTCAGTGGTCTCTCCTTGACTATCTCGCCTTGGCTTTCACTGGTACTGCAAATCTTTTGCTATTCTGCCATCTGTATCCAGCCACTAGCTGGGCTCTTTATCTTACAGCTGCTACTATGCAGTAACCCTATCTTTCACCATAATGACCCCATCACAAGTCCCATTGGTTCTCAAGTGATGTCCCTCTTACGACATCTGGGAATCAAAGGAAAATTCTGTGGGGTGTTTGTGTCTGTAATCTCAGATCATCTCTGTGCCAAACATTGTGTATCTCTCGGTCTTCTGTGCTTTCTATCCCATGTGGTCATAGGAACACTTTGCAGGGTTTCAAATTAGAAGTGAGGCTAGTGCCTTGTTTTTGTGCTTTTGGCGTCCTTTTCAACCCATCTGGAGTTTCTGCTCTCTCATTAATCATCTCCCACTGCTCTTGCCCCGGTCTGAAATATAGGAAGGTCTCTGGGGATGGCCTGAGCCAGGAGCCGAGATAGCACCACTGCACTCCAGCCTGGGCGACACAGCCAGACCATCTTTTTAAAAACAAAAATTCTTCTCCTTTTTTTGGTTCTCTTTAACATAAAAACTTACTGGATTGAGACAGGGTCTGTCACCCAGGCTGTAGTGCAGTAGTGCCATCAAGGTTCACTGCAGCCTCCACTTCCCGGGCTCAGGCGATCCTCCCACCTCAAGCCTCCTAACTGGGACTACAGGTACGCGCCACCATGCTTGGCTAATTTTTTGTAGAGATGGGGTTTCACCATATTGCCCAGGCTGTCTCAAACTCTTGGGCTCAAGCCATCTGTCCACCTTGGCCCCCAAAATGCTGGGGTTACACGTGTGAGCCACTGCACCGAGGCTAATTAAATTTACTTCGAATCACAGCAATCTGAAGCAATTCATTACCTAATTCACGTGGAACGGTAGTAATTGAGTACTAAAAAACCTTAAAACTAATGAAAGGGTTTTTTAAAAGGAAATTTTGCTGTTTGGTTTGATTTTCTTTGCTATTAGATCAGATTTAGTATTTTACATTATATGTCTCAGTACAATAAAACAAAGGCAAACAAAATTTGAATAGTAGGGAAAGGTTTTAAATTCTTGAGATAACTAGTACAACTTGGTTTCTGTCTGTTGGCATTTTGGTAATTAACTTACAAAAAGTTAGGCTAAATTTTTGAAACTAAGTCAGCATTATACACCAGTAACTTCTTACAAAATTGTCTCAATATTCCATTTAATTAAAGAGCTTATGTTCACTTCTCCCACCCTTTGTGAAAATTCTCCCAACCTGTCCCAATTCTCACCCAAATTTTAAATACCATTTACCAATCAATAGCAGTGGCAATGCAAAAGGCCCCTCTCCCTCCCAAAGCTGTATATCAAAGATATCAATACCAGATATTCTTCAATCCATTAAGTCTTCAGTAGAATGATGTGTTTAAGGTCTGAAATTATTGTAAAATGCAAAAGTGAAAACATTTGCAGCTAATGGTCCATGTGTTACATAACTCATTTACAGGTAACAGATAAAAGCTTTGGAAGCCAGTGTTCTCTCCAGGGATGCTTTCCTTCAGTAGGATTAACAATTTGACTAAAGTGTCCTTGTCATTTTTCTTTAGGGGTAAGGGCTCATTTCACCCTGAGCAACCCCAACTCAACCACACTGGGGAAACCATACCACAGGTAGCATTCACTAGTTTTAAGTAATATTTTGACATTTACTTCATGTTCTTCATTAATCAAAAGATCACTCTACGTCCCTCCCCAAACTAAATGTCACTCAACTCTACTTCCCTTAAAAGACATTATTCTGTTCATACTATTAATACTTACATGAATTCTAGAACTGCCCAACTGTTACTTTTATTATACACAAGCCTCTGACCTAAATTCAATAATTACATTCATGACTCCTTTCCTATATAGTTGTTCATCTGTTTTGAGGCAGGAAGATTGCTTGTGCCCAGAAGATGGAGGTTGCAGTGAGCCAAGATTATGCCACTGCACTCCAGCCTGGGAAAAACAGCAAGACACTGTCTCAAAAAACAAAACAAAACAAAACAAAAACAGTTTTCAAGCTTTCTGGACAGCTGGAGGTTAATAAGTAGTACTTCAGAAATATGAGCCGGGAACCATACTCTGCAGTTATTTTACATTATCTCCGATATTCTCAAACATCAAACTAAAGCTATTTTAGAGAAAGGAACCAAGTAACTCACTCAAAATTTCTCATAGGTAATGAGGAAAGCTCTGGCTGACTATAAGAAAAAAAAAATTGGATGACTAGGCTCTCATTTTGCTAAATTACCACGTTAATTATGAGCCCAACTACCACCCCTGCCAGCTTTCACTTATAAATGCTAGAAAAACACTTCACACAAAAAAATACATAAGATTACTATATTTCCTTTTAAGAGGAACGTTTCAACAAATTTTACAGGTGTCAATCAACCCTTGTTCAAATCGGGCACACATCAAATCTAGCATCATGGGTGTTTTATTTATTTGGAAGTGAATTTTAACTATCAATACAAATGCCAAGATACTACACAAAACATCCACAGGAACTTTTTTCATCTTTTTTTTTTTTGAATTGTACACAAACATTTCCTACATAATCCAACATACAACAGAGAAATGGTACATCTTTTTCTTTCAATTTGCATACAATGGAAAAACAAGTATATATATATTTTACAAAGTTTAACTAATAAGACACTAGAGCAAATTGACAGTTTAAGTCTATAGGTGAGAAATTATCTAATAAAAATAATCAATTTTTTCAGCATTAGTCACTTCCATAACCAAGTGTTATTCTGATTAATAAAACTTGCTGCCAATCAGAATTCTGGTATATACTCATACCATTACTCAACTTGTAGTACTGCTCCCCACCTTAGTTCTTCACAACTAACATAGAAAATTGTTGAAAAGTAGGGGCAAGCATTTGCAAAAACAAACAAAAAATCCCCAGCTTATTATAAGCATGAATATGTATGATGGAATTTCTTCCCAGCAATAGACTTCCAAACCATCAAGAAATCACCAGAACTAAGTTTGCCAAGTTATTTTGCCTATGTCCAACAAGAGATGCACTTATATGTCCAACAGAGGAGCTGAAAATTAAACTTAGTGTTTAGTTTGGGGGTGGGTTGGGAAATTCAGCCACCATTTTAAAATGACTGTCTTAAAAAAAAAATGACCACCAAAAATAGGTTCACTAAATTTATTTTAAAAATCATAAAACGTTTCTTACAAAAGAGCATTACATTCTGCACACTGCTCTGAACAGATGCCAGGGACATGTGGACTATTGTTACTTTTCCTCCCTGTCCCACCCCCCAAATGTTACAGTGACCACAAAGCAAGGTGTTCACAATAATTACATGGGGGGAATTTTTTAAACCACCAACAATAACGAAAAATAAAATCCACTCACTCTGCTGCTGTTTCAAAATTTCAATGTTAGTTTTTGCACGCCCTTCCCCCCCCCAACCCTGTTTGTAAGGAACTAAAACATTACATCTGGTGAACAGCAAAGATTTCACTACACCTCAAATGCAGAACACCTATGAAGCAGAGGAATGTTGGCTTTTTAAACAGAAGCAGATAAAAAAAAAAAGATGCAGGACTCCTTCAGTTCTTCACTAGTCTTAGAAAAACTTTCCAGAATACTGCTTCACACTATAAAAAAGAAAAAATATCTTGCATTAGAATCCTTCAACATCTGCATACTGCTTCACACTATAAAAGAAAAGAAAAAAAAGTGCGAATTAGAATTTTTGCTCGTAACATCTTAATCAACATCAAGACAATTTCAATGCTAAATTAAAATGATAAACACGTCCATTACAATTAGAAGAGTTCAAAAACCATTAGCAATTACAAATTAAAGCAATGTTAAGTGTCAAGAAAAATGATGAGTAGTAAATCGGACATTAGTAGAACAGAATTAAGAAAACGGAATTGAAAGTTGTTAATATTTGGTAGAAAAGACAAAGAATGCTAGTAAGGTGTGAAATGCTGCATTTTACAGCACCAATCATTTGTCCTGTAGAGGCATGGCCTGTGCCATATGGCAGACTGTGATTTGTTGTCGATTTAGTTATCTAAAAACAACAAAATCACTAGTCTTCCACACAGAACTAGGCCAACATCCAATGAATCTTCTATATTTTCTACAGGCTCTGTACAATTTTTAACAAGTGGTTTTGGCAGCAGTTTTCACCAGAGAAATGAGAAGTTTGCTTGGTTAAGGCTTCTTCCAGCAAGATTAGTATTGAATGTCTTCATTTTTAGTAAGAAAGCAGAAGAAAAATTAAGGCAAACTATTAGAATGTTTAGAAGTTAGGTCCCCAAAAGGTTGAGACACCATGGCTTCTAAAAGAAAAAAATCAATTGAGAAGAAAAGCTTTTTAAAGGTTTTAGTATGTATAAGCTAACACAAAGCTAAACTTAAACTGACCTGTTCTGCAGCAAATACTGTGCATTCTGTATCTGGTCCTGTGTTCCTGTAATGGTAATGATCCGATCTTCGGATCCTTCTAAAGGCTCATCAATTTTGATCGAAGCTCCCGACTCATGACGGATTTGTTTAATCCGCTGACCACCTTTGCCAATAATAGATCCAGCCAACTGAAAAGATTTTTTAAAAGTATGTGTTTACGATATACTTTTAACATTTACTACCTGTATTTTCAAGGAGCATGAAGTTATTAATTTTATTCATTCAGAATCTTAACTGATGATCTAACGCTCCCTAAACCTGTCAAGGTTTGAGTTATAATGTATTTATGTCACACTTACTAATGTTTCCCTTAGTTAGTTAAGGGCTCAAAACCTACTTAACTACTTTTATTAATAGCACTGATCACTTGACAAGACTCAAACAGCTGAAAACCCAGCTCACTAAAGCCCATTAACATAACCTCAATCCTAAATGTGTATTTTTGTTAAAACCTTCTGAATTAAAAAATATACAGAAAGGAGGAATAATCATAAAAGTGATAAAATGTTCCTGGTAGTATTAAAGATACTTACATCTTTGGGAATAGTTACTTGTGTAGTAATAATAGGTCCACCAAGATCACCATATGAGCCACGACCCCCTGCATAGGAATAATCTGATTTAAATAATGAGCAGTAAGTTCATTTAAAAAGTATGAAATTAATGTTTGACTTCACAAAGGAGAGAACTTACCATATCCGGAGCCACCCTAAAAACAGAAAGAAAAAAATAGAAAATTACTTTGCCGTTGTAATTACTACCGGTACTTTAAAAAAATTCATTTAATAAAATGGAGTCTTGCTATGTTGCCCAGGCTGGTCTCAAACTCTCGGGCTCAAGTGATCCTCCTGCCTCAGACTCTTTTGTAGTTGGGATTATGAGTGAGCACCACTGCACCCAGCTTCACTATTCAAGTATTTTAATCTCATAAAATCCCTCTTCAGGAAACCAAAGTCCTCCTGTATCCTATTTTCAGTAAGTATCCTCAGGGGAATAAAAAACTTACTGGAGAGCAGGTAAGCATCTTAAATTATCACTGATATACACACGAACAACTATGATACTCAACCTGTGGTTCATAAGCCATCTGCCATTCTGATGGGCTCCATGTATCTATTGCAGAGTCCCAAGTTTCATCAGCACTGAAACCAACCTGTTAGAGATAAAAACATTAACATGAACCCGCATTGTATTTTGTTATAGAGCTGTTTTTAATATGCCTAATTTGCATGTTACATTAAAACAAAAGAGGGTACATATATAGGCAGCAATTTTGTAATCGAGGGGAACAAAGCTCAATAAAGTCGTAATCCTCCAGCAGCAAATAACAGAATTATTTAACTAGTAATCCAAACAAAATTTACTTGTAAGAAAAACTTTTTAATCACTATAACCTTCAACAAAACGTGAACTACATTGTGACAACCCTCACATACCCAACACACTGGTAATAAACCAAAGTTCTTACCATGCCGTCGTAACGGTCTCCAGGTCTCCCTCTTCTGTCATAGGCCATGAGGTCTCTGCAAGCATAGTACTTGTTGTAATCTAAACGTGCTTACATGCCACACATATCAAATCAAAGTCTACCTTGTCTACCACTAAGTGCAGCCTCTTGCAGGTTAATAATTCATAGATGGGGGAAGAAAAAACAACAACAACAAAAAAAACAACTTACCCCCCTCTAGGTGGTGGTGGTGGAGGAAGAGGAAGATTCCGAGCTCTGCTACCACCCCGGCCGCCTCGTCCGGGAGGAGGGGGAGGTGGTCCTCGACGAGGGCTCATATCATCATAATCTCTTCTAGATGGAGGCATGGGACGCCCACCCCGACCAGGAGGCATTCTGTCAAAACCACCTCTTCCCCGCATGGGAAATCCCACTGGGCGTCCGCGACGGTCATCAAACATCATTGTAAAACCACCATAATCATAGGTTTCATCGTAAAAATTGGGATCATAAGGCTGTGCACGTCCTTTGATGGGAGACTAAAAACAGAGATGGAACAAACTTACAGACTGAAGAAAAAGAGTCCTGCTTCATACCAATCCTTCTAACATCATCATCAAACAAAATGTAAGTCATTCCCCCATCAGGAGGTACTAGAGACAGAAACAGGAATTATGTCAACGCTAAAAGTAGCAAAGTAAAGATTCCAAAGAAATCCAATACTTTTGGCAAATGCTAAACAAAAGTGAGTTCTATTGCCTATACAGGGAGAAGTAATAGCTTGCTCTTACACTTAGATCGTAAGAAACCACAAAGCCCTCCCATTTTACACATGACAAACTACAATGCACATTTCACAACAAGGGCTGAAGAGATCAGTCTTGGCAAGCCTGTAATCCATACTGAGGCACCTGAGATAGGAAGCCCTGCAGCATAGTTACAAAGACACAAGCAACACTATAGGAAATTCATTCAAAGGCTCAAAGGCTATAGAAATACCACCAACAAATTACCACTCTCCACTTTTTCAAAACCATTTTTAAATTAAAGTGATGGCTGAAGCCAGGTGATAGAAAATTGCTAGGGAAAGGGCAAATAAAGACTATTAGACTAAATGCTCTGAAGCTACTTTTGCAGAAGGTTATCACTTTGTTTCATAAAATCAAATGTAAACAAAAAGTGTTCTGAAGTACCTCAGATATAAGATCAAGGATGATCTTTATGCACTCTACAACCCTATCGGGTTTTCCTCCAATAAGAACAACTCTGTCAGTGGAATGAGGACAGCATTCCTGGAAAAGCTTGATGGTGGTTTGAGTGTTCTGTAGTAAGATCATAAAAAAAAATAATAATAATTAGAAGAAAATTAGCTTTCCTAGGTTCAGTGAAAATTGCATTTGAATTCAACAATTAACCCCCCACAATATAAAAACTTCATTAATTATCACAGGGCTTTGCAATGGTATAAAAATTTTGACAAAATAACATGTCTAGCAGTGCCAGACATTTTTTGTCATTTGCGATAAGCAATCTTTGGAGGGAACTGAGAGGGGAAGCGAGAGAAGCTCACAGAAACAAGTCTATATGAAAATTTACTTTCCAGCAAAGAATACGGCAGAATTTTTTTTTTTTTACCTCTCGAAGTTCTTTGATTTTAGCACCTTTGACCCCAATAATTCCTCCTGCTAGACTCTGATGAATCAACAGCCTCAACTCGCAGTCAAAGTCACTTCCTTTATAGTGTTGGTACTGTGGAGGGAGAATTATAAAATTTTAGTCTCAAATCAACAATTCCCCAATACACACTTATCTGCTATAAGCATAACAATAATATACTGTTGCAGTGAGCAACCTGAATTTATATTTCAATAACTTTACCAGTTATGTGCTTATTATCCTCAATAGCCAGGCCCAAAAAGGACATTCTGCACCACCTTAAAAAACTATTTTATTTTCAGGTCCTGCAACACCATACCCACACTGCAGCCATTTAGCATGTCGCTGTTACCACAAAATTATTATTAACATTCAAATAACACCATAATAAAAATGACTGCAAAGCACTTTGCAAATGTAGTTAATTCCCACTGCAGCATGGAGCAGGGTCAACAGTGAGTTGTAAGACCATTCATGTATCATGTTTTTAAGCCTTTTTCTATAGAGATGGGAAAAGCACACTATGTTAAAAATATAATCGATCCTATGGGCCAGGCTCCATACTTCAGTGGGGTTCAATGGCACTATGACATACATTTAAGCATTCCACAGCATCAGATTCGAGCGGGAGCTGGCTGGTTGCAGTGGGTGATGGCAACTGCAGGCCCTGAAAGTAGAAAAATAAGAGTAATAGGTTAAGTGTCTAGCGTGATCAGGCTATTGTCGCATATATTGGTAAAGCTACTACAACATATTTTAAATCTATATTATTAAATAATGAGAAACTGCTTTATTCAACATTAAGACGATTCAAAACATAAAATATTTTTCTCTATATACACCTAGTGAATTATGTAGAGTCTTAAAATCCTAACTAAATCTAACTAATTCTCCTTTTCAACATGTTCCCACAAATATTCTAATTTTAAAAATCTTTCTGATAACTAAAGCCCATAAAATACATACTAAACCCATGAAAGCACATGACCACAGGTTAAGTTCACATTTACTCCAGGAGTGGCCAGCCTGTTTTTTTTTTTAAAAAAAAAAAAACAAATTACGCATGTACAAAATTATGTAGCAGGTTAAGATACTGCTACAAACTGTCATATCCATTGTCTCTCCACCTCCCCCATCATACCCCAATACAACATACTTTAAACATTCCCCCCTCATATTGTCAAATACATTTAAAAAAAAATGAGCCTACCTCTTCCAAGGTAGGGATGATTTTCTTCAGAATTTCTCCAATTGTTTCAATATCAGCACTGATACTCAATATGCTGTCAAACACCACAAATACCAGATAGTACAAAAAAGGTGGAAAAGAAAAATGAGTTTTGTGTTTGTCACCAAATCATACAAACTTTCACAGAGATGTAACACATGATTATTTAATATTCCCCATTTAAAGTAGCCTATTTATAGATTTCTCACATGCATTTTGTTTTATACCCAATACAGACATGATAACAATATTAGGAGACTTGCAGAGAGACAGAGAGAATGGGCTTTTGGAAGGGCTCAGATTAAGTGGGCAATAAACTGACCAGAACTGAAGCAGAGTTGAATATTTATGTTCCCCGCCACCACTGAGTTAAGGATACCCTTGCTGTTACATTGGTAAAACTGGCACACCTTCTCTTAGGCAAAGTGGGGGAATATGCAAGTGGTGAACATTGTATCTGGAGTAAGGTTATGAATACCAGTTAGAAATTAGATCACTAATGGGCTCTGCAAGAAAACAAATACAAATGCAAGACAAAACAAAGACAACACAAATGAGAAGTGAAGGAAAGTGAACCAGAGTTAGCATTTCATCAGAAAAAATTATGAACAGGCAATGTTGGGAAGCAAGGTGGGCCACAAAGACAGAGCGAGAGACTATTTTGGTAACAATTTGATTTACAATGCGGCAAATATGCAACACTTGAAGCTGTGCTCCTTCCATCGAAATAAAATTAGTGGATCGTTTGGGTGGGCAACTCACGGTAAAAGTTCAGTGACAAAAAGACTTAATGGGGAAAATAAGACAGAAACTTGAAAAACAATACACCGTCTAAAGGGGATACTATTTAATTATATAAAAGGCAGGTAATAAAATACATTTCTCTCTTTCTAATCAGGCAGTGAGGCATAAACTGTTGGGACATACCGCTCGGGGCCACTGCTGTCTGGGACTGAAACACTGGCATTGTACTGCATTGGTCATTGGCGTTCGTGGATGTTGGCATTGGGCATGGGCATTCAATCAGAAGTTGTCAAGTATGGTACCCGTTTGGCAACGAGCACATTTTTGGGCATAGCCAACCAGGGTTTTCACATGGGCGTTCAGGGGCGGATGGGCCAACGTCATGGTGGGCAACGCAGGGGTAAGTCGATCCAGTACATGGGCAACGGAGATATATGGCCAAAAAAACAAGGAGAGGGAAAAGGGGGAAAAGCAATAAATTTTAATTTAATACAAACTATACTCATACTCTCAATGAAACAAGCTTAAGTTGTTCTGAAGACTAACACAATAATGGACTTCTCTAAATCTGACTGTGGCTTAACATTAAGGACCTCAAATGATGGTTCTAGCCTTTTTTATTTTTTAAGAAAAACAAACGATGTTTCAGTAGCAGGCTGGCTCATGAGGGTAGACACAAAACCTGACTCAAAGTTTACTGAAATTCTTGAGGAAATGGGGAAATTAATAACCCAGATAATTATACAGAACATCTGGATTAAGAGGAGAGAGGTTTATAAAAGACAAAACAAAAATTCCCACACCACCAAAAACCCTAACTAATAAGACTGGTTTGGTTTTCTGGAGGTTTTGAAATGCATTCCTAGATCCTAACAGGCAAGTTTGTAAAATTTTAAACAAATTTTCAAGTTCAGTTTACAGTAATCAAGAGGAACATACAAAGATCTGCGACCAAGAGAGAAATGAAATACTGTCAAATAAGTACTCGACACAAAGTTATTTGCCTCATTTTTAGCAAGAAAAACATTAAGAAATGTGTACACTATGAGAAAAAAAATTTAGAAATTTTGGTGTAGCCAAGTCCTATAAATGTGCTCACTTCTGGCACTGCCAACATTTAATGTGTCTAATCACAAGAGTCAACCCACTGTAAAATGAAGACTCAAACAAATCATAGGCATTGACGAACAGTTTCCCAATTATAAGATTAAGTGCCTACTCTATTCTTTACCCATATTTAAATCATGCAACCTCAACATTAAATTCTTTGTGCTCCATGTGCAAGCTGTTAAAGAACAGATGGACATTTTTCTTCCCAAAGAAAACAAAAAAATTTTTCTGGATTTAACCAGCCACCTGCAATGGTTTTCAGTAATACTGTAATTGATTCACACACAGGAAATGGTGCAATCAAGGATTTTTACACTTTGTCGCTATTTCTAATTAAGATGTTATCTTGCTTGATGAAGTGAATAATTTGGTGGACTCTTATTAAAATGTGAAGAGGTTTGAAAGAAACCACCCCCCCACCCTGCTCAATCTGGGCTTTTGTTAAAACAGGAATGGATAACTTCGAAATCAATTCTGTAATAATAAATTATTACAAATGTCTTTGTAGCTAAACTATGAAATGATTTCTAGGATGTAAATCTTTAAATTTCTATAGACATATAAACTGAAGCTGCTCGTGTAGTAGTTTAAACTCTTAATACTTACGTCTGTACGGAGAGCCTTAATATTCTTGCCTCCTTTTCCAATCACTGCCCCAGCATTCTGGAGAAGATACAAAGACAAAAAATTATTTTGCCTTTCCCTAAAATTAATAGCTACCTACGCTCTTAGATTTTGCTAAAAAATCCTCTAACCTGTTTGTTATAAGAATAAAAATCTATTTGGGGTTGTAAAAACGACCAGGCCAAAACCAAACCAAAAATCAAAATATAATTCTAAGTGCTGTGAGGACTAGATAGTTTGGAGTACTCAATGTCAGAAATAACACCAAGTATAAAATAAAACTAAGCACAGATTTTATAGCACCCTTTGGTAAAATAAGTCAATTAATTTAGTATTAGTAGGTACCTTCATATTGTGACCTGTGATCAAACAATAAACTGCCAACCAAGCAGTTTCCTAAGGAGTCCACACATAATTAAGATTTAATCTATTAACACTTTAAGAATCACACTCTCCTCCTAGTTTGACCTGTAGTGGCGGTTCACTACAGCAAGGGCTTTAATCTTAACTGTTAGTGGAATAAGAAAACCACCAGAGCCTTCAAGTCTGTTTAGAAAGAACCAAATGTTTTATATTCTTCAATCTGTAAAACTTTGACTTTCTAGAAAGCCAAACCAGACCTTAATTTCTACCTGAGTATGAACCACCTTCAAATTTTCAAGAATAAAATTTATACCTTGCTCTGAAGCAGAATGCGTAATTCAACCATCTCATCAGTGTTTCTAGATCTTTTAAATGCTTGTTCCTCTTCCATATCTTCTGCAGGGCGTTTACCTAAAAATTAACAGTTCACATTTCAAAGAAAGCAGCGAAGTCTCCAAAGTAACTCCATTCTGTTTCAAGAGACTTGTTGCTAATCTTAGGCATGTTTTGAAAAGACCAAAGGCATTGCTACAGACTTGAACGTTATGCTTCCATCTAGTAAAATGCACCAAACACAAAATACTGCCACAAAATACTTCAAAGGATTTGAAATCCCAAAATGCAAGAAAAATTCTTTATATGCAAATCAGTTACTTCTACTTCATAAATAAAAGCTAAGATGTAACTACTGATAATCGCAGAATTACATAAACAGTAATACCAAAAATTCACCACACACTCCTAAGGCAATAATTAACAGAAAAAGGCAATTTATTAACAGGATAAAAAAATACTGTTAAAACTAAAATTTCTTCTCACCAAATTCACCATTGGTTTCAGTGTTAGGGAAGGTTTCTTCTGGCTGTTCAGTTTCCATATTCTTTTATTAAACGGGCACACCAATCTGTGGAAAAATAAAGCAGCTAGTACATTTGGCTTATTGGAAAGCAAGCTGTAAAAAAAAAAAAAAAAAAAAGACATTGCTTCTAGAACGTACCAGTTATTATATATCCTTGCAGAGCAGAACTGAAGCGTTCTGGGTCGGACCAACAACTGACACCCCAGTGCTGCAGTAGCCTATAAGAACCAACACAAATCAGTTTTGCTTTTGTTTATTCTTATTACTGAATATTTGTTTCCGATCACAGTGAATACTGATTTGAACCCAAAAAACCAGCTGTTTCTAAAACTTGATTCTTCATTTTAGGGTTTCACAATTCAAATGACTGCCTAAAAAATACAAAATTCAAGGGAGCCTGGTTTCATTTTTTGCTAAGTTAGAACAATAACTTTTAGCCACTGGATTAAGTCCCACCACAGCAATGAATTGTTTTATACGGCACATTCCCAAAACCCTGAAAAGATAAATGTCATCCACAAAGCATACATTTATGAAAAGTTACAATGCATCTTATTCACTGGGAAAACTAATTTTATATTAAAACTTCCAATTGCTTTCCTATTTCTTTCGACTCATGCTTGAAGCGATCTTATGTGACATCTCTAAAGTTTACAAATACAACGGCAATTGCGAACACATCCAACAACCAGAACAATCTACCGGAGGGATAAATCCAAAAATCTAATATAGGACCAGACCCAAACTACCACAATACCAGTCTATTATTAATCAGCGAAACAAATGGAGCCCTTGAAAACTAACAGTCACTAGCGGATTATTTTAAATTAGGCTTAAGGGAGTACAACACAACAATCATGCCTGTAACACGAAAACTAAAGTGTCTACGTGCCAAAACGGTCGATAGGACTACAAACAGCCTTTTTAAGCTTCCCTCTTGTCGGGACTAGGAGTTGACAAGCGGCCTCTACTAGAAGGTTGGCTAGACAGCAAAGAGCCAACAAGCGAGGCACATTTATGCCTCCCATTCTCCCATACCGTTGGTCGACTTATTGCTCTCCTAACGACAACTGAAACGACATCCTTCCGGCCCAGCACGCAATTTCTGAGGTGTGGTGGGAGAAGAGTTGGATAAGAAAGTTTAAGCAAAAACAGCAGGGCTTATCTGTAAGAATAACGTTGCCGCTTGCCGTTCACCCTTCGGGTCCTGCAGTCACTAGTCCCCAGGCCTCAAAAATCCGCTAAGTATGTGCTCCACTGGCCGAGCGCCAACGCGCCCTCCCCTCCCCGCCTCCCGGCACCGAGATCAAAAACAGCCGGGTAACAGGACGGGAAAAAGCGAAAGTCGACAGCAGAAGCACCGCACCTCTCCTCACCCGGATCCGACAGGAAATGGCGGCCCGCGTAATGGCGACTACGTGCTACTAGGCGGAGCCGAGCGCCGACCCCCTCCCCCACCCACCACGCGGTCCCGAGGTCTCATCCCCCGCATCCTCCCCCCACTGCCCGAGACAAAGCCATCGAGGCAGCCCTGACCGTTCCATCCCCGCCGCTCCAGCTCCGACCCCGGGCCGGGAGACCCAAGGTGAGGCGGGGCTCACACAAAGAGAGCGGCGGCGCGACCTTCTCCCCGCACCGGCCTCCTTTCCTCCACGAGGTCCCTAGTTCCCAGTGCCACATAGCTCCAGCTCATCCTAGAGGCACATGCCTCACGAATCCCCAAGTCTCTAGGACCACAACGCGGACTGCGGATACACGCTCAGGGAAATGGCGGAGGTGGGGGAGGGGACACCGGGCAACGTTCCCACTCGGAGAAGCGGCCAAACACCAAAGCGGCTCCCAGGACGCCTCCCTCAAGCGGAAAAACTGGGCTCCGACCCTCACCTCCACGAGCCGCTCCCCCAACCCGGCTCCTCACCGCGCGAGACTGCCGTCCCTCCGCTGCCGCGCCGCCTCAGCCGGTCGGAGCTAGACAGAAAACGAGCGCAGGCTCCCCTCCCCCGCCTTCTCGCGTCCTCCCCGCCGTCGCGCCCTATTGGCTGCCAGGGCTTCAGCGATGGTGCGAGGGCGAAGCGATTGGCCCGAGGCCACGTCAATCAAGGCGACGGAGGAGGCGACAACCCCGCCTCCCGCCAGCGCCTCCCTTCGGGCTGGGAGGCCACTAAGGGCTCGAGAAAACCCGGGCTTGGGAAAAGTAAACGCAGCCTTTCAGGGAGCCCCAACCCTTACCCGAATCAGCAATACCCAAGCTCCAATAACTCCAATTACCTATAGGCCGCGAACAAGTGGGACACAGGCAAGACGTCGAGGTCGGTGCAGCAGAGAAACAGAGGATAATGGCGTCTGCAGTGCTGTCGCCTGGAGCGCCCTCCTCCTTTCTCGTTCGCGCACTCACTAGCTGGGGGGAGGGGCGGCTAGGGGGCGAACCTCTCGCGAGATCTAACAACTGCCTAGTTCACGCGCACAGGGAGGGGGCGGGGAAGGGGCGTTTTCCAGCCCCGAAGGAGTCCTTTGGGGTTGGAGGAGGGGCGCGAGCGCGCGGCAAATCGGGCGGGAAGAGGTAAAAAAGGAACTGGGAGCGCGCCGCGGCGGTTCCTGTCCTTACAGTTGCGCTGCCCAGGGACCGATGTTGCGCGAGGAAAATGCGGGACGCCCAGGTCGGTGCTCGGCCCAGACTTATGCCCGTGTTTTCACAGCCCACACTCGTGCCCGAAGCCCCTTACCCCGCCCCGGGCTGTGGTCTGTGGGCTGTGGGACGAGCTGCGGCGCGGTAAGTGCGGGCCGTCTGCGTCCGCTGGGCCGGGCCCACGCTTCGGAAACCCGTTGTTTGTAATGGTCCGGGGCGCCCGTCAGTCAAGGCCGGGCCCGGGGGCGCAGCTGGCGGTTCTCGGCCTGCCTTGCGCCGGGGCGGGAGCCGGGGAAACGCGGGGCGAGCCTGGGAGTACTGGAGAACTTCTCGCCGAGAGGGCACAGGCGGTTTCACAGGGCTCTCGGTTCTGAGACTTTCCTCTTGGGTAATGGGACCTGAGATGGAAGTATTTTGTAGTGTCGTCGCTGTAGTTTATTCCGATAAAATTTTTAGGCAATATGTATTGCCCTTGTCTCCTAAAATGAATGCGTATCGCTGAATACGTTGCAGACCTCCACGTTCCATTCAAAGCGCCTGCCTTGTGGCAGTGATGAAAACAGACAAAAACCCTTGCCCTCAAACGTGCTCCTGTTCTAGCGGGTTCAGCGCACACTTGCATTGTATTCGGTTCCTTACTTTTAAGGCTCCTGTGCCAAGCTTTCATGACTTCCTTTGTTAAGGCACATAAGGTCACTTTCAATCGGTGACAGCCCTGGGAAATCTCCAGCCCTGGTAGTACCCGCTTTCCACATCCTTACTCGTCAACCTTCCAGCCTCCGCCCACAATCCCAAACTCATTTTGAAGCATAAAGGTGTCATAATCTGCACATAAAGCGAAATCCACCATTGGCCGAATACATGCATATATTTTAGTGTTGATGAATTTGTGCTGATTCATTCCTGTTATAATGTTTCCTTCTTGGGTAATTTGCAAAACATATATACCAGCATTCTTTTAAATGGCCATGATTGCATCCACCCAGCATCTTTTACTTGACTGATTAGAGGAAAACTCTTGTTAGGGCGCACTGAGGATTTCATGACAAACACCAGTATTTACATTCTGGGAGGATACGTTAACACATGCTGTTAGAACATAATGTCCGGGATTGTGGAATTTATAAAAGTTCTCTTTAAGTGATAATATAATTTTTTAAATGGTCCCCACCATGAAGAGTGTATAGTCTTGTTGGGTAGGTAAAACTTAACTCGCATTTCAGTTCTAAAACACAAAGTTCAGAATTTTATTAAATATTCAAAACTGATGAGTTTATGTAGGGGCTTAGGATACTTGGATTATAGAGATTTAATCCGCCAGTTAGTATTTGCAACATTTAATTGAGTTTGTCATTTAAAACCTGAGACATGTCACTGACACTAATATGCACAAATAGCGGTACGGTAATGATGATGCTGTGCTTTCTTTCAAATTAGGATTTATGTTGCAGTCATCATTTTCTTGATAAGGAATGATGAGTGGGAATCACAAGTAAGCAGCCCTATATAAGAACCTCTTCCGGCCGGGCACGGTGGCTCACGCCTGTAATCCCAGCACTTTGGGAGGCCGAGGCGGGCGGACCACAAGGTCAGGAGATCGAGACCATCCTGGCTAACATTGTGAAACCCCGTCTCTACTAAAAAGACAAAAAAAAAAATTAGCCGGGTGTGGTTGCAGGAGCCTGTAGTCCCAGCTACTCAGGAGGCCGAGGCAGGAGAATGGCGTGAACCCGGAAGGCTGATCTTGCAGTGAGCCGAGATCGCGCCACTGCACTCCAGCCTGGGCGACAGAGCGAGACCCTGTCTCAAAAACAAAAACAAAAACAAAAAAAAAAACCTCTTCCTCCCAGTTTCATTGTCCAGACTGGACCCCGACTGGTGTAAATTATTCATCCCCTCTAGATGCCATTGTGGGATGGTTGCTATTTTTCCCCCCATTTGATTTCTTCTTTACGTCTTTTTAATTTTTAGGTTTGCTCTTTAAATAACAGGAAAGTCTTTTTTCTCCATCCTTTTATTCTCTGTTTGAAATTAAGACTTTTCAACCCAATAATTTTATACCTGTGTTCATTCAAGAACTTAACAATACATTCATTGACTCCAGTCTTGTGTAATTGGTACAATGGTGTAATGGTGTAGTGATCACTTTGGACTCAGTGAATTTAGACCCAATATTACTTAGATGGGGGATTTACTTTAGATGGGCTAATATAATTGAGAATGTACACTATCCAGCTGCATTATTGTTTAAAATAGTATTTATAACTACTATTTCCTGAGTTCCCCACTGTGTGCTAAACGTTGTGCTGGCAGTTTAATACTTTTTAGAGTTCTTTGAGCAAGTTGTTAGTTATCTTTGTTTTGTGAACGAATGAACTAGCACTAAGAGAAGCTAAGGAACATATCCAAGGTCACATAGCAAAATGGGGTTCCAGATTCTCTTTCTGTCTTTTCCTTACTTTAGGTTATGGAGGATCCATAAAAATCTCCTCTGATTACTTCTTCTAATTTCAGTCATATACGGTATAAATTTTTCCTCCCTAATTTTCGGAGTATCTTCTCAAAAATTCCAGGATTACCTTGAACTCATCCTCAATGAATTAAAATGTAGACTTACCTTTATTGTTTAGATGAAGATAATGGAACTGTGGAGTAGATTTAAATATTCGTTAGTGCTTTTAAGTCTCAGCTATTGTCAGAATGACACACGTAAGGTCCAAAAGGATGACACTCCTGCCTCGCTTTTTATTAAAAAAAAATTGGAATATATGAGGCTGACTGAAAATTAATCTGTAAATCAAATATGCCTAGACCTTCGTGGTAGGTGATAAAATTTTCCCACTTTATTTTCTTTTGTTCAGTTCCTGGCAGTACAGATCTAGAATGCAGATTAGTGTGGTCAGCCAAGTTTATCATTCATACAATGCTAATCAGCTTTCTTAAAAATGTTTTTTCCTGATTATAAAATTAATGGGGATTAAGCTGTATGTAATTTTATATGTGTTCTTTTTCCCAACAAAATGTGAATGTATTTCTTTGTCATTAAATAATTCTTAAAAATGGTTTCTTTAAAGATTTCATAGCTTTTCATTTCATGGTGGTAGTGCTATGTATTTAACTTTTTTTCCCATTTTGAACATTTTGTTTTTTTCAAAATATAAAAACTCAGTGGTAAACTCTCTGCCACATAAATCTTTGTCTTTATTTATTTTGTTACTTATTGATGCATAAAAGATGTACATAGTTTTGGGGTATATGTGATAATTTAATATATTCACTTAATTTGTAAAGATCAAATCACAGTACCGGGGATATTATCTCCTTAAATATATGGCTTTTCTTTGTCCTTATTTATGATTATGTCCTTAATTCTGGAAAGTAAAAGAAGTGGATAATATGGTATGAACATACCTTTTTTTTTTTTTTGAGACTGAGTTTCGTTCTTGTTGCCTATGCTGGAGTGCAGTGGCGCAATCTCGGCTCACTGCAACCTCTGCTTCCTGGGTTCAAACGATTCTCCTGCCTCAGCCTCCCGAGTAGCTGGGATTACAGGCATGTGCTACCAAGCTCGGCTAATTTTTTTGTATTTTTAGTAGAGATGGGGTTTCTCCATGTTGGTCAGGCTGGTCTGGATCTCCTGACCTCAGGTGATCCACCCGCCTTGGCCTACCAAAGTGCTGGGATTACCAGTTTTGAACATCTTTTTTTCTTTTCTTTTGAGACAAAGTTTCGTTCTTGTTGCCCAGGCTGTAGTGCAATGGCACAATCTCGGCTCACTGCAACCTCTGCCTCCTTGGTTCAAACGATTCTTCTGTCTCAGCCTCCCTAGTAGCTGGGATTACAGGCATGCGCCACCAGGCTCAGCTAATTTTTTTGTATTTTTAGTAGAGACGGGCTTCTCCATGTTGGTCAGGCTGGTCTTGAACTCCTGACCTCAGGTGATCCACCTGCCTCAGCCTCCCAAAGTGCTGGAATTACAGCTGTGAGCCACCGCACCCAGCCCGAACATATCTTACTGTATAATTTAAAAGACAGTTTTCCAAATTTATTATTATTTTCTTGGACAGTGGAGTTCTTTAGGATCAGGAGCTGTTCTTTGCACATGGGAATTTGTGCTGCCCTTGCTAACCTCTGCCTCTGAGCTGCTTCTACCTGCTTGTGACTATGGTTACCCAATTTCCTAAGCAAAGAAGGGATGAAAACCTTAGGAATTATCTGAAGGACTAGATGCCATTAATATAATTTACCAAATTATTAAAGGTCTCAATTATTAATATCCAGTCTAAACTTTATAATATAGATCTTACATAATATTTTTCCATTTGATTAAACATTTTAATAAGCTTCTCTTTCTAATCTGTAGGAAAAATAACCTATTACACATCATCTTTTTATTATAATTAAGACATGCAGTTGTAGGAATTATATCTGTATCCTAGATCAATCCTACTTTCTACTTTGTTGTTAAGTGATGAAATCTGTGTAACAGATGTATGTTAGCAGTTATTTTATTTCCCCTAAAGTTCTTGACTTTTTGGTAAAATATTTGAGAATAGTTGTATTGGAATGCTTGTACAGTGTTAAGTATCTCTTATCACATTTGCTTGTGTTTTACAGGTGTCTTGGTTATCTTTTGGGTGTTTAGTCAATGGAATTTTTTTCTTTGCCCAGTTATGATAACATTACTGTAAATTCATAGTATGTCAGCTTCAGAAGTTGAGAGTGGTTCTTAGAGTTATTAATTAGGACTGACACATTTAATGGAACAGTTTAGTTGTTGGGGTTCACTGAGCAGTGTTTTTCAGAATTCATCCCAACTCTTGGCTGAAAGGAGTTTTGCCACTTGCGGTGTTCAGTAGCACATACGGCCGGGCGCGGTGGCTCACGCCTGTAATCCCAGCACTTTGGGAGGCCGAGGCGGGTGGATCACGAGGTCAGGAGATCAAGACCATCCTGGCTAACACGGGGAAACCCCGTCTCTACTAAAAATACAAAAAAATTAGCCGGGCATGGTGGCAGGAGCCTGTAGTCCCAGCTACTTGGGAGGCTGAGGCAGGAGAATGGCAGGAACCCGGCAGGCTGAGTTTGCAGTGAGGCGAGATTGCACCACCGCACTCCAGCCTGGGCGACAGAGCAAGACTCCAAAAAAAACCCACCAAAACAATAGCATATACCAGGAAGAGCAAGTTTGGAATTAAAAAAAAATTAAAAAATAAACTGATACATAAGCCTTAGAATATCAGTTTGTAATATTCAAAAAATGTAAAAATTATTTTATGTGCTATGTTAGTAGGGTTATAGCAAAAGGAAAAGTAGTACTTAACCGCAGCACTATGTCGAAGCTATCACAAAGATAAATATAGTAGGTGTAGGTGATATTTTTAAGTTTTTCTTTCATTTGATTTTGTAAATGAAACAATTTAGAATGCATTAGATGGGCTTGTTATTTACGTGAGATCTGAGAATTCTGTTCATTATAGTAGCAGCAAACCACTCTTATAGAATGGCCGTTTATATGTGGATTTTATACATAAGTGGGTTTTATAGATGAATTGAGGGACTGGTTTTACTTCCTCTTTCCACTTAAGTTGACAGAAAAAGGTAAAAGAATGGAGATTAGCAGAATTTATGTTCTAGTTCTGGGTCTGCTGTTGGGTATGATATGTATGCCTTAATCTTCATGCCTCAGTTTCATCATTGTCAAAAATAGATGAGAATACTCTTTCTATCAAAAAATTACTGTTTTGAGGTTTAGATAACATTGTAGATGTAGAAGTACATTTTTTATTGATATCTTTAAAAAAATTTTAAGTCTTACAAAATAGGTTTTAATTTATTTTCAGCAAAGTCTTCACTTCTCTGTTTATACATCTGTACCTGCTGGGAAATATAGGATTAATATCTCTGAAATTCATTCTTGTTTATTTTCTGTCCAGCCTTGACCTTTTCAGTTCATAACCAATCAGTCTTCTTTTCTTACTGATTCATTTCTTTTGAAGTTTCAAAGTCAACTGAAAGTACACTTTGTCCTCATTTCAGTTTACTTAATCTAATGTCTGTCATCACATTTTTACAACACCTTTGAAAATTATACTAGGTCCATTTGCCAGCACTGTGTTATTTAAATTTTACTGGAGGAAATAGGAACCTTATTGAATTGGTGCAACTAAGAGCCATGGCTGGGTTCCTTCCCTCCCCTCCCCTCCCCTTCCCTTCGCTTTCCGATGGAGTCTCACTCTGTCACCCATGCTGGAGTGCAGTGGGAAACCCTTGGCTCACTGCAACCTCTGCCTCCTGGATTCAAGCGATTTTCTGCCTCAGCCTCCTGAGTAGCTGGAATTACAAGCACGTGCCACCACGCCCAGCTAATTTTTGTATGTTTAGTAGAGATGGGGTTTCACCATGTTGACTCACACTCCTGACCTCAGATGATCCACCCGCCTCGGCCTCCCAAAGTGCTAGGGTTACAGGCGTGAGCCACCGCGTCCGGCCTGCCTTCTTATTGTTTCTATTTTTATCACTTTTCTGCTCCTTTTGTGCCTTCTTTTAGATTGTTTTCTTTATATTTTCCTCAGCTAGTTTGAAAGTTAGTTGTTACATTTCTATTCTTTTGGTGTTTACCTTCAGTTTTTTAATTGGAGTATAATTTACCTTCAGTAAAATTCATATTTTTTGGAGTATAGTTCTGAGTTTTGATAAACAGATAACAGTCATGTAACCACCAACCACCACCATCGTCATGTTATAGAACAATTCCATCACCCCAAAAATTTTCTTTTGCCCCTTGTAGTCAACCTCTTTCCACATTTCTGGCCTTTGGCAACCACTGAACTGTTTTCTGTTTGTATAGTGTTGCATTTTTCCAGAATGTCATATAAATGGAATTATTCCTTTACTTACCATACTGAATTTGACATTCATGCATATTATTCCTTGTGTCCATAATTTATTTTTATTATTAAATAGTATTCCATTGTATGGATATTATCACAGTTTGTTTATCCGTTCACCAAATGAAGGACATGTGGGTGGGTTTTTTTTTTGAGACAGAGTCTCAGTCTGTCACTCAGGCTGGAGTGCAGTAGTGCAAACACGGCTCACTGCAGCCTCAACCTCCTGGGCTCAAGTGATCCTCCTACCTCTGCCTCCTGGGTAGCTAGGACTACAGGCATGTGCCACCACACTCAGTTTTTTAATTTTTTGTAACAGATAGAGAGATAGAGATATTGCCCAGGCTGGTTTTGAACTCCTGGCCTCAAGTGACCCTCCCACCTCAGTTTCCCCAAGTGCTGGGATTACAGGTGTGTGCCACCACACCTGGCCACATACAGGATTTTAATGGATGTCAAAATTATTTACTCTCTTGAGTAAATACCTTGCAGTTGCATTGCTGGGTTGTATGGTAAGTATATGTTTTGATTTCTAAGAAAATGCTAAACTGTTTTCCTTTTGTTTTGTTTTGAAACAGGGTCTTGCTCTATCGCCCAAGCTGGAGAGCAGAGGCATGATCACATCTCACTGCAGCCTTGTCCTCCTAGGCTCAGGTGATCCTCCTCCCTCAGGCTTCTGAGTAGCTGGGACTACAGGCATGCACCACAATGTCTGGCTAATTTTTGCATTTTTGGTAGAGACAGAGTTTTGCTGTGTTGCTCAGGCAGGTATTGAACTCTCAGGCTCGAGCAATCTGCCCTCCTCAGCCTCTCAAAGTGCTGGGATTACAGGCATGAGCCACTGCACCTTGCCCAACTGTTTTCCTTTGTAGAAACCTGCCAAATTCTTTTCCACGGTGGCTGTGCCATTTTGCATTCTCACTAGCAATGAGAATTCTAGTACTTGGTATTGTCAGTTATTTTTTATTTTACATGTGTAGTGATATCACCTTTGATTTTAATTTTGCATTTCCCTGATGTCTAATAATATTGAACTGTTTTCCTGTGTTTATTTGCCATCTGCATATTTTCTTTGGTGAAGTTTCCATATCGTTTTTCTTTTAGCCTTCTGTTTGTTTTTTTGTTGAGACAGGGTCTTGCTCTGTTACCCAGGCTGAATGCAGTGGTGTGACCTTGGCTCACTGCTGCCTTGACCTCCCAGGCTCAAGTGATCCTCCCATCTCAACCTCCTGAGTAGTTGAGACCACAGGCACATGCCACCATGCCCACCTAATTTTGTTTATATTTTTGTAGAGACAAGATCTCAGTATGTTGTCCAGGCTGGTCTTTATTTCCTGGGCTCAAGTGATCCTCCTGCCTTGGTCTCCCAAAGTGCCAGGCTTATAGGTGTGAGCCACTATGCCTGGACTGAAGTATCCTTTCAAATCTCTTTCTTATTTTGTGGATTAAATACTTAAATGTAAGACCTGAAACTGTGAAACTACTAGGCAAAAACATTGTGGAAATGCTTCAGGACATTGTTCTGGGCAAAGATTTTTTTGAGGTAAAAACTTAAAAGCACAGGCAATAAAAGCAAAAATAGATGGTATTATATTAAGCTAAAAAGCTTCTGTACAGCAAAGGAAATAACCAACAGAGTAAAGAGACAACTTATTGAATCAGAGAAAACATTTGCAAAATATCCATCTGACGAGGGATTAATAACAAGAATATATAAGGAGCTGAAACAATGGCAAAAAGCCAAATAATCTGATTTTTAAAATGGGCAAATGATCTGAATAGACATTTCACAAAAGAAGATGTACAGGTGGCCAACAGGTACATGAAAAAATATTCGACATCGTGAATCAGGGAAATGCAAATCAAAACCACAATGAGATATCGTCTCACCCCAGTTAAAATGGCTATCAAAAAGACAAAAAAAAAAATAAAATAAAATAAAAAAGATTCTTGTGAGGATAAAGAGAAAGGGGAATGGTAGGACAGTTTTATTGGGAATATAAATTAGTGTAGCCTCTGTAAAAAACAGTATGGAGGTTCCTCAAAAAAATCAAAATAGATCTGCCATATGATCCAGCAATTTCACCACAAAGTATAAACTAAAAGAAAGGAAATCAATGTATTGAAGAGAGATCTGCATTCCAGCGTTTATTACAGTACTATTTACAGTTTCCAAGATACGGAAAAACCTGAATCCATCAGCAGACGAATGGATAAAGAAAATGTATATATACACGGAATATTATTCAGCCATAAAAAAGAATGATATCCTGTCATTTCCAGCAACATGGATGTAACTGGAGAACATTATGTTCAGTGAAATAAGCCAAGCACGGACATGTTGCATGTTCTCACTCTTGGGATTTAAAAAAAGTTGATCTCGGGAAGGTAGAGAGTAGAACAATGGTTACCAGAGGCTGGGAAGGGTAGGGGGGCAAAGGGTAGGAAGACAGATTGGTCAATGGGTGTAAAAATACAGTTAGAGGCCGGGCGCAGTGGCTCATGCCTGTAATCCCAGCATGGGAGGCTGAGGTGGGCGGATCACGAGGTCAGGAGTTCGAGACCAGCCTGGCCAACATAGTGAAACCCTGTCTCTACTAAAAATACAAAAATTAGCCATGCGTGGTGGTACGTGACTAGTCCCAGCTACTTGGGAGGCTGAGGCAGGAGAATCGCTTGAAGTCAGGAGGCGGAGGTTGCCGTGAGTCGAGATAGCGCCGCTGCACTCCAGCCTGGGCGACAGAGCTAGAATGCTGTCTTAAAAAAAAAAAAAAACAATTGGAATAAGTTCTAGTGTTTGATAGCACTGCATTGTGGCTATAGTTAACAATAATTTATTATTTCAAAATAGAAGAGAAGGTTTGGAATGTTCTCTACAGAAAGAAATGATAAATGTGTGAAGTGATAGATATCCTAATTACCCTGATTTGATCATTACACACTGTATGTATGTATCGGAATATCATGTGTACTCCATATATATGTAGGTTATTATGTATCAATAAAAAGTATTTTGCTCATTTTAATATTTGTTTTCTTTCTTTCTTTCTTTTTATTTATTTATTTATTTTTTTGAGACGGAGTTTTGCTCTTGTTGCCCAGGCTGGAGTGCAATGGTACGATCTTGGCTCACCACAACCCCCGCCTCCTGGGTTCAAGAAATTATCTTGCCTCAGCCTCCAGAGTAGCTGGGATTACAGGCGTGTCCCACCATGCCCAACTGATTTTGTATTTTTAGTAGAGACGGGGTTTCTCCACGTTGGTCAGGCTGGTCTCGAACTCCCGACCTCAGGTGATCCACCCGCCTCAGCCTCCCAAAGTGTTGGGAATATAGGCCTGAGCTACTGCGCCTGGACGATATTTGTTTTCTTACTGAATTTTAAAAATTCTTTGGATATTCAGGATATTTCTCTTGTCAATTAGATGTTTCTTTTAGACTAATATGCATGTGTGTGTGTCTTGTCTTTTTATATTCCTAACAGTGTCTTTCATAGAACAGACGTTTTAAATTTCTTTCTTTTATGCATCATGGATCATGCTTTTGATGTCATTTTTCTTTTTTTTTTTTTAACTAATATTTTTTAGAGACAGGTTCTCACTTTGTGTCCAGGGTAGGGTGCAGTGGCACAAACATGGCTGACTACAGCCTCAACCTCCTGGGCTCAAGGAATCCTTCCATTTTAGCCTCCCAAGTTGCTGGGACTACAAATGTATGCCACCATACCCCAGTTTGTTTTAAAAATTTTTTGTAGAAATGGGGTCTTGCTATGTTGCCCAGGTTGCTCCTGAACTTTTGTCCTCAGGTGATGCTCCCACCTTGGCCTCCCAAAGTGCTAGGATTATAGGCATGAGCCACCACGTCCAGCCTGGTGTCATTTTTCTAGGAAAACTTTTAGGAAACCAAGGTCACAAAGATTTTTTCTGCAAACTTTTCTTATACATATTTTGTAGTTTTAGTTTTTACACTTGGCTCTGTGATCCATTTTGAGGTAATTTTTATTTGTTGAATTACTTCTACAACTTTGTGGAAAATCAATTGATCATATATATGTGTGTCTATTTGTAGACTGTCCTTTCTTCCTATTTTCCAGTATGTTAATCCTTTTGTCAGCATCTCACTGTTGATTATTGTAGTTTTATATGAAGTGTCGATGTTATATAGTGTGAATCCTCCAACTTTGTTTTTCTTTTTCAAAATTGTCTTGGCAATTCTAGTTCCTTTGCCGTTCCATATAAATTTTAGAATCAGTTTGTTATTTTTTATAAAAAGATTGCTGGGGATTTGAATGGAATTGCATTGAATCTATAGATGAATTTGGGGAGAACTAAAACCTTAACCAGGTAAACTCTTCTAATCCATGAACACATCCATATCTCTCCATTTGCTTAGGTTGTTTTTAATTTCTTTAATCTGTAATTTATAGTTTTCAGCATAGTGTTTGCCTTTTAGGTGCTATTATAAAATACACTGTTTTGTCCGTTGCTTGTGCAGTTGGCAACCTTATTTGAAGGTTTAAAGACACCTCATTTAATATATATCATTGAATCATTAACATTGAACTTACACAGCCAACAGTGCTGTAACTCATGCCTGAATAAGCTTATCTAAAATACATATTTTCTCCACAAGACAGATCACAGCTTTCTTGTGCTTAGGTACACTAGGTAGCACTTGAGCACTGTGCCAGGGATCCATTTTAAACATCAAAACTACTGGAAAAAAAAAAAAGCATAAAAACATGGCACTAAGTAGAGCACTAAAAGGAGACTTGTTTATTGTATGAGACCTGAACCAAAAAGGCACAATATCACTTTGACCTCAGCTGGGAATGTGCATGTTGGGTGACTCAGGTTTTTCACTGCTCTGCACATGTTCATGAATGACCACGAGAGTGCAGTAAATATTGATTTTGGGATTACAAATAAATTTTAGTGAGTAGGCAAATAAGGAATCTGTGAATGAAGATCAATTATATAAAAGTAAAATTGACTTTTGTGCTATATATTGGCCTTATATCTTGCTAACTCAGGTGATAGAGCTTTTTTGTAGATTCTTTAGCATTTTCTTCATCAATATTCATGTCATTGGCAAATAGGGGTACTTTTATTATTCCTTTTTTCTCTCTTCCATCTTTTTCTCTTTTTAAAATTGTAGTGAAAAGCACATCAAATAAATTTACCTACTGGTCTGATTGCAGTGATGTTTACAACTAATTGATCACAACCAATTATAGATTTCTTTATTCCTTCTCCATTTCCAGTGCTTTACTTGAGTAGCCTAAAAAAAAAAAATTACACTCTTAACAAATTTTGAATACAATTTATGGCATTGTTACTTATGTGCATATTGTTGTGCAACAGTTATCTATAACTTTTTCATCTTGCATTACTGAAACTACCCATTTCTCCCTCCCCACAACACTTGACAAACACCATTCTACTTTCCATTTCTGTGTGCTTGATTATATTAGGTACCTCATGTAAGTGGAATCATGCAGTATTTGTCCTTTTGTGATTGGCTTATTTTACTTAGCATAATGTCCTCAAGGTTAATTTATGTTGTGGCATATGATAGGATTTACTTCTTTTATAATACTGAACATTCCATGGTATGTATATGTTATGTTTTGTGTATCCTTCTATCAGTGGACATTTCGATTGTTTCTGTATCGTTAATGTGAGCAATGCTGCAACAAACGTGGATTGTGAGATATCTCTTCAAGATCCTGTTTTCAGTTCATTTGGATATACACCTAGAAGTGGGATAATGTGGTAGTTCTAGTTTTAATTTTTTGAGGACGCTCTATACTGTTTTCCATAGTAGCTTCACCATTTTATAATAATATTAACAGTGCACAGGGGTTTCAATTTTCCCACATCCTCTCCAATACTTGTTATTTTCTGGTTTTTTGATATTGGCACTTCTAACAGGTATGAGGATGAGATCTCATTGTGGTTTTGATTTGTATTTCTTTTATGATTAGTGATGTTGAGCATCTTTTCATATGCTTATTGACCATTGTATATCTTTTTATTATTATTATTATTATTTTTTAAGATAGGGTCTTGCTTTGTCGCCCAGACTGGAGTGCAGTCGCACACTTACGGCTTGCTGCAGCCTTGACTTCAAGCAGTCCTCTCACCTCAGCCTCATGAGTAGCTGGGACTACAGGCGTGCGCCACCATGCCCGGCTAATTTTTTTTTTTTTTTTTTGTAGAGATGGGGTTTCGCCATGTTGTTCAGGCTGGTCTTGAACTCTTGGGCTCAAGTGATCCACCTGCCTCCGCCTCCCAAAGTGCTGGGATTACAAGTGTGAGCCACTGTTATCAGCTCATTGTATATCTTTGGAGAAATGTCTATTCAAGCTCTTTGCCCATTTTCAAATTGGATTATTTTTTGTTGTTAATTATCAAGTTGAGAAGTTCTTTACATATTCTGGGTAATAACACCTTATCTGATATGTGGTTTGCAAATATTTTCTCCCATTCCATAAATTGTCTTTTTACTCTGTTGATTGTGTCCTTTGGTGCACAGAAGTTTTTCAGTTTGATGTAGTCCCATTTGTCTATTTTTGCTTTTGTTACCTGTACTTTTGGTGTCATATCCAAGAAATCATAGCCCATTTCAATGTCATGAAGCTTTTTCCCTATGTTTACTTCTAGGAATTTTATAGTTTCAGGTGCTACCTTTAGACCTGTAATCCATTTTGAGTTAATTTTTGTATATGGTGTGAGATAACGTCCATCTTTAATCTTTTACATGGGCATGTCCAGTTTTCTCAACACCATTTGCTGAAGAGAGTATCGTTTTTCCATTGTGGAGTCTTGGCACCATTGTCAAAGATTGACCAGATACTTCCTGGGATCAAGTGATCCTCCCACCTCAGCCTCCCAAGTAGCTGGGACCACCAGAAGGTGACATCACACCTGGCTGATTTTTGTATGTTTTGTAGAGATGGGGTTTTGTCATGTTGCCCAAGCTGGTCTTGAACTCCTGAGCTCAAGCGTTCTGCCCATCTCGGCCTCCCAAGTGTTGTGATTACAGACATGAACCACCACGTCTAGCTCCCACATTTTTGTTATCTTATATTTTACATCCAGCTTGTTAGGTCTTCTGATACTTTTCTTTATCCTTAATGTTTTGTATTTTGCCATGTTACTGTGTATAAGTGTAGATTAAAAAAATACTGATTAGCAGTAGAGAGTTTTTTCAACCTAGAAAATAATATCTTGGAAAAATTTCAACCATTATTTATTTATTTATTTTGAGATGAAGTCTCACTGTATCACCCAGGCTGGAGTGCAGTGGCGAGATCTCGGCTCACCACAACCTCCGCCTCCCAGATTCAAGCCATTCTCCTGCCTAAGCCTCCCGAGTAGCTGGGATTACAGGTGCGTGCAACCATGCCCAGCTGATTTTTGTATTTCGAGTAGAGATGGGGTTTCACCATTGTTGGCCAGGGTGGTCTTGAACTCCTGACCTCATGATCCACCTGCCTTGGCCTCCCAAAATGCTGGCATTACAGGCATGAGCCACTGCCCCGGCCTCAACCATTACTTTTTAAAAAACATTTCCTTCACCTCTTCTATTTTTTCTTTCTGAAATTGCAATTATTTCACTGTTGGAACTATGTTCCCTACTTCTTAGTTCTTTTTTCCTCATTGTGTAATATCTTTTTTTTTTTTTTTTAATTGAGACAAGAGTCTCACTCTGTTGCGCAGGCTAGAGTGCAATAGCACGATCTCAGATCACTGCAACCTCCGCCTCCCGGGTTCAAGCAATTCTTCTGTCTCAGCCTCCCAAGTAGCTGGGACTACAGGCACATGCCACCACGCCCGGCTAATTTTTGTATTTTTGGTAGAGACGGGGTTTCACCATATTGGTCAGGCTGTTCTTGAACTCCTGACCTCAGGTGATCCACCCACCTCGGCCTCCCAGAGTGCTGGGATTACAGGCGTGAGCCACTGCGCCCAGCAGGTAATATCTTAATCTTTCTTTATACCGTGTTCTAGGTAATTTCTAATGCATAAGTTATCTCCTCATTTGTTGTTAGCTGGATGTTTATCCCATCTATTGATTTTAATTTTAGAGACCATTTTCTGTTTCCAAGATTTGCAGTAGATTCTTTTTATAAATGCCCGTGATCATTTAATTATCTTCTATTCTTCTTTTAGGATGTTAGTCCCACTTAAGTATATTTAGTATGCTCAAAGAGATAAAAAAAAAATTAAGATGTTTCATTTAAAAAACTGTCTTCAGGTGTAAATTCTATTTGCTCTGTCTGCTGATTGGTAGTAATTTTCCTAAAGTGTATTATAATTTTGGCTTGCAGGCTCACGTTGGATTGTTTTTTCCTGTGTGTGTTTTACCCTTTTTGTGTGGCTTTAGAGTTTACTCCACCTGTCCCTCTGGCTGACATAGCTCTAGGTCAGCTGTTTCATTAGGAATTTGGGTTTTTACTTAGTGAATAGCCCAGTTCTGGACCACACTACGTGTGTTATATGTGTTATGCAGGCCCAGTGTCTATTCTCAGGGTAACTCTGTTCCCGCCACATGTAGGTGTTGGGTGGAACTTTTTTTGGCCCAGTTCCAGCAAGGAGTCTGTTTCTGGTCTTCTGTCCCATCCATGGCATGCTGGATTTCTGGAGCTTTGTATCTTTAGCTACACTGTTTTTAGCTAAGTGCCCTTTTCCTGGGGGCTGCACGGCTTTAGTGCCCACTTAACCACTCTTAAGTTTGCCATCTGTTCCTGACCCACGAAGATCTTACTCTTGTTATTGAGTGTAGCTAAATATTTAAATTTTTGTCTAGTTTCTTGTATATCCATCTAGAGGTACTTTATGTTTATTAAGTAATAATGTGCTTATTTTCCTTTGTTTTGTATACAAAAGTTAGCATACTATATATCCTATTAGATTAGTTCGTTCTTGTTCTGCTGTAAAGAAATACCTGAGACTGGGTAATTTATAAAGAAAAGAGGTTTAAATTGGCTTATGGTTCTGCAGGCTGTACAGGAGCAGGCTGGGGAGGCCTCAGGAAACTTAAAATCATGGTGAAAGTGAAGGCAAAGCAGGTGCATCTTATGTGGCCAGAGCAGGGGGAGGGCAGAGAGGGAGAAGGTGCCACACACTTTTTTTTTTTAATCAGGCATTTATAAACAAAGCATACATTAATTACATAAAAATAGTTTTTGAATAACAGAGTAAACATCATATTGTCATTAGCAACAACATAGGACATGGGGCGGGATGCAGGGCTCTGGGTGGTTTTAAAGATAGAGGTGGATTCCCCCCCCCTTTTTTTTTTGGCAGGGCTCTGGGTGGTTTTAAAGGTAGAGGTAAGTCCAACACCCCCCCCTTTTTTTTTTTTTTTTTTTTGAGATAGGGTTTCGCTCTTGTTGCCCAGGCTGGAGTGCAATGGCGCAACCTCAGCTCACCACAACCTCTGCCTCCCAAGTTCAGGCAATTCTCCTGCCTCAGCCTCCTGAGTAGCTGGGATTACAGGCATGCGCCACCACACCCAGCTAATTTTGTATTTTTAGTAGAGATGGGGTTTCTCCATGTTGGTCAGGCTGGTCTCGAACTCTCGACCTCAGGTGATCCTTCCACCTTGGCCTCCCAAAGTGCTGGGATTACAGGTACGAGCTACTGTGCCTGGCCCTTTTTTTCCCTTAATTGAAAAAAAAAAAGAAAGAAATTATTTGTTACTCCTGACTTAAAGCAAGAACAAATGCCTCCCTGGACCCTGGTGGGCTGTGTAACAGGGCGGGTCAGAGAGGAGTGAGGAGGGCTCCGCACCCACTGGGAGGAGGGTGTCACATGGAAAACTGGCATAGGGGCTTCTTCTCCTCGTCTGTGCCACACACATTTTTAAACAACCAGATCTCAGGAGCACTTACTATCATGAGAGCAGCACTGAGGGGGAAATCCATCACCATGATTCAGTCACCTCCTACCAGGTCTTACCTCCAACACTGGGGATTTGGGTGGGGCCACAGACCCAAACCATATCACCTATACTTTGCTTTTCTTAATAAGATAGGGAGTATTTTTTTTTTTTTCTGAGAGACAGGGTCTTGCTCTGTCGCCCAGGTGGAGTACAGTGGTGCAGTCATAGCTCATGGTAGCTTCGACCTCTGGGCTCAAGCAGTCCTCCCACCTCAGTCTCCCTAGTAGCTGGGACTACGGGCATGCACCACCATGCTCAGGCTAATTAAAAAAAAAAATTTAAAGATGGGATCTTGCTTTGTTGCCCAGGCTGGTCTTGAACTCCTGGGCTCAAGTGATCCTCCCACCTTGGCCTCCCAGAATGCTGGGTTTACAGGCGTGAGCTACCATGCCCAGCCAAGATAGGAAGTATTTCCATTTGGTAAATCAGAGAGCTGGCGTGGAGATTTGGTTTCTTTGTTAAAGAGACCTGCTCATTTGACCTGCATAGTTTATCTTCATCACAACAAGTAAAGACTTTTTGTACTTTTGAATTTTTACATTGTTTTTTACATATAGTTTAAAAAATGTTTATACTCTCATTTTCTTTAATATAAAGATTAATCAGTTCTATAATTATGACCTTAACTTCCCCATGTCCTTTAAATTCTAATCATCCATTAAATTAAATTAATAATGTACCCACTGTTTATAGGTTCCTGAGAACTATATGCTTCTATGTCTTCTTTTATGGGACATTTAAAAATTTTTAATGGTAGCAAGCACTTACATACATTTACTATGTGCTAGGACAGAAGTACAGAACAAAAGAGGAGAAATTGTTTAGAGGCAGTGATAAGGAATCCATGTCACTGAGAAATATGAAAAGATGTTCAACTGCTAGCATTAGAATCAATAATAAACTGAAGTTTTAGTTCCTTCCATTTCTCAGACATGTGCTGCATTTCTTTCAGCTGTTTTTGGGGATGCAATGTAAAATAGTTTTGTTATAGCAGTAGCTTAAGGTGAGCTGTATTAGCATTTTCAGGGTTTAAACCCCTAAAATCTCAGGTAGGTATATATTATTTTCTTGAGAACCTACAAAAAAGTCTCATTTCAGTAATTTCAGAGCAGTGTAGAACTTATCCAATGTAGGAATTGGTCATTCAGTCTAAAATAATGGCTGGGCGCGATTGCTCACACCTGTAATCCCAGGACTTTGGGAGGCTGAGGTGGGCAGATCACTTGAGGTCAGGAATTTGAGACCAGCCTGGCCAACATGGCGAAACCCTGTCTCTACTAAAAATACAAAAAGTAGCCAGGTGTGGTGGCACACACCTGTAGTCCCAGCTACTGGGGATGCTGAGGCAGGAGAATCGATTGAACCTGGGAGGCAGAGGTTGCAGTGAGCCGAGATTGCGCCACTGCAGTCCACCCTGGGCGACAGAGCAAGACTCTGTCTCAAAAAAGTAAAATAAAATAGAATAAAATAGAATAGAATAAAATAAAATAAAAAAAAATAAAATAACAATAAGTATAGTTTTTGAGTGGCTGCTTTTTGCCAGTTGCTGTAGTAGGCACTGTAAGTCTAATAATAGTATACATTTACTGAGTTCTCGCTGTGTGCCAGGTGCTGCTTTTTTCATATTAATCTAATCTTCATAACAAGCCTGAGGAAAATCCTGTTATTCTTGTTTTACAAATCAGATAAGGATAAGTAGGATATCATGAAGTTGAGTAACTTGTTTAGAGTCAGAGGTTATAAGTAAGAGTTTATGATATAGTCTAGCACCAGAGATGTACTCTTAACATCAAATACTATACCTCCTATCTTCTTTAATTTTCACAGTAAGCCTATGAGGTAAGTATATAGAAAAGGAAACAGGCTTAGAGAGAATGTGTAACTTTCTCATGGTCTCTTGTTTCTGATCCCCATGAACCATACCATCAAACTCTTGCACTTAAGAAAATAGTCCTGTCTTTCTACAACTTCATCTTATAACTCTTACTGCTTTTTGTCTTATCTCCCAGGGCCATTTCTGAGCAGTGGAGGTTTCAAGTAATCCACTAACAACCAGTTCCAAATTCTGTCATCAAATCCTGTGCTGCTGTTCCTCGTGGTAAGTTTTCTTATGGACATAGTAAAACTTTAATATATTCTACTTCATAAATATCTTCATCTGTAGAAGGAACAAAGTATACTTTTGTGAACACATGATTGATTGGGCTTTACTGTTTTGCTACTGCTTTATCATACTGAGAAAATCAGAAGTTAAATATTTATATATTTGCCTGGCCAGACTTTTGAAAATATTTAGCCCAACAAATAAGATGCTTTACATCTATCAGCTCAGAGTCTGCTGTTATTTGTTATAATTTTATCTTTAGACCACATATTCAAGTACTAAATGGACAGACACAGTGGTATGTTTTAATAGAGTTAAATTAGAACTATTGCACATACATAAAGAACATTAGTGAACATTGTTTCTTAACTAAATTTTAAATGATTAGAATGTGATTATTAGATCAATTATAATATATTATACAGTAGTCTCCCTTTCTCCGTGGTTTTGCTTTCTGTGGTTTCAGTTATCTGCAGTCAACCAAGGTCTGAAAATATTTAGCAGAAAATTCCAGAAATAATTCATAAGTTTTAAATTTAGTGCTGTTCCGAATAGTGTGATGAAATCATACCCTGGACTTGGATCATCCCTTTGTCCAGCATATCTATGCTGTTTATGCTACCCACCCTTTAGTCACTTAGTAGCTGGTTGGTCATCGGATTTAAAAAAATAATATATATTAAGTTTGATAATATTTAGAGTTTCAGACATCCACTGGGGGTATTGGAGCATATTCCCCATAGATAAGGGAGGCTAATGTAACTACTGTTTACTGAATATCCTTTATAGGTCTGACATTATGCTTTACAAATATAATTCATGTGATCCTGTTAACAATCCTATAAGATAGATGGTAGTGTTGACATTTTATAGATGAAAAAACTGGTTACAGAAGTTGAGAATTTTATATTAGGTCACATATCTTGTAACTTGACAGAGCCAGCTTTCAAACCTAGGTATAGCTGTCTCAAACCTTTTGATTTTCTCATTTTACCATCTGATTATGTGTAGTGTTTCAATTTCGACCATGTAAGATGCTGAAGAGTGAAAAATCTAAAGGGTGTGCCTGTCTGTGCATTGTAGAGAATTACAGAAGCTGTATTCAAATATACTGAATTATCTAAATTTTTTTGTTTTTTGTTTTCAGGTAATAGATGCATATTATTTCTTTTATTTAAAAGAAATGAATGTGACTAGTATTGCATTAAGAGCTGAAACTTGGCTTTTAGCTGCATGGCATGTTAAAGTACCTCCGATGTGGCTGGAAGCTTGTATTAACTGGATTCAAGAAGAAAATAATAATGTTAACTTGAGTCAGGCCCAAATGAATAAACAAGTGTTTGAGCAGTGGCTCCTTACTGATCTGAGGGATTTGGAGCATCCTCTTTTACCCGATGGCATTTTAGAAATTCCAAAAGGAGAATTAAATGGATTTTATGCTCTGCAGATTAATTCCTTGGTTGATGTAAGTCAGCCTGCATACTCCCAGATACAGAAGTTGAGAGGAAAGAATACAACAAATGATCTAGTTACAGCTGAAGCACAAGTAACCCCAAAACCTTGGGAAGCAAAGCCTTCACGAATGTTGATGCTGCAGCTAACTGATGGAATCGTACAAATACAGGGAATGGAATATCAGCCTATTCCAATTCTTCATAGTGATCTTCCTCCAGGTACAAAAATTTTGATTTATGGAAATATATCTTTCCGTCTTGGTGTTCTCTTATTGAAACCAGAAAACGTGAAAGTGTTAGGAGGTGAAGTAGATGCTCTTTTAGAAGAATATGCCCAAGAAAAAGTACTTGCAAGATTAATAGGGGAACCTGATCTTGTAGTTTCAGTCATACCAAACAATTCTAACGAAAACATTCCCAGAGTTACAGATGTTCTAGATCCTGCATTAGGTCCTTCTGATGAAGAACTCTTGGCAAGTCTTGATGAAAATGATGAGCTTACAGCAAATAATGACACTTCCTCAGAACGATGTTTCACCACAGGTAGTTCCTCAAATACCATTCCCACAAGACAGTCAAGTTTTGAGCCAGAATTTGTTATTTCTCCAAGACCAAAAGAGGAACCATCAAACCTATCTATACATGTAATGGATGGAGAATTAGATGACTTTTCACTGGAGGAGGCCTTGCTTTTAGAAGAAACTGTCCAGAAAGAACAGATGGAAACTAAGGAATTGCAACCATTGACTTTTAACAGAAATGCCGATCGAAGTATAGAGAGATTTTCACATAATCCTAATACTACGAATAACTTTTCTTTGACTTGCAAAAATGGAAACAATAATTGGAGTGAAAAAAATGTATCTGAACAAATGACTAATGAAGACAAATCATTTGGTTGTCCATCTGTTAGAGACCAAAACAGGAGTATTTTTTCAGTTCATTGTAATGTACCCTTAGCCCATGATTTTACAAATAAAGAAAAGAACTTAGAGACAGATAATAAAATAAAACAAACCAGCAGTTCAGATAGCCATTCCTTAAATAATAAAATATTAAATAGAGAGGTGGTCAACTATGTACAGAAAAGGAATTCACAAATTTCTAATGAAAATGATTGTAATTTACAGAGTTGTTCTTTAAGATCATCAGAGAATAGCATTAATCTTTCTATTGCCATGGATTTGTATTCTCCACCCTTTGTCTATTTGTCTGTTCTAATGGCCAGCAAACCAAAGGAAGTTACAACAGTGAAAGTGAAAGCATTTATTGTAACCTTAACTGGAAATCTCTCAAGTTCTGGTGGTATTTGGAGTATAACTGCAAAGGTGTCTGATGGTACTGCATATCTAGATGTAGACTTTGTGGATGAAATACTTACTAGCTTGATAGGGTTCTCAGTACCAGAAATGAAACAGTCAAAAAAGGATCCTCTTCAATACCAAAAGTTCCTGGAAGGGTTGCAGAAATGTCAAAGAGATCTAATAGATTTGTGCTGTCTAATGACTATTTCATTTAATCCTTCCTTGTCTAAAGCAATGGTACTGGCATTACAAGATGTTAATATGGAACACCTTGAGAATCTAAAGAAGCGGTTAAATAAATAATTAAACTAAAATAGTATTAGGAACAATTAAAAACAACAAGGAAATATTTAGAATTTGTTCACAATTTTACTTATGATACTTTGTGTAAAAAGGAAAAATGAAATTTCATAGCTTATTTCAGTTTAATTTTAAAGTGTTTAATCATGTTTGTTATATGTGGAGCTTTTGAAAATAAGTTAATCTTTTTTTTTTTTTTTTTAATGTCAGGGTATTGCTCTGTTGCCCAGGCTAGAGTGCAGTGGCATGATCATAGGTTATTGCATCAACCTCTTGAGCTCAAGCGATCCTCCTGCCTTAGCCTCTTGAGTTGCTGGGACTATAGGCATGTACCACCATGCCCAGCTAATTTATAATTACTATTATTGTTTTGTAGGGACAGAGTTTTGCTATGTTGCCCAGATTGGTCTCAAACTCCTGGCCTCTCACTCCTGCCGTCATGGCCTCCAAAGTTTACTTTTTTTAAAAGTAACTGTTAGATGGAGGAATATGGTGACCCACTATTGTTGAGAAATTTGTTTTCCACTTGTCACGTCACATAAGATGATTGCTAAAATATTGTACTGGTGTTCGGTGGTGAGTCATATTTTTGAAAGTTAATAATTATAAATAGGTAATTTCCTTCTAATATGTTGGTACTGTCTATGGCCATACCACCCTGAACATGCCTGAGCTTGTCATAATATGTTGAGTACCCAAAAGATTTGTTTATATTGTTAATCTTAGGGAAAAAAAATTAAAATCCAGTAGATCAGAACATCAGGCTTTCAGATACAAATTGATTTACTGGTTTTTATTTTGCTGATTATAATATTTGGTATATTTAAGGTAATCTAGTTAACTAGATGCTATTTCATAGATTATATTGAATGATTTAAAACTTTATTTTCAAGGATAGTTTATTTTAAATGGCATATTGAAAACATCATTATTAAGATCCAGTAGGTAGGACATTTATTGGATTAAAATGAAGCATTTATCTATGTCTTTAGGTGTCATTGTTCCCTTTCTGAATTAGCTGTACATATAAGCCTTCCTTTGGTTTTAAGTACTGATTTTTTTTTAAAAAAAAGAGGGACTGTTTACCATTCTTCCACTGTGCTGTTATAAAGTTGTATTTGAAAGGTAATGTTGTTTTTATTAATCTTTTGTCTTAAAATAATTTAAAGTGCTTTGAATTTTAAAACATTAAACAAATCCTTAAATAACAAAATACATTGGTGTTTTATTTTATTGAAAATAATGTAACGAAATATCAGGAAGTAAGATAAATACATGTATGATGTATGATAATAGAAGTAGAAGAGAAAGATTTTAAAATATTTTCATTGTTGTATCAGGGTTCAAAGCACCAGGACACAGATATTGCTAATATATGCCCTAGTAATAATCTTGTCTATATACTTGCATAGCTTTTTAATAAGTGATCTGAATGGGATAGCTTTATCTTTCATTATCTTTTCATTAAATTTTCTCCTTCTATACTCTCATCTCTGTGAATGGGGCTTGAAAATTGGGATTAGAACTTCTTTTCATATTGTCATTAAAGACTGGCTATCGTACTTTTTATCAATCTATGCTACTATATTGGTTCTTGGTACATCCTGTTTCTAGTCTTCTCTGGCCTGGATTACTGCAGTGGTTTACTAATTGGTCTTTTATCTTATTTTGCCCTCAAACCGTACTCCATAATGTTAGCAGAGTGATCTTTCGAAAATAAGTTTCTTCTTGTTTTCTCTTCATTAACCTTTAATACCAACCTCCTCCCACCCCATTACTTATAGGGTGAAGTCCAAACTCCTCATTGAGTAAGTAAGGACTTTCGTGATCTGGCCCCTGACTTCTTTTTTAGCCTTATCTTGCCCCATTACTCTTTGCCTCTGAGTTTTAGGGGTACCAAGTTATTTGTAGTGCACTAAACATGTGGAAGAATATACCTCTTACTTTCATACTCATGCTTATAGTGCCTGATCCCCCTACCTTCCTAAATCATTTCCAATTCAGTTTAAGCTTTAGGTGCCTGTTACAGTGTTTCATGAATTCCCCTGCCCACTTGCATGCTCTCCTGTACGTTGTACAGACTAATATTATGTGTGTTTTTACTGTGCTTGTTTCTCTGTTATTCTGCTGCTACGTTTTTGGTAGGATAAGTCTTATGGGGCTGTCCTGTGTGCATTGTAGGATATTTAGCAACATCTTTGGCCTCTGCCCACTGGATGTGAGCAGCATCCTTCCAGCTGTGACAACCAAAAATCTCTCCAGGCATTGCCAGATAGTCACTGGAGCTGGAGATGCCCCCAGTTGAGAACCATTGTTCTGTTGGAATATAAGCTGCTTGACAGTATGGTTGAGGGGTTTACCTTGTAGCTCCAGTAATATTTCATCAAATCTGATCATCTTCTGTTGCCTAATATCTTTTGTGATTTCCCGTCATCCATTCCAATAGCATGGTACTTAAAGCCCTGACATCTATGCATACACAGCATCTCAAAGAGCTGCTCTCTTTAGTGAAAGAATAGATTAGGGCCGGGCGTGGTGGCTCAAGCCTGTAATCCCAGCACTTTGGGAGGCTGAGGCAGGCGGATCACAAGGTCAGGAGATCAAGACCATCCTGGCCAACATGATGAAACCCTGTCTCTACTAAAAATACAAAAAAATTAGCTCAGCATGGCGGTGCGCACCGTAGTCCCAGCTACTCGGGAGGCTGAGGCAGGAGAATTGCTTGAACCTGGGAGGCGGAGACTGCAGTGAGCCAAGATCGTGCCACTGCACTCCAGCCTGGCGACAGTGAGACTCCATCTCAAAAAAAAAAGAATAGATTAGAAAAATCTGGCCTATAGTAAAGAGTGACTGAGAAAACTTGGATGACTTGGTTTAGATTCTGGTTGGGTGGGGGAAAATGTGTTCTTTTCCCTGAGAATTTGTAGCCATAGGTCTGTGCTTATGTGGGGCTAACCAGACACTTAAAAGTTACCTGCACGGTAATCTCCGGCCTAATAATTTAACACAAAAAAGAACGATCCTAAGAGTTCCTGGGAGAAGCAAATGGGAAGAAAAAAATAAGCATAATCAGATGAGCTTTCTCTTTCTCTTGGGAGTGACTCTGCTTTCAGAGTACAGTAGCCCTTTGATATCCATGAGGGACTGGTTTCGAACCTTCCACGGATACCAACATCCAGATGCTCAAGTTTCTGATATAAAATGGCACAGTATTTGCATATAACCTATGCACATACTCCCATATACTTTAAATAATTTAATTTCTAGGTTACTTATAATTCTTTTTTTTTGTTTGAGACAGGGTCTTGTTCTGTCACCCTGGCTAGAGTGCAGTGACACAATTACAGCTTACTTCGGCCTTGACCTCCTGGGTTCAAGTGATCCTCTTGTGTCAGCCTGCCGAGTAGCTGGGACCACAGGTGTATGCCACCACGCCCAGCTAATTAAACTTTTTTTGTAGAGATAGTGTCTCACCATGTTGGCCAGGCTGGTCTCCAACTCCTGTCCTCAAGCAATTGTCCTGCCTCTGCCTCCTAAAGTGCTTAATACAATGTAACTGCTATGTAAATAGTTGTTATATTGTATTGTTTAGAGAATAATGACAAGGAAAAAATGTCTGTACATGTTAAGTACAGATGCATTTTAATTTTGAATATTTCTGATCCATGGTTGGTTGAATCCATGGGTGTGAGGGTTGACCATATATGTTCTTTGCTTGTTCATTCTTAAGTCTTAATTGGTTGGCCCTTGTCCTGGCTCCAGTACTGCTTGTGACTTGGAGGGTTAGTCTACCTAATTCTGGAGTTAGTAGGCACCACATGAAGCTCTCAGACATTCAGTTATTTTTAGACTTAAAAATAACAATGTAGTATGCTTGAAAAAAGACAAGATTGAAAGTTTTAGTTAACTGGGAACTGAAAAACTAAATAGATTTTTTTTTTTTTTTTTTTAAATACAGGGTCTTACTTTTTCACCCAGGCTGGAGTGCAGTGGTGCAATCATGGCTCACTGCAGCCTCGACCTCCTGGGCTCAAGCGAACCTCCTACCACAGTCTCTGGGTAGCTGGGACTACAGGTATGCGCCACCAGGCCCAGATAATTTTTTCGTGTTTTTAGTAGAAATGGGGTTTTGCCATTTCTACCTAGGCTGGTCGCAAACTCCTGAGCTCAAGCAATCTACCTGCCTTGGCCTCCAAAGTAGTGGGATTGCAGGTGTGAGCCACAGTGCCTAGCCTAAGTGGAAATTCTAACAACAACAACAACAACAACAGCAAAAAAGCAAGAGCTAAAATTAAGAATTTGATGAGGCCGGGTGCTGTGGCTCACACCTGTAATCCCAGCACTTTGGGAGGCCAAGGCGGGCGGATCACCTGAAGTCGGGAGTTCAAGACCAGCCTGACCAACATGGAGAAATCCCATCTCTACTAAAAATACAAAATTAGCCAGGGGTGGTGGTGCATGCCTGTAATCCCAGCTACTCGGGAGGCTGAGGCAGGAGAATCAATTGAACCTGGGAGGCGGAGGTTGTGGTGAGCCGAGATCGTGCCATTGCACTCCAGCCTGGGCAACAAGAGCAGAACTCTGTCTCAAAAAAAAAATTTTTTTTTGATGAATGAGTTTCAAACCAGATGAAACAAAGCTGAGGATAGTGAAATTAGTTTGGTCAGAAGAAAAAAATTCTGAATGATACATACAGAGACAAAAGGATGGAAAAGAACCGGAAAGCAATGTAACAGAAGGGCTAACATTAAGCAACTGGAGTTCTAGAAAGAGCAAAGTAGAGAATATTTGGAGTTAATGCTTAAGAATTTCATAAAACTCATGAAGATCATCAAGCTATAGATTTCAAAAGCTCTGCAAACCTCAAGCAAAATAAATTTTAAAAATACGCATACAAATATTACTAATACAGTTGAAAAGTAAGGAAAAATTGTAGAGCAGTGACAAAAATAAGGTATGTTACCTTCTAAGGACCAAAATGTGACAACTGACTTCTCAATACAAACAATGGGAATCAGAAGATAATGGACTGACATTTTCAAAGTGATGACATAACTGCTAACCTAGAGTCTATAATAAGCAAAACTGTCCTTAAAAATAGGGTGCAATAGGAAAAATTAACGTTTCAGCCAGACATGGTGGCTAACACCTGTAATCCCAACATTTTGGGAGGCTGAGGCCCATGGATCACTTGAGGTCAGGAGTTTGTGACCAACCTGGCCAACATGGTGAAACCCTGTCTCTACTAAAGATACAAAAATTAGTCGGATGTGGTGGTGTGCACTTGTAATCCCAGCTACTTGGGATACTCAGGAAGCTGAGGCAGGAGAAATGCTTGAACCTGGGAGGCAGAAGTTACAGTTGGCTGAGATCGTGTCACTGCACTCAGCCTGGGCAACAGAGTGAGACTCTGTCTCAAAAAACAAAAAGCAAAAATACTAAAACATTTCACACGAAAAATGAGAATTTCCCCCTAGCAAATCCTGCACACACACAAAAATTGCCTTTAAGCAGAGGGAGAACATTACCAGATAGAAGATTGGAGATGCAAGAAGGAATATGAATTAAAAGGGTAAATATATGGATTAAATGCATAGTGATTGTTTTTCTTTCTTTTTTTTTGGAGTCAGGGTTTTACTCTGTCACTCAGACTGGAGTACAGTGATGTGATCATGTCTCACTGCAGCTTTGAACTCTTGGGCTCAAACAATCTTCCCGCTTCAGCCTCCTTAGTAGCTGGGACTACAGGTGCATAACACCATACCTAGCTAAGTTTAAAAAAAAATTTATAGAGACAAGGTCTCACTATGTTGTCCAGGCTGATATTGAGCTTCTGGCCTCGAGCGAACCTTCTGCCTCAGCCTCCCGAGTTGCTGGAATTACAGGCATGAGCCACTGCACCCAGCATAAATGAATAGTGATTTTAAAACAGGCCAGGCTCAGTGGCTCACACCTGTAATCCTAGCACTTTGGGAAACCAAGGTGGGTGGATTGCTTGAGGCCAGGAGTTCCAGACCACCCTGGCCAACATGGTGAAACCCTGTCTCTACTAAAAATACAAAAATCATCTGGGTATGGTGGTGCATGCCAGTAATCCCAGCTACTTGGGAGGCTTGAGGCTTGAGGATTGCTTGAACTCAGGAGGTGGAGGTTGCAGTGAGCCAAGATCACGCCGCTGCAGCCCACCCTGGGTGACAGAGTGAGAATCTGAATTTTAAAAAGAAAAAAAAGCATATAACTTGGGAGAGGGATAAATCAAGTTAAAATGTTTTAATGGCCTTATTTTCTGAGAAAAGATTAAGCTGTAGTTTTACATTAAACTTTTTTTCTTTTTTAAAGTTTTTATTTTTCCTTTCCAACCCTGGCCTACAGATATATTAAGCTCGAATATTCAAAGTTGCTTTTATAATACTCAGGGTAACCACTCTAAAAGATTTTTAAGATCTTAAAAGTATTGCCACCAAGCTAATGGGACAAAAATTTGATAATACAGAACAAATTGCACTCAACCCAGAGGAAGGTAGGAAAGAGGAAATAACAAAGAAAGAGTGGCATATGGGGAAAAGCAGTTGGTGAGGTGGTAAATTTAAAGGCAAATCTATTAGAAATTGCATTAAATGTAAATAGGCTAAATCCTCTAATAAAAGAGAAACAAGATAATAATACAGCCAATTTATAAGATGCATAAAATGCAAAGATAGAGAAAGATAAAAAGGAAAGGTTATAAAAAGATGTCTAAACATCAAAAGAAAGTTGCTGTGGCTATAATAATATCAAACAGTAGAATTTCAGTCAAAAGACTTAGTAAAGAGAAACAGTTGCTAATGATAAAAGGGCTAATTCACAAGGAAGGTTTAACAATGCTAGACATATAATTCAATAATAGCTTCTAAATTTATCAGAGAATTATAAGGAGAAATAGAAAATCCACAACCATAAAGAAAGATTACACACTCAATCAAAAATGTTGGCAGAGATACAGAAAATACAATTAAACGACCTAGTCAACATTTATAGAAAACAAATGCCTGGTACCTTCTTTTTTTTTTTTTTTTTTTGAGATGGAGTCTCACTGTTGCCCAGGCTGGAGTGCAATGGCACATTCTTGGCTCACTGCAACCTCTGCCTCCCAGGTTCAAGCGATTGTCCTGCCTCAGCCTCCTGAGTAGCTGGGATTACAGGTGCCTGCCACCACATCCAGCTAATTTTTGTATTTTTAGTAGGGACGGGGTTTCACCATGTTGGTCAGGCTGGTCTCGAATTCCTGCCCCAGGTGATCCACCCGCCTCGGCCTCCCAAAGTGCTGGGATTACAGGTGTGAGCCACTGCACCCGGCCCTATAGTACACATTTTTACTGTACATGTGGAACATTTACAAAAACTGACCATCTGCTATACCATAATACAAGTCTAAATAAGATTCAAAAGATTATAACGATCCAGAGTATATTCTCTGATCATAATTAAAGTAAGCTAGAAAAAATGGTTAGACATTTCATATATTTAATAGGTTGGTGCAAAAGTAATGTGGTTTCAGACAATTTTAAATCATTATAACTAGGCTCAAACACATCTTTATTGATCAAAATAGGAACCATTACAATCAACACATTTTTGCCAATGAGAAATAAGTTTGTTTATTCCTGTAGCATAAAAATCTGTGCTTCAGGATTCAACAAACTCTTGGAAGGAATTTTCTGCATCCTGCTGGAAGAGTGGAAGAGTTTTCCCTGCAAAAAGTTGTCGAGATGCTTGAAGAGGTGGTAGTCGGTTGGCAAGAGATCAGGTGAATATGGCAGATGAGGCAAAAGTTTGTAGCCCAATTTGTCCAATTTTTGAAGCATTGGTTGTGCAATGTATGGCTGGGCGTTGTTGTGGAGAAGAATTGGGCCCTTCCTGTTGACCAATGCTGGCTGCAGGCATTGCAGTTTTCAGTGCATGTCATTGACTTGCTGAGCATACTTCTCAGATGGAAGGGTTTTGCTGGGGTTTAGAAACCTGTAGTGAATCAGAGTGGCAGCAGGACATCTAACAGTGTCCATCACCATTTTTTAGTGCAACTTTGGCTTTGGGAAGTACTTTGGAGCTTCTTCTCTGTCCAACCACTGAGCTGGCCATCGCCGGTTGTTGTATAAAATCCACTTTTTGTGGTACATCACAACCCAATGGAGAAATGGGCAGTTATAGGAGGATCGGCTTCCATGATTGCTCTCAATTGATTGTTGTCAACTTCCCATGGCCGGGCACTATGCATTTTGAACTCAGATAAGAAAATCACTCAAATTTGCTTTTTGTCTAACATCATTTCCATAGTTTAAAATCAACATAAACAGCAAGTAATAAGTCATTAGCAAAAACAATAAAGCAAAAAATGCCCATTAAAATGATGTATAACATAACCACATTTATTTAAGATCTATTCCAGTATCAAATGGCAAATTCCAACAATGCAGAAACCATAATTATTTTTGCACCACATGATTAGAAACTATAAAACATACTCCAAAGGAACTTTGGGTTAAGGAAAAAAACAATGAAAATTAGAAAATATTTTAATTATAATAATAAAACATCAAAATTTATGGAATATTGCTGAAGCTGTCCTTAGAGGGAACTTCGTATCTTAATTTATTAGAAAAGAATAAAGGGCAAACATCAATAAGCTGAGCATTTATCCCAGTAAGTTACAAAAACTGCAAATTAAGCACAAAGAAGGAAGGAAAACATAAAGAGCTGAAGTTATTTGGGACAGCTGGGTAACCACATGCAGAGGAATGAAGTTGAATTTATACCTCATACTATATACAAAAATAAGCTAAAAATGGAATAAAGACCTAAATGTAAGAACTATAACTATAAAACTCTTTACAAGAAAATAGATGTAAATCTGTGACCGTGGATGATGCAATGGTTTCTTAGATATAACGTGTATAGCACAAGCAATCAAAGAAAAACAGATTGGAGATCCTCAAAATTTTTAAAAATTGTGATCTAAGGACACTATCACGAAAATGAAATGACAACTCTCTCAGAATGGAAGAATATATTTGCAAATCATGTTATCTGATAAGGGACTTGTATCCAGAATAGAAAAAATTCTACACCTCAGGAATAAAAAGACAAATAGCTCAATTAAAAAATGGGCAAAGTATTTGAATAGCTATATCTTCAAAGGTACACAAATGGCTGGTAAACACATGAATAGATGCTCAGGATTATTGGTCATTAGGGAAATGCAAATAAAAGCTGTAATGGGATACTACTTCATATCCACTAGGATGGCTATAATTGAAAAGAAGACAATGACAATTAGGATGAGGATGTGGAAAAATTGGGACCTTCATATAATGCTGATGGGAATGTGAAATGGTACAGCCACTTTGGAAAATAGTGTGGCAGTTCCTCAAAACGCTAAACAGAGTTACCATGTGATCCAGCAATTTCATTCTTACCTAAAAGAATTGAAAGGGGCCGGGCTCAGTGGCTAACGCCTGTAATCCCAGCACTTTGGGATCACGAGGTCAGGAGATCGAGACCATCCTGGCTAACACAGTGAAACCCCGTCTCTGCTAAAAATACAAAAAATTAGCCGGGCATGGTGGCAGGTGCCTGTAGTCCCAGCTACTCGGGAGCCTGAGGCAGGAGAATAGCATGAACCTGGGAGTGGAGCTTGCAGTGAGCCGAGATCGCACCACTGCACTCCAGCCTGGACGACAGAGCGAGACTGCATCTCAAAAAAAAAAAAAAAAAAAAAAAAAAAAGAATCGAAAGGGTATGCTCACAGAATAACTTGTACGTGAATGTTCGTACACATAATATCCATAACATCCATAATAGTTAATCACCGTGTTAATCACTAGTATAAGATTAACTCGAAATATCCACAACAGTTAAATTCATTGAGACAGAAAGCAGATTAGTGGTTGCCAGGGACTGGGGAGCAGAGGCATGGGGATGAATGGTGAGTGGTCCTCAACCCTTATGCCACCAGGAACCGGTTTTATGGAAGACAATTTTTCCACTGATTGGGGGTGAAGGGCAGATGGTTTTGGGATGAAATTGTTTCACCCAGATCATCAGGCTTTAATTAGATTATCATAAGGAGCATGCAACCTAGATCCCTTGCATGCACAGTTCACAATAGGGTTTGAGTTCCTATGAGAATTTAATGCCCCTGCTGATCTGACAAGAGGTGGAGCTCAGGTGGTAATGCTTGCTCTCCCACCTTTCACCTCCTGCTGTGCTGCTGGGTTCCTAAAGGGCCATGGCCCACTACCGGTCTGTGGCCTGGGGGTTGAGGACTCCTGTGCAAATGGATATGGATATGGATACGGAGTTCCTTTTTGGGATGATTTAAGTGTTCTAGAGTTAGATAGTGGTGATGGTTGCATAACTTTGTGAGTGTACAAAAAAAACCCACTCAATTGTTTACTTTAAAGCGGTGATTTTTATGGTGTGTGATTTAATATATTTCTAAAATTTAAGAATTAAAAATAGAATCTATGATTTAAAGACTTCCCACAAATTCCCAGCTTTCATGACTTCCCCACTGAATTCTTCCAAAGTATTAAGAATAACACTACTTTACATAAACTGTTCCACAGAATTAATATTATAATTCATAGTCACTAGCTAATTGAAATGCACTACTCAGCACCAAAGGCAAATACTTTTATCTGTTATGTAAGGACAAGTTTATACCAACAATTCTGAATTAACTGATGAAGCAGAACCAAAACAAACCATTTAGAAATTCTGCGTCTGTCTCTCCTACTATTACTTCCATCCTACTTGGTACCATCACACTGGCTGATAAAAGGCCTAATATGGGATTATTTCTCTTCTTTCTTTAATTAATTAAATTTATGTATTTAATATATTTTTTGGAGATGGGATTTCACTCTGTTGCCCAGGCTGGAGTGCAGTGATACAATCATAACTCATAATCATAACTCACTGCGGCCTCCAATTCCTGGGCTCAAGCAATCCTCCCACCTCAGCTTCCTGAGTAGCTGGGACTACAGGCACACACCACCACACCTGGCTAATTTATTTTTACTTTTTGTAGAGATGGGGTCTCCCTGTGCCAAGCTGGTCGTAAAGCAATCCTCTCACCTTGGCCTCCCAAAGTATTGGGATTACAGACATGAGCCAAAGAGAAGGCCGGGTACAGTGGCTCAAATGGGTAATCCCAGCACTTTGAGATGCCAAGGCAGGAGAATTGCTTGAAGCCAGGAGTTGGAGAGCAGCCTGGGCAACATAGTGAGACCCCATTTCTACAAAAGTTTTAAAAAACTATGAACAAGGCAAGAGTTGTTTTGTATTGCTATCAGTTATCTACAATTAATAGAGTTGTAAAATAACTCACATAAGTGTCCTTTTTGTTCACAAGGAGCCTCTCTTGAATACATCTGAGTTTATGCTAATGAAGCGACTTAGGGTGGGGCCCCAAAAAGGCCTCAGGATCAAGTTGGTTACCAGAAAGTCCAAGTAATTAGAAGGTGGAAACTTTCTGCCCCACCCACTCACCTCTGTATACAAACTTGAATAATTAGATTTGATGAGCCTCCAGGTGAATACATCAAAGTGCTGGGAGGGTAGCACAGCTGGAGAGGGCATGGAAGCTCTGACCCCTCCTTCACTGAATTGTTTGCTTTATAATAAACTTGTAAATTTAAGTATTGTTTTTCTGAGTTTTATGAGATGTTCTAATAAATTATTGAACCCAAGGAGTGGCTTGTGGGATCCCCTGATTTATACCCAGTTGGTCATAAGTACAGGTGGCCTGGACTTGGATGTGGGGAGCAGTCTTGTGAGACTGAGCTCTTAACCTGTGGGGTCTGCTTTAACTCCAGGTAGTTAGTATTGAATTGAATTGAATTCAGTATTGAGTTGAATTATTGGACACCCAGTTTGTGTCCAGAGAATCAGAGAATTCGTTGTTGGTGTTGGAAAAACACTCTAGAATTGGTGCTAGAAATGGGATGTGAGTAGAGAAATGGCGTTCTTTGTTTTCTGTTTACTGTTTTTTACCAAAGTAGGATTTGAAGCTTTTGTGCCATGCATGGATCCAAGAATTTTTGCCAAGGTTGTGAGCTCCTTGCTGAGTGTTAGACACTGTGCTAAATGCTTTACAAAGAATGTTTCTTTAGAAAGTTAAAATCCTTTTATCAAAGCAATACATAAACATAATCGCAAAATTACATAGTATAGAAAGACCATGATAAAAAGTAGCAATCCTCTTTTTCACTGTTTCCCACGTCCCACTCCTATTCTGCTCCCCAGGGAGACCGATGTTGCCTATTAAGGTCTGTTTTTAGTGTATCTATTGATTGTCCTCATTCTTTAAATAATACGGGAATTTCCATTATTTAGACTTCTACCTGTCAAGTTAGCTCTGATAAAGCTTTAACTCACTTGATTCCTGCATCTCTTTTTTCCATCCATTACAAAACTCTTTTTGGTTTTCTTTATTGGCTATTATTAAAACATGAAATGATGGGCCGGGTGCAGTGGCTCGTGCCTGTAATCCCAACACTTTGGGAGGCCGTGGCAGGCGGACTACCTGGGGTCAGGAGTTTGAGAGCAGCCTGGCCAACATGGTGAAACCCCGTCTCTACTAAAAATACAAAATTAGCCGGGTGTGGTGGCACACGCCTGTAATCCCAGCTACTTGGGAGGCTGAGACAGAATTGCTTGAGCCCAGGAAACAGGTTGCAGTGAGCCGAGATCGTGCCACTGCACTCTAGCCTGGCCGACAGAGCGAGACTCTGTCTCAAAAACAAACAAACAAATAAACAAACAAAACCATGAAATGGTGAACTTACACTTTGATTTCTTATTACAACTATAGGCCATTTCTCCTGACTACTCATATTACAAAATAGTCTAATTAGTACTCCTAACTTTTCTTTATGCTTAATGTCTCCTCATACTTCAACATTATCAGACTGAATAAGTTTGCATTCTATTAATTAATCTGATTTATGACATCTGTTTCCTCTATAAGCTTATTCTAAAGGTTAAACGTCAAGCAGTGATCACATTATTACAACTATTTAAATATTGGTGATTGCACAGGTTGTTATGTGTAGTATATTGGCATTACCAGTCTTTTTGTAGAGATTTTTTTGGGTGATGGGGGGTGTTATTTGCTGTCCATTTTGGGGGTATTCACACCTTTTTCTCATCCTTAAGTTCTTCCAACTTCTTAAGGACAATATCAAATCTCTTGCATCTCTTACTTTTCTAGATACCTCCTGTAAAAAAAAAGCCTTTTTAGATTTGCAGAAAATTTGAGATGATAGTAGAGAGTTCTTATATACTCTACTCCCAGTTTGCTCTATTATTAACATCTTGCATTAGTATGGTACATTTGTTACAACTGATGATCCAATATTGTTACATTATTAACCAAAGTCTATATTGTATGTAGGTTTTACCTAATGTGTTTCTCTTCCAGGATCCCATCCAGGATACTATATTACCTTTAGTTGTCATGTCTCCTTACTCTCCTCTTGGTTGTGACAGTTTCTCAGACTCTCCTTGTTTTTGATGACCTTGACAGCTTTGAGGCGTATTGGTCAAGTACTTTGTAGGATGCCCCTCTATTGGAATTTGTGTGATGTTTTTCTCATTATGATACTGGCTAATTGGTTTCTGGGAGGAAGACCACACAGGTAAAGTGTCATTTTTACTATATCATATCAAGGGTACATACTATCAACATATTTAATCACTGTTCATGTTGACCTTGATCACCTGGATGAGATAGTGTTTGTCGTTTTTCTACAGTAAAGTTATTCTTCCACTCTCCCCCAGCCTTTCCACACTGAATGCTTTGGAAGGAAGTAACTGTGTGTAATCTATACTTAAGGAGTGAAGGTTTGTGTTCCATTTATGTTCCTCCTTCCTTGAGGACAGAGTATCTACATAAATTATTTGAAATTGTTCTGAAACAGAGATTTGTTTCTTTTCCCTCATAAATTAATTTATTCAATGATTTATATGAATATAGACTCATGGATATATATTTTATAATTTGGGTTATAATTCAGTAGTACTTTTTAAATTTTGTTGTTCAAATTGTTTCAGCTTTGGCAATTGGGATCTTCTTTCCCTTGGTTCTTGTGTCCCTTTGACATACTCCCATCATTTATTTTTTATTTTATTTTTTCTGAGACAGAGCCTTGCTCTGTTGCCCAGGCTGGAGTGCAGTGGCACAATCTCAGCTCACTGCAACTTCCACCCCTGCTACCCCTGGGTTCAAGCGATTCTCGTTTTTCAGCCTTCCGAGTATCTGGGATTACAGGCGCCTGCCACCACGCCTGGCTAATTTTTGTATTTTTAGTAGAGAAGGGTTTTGGCATGTTGACCAGGCTGGTTTAGAACTTCTGACCTCAAGTGATCCACCTGCCTTGGCCTCCCAAAGTGCTGGGATTACAGGTGTGAGCCACCACACCCAGCCACTCCCATCATTTTTTAAAGTACTTTACTTTCTGGTATTACAAGATGCTCAAGACTTATCTTTTATATTTCCTTCTCCAGACCTAGAATCAGTAATGTCTTCTTTTATTGGAGAATGGTAGTAGAAAAAAATGTCTGGACGTCTGGACACTGGGTATTAAATAACTTTTTTGGAGTCAATTTGTTTAATTATTCTCAGTATTTTCTAGCCTGCTGCTCAACTCTCATCTTGACTATCTTCCATTTTTCTTTTAACTTGGATCCACTGTTTCTGGGATTTCCTGCCCTGCCCTGCCCTGCCCTGCCCTGTCCTGCCTTGCTTTCCCTTTCCCTTTCCTGCCCTGCCCTGCCCTGCCCTGTCCTGCCTTGCTTTCCCTTTCCCTTTCCTGCCTTGCCCTGCCCTGCCCTGCCTTGCCTTGCCTTCCTTTTCCCTTTTGCCCGGCTAATTTTTTGTATTTTTAGTAGAGACGGGGTTTCACCGTGTTAGCTAGGATGGTCTCGATCTCCTGACCTTGTGATCCGCCCGCCTCGACCTCCCAAACTGCTGAGATTACAGGCGTGAGCCACCGCGCCTGGCTTAGATTTAAGTCTTTAATCCATTTTGATTTGATTTTTGTATATGGTGAGAAATAGGGATCTGTTTTCATTCTTCTGCTTATGAATATCCAGTTTTCCCAGCACCATTTATTGAAGAACATATCCTTTCCCCAATATATGTTTTTAGCACCTTTGTTGAAAATGACTAAATATGTGAATTTATAGCTGGGTTCTCTATTCTGTTTCTTTTGTTTGTGTGTCTGTTTGTATGCCAGTACAATGCTGATTTGGTTACTGTAGCTTTGTAGTAGTATATTTTGAAGACAGGTAGTGTGATGCCTCCAGCTTTGTTCTTTTTGCTCAGGATAGCTTTGGCTATTTGGGGTCTTTCATGGTTCTACGTAAATTTTAGGATTGCTTTTTTTGTTTCTTTGAAGAACAGTTACTATAATTTTGATAGGGATTGTATTGAACCTGTAAATTACTTTGGGTAGTATTATCATTTTAACAATATTAAATCTTCAAATCCATGAAAATGGAATATGTTTCCATTTTTGTGTGTTTTTATTTATTTATTTCTTTGAGATGGAGTCTCACTCTGTTGCCCAGGCTGGAGTCCAGTGGCGTGATATCAGCTCGCTGCAACCTCTGCCTCCCAGGTTCAAGTAATTCTTCTGCCTCAGCTTCCCGAGTCCAGTCTATCATTCTGGGAGTTTTTCTGGTATTATTAATTTTAAAATCCTTTCATTTTCTTTTTCTTGAATTATCATTTTAGTTAAATATTGGGCTTCTGGATTGGTCTTCATGTGTATTAACTTTCATCTTTTTTTTTTTGAGACTGGGTCTCGCTCTGTTGCCTAGAATAGAATGCAGAGGCACAGTCACAGCTTGCTGCAGCTTCAACATCCAGGGCTCAAGTGACCCTCCCACCTCAGCCTCCCAAGTAGCTGGGACTATGGGCATGTGCCACCAAGCTTAGCTAATTTTTAAATTATTTGTAGAGATGGAGGTCTCCCTATGTTGCTCAGGCTGGTCTAACTCCGGGACTCAAGTGATCCTCCCACTTTGGCCTCCCAAAGTGCTGGTATTACAGGTGTGAGCCACTGTGCTTGGCCTTAACTTTCTTCTTGGTGTACTTTTTTGTCTTGTTTCTTCTTTCTGAAAGACTTTCTTGACCTTACCTTCTAACCTCTATTTTTTTCAGCCATCAAATTGTTAATCTCCCAAAACTCTTTCTGTTATTTAATTGAATTATTATATTTAAAAATTTAATAGCAGCTGGTTCTTGTTTCATAAATGTAGTATCTTCTGTATATTTTTGAGGATACATAGTAATCTTTTTTTTTTTTTTTTTTTTTTTATGGGGTCTTGCACTGTCACCAGGCTGGAGTTCAGTGGTGAGATCTTGGCTCACTGCAACCTCTGCCTCCCGGGTTCAAGCGATTCTCCTGCCTCAGCCTCCCGAGTAGTTGGGATTACAGGTGCACACCACCACGCCTGGCTAATTTTTGTATTTTTTTTAGTAGAGATGGGGTTTCACCATGTTGACCAGGCTGGTCTTGAACTCTTGATTACCTTAGGTGATCCGCCCACCTCGGCCTCCCAAAGTGCTGGGATTACAGGCGTGAGCCACCGTGCCCAGCCTAATCTTTTTTTAAAAAAGTTGTTTATGTTTTATGAATTGTCTTATGAATTTATCTTTAGTTCTCTTAATACATTCCTCTCTTTTCTTTTGTGTTTCTCATTCACATTACAGATTTTCCTTAAAAGTCTGGCAATCTTTGATAATCTGTCCACTTTTAAGAATGAGGCAATAGGCTGGGTGCGGTGGCTCACGCCTGTAATCCCAGCACTTTGGGAGGCCGAGGTGGCAGATCACGAGGTCAAGAAATCGAGACCATCCTGGCCAACAGGGTGAAACCCTGTCTCTACTAAAAATACAAAAATTAGCTGGGCGTGGTGGCAGGTGTCTGTAGTCCCAGCTACTTGGGAGGCTGAGGCAGGAGAATCTCTTGAATCCGGGACGTGGAGGTTGCAGTGAGTCGAGATCACACCACAGAGTGAGACTCCGTCTCGGGGAAAAAAAAAAAAAAAAAGAATGAAGCAATAGAAAGATTGACTTTGAACTTTTCATACTTGAATGGGCTTCTTGGCCAACAGTGCCCCGTTTAGCTGCCCTAATTCTTCCTAGATGGTTCAATAAACTTCTTTATAGAAAACTGTGTTTACGTTTATTATTACTATTATTCTCTTCCTTTTTTTTTTTTTTTTTTTTTTTAAGACGGAGTCCGCTGTGTCGCCCAGGCTGGAGTGCAGTGGCGCGATCTCGGCTGACTGCAAGCTCCGCCTCCCGAGTTCCCGCCATTCTCCTGCCTCAGCCTCCAGAGTAGCTGGGACTACAGGCGTCCGCCACCACGCCGGGCTAATTTTTTGTATTTTTAGTAGAGACGGGATTTCACCATGTTAGCCAGGATGGTCTGGATCTCCTGACCTAGTGATCTGCCCGCCTCGGCCTCCCAAAGTGCTGGGATTACAGGCGTCAGCCACAGCACCTGGCCTATTACTATTATTTTCTGCCTGGAGAACAATCACCTGCTTGATGGATGTTTTGCTTACTGGTTTGTGGGAGTGGAGTGGGCGCTTTTTATATACTCCATATTATACAGGCTGTTTTAGTCCATTTTCTATTGATATAACAGAATACCAGAGACTGGGTAATTCGTAAAGAAAAGAAGTTTATTCATCTCACAATTCTGGAGGCTAGGGAGTCTAAGAGCATGGCTCTGGCATCTGGTGAGGGCCATCCCAGGGCAGAAACATGGAAAGCAGAAGTGAGCACGCAAGACAGAGAAAGGAAATTTGGCCAAACCCCCTCCTTCTAATTACGAATCTACTCCTGAGATAAGAAATTCACTCCCATGATAATAGTAGTAGTTCATTCATGAAGGTGGAGCCCTCATGACCTAATCATCTGTTAAAGTCTCACCTCTTAATACTGTTACATGGACAATTGAATTTCTTTCTTTCTTTTTTTCTTTTTCTTTTTATTTATTTTATTTTATTTATTTATTTTTAGACAGTCTTGCTCCATCACCCAGGCTGGAGCTGGAGTGTGGTGGCATGATCTTGGCTCACTGCAACCTCCACCTCCTGCGTTCAAGCAATTCTCCTGCCTCAGCCTCCCGAGAAGTTGAGATTACGGGCGTGCACCACCATGCCCAGCTAATGTTTGTATTTTTAGTAAAGACGGAGTTTCACCATGTTGACCAGGCTGGTCAACAGCCTCAGCCTCCCAAAGTGCTGGGATAATAGGCATGCGTGAGCCACCGTGCCCAGCCAGGCAATTAAATTTCAACAAGAGTTTTGCGGGGACATTCAAACCATAGCACATGCTTTAAATAATAACCCTGCTTTCATTCCCAGGTCTCATTCCTCTTTTTCATCCTAACTGAATTTTCTGAATCTAAGCATTTGAAGTTTCTCCAGGTAAGATTGGTGTACTCTTCCATTGGGGAGTCTTTTCCACTTAACACACTCATACTCACACAGTCACGCAGGCTGGAGTGCGGTGGTTTGATCGTAGCTCACTGCAGCCTCTAACTCCTGGGCTCAAGGGGTCCTCCTGCCCCAGTCTCCTGGGTACCACGCCCAGCTAATTTTTATTAATTTTTTTTTCTTTTTGAGACAAAGTCTTGCTCTATTGCCCAGGCTGGAGTGCAGTGGCGCGATCTCAGTTCACTGCAACCTCCGTCTCAAGGGTTCAAGCAATTCTCCTGTCTTAGCCACCTGAGTAGCTGGGTTTACAGGCATGCGACACCACACCCAGCTAATTTTTTTGTATTTTTAGTAGAGACGGGCTTTTGCCATGTTGTCCAGGCTGGTCTCGAATTCTGGCCTTAAGTGATCCTCCCTCTTTAGCCTTCCAAATAGCTGGGATTATAGGCATTGCTCCTGGCTATGCACTCATTTTCTAAGTAGTGGTTCCTCCTTTATCAGTGATCAGTCCTCCAAACTCAGTGTTTTCCAAAAGCTTGATAAAATCACTTGTTTGCTGATGGCTTTCCTTTCTTTCTCTTCAATATTGCACTTTTATACCCTGAAAATAACTTTTACTGTCATTTTAATAAAGTTTCAGAGGGACTAACAAAAAGCTTATAGCTCTTCCATCGTCTTAAACAGAAACAAATCTCATTTAATTTTTAGAACAATCCTATATCATGTTATTTTACGGAGTTGGGAACATTGGCCCAAGGAGACCAAATATTAATAGATATCTCTAAACCAAATAAGTTATTCAGTGATGGAGCAGGGAATAAATCCCAGGAAATCCACTCTACAGCTTCATGGTCTTGTTTTTTCTCTAAATTTATTGGTATAAAATTCTAAGGCCATATTTACAGATATCCTAGGAGGTGACAGAAATATTGCATCCTGAAGAATTTCATTTTAAGAGACCCAGGAAATACTTAGTTAAGTATATACCTAATTAACTATGTTTGAAAGATGATTCTAAAATGAATCAAGTTATCTTTGCTCTGGATTATCCAACTTTGCATTCCTTATATTTAGTCATTAATTGCTACATATTATTTGACTTCTTTGGAACTCTTTCTAACTATTTTAAAATGTTTTCAATCAGAAGCAATGGAAAAGAACAATATCCAGAGAAATGGATAACAACTGGAAAGGGAAAGTGGAATGGTTTAAAGTGGCACACATAAAAGATGTTTGTTCTTACATCCTTTTCCACTGAAGTCTTATTCTTCTCTTTTTTGAGACACAGTCTCGCTCTGTTGCCCAGGCTGGAGTATAGTGGTGCAATCTCGGCTCACTGCAAGCTCTTCCTCCTGGGTTCACACCATTCTCCTGCCTCAGCCTCCTGAGTAGCTGGGACCACAGGCGCCCGCCACCACGCCTGGCAATTTTTTTGTATTTTTAGTAGAGACGGGGTTTCACTGTGTTAGCCAGGATGGTCTCGATCTCCTGACCTCATGATCTGCCCACCTCAGCCTCCCAAAGTGCTGGGATTACAGACGTGAGCCACCGCGCCCAGTCTTGAAGTCTTATTCTTAAGGGACTTGCATAAAAGAGAATGTGTCAGACAGGCCATGCTAAGAAGACCAGTTAATACTTTCCAACAAATATTGCTTTATATACGCGAGCGCAGGTATTTTCTGGAACTTCTGTGTTTGAATATAGCAATCTATACATGTTATACTAGAAACCTGTTTTTGGATATTCAGTATATATCCTGGCAACCCATCATCAAATTTACTCTTTGACTTTCTTTTCAGTTGTGCCATCGAGAATAGACAAGTCATGTTTCCCCAAACTTCAGTTTTCTTATTTATCCAGTCAAAATACTGGACCAGATGACCTCCAAGACCTCATCCTTCCATAAAATTCCACGATTCTATTACTTAGATCTTCTTACTTTATTTTTAGTGGTTCATAATATGTCTTTTGATCAATACCTTAGAGTATAATTTACATATGTTTAAATATACAAATTTTAAATGTATTGCTCAATGGCTTAATAAAAATAGCTTTATTGGGATATAATTAACGTGCCACGAAATTCACCTGTTTAATGTGTACAGTTCAATGGTTTTTAGTATATTTAAAGATTTTTTTTTTTTTTGAGACAGAGTTTCCCTCTTATTGCCCACGCTGGAGTGCAATGGCGCAATCTCGGCTCACCGCAAGCTCCGCCTCCTGGGTTAAAGCAATTCTCCTGCCTCAGCCTCCCGAATAGCTGGGATTACAGACATGCGCCACCAGGCCCTGCTAATTCTGTATTTTTAGTAGAGATGGGGTTTCTCCATGTTGGTCAGGCTGGTCTCTAACTCCTGACCTCAGGTGATCCGCCTGCCTTGGCCTCCCAAAGTGCCGGGATTACAGGCGTGAGCCACCACATGTGGCCTATATTTAAAGATTTTTATACCTATCATCACAGTCTAATTTTAGAAAATTTTTATCACCCTAAAAGAAACCTGGTACCCATTAGCAGTCGCTCCTGTCCTCCCTTTCTCTTTACCCTGCCAGTTCTTGGGAACCACTGGTCTACTTGCTCTTTCCATATATTTAATATTTGTCTATTTTGGCCCTTGTTTTTTTTTTTTTTTTTTTTTTTTTTTTGAGTCTAGGTCTTGCTTGGTCACCCAGGCTAGAGTGCAGTGGTGACATCATGGCTCACTACAGTATTCTGGCCCTTTCATAGGAATGAAATCTTACAATGTGTCATCTTTTGTGACTGACTTATTTCATTTGGCATAATGTTTTCGAGATTCATCCACGTTGCAGCAAGTATCAACACTTCATTCCTTTTTTTTGCCAAATAGTGTTCATTTTGTGCATGTACCACATTTTATTTATCCATTCATCAGTTGATGAAAATTTAGGCTGTTTCTACTTTTGGTTATTATGAATAATGTTGCTATGAACAATTGTGTTCCTGTGGACATGTGTTTCTATTTCTCTTCGCTACATACCAGGAGAATTGCTGGGTCATATGGTTCTCTACTTTTAATATTTTGAGGCACTGCCAAACTGTTTTCCAGAGCGGTTGCACCATTTTACATTCCCATTAACATGTACAAGGATTTCCATTTCTCCACATCTTTGCTAACAATTATTACTAAGTTTTGTTGTTGTTGTTGTTTTGTTTTTTGTTGTTGTTGTTTTGAGATGGAGTTTTACTCTTTTTGCCCAGGCTGGAGTGCAATGGCATGATCTTGGCTCACTGCAACCTCTGCCTCCCAGGTTCAAGGGGTCCTCCTGCTACAGCCTCCCAAGTAGCTAGGATTACAGGCACGCACCAACATGCCCAGCTAATTTTTGTATTTTTAGTAGAGACAGAGTTTCGCCATGTTGGCCAGGCCATTGTTGAACTTCTGACCTCAAGTGATCTGCCCGCCATGGCCTCCCAAAATGCTGGGATTACAGACGTGAGCCACTGCACCCGGCCAATTATTACTAAGCATTAAAATTAATTAATATTATCTTTTTGATTATAGCTATTCTAATAGATGTGAAGTGGTATCTCATTATTCCATGACTTTTAAGTTACCTACCTCTTTGTGACCTCCACCTACATGAAAATATGTGATGTTTCTATTCCTCCTGAAAATTTCTTTGGTACCTTTCTTCAGTAAACACTAGTTGCCTGCCCCTGGGTAACTACTCTTCTGACATCTACCACTGTAGATTAGTTTTGCCTGTTCTTGAATTTCATATAAATGCAACAAAACAGTATGTATGATTTATATATCAAAGCACATGAATGTTCATAGCAGCATTATTCATAGTAGGCAAAAAGTGGAGGTAACTCAAGTGTCTATCAACTGATGAATGAATAAACGACATATGGTATATCCATAAAATGGAATACTGACATAACTTAAAAAGTACTACCTAAAGTAGCAAGTGCTGATGTAGAAGCTGCAGCAAATTACCCAGAAGGTCTAGCTAAGGTCATTGATAAAGGTGGCTACACTGGAGAAAATTTCAATGTAGACAAAACAGCCTTAAATTGGAAGTAGATGCTGTCTAGAATTTATACAGCTAGAGAGGAGAAGTCAACACCTAGCTTTAAAGCTTCAAAAGACAGGCTGACGTTATTGTTAGGGGCCAATGCAACTGGTGACATGTGGTTGAAGCTGATGCTCATTTACCATGTTTAAAATCCTGGAGCCCTTAAGAATTACGTTGGCTAAGTATGAGGGCTCACACCTGTAATCCCAGCATTTTGGGAGGCTGAGGTGGGTGGATTACTTGAGTCTAGGAGTTCAAGACCAGCCTGGGTACCATGGCGAAAAACAGTCTCTACAAAATATACAATTAGCCAGGTGTGGGTGTGCCTGTGGTCCAAGCTACTTGGGAGACTGAGGTGGGAGGATCACCTGAGCCTGGGGAGACCAAGGCTGCAGTGAGCCATGATTGTGCCATTCCAGCCTGGGCAACAGTGAGACTCTATCTCAAAGAAGGAGAATTATTTTAAGTCTACTCTACCTGTGTTCTATACGTGGAACAACAAAGCCCAAATGACAGCACATCTATTGACAGCGTAATTTACTAAACAATTTAAGCCCACTGTTGAGACCTATTCCTCAGAAAAAAATATTCTTTTCAGAATATCACTGTTCTTTGACAGTGCACCTGGTCACCCAAAAGCTCTAATGGAGATGTATGAGGAGATTAATATTTTCATGCCTGCTAAAACAATATCCATTCTGTAGCTCATGGATTAAGGAATAATTTTTCCTTGATCTTAATTTTTCAAGTTGTTGTTGTTGTTGTTGTTGTTGTTGTTCTTCTTCTTCTTCTTCTTCTTCTTCTTCTTCTCCTCCTCCTCCTCCTTCTTCTCCTTCTTCTCCTTCTTCTTCTTCTTCTCCTTCTTCTCCTTCTCCTCCTCCTCCTCCTCCTCCTCCTCCTCCTCCTCCTCCTCCTTCTTCTTCTTCTTCTTCTTCTTCTTCTTCTTCTTCTTCTTCTTCTTCTCCTTCTTCTTCTCCTTCTTCTTCTCCTTCTTCTTCCTTCTTCCTTCTTCTTCCTTCTTTCTTCTTCTTCATCTTTTTTATTTGAGAGTCTCACTTTGTCACCCAGGCTGGAGTGCAGTGGGATGATCTTGGTTCACTGCAACCTCTGACTCCTGGATTCAAGCAATTCTCATGCCTCAGTCCCCTGAGTAGCTGGGATTATAAGCGTGCGCCACCACACCTGGCTAATTTTTGTATTTTTAGTAGAGACAGAGTTTCACCAAGTTGGCCGGGCTGGTCTTGAACTCCTGACCTCAAGTGATCCACACACCTAGACCTCTTAAAGTGCTGGGATTACAGGCATGAGCCACCGCACCTGGCCATGTCTTATTATTTAAGAACTACATCTCATAAGGCTATAGCTGCCTTAGATAGTGATTCCTCTGATGGATCTGAGCAAAGTAAATTGAAAATTTTCTGGAAAGGATTCACCATTCTAGATGCCATTAAGAACATTTATGGTTCATAGGAGGAGGTGAAAATATCAACATTAACAGGAGTTTGGAAGAAGTTGATTCCAACTCTCATGGATGACTTTGCAGGGCTCAAAACTTCACTGGAGGAAGGAACTACAGAGGTGGTGGAAATAGCAAGAGAACTAGAATTAGAAGTGGAGACTGAAGACGTGACTGAATTGCTGCAATTTCATAATAAAACTTGAAAGGATGAGGAGTTACTTTTTATGGATGAGAAAAGAAAGTGATTTTTTGAGATGGACTCTACTTCTGGTGAGGATGCTACAAACGTGGTTGAGATGATAACACAAGATTTAGAACAGTACATAAACTTAGATGATAAAGCAGTGGCAGGGATTAAGAAGATTGACTTCAATTCTGAAAGAATTTCTACAGTAAGTAAAATGCTATCAAACAGCATTGCATGCTACAGAGAAATCTGTCATGAAAGGAAGAGTCAGTCAATATGGCAGACTTCATTGTTGTCTTATTTTAGAAATTGCCTTAGCCACCACCCTGATTAGTCAGCAGCCATCAACATCCAGGCACGGCTGGGCGTGGTGGTTCATGTGTGTAGTCCCAGCACTTTTTCAGGCCAACGTAGGAGGATCACTTGAGGCCTGGAGTTTGAGACCAGCATGGGCAACAAAGGGAGACCTTGCCTTTACAAATAAATAAATAAATAAAAATTTAGCTGGGCATAGTGGTGCACACCTGTGGTCTCACGTACTCAGGAGGCTGATGTGGGAGGATCACTTGAGCCCCAGAAGTCTGAGGCTTGCAGTGAGCTATGATCATACCACTGCACTCCAGCCTGGGTGACAGAGCAAAACCCTGTCTCTAAAATAAAAAAAAAAAAAAAAAATCAAGGCAAGACCCTCTACCAGCCAAACTATTATTACTTGCTTGCTGAAGGCTCAGATGATCAGTAGCGTTTTTTAGCAATACGGTATTTAAAAATTAAGGTATCATTTTTTTTTAAGACAAATGCTGTTGTATACTTAATAGACTACAGTATCATGTAAACATAGTTTTTTTTGGGTTTGGGGAACAGGGTCTCGCTCTGTCACCTGGGCTGGAGTGCAGTGGCATGATCTCGGCTCACTGCAACCTCTGCCTCCCAGGCTCAAGTGATCCTCCCACCTCAGCCTCCCGAGTAGCTGGGACTACAGGCATGCATCACCACGCCCGGCTAATTGTTTGTATTTTTTGTAGAGATAGGGTTTCACGATGTTGCCCTGGCTGGTCTCGAACTCCTAGGCTCAAGTGATCCACCTGCCTCAGTCTCTCAAAGTGCTGGGATTATAGGCATAAACCACTGCACCAGGCTGTAAGCATAATTTTTATAAGCACTGGGAAACAAATTTGTGTGACTTGCTTTATTGTGATGTTTGCTTTATTGCAGTGCTCTGGAACTGAACCTGCAGTATCTCCAAGATATGTCTGTAATGTGTACTCTTTTGTGTCTGGTTTCTTTCACTTAGCATAATGATTTTGAGGGTTAAGCATGTTGTATATCCAGGCATATATCAATATTTCATTCCTTTTTGTTGTTAAGTAGTATTCCATTGTACGGATGTACCACATTTTGTTTATCCATTCACCTGTTGATGGATATTTGAATTATTTTCAGTTTTTGGCTCTTGTTAATAAAGCTACTTTAAACATTTGTGTGGGCATAGACTTTCATTTCTCTTAGGTACATACTGAAGAGTAGAATGGTAGGATTATATCACAGTTGTGCTTAATTTGATAAGGAATGCCAGTTTTCCAAAATGATAGCATTGTTTTGCATTCCCATGGGCAGTATATAGAGTTTTCTTAGGACATTTTAAACAAATGTTTATATAGGTAGTTAATTTTTGTTGTAGAAATATTAAAAAGTATATAAGAGTAAAGAAATACATCACTTAAAATCTTACCACAAGATGTAGCATTGTGGAGTATATTATTCTTAACTTTTTTCTACCTATGCTATTTAAAGTAAAACCTTATACTGTATGTACTTCTCTGTATTTTGCTTTTTCCATGTAACGTGGGAATAGATTTTCTGTTCCAATAAATATACATTTAAACCATCATTTAAAATAGCTGCATAGTGTTCTGTTACATCAATGCAGGATATACGGAAACTAGCCATTTGGTTTTTGTTGGACCTTTAGGTTGTTTGCACTTCTCATTTTTATAAATAATATTACAATGGACATTGTTGTAAAAATAAAACTGTAAGGCCGGGCGCGGTGGCTCACGCCTGTAATCCCAGCACTTTGGGAGGCCGAGGCGGGCGGATCACGAGGTCAGGAGATCGAGACAATCCCGGCTAAAACGGTGAAACCCCGTCTCTACTAAAAATACAAAAAATTAGCTGGGCGTAGTGGCGGGCGCCTGTAGTCCCAGCTACTTGGGAGGCTGAGGCAGGAGAATGGCATGAACCCGGGAGGCAGAGCTTGCAGTGAGCCGAGATCCCGCCACTGCACTCCAGCCTGGGCGACAGAGCGAGACTCCGTCTCAAAAAAATAAATAAATAAATAAATAAATAAATAAATAAATAAATAAATAAAACTGTATATTTCTTTTCTGGTTTTTTTTTTTTTTTTTTTTTGAGACGGAGTCTCCCTGTCTTGTGCCCAGGCTAAAGTACCGTGGCACGATCTCAGCTCACTGCAACCTCCACCTCCTGGGTTTAAACAATTCTGCCTCAGCCTCCCGAGTAGCTGGGATTACAAGTGCTTGCCACCACGCCTGGCTAATTTTTTTAATTTTTAATAGAGATGGGGTTTCACCATGTTGGTCAGGCTGGTCTCGAACTCCCAACCTCCCCAAGTGCTGCAATTACAGGTGTGAGCTACCGCACCTGGCCAAAATTGTATTATATTTCTATAATTCTTTCTTTCTTTCTTTCTTTTTTTTTTTTTTTTTGAGACAGAGTCTTGCTCTGTCACCCAGACTGCAGTGCAGTGAGATCTCGGTTCACTGCAAGCTCCGCCTCCTGGGTTCACGCAATTCTCCTGCCTCAGCCTCCCGAGTAGCTGGGACTGCAGGCGCCCACCACCGCGCCCGACTAATTTTTTGTATTTTTAGTAGAGACGGGGTTTCACCATGTTAGCCAGGATGGTCTTGATCTCCTGACCTTGTGATCCGCCTGCCTCGGCCTCCCAAAGTGCTGGGACTACAGGCGTGAGCCACCGAGCCTGGCCTATAATTCTTTCTTTATGATAAACTCCAAGGAGGATTGCTGGCTCCAAATATACACAAATTTTGAAGGCTTTTGATACCTCATGCCTAATTGCCTTCTTGCTCTGTTTTCTTTTTCTACTAGTTTTGTGACCTTGGGTATGTTACCTAATGTTTTTGAGCATCAGTTTCCTCATCCATAAAATGGAGATAATAGAAGAATACATTGTTTTAAAATATTTGGCATAGTGTCTCACACATAGTAAGTACTCAGTGGCAGCTATTACTACTTTAAAAAATTATTACAGTTAATATTATTACCTGTAGTATTTAAGAGTTCAGGACTTCTAAACCTCTCAAATACTTATACAAAATATTATCATTTAAGAAATACCTTTGTCAATCTGATCATTTGTATTTCTTCTGTGAATTATTTATAAATATTCCTTGATGATGATTTTAAATATTTCTCAAATGTTGGAATGAACAATAGGATACTAAGTTTTTGGAACTGTCTCTGATAATTAGGAGTGAGAGACAGGTGACTATCCCATAAATAAATCCAGTAAATTTGGTAGTACTCTGTTTATGTCTTTGTAAATTCATGCTGTTGGTATTCATTGCAGCTTTGGGATTTGGGACAGCAGATCTATAACGCATTTAGGACCCAATATAAATCAACTCTAACTATGTATTTGATGTTATTGGTTTTCTGTGATTACCTGATTCTTTATGTCAATTTTATGGGACCTCGATGCTAATAAAATGAAACAGAGTTCTCTAAGCCCAAATTTATTTAATCTTTTTTTTTTTTTAGATGGAGTCTAGCTCTGTTGCCCAGGCTGGAGTGCAGCGGAGCGAGCGATCTCGGCTCACTGCAACCTCTGCCTCCCGGGTTCAAGCGATTCTCCTGCCTCAGCCTCCCGAGTAGCTGGGACTACAGGTGTGTGACACCACGCTCGGCTAATTTTTTGTATTTTTAGTAGAGACAGGGTTTCACTGTATTAGCCAGGATGGTCTTGATCTACTGACCTCATGATCTGCCTGCCTCAGTCTCCCAAAGTGTTGGGATTACAGGCGTGAGCCACTGCACCCGGCCACTAAATATTATTAAGCTATTTATTCAAGAAGTTTTAAATTTTTTAACATTTAACTCTGAGTGGAGGTAGGGGAAGTAGAGCTAGAAAATGGAAGAGGAATGGAAAAGAAGTCTATCAAGTATTTTTTAGCTTTTAGTTGGAGTTAGCTAACTTTCAGAAGGGGGAACAAGTTCCTGACTCCTGCCTTTCTGTAATGGTGTAAAAATGTAGCTAAGGTGTATGGAGAAGGAACATCCTGACCAGATCTTCTCTCCGAAATCATCCTGAGTATGCCAATACAAAAACAAAACAAAAATGAAGCAAAACAAAAACAATCCTTTCCCTTTTCCTACCACTCCAGAGATTTAAGAAATTAGTTTATTAAAATGCCTTTTAAAATCAATCTATTAAAATCCACACCTTAATGTGAATTGCAGTACTATAATTAGACATTCAACTTTCAACTTTTTAATAAGGATTTTTGCTGACTGGTGACCCAGAGCTAATATTGGAGGAAGTGGTCAGTTGGAAGAAGGCAGGTCTGCTCCAGGGTCACAGGGAGTTTTGGGCTGTTAGGGTATGGTTTTTAGGGCATTTGTTCTTAACAATTGCCTAATTTCTTTGAGCCTTAGTTTTCTCACTGGTAAAGTTGGGGTGAGTCTTGAGAGTCTCAAGTGAGATGCAGTATGCAAATTCTTTGAACACTTAAAAATCACTGTTACCATTCTAGCACCAGATTTTGAGCGTTCTCCCACATAAGTAATAAATCACCTTCTCAGAGGGTAGAAGTAAAGTAGAGACGGGGTTTCACCATGTTGGCCAGGCTGGTCTCAAACTCCCGACCTCAGGTGATCCACCTGCCTTGGCCTCCCAAAGTGCTGAGATTACAGGTGTGAGCCACTGCGCCTGGCCTCCAAGCTCATCTTCAACATTTACTGCCCCAGACCTCGAATCGACCATTACTATCAGGGACCCTTACTTCTTTTAGTGGAAAATGATATGCAGAGCATATCATATGGGCACTGAGGACATTCATTGCTACAGAAATTGTTATTTTTACAGATGTTTTCAGGGTGAAGGGCAGGAAAGTTTTAATCACTTTAATTTTGTTAAAGATAAAATATACCATGAGAATGTACTGATAGTTTCCTTTATTTTATTTTATTTTATTTTATTTTATTTTATTTTATTTTATTTTATTTGAGAAAGAGTCTCGCTCTGTTGCCCAGGAGGGAGTGGAGTGGTGCAATCACAGCTCACTGCAGCCTTGATCTCCTCTGCTGAAGTGGCACTCCCACCTCGGCCTCTCGAGTTGCTGGTACTACAGGCACACGCCATCACACCCAGCTACATGAGATACTTTGATACAGGCATGCAATAAGCAGTAACCACATCATGGAAGATGGAGTATTCATCCCCTCAAGCATTTATTCTTTGTATTACAAACAATCCAATTATATCTTTAAGTTATTTTTCGATGTACAATTAAATTATTGATGACTATAGTCACCCTGTTGTGCTGTCAAATAGTAAATCTTATTCATTATTTCTAACTATTTTTTTGTACCCATTAACTATTCCTACTTATCCCCAGCCTCCCCATTACCTTTCCCAGCCTCTGGTAACCATTCTTCTACTCTCCATATCCATGAGTTCAACTGTTTTGAGTTTTTAGCACTCAGAAATAAGTGAAAACATGCGAAGTTTGTTTTTCTGTGTCTGACTTATTTCACTTAACGTAATAACCTTCACTTCCATCTGTGTTGTTGCAAATGACTGGATCTCATTTTTTTATGGCTGAGTAGGACTCCATTGTATATAATTACCACATTTTCTTTATCCATTCATCTGTTGATAGACACTTAGTTTGCATCCTAATCTTGGCTATTGTGAATAGTGCTGCAACAAACATAGGAGTGTAGATATCTCTTCAATATATTGATCTTTTTTCTTTTGGGTATATAGCTAGCAATGGGATTGCTGGATCATATAGTAGCTCTGTTTTTAGTATTTTTTCAATTTTTTAATTTTTATTTTTTTGTGGGCACTAGTAGGTGTATATATTTGTGGGTACATGAGTTGTTTTGATACAGGCGTGCAATGTGAAATAAGCACATCATGAAGAATGGGGTATCCATTCCCTCAAGCATTTATCCATTGAGTTGCAAATAGTGCAATTACCTTCTTAAGTTATTTAAAAATGTAGAGTTAAGTTATTGACTATAGTCACCCTGTTGTGCTAACAAATAGTAGGTCTTATTTACTAGTTCTAGCTATTTTTTTGTACCCATTAACCATCCCCACCTCCCCTACCTCTCCCCACTACCCTTCCCAGACTCTGATAACCATCCCTGTACCCTCTATGTCCATGAGTTCAATTGTTTTGACTTTTAGATCCCACGAGTAAGTGAGAACATGTGATGTTTGTCTTTCTGTGCCTGGCTTATTTCACTTAACATAAAGACATGCAGTTCCATCAAAGTCATTGCAAATGACTGGATCTCATTCTTTTTTAAGGTTGAATAGTACTCCATTGTGTGTAATTACCTCATTTTCTTTATCCATTCATCTGTTGATGGACACTTATGTTGGTTCCAAATCTTAGCTATTGTAAACAGTCCTGCAACTAACACACGAGTGTGGCTATCTCTTCGATATACTGATTTGCTTTCTTTTGGGTGTATACCCAGCAGTGGGATTGCTGGATCACATGGTAGCTCAATTTTTAGTTTTGTGAGGAACCTCCAAACGGTTGTCCATAGTGGCTGTACTAATTTACATTCCCGTCAACAATGTACAAGGGTTCCCTTTTCTCTACATCCTCTCCAGCATTTGTTCTTGCCTGTCCTTTGGGTATAAGGCATTTTAACTGGGGTGAGATGGTATCTCATTATAGTTTTGATTTGCATTTCTTTGATGATCATTGATGTTGAGCACTGTTTCATATGTCTTTTGTTTGCCATTTGTATGCATTCTTTTAAAATATGTCTATTCAAATCTTTTGCCCATCTTCCGATTGGATTATTAGATTTTTCCCTATAGAGTTTGAACTCCTTATATATTCTGGTTATTAATCCCTTGTTAGATGCGTAGTTTGCAAATATTTTCTCCCATTCTGTATGTTGTCTCTTCACTTTGTTGTTTGTTTTCCTTGCTGTGCAGAAGCGTTTTAACCATCTCATTTGTCCATTTTGTCTTTGGTTGCCTGTGCTTATGGGGTGTTACTCAAGAAATTGTTGCCTAGATAATGTCCTGGAAGTTTTCCCCAATATTTTCTTATAGTAGTTTCATAGTTTGATGTCTTAGATTTAAGTTTTTAATCCATATTAATTTGGTTTTTGTATACAGTGAGAGAGAGGTCTCTAGTTTTATTCTTCTGCATAAGGATATCCAGTTTTTTCAGCACTATTTATTGAAGAGACTATCCTTTCTCCAATGTATGTTCTTGGCACCTTTGTCAAAAATGAGTTCACTGTAGATGTGTGGATTTGTTTATTGGTTCTCTATTCTGTTCCATTGGTCTATGTGTCTGTTTTTATGCAATAGCTTTGGCTATTCTGGGTCTTTTGTGACTCCATATAAATTTTAGGATTGTTTCTTCTATTTCTGTGAAGAATGTCATTGATACTTTGACAGGAATTGCATTGAATCTGTAGAGTGCTTTGGGTAGTATGGACATTTTAACATTATTGATTCTTTTGATTCATGAATGTAGAATCTTTCGATTTTTTGTGTACTCTTCAATTTCTTTCATCAGTGTTTTATAGTTTTCCTTGTAGAGGTCTTTCACTTCTTCAGTTAATTCCTAGGTATTTAATTTTATTGTGGCGATTGTCAATGGGATTACTTTTTAATTTCTTTTTCAAATTGTTCACTGTTGGCATATAAAAGTGCTACTGATTTTTGTGTGTTACTTTTGTATCCTGCAACTTTATTGAATTTATCAGTTCTAACAGTATTTTGGTAGAGTCCTTAGGTTTTTCCAAATATAAGATCATATCATCTGTAAACAAGGATAATTTGGCTTCTTGCTTTCCAATTTGAATGACCTTAATTTCTTTCTCTTGTGTGATTGCTCTAGCTATGACTTCCAGTACTATGCTGAATAACAGTGGTGAAAGTGGACATCCTTGTCGTGTTCCAGATCACAGGAAAGTCTTTCAGTTTTCCCCTCTTCAGAATGATACTAGCTGTGGGTCTGTCATACATGGCTTTTATTATGTTGAGGTATATTCCTTCTATGTGTAGTTTTTCTTAAATAGATCTACCTCATCTCTCACCTTCCATGTGTAGTTTTTGAGAGTTTTTATCATGAAAAGACGTTGAATTTTATAAATTGTTTTTCTGCATCTGTTGAGATAAACATATGGTGTTGTCCTTTATTCTGTGGATGTGACGTATCATATTTATTGATTTTTGTGTGTTGAACCACCCTTGCATATCTAAGATAAATCCCACTTGGGCATTTTTTTTTTCAATGTGCTGTTTGATTTTTGTTTGTTAGTATTTTGTGGAAAATTTTTGCATTTCTGTTCATCAGGGATATTGGCCTTTAGTTTTTTTGTTGGCGTCCTTGTTCTTATTTGGTTTCGGTGTCAGCGTAATGCTTGCCTCATAGAATGATTTAAGGAGAACTTCTTCCCCTTTTTTTTTTTTTTTGAGATGGAGTCTTGCTCTGTTGCCCAGGCTGGAGTGCAGTGGCTCAATCTCGGCTCACCACAACCTCCACCTCCTAGGTTCAAGCGATTCTCGTGCCTCAGCCTCCCAAGTAGCTGAGACTACAGGTGTGTGCCACCAAGCCTGGCTAATTTTTGTATTTTTAGTAGAGACAGAGTTTCACAATGTTGGCCAGTCTGGTCTCAAATTCCTGACCTCGTGATCCGCCCTCCTGGGCCTCCCAAAATGCTGGGATTACAGGTGTGAGCCACCGCGCTTGGCCGAGAACTTCTTCCTCTTAAACTCTTTGGAGTAGTTTGAAGAAAATTGGTGTTAATTCTTTTTTGAAATCTTAGTAGAATTTGGCAGTGGAGCCATCTGGTCCTGGACTTTTCTTTGTTGGGAGACTTTTTTTTATTATTATACTTTAAGTTCTGGGGTACATGTGCAGAATGTGCAGGTTTGTTACATAGGTATACCTGTGCCATGGTGGTTTGCTGCACCCATCAACCCATCATCTACATTAGATATTTCTTCTAATGCTATCCCTCCCCCAGGCCCCCACCCCCTGACAGGCCCTGGTGTGTGATGCTTGCCATACCCACCCCCCGAATCCATGCATTCTCATTGTTCAACTCCCACTTATGAGTGAGAACATGTGGTGTTTGGTTTTCTGTTCCTGTGTTAGTTTGCTGAGAATGATGGTTTCCAGCTTCATCCATGTCCCTGCAAAGGACATGAACTCATCCTTTTTTATGGCTGCATAGTATTCCATGGTGTATATGTGCCACATTTTCTTTATTCAGTCTAACATTGATGGGCATTTGGGTTGGTCCCAAGTCTTTGCTATTGTGAATAGTGCTGCAATAAACATACATGTGCATGTGTCTTCATAGCAGAATGACTTATAATCCTTTGGGTATATACCCAGTAATGGGATTGATGGGTCAAATGGTACTTCTAGTTCTACATCCTTGAGGAATCGCCACACTGTCTTCCACAATGGTTGAACTAACTTACACTCCCGCCAACAGTGTAAAAGTGTTCCTATTTCTTCACATCCTCTCTAGCATCTGTTGTTTCCTGACTTTTTTTTTTTTAACTTTATTTTTTTTCGAGATGGAGTCTCGCTCTGTCACCCAGGCTGGAGTGCAGTGGCGCGGTCTCGGCTCACTGCCAGCTCCACTTCCGGGGTTCATGACATTCTCCTGCCTCAGCCTCCTGAGTAACTGGGACTACAGGCACCCACCACCATGCCTGGCTAATTTTTTGTATTTTTAGTAGAGACGGGGTTTCACCATGTTAGCCAGGATGGTTTTGATCTCCTGACCTCGTGATCCGCCTGCCTCAGCCTCCCAGAGTGCTGGGATTACAGGCGTGAGCCACTGCACCCGGCCTCTGTTTCCTGACTTTTTAATGATTGCCACTCTAACTGACGTGAGATGGTATCTCATTGTGGTTTTGATTTGCATTTCTCTAGTGACCAGTGATGATAAGCTTTTTTTCATATGTTTGTTGGCCACATAAACGTCTTCTTTTGAGAAGTATCTGTTCATATCCTTTGCCCACTTTTTGATGGGGTTGTGTGTTTTTTTCTTGTAAATTTGTTTAAGTTCCTTGTAGATTCTGGATATTAGCCCTTTGTCATATGGATAGATTGCAAAATTTTTTTCTCATTCTGTAGGTTGCCTGTTCACTCTGATGATAGTTTCTTTTGCTGTGCAGAACCTCTTTAGTCCCATTTGCCAATTTTGACTTTTGTTACCATTGCTTTTGGTGTTTTAGTCATAAAGTCTTTGCCCATGCCTATGTCCTGAATGGTATTGCCTAGGTTTTCTTCTAGGGTTTTTATGGTTTTAGGTCTTACGTTTAAATTTTTAATCTATCTTGAATTAATTTTTTGTAAGATTTAAGGAAGGGGTCCAGTTTCAGGGAATCCTTTCCCCATTGCTTGTTTTTGTCAGGTTTGTCAAAGATCGTATGGTTGTAGATGTGTAGTGTTATTTCTGTGGCCTCTATTCTGATCCATTGGTCTATATGTCTGTTTTGGTACCAGTACCATGCTGTTTTGGTTACTGTAAACTTATAGTATAGTTTGAAGTCAGATAGTGTGATGCCTCCAGCTTTGTTCTTTTTGCTTAGGATTGTCTTGGCTATATGGGCTCTTTTTTTGGTTCCATATGAAATTTAAAGCATATTTTTCTAATTCTGTGAAGAAAGTTAATGGTAGCTTGATGGGAATAGCATTGAATCTATAAATTACTTTGTGCAGTATGCGCATTTTCATGATATTGATTCTTCCTATCCATGAGCATGGAATGTTTTTCCATTTGTTTCTGTCCTCTCTTACTTCCTTGAGCAGTGGTTTGTAGTTCTCCTTGAAGAGGTCCTTCACATCCATTGTAAGTTGCATTCCTAGGTATTTTATTCTCTTTGTAGCAATTGCAAATGGGAGCTTGCTCAGGATTTGGCTCTCTGTTTGTCTATTATTGGTGTATAGGAATGCTTGTGATTTTTGCGCGTTGATTTTGTATGCTGAGACTTTGCCGAAGTTGCTTATCAGCTTATGGAGTTTTTGGGCTGAGACATGGGGTTTTCTAAATATACAATCATGTCATTTGCAAATAGAGACAATTTGACTTCCTCTCTTCCTAGTTGAATACCCTTTCTATCTCTTGCCTGATTGCCCTGGCCAGAACTTCCAACAGTATGTTGAATAGGAGTGGTGAGACAGGGCATCCTTTTCTTGTGCTGGTTTTCAAAGGGAATGCTTTCAGCTTTTGTCCATTCAGTATGATATTGGCTGTGGGTTTGTCATAAATAGCTCTTAATATTTTGAGATACGTTCCATCAATACCTAGTTTATTCAGTGTTTTTAGCATGAAGAGGTGTTGAGTTTTATTGAAGGCCTTTTCTGCATCTATTGAGATAATCATGTTGTTTTTGTCATTGGTTCTGCTTATGTGATGGATTATGTTTATTGATTTGCATATGTTAAACCAGGCTTGCATCCTAGGGATGAAGCCGACTTGATCATAGTGGATAAGCTTTTCAATGTGCCGCTGGATTCAGTTTGCCAGTATTTTATTGAGGATTTTCTCATCAATGTTCATCAGGGATATTGACCTGAAATTTTCTTTTTTTGTTCTGTCTCTGCCAGGTTTTGGTATCAGGATGATGCTGGCCTCATAAAATAAGTTAGAGAGGGGTCCCTCTTTTTCTGAAATACTTTCAGAAGGAATGGTACCAGCTCCTCTTTGTACCTCTGGTAGAATTTGGCTGTGAATCCATCTCGTCCTGGGCTTTTTTGGTTGGTAGGCTATTAATTATTGCCTCTATTTCAGAACTTGTTATTGGTTTATTCAGGGATTCGACTTGTTCCTGGTTTAGTCTTGGGAGGGTGTATGTGTCCAGGAATTTATCCATTTCTTCTAGATTTTCTAGTTTATGTGTGCAGGGGTGTTTATAGTATTCTCTGATGGTAGTGTATTTCTGTGGGATCAGTGGTGATCTCCCCTTTATCATTTTTTATTGTATCTATTTGATACTTCTCTCTTTTCTTCTTTATTAGTCTGGCTAGCAGTCTATCTATTTTGTTAATGTTTTCAAACAACTAGGTCCTGGATTCATTGATTTTTTTGAAGGGTTTTTGTATCTGTATCTCCTTCAGTTTTGCTCTGATCTTAGTTATTTCTTGTCTTCTGCTAGCTTTTGAATTTGTTTGCTCTTGCTTCTCTAGTTCTTTTAATCGTGATGTTAGCGTGTCGATTTTAGATCTTTCCCGCTTTCTCCTGTGGGCATTTAGTCCTATATATTTCCCCCTAAACACTGCTTTAGTTGTGTCCCAGAGATTCTGGTACGTTGTGTCTTTGTTCTCATTGGTTTCAAATAACTTATTTATTTCTCCCTTAATTTCATTATTTACCCAGTAGTCATTCAGAAGCAGGTTGTTCAATTTCCATGCAGTTGTGTGGTTTTGAGTGATTTTCTTAATCCTGAGTTCTAATTTGATTGCACTGTTGTCTGAGAGACTGTTTTTTTATGATTTCTGTTCTTTTGCATTTGCTGAGGAGTGTTTTACTTCCAATTATGTGGTCGATTTTAGAATAAGCACTATGTGGTGCTGAGAAGAATGTATATTCTGTTGATTTGGGGTGGAGAATTCTGTAGATGTCTATTATGTCCACTTAGTCCAGAGCTGAGTTCAAGTCCTGAATATCCTTGTTAATTTTCTGTCTTGTTAATCTGTCTAATATTGACAGTGGAGTGTTAAAGTCTCCTACTATTACTGTGTGGGAGTCTAAGTCTCTTTATAGGTCTCTTAAGAACTTGCTTTATGAATCTGGGTGCTCCTGTATTGGGTGCATATATATTTAGGATAGTTAGCTCTACTTGTTGCATTGATCCCTTTACCATTATGTAATGCCCTTTGTCTTTTTTGATCTTTGTTGGTTTAAAGTCTGTTTTATCAGAGACTAGGATAGCAACCGTGTTTTTTTTTTTTTTTTTTTTTTTTTTTGCTATCCATTTGGTTGGTAAATCTTCCTCCATCCCTTTATTTTGAGCCTATGTGTGTCTTTGCATGTGAGATAGGTCTCCTGAATACAGCACACTGATGGGTCTTGCCTTTTTATCCAATTTGCCAGTCTGTGCCTTTTAGTTGGGGCATTTAGCTCATTTACATTTAAGTTTAATATTGTTATGTGTGAATTTAATCCTTTCATTATGATGCTAGCTGGTTATTTTGCCCATTAGTTGATGCAGTTTTTTTCATAGTGTTGATGGTCTTTACATTTTGGTTTGTTTTTGCAGTAGCTGATACTGGTTTTTCCTTCCCATGTTTAGTGCTTCCTTCAGGAGCTCTTGTAAGGCAGGTCTGGTGGTGACAAAATCTCTCAGCCTTTGCTTGTCTGTAAAGGATTTTATTTCTCCTTCCCTTATGAAGTTTTATTTGGCTGGATATGAGAATCTAGGTTGAAAATTCTTTTCTTTAAGAATGTTGAATATTGACCCCTGCTCTCTTCTGGCTTGTAGGTTTTCTGCAGAGAGATCTGCTGTTAGTTTGATGGGCTTTCCTTTGTGGATAACCCGACCTTCCTCTCTGACTGCCCTTAACATTTTTTCTTTTTTCTTTCTTTCTTTTTTTTTTTTTTGGAGACGGAGTCTTGCTCTGTTGCCCAGGCTGGAGTGCAGTGGCATGATCTCGGCTCACTGCAACCTCCACCTCCTGGGTTCATGCCATTCTCCTGCCTCAGCCTCCCGAGCAGCTGGGACTACAGGCGCCTGCCACCACACCCAGCTAATTTTTTGCATTTTTAGTAGAGACAGGGTTTCACTGTGTTAACCAGGATGGTCTCGATCTCCTGACCTCGTGATCCACCTGCCTTGGCCTCCCAAGGTCCTGGGATTACAGGCCTGAGCCACCACACCTGGCCAACATTTTTTCCTTCATTTCTGTTGCGGGAAGTCAGGGATCCTGAACGGAGGGACTGGCTGAAGCCATGGCAGAAAAACATAAATTGTGAAGATTTCATGGACATCACTTCCCCAATCAATACTCCTGTGATTTCCTACGCCTGTCTTTACTTTAATCTCTTAATCCCGCCATCTTTGTAAGCTGAGGATGTATGTCGCCTCAGGACCCTGTGATGATTGTGTTAACTGCACAAATTGTTCATAAAGCATGTGTGTTTAAACAATATGAAATTTGGGCACCTTGAAAAAAGAACAGGAGGCCGGGCGCGGTGGCTCACGCCTGTAATCCCAGCACTTTGGGATGCCGAAGTGGGCGGATCACGAGATCAGGAGATCGAGACCATCCTGGCTAACATGGTGAAACCCTGTCTCTACTAAAAATACAAAAAATTAGCCGGGTGTGGTGGCAGGCGCCTGTAGTCCCAGCTACTTGGGAGGCTGAGGCAGGAGAATTGTGTGAACGTGGGAGGTGGAGCTTGCAGTGAGCCGAGATAGTGCCACTGCACTCCAGCCTGGGCGACAGAGAGAGACTCCATCTCAAAAAAAAAAAAAAAAAAAGAAAAAAGAAAAAAGAAAAAAGAACAGGATAACAGCGATGTTCAGGGAACAAGGAAGATAACCATCAGGTCTGACTGCCTGAGGGCCGGGTGGAACAGAACCATATTTCTCTTCTTACCAAAGCAAATAGAAATATCACTGAATTCTTTTTCTCAGCAAGGAACAGCCCTGAGAAAGAGAATGCGTTCCTAGGGGGAGGTCTCTGAAATGGCTGCTCTGGGAATGTCTGTCTTATACAGTTGCTGTTAAGGGATGATATAAGCCCCAGTCTCCTGTAGCGCTCCCAGGCCTATTAGGACGAGGAAATTCCTGCCTAGTAAATTTTAGACAGACCAGTTGTCTACTCTCAAACCCTCTCTCCTGATAAGATGTTATCAATGATAATGCATGCCCAAAACTTCATTAGCAATTTTAATTTCGCCCTGGTCCTGTGATCTTGCTCTGCCCTCATTTGCCTTGTGATATTTTATTGCCCTTAAAGCATGTGATCTCTGTGACCCACACCCTATTCATACACCCCTCCCCTTTTGAAATCCATAATAAAAACTTGCTGGTTTTGCAGCTCAGGGAGCATCACAGAACCTGCCAACATGTAATGTCTCCCCCAGACACCCAGCTTTAAAGTTTCTCTTTTGTACTCTTTCCCTTTATTTCTCAGACCAGCCAACACTTAGGAAAATAGAAAAGAACCTATGTTGAATTATCGGGGGTGGTACCCCGATACATTTCAACCTTGGTGAATCTGATGATTATGTGTTTGGGGTTGCTCTTCTCAAAGAGTATCTTTGTGGTGTTCTCTGTATTTCCCAAATTTGAATGTTGGCCTGTCTTGCTAGGTTGGGGAATTTCTCCTGGATAATATCCTGAAGTGTGCTTTCCAACTTGGTTCCATTCTCCCTGTCACTTTCAGGTACACCATTCAAACGTAGGTTTGGTCTTTTCTCATAGTCCCATATTTCTTGGAGGCTTTGTTTGGTCCTTTTCATTCTTTTTTTCTCTAATCTTGTCTTCACGCTTTATTTCATTAAGTTGATCTTCAATCTCTGGTATCCTTTCTTCTGCATGATCGATTTGGCTATTGATACTTGGGTATGCTTCACAAAGTTCTCATGCTGTGTTTTTCAGCTCCATCAGGTCATTTATGTTCTTCTCTAAACTGGTTATTCTAGTTAGCAATTCCTCTAACCTTTTTCAAGGTTCTTAGCTTCCTTGCATTGGGTTACAACACGCTCCTTTAGCTCAGAGGAGTTTATTATTACCCACCTTCTGAAGCCTACTTCTGTCAGTTCGTCAAAGTCATTCTCTCTCCAGTTTTGTTCCCTTGCTGGCGAGAAGTTGTGATCCTTTGGAGGAGAAGAGGCATTCTGGTTTTTGGAATTTTCAGGCTTTTTGCTCTGTTTTTTGCTTATCTTCGTGGATTTCTCTACCTTTGATCTTTGCTGTTGGTGACCTTCAGGTGGAGTTTTTGCATGGTCATTTTTTCTGTTGATGTTGATGCTATTGCTTTCTGTTTGTTAGTTTTCCTTCTAACAGTCAGGACCCTCTTCTGCAGGTCTGCTGGAGTTTGCTGGAGGTCCACTCCAGACTCTCTTTGCCTGGGTATCACCAGCAGAGGCTGCAGAACTGCAAAGATTGCTGCCTGCTCCTTCCTCTGGAAGCTTCATCCCAGAGGGGCACCCACCAGATGCCAGCCAGAGCTCTTCTGTATGAGGTGTCTATCAACCCCTGCTGGGAGGTGTCTCTCTGTCAGAAGGCACGGGTGTCAGGGACCCACTTGAGGGGGCAGTCTGTCCTTTAGCAGAGCTCGAGTGATGTGCTGGGAGATCCGCTGCTGTCTTCAGAGCCTGGAGGCGGGAACGTTTAAATTGGCTGAAGCTGCATCCATGGCCACCCCTTTCCCCAGGTTCTCTGTCCCAGGGAGATGGGAGTTCAAGCTATAAGCCCTTGACTGGGGTTGCTGCCTTTCTTTCAGGGATGCCCTGCCCAGACAGGAGGAATCTAGAGAGGTAGTCTGGCTACAGTGGCTTTGCCGCCCAGTTCAAACTTCCTGGTGGCTTTGTTTATACTGTGAGGGGAAAACCACTTACTCAAGCCTCAGTAATGGTGGACACCCCTCCCCCTACCATCTTCGAGCGTCCCAGGTTGACTTCAGACTGCTATGTTGGCAGTGAGAATTTCAAGCCAGTGGATCTTAGCTTTCTGGGCTCCGTGGGGGTGGGATCTGCTGAGCAAGACCACTTGGCTGCCTGACTTCAGCCTCCTTTCCAGAGGAGTGAATGGTTCTGTCTCACTGGCATTCCAGGTGCCACTGGGGTATGAAAAAAAAAACTCCTGCAGCTAGCTCAGTGTTTGCCCAAATGGCGGCCCAGTTTTGTGCTTGAAACCCAGGGCCCTGGTGGCATAGGCACCCCAGGGAATCTCCTGGTCTGTGGGTTGTGGAGACCGTGGGAAAAGCATAGTATCTGGGCTGGATAGCACCATCCCTCATGGCACAGTCCTTCACGGCTTCCCTTGGCTAGGGGAGGGAGTTCCCTGACCCCTTGTGCTTCCCGGGTAAGGTGATGCCCCACCCTGCTTTGACTTGCCCTCCGTGGGCTGCACCCACTGTCTAACCAGTCCCAGTGAGATAAGCCAGGTATCTCAGTTGGAAATGAAGAAATCACCTGCCTTCTGCATTGGTCTTGGTGGAAGCTGCAGACTGGAGCTGTTCTTATTCAGCCATCTTGCCCAGGAATCCTTCACTGAGCTTCTTTAGTAGCAATATTTTGAATTCTTTATTTGAGATTTCAGAAATTTTGTTTGGATTATACTCTGGTGCTGGAGAATTATTGTGTTCCTCTGGAGGTGTCATGTTTCCTTGCTTTTTCATGTTTCCTGTGTTCTTATGTTGTTATCTGCATATCTGGTATAATAGTCACTTATTCCAATGTTTAAAATTTGCTTTCACAGGGGAGCACTTTTTCCTGAAGATATATCTATGGTGTTCGTTGGCTAGAGCACTTTGGCTTTGATTCTGAGTCTGTGACTTCGTTTAGTCTCTATGATTTTTTCAGCTGTCAACAGCATCAGTGAATACTGTGGTTTCCTTGGTGGCTTAGGTCGTGGTGGTTAGTGGAGGCTATGGAGAAGATTTTCTGGGGACTGGGATGCCAGGCGGGCCAGTCTTTGGGCCTCAGTGGTGGTAGTGATGGGCTGAGCAGGCCTGTCCTTGGGCCCCAGGGTTGTATATGCTGGCACCATTTTTAGTGGGTCTAGGTAAGCCAATTATTGGGCCTCGAGGTGGCTTGTTTGGGTGCCAAAAATGGCAGTAGTGGGTCAGGTTGGTGGGCAGGTCGATGACTTCCTGGGCAGCAGGAACAGTGGGCAATTGCAGTAGCAGTGGTGAGACAACTCTTTGGGACCGAAGCAGTTTGCACTGGTGTTGGTAGTGAGTGTGGCAGCTTCGGCTGACTGGTCCCCATACCTGCAGGTGGCATATGCAGGTGGGTGCCAGCTGTGGTGGTAGCAGCAGATTGAATGGACCGGACCTCAGACCCCAGGTGGAGTGCTCAGGTGCCACCAGTGGTGGACTGGGCTGGGTGATCCCAGGCCCCTAGACAGTGTGGATGGGTGATCCCCAGGCCCCTGGATGGTATACTTGATTACTGGGAGGAGGGAATCGAACTCAAACCAGACTGGGTGAACCTGCCCTCAGTCCCCCAGGTGATGACTGCAGGGTGCTGGCTGTGGTAGGCAGGGGCAGGGTGATCCCCAGGCTGTTGGAATGCTCAGTTAGGGGATGGCAGTGGTGGTGCTGTGGGGGAGGGCGGGGTTGTTTACCCTGGAAGCAGCCTATATGCTGGCAGCTGGGGTGGGGGGGTGCAGGTGTGGACTTTGCTGGTACTTTGGCCCCATAGCAGCCTGTAGCAGTGGTTGCAGGCAGTGGAATTTGTCTTCAGGGCACATGAAAATGTGTAACTGCCCCTCTGCTGGGGGTGGGGGTGGAGTCGCTGCCTGTGGCTACTGCCTTGACCCCTGGTAGCAGGGCAGGACACAGTCTGCTGGGTCCTGGGCTCTCAAAATGGCAGGGTGTTGCAGCTGCTGAGGACTCAGGGGTTTATGGAACTCAGCGTGAGCTCTCTTTCTGGAGCCATGCCTTTGCAAGGGCTCCAGGCAGCTCCCTATGTTAGTCTCAGGACCCATTAGAGCCAAGAGGATCTCCTGTGGCTGGGATTATAAGCATCTGTGGCGCGAATGCAGACTTCTGGGGGTCTCTCATTTACTCTTTCCCCACATTGGGAGCCTCTCCAGACTCTCAGCCAATCCTGGCCAAAGAAGCTGCCTCACTTTGTCCTTCCTTGCTTCCAGTGCTTCCCATCTCTTCTCTGTTGAGTTACAGTGCTCTCTCTTGGATAAGCTATTTGAAGTGTGATTATCTACTTGCTGGTTTGCTTCCTCTTCATGGGAGTGGCAAGTACTAGGTGCTTCTAGTCAGTCATCTCGAAGCCTCTCCTCTAAAGGATTATGTATTTTGTATTTTTTTTGATTTACATAAAATTCTCACAAAGTATTATGTTTTAAAACACTCGAAAACATTCTTTTCTGTGGTCATGCTACAAATGCAATACACAGATAATTTTACTTTATCTTTAACTTTTAGAAGTTTATTTTTTAAAATTAACTTATTTTATAATTATGAAATACACTGACATAATTTCAAGGCCAAATGAATAAAAAAGATATATTTAAAAAGTCTGGTTTCTAGCTCTTTCCCCTCTATCACCCCCTTCTCTCCCTCCCCATATAGGTAACCATTTTTTAAAAAGTTTACCTTCCCATTAAAAAATAAATATATATTATACAACTTAATTTCAAAATAATATGTATAGTGACATAATGTGTGTGTGTGTGTATATACATATATTCACTCATAGATATACATGAATGATTTCTAGGTTCAACTACTGGTTATAGGAGCATACATACACATACAGTGCTGTTCTAAAAGTGCCAATCTGATCATGTAACTAGAACTGTTTGGCAAATATTTATTATTCTTAGGATAAAAACATTGTTCAAATGGTCCCCATAATCTGGCATCTGTCTACTTGATCACTTCTTAAACCAAGCAACTCTTTTTTATCTTCTGTACTGCAGCCACAGTGGGCTTCTTCCTTGAACATATACTGTTCTTTCCTGCTTTAAAGTAATTTTTTTACATGCCATTCTGTCTTCCTGGAAAGATTTCTTCTCTTCCATTTCCCTTTCAATTTAGATAATACGTACTTATTCTTCCAATTTACACTTAAAAGTCAATTCCTCAGGGAAAACTTCTCTGCCTCATCAGGTTAGTTTAGATCTTCACTGTTATGTATTCTCCTAAAACTCCATACATTTTTATATTACTTACTATAACTATAATTTAAAAATTTTAATGGAAAATTTTAAACACAGAAAAAAGTAGAGAGAATAGTATAATAAGTCCTTGCATTTTTGTCACTTTGTTTAAATAATTATCAACTCACGGTCAACCTTATTTTAACTATACCCCTAGACATTATACAATTTAATCACCAATATTTTTGTATCATAATTATAATTTAATAATTAATTGTGAACACTGTTGTTCAATGACTATCTCTGTTGCCACATTGTAAATTCCATGGACTCAGGGATTTGAATGTCTTCTTCACTGCTGCATTCTCAGGGTTTAGCTCGATGTTGTGAATATCGTAAGTGTTGAGAGGTATGTCGAATGAACGAATGAAATGTTATAGATTACTAGAGAAAACAGGAATATGCATTTACTGTATTTAGGGTTCAGCAAGGCATTTGACACATTCTCTCACAGAATCTTTGCTAATAATATAGTCTAGAATCAAGAACAATTAAGATTCATTTCTTGTTGACTGATTGTATCGAATGGGTTAATGAGATTGTGGTTTTTAGTTCAGTAGTGTGTCAGAGAGCTTTCCCTGTGATCTGTTCTTGTTCCACAGTTTTTTTTAAATCAATGATTTGAATGAGTAGAGAAAGGACTCCCTCCCACCAAATATGGAAGAGATAGGAAATACACTGGATGACAGAATCAGAATCCAAAAAATGTGTTTGACAGCCTAGGGCAACAGAAACCGTTAAGGTAAATTTAATGGTAATAACTTAAAAGTCTCACATTTAGGTCCAAGAAATACAACTGTAGAAGTTTATGATGGGGGGAAACATGGCTTAGCCATAGCATGTATTAAAAATACCTAGTGTGCACAATGTGATGTAGCCACTATGAAATCTGATGGTAGTCTCAGATTTTCTTACTAGAAGGCAGCATTTAGAAGCACTTTTCTGGGGGGAGGGGGGAGGGATAGCACTAGGAGATATACCTAATGCTAAATGACGAGTTAATGGGTGCAGCACACCAACATGGCACATGTATACATATGTAACAAACCTGCACATTGTGCACATGTACCCTAAAACTTAAAGTATAATAATAATAAAATTAAAAAAAGAAAATAGAAAAGAAAAAAAGAAAAAATAAAAATAAAAAATAAAAAAAAAGAAGCACTTTTCTGTTGTTAATTAGATGGCACTAGAAAAGCGGTGTTTTGTTATAGGCAGAAGAGGCCTGGTGCTGTATTAAGGAGGAAGTGGTCGAAGAGCTGAGGATTTTAATCTGTGGAAGCCAGGCTTGACTAGCACTAAAACCCCCCCACCAAAAACAAAAAACCAAAACAAACAACAACAATGGTCAATACTTAAAAATTGTGAGACATCCCAATTCTATTGATAAATGGGAGGATCTGTCAATGGTCGCTTAAGCTGCATGGGGATGATTATCTGCTACCTCTTTTAGGTAGGGTGCCCCTTCTATAATTCAGCTGAGTTCCTACCACTTCCTGCTGTCTAACACCTTGCTGCCTTCACTCATTTAGGTATCCTTGTTGGCCTTGTAGGTATTTGCCTTTGCAATCCCTGGGCAGGCTAGCCATGTAAGACCTGTCAGGGAGGAGCTTGGACCACGGAGGTTAAAGTAATAGGGATGGATTTTGGCACAAAATAGCAGTCCTATCAAGCAGGACTGCTCAAATGCAGAATGGGCTGCCTTGAGATTCTATGAAATTTCATAAAGTCACAGCCCACATCCTTTCTCTCTCTTCCCTTCTCTTCCCTTCTGCTATGGACTGAATTATGTCCCTTCAAAATTCATGTGTTGAAGCCCTAACCCCCATTGCGATTATATTAGATATAGGGTTTTTAAGCGGTAATTAAGGTTAAATGTGGTCATAAGGGTGAGGGTACAAATCCAATAGGATTGATGGCTTTATAAGAAGAGGAAGAGAGAGATACACCCTCTGCCATGTGAGGGCATAGCAAGAAGGCAGCCATCTTCAGGCCAGGAAGAGAGCCCTTACCAGCAACTGATCATGCTGGCACCCCAATCCCAACCTTCTGGCCACCAGAACTGTGAGGAAATAAATTTCTGTTGTTTAAGCCACCCAGCCTATGGCATTTTATTGTGTCAGCCCAAGCAGACTATGACCCTTCTCCTTCCCTTCCCTTCTTTTTCCCCCTCTTTTCTCTCTCCTTCCCTCCTTCCTTCCTTTCTCTGCATCTCTTCTTTCTTTCCTCCTTTTCCTTATTTTTCCCTTAGAACAGTCATGCCTATCAGAAAATAGATTTCTTGATTGTCTTATAAACACACATTTCTTAGCATTTTGGTACACTTGTCTTCATATGGCTATTCCTTGTGTGTTTATCTGGATGGACATGGTCCTGAACTGCAACAACGCTTAAGATTCTCATCTGAGGGTGCACGTAAAAATTGTCTGTAAATAATATAGATACTCAGTTCTCCCCAGCCCCTGTCCTGGGAGATTCTGCCTTGTGAGGTTGTTGGAATGGAGCTTGGCATCTGTACATTTAAAAAGCCTCAAGGGAGACTTGGAGTCTTCTTGGAACTACTGCCCCAGGGATTATATTTGTGTCTGTAGAGTACCCAAATCACTGGTTTCTTCATTTATTTAGCAGTCACTGGGTGTGTCTATCTGGAGAACCCCAAACAAAGTGAAACAAAATGCTGTAAAGGAAGGTACCATTTTGACTCATGTGGAACCTATAGTCTAGTTAATAAAACAACTAGATGATAGAAAGGATTCTGAGAAAATGAGACCACTTGGGAGTTGAGTTGGTTCAGGAAGGCTTCCCAAGGAGAGCAGTTCCAAATGAAGGTGAAAGAAGTGTTGTGTTTAGGTGAGTAGAGGAAAGGAGGAGAGGATGTTTGCAGCAGGGAAATAGCATAAGGAAAAGCATAGACACAAATTGAGCTGACTTATTCAGGAGGCATTAAGGAGAGTTGCCTACTTAACAAAGAAGAGGGTTGGTTGGGAAATTAGATAGTCAAGGGAAGCCTGTGGTGAAGATTGCTGGGTACCAGGTGGGAAGTTTGCACTTGGAGTCAGAGAGATCTGGGCTTGAATTCTGCCTCTAGTACTTGCTGCGGACAGTGGTTTTGGACAGATTATCTCTTCTGAGCCTGTTTTCTTCTGTAAAATAGAATTAATACACACTATCCCTGTGGGATGTTGGTGAGTAAAAGAGACAGCAGTGCCTGGCACAGAGTAGTGCTCAGTTAATGGACCTATGGCCACATTGACCCAGTATGCTGAAGGTAATGACTGAGGGTTCTGGAGTGGGGAGGTTGCAGGCAGGCAGTGATAGGTTGTCAAGGTGAACACAAATGCTGCAAGCAGGAAGGACAGACTTACTCACTTTGATGAGAAGATAATTCCCACTGGACTTCTGGCATTGTAAGGGTAGTGTGATAATTCCAGCCTTCCTGCTTCAGTTGGGTGTTGTGCTGACACGGCCTAAGATGGTTTACGGCTGCTCAGTATTACTAAAATCACTTATACTTAGCAAATAAATTCCCTCGCTACTCTTGGATTGGATATTTTAAATCCCCCAAAGACAAGTAAGTGGTGAGTTGAAGGCAAATAAAAATAGATCCCATTTGCTGGGCATTGTGCTAGGTACTTTATGGATATTCCACATGATTATGAAAATGAAAGAAAACTAAGATATGTTCAGATTAATTAAAATATATAGTTATATTTTTCTAAAATTTGTTTAAATAATGAACAGGTTAAAAACATTTGTAAAGGAAAAAACCAGGATCCTGTAGAAAATTGATTTTTTTATTAAAGGTCTTTAGTGAATGGTAACATCTTATATGCAAATGAGGAAAATTATTAAGGTTTAAAGAATGATGATAAAACAAAAACAAGCATCTCCACCCACCCCACAGTTTGAGAGTTAGAATCATTCCCTGCATTTTAGAATTCCCATTGTCCTTCCTCACCCCACTTCCCTCTTTCAGAAGGAGCCCCCTGAATTTTATGTTTAATATTTTCTTGCTTTCTTGTTTAATTAATTGTAGCAGTCTGTATATGTTTTATTTTTATTTATTTTTTTTTTGAGATGGAGTCTCACCCTGTCACCCAGGCTGGAGAGCAATGGTGTGATCTCACCCCACTGCAGCCTCCGCCTCCCGGGTTCAAGCGATTCTCCTGCTTCAGCCTCCTGAGTACCTGGGATTATAGGCGCCCACCATTGTGCCTGGCTAATTTTTGTATTTTTAGTAGAGATGGGGTTTCGCCATGTTGGCCAGGCTGGTTTCAAACTCCTGACCTCAAGTGATCCACTTGTCTCGGCCTCCCAAAGTGCTGGGATTACAGGCGTGAGCCAATGCGCCCGGCCCAGTCTGTATATGTTCTTAAAGAATATGTTGTTCAGTGCTGCATGTTTTTGAACTTTATATAAATGGAATTGTACAGTTTGTGTCTGTTTCCTTCTTTCCTTCCTCCTAAACATTATATTCTTGAGATTCATCCATGTTGATGTATGTAGCTATACTTGATTTGTTTTGCTGCATAATATTTCATTATAGGAAAAGATCATATCTTCTGGATCCATGTATCCGTGGACATGCAGATAGATTGTTTCCATATTTTGCTTTTACAAATGTTGTTGCTATGGACCTCCTTGTACAAGTCTTGGGGCACACGTGCAATAATTTGTTGAGGGTTTATGCTTATGCATCAGGTAAAATTAGTTTAGTTTGGGCTGTACCTCCTCTTACTCCCTGCTCCCAGTAGTTATGATATCTGACACATCCAAGGTTAAAGAGGCAAGGAATAGGAAAGGTCTCAACTGTTATTCCCTGGACTTTGAAGGTATTAGGCTGAGTCTGTCTGAATTTAGTAGTGATCAGACTTCCTTGGGGCACCTTAGTGGTTTCTTCAGAGATACATTGCTGGGGATCTCCACCTGCAGGTGCCTTGACAGGGTTGAATGACTTCCTTTGGCTGGTCACTTATGATGACCTCAGTATCTCAGTATCCCTTGGACATATATTCGTACATCTTTAGCATCTTTCTGCAGAGGTCTTCACACTATTCCAGGTAGCCCTCATTAGCAAAATCCAAGACTGTTCCACTCCTGCTTGTCCTCCCACTACATTTCCCCTGACTCCCTTATCCCCCTAATGAGAAAGTCAAATAATTAATGGATTTATGGGTTATCATGAGAGTAGGACTGGTGGCTTTATAAGAGGAAGAGAGACCTGAGCTAGCATGTTTGGTCCCCTTGCCATGGGATGCCCTGTGCCACCTTGGAACTCTACAGAGGGTCCTTACCAGCAAGAAGGCCCTCATCAGATGCAGCCACACTACCTTGGACTTCTCATCCTCCATAACTGGAAGGAATCCAATCCTTTATCTTTCTCTCTTTCTCTCTCTCTTTCTTTCTTTTGACAGAATCTTGCTCTGTCACCCAGGCTGGAGTGCAGTGGCATGATCTTGGCTCACTGCAACCTCTGCCTCCCAGGTTCAAGTGATTCTCTTGCCTCATCCTCCCAAGTAGCTGGGATTACAGGTGCCCGCCACCATGTCTGGCTAATTTTTGTATTTTTAGTAGACATGGGGTTTCACCGTGTTGGCTAGACTGGTCTCGAACTCCTGACCTCAGGTGATCTGCCCACCTGGGCCTCCCAAAGTGTTGGGATTACAGGCATGAGCCACTGTGCCTGGCCAGGAATATATTTCTTTTCTTTTTAAATTACCGAGGTTTAGGTATTCTGTTATAAGCAACAGAAAATGAACTAAGACAGGCATCTATACATATATACTTGAAAATACACGGAATATTTCTGGCACATTTTCTATAGCAAACTGATAACACTGATAAAACCAATAATACTGCTTCTGAGGAAGGGAATTCGATTTAAGGTGTTCAGGGATGAAGACAACCTACTTTTTACGTATGTAATATACTATTTTGTATTTTTTGAATTATTCTTTTTAGCATATGCATTACTTTTGGAAAAATGCATTAATTTTGGAAAATAATCTTTAAACAAAAGAAAAAATGAGTTCTATTTGACTATTAGGCCTCTATGATTAATATTTGGCCTTTGTAGCATTGAACACTGCAACCTTAACATGGTAATTTTTTTCCATAATGACTGAGATAATAGTATTTACAATGTAATAAATATGTATGAAAAAAGATTATGACTATATTTTGAGCATAGTGAGTTTGGGGTGTCAGTAGGAAACAGGCAGATGGAAATATCTAACAGGAGTTGGAAATGTGGACTGGAGCACTAGTCAAAACTGAAGATTGTTATAAAAGACTGAGTAAAATACCCAAAGGAGAGAATGTGGAGGGAAGAAATGGGCTCTGGGTATAACCAAAGGCATCAATTACCTCTGGGGTCAGAAGAGGAAAGAGGAGTCAGAGAATGAGAGGCAGATCTGAGAGTGAACAGCTTTATACAAATCATGGGAGAAGATCACGTGAAGAAATGAGAATTGGTGGTAGTGGCTTGCTGCAGAGAATCTGAGGAGAATGAAAACTAAGAAAATCTGTAGATCTGATTTTTCAATTGTTATCAAGAGAGTATTTTCTGTACATGATGAGATGGTTAGAAGATGAAGGCTGTGAAAAAGAAACTTGGTAGTGAAGGGAAGGAGGGAAGGACAGGAATGTAGTTCAAGGGATAGCCTGGTGAGTGGAGGTGGGGTGTGTGTGTGTGTGTGTGTGTGTGTATGTGTGTGTGTGTGTGTGTGTGTATTTTAAGATGGGAAGCACATCAAACCATTTATACACTGGCAGGAAGAAGTCACAGAAGAAAGAATGAAGAAGTATTAAAATGTGGTCAGACTGGGGAGATTAAGAGCCATAAAGAGGGGCTTTCACCTTGAAATAGAGGAAGGTCACTTTTTAATCTGGGACAGCAGTGAAGGAAGCAAAGATAGGGAAGAGACAGGAAGTGATGTTAATGTAGAAGAAGCACCACCACATTTTGAATAAAGGAACAATGAGATCATCTGCAGAGAATAAGGAGATTGGAATAGAAGGGGGCTTTACATTTATAGAAGAGTGTTGTGCATTGTATAATTAGAAAAGAAACAGAAAGGGTCTTAAGTTAGCAAAGCAGGTGTTTTGCAGCAGCATGACATAATGAAAAGAACACTAACTTTGGAGCCAGAAAGACCTGAGTTTGAGTCCTGGCTTCATTCCTTGTTAACAAGTTACCAAACTGATCTTTCTTAATTCCTCAATTTTATTACAGAATAGGACAACAATACCTACTCTGTCAAGCTGTTATGCAGATTCAATGATAGGACATGCTAGTTAATTTTAGTTTCAACAAACATTTACTAATCTCCCATCATGCACCAGATACTCCGCTAGGAGTATCTCTTTATCCTGAGTTTAAAGTCTAGGAGGGGGGAATACACTTCCTCATTTTCTTTTGGGACAAAGAATAAACTTTTGCAGAATTATGAAGGGACTTGCTAAGTACTTTCCTGCTTGTGCACTTTTAAATACTGGATCAGATTCACCGGCGGGTTTTATTCTGGTCTGTCTGGATTTAGCCACTAATGCAAGGGAACCACTTCTCTGAGGCCGTGAGCGATTCTTACCCCTTGCCCTTTGGCAAAGCCCTTCACAGCTGCTGATTATGAAAGATGAGTGGCCTTGGACTGCTGACCACTTCAATGATGACTCGGCTTGTCTCATTCTTATCTCTGCAATAAGCCTGATGTGTATTTTTTGTCTTTTGTTGTTGTTGTTATTGTCGTTGGTAGTATCTAAATATAGAGTTGTTTATCTTTCAAATAGCCTCCCAGAGAGAAATGACCTGAGACTGAGAAACTGAGAACAATTGACCAAAATCATGAACAGTAATGAAATTCATTCATTTATAATCTTCATTACTTTTAGGGAGAGTAAGTAAAGACATGCATCCTTGATTAGAGAGATTGGATTAATTGTAATGATTGGACTTAGAGTGTGAGTCTACAGAAATCTTAAATTAAATTCTAACAGGAGTGCTTTTGCAAAAGGATTATAAATTAAAGCTTTAATTTGTGTACTTTAGTTGTTTAGGTGATTGTAACATCATTTAAGCATTTAATGACAGTGAAATTGTTCCAGTGTCATCGGTGATTTGTGATGAAGATCAGCACGTCCAGATCAGAACTGGGTTAATTGCAGCTCATCACCAAGGAAAGTACAAAACATTCTAACCAATACCAGGACTGTAGTGTAGACATCTTTCCCTTTTTAAGTTCTTTTCCAATGCCACTGAGCATTTATATCCTTGTATTGCATTAATAAGGATTACACTGGCCCCATTTCTAGAACTATGTAAATACCAACCTGACAAAGTTGGTGATAGGAAGTTCATAGATGTTTCTTTTTCATATATTGCCCTCTCAGTTCTCCCAGGTAGGCCAATCTGTTTTCCACAGGACTGATCTATTGCTCTGGTTGTCAGCCTTGTTTGAAAATTATTGCAGTGTCCATGGGCATCAGTGGAATATTCCAGCTGACCTTTGTTAGGCCTTTGAATAAAGAAGACAAAACAAACAAAACCCCAAGCAAGCCAACAACGACAACAATAATTGGCAAATGCCACAGTATCTTCAGTGATTAACCACGATTTTCTTTAGAAACCTTGTGAGTCTGGGCCGGGCATGGTGGCTCACGCCTGTAATCCCAGCACTTTGGGAGGCTGAGGCGGGCGGATCACGAGGTCAGGAGATCGAGACCATCCTGGCTAATATGGCGAAAACCCGTCTCTACCAAAAAAATACAAAAAAATTAGCCGGGCGTGGTGGCGGGCGCCTGTAAGTCCCAGCTACTCTGGAGGCTGAGGCAGGAGAATGGCGTGAACCCGGGAGGCGGAGCTTGCAGTGAGCCCAGATCGCGCCACTGTACTCCAGCCTGGGCGACAGACCTTGTGAGTCTGTTAAAATAGAAGCAGACACAAGATTAATTTGCTTCAAGTGAGATAATCCGTGAAAGGCATTCACTCCACACAGAGCCTGGCACAGGGTCAGTGCTCAAAAACGGCAAGCTTATTACCATTATTTTTATTATTTGGAATTAATGTTATCTGTTTCCCCCTCCCTCTCGCTTTTTGGTCCTCACTTTTTACTCGGAATACCAGTGGAATAAAGGTAAACAGCATCCGTTCTCATTTCTGAGGACAGGCTGCCCTGATGTTGAAGGTGATAGAATGGTCAACAGCCCTGGAAGCCCACTTCAGATTCTGGGTAGCTTTGCTGGGTCACCATGGCCTTGCAAACTGGCAGCTGGCTGGAAGATTGACGCTATGTTTGGCATTGGCTTACAATGGAGAATTGCTATGCGTAGCCAAAAATCTTCCCTGGCAGCCAGGAGTGGAGAGCAGCCTTGGACCCCACTTCACAGCATTCCTTTAAATGATGTTACTGTATTCACAGGCCAGAATTTAAACGTTTGCAGTAACAAGGGAGCCAGTTTTTGGATAGTCAAAGGCATTTTGTCAACAAAAGAGTATTCAGGCCATGCTATATATTTATGGTTCTATTCATCTCACCTTGTAGATAAGGAGGATTTGGAACCGCTGTAGGCTCTAAATAAACTCTTATTTTAATGCAGATGGCTCCTTATTCTAAATAATATCCTTTATATTCTTTTGCCTCAGACTTGGCATTTCTAACTCCTTGATGAATATTTCTACTCAGATTTCCAGCCATTAACACCTGTTCCCAACTCCTTATTTTCTATCTGTGCTATCACGATTATTGAGAAACTGTATATATAGTGATTACAATTGAGGGCTTTGGAGGCTGACTGCTGGGTTTTAAATCCCTGCTGTGCTATTTACTAGGTATGTGGACTTGGATAAGTTATTTGACTTCCTGGTGCCTCCTTACCTCCTCTTTGTAATAATAACACATCCCTCATCAAGTTGTTGTAAGCATTGAATTAAATGTTTAGACCAATGCCTGGAATGTAGTCAGTGCTTGTATCAGTTTGGTTGTATTAGGCTGCAAGTAACAGAACACCAATTAATAATAGCTTAGGCAATAAATACATTTAATTATCTTTTTTTTTTTTTTTTTTTTTGAGACGGAGTCTCCCTCTGTCACCCAGGCTGGAGTGCAGTGGTGCAATCTTGGCTCACTGCAACCTCCGTCTCCCTAGTTCAAGCAATTCTTCTGTCTCAGCCTTCCCGAGTAGCTGGGACTACAGGCTCATGCCACAACATAGTAGAGATGGGGTTTCACCATATTGGTCAGGCTCGTCTCAAACTCCTGACCTTAGGTGATCCACCTGCCTTGGCCTCCCAAAGTGCTGGGATTACAGGCATGAGCCACCACATCTGGCTCATAATTATCTTATATAAGTAGAATTCTGGAGGTGGGAAGTTCCAGCCTTGCTGCAGCAGTTCAGTGGTGCCACCAAAGACTGCATGTCTTTTTCTCTTTCCCTTCTGCCATCTTTCCCATGTCAGCTTTTCATCTTCATGGCTATCACAGGTCACCAGGCTGCTGCAGCTCCAGGGATCAAGGCAAAATGAAGGGGAAAAGGCAGGGGTGGCATCGACTGTCTCTTGCATCAGGAAAGCAAAAGCTTTCCCAGTTCCCAGGAGCCTTCCAAAAGATTTCTCCCTACATCTTATTGCCAGGACTAAGTCACATGTCCTCCCGTGACTTTGAAGGAGGCTAAGAAAGTGACGATCTAGTTTTCCAGCTTCTGTAATAAGAGAAGAGAGTTGGGCATGGTTGTAGAGGCAGCCAGGCCACAGTGACTGCCACAGTGATTAATATATGTTAGCTGTTACTGTTATTATTATTCCAGTTTTTAAAGTTAAAGATGTTGAAATTATTTTTCATTCCCCCTCTTCTTCTTTAACACTCAGTCACCAAGTTCAGCGATTCCTCCTTCTCAATGTTTTCCATGCCTACCCGATCTTTCCTTCATACTATTCCTAATGTTCCGGTGTTATTATCTCATGCATGGAAAAATGCAGTCAGCTTTCTTTCTGTCTCCTCTATCTTCAGTTTCTCCATGCTCTGCTCTATCTTGCACTCCACCAGATGAATCTTCATCAAATATCTCTATCATGCCATGTTATTGCCCAAATTCTTTAATCTCTTCCTATTGTCCACAGTAGTGATTCTTAAACTTCAGCATAATTAGAATCACATGGGAAGGCTGGGTGTGGTGGCTCACGCCTGTAATCCCAACACTTTGGAAGGCTGAGGTGGGTGGATTGTTTTAGCTCAGGACTTTGAGACCAGCTTGGGCAACATGGTGAACCCTGTCTCTACAAAAAATACAAAAATTAGCCGGGCACGGTGGCATGCACCTGTAGTCCTAGCTACTCAGGAGGCTGCTGAGGGGGTGGATTGCTTGAGACTGGGAGGCGGAGGTTGCAGTGAGCCAAGATCAAACTGCTGCACTCCAGGCTGGGTGACAAAGGGAGACTCTGTCTAAAAAAAAAAAGAAGAATCACCTTGGAAACTTGTTAAAAATCAGATGTCTTCTTAAAAGCAGGTATTGAGGTTATAAAATAATATATTCTCAATATACTCACAGTATAATTGGCAACACAAACAAAATAATTATAATTCAGGGAATTTATTTTCTATGTTACTCATTTGGCACATTAAATTTACTGCTTTACATAAGATCCACAATCAGTTATTTTTTCATGTATATATGTCTCATTTCCTTCAATAGATCAGACATTGCTTGAAGGCAGAGATTCTGTATAATACCACACTGCCACTGTAATTAGTCCTAAAATATCCGACACAATTTTTTTGAATAAATCAATGGTATTCATGCAAAATATTCAGTGGGTACTTAATAAATGTTGGACTTATCTAGCAAAAACAATGGAAAACCTCAGACAAGATTGGGTAAAAAACAAAAACAAAAAACACCTCTATCTATTAGAATAGATGTATAGCTTGAAGCAACAGAATTACTCTTGGCTGAGAAATGGCTACAATCTAATAATGTAGATCTTGCATGAATCAAATGGAAAGACACAGTGTAGATCTATCACAAATACTAAGCTTCAAGGGGTGAAAGGGCACTGTTAATCAGTAATTCTATCAGTAATAGGATTAGTTTGATTATTATGGAAGAGATCACCCATTCAATAATGTTCTTTTCCAGGCACTCCTGATACCCACTGGAGGTAATGCTGGTTTTGGGAGCACAATGTATTGTGAATAAAATATACGAAGAAAAAAGGTAATTATTTATACCTGTTTGGTGCCAGGGTCTTCAATGATGAATAAGACCCAGTCTCTCAAGGAACTTGGTATCTAGTAGGAAAAAGAAGCATGCAGACAAGTCTAACAGATGATTTCCAGTATAACCGGAAATCAGAGAGGAGCATGAGTGTGTGAGTGAGGCAGGAGAAGAAGAGAGGATCTCTTCTGTCTGGAAGTGTGAGGACACCTTTTCCCAAGGAGTTATCTGCTCTCTCACCTTCCTTTCAGCTTCTCTTGGAATATTGCTAGAGTTATTATTTTTATCATGTTTGGTCTCACCTTCTCACCAACTACTGAATTTCAGAGGTAAATATCCAAGGAGTTGATAACATCTTTGTTTCTTCATACTAATGAAACGGGAAACAATTTCAGAAGTCATCCAATCCAACCCAGCCTGACAAACAAAATGGTCATCTGTTCTCTCTCTTTCTATCTACTCCTGATTCCCCCAAATCCCCGCATTTCTCAAATATGAGAGACTAAGGATAATCAACCATCCTGCTGTGCCCCGGAAAAAGTACTGAAATGCAGGACTTTCATTGCTAAAATCGGGACAGTCCCAGACAAACCAAGATGAGTTGGTCACCCTAGAGGGCAGTAGAAATAGTTAGAATGAAGGAGCCTGGATTAATCTATGCTAAATTCCTAACTGGGCAATTCCCTTAATGCTGATGGTTGCTTTATAGTATCAGAATATAAATGTGTCTCTGGAAGACAAGCCTATGCAGATTCAGAGCAAACATCCCACCACAGCCTACCAGGCTTGACTCATTCACTGGCTGGGTGAAGTCAACACAAGCATGTGTTTTCAATAAATATTTGATATAACTTTGTTTTGATTATACTGGGCTCTTAGGGGCAGCATTGTGTTCCCACCCAAATTCCTATGCTGAAGTTCTAATCCCAGTACCTCAGAATGTGATTGTATTTGGAGAAAGAGTCTTTACACATAATTAAGGTAAAATAAGGTCATATAGGTGGACCCTAATGCAATATGACTGGTGTCCTTATAAGAGGAGTAGATGAGGACAAAGACACAATAGAGGAAAGGCTGTGTAAACACAAGGGGAGAAGATGGCCATCTATAAGCCAAGGAGTGAGGCCTCAGAAGAAATAACCCTGCTGCCACTTTGATCTTGGACTTCCAGCCTCTGGAATTGTGAGAAAATAAATTTCTGTTGTTTAAGCCACCCAGTCTGTGGTACTCTGGTATTGCAGCCTCAGCAAACTCATATATGGGCATTGTTATGTTGCTTATAACAATGGAAAACGGACTGGGTAATTTATAAAGAAAAGAAATTTATTTCTTCCAGTTACGGAGGCTATGAAGTCCCAGGGCGAGGGGCCACATCTGGTAAGAAACTTCTTGCTGATGGGGACTCTGAACTGAGGCAGGGCAGGGTATCACACAGCAAGAGGGATGAGCGTGTGAATGTGTGAGCTCAGGTCCCTCTTCCTCTTCTTATAAAGCAACCCATTCCACTCCCATGGTAACCCATATATTCATTGACCCTTTAACCCATTCATCCATGAATGGATTAATCCACTTATGAGGGCAGAGCCCTTATGATCCAATCACCTCTTAAAGGCCCTATCTCAATACTGCCACATTGGGGATTAAGTTTCAACATGACTTTTGGAGGGGATAAATATTCAAACTACTGGGCCAGGTGTGGTGGCTCATGCCTGTAATCCCAGCACTTTGGGAGGCCGAGTTGGGCGGATCACAAGGTCAGGAGTTGAGACCAGCCTGGCCAATAGGGTGAAACCCCTTCTCTGCTAAAAATAAAAAAAACTAGCCTGGTGGGGTGGCACATGCCTGTAGTCCCAGCTACTCGGGAGGCTGAGGGAGGAGAATAGCTTGAACCCAGGAGGTGGAGGTTGCAGTAAGCCGAGATCGCACCACTGCACTCCAGCCTGGGCGACAGAGTGAGATTTCATCTCCAAAACAAACAAACAAACAAACAAACTATATATATATACATACATATATATATATGTATGTATATATATTCAAACTACAGCAATTGTCTTGAGTTGGGCTTTCTCAGATGTATATAGTGATTTATGCAGAAGTAGTTTATTTGGGAGGTGATCCCAGGAAGCCCTGATGACAGAGGTGAAGGGAGAGGGAAAGGAAGGAAACTACTTCAGAGCAGGTCACTGCTGGGGGCAACTGGATCTGCATTCCACTGGGGGCCTCTGAAAACTGTGTAGAACACACCTCAGGTTGTCCCACCCGAGGGGCAATTTACCCTCCATCTCCCATTCGTTATGGGGGGAACAGGGATTGGCTTACAGCCTGGCAGCACCTGCCTGCCCTGCACAGTAGTGAGCTAATTTCTGCTGCTAGAGAAAGCCCTCAGGGAGGGTTGGGGGAGCTTGCAATAAGAACTGCAGGTGTGCACAGCAACAGTCTCTGTGTGTTTTATTTGCTTTTGTAATAACAAACAATAAAGATTTCAAAAGCAGGAAAGTGATTGTATTACTGGGAACAATTTTATTTAACTTTAACATTATAACAAATCCATTGCCAGTTTCACTTTGGAATTTGGCCTAGAATAAAAGTGGCTTTCTCTAGGCAGGGTGTGAGATGTGATATAAGCCGTGTTCTTTCAGCGCCCCGGTGGTATCATGCATCAGGCTCCTCACAGTGCCAGACTCACTGTCATTCTTAAATTCCTAGAGATTGGGCCTTGTTAGTGCTAAAGGCCTCTGAGGCTCCTTTAAATCAGTCACATATTGATTAAAATAAGAAGGGAGATTCTCCCTTTCCTACCTAAGCTAGCTGAGGGCATATAGCAAAATCTCTTTTCCTTGTGTCAAAATTAAAACAGGACTCTCAGTGTCCTGCGCCATCTACCCAGGGTAACTTCCTACCCTTCCCATTGCTAAAGGAGATAGATAGTAATTATTCAGCACCCCCCTCCATGAGGACTGACATAGATAATGCAAGTAGAGTTCTCAGCAAAGGGCATGGCTACTAACTGCACACATCGAAGCCCATTGAGAATACTGGTAATTTGTATATTTATTTCATGTAACCAGAAATCTCCATATTTTATTTAAAAATAAATTTTGTCTCTGGGTGTTGTTTCACTTGCGAGTACGCCAGGCTTGTGACTGTGTATCCTTTGTCCTCCTGGCTTAAGTATCTCCAAGTAGAATTATTGGGAAGTTTTTAGATAAAATAAAAATCTTAGGAAAGGTTGGGGCTGGCCTTGGAGGAATAGAGGGGAGGGAAGGAGACAGAACTGGGTCCTGGGAAAAAGGAGGCAGGCAGGCTCCATGCCAAGGGCTGGGATTAATCCTGGGCACCTAGCCTCTTCCTCTCTGAGTTCTCCTTCACCCTTTGCCAGTTTTCACCAGTGACTCTGATAGACTGGGGTGCAAATATAGAAATGACTAATGACATAAAAAAGTTGTTTGTCCATCGTATGTTCTCACTCATAAGTGGGAACTAAGCTATGAGGATGCAAAGGCATAAGAATGATACAATGGACTTTGGTGACTCAGGGGAAAGGGTGGAAAGGGAGTGAGGGATAAAAGACTACAAAGTGGGTTCAGTGTATACTGCTCTGGAGATAAGTGCACCAGAATCTCACAAATCACCAGCAAAGAACTTATGTAACCAAACATCACCCATTCCCCCCAAAACGTATGGAAATAAAACATTTTAAAAAAAGGAAAAGGTTTTAAGGTTTTTAAAATATGTGTAGGGAAAGATTATCTCAGATGTATTTTTAAAAAAACCAAGATATTTTATAGGGATTTAATAGATGTTTTCAAAATCAAAATAAAAGTTGTTTTTCCTCATTAGTAAGCCAGAAAGTTGGAATTAAAACTACAGTGATGTAAGTGCCTGAGTCTTAAGTAAGGGTCTTAATATTAGTCTTAAACAGAGGAGGGATAGGGTTAGAAACTTTCTAAATGAATGCTCCCTGACTGAACTCATTGTTTTAATGCAGCATATAATCCTCTGGATAAATCTCTGAATAAAATTTCAGATGAAAAGAACACTTAAATGGCCACATTATATCAACAGAAAGACAGGCATTTCAGGACTAAAAAAGAACATAACATATGGAATACTGAAAACCTGTACTGTAGCCCAGCGCCAGGCACCAGGTATGTCTTCAACAGATGTTAACTATGATTATGATTATTGTCACCCAATAACCATCTTTCCCATCTAGTATCTCATGGGAATTTCAGAGAATTCACGTGTATGGGAGTATAATGGAGATGGAGACTCTGTAGGGAATTGGGGTGCAGGGAAATTCATCTGTTTCACAATGCACACCCACATCAAGTGACTCTAATTCTCCTTTCAATAAGAGTTTTTGCTCTCAAAAACCCTCTTCTCTTCCAGACTGTCTCTCTCCTATGTAAGCCTAATGTTTTTCTCTCCTGCTTTATAGATTTTCCCTCATACCTCCTTCAAATTCTTTTCTGTGCCATGTAATGTGAAAGCCACAAAAATTGACCTCAGGTCATTACAGTCTACTAGAGGAGCTATAAACAACATTATTTAGAATAGAGAGGTTGACCACCGTGACATGCTAGAGGCATAAACGGTAGGGGTTCAGTGGAGAGGAGACATCATAAGACAAGTGGCATGGGCATTGGTCTTAAAGGATAAATTGGATTCTGTCTGAAAACAGTAGGAAATAATATTATTGGTGGAAGGAACAGTTTGAGCAAAGACACAAATGTGGCAAAAGCCAGGGTCTGATCTTCCCAGCTTGAATGCCAAACTAAGGGATCCAGGCTGTATTCTATAGGCCAACATTTTGAGCAGCTCATCTGAGCCATATTGGAGATATTAATCATAGACTGGTTGTCATGAATGGATGGGAAGAGGCAGGGGCAGGGTGCAGGAGGTCAGTAAAGAGGACATCCCCATTACTCTTCAACTCTCAGATAGTCAGATATAAATGTTAATTCTTGCCTTCTCAGAAATGTTTAAGGCATCTCCATTGTCCACAAAATAAAGAATAAACCCCTTAAAATGCCATTCAAGGCCTCCGTACTAGTCAGCTTGAGCTGCCATAATAAAATACCATAGACTTGGGGCTTAAACAACAGAAATTTATTTCCTCACAGTTATGGAGGCTAGAAGTTCAAGGTTCTGGCCAGTTCAGTTTCTGGTGAGGGCAGATGGCTTGCAAATGGCCACCTTCTTACTGTGTGCTTATGTGGCCTTTACTTGGTGGTGCTCATGGAGAGAGAGAGCAAGCTCTCTGGTGTTTCTTTCTATAAAGGCTAATCCTTTTGAATCAAGACTCCAGGGTCACACCCTATGACCTCATTTAACCTTAGTTCCATAGAGGCCCCATCTCCAAATAGAGCCAGACTGTGGGTTAGTGCTTTGACATACACATTTTTGTGAAACACAAACATTCAGTCCATGACAGCTTCCTAGGAAAACAGTAACTACCATCTGTGAAGTGCCTACTATAGTCTAGGCATTGTGTAAAGTTCTTTACCTACATTATTTCATTTAATCCCCTCAAGAACAGCATGAAGTAGGTATTTTGTTGTCTGCATTTTACAAATGAGTCTCAGGGAAGGTAAGTACTTTGTCTATAGCTGTACAGCCTTTAGGGGAGGAGGCAGACTTTTAAGGGGAATCCACCTTGAGGCAGGAGGAATCCACATTGAAGGGGAATTGGAAGCACTCCACTCCCCTGACTGACTGCTTCCGACTTCAGCTGTGGCTCTGTCCTCCCCACCCACTCTGGTCCCACTGTATAACTCAGCATTTTCTCCACGTGACATAATTCTTGAGGTCTTGTGTTTGCTCATGCTGTTTTCTCAGACTGTAATGCCTTTTTTTTCTTCTTTTTATTAATTGTTCAAGTTTCCCCTCAAGGGGCAATGCCTCTGTGAAACCTTCCTGTACATCTTTTTTGTTGTTGTTGAATCATATGTATGTGAAACCTTTCTAAATATTCCATGCTGTTTCATTTGGCCTTGCATTCTGGTTACCTGTCTAAATGTCTGTATTTCCTTGCCATACCACCAGATTATACATATTTTGAGATATTTTACATGTGTGTATTTTACACCATGCCCAGCACACAGTAGGTGCTTTAATAGACATTTACTGAGTGAAGGTCAAGGTGAGAGTTAGTGAAGCTATAAACTAGAGGAGTGGCAATGGAGATGCAAAGGAGAGGATGGATTGATAAGACCTGGTGACTTTGGATGTGGGGACTGAGGGAGAGGCCAAGATGACTTGAAAGTTTTTCAAGGTAAGAACATCAGTGTTACTATAGAAGCCAGGAGGTGTTGCTACTTGCGGGGAAAGACACCATTAATAGAGGCGGTAGTAGTAATAATAGCAGCTTCCACTAATTAAATACTTGAATCACTCAGCATGCCAAGTGCTTGTCATATATTGCTCACCTATTTCTCATAATAATCTTGTGAGGTGAGCATTATTCTCAATGCATAGATGATGAAATGGAGGCTCAGAGAGATTAAGCAAACTGCTCAAGGGGGCACAACTAGCAAGCATCAGAACTGAGATGCAAACTCAAGTCTGTCTGACTCCAAAGCTTGTGTCCTGAAGTATTATCCTCCTGAAAACTGCCGAGTGACTCTATTTCCTGTTCTCCAAGGGGCAGCAGGGGAGGTCTCGCCATTTGCCGACAACTCTTTGTGGTGTCTGGTGACTGATTGGTGGTCAGTGCCATGTTGGTTCTTCATGACACAGACAATCCCCTGCACACAGATGGGAAGTTCCCAGGGATGGGAGAGAACATGAGATGTCTCAGCCAGGCCCTGGATGTCTCCTTGCCTTCCCTCCTTCTCCTCTCGGGCTGTACAAGCTGTTCAGCAGAAGTTCTTAGAGCATCTAGTCTTGTTCCAAAGAGACATAGCCATGGCCAAAGAGAATCTGAGGAACGCTAGGAAAAGTCACCTCTTCTATGTATTTGGTGTAAACTGGGAAGAAAAGGTCCCAACATATCTCATCACAGTCAGCAGTAAACAAATATCTTTATCAATAGCAGCATCAACAGCTTGTATTATAAGTGGGTGTGAGGGATTCCACTTCTTGGAAGGTCAAGTGTGGGAGATATCCAGGACTCAGGTCACTGAAGTGGGCACATATCCCTAATAACGCAAGAGCCTGGTAATGGAAACAAAGATTTCAAATTTGTCAATGATAAAACTTTTCTTAGTTTTTCATCTTGGAGAAAAAGAGTAAGCTAACAGGAAGTACAAAACAGGAATACATATTGCAGAATTCTTTAGGTAATACTATACTAGGTTTGTGATTGTATTTTAAGACTGATTACATGAAAGAATATTAATTAGGCCTATGAGAAGTAGCAGTATAAGTGGTTTGACAGAAATGTGAGATGAATGTATAGCAGATTTCAGCAGATAATGGCAGAAGAGTTGGGGGATAGGTCTTTTCCAAAGACTAAATGGATTGACTTGTTTATTCCGGCAATGTAAAGGAAGGAGGAATGATTGTGACTTTCTTCCTGTGATATGAAAATTGAAATGGGTTGGGCGGGGCACAGTGGCTCACGCCTGTAATCCTAGCACTTTGGGAGGCCGAGGTGGGTGGATCACTTGGGGTCAGGAGTTTGAGACCAGCCTGGCCAATGTGGTGAAACCCCATCTCTACCAAAACGATAAAAAATTAGCTGGGTGTGGTGGTGGGCGTCTGTAATCCCAGCTACTTGGGAGGTTGAGGCAGGAGAATCGCTGGAACATGGGAGGCGGAGGTTGCAGTGAACCAAGATTGTGCCACTGCACTCCAGCCTGGGTGACAGAGTGAGACTCCATCTCAAAAAAAAAAAAAACAAAAAACAAAAAGAGTAATGGGTTTATATAGATACCTATGAGTAATAGATTTTCACCATGTCTACCTAGGTCAGCACACTAAATGCCCAGAAGGATGATGTGTGGGTGAAGAAGCAGAGCAACATAATATGGGAGGGGAACCCCTTCTTGGCAGATTTTAAAGAATAAAGTAAATGGAAGTCCTTGTTTCTTCAATTAGACAGTGAGTTTTCTTTTAGCTCTATTATTTTATAGAAGTTGTAGATGTTCTTAGTTTAACTTGTGTTAGTCCCATGTTCAGAAGTAGCTTTAACCTCTATTGCCTACTACGTGACTGAAGAATAATTTGGCATTTTTCCCTTTCAAAGTGAAGCATGAGCTTTCATAAAAATCTTCCCCCATTGTTGTTACAGCATTTTGGTATGCATTTATATTTCAGTAATTTTAATGTAGTATATTAATTTTGATTATAAATGTTTCCACACACATGCCTACTGGTGGTAATATTTTATGTTTACCTTCTCGTTTGTACATTTTATTTGGGAGTAATGCATTCTGATAACTCATTAGGATACATGGATGGAAAATTTTCATTTTAAAGTAGGATAGTTTTAAGCAACATTAACATTTAATTAGAGCTCTTCACTGCATTTTATTATGAGGTTATTCTGTAATTACTCAGCAGGTCCTGGTGTTTATTAATGCAGAAGTGACAGCACATAATACAACTAAATTATTGCCACATCTCTGGAAAAGACAATTGGAAAATGGGGAACAGATAGAGGCATTGTTTAAAGAGCCTCAGGGAAAAACAGCCTCAGAACATAATCCTTATTTTCTTTTGAACCTTTTTTTTCCATGACAATCCAGAGCAACATATAGCATGTAGACCTCCCCTACTATAGGTTAAGTAGCTTACATAATGGCTCCGGCTGCAATTTTCACATTTTGCATGAAACCGTTTTCTTGCAAGAGTAGATGTGAAGTGGAGCCTGTTAGATATAGTTCTAAATTGCTCAGATACATTATATGTGGGGAGAGTAGAAACCTTCAAATAAATGCCAGAAACTGAGGTTTCTAAGAAGCTTTATGCTTTTTAAATAATCATCCTTTTCTCCTTTTTAATTAGAATACAGATATTATATTATGACCAGAGAACATAATGGTTAGAAAGCTCCATCAAATGCACTCTGACCCTTTATAACACTGCAGGGATGTGCAGGCTGTAATTTTCATATATGAGTGCCCTGAAATTCTTCTTTCCTTTTTAAGTTTTCTTTTATGCAGACCTCATAATCCTGCTGCTAATTTGATTCCCTGTCCGTTTTCCTCATTATGCCCAAGCTGCTTCTGGACACTTAAAGTGAATTGAGGCAACTATTTTGATATTGTGGGTGAAAATTAGTTTTAACTAAGACATCCAGATAACAGGTGTATGTGTATATGTGTGTGTGTTTGTGTGTGTGTGTGTGTGTAGTTGGTCTTGGGGGGTATTGACCTGAGGAGATAACATCTCTGGAATGGGCTACCTTGATAAATCACCTGAACTCTCCTCTTCGTAAGCACTAGAGCAATGACAGCAGACATTCTTGCTTTATTCCTGATCTTGGGAGAAAAATCATTCAGCCTTTCATCCCTAAATATAATGTTAGCTGTAGATATTTTGTAGGTACTTGTATTAGTTTGCTAAGGTTTCCATAACAAAGTACCATCAACTGAGTGGCTTAAATAACAGAAGTTTGTTTCTCACATTTCTGGAGCCTAGAAGTCCAAGAACCAGGTGTAGGCAGGTTTATTTTCTTTGGAGCTTCTCTTCCTGGCTTGTGGACGGCCTCCTTCTCGCTATATCCTTATATGGTCTTTCCTCTGTGCGGGCTTATCCCTGGTGCTTCTCTGTTTGTCCAAATTTCCTCTTCTCATAGAGACGACAGTCAGATTGGATTAGGGTCCACCCTAACGGCCTCATTTTGATTTAGTTACCTCTTTAAAGGTTCTGTCTCCAAACACAGTCACATTCTGAGGTACTGGGGATTAGGGCATTACATAAATTTTGGGGTAACACAATTTAGCCCACTGACAATACCTTTTATTAGGTTAAGGAAGTTCCACTCTATTTCGGTTTGCTGAGAGTTTTTAAAATCACGAATGAATATTGAATTTTGCCAAGTGATATTTTTGCATACATTGATAGGATCATGTGGTTTTCTTTAGAATGTCATAATGATGGGTTACATTGATTGATGTTTGCATGTTGAACAAGTATGTTATTCTTTTTTATATCTTGTTGGATTAAATTTGCTAATATTTTATTGAGTGTTTTTGCAAAAATATTCATAAGGCATATCATTTTATTTTCTTGTAATATCTTTGTCTGGACTTAGTATCAGAGTAATGCTGGCCTGATAAAATAAGTTGGGAAGTGTTCCCTTCTCTTTTATTTTCTGGGAAAGTTTGTTTAGAATCTGTATTATTTCGCCAGGCGCGGTGGCTCATGCCTGTAATCCCAGCCAAGGCGGGCGGATCACAAGGTCAGGAGATCCAGACCATCCTGGCTAACATGGTGAAACCCCGTCTCTACTAGAAATACAAAAAAATTAGCCGGGTGTGGTGGCGGGTGCCTGTAGTCCCAGCTACTTGGGAGGCTGAGGCAGGAGAGTGGCGTGAACCCGGGAGGCGGAGCTTGCAGAGAGCCAAGATTGCGCCACTGCACTCCAACCTGGGTGACAGAGTGAGATGCCATCAGAAAAAAAAAAAGAAAAAAGAATCTGTGTTATTTCTTAATTTTTTTTTTTGAGACGGAGTCTTGCTCTGTCTCCCAGGCTGGAGTGCAGTGGCACGATCTTGGCTCACTGTAACCTCTGCCTGCTGGGTTACAAGTGATCTTCCTGCCTCAGCCTCCCTAGTAGCTAGGACTACAGGTGCGTGCCACCACTCCCAGCTAATTTTTGTATTTTTGGTAGAGACAGGGTTTTACCATGTTGGCCAGGCTGGTCTCAAACTCCTGACCTCAAGTGATCTACCAGCCTCGGCCTCCCAAAAGTGCTAGGATTACAGAGGTGAGACACCATGCCTGGCCATTTCGTCTTTAATGGTTTTGGTAGAATTCATCAATTAAGTACCTGGAGCCTGAAGATTTCTTTTTCAGGTGATTTTTAACTCCTAATTCAATTTTCCCCAGGTTTTCTATTTCATCTTGAGTGAGTTGTTAGTTTGTGGTTTGCAGAAGTGCTCCATTTTATCTGTTATTGAATTTATGTGTGTAGAATCGTTTGCAACATCCTCTTATTATTCTTTTAATTTCTACGGTATGTCACCCTTTTTATTCCTGATGTTGGTAGTTTGTGACTTCTCTGTTTTTTCCTTTGTCAGTGTTGCTAGAAGTTTGTATTAGTCTGTTCTCTAATTGCTATTAAGAACTACCTGAGACTGGGTAATTTATAAAGAAAAAAGGTTTAATTGGCTCACACAGTTTTGTAGGCTATACTGGACGCATGGCTGAGGAGGCCTCAAGAAACTTTCAATCATGGTGGAAGGTGAAGAGGAAGGAGGCATGCCTTACACGGCTGGAGCAGGAGGAGGAGAGAGCGAGGGTGGGGGTGCTACACACTTTCGAACAACCAGATCTCGTGAGAACTCACTCACTAACCCGAGAACAGCAAGGAGGAAATCCACCCTCTGGATCCAATCACCTCCCACCAGGCTCCTCCTCCAACACAGGGGGATTACAATTTTACGTGAGATTTAGTCAGGGACACAAATCCAGACCATATCAGGTTTATCCGTTTTATTGATCTTCTTTTTTAGTCTTGATGGAAACTTATCAATCGTATTGATCTCTTAAAGGGAACTACCTCTTTGTTTCACTAATATTCTCTACTGTTTTTCTTTTTTCCGTTTCATTGATTGTTGCTTTTAACTTTTTTATCCTCTTCCTTGTGCTTGCATTGGATTTATTTTGTTCCAGGTAGAAGCTTAAATGAACTAATTTGAGACCTTCTTTCTTAATGTGAGCATTTAATGCTTTAAATTTCCCTCTAAGCTCTCCTTTAATTTCATTCCATAATTTTTGATATATTGTAGTTTTATTTTATTCAGTTAAAAATATTTTCTAATTTCCCTTGATAACTCCGCTTTGACCCATGGATTATTTAGAAGTATATTGTTTAATTTCCAAGTGTTTTGTAGATTTTCCTGTTATCTTCCTATTATTGATTTCTAGCTTAATTCCATTACAGTCAGGGAACATACTTTGCATGACTCAACTCTTTGAAATCTATAGGATACACTCTGTCTTGGTGAATGTTTCATAAGTATCTGAAAAAAATGTACAATCTACCTGTCGAATGAAATGTCCTATAATGAAATTAGATTTAGTTGGTTGATAGTATTGTTCTGTTCTATATCCTTGCTAATTTTATATCTACTAGTTCTGTTGATTAGCGAGAGAGAAGTATAGAAGTCTCCAATTATAATTTTGGATGTATCTATTTCTTCTTTTAGTTCTCTCACTTTTTAGTTCATGAAGCTTTATGTTTTTTACTTGTTCATTTGTTTGTTTTGTGACAAGGTCTCACTTTGTCACCCAGGCTGGATTGCAGTGGTGTGAACACAGCTCACTGCAGCCTCAACTTCCCAGGCTCAAGTGATCCTCCTGCCCTTAGCCCCCCAAGTAGCTGAGACTACAGGTGTGCACCACCACGCCTGGCTAATTTTTGTATTTTTCATGGAGATGGGGTTTTGTCACGTTGCCCAGGGTTGTCTCAAACTCCTGAGCTCAGGTGATCTGCCCACCTTGGCTTCCCAAAGTGCTAGGATTATAGGTGTGAGCCACTGCGTCCAGCCTGCTTTGTTGTTAGGTGCATACACATTTAGGATTGTTATGTGTTTTTGATGAACTGACCCTTTTATCATTGTATAATGTCTCTTTATCCCTGGCTCTAACATTTACTTTGTCTGTTACTAATAACGCCATGCCAGCTTTCTTTTAATTCGTGTTTGAATGGTATATTCTTTCCATTATTTTACTTAACATACCTATATCTTTATATTTGTGGTGCATTTCTTGTAGGCAACATGTGATCTCATGTTTTTATTGACTTCTAAATCCATTTATATCCATTCTGATCTCTGTCTTTTAATTGATATAGTTAGAATATTTACACTTAATTTAGCATTTACATGTAATTATTGAAATATCTAAATTTGAACCTACTATTTTATTATATGTGTTCTGTTTTTCCTCTGATTTTTATTTCTCTATTTCCCTTTCAGCTTCTTTTCTGGGGATAGTTGAACAAATTTTAGTATTCTATTTAATTTGTTCATTTTGTCTTTGACCGTTTTTTGGTATTTCTTTTTAGTAGTTGATCTAGGGATTATAATAACATCATAATAATATATAATAGCATAACTCATAACATTCTACTTAGAATCAATATTATACCTCTTCAAGTATGTTCAGTAAAGGATTAATTCAGCAGGCTTGCAATGTTCAAGGCCTGAACATTCCCAAAAAAGGACTGGCCTTTGACCAGCTTCTGGGAGGTAATCTCTAAGCCCTTTGAATATCCTGTTTGATAGAAGTATCTTTGTATACCTGGGCCTTGGGCCTTGCCAGATAGTTTATGCCAACAGTGTGATTTATGACTGGGGCCTTGTCCACGTTGTATCCGTTTGACCTCTGTAGAAGCTGGAGACTGAGTAAGGTTTGTCATATGGATGTTTCATGCCTATGTGGCCAACCCCCAAAACAAATCCTGGACACCAAATCCTGGCACTGGTTGGCAGTCAGCCATATGTGTTTTCACACATCATTGTGGGGAAAATTAAGAAGACAACTGGAAGCTTGCTCTTGGTTTCTCCTGAACTCTGCCCCATGCATTTTTTACCTTTGCTGATTTTATCTGTATCCTTTTGCTGTAATAAGCCGTAACCATGATCATTAACAGCTTTTCTGAGTTCTGTGAATCTTTCTAGCAAATCAGTGAACCTGAGTGTGGTTGTAGGGACCCCAACACAAAGTGAAATGTAGAATCTTGCCACCATATGCATCTCTTTATTTTCCACAATCTATGTCATAGTTGTCTTATCTAATACATTTACATACAATAAAAACCTCATCAGATATTGTTGTAACTTTTGCTTTTGGTTGTCACACATATTTTAAAGACCTCAAGAGGAGATTTGTCTATTATACTTAACCAGATATTTAACATTTCTGTTGCTCTTTCTTCATTCTTAATCTTCCACATTTCCTTGTGGTATCATTTTCCTTCTGTCTAAAGAATTTCTTTTAGCACTTCTTTTAGAGTAGGTCTGTTGACAGTAAATTATCATGGTTTTTCTTGCCTGAGATGTCCTTTATTTATTCATTTATTTTTTAAAAAACCTGTCATTTGTGAAGGATATTTTCACTGGATATTTCACTCTGTGTTGACAACTATTTTCTTTCAGCACTGTAAAAAATGTCATTTTACTGGGCCGGGTGCGGTGGCTCACGCCTGTAATCCCAGCACTTTGGGAGGCCAAGGTGGGTGGATCACGAGGTCAGGAGATCGACCATCCTGGCTGACACGGTGAAACCCCGTCTTTACTAAAAATACAAAAAAAAAAAAAAAATTAGCCAGGCGTGGTGGCGGGCGCCTGTAGTCCCAGCTACTTGGGAGGCTAAGGCTGGAGAATGGTGTGAACCCGGGAGGCGGAGCTTGCAGTGAGCTGAGATTGCACCACTGCACTCCAGCCTGGGCAACAGAGGGAGACTCCCTCTCAAAAAAAAAAAATGTCATTTTACTTCTGGCCTCCATGGTTTCCAGCGAGAAATCTGGAATTATTTGAATCATTATTCACCTATAAGTAGTGCACTGTTGTCCTTGTCTTTAGGTTTTTTTTTTTTTTTTTTTTTTTTGACGGCTGGAGTGCAGTGGTGCAATCTTGGCTCAATGCAACCTCTGCCTCCCGGGTTCGGGTTCAAGTGATTCTCCTGCTTCAGCCTCCCAAGAAGCTGGGACTACAGGCGCATGCCACCACGCCTGGCTAATTTTTGTATTTTTAGTAGAGATGGAGTTTTGCCATGTTGGCCAGGCTGGTCTCGAACTCCTGACCTCAGGTGATCCACCCGCCTCAGCCTCCCAAAGTGCTGGCATTATAGGTGTGAGCCACCCCGCCTGGCCTAGTGTTTTGTTTTCAGCAATTTGATTATGATGTATTTGGGCATGTATTTCTTTTGGGGCTGGGGCTTACTGGTTCTCAAATCTGTAAGTTTTATGTTTTATGTCTTTCACCAAAGGTAGTAAATTTTTAGCTGTTATTTCTTTAAATATTTTTTTAGCCCCACACCCTTTTTCCTTTCCTGATGAGATTCCTGTAACACAGATGTTAGGCTTTTTGGTATAGCACCTTAGGTCACAGAGGCTCCACTCAATTATATTTTTAATTTTTTTTCTTTCTATTGTTGAACAATTTCTATTGATCTATCTTCAAGTTCACTGATGCATTCATCTGTCATCTTTATTTGCTATTAAGCTCTTTCAGTGAGTTTTAAAATTTTGGCTATTGTATTTATTAGCCCCAAAATTTCTATTTGGTTCTTCTTTCTATTTTCTATTTTTTTTTGCTGGGATTTTCTATCTTTCTGTTTGCTTTAAGAGTGTTTGCCATACTTCTTGGAGCACTTTTGCATTAGCTGCATTATAATCTCTCTCAGATACTTGCAATATGTGTGTAATCTTGATGTTTGTGTCTGTTAATCATGTTTTGTTACTTAAGTTGAGATTTTCCTGATTCTTTATATGCTTATTACTTTTGGATTATATCCTGGAAATTTTGAATAATATGATAATATGTTATGAGACTCTAGGTCTTGTTTAAATCCTATGGATAATGTTGGTCTTCTTGCTTTAGTAGGCAATTCACTCATTTGGATACAGGCTGTAAGTTCTGACCTTTCTTCTGTGGGTTATGGTTTCAATGTCAGTTCTGCTTTCAAAGGTTTTGAAGTGCTATTTGAATCTGTCTCATGTGTGCACCATCCATTGGTCAATCTGGGACCTGAGCAGTGGTCTATCCTATAGTTTAGTTCTCAAGTCTATGATATCCCACATGTGTAGTTTGAGAGTGAGTCAATGAGCTCATAAACAATGTCATGTGGTCACTTTCCTGATCTCCTTCCTTTCTATGATCTTTGTGGTCCTTTCCAGTTCACTGGCCCTATTTTTGTCTTTTTAGGCAGAAAGCTGGAATTTTGTGATCATAGTTTGCCACAGAAGTCTCATAATTGCACCCGCATCTGGGGCTAAGCAGTAGGAGGAAATAGAAGAAAAAAATCAACTCCTGTTTGAGTTGATCCATCCTCATGGGACCACAGCTTCTCTGAGGAGAGAAGAAAGTTTCCATTCCACAAAGTTTTAGGTACCTGTGGACCCTGCTGCTGCTGCTGTTGCTGCCATTAACGCCACTACTGCCACGAATGGAGGATTTCCTGGCGGCCAGGACATGATAGCGTGGAGATTGTAAAAGAAAAAAAAAAATAGGCGGGTGGAGAAAAATGGCGGACTACAAGCCTACATCCTTCCTACTACCCACAGGAACCCAAATTTTAAAAACTATCTGCACACAGAAAAGCACCATCATAAGAACCAAAAATCAGGTGAGCAATCATAGTACCTGTCTTTAACTTCATATCATTGAAAGAGACATTGAGGAGGGCAGGAGAGAAAATCTTGAAATGCTGATGCCACGCCTCTCCCATCCCCTGGCAGCAGCCTTGTAGTGTGGAGAGTCTGTGCCATTGGAGGAGGGAGAGCAGTGACTGGGGGGCTTTACATTGAACTCAGTACTGTCTTGTCATAGCAGAGAGTAAAGCCGTGCTGCGCTCAGTCAGTGCCGGTGCACCGAGGGAGAACTTGGATCAGACCTAGCCAGAGGGGAACCACTCATCCCATTGGTTGGACCTAAAATTTCTTGGCACGCTTTGCCACTGGGGCCCAAAGTGCTCTGGGGTCATAGGTAAACTTGAAAGACAATCTAGGACACAAGAACTGCAAATCCTAGGCAACTCCTAGTGCTGGGTTGGGCTCAGAGCCACAGGACTAAAGTGGCACGTGACCTAGGAAGACACCAGTCAGGGCAGCTAAAGGAGCGCTTGCACTGTCCCTCCCCTAACACCAGGCAGTGCAGCTTGTAGCAATGACATTGTCTCCTTCCTTCTGCTTAAGGGGTGGAGAGTGAAGAATAAAGAGGACTTTGTCTTCCATCTTGGATAGCAGTTCAGCCATAGTAGGAGAGGGCACTGGGCAGAGCTATGAGGGCCCTGTTCCAGGCCCTAGCTCCTGGATTACATTTCTAGACACACCCTGGGCCAAAAGGGAACCTGTTGCCTTGAAGGAAGGAGCCAGTCCTAGCAGGATTTATTACCTCCTGACCAAAGAGCAACTGGGCCCTGAATAACCAGCAGTGATACCCAGGTAGTACGCTGTGGGCCTTGGGCTCTAGATGTGCTGACTTCAGGTGTGACCCAGCACATTCCTAGCTGTAGTGGCTATGATGAAAGACCCCTTTGGTTTGAGAAAAGCAGAGGGAAAAGTGAAGGGACTTTGTCTTACACCTTAGGTACCAGCCACAGTGAGGTAGAGCACCAAGTGGGTTCTTGGGGTCCCTGAATCCAGGCCTAGGCTCTTGGACAGCATTTCTGGACCTGCCCTGGAGCAGAGGGGAACCCACTTCCCTGAAGGGTGAGTCCCAGGCCTGGCAGCATTCACCACAAGCTGACTGCAGAATCCTTGGGTTTTAAGTGAACGTCGGCGGTGGCCTGGCAGAATGAAACTTGATGGTGGTGGCTACAGGGAGAGGCTCCTCTGCTATGGAAAAGAGGAGGGAGATTGGGAGGACTTTATATTATGGTTTAAGTGCCAGCTTGGCTGCAGTAGAATAGAACATCAGGCAAATTTCTAAGGTTTTTGATTCCAATCAAATAATCAAATCAAAATGGATTAAAGGCTTATCAAAATGGATTAAAGAGTTAAACCTGAAACTGAAACTACTAAAAGAAAACACTGGGGAAACTCTCCAAGACATTGGTCTGGATAAAGATTTCATGAGAAATATTCCACAAGCACAGGCAACCAAAATAGAAATGGACAAATGAGATCCCAGCTTCTGCACAGTGAAGGAAACAATCAACAAAATGAAGAGACAACCCACAGAATGGGAGAATATATTTGCAAATTACTCATCTGACAGGGGGTTAATAGCCAGAATATATAAGAAGCTCAAACAACTCTATAGGAAAAAATCTAATACCCATTTAAAAAATGGGTAAAGGATCTCAATAGACATTTCTCAAAAGAGGACATACAAATGACAAATATATACATGAAAAGGTGCTCAGCATCACTGATCATCAAAAAACGCAAATCAAGCCACAATGAGATATCATCTTATCTCTGTTAAGATGGCTTATAGCCAAAATACAGGCGATAACAAATGCTAGAGAGGATGTGGATAAAAGGGAACCCTCATACACTGTTGGTGGGAATGTAAACTAGTATAGTCACTGTGGAAAAGTTGGAGGTTCCTCAAAAAACTAAAAGTTGAGCTACGATATAATCCAGCAATCCCACTGCTGGGTGTATACCAGAAGTGTATACCCAAAAGAAAGGAAATCAGTATATCAAAGATATATCTGCAATTCCATGTTTGTTGCAGCACTGTTCACAATAGCCAAGATTTGAAAGCAACCTAAGTTTCCATCAACAGATGAATGGATAAAGAAAATGTGGTACATATACACAATGGAGTACTATTCAGCCATTAAAAAGAATGAGATCCTGTCATTTGCAACCACATGGATGCAACTGGAGGTCGTTATGCTAAGTGAAATAAGCCAGGTATAGAAAGACAAACATTGCATGTTCTCACTTATTTGTGGGATCTAAAAACCAAACAATTGAACATATGGAGATGGAGAGTAGAAGGATGGTGACCAGAGGCTGGGAAGGGTAGTGAGGGATTGGGGGCAAGTGGGGATGGCTAATGGATAGAAAAAGTACTTTGAAAGAATGAATGAATAATACCTAGTATTTTATAGCACAAGATGACTATCGTCGAAATAATTCAATTGCACATTTAAAAATAACGAAAAGAGTATAATTGGATTGTCTTTAACACAAAGGATAAATCCTTGAGGAAATGGATACCCCGTTTTCCATGATGTGATTATTATGCATTATATGCCTGTAGCAAAATATCTGATGTACCCCATAAATATGTACACCTACTATGTGCCAACAAAAATAAAAATTAAAAAAAAAAAGGAAGAAGAAGAGGGGGCAACAATCCCCAGACTGACCAAAGCCGGCATACCGCCTATGTCCCACCACCACCATGCCCAAGAGGAAGGCTGAAGGGGGTGCTAAAGGAGACAAAGCCAAGGTGAAGGACAAACCACAGAGAAGATCTGCAAGGTTGTCTCTGCTAAACCTGCTCCTCCAAAGCCAGAGCCCAAGCCTAAAAAGGCCCCTGCAAAAAAGGGAGAAAAGATACCCAAAGGGAAAAAAGGAAAAGCTGATGCTGGCAAGGAGGGGAATAAGCCTGCAGAAAATGGAGATGCCAAACAGAGCAGGCCCAGAAAGCTGAAGGCACTGGAGATGCCAAGTGAAGTGTCTGCATTTTTGATTACTGTGTACTTCTGGTGACTGTACAGTTTGAAATACTATTTTTTAAAATCAAGTTTTATAAAAGCGCAGAATTTTGTTTTACTTTTTTTTTTCTTAAGCTATGTTGTTAGCACACAGAACACTTCCTTGTTGTTTTTGGGGGATGGGGCATGTGTCACTCATGGAATGTCTCTGAAGCTGGATTGATGGGGGGAGAACACTTTTCCGTTCTGTTTTTTTGTATTTTTTTTTTTTTTTTTTTTTGAGACAGAGTCTTTCTCTGTTGCCCAGGCTGAAGTGCAGTGGTGCGATCTCAGCTCACTGCAAGCTCTGCCTCCTGGGTTCACGCCATTCTCCTGCCTCAGCCTCCTGGGTAGCTGGGACTACAGGCGCCTGCTTTGAGAAACTTCCTCTTGGCTCCCAAGGGAGGGATTTCCTGACTTTGACACACATGGCCACCTTGGCACAAAAGCCTAGTGGTATGAAAAACAAATTCGTTTTTATGTCCTCTTCTCCCTTTCCACCTTTCAGCATAGACTTAACTCCCTCAAACCCAGACATCTGTTGGGACCTGACCCCAAATAATTGGTTACCAGTGTGTCAGGCAATCTGGACTTTCCAGTGATGCCACTGAGATGGCACCCCTCAAAAGAGCAGGGGTTCCATTTCTAGACTGTGGATCTTCGGATAAATTCTGCCGTTTTCATTTCACTTCCTGAAAGTCAGGATTGGCTTGTGAAAAGTTGTTAAACAACATGCTAAATGTGAAATGTCAGTCCTCACTCTAAACCTCTAAAGTTTCTCTGTTCAGAGCATCAGATGAAGACTTCATTGTTTTTTTTTTTTTTTGAGGGTCTCACTCTGTCACCCAGACTGGAGTGCAGTGGTGCGATCTCGACCTCTGCCTCCCAGGCTCGAGTGATCCTCCTGCCTCAGCCTCCTGGGTAGCTGGGATTACAGGTGCACACTACTACTGCCCCGCTAATTCGTTGGGTTTTATAGTGGGTTTCCAACTTTTGGTAGTCCATGGAAGAAGGGAGTTTGAAAATTGTTGTATATTGTTAATGATTGTCTGCTCCCATCCTGCCTGAAATACCATGATTATTTATGAAAAGTATCTTTAATAAGGCTGGATACAGTTTGGCTTGGAAAAAAATTTTTTTAAAAAGAAAGTAAAATGGGAGCTTTTTCCCACTTTGTCTGAGTATTAGGAGTCTCCTGTACCATTCTTATCCAAAATTTGAAGGCTTCTCCTGGAGTTGTCTGTGTTTATTTCCTGGTACCTACTTCTGGGTTTTGGCTTGCCTTGTGTCAAGGCTGAGTGATACTCGTGGAAAAACAGGAACTCATCTACCCGTCCTCCCACTGGTCTACTATTTACTTTTCTGATTCCTCAAATAGCTTCTCCAGGCATTATTTCCAGGTTTTATATTTTTATCGAGTGGGTGAGACAGAGTAGAGTGGGCTTATTCAATTTTACCTGGAACTGGCACTTTTTTTTTTTTTTTTGAGATGGAGTTTTGCTCTGTCGCCCAGGCTGGAGTGCAGTGGCGTGATCTCAGCTCACTGCAAGCTCCGCCTCCCAGGTTCATGCCATTCTCCTGCCTTAGCCTCCCGAGTAGCTGGGAGGCGCCTACCACCAAGCCTGGCTAATTTTTTTTATATTTTTAGTAGAGACGGGGTTTCACTATGTTAGCCAGGATGGTCTCGATCTCCTGACCTTGTGATCCACCCGCCTCAGCCTCCCAAAGTGCTAGGATTATAGGCATGAGCCACCACGCTGGGCTGGAACTGGCAGTCTTATATGTAACTCTTTAGTTTTGTCTTTGAGGTTCCAAGGTAGGTAATTTACGATCACAGCAGTCTTTGTGGTAAACATATGAATACTTGTGACCTATTGGTTTTATTCCAATGGTAATGGTAGCTGGGCTGTTACAGAAGAAACTCAGGAAGGAGGCAACACTTACCCTTCCCCACCAGCATTTGCACTCTTACAATTTACCTGCCAATGATGCCTTCTGTGAGCAGTGTTGTGAATCTTGGGTTACTGATCCCAAACAAAATTGGGAAGTTGGTTAAATGCACCATGGAGAACACACCCTTTTCCTTCCACAGGCTTTGCCAACCTCATGACACTTTATGCACTTCCTCATGCAGAAGGATTCCTGCATCCCTTTATTCCTGGAATGGGTATATTGGGTCTAATCATATGTATCAACTATGATTAGAGTGCTGTGTTGAGGTGATTGTTTTGTCTAAGCTCAGAGGGAAATTGGGCTGGGTTCCATTAGTGATGTCTGTTATGGTCTAGATAAAAATCAATGGCAGCAGCATGCTATTGTGTTATTTGTCAATGTTCCTCTTCTTATGTCAGAATTGTATACAAAAAGATTTGCTATTGTCCGGTGCAGTTTTTGTGTGAATTTAAGGTAACTGGCCTCCCTTACCTCATATCCCTTCTACTATCATTCTCTCTAATTGTGAACTAAAGGCTTGATCATCTGTTAAAGTAATTTCTGGGATCAGTGAGCAGATGTAGGAAGCTTTTGGGGAGAGGTAAGTGGTGGGTGTGAGTAGGCAGACTTTCCTTGAATCCTCTCATACTGTCTTGTACATCTAGTAAGGCCAATCATATCCATCTGGGTATAATAAAATAACATGGGAACTTTTCCTGATTGGAAGAGGGGATGGACAGCCTTAAAGGGCTGGCCAGGCAAATTACATGATGTCGGTTTTTAGGTAGAGTTTCTTTGCAGGGTCAGTTGTTGCTGTTTTTTCTTTCCTACAAAAGTCACTCCACTGAAAAGGACCCACTACTTGCAGTACAACCCCAAGAGCACTTGGCCTCCATGCAGGCAGGAAAGAGCATCTGATTAGGAAGAGCCTAGCTGACCTGGACATATGTGAGCTAGCTTGGAAGAGCAATGAGGGCTGTGGGTTTTGGAATAACATCCACTTGGCTTTGAATTGTGAACTTAGCAATTTACTCATTGTAATACTGAGGGTAAATTGGTATTCTTTTGAGCCTGTTTCCTCATCTGTAAAATAGAATAATAATGTTTACCCATTTCCCTCTCTGTAGGGTAACTGTGGAAGCTGACAGACATAAGCCGAAGAAGAAAATGATTGGCATCACTGTAGGTCCTCAGCAAATGTTAGTTCTTTAATATTCTTAGATTGTGTTGTGGGTGGCAGGCAATCACTGCTCAACTTGGCTCTTCTGTCTAGGGTGGGTGGAAGCAGGATAAAATCATGGGAGGTCACATTGAGTTGAAAGTCTTGACCTTTCTTGGATGGGTAAAGGAGCCATCATGTTTTTCATGCTGAAAATAAATTAGTCCCTCAAGTCAAACGTTACCAGAGCTAATAATGAGCTACCTTTTTATAGCAACTGCCATGATATTCAGAACAATTTTTAATTGTGAGTCTCTTTCTTTAAAATAAAAAGTTCACATGAGCAAATGCTAATATTTTAAGAAAATTCTTGGAGGGACTTTAATTGACACATGTAAATGCTGTAGTTCAATTTGCATTTAAATAGACATTCTAAACATTTTCTTTTAAATGGGCTTTATTTCTCTCTTGTAAAACTAAAAATTGATTTTTTCTTTTTAGCAAAATGGGTGCCTGGTAAGGTTCATGGTTAAGAGATGTGGTGCAGCTGTTCTTTTATCTCCTACTCAGAGTGGAAATAGCCTTACCAGAGCAAGGCACAGTGAACAATAGAAGTAATATTTTTAAAAAATGTGCCTCTGCAAAGGATTGATCAGTGGCTTAACAAAGATTGACATCAGCGTGACATTCTCTGCAACAATGCACAAGGCTGCACAGAAAAATCTTCCCTATTTACAAGCACAGTCAACCTTTCATCTCTGATTTCCCCTGAAGACCGCAGTGACCCTCTTAAAATATACTGCAGGGGTAAGCTTTTTTTTCTCCCTTTCCTTCTTCTATATTGGAATAGGAGACTTCTCTGAAAAAGCCTCTAATAGTGGAGTTTTGGGAGATGGAATTCTCATCTGGAATTTTTTACCAAAGGAATTTTATTTTATTTTATTTTATTATTATTATTTTTTTTGGTGAGACAGAGTCTCACTCTGTTGCCCAAGCTGGAGTGCAGTGGCATGATCTTGGCTCACTGCAACCTCCACCTCCCTGGTTCAAACGATTCTCCTGCCTCAGCCTCCCAAGTAGCTGGGATTACAGACACATGCCACCATACCCAGCTAATTTTTTTTGTATTTTTAGTAGAGACGAGGTTTCACCATATTGGCCAGGCTGGTCTCAAACTCCCAACCTCAGGTGATCCACCCATCTCAGCCTCCCAAAGTGCTGGGATTACAGGCGTGAGTCACTGTGCCCAACCACCAAAGTAATTCTTGAAGAGGTGTTTGGTACATTTTCCCAGGTTCCTGAGAAGGAGAATCACAGGATGGAGCTTAGAATTTATTGAGGTCCCTTATTTAAGTCTCACTTTAGGTGTATGGCAGGAAAGACTAGGGACTCACCCGAGTCCTTGTTCTCCTCTTCATTCTGGGCTAGACTATGTGCCCTTCGTACAGTTAGGTTTGGTCACATGCCTGAGTTTTATTCAAAATTGATACATACTACTTCCAGCTTGGTTCATAAAAACCTCCCACATGTACCTTGCTTTTTTCTCCTAATGGCTGGTTGGAATGATGCGATTCCCAGGGCAACCTTGGAAGCCACTTGTTGAGGATGTTATGACTCTATGAGCTTGAGTTCCCTGAATGACTATTCTGCCAAGTTATTCACTTGCTCAGTACTGTTTCCATGAGCAAGAAATAAACTTCTATTGAATCTGGGCCATTATACATTTTTTTTTCATTTGCTATAGCAGGTAGCCTATCCTTATAAAATAAATAATAAAACCTCCCTTATAATAATATTTTGGTATACTATGTATTTTAACAGTGCTATGAGTTCTGCTGACATAGGACCAGCACTCCTTTAAGTGCTTGGTATAACACTTAATCCTCATACATCCCCTTCTCTGGGAATCTGAGGCCTAGGTTATTGTGCAGTGATTCTAAAGTAGATTTTACTCAGAATGTCTGGTATTCTCATCCTTCTAGATTACTTCAAGGACCTTTCTTTTCTTGAAAACAGTCACAATATATTCAACCATTCATTCATTTGACCATTTGATGAATAAATCATCCATTCATTTGATGATCTGTTCTCAAAAATGTTCCAGACATGAAAGGCAGTTTACAAGATGAATAAAATACAACAAAATGGCCTATGAAAACCGGAGTGAAATAAGAAAGGAAAACAAGAATAGAATCAACAAAATGGAGCCAAGAATATAGCTAACACACAGAAGAGTTTATCTTGTTTACCCCTGCTCTCTCTGACATCTTCTTTCTGAAGCTGCTCCTGGCTGCTGCTTCTCACCTCTTCTCCATAAATCCTAATTTCTTGGAAGATCATTTTTTTAAACATTTCCTGATGGTCCTGATTTGTCATCTGCTCCTATGGGATGCTTGGTGGCTTCTCATCATTTTAAACTTCATTACCTTTGGGTAATTTGGTCTGGGGAAATTTAACCCTATAAGTCTTTTTTCTTATCACTCATAAGACTTTTTTTTTTTTTTAAATATACTACACTTATTTGCCATTTACAGTGATTCTTTTTTTCCCATTTACCTGCCCCTTTTTGGTTATAGTTATTCTCTTGTGAGTTTTTCTGTGCCACTCTATTACTAATTCTCCCTCCCTCCCACCCTCCCTCACTCTCTTCCTTCCTTCCTTTTTTTCGAGACGGAGTTTCACTCTTGTTGTCCAGGCTAGAGTGCAGTGGTGCGATCTCAGCTCACTGCAATGTCTGCCTCCTGGGTTCAAGCGATTCTCCTGTGTCATCCTCCTGCGTAGCTGGGATTACAGGCACCTGCTACCATGCCCAGCTAATTTTTTGTATTTTTAGTAGAGACAGGGTTTCACCATGTTGGTCAGGCTGGTCTCGAACTCCTGACCTCAGGTGTTCCACCTGCTTCAGCCTCCCAAAGTGCTGGGATTATAGGCATGAGCCACCGCACCCAGCCTACTGATTTTTCTTTTTCTTCTTTTTTTAAATGTTTTTATTGGGCTTCTTTTTAAAATTGATGTATAGGTATTATTTGCGTATGAACAGTATTAATCCCATTTTTAATTTATGTTACAAATATTTTTCCCAATCTGCCTTTTGTCTTTTGAAAATATGCATGCAAGTTATATTCCTTTGCACTTCCTAAAAAATGTCAACGTATACTTTTTATTTGTACATGTAATACCTTATACATTCTTATAAAAAGTCAAGGGGTATAAATTATATAAAGAAGATATCTCCTTTTTAACCTTTCCTCCTGTGAGGTCATTTCACTTCTCTCTTTGGCAAAAAAAAAAAACAAAAACCCAGAAACACTGTATCTATCGGTTTGGTGTGTATCCTTTGAGATATTTAATTTTCTACACATTTACGTTTGAACGCTCATGTAGAATCATATATATATATGCACAAATTATCATGCTGTATATAGTATTCTGTAAGTTACTTTTTTCACTTAAGTGTACATTTGGAGAACTTTCCATGTTTAGCAGGGTCTAAATCTACCTAAAAATTGCTATTTGAGATTCCGTTATGTTGATATTTGAAGTTTATTTAACTATTCCTTTCTTTACAGACATACATATTGTTTGACTTTTTATTATTACAAATAATACTGCAACAAAATTCTTCATTCCGCTTTGGACATTTGTGGAAGCATTTTCAAAATTACCAGCTATTTTAAACCTCTAAACATTTTTCATAATCTAATGGGTAAAGAAAGTGCTATTCATTTGATCTCTCAATGTACGTTTCACTGATTCCGAGTAAGAGTGAGCATTTTTCATATATTTACTAAGCCATTTGTATCTTTTATATTCTGGAATATTAACTTACTTTTGGAATAATAATCTTTTGCTGTACATGTTCCCCCGCACCTGCCACAATCCCTTTATTTACCTAAACTGGAAACCTCCACTTGGGCAGAAAGAATGGGGGAATGGGGCCTCTTCTTATGACTGTTTCAGGCACTATCTTGTGCTGATATTCGGGCCTCAGGTAGTGATTCTGACCTTTGTACAGTGATTACCTATACATGTTATTTTAAATAAACGTTTATTTTAGGTTCGGGGGTACATATGAAGGTTTGTTACATAGGTAAATGTGTCACAGCGGTTTGTTGTATATACTATTTCATCACCCCGGTGTTAAGCCAAGTACCCAATAGTTATCTTTTCTGCTCCTCTTCTACCTTCCCACCCTCCCCCATCAAGTAGACCCCAGTGTCTGTTGTTTCCTTCTTTGTGTGCATGTGTTCTTATCATTTAGCTCCCACTTATAAGTGAGAATATGCAGTATTTGGTTTTCTGTTCCTGCATTAGTTTGCAAAGGATGGTAGCCTCCAGCTCCATCCACGTTTCCACAAAAGACATGATCTTGTTGTTTTTTATTGATGCATAATATTCCATGATGTATATGTACCATATTTTCTTTATCCAATCTGTCATTGATGGGCATTTAGGTTGATTCCATGTCTTTGCTTTTGTTAATAGTGCCGCAATGAACATTTGCATGCATGTCCCTTTATGGTAGAATGCTTTATATTCCGGGGGATACACCCAGTAATAGGATTGCTGGATCAGCTGCTTTTAGCTCTTTGAGGAATCACCATACTGCTTTCCACAATGGTTGAACTAATTTACACTCCCACCAACAGTGTATAAGCGTTCCCTTTTCTCTGGAACCTTTCCAGCATCTGTTATTTTTGGCTTTTTAATAGCCATTCTGACTGGTGTGAGATGATATCTCATTGTTTTGATTTGCATTTCTCTAATAATTAGTGATATTGAGCTTTTTTCATATCCTTGTTGGCTGCATGCATGTCTTCTTTTGAGAAGTGTCTGTTCATGTCCTTTGCCCACTTTTTAATGGGATTGTTTTTCTCTTGTAAATTTATTTAAGTTCCTTATAGATGCTGGGTATTAGACCTTCATCAGATGCATAGTTTGCATATATTTTCTTCCACTCTTTAGGTTGTCTGTTTACTTTGTTGTTAGTTTCTTTTGCTGTGCAGAAGCTCTTAAGTTTAATGAGATCCCACTTGAATAGAGAGCCTTTTCCCCATTGCTTGTTTTTGTCAGCTTTGTCGAAGATCAGATGGTTGTAGATGTGAGGCTTATTTCTGGGCTCTCTATTCTGTTCCATTAGTCTATGTGCCTGTTTTTGTACTAGTAACATGCTGTTTTGGTTACCGTAGCCTAGTAGCATAGTTTGAAGTCGGGTAATGTGATGCCTCCAGCTTTGTTCTTTTTGCTTAGGATTGCTTTGGCTATTTGGGCTCTTTTTTGGTTCCATATAAGTTTTAAAATAGCCTTTCTTTAAAATAGTTCTGTGAAGAATGGACTTGTTTGATAGGAAAGTACTGAATCTATAAATTGCTTTGGGCAGTATAGCCATTTTAATAATACTGATTCTTCATATCCATGAGCATGGGATTTTTCATTTTTTGTGTCTTCTCTGATTTCTTTGGTCAGTGTTTTGTAATTCTCATGGTAGAGCTCTTTCACCTCTATGGTTAGCTGTATTCCTAGGTTTATTTTTGTTTGTTTGTTTTGCAGGCGTGTGTGTATGTGGCAATTGTGAATGGGATTGCCTTCCTGATTTGGCTCTTGGTTTGGCTTGTTGGTGTACAGGAATGCCAGTGATTTTTATACATTGATTTTATATCCTGCAACTTTGCTGAAGTTGTTTATCAGCTGAAGGAGCTTTTGGGCAGAGACTATGGGGGTTTTCTAGGTATAGAATCATGTTGTCTGTGAACAGAGATAGTTTGACGTCCTCTCTTCCTATTTGGATGCATTTTATTACTTTCTCTTGCCTGATTGCTCTAGCTAGGACTTGAATAGAAGTGATGAGGGAGGCCATCATGTTATAAATGTTTTCTCCCTGTTTCTCATTTGTCCTAAAAACTTGGTTTATGTCTTTTGTGGTTAAGTTTTTCTGTTTTTGGAAGCAAGTCTACCAATCTTTCATTTTTTTCACATTTGGCTTAAGAAAATCTTCCTTGCCACAAGCTTACAAATATATTCTCCTAGTTTCCTTCTGCATAAAAATGCATGCATGAGGCTAACAATCATCTGAGCCTTTAGTGGACTGTAATCTTTTTGCTGGTGGAGGATCTTGCCTCAGTGTTGATGGCTGCTGACAGATCAGGGTAGTGGTTGCTGAAGGTTGGGGTGGCTGTGGCAACTTCTTAAAATAACAATGAAGTTTGCTGCATCAGTCTGCTCTTCCTTTCAAGAAAGATTTCTCTAGCATGCAATTCTGTTTGATAACATTTCACTCACAGTAGAAATTCTTTCAAAATTGGAGTCAATCCTCTCAAACCCTGCTGCTGCTTTATCAACTAAGTTTATGTAATATTCTAAATTATTTGTTGTCATTTCAACAATGTTCACAGCACCTTCATCATTCCACCTCAAGAAAGTACTTTCTTTGCTCATCCAAAGAAGTGAGTCTTCATCCTTTCAAGTTTTATCGTAAGGTTTCAGCAATTTAGTTACATCTTCAGGCTTCTCTTCTAATTCTAGTTCTCTTGCTATTTTTACTACATATGCAGTTCCTTCCTACACTGAGGCCTTGAATCCCTCAAGGTCATCCATAAGAGTTGGAATGAACTTTCTCCAAACTCCTGTTAATATTCATATTTTGACCTCCTCCCATGAATCACGAATGTTCTTAATGTCATTGAGAATGGTGAATCGTTTCCAGAAAGTTTTCAATTTACTTTGCTCAGATCCATCAGAGGAATCACTATCTAAGTCCACTAGAGCCTTATGAAATATATTTCTTAAATAATAAGACTTGAAAGTAAAAATCACTCCTTGATCCATGGGCTACAGAGTAGATGTGGTATTAGCAGGCATGACAACATTAATCTCCTTATACATCTGTATCAGAGCTCTTGGGTGACCAGGTACATTGCCAATAAGCCGAAATATTTTGAAAATAATCTTTTTTTTTTTTTTTCTGAGGAGCAGGTCCCAACAGTGGACTTAAAATATTTAGTAAACCGTGATGCCAACAGATGTGCTGTCATCTGGGCTTTGTTATTCCATTTATAGAGCACAGGCAGAGTAGATTTAGCATAACTCTTTTATTTTTATTTACTTATTTATTTTTTGAGACAGAGTTTCGCTTGTTGCCAAGGCTGGAGTACAATGGCACCATCATGGCTCACTGCAACCTCCACCTCCTGGGTTCAAGCGATTCTCCTGCCCCAGCTTCCCAAGTAGCTGGGATTACAGGTGCCTGCCACCATGCCCAGCTAATTTTTGTATTTTTAGTAGAGACGGGGTTTCACCATGTTGGCCAGCCTGGTCTTGAACTCCTAACCCCAGGTGATCCACCCGCCTTGGCCTCCCAAAGTGCTGGGATTACAGGTGTGAGCCACTGCGCCTGGCCAATTTAGCATAATTCTTAAGGGTCCTAGGATTTTGGGATGGTAAATGAGCATTGGATTCAACTTAAAGTCACTGGTGGCATGATTCTCTAACAAGAGGGTCAGCCTGTCCTTTGAAGCTTTGAAGCCAGTCCTTGACTTCCCCTCTCTAGTTATGAAAGTCCTAGATTGCATCTTCCAATAGAAGACTTTTGTCTACTTTGAAAATCTGTTGTTTAGTGTAGCCACCTTCATCAGTGATCCTAGCTAGATCTTCTGGATAACTTGCTGCAGCTTCTCCATCAGCAGTTGCTGCCTCACCTTGCACTTTTTTGTTTTTTACACCCACTCCCCACCTTGACTTTTATGTTATGGAAATGGCTTCTTTCCTTAAACCTCATGAACCCAACATCTGCTGAATTCCTACTTTTCTACTGCAGCTTCCTCACCTTTCTCAGCATTCATATTATTGAAGAGAGTTAGGGCGTTTCTCTGCATTAGGCTTTGGCTTAAGGAAATAGTGTGGCTGGTTTGATTTTCTACAGAAATCACTACAGCTTTCTCCATATCAGAAATAAGGCTGTTTTGCTTTCCTATCATTTGTGTGCTATCACTGAAACAGCACTTTTAATTTCCTTCAATAACTTTTCTTTTGCATTCACAACTTGGGCAACTGTTTGGTACAAGAGACCTAGCTTTCAATTTCTTTTGGTTTTTGACATGCTAACCTCAGTCAGCTTAATCATTTTTAGCTTTTGATTTCAAGTGAGAGACGTGCAACTCTTCCTTTCACTTGAACTTAGAGACAATTGCAGGACTACAAATTGGCCTATTTCAATATTATTGTGTCTCGGGGAAAGGGAGGCTCAAGGAGAGAGGGAGAGAGATGAGAAGATGGCTGGTTGGTGGAGCAGTCTGAACAGACAGTTTGTAGTCTTATGTGGGTGTCATTTATGGTGCCCCAAACCAATTACAATAGTAACACCAAAGATCATGGACCACAGATCACTATAACAGATATAATAATAAAAAACTTTGAAATATTGTGAGAATTACCAAAATGTGACACAGAGACATGAAGGGAGCACATGCTGTTGGAAAAATGGCACCAACAGATTTGTTTAATGAAGGGTTGTTACAAATCTTTATAAAAAAAAATGCAGTATCTGCAAAGTGCAATAAAGTGAAACACAATAAAATGAGGTATGGGGTGGGTACAGGAGGATCACTTGATCCTAGGAGTTTGAGAGCAATCTCGGCAACATAGTCAGACCCCGTCTCTACAAAAAAATAAAAAAATTAGCAGGGCACAGTGGCACACACCTGTGGTCCCAGCTACTCAGGAGGAGGATTGCTTGAACCTGGGAAGTTGAGGCTGCACTGAGCCATGATTGCAACACTGCACACCAGCCTGGGTAACAGAGTGAGAAACTGTCTCAAAAAAAAAAAAAAAAAAAAAAAAAAAAGAGGTATACCTGTATATATGTTTATAATACTGACATCTTTAATACAATTGATAAAATAACTTATCTTTATGTTTGATATTAGATAACAGCCTAATTTTTCTTCTTTTTATTTATTTATTTATTTATTTTTTGAGACAGAGTCTCGCTCTGGAGTGCAGTGGCGTGAGCCCAGCTCACTGCAACCTCTGCCTCCCAGGTTTAAGCCATTCTGCTGTCTCAGCCTCTTGAGTAGCTGGGACTATAGGCACGCATCACCATGCCTGGCTAATTTTTTTGTGTATTTTTTGTAGAGATGGGGTTTCAACACGTTGCCCAGGCTGGGAGGACTTTATATTCTTACCCATCAGTCTATTTGTCTCTTTATCAGTAGCATACTGTTTTAATTACTGTAGTTTTATAGTATATTTTCACACCAGGGAGAGCAAGATGAACTTTAAAATCAGTTGGTCATAGTCTACAAAAACTATTGTTGAGATTTTGAGTAGAATTGCCTGAATTTATATAGATTAATTTTTTGGAGAATGAACATCCTAATATGGAGGTTTCTCAATTGGAAGTATGACTATAAACAGGCAAAATAAAACTTGTACACAAATAATTGCATTCTTCAGCAAAAAAAGTGCAGAAGACTATATATTATGCAACCTTTTGTGGGAAAAGAGAAGTAAATAAACATATATATTCACATTTGTTTCTAAATGCATAAAGAAACTTCAGAAGGATTATAAGAAAGTAATAAGAATGATTACCTGTTGGAGTGGTGATGGGAATGGGTTGAGTATGCCACTTTTCACTTTATGTTTTTGTATATTGTTTGTATTTTTTAAAAATTCATACATAATGATCGTATACACTTAGGGAATATATGTAATATTTTGATACATGCATACAATGTGTAATGATCAAAGGGTAATTGAAATCTCCATCACCTCAAACGTTTATAATTTCTTTCTGTTGGGAATATTCCTAATTTTCTCCTCTAGCTATTTGAAATATAGAAGAAATATATAGTAAATTATAGTTAATAATAGTCACCCTACTGTGCTCTTGAATACTAGAACTTACTCCTTTTATCTAACTATATTTTCGTACCCATTTACCAACATCTCTTCATCTTCCTCCTCCTTCCTTTCCAGCCTCCAGTACCCACCATTCTAATCTCCACCACCATGAGATTGACTTTTTTAAGCTCTCACATATGAGTGAGAACATGCAATATTTATTCTTCTATGCTGGCTTATTTCACTTAACATAATATCCTCCAATTCCATTCATCTTGCTGCAAATGACAGCATTTCATTTCTTTTATAGCTGAATAATATTCCATTGTGTATCTATACCTAATTTACTTTATACATTCGTTGATGGATATGTAGGTTGATTCCATTATCTTGGCTATTATAAATAGTGCTGTAATAACTATGGGAGTGAAGATATCTCTTTGATATACTAATTTCCTCTCTTTTGCATATATATCCAGCAATGGGATTGCATTCTCTTTTTAGGTTTTTTGAGGAACCTCCAAACTGTTTTCATAGTTGCTGTACTAATTGACATTCCCATCAGCAGTGTATACGAGTTCCTTTTCTCCACATTGTCGCCAGCATTTGTTATTTTCTGTTTTTTTGGTAATAGCCATTTAAACTCGGGTAAGATAATATTTCATTGTGGTTTTGATTTGCATTTCCCTGATGATTAGTGATGTTTAACATTTTTTCATCTACTTGTTGACTATTTATATGTCTTCTTTTGAGAAATATCTATTCAGATGTCTTGCCCATTGTTTTATAATCAAATTCTTTTTTTTTTTTTGCTGTCAAATTGAATTCCTCTTATATTCTTGTTATTAATGCTTTGTCAGATGCATAGTTTGCAAATATTTTCTCCCATTCTGTAGGGCATCTCTTCACTTTGTCGATTGTTTTCTTTGCTGTACAGAAGCTTTTTAGCAACAGCAGCAGCAGCATTAGACATGAATTTCCCTAGTTGGTCCCACGTCATTCAGAATGCTTTTCTGGAGTAGACAGTTAAGATTAAAGTTCTTTTATTCTTCTTTTCAGGCGACAAAGCTCAGTGCACATTAAGTTACCTCAGTGAAGCTTCTGTTTTGATCCAAAGTGTTTCAGCCTTGTCCTCTTAGTTCAAGCTGGATCAATTAAATATCGCAATCATTACAAGGCAGCTCTTTCACAGCTCACTTATTCATCAAAGTAATTAAATTTGTTAACAAATGTATAGAATTGCATATATTGAACAGTCTCAACTACCTTGGTTTATTTCGTTCATTAAACTTAACCATTATTTCCTATGTGACTATAAGAGTCATTGTCTTTTAAGTTTATATTGTGAGCCAGGACTTTGCTTTTGGTATGTTTTTTAAAAACAGCTTCATCATTAAAAAAATCATTAAAAAGTATTATTATTATAATAATACACCGTGCCCAGCCTCTTTTTGTTTTTAACTTGTATTTTAGGTTCAGGGGTACAGGTGCAGGTTTGTTACATAGGTAAATTGGGTGTCACAGGGTTTAGTATACAGATTATTTTTTTCACCCAGGTAATAAGCATAGTACCCGATAGATAGTTTTTATGTCATAGATGGGTTATTTCTTGAATGGCCCCTGACATTCCAGATTTAGGGACAGTTCTGTAATAATTATCCAAGAAGCTGAATATCTATTGTCATTCTCTCCAACTTTGACCTAGAGTCTTCACTTTGTCTGTGTCCAACTTGCCATGGGGTTTAGGAGAAATGAAAGGGAGCTTGGCTATAGCTGCTGAAGATGCAGTTACAGAAGTGGAGAGGCAGGACAGTGGGGAAGAAGGTAATTTGGAGGGTTTCTAAATGTCAGTTTTCAGGGACAGTGCTCCAGTAATGCTCTTTCCATTGCATGTTATTGTAATAAGTTTAGAAAAATGGTTGTGTTTCAACAACAGTGCTGTGGAAACATACCATGCCCTTCCATGATGGTACATACAGGTAGAAAGAACATCTATTTTTAAAAGTTCAGTAACATAAATTAGCTTGAACCCCAGACTTTAATTTTGAAGGAAGATTAGATTGGATCTAAATAATTGAAGACACGTGGAGAAACATTTTAATAAAACTTCGTAATTTGACTCACAGTTCCTTGAGTCTTTACCCGCTCACTCTCATTAGCTGTATCATGACCAGGTGGCTGGTGAGAATCATTTAATAGCCTGAACACTTGTGGGGCTTTTTTACCCAGCTGAAAGCTGATTATGTTCATTAGGAAAAAATAGTTCAGTCCATCTTCCCCAACCCGAACAGCCCATTCATCCTCTATGTCACTTTCTACATTTTTTACATTGTAATGCATGCCAATAAAGAACAATACACTTGTGTGGCTGCACTTCACACAGAACCTTCACAGTTATTATTTAATTTACATTATATAGCTTCAATTGTAAAGTAAGTCTTTTATTGTAAATCCCTAGACTATAGTCACTGAATATATTTAAATTCTCTTGGCACAATTTATAATCAAGAATGCTTTTTGACCGTGTGCAGTGGCTCACACCTGTAATCCCAGCACTTTGGGAGGCCGAGGCGGGTGGATCAACTGAGGCCTAGAATTTGAGACCAGCCTCGCCAACATGGCGGGGCGTGGTGGCAGGAACCTATAATCCCAGCTACTGGGGAGGCTGAGGCAGGAGAATCGCTTGAATCCAGGAGGCAGAAGTTGCAGTGAACCGAGATCGTGCCGCCGCACTCCAGCCTCGGTTGACAGAGTAAGACTCCGTCTCCAAAAAAAAAAAAAAAAAAAAAAAAGGAAGAAAGAAAGAAAGAAACAACCCTTCTGGGACCTGGATTTCTGGGACTTATTTTACTTTGATGTACAGCTCCTGGATATTACTCAGCATTGTTCAGCAGCCAGGTACAGTTTGTTGAAGGATGCCTGCTACTCCTCCCACCTGAGATGCCTTGAATTTATGGTCACCATCAGGCCTAGGCATAAGCTAGCCTTCTTTTCTCTCTCTTTCATCTTCAATGGTTCCTTTTCTCTATACTTTTCATCTTCTTTCTCTCTGTGTTTTTATTTTCTTATACAAAATTTACCTTTTCTCTAAGGTTCCAGTTGCATAGCATCTTAAACTGGGAAAAAACCCCTCACAACCCCACATTTTAATAGAAGCAGCTTTTTATAGGTATGTTAACTTACTAGTGGGAATGACCCAGTTTAAAGTAGTTATGAGTATTTCTGGTGATGTGACTTTTTTTTTTGTTTTGGAGACGGAGTCTCGCTCCGTCGCCCAGGCTGAAGTGCAGTGGCGCAGTCTCGGCTCACTGCAAGCTCCGCCTCCCGGGTTCACGCCATTCTCCTGCCTGAGCCTCCCGAGTAGCTGGGACTACAAGGCGCCCGCCACTGCGCCTGGCTAATTTTTTGTATTTTTAGTAGAGACGGGGTTTCACCGTGGTCTCGATGTCCTGACCTCGTGATCCGCCCGCCTCGGCCTCCCAAAGTGCTGGGATTACAGGCGTGAGCCACCGTGCCCGGCGTGACTTTGTCTTAAAGGGGTAGGTATTGTCTCATTTGAATGGATAGTACACACATTTTAATCCTGAATGTCTGTACTGCTATAGCAGTCATTTCTCAATTATCTGCAAAAGAGGCATAGGCCAAATAGAATAATTTGAACATTTGACTTGGAATGTGTGATATGATGTGAAGATTATTTTACTAATTACATTTGGTTTGGACTTATATTAAATGTTTCTCTAGAGTATGCAACAAACTTCTTCGAAAGAGAGGCAATCTAGAAATAATTGAGACAAGGGCAGAAGCCAAAGGACAATGAAAAAATTTCAGAAACAGGTGACTGTTTAATTAGTTATTTATTTAAATCTTGCCATATTCTGAAAAAGATTTTGAGGAGGAAAAATAGCTGTGGTTCCAACTGGGAGCATTATGCCTTTTGAGGCCTAAATGTAAGATTCTAGCTCTTCGTCCCATGCAGGATTTTGCTGTGTGATAATAACAACAGTAATCATTCATGATATGTCCACTATGCTAAATATTTGACATGTTTTATCCCACTTAATCCTCAGATTCCCTGCTCTCCCTATTTACAGATGAGGCTCAGAGAGTTTAATTATCGTGCCCTAAGTGACACAGCTAGTCCATGGCAGAAGTATTCCTTGAACCCAGCTTGTGTGGCTCTGATGCCTGTGTTCCTAACACTTTCCTCCTACTGCCTCTGATTTTGTTGATGATGAAAAGTTATGCAGCTGTGTCTGATCTCTAGGAAAAACATCTGGGCATCTTTAAAGTAGTTTTCAAAACCTGAAGCACTAAGATGAATGTGAAAGAACCAGGCCTTGTTAATGTCAAATTATCTCATCTGAGAAAAGAGTTGTATTCATCTTACCAAGACAGTTTCCCTCCTTGTAGAAATTACTTTGCAGAAACAATCGCAGTATCTAAATGTTGTCAGTTCACATCACTACTTTGTCAAGAAGAAGCTTAATGCTTGTGTTACATGATTTTAAACTTGTTTTCAGCCTGAGACTGGCATACCTAATTTTAAATATACTTGTATTTAAAGGATATTGTTGACTAGGTGGACTGCTGTCCATTAAGAAGTAAGGTTAGCATTTTTCTCTCTAACTTTCAACTTGATACTTTTTATATCCAGGCTATTAAATATATATCGGAAAGTTCTCTAGCAGATAAATCTCTTACCAAAGCAATTTAAGCAAGCAACAAAATAAAGGGGTAAAACATTTAGTTTTCAGATAACATATTCTGCAAGGACTGTCCTCTGTTTTTGTGGTATTGCACAGGGTTGTTTGAAACTGAAGATGCTATACTTGAGGCTTTTTGTGGCATCGGCTTCTGAATTCAACTCTGAAGTGAATGTGTTGCATTGCTTTCAAGTGTGGTGGTGATGAATTACTGAAGAAATTTCAATCAGAGGTAAAAATCTTAAATTCTTTTAGTTGCTTTATTTTTTTTAGAGGTCAAGAGTAACTCCTTTTTTGTGGGGGGAAGTGAAATAAAACTGACTTTGCTTCATTTAAAAATACTGTTTTGGGGCCCAGCGTGGTGGCTCATGCTTGTAATCTCAGCACTTTGGGAGGCTGAGGTGGGCAGATCACCTGAGGTCAGAAGTTTGAGACCAGCCTGGCCAACATGGTGAAATGCTGTCTCTACTAAAAAATATAAAAATTAGCTGGGTGTGGTAGCGTGTTGCCTGTAATTTCAGCTACTTGGGAGGCTGAGCCAGCAGGATCGCTTGAACCTGGGAGGCAGAGGTTGCAGTGACCCGAGATGGTGCCACTGCACTCCGTCTCAAAGGAAAAAAAAAATACTGTTTTGGTCTTCTCCCCACCCTTAAAGTGGAAGCACCCTGTAAACATGCATCCTTCATTAAGCAAACATGTTTTTTTTTTAAATATCTTTTCTTTATAAATTACCCAGGCTTAGGTATTTCTTTATTGCAATGCAAGAACAGACTAACACATAAAGTAATAATTTCACCTAATGTGATGAAACTAACACGAAGCAACTATCCTGCATACAACTGAAAATGCAGTAATCCCTTCCCCAGAATTTGGCTTTCAGGATTTCAATCTTTATATTTAGGGTCTTGTTTTTTGGGATTATGATAGGCACCAGGTTTCATAAGTACAGTCTCAATACACTTGAATGAGATGAGGCAAATGAATTTGACCTAAAGGGAATTATTTAGCCTGAAAGGAACCATTGCAGCTGGGTGTGATGGCTCACACCTGTAATCCTAGCACTTTGGGAGGCCAAAGTCGGAGGATCACTTGAGTTCAGGAGTTAGAGACCAGCCTGGGCAATATGGCGAAACCCTGTCTCCACAAAAAGTACAAAGACTAGCTGGATGTGGTGGCACAGGCCTGTAGTCCCACTACTCTGGAGGCTGAGGTGGGAGGGTCACCTGAACCTGGGAGGCCAACGTTGCAGTGAGCTGAAATTGTACCACTGCACTCCAGATGGACAAGAGAGTAAAACCCTATCTAAAAACAAACAAACAAACAAAAACAACAGCACACAAAAAACCATTTACTGCCACATTGCTGAGGGGTAAATTTGACTTCTCCCAGTGGGAAGTGTCAACCTTTTTCCCTTCATGTACTACCAGACCGCTCCATTCCTTATTTTGGGGAAAAAAAAAAAAAAAAAAAAAGATTAACAGTGGATTTTACTTTCTACACCTTTGATTATTATTTTACCTATAATATAATATGTACTCTGTAGCATGTTATAACATTCCTACTACTCTGTTTTTATTTAGAAACAAGCATTTTTTAAGGTTTTAACTTTTACCAGGCTTACCCTAATGATGCATTCAGCAAACCTTATGGGCCATCTACTCCATTCCAAGTACTTGCAGTAGGAAGGATGGTGAACATACCACAGAAAAGACACATCCCTGGGAGTTTCTGTATTTCAGTTTGATAATAATTTACCTGAGGAAACTCTGGCTGAGACTCACATGTCTTAGGAGATTCGTAAAAAATAAAAGTACAGAATTTTTTTTCTTCTTTGATATGAATTTCAATATGGATTTTATTTAAAGAGGCTTTCCTGTTTCTTTTGGGAAGGGCATACAGCAATGGAGCCCCTGTGGTTTTCAGAAAACTTGCCTGCTTGCTGTTGAAAGTCTGACACAAAGTAAAAGAACTGTGCTGGGACTACTGGTGAACAGGGAGCTATTTGTGATAGAGAAAACATGGTATTTTTCCTCTGGTAAGATGTACATTTATTAGAGCATTTATCAAATAATTTGGCTTTTCAATACATTATCAGAAATTAGTGAGATTGGTTATGAACTTAATTATGCTTTTCTAAAAAATGTTTTTAGCCTGCTCTCAAACATTTTGAAGTGGACCCTTATTAGAGTTACCAAATTGTATGAAAGCACATTGCCCTCAGCACATAAGGGTCACAGGTGGAATGTAGCAGGGTTGAAATGAAGGATAATGGAAAAATCCACTACTTGTGTTTGCTACTTAAATGTCATGGCTGGGTAAATGGATTTCTCTACTTCCTAGGACTCGGCTTCTACTACATTAGTCTGGCAGCAATTAGAGAGAAGAGGTTGCTCTGCAAATTGGCTTGGCGAACCATGTAGTTCATCTTTTTATTGTGCAAAACAGAAAAAATTGCTTCTAATCAATCCACTTCAACTTTCAGTCTAAAAATTATTTACCATCCTATCAACTGAAAGTACTAGAGAAATGTTCTATTCGAATTAACTGAAGGGAAGAATCATTTGTATCAATCCTTGATTACGATTATGGGGGAAGCAATAAAGAGATTACATCATACTATGATGGAATATTGAAGGAATAAAGAGACTGCATCATTATTGAGGTGTCCTTGCCAAATTGATTAATGCTTTTAGGATAATTAATCTATATTTCAAATATAATTGAACTCATTAGCAAAATCAGAAATGTACAATTTAATGACTCTAATGCTCGAAAAGAGATAGATTTTCCGCTCAAAGAGAACATTATTAATTTTGAACTTTTCACAGTCTTTGCCTTTGATTCATATGGTTGATCAATCCCTCTGCTTTTTAACTGCCCTAGGATGTAACATTTGAGGTGCTTAGATAAAAGTTTATTATTCTTAATTTTCTCAGAACATAGATTAACAGAGAACTGATGTGATGTACAGGGAAATTTTACTAATTTCCACTTTGCTCATCAGCACAGTCAATGGCTTTAAAAAGTGAATGAATAAATCACACTTCTAGATGATTTAAGTATAATAATTAGTTTGAGACAGTGCAAATTACAAAAGTAGACTCCTTTAAGCTGTGCCTTAACACAGCTGGCTTCATTAGGAAAACAACTAGGACCAGCAGCCAGGTCCGCCCAGAGGAAGAGAAGAGAAAGGATGAGTAGAGGAGGGGTCTGGTGGCAAGTTCTAATGAGATTTAGGGTGTTACAGGCTAAGAAACACTGGCCTCATTTGAGGAAAAGAAACCTCACCCACAGCTTCAAACCAGGTAAATATTGTTCTGCTTCTCAGAAACCAAAGATTTCCTGGTGCAACAGGAGTCCAAATTTCTGAACAAAGAATCTTAGTAGAGATCAACAAAAAGTCTGTTGAAACCAACATTTTTTGATGAGTTCTAATTCTTCTCATTAGCTAAACCAAAATAATCTACATTAAAAATACTTAGTTCTGGCCGGGCGCAGTGGCTCAGGCCTGTAATCCCAGCACTTTGGGAGGCTGAGGTGGATAGATCATGAGGTCAGGAGATCAAGATCATCCTGGCTAACATGGTGAAACCCCGTCTCTACTAAAAATATAAAAATTGGCTGGGTGTGGTGGCGCATGCCTGTAATCCCAGCTACTTAGGAGGCTGAGGCAGGAGAATTGCTTGAACGTGGGAGGCGGAGGTTGCAGTGAGACAAGATTGCGCCACTGCACTCCAGCCTGGTGACAGAGCTAGACTCCGTCTCAAAAACAAAAATAAAAATACTTATTTTGGAGAGAAAACTCACCTCTTTTAGATGAATATTGATTGCACAATGGGTTACTAGGCAATATCTTCAGATAATGTCATGTCTTTTTTGGTGTAGAGGTTTAAATTCTAGGCCTCCGTTTCAAAAGAAGCCCTTTTAACCTTTGTAAAAAAAATAAATGGAACTCCACTGGAGAAGCCTCCCCTTTTGCGGTCTCTCTCTCCCCCTTCCCCTTCATGATGCTCATGAGCAGGCTTATGCCTGCAAGACAGGAAGAGACAGCTTGCTTCTGCTTTGATTCGAGTTTACTCTTCATTACCCATTCTCAGTTCTCCTCTCATTACTGGTGCCAAATATATTACTAACATTCAAACAAAGCTTCCTACCTCTTGCAGGTTAAGAGGGTTAAGTGCACATTGTGTATATGGTGCATATGAGACTGCCTGGACCACAGCATCCTAGTGCTTTAGTCCTCTGCTTCCACCTAGAAGGGCCTCATTAGAAGACTGAAGGGCAAGTATTCAAGAAGAGAGCAAGGATCAGGGAGGGACTCTGCAGTGCGATGCTTTATATAGACATAGGGCTCTCGGGTAGCCTCCTCCCTGTCAATGTGGAAGGAGGACTGCCGAGAGGATTTTTACGTGGTTGTGCTGCTACTGTCTAGTTAGACCTGAATGGTGGCTTCCAGGCTTTCCCTGTCTTTAAGGGTTGTTTATATATTACGCATTTAGTTCCAAGTCACAGACTCTCAGGATGTTGGTTCCCTGATTGCAAAGATGAGAATGTTGGCTTAATGGATAATTTTCTCAGGTTCCTTCCAGTCCTAACATTTGAAATCATCTTGCAAACCTTCTCCATTCATGTATCAGGCATATTCCAGAAAACATAAAGTTTGGATAATCAGGAATGTAAAGAAGGTTCCAAATCCATCTGGAACACAACAGTACATTTTTTCTTTAAAATTCTCTTCTTAAGCCTGTGTACACATGGAGTTCAAATTTTATTTGCACCAAGTTAGGCCGGCCCAAAGACCTGGTTAGCTCTCACTAAACATTTCAGACACAAGCATCTCCCAGGGCAAGGATGTTCTGTGCATATTCATAAACAAAACCAGCTTCCCACATTAAGAAATGATGGTTCATTATCATATTCTTGTTCAAATGTTTGGTTTGCTGAGAAGTTTGGGATTATAGAAGGATTCAGGGGAAAATGTGCAAAATATAAAATGAAGATTTTGTGCCATTTATCTTCTAAGAGAGACTACAGCTAACTTGTATTTGTTTTGTAGGTTTCTCCTCCTCCTCTTCCTTCTCCTCCTCTTTTTCCTCCTCCTCTTTCTTTCTTCTTTCTTCTATTTTTTTTTTTTTTTTTCCAGAAAGTACCTCTGGCAGCAAATGCTTAGGCACCTGTACAGGTCAGAACTTTGGCACGGTATTTGCCTAGGGAATGAACTCTCTCCCCCGCCCCCTATTAAAGGTTTATTTTGTATTTCTCTTGGGTTAATACAAACATTAAAATAGATATTAAAATTATTGTCTAGCTCCTCTTTGAACACTCATCTCATCGGAATGAAGCTAGGTGGGGAGACAGGGGCAGGCAGTCGATTCGACATTAAGGTTGACCACAGAGCACAAAAGTGCACAGGACAAATTGAAAGTGTCTTTTGGCTAGTAAATCTGTAAACCTAAATAGGAGGCGCTTTTAACTGGAAAACTGGTGATATTCACTTTAGCTCCCCCCGCCCCTGTGCCGGGCACCAGGCAGGGGCTCTGTCAGCCGCGCAGGATGAGAAGGACGTTCTGTGAGCGTCCCATTGTCCCTGGGAACCACTGGGATTGTGCTGTGCAGTTTCCAGTTCGCAGGAAAAGATGACATCTTGAGTCGCCTAGTTAGAGCTTCTGTTTTCCTGCCATTTCCAAGTCCAGCTGCCTGTTCTGCCTGGGAATGAGTGCAGGTTTCTGTGGGAGACCCCCGGGGCTGGCGCTTTCCACTGGGATGTTTACCCCAGCTCAGAAAGAGACCTGCCACCGGGACGCCATTCACGAGGGGATCCCTTGTGCTTCCCCCCCGACCCCCTTTGTTTTTTCTTCTTTTAATGTTGCGGACAGTGAGGAGGGAAAGAAGGAGGGAGAAGTGTCACCTTCCCCCGGGGCTCGTGGCCGCGGGAGCGCGATCTGCGAGAGGCCAGGCCTGAGCGCAATTCCGCGGGAGCAGGTGGAAGAGTCGGGCGCCTGGACAGCGGTGCCAGTCCCCTTTCATAGGTTAAAAAAAAAAAAAAAAAAGCTTTTATATATTGAAGATGACAGAGGGTGGGGTTGGGGTTGGGGGGGCTGGGAGGAAGAAGAAAGGGCTTGTTTAGGAAGCTGCGACAACCTGAGATTTAATGGATAAACGGTCTGTGTGCCTTTTTGGAAGGCGGATTCCGAGCTCTCTTCCCCTTTTTGTTCCGTTTACACTTCCAATTTTGGACTTCTTTGTGTAGTTTTACAAGAGGGATATCTCTTTTAAAAAAAAAAAGCACAACAAATTCCACACACAAAATATAAGTACAAATCAGCTCTCTGCATGAGTGGGTCTCCATCTCTTGCTTAACCAACAGCTGATGGAAAATATTCCGGGGGGCAGTGGGGAGAGCTGACAATGCAAAAATAAAAATAATATAAATAAAAACCAATATAGTATAACAACTATTCGCATAGCATTACACTGTATTATGTATATAAGTAATCTAAAGATGATTTCAAGTATACGGGAGCATGCGCATACTTTCTCATTTTATATAAGGAACTTGAGCATCACTTTTTGGTATTGGGGGTAGGTCCTAGAACCTATTCCCCCCTGTTTCCAAGGCAAGACTTTGTATAAATTGCGTGACATATTAAATGTAATTTTAAAAACCTGGTAACATTTTCCGAGTTCCACAATGGCAGCATTTTCAGGATTTTAGCCTAACCTTTAACCTAACAAAATACTATGATACTTCTTGGAGGTAGTTTTATTTTTAAATAATTTCCTTTTTCCATTTGGTAAGAAACATCTTGGTGTTTATGAATAAACTTAATGCTAAGGAGAGAGAATTCTGGTGTGCTCATGTTCTCACTTATAAGTGGGAACTAAAGAGTGGGTACTTATGGACATAAAGATGGCAACGATAGACACTGGGGAGGGGGAGGGAGGCAGGGGTGAAAAAGTATCAGGTGCTATGCTCAGTACCTGGGTGACGGGGTCAATTGTATCCCAAACCTCAGCATCACACAATATACCCAGGTAACAGCCCTGCACATGTACCCCTGAATCTAAAATAAAAGTTGAAATTATAAAAATAAAAAAAAATAATTCTGGTGTATTTAAAGTAGTATCACACCATTCTATCATACACCTGGAACCAGGTAATATTTATATATGTACATGTGTATCTGTGTACACACATATATAAATATATATGAGTAAATAACCTTAGAATTCTAGAATATTAGGGCTAACTGAATCCTTTGTACCCAATGAACAGCCCCACTTACTCACTTGACAGAAGAGCTGATCTCACAATACAATTCTTTGTCTTCTTTTCAAGTAGTGCATTTCTGTTCTGTCTGCATTGGAGTGTTTTCTAAGAATTATGTCACACCAGATCACTTTCATGACATGCCAGAAGCATATAATGTTTAGGCAATTTCAACTCATGCTTTTTAAGCATTTAGAATTAATTTTTACTTCTGCATTTCTGTTTTCCAAAGAAACACATACATGAATCCTGGATTCAGAATTTGCTTATGGACAGTGTTAACCAAACAGGGGCAAGTGAGTGCTCTTGTTTAACGGTTCTTTCATTCCTGTTATTTCCCTGTGTCCATAGAAAGGAGACACTGGAGTCAGGATCTTTCTAGTGATTTATGAGACATTTTAGAATGTATGGGTTTGTAATGGTTGTGGGAAGGGGCTATTTACTGAGGAGAAAGCCACAGTGAGTGAAAGCACTTTCTCAGAAGGTTTCTCATTTCTCTGCAGCTGCTGAGCAAGTGCCAATGTCCATTTCTGCTTTAGACTCTGGGGACCATGAAGAGCTCTTTTGGGAAGAGCCTCTTAGGGCACACACTAATCATGTTTCTCAGGTCTTACAGAGATGTGGTGCTGCAGAGATTTACACACATGTGAGGGAAAATGGTAAACACTAAACATTCCTAAGTAGGGTTACATTTTAAAATACTGTCATTTTCTTTACCTTTTAATATCAGTGGATAAAGCTGTTCTATTTTCAAATACAACATCCTCCCTTTCCTGTCCAACTCCTGTTAACTGGCTATGGGTGTTTATAGGAATAACAAAGGCACAGCTTATTGAGAATCTGTTCCGTTCCAGGCCCAGGGTTAGGTACTTCACATGCATTATTTCACTTAGTATTAACTACAATCCTCTGAGGTAGGTATTCTGTTTTACGAATGAGCAAACTGAGGCTCAGAGATGTAAAATAAGTTGCCCAATATCACACAGTAATAAGAAACAGAATTGAGGGTGACATTTAAGTCTATCTGACTCTAGAAACTGAGTTCTTTTTTTTTTTTTTTTTGAGATGGAGTCTCGCTCTGTCGCCCAAGCTGGAGTGCAGTGGCACAATCTCGGCTCACTACAAGCTCCGCCTCCCAGGTTCACGCCATTCTCCTGCCTCAGCCTCCCGAGTAGCTGGGATTACAGGCGCCCGCCACCATGCCCGGCTAATTTTTTGCATTTTTAATAGAGACGGAGTTTCAGCGTGTTAGCCAGGATGGTCTCCATCTCCTGACCTCATGATCTGCCTTCCTCAGCCTCCCAAAGTGCTGGGATTACAGGCGTGAGCCACCGCGCCTGGCCTTCGAAACTGAGTTCTTAATCTTTGTGAAATCATTTGATTCCACAGAATTTTAGTTTTCATTTATCTGGTCAAATTAGAGCAATAGCTTTTAGTTCTCCACTGTTGATATGGCTTGGCTGTGTCCCCACCCAAATCTCATCTTGAACTGTAGTTCCCATAATCCCCATGTGTCTGTCATGGGAGGGACCTCATGGGAGGTAATTGAATCATGGGGGTGATTACCCTCATGTTGTTCGTGTGATAGTGAGTGAGTTCTCACAAGACCTGATAATTTTATAAGGGGCTTTCCCTCACCTTTGCTCAGCATTTCTCTCTCCTGCTGCCATGTGAAGAAGGATGTGTTTGCTTCTGCTTCTGCCATGATTGTAAGTTTCCTAAGGCCTCCCTAGCCATGCGGAACTGGGTCAATTAAACCTCTTCCCTTTATAAATTACTCAGTCTCTGGCAGTTCTCTATAGCAGTGTGAGAACAGACTAATACAACTGTATTCTTTTTTTTTTTTTTTTTCTTGAGATGGAGTCTTACTGTTGTCGCCCAGGCTGGAGGGCAATGGTGCGATCTCGGCTCACTGCAACATCCACCTCCTGGGTTCAAGCTATTCTCCTGCCTCAGTCTTCCAAGTAGCTGGGATTACAGGCGCCCACCACCATTCCCAGCTAATTTTTTGTATTTTTAGTAGAGATGGGGTTTCACCATGTTGGCCAGGCTGATCTCGAACTCCTGACCTCAGGTGATCCACCTGCCTTGGCCTCCCAAACTGCTGGGATTACAGGCGTGAGCCACTGCACCCAGCCATACAACTGTGTTCTAACATGATTTCTTTATTTTTATATAGCTCTAACATTTGAGGAAAATCAATTTAATTCCATAATAATAATAGACATTTTTTCAGTATTTAGTTTCTAAAGCTCTGTCCTGCACTTGTTCTTGCTAATTCTAACATTCATCTTGCAAGGCAGGCAGTGTATGGAAAATATCCCTAGACCACCAGCATCAGATGCAGAATTCCTTGGTGTGCCGATTTAAAATGCCGACTTCTGCATCCCCCGTGTACTAGGATTAGAATCTGGGCAGTCAGATGGGACCCAAGAAGCTGCCTTTTAAGAAGCCGTCACACATATGAATGAGTTAGAAAACAATTCCATGAATTTTGGAATCAAAACCTTGATTTCTATACCATTTTTAGCTCTTTTTAATTGTATGACCATAGGCAAGCTGTTTATAGAGTTGTGGTGAAGATTAAATTAGATAGTGTGCATAAAAACAGTAATGTTTAAGAGTATGAGTGATGCTGAAAGCTAATGCTTTTTTAGCACTATGTGCCAGACATTGTATAAACTTTGCATGTATAAACTTATTGAAGCTTCACAGCAACCATGTAAGAGAAGTCCCAATTTACAGAAGAGAAGGCTGGAGCACAGAGATTAAGCTGAGCCAGGATTTGGTATCAGGGAGTCTGACCTCAGGGTTGCATTCTTCAACTCTGTACCCAGCTCTCTTTCATAGTAGGTACCAGTTGATTGTTAATTCCCTTTGGACCATGTGATAAAAACAACAGCAACAAAAACTGATAAGAATACTGGGTGGAAAACAGTTAGAGTATTTTCCTTCTGACCTAGAATATGTAATCACTATATGGTAAGTTTCTCTTTGAGATTATTCATTCAGTCCAGTATCAGATGTATGCATTTGATAAGACACAGGGGAGATCTGTTTGCATTATCCAATGGCTTGCTATGTGCAGAGCTACTCAAAATGTAATTCTTGGACTTGGAGCCTCGGGATCATCTGGAAGCTTGTTAGAAAGGCAAATTCCTGGACCCCTCCTCAGATCAATAAATCAGAATCTCTGGGCATGGGGTCCAGCAACCTGTTTAAACAAGCTCTGTAGGTGATATTGATGTACTCTGCGGTTGAGAACCACCGGTTTAGAGCATGGAGCGAGAAATTTGTTTTAAGGGTTTATAAAAGCAGCAAAAACGTTGACATGTCTTCACTTCCTGGTGATTTATCTAGAATTATGGTTGATCTTCTTGGGAAAGAGAGTGTTCATTTAGAGGCTTCTCTATTCCAGGCACTGCTAGGTGTTGGATATTCAACTATAAATAAGACATGGTGCTGGTGCCAATGAGGCTGCAGTCTAATGAGAGGGAAAGACAGGCACATCAAACTAGAACACAGTGCATGCAGTGCCATGACGGAGCATGCACAAAGCACCACAGCTTGGCTCTCACTGGAGCTGAGATCAAGCAGAAAGGCTGTCAGCAAGGTGAGACCTAAGTGGTGCCTTGAAGTATACAGGTTTTCCCTAGATGGAGAAGATGGCAACAGAAGCTTATTGAAAAACTCAGCCTCACTTCATTTAAGAGTAGAGTAGCAACAGTCATGACGACTTTGTCCTCAAAGCAATATCCAGTAGGGGAATTACTTATTAGTGGCTACAGATAATTCTACACATGTATGTGGAATCTAGGCATAGGAGGTAGGGGGTATTTCAGAGCATAGAGGAGACGTACCAAATAGTGGTTTAGGTCAAATGAGGGAAGAGTTCCTGGAGGAGGAAATCAGATGGGTGTAAATCACAGAGATAAAAAGGTTTTCCAGACAGAAGGGGCAGCTGAGCCCAAAAACAGTATGTAAAGGTCAGTGCTTATAAACTTTTGGAAAGTGATGGCACTTGAAAAAAAGGTAGGATTTACGAGGTACCCTGGGATAAGTGGACAGCTTTTCAAAGCCGGAGGCAGCCCAGGCCATTGAGTTGGAGGCAGCTCAATAGTTTTTGAGGCTTCAATCCATTTGGTGGGACACAGGTTGGTGTACTCTGGTTTAGGGGAGCATTAATTGCTCTCAATAACTGCAGCATACAGGAAGAGGCTAAAAATGTGGTTTGGAGAGTGGCATAGGTGGCAGACATCATCTCCTGAGGAATTATTTTAATGTATAAAATGAGATCAACTGCCATTTCAAATCAAATGAAAAAAGTTTATGCAGCCAGTATTTCCTACAAAGTATTGTAAAACAGCTGGCCTCTTCTCTAGAAGGGCCTTTGGGTGTGTCTTGCCCCTTTGGGTGTGTCAAGGAAAGAGGTTTTCCTGCCACCTTGGGTGCAGAAAGGAGGTTGTGTGTTGTTGCAATCAGAAGGTGAGAATCTGATTGAACAAGTGCCAGAAATCGTTGTTTTTGAATGGTGACAGCACCACTATTCATTTTCTTCTGTGTGGGATGAGAAATGTCAAGCCCTGCTCCATTGAAAACACCTTTAATTACGCTCATTTGGGCTTTTTTCTTAACAACCACACTTTCTGGGAAATAGATTTGGTACAGTTTAAATGTAACTCTTATCTAAAAGTTTTTTCACATGAACCATGAAGCTTAAGTTGTTTATCCATTTTCCTCTATATGTCTACTTTCTTAGAATCAATTTTAGCCAGGGTATACAGGGACTAAAGTTATTTGTGCACATGGAAGCACAGCCTCCATCTCCTCAAAAAAGAAAACTGGAGCTTTGGCCCTTGGACAATTTCCTCTGCCTGTCTTTCCCTCCTGGGCCTTATTTTACAATCTGAGCAGAAAGAGCAGAAGCAACAGGTAAGACCATAAGATTCATACTGGAAAAGGTAAAAGCAAACATACAAACAAAAGCCCCAACTATTGGAAAAAGAAAAAAGAACATATCTGGAAGTGGATAGAGTTGGAGATGAAATGCTGCTTGGGAATATCCAAGAAGTTTTTGTTTGGGATTTGAGAACTGCCATTTGTGGGGAAGACAAGACAAAAATGGAGAGAACAGATTTTAAAGATGTTTTGCTGCCTGAGGTCAGGAGATCGAGACCATCCTGGCTAACACAGTGAAACCCTGTCTCTACTAAAAATACAAAAAATTAGCCGGGCGTGGTGGCGGGCACCTGTAGTCCCAGCTACTCGGGAGGCTGAGGCAGGAGAATGGCGTGAACCTGGGAGGTGGAGCTTGCAGTGAGCTGAGATCATGCCATTGCACTCCAGCCTGGGCAACAGAGTGAGACTCTGTCTCAAAAAAAGAAAAAAATTCACTCTCCTCCTCCTGGGACCTTTAGTCTTTATACATATATGTAAACACACATATACACGTGTGTGTATATATATGTGTATCTATATACACATATATATGTGTGTGTATATATGTATGTATATGTGTGTATAGATCCCTGGCACCTGTGAATCCTTTAGCCTTTGAGTTTAAAAACTCATGAAGATTTTAGTGCTTTTTCAAAATTTGCTTTCTTTTTTTTTAAAAATGGTTGGTGTTTCTGGGAATGTGACTCCATGACACACTCCACTACACAGAGCTGGAGTGTTGGCGGATTGTACGAGCATACTTTTATTTGAGCTTTAGTAAAGGCTGCATTTAATCAGTCTTTTAGAATTCAGTATGATTTTTGGCTTTCCACCGTGAGATCACTGGTGAGGTTTAAAGGAGGTGTTTGTGCAAAAGAGGAGAGAGAAAAGACATCATCTAGGAGTTTGTAGTAAAGACGTTTCTATAGAGGCATGGTTTCCTGAGAGTGGTGAAATAAATGAGGGGGGATGCTTCCAGAATAACTTTAATTTCTTGAGATCAAGGTAGTGTATACAATGGTAGAGGAAAATTTTATGTATTCCTTTTTTTCTATTTTAAACCAGAAGCTGGTATCAGCAGAAATTTCTTCTGAGAATTCAGAGCAAAATCTTCCTGTTGTGAAGTTAAGTTTGGGTGAGAAAGGGTGAGAGTGCTGAACAGAGAGTATGTATGTATCAGTAAGCCTTTTTTTCTTTCTAAACTGGTCATAAAATACATATAACATAAGATGTAACGCTCTGGGAGGCTGAGGCAGGAGAATCGCTTGAACCCAGGAGGAGGAGGTTGCAGTGAGTCGAGATTGCGCCACTGCATTCCAGCCTGGATAATAGAGTGAGACTCTGCCGCAAAAAAAAAAAAAAAAAGAAAGTACCACCCTAACCATTTCTAAGTGTACAATCCACTGGTGTTAAGCACATTCACATCATTGTGCAACCAATCTCTGTAATTTCTAAGTCACATTGCAAAGGGTGTGGATATAGGGAGGGGTGAAGAATTATGGCCATTTTTGCAGTCTACCACAGGATGTTAGAATTTTAGTTGGAGTAGTAGAGGTGAGAAGTTTACCAGAAAAGTATTTGAGTTTCTGTAACAAGATGATTGGTTTTGTATGTCAGTACAAATATTCCAGAACCCTTTGATGTGTTGAAAGTAAGACTTAAGAGGCTATGAATAAATTTTTCTTGGAATGTTTATCAGATAACTTTGGTGTTTAACCATTAAAAATGCCAAAGATTAATTTTTAAAATAACTTAATTTTGGAATAATTTTAGATTTACAGAAAAGTTGCAAGCATAGTATAGAGTCCCCAATATCTTTTACCCAGCCTCCTCCAATGTTAACATCTTATTACCTTAGTACATGTGTCCAAACTAAGAAACTAACATTGGCACCTTACTATTAACTAAATGCTAGACTTTATTTGGATTTCACCAGTTTTTCCATTAATGTTCTTTTTCTGCTCCAGGATATAGTAGGATACCATATTGCATTCTGCCAACTCTTAATTTTAACTGTGAAAAATTCTCAAACTGAAAACTGTTAAAAAAATTCTGGCCTCCAGAATTATGAGAGAATACATTTCTGTTTTTTTAAAAAAAATTCTCATTAAACTGAAGTAGGCTGAAGAAAAAAATGAAATTAATTTAAAAAAATTCTCAAACATCATGATGAAGCTGTTCCTGGCTCTTCTTGGGGTGCCCTCTACTCGAAGCAGTTCATTTTCTCAGTTCCTGACTAACTCTGACCATGTCCTTCTTAGTCTCTTCTACTTGGTCCTCCTGGCTTTCTAAAGTGTTGTGGTGATGAGGAGTTTATTCCAGCCTCTCTGAGCTTTGGAAAGCCTCCTTCTCTCTTGCCCCTCTTTCAAACTCTGAGCTTCCTCTATATCCCTCTCTCCGGGACCCCCAGGAGATTTTCTCACATCCCCAGAGCTCCTCTCTTCAGCCCATGTCAAGCCTCTCTTAAATGCGTAAAATTAAATGTGTATAACTGCTAGAGTCTGACGCCATTGGGTAGACACGCTCCTTCTGAAAGGCTCCATGCTGCTTGGTTTGCAGCTGTGAATCTCAGTGGTGGTGAGGGGCTGAGTGGGCAGGCTCGAGGGGAGGGCAGGACTCTTTCACATTCTGCTTGTCTGTCTTTCCTGTCCATTTGTCATATTCACTGTTAATGATGTGAATATGACATATCCTTTGTTAGGTCCAAAGAAGTAAAAACCAAACCCAAACCGACAAACCAACTAACCAACCGACAAACCAACTAACCAACCAACCAACCAACCAACCAACCAATCAACCACAAACATGTTATAGCGGGAGTTGATTAAATAATAATAATAATATATATATTTTTACAAATATGTAAACTTGTTCTTCTATAGACGGAGATATTAGACTCCCATTGTACCTTTTGTTCATTCATTGTTTTCTGCAGGTCAATCCAAATTCTTCCCACAATTTCAACCTTGGGGCCTTCTCCAGGGCTTAACTTAGTTTCTGGCTGTGTTGTGCATGCCAGACATGAGCTTTGGGGAATGAAGACAATGGAGTGCTGGTCCCAGAGGCCCCAGAACTTGTTTTCTTGACCAGTCCCTGATGTCAGCCAGCCTTGTGGTCATTACCGCCCGCTCAGAAGGTAGAGTGAGACATGCACAGCTGTTGGACTCCCAGGCGGGATAATGTGCCTGCCTTTCTAGCAAACTAATTAGCCAGGCAGTTTTCTCTCCCCAAGTGCTTTCTTGCCTCTGGAAACTTATTATCTTCCTGGGTGTACCCAGTGACTCATGACTTGTCAGCATCATACAAAACATGACTTTTTCTGTCCACAGCAATACAACCCATGTGTTCCTGCTTTTCATTCATAGTCTCTCTTTAATTTTTGTGGGCACATAGTAGGTGTATATGTTTATGAGGTACATGAGATATTTGGATACAGGCATATAATGCATAATAATCACATAACAGGTAAAATGGGGGTATTCATTACCTCAAGCATTTATTCCTTCTTTGTGTTACAAACAATCCAGTTATACTCTTTTAGTTATTTTTAAAGGTACAATAAATTATTGTTGAACTGTAGTCACCCTGTTGTGTTATCAACTAGGTAGTGTCATTCTATCTACCTATATTTTCATACCAATTAACCATCCCCACTGGTTTCCCTCCCCCTGCCCACTACCCTTCCCAGCCTCTGGTAAACATCTTTCTACTCTCCATCTCCATGACTTCAATTGTTTTAAATATTTTAGCACCCACAAATAAGTTTGTCTTTCTGTGCCTGGCTTATTTCTCTTAACATAATGACCTCTAGATCCATCCATGTCATTGCAAATGAGCAGGATCTCATTCTTTTTTATGGCTGAATAGTACTCCATTGTGTATATGTACCACATTTTCTTTATCCATTCATCTGTTGATGGACACTTAGGTTGCTTCCAAATCTTGGCTAGTGTGACTATAATAAACATAAGTGCTGTAATAAACATGAGAATGCAGATATCCCTTTGATATACTGATTTACTTTCTTTTGGGTATATAACTAGCAGTGGGATTGCTGGATCATATTGCAGCTCTATTTTTAGTTTTTTTGAGGAACCTCCAGGTCGTTTTCCATATTGATCGTACTAATTTACATTCTCACCAACAGCGAATGAGGGTTCCCTTTACTCCACATCCTCTCCAGCATGTGTTATTGCCTGTCTTGGATAAAAGCCACTTAACTGGAGTGAGATTGTATCTCATTATGGTTTTGATTTGCATTTCTCTGATGATCAATGTTGAGCACCTTTTCAAATACACTTTACCATTTTATGTCTTCTTTAGAGAAATGTCTATTCAGATCTTTTGCCCATTTTTAATTGGGTTATTAGATTTTTTTTTTTTCTATAGAGTTGTTTGAGCTCCTGGTTATTATTCCCTTGTCAAATGGATAGTCTGGTTATTATCCCTAGTCAAATGAATAGTCTTCAAATATTTTCTTCCATTCTGCAGGTTATCTCTTCACATTGTTGATTGTTTCCATTGTTGTGCAGAAGCTTTTTAACTTGATGTGATCTCATTTGTCAATTTTTGTTTTGGTTGCCTGTGCTTGTGGGTATTACTCAAGAAATCTTTGCCCAGTCTGATGTCCTGAAGAGTTTCCCCAATGTTTTCTTTTAGTAGTTTCAGGTCTTAGATTTAAGCCTTTAACCCATTTTAATTTTTGTATATGGAGAGAGATAGAAGCCTAGATAGAGGTCCTCCTTCTGCCTATGGATATCCAGTTTTCCCAGCATCATTTATTGAAGAGGCTGTCCTTTCTCTAATGTATGTTCTTGCTACTTTTGTTGAAATTGAGTTCACTGTAGAAGTATGGATTTGTTTCTGGGTTCTCTATTCTGTTCCATGGGTCTATGTGTCTGTTTTTATGTAGTATCATGCTGTTTTGGTTACCGTAGCTTTGTAGTATAATTTGAAGTCAGGTAATGTGATTCTTTCAGTTTTATTCTTTTTGCTCAAGATAGCTTTGGCTATTCCAGGTCTTTTGTGGTACCATATACATTTTATGTTTTTTTTTCCATTTCTGTGAAGAATGTGATTGGTATTTTTGATAGGGATTGCATTGAATCTGTAGATTGCTTTGGGTAGTATGAACATTTTAACAATATTGATTCTTCTAATCCATGAACAGAAAATATCTTTCCATTTTTTGGTGTCCTCTTCAATTTCTTTCATCAATGTTTTCTACTTTTCATTGTAGAGATCTTTTATTTATTTGGTTAAGTTTACTGCTAGGTATTTAATTTGTACCTATTGTAAATAAAGTTATTTTCTTGATTTCTTTTCCAGATTGTTCACCGTTGACATATAGAAGTGCTACTGATTTTTGCATTTGATTTTGCACCCTGCAACTTTACTTTGTTTATCAGTTCTAATATTTTTTTGGTGAAGTCTTTAGGTTTTTCCAAATATAAGATTTATATCATCTGCAAACAAAGGTAATTTGACTTCTTCCTTTCCATTTTGGATCACCTTTATTTCTTTCTCTTGTCTAATTGCTCCAGCTAAGACCTCCAGTACTATGTAGAATTAACAGTGGTGAAAGTGGGCATCCTTGTCTTGCTCCAGACCTTAGAGGAAAGGCTTTCAGTTTTTCCCATTCAGTAATACAAGCTATGGGTCTGCTTTATATGGCTTTTCTTTTGTTAAGGTATGTTACTTCTATACCCAGTGTTTTGAGGGATTTTATCATAAAGGGATGTTGAATTTTATCAAATGCTTTCTCAGCATCAACTGAAATGATCATATTGTTTTTGTCTTTCATTCTGTTGATATAATGTATCATGTTTATTAATTTGCATATGTGGAATCATCCTTGCATCCCTGGGATAAATTCCACATAATCATGATGAATGATTTTTTTAATGTATTGGTGAATTCAGTTTGGTAATACTTTGTTGAGGGTTTTTTCATCAATGTTCATCAGGGATATTGACTTGTAGCTCTCTTTTTTTGATGTGTCATTATCTAGGGTAATACTGGCCTCATAGAATGAGTTTAGAAATATTCCCCTCTCCTCTATTTTTTAGGATAGATTGAGTAGGATTGGTATTAGTTTTTTAAATGTTTGGTAAAATTCAGCAATGAAGTAATTGAGTTCTGGGCTCTTCTTTGCTGGAAGACTTTTTATTATGGCTTATATTGTTTTAAATTCTGCTTGATTGTTTTAAATCATTACTTGTTATAGCTCTGTTCAGGTTTTGGTTTTCTTCATAGTTCAATCTTGGCAGGTTGTATGTGTCTAGGAATTTATCGATTTCTTCTATGTAGGTTTTCCAACTTACTGGCATATAGTTTCTCATAATATTCTCTAATGGTCCTTTGGATTTCTGCAGTATTGGTTGTAATGTCTCCTTTTTCATCTCTGATTTTATTTATTTGGCTCTTCTCTTTTTTTCTTAGTCTGGCTAAAGGTTTGTTGGTTTTATCTTTTCAAAAAAACAACTTTTTGTTTCATTGATCTTTTATATTTGTTTTAGTTTCAACTTCATTTATTTCTATTCTGATCTTTATTTCTTTTCTTCTGATTTTGGATTTGATTTGCTCTTGCTTTTTAGTTTTTAAAGATACATTGTTAGGTTGTTTATTTTCAGTTTTTTTACTACTTTGATGTAGGTGCTTATTACTATAAACTTTCCTCTTAGTACTGCATTTACTGCATCCCATGGATTTTGATAGGTTTCCCTTTTCATTTGTTTCAAGAAAATTTTCAATTTCCTTCTTAATTTCTTAATTGACCCACTGGTCATTCAGGAGCATAGTATTTAATTTCCATGTGTTTGTACAGTTTCCAAAGTTCCTCTTATTATTGATTTCTAGTTTTATTGTGGTTAGATAAGATACTTGATATGATTTCAATTTTTTTTTTTGAAATTTTAAAGACTTGTTTTATGGCCTAACGTATGGTCTATCCTTGAGAATGATCCATGTGCTGAAAATATGTATTCTGCAGCCACTGGATAAAATGTTCTGTAAATATGTATTAGCTCCATTTGGTCAGATTAAATGCAGATTAAGCCTGATGTTTCTTTGTTAATTTTCTGTTTGGATGATCTGTCCAATGCTGCAAGTGGAGTGTTGAAGTCTCCAGCTGTTATTGTATAGGAGTCTATCTCTCTCTTTAGCTCTAATAATACTCAGTTTATATATCTGGGTGCTCCAGTGTTGGGTGCATATATATTTATAATTGTTATAGCCTCTTACTGAATTGACCCCTTTGTCATTAAATAATGACCTTCTTTGTTTCTTCTTGCAGATTTTGTCTTGAAATCTATTTTGTTTTGTATAAGGATGGCTACTCTTGTTCATTTTTGGTTTCCATTCACATAGAATATCTTTTTTCATCCCATAGAACATCTTTTTCATCCCATTATTTTTAGTCTGTGTGTATCTTTACAGATAAAGTGTGTTTTTTGTAGGCAACAGATTGTTGAGTCTTGGTATTTTTTATCCATTTAGCCACTCTATGTTTTTTGATTGGAGGATTTAGTTCATTTACATTCAATGTAATTATTGATATGTAAGGACTTACTTTTGCCATTTTGTTATTTATATTCTGGTTGTTTTGTCTTCCTCCTTCCCTCCCTCCCTCCTTTTCTCCCTTCCTCCCTTCCTTCCTTCCTTTCTTTGTTTTAGTAAAAGTGATTTTCTCAGGTGGTATGTTTAAATTTCTTGTTTTTTTATCTTTGTGTATCTTGTGTGTGTGTTTTGATTCCAGGTTACCATGAGACTTGCAAATACTTGTAGCCCATTACTTTCAACTGATGACAACTTAACACTGGTTATATAAACAAACAAGCAAAGAGAAAACTAATAAAAATTCTACATTTTAATTTCATTCCCTCGCTTTTTAACTTTTTGTTGTTTCTATTTATATCTTGTTGTACTGTCTGTGTCTTGAAAAGTTGTTACAGTTATTATTTATGATAGGTTCATTTTTCAGTCTTTCTACTTAAGGTAGTTTACATACCACAATTACAGTGTTATAATAGTCTGTGTTTTTCTGTGTGCTTATTGTTACCAGTGAGTTTTGTAGTTTCAGATGATTTCTTCTTGGTCATTAACATCCTTTTCTTTAAGATTGAAGAACTTCCTTTAGCATTTCTTTCAGGACAAGTCTGTTGTTGATGAAATCCCTCAGCTTTTGTTTGTCTGGGAAGATCTTCATATCTCCTTCATGTTTGAAGGATAATTTTGCTGAATATACTATTCTAGGATAAATGTTTTTTCCCTTCAGCACTTTAAATATGTCATGCCACTATCTCTCGGCCTGTAAGGTTTCCACAGAGAAGGCTGCTGCCAGACATATTCGAGCTCCTTTGTAGGTTATTTGTTTCTTTTCTCTTGCCGTGTTTAGGATCCTTCTTTATCTTTGACATTTGGAAGTATTAAATGTCTTGAGGCAGTCTTATTTGGATTAAACCTACTTGGTGTTCTATCACCTCCTTATACTTGAATATCCATATCTGTCTCTAGGTTTAGGAAGTTCTCTGTTATTATCTCTTTCAATAAACCTTCTACCCAGATCTCTCTCTCTACCTCCTCCTCAAGGAGGCTATTGAGGCTATTTTTTTTAGATCTTGTAGGCATGCTTTATTCTTTTTTTTCTTTTGTCTCCTCTGACTGTGTATTTTCAAATAGCCTGTCTTCAAGCTCACTAATTCTTCTGCTTGATCAATTCTGCTGTTTAGAGACTCTGATGCGTTTTTCAGTATGTCAATTGCATTTTTCAACTCCAGAATTTCTGCTTGATTGTTTTATTTTAATCTCTTTGTTAAGTTTATCTGATAGAATTCTGACTACCCTTCTCTGTGTTATCTTAGATTTAATTGAGCTTCCTCAAAACAGCTATTTTGAATTTTCTATCTGAAAGGTATCAGATCTCTGTCTTGCTGGTGCCTTATTTAGTTCATTTGGTAAGGTCATGGTTTCCTCGATGGTCTTGATGCTTGAGAATATTTGTTGGTGTCTGGGCATTGATGAGTTACGTACTTATTGTAAATTTTGCAGTCTGGGCTTGTTTGCACCCGTTCTTTTTTGGGAAAGCTTTCCAGATATTTAAGAGAATGTGTAGGTTGTGATCTAAATCTTTGGTCACTGCAGCCATATTTGTTTAACAGGGCACTCCAAGCCCAGTAATGCTGTGGTTCTTGCAGGCTTGTAGAGATACCACCTTGGTGGTCTTGGTTAAGATCTAGGAGAATTCTTTTGATTACGAGGCAGAGACTCTTATTCTCTCCTCTTATTTTCCCCCAAACAAATGGAGTCTCTCTCTGCTGAGCTATTCTCTCTGTGTGAATATTGGCTTTACAATTGGCTTTACATACTGAATATACATTCAGTAGAAATAGTGCTTCACATTTTGATTTTTGATCTTTTCTTGGACTAGTAATATGTAGTATGATACTATCTTGTGATGGCAGGGAGTGACAATGAGCCACAGCCCCCAGCCAGACACATGATCACCACTGTAAATCACCAACAATCTACAGTATTCTGTGTTTCCAGATGATTTTGCTCAACTGTAGGCTAATGTAAGTGTTCTGAGCATGTTTGACATAGGCTAGGCTAAGCTATGGTGTTCGGTAGGTTGAGTATATCAAGTACATTTTTGACTTACAATATTTTCAATTTACTTATGCTGGGTAAAACACCATCATAAGTACGGTAGCGTTTATGTGGATTTAACGAAGCAGCCTAAAGAAATCTATAGAACTCATCACAAATATCTCTAAGTAATTAACTCAATTGTGGACAAAAAAGTAGATATGTAAATTATTTTTTACCCATAACTTGGTAAAGTTTTCAAGCCTGGAATGTTAGATGTGTCTCAGCCCACTTTTCTCTTCTTGTCTGGGCTGATTTTCTTCCTAAGCATTTCATGTCCTCTGTGTTCTGCAAGCCCAGCTGTCTGCTCTCTCTCTTTTTTTTTTTTTTTTTTTTTTGAGATGGAGTGTCACTCTCTCACCCAGGCTGGAGTGCAGTGACACAATCTTGGCTCACTGCAACCTCCGCCTCCCAGGTTCAAATGATTCTTCTACCTCAGCCTCCTGAGTAGCTGGGATTACAGGCACGTGCCACCACACCCGGCTAATTTTTGTATTTTTAGTAGAGACGGGGTTTCACCATATTGGCCAGGCTGGTCTTGAACTCCTGACCTCAGGTGATCCGTCCACCTCGGCCTCCCAAAGTGCTGGGATTATAGGCGTGAGCCACCGCACCTGGCCCTGTCCTCTCTTTTTTAATTTCTCTGTGCTGTTACCCAGTTTGCAAGGGTATCCTTTTCAAGTAAGTCATGTCAAGTTACTTCTGTTTCTTCTAGAACTTGCTGCTCTTGCTCTCATGTCTTAGGAGCTCACTTTATTTTCTCCTTGGTTTTTCTTATGGCTTGTTCAACTCAGTCTGGCTGTACCCAGCACAGAGGCACATAACAGGCTGTTAATAAAGCTTGGTGATTAAATGCATTGAATAAATGCATGAACACTCTTACTTCAGGCTGCAGTCTTTCTCCTTGGTCTACACTGGGTCTTTCTCTGGTTTATTTATCTTTTCAATTGAAGTCAGGTTACTAGACTGTTTAAACAACAATAAAGATACTGTTGATAAAATTTGTCAAGAAATGCAAGATATTAGAATTTTATAGATAACAGCATATATCCCATTTTTATATTACAGCAGGTTTAACCTTTGTATGAGTTTTTTTTTGTTTTTCAAACATTTGTCATTTGTGAGGCCTGTTGCTCAAAATACAAACACAGTTCAATTCCACAGGGTGTCAGGTGGGTTCATATTTGTCAGAAGAAAGTACACACCCACAAGCATTTTAACTTTTAAAGTAAATGCCCAACTTAACCAGCAAAGAATTATACATTTTATTGGAAGTGAGGTCATTATGTTGGGTGAGATCAGATGCAGTTTATCTCCGCACAGCTTCCTGTGAGCTCCAACATTCCTAATGGGATAGGTCTATTAAGGAACATGCTGGGAGGCAGGGATATGGTTCCTGTGAGTTAGGGTCTTAACAAGCTCAAAAAGTTCCATTCTTGTTTTGCCACTTCCTTTTTATTCTCAGAAACTATACTCTTAACTTATGGGCTTCTTCTTTCATGAAATTTACAAACATTAGGTTCTCCTAATTCTTTTTTTTTTTTTTGAGAGAAGTTTCGCTCTTGTTGCCCAGGGTGGAGTGCAATGGTGCAATCTCAGCTCACTGCAACCTCTGCCTCCCGGGTTCAAGTGATTCTCCTGCCTTAGCCTCCCAAGTAGCTGGGATTACAGGTACCCACCACCACACCCAGTTAATTTTTGTATTTAGTAGAGACGGGGTTTCACCATGTTGGTCAGGCTGGCCTCAAACTCCTGACCTCAGGTGATCCACCCACTTCAGCCTACCAAAGTGCTGGGATTACAGGAGTGAGCCACTGCACCCGGCCAGGTTCTCCTAACTCTTAATCCAAATGCAGAATCTAGAAGCTCATATCCTTACTTGGGCATGGAAAGCAGGGCTTAAAGGTTTCTATAAAACATTTCAAACTCCAGGGTCCAGTGTCCTGAGAAGCCCCTTTCTTCAAGAATTTTTACTGACTTGACAATCTCCTGGGATCAGACTCTTAAAGGTTATCTGTGATTATCAGAGACCCTTACCACACTAGCTCTTGAAAAAGGGATTGAGGCAGTGTATGTATCAGCTCAGGCTGCCATAACAAAGTATCACAGATGACTTAAACAACATAAATTTATTTTCTCAAGGTTCTGGGGGCTGAAGTCCAAGATCAAGATGTTCGCAGGTTTGGTTTCTCCTGAGGCCGCTCTGCTTGCCTTGCAGATGTCTGTCTTCTCCCTGGGGCCTCAAATAGCCTTTCTTCTGTGGTATCTCTTCCCTTCTTATAAGAACACCAGTCCTGTTGGATTATGGCCACATTTTCGTGACCGCATTTAACCTTAATTATCTTTTTACAGGCCCTGTTTCCAAATACAGTCACATTGGGGGGTTAGGGTTTTAACACATACATTTTGGGGGATACAGTTTAATCCATAACAGGCAGAATACCAGACCGTTGGTAACCATTTCAGAGTAGCAGATTCTCTGCTGGTAAAAACATTTTTATCTGTAATAAATTGGTTAAATGCTTGGTTTTGGGAGCTAAGGTGTCCACATTCATGCCCTCGCTCTGCCGCTTACTAGCAGCCGTGAGATCTTGGGCAGGTTACTTATCTTCTTTCTGCCTCAACCTTTTGACCTGCAGAATGGGGATTATCAAAGATCTAGCTCATGGAGGTGTTGTGAGAATGAAATGAGTTAAAACACGTAAAGTGTTGATTACGGTTGGTAGCATGTAAGAAATGCTCAATGAATGTTAGCTGTTCTCGTTGTCAAGAAATGTTACTTTCGGTTATGGACTGAATTGTGTCCTTCAAAATTCATGTGTTGAAGCCCCAACCCCCAGACCATCAGAATGGAACCAGATTTGGAGATTAGGCCTTTAAAGAGGTAATTGAGTTAAAATGAGGCTGTTAGGGTGGGGACCTAATCCGATGTGACTGGTGTCCTCATAAGAAGAGGGAGAGACACCAGGGGCGTGCACGCACAGATGGACGCCCTTGTGAAGAGGCAGCAGGAGGGGCCATCTGCGAGCCAAGGGTAGAGACCTCAGAAGAACCCTGCCCTGCTGGCACCCTGATCTTGGACTTCCAGGCCCCCAAACATTGAGAATATAAATTTCTATTGTTTAAGCCACACAGTCTGTGGTATTTTGTTACGGCAGCCCTAGCAGAGTAATACACTCCCTGAAAAGAATGAGCCTAATGAGGTCCAAAGTATTCCCTTCTAATTAAAATTAGGTGGCTGCTCTTTCTGCCATGATGACAACATCCTGATTAGAAGTCACTTTGTCAAAAGGAACTACATTATGAACACCCAAAGAATGGTATGGTATGTTTTTAAAAGGGTACTTTCTCTTTTTGAGGATACTCTGTTGTATATCTATGCAGTTAGGAGAAGTGTGTTTTGATTACCTGCTTGGTAATCCTTCTAAAATGCGAATATAATTATTCTAATGCAAACCTTATCACATATTCTCAAGAAATTTCAGAACTAAAGCCAATTTTTTGTTTTAAGACAGATGGCTTAACATATTTTTGTGTATATGTGAAATATTCTTTATCTTTAAAAGAGTGCGTCTAGTTAGAGAAAGATGGATGGTAGGTAAAGGACCCATAACCTTGAAGTACACAGCTCCACAGTTGAGAGCTGCCTGGCTGGTCAGCAGGGACAGTGTAGCAGTGACCAGCACTCAAACTGCTCTTGGTTTCACAGCAGTGACCAAGTCAGGCTCATGTTCTTCAAGTGGTTTCATAACACTCCAGTGGAGGATTTATGTCTGTGAGTTTTCCCATTTCTTGGACATCCCAAAGACTGAACTTCTAACAGATAACTCCAAGTGGGAGGCATGTTTACACCACAGAAACCACTATTATTGGGAGGAGAAAATGTTGTTTTTGGCAATGTAACCAGGGAGACAGACCTACCCCTTCAGGGAATAAAACAAATCCTTTCTTTGTGATGCTCACTTTTTTTGTCCCGTTGAATGAGGAGTTGCAGACTGATATCTCACAGGCCAAATCTGGCTCACAGATGTTTTGTTTGACACAGTGGTATTTATGCAGGTTTTCAATTTGAGTATGTTTAAACAAAGCAAGAATTTTCTAATTTGGCACAGTTCCCATCACTCTGTTGTCTTACATACAGCACACTGGTTCCCATTCATTTATGTGACTTGACTGGATCCTGAATGCATTTAGCTTGCAACCTGGGTTAAATTGTTCCCTGGCCACAGTTAGAGACTTTTTGCTTCAACACAGAAAAAGTTTTTTTGTTTTTTGTTTTTAAAAGCTTTTGAGGTTTGTTCACTATATATAGATCATGGAATACTTTCATTTGCATTCAGTGCATTCTGATATTTGAGGGATTTGGAACACTTGTTACTAATACAAATTTTACTGTAGTCAGCAGGAATCAGATTTTCAAATCTACAATTTCTTCTTTTACCTGGAAAATGAATTTTCATATTATAGTTCACACATGGGTTATTCTTAACTAAGTCTTGACTGGTGCTATCCAAAATTGTAGCTGCTAGCCACACGTGGCTACTGAGCACTTGAAATGTGGCTAGTCTTAACTGAAATGTGTTGTGAGGGTAAAACACACAATGGATTTAAAACAGTACAAAAATAATGCAAGATATCTTATTAATACTTTCTTATATTGAAATAATATTTTTGAGATAGTAGGTTACATAACATATTGTATTAAAGTTAATTTCACCTGTTTCTTTTTACTTTTTAAAATGTATACTAGAAAATAAACCATTGCATAGGTGGCTTGCACTATATTTCTATTGAATGGGGCTGGACTAGAAGTTAACCAAAATGAATTTCTAACGACATTAAGTTTACTGAGTTCATGGCACCATATGTTGAGTTTATTTATAATCCTTCTATAAAATCAATAATGAATGATGGCTTCAGTTTCCTGAAAGAGGCCCCTCTCTAAGTGTGGTGTTAAAGATGAGTGCTAACGGGCAGGAAGTGTGCTGGGAATATATGCAGGCACTAGGTAAACAAAACAGTCCAGAGAGTTTGGGTTGGAAATTAGTTGTTGCTTTGACATGTGGCATGATTTATCCCTTTGCTACTCATATTTCTCTATCAGGCAGCTGCTAGGCTTCTTCTAATGTACTTGCCTGAGTATGCCTGCACACACACACACACACACACACACACACACACACACACCCCACACACAACTGTGGCTGGAAGCCTCTTTTAGGAGTTCTCTTTGCATCTAATGTGAAAATTCCTCTCCAGTGGGAAGTGACCTTGGTATTACTTAAAAACCCTAACTGTTAGAGATCATTCTTGGACTCTTTTTTTCTTGGTATAGAAATGAGAGAGAGGGAAGTTATGAAATTGATATTGAAGAATGTATGAGAAGGTAGGAAGCAGATGAGAGACTGGAAAGAGAGTGGAATCTTGGAGGGAGACAGGAGTTTGCATGTTAGTTCTGAACTCACCAACTGTGACTTAGGCAAATCTCACACCCTTTGTGGGTCAGCTTCGTTTATAAAAGGTGGTGCTACTGATAAGTACTTTACAAAGTTCACATACAGTTCAAAGGAGTGCTTTTTAAACTTTAAGATTCACAAACTAACATTTTTATTAGGGAATATAAGCTTTCATTTAATAATCATTATTATCAATAAACATTTGATTGCTAACTAGATGCAAATTACTACCCCTAGAGCAGTGCTCTGGTTTAGAACACTCAAAACCGAAAGCTTTACTCATTGCTGAATTCGGCCTTGTATCTCCTGTGACCTTCACTGTCACAGAGAAGGAAACTGTGTTACATATGTTTCATCTTACTCTACTGTTAACTCATACTTCACAGATTAGAAATGTAATTCTGAGATTGGTAAATTCAATTATGATCCTGTTTGTTGTGGCCAACAAATAGATTATTTAAAAATTGCTTTGCTGTCCTTTTAAATCAAGATAAGAACAATTAAATTAATTACTGATGGCTCTGGAATGGACATTTCTCAAGGAGCTGATTAATTTGGTTAGGGCTTCAAGTACTTTGGTTTGCTTCCCTCTATTCTTTTTCATAAATTCTTCTTTCTATTCTTTTTAAGTAAACAAGTTTTCACTCTTATGATACCCTGTGCCATGAAATTAACTTTTCATTATTTTAAAAATCACATTTTAAAAAAATTAAAGAAAAAACGCAGAATAGAAACTGTCCTTTGTGTTTATCGCTGTGGGTTGTTTTCTTCCTTTACCTTTTTTCTTTACCTTTTGTTTTAGTGGTCAGCTTTTTATTTGTTTCATATTTTTTTCTGAGCCAAAACATAAATCTTGGTGGATGGAAAGAAGATGAGTAAAAGAGAAAAGGCAGAAAATAAGCCCCGCTAAGAAAGAGAAAGGAAATAGAACCACCACCAATAAGGAGATTAAAAGGTAAAGTGAAAAATAGTGTGTTCAACTGATAAACATTCTCTTCTTACTAAACTCTAGCCAGAGTCCTCTGAATCCCCTTCTTGGCTAGGCCTCTATCTTGGCCTGTAAAAACTACAGACACTCAATACAAATGATGTCATCCAGCCCCCCACTCACATTAAAAGATTTAAGCAAGCATTAACTTAGTTTCTCACCAGTCAAGGCCACATCTCTAGGTGACTTTAGCTTCCCTTAAAGTGCCTGCTTGGGAGAGCTCAAGGCTACAAAAGAATTGACTGTTTGTTCCAGCTGACACCTGACCATAGGCCCTTGATCATCCTTTCTTAGAGCATTCACTAAAAAGGGCTTATTGTGAATCTTTCCTCTGTCCCTTGGGATATGTGTGTACCTCCTGCAACTCAGGAGTGTCTTTCTCAAGGACCTGAAAGCCATTCCTTTGAGATACTATCATCAGGAAGAACAGGGCCTCTGTCTCCCAGTGACTGTGGAAGGACGCAATCCTGACTTTGATAACTGCCAGCTAGCAGACACAGCTGGCCCAATCAGCATTTACACTGAACAACCCTTTGCAAATGTTTTCGCTTCCCTAACTGCTGAGCCCCCATTGTCTCCACTCCCTACTCCATTGCTCTCCCTTTAAAATGTCATCATCTTTGTACAAACTGAAGTTGAGTTCTGTTCATGTGGGACCCTCTTCTCTAGTGCAGTCGTATATTGGCGATTACAATCTATCCTTACCATTTTTACTTGTGTCTAGCTTTGCTTATCTTTGATAGAATACACCCTAAGATGACCCCCTATGGGTCACATTCTTGTATAATCCCTTCCCCTTGAGTGTGTGGAATCTATGACTTGCTTCTAACCAACAGAATATGGGAAAGAAAGGTGGTTGATTATCACTCCTTGATTTGGTTACATTATGTAAGACTCCATCTTAGCAGACTAGTGTGTTAGTCTGTTTATGTTACTATAAAGGAATACCTGAGACTGGATAATTTATAAAGAAAAGAGGTTTAATTGGCTCACAGTTCCGCAGGGTGTACAGGAGGTATGGTGCCAGCATCTGCTTCTGGTGAGGCCTCAGGAAGCTTCCACTCATGGCAGGAGATGAAGGGGAAGCAGGTGCATCACATGGTGAGAACACAAGCAGGAGATCGAGGGGTGAGAGAGTGGGGAGGGGAGTTTCCAGACTTTTAAACAACTGGATCTCGCATGAACTAACTGAACAAGAATTCACTTATTACCCAGGGGATGGTGCCAAACACTTTATGAGGGATCTGCCCCCATGCTCCCGTCACCTCCCACCAGTTTCCACCTACAACATTAGGGATCACATTTCAACATGAGGTTTGGAGGGTACAAACATCCAAACTCTATCAGCTAGCAAGAAATCCTCCTGCTGGTTTTGAAGAAGCAAACGGTCCTGTTGTGGACTGCCTTTGGAGAAGACCTCAAGTCAGGGAACGGTGGGTGGCCTCTAGGAGCTAAGGATGGCCTCCACCAATAGGCAGTGGGAAGCACGGTGCTCAGTCATACAGCTGCAAGAAAATGAATTCTGTCAACAGCCTGAATGAGCTTGGAAGCAGACTCTTCCTAAGTTGAGCCTGCAGATGAGAATGTAACCCGGCCAACACCTGGACTGCAGCCTTATGTGATCCTGAGTGGAGGACCCAGCCACTCTGTGTCTGGACTCCTGATCATGGAAACTGTGAGATTTAAAAATGCATGTTCATGTGGGGCTTAACACCTAGGTGAGAGGTTGACAGGTGGGGCTTAACACCTAGGTGAGAGGTTGACAGGTGCAGCAAACCACCATGAAACACGTTTACCTACATAACAAACCTGCACGTCCTGCACATGTATCCTGGAACTTAAAATACAATTAAAGAAATTTTTTAAAAATGCATGTTGTTCTAAGATGCTAGATTTATGTTCATTTGTTACATAGCAATAGAAAACTAATATAATTACTACATACATTTCTATGCTAAGTTTTTTTTTACTTTAAAAATTTTTTACTTTTTGCTATAAAATTTCTCAAACATAGAGCAAAGTCAAGCAATGTTTATGGTGAGCACCTATATATCTACCACTTAGATTCTACCATTAAGATTTTACCATCCCAGCACTTTGGGAGGCCGAGGCAGGCGGATCACGAGGTCAAGAGATCGAGACCATTCTGGCCAACATGGTGAAACCCCGTCTCTACTAAAAATACAAAAATTAGCTGGGAATGGTGGTTTGCGCCTGTAGTCCCAGCTACTCGGGAGGCTGAGGCAGGAGAATCACTTGAACCCGGGAGGCAGAGGTTGCAGTGAGCCAAGATCATGCCACTGCACTCCAGCCTGCAACAGAGAAAGTAAAAAAGAAAAAAAGATTTTCCTGTACTTGCTTTATCACATTATCTATATTATCTATTCATTCATCCATTCCTCTATCTACCTATCAATCCATCTTACTTCTTGGTGCATTTCAAGGTAAATTGTGACACCTGTACACTTCCCCCTAAATATTTCAGCACTCATATCATTAACTAGAGTTCAATATTTCTTAATAGTTTTCTCTTTTAATGTAAAATACAATGATGTTTACAAATCTGGGTGTACATTCACTCAGTTTGACAAATGCATACACCTGTGTAACCCAAGCCTCTATCACAATAATTATTCAGCATTGCCATTACCCCACTAACTTACCTCATGTCCCTTCCCAGTCCTTTTCTGCTCCTACCCACCCCCCTTCTTCCAGGAAACAATTCTTCTATCTTTTCCCCCTATATTAGTTATGCCTGTCCTAGAACTGAATATAAATGGAATCAAATAATATGTGCTTTCTTGAGTAAAGCTTCTTTCATTCAGTATAATTTTTAAATATTTTCTGAAAAGTTGAGTGAACAGTTTCTTAGGAAAAATGTATAATCAAAAATTTTAAAAATTTTCAAATATTTACCTTAAAAAGGCATGGAGTCTAGAAGTCTAGAGGCAAGTGTTTTTAAACTGTCAATGAACAGATAATTTCTATGCAGTGTAAATTTATTTCCTAGCATAGATGTAGATTAAAAAGCTGTCCAAATTGTTTCACTAAGCTGCCAGAATTCCAATACCAAAATCAATCAATATAACACTCAAAAAAGAAAATAAAATGAATTTCAATAGAAAATAATACATTATAACCAAATAGAGGTTATCCCAGAATTGCAAGGATAGCTGAATATTATTTTAAGGATCAATATAATTATCTCTACAGGTAAAAAGAAATCCCTTGATTGTCTTGATAGATGTGGTAGGATAGGCATTGAGGACTTCTGGTTAAATATGAAAATGGATTATGTGCATTAGCTCAAAAGAGTCCAAAACTCCACTAAGATAATGGTAAGGAAATACAAAAGTATAGAAACTTTAAAAGAGAAAGAAAATTAGAGAGAAGACCATAATAGACTAAAGAAATCAATGCAATTCTGAAAGAAAGAAAGAAAGAAAGTAGATGGAATAGCAGAGAACAGATTAATGTGCACCACTGAAGCCCAGAAAAGCTCAGCAATGACAAAAGCAGGTACCCATAAAAGTCAGGATATGGGTGTGCGGAAAACAAGGTGTACTGCTGAAGTTTGTATCAAGAGCAGTTAGACCCTGAGATTCTCTCCTCACCTCCCACACTCAAACAACTCTCCCTCTCTGACTTGGAAGAAGGGCTCAGAGTTGTATTCTCCGGAGACCTTAAGACAGAGAGATGTAGACTGGACACTAAGGGTAGCTGAGGGTGGTGGCGAGCGGAGGGGGGTCCTACTAAAAACAGTCATTGAGAATGATGAGAACAAGATCCTTTCTCCTGCTCAGTGTCCAGGAGGCGGGCAGCCAGGCCTGTGCCCCTCAGAGTAGAACATTTCTCTCTGGAAACTGTGACCAAGCTAAGAGAAAAGACCTGCAGAAATAGACATTTGTATTCCTTAATGACATGGCTGGGTCCATGCCAATTACTCAGTGGTGAGGACCACCATTCTTTTTTTTTGTTTTTTGAGATGGAGTCTCGCTCTGTCGCCCGGGCTGGAGTGCAGTGGCGCGATCTCGGCTCACTGCAACCTCCACCTCCCGGGTTCACGCCATTCTTCTGCCTCAGCCTCCCGAGTAACTGGGACTACAGGCGCCCGCCACCACGCCTGGCTAATTATTTGTATTTTAGTAGAGACGGGGTTTCACCATATTAGACAGGATGGTCTCGATCTCCTGACCTCGTGATCCACCCATCTCGGCCTCCCAAAGTGCTGGGATTACAGGCGTGAGCCACCGCGCCTGGCCCAAGGGCCACCATTCTATAAGCCTTTCACAAACACAAACCTTCCAATCAGCTTTTTAAAAGTAAAAAAATTAATGAGTGATTAAGAATCATTATATGTTTAAGGAAATATCTTAATGTGAAACTATTCAATACAAAAGAGTTAAAATAGATCAAAAAGAAACTCAGGTAACAGAGACAAGGCAGAAAGCAGAATAAAACTTTAAAGAGGCTATCAATATCTTCAGAGAGATAAGAAAAGATATTGCATTAGTGAAATGAAGGCAGAATGCTACAAGAAAGGACACTTGAGACTAAAAAAGGTCTTTAAAAAATGTTAACATGAATTTTAAAAATTCAGCGGAAAGGTTGGAAAAGAAAGCTGATGAACATTCTAGGAAGAAGGTCAAAGAGGAGGAGGCAGAGGGGGAGAAGCAGTGGGAGGCTCTCTTAGTAAACAAGGGCCAAGGTAAGACGGAAAGGTTTGGTGACTTATTTGAGAGCCACACGACTTGGGAATCAAGAAGGAGCACAAAAGGAATGTGAAGCAAGGGAAGAGATCGAGAGATAGACTGACATACTCCCAGAGACAAAGCAGGCCGATGGTCAGGTAGATCCACACAGCATGCAAGACTTTTTTAAGATGGGTTGCAAGGAGTGACCGTATTTCCCAGCAATCTATGAGGAGGAAGGCGAGGGAGTTTATGTGCCCAGATCCCTCCCATCTCTTGCTTTCCCTTGGTCAAAGTTCACTCCATGGGAGTTCACTCTTCTGCACATCCAGATGGTATCATTTGGCATCTTTGGAAGCTGCCAGGGATGGCAGGAACCATGCTGTACAGTGTGGTGCTTCATCTAAGTCCTGAAATAGAGGGAGGAGCCAGAAACTCTGACCTGGGTGTGCAGCTGTGCCCACAGGGAAGGTTTTGACATTCCCAAGGCAAGTGACCAGTTAGCCCCAAGTGGCAGAACTGGCCAGTGGTGGTAGGTAAGGCAAAGAGGCGGCCAAGGGACTGAGGAGGTGCATAAAATTTGTGCCCGATGTATCTGAAATTGAAGAATCAAGGAAAATCAGGATATATATGTTATTTAGAAATAAAGATTTACAGCTGGGCGTGGTGGCTCATGCCTTTAATACCAGCACTTTGGAAGGCTGAGGCGGGTGGATCACTTGAGGTAAGGAATTCAAGACCAGCCTGGCCAACGTGGTGAAACCCCGTCTCTACAAAAAATACAAAAACGGGTAGTCCCAGCTCCTTGGGAGGCTGAGGCAGGAGAATCGCTTGAACCCGGGAGGCGGAGTTTGCAGTGAGACAAGATTATGCCATCACACTCCAACCTGGGCTGCACAGCAAGACTCTGTGTCAAAAAAAAAAAAAAAAAGAATTACAAGTTTGCAAATTAAATATTAAAACTCACAGAGTCATAAGTGAAAACTCCTGTAACTTAGAGGTATTAAAAAAACTTTTCCAAATATAACACCAATGGCAGAAAGCCATAAAGGAAACAATAGCTGGATTTAAAACTTCTTTTTAATTACAATGCACACCCAAAGCATTATAAATAAAATTTTGAAAAAAGAAATTTCAAAAAACTGGATAACAATATATGACAAATAATATCTTTAACATATAAAGGACATTTATAAATACATGAGAATAAGACGAATATCTCAATGTAAAAGCAGGAGAAGTTATAAACAATTCACAAAATAAAAAATACAAATGGAAAGAGATGAAGAAATAGTTCATATTTCTAATAAGTACATATGTAAATAAAATGCCATTTAAGCTTATCTTATTGATGAATACCAAAACATGCACTAATACCTAATGTTGAGAAGGTCACTGGGTAAATGTTGATGCATTGCTGGGAGAATTGTAAGTGTACCTTTCTGGAGGATAATTTTGCAGTATATATTGAAAACCTTAAAATACATACATCCTTACAGTTAGACGTCTGATTCAAGGAATTTATCCTAGATGAAGACACAAAAATGTATGGATGTCTGTTTATTCTGGCTTTTATTATAATGCCAACAAAACAAAACAACATAATTCTTTTTTTTTTTTATTATACTTTAAGTTTTAGGGTACATGTGCACAACGTGCAGGTTTGTTACATATGTATACATGTGCCATGTTGGTGTGCTGCACCCATTAACTCGTCATTTAACATTAGGCATATTTCCTAATGCCATCTCTCCCCCCTTCCCCCACCCCACAACAGGCCCCGGTGTGTGATGTTCCCCTTCCTGTGTCCATGTGTTCTCATTGTTCAATTCCCACCTATGAGTGAGAATATGAGGTGTTTGGTTTTTTGTCCTTGCGATAGTATGCTGAGAATGATGGTTTCCAGCTTCATCCATGTCCCTACAAAGGACATGAACTCATCATGTTTTATGGCTGCATAGTATTCCATGGTGTATATGTGCCACATTTTCTTAATCCAGTCTATCATTGTTGGACATTTGGGTTGGTTCCAAGTCTTTGCTATTGTGAATAGTGCTGCAGTAAACATACGTGTACATGTGTCTTTATAGCAGCATGATTTATAATACTTTGGGTATATACCCAGTAATGGGATGGCTGGGTCAAATGGTATTTCTAGTTCTGGATCCCTGAGGAATCGCCACACTGACTTCCACAATGGTTGAACTAGTTTACAGTCCCACCAACAGTGTAAAAGTGTTCCTATTTCTCCACATGCTCTCCAGCACCTGTTGTTTCCTGACTTTTTAATGATCGCCATTCTAATTGGTGTGAGTTGGTATCTCACTGTGGTTTTGATTTGCGTTTCTCTGATGGCCAGTAATGATGAGCATTTTTTCATGTGTCTTTTGGCTGCATAAATGTCTTCTTTTGCGAAATGTCTGTTCACATCCTTCACCCACTTTTTGATTGGGTTGTTTGTTTTTTTTCTTGTAAATTAAAACAACATAATTCAACAGTAGTGTCCTGGTTACATATAATGTCCAATATCCAAATATTGGAATGCCATTCGGTCATTAAAAAGGCAAATTTATATTTATAGACATAAAAGATAGCCAGGATATATTTTTAATTGAAAAAAAGGTCACATATGTCTTTTTTTTCTAAATACATATATTTATTAGGTATACATGAAAGGAAAACTAGGGAAAAAAAAGCATAAAGAAAGGTAACTTTTATTTGAAAATTTTTTGCAAAGGAGTTTAGACTTTAGAAGAATTTGCCTGCTGAATAAAAGATAGAATGTTGCATTTAAAGAAAATTCCCCACAAGATTACCAAGGTTGCAGATAGTGTAGTCATGGTAGAAAAATAGTTTTCTCACACAACTATCACATCTGTGAGGAACATCATATATTTGTAGATGTCAGCAACAAAAAAGGCAGGGATAAAGTTATCACTGTTTATGGCCGGGCGCAGTGGCTTACGCCTGTAATCCCAGCACTTTGGGAAGCCAAGGCAGGTGGATCACTTGAGGTCAGGAGTTCAAGATCACCTGGTCAACATGGTGAAATCCCATCTCTATTAAAAATACAAAAATTAGCCGGGTGTGGTGGTGGGCACCTGTAATCCCAGCTACTCGGGAGGCTGAGGCACAAGAATTCCTTGAATCCAGGAGGTGAAGGTTGCAGTGAGCCAAGATCTGCCACTGTACTCCAGCCTGAGCAATAGAGCGAGATCAGTCTCAAAAAAAAAAAAAAATTATCACTGTTAGAGAAGTCAGCACACAGGAGAGGGATGAGGTTTCCTTTGTTTTGGGGACTGCTGCTAGATAGAGTGATTCTGTATTTTTATTTGTTTATCTTGGGGGCAAAGTGCTTTTTTTTCCCCTCCGTACTAACTCATAATAGCAAAGTCCCACTTTCTCAAACACATAGAAACATATCTAGAGGAATGTACACCACAAGGTTCAGTACAATTACGTCTTGGTGTAAAATTACAGATAGTTTTTATTTGTTTTTTAAAAATTTTGTGCTTGTATTTTGTTTTTCTATCATAATGTTATTGCTTACATACAAATTCTGATTATAAAAGTAATACATTCTCAGTTAAATTATATATAAAACACTGAAAAGTGAAAAGAAGGACATTGAAACTGTCAATAAACTACCCAGAAGTATCATTTTGATGTACTATATTTAGTAAGTTTGGTATATATTCTTCTAGCAGGGTTTTTTTTTGTTTGTTTATTTGAGTCTATAATCTGCTTTTGTTCTTAACAAATATAGTACAGGCATGTTCCATTGTTTTTATATATTTTAGTATATGATATTTTAATATATTTAGTATATATATTTTGAGACAGAGTCTCACTCTGTCACCCAGGCTGGAGTGCAATGGCACGATTTTGGCTCACTGCAACCTCTGCTTCCTGGGTTCAAGCAATTCTGCCTCAGCCTCCCAAGTAGCTAGGATTACAGGCATGCACCAACACGCTCAGCTAATTTTTTTTGTATTTTTAGTAGAGATGGGGTTTCACCATGTTGGTTAGGCTGGTCTCTAATTCCTGACCTCAAGCGATCCACCTGCCTCGGCCTCCCAAAATGCTGGGATTACAAGTGTGAGCCACCGTGTCTGGCCTATTTTAGTAAACTTTTAATGGCTTCAAAAATTCTACCACATGTATGTGCCACAATTTACCTGCTATCAGTCATTTGGGTTATTTCCAATTTGGGGCTATTATTAATAAATAATTGTACTCCATAGTGAACATCTTCATTACGTAAATTTTTGTACATGCTTCAGATTATTTCCTTAGATTCTTGGGAATAGAATTACAATGTAAAAAAGTGGGAATGTTTTTAAGACCCCTTACACTTGTTGCCCAGTTGGCCTCTAGAAAGGTTGAGTACAAAAACCATCCACCCCTGGCCCCCTACGCACAGTTTGGACACTGAGGACTCAAACTATTCCCCATATAACTTACTGTCTACCTTAACATGACTTTGCTAGTCCAGTATCTTCATTATCATAATTTTAAAACTCCGAGAGACTCTTACCCAGGCAGAGTTCCTTGTCCATTACTGAAATTTCCCAAAAGGCCCATACACTCTTCAATGGACTAAAGATTCTTTGAACCACTTGCTTTAAAACTCCTCACCTTGCTGTTTCCACCAATCCTGGACTATTGTGTCATCCTTACCCAATCCTAATCATGCCCTCTTTATCTCCCCAGTTGAAAGACCCACCTTAAACCAAACTTTAAATTTCCAATTTTCAGTAAATTCTAAACTTGACATCCCATATCCTAAACACAAAGTAATATAGAGCTGGTGTTCTCCTTTACCTTGGTAAGCAATAAACTCAGCTTTGTCTGAACACCTTATGTTAGTGCCAGTCTATACATTTTTGCAGAGTATAAAAGCCCATGCCAGGATGTTATATTTGTATCACCATATCCAAAGAGATGATACGATCAGCTGTTAACCTAATCAAACAGCCAGCCCTATCCATGGAAACCTAACCAGGTGTGTTAACTGTAAAGAAGGATTTGTGGTAGGAACATCACACATCCCTTTTGCCAAGGACCTTTTGGTTTATGCTTGTGGTCCTGGTATAATTGTTAACAGCACTCACTCTCTTCCACTCTCGCAAGTGTCCTGGCTTGGGGTATGCATTCCTTCTGGTGGTTAATATTGAGTGTCAACTTGATTGGATTGAAGGATGCGAAGTATTGTTCCTGGGTGTGTCTATGAGGGTGTTGCCAAAGGAGATTAACGTTTGAGTCAGTGGATTGGGAGAGGCAGACCTACCCTCAGTCTGGGTGGGCACCATCTAATCAGCTGCCAGTGTGGCCAGAATAAAAGCAGGCAAAAAAATGTGGAAAGAGCAGACTGGTTTAGTCTTCTGGCCTCCATCTTTCTCCCGTGCTGGATGCTTCCTGCCCTCGAACATCGAACTCCAAGTTCTTCAGTTTTGGGACTCATACTGGCTTTCCTTGCTCCTCAGCTTGCAGATGGCCTATTGTGGGACTTCACCTTGTGATCGTGTGAGTCAATACTCCTTAATAAACTCCCCTTCATATATACATCTATCCTATTAGTTCTGTCCCTCTAGAGAACACTGACTAATACATTCCTACAAGCACTTTACTATCAAACAGGGGTCCTTCATCAGATTTCATTATGATCCTACCCATGTAGTCCTTCATTATTAACATTAATGTTTTACTGTCAATAAATACAGTTGTCAGTTATTAATTGCCTATAATGCCAAGCCTAGGGCTACAGGCTTTATGTCCTTTTTTTTTTTTTTGAGACACAGTCTCGCTCTGTCACCAGGCTGGATTGCAGTAGTGCGATCTTGGCTCACTGCAACCTCTGCCTCCCGGGTTCAAGCGATTCTCCTGCCTCAGCCTCCCGAGTAGCTGGGACTATAGGCACGCACCACCACACCCAACTAATTTTTTTGTATTTTTAGTAGAAATGGGGTTTAACCATGTTTGCCAGGATGGTCTTGATCTCTTGACCTCTTGATCTGCCCGCCTCGGCCTCCCAAAGTGCTGGGATTATAGGCGTGAGCCACGGCGCCCAGCCTTATGTGCATTTTTGATCTCATATAATTCTCACAACAGTCCTCTGAGTAAGGACAATTTTTATGGCCATTTTATAGACCTACTCAGAACGTAGTTCCCAGGTATGGCACCCAGGAATCTACTTTTGAAAGCTCCCAAATGATTCCAATGCATCTATCCATGGAACCATTGCATTGGTTGATATGGGAGAGGTGAAGATGAGATACAGATCTGTATCTAAGCACATCTCAAGATATGATACAGACATCCTGGCCACTTGGGGCTTAGAGCTCGTATGGCTATAAGTACACAAATGCCCAACAAGCATGTAAACTACTAGGATGTCAACTCTCAAAGTCCACCACTGGTGTCTGGGTGTTGTGCGGTTTGCATGGAGATGGAAGGCAGAAATGTCTGCTCTTTGGGTTGGAGAGAACTTTGGATATTAACTTCTTGGTTTGATATTTAAAACTTCTGTTGTGTCGATAGCCCCTCCAGAATAACTGTGGAAAAAGAAAAATATTTTAAAATATTCAAACCCAAATCGTCTTTGATTTAGACTTTTTCAGGTGGAGCAAAGCTTTCACATATCCTTGGGAGGAAAGAATTCAAAAACTGGATGTAAATAGAGCTGCGTTTATTGAGATAGGAGAGAGCGGATGCAGTGAATGAAATGTGTGTGCAGATAGTAATGAAGTATTTACCTATAGGAGTGTGCTGTTTGTATGTGCTCTTCCACAATTTACTTGGTACTTGAAAAATGTTGTCATGGCAACAGTATAACAAACAAGGTGGAATTGCGTACAGATGAATCACAACTTTATATGCCAGACAAAGAAGCGAATGTTCTATTAGGGCTGGGCTTATTAAGCTTAAAAGTTACAGCAAACATTTTCACGAGGTTTTCTTATTGTTTCTCATTTTAAAAAATGAGGGAGGTGCATAGACGGTAGAAGGTGTGGGATTATATTTACAGGATTTCCATAATATTACCATGGCAGAACACAGGTCGGCTGCATCAGCTTCACCTGCTGGTGTCCCAGCCTGTTTGACAGGATGGAGCTTGAGATGGTGTCTGTTCCAAGAACATATAGTTGAGGAGTTTACACACACGGGCACACGGGCACATACACACGGGTACACGTGTACACACACACACAGATGAACATGGCAAGAAGCTGTCATCTTATCTGGTGGAGAGAGCCAGGTATATAAAGCACTCCACCCAGGGGTGTGAGGCAGAGAGGGCTATGACCACACACGTGGTTCCAAGGACACTACGGTTGTACTTCCTGAAGGACAGGAACCCTTGAGGGAGCAAATTTGAGTGTCTTTTTTGATGCTTCGGGAATCTTTGAGTTCAATGAAGAGAGACACCATGGGTGGGCCACATAATCATGCAGACTCATTGGTTTGGGTTATGATTATATACAATTCTTTGCTCCAAAGTGGTCCATGTCCTGGAGCTGGAGGATGATTGTTTTGCGAGCACTTTTTGGATACAATCCCCTTCCTTGATACAGAGCTGCAAGCACTGATTGGCTGCTCTTGGCTATGAGTCTTACCTCACTGATTCTTGGACTTGAGACTGTATCTGTATCACCTGGAGAGGTTTGTTAAAACACATCTTTCTGGGACTCACTCCTAGAGTTTTAAAATTTGCATTTCTACCAAGAGTCTGGGTGAAGCTGTTGGTCTGTGGATGACACTTGGAGAGCTGCTGCTTTAGATGGAAACTCACCTGATAGAAAGGATGGGAATATTAGTCTTACAGTTTTCTTTCCCTTCCCACTAAGTGGCTAGGCAGAAATTCAGGGACCTCTCCAGTGGAGAAGGCTGGGACTTAATTGTTTGAAGTCAATTTGATAATAATAATAATAAAAAGAGATTAAGAAAATGACTGTCTTTCTTCAGATCCCAGGCAGTGCAGGAGGGACTGTTTTCTGGATTTTTCTGTGATTGAGAAATGTTAAGAATGGAGATGTAATAATGTGCTTCTCAGAGAATTAGTCCTCCACTAGCAACACTGGCATCACAGGAAGCTTATTCAAAATGCAAAATTTCGTACCCTACCCTCGATCTGAATCAGAATTACATTTAATAAGCTCCCCAGGTGATTCATACACATGTTAAAGTTGGAGAAGCACTGCTGTAAGAGACAGGCTGCCAATCTGGCAGTCAAGATACTTGAGTTTAGCCAGGTGTGGTGGTGCGTGCCTGTAGTCTCAGCTACTCGGGAGGCTCAGTTGGGAGGATTGCTTGAGCTTAGGAATTTGAGGCTGCAGTGAGCCCTGAGTGTACATGAGAATAGCCATTGCACTCCAGCCTGCCAGCATAGCCAGATCTATCTCTTTAAAAAAGAACATACCTGAGTTTTAGCCCAGGTCCTGCCTTTACCCAACTGTATAGCCCTTACTGGGCTTCGGGGGATGGGCTGGGGTGAGTTAGTGACCTACAAGTTTCTTGCTAGCTTTGGGGTGCTGCAATTCTGAATCATACCTTGGCAGGTCCTGACTTGCTCTGCCATTTCAGAAGGCTTCTGAAAAGTGTGGGCCCAAAGGTCTCTGAGGTCCTTGAGTTCCTTCCCTCTGCTGCCCCCACTTTACCCCACTGCAAGCTGGTGTGAACTCTTGCAGGAGGACAGCGCTATCTTGTGCCAAGGACATGACATCATTCCATGTACCTAAACTCAAAGGAGCCCAGTGTATAATCACTTACTATGGATGAAAGCTTGAGCAATCTGGGGAAAGTACATCCAGTCTAATAGCACTGTCTAATAACAAAGCCCTTGTCCTGAGTAGCCTTTAGGAAAGCAGCTGGGTCAGTCTCTGAGCCTTGACTACCCCCTTAGTAAGACACATAATTGCAATACTGTCATGCACCACATAACAACATTTTAGTCACTGATAGACTACATATATGATGTTCCCATAAGATTATAATATAGTCCCATAAGATTATAACACCATGTGTTTACTGTACCTTTTCTATGTTTAGATACACAAATACTTACCATTGTGTTACAGTTGCCTCCAGTATGCAGTACAGTCCCATGCTGTACAGATTTGTAGCCTAGGAGAAATAGGCTGTACCATCTAGCCTACGTGTGTAGTTGGCTATAAAATTAGGTTTGGAAAAGTGCACTCTATGATGTTGGCACATGACAAAATTCCGTAACAATGCATTTCTTAGAATGCATGCCTTTCATTAAGCGATGCATGACTGTGCTAACTTTTCATGCAGAAACAGCCTCCAAACTAGTAAAAGGCTGTCTTTAGGGTGTTTGAAGTATTTGTGTTTTTGCTGTATCGAAGCATTAAAATAGAACCATATGCATTTTCAGATTTGGAACATGAATTAATTAATATAAAATGGGCAGGAAAGATGTCTGGTGACTCAAATTAAGAAGAACCTCATATGGAAATGTTCAATCTGCTCTATAGGATAAACTATTTTTAAAGACTTCAGACACGTCAGTTTTCATATAAAGCATATTTTCTTAAGGTCAGCTCTGTGGATGGTGCACTTGCCCTAGTTCAGTGCTCACAGGATTGCATTTTGTATTCCTTAAGTAGTCCATCATCCTGACTTTTTATTAATTTAAGCTCATTTTCTCCCAAATCTGCCCAAATGAATTAAACATTGTGTGTGTGTGACCATGAGATATTCTTTCTTGCTGCTGGAGGAATTTGATTATTGGATGAATTTCTTTTGGCTGTTGTTGAGAGAAACTTGTGGCCCCTTTTGATTTGGTCGAATGTTGGCAAAAGGTGATTTGGACAAACGACATGATAATGCAAGGCCTAACACTTTCACTTCCCTTATGAGTGGTCTCTTTCCCGTTCTTTTGTCCCCTGGCACTTTGGTTTCGTTTCTATTGTCTAAAGGTCTTTGCTTGCAATTTCTTGACTTGCATTCATTGCCAGGCAGGCGTGAGGTACACTGGAGCAATTTTCTGGGAGAAATGCCAGCTTGGAATGGAGGCAGAGCCTTGATGTTTGTTGAGGGAAGAAAGGCTGCAAAAACAATAAAGCTGGGTTTTCTATGAACTGGCTCAGGGTCAGAGGGTAAAGGAAAACATATCCTTGGTAGAAATCCTTATACCCTGGAGCCTCAGTGGTTTGTCTACAAAGCCATCTGTTGAGATGGGAGTAGGAATTATGAGACGGGAGCCAGCTCTACAGCCCGAATCCTTACCGCGTTGTTTTGATTCTGTCGGGGGAGCAGCTACTTCTGTTAAAAGAATGTCAGATTCTAAGTGTGTTGGAAAGGGGATTTTTGTTGCCTTCTCTTTTTATGTAAGCATGGTGTGTATGTCTTTCTTTTAAAGGAAACTAGAGTAGTCTTGCATAAAAGCTTGGAGGGTTTGCAAAATCTATGGCAGCTTTGCTTGGAATAGCACGACTCTGGAAACAACTCAAATACACATCAATATGGAATTGCTTACATAAATTATGATACATCCATACTGGGAAATACATAGCCTTAAAAAAGCATTGAATAATCAAAACCCAATGCAAGCCATCCCTTTCTATATTGAGAGGGTATAATCTCCACAATACAAACTTGAGGGTAAAAATACAAGGTAAGACACACAAGATGTTAAGAACATTCAGCGTGTGTGTGGTGCAAGCATTTGGAAGTGGGGGCAGAATGTGTGTGATTACTTGAATACATGTGTATACACATGTGTATAGGCATAGAAATATCTAGAAGGGTGACAAAGAGCCTGGTAGCGCTGGTTTCCTCCATGGGAAAGCTAGGCTTGGGACCTTGAGAGACGGAATTTCCAGGGATACCTTTCTGGTTCTCTTTGAAACTTTTTTACTTTGTGAGTCAAACAGCCAACCAACAACCAAATTCAGAGGTAAGCAAATACTTAAGCACCAGGGGAGGAATGATGGGCAGCATGGTTGCGGGGTGCATCCGGGGGTCTGGAGAGGGGGTGCGCCCCAGCCGGCTGCAGCCCCGGTCGATTTTATGGCTGCAAAGGAGCCGCAGACACCTGCCGTCTCCACGCCCTCCACGCCGGTCCGCCCCCAGCACTCTGCACCCTACACCTGGCTCCCCAGGCAAAGCGGCCCCGCCAGGACGGGCACGGCTTCGCGTCCTCGCTCAAGTCCCCGATGATGGCCGCGTCCCGGCAGGCACGGTGCGAATTGACTGGGGTTTGGGGGAAACGAAAGCCCCGAAGGGGCCTTCTCTGCCAAATGTCTTCTTCCGTCGGCTCGATGGCAGCCCCCAAGCCTTTCATTTTCAATGTATGAAAACACTGGGGTGGATTTAGCTTTTCCTTTGGGAAACAAACAAACAAAAAAGAACACAAAGAGCGTGTGTGCGGGTCTTCTTTCAAAATAGTGGGGCATTTGAAACCCGCGCTGCAGCTGCGGGCGCTGCTTCAATCGCAAGCGTTTTGTTTTCTGAAAGCGCTTTAAAAGATGCTGAAGAGGAAGAGAGCGAGCGCCCTGCGCATTTTCGGAAACGGAAGATTTTGAAAACCTGTATTTATCCGCCCTTCGCAAAAAATCAGCTTCTCTAGGGCGAGCCTTTCCAACCTTTTCCGTCAGGGCACACAGAAAATGACCTGATTTCAAGAGCATTTGGGGTAAAACTGGAGGGGATTTCAGAGCGTCTCTGTGAGGTTTATTTAAAAATTAAATGCAGTTTTTAATGTTATAGAATTATAAGAAAATATGTATGAAGTATTAGAAGAAATTGTATGTGTTTTAAACTTCCAAATAAAATCTGCTCAAAATTTTAAATGAGAAAATTGAGCTTGTTTCCACGAATGTAACTTTTATTATGGAAAAATTTCAAACAGATACAAATAAAGAGAATGGCATAATGACCAGCTCGCCTCTTGCGCATAGCCAGGACCCAGATTAAACGGCTATCCACATTTGCCTTTCAGATTTCATCTACCTCATCCTCCTTTTTTTTTTTTCCTAGAATATTTAAAAGCACATCCCAGGAATCACTTCATTTCATCTGAAAACACTAAAATGCAAATCTCTAACAGATAGGACTTTAAAAATAACCAAAATACCATTCTCAGTTCCAATAAATTAAAAATAATTTCTCAGTATTATCTGGCATCCAGTTCATGTTCAATTTTTTTCATTTGCCTCAATAAAATGTCTTTTACTGTTGATCCGTTTGGGTCAATTCAAGATCAAAACAAAGTTTTCGATCGATTGGTATGTCTTTCAAATCTTCTTGAATCTATAACATGAATATAACTTTTTAAATGTATACTAATTTATATATTATACTGTGCCTGTTTTTAAAAATAGCTTTATTGAGATGTAATTCACATACTCTTGCAGGCTGAAAAATGATCCCTCCACTCCCTAAGATATCAGATTCCAATCCCTGGAACCTGTGACTATTACCTTATATGGAAATAGGGTTTTTACAGCATAATAAAGTTAAGAATCTTGAGATGGGAATATTATCCTGTATTACAAGAGTAAGCCCTAAGTGCAGTCACCTGTGTCCTTCAAGAGGGAGATTTGATACACACTGAAGGCTTTGTGAAGACGGAGCTGAGAGATTGGAAGATGCTGTCTGATTGGAATGACACAGCTATAAGCCTGGAATTGACAGCAGACACCAGAAGGTGGAAGAGGCGGGAGGGGCCCTGCCAGCACCTTGATGCTGCCGTGGGGCTTCTGGCCTCCAGAACTGTGAGAGAATAAATTTTTGTTGTTTTAAGCAATCACGTTTGTGGTAAATTGTTGCAGTAGCCACAGAAAACGAATACCCCCACCATACAACTCACTCATTTAAAGTATACAATTTAATGATTTTTGTTTGTTTGTTTGCTTTTGAGATAGAGTCTTACTCTGCGGCCCAGGCTGGAGTGCAGTAGCGTGATCTCGGCTCACTGCAAATTCTGCTACCCAGGTTCAAGCGATTCTCCTGCCTCAGTCTCCTGAATTTAATGGTTTTTAGTATATTCACAGTTATGTGTCCATCACCACAGTCAATTTTAGAACACTTTATCACCCCGGAAAGAAAAATTGTATCTATTGGCAATCACTCACATTCCCTCCATCCCCCAGCCCTGGGCAACTACTAGTCTCCTTTCTGTTTCTTCAGATTTGCCTATTCTGGACATTTTACATAAACGGAATAATACAATACATGGTCTCTTGTGTCTGGCTTCTTAGTGTAATGTTGTCAAGGTTCATCCATGTTGTAGCATGTATCTGTACCTCATTCATTTTTATTGCTGAATAAGAACATAGCTGTAATATTAATTTATAATCTTAAAATATCTGTGAGGAAATCCTGATGAAGATTTTTTTTTATGGCAATCTTTTCAAGGTGTCAGTAGTCACTATTTATACTTTGCACAAGCCAGGGATTTAAAATGTTTAATTTATTTAAATCTAATGGTTTAATGTTTAAACCATTCTAAAATTTACAATTAAAATTTTATTTAAGGAATCTAACAGCTCATTCTTTGCTTTCATTGACAAATATGTTACTGGAATTTCTTGTGGTAGTGTGAATGGATTTCAAGTCTGATAGAAATTTTTCATAGCAAGTTTTTCAAGATAATGATGAAGCTCTGTTAGTGCTCAGGCACCATGAAGAAGAGGGCACGGGAGCCAAAAATGGGTAGAAGTATAGGCAATGTGAAGACAAAGCCTGGGGCCATACCTGACGGGTGTGCCAGTAGCCTCAGCTTAGCCTTCCCAGACCTGCCGCCTATTCCCCAGCGGCTGCAGCAGCCCCTGCCCCTGGGGACAGAGGTGTGCTGTAAGGGGCTGCTGAGCCAGGTGAGAGGGCATCTCTTTGGTTTCTCACATCCTATTACAATGGGACAAGAAGTCTGCGTGTCTCTGTGTCATTCATTGTACTTCCCCCACCAGGGCCCACTTCCCTGGGGCTGCCCTTTGAGAAACACTAGACTAGGTGCCCCAAGTTGGAGGTGGCCAGCAGCACCCTGTGACACGGTCGTGGCTCCCACTGTGGCACACTCATTGTAAAGCTCTGCTCTAGGTTGGCCACAAGCATTTGGGGCCTGTGTGTGTGGGAAATGGCAGGAGGGCACAGAGAGTTAATTTCATATGGCTACTTTCTATGGACCAGTGACTGCTGTGGGCCTATTTCCCTCCTTTCTGAACATTGGTGTCTGTTGTGGTTATCTTTCCTTGCAGCAACATTGTAAGTTGGGAGTTTGGGAAGCAGATAACTTGTCATGTAGATCATAGTTCTAATGAGCAAAACTGTACTCAAGGAGTTGCACCTGAGCAGTTCTGCCTTCATTGGGGCTCAGGCGATGAGGTCATGGACTTTGAGTTGATGCTATAATGAGATGAGATTTTGGAGATCTTTGAAGGGGGTTAGTGTATTTGACTTTTGGCAGGGATGCAAATTATTGTGGCTAGATGGCAGAATGTCTGAAAAGTAGTTACCATCAATTCCTTCCCTCTCTGTGTATTCATGCCATCCCTCCATTAGGAGACAGATTCGTTTCCTCTCTGCCCCCTTGAATCTGGGCTGCTCTATGAATGCTTTGACCAATACAGTACAGCGGAAGTGATGCTCTAAAATTTATGTAAGAATTCAACAACTTAGAATATCCAAAACAATCTTGTAAAAGAAAAAATAAGTTAGAGGACTTGTCCAAGTGCAGTGGCTCATGCCTGTAATCCCAACACTTTGGGAGGCTGAGGTGGGCAGACAGCTTGAGCCCAGGAGTTTGAGACCAGCCTGGGCAAAATAGTGAGACCCTATCTCTACAGAAAATTAAAAAAAAAAATTAGCCAGGTGTGGTGGCATATGCCTTTAGTCCCAGCTACTCAGGAGGCTGAGGTGGGAAGATTGCTTGAGCCCAGGTGTTCGAGGCTTCAATGAGGCAAGATTGCACCACTGCAGTCCAGCGTGGGTGAAAAAATGAGACCCTGTCTCAAAAAAAAAAAAAGTTAGAAGTCTCACATTACCAGATTTCAAAGTATTCTCTAACTTTGTAATTAAGTGTGATATTGGTGTAAGAATACACATATGAATCAATGTAACAGAATAGAGTTTAGAAATAGACCCATGCGTATGTGGCTAATTGAGCTTTACAAAGGTGCCAAGGTAATTCAGTAGAGAAAGAATAATCTTCTCACAAATGATGTTGGAACAACAGGATAAATATATGAAAATATGAATATTAATCCCTATCTCATACCACACACAAAAATTAGTTCAAGATGGATCAGAGACTAAGTGGAAAAACTACAACTATGAAGTTTTCATGAAATAAAAATAAAGTCTTCTCAAACTTGGGTAGGTAAACATTTCTTGGAGAAGACACAGAAATCACCAAACATAAAAAAAATTGATGTATTGGACATCGTGAAAATTTTACAAATTCTGCTTATCAAAAGTACCATTAAGAAAATGAAAGGCAAGCCACATATGGTGGATGTGGGGGTGGAGACATATCTGAGAAAGGACATTTATCCACATATATTAAAAATTTCTACAAATCCGTAACAAAATAAAAACCATGTAATAAAAAAAATAGGCAAAAGACATGAACAGACACTCTGTAAACAAACTAATAAGAATGGCCACTAAGCATATGAAAGGTGTTCAACGTTATCAGTCATCAGGAAATGCAAATTAAAAATCACAGTGAGTGACCACATTTTAAAAGTAGCTAAAATTAGTCAGACAACACAAACGTTGGCAAATATGTGGAGCAACTGGAATTCTCATAATTTGCAGGTGGGAACAGGGTGTGTTATTAATGACTTTGGAAAGCCTTTTGTCTGCCTGTTTAAAAAAGTTATACATACACCTACCTATGAGCCAGCAACTCTACTCCTAGATATTTACCCAAGAGAAATAAAATAATACATCTATAGCAAGACTATATAAGAAATTTGTATAAGAAATTTATGGCAGGAAAGGCTGGGTGCTCACGCCTGTAATCCCAGCACTTTGGGAGGCTGAGGCAGGTGGATCACCTGACGTCAGGAGTTTGAGACCAGAATGACCAACATGGTGAAACCTCGTCTCTGCTAAAAATACAAAAATTAGCCTAGCGTGGTAGTGGGCACCTGTAATCCCAGCTACATGGGAGGCTGAGGTAGGAGAATTGCTTGAACCTGGGAACAGAGGTTGCAGTGTGCTGAGACTACACCATTGCACTGCAGCCTGGGCAACAAGAGCGAAACTCTGTCTCAAAAGAAAAACAAAGAATATTTATGGCAGCTTTATGAATAATTGCCAAAATCTGAAGACAACCTGCATAACTGTCAATAAGAGAATGAATTAACAAATTGTGGTTTAGTTTTATAATGGAATATGGCTCAGCAACAAAAAGAGCAAATTACTGATATATATAACAACATGGATAGGTCTCAAGCACATTATACTGAAGGAGGAAGCTAGGAACAAAGGGCACATCCTGCATGATTCCACTTTATAAAGTTAACGTAGAGGCAACACTAAGCTACGATGATAAAAGTCACAACAGTGGGTGCCCTGAGAGTGGGGCAGGGAATGACTGGGAAGCAGATGCAGGAACTTTCTGGGGTAATCAAAACAGCACACTGTACTCCTTGAATATATATAATTTTTATTTGTTAAGCAAGCCTCAATAAAACTGGAAAAAAGATAACTTTCTGGGGTAATGCAAATTTTTTTTTATCTTGATGGTGGATTGCACAGGTGTGTACATTTAGCAAAACGCATTCAATTATCAATTTAAGATACGTGCATTTTCCTCAATATACATTTTGCCTCAATTAAAAAAGTTGCAACTATAGAGAAGCTACATGGATGAGTGTTTCCTAGGTCTCATCATTCAGGCCTTAGTTCAAATGTCACTTCCTCAGAAAAACCTGCCCTGACCAGCTATGATTGTCCTTGCTGCTTAGGCTGTATCACAGAACCCACTTTTATTTTCATCATAGTGCTTATCTGTATCCAAAAGCATAATTTAAAAGCCAATTAAGCAATTATTTGATTAATTGCCCCATCACCTCTGACTACAGTGTAACTTCTGTGAACACAGGAGCTATGTCTATTTTGTTCACTGCTCTATCTCCAATACCTGACACCAAGGATTTGCTCAATAAACATTTGTTGCTATTGAATGAATAATGGATACAAGGGCAGACAAATCTGACCAATAGAGATTAAGTTCCTTCTATTTGGAAAACATGGGATGGGGATCATACGAGGGGGCTCACCATCATCAGAGGAACTGGCGGTCAGTTCTATTCCTTGAATAAATGTATGCTAGGTGCCTCCTGTGTGCTGAGTGTTGGACTGAAGCCAGACACACCCAGATAAATAAAACTGGATTATTAGTGGTATTGAGATGGGTGTTGAATGAAAAACGGACAGGCTGGCTACTAGAAATAGGGCAGGCTCTTTGGATTCCCCACATGCTTTTGAACATCTATTTTTAGGTCCACTGAGTTTTTTTTCCCAAATGTAGTAACTTCCTGTTAAAGCTTTTGAGCAAAAGACTGCGACAACCAAATCAGGGACCTAGGACTGGCAACAAAAGGACTAGTTAGGACCTGAGCCGTGTGGGGTGATGAGGGCCTGAGCACTGGGAAGGAAGAAGAAAAGATGGATGAAAGAGATACTCTGCCCACAATAGTAGCTTTTATTGCATATTCCCTGTGAGAGATGTCAGGCCTTGGCCATTAAATTTTGTTTTTCTTAAGAAGCATTCTTTTATAATTGTTTTGTAAGATTTAGGGGATTGCCTTGCAATTCGTGCTTGGGGAAGAATTTTAGGCAAATGTTTTCAAATGGTACTCATTAATTGCTTCCAAAAGTCTATTGAGTAGGCCTTTATCTGGAAAATGCCTTCCTTGGCCCTCACAGTCATCCTTCCCCAGAAACCAGAATTTATCCCTTTTAGATGGTCACAATCACTAGCCTTCTCCCTCAGCATTTCCTTGTCAATGATAGTTTACACATTTCCTTCCCAGGAGACCTTCGGGACATAAATAGACACAAACCAGCTTGGGCAGCATTGTGAACAACCCTTTCAGGAAGTAAGAAAACAACTGGTCTCCGAGTCCATAAAGGAAGCAGATTTACATTTCAACAGGGACAGCATAGGCTTGACATAAATGACAACTGTCTAATTCTAGAAGATTTCCTTAATTGGGCCTAAAAAAGAGCAGATGGGGCAGCTATGTATGGAATGATTTGGGTATATTTCTGGCTGGAAACAGAGAAGAGATTTATGACTTCTTTATTTTTTTAAAGTTTATTTATTTTTGGATCATGAAAGCAGTACTTGTCATTGTTTCAAACTCAGAAAATAAAAAGTGGCACCTAGATAATATGACTCAGAATCCCACTACCCAGACATAGCCACTACTAGTGGTTTGATGTAGTTGTTTTCAAGTAATATAGCTGGTGTATTCATAGTTTTGCGTCTTGATTTCTTTCATTTAGCATCTTCCTGCATTGTTAAATATCCCCCCCCCAAGATCATTTTTAATGGCTGTATAATAATCTAAGAATATATCATAATTACATTCTGTGTCCTTATCTATGTCAATATAGGTTGTTTACAATTTCTCAACACTATAAAGAAGAGCTGAAAAGAGCTTTGCATATAAATGTTTCTCCACATTCCTGATTGCTTCCTTGGAAGAGATTTCTTTAGAGCAGCTCTTGCTATGGTGTGACACCTTAGCCACCTCCACCATAACCAGGCATTAATGCACATCAGGGTCCTAACCCAGACCTGCACTATCTGAATCTCTGCAGTCAGGGGCCAAAAATCTGCCTTGGAAAAAGAGCTCCTGAGATTTATAGGCACACTAAAGGTTGAGTTTCATAATTCTAGGAGAAATTACTGGATAGTTTTACTTTCTAACTGTATTGGTATTTCTAAATGCATTTTTATTTTTATTATTTATTTATTTATTTATTTTTGAGAGGGAGTTTTATTCTTGTTGCCCAGGCTGGAGTACAAAGGTGCAATCTCGGCTCACTGCAACCTCCACCTCCTGGGTTCAAGCAATTCTCCTGCTTCAGCCTACCGAGTAGCTGGGATTACAGGCACCCACTACCACGCCTAGCTAATTTTTTGTATTTTTAGTACAGAAGGGGTTTCACCGTGTTGGCCAGGCTGGTCTCAAACTCCTGACCTCAGGTGATCCACCCACCTCGGCCTCCCAAAGTGCTGGGATTACAGGCGTGAGCCACCCACCCAGCCTGGCAATGTATGAGGGTGCTCAACCCATCAAACTCTTGCAAAACAACTTTGCTAGTTTGATGGTTGAAAAGTGATGGCTTCATGGAATTAAAAACAATTAATACATAATAATTGTACATATTTATAGAGTATATGAGATATTTTGATACATGCATACAATGTGTAAGATCAAATCAAGGTAATTGGGGTATCCATCACCTCAAATATTTATCATTTCTTTATGTTGAGAACATCCTAAATCTCTTCTAGCTATTTTGAAATATACAATAAATTATTGATAACTATAGTCATCCCACTGTGCTCTTGAACATTAAACCATATTCCTTCTTTCTAACTGTATTTTTGTACCCATTAACCAACCTCTCTTCATCCTTTCCTTCCTGCTACCCTTCCCAGGCCCTGGCATCTATCATTGCTTCCTCCCTGAGATCAGCTTTTTAAGCTCCTACATATAGATGAGAACATGTGATATTTGTTTTTCTGTGCCTGACTTATTTTCACTTAATGTAATGTCCTCCAGGTCATCCATGTTGCTGCAAATAATCGGGTTTTATTCATTTTATGGCTGAATAATATTCCATTGTGAAGATATACCACATTTTCTTTATCCATTCATCTACTGATGGACACTTAGCTTGATTCCATATCTTGGCTATTGTGAATAGTACTAAAACATGGGAGTGCTATTATCAAAAATATAATAACAAATGCTGATGAAGATGTGGAAAAAGGAGAATGTTAGTATATACTTGGTGGGAATGTAAATTAGTACCAGTATCATGGAAAACTATATGGAAGTTCCTCAAAAAACAAAAAATAGGCCACATAATCTAGCAATCTCACTGCTGAGTATATACACAGAAGAAAGGAAATCCATATATTGAAGAGATTTCTGCACGTCCATGTTAATTGCAGCACAACTCACAATAGCCAAGATATGGAATCAAGCTGAGTATTTGTCAACCGAGGATAGGATGAAGAAAATGTGGTATATACATACTACGGAATACTACTTAGCCATAAAATAGGATGAAACAATATCTTTTGCAGAAACATGGATGCAACTGGAGGACATTATCCTAAGTGAAATAACTCAGAAATAGTCAAATTCTTCACATTCTCACGTGTAAGTGGGAGCTAAACGTTGAGTGCACATACATGTACAGAGTAGAATAATAGACACTGGGGACTACAAAATGTGGAAGGGCAGGGGAGAGGTGAAGTTTGAAAAATTACCTGAGAGGTAATCATCCAGACTTCAAAAAGCCCAGACTTCATCACTACACAATATATGCATGTAAGAAACCTATACTTGTGGCTGGGCGCGGTGGCTCACACCTGTAATCCCAGCACTCTGGGAGGCTGAGGTGGGCGGATCACCTGAGGTCAGGAGTTCGAGACCAGCCTGGCCAACAAGGTGAAACCCCATCTCTACTAAAAATACAAAAATTAGCCAGGCATGGTGGCGTGTGCCTGTAATCTCAGCCATTCGGGAGGCTGAGGCAGGAGAATTGCTTGAACCTGGGAGGCAGAGGCTGCAGTGACCTGAGATCACGCCACTCTACTCCAGCCTGGGTAACAGAGTGAGACTCTATCTCAAAAAACAAAACAAAACAAAAAAGAGAAATCTATAATTTTATCCCTTAAATAGATAAAAATAAAAAATAAACTTAAAAAAAGACACAATAATAGAATAATGGAAGCTGGCAAGTCTTTGACTAAGCCACCCATATTTGTGTAGACTTGAGGAAATCCCTGGGTGCCAACTCAAGCTTTGGTGAGACCATGTCTTCTTTCATTATTGTAACTGTAAAACTGAAGGCCCTTGCACACTTCTCGGAAGGCAACCATCCTTTTTTGTTGTGTTTTGTGGTGTTCATCTTGTTTTTTAGGTGCTGGAAAGAGATGAGAGGTAGGGAAGAATGTGAGCAGGGCCTTGAGCACTGGCTGCTGAGGGACCTATGTGGTGGCTGAGGCTGTCATTTCCAAACAAGCCCCTGGGCTCAAAGGCTGCCAATAATGCCTATGAGCCATGGTGTGTTTCTGGTAGAGAACCTGTAAACTCAATATTCCATCTTCAGATGTTAATCCAAATTGCCTTTTGTGATTCCAGTTTGTTCTTTGGTGAGTTTGGAAGGGCAGCCAGTTTTTCCAGGGATTCCTGGGAACCCCAGTTTAAGCTGACTTTAGAGGCTCCAAATTGCTTTAAAAGCATACATGAAGGCCACACGCCCCACTACCTTGTGATCCCTCTCCCTTTCTCATTCTCCTACCTTCCCCCACAGCTTATGAAGTTGTTAGGATATGGAAAATGCGTCTAGTGACATCTCAAATATAGAAGTCATCTGTCCTGGAGGCTCAAAACTTGCCTGTTAACTGCTGCTGGCAAAAAAAAAATCTTCACTGGATATTTTTTTTCTTTTAAAAGAATGATCATAAATTAAATAACTCACATAAAGATAAAAACATCTGAAATGTATTTGCCACCAAAGACAGGCAGCTTTCCTTAAAGGGAATTGAGTGTTGGAAATAAAGATTTGTAAAGTCAGAAGAGAACCGAAAGTCCATAGGTAGCCAGGACTCAACAAAATGCAATGGGTTTTCCTTTTCTACAGGTTCGAAGACGGCAACGCTGCATTTCTTTGTTCTTTGTGGCTCCTCATTGTCTTGTTAATCTGGACACGCAATGGCCTTCAGGAACTGGTGGGGAGCTCACTGGTCTCTAAGTTCTTCTTAACACAAAAGGACAATATTTAAAAGGCCACCCCTCTCAAAGCCATCTCTAACAGGATTTCTGCCAATATCTGTCTCTTTCAAACAGTAAGGAGACTTAAAAACAGCAACAGCACCTCCCTAAGCCTCCCTCAGCCCTTTCTTTACAAGTTCTTTCCTTTAATGAAGGGAAATTGGCATACTATATTGTGTCAGAGTTGGCGCTTGCATAGATACAAATGGGAAGCAAAGAGCTCCTGGCTGCCCTGGTGCCAGGTGTTCGCTAATTGTAAAACTGAATAATGGATAATAACCCATCTTAGTGTGTTTATCAATGCAGTTCGCTCTCTACGATGCAGAAGAGGTCACTGGAGACAATGTGTAGGCCTCTCATCTCTCCTATTCATTAACGAGGCACTGCTGGCTGGAATACAGGCTCCATTACCTAGATGCAACAATGATGGGGCCCTGCATCAAATTGTAATTAGGTTTGATCAGGGCTAGGGTACAGTTGCTATAATCAGAATCACTCAGAATTCATTTTATACTTGTGAAAGGATATGAGGTGAGATTGATTTAATGGTAACCAAAGCAACCCCCTTTTCTATAACTCTCTGAGCTTATAAAAAAGCAAAAAGAGAAAGGGAAAAATGGAGGGCAAAGGAAAACAGAGATGAGCATTTTAGTTCTATTAATTTTATTGTAACTAGTTAGGAGAAAATGTGTTACAATAAGAGCAAATATGTGATAGCAAGGTGATCACTGGGTCCTAGAAACTGCTGTGGGTCTCATTACATGCCTACAGCACATCCTGGGATACTTAATTTCCTCTCCCTTTTTGTCCATTTCGTATGTGTTTGGAAACATCCTGATTAGAGCAAGAATTTCAATTTGCAGGAAGAAGAGGAGGAAATTCAAGCTGAGTAATATTTCCTTTCTCTAGTAAGAATCAGTTATTCAGCCTTTTACCTTTGGCCCTTTGTATATATCTCAGAACCAATGACCACTGGTTTCTATGAGAGCAAATAGAAGGTTTTGGAGACCTGTTTGTGAAATGGTTTAAGAAGTTACAGAGATGTGGGTGGTGTGGTAAAGGGACCATATCTAATTCCTCATTACTGAGTGGTTATTAAATTTTTTCAGGTTAGCCAGTTGCTGTTCTGGAACTAGAATCTCACCTTAAGGTTTGAAATAATTGGTGAAATGCGTGAATATGCATACATTTCCATTTATGTACACCATGCAGATATTGGTACACCTGATTTGCTCTATTTATGTGTATTTGATCTCTAATATTTAGATGCCATAAATTAAATATTTTTTCTTTCTCTCCCCCCCAGGAAGATTTAAAAGTATATATATATATATATATATATATATATATATAATATATACTAATATTTATATATAAATATATATATCATATCAGCTTCTAGAGTAGAAGTATCACAGTCATTTTGAGGATAAGATACTTTAAAAATATGTAGGTAATGACTTAACAGGGAGAGGCTTTTTTTTTCTTACATACATCTCAGGTTATTTTGTGGATAAGCAAATGACATAAAAGTATTTTGAGTCATTTAACTGAGTAGGAAGTATTGAAACAAAGTATATCTCTTCCAGATTTTAAAAAAGAAACACTCTAGCTCTTTTTTTGTTTTTTGCTTGGACACAACCTCTTGGCTACTCAAATAGTGAAACTATACATACATCTTTTTTTCTTACATACATCTCAGGTTATTTTGTGGATAAGCAAATGACATAAAAATATGAGTCATTTAACTGAGTAGGATGTATTGAAACAAAGTATATCTCTTCCAGATTTTAAAAAAGAAACACTCTAGCTCTTTTTTTGTTTTTTGCTTGGACACAACCTCTTGGCTACTCAAATAGTGAAACTATACTCAACTAAGAAAAGTTATAGAGGTAATATTGGCACATATTATTGCATATCTGACTACCTAGAAATTTCATGTGTAAATTTAGATTTTATGTCACATGTTAATTAGGATGTCTGAGATTTGATTAAAGCATCAAATTTAGCTAAAATTGATTTTACCTCTTTTGGAGCTGGAGATTTTACAAAACTTTAAAAATAGACTTCAAATTTATTGCTTTGCTGTTTTTCTTTTTCTTCTTGTTTGTTTCAGTCAAAGACAATGTGAGTAAATGAATGTGAAGTTGTGGAGATGGAATTAAGACAGTTAGGAAGTGGAAGGGTGACTCTAACGGCAATCTTCATGCTGTAGTTTTATAGATTTTCTTGACTTTTCTCCCATTATTCTAGTATATAAAGAGTATATGGAAGAAACAGTGGGGACATTAAAGTTTAAATGGACTCAGATAGATGTACATCTCATGTTGTATTTTGAAAAATAGTGACCAAGGTATGTGTGCTGAAAGGCATAGCCGGCCTGATACTGCTGGCCTTAGAAAAGCCTGTTTGCAAAGTTGGTCCTTGGCTGGTGTCTGGGAACTGGGTTAGTAAAAACTTCCCTACACTGATGCAAAACTTTCCTTAAATGATAAGATTGACTTACTATACAAACAATGTGGTTTATGCTGGATACCTGCCTTCCTTCTGGGAACATGAAATGTCAGGGATTGCAGTTAGTCATATGGGTCCTATGTGCCTGTGTGACCAATCTTTGATAAAAACTCTGTTCTTTTAGGCTCAGGTATGTGTTCCTGGTAGACAGTGCATGCCACAGGGTATTGCTGGAAGAAATAAGCATGTCCTGTGCAATGCCACCAGGAGACGGTTCTTGGAAGCTTGTTCCTGGTTTCCTCCAGACTTCATCCATTAGCCTTTTCCCTTTGCTGATTTTGCTGTAATAAATCTTAGCCATGAGTACAAATATATGCTGAGTCCTGTGAGTCCTAAAGGACTGGTGTCCTTGGCTTTATTCAATAAAATAATAAGATCATAAGCAAGTCATTGAACTTGGGGGTGGCCTAGGGAACCCTGACACAGTAAGAATGTAGGTTTTGAGTTGTTCAGTTATTAACTCTGTCCACATCCCCCAAAACAGATGACTCAGTAAAATACTGAAAATTCTTATGCCCAGTGTTGTTGCTCAATTTGGAGAGGAAGGATTCGGCTGAAGGCTCTGAACAAGCAGACCAGGGGGATTTATACATGCCAGGCTCTCTAAAGGACTAAGAGCAGGTGTGAATATCTGTGTCTGTGTGTGGCTGGGGAGGTGCTTCGAAAACCGTAAGTGAGGTTCTATCCTCTAACCTCTTCTAGGACCCCCTCACCCAACTATTAAATACCAAGCTCCCAAATCACAAATAGCTTATGTTCCCTCTTTGGATTGGAAGAATAGGACTTGCTACTGAGGAGAGATATGTCAGTGAAATGGGGAACATCAGGAACAGGGGCTGATTCTCTCTGACAGAGTCTAGGTTCTAACGCTTCGTGTCAAACCGGAAATCCATCTGAAGCAGAAGGATATTCCCCTATGGAAATAGAACATGTCCCCACTTAGGTGGAGCAAGGCCTGGGACTGTATATCAAATCAAATGTTGGAAGAGAGAAAATAATTCAGATCCCCCCCAAAAAAGCTGCACATAGATCCAGCTGGCCATTCACCTCCACTCCCAGGAGAGCAGGTAACGGAAACATGGACACAGTCTCCTCAAACTCTAGCTCAGAGGTGAACACAATGTGGTCTCCAATACAATGGGAAGAGAGCTGATAAGAATTTACCCACACCACATCAGAGCAAGCCCTGGGCAAACATACCACGCTCCCCCCAAAATAAGAGAGGATGAAAGGAATATAACATTGAACACCCAGAGAATCGAGTCTGTAAGAAACCATAGCTCACGGAATAGAGAGATTTATTCAATAAAAGAGCTTAATAAGATCACAAATTCAACAAAACAAGAACTCAGAAATGAGATGCTGGGACATTAGAACAGGAAGAAGAAGAAGTGATGGAAAACCTAAAGAAAGAAACTGAAGAACAAATCAATACCATTATAGACCTGACACTTACATCTGATGTATCAGGGAATAGAACAGACACGGCAATAAACTGAATTACCGACAGAGAAAGGGCCTGAAATAATCACAATGCTTGCAGAGGAAAACAAGAGTGAAACATTTAAGAGAAATTAGATACATATTGAAGGCAGACAAAGATAATCAAACATTTAAGAATAATTGGTGGACTTAGAGGACACAGCCCAACAAATGAAGTGTGCAGACTCTTCAAAGACATAAGAGGAAGAAAGTTTCCTGAACAAGGTTCAAAGAAAAATGGCTACAGAGTGGCTGACACTGAACTATGTCTTAGTTAAGTTGTCTGCTTCAAGGATGGAGAATAAATTGCTCATGGATCCAGGTAGAAAATGCAAGTCATTTACAAGGAAGAGAAAAATCAGGCCAGAGATGTTTCCACAGCAACACTGCATTCCAGAAAAAAATCTGTTGTAATGTCTAAGAAAGAATTGTGAACCCCCAAAATGTTATACTGAGGCAAGTTATCATTCAAGTGTAATGGCCAAAGATTTTTTCAGAGACAGAAGAACTGAATTCTACTTGAAAAAGTATGTGACGATGAAATCTAGCCATGGAAGATGTAAATATGGGAACCCAGCAAAAGAACAGCCATAGCGAAGGGCCTGGTGAACTTGGAATCCATTTAATCACAGAATGACATTAAACAAATATGGGAATTATGGTTATAAAGATGGATGTAAATGTTATAATCTTGATCATAGAGAAATAGTCTGAAAAAAATGAGAAATGGGAAGTGTAAGAGTAATCACTTTTTTCAACACTCATTGCTGAGGCAATTGATATTTTCTATGGGATTCACTTTTATTTAAAAAAAAATGAAGCGTCTGATGTTTTGGGTCTTTTTGTATTTTTTCTCTTTAAGCTTTTAGTAAATAATTTTCCTGTGGCTAAAAAAATCCCCTTCAGTTTTAATTTAATTTTTTCTGATTAACTGAAGAAAATTTTAAGTTAATATTTTAAATAAATAGCATCTAGGCTGGGTGTGGTGGCTCACACTTGTAATCTCAGCACGTTGGGAGACTGAGGTGGGTGAATCGTTTGAGGCCAGGAGTTCAAGACCAGCCTGGAAAACATGGTGAAACCCCGTCTCTACTAAAAATACAAAAATTAGCCGGGTGTGGTGGCATGTGCTTGTATTCCCAGCTTCTTGGGAGGCTGAGGCACAAGAATCACTTGAACCCACCAGGTGAAGGTTGCAGTGAGCCTCGAGATCATGCCACTGTACTTCAGCCTGGGTGGTAGTGTGAGACTCTGTCTCCAAAAATAAATAAATAAAATAAATAAATAAATAAATGGCATTTCTATTATGACTTCATTTGTGTGAAATTATGTCCATTTAGGCATTCATACATTCTTCTACTAATACACAAACACACACACACACACACACACACAGAATAATACTCACCAAATGTTAGTTTTTTCTGAATGGTAAGTTTTTTTGTTGACTTTTTAAAAACTCATCTTACTTGAATTTATTACAATGAGCAGATTTCTTTATTATCAAACACTTAAGACATTAAAAACATTATGGAGAATAATTTGATGAATTCCTGTGTATCCACTACCCAACTTAAGGAAACACATGCATTACAAAAAAAACCTTTGGAGTTTATTATTTTTGTATGTGTGTATGTCTTTTTTTTATGGAGTAACTTTTCTTCTGAAATAAGTTTCTTCTCAATTTCCTTCCTTTTGTAAAGAGTCTTAGAGTTAGATTAACAGAATAAAGGTAATAAGAAATGAAAAAGCTTTATTCTCTGCTAGTGGGAGGATTAGAATAAAAAGGAGAAAACTCCTGTATTCTGACAGCAGCAGAGGAAAACCTTTGGAATGGGTTCTTTTGGTTGATCCTAAATTCAGATGCTTGTCCTCACTGATTGTAAATGATCCAGGGTTAGAGTTTATGGTCAAGTGAAAGAACACAGGACATATCTGAAACATTAAGTCTTCATGGCTAACATGGCATTTCCAAAGTAAAAGGCTCAGTTAATTTCTCTTTCTTTCTTGGCCCTCTTCCTTATGGCAGCAAAGAGGGCTATAGGACAAGATATGGTGCTGTTTGTCATTCTCTGGCATTTACTGAAAAGTTGGCCATCCTAGACTTGGGACGCCTTTCTGTGTTCTGAATATCATGTACACAATTCCAGGTCTGGACTTGAAATTTGTTGGTGAGCTTTTGGTTACCTGTTCAGTTCACCTGTTTGTTTCTGGAGCACCCTCTGAGTAGATAATCCTATTACCATTTCTTTTAGCAAATTGAGAGACATGAGTTCAAGTAGATATATAAATAGTAGCTCTCCTCTCATGAACTCACCCAAACATCTATTTGTTTGTTCACTCAGCAAATATTTACAATCCAGAATGGAAAGTGAAGACCTGGAAAAAGCATGTTTCATTTAATCAAGACGTGAGAATTAGAATCTCATTTTAAAAAATTATCATCCTCTGAAAGGACTGGACTTTTTTTTATATCATTTAAAAAATTTCATCCAACAAACACTTTACCAGTTCTCACTGATATTCTGGAGGTGAGGTACCCTACTGATTTCTCTGTCTAGATTCAACCAGAAGTGGAATCCTTGTGTCTGGGCAGTTTCCTTGTATAACCTCAGATTACAGTTGTGCCCTTGCCTGGCGGTAGTGTCATACAAAGGGGCATAGCTGTGGGAGCACTTTGCCTCAGGTACAGACAATGAGCAGGCACATGGTTTATGAAGAACTTAAAAGCAATACAAAATCAACTAAAATTTGGTCTGCTTTTTATTATTACCATATGCTGGCAATTATAAACAATGTCAAAGATAACATACTCCTACATACACAAACACACACAATTTGTTGCACTAAGTTCTAAACAATTGCAGCAGTTAATGTTGAATGAGGGAGCCATACGCTTATCCATTGTGGGGCAGATATATTTACAACTTTAACTACTTTTGAGTAAAAGCATTTGTATAGGAAAATGCCCATTTTTGGTGGGAAAGCTTGTTGCCCACGCTTAACCACAGAAAATAGATTTCTATTCAATTCTATTAAAAGGTAGGCTGAGGAGTCCTTTACAGAGATTCATTTCACACATCACAGAATTTTTATTTGCACTTTAAACAGTGAAATGGAGTGGTGAACTGTGAGGTGTAATGTTTTTGTTTGACAAATGCAAATTTTATTTCATACATGAAATATTTTATGGAATTTTAAATATAGTATCTTTAAAATTAAAATATCTTTAATTTTAAAAGATATCTTTAAAGTTAAAAAAATTTTTAAAAGTTAAAACTAAATAGCCCACTCCAGAAAATAGTGATTATTACAGAAAATAATCTTATATAGAGGCAGAGGCTGTTAAAAAATGATCTAACTGGTGTCCAGTTCACAAGAGAAGCCACTGCCTGGTAGTTTCGTTTAATACTTTGGTGGTCAGACTTCTACCTAATGGAGAGTGTGGCTCTTACATAATTGGCTGCAGTTTTTTTTCTATTTTCTGCCCTTCTTCTCTTAGATATTTTTATACTGCGTCACGAGATAAAGAGAAATGCATTATATTTTCAAGGTCTTTTATTTAATCCCACTTCTGAGTGAATGAAAATTGCTGCAGAACGCCCATGACAGCAATTTACATCTTTTCCAAGTTTATTATTCACTTAATTATGGACAGGGGTAAAATAAAAGAACGGTGCCAGGAAAAGAACCATTTCAAATCTTTTCATGCCTGGTTTGGATGAAGCTTGGAATGTTTGTGCCGAACTTATAAGTTCACTTTAGAAACCAAACCAAGCAAAGGATGTTGATTCCAAAGGCAAAGTGATGTTGAGAGGTGCTCAGGAGAGAGAGGAACCTGGGCATGGGGTAGCAGTGGGACACACACACCTCCCTTCCTCTAACCTACACGTCTGCAAAGAAAACCCAAGAGCTAAAGGAAAACCGCCATCTCTACCCCAAGACAGCCTCAAGATAAGCAGACTTTGGTGACAAAAGGGCATGAAGCCATTGTTAAAATAGAATCCCACCTGTGCAAAAAACACAGGAGTAGCTCCACTTTCAGGACTGTCAACAAAAGAAGAACACATTTCACCATAAGGACAAAAAGATTCCTCAGCACATGGTCAGATGAGTAAAATTCCATTCTATGCATAAAACACGAAGAAATTTACCAGCACCATTGTGCATTTTGAAGATTAAAAGTTGTTGGTGGGGTGGAGGGAACACATGTATTCACAGAGTTTAAAAATAAATGTAGTGGAAGCTCTTTTCTCTGAGCCACTGGGACCAATAAATGAAAAAAGCTGGTTCAATTTGGCTGTCATGGAATGATCTATACTTGCCTTAAATAGGTTAACATAAAATGCATACATGAATGGCAATTTACCAGTCTTTTGATGTAAGACCAAGGCTTTTGCTTTGAATTCGGATCTGTGGATTGGAAATTCCCCTATATTTTCTATAATTTCCTGGCTTTGTTTCTTTACAATAGGGTGTTTAAAGACACTAAGAAAACAGACTGAATGCAGACTCTTACTAGATCCCTGTGAATTCTTCTAATTTAAAAAATAGCAATTTAATTTTTTAAGGCATCCGATTTAGTTTATGTGAGAACTTTTTCCTTTTGCACCAATTTTCATGAGTTTACATATATTTTAAAATTTGGTTACATAATTACAATAGTACTGGCATAAATAGGTCCATATGACCAATCCTTGGTAAATGTAAAACTCAATTGGCTGGAGCCACGTAGATTCAGTGTGCTGTGGGCACCCGTCAGGATGTTTTTCTAAGAAAATAGAGAGGCTTCTTTATTTGCAGACTTGGAACTATATTAAGAGAACTTCTACTGTAAAAAGTGAAACTACAAAATTAATTATAGATGGATTGGGTCATGGAAAAGTGAATTTTCTAGATAATTGAATAATTAAAATTATTCCAAACTGGCTGTTGAAGGACAGCTTCCTATAATAATGTATTACATCTTAGAAAAAAAACAATAAAATAAACACATAACTCAATAAGCTGACACTCCAGTAAGCAATAATGAGTGCCACTGGGGATGTCTGGTGAGCACTGTGTCTTTTCAATGGATTCCCCCAGCTGCCTTGCTGGTCTAGTTTGTCCTTCCCTCCTCCCTCATGGGTTGTATTTCCCTACCTTCCCATACACTTCTCTCCCTAAGGTCTTATCTAACCATCATTCTCTTCAAGTTGCCATTTCCATTCCCTACTTCCCAGCTATGCACCTTTCTGTTCCATTTGGTTGACTTTTATTTTTTTCTTCTTTCCAGCACATGGCTTTCAGTTTTCCTGCCTCTGCTGGAGTTGTCAGGGTTGGAGCCAGGAGGGCTTTACTTTTTCCTTTTCTTCTACCAGGTTAGCCCGGTTGGTTTATGACATCTCCTCATTTTCAACTCTCCTCATCTCTTTTCATGTGGCTTTGTTGGGGTTGGATGGCTGAGGTTGGCTGGACTGATGGTTACAAAAGAATATGTGAGAGTATTGAGGGAGTGACTAAATCCCTCAGGGATAAGAGAGGGAACAGGACCTTCCAGAAGGTTGTGCTCTTATTGTCTCAGACTTTGTATATACATGTTTATTTCTGTAAATTGCTTTCTCCATTTGGACAAACTACAATAACCAGAGTAAAAAGCTACCAGGAATGAGTTCTGTTCAAAATTACAGAGATGGACATTGGAGTCTCAGTGAGTTTGCTTGAGAGTTCTCGGAATAATATGAAAATAGCTTTAAAAGGGACAACAGGAGAGTATGCAGAGTGGAGCTGCTTCTTTTTTTTTTGATGCTGAAATTGGTTTAGATAGAATGAAACTGTCTCTCTTAAGATTCGAAAAATAAAAGCCAAAACAACCCACTCATCTCTCAAATCCCGGTTGAGCTAAAGCTACAAATCACATTCATTTGTAGGATACGGTTGAGAGATGACTCTCGAGTAATGAAGGCTCATAAGCCTGGGCTGTAGTTAGTGTAAGAGGTAAACAGGGGCCTTCTTGTTTTCACTCTTTTGGAAGCTCTAATTCATTTCTAATTACTATCTCCTGGAAAAACACCGTGTTGTCATTGCCTTTTAAATTTCTTTCTCTTTTCAGAGAAAACACATATTTTAGGTCATTAAGAAAAACCTTGTCTTAATTTGGATGATGTTTTTATTCTACAAAATAGAATTATTATCTTGTTCGAGGCACAATTTGGTAAGAAGAAGAGGCTGCATGCATTTTAATTTGGCAATGAATTAACAATAATAAAGAGGATATGACTTTTCCACTGTTACACAGTTCAGATCTACATGCTTATGTAGGCCAGAGAAGAAGCATCCTTGCTATTTGAATTTTTACAGGGAATTGGTCAGGAGGAAAAAATAATGGCATGTGAAATATCAAAACCTTTCCTTAATTTTCAACTCAATAACGTGTTTTGCAATTTTAAAAGTCCATGAAGAAGAAGAAAAAGAAAAAGAAGGCTTTACAATTAGTAGGTGTGAAAAAGAAAAACCAATATTGTTTTGTATAGACAAGGAAGCAGAATGTGGCAAAAATTAGCTTTTGTTGTTTTTCATATTATGAAATATTCCCCAACACATATGAAAGTGTAAGTAGGCAAAAATTTTTTTCTCACTCATAAGCTGAGGTTATCTTGGTTATTTTTTTGAACAACTTAGTCTGTTCTTATGGTAATTTGGGGAAACGTATGAATTGATGGGATAAACTTTTCCTTGAGATTGTGAATGAAAATGGGCTCAATGGAGTGCCATGGTCTTCCTCAGTGCATAGCAGATTCTGAAGACATCACATACACAAATTGTCCACCACTTCTAGTTCCAAGAGAAGGTGTGGGAAAAAGGGGTGAAGGGACCAGCATTGCCTGGCAAGATGGTTGGGGGAGTAATCAGCTGGGGAGACCACCTTAGTCTGGATACAGACGAGAGAGGGGACCAGAGAGGTCTCAGACTTTGACATTTTACTTCTTGATTTACTAATGGGCTCCAAGTGTGAACTGTAATGTAGAGAGTCAGGAAGAAGGTAGGTCTTAAATCTTGTTAAAAAATGGATACATTCTTAAATGCTTCAGCTTGTAGAGAAGAGAGAAGAAATTTTGATTATTCCTTATGCCTCTATTAAAATACCTGGGAAAACCATTTACTCAATTGATTTTTACCAGCTGCATTTTTGTATGACATAGGTAAACTATATTTGTTTTAACAAGTAAAGACCAAAAATGCTGATCGCAAAAAGAAAAATACATTATTCACAATTCTACCTCTAATAGACGGGTACTGTTGTGTGTACTCGTATACACACGTATAATATAAAATATTATATTTGTGTGTGTGTGTGTATGTGCGTGTGTGTGTGCGTGTGTGTATTCTTTCATTTGGCAAACCAAAAAAAAAAAAAGAGAGATTCTTAATATTGTCTCTTTAAAAGAGATTTTACATTAAAATATCCAAATAAAAGAGATATAAAATTCATAGAGGCAAGGCCCTGCTGTAAACCTGTAGTTACAGAGCAAAGAAACAAGCTTTTCCAGGACTAGCTTTTAACTAACACCTTTCCTGAAAACTTCCCTATTTTTTCTGTTCTTCTGGGGAAAAATAAGGAACCTGGAAAATTAAAGGCCCAATCATCCATCTAGTTGAGAGGCTCTCAAAGTGTGGTCAGGGGACCAGTAGTATCACAGGGGACTTGTCAAATGCAGATTGTTGGACTCCACCTCAGACCTGAACTGAACATTCTGTGGGTGGGGCCCAGCAAGCTGTGTTTTAACGGGCCTTCCGGGTGACTCTTATGTACATGCAAGTTTGAAAACCATGGCCCCTTGAGAAATTCTAGAATGGGGTCTGGGAATTATGACTTAGGGGAGCATACAGGGGCTCTGGTAGCCTGTGGTTTGGCTCCAAACATACAAGGGGACGACTCTGTCAGTGTCTGAGTGGAGTTTCCAAGAAGAGTCTAAAGAAATAAGCAGCTGTTTACTCTGGAGATCAAGTGGCTCAGAGAATCGGGAACATGTAATTTAAGACCAGAAAGAGCAGTTTGTGTGGAGCTATGTCCTAAAGACCAAATTAGGGCTAATGAATATATTGAAGAAGATTAATTACATTAGTCATAATGATTCAAACACTGCCGACTCTCCTATTTTGTTTGAACTAATTTCTTCTGTCTTTATTAGAACAATTAATGGCTGCCAAAAATAATATTGTATTTGTATTTCCTTAAGCATATTTGAATATGTCATCATCTTACACCAGAAGCAAAGCACAGTGAATGTTTATTTTTTAAAATATGAAAACACTTGTTTTCAAGCCATAAAAATGTGACTTAATTAAGCCAAGATTCAGACTTTGCAATTAAAATATAGAGAATTTATAAATTTGTTAATTTATTCTTTCTGTCTATGATTATAAAAATTATTTTCTGTTCCCAAATTGGGAGCTCTGATTCTTACTAGCTGAGTGGCCATTAAGAAAGATCTGAAAACTCTCTTAGTCTTAGTTTTTTCACTTGCAAAATCGGATAATAATACTGAACATATGTTATAATAAGAGTCAAATAAGATAGTGCATGCAAAACTGCTTTCTAAGCTGCATAGTGTTATCATGACCATTATTATATAAAATTATTATATAAATTTTTTTTTGAGATGGAGTTTTGCTCTTGTCACCCAGGCTGGAGTGCAGGGGCATGATCTTGGCTCACTGCAACCTCTGCTTCCCATATTCAAGTGATTCTCCTGCCTCAGTCTCCCGAGTAGCTGGAACTACAGGCGCCCGCCACCACGCCCAGCCAATTTTTTGTATTTTTAGTAGAGATGAGGTTTCACCATGTTGGCCAGGCTGGTCTTGAACTCCTGACCACAAGTAATCCATCTGCCTTGGCCTCCCAAGGTGCTGGGATTACAGGCATGAGACACCATGCCCGGCCAATTTTTTTTTTTAGATGAATCTCACTATGTTGCCCAGGCTGCAATGCAGTGGTATGATCTCGGCTCACTGCAACCTTCACCTCCTGGGTTCAAGCAATTCTCATGCTTCAGCCTCCTGAGTAGCTGGGATTACAGGCATGTGCCAACATGTCTGGCTGATTTTGTATTTTTAGTAGAGACAGGGTTTCACCATGTTGGCCGGGCTGGTCTCGAACTCCTGGCCTCAAGTGATCTGCTCACCTTGGCCTCCCAAAGTGCTGGAATTACAGGAGTGAGCCACCATGCCTGGCCAAAAATTTTAACATAAATGTTAATTTGTTATTTGTATTTCCTTTAGTATATTTAACTTTTCTACTTACCATAGAAAATGTGTCCAAACCATATCTAATTGCAATTGAAATCTCATGTTCAATTGTAATTCCCAATGTTGGAGGAGGGGCTTGTAGGAGGTGACTGGGATCGTGGAGTGGAGTTCTCATAAATGGTTTAGCACTATCCCCTCGGTACTGTATGGTGAGCGAGTTCTCACAAAATCTGGTTGTTTAAAAGTGTGCAGCACCTCCCCCCTCTCTCTTCCTTCGGCTCCAGACTTGTAAGATGAGCATGCTTCCCCTTCACCTTCTGCCATGATTGTAAATTTTCTGAGGCCTCCCCAGAGGCCGAGCAGGTGGCCAGCATCATACCTGTACAGCCTGCAGAACCGTGAGACAATTAAACCTCTTTTCTTTATAAATTAGCCAGTCTCAGGTATTTCTTTATAGCATTTAGAGAACAGACTAATGCAGTGGTGATATTGACAGAGAAAATGCAATTTGATCTTGGGCAATTTGCTCTCTATCCTGCAATACCTTAGGGCTAGAAGAATGCAAGCTCCAAAACATTGGAAAATAAAAACACATTTTCTCCTGTATGAACATAGATGGAGAAATCTTCACAATATTGGCAAGACTAATCCCCCAATGTATGAAAAGGATAATGCCTTATGATGAAGTGAATTTATCCCAGGAATATAAGGTTAGTTTAAATTTTGGAAATGAAACAATGTAACTTGCCATATTATATCACAATTGATGCAGGAAAAAAACTTGGCAAAATTCAACACCCATTCATGAAAAAAAAAGTCTCAAGAAATTAAGAATACAATAGCGTTTCCTCACCCTGATAATGTGCATATACAAAAGCCTACAACGAACATCATACTTAATAGTGAAAGACTGGATGCTTTCTCCGTGAGAATGGAAACAGAGCGAGGATGTTTGCAGTCACCCTTTCTATTTGACATGGTACTGGAGGTCCTAGCCAGTGTAAAAAGTCCAGAAAAAGAAGTAAAAGTCATATATATTGGAAAGGAAGAAGTCAAACTGTCTTTACTTGAAGATAACAAATATGAAGAAAATCCTAATCTTCAAAAAAGTGACTAAACAATGTGTGAATTTAGCAAGATTTCAAGATGTGTCAATATACACAAGTCAATTGTACTCTTTTCCTGGAAATGAATAATCAGAAATTGAGTAAAAGTGACACAGTAGCATCAAAATTATGACATTCCCATGGGGGGTCAATTTAACAATGTATGTGTGAGACCTACAGCCAGGAAATCAACTTGGAAGGCTCTGTGGCCAAGTTGTTTTCCTGGAGTATGCTGGTACATTTCCCAGGAGCAGTACAGACAAGTGTTAGCTTACATGTGTGTAAGCTTTGGATGTTATCCCTTCCCTTCCCCTCCCTTCCCCTCCCTTCCCCTCCCTTCCCCTCCCTTCCCCTCCCTTCCCCTCCCTTCCCCTCCCTTCCCTTCCCCTCCCTTCCCCTCCCTTCCCTTCCCTTCCCTTTTCTTTCTTTTCTTTTTTTTTGAGACGGAGTTTCGCTCTTGTTCCCCAGGCTGGAGTGCAATGGTGCGATCTTGGCTCACTGCAACCTCCGCCTCCTGCGTTCAAGCGATTCTCCTGCCTCATCCTCCCGAGTAGCTGAGATTACAGGCATGCGCCACCATGCCTAGCTAATTTTTGTTTTGTTTTGTTTTGTTTTTTGTATTTTTAGTAGAGATGGGGTTTCACCATGTTGGCCAGGCTGGTCTTGAACTCCTGATCTCAAGTGATCCGCCCACCTCGGCCTCCCAAAGTGCTAGGAATACAGGCATGAGTCACCGTGCCTTGCCACCATTTCACTTTTTAGTAAAACTTTAAAATCTGGTTACATTGCTTGAATATCAGGTGTTACTGTGTAATTTTAATATTTACTTTAAAAGCCTAAATTGCAAGTAGTCATAAAGATTAGAATAGGGACTACTTATTGAGTATTTATTGTGTGTCAGGCACACTCTAAGTGCTTAATGAACATTAATTTAATTCTCACAAGGACTCTGAGTTAGGTATTTGTCTTAGTCTGTTTTGTGTTATTATAAAGGAGTATCTGGAGCTAGGTAATTTATAAAGAAAAAAGGTTTATTTGGCTCGTTATTCTGATGGCTGGAAAGTTCAGGATTGGCATCTGCCTCTGGTGAGAGCCTCTGACTGCTTCCGCTCATGATGGAAGGTAAACGGGAGCGGGTGTGTACGGAGATCACAAGGAGAGAGCGGAAACGAGAGAGGAGAGGAGGTACTTAGCTCTTTTTAACAACAAGCTCTGCAAGAACTATTAATAGTAGGGTGAAAACTCAGTCACCTAAGAGGGAGGACATTAATCTATTCATGTAGGATCCGTCCTCACGACTCGAACACCTCCCGTTAGGCCCAACCTCCAACACTGGGGATCACATTTCAACATGAAGTTTAAAGAGGACAGACGTCCAAACCACAGCAGTGCTGTCGTTTTCCCATTTTACAAGTGAGAAACCGAGGCTTAGAGAGGTTGAGTTTCCAGGACATGCTGCCAGGATGTAACTGAGCTGGATCTTAAACAAGGCATCAAGCTTTTAACCTTCATATTTAACTGCTTCTCTGAGCATTATTAGCTCCAATGCGGTTTTCCTATCAGTAGTGGATCTTCATGTAAACTGGGGATGCATGCTACTAAAATATGTTAATGAATTTTTTTTTTTTTTTTTTTGAGACGGAGTCTCGCTCTGTCGCCCAGGCTGGAGTGCAGTGGCGGGATCTCGGCTCACTGCAAGCTCTGCCTCCCGGGTTCATGCCATTCTCCTGCCTCAGCCTCCCAAGTAGCTGGGACTACAGGCGCCCGCCACTACGCCCGGCTAATTTTTTGTATTTTTAGTAGAGACGGGGTTTCACCGTTTTAGCCGGGATGGTCTCGATCTCCTGACCTCGTGATCCGCCCGCCTCGGCCTCCCAAAGTGCTGGGATTACAGGCGTGAGCCACCGCGCCCGGCCTAATGAATGTTTTTAGAAAGGCAGAAATCTAGGCAGTTCTTTAAAATAGGGGTCGCCAACCTCCAGGCTATGGACCGGTGCCAGTCTGTGGCCTGTTAGGAACCTGGCTGCACAGCAGGAGGTGAGTGGTGGGCTAGTGAGCATTACCTCCCGAGCTCCACCTCCTGCCAGATCAGCAGCGGCATTAGATTTTCTTGGGGGTGCGGACCCTATTGTGAACTGCACATGCGAGGGATCTAGGTTGTGTGCTCCCTATGAGAATCTAATGCTTGATGATCCAAGGTAGAACAGTTTCATCCCGAAACCATCCCCCAAACCTGTACATGGAAAAATTATCTTCCACGAAACTGGTCCCTCGTGCCAAAAAAGTTGGGGACCGCTGCCTTAAGGGAGGAACATATGGTGATGCAGAAGCCGCAGGTGTTGAACCTAAGATGCATATTTCTGGGCCCCATCTTTAGAGGTTCTGCTTCAGGAGAGCTGGGGTGGGTCAGGAATATGCATGAGGAACAAGCACCCTGGGTCCCTCCAGCGAAGGTGATCTAAGGAACTCACATTGAGAAATACACCCCAGAGGTGGTGGCGTCGTGGTGTGACACTTCAGAAGGAAAGTGCACTTATGTATCTAGATATCAATGAAACATGGGCAAAAATTGAAGGCATAAAGGGGATTTGGCAAAGATGAAAGTCTGATGACCCATTGAATTAAAAGTAAGAAGATTCATAAATGTCTTTCCAAGTACTATAGGAACTTATTTTTATAATAGTCATGAAAAAAAAAAATAAAGGACTACGAAGTGACTTCTCACTGGCAGGGACTTGTTAGGAATGGGATGGGATCAGTTCCTTCCCAGCCAATCTCCTTATTTCTCCATCTTCGGGGGCTCTGTTGGCAGCACACGCCCTTCCCCTGAGCCTGGCAACAAAACCTCCAGCGATGTCACTAAGCAGGGCCTTTTTTAGAAGTTAAGTGAAGCCTGGACCACTTCTAATTTTCTGAGACTTTAAAAATGGAGAAAGCCAACACAAGGTTACCAAAATAGCAGTATATATAATATATATTGTTTGCATTTAAATATTTAGTGCTTTTAACACAAAAATTCAAGGTAATTTTGAATTCATCAAATAGTAAGATTTCTTTACAATAATAATTCATGATAGAAGATATAGTCCAGAAATGGAACAGAGCTTTAAAATTGTATGATGGGCCTAAAGTTCCAGCCCTGTTGGTGTATCTATCTCTAAATGTACATTAACATCATTTGGAGATGATGTCAAAGATCTAAATTTGAGATTCTTCCTGAGAGTGAAGTCTGAGCCAGACAGCTCTCCTAGTCTACACTAGAATAAACTCTGTTGTTAAATATAGTCATATGTCACTTCATGATGGGGATATATGGTGCATAGTCAGGCGATTGTGTTGTTTAGGAGCATCATAGAAAGAACTTATACAAACCTAGCTGGTAGAGCCTACTACACACCTAGGCTGTATGGTACAGCCTATTGAGCCTAGGCTGCAAACCTGTACAGCATGTTACATACTGATTACTACAGGCACCTGTAACTCAATGGTTAAGTATTAGTATGTCTAAACACAGAAAAGATACAGTAAAAATATGGTATAAAAGATAAAAAATGGTACACCTGTATAAGGCACTTATCATGCATGGAGCTTGCAGGACTGGAGGTTGCCCTGGGTGAGTCAGTGAGTGAGTGGTGAGTGAATGTGAAGGCCTAGGACATGACTGTGCATTACTATAGACTTTATAAACACTGGACATTTAGGTTACACTAAACTTATAAAAAATGTTTTTCTTCAATAATATGTTAACTTTAGTTTGCTGTAACTTTTTTACTTTATAAACTTTAACATTTTTGGACTCTTTTGTAAGAACACTTAGTGTAAAACACAAATACATTGTACAGCTGTCCAAAAATTCTTTCTTTATATGCTTATTCTATAAGCTTTTTTCTATTAATATTGTTTCACTTTTTAAACTTCTTCATTAAGAATGAAGACACAAACACACACGTTAGCCTAAGCCTACACAGGGTGAGGATCATCAATATCACTGTCTTCCACCACCACATCTTGTCCCACTAGAAAACCTTCAGGGGCAAGAACATACATGGAGCTGTCATTTCCTGTGATAACAATGCCTTCTTCCAGAATACCTCCTGAAGAACCTGCCTGAGACTGTTTTACAGTTAACATTTTTTTGTTTGTTTTTAAATATGACAGCTATGATGGCACTGGGCGATAGGAATGTTTCAGCTTCATTCTAATCTTATGGGACCACCCTTGTATATGCAGTTCATCCTTGCCTGAAACATCATGATGTGGCACGTGACTGTATTTCTACTCTTGTAGTTCTTTAAACTTGCAGGGAACTTTGCTGGCAATTTCTTGTTAACCATTCACCTATCATAAATGTTGAAGATAAAATATAATGTATTAATATGATTCAATTGAGATAAATTTCAAAAACAGGCAAAACTAGTAAATTGTGCTGGAAATCATCCTACTGATTAGCCTAGGGTGCTGGTATTGTTCTATTTCTTTGTTCTGAGGGCTGGTTACATGATTTGCTTATAATTTGTGAACTTTTTTTTTTTTTAATGTTACGTTTCAATACAAGTCTTACTTTAAGAATTTCGCTGAGTCTTTACGGTTCGTAGAAGTGCAGCCACTGCTACCTCAGCAATGCCTTAAATCAGAGGAGCCAGGTTGGATCAAGTGGTTTTTCTATCTCCGAGAATAGCCCTCATTGGCTGGGACACAGAACGCTCATTGGTGGACCCCTGCTAGTGTGTCCGGATGGCCTGGCACCACTGAAGAGGTAGGCCCATTAGGTTCTTGCTGGTGAATGTGGATGAGCACATGCAGTTTGTCACAAGCCCAAATATGCGAAGTCTCTGACAGAAAGTCCCTGGTACGTGACTCCAGCCTGGGCAATGGCAGCGTCTCAGTGTCTCTGCAGTTACTCATTCACTGAGGGGGTGTGTGTGCATATTTGTATGTGTGTGTGTGTGTGTGTGTGTGTGTGTGTTCTTCTCACCCTCCCCAACATTGTTGTCCCTGGAGCTTCTGTAAGTGACAGGACAGAATGAAACAGGGCCTTGTTGAGAGGTGGAAAGCCTGCCAGCTGGCCCTATGGTCTGCTTGGCCCCCAGGAGGCCGTTCCTGACACCTGGTCCCATATGGCAGTGCATGCTCCAGGACATGAGCCAAGCAGTCCCTCCGAGTAACAGAAACACATTCCTAACTCTGTGGTCAGACCAACAGGAGGCAGGGAGGCGGGGTGGAGAGCCTGCGCCTGGAAGTTCAGTGCATGCTGTCAGTACTGCTCTCTTTATCCCTCAGAGCCCTTCCTTCCTTGTGAACAGAAGTCCAGGCATCTCAAAGGTCTCTTCCAGTGTCTGTGATCTTACAATAATGAAAACAAACTTCTTGTTGAGTTTTAGAAGTTCACCAAATTCTTTCCTCAAATCCACTCAGCCCCACTTCTGGCCTCCCTATTGTACATCTGTTTATCTGTCATGATCTAGATCAAATCCGGCTCCCCAGATGAAGTCTCCCTGAGAGAATGTCAATGATCTGCCATACTTGTCGTCTAATTTATATTTTGTTACTTTTATCTATGTCTTAAAAATCCACTTGAGATTGCAAACTCCTTGATGAAAATGGCAGCAGCAGCAGCATCTTTGCATCCTCTGTAGAAAGGATCCCCAAATGTGGGTTGACTGACCTGCAATGATAGCCTGCATCCAAATAACACAGGGTATTTAACAGTTCGGATTTCCACGTGCAACCCCTGGAGATTCTGATTAGAGATCTAGGATGGGATCGAGGGATCTATCTTTAAATAGCATCTGCGGGGTTTCCCACACAAAGCCTGCTCAGAGAGCTCCTCCACCACCTCCTTTATATGGTGATTTGATTAAGTGCCCAATATATATAGGCCGAATGAGTAGAGGAATTTAATTTATCACATCTTTTTTTAGTCATCCTAAAATTTTCCAGAGTTCACAAAGATGTAGCACATAAATCAAGATTGTGACATTTAATGAAAACAATGTCATTGAGTTGTTCCAACAGCATTTTCTAATATTTAGAAATGTTTTGTGCCATGAAGGTAAGATATAAGATTTTATTTCTTGAATTAGTTTTTGGTGTTTGAGTTGAAATGGGCAAACTTTCTTGTGAAGACTTTTGCAGCACTTAATTCTCCTCTCTACCAAGTTCCTTGATGTCTTCCTCCTGTCCCACCTGCCTTCCACTTATAATTTCTGCCAATTTAAGAGAAGTATAAGCTCTTTCCCCCTTTTCTCTTCTTCTGTCAGAATCTGCTATATCTCTTACTCTCTATTTATTCCTCTATCCATTCATTTAATAAATGTTGACTGAGGACTGCTGTGTACCAGGCACAACATTAAATTCTGGGAATGCGGCAGTGAACAGAACAGCCTTGGCTTCTGCCCCTGTGGGATTTACGCTCTCAGTGGGGAAGGCAAATGTGATATAAATAATTACAAATATTAGCTAGAGCCTTTCGGCTTTATCTCATTTGTTAAGCTAATGACATCTAAACTGTTGGCTGCTAATGACTTAACATCTTATTCTTCCCAGATAACATTTCCCGCGAAAAGACTTTAGCACCTTACTTTGAGAAGAAAGGATGAAGTGGAGGGGGAGGAGTTTCAAAAGGAGATCTATTTGTGGAGGGGACGTTTTCTGACATTAAAAAATTATAATATGTAGCTAGATGCCTACTCCACCTGACCAAATTGTCCTCTTATGCTAAAAAACATTGGTTTCAGGTCCTTTGTATAGGATTGTCCAACATGCAGCATATATCCTAATGGTGGGATGCAAGATGTATTAGGTAGTTGAAGCAGATATGGTTAGTGCCCTAAGCAAACTACCTAGGCACTTGCAGTTCCTCGCTGTGCTGATGGCTTCTGTTTTTTGTTTGTTTGTTTTTTGAGACGGAGTCTCGCTCTGTCACCAGGCTGGAGTGCAGTGGCGCAATCTCGGCTCACTGCAATCTCCGCCTCCCGGGTTCAAGCGATCCTCCTACCTCAGCCTCTCGAGTAGCTGGGACTACAGGCGCCCGCCACCATGCCGAGCTAATTTTTTGTATTTTTAGTAGAGACGGGGTTTCACCATGTTGGTCAGGAAGGTCTTGATCTCTTGACCTCGTGATCCGCCCACCTCGGCCTCCCAAAGTGTTGGGATTACAGGCGTGAGCCACCGCGCCCGGCCCGGCCTGTGCTGACGGCTTCTTAACTGCAAATGTCTGTAACTCAGATTGCAGGAGCTGGCTTGCCCACCTTCACAGCGGGCCTGCAGTGGTAGGAGTTAATGGTCACATCCACGAGAGTAGCTTTCAAAGAATGACGAAGGGAAGATGGTGGGTAAAACTCTGAGGCTCATTCTCCAGCTTTCTTAGGGGGTCCGCAGGGATGCAACCCCAAAGACCGTAATGCTCCCTGGATTGACTTTCCTCTCTTCACACTTATTTCCCCGGCCCCCTAGTGGTGCTTCTTGGGAACACCTCTCAAATAGATGATTTGTACTCTAGTCCTAGTCTCAACCCAACCTAAAACAATGGCACATGGGCACATACTTTTATTTTAATGGCCATGTGTTTTAACATGTATTAGAAAAAATATAAATTGCACACCGTATCTGTGATTTCATGGATATTAGTGAAGCTTAAGTTTCAAAAGTGAGTCAATTTAAACCGAAGTGGAAAGTAATGGTATTCGGGTATTTGACAAATCACAAAGGGAGAGTGTGAATGGGGGATAATTGTATTAGAGCTTGAGGTTACCTGTAAACTGGAGCGCTTCCAGCTTTCTGGAATAAACTCAAGGACACTGGTCCTTAATTCAGTGTTCCTGAAAAGACTCCCAGGGGCTCACCAGCCCTTGAGAGATTATGCAAAGTTTTATGTATTTGGATCCTCTTCCTCCCAAAAGTTCATTTGCCTTAGTCTTAGAAAGGCATATTTCACTCAAAGTCAAGAGAGAGAGAGAGAGAGGAAAAAAAAAAGGAAGGAAGAGAGGGAGAGGGGGAGGACAGGCAGACACTCTGTTTTTCTATTTTATTAATGTAATTCAGATCTCTGTTTCTGTTGCAAAAAAGCAAAAAATAAAACAAAGGAGAGGAATGAGGAGATGGAGCCCTGATCCAAATAACAACAACAACAAAAAAAGTGTCTGTAGAATTGGGTTACTGGATGACTTCGGGGAGATGAGCTATCCATCACCACCCGCATCCTCAATAAAAAAACCTGGAAATATCTTCTGAGGATTTTTGCTTGTTAGGAAGGATGGCTATAGCCCAAGAGCAGCATCTGTATACAATGAGTGAAAAAATATTTGGTAACAAAGATCCATTAAACACCCAAATCTACCAAGTATCAGATGGCAAGATAAATGAGATTTTTGTACATGCAAAGCAAATTTTATATAAACAATAACCAAGGCAGTTCCTGTTGCTTCATAAAGCAGGACTTCTGTTAATAGCAGAAACAGCAAATACAGAAAACCAAGCCAATGCATTTTAATGCCTGATTTTGATGCATTAAAAAAATCAAGAAATTCAACAATTCACAGCCAATTGTATATTCATGCCACCCAGACTGAATTAGGATTAGAATCAGCTGTGAGCAACAGAAAATCCAAAATAATGAGTGGTGGAACAAAGATGGAAATTTATTTTTTTCATGTGAAAGTCTGAGTAAATGGTCTAGGGGCTGGTGTGATTATTCATAATACCAGGGAACATTGAATGGCTTCTCCAGTTCAAGCCATCATGTCCCCATTCCAGCCAGCAGAAAGGAGGAAAAGAAGCTTCCCTATAAGGACACTTCTGTGATGTTGCATACACCACTTCCTCTTACATTTCTTTGCCTAGAACTTAATAACTTGACCACACCTATCTGCAAGAGAGGGTAAGAAATGCAGTTATTATTCTGGGAGTTCATATGCTCAGCTAAAAATTCTCTTGCTGTGGAAGAAGAGAATAGATATTGGGTAATACCAGCAGTCTCATCTACCCAGATTTCGTACATATTGGTAGTTCTAAGTAGTTAACTTTGGCATGATACTCAACTGTAAGTCTTATTTAATGTGTCAATGAAATTGCTTGACCCTAATCACCCAGTTTTTAAAGCTGCCTCTAATTAAATCTTTTCTGACATCCACAAATAAAGCATATTTTTCATTTTGAGTATCTGTCTACTTGATGCTGGACAAAATTCGGCCCACCTAGAATAGCAGGTATAGTTTGTGGGTTATCGAAACCCTTTGTTCTCTCTCCTTTTCTGTTCAACATACTTGTGGCCACTTTCCCATTAGTTAAAGTCTGAAATAGAGAAAGAAAGATTTAAAAAAGAAATAAAGTCTAATCAGATGTTTTGTTCCTTTTCAGCAACATTTCTCCAGGGCTAAAGTAGAAGAGATTAGAAATAAGTAACATTAAGTTTTGGGATTTATCTGTCATAAAAACAGTCCTTTAGGCCAGTTGATGAGCAAAGCCCTTTTCACTGCCATCTGTAATTGTGGCTGCAGCCCTGTGAAGAAGGCAGTGTCATCTCCACTTGAGCGAAGAGATGAAACTTACCAGACAAAGCAGTTATTAAAGGGCAAAGCCAGGATTTTCACTGGGGTCTCTCTGACCCCCAAAACTCTGCTCTTTTGACTGCTCCACCCACAGAGTCCCTCCTGCCATGAGTCTTTTAAGCATCATTATCTCCAGTGGAGAGAAAGTTTTTACATGAACATTGGCTGAGACTAAAAGCAGGCCTTGGAGACATAAACAAACTGAAGAGGTTCAGAAAGTGCTCGTCAGCCTGCTCCTTGTGGTCTGTCTGCCCTCCCAGATTTTGAGTTTTGTTATTAGGAGGCACTTGATATTTACAGAGTGGCATCTGGGACTCGCAGCCCCAGGTGGAATGCAGAAGATGGGGCAGAGTGCCCTCTCTGCAGAACACTTGAAAAGAGCGAGGATGGTTTCAGGACAGTGTTTCCTTGGCCTCTCATCCTGCAGTGCTGGAGAGAGAAAGTCACTGAGGTAGACGGCAGTTTGGAAGGATCCCACCTTCCCTCCCCCCAGCTTGGAATGGAACCTCTTGCTCATGGTACAATAATGGAACCTCACATACATTCAGTGCTTGCTCTGTGGCTGCCACGCTGCTTGTTCTTCTCCATCAATTCCGAGAGGCATTCTATAGGGGAGGATGCGGGATTTGAACCTAGAATCTCTGATTCCAAAACTCACATCCTTAACCACAAGGCAATGTGCCCTGGTCATAAGCATACACCAGGGGCTGAAATGGAGACAACTGATAGTAATGTCTAGAAAGAAAGGATGGGTAGAATATATCTGAATATACTTGAGGAAAAACGTTTTGGTGAAATGCTTTCTAAGTAATCACATGGAACATGTTCTTGGATTTGGCATTGAGAAACCCTGAGTTTTTTCTTCAATTCTATCCGTAACATGGAGGGCAGAAGCAGTTAATGGAGAACGATTTGAGGAAATCACCAACACAAGGAGCATTTGGCAGCACATTACCACTGTGGACTCAGCCCTGTGTGGACGTCTCAGAGTCTGCTGAGTGCACCTCAGAAGTGTGTTGCTGAAAAGAGGAAACCAGGGTATTAAACCACCAACTCCTGTCCCTTCTGACAGGAAGGTCATGAATGGAAGGTCACCTCTGGAACATTGACTCTCAGGTGTGTCCGGTGCCTACGGGGCACCTGCACACAGTTCTGCGGTGGAGAGACCCAGGAGGCTGATGGTGTATTCAGGATTTGTTTGAAGTGACCTCTGGGGTTGGCTAAAGGGGTTTGGGTGGCGCCCTGAACCCGTCTGCCTCAACTTGTTCTAGCTACAGCATGGCATGTGAATATAGTATGGGGGAAATCCAATAAATGCAACTTATTGTTATTTTTTAAATGACCACATTTTCAATAGTTATAAATAATGACCTGTTGTGGGTTATCCAAGCTCAGATTCCATTTTGCCAACTTGGATGGTTTGCTAGTGCTGCCATAACAAAGTACCTCAGACTGTGGGGCTTAAATAACAGAAATTTATTTCCTCACGATCCTGAGATCAAGGTGTCTGCAGTGCTGTTTCTTCTAAGGCTTGTAGTGGGCTGTCTTCTCTCGGTGTTTTCACACAGTCTTCTGCCTGCGTCTCTGTCCTAATCTCTTCTCATAAGGACATCAGTCCTATTGGATTAGGGTCTACCCTAATGACCTTATTTTAATGTAACTACCTCTTTAAAAAGCCTGTTTCCAAACACAGTCACATTCTGAGTTATTGGGGGTTAGGGTGTCAACATATGAATTTTGGGAGGACTCAAGTCAGCCCATAGCCCCACTTAATGGAGAATAGTGACAAAAAAGACACTGTTGAGCTATCTTTACTTTTTAACCCTATAACCTTTACTGCAGAAAACACTTAACATAGCAACCCCAAGGCTGCTGTCTTTAGAAAGACCTGCTTGCAAGGTTGTTCCTTGGCTGGTGTCAGGGAACTTGGATTTTGAGGGGGTTCCCACCGTTTCCAAAGCTGATAATAGAGGCTCACAGTGCCTAAATTGTTTGTACCAATAACATCGTTTATGCAGGATACCTGCTTTCCTTCTGGGAGTCTGGAATTTTGGTATCTACTAGGCCAGGGATGCCTGTGTGCCCAGCTTTGATGAAAGCCCTGGGTGTCAAGTCTCTTCTGAGCTTCTCTGGTAGACAACATTTTACCAGTGTTATCACTGCTCATTGCTGGAAGAGATAAGCATGTCCTGTGCAATTCCACTGGGAGAGGACTTTTAGCCGCCTGTTTCTATTTCCTGCAGACTTTGCTCCATGTGTCTTTTCCCTTTGCTGGTTTCGCTTTGCATCCTTTTGGTATAAAAAATCATAGCCATGTGATAATGTTTGGCTTTGCATCCCCATCCAGATCTCATCTTGAATTGTAATCCCATAATTCTTGTGTGTCATGTGAGGGACCCTGTCGGGGGTAATTGAAGCATGAGGGCAGTTTTCCCCATGCTGTTCTCATGATAGCGAGTGAGTTCTCACAAGATCTGATGGTTTTATAAGTGTCTGGCATTTCCCCTGCTGGCATTAATTCCCTCTCCTACTGCACTGTGAAGAGGTGCCTTCCACCATGATTGTAAGTTTCCTGAGGCCTCACCAGCCATGCAGAGTTGCGAGTCAATTAAACCTCCTTTCTGTATAAACCACCCAGTCTCGGGTATTTCTTCATAGCATCTTGAGAATAGACTAATATGCCATGATTATCACTATTCGCTGAGTCCTGTGAATCTTCTTAGTGAGTCATCAAACTAGGGGGTGATCTTGGGGACCCCTGGCACACTTTTTTTAAAATTATACTTTAAGTTCTGGGATACATGTGCAGAACGTGCAGGTTTGTGACACAGGTATATATGTGCCATGTGGTTTGCTGCACCCATCAACCCGTCATCTACATTAGGTATTTCTCCTAATGCTATCCCTCCCCCAGCCCCCCACCCCTCAACAGGCCCCAGTGTGTGATGTTCCCCTCCCAGTGTCCATGTGTTCCCATTGTTCAACTCCCACTTATGAGTGAGAACACGTGGTGTTTGGTTTTCTCTTCTTGTGTTAGTTTGCTGAGAATGATGGTTTCCAGCTTCATCCATGTCCCTGCAAAAGACATGAACTCATCCTTTTTTATGGCTGCATAGCATTCCGTGGTGTATATGTTCCACATTTTCTTTATCCAGTCTATCATTGATGGACATTTGGGTTGGTTCCAAGTCTTTGCTATTGTTAACAGTGCTGCAATAAACATACGTGTGCATGTGCCTTTATAGTAGAATGATTTATAATTCTTTGGGTATATACCCAGTAATGGGATTGCTGGGTCAAATGGTATTTCTGGTTCTAGATCCTTGAGAAATCGCCACACTATCTTCCACAATGGTTGAACTAATTTACACTCCCACCAGCAGTGTAAAAGCGTTCCTAATTCTCCACATCCTCTCTGGCATCTGTTAGTTTCCTGACTTTTTAATGATCACCATTCTAACTGGTGTGAGATGGTATCTCATTGTGGCTTTGATTTGCATTTCTCTAATGACCAGTGATGATGAGCTTTTTTTCATATGTTTGTTGGCCGCATAAATGTCTTCTTTTGAGAAGTGTCTGTTCATATATTTCTCCCGCTTTTTGATGGGGTTGTTTTTTTCTTGTAAATTTTTTTAAGTTCTTTGTAGATTCTGGATATTACCTGGCACACTTTTATAGGTTTGCTCTGATAGCTGGCTGCAGTTAAAGATGCCCTTAGCTGGGACTAGGAGTGGGTTAGGGGAAGGATTTATTACATAGCACCAAGATTATGAAGTAATGCCTGAGAAAAAAGGCTACTGAGTTGTCAGAAGATGCAACATATGTAATAAAACTTAGAAGAACATGGACATGACCTTGGAGGTCATAGATCTATTCAACAGAGCACTTTGATCCTCCTCTGTCTGGCCGTACAGTACCACAGACTTGGTGTGGCCAAACCCTGGCTTGAGAGACACTCTTCCCTCACTTGTTGCCAAAGACTTGGCCTCTCTCCTGAAAATTAGGAGAACATGTCTGACCATTTGATGTGTCTGCCTGTCTCTGTTCTCTTTCCCTCTCACCCCTGGGTCAGAGGGAGTCTTCTCTTTTATAGCCCCTGTGGATGGCTTATAACTTGGCTACTATACACCGGTATTGCTATTGGGATGTTTCTGGCTGGCATCTGTTCTGATTGGTCAGCGCCTGTATTAAATATTTTGATGATCACCCCTGACCGTATGTCACATCCCTCTTCTACCATTAAGCCACCAGGATTGTGGCTGTGCTGGAAGAAGTGTCTTCTCCACACTCAGGAAAACCCTCTGAGCTGGGTGCCCCACTCTCGACTCTTGATGTATTAAAGCTGGGACATAAAAGGATTTGGAAAATCCTCTCTGGACGAGGTAGCCTGACTTGTACAGCTATTATCTTGCTGCCAAATCCTGATTTGCCTGCTAGAAGCTGCATATGACTCTGTACTTTACCTCTGTAACAAATCCTAATTTTCCCACGGGCAGATGGACTCTCATTCAGAAAAGCAAAAGAGAAAAATACCTTGATACTTTTCAAAACATTATCCCATTACGTTGTACTGAGTTGAGTTAAGCATTGGGTCAGACGCTGGGGATCCAAAATTGAATGACACTCATATCCAACCAGAGGAGAGGATGGAGTACAACACCGCTTCTTTCTTTTTTTCTTTTTCTTTTTTTTTTTTTGAGACAGAGTCTTGCTCTGTCGCCCAGGCTTGAATGCAGTGGCATGATCTTGGCTCACTGCAACCTCCGCCTCCCGGGCTCAAGCAATTCTCCTGCCTCAGTCTTCCGAGTAGCTGGGATTACAGGTGTGCACCACCATGCCAGGCTAATTTTTGTATTTTTAGTAGAGACGGGGTGGTCTCAAACTCCTGACCTCAAGTAATCCACCCGCCTCGGCCTCCCAAAGTTCTGGGCCTACAATAACACCAGTTTTTTAGTGCTAGAGTGGCGGTGTGTCCCAAACGCCGTGGAAACTTAGAGGTTAACAATCACAACAGCAGCAATATTAGCTAAAACATACCAAGCTTCTCTGCGAGGCATGTGCTTAGTGACTTAATTTACTTCTCTCCGGTAACTCTGTGACATAGGTACCATTCTGCCATTATTCAGATGAGGCTCTCCAGGCACAGAGGGGTGAAGTACCTGTCCAGGATTGCCCAGCTGGCCACAGTGGGACCAGATTTAGGGTGAACGATCAGAACATAGCACCTTCAGTCTGATTCTCTCTATTGTCCCCATCAAGGAAGGCTTCACAGAGTAGGTGACATTTGGTGTCTTTCCATTTGAGAGATGTGGAACTAGGGCATGATTAAGAGGCTTGCCTAAGGTCTACTTGCTTGGCTGCAGGTCAGAGTTTCTTCCTGCATCTTAGGCTGCCTTTCACAGTGAACTTGACACTGAGGTAGCCTGCAGAGTGTCCACGCTATACACAGTATAGACTGGGCAAGGGTCAGGGCAAGAGGTCACCTGGATCCCGATCCCACCCCCACCCTTACTGCTTGGTGGGAGACTGGATGTTCTGTTGAATAGATCCATGACCTTCAAGGCCAGTACTTGTTCTTCTAAGTGTTATTACATATGTTGCATCTCCTGACAACTCTGTAGCCCTTTTTCTCTTGCATTACCTCTCATAGTCTTGGTGCTATGTAATAAACCCTGCCCCTGACCCATTCCTAGTCCCAGCTGGATGGCATCTTTAACTTTTATGTCCCAGCTTTAATACATCAAGAACTGAGAGTGGGACACCCAGTTCAGAGGGTTTTCCTGAGTATAGAGAAGACAGTCCTTTCACCTGTGACAGCACAGCCACAATCCTGGTGGCTTGATGGTAGATGAGGGATGTGACATAGGGTCAGGGGTGATCATCAAAATATTTAATGCAGGCACTGACCAATCAGAACAGATGCCAGGGAAAAACATCCCAGTGGCAATACTGGTGCATAGTAGCCAACTATAAGTTGTCCACAGGGGCTACAAAAGAGAAGCCTGCCCCCCCGGCCTAGGGGTGAGAGGGAGGGAGAGCAGAGCAGAGACAGAAAGGGCATCTGTGGCTTTGAGGATTTTTTTGCTGGGTTGTCATCTGAATTTGTGTTCCCTAGAAGCAGATCCTGAAACAAGCTACTGAAGGAAATACAGGCAGGGGAGTGGAGAAGTGATACTGGTTGGGGAAGGGAGCCGGTAAATGGTGTGTTTTCAAGCAAGTCACCTCTGTGGGCAGCCGAAGCTGAAGCCAGTGGGGAAACACCATGTGCCAAGAGAGCTGGGGTGTTTATAATTGGACAAGGGCTGCTCTCACGGTGTTAATTCCATGGCACTACTGGCCTATTATTCGGCAGCCAAGCTGGTTCCAAGAGCCAGTGAAAGCCCTGAGGCAAATGAATGCAGGTGCTGGTGTTGGAAGGTGCTGTGTGCCCAGCAGTGGTACAGGTGACAGGATATGAATGGGGCACTGGGAGCGTCTGGTGTAGTCATCAGCAGACTGGGTGAGGGATAGAGCCCTACAGCCTGTGTGTGTGTGTGTGTGTGTGTGTGTGTGTGAGAGAGAGAGAGAGAGAGAGAGAGAGAGAGAGAGAGAGAGAGCTGCCCTCTGGCATTTCAAGGCTGGTGATTCAGATCACAAAAGAGCAGTGAACATGAGGCTGGAACACTCTGGAACCAGAGGAGAGGTCTGTGGCGGCAGGCACTGTCAGCTGCTGGAGCTGTCCTTCCCCTGCTGCGTGTGTGTTACTACCTGCTCTCCCTTCCTTTCCTGGCTGGCCCTCCCAGACCTAAAGATGCCACCCCAGCAGTTTCTGGCCAGTCTGAGTGCTCCTGGTTAAACTTCCAAGAAATGAGTTTTGCCCCCTCATAGCTGATCTTGTGCCCTGAGGGCTGGGCAGGAGTCCTGGTTACAAGAGCTTTGCAGCCTCAGCTTCCAGTGTCCTATTTCAGCCACAGAGCTGACCAGCCTCCGTGGATAATTTAGATTCATTCCCTCCCTCTGGTAGCTAAAGCATGTGAAAGTTCAATTGAGGTTACTACTCCCTGGCACCAGTGAGGCAGCTGTCAGCCTTAATGAGATAATGCCTTCCACGTTTCCTGAGTTCTTTGAGAGACGGGCACTGTACTACTCTATTATTTATAGGATTGTTTGCAATGTTGTTTTCTAAACACACATAAATGTGTGTGTACAAAAGGCTGGAAACATTTTCTTTTTTAATTTTTTGGAGACACAGTCTCACTCTGTTGCCCAGGCTGGAGTGCAGTGGCGTGATCTCAGCTCACTGCAACCTGCGCCTCCCTGGTTCAAGCGATTCTTCTACCTCAGCCTCCCTAGTAGCTGGGATTACAGGCGCCCACCACCATGCCTGACTAATATTTTGTATTTTAGTAGAGATAGGGTTTCACCGTGTTGCCCAGGCTGGTCTCGAGCTCCTGAGCTCAGGCAATCTGCCTGCCTTGGCCTCGCAAAGTGCTGGGATTACAGGTGTGAGCCACCGGGCCTGGCTTGGAAACATTTTCATCTGAGCATTATCTCTTCTTGGATACTCAGGACAAAGGCAGATTTACATTGTTCCCTACCCTCAACATTTGGGTGGAAGGAAAATGTTCAAATGAAAGTTACTTTCTATCCCTTAAAAATGTGTGTCTTTGCACTATTCACAATAGCAAAGACTTGGAATCAACCCGAATGTCCATCAGTGATAGACTGGATTAAGAAAATGTGGCACATATACACCATGGAATACTATGCAGCCATAAAAAAGGATGAGTTCATGGCCTTTGCAGGGACATGGATGAAGCTGGAAACTATCATTCTCAGCAAACTATCACAAGGACAGAAAACCAAACACCGCATGCTCTCACTCATAAGTGGAAGTTGAACAATGGGAACACATGGACACAGGGCGGGGAACATCACACACCAGGGCCTGTTGAGGGGTGGGGGGCTGGGGGAGGGATAGCATTAGGAGAAATACCTAATGTAAATGACGAGTTGATGGGTGCAGCAAACCACCATGGCACATGTATATCTATGTATCAAACCTGCACATTGTGCGCATGTACCCTAGAACTTAAAGTATAATAAAAAAATGAAAAAAAAAATGTGTGTCTTTGCCAGACGAAATGGCTCATGCCTGTATTCCCAGCCCTTTGGGTGGCTGAGGTGGGTGGATCATGAGGTCAGGAGTTCAAGACCAGCCTGACCAACATGGTGAACCCCTGTCTTTACTAAAAATACAAAAAATTAGCCGGGTGTGGTGGTGGTACTTGTAATCCCAGCTACTCGGGAGGCTGATGCAGGAGAATCGCTTGAACTTAGGAGGCAGAGGTTGCAGTGAGTCAAGATCAAGCCACTGCACTCCAGCCTGGGCAACAGAGCGAGACTCTGTCTCAAAAAAAAAAAAAAAAGTGTGTCTTTGAAAAGAAGCTCTCCAATGCTATCAGTGTCTCACATCTCCAATTCTAGCAAAGCAACTGGGTTCCTGGTGAAGCTCCACTCTATGGAAACAAAAGCACACTTTTTTTTTGGTGTTAATCTTCATTTGATTACCTATTCAGGAGCTAGAATGCTGTGGTCAAAAGGAATTTTTGGATATAGAAAAATTTAAGTTCCAAATCCTCATCTTACTAATTACTGATTGTGTGATGTCAAACAATGTTGTAAATTAGAATTGCTGTGAGGGAGCCCAGAGCTGCTGTATGTTTCTGTGCAGCTTGGATGCTGCAGTCTTCCAGAGTTCACGTGGCAGCCTATGCGAATGATGTCCCCGGAGCTGTTGGGTATATAACCTGAACAACCACATACAGTGACTCTCAGGACCAACAGCCTGCACATTAAATTGTAAAACACTTTGCAGATGCTAAGATGTTGACCAATAAAAACTAGAGGAAGCCAACTTTAAGGGTGAACTATTTTTAAACATCCTTTAGGAAAATTATTTTTATGTTAGCTATTTTTAAAAGCTTATCGGTTACTCGTAAGTGCAACTCATTTAAAGACATCTGTGTATTTTAAGGTAAATCTAATCTTCATCACTTTAATGTATTCAGTGTTGTCTCTAAAATCTCTTTGATGTCTAGTAAGCTTTTCTCTAAGCTCTGAATACTAAGTATTAAATACTTTCTCCTTGATGTCGAAAGTTGTCATTTCATGTTTGCTATAGGTCAGCGCTGCCAGATAGGACTTCCCATGGTGATGGAAATGTTCTCTCTTTGTGCTATAAGGCAGCCAGTAGCCATACCTGGCTATTGATTATTCATCATGTGGCTAATGCAATTGAGAAACTGAATTTTAAATATAATTTAAACTAATTAAAAATTAAAGAGCCACACGTGGCTATTAGCCACTCTATTGGACAGTGCAGTGCGTTCTTAGTACTACCCATCATATCTAGTCCTATTAAAGTCATACTGTTGCAGCCCAAGGGGACCCTACTTAAGAGCAGTATGTGACTTTTCCTGGGCAATAAAACTTTGCTTCATTTTCATGCATAACGTGTTCCTAAAAAGCTGTATGTATGGAGAGAAGTTTTGTATCAAATCATGTTTTCTCATTTAATCCTATTATAATTTCAAGATGGCAGAGCCTCTGAAAAGTCTTTGATTTCAACATTTAATAGATCCAATTGAGTACATTAACCCTTGCTTTAAGAAGTTTTTGATCTTTATCAACATCTTGTCTTTTTATGTCAATTTTTTCTGGCTTACACCCATCTTGGAAAGGTTAATTAAATGGATTTTGCAAATTGGATGGGCATAGCGAGCTGTGTTTCCTTATGGAAACATTCGAATTCCCTGTGGCTCACAGGACATTGTTCTTGCTCCTGTTGCCTCTGTTGCGTCTTTGCAAGCAAGCCCAGAGGTAAGGGCTCAAAATTCTATACTCCAAGTAGACATCTGCCTAAAGCACAGACATTTTTGCCTGGATCTCCTTTCCCTTCTCTTTAGGTCCTAGAAGTCAGAAGCCTTTCAGAATAAAAGCTGTGGGAATAACCCAATCCTGAGGGTAGGGATTGGGAGGCTAGACTTAATTTAATTCCCCACTGCCTGCCATGAGTGCCTGGCCTGATGCAAGACTCTGGGGGATAGATATAGCCCCCAGATATATCCAAGACTCTGGCTGGGGGATACATGAGTAAGAAAAAGTTTTTGCTTCTTTTGAGAAGTCTACAACAAGTGCTCCAAGACAGGGCTACAAAAACAGTAGTAGGAACTTGAGGAAGAAAATTCATGTAGAAACCATTCACAGAGGCTGCGTTTTTTTTCCTCAAGGAACTTTCTGACCTGATACTATTAATCTGAGAAGCAACGATCACTTCCCAAATAAAAAGGCAACTAACCTTCCTAGTCAAGATGCTAGAGTCTGTGAAATGCTCCCATACCCATAATCCACCTGATGGCCACAAAAAAAGCCTTTCTGGGAAAGCAGGGAACGTGGCATCCATATTTGAGTAAAAAATTGATGCTCCCCCCAGTCTCCTGGCTTGTAATCTTATAAATACTACGTTTAGGACTTTACATTCTCTCTTCTCTCCCAAAGAGCAGTATGAGTAATTTTTGTCTCATACTCTTTAGTTATGTTTTTTAAAGTACCTTGTTTGATAGCAAAGACATTGAATCAACCTACGGGTTCATCAGCGGTGGAATGGGTAAAGAAAATGTGGTGCATATACACCACGGAATACTATGCAGCCATAAAAAAGAATGAAATCGTCCTTTGTAGCAACATGGATACAGCTGGAGGCCATTATCCTAAGTGAATTAACATACAAACAGAAAATCAAATACTGCATGTTCTCACTTACAAGTGGGAGCTAAGCATTGGATACTTGTGGACATAAAGATGGAACAATAGATACTGCAGACTACTAGAGAGGAGAGGGGAAGGGAGGGAGGGAGACAAGGGCTGAAAACCTTCCTATATTAGATGCTGTGCCCACTCCTGGGTGATGAGATCATTCATACCCCAAATCTCAGCATTATGCAATACACACATGTAACCAACCTGCACATGTACTTTCTGAATCTAAGGTAAAAGTTGAAATTATTTTTTAAAGTACCTGTTTAAAGTCGTGTTTACCCTCTTAAAGAAAACACTTCTAAATTGCTCTCTCCTTTTCCCTTTAATATTCGAGTCACCATTATAAATGCTTCAGCAAGGTGACCAATGAATGGTGAGGGTTTTGGGGTAGCATAAAGCTCCCCAAAGAGAGGCATACCTCATTTTATTGTGTTTCACAGATATTGCATTTCTACAAATTGAAGGTTTGTATCATCCAAGCATGGAGCAAGTCTGTTGGCATCGTTTTTCCACCAGCATGTGCTCATTTCATGCCACCATGTCACATTTTTGTTACTCTCACGATATTTCAAGCTTTTGCTTCTTGTTATATCTGTTCTGGTGATCTACGATCAATCATATTTGGTGGTACTGTTGTACTTGACTGCTCTGCCACCTGTTCTCCCATCTCTCTTTCTCTCCCCCAGAGTCCCTATTCCCTGAGACACAAAAATATGGAAGCTAGAACAATTAATAACCCTACAATGGACTCTCAGTGTTCAAGTGAAAGGAAGAGTCCCATGTCTCTCACTTTAAATCAAAAGCTAGAAATGCTTAAACTTAGTGAGTGAGAAAGGCATGTTAAAAACTGAGACAGGCCAAAAGCTAGGCCTCTTCCACCAAACAACCAAAGTGGAGAATGCAAAGGAAAAGTTCTTGAAGGAAATTAAAAGTGCTACTCCAGCAAACACACGAATGATACAAAAGCGAAAGAGCCTTATTGCCGATAGGGAGAAAGTTGCAGTGGTCTGGATAGAAGATAAAACCAGCCACAACACTCCCTTAACCCATTTATGCCTGAGGTTGCAATTTTTTGAATTTTTGCAATCAGACCTTGGCGATGATCTTGAGCAGTAGCATATAAGTAACCCCTACATGCTTAGCATTCCAATAATGGAATGCTAGGCATAAGTATTAAGCCAAAGCCAAATTTAGAGTAAGGCCCTAAATCTCTTCAATTCTATGAAGGCTGAGAGAGGCAAAGAAACTGCAGAAGAAATGGTTCTCAAGGTTTAAGGAAAGAAGCCATCTCCGTAACATAAAAGCACAAGGTGAAGCAGGAAGTGCTGATGGAGAAGCTGTAGCGAGTCATCCGGAAGATCTAGTTAAGATCACTGATGAAGCCACCTGTATTAGGCTGTTCTCCATTGCTGTAAAAAAAAATACATGAGACCGGGTAATTCCTAAGAAAAGAGGTTTAATTGGATCCTGGTTCTTCAGACCCTGCAGGAGACATCGTGGTGGCATCTGCTTCTGGGGAGGCCTCAGGAAGTGTTTACTTATGGTGGAAGGCAAGTGGGAGCAGGCACTTCACATGGTGAAAGCAGGAGAAAGAGAGAGTGAAGAGAGTGAGGTGCTACACACTTTTAAACAACCAGATCTTGTGAAAACTCACTTTCTTGAGGAGGGTAGCAAGCCCAGAGGGTTCCACTCCATGGCCCAGCCACTACCCACCAGGCCCCACCTCCAACACCGGGGCTTACAATTCAACATGAGATTTGGGCCAGGACAAATATCCAAACTATATCACCACCTTCACCATCTACACTAAACCACAGATTTTCAGTATAGATGAAACAGCCTTATCTTGGAAGAAGATGCCATCTGGGACTTTTCATAGCTCGAGGGAAGAAGTCAATGCCTGGCTTTGAAGCTTCAAAGGACAGGCTGACTCTCTTGTTGGGGAATAACGCAGTGGGTGACCTAAAGGTGAATGCTCATTTACCATTCCAAAAATCCTAGAGCTCTTAAGAATTATGCTAACTCGGCCGGGCGCAGTGGCTCACGTCTGTAATCCCAGCACTTTGGGAGGCCAAGGCAGGCAGATCACGAGGTCAGGAGATCGAGACCATCCTGGCTAACACGGTGAAACCCCGTTTCTACTAAAAAATACAAAAAATTAGCCAGGCATGGTGGCGGGTGCCTGTAGTCCCAGCTGCTTGGGAGGCTGAGGCAGGAGAATGGCGTGAACCTGGGAGGTGGAGCTTGCAGTGAGCCAAGATCACGCCACTGCACTCCAGCCTGGGTGACAGAGCAAGACTCCATCGCAAAAAAAAAAAAAAAGAAAAAGAAAAAGAAAAAAAAGAATTATGCTAACTCTACTCTGCCTGTGCTCTGTAAGTGGAATAACAAAGCCCAGATGACAGCACATGTGTTTACACCTTGGTTTACTGAATGGGTTATGATCACTGTTGAGACTTACCCAGCAGAAATAAAGATTTTTTTTCAAAATATTACTGCTCATTGACAATGCACCTGGTCACCCAAGAGCTCTGAGAAAGATGTACAAGGAGATCAATATTGTTTTCATGCCTGCTAATACCACATCCATTCTGCAGCCCATTGATTAAGGAGTAGTATTGACTTTCAAGTATTATTTAAGAAATACATTTTGTAAGTCTATAACTATCATAGATCACTATTTCTCTGATGGATCTTGGTGTATAAAAAACCTTTGGGAAGGATTTATTATTCTAGGTGCCATTAAGAACATTTATGGGCTGGGCATGATGGTTCAGGCCTGTAATCCCAGCACTTTGGGAGGCTAATGCAGGAGGAACCCCTGAGCCCAGGAGTTGGAGACCAGCTTGGACAACATAGTGAGACTTCATCTCTACAAATAATAATAATAATAATAATAATAATAATAATAATAATAATAAGCCAGGCATGGTGGCATGTGCCTGTGGTCCCAGCTACTTAGGAGGCTGAGGTCGGACAATTGCTTGAGCCCAGGTGGTCAAGGCTGCAGTAAGCTGTGATCATGCCACTGCACTCCAACCTGGGTGACAGAGCGAGACTCCATCTCCAAAACAAAAAAAAAAAAAAAAAAAAAAAAGAAAAGTGTGATTCATGGGAGGAGATCAAAATGTTGTCAACATTGACAGGAGTTTGGAAGAAGTTGATTCCAACACTCATGGATGACTTTGAGGGATTCAAGACTCCAGTGGAGGAAGGAACTGCAGAGGTGGTGGAAGTAGCAAGAGAACTAGAATTAGAAGTGGAGACTGAAGATGTGACTGAATTGCTGCAGTCTCATGAAAAAACTTGAAAGGATGAGGAATTGCTTCTTATGGGTGAACAAATAAAGTGGTTTCTTGAGATGGAATCTACTTCTGTGGAGGTGCAATGAACATTGTTGAAATGACAACAAAGGATTTAAAACATTACATAAACTTAGTTGATAAAGAAGTGGCAGTGTTTGAGAAGGTTGACTCCGATTTTGAAAGTTCTACTGTGGGTAAAATGTTATCAAACAGCCTTGCATGCTACAGAGAAAAGTTTTCATGAAAAGAAAAGTCAATAGATGCAGCAAATTTCATTGCTGTCTTATTCTAAGAAATTGCCCCAGCCATCCCAGCCTTCAGCAACCACCACCCTGATCAGTCAGCAACTATCAAAATTAAGGCAAGACCCTCTACCTTCCAAAAGATTATGACTTGCTGAAAGCTCAGATGATCATTAGCAATTTTAGCAACCAAGTATCTTTAAATTAAGGTGTGTACATTTTTTTAGATGTAATGCTCTTGCATACTTAATCGACCACAGAATAGTTTAAACATAATGAGACAACCAGGTGGGAAGAGCTCCCTGGCAGAACCTCCAGCGACCTGCGCACTGGGAGGAATGTGTACTGGGGCGGAGCTGTGGGAAGTTCTCGCCCTTTGCAGTGGGCAGGAGCCTGGCCTCTCTCTCCTGTTCTGGGGTGTGGTACCTGGGATTTAATCTGCAAGGCGGGAAGTGCACTAGCAGGACTCTGATGACTCTGGTTTTGCAGAGAGTCCTGTTTTCCCTTTTTTCCTTTTTGCCTGATAAATCCCATTTTTCTCACCCTTCGAGTTATTTGCAAGGCTAATTTTTCATGGTCATGTGACAAGGACCATCTTTAGCTGAACTAAGGAAAAGTCCTGCAACAATAACTTTTCTATGTACTGAGAAACCAAAAAATTTGTATGACTTGCTTTATTGTCACACAATAAATTATTAGCTTTATTTTGGTGGTCTGAACTGAATCTGCACTATTTCTGAAGTATGCCTGTATCTGTGTTTTTTCGCAGCCTTCCAGGTGGCATTAAATAGGCCTATTTTACAAAAAAGCCCTCCCTTCCACCCTCATCTCATACTGTGGCACTTATTTACCCAAAGTGTTCTTGGCATGCACATTTCTGATCTGCTGCCATCCGAATCTGCCTGCTGCTTGAATGGTTGGCACCCTGAATATATTTTAGGAAGAAAATTTACCTAAGAGTTAAAAACTCATGATTGTAAATATTCAGTAGGCACTTAAATGATTGTTTCAAAACAGCTTTTGGGATGCAGAGAACATGTTTTTCTGTCAGCTGCTCAATATTTATTTTAACATATTAAACAACCTCAGAAATATTCATTGCACGAAAACCTTTCTACGTTTGAGTGGATTAAATTTACAAACCCACAGTAATGCTATAAATTACATTTACATAATTCATTTCCCACTAAACAGAATTTGTTTAGCCTGTGTCTGCTAATATATGTGTTTAAGGAAAAAGCAGCACCTGTATTGTTGGCCACGCAGTTAATTTAGATTAAATAGAATTTAGAAGGCATCTTTGTGTTTCTTTGTTACTGGGCTTACCCTCTCCACCATCCAACATCTGAATTTTACAATTAAACAGCATATATGTGTGTGGTCGTAGGTGAGGAGAGAAATCTGCTAAACAAAACCCAAGCCTCCCTTATTTTTGCTTTTCAGAATGTTCTGTGATGTCCTCTCAAATCATCTATTACTTGTGTTTTGCTAATTTTGTGTAATACGGGAAAGACAGAAAGAGATGAACAAACTGGGTTGGAGGTCAGATGGAAACTTTGAAACCAGCAGTTTGAGCCCAGATGAATTTGAAGTGACAAGGTAGAAAGAAGCAAGAGTTAGTACGTTGACGATGCACACAGGGACCCGAAGAGCCACAGATCTTCTTTCCTTTTGCATTTACATCTATTTTCACAGATGAGGGTGAGGGCCATCAACGCATTTGCTGCTGCAATTTCAGGTTTTAGAATGTTTTGAACAATATGCCTCAAATCACACCAATAATTAGGGGACCCTTCATTATCGAATGTTAGTCCTCTAATGATGTTACTGGCAGAGAGGAGATATCGGCTTCACCTTGCAAGGCTTGGTTTTGTGTGGCTGGCACTGAAACAGGCATTGTTCGCCTCAATTTCTCCTCTCTTTTTTCCCAGTATTCTATTAAACCTCTTTGTTGAGAGACCCAGCTGCTTGTTTTCTCTCAAGATAATGACTGAAAAATGCACTTTAAAAAAATCATGGGGAACATTATTTCTGGATGGTCTGTCTGCTCTTTCTTTTTCCTGTCATCTGGTGATGATGACTTTCAATAATCCCTTGGTAATAAAAATTCATTTGAACACACAGACCAAATATGGAGCTTAAATTACCACAGAAACTGTGGACTATTCCCCTTCTTTTCAGCTTAATGGGGATTCTTCACTTTCTTTTCCCCCCAATATATCTATTTTTAAAAAACCTAAAGTATAATTTAAATACAATAAGATTTGCAGATTTTACATATACAGTTTTCTGAGTTTGGACTTATGTACATTCCCATGTAACTGCTATTCCCACCAAGATAAGGAACATTTCCGTTGCCCCAGAAAGTTTTCTCATTTCCTGCCCCAATCTACCCTCCTCCAGAAAACTCCCACTGTTTGGATTTTTATCACCACAGATTAGTTTTGCCTGCTTTTATGCATTCATTACATAAATGAAATCACACAGTATGTATTCTTTTCGGTCTGGTCTTTTCACTCAGCACAATGTCTTTGAGATCATTCCTGTTGCCGCATGTATCAGTAGTTTGTTCCTTTTTATTGCTGAGATGTAATCCATTTTGTGGATGGAGCACAAATGATCTAGCTTTCTGTTCATGGGCACATCGATTGTTTCCATTTTTGGCTATTTTGAATAAGGTTACTGTGAACATTTATGTATGCAATGTTGTGCGGATATTCGTGCAGATATTCACTTTCATTTTTGTTGGGTAAATACTGAAGTGTACAATTGCTGGGCTGTATGGGAGGTGTGTGTTGTACTTTAGAAGAAAGTGCCAAAAAGTTGTTCAAAGTGGTTGTATCTTTTTAAAAAAACATCAAAACATGGATGTGTGGAAAGCCGATTTTGGTCTCTGGCAAATTCTATTGTGAGATTTTTGAGGGGATTGACAGGGTGCTCTGCCTCTGCCTTGCTTTTTGACCCACTTTAATTTTGGGGGGTACTTGGCTCCTGTCTACAAAGAGATTTGAAGCATTAGAAATTGTGCAACTTGGCTTTCTTTCTTTCTTTCTTTCTTTCTTTCTTTCTTTCTTTCTTTCTTTCTTTCTTTCTTTCTTTCTCTTTCTCTCTCTCTCTTTTCTCTCTCTCTCTCTCTCTCTGTCTTTCTTTCTTTCTTTCGAAAAAGAAATCTCAGGAGGTTTCAGGCAAATGTCCTGAGGAAATGAGCCTCTGACCCATTTCCCTGCAGGCTGTATGCTCTGGTAGATTGCTCACTTGAATGGTGGGGAAGTGCGGAGGTCTCAAAGAAGGCCACGTCTACAGGCTCTGTGCTGAAGTGGAGCATATCATTCTGCAGCAGGAAGTCAAGATATCAACCCCTCCATCAGAACACAGAATCTCCATGAAAAATCTGTCAGAGAAAGATGAAGAATCTCAGCAAGAGAACAGCTCTCTCTTTGGTCACTGGGACAAAGACTAGGACCCATTTATAGCTTGCTAATGTTTTGCTAGACAAATGCTAGCATCTTTTTTTTCACATTATATGCTGTTCACATGTCTTGCAAATAATCATAAATCAACAGACTTAGACATGTCACCATGATGTATGTTCTGATCAGTTTACCTTGGTATTAATGAATAGAAAAAAAATACTGTCTTTTACTACCCTTTTCTTGTAAATCTTAGCAAAGCAGGTAAGGAACTGAGGTATGAAGCTGGGGGTGTGAGCACTGCTTTCTTTCCTTCTTGGGGGTGGATTATCATAATCCACAGAGCCCTATTTTAAGATCAGAGTCTCTGGTCTCTTAAGTTTGACAACAGATGCCAGACTCTGTTTCTACTTCCAGCTTTGCAAATAGGCACCCCGTTTGTATAAAAACAATCGAAGGAGGAGCTGATATCAATAACTTAATTGAAATCTTCTTTCTCCATTCATCCCCACTCCTACGTTGCCCCTGCAATTTGTGATTCATGTCAATATATCAGATTATTCTGACCAAATGAGTCAATTGAAATGAGAATATTTAAATAGATATTTATTTACATCATTAAAAATGCTCTAAGTTAACAATAAGAAAACAGACAATCTAAGTAAAAAATGGACAAAATATCTGAACAGACACCTCACCAAAGAGGATATGCAGATGGCAAATAAGCATATAAAAAGATACTGAACATCATATATCATCAGGGAATTGGAAATTAAAACAATAATGAAATACCACAGTTACAGGATATTTGGGGTGTCAGTTTTCTGGCCAGAAACCTCTGTGGCTATGGTGCCTTTACTTAAGGTCTTGTCCTGCATCCAGGAAGAATGGGGTATGCAGACAAGTGAAGGGTGAACAAGACGCAGATGAGCTATAGAGTGTTACAACAGCTCAGAGGAGACCCACAATGGGTAGCTCCTTTCTGTAGGCAGGTCATCCCTCAAGTGTTCAGTTCTTAGCAGAGAGGAGGCCCTGGAGAAGATGGCTCCTCTCTGCTAGCAGGTCATCTCTGCAGCTCTCAGCAGAGAGGGTAGCTCCTCCCTGCTACTGGTTGTCCTGTCATCTCCAGCTATCAGCAGAGAGGGTACTCCTCTCTGTAGCTGGTGGTCCTGTCCTCTTTCTGCCCTCTTCCTCCTCTGGCTGTCCTCTGCCGTGTTCTGGCTGAGCCTAGGGCTTTTATGGACCTCAGAGGGGAGGAAGTGCATGCAGATTGGTCCATGGGTAGCCATGGATGGGTGGAACAGGCACCAGAAGTCCCCACTCTGGTCTGTGGGACTGGCAGCCTGGTCCCCAGCCTTCGGGTCTTCCCTGGCCTGAAGGTAGAGCCTTACAAGTACCTGCCTTCTTCCACCCAGGACTCTGCCTCCTGCTGCCATTCAAGGCCCCAGGACTTGGCCCCAACCCTACTCTGAGAGTGGAGCAGGTGCAGGGAGAGAAGAGAAGCCAGGCAGTGGGAGCCAACATCCCTGAGCCTTTGGGGCATCAGGGACAGTCCTTTCCTGACCTGAGGGTGCAGGCTGTAGAGATGCCTGGGTTCTGTGCCTGGGAGGGCAGCCACAGCTGCACTCAGGAAGGCAGATCCTGCCTGCTCCCAGCCCTCCCCCAAGAGCACAGGGAGCTCAGATCCACAACTGCAGTTTGGGCGGCTGTAGCCCTACCCAGGAGGGTGGGGATGGCTCCTGCCTGCTCTGTAGAGCAGGAGGCCTGGGTCTGCAGCTATGGTTTGGGTGGCTACAGTGGCACCTGAGGAGCTCCTGCCCCAACTCAGATGGAGTGGGGTTCCCACTGGCTCCATGGAATGTGCAGCCACAGCTGGGCCTCCCTGCTGCAGCCAGTGTGGTGATGGCCGCTGCTGTCATAACCACTACACACCTATAAGAAGGGTGAAAAAATCATTAAGAAATAAGAGAATGGTGAGAATCCAAAACACTGAGGATACCAAATGCTCATAAGGATGTGAAGCAATAAGAACCCTCATTGCTGGTAGCAATTTGTCAGTTTCTTAGCAAATGAAACATACCCTTACCATAAGATTTAGCAATCATACTCCTTGGTATTTACTCAAATGAATTGAAAATTATGTCTACATAAAAACTTGCACACATTATTCACAATAGCAAAGACATGGAATCAACCTAAATGCCCATCAATGGTAGACTATATAAATAAAATGTGGTACATATACAACATGGAATACCATGCAGCCATAAAAAAGAATGAGATCGTATCCTTTTCAGGAGCCTGAATGGAGCTGGAGACCACCATCCTTAACAAACTAATGCGAGAACAGAAAACCAAATACTGCATATTCTCACAAGTGGGAGCTAAATGATAAGAACATATGGACACAAAGAGGGGAACAATAGACACTGGGGCCTATTTGAGGGTGGAGGATGGAAGGAGGGAGAGGAGCAGAAAAAAATAACTGTCAGGTCCTATGCTTAGGGTGGATGACAAAATAATCTGTACAGCCAACCCTGTGACATAAGTTTACCTATATAACAAACCTGCACATGTATCCCTAAACCTAAAATAAAAGCTTTTATAAACCTTGCACATAAATATTTATAGCAGCTTTATTCATTATTGTCAAGCTTGGAAGTAACCAAGATGTCATTCAGTACATGAATGGATAAACAAACTGTAGTACCTTCATACAATATAATATTATTCAGTGATAAAAAGAAGTGAGTTATCAGGCTCTGAAAAGACATGAAAGAGGCCCTTTGTTCTGCAGCTGGGACCTCCATCTTCTCCTGCCTTGGAAATCACCCCATTCTCAGGCCTCCAGCTTCAGACTGAATTCCGCCACTGGCTTTCCTGGTTCCCTAGTTTGCAGATGGCATTTCATGGGAATTCTCAGCCACCATAATCATATGAAAAACTCAGCCACCAGCTAGCCAATAGCATACCTGAGCAGGGAGTGGAAGGTTTCATATGATATCATGGCTGGGATATAGTCACTATCAAGACAGAGAGAACCCCCGACGTGGCCCCCTGGATTCAAGAAAGCAATTCTTCACTTGGACACTCAACCTGAAGCAGAGAATCCAAGAAAAGTACAAAGCAAAGATTTTCACCTTTTTGTGTCTTCAAAGAGTCCCCAACCTTTTTGTGGGAAAGAGGTGGCTGGTTCTTATTTTCCTAAAATCTCACAATATCTAAGGGGTAGGTGAGGACTAGGCATTTGCCCCAACCCCCTTCTCACTAGAAGTGCTAAAGGGATTTGGCCATAATAGCAGCTGTTTCATAGCCAGTCTTGCAGAAACTTTTTTGCAACCTGGTGCAAATGCCTGTCCCATGGAACCAGAAAAAAAGATCAAGCACATTGTGATTGCCACTAAAAAATTAGAATTGAGGTATGCTCCTGTCTTGGTCTGTTCATGCTGCTATAACAAAATACCATAGAATGGGTGATTATAAACAACAGAAATTGAGTTCTGAAAACTGGGAAGTCAAAGGTCAAAGTGCTGGCAGATTTACTGTCTGATGAGGGCCTGCTTTTTGGTTTATAGGTGGCCTTTCTACCAGTGTCCTCATATGTGGAAGAGGCAAGCTAGCTCTCTGGGGCCTCTTTTTATAAGGACACTAATCCCATTCATAAGGGCTCTGACCTCGTAACCTAATCACTTCCCAAAGGCCCCACTTTGTAATTTCATCATATTGGTGATTAAATTTCAACATGCCATCATCAGTGTTGGGGAACCGTGAGGAATCTGTTTTTGTATGGGTAAGATCAAGAGGTCAAAAACACAGGAGCAAATCTTTGTGGCCCTGGATGAGGGAATGGTTTCTTAGATATGACATCAAAAACACAAACAACAAAAGAAAAAAAATAGATACATTAGACTTCATGAAATTTAAAACTTTTGTGCTTCCAAGAACACTGTAGAGAAAGTGAAAAGATAAACCATGTTCAAGTGGGGGGCAAGTGAAAGCTCTGCTCCAAAGGCAGCAAATAAATGTGTTCAGAGGAGTCTATTCCATGTCCATTGATCAGAGAGATATTGACAAATTTAAATGAACATGGCTTTGTATTTAATGAAGTGGCTCTGAAGTGCCACATGGAATGCCAAACCTCTGTTTCAGGTTTCTTAGACATATTTATTTGTTGTTTCTCTAATTTGTGGGCATGGTTGGATCCTTACTGAACAATTAATTGATGGAAAAGCCAAAATGAGAAGCAAGCACCTTTTTTTCTTTTCTAGGCGGCTGCTGAGCTTGAAGGTTTTAAAATATTTTTGGCTTGATCATTCTAGAGTCAAGGTCAGTCAGCTTGGAAAGCCTAGGATTCATATTCTTTCAGTGGTAAAATAAGTATCTGGATGACCTAGGTACCACATATACTACCTGAGGAAGCAAGTTGATTCCATGGAAAAAGTGTAGACCACTATTATTTTTTGCTTGGATGACTAAAAGCTTCCTAATTTCCCTTAGTGCAAATTCTGGCTCCACTAATTTGTAAATGTTTCACTTTAGGCAAGTTACATAATCCTTGCTGAAGTCTCAGTTTTTCTTTAAGGAAAATGAAAATAACCATAACTACCTTGCACAGTTGTTAAAAGAATGAAATAGGATTATACAAAGAACTTAGTATAGGACTTGGTAAATAGTAGGTTCTTAGCAGATAGTGGGACCTGTAGATAATCTCTAAATGTGGTTTCCAAATTGGGGGAAGCCAGTATATCTCTCCTATACATTCACATCTTGTATCTGCTTGCTAGCCTTGGTGTGATTTCTCTCTGATGGATTTATTATTTACATGTTTATCTCTTTACTGGACTTTAGCTACCTAAGACAATGGTGGAACTTACTCTTTCTATCCCCAATGACTAGCAGTGGACTTAGTGAATGTTTGAATGAATAAAAATCTCTCCCACTGTATATATTGGGAGGAAAGAAAATATCAATTTCACCAGTGCCCACCCTATTGAAGACTTCTCAGACTGAAGCCATCCGTGAGTGTATACCCTTGTCTTTTAGAGTACAGTGATCACTATTCATAGATGTTCTCATCAAGCAGGACATGAAGGAAAAAAATGTCCTCTTTTCTGTGCAAACTGAACTTCAGTGTTTGTAATCTTATCAGACTGGGCTGGAAAGAAGTAAAATAATATCATGGACCATTAGTGGTCACAAGACATAGTGTTTATAGAATCCTCCAAATGAAATCTTTCCTGTTTTTCATTGTGTGGGTGTATTAGTCCATTCTCGCATTGCTATGAAGGAATACCTGAGACTGGGTAATTTATAAAGAAAAGAGGTTTAATTAGCTCATGGTTCCACAGGCTGTACAGGAAGCATGATGCTGGCATCTGCTTGGCTTCTGGGGAGGCCTCAGGAAACTTACAATCATGGCCAAAGGCAAAGGTGTAGCAAGGCATCTCACATGGCGGGAGGAGGGGTTTGGGGAGGTGCCACACACTTTGAAATGACCAGATATCATGAGAACACACTCATGACCATGAGGACAGTACCAAGGGGATGATGCTAAACCATTCCTGAGAAATTCACCTGCATGGCTCAGTTACCTCCCACCAGGCCCCACCTCCAACATTAGGGATTACGATTTGACATGAGATTTGGTAGGAACACAGATCCAAACCATGTAATTCCACCCCAGCTCCTCCCAAATCTCATATCCTTCTCACGTTGCAAAATACGATCATGCCTTCCCAACGGTCCCTCAAAGTCTTAATTAATTCCAGCATTGACTAACTCAAAAGTCTGAAGTCTCAACTGAGACAAGGCTAGTCCCTTCCACCTATGAGCCTGTAAAATAAAGAACAAGTTAGTTATTTCCAAGATACAATGGGGGCACAAGCATTGGGTAAACATTCCCATTCCGAAAGGGAGAAATTGGCCAAAAGAAAAGGGCTACAGGCCCCACGTAAGTCTGAAACCCAGCAGAGCAGCCATTAAATCTTAAAGCTCCAAAATGATCTCCTTTGACTCCATGTCCCACAACCAGGGCACACTGGTGGAAGGGGGTGGGCTCCCAAGGCTTTGGGCAGCTCTGCCTCTGTGGCTTTACAGGACTCAGCCCCTGTGCCTGGTCTCATAGGCTGGCATTAAGTGCCTGCAGCTTTTCCAGGTGCAGGGTGCAAGCTGTTGGTGAATCTATCGTTCTGGGTTCTGGAGGACAGTGGCCCAGTGGGGACTCTGTATGGGGGCTCCAATCCCACATTTCCCCTCTGCACTGCCCTAATAGAGGTTCTCCATGAGGGATACACCTCTTTAGAAGTCTTTTTTTTTTTTTTTTTTGAGACGGAGTCTCGCCCTGTTGCCCAGGCTGGAGTGCAGTGGCGCGGTCTCGGATCACTGCAAGCTCCGCCTCCCGGGTTCGTGCCATTCTCCTGCCTCAGCCTCCAGAGTAGCTGGGACTACAGGCGCCAACCACCGCACCTGGCTAATTTTTTTTTTGTATTTTTAGTAGAGATGGGGTTTCACCGTGTTAGCTAGGATGGTCTCGATCTCCTCACCTCGTGATCCGCCCACCTTGGCCTCCCAAAGTGCTGGGATTACAGGCGTGAGCCACCGTGCCTGGCCTTTGGCAGGCTTTTGCCTGGACATCTAGGCTTTTCCATACATCCTCTGAAATCTAGGTGGAGGCTCCCAAGCCTCAACTCTTGCATTCTGTGCACTTGCAATGAAACAACACACTTCTAAATAACACATACATCAAAGAAGAAATCTCAAGAGAAATTAAAAAATAATTTGAACTAAATAAGAGTAAAAATAGAATAACTGAATAAATCAAAATTTGTGAAATGCAGAGAAAGCAGTGCTTAGCAGGAAATTTATAGCATTGAATGCATATATTAGAAAAAAGATCTAAAATCAATAATCTATCTTCCGTATTAGGAAACTAAAAAAAGAAGTACAAATTAATCCCAAAGTAAGCAGAAGAAATAAAAATTACAGCAGGAATCCATGGAGTTAAAAACAGGAAATCAATAGAGAAAAGAAATCAAAAGCTGGTTCTTTGAAAAGATCAATAAAATTGATGTCTCTAGCCAGGTTAATTAAGAAAAAAAGAGAAAAGATAATGGCCAGGCATGGTGATGCAAGCCTTTAATCCCAGCTATTTTGGAGGCTGAGGTGGGAGGATCACCTGAGCTCAGGAGTTTGAGTTTGAGGCCAGCCTGAACAGCATGCAAGACGCTGTCTCTAAAACAGAGGGGGTGGGGGGAAGAGACAGAGAGAGAGAGCAAGAGAGAGGGAGAGAAGACAGAAATTACTCATATCAGAAATGAAAGAAAGGACATCACTACAAATCCTATGAGTATCAAAAGGATAATAAAGGTATATTATGAACAACTCTATGCCTACAAATTTGACAACCTAGATGAAATGGATAAATTCCTTGAAAGACATATGTGCTAAAACTCACACAAGAAGAAACAGACAATCTGAATAGGCCTATATCTATTAAAAATATTGGATCAATAGTTAAAAACTTCCCAAAACAGAAAACACCAGGACAAGATGGATTCACTGGGGAATTCTACCAAATATTTAAGTAAGAAATCATACCAATTCTATACAATCCTTTTCAGAAGATAAAACCCCAGAAAAAAACTTCCTAATTCATTCTGTGAGGGTAGCATTACTCTAATATCAAAACAAGACAAAGACGTTACGAGAAAGCTACGAAACAATATATCTCATAAATACAGATGGAAAAATCTTTGACAAAATGTTAGCAAATCCTCAGATGCTCAAGACCCTTATATAAAATGGTGTAATATTTACATATAACCTACACACTTCCTCTTGTATATTTAAAATAATCTCTAGATTACTTATAATACCTAATACAATGAAAATGCTATGCAAATAGTTATTATACTGTAGTGCTTTTTAAATTTGTATTATTTTTTATTTTGTACTTTTTTAAAAAAAATTATTTTTGATCTGCTTGTTTGATTTTTTGTTCTGTTGTTTGAAATCACAGATGGAAACCTGAGGATATAGAGGGCTGACTGTATGTGAGCACTCCCCAAAATGAAATACTAAGATATGAATTTAACAAAATATGTACAATAAAATAATAACTGAATAAATGAAGAGATCTTTCATGTTCATGGATAGGAAGGCTCAATATCATCAAGATGTTGATTCTTTAAAATTTGATCTATAGATTCAGCACAATCCCAGTCAAAATCCTGGGAAGCTGTATTGTGGTTATAGACAATGATTGGAAAGTTTGTACAGAGAGGCAAAAGACTCAGAATAGTCAATTCTATATTGAAGGAGAAGAAACAAAGTTGGAAGACTGACACTACCTGACTTCAAGACTAACTATAAAGCTACAGTAATCAAGACAGTGTGGTATTGACAAATAGATCAATGGAACAGAATAGACAGCCCAGAAAAAGACCCATACAAATACGGTCAACTGATCTTTGATGTAGGAGCAAAGGCAGTACAATAGAAGAAAGATAGTCTTTTCAACAAACAGTGCTGGAGAAACTAGACATCCAAGTGCAAAAAAAAAAAAAAAAGAATTTAGACATAGACTTATACCTTTCATAGAAATTAACTCAAAATGGATCATCAACCTAAATGTAAAATGCGTAACAATAAAACTTCTAGAAGATAACACATGAGAAAACCTAGATGGCCTTGAGTATAGTGATAACTTTTTAAATAGAGTGCCATAAGCATGATTCATAAAAGAAATAATTGGCCAGGCATGGTGGCTCATGCTTGTAATCCCAGCACTTTGGGAGGCTGAGGTGGGTGGATCACGTGAGGTCAGGAGTTCAAGACCTGACCAACATGATGAACCCCTGTCTCTACTAAAAATACAAAAAATTAGCTGGGCATGGTGGTGCACACCTGTAATCCTAGCTACTTGGGAGGCTGAGGCAGGAGAATCGCTTGAACCTGGGAGGCAAAGGTTGCAGTGAGCTGAGATTGCACCACTGCACTCTCGCCTGGGCAACAAGAGTGAAACTCCGTCTCCAAAAAAAAAAAAAAAAAAAAAAAAAGAAAGAAAAAGAAATAAGTGGTAAACTGGACTTCATTGAAATTAAAAACTTCTACAAAAGACACAGTCAAGAGAATGGGAAGACAAGTCACAGACAGGAAGAAAATATTTGCAAAAGATATATTCGATAAATGACTGTTATCCAAATACACTAAGAACTCTTAAAACCCCACAATAATAAAATGAACAAACTAATTAAAAAATAGGCAGGAGACCTGAGCAGGCACCTCACCAAAGAAGATATACAGAGGGTAAATAAGCATATGATAAGATGCTCAACATCATATGTCATTACAAAATTGCAAATTAAAACAAAAGTGAAATACCATGGTACACCTATTAGAATGGTGAAAATAAAAAACACTGATAACACCAAATGCTGGTGAAGATGTAGAGCAACAGAAACTCTCATTCACTGCTGATGGGAATGCAAAATGGTACAGTCATTTTAGAAGAGAGTTTGGCAGTTTCTTACAAAACTGAACATAGTCTTATTATAAGATCCAGTAATCATGCCCCTTGGTATTTACCCAAATGAGCTGAAAACTTATGCCCACACAAAAACTTGCACACAAGTGTTTATAGCAGTTTTATTCATAATTGCCAAAACTTGGAAGCAATCAAGATGGCCTTCAGTAGTGAATGAATAAATAAACTGTGGTATATACAGACCATGCAGTATTATTCAGTGCTAAAAAGAAATGAGCTATCAGGCCGGGCGCGGTGGCTCACACCTGTAATCCCAGCACTTTGGGAGGCCAAGGAGGGTGGATCACGAGGTCAGGAGTTCAAGACCAGCCTGGCCAAGATGGTGAAACCCCATCTCTACTAAAAATACAAAAAAATTAGCTGGGAGTGGTGGTGGGCACCTGTAATCTCAGCTACTCGGGAGGCTGAGGCAGAGAATTGCTTGAACCCGGGAGGTGGAGGTTGCAGTGAGCCGAGATCACACACTCCAGCCTGGGCAACAGAGCGAGACTTTATCTCAAAAAAAAAAAAAAAAAAAAGAGCTATCAAGTCATGAAAATACATGGAGGAAACTTAAGTGCACATTACTAAGTGAAAGCAGACAATCTGAATATACTACATACTATATGATTCCAAACATATGACATTTTACAAAAGGCAAAATCATGGAGACAGTAAAATAATGAGTGGTTGCCAGGGACTGGGGGGAGAGTGGGATGAGTAAACGTAGCACAGAGGATTTTTAGGGCAATGAGATGATTCTGCATGGTGATATAATAGTAGATACATGCTACTATACAATTTGTCTCCACCCACAGAATGCTTAGCACCAAGACCTGATGTAAACTAGGGACTTTGGGTGATAATGATGTATCCATGCAGCTTTATCAATTGTAGCAAATGTTCCACTGTGGATCAGGATGTTAACAGTGGGAGAGGTTGTGCATGTGTGGGCTAAGGGGTATATGGGAACTCTCTGTACTTTCCATTCAATTTTGCTGTGAACCCAAAACTGTTCTAAAAAATAGTCCATTAACAAAAAAAAAAAAAAGAATGTACATTCTTTATCTGTAATTGCTCCTAATTTGTAGCAATTCAGGGAAAACAGCTAGGGAAAGCAGGTTATCAACACAATGCACAAAATAGGCGTTGAGAACCTCAAAAATGATATCATTTGTTAATGCAGAACCCGGACTGGTCCCAGGTCTTCATCAGGATGGGTTGATGATTTTGATTTGGGGGTAGGTTCAAAGTTTGGAGAGCACAGAGGACATGCAAAAGTAATTCCATGTGCTTCTCAGATTATGGATTTGGTGTGTAAGAAAGGTTTTATTTTTAAATTTTTCTTAATTCTCTCAAGTTTTTCTTCTGGTGGAAAACTCAATGTTGGTCATTATTAGAGCTTTTTATTTTCACCTCCGGTTTAAAAAGGTCCTGGGGTCTTACTCACTGCCAAGCATTGGAGGGTGAGCCTCTTGTCATCCAGGTACCTCTCCCATGCCTACCATCTTAGCTTACATGGTACCTCCAGGCTTGGCAGCCCTGCTGTTTCTTCAAGGCTCAGGAATTTATGGTGAGGCAGGGATCCTACCTACTCACTAGCTGGACAGCTATGTTTTTCAGCTAGTTAATAGAACTGTCTATACACAAGGAGGAAAAGGAAGTGAGAACAAGAATGAAAGAAAGGGAAAGAGAGAAGAGAATAGAGAAGAGAAGAGAGAGAAGAGAAGAGAAGAGAAGAGAGGAAGGAGTGCCCAATGAGGTGCAAATGTCCATGAGAGAACACTGGGGTTAAGTCAGGTGAACAGGCAGTAAAAATCCAAAGCTCCCCTGTGTTGGACAGATGTCTGGTCCTTAAGGTACCTTTCTTAGCTGGGTGGTCTAACAACACCTTTCAAAAATGTGCCTGCCCCCCCACCAAAAAATAGGGGAAAAAACATGCTTCCCCAGAAAGACAAATACCACATGTTCTGACTCATATGTGGGAGCTAAAAAAGTGGATCTCATGAAGACAGAGAGTAGAATAATGGTTGCCAGAGGCTTGGAAGGGTAATGAGGAGGAGGGCATGAAGAGAAGTTGATTAATGGGTGAAAATATACAGTTTGATTGAAGAAATAAAACCTAGTGTTCAATAAATCAGTAGGGTAACTATAGTTTACAATAAGCCATTTTACCTTTCAAGATAGCTAGAAGAGAATAATTCAACTATTTCCAGCATAAAGACAAATGTTTAAAGTGATGGTTATCCCAACTACACTGACTTGATCAAACTTACAAATTATATAAATGTATTAAATTATCACATGTACCTTGAAGCTATGTATATTTATTATGTATCAATAAGAAATTGTTTCCGAAAAAGTGCCCCCCAATTGTTTTTATGGGAACTTTCCTCTTCTTTGGGACCAGCCCCTGAGAGTTAATATAGATCAAGTTGGAATACATTTGTTTTGTTTATATTTTAAGCTTATAAGTGAGAAAGGCCATTTCTTTCTCTCTCTCTCTAAGAGGTAGATATGAGCTGAACATAACAGCCGTACAATTTTAAGCTTCCAGGATGAAATTTTCCTTCTCCAAGGGATGAGGTTTTTAGTGCTGAACCCCTGTTAGCCTCAATAGGGAAGGCACCGGGATCAAGATGCCAAAGAAGAGACCGAGAGTCAGCAAAGGAGATGGAGTTTTATTAGGGGCTTCCATACAGGGGAGAGAGTCCAGTGGCCGTGGGCTGAATGGGATAACTGCTTTATGTGCAGAAACAGTCCAGTGGCAGTGGGCTGGACAAGATATCTGCCTTACATACAGTCCAGTGGCATTGGGCTGGGCAGGAAAACCATAACCACTTGCAAATAACATGCAGTTTATGTAGAATTTTCACTGACCACCCTCTCCCTAACAACCTCCCCTTTATAACCTTCACTTAAGCCAAAATTCAGGGTCTCAGTTCTCTGTAAGACCTGTGTCCCACGGGTGGGCTAGGGGCTCAGTTGCTCCTCATAGATAAGGAACGACTCTCCTGGTTGGCTGTTCCCCGATCCCATAGTTTGGAATGCACCTTCAGGTATACCTTCCATGCAGAGTCAGTCCAAGGGTATGCTTAAGCTATTGCTGCCAGGTGCGTTTACCCTACAGGTTTAAATTTACCTTTCAAGCAGTCTGCGCTATTATTTGGGAACACCATCACAGTGAATGTTTAATCAGGAAGCAAGAACCCCTGCTTTGTCCTTGTGGAAGATGTGAACATTAGGAACTTACCCAAAGGCCTGGGCCTAGGGTTCCTGAAGTTCAGTCCTTGAAGTCCCGCCTTGGGGGGTCTGCTGGACAATAGTAATGGGTGGGTGTTCTAATGAGTCTCTCTGTGGATGTGGTTGGTGCTTTTTAGCTTGGTAGTGGCAGGAAGCATTGCTTTTCTTTGTAAGAATTCCAATCTCTGTGCTTCTTGCTTGTTCTTGGGAGGTGAGTGTGTGTGGCGTGTGTGTGGTGTGTGTGGGGTGGTGTGTGGGGGGGGTTGTGTGTGTGTAGGGTGTGTGTGAGTTGTGTGTGTGTGGTGTGTGTGTGGTGTATGTGTGGGGTTGTGTGTGTAGGGTGTGTGTGAGGTGTGTGTGTGTGGTGTGTGTGTGGTGTGGTGTGTGTGTGTGGTGTGTGTGGGGTGGTGTATGTGGTGTGTGTGTGGGGTTGTGGTGTGTGTATGTAGGATATGTGTGAGTTGTGTGTGGGGTGTGTGTGGGGTGTGTGTGGGGTTGTGTGTGTGGGGGGTGGTTGGGGGGGTGTGTGGGGGGTTGTAGGGTGTGTGTGAATTGTGTGTGTGGTGTGTGTGTGTGCGGTGTGTGTGTGGGGTGGTGTGTGTGGAGGGTGTGTGTGGGGTGGTGTGTGTGTGGTGTGTGTGGGGTGGTGTGTGTGTGTGGGGTTGTGGTGTGTGTGTAGGATGTGTGTGGTGTGTGTATATGATGTGTGCGAGTGTGTGTGTCTGGTGTGTGTGTGTGAATATTAAGCTGCTGCTCATGACAGGCAGGAGCTGAGACAGCTGTAAGGTGGGTCGCGCTGGAGAAGAGGGTGAGAAGCACTGCATTCCGTCACACTGGGTTTGGTCACACCAAAACCTGGATCTCACAGCAATGTTACAGAAGACTGAATAGGATTCCTGGAAATAATGTCCAGTTGAAGGACGTTGCCATTGTCAATCAGCTTTGTAAAACAGCAGGACCTGGGACCAGAAAAGGGTTCAGGAGGCAAGTCTCAGGCTGGAATAGGGTGAGGGGGGGCGGGGAGTTCGCCTGTCTTGCGCTCTTGTGGAGGTTGAGGTCCAGATGCTGAATAGAACAGTATTGAGTTCGCCTCTAGTGGGAATGGTAAGCTAGGACTATCTATTTGATGTGTGTAGAGGATCAGGCAAAGAGGAGGCAAGCAAGGGAAACTGCCTGTGAACCATAGAGAATCGATCTGCTATCCAGCTGTTTCTCTCTTTTGTTGTAACTCCCTTAAATTAACTCCAAACTCCAACCCCCCATAAGACCCCTTTTAAACCTTACGGCTTGGTTTCTGCATTCAATGATGGGAAGTCAGAGGAGTCCATTTTGGGGAGCAGAATGGTACAGCAGAAAACAGCAGCTGGAAAGAGGAAGATCCAGGGACCCCCCGGGAGCCACCACCGGCAGCCAGAGCCTCCCCAGTAGCTGAGGCTGCAGTGAGCCATGAAAACAGCATCCTGACAAGCGAAATGATTCCTTGGGATTCCCAGAAATGCTGGTGAAGAGGAAGCTGGTAGAAGAACTGGACTTCCTCAGGCCGAGTCAGTGGGAACCCGAGGCACCATCACTTTTTAATCACAAAGAAATGTGACTTTATTATGACACTTAAAACTAATGAAGCCTGGACATCTGGGCTGTATAATGTAAGGAACTGAGGCTTGGTTACTGTGTGGTTCATTGCTGCTCATTATGCTGTCAGACGAATGGGAATGAGGCCACACTCGGCTTGAAAATTGCCAGTAAACTCTGATGGAGAGGAACATTCTGCTTTCATTCTGTAAAATTAGAGACACAATGTAACACTCGCCGTCTAATTAGCTACAAAACATTGACATCAGTGTTCATGCTCTGCATATCAATACATGTTGCTCCGTTTGTGCATTTACACCATCTTCCTGATTACCAAATACCTTAGCAAATGGGACAGCAGATGTTTCCTCTCACAACTTCAACGTGGCATCTGCTCAAATCATTTGTCTCCTCCATCCCATTCAATTGCTAAGCCCCTATATTTTTCCTGACATCTGGGGGCTGGCTCTTTGCCTGTTCAACTAAGTTGGGTAACATTGAGTGCTTTCCTGCACTAAGTTGGTATTTAAGGGGAAGAGCTGAAAAATCACGTCTGCAGGCTTTCTAATCTGGTAAATGTTAATTTTACCCATACCTACCTCGGAATGATTTTCTCTGGGTCATGGAAATCTTTTATTTTTTATTTACTTATTTCTATTTGCTAGTTTAATAATGAACAGATATTATTGATATAATAACAATTTTTAAAAATGTAAGACTGATCATTCAGGAAATTTTAGTCAGATGCTACTTTCTAAGTCTTCCATTTCATTATTTTTTGTTTGTTTTTATTTGATACATAATACTTGTACATGTTTATGGTATACAGGGTGATGTTTCAATACATGTATACACTATGCAATGATCCAATCATGGTATTTAGTATATCCGTCACCTCAAACATTTATCATTTCTTTGTGGTGAGAGCATTCAGAATCCTCTCTTCTAGTTACTTTGAATCCATTAGGAATTCCATTCATAACAAGGTGGAGAGAGATGGGTGGATGGTATGGTAGTTTATCTCCAAGATGAATACTGTTAAGTTCTTTCTTTCCCTACAAGCCATTCTTCACTGAGAGGTGGAACTTATTCCACCACCTTAATGAATCTAGGCTGGCCCGTGACTTGCTCTTGACCAATAGAATATGGTGGAACTGACATAGTTTAACCTCCAAATCATAAGAAGCCTTGCAGCTTCTGTTGGGTCTCCTGGAATATTCCCTCTTGGGGAAATGCACGGACCACCTACTACCAGTCCAACTACTTTGAGACCACCATACTGCATAGGAAACCCAGCCTAGCCATGTGGAGAGGATGCTTGAGGATAGATGCTCAAGCAGCCCCCAGCTTTTCCAGCCTATACATGAGACATGAGAGTGGAGAAACCTTCTGATATGGTTTGGATATTTGCCTCCTCAAAATCTCATGTTGAAATGTGATCCCAATGTTGAATGTGGGAGATGTTGGGTCATGGGGGTGGATCCCTCATGAATGGCTATGAATATTATATATAATATATAATTATGTAATATATATAATATATATTATATACTCTATTTTATATATACTATATATAAATACTCCAATCTATTTTTTATACATATAAAAATATATATATATAAAATATATATATATACAATAGATTGGAGAAATCAAGGTAGGCTTCAAGTTCACAAGGGGCTGTTAGTGTAATGTTGTTTGAAGAAATACTGAAAGCTACCCAAAAGCATCTCCTTCTACCAGCCTGAAGTCCCCATTAATCCTTTTTCATCTCAACTTACCTAGGAAGAGCAGTACATAAATCTCCTGGGAACCTGGCAAGGCCTGGACTAGTCTGTCTGGGAGATCAGCTTGCTGAACCCTAAAGGGGAGTCCTGAAAGAGTGGATCAGAGACAGCTTTTTGAGGTCACTAAGAAAGGTCCAGGCACATGTGAAATGCCAATGTGAAGGAATCTGGGTAGCATGAGGCTGGGGCCTAGGACAACTCTGAAGACAAACTTCTCTCCCCTCCTAATTCTGCACAGAACTAGTCTTACATGAAGCTATTGTCAATTATTTTGGGTGCATCTTCTATATCCTAAGCACAATGGTCAGTACTTTACATAGATTATGATCTCTTTAACCCTCCCATGACCCTATATGTCAGACAGTTTTGACAGTGAAAGGGACACTGTTAATAATTATTCTTTTAATTATTCTAATCATTATAAAAATATTCTATATGCCAGGACCGTCCTAGGCCCACCTGGGCATATGATCACCCCTACCTGTGAACAAGTGTAGTTCCTTCCCTGATAGTACACCTGAGTAAACTGAGGCTTAGGATGTGAAGCCACTTGCTGAAGGTCACACAGCTGGTAAGTGGTGGAGGAGGATTTGATCCAAATAGTCTGGCTCCTGAGTCTATACTCTCTGCCACTACAGCTAACTATTGACATAGCTATTGTTTAATGCAAAAGTCAGTCTGGCAAGCTGAATTTGGCTCATAGATTCTGTTTTGGTTGACATTCATTATTTTTTTAGAAATTGAGCTTAGGCCAGGTGTGGTGGCTTATGCCTGTAAACCCAGCACTTTGAGAGGCTGAGACGGGTGGATCACGAGGTCAGGAGATTGAGACCATGCTGGCCAATATGGTGAAACCCCGTCTCTACTAAAAATACAAAAATTAGCTGGGCGTAGTCCCAGCTACTCAGGAGGCTGAGGCAGGAGAATCGCTTGAACCCAGGAGGCAGAGGTTGCAGTGAGCAGATATCATGCCACTGCACTCCAGCCTGGGTGATAGAGTGAGATTCCATCTTGAAACAAAAAAAAATGAGCTTAAATGCCTTTGGGTTGAGGCCTATCTGTTTCAGTTCACCTTATAATTTCCCTTGGCCCACTTGTCTTTTTTTCATAAGTGTAATCCCTGGAGGCATTTGATTTGGTAGCTCCTAAAGTAATACATTTCTAGCATCCTATGGTATCCCATTCTTTCTGCTTTCTGCCCACAGCCTTCTTTCATCCATTGACCTCTCCAGTCTCTTGTGTATGATACCATCAATCTCATATCCCCGTTTTCTCCACTCCTCTCTGACCTTCGTGGAAAAGCCTGCATATGGGTGAGCTTCTCACTTCTGTCCCAGTGTACCTATATATACAAAAGTCTCCAAGTGTAGCTGGTTATAATTTCCATTTCATGTGGTCACTCTAAAACCACTGAGTTTACAACATCCAGTAATCACTTGGAAATACCCCTCTTAATTGATAACAGTAGGTAGTGACTATTCAAAATAACTATAAACATTGCTGAGCATTTACTTAATATTTAAAAATCAGGATGAGAAATCCTTAAGCAGATAGCACATTTTTTTTCTCTTTTTCTTTTTTTGAGATGGAGTCTTGCTCTGTTGCCCAGGATGGAGTGCAGTGGCGTGATCTTGGCTCACTGCAACCTCTGCCTCCCAGGTTCAAGTGATTCTCCCGCCTCAGCCTCCTGAGTAGCTGGGATTACAGGTGCCCACAACCATGCCCAGCTAATTTTTGTACTTTTAGTAGAGACAAGGTTTCGCCATGTTGGCCAGGCTGGTCTCGAACTCCTGACCTCAAGTGATCCTCCTGCCTCGGCCTCCCAAAGCCCTGGGATTACAGATATGAGCCACCACGCCTGGCCATGATAGCACATATTTTTAAGTGTTTATAAAAATTGCTTGGGATTTTGAAGAATTTATTTCTTAAGGAATTTTGTGTATTTGGAGATATTCATGTATATAACTAATCAAAGGTTTAAAAGTTTTGAGCAGTGGCCAGGTGCGGTGGCTCACGCCTGTAATCCCAGCACTTTGGGAGGCTGAGGCAGGCGGATCACGAGGTCAGGAGATTGAGACCATCCTGATCAACATGATGAAACCCCGTCTCTACTAAAAATACAAAAAATTAGCTGGGCGTAGTGGCGGGCGCGTGTAGTCCCAGCTACTCGGGAGGCTGAGGCGGGAGAATGGCGCCACTGCCCTCCAGCCTGGGCGACCGAGCAACAGAGCGAGACTCCATCTCAAAAAAAAAAAAAAAAAAAAAAAAAAAAAAGTTTTGGGCAGCTTTAAAAATGTCTGAATCATGTACAAGAATTCCATGAAACCATAGAAGGAATGCTAATGAAACATGGGAGAACACTTAGATTTCAAGAGCCAAATTTTATATTACAATGATGAAGATGGACAGAGAACATCTTGATGAAAGAGAAGAGTGATTGAACATGAGCAGAGAGGAAGGACTCATTACATACAAGTACCAGATGCAAATATTGTCAAGCTCTAATCAGTATGGGAGAGCATTGCTTGGGAAATGTACGCTCTGGCTCAGGGCATGGTACAGAACTTGGAAACTCGTCTCATCCTTCATACACTCTGATCCAAATAAACCTTGCTTACTTAAAAGAAGACAGCTTCTTTCATGTTTGGTGTTCTCAACGCCCATCAACAGGTCACAGGAACAAACTTTTAATAGACTCTGTTCAAACCTCCAGAAATCTGTATTTAATTACAGGTTTGCTCAAGAATGTGATCATTGGATTAATTAAGGGTTGTGTGTGAGAGGAATGATTAATTTACTTGAGCTGATAGTCTTTATGAATACATTAATATACACTGACAAGTAAAATATGTGTATGTGTAGATTTTTATTAGTGACTATTAAGATCTACTAGAATGGGGAGGGCTACCTCAAGTCTAGCCACTTAGTGCCTATTATGTGTACACATCTATGACTAAAATTCTGTCTTTGGGCTTCACAGATTATATAAAGTAGCAAGGAGTTTTCTCTTTTCAGTAACTTAGTTTATGAGGGGGCCTGGATGCTGGTTGTATGGAAAGAGTCTTTACAAAATTTCCATTTAAGGAAGTAGTTGGTGACGTTTCTGTGTATTCACACTGATACTGCATATTCATGAATCACTGCTTGTCAACACCTCCAGGTTAGGTTAGATGAGCTCCGTGGTGCCTCTGACTTGGAAATTCTGGGTTTTATGTGGCTTATCAGCCATTTTTCCTGTCTGCGCTTACATTGAGCCATTTTCTACCAGGAGCCTTCTGGTTGCCAAGGGTCAAGCTTATTGTATTAGCTTGGTTCTGTTTGACTGATTCCACATTACTAGGAAGGCTTCTATAAATACAACCAAGAGGGAGAGTTTCTCAAAGACTTTTATCTAAGGCCATGCCACTGAATTCATGTAGAATAGAAATTTCTCTGGAGCAGATAGCCTACATTAAAAAGGATAGTTCTGCTGGGCATGGTGGCTCACACCTGTTATCCCAGCACGGTTATCCCAGCACTTTGGGAGGCCGAGGCGGGTGGGTTGCTTGAGCCCAGGAGTCCGAGACCAGCATGGGCAACGTGGTAAAACCCTGTCTGTACAAAAAATACAAAAAACAAAACAAAAACTAGCTGGGCATGGTGGCACAGGCCTATGGTCCCAGTTACTTGGGAGGCTAAGACAAGAGAATCACTTGAGCCCTGGAGGGGAGGTTGCAGTGAACTGAGGTTGCGCCATTGACTCCAGCCTGGGCAATGAAGTGAAAACCTGTCAAAAAAAAGAAAAAGGCAACTGAATTTTGACTCCCCTTTCCCTTTCTAATATACAAATGTCTTTCATTGACATAGTTTTTGCATCTTTGAAGCTAACCTTCTCTGCAGTGCGTGTCTTTGCCTGCCTGACTAGATCAGCAAACTGCTACACTGCTACCCACCCTTCTCTGGAATGTTCTCTTTCCTAGAATGTAAATTATGTGCATCAAATAGGAACTGCCACCTTTTAAAAAGATCTCATCCCTTGAGCTGTTTTTTGGTCCAAGGGTGAACACCTGGCCCATCCTAGACCAATTAAAATCCTTCCCCAAGAGTTTTTAATCAGGTTTCCTTTGATGGCAAAGTCAGGATATATGAGTCTAGGAGCTGCTAGAGCTATATTTCCTGACATAATTCAGCCATTTTTAAATTGCCTAAAACTTTTCAACTTTTGGAGAAAGCCAGCCCATCCAACAGAAGGAAATGGATACTTTGAGAAAGAAACACATTTCTCTGTCTCACACGCACACAAGTTCTAACAGCAGTCAAAGCTTAGTCTCAGAGTCTCGCTCTTCTGATTTTTCTGCTATTATAAAACTTTTTCTATTAAAGTAGTTCAAGTAGGCCAGGCACGGTGGCTCACGCCTGTAATCCCAGCACTTTGGGAGGCTGAGGCGGGAGGATCACGAGGTCAGGAGTTCGAGACCAGCCTGGCCAATGTGGTGAAACCTTGTCTCTACTAAAATACAAAAGTTAGCTGGGTGTGGTGGTGCATGCCTGTAGTCCCAGCTACTCGGGAGGCTGAGGCAGGAGACTCTCTTGAACCTGGGAGGTAGAGGTTGCGGTGAGCTGAGATCACGCCACTGCACTCCAGCCTGGGTGACAGAGTGAGACTCCATCTTGAAAAAATAAATAAATAAATAAAGTAGTTCAAGTGAATTTATGATGCTTAAAACTAAAAGTGATGGCTAAGAATATGAAATCCTCAAAGTTCGGAGCATAGGTTTTGCAGTCATAGTGCCTAGGATCAAATCCTGGCTCCGCTTCCTAACTGTGACTTAGGACAAGTTACTCATTTCACCTCTCTAAGCCTTAGTACATTTGTGAAATGGAAATCATATTGGTCCCTACCTCATAGGATAGTGATCAGCATTAAAGGATATCATATTGTTTCAATTATTTATTGCTACCTAACAAACCACCCCAAAACTTGATAGGTTAACACAATGTCAACCATTTGCTTGCTCATGGTTCTGCAATCTGGGCACGGCACAACTGGTCTCTGCTCCATGGGGTATGGCTGTGATGATTCAATTGGGACTGGAGGCTTCAAGATGGCATTACTCACATGCCTGCTGCCTCAAAAGGGTAGCTACAAAGACTGAGGACTGTTTGGATCTCTTTTTCTGTCTATGTATTGTCTCTTATTCCCCAGATCCTTTTTACTTCTTGTGGCCTCCCGCCCATCAGGATGGTAAGACGTTTTTCACTTGGCCAACTTCTAAGAAAATGAAAGCAGAAGTTTCAAGGCCTCTATATTAGTACCCTATTGATGCTGTAGCAAATCACCATAAATGTAGTGGCTTAAACAACACAAAGTAATTATTTTACAGTTCTGGAGGTCAGAATATTGAAATAGGTCTTGCAGGTCTAAAACCAAGGTGTTGGCAGAAGATATTCCTTCTGAATGTCTTGGGGAGAATCTGTTTCCTCGACTTTTCCAGATTCCAGAGGCCACCTCTATTCCTTGGCTCATGGCCCCTTCCTCCACCCTCAAAGTCAGCGGAGTAGCATCTTAAATTTCTTTTACTTTCTCTGACCTTTGCTTGCATCATCATATCTCTCTCCTGGACCCTACACACCTGCCTCCCTCTTATAATAACTCATCTGATTACATCAGGCCTACGTGGAAAGCCCAGGACAATTTTTCCATTGCAAGAGCCTTAAATTAATCACACTTTCAGCCCCTTTGTCATGTAAAGTAACATATCCACAGATTCTAGGGAGTGGGCCATGGAAATCCTTGGGGACGCCACTATTCTACCTACCACGCTCTACCCTGTGTCCCCCAAAGATTCACATCCATCCCAGATGTAAAATACATTCACCCCATTCCAACTTCACCCAAAGCCTCAACCCATTACAGCGTCAACTCAAAGTCCAAAATCTCAGCTAAATCTTATCAGCTCAAAAGTCTCACATCTCATCCTCTAAATGTCTAACTCAGGTATCGGTGAGACTCCAAGTATTAGCCATCCTGGGGCAACATTCCCCTCTACCTGTGGACCTGCAAAACAAAAAAACAAGTTATCTACTCCTCAAGTACAATGTTGGTTCAGGAAATGAATAACAGCTATAGAGATTCCTTTTTCCCTTCCATTTTCCCCCTTTTTGATCAGGAACCCTCTGTGCCTCAAGACTCTACTCTCTGGGTTCACAGATCTGCCCTTAAAATTATCCCTCGAGATTAAAGAGTTTAGGCTAAAAAATTTATCTTTAATTTTTCACAAAAAGTAACATATAGTTGTGCTGAGTAGTTTTATCAGCTTTTTTTTTTTTTCCCCCACCAAGGGCAAGCAGGCATGGCCTGGTGTCTGCAGTTGGGATAGCACCACCTGAGACTGACCTTGGGTGTCTCAAACTCCTGACCTCAGGCGATCTGCCTACCTTGGCCTCCTAAAGTGCTGGGATTACAGGCATGAGCTACCAAGCCCAGCCAATAACCGTTCTCTTGAAGATTGATTCTCCCTGCTTTGTTTGTTTCTTCAGATTATTTTGTTCTGTTTGTTTTGGATTCTACTCTCATGATAGAGGTGTTCTTCATCTAGCTGAGGGTACTTGGTTTCAGTTCAAAGGAGGGTTGTAATAAGCTGATTGGAGGCTACTGATTTTAGGGGTTTAAAAATTTTGGCCGTTTTGTTTGGGAAACCACCACTGTCAGTATTTTTGAGTCTTTCCCCTTGGGCTGATCAGATCCTTCATGTAAGGATCTGATCTGGGCATTAGACCGGTGCTGGCCAATAGACCTTTCTGTGATGATGAGAATGCTCTAGACCTGCATGTCCCATATGGCTATTGAGCACTTTAAATGTGGTTAGTGTGAGTGTGGAGCTGAATTTTAGGTTTTATTTCATTTTATGGCTAGTGGCACTACATTCCATGGTACAGTTCTAGAAGTGTCTTTGTGAGGCATTGACACATAAATGTTCATTTAATCTCCTTTTTTTTCAGTACAATATTTTCATCTTCAACTATGGCTGATGTTCCTTTCCAGAAAAGAAATCCTTCAGTCTTTTGCCAGTGCTGGGAGATGAGTCACCTGGCCAGGCTGAGTAGGGAATGGCATCTAAGAGTATGACTCCTTCTAGAGCATCTTCTGTTTAGCCTCACTTTCATGCCCACTCTTGCGAGTATCTAAGCTGATGAGTTCAGGGCCTTTGGAGGTTGCTTCTTGGTTTTCTCCATGCTGATCAGGATTAGAATTTCTTGATTTTCGGTGTCAGTCATCCTTGCCCCTCTGGTTCCCAGCTTTCAACATTTTGTTCCTAATGTTTCCTCCGCTTTCTCTTTGTCCTTGTGGGTTTATAAAGTTTTAAAAATATCTTTAGTGTCATTAGTGAGATTTCAGGAGGGAGCAAAAGTGGATGAGTAGGTCCAGCCTTCTATCTTTAGCAGGACATTCCTAAATGATCTAACTTAAAAGTTGCTCTACTGTAGGATAACTGTATCATGTAATCTCACAATTCTGCAGTCTTCAGATCATGCAGTGCTCTTATGTATCCAGTTTGTTTTGTCAGTGTCTCTGTGAGTGAGTGGAAAACAAAGAATGATAAAGATGAGGAAAACAACTACCAAATGTTGAGCACATACAATCTTCCCAGCAAGTATGCAATGGGTATTATGATCACTTTCCCATTTTACAGATAAGGAAACTGAATCTTAAAGTTAGGTTGTGCAATAGAGGTTTGCACACTGATCTGCTAGACTGCAAAGTTCTTGCTCTTAATCAATGATCTGTCTGGGTATGAGAAGATCTGGATTAAAATTCCAGGTCTGACAACTTAGTCAATAAAAACTAACATTCATTGATATTCATTGGTATTAAATACCAAAACATCTCTAAACACTTTACATATATTATTTCATTTAATCCTTGCCCCAACTCTGTAAAATCAGTACTATCTTATTCCTATTTAACAGATGAAGAAAATGAGGCACAGAGAAGGTTAAGTAACCTGTCCAGGGTCACACAGCCAGCAGGTAGAACTGGAATGGCGACCCCAGCTGGAGTCAAGTCTTTGGAGGCTTGTTGGTCAAATGAGGACAATAATACCTGCTATCTCAGGTATTTGCTCCACCAAATTATTGTGAGCATCAAATTTAACGTGTGAAAACAATTAATAAATCAATCTACACTGAGAAGGCATTGTTGCTCTCCGTTTCAAGCAGACTTGAAGCCAGAAATCCTTCTGATCTCTGGTCAAGTACACTGAACATGAAACCCTTAATTCCACTAGTATCTCCAGGACATTTTGGTTTCCATTTTTGCCTGTCTCCTGCCTTTTACCAGTTGTAGCTCAAAGGCGAAGATGAGTCTCGGATTTCCATAAGTTCAAACTATCTTTTGTCTCTGGAAGTTTGGTGCATTCTTACAAATATATAAAGCAGAACCCCATCGGTGTGGGCATAGATTCCAAGCATTATTGACATCCCCACACCCTAAGTTCTCTCTGTGGTTACCACATCAGCCCCACCCCAACCTAAATTCAACATCTTGCATTGCAGTGTTTCCTATGGGTTCTTGGGACAAAAACCAATTGCCATGGCCCTCTGCCCACAAGGGCTAGTTCCATTTCTCAAGTCAGTGGGGGTGCCCATTGAGATGCCCTCTGTAGAGTCATCTCCCATCTGTTCATCTCACGTTCCAGGCTCCAGAAGATGTGAAATAGGTTTTTATAACATTCTTATGGGGTACGCTATCAGATATTCAAGTGCACGTGCCCACTGGTCTTGTGGTTATGGAACTTACTAGGATTTATTAATCTTAAAAAGTCAGTTCTTTTCTTCCAGAAATAAGCCTTCCAAAAGGTCAGCTTGGTTTCAATTAAGAGTGAATCTTTTTTTGCAGGTTAAATTTTGAGTCCAAATGGCTGCATTGATGGGATCCCAGGGCAGTCAATACTGCAGTAATTAGCAGACAGGAAGGCTCTGTGTTCAATAGGGTTGAACTGCTTTAATGAGAGGAAAGTTCCTGCTAATGAATGACATTTACTGCTGCTTTTCCATGGAGGGGGCAGTGTGCTCTCCTCTCCATCATCCTGTCTTGCTCACTCTGTGCCCCTTCTTACCCTCTTTCTCTTCCATTCCGGTTTCCTTTCTCTGGTGGCTCACTCCTCCTTTCCTCCCTGGGGAAGGAGACTGGAAACCTTTCTCTTCAGTGTCCTTTGGAGACCAGTGTCTGCATTTCACACCCTGGGGCATTGGCAGGGCTTCAGCTTTGGGTGCTGACCTACTTCTTCTGCAAATTTTCTAGGCATTTGGAATCCCTGCCAGCAATGTGGAGGAGTACGTAGTGAGCCAGCGAAACCCAGAATGTTAGAAGGAGGCAGGTGTCTCCCAGAGCTAGGTCAGAAGCACTGACAGGGCATTAAATAACAATATCGCATAGACTGAGAAAGACACTCTCTTCCCAGGTCTGTTTCAGTCCTTCCCATGAATCAAAGAGCGAGCCATGTGTCCTGTTTCAACAGAGAGCAAGAGCGGCCCTCGAAACTCTAGCTGATGGTGGGCAAGATCTGCCCTCGGAACTCTAGCTGATGGTGGGCAAGAAGATCTGGCTAGAATTTAATAATATTGCTTAGTTTTCATGGGTGGTCAGTGAGATTGCATTTTCATTTATGGTAATGAGGTCAGATTTCCTTTGTTAACAAATGTGTGTGTGTATAAAAAGGACTGAGTTTGAAGAAGAGTACCTAATCATCCATTGTTCAGGTGGTGGTGCTACATATGGACAAATCACGAAGCAGGTAGCACAACGGTGGTCAGCTGGGGGGGAAGGCCCTTGCTGCTGCGGTGCCTGCAGACCTTTGCTGAGAGCCCTGAGCAGGCAAGGGACGGTGATGACCCTGTGGAGCCCTCCTCTCACAAAGGTGAATTCTGAAGGCCACAGGTTGTCTCGATGTTTCCCCTTTGCTCCCTGCCCCCTGCCCCTGCAAATTGTCTTTGGCTGATGCTTTCCCTATTTGTGTACGGGAGAAGGTGAGGGATATTCAAGCAACTTCACTGAACACATTGTACCCACTTAGGCATGAACTTTCCCTGCCTCAGGAATCCCTCCCCAAGTCTAGACCTAGATCCTTTTATTTATTTATTTTTATTTTTGAGACAGAGTCTCACTCTGTCACCCAAGCTGGAGTGCAGTGGTGTGATTTCGGCTTACTGCAACCTTCATCTTCAGGCTTCAAATGATTCTCCTGCCTCAGCCTCCCTAGTAGCTAGGACTACAGGTGCATGCCACCACGCCCGGCTAATCTTTGTATTTTTAGTAGAGATAGAGTTTTGTCATTGTTGGTGAGGCTGGTCTCAAACTCCTGACCTCAAGTGATCTGCCCACCTGAGCCTCCCAAAGTGCTGGGCTTACAGGCATGAGCCACTGCGCCAGTCTGGATCTAGATCCTTTTAAACAAATCCTGGAGGCAGCCATGAAGGCCAAGCTACATCCCCTGACTTGCTCATTCAGGGTCTGCTGTCTCTGCAAGGCATGACTACTGTGTGTCATGGTGCAGACCAGGGGAATGACCTTATGTATGGATGATATAGCTCCTCACCCCACCCTCAGTCTTTCAGGGACCAACTACCTCTCGGTTGAAGGATAATCACTCACGTGACCTATGCCCTTGTTGGACACAAGTGAAAGGCAGTGGAGGACCAGCTACTGGCAGAACAAGGGAGACAACTTCTCCAGCACCTCTCTCTTCTGCCTCCACAGCTGGGCATGCTGCTCAAGCAACTGCTTTTTGGCAGAGGGGCAGCCAGAGACATCTCTGTTGTTCACAGCACAGTAAAGATCTTTCTAGAAAACTTTTTTTAAAACACAACTTTGAGCCCTGAGTTTTTAGTCATTCGTTATAAGATACAATTTTAAAGTGCTGTTTTTTTTTTTTTTTCTTATGACTTTCTTTTCTAGGAGAGGGTGAGTGTGTGTGCCTGGCCCAGTGGCCCTTGCTTGGCAGCAGAAGCCTTTCAGTGTGGAGCAGTGTCCTCCCTACGTCCCTCTGGCCTCACCACTTGGGTGGGTGCTGCCCGGCTTCCACCCACCAGTCTTCTTTCTTTGCCCAGGAAGCAGAAGTGTTGGTGAACTAACAGCCTTCAGGCCAGGCACAGTGGCTCACGCCTGTAATCCCAAAACTTTGGAAGGCCGAGGCAGGCAGATCACCTGGGGTCAGGAGTTTGAGACCAGCCTGGCCAACATGGTGAAACCCCATCTCCACTAAAAATGTAAAAATTAGCCCGGCATGGTGGTGGGTGCCTGTAGTTCCAGCTACTCGGGAGGCTGAGCAGGAGAATCGCTTCAACGCAGGAGGTGGAGTTTGAGGTGAGCCAAAATTGTGCCACTGCACTCCAGCCTGGGCGACAGAGCGAGATTCCATCTCAAAAAAAAAAAAAAAAAAAAAGAAACAAAAAAGAATTAGCAGCCTTCAACCAAAGACTGACAACAATTGGTATGCAAGTACTGTACCCCTTCACTCCCAGGGGGCAGAACACAGAGGTATGTACACTACACTGGCTCCTAGGGTTTTCCCAGTAGAATTAAGCTATTTCATCTAAATCTCTGTGCTGTGGTTTGAATGTGTCCCCTAAAACGCATGTCTTGGAAACTTAATTCCAAAGCAACAATGTTGGGAGGTGGGGCGTAATGGGAGGTATTTAAGTTACAAGGGCTGTACCCTCGTGAATGGATTAATGCTGATTATAAAAGGGCTTGGGCTGTGAGTTTGATCTCTCTCTCTCTCACCTTTTCACTTTTTGCCATGGCATGACACAGCATAAAGGCCCTTGCCAGATGTGGGCTCCTTGATCTTCGACTTCCCAGCTTCCAGAACTATAAGCCAAATAAACTTCTGCAGATGCGACAGAACTGGGAGGGTGGTAATTTTTATTATAAATCACCCAGGCTGTGATATTGTGTTATAGCAGCACAAAACAGACTAAGACACCTGTTCTTAGGCTCTGCTTCTGGGGGACCCCAAGATCAGACATAAGCATATTGCTGGAGTAAAAACTAAGTCCTCCATTTTAATCGTTAGGAGATTTTTTTATACATGCAGGTTGGATATAATATTTTATATGTGAACATTCCCATTAAGAGTAATCTCAGCACTTTGGGACGCCAAAGTGGGTGGATTGCTTGAGCCCAGGAATTCAAGACCAGCCTGGGCAACATAGTGAGACCCTATCTCTACAAAACATACAAAAATTAGCTGGGCATGGTGGTATGTACCTGTAGTCCTGGCTACTTGGGAGATCAAGGTGGGAGGATTGCTTGAGTCCAGAAAGCGGAGGTTGCAGTTGACATCTATTAAGCCCAAGATGTCTTACTACAACAGATGTTTAGGGTAAAATTTGTAACTCAGGGCACAAACATCAGTCTAATGGCGGCATTCCCTTGGTGTGCAGAGGAGGCCTTGGTGCTCCTAGTGAACAAGACAACCCTCCCTGACTTAAGCTGTCACAGACTTCGTTAGCTCTTGCTAGAACCTAGATGTTCATCTTTAGCAAGCCTGATATCCAGGGGCAAGACAATCAGAGATAATTGAGGAAGAATGAAAATTATAGCATGTGCTGTCTTAGCTCATGGGTGGCCAATGTGAGAAAGTGAAAAAAATGAAACCATGCTGTGGATTCTAAAGAGAAGCTGGGAGCCATGGAAGGATATTTATCTAAAAACAGGTTTATTCTGCAATGGAGAACTTACTGGATAGCCTGGAACTTGGAGCCACAAAGCCTAGTCCCTTCCTGCAGTATCATGCACACTCCTATTTCCTGACTTTACATGCCATTCTCCTGCCAGGAAATCCTTCCTCTTCATCACTTAGGACATGGCTTAAACACTGCCTCCTCTAGAAGGTTTTCTATGAAGCAAATCTGTGTTCATACTGGAGATATAGGTGGTCAAGAACTGTGAAGGGTCTGCAATTTTACACTACTTTCAAGCTAACAAGTTCACCTACTACAGTTTCATGGCTGCTGGCAGAAGACAGGAGACTCTTGGATCAGAGACAGAGGATTTTATCATTTACAGCTATAGTATTAGCCAGAGTGTCAGCAGTTGCGCCGGTTCCCTGAGCCCCAGTTCCCACAGAGTGATGCAAAGAAGGCCACATGTCACTTGTTAGTTACATTATAGGAGAGGAACCCTGAGCTCAGGGAGTCTGAATCTTTTATAATAGGCAGTAAGTATGTCTGCCCTCTGGTCCAGCAGAGACAATATCTCTATCTTCTAAAGACTCTTTACTGTTCAAGCATTCTTGAAATAATAGGAACAATGGGAGTTTTGCCTCTGCTCAAAAATGTGCAGAAACATGAGAGATGGATGCCAAATCATCTTCCACCATAGATCAAACCTAGAGGACTGTTGTAATCAAGTCAATAAGCAATTTAGTGGTTAAGAATGCAGATTACATGAGTACAAATCCCAACCCCACCTTGTATTAGCTATATGACTTAGGGTAAGTTATATAATTGACCTGTGCCTCAGTTTTATCATATGTAAGATGGGAATAGTGATGGAACCTACTTCTTGGGTGCTTATGATGATTAAGTGACTAAATATTTCCAAAGTGCTTAGAATAGTACTTGGAACATTAAAAATTCTATGTGTTTATAAAAATAAGAACCAGGAAGTAGTCAATGCATTCCCTGATGGCTTGTAGTTAGGATCCCATGTCCCTTGTGACAGTCTCATCAAACACTGGTTGAAGTGTCTCAGCTAGGAAATGAAGTCCATACATAGTTCACATAAACTTCGGGAAATTTGAGTGCATTTCCTCATTATGACAGGTGCAATTGGCATAATCAATATGGGAAATTCAATTTTTAAAAAAATGATTATGTTTCATAAATATTGTCTTCTGTTTATATAGAGGTTACAAAGACACAGGTCTATCTTACAGATGAAGCTTCTCTCCAATTAAATGTGACTTCTCACCTCTAAATTCCCCTAGCACTTTACACTTTTCTTATATCTTTTTGGTGTGTGTGTGTTCGCGTGAGTGTGGTTTGTGATCACTCCCCATAAACTCTAGGAGTTTCTGAAGCGTGAGGGCTGTGTCCTGCTCAGTTTGGTGGAACTGACATGACCCATGCTAACGTGGTGCCTGGCACAGAGTGAGGGTTCATCTACTGTTGACTCCAACTGGAGCAGAGTCACCCCAGTCTTCATAGTGCTTTTCCTGACTGGCATGGGGACTGCAATGTCACAGAAGCCAATGCTGTGACTTGGCTGGCGAAGGTTCTCCATGTGGGTACAGGGATGGAAGGGGCAGTATGGGGGATTTTGCAAAGACAAAACTGACCTGGCGGATAGAAGCTGTTTAGTTTACTAACTTCTTTCCCCCTACTGGTGTGACATGTGCAGCAAGTCAGGTGACTGAGAGTGTCTGTGGGAAGAGGGTATTAGTGTCCTAGAGTGAAGAGTCACTGCAGTAGGAAGATGGAAAATGCAGCAAGGGATTGGGAAATAGAGGGAGAAAACTTCTCCTGAGGCTAATGGTTTCTCTAGTGCTGTGCAAATGTCCTTTCAAGACTCTGGAAAAATGCGGCCAGGCGTGGTGGCTCATGCCTGTAATCCCAGCACTTTGGGAGACTGAGGTGGGCAGATCACCTGAGGTCAGGAGTTTGAGACCAGCCTGGCCAACATGGTGAAACCCTGTCTCTGCTAAAAATACAAAAATTAGCCAGGCGTGGTGGCGGATGCCTGTAATCCCAGCTACTCGGGAGGCTGAGGCAGGAGAATCGCTTGAACCCGGGAGGTGGAGGTTGCAGTGAGCCTATATTGCGCCACTGCAATAAAGGCAGGGGTAAATTTCAGGAAAGCAGAAATTACAGACAAAATTGTAAATCAATGCATGGAGGTTACACATTGGTTTTAGCCTGTTAAAGCGAACTAAATATGGCCTGAGAAGGACTCCATACCTCTGTAGTTGGGTCCTTGTGGATGAACTGCGACCTAGTTTAATAGGTAGACAATATTGAAAACCTAACTTAGGAGTATGCGCCTGTAACAATAGCTGAGTTTTGGCCAATCCCAGCGGCCGTACCTCAACCACTCTCACTGCTGAGTGTTCCAAGTGTGTTCAAATAAGGCAAACACTGAGCTGTAACCAATCCAGCTGTTCTGCACCTCACCTCCAATTTCTGTACGTCAGTTCCCTTTTTTTGTCTGTAAATCTTCTTCCACCACATGGCTGTGCTGGAGTCTCTGTGAATCTGCTGTGGCTCTGGAGGCCACCCAATTTGTGAATCGTTCATTGCTCAATTAAACTCCTTTAAATTTAATCTGGTTAAAGTTTTTCTTTTATCAAGCCTAACACAGCAGGATATCTTGAAACAGGAGTTTAAAAGTCATGGGTAGATTCAAAGCTTTTTCTGATTTGCAGTTGGTTAAGGAAGACAGGCTCTGTTTAAACATTTGGGGACAGCAGAAAAGAATGTACGCTCTGACCTATGGGTGTGACTTCCTCCAGGCCCCTCAGGAAGAAATATAGAACAAAGAAAGGTGGTCAGGGTTCAGGCCTCAGTTTCCCCTTAGCTGAGGTCCATTTGCCTGCAGATCTGTTTGGTGAGGGTCTGGGTTTCTGAAAAACAACTTGGAGACATGGGTTAAAATGTTATCTTTAGTTTCTTAGGGGAACCAAATATCCCATACTTCTAGCTTCCCTGGCTCTTGTTTTAGAGTACCCTGTTCCTTATCAAGTCGCTTATTTACTTCTCAGGGCTAGCGATGTGCTTGGATCTTTTCTAGAAGGAATTCAAGATATTCCTTTATTTCCATGCTTGGGTGGGGGGATCTCAGGCCCCTAAGAGGGAAGCCCTGCTCCATCTCAATTTCTTGGAGAATCCTACCTAGGACAGGCTTTCTTCTTATTACTCTGCTAGAAAGCAGAGGCATGTGCCTCTGTTCTGGAGATGTGAGTGGCACAAGATGAAGTCTGAAGGGCAGAAAAACATTCTAGGTGTAAAAGGAATACATTCGAGGTAAGTTCCTTCCAGGAACTCTGAGAGTGAGTTGACGGAGTGGGCTAAGGTGGTTGCAGTGGTCAGTAGGAAGTGGTCAGTTGTGGTCAGATCTGGAATATGCCTGGAAGGTATAGAGAGGGAGGATTTACTGATGAGTTGAATGTGGGGTGTGTGAGAGAGAAGTCAAGGATGACTGCAGGGCTTTTAGTCTGTGCCTGAGGATCAGCAACAGAGTCATTATTACTCAGCTTAGAATATAGAGTATGGAGCCAGGCGCGGTGGCTCACACCTGTAATCTCAGCACTTTGGGAGGCCGAGGCGGGTGGATCACCAGGTCAGGAGATCAAGACCATCCTGGCCAACATGGTGAAGCCCCGTCTCCACTAAAAATACAAAAATTAGCTGGGCGTGGTGGCATGTGCTTGTAATATCAGCTACTTGGGAGGCTAAGTCAGGAGAATCACATGAACCCGGGAGGCAGAGGTTGCAGTGAGTCGAGATCATACCACTGCACTCCAGCATGGTGACAGAGTAAGACTCCATCTCAAAAAAAAAAAAAAAAAAAAAAAAAGGAAAAAAAGAAATATAGAGTATGGATTTAAGAGAGGTAACAGATATCCTGGTAGAGATGTTATGTAGGCAGCTGGATGTCAGAATCTGGAGTTCGGGGAAAAGGTTAGGGCTGGAAATACAAATTTGAGAGTCACCAGGATATAAATCGTTTATAAAGTCTAGGAACTGGATGATATCCCCTGGGCTTGGGTGCAGAAAGAGTACTGAGTCCCAAGGCCCTCCACCATTTAGAGATCTGGAAAAGGAGGCCAGTGCAAGAGAGCAGTCCCCTATATTTTCTGAGATAGAAATACAGAAGAAGCCCCTTTTTTACTGCTGCTATTTGTAATCAGCTGTAGAGCCTATTGAATAGATTAAACCAACTTAAGCATTTTAGAGTGTGAGAATTTGAAGAGGCCCTCATCATCACATGGTCCAGTGTTTTGCATACTGTGGGTCATACAAGGTCAGGAAACCAGTTTATTGAATCCTGACTGGCATTTTTAAACAAGTGAACTAAAATAGAATAGAAGACTTCAGAGTGTTACATGTAGTAGAGATAAGCATTGTTTTTGGAGCTACTCTTTCAGTGTGTGAGTGCGTGTGTGTGTGTGTGTGTGTCTGTGTATTGGTCACTATGCAATTTTTCTCCTTTTCCTTTGGCCCTCAGGTGCACAGAATTGAACCAATTATAATCCTTGGTTTGGGACACCACAGTATTGTCATGGTGCATAAGTGACCACTGTCTTTTACCTATCATGTAATATTTTAATTTAGAAAATAACATAAAAGTCACTCACAACTAAGAGCTAGAACATTTCCAGTAATTTACATTTAACAACCCTCTGCACCCCCCAACCCTACATAACCATGTCCTTAATTTTGTGTTTATCTTTCCCTTTCTCTTTTTTTATCCTTTTTATCTTTCTATGTGTAAACAATATGTTGTTTAAATCTGCTTTTTAAAAACTTTTCTATTTTTTTTTTTTTTTTGAGAAAGGGTCTCGCTTTGTTGCCCAGGCTGGAGTGCAGTGGTGTGATCTTGGCTCACTGCAACCTCTGCCTCCTGGGATCAAGCAATTCTCCTACCTCAGGCTCCCGAGTAGCTGGGTCTACAGGCGTGTACCACAACACCTGGTTATTTTTTGTATTTTTAGAAGATATGGGGTTTCACCACGTTGGCCAGGCTGGTTAAAAACTTTTTATGATGGAACATTTAAAATATATAAAAAAGCAGAGAGAGCAGTATAAAAAACCCCTCACGTGTCTATCAGTTTCCATAATGACCAATTCATGACCAGTCTTGCTTCATTTGTACCCCTGTTACTCCAATTGGAAGCAAATCGTCCAGATAACATATCATTTTAGCCATAAATATTTCAGCATAAGGCTTAATCATTAATACAAAATCATTATTATATCTAAAAAAATGTAACATTTAAAAATATCATTAAGGCTAGGCACAGTGGCTCATGCCTGTAACCCCAGCACTTTGGGAGGGCGAGGCAGGTGGATCACCTGAGGTTAAGAGTTCGAGACCAGCCTGACCAATATAGTGAAACCCCATCTCTACTAAAATAAATACAAAAATTACCCAGGCGTGGTGGTATGCACCTGTAGTCCCAGCTACTCGGGAGGCTGAGATAGGAGAATTGCTTGAACCTGGGAGGCGGAGGTTGCAGTGAGCCAAGATCATGCCACTGCACTCCAGCCTGGGTGACAAAGCAAGACTCTGTCTCAAAACAAATAAAAATATCGTTAAATATCCCATCATTTTCAGAGTACCAATTGTCTTAAGAATTCTCTCATTTATGAAAAAAAATCAAAAACTTGAACTCTGACCTGATAATTAAAAATGTTATGAAATAATTGTTTTTTTTTGGTTAGTATGGTTATATAGTTTATGTTTATTAATATTTTGGTTATTTTTGTTGTTGTTGTTTATTTTATTTTATTTTTTTTGAGGCAGAGTCTTGCTCTGTCACCCAGGCTGGAGTGCAATGGTGCGATCTCAGCTCACTGCAACCTCTGCCTCCCGGGTTCAAGCGATTCTCCTGCCTTGGCCTCCTGAGTACAGGCGTGTGCCACCACGCCTGGCTAATTTTTGTATTTTTAGTGGAGACGGGGTTTCACCATGTTGACCAGGCTGGTCTTGAACTCCTGATCTCAGGTGATCCACCCACCCCCGCCTCCCAAAGTGCTGGGATTTACAGGCGTGAGCCACCGGGCTTGGCCTATTTTTGGTTATTTTTTACAAGATTCTTTATTTTTGAGGTATATATATATATATCTCTCTCTGAGAATTTTGAATATATATATTCAGTATATATATATATTTACTGAAATATGAATGAGATGATAGAATGTCTGGGATGTGGTTTGAAATAATACAGGAGTGGTGATGAGTGGGTGGGGTTTAGATGAAATGATATTGCAATGAATTGATTGTTATTGAAACAGAGTGACAGGAAAGTGGGGATTTATTAAACTGCTCTGTTAACATTTATACATGTTTAGATTTTTCCATAGTAACAACAACAAAAAATCCAATAAAAAGGCCCCAAAGTGAATAAACACTCTAATGCACAAGTCCTTAAGCACATGTTTCTTTAGGGTATAAACTTGGAAGTGCGCCTTCAGTCTGCTAAAGAGTGCCAAGTTGCTCCCCAGAGTCAATTGTCAGCCTTTGACAGAGTCCAGTAGGAACTCAGATTGCCTCCCGTTGAGGACAATGAGCCGCCTCTCTTGTGTTAAGCCTTTTCTGCCGTTCCCATTGTGATTCTACTGGGGGTGGAGAGGAGGGTGCCTCAACTCCTGAGGGCAATGGGACGGTGAGGGGATGCAGCTGGATCCAAATAGCAATTTCTGGACCATGAATCCTTGCCTAAGTCAACTTACTGTTTTTCTCCTACCATTGAGCCTTTATTCTGGGTATCAAGTTATAAAACTGAGCTGGGGTCTCCTCACCCAGCACAGTAAGACCAGACATCCACACTGAGGTTCTGCAGTGATAGAAAGGAAGCTGTTGGTTTGCAGGGTGCCAAACAAGGAGGACCAGGCCATAATGCTCAAATCCTGACCTCCCCTATATCTTGCAGGAAGAGATTTTTAAAGGCAGGGGTAAATTTCAGGAAGCAGAAATTACTGGCAAAATTAGAAATCAATGCATGAGGTTACACATTGGTTTTGGCCTAAAAGGGTGGGAGATCTTGAAGCAGTGACTTCCAGGTCACGGGTAGGTTCAAAGCTTTTCTGATTTGCAATTGGTTAAGGAAGACAGGCTCTATTTAAAAATTTGAGGTCAGCAGAAAAATAAATGTTAGCTCTGTCTCATGGGTATGACTCCCTCCAAATCCCTCAGGAAGAAATTTAGAACACAGAATGGTGGTCAGAGTTCAATCCTCAGCTCCCTCTTATCTGGGGTCTACTTGAATCTGTTTGGTGAGAGTCTGGGTTTCTGAAAAACAACTCAGAAACACAGGTTCAGATGTTACCTTTAGTTTTGATAGGGGCACCAAATGTCTCCTGACTCCAACTTCCTTTGCTATTGTTTTAGGCCACTAATTACCTCGTTGCTTACCGAGTTGTTCATTTACTTCTCACGGCTAGCTAGCTAGGTACCTGGAATTCCCCTTTCAAGGAACTCAAGATTTTCCTTTATTTTCATACTTGGCGGGGCTCACAGGCCCCTAAAAGCTGGGGAGTGTCTTTGCTCCATCTCAATAAATCTCACCCAATTTACAAAAATATGCATACAGCTGCTTTTTTGTTACAAGAGAAATACATGTTTATGATAGAAACTTAAGACATTATAAGTAAATAAAAAGAAGAAAATAAAAATCGGCCTTATGTACCGTAGCGGCTGCCGGCATTCATTGGTCACTTTGTCTTTTTTCTGGGTTAATACTCTACATTTTACTTGAAATGTGCTCTCTTCACTTCAGATTTGTTTTTTCATATCATTAAACATTCTTTTACAATACAGTTGATGATGTCTTGGTATGTTTTTTGTAGAAATGACACAATTCATTTAAATAATTCCCAATTGTTCAACACTTAGACTGTTTCCCAAAGTTCTCTATTTTTTCCCATTTTTGCCTTATGTGCATTTTGAAGCAGGGCTCAGAGCTTTGACTTACCTCCAAACAGAGCCAACTCCACTGTGAGTTAGAAGACATGAATGTTTCATGGAGAAACAGAAACTTAGCCATTTGATATTTGTGCTTTGTACCCATTCTCCTTTCCAGACACTGGCCTCTTCTCTCTTTTTTTCTCTTTCCCAGACAGTTTCTAAATGTCCCTTATGATGTCCAGAGTTGAGAGTCATTCATCTCTGTACACTCAGCAAAGCAAAAAGTTCTGCGGTCAGCAGAACGAACCATCTTGACGTAGCAGTTCAGGGACCATCGATTTTAACTCATATGTCCCTTGAAAGGTTCACCAAATAATTTATCAAAGTATTATGGTTATTTCCTTGAGATAAATTCTTAGAGGTGGAACTGCTGGATCAGAAAGCATAAAAAAGGGAATGTTTTCGATGACTTAGGAACAAGGGTGTCAGGTGTGTTGATTTGCTTTCTGCCAGTGCTCTTGAGAGAATGTTGATTTGACTGCAGTCATTAACTAGCTGAGATTTCGAGTAGAATTCCTCTGGTTCATTTGTCATTCTATTCCCTGTCACCGTACTTGGCAGTAGAGCATCAGAGCTCTGTCTGGGAAGTACAACCACTATGAGTGGTATGAATAAGGGATTTGTTATAAAGCTTAGACTTTATGCAACTGTGCAAGGGCTAAGCAAGTATAGTTCTGAAAGGAGATTGGGTAGCATCATAGAAAAATCACCAACAAGGGGCCATGAAGGGGAGCTGTGGTTGGCCTGAGGGAGTTGTAGGTCAGCAGGGCAGGCAGTTGGGAAGAAAAGCTGGCTGTGAAGCAGAGGGAAATAGTCAAGTAGAACGCAAAAGGGCAAACTGGAGCCTGAATCTGTGTTTCACTGATGTCTAACTCCAGTGGTGCTGATGACCTATCAAACAATCGGTGCCTTTTGCTATGGAGCTGTGCATGTGTCTGGCCCAGGACTAGTTGAAGCTGAAGGAGTTGATCTAGTGGGAGCTGAAGGAGCTGTGTGCCCTGCCTCTGCCCCATGCTAACAAGACTAGCCAGCAGATCAGCCCCTGGGGCCTCCAAGGCACTTAAAGCATAACGGCTGCTGTTATGTAGCTTCCAAACCGCATGCAAATCTTCCTTGTGTGCAATCCTCACTTGGAACCATCTGGGGAAAGGACTTTTGGGAAGCATAGCTCCAGCTTAGCTAAGTTGACAGAGTAAAACCACCACAAGCAGTGCCTGTAGGACTCAGTGCCAGGACAGAAAAGTGAATTCTAGTGAAGATAGTATTTACTATTGCCTAGGGAAGCTTACAGAGGTAGCAAAGCCAGAAAAATTTTGCTGATGTGTTTTCCTGTAAGGGAAGAAGTTTCCCAGAAGGGAAAACAAGCTCAACACTGAGGAGAGAATTCTGCAGAGAAATGTTATACTTTCTCCCATGAGAGAAATTACTGAACCAAATATTCTCAGGTCTTTTGGTAGAGGCATTGATGAGCCAATCAGAGAAGGACCATGTGTTTGTATCATTTCTCTGAAACAGACTTAGGAAGTAATCTGAGCTAACCTATGTATAAAAATCTCTGTAAAGGACATGAAAATACCCCCAATCAATAATTAGAAGCTATTGTTATTGGAGATGCTGCTAATCTTGTATCATGAAGAATTTATACAATTACAGAAGTTGAACTTGTCTGTAGCAGCAGTCCTCTTCAGAACCCAGAGAACCTATTGTATTTTATTGCACTTATGGGATATTTGTCATATGTTCCAAACACAGGCAATAAATTATAATATTAAATAATTCAAGCCAGGCATGGTAGCTCACACCTATAATCCCAGAACTTTGGGAGGCTGAGGTGGTGGACCACGTGAGGCCAGGAGTTCAAGACTAGCCTGGCCAATATGGTGAAAGCCTGTCTCTACTAAAAATACAAAACTTAGCTGGGCATGGTGGTACACACCTGTAATCTCAGCTACTTGGGAGGCTGAGGCAAGAGAATTGCTTGAACCCGGGAGGCGGAGGTTGCAGTGAGCTGAGACCATGCCACTGCACTCCAGCCTGGGCTGGAACAAAAAAAAAGAATTCGAAATGGTAGTAGTCAACTACTGAATCTCACTGCTTTGGAAGAGACCTCCAGTGGTAAACTTGAACATTTTCAAAATTTTCCTGTTTATGGCATAATTTTTTTTTCAGCTTTATTGACAACAGTGGCAGTGTCAGAGACAGCCTGATAAAAGACAATGAGGGGAGGCTCAGCCATAATAACGTAGGTGGTGGAACTCAGATGCCTCTATCTTTGTATCCTTGTTCTTATTGTGGCTATCGGTCCCCACAATACTTCTAGTCTCAGTCAGGACCGATATTCCTGCCTATTGCACTGCCTGATTCTTTGATGTTTTCCAGACACATTTTGCTCAATATAGCTGGGTTTTATCATGAGGAGTCCTTTAGAAAATCCCCAAAGGGGGTCAGACATTACTGGTACAACTCTGGAAAGATCTTTTCCATTCTAACAGCAAAAGATGAGAATTCCAGATTATCACCACTGCTCTTAGGTGAGATACACTGACCAGAGTTCTGCTTGAAAGTGACCCTAGACTGGGATTCAAAGACACCTTCCAAAACCACACCACCAAACCGAGCCACCAAGGGAGCTGCTCCTCCACAAGTGGGAGTTGCTGATCCAGGCAGCTGCCCTACAGCTGCAGCCTTTCTCCAGCCTTTCCAACAATTCTAAGAGCACTTTATATCCTTAGCAACTCCTTTGCATTTAAACTAATTTAGGTGGATACCGTTGTCTACAGTAAGGGCCCTGACTAATAAAGCAATTGGCCCTAGAATCTGAGTAGAGGAAGAGTTGGTTTTTTTTTTCTTTTTCTTTCTTTCTTTTTTGTATTTTAAACTTCACTAGCAGGAAAGAGTTGTTTTTTTCAATCCTGAGAGGGAACTAGGTTGATGGAGATTAAGGAACACAGCAGAAAGCACCTGCTTTGACATAATTTTCTTTCTCCCCGTCTTTGCTTTCAAACCAGCCATCCTGACCCTCAATTCACTGTTTGTTGTTGAGTCCTCCTGAAAGGTACGAGAAGCAGCTGCCACTTGCTGATATACTCTATTTTTTTTTTCTTAAAGCTACTAATCTGGTTGGCACCTTTCATCAAACTCCTACAAAGTGAGCCTCTGGGACCACCTGGATCTGTCTCTCTTCTGGCCCAGAATCTTTCAGACAACCAAATCTCCTCTCTTTTGGGCAGAGGATAATGTCTGAATATTCTTTTGCTTTGATTGACAGGAAATAAAGGGCACTTGAAACAGCAGGAGCTGCCTCTGGAGCTGGGTCCAGGGTTTGGTGGGGCCTGAAGCTTATGTAATTCTGGGGCCTCCTTGAAGAAAAATAGTACAAAACTACAAATACAAAATTAGTGATCAAAGTGGATCCTTAGGATTGGAAAAGAAATCACAACAAACTACAAATTTTAAAAAATTGAAAAATAACACAAGCTTCAGAAAGTGCAGAAAATAACTGAATAGGCTGATAACAACTCTACAATACTTTTTCCCCCTATGTTTTTAGCTAGATAACTCATCGTAAAGACCACAAGCAGAATTACCAAATTCATTAAAATGAAGCAGATGTGGTTCCCACGTTGCTCCATTGTCTGTACAAATTGCATTGTCCTTTCAATATCTTCCATCTTTCTTCCTTTGTTTTTCCATTTTAGAGTGGCCAATTCTCCTAATCGTCTTGATCTTTTCTATTTTATTTTTTCATGTATATTTTATCAGCTATTGTGATTCATTTTATGGATTTCCATGATTTTGACCACTATAGGATTTTAATATTTTCTTTAATATCCATTATCTTATAATAGCAAGACAACTGTTGACGCTTTGATTTTGCTAAATTTCTTTTTTCTTTTCCTCTTTTTCTTTCTTTCTTTCTTTATTTCTCTTTCTTCCTTTCCTTTCCTTTCTTTTTTTTTTTTTTTTTTTTTAAGATAGAGTCTCACTCTGTCACCCAGGCTGGAGTGCAGTGGCGCAGTCTCGGCTCACCGGCTCACTGTAACCTCCACCTCCCAGGGTTCAAGCGATTCTCATGCCTCAGCCTCCTGAGTAGCTGGGATTACAGGCATGCGCCGCCACACTTGGCTAATTTTTGTGCTTGTAGTAGAGACGGGGTTTCACCATGTTGACCAGGCTGGTCTGGAATTCCTGACCTCAGGTGATTTGCCCACCTTAACTTCCCCAGGTGCTGGGATCACAGGCATGAGCCACCATGCCCGGCCTAATTTTCATTTTTCAATTTACATTATTGACTTTCGCCAAGATGTTTCCTTCCTGCTGTATTTATTTTGGTATAATCAGTAATTCTGAACACAATATGTAAAATCTATAAAATTAATTTGAAAATAAGTTCCACATGACTGATTCAGATGCATTTTGAAATTGCCACTAAGTTGAATAGTGTTACGTAGTTAGGTAGTCAAATTACATTTAGACTACATCCATTGGTCAATTGATGAATATGTGTAGGAGTTTTGTTGCTGGAGCACTAATTTCTTCTTTTTTTTCCAGGCCATTTTTGAACATTAGTGGCAAATTTGCATGCCATCTCATCAGGAACTGTCAGACTTTGTTGGGATAGGATACATAGGATATGCTAAGATACAATCTGACACCTTGGGATGCTTTAGATGTAATATCTCACACAGCCACTGTTTGTACCACTGTTTGTGCCCCCAAAATGCAAGAATCCTGATAAATTCCATTTTGCACAATTTCCAATAAACACACAAAAAATTGTACGATAGATTTATTACTGTATCTGCTGCACTCAGTATTCCTAATAAGAGGAATTTGACCAACAGTCTTCTGCTTACAGTTTTACACATCTGATGATTAGAAGAATTTCTTAGATTGGCTTCTGGCTATGAGAATCTCAGTCTTTGTTTTTCCTCCAATACCCTCATCCTTACAGTGCCAGGTGCTGTGGGGCCATTCCATTTCCTGGCAGTGTCTGGCCAGCAGCCTCATGCCATGTCAGGTGTATTAGCACAGCAGACAGTAGGAGTATTCCTGGAAGCCATCCTTACAGAGGATGGTTAAACCATACAGGATGTGACTGTGAAGCATGTAAGTATGTCTCAAGCTAAACCCAAGCTATATGTATTGCCAGGTCCCCTTCAATGGTATCCCAAAATACCTGTGGCCACTTCAAAGCCACCCTCGATGAAATGTAATGAGATGGAGGAAAAGTCAGAGTAGAAAAAGCCCATGGAAATGAACAATTGAGGTTAAAAATCTTATTTTTGCAAACTTTATAAAACACATGACCATGTGTGTTAGAGCTTTTCTCAGGACCTTGGAAGGGCCTAGGCAGCTTAAGCCACTAGAGCTTTAGTGGTGCTTACCACTCCGTGGTAAACCTCCTCTGCTGGTCTCTTAGTGTTTTGACATTTTAGCCCTATTAGATTTAAAGGAATTAAGGTAGAGGTACAGCTGATCCCTGAGAAAGAAAGTACAAGTTTGTCAGATGCTAAAATAGGGGGCTAACACTTTGTGAGGTTCATTATACCCACCAATGAATGTAATCATTCTTTCCACCTGCAAAGTTCTGTCCTCTTATTGTTGATCTGGCCTCATTTCTAACACAAAAAGAAAGCACGTCAAGACTGCAAAGGATCTGAGATTGCACCCTGCTTTCAAGCTAATAAGCTCCTGGATGGTGGCAGCAGATGTGGGACTCCCGGGCCAGAGACAAAGGACTTCATTACTCACAGCCATGCAGCATAAGCAGCATATTGCCTCAGTGCCCCTTGCCTCTGAGTCTCATGGGGGTGACACAGATGAGCCCAGATGGACGTCGCACATGCAGTGTTTGCATTACAGGAAAGGAGCCCTGAGCTCAGAGAACACAAATCTTTTCTAATCAACAGTAAGTTGATTGCCCTTTGCTCTGGAGGAAGGTGCTACCTCTGTCTCCCAAGGCTGTTCACTAAATATCCCTGAAAAGATAGTTTAGAGCAAAGGGTGATCAATGCCTTGGTCATGAAATAGGCTCACGGAGAATCATCTCCCAACACAGTTAAAGGCCCTTTGTTAGTGAGAATCAAAGGTTAAAATGGTGCTATATAAAATAACAGTTTTCCAGTTGGCTGATATTAGTCGACTTATCACCTAAGAAAAATGCGTAGTGAGGGCAAAAAAAACCCTCTTTAATATCAATGTAGGTGTTAGGGAAATGGTCCCTAGATATGTAAGTGTTCCTTTAATCCTATATGACCCTGCAGTTTCCAATTTGATCCTTCTTTAACATTTTTAAACTTATGGTTAGATGAACACCCTTTGGGTTGGTGAATCCATAAGTAAATCGCTTGCTTCATGAAGTAGAACTTGTTTTTATTTGTTTTAATCTTGTTTTTTCCACATAAAGCACCAGGCTCAAGTCTCAGTTCGGCCACTAACTTGTGATATGACCTATGTAAGTTACTTAGCATCTGTTGGCCTCAGTCTTTCCATCATGTAGGGGAAACTGGGCTAAATGATTGCTAAGGCTCCTTCCAGATTCCAAGTTCTGTGATACTTTTGCTCTTGGATTTGGGGATTTACCATGCTTGCCTTGGATTTTGATTTTATGATCATCAACAACAAATATCAAGAAACTTTCATCCTTCCAATTGCAGCTTCAAATACAAAGATACACAAGACATATCTTCTGTCCCTAGAGGATAGCTGGATGTTCTGGTTATCTGTCACTGCATAACAAACCACACCAAAACTTAGTGGGTTAAAACAACACATTTATTTTGCTCATGCGTCTGTAATTTGAGCAGGGCTTGGCTGGGGCAGGCCATCTCTGTACCATGTAGCATCAGCTCGGCTGGCTCAACTAGGGCTAGAGGATTCATTTGTAAGGTGGCTCTCTTACATGACTGGCAAGTTGGTGCTGGGGTCACCTGAAAGTTCAGTTCCTCTCCACAAAGGTCTGTCCTCAGGCAACTTAGGCTTCCTCACAGCATGGCAGAATCGAAGAGTGAGCATCTAAAGAGAACCTGGTGGAAGCTGAATGACCTCTCCTAATGTAGCCTCAAAAGCCACATAATGTCATTTCTGCCCTAGTCATAGCCTACCCAGATTCAAGTGAGAAAAAAGAGTTAAGAGGGGCAGACATAAGCTCAATTCCTCCACGGGAGAAGAATTAAAATCTAATTGTTTATTGGAAAAGGCAAAACTATCGAGACAGTAAAAAGATCAGTGGTTGTTAGGATTTCAGGGAGAGGAGAAGAGGGATAAATAGGGGCAGAGGGGACTTTTAGGGCAATGAAATCATTCTGGATGACACTATAATATATGACATGCATTTGTCAAACCCCTAGAACTGTACAACAAAAGAAGCGACCCCTAATGTAAATCATGAACTTCAGTTAATGTTTTTTATTTAAAAAATTTTTAATTTACTTCTTAAATTTTAGATTCAGGGGATACACCTGCAGATTTGTTATATGGATATGTTGCATGATGCTGAGGTTTGGGCCTCTAATGATCCTGTCACCTATGCCTAAGTAGTGAATGTAGTACCCAATAGGTAGTTCTTCAACTCTTCCCTCTTCTTACCTCCTCTCTTCCTCCCCACTTTTGGAATCCCCAGTATTTATTGTTCCCATCTTTGTGTCTGTGTGTCCCCAGTGTTTAGCTCCCTACTTATAAGAAAGAATATGCAGTATAGGCCAAGGCAGGCAGATCATGAGGTCAGGAGATCAAGACCATCCTGGCCAACATGGTGAAACCCCATCTCTCCTAAAAATACAAAAATTAGCTGGGCATGGTGGTGCATGCCTATAATTTCAGCTACTTGGGAGCCTGAGGCAGAAGAATCGCTTGAACCCAGGAGGTGGAGGTTGCAGTGAGCCAAGATCACGCCACTGTGCTCCAGCCTGGCCACAGAGCTAGACTCCATCTCAAAAAAAAAAAAAAAAAAAAGAATATGCAGTATTTGGTTTTCTGTTTCTGTGTTAATTCCCCTAGGATGATAATGTAATTGGTTCATATTTGCAACAAGTGTACTCCACCAATGCCAGATGTTAATAATAGAAGTGTTTCATGTTCTTTTATGCAATGATAGTCAGGTGTGGCCATAAGAGGAGGCAGTGGAGAGGCTCAGGAAAACAAGGTTTCTTATACCCACAGGTCCTACAGACAGAGGCAGGGCATACCATGCCACATAGAACCACATGGAAAGACACCGGGTGCTCAGGAGGCAGAAGACAGGAGGGAGGGGAAGGTTGAGACTGGAGCCTTCATGGGGGCATCTAAAGGAAGGGCACATTCTATTCTCTGCAGAATTTTCAATCCTTAATTAGCATAACCATCATAAAACCTCCTTTTTCACACTTAGAATCCCTTGACTTTCCCCTCTCTGTGAATTCCTCAGTTACTTTACTCACTGGTGGGTTTTCCCTAGCTTGGCAATTTTTCCCTTAAGCTCTGGTAGTCTTTGTTTTATTCTTTGACATATAGGAAGTAAATTAATAGGTGTTTTTATTAACTTTAGGTGCTATTTATATGGAGGTTTCCCTCTGGAGTGAGTGAGGTTCTTACCGGTGGTGGGTCCAGGTGGGGTCTTCAGTATTTGATTCTTGTCTTCTTGGAAGAAAGAATTCAGCCAAGAGACAGAAGCAGATTGAAGGCAGAGATGAGAGTTTATTGAAGCAAGGAAAAGTACATATAGAAGAAACCAAACAAGGAACTCAAAAGATTGAGCACCCCGCCTGCTTGTTGGCTTAGGGCTCTTATAGAGCTACTGTTTCTTGGTTCTTCCCAGTCTCCTGCCCTCGTCCTTCCCCTTGGGTGGGCTGTTGGCTAATTACCACATGCACTGTTTGGTGGTTGACGCTATGCACATGCTCTTTTAGGGCAATTTTTCCTTACTGGTCTAGCGCCCCCAGAGGAAGGTCTTATACCAGTCAAACTCTGCCATGTTTCCTCTTACTGCACATGCCTGGACATGTTTGCTCAATTCTCAGGATCTTACTGGGAAGTTGTTGCCCATGAGCTCAAAATGTTTCCTGGTTGTTAGGAAATTTTCCCCTCTCTGGCACCAGCCAGGACCATCATTCTTGAAGAGCTGCCTGACAATTGCATGACAGTCACCTAACTGTTGCCTGACATTCCTCAGGACCCTATCCTGCCCTGCCCCTATCTGTCTATCTACCTACTCCAACAAGATGAGGGATGTTAGGGGCCTGTGATTCCCTTCTCTGTGTCTCAGTGCCCTGTAACCACCCTCACCTCACTGAACAAACACAGAACTGTAGGACTGAGAACCAGAGGAGAAACCAGGTTGGGGGACCCTATTTAAGAAAAAGAATTTTTTAAAGTTCAGCAAAAATGTATCTGAAAAACAACAAATATTGATTCCAAATGAGAAAACAGATCCCAACAAATTATAAATTGAGAAATTGCAGTCTCTTAATTGGAATGTACAGGAAGGGTTACCTTTCTAAGGAGCTTGCACAAGTGCACGGCTGAAAGCTTAAGCTTTCTCAGCTTCCTGGGTAAATCTCATTCTGATGACCACAACACCCCCAAGCATTCACTCCCCTTTTCCCAGCAGCTCAACACCTCCAGCTTCCTGTTAGCTTCCAGTAAGGAACACAGTTTTGAATTGAGGGTGAGCAGCTGCTTATGGATATAAATGATTCACTGGTGAGAGACCTGGGCCTTTTCCCTGTGGATTAGCCCCTTCCGTGGAAATTAATTAACTTCTTTGGGCTTGGCTTGCTTTCTTCATAAAATGTAATCATGGGACTTGCAGGCTTGTAATTCTACAAGAGGGATCAAATGATGTGAGTGAAGGATTTTTAAGTTGTACAACCACAGGCTTGTGAAAACTCATGTGATTATTGGTGTTGGGTACTAATGGGCTTTTCCCTAAAGATATTCTACTTACGATCCTCTCTTTTAAAAGTAAAGTAACCAACAGGTAATTTAAGACATGGAAGTATATGCTATCTGCATACAGACAAGTAATAAGTGGTTTTAAATGATAATAAACAGGTTTTCATCATGGTGGGTGGGAGAAATCTCTTTTATGGCTGCTTTCCAGATACTTCCAAGACCTATCTTGAGGGTAGGTTCTGTGTCTCTCTTGTCTGTATTCCTATCATCTGGCATTTTGCTGTGCTCATCGCAGGCTCCATAAATGTTTGACAAATAAATACATGCATTACAAAAGAATTCTGTTTTATGGAAGTGCTATCTAAAAATTGCACTTATGGGCTGGGCATGGTGGCTCAAGCCTGTAATCCCAGCACTTTGAGAGGCCAAGGCAGACGGATCACCTGAGATCAGGAGTTTGAGACCAGCCTGGCCACCATGGTGAAACCCCATCTCTATTAGAATACGAAAATACTAGCTGGGCCTGGTGGCAGGCGCCTGTAATCCCACCTACTTGGGAGGCTGAGGCAAGAGAATCGCTGGAACCTGGGAGGCGGAGGTTGCAGTGAGCCGAGATTGCCCCATTGTACTTACGGTGCATTTAAACAAACTTAACTCTCTGTTCTCCTTCCTCCATTAAGAGATATAAACAACTCTTTCCTATTCTAGGGTCTAGGGTCTGGTCCCTTGGGACCATCAAATGGTTGTTCACTGGCAATTAAGCCCTTTTATTAAAGAAAAGGCAAGTGAATGAAGGTTTTGAATTTCCAGGGTTGGGAAAGCAGGCTGGCCCCAGGGTGGAGGTGGAATTTAGAGCCTGCAGAGGACCAGGGTTCAGGTGTGAGTGGAAAGAACCTAGGAATACTGAGCCTGGCCCTTCAGGTGTCAGGACCGACCTGGGGTGACAGAGAATGTTTTGGAGTGGCCTGGGAGCCTGGGGCGGGGCTTCACAGGCCTCAGGAAGCTGGTTATGGGGCCCACCGGTGACAGAACAACAGTGGATCCCCCAGCCCTCTGCAAGGAGCAAGGGTAGCAGAGAAGCCAGATGCTGAGAGTTCCCCACCCACCTCTGGAACCTGTAGACCCCTGATGATCAGAGAGAAGGAAAGTGAGGTTGGAGAAGGGACAGACATTGAATGTTCCACCAACTCAGGAGAACAGGTGCCTGAGAGGGATTGCATTAGAATTAGACAATCAAGACATGACCTGTGACACCATTTAATGCCTCTAATGCCATGGAACACAGGGACTCAGTGGACAGGTGAGTACTTGCAACCTACTCAAGGAGGCTATGGAAGCTACTGTGTAGTTTGGAAGACTACGGCCTGGGAAAGCAAGCTCAGAGATGGTGGAGGATGTGAGTTGTGGAGAGTCAACCAGGCTGCAGCTTTGGACAGCTGGTGGGGCATAATGGGCGGTAGGGATAGAGGCAGTGTTGGGGGAGAGGAAAGCCCTTGGCAAGACATTTGAATTTGATCCAGGACACAGGTAAGACTCAGGGGAAGGTTTTAATCAATATCAGATATCTGACATTTTATCAATGTCAGAATATGGTGGCTTTGGAAGACAAGTTCAGGAGCTGGGTACAAGCCTGGGAATCACCAGGCTATTCTGGGGCCTGTTATGATGGCTTATAGCATAAGACATCTGGTGTGGTTTTATGCCATGGCGGCTGGCACTGCTTGGTTTCCAGTGCTTTGGGGGGTTCCTCAGAGCCTGCCCTTGTCCTGTGTTGCTATGGGTTATCACTGAAGACCAAGATCCCCTGTGAAAGTTTCTGCCTAAAGATACTAGAGGATCAGCTTCAGGCTCAATTCTGCCATTTTTTCAGACTCTTAACCCAAGGTACCTTAAGGTCAGTGCTCTTGACTGTTGGACCAGACTTTATAGGGGCAATTTGAAGCCACATGCCTCCATTGCAGGCAGTCTCATGGTCTTGAAAGACAACCCAGCTCCCAGGAGCGTTGTCAAAGTCTTCCCCAAACTTGGACCCAGTAGCTGTGTGGTGATTTGGGGAACATACCAGGACGACTCAGAAATCTGCATTCTACTTTTGAGCAGAAATGTCTGTGTCCCTTTCAGGGTACTCCATGATGCCGGGAATTCTGTGACAGACAGACATGTCTTCCCTTTGTTTTGAGAGCAGAATATTTCTTGCCTTTGTGTGTTCTGTGGGATGTCAGGCAATCAGGCCGGCCCCATCACAGCACTTTGCAGCTGTGATTCATGTAACATTTCATTTCAAGAAATGGCATTTCTTTAAGACTCGGCTGTAAAATGAGATGAGATGATAATGTGTTTTTAAAGTACTTAAGGAGAGTCAGAGACACAAGTGAGGTCATGTGCTTTAAATGTTACATGGAGCTGTTGACAGCCTGCTTTAAGATTTTTGGCATTTAAGTAAATTACAAGTGAGGAAAGAGGGTTCAATCAAGTCACCTTCTGACATGAAACTCCCTGCAGTCCTCTGCAGAACAGCCATGCAGCGGGACCAAAAAGTGGAATGATGCATTTGTGGGGCCTCTTGGTTGCTTTTCTTAGGCTCACTGTCTGTGCATAGGGAACAGCTCCGAAGGGAGGGAGCGCTGCCCTCCCTTCACTCTCTTCTCTCTCTCTTGCTTCTTGAAATTGTACACGGGGTAAGGGCAGCCCAGTGTTTCTTTCCATTTTCTGCTACCACATATACCACATATACCATCCCGCTGAACAGTCTCTAGGTAACAGGAGTTCCAGTCCTCAGCCTGCGGCCTCTCGATTTGAGGCAACATGTGGAACCATAAAGCATGTGAAATCAGTTCTTTTGGTATGTGTTATGTTGGGTTTGAGTCACTTAGAAAAATCAAAATATTCTAGTATGATACAGGGACATTTTTCCTTTCCATTCTTTTTAAATATTAATTGTTCTCAACTCTTTCCTTTTTAATTAAATTTTTGTTTCTATCACAATAGTGTCTGAACCTAGTTTTAAAACACAAATACATTATCGAAGGCCTAACAAAAAGCTCCCTTAAACTTTTTGTCTCATTAGAAAGCTATCCATTTTAATGGAAGAAAATTTTGAAAAATAAAAAAAGGTCTAAAAGAAAAATTTAGAACTAACATGCCTCATGTAACCTAAATGCTAACTCCGTAGACCATGTGCATATAGTTGGTCAATTAATTTGCAGGATATGCTTATTCTAAGTAAAATGTTTTTAATGACTATATATGTTTTAAGCCTTTTAATGTCTCACTAGATTTTTACGTAAACATCTTTTAAAAGTCATTAACATATCTGAATTCTGGAAATCCAGAATAGGTCTTACCCCACTGATTTGAGATTGGTAGTCTTTTTCCCTGCTTCTTTTGGGTCATCTTTTTCTCTGTATATAATTGAAAAAAAATAAAATTTGATTCATAATGTAAATTTTTAAAAACTAGGTAAAATTTCCCATCCCTTTCCACTCTTGTGTCCCACTTCCCAAAGACAAACACCTTAAAGAATCTTTAACTGTTTATTCCACTATTTTCTGTCATTTAACTGAAGAACATGCATATACTGTCATTTCTTGATTTATCGATTTTAGATGTTTTCTATTCCCTCCCTGTTTGTCTCTAAATCCTAAGAAGGATTTAGCTTTCTTACACGGTGTCTTCCTTCTGCCCCTCATCCCACATGCTTTCTCCCTTCTTCCTATTTTATTTGTATCCAAATATTTTTTACAAAATCCAATATTGGCATTGACATTATTATGTCGGAGCTGTAGAGCTGTAGAGTTTTCTATGGTTATATCCCACCAGATCTGTCTCACATTGCTCAATTTCATTTTCCAAAAGCCAGCTATATCAGAAAATTTATTAAATATCAATCAGTTCCTCCTTGTATCGGACTTCTCTCCCAGTCTTCATCATTCAGCTCCAAACTGGATGACGAGTACTCAGTGGGCATCTTGAGCTACACTCTGCATCATCCTGTGATTTTGCTGTGCATTTTCCTGGTAGAATCTTTTTCTCCTACGTCCCATGTCTTCATTCTTAGCTTAATTCCCTCTTTCTCTACCACTATTAGCTGTGAGATTTATGAGCAAATCACCTAATTTCTCTGTGCCCAGTTCCCTCTTTGTAAAATGGAGATGATAGGAGTACTCACCTCCTAGGGGTATGGCAAGGAGTAAACCAATTAATACACATAAAGTACTTCGAATAGTGCCTGGTGCAGAAGATGCTCTCTATGGACCAGCCATTGTTTTGTTAGGCTGCATCTGCCATTAGCTTCCTCAAAAGGGGTGCAGGGAAAGTAAGTTTTGAGAACATATCTAATAATATCGTTTCTTCCATTTTCCTTGATTGATCATTTGTATGAATAGCATTCTAGGCCGAGGATGATTTTCACTTAGAATTTGGAAGGCATTGCTCCATCTTCCATCTTCAAGCTGATGTTATTCTGATGGGCAATTCTTTGCACATGAGTTGTTATTTTTCTCTGGAAGCTTCGAGAATCTTAAGGTTTGGTTTTGAAATTGCATTTTCGTGACTCTTTTATTTTTCATTCATTATGCTGAGAATTTTCAGTTGGAAATGTATTACTGTTATCGGCATGATTATTCATAATTTCATTCCCTCTACTTTTTCTATTCTCTTCTTAGAACTTTTATTCATTGAATTTTTGACTTCTTGGGTTGATTTCCTGGAAGACTTATCCTTCCCTCTTCTAGTCCATCTTTTTGTTTTGTTTTGTTTTAATATTCTCTGGGCAATTTTTTTGACTCCATCTTCTGATATTTCTCAGGAATTTTATTTTTTTGTTTTGGTCTTGCCAGCAAGTGAGTGCTGCTAAAGGCAGCCTTCTAGTGGTCTGGGCATCACTTTCCCCTTGAACAATTTATAGCTTGCTTGTCTATGATGGGAATAATCTGTGCAAGATTTGCCTAGTTTTGTTTCTTCCTTTACTACTCTTTTTTTTTTTTAAAGTTTTTTTGCCTTAAGTCACAATTACACAAATATGGAGAATCATATGCAATTTTTAGTTAACAGTGGAAGTAATGGTGTATAATTACTCTAAATGCAAAGACTTAAGAGAATTTGTCCCCAGAAGGAAGCTTGTAGAAAAGCAAAATATGTTCGGTAAACATAGGAGAGTGTGAATGCTTGGGGAGAACCTTTTCTGTTTCTTCTGGGTTTACCCTGATTACCAGGGAGTCAACTTCAGCTGACAGCAGAGGGAGCTCAGCATGGAGTGGCCATGCAGGCTTTCTGAGATGGGTTCCAGAAGAACTTATGTCACCACTCCCTCCATTTACAAAGACAGCTTGAGAGGGGAGCAGGCAGAGGCCGCAGGATTCCTGGGGTAGTAATATTCCTCCTCTAGCCCTCCAGGGGAGGGGAGATAGTTGACACATTACCCCTCAAAAGAGGGGTTGCTGAAATTGCTCCTGAGGCTTAAGGGTAACCCTGAGTGTTAGTGTTTTCCAGAGAAAACAGAATTAATAGGTTGTGAATATGCATACAAGAAATTTATCATACGGAATTGGCTCACGTGATGATGGAGGCTGGCAAGTCCTAAGATCTGTAAAGTGAGTCGACAGGCTGGAGACCCCGAAGAACTGATGGCTTAGGTGTAGTCTGAAGACTGGCAAGCTCAAGACCCAGGAAATCTCACGTTTCAGTTTGAGTCCAAGGCAGGAAAAAGGCCAATGTCCCAGTTCAAAGCCATCAGGCAGAAAGGGTTATCTTTTACTCCAGGAAGGACCTATTCAGGCCTTCGGCTGATTGAACGAGGCCCACCCATGTCATGGAGGGCAATCTGCTTTACTTGGTCTACTGATTTAAATGTTAACCTTGGCTGGGTGCAGTGGATCACATCTGTAATCCCAGCACTTTGGGAGGCTGAAGTGAGGGATCTCTTGAGGTCAGGAGTTTGAGACCATCCTGGGCAACATAGTGAGACCCTCTCTCTACCAAAAAATATAAAATAAAATAAAAATTAAATATGAACCTTATCCAAACACACCCTCACAAAACACCCAGAATAATGTTTGTCCAAATATCTGGGCACCTTATGGCCCAGTCATATTGACATATATAATTAACTGTCACACCCTGGAACCCAGGACATGGGCCCAGATTGTTCCTGGAGTTGCTGATGGCTCAAGAAATGAAGCCCCTTGAATAACTGTGGGTTGGAGATGCTGGTGAGCTGAGGCCAGGGAAACACAGCAGAGCAGGTGGAACATTCCAGCGCAGAAGATGAAGACACTGGGTGAGGGGGAACCTCTGCAGTCAAGTGGGAAGGCATACAGTCCTGAAGGGGTACAGTGCCTAACACTGGGGGGTGCAGAGAGGAGAGGAGAAGCAATGCTGCCATGCCCTGTGCCCGATGAGTGACCATTGCTTGGTAGCTCATGTTGCCTAACTAAGAACATGCTGGGCAGAAATCCTTGTTATAGGACAAACAGCCCAATAGACAGCACCAGCTTTCAATGATTGCATCTGCACAGAGAGGTAGTGATGGTCAGCAGAAAGGAAACTGTGCCCTCATAATGCACATGTGCACACAGGCACACACATACATTCATGCACACATGCACACACATGCACACATGCATACACATGCATATATACACACATAAAAGCACTGGAATACACACCATGGAAGCAGTGTTGGAACATAGTGTGAGGTTCCATGGTGTAATGGTGAGCACTCTGGACTCAGAATCCAGAAGTAGTGCTGGAACAAAGAGAAGAGGAATGAGAGAGCAGGCCCCACTCTCCCTTCTGTATCTCAAGCATCTTCAAAAAACTTCTCCTGGATGGGGCATGAACCCTGGACTGAGACTTTGCTTGAACTGACCACTAATAGTTATACTTCCTGAATTTCACTGAGTGTTAACTAGAGACAAAAAGCTTAAGTTGAAACTGGAATGGGCTCAGATACTGAATGGGCAAAAACTGGAAGCATTCCCTTTGAAAATCGGCACAAGACAAGGATGCTTTCTCTCACCACTCCTATTCAACATAGTGTTGGAAGTTCTGGCCAGGGCAATCAGGCAAGAGAAAGAAATAAAGGGTATTCAATTAGGAAAAGAGGAAGACAAATTGTCCCTGTTTGCAGATGACATGATTGTATATTTAGAAAACCCCATCGTCTCAGCCCCAAATCTCCTTAAGCTGAGAAGCAACTTCAGCAAAGTCTCAGGATACAAAATCAATGTGCAAAAATCACAAGCATTCCTATACACCAATAACAGACAAACAGAGAGCCAAATCATGAGTGAACTCCCATTCACAATTGCTACAAAGAGAATAAAATACCTAGGAATCCAACTTACAAGGGATGTGAAGGACCTCTTCAAGGAGAACTACAAACCACTACTCAATGAAATAAAAGAGGACACAAACAAATGGAAGAACATTCCATGCTCATGGATAGGAAGAATCAAAATCGTGAAAATGGCCATACTGCCCAAGGTTCAGTGCCATCCCCATCAGGCTACCAATGACTTTCTTCACAGAATTGGAAAAAACTAAAGTTCATATGGAACCAAAAAAGAGCCCGCATAGCCAAGACAATCCTAAGCAAAAATAGCAAAGCTGGAGGCATCATGCTACCTGACTTCAAACTGTACTACAAGGCTACAGTAACCAAAACAGCATGGTACTGGTACCAAAACAGAGATATAGACCAATGGACCAGAGCAGAGCCCTCAGAAATAATACCACACATCTACAACCATCTGATCTTTGACAAACCTGACAAAAACCGAGAAATGGGGAAAGGATTCCCTATTTAATAAATGGTGCTGGGAAAACTGGCTAGCCATATGTAGAAAGGTGAAACTGGATCTTTTCCTCACACCTTATACAAAAATTAACCCAAGATGGATTAAAGATTTAAATGTAAGACCTAAAACCATAAAAACCCTAGAAGAAAACCTAGGCAGTACCATTCAGGACATAGGCATGGGCAAAGACTTCATGACTAAAACACCAAAAGCAATGGCAACAAAAGCCAACATTGACAAATGGGATCTAATTAAACTAAAGAGCTTCTGCACAGCAAAAGAAACTATCATCAGAATGAACAGGCAACCTACAGAATGGGAGAAAAATTTTGCAATCTACTGATCTGACAAAGGGATAATATACAGAATCTACAAAGAGCTTAAACAAATTTAGAAGAAAAAAACAAACAACCCTATCAAAAAGTGGGCAAAGAATATGAACAGACACTTCTCAAAAGAAGACATTTATGCAGCCAACAGACACATGAAAAAATGCTCATCATCACTGGTCATCAGAGAAATGCAAATCAAAACCACAGTGAGATACCATCTCATACAATGAGAATGACGATCATTAAAAAGTCAGGAAACAACAGATGCTGGAGACGATGTGGAGAAATAGGAACAATTTTACACTGTTGGTGGGAGTGTACATTAGTTCAACCATTGTGGAAGACAGTGTGGCGATTCCTCAAGGATCTAGAGCTGGAAATACCATTTGACCCAGCGATCCCATTACTGGGTATATACCCAAAGGATTATAAATCATGCTGCTATAAAGACACATGCACATGTATGTTTATTGCGGCACTATTCATAATAGCAAAGACTTGGAACCAACCCAAATGTCCATCAATGATAGACTGGATTAAGAAAATGTGGCACATGTGCACCATGGAATACTATGCAGCCATAAAAAGGATGAGTTCATGTCCTTTGCAGGGACATGGATGAAGCTGGAAACCATCATTCTCAGTAAACTATCACAAGGGCAGAAAACCAAACACCGCATGTTCTCACTCGTAGGTGGGAACTGAACAATGAGAATACATGGACGCAGGGCAGGGAACATCACACACCGGGGCCTGTCAGTAGGTGGGGAGCTGGGGGAGGGATAGCATTAGGAGAAATACCCCATGTAAATGACGAGTTGATGGGTGCAGCAAACCAACATGGCACATGTGTACCTATGTAACAAGCCTGCACGTTGTGCACATGTACCCTAGAACTTAAAGTATTAAATATATATATATTTATTTATTTATTTATTACTGGATGATGGCGTGTAAACTGATTGGGCTAAATGCAGTCTTCTTGGTATGAATGGGATTGGAGAGTTTGTCCAAGAGCAGAAAACGAGCTTCACGCTTGTTCGTCACTGAACTGAGACTTTTCAACCAATCCTGTCATTTGGAGAACTGTGAATAGTGGTTATCTACCAGGGTATGTGTGGAAAATGATAAGAGACTTTAAAATATTCTACATTATAGATTATTGTAATATTTTATTTTATTTTTATAATTAGTGTGTTATTTTTGTAATTATAAAATGACAACAAAATGTCATTAAAAACTCAGAAGCAGGCCAGGCGTGGTGGCTCATGCCTGTAATCCCAGCACTTTGGGAGGCCGAGGTGGGTGGATCATTTGAGGTCAGGAGTTTGAGACCAGCCTGGCCAACGTGGCAAAACCCCGCCTCTACTAAAAATACGAAAAAATTAGCTGGGAGTGATGGTGCGTGCCTGTAACCCCAGCTAGTCAGGAGGCTGAGGCAGGAGAATTGCTTGAACCTGGGTGATGGAGGTTTCAGTGAGCAGAGATTGCACCACTGCACTCCAGCCTGGGCCACAGAGTGAGACTCCATCTCAGAAAAAAGAAAAAAAAAAAAAAGAAGTGAATTAGCTGGCATCCAATCAGTTTGCTCATGGCCTGTGGATGTGGGCGTACCTGTCAGCAAGCTGATGGAGCCCTTACATACAAGGAGGCCTGGGGAAGGCCAGGGGGGTGGGGAGTGGAGATCAATGCAAACCCATCACCACCCCTAGAAAATTGATTCAAAGCTCCCCTTGATGGATGATTGAGCAGCTCCATTTTCAAATATAACACAAGAGTACAGTGATCATTTAATGTATTATCCAAACTGGACATTTTGAGAGTAAGCAGGGACACTAGTGATAATTCCATGGCAAACTGGCATAGGAGACTCGCACAGCCCTGAGTATATGCCATGTGGCTGTGTTCTGGGAGTGGAGTTCACCTTAGGGTGGTGCCCTTGTTCTCCAGAGAGGGTCTGGGCACCCTAAAATGGTCCATGTAGTGAATTTCAGTGATCAGAAAGACTCTAGGCTAGCACTGCCCAGTAGAAATGTAATGTAAGACACATGTAATTTTAAAAATTTCTAGGAGACCCTTTAAAAGAGAAAAAGAAACTGGTGAACATAATCTTAATAACATATGGCATTTAACCCAATATATCCATGTGGTATGCAGAATAATGACCCCCAAACATGTCCACGTCCTAGTCCCTGCCAGCCATGAATATGTTATCTTATGTGGCAAAAGGGACTTTGCAGATGCGGCTAAGTTAAAGACATTGAGATGGGAGATAATTCTGAATTATCTGGGCCTGATATGATCACATGAGTCCTTAAAAGCAGATAACCTTTACTGGCTGTTGTTAGAAGGAGGTTTGATTTCAGAAGAATGGGTCAGACAGATGGGATGTTGCTGGCTTTGAAGACGGAGGAAGCGGGGGACCATGAGCCCAGGAATTCAGGTGGCCTCTAGAAGCTGCAAAAAGCAAGAAAGCAGATTCTCCCCAGAGCCTCCAGAAGGAATGCAGCCCTGTTGATGTTTTGATTATAATTTAGTGAGATCCATTTCAGACTTTTGGCCTCCAGGACTGTACGATAATACATTTGTTTAAATATATTTTACATGTTTTAAAAGTTGTTTAAAGCCACGAATTTACACTAGCAATAGGAAACATACAATCTAACATATTGTCATTTCAACATTTGATCATATAAAAATTATTAACAAGATATTTTACATTATTTCATGCTAAGACTTAAAGCAGATCTCAGATCTCAACTCAGGCTAGCCAACATGTCAGGCACTTAGTGGCCACATGTGACTAGTGGCTACCATACTGAACAGCACAGTTCTAGAGCCTTTTCCCTGGATTCTGAAATCCGAGGTCCCAGCTCAAGGTATCCCTCCAGAGCATCACTCTAGAGTAGCCCTGATTCCATCCAGTAGCAGTTTGTCTCTGTGTGAGTCTGTGTGTGTATATATGCCCACATATGTATGTGTGTATGTGTGTGGGGTTATTTCCATGAGCACTTATGCTATGCCTGTGGGAGGAAGCCTTGGCCGACATCTCAGATACCCCAGGAGACAAGGGACAGTTTTTGCAGGTGCTAGTTGTCTCCTCAGCAAAAACCAGCTTGCAAATTGGTCTCCTGCTAAAGATCCCTTATCACTGTGCCTGGATCTCTCAGCTTAAGCCACGAGCTATTTCCTTGACCTGTGGCTGCCTCTGGGTCTCCAAGGAGTTGGTTTGTAGGGAGACAATATTACCTTTTGATCTGCCATTGCTTGTACCTGCATTGGAGTCACCCCAGGATGGCAGCACCACTGTGGGGACAGTGTGTGAATGAGACTGAAAGAGGAATGACAAAACCATTGTGTTCCACCGAGGCAGAGCAAGAAACACCTTTGTTGTATCTTACTTGGGTCAGATTTTCAGGGGTGTTGCATGTCCTGTGGCTCTGCATTAGGTTGTGGGGAGGACGCACAGAGCAGCTGCAACTCTGGCAGACAGAGCTTGTTGTGAAGAGGACTGAGTCAAGGATATGTCTGTGATGAGACTCACATTTCATCCAAGGTGACAAGCATTCAGATCGCTCCTCCTGTCCTCTCCTAAAGCAAGATCCACAATGATCAGGTCACACAAGGAATGGGCCAGCATGGCTGCAGGGTAGGCAGCTAAGACATCTGTTTCATTTGTTGGCCTATTCTCTCTGTAGGGAGGAAACCCAGAGGAGAGTAGTGGGCACTGGATTCCTAACTCCTCATATAATGGCTGCTGAGAATATTAGATGTGCAAAAAGGTCACAGGAGACATATTGCACTTGCTAGAGGTTTTGCTGCTGTCACAAAGCAAGCAGAAACAAACCCTCCTGCCCTCCCCCTTCCCTGAAAAAGTATATGCTATTTGCCTCTGATTAGATTTCTTGGATAAATGACCCTTCACCTGGGCAAATAATCCCACTGTCCCCCTGCTTTTCTTGGGTCCCTGCTTCTGACTGTAATTCATTTATCTCTGGCACATGTTGTTTTGTATTTCTGATAAGACTCGGGTGAAAAATAGGGTGGCAGCTGAATTTATTGACGCAATTTGCTCATGTAATCTATGCTGTTGGTGATTCTGAAATGCATGCAAAGGCATTAGCCTCCTAATTATGGATTTTCATGTGATTGTTTGAAATGCAGATGGTCAGTCAGCTCCTGAGCTGGGGACCTCGATCTAGGGGTGGTGGTGGCGAAGTGCTGGCGATAGAACTATTACGACTGCAGAAAGAATGAGATGTTTAGTATTTATGGTCTGTTTTTTTCCTGGGTAGATATCGGGGAAGTTGTAAAACCCTTAAAGTCTACAAAGAGTCATACATAGTGCTGTAATACACTCTGTATCCATGGGGTATTAGTTCCAGGACCTCTGAGGATACAAAAATCCTTAGAAGTTCAAGTCTCTGATATAAAATGGCATAGTATTTGCATATAATCTATGCACATATTTTCATAAGCTTCAGATCATCTCTAGATTACTTATAATACCTAATACGATGTAAATCCTATATAAATAGTTGTTAGACTGTATTGTTTATTATTTGTAATAATTTTTGTTGTTGTATTGCTGTTTTTATTTTTATTTTTCTTGGATATTTTTGATCCAAGGCTGGCTGAATCTACAAATAAAGAACCTGGGCTACGTTGGGCCAACTGTAAATAAAACTTACTCATTAAACAGGGTATGGAAAATTTGACCAGGGAAGGTCTAGTCTTAATACCACTGTGCCCTTATTTTCAGCCAGCCATCTCCCCTAAGTTTTGGCTGTGTGTGTGTATGTGTGTGTTGGAGCATGTGTGGAGAAGTAGTAGTGTTCTCGAGAGGAGAAAAGTGTGAGAGCATGGAGCACTCTCACCTTGCATTTTGTTCTCATCCTTTCTTCTCAAGGAGCACTTATAGGCTTTGTGATGGTTAAACCCACAGGTAAAAGCGCTAGCCCTTTTCTAACATTAATGGGTTACTACAAGGCAAGGTGTGAGCTTACATTGGACATCATATTTTGAGAAATAATGAATGATGCTCTGGCTGGACTGTAGGGTTGAGGGATTCTTACAGAGAAGAGCTCAGTAGATTTTTTTCCCTCCGTCTAGGAAGAATGCCCACAGCTGCCACATTGCTACCTGCTTAGTGCAGCTTGTGGCTACTTGCAACTCGGCTCACAGTCACCCGTTTTCCGGGTATACCTAAAGCTCTTACTCGTGACCCTACTCTGTGACTTGGCATTCAAAGCCCTCCAGGATTTGGCTACAACTCTCTTTTATAAGCTCCTTTGCTTCTCTGCCCCTGCCTGCACCCTGTGCTCCAAGCAAGTTAAATGCCTCCCTCTTCCCTACACAGCCTCATCCTCCCCCACGTTGTGGCTTTGCTCGCGCCTGCTATGTTTGACAGTGACTCTGCTTTTCTACCTCCATGTGCCCAAATACTTTGTACTTTCAGGTTTAATGCATACCTCATCTCTCCATAAAACCATGCCTTATCCCTTCTATCTCAATGTTACCTCTTTCTCCTCTGAACTCTTATAATATTTTATCTGTCTCTCTCAGGACCACCTCTTACTCCTTTGGTTAGTTATTGATGTTCACGTCTCATTTCTCCCATTAGATTGTAAGTTTCTTGAGGGCAGGGCCCATATGAAATTTATCTGTCCCTCAAGTGGCATCCTGCACATAGTGGGTACCTAGCCACCATTTGTTGACTAAATGAATGAAAACAGCATTAATCAAAAGCTTTGGAGATTGACATTCTTGGAGAAATGTTGGTCAAAGTGCATTCCAAGGACCATTTACTTGGGGTGGGGACAGAAGCTTGTTGAAAATGCAGACTCATGGATCCTACTAAGATTTACCAGATCAGAGTCTGTGGAAGGTGAGGCCTGGAAATTTGTGCTTTAAATAAGATTCCTGAAAAGTCCGATGTTCAAAAGCCCATAGATTTGCAAAAAAATATTCAGTCCAGTTGGAGTCAGGCCCTTTAAGCTAAGCACATAGAAAGTGAGAACTAGGGGCTAGGGAAATGTTAGTCCACAGATACCAGAGAGGGCATTTGTATCAGCTTTAAAGCTGGAAAAGGGAAGTTGACATGAATATTAGTTATGATTTGTAGGAAGTCTGTCATCTAATGCAGAGAAGCCTTTGAAACATGCATTTCAGGGTAAACAGTTTATTATGTGTGTTGTCCATCCAACACTCTGTGTTGCCAAGGCTTGGTTCCAGATTCGGAAGAGACTCCTATTGGAAAATTCAAAGGCCATTGGTTTATTGAACAGAACTGGGAGCTCGCTTATTTATTTATTTATTTATTTATTATTATTTTTTTTTTTTGGAGACAGGGTCTCTCTCTGTCACCCAGGCTGGAGTGCAGTGGTGTGATCGTAGCTTACTGCAGCCTTGAATTTCTGGTCTCAAGCGATTCTCCTGCCTTAGCCTCCTGAGTAATTAGGACTACAGGCACATACTACCACACCTGGCTAATTAAAAAAAGTTTTTTTTTTAGTGATGGGATCTCACTATGTTGCCCAAGCTGGTCTCAAATTCCTGGTGTCAAGCTATCTTCCTGCCACAGCCTCTCAAAGCCCTGGGATTACAGTTGTGAGCCCTGTTCCCTGCCAGGAGTTCACTTATTAATTTAAAAAAATTTTAAGTAAGTAAATAAGAAAAATCAGCCAGGCTATAGAAGTCAGAGTGAAAAAAATTCAGCTTGGTCGCAAAAGAAAAAACACCATACAGCATCCAAGTGAATATTTTTAATGCTTATAAAATTTTAATAGGAAGTGTGAGATGGATTTTTGCAGGCTTTAGTTACTACAGCCAATTGGTAACTAAGGAAATACTCTATTCTTCCCTACTGATTTTTCCAGGTGATTTAAACCAAGGATAAAAGCCCTCAAGAATTTGTTTTTAAAGTAATATCTCTAGCTGTCTAGGGAGAAAGGAAATAAAATGAAAGTCACTCCTCTCTTTACATAAAAAACCTTTCCCTGAAGAAAAGTAGTGTGGTGGTCAGTGGTGTTAAGAAAAGGTAAAAATGGACAAGTATTTTTAAAATGACGGTATAACTAGGGTACTGCTAATATTTAGAAAGACAGACAATTATAACAGTTGAGCTGCAGAGAAAATGGCTCAATGTTCTATTTTCAGCTTTTCAACAGGTCAGAGTCATCTAATGAGGGCCGTGGCAGGGTGGCAGGCACACTTCCAGCCGAACTGGTTGTACAAGCTTCTTGTACTAAAAGCAGTCTAGAAGAACCTTCCTAGCATCGAAGCAGCAGGGAGAAGAGCCTGTAGGACCCATTTTTCTAAACACTGTGCTCTTCTTTTTCCTTTTAATTTTCAACTTGGTGTCCATTAGGAGATTTACCTGGCTGCATCATTCAGACGGTAGTTATTGAGTTTCCGCTTAGCCAAGGGCTGTGTTATGTATTTTCTCTGCCTCTCATGTCCTGAGCCAATTTGCCTTATCCAAGCACATCTCTGTTATTATTCTGGAAATTGGGCCATCCTGACAGTCTCAGACAGAGCCACCTCAGCTCTGATTTATTCTGCGAATGTCTTGCTTAAAGGCACAGAGGCAAACCTCTTCAGAGGTATATTTCTCCTGAGTATAAATGCAGTTGTATGTATAGGATTGACAAATTCAGGTTTTTTCCTGCTGTCTGAAATACGGTGCCCCTCTTACCTCAAAAAAGCAAACAGCACAACCTATACTGTGCATGGCTAACAAGACCACCAAATCACAGTGACAGTGGGTGCCTGATGGGATGTGTACCTGAGAGAGCCCCATCTGGGGTCCCCTATCTAGCACTGAACTCAGCAACCATAGCTCTATTAAACAACTTCACCTGCATGACGTCCTTATCACAGAATTGTTGTTCCCCAGGACCGAGACAGAGATTAAAGTAGGTAGGTGGGGAGATGGGATCAAGGTCCCTGCTGGTGTTTCGTTGCTGTGACAATATCCAACCCTATGGGATTGTAGCTCAAGTAGATACTTAGATCAGGCTCCTCTGAGGAAGATTACAGGCAGTTCTTATTTCTGGAGAACTTATATGTGTGAGCCTGGCATTATCACCTTGACTAATGAGTGTTAAAAGAGAAATCAGAATCCCTGAGGACCTCCCGAGAAGAGCTTTTCAGGAAAAAAAAAATGACACAACACCCGGTGCTGACTTTCCCAGTTGCTCAGTCTCCCTCGAGTCCTCGGGGCTTGTGATGTACACCAAGCTTCCGTAATGTCTATCAATTACTTTGGAAGGTAGAGGGCACCGTGAAAACTGTAACAGTGAGTCTTCCTTCCAGCTGTGAACACTAAGCAAATTCGTACCTTCACTCTTCCCCACTTACTCCTCCCTGGCTTTGATCTCAAACTGGTCCTGTCTGTTCTTTACTAGTTACTTATGGTATGGTTTTTGGATCAGGATACTGGCTACAAAGGTTTAAAGTCTGGAAAATAATTTGCCAAAGTAACACCCCAAAGGATACTTCCTGGATAGATAGATTAGACTATCATCTCCCTACCCAGTGGGCAATGGGAGCGTTACTAATGGTGAGCAACTGAGTGTGAAGTGTCTGCTGATGTGGGACAGTGTAAAGCATTCCACAGCTTTCCGGATGGATTCTAGCCTAGAAATGTTGGAATCTAATCCCTTGGATCTGATTTCCAGTTCACAGGGAATATAGAGATGGAAGAACAAGCTTAATAACTGAGGACCTGGGTGTGGTAGCTCCAGCCTGTGGTCCCAGCTACTTAGGAGGCTGGGGTGGGAAGATCATTTGAGTTTGGGAGGTGGAGGTTGCAGTGAGCCGAGACTGCACCACTGCACTCCAGCCTGGGTGACAGAGCAAGAAACAAAACAAACCAAACAGAAAACTTGTCTCAAAACAAAACAAAACAAACAACACCCCCCACCCCCAAAAAAACTGAACATCTAAGGAAGCAACAAGGCAAATAATTCCAGAGGCTGGGTCTTTAACTAGACAACTGGCCTAGACTCTTCAATCAGTGATGAGCAGTAAGAGACGAGTGTTCTAGATTTAAAGAGATTTTAAAAACATTACAACCAGATACAGCGTGTGGTCCTGGATTGGATGTGGTTTAGCTAAACTCCTAAAATAACAGATGTTTTGGGGACAATGGAGAAAATTGGAAAGGCATTAAATAAGAAGAAAATTGATTGACATGGAAAGATGACTGATTTTATATATGTATATATATATATACTTATAAGAGTATACCTGTATATGTATATATAAAATACATATATATGTACAGAGAGAAAGTGTGGGAGGATTTGCACATTGGGGTTAACTGTGGTAATCTTGGGGGAATAAGAATATGATGGTTTGATTTTCCTTTTTTTCTCATCAACACTTTCTAATTTTTTCTTTGTTTTTTGAGACAGAGTCTCGCTCTGTCGCCTAGGCTGGAGTGCAGTGGTGCAATCATGTCTTACTGTAGCCTCAACTTCCCGGGCTCAAGCAATCCTCCTGAGTAGCTGGGACTACAGATGTGTGCCACCATGTTTGGCTAATTTTTAAATTTTTTGTAGAGATGGGATCTCACTATATTGCCCAGGCTGATCTCAAACTCCTGGGCTTAAGTGATTCTCCCCCCTTCACCTCCCAAAGTGCTGGGATTGTAAGCATGAGCCACTGGGCCCAGTTAACATTTTCTAATTTTCTGATATTGAAAAGAGATTGCTTTCGTGATCACGAAAGATTCATTAAAAAAATATTTTTTAAAAGAAAAAAACCCAAAAAACAGGAAATACCTTTCCAGGCAGCAATAATGAAAAAGAGCCTTGAGGCGAGGTCAGCCCAGCTGCTAACAAAAGACGTGTGAACACCTCCTGCCAGGCCTAGGACTTACTAGGAAGACCCCAGCAGAGACCATAATTCCATAGCGTTGTAGCCCCACTTTTTTTCATTTTGAGGCGCAGGTGAACAATTTAAGATTTGTCACAATGTAATTGAATGTGCAGAGTGACTTCCCACTGATAGTGATTGCTGAAAAAGAGTAGGGGAGGGGATTGGGAGGGCGGTGCAGGTTTTCTGCTCAGGCCGATGCTGAGTCCTGGGTGGGAAGCACGGAGCAGGCCTCTTCTACGCGGGGTCTTGATAGCTCTGCTGATGACCGGGTAAACCCCATGGGGCCAGATTTTATCAGTGATGTATTTTCTTCACTGAGAAGAATATCATGTAAGAGGCAAATAAACGTCACACAGTTTTTGCAGACCCACCCAAACATAAAATGACATTTGTATGCTGAAATAATAACCAGAAATTTCTATGCTCTAACCAATGAGTCCTTTCTCCCAGGCAGATTAGAGACACTGGAGGATGAATCTGAATATTCAAATGAATGTCCACCCTGGTGTGTAGCAAGGGGGGAAGGGGCAGAACTGGCCAGGGGCTTCTCTGATCACGTTTTGATGATAAATGCAGGATAACGAAGAAATGAAAAGCAAAGAGAAGAACTAGAGGGGGAAAGAAGGCTCACTGCACAGTAACTTCAACCGTGATCGGCCGGGTCACATCTGCCCTGCGGGAGGGAGGTGAAAAGGCGGAGGGTACACTCTGTTCCTTAGTGAAATCGCTTAGGCACAAATCAGATCAGCTGGCCTGTCTGGCTGAGACCCAGGACCTAGAGGGACCAAATTGGCAGACCTGCTTTCCAATATGTAGGTAATCACATTATCATCATTGCTTGGGGTAAGACGGATGGTTTTTACAGAATAGCCCTGATTGTGAAAGGCTGTTTGTGGGTGTGTTTGGCAGAATATTTTATACCCTCAAGATGTGCAGTTTAAATTAGATGGTGAGAAAAACCTAAATGCATAAAAAATAGGACTATTAAGAGAGAAAACTGACGTTTGGCTCTTGTGAGGCTGTTTAACATCACATGCTCTAGGATCTCAATATCGATGTTCAGTATTGTCCATCTCAGCAGCAGGGTGATGTTAGATAACACGTTTGAACTGCTTTTTACCACTCTACTAAGTTTTTTTTTTTTTTTTTTTTTTTTTTGAGACAGTTTCACTCTTGTTGCCCAGGTTGGAGTGCAGTGGGGTGATCTTGGCTCACTGCAACCTCCGCCTCCCAGATTCAAGCGATTCTCCTGCCTCAGCCTCCCGAGTAGCTGGGATTACAGGCGCCTGCCACCATGCCTGGCTAATTTTTTGTATTGTTAGTAGAGATGGGGTTTCACCATGGTGGCCAGGCTGGTCTCGAACTCCTGACCTTGTGATCCACTTGCCTTGGCCTCCCAAAGTGCTGGGATTACAGGCATGAGCCACCGCACCTGGCCTCTATTAAGATATAAAGCTGTTAAATGGATTACCTTGAAAGACATGATTTTTGTACATTAAATATGGTCAAATAGCAGTAATTTCATATGATTTGATCTAATAATTGACCTTTCCTTTAGAAGAGCTTAGATGTGGGTTGAGAGACAGAAGAGTAGCTTATCAACAGACATAAAATTATTAAGAACTAGAATTAAGAGGCCTTTCTTTGAAGTCAGTAACACAAAGATTTGTTCATGCTCCTTAAGGTTTTTCCTTGACTGACTCCATGTGGGTGAATCTTTTTCTCTAGATGAAGCACACCGTCCAATGTTTAAGCCACAAGGGAAAATGAACCCAGTTACTATTTAATACATGCAACTCAGATTTATCCCAAAATATGATGATCTACCTTGACCCGCCACCTTTTTCCAAGAGTTGACACTGTAAGTTTTCTAGAAAAAACTCCACTCTCGCATGACCAAGATTTGTGTGTGTGATCAACATTTAGAAGAACGTGCTAAAGAAGACACTGAAGACAATTCCCAAACAAGAGTTAATATCTGAGCTGCGGCAGCATCCTTGCCACAAAAACGCAGCTCCCCAAGCAACACAGGGCTCACTTAGATGTGTAAGCTCTGGTTGTGTTTCTTTTAAAATCAGTCGCATTACTTTATAGTCACATCTTGTGAGAGAGGGCTCAGGGTCTCCAGCATCCCTGGAGAGGCATCTTCTTCCTTCTGCTTGAATTTTCCTCAATCTTCTATCCCGTTTGAATGGCTGTGACCTGTTAGGGATTTTATTTGATTTTTAGGGCTTTACTATTGTATTCATCTTGATGCTCCTCAGATAGTGTTTGTCCTAATCATTGTTTCTAGTACAAAGCCAAGTTGAACTGCTGGAATTATGGAGCAAAATACTGAACTGATATTTTCTTCCTTGTTATTGGCTTGCTGTTCTACAGGCTAAAGGAAAGTCATGACTTTCCAGGCACAGTTAAATAAATGGTCATAGTTAGTCCAAACTATCTTGAGAGATGACCAAAGTTTGGGTCTCAGTTCTGACCTAACTTGCTGTGTCATATTTGGCAAATTTATTAACCTCTGGCAACACCAGTTTCTTTCTTAAGAAAATGAAAGATTGAAATAGATAATCTCCCAGTTATTGTCTGATTCTAAAATAATACAAGTCTATATAAAACCTTGTATAAAGTTAGGCTGTTATTTAAATTATTGTATCATCCTTTAGACATTCACTTTTATGGAGAGGAAAAGAGAGAAGGTAGCTCAGAAATAGGTTGGTAGGAAAATTCAGGTTTTAAAAATGGTTGGTGGCATTTGAGTTGTATAGAAATAATTTAGATTTGAGTATTTTTTGAACATATAGTCTTTTTTTTTTTTTTTAAAGACAGGGTCTTACTGTGTCACCCAGGCTGGAGAGCAGTGGTGAGATCATGGCTCACTGCAGCCTAAACCTCCTAGGCTCAAGTGATCTTCCTGCACCAGCCTCCGGAGTCACTAGGACTATAGGCACATGCCACCATGCCCAGCTATTTTTTTTATTTTTTGTAGAGACGAGGTCTCACTGTGTTGCCCAGGCTGGTCTCAAACTCCTGGGCTCAAGTGATCCTCCTGTCTTGGCCTCCCAAAGTGCTGAGATTATAGGCATGAACCACTGTGCCTGGCTAGATATATTCATCTTTGTAGGAAAACATTATAATAGGAGAGCTCCAGGAATTCTGGAGGATTGCTTCTGACACCCAAAGCTTCTCACTTTTTTTAGTACATTTGAAAATTGGAATTCATGCAAAAAGAGTTAGTCATTTATATTGGAATAAGTTCACGGTCACCTTGAAGTTTCTTTTTGTACATGGAGGATGACGTGCCTGTTTTACTGTCTTGTCTAAGAGCTGAGCAATTAGGCAGAAGAATGGCATTTACGGAATTTTTGGCATTAGATTTCGGGCTGATATTGATTGGAATATTTCAAGTTGTCATCTTGAGCTTCAGGCGTCAATCAGTGCCCTAGCCTGGGCGGGAACAAGGAGATTGCTCCAGGAAGTTTGGGCTTGAGCATGCTCGCTGGTGACATCCTGCCACCTTGTGGCCAGCTCTGGACTTCAGCATTAGGCCTCGTCCCCTAAGTGGCCAGGCTGCTTTCCGCTGTGCCCAAGCTGCAAAAGCAATCTGTGACAATCATTTCCAGGCTTCTGGATTGACAGCACGATTCTATGGGTTCTATTCATTATTTATAGATTCTTCTATTGATCATAAAATATTTGTGTTGCACCCCTGTCCCAAAGGAGTTTCCATATTCCTTTTATTCTTTAAGAGCGCTCGCGTAGCTGATAGGACAGCAGAAATGGAAAAAGGTTAAGTGTTGGAAATGTCAATCTTGATTCTGCTCTGAAATTGATTCTTGCTTCAGGCAAGCCCCAGATCTGGATCCCAGGTTCTTCCTGGTTCTGCAGATTAAACTACTCATCCCTGGGAAGAGCACTGAACCCATCCTCCACTAATGGAGCATTTTACTAGTGTGATCGCATTTCACACCGTCTGTCTGTGGTAGACATTTTTGTCTTCATTTTGTAAGTTTACTGAGGTTCCGAGACACTGAGTAACTTGTCCAAGGCCACACAGGTGATAAACAGTAGAACTGAGACCCAAACCTAAGTAACCTGACACACTCTTAACCCCTTTGCCCTGTGTCTGTGAAATGAAGTAAAAACACCTTACTACACACACACGGCAGGTGTAAGATCAAAGGAGATAAAAATGCAAATGAAAGCATTTCATAATGAAAAATATCTATCCACATGTTGGTTGACTTTTAAAATGCCCATTATTACTATTGTTATGCATGCTGTCGAGATTATTGTTAATGGCAGGCCAAAATTTTCTGTTTCATAAGTGGAAGAGTGAGTCCTCAGAGGGAAATATTCAAAATTGATTAAAAGGTTATTTGCAGTTGCTATTAATGATGTTCTCTAATCCTCTCATTTTCCCATTTGCTGCCCAGTTTCGAATGAAGCTGATCCTAATTAGAGATTCCATTTGTAGGAAAAATAACTTGTGTGTGCATTCAGTATGTAAATTAAAAGTGGCTTTTAGTAGTTAGGGAGATAATAACTAAACCAGTGTGATAAACTTCTGAGATTTTCGCCTGTGGCTGCCCAGGTGAATTGAGCAGTTAATTTAGATTAAAGATGAGAAAAGATGCTCAGCCATTCTTACTGGGGGATAAAGAGGACTTCATTTTGTGTTCTGTTCGGGTGGGACTAGAATTATTCGGAATGACTGGCTATCCTGAAGATATCCACGCACCCCTCTACTTCACCGATGTAGGTACAGTATTTGCATCATGAAAATAGGTAATGCTTAAGGTAAAACAAACAAACAAAAATTAGCGTAGACTTCTTTTTCTCAAAGCCAGTGTTGGGTTATAGGAAAGAATATATTAGCAAAACCTAGTCATAAGTTATAAAGGAACCATGTTGGATGCAAAGTGTGTAATTGTCTGCCATAGGTGGTGCAAATTCACCACTCATTCCCCACACAGTATGTTCATACGTCATCCCTTTAACAGGTTAAGGCAAGGAAGAGAACCAGGTTTGACCAGCGAATCTTTGTGGCAGGATCCTCCTTGAAATGCCCTAGAATCGATGGAGCAAATATGAGGATCTATATCAGCAAGCATCTCACTTAAGTGCTTAAATTTGCTGAAAATGTATCCCGTGGCTTCAGGGATGCCTGTCACTGCCTCTGGGTTGGGATCCATTCTGGTTTCCTTTATGAGACATAAATTGCTGATGCTTGCCACTTTGTATTCACAGTTGAGGTGCATGAATCCTAAGTTAAATATTTATATTTTTTGTTTCCTATGCCTTATGTATCTGAGTTTTGTTCATATCTACCTGTATTTTATATTTAGAAATATGCAGACAGTAGAAGTAAAATATCACACATTGAGTTTCTCCTCCTCCTACATGCATGTGCGTGCAAAGACACATGCTTTTATTTTTATTTATTTATTTTTTTGAGACAGAGTCTCACTCTCTTGCCTAGACTGGAGTGCAGTGGCAGGATCTCAGCTCATTCCAACCTCCACCTTCTGGGTTCAAGTGATTCTCCTGCCTCAGCCTCCTGAGTAGCTGGGATTACAGGCGCCCGCCACCATGCCCAGCTAATTATTGTATTTTTGGTAGAGAAGAGTTTTCACTATGTTGGCCAGGCTGGTCTCGAACTCCCAACCTCAGGTGATTTGCCCGCCTCGGCCTCCCAAAGTGCTGGGATTACAGGCATGAGCCACCGTGCCTAGCCTACATGGCTTTTAATACGTTTAAAATAACCTAGAAAATTTAAATGTAAGTAACATTGAATGTATTAAAGGAGAAAATAAGCCAAAAATGGAAAAGTTGAATGGGGTACCCTTTGTGGAAGGGAGGACATGGCTATTCTATCCTTTTCTCGTTGGTGATGCTGGTACTGGAGCTGGTGGTAGACAACACTGATGTGGGTTGATTCTATAACAATTTGGCTTCTTAAGCCACTTTCTTATCCTCCCACCAGTTACCTGTGTAAGTCACTGCCTAGCTAGTGTTTGCAAGGGATGAAGAAAGAAAGAATTCAATTTAGTGTAGCACATGAACAGCTACACGGGGCGATTTCAAATCATCTTCACTTTGATTCTCCTGACCTATACTGAAGAACATCACGAAACACGTTGTTTCTACTATAAGGAAGTAGTTTCAGTTGTTGTTAATTACATTAAATGATAGATGCCCTCTTTATAAAAATTCAGAATAAATTTGTTTGTTTTTAACATCAGGAATAGTAGTATTTCTTTTGAGAAATTTAAAAAATAAGCATATGATCCCAAGAGCTGTGTTCTTAAAAGTTTTAAGCCACGTCAACCACTAGAAGGCTTGAATCTAAATTTGCGACTCATTAATAGCAAATATATATGGTTTTTATGGTATATATTTTTGTGTTGTTTATTTCTTACTCTATTATATGTTGCCATTTTCTTTTTTTGTCTCACTTGCATTAGTAGTGAGGATTAAGCTTGGCTGTGGGGAATGGAAAACACAAAATACCAGTAGCTTAAATAAGAGAGAAGCTTCTTTTTCTCTCTGAGTAGGTGGTCCAAGTTTAGAATGGCAGCTCCAGAATTATTAGGAACCCAGACCTCTTATGTGTTGCACTGCCGTCCTCAACACCCAGCTTTCAACTCATGGTACAAGATGGGCTGCTGTGGCTCCAGCTATCATGTCCAACATCCAGCCAGCAGGAAGGAGAATGGGAGAGAAGAGGGACACAATTAAACCTTCTTTTAAGGGATGCTCTCTAGAAGTTGCGCATGCAACTGACATTTACATCCCATTGACCAGACCTTAGTCACCTGAGTACACCTAGCTATGAGAACAGCTGGGAAAGGTGGGCAACCATGTATTTTGGCTGAAAATGAGCAGTCTCAATACTGCAGAGGAAATGGAGATGGGCTATTAGGAGACAAGTAGCAGGCTGTGCTACATCAATTTGTAATTCAGATTATTTTATGGGTCTTTGCAAATCACTTTAAGTTCTGTCCACACTGGGGAAAGGGTGGTTATAAGTAAATGAATGAATAAATAAGTTTAAATTCCTTAGGAGGAGGATGGATCCTGTTACTCCTTCTGTTTAACGTGAGTCTGCAGAATCTCAGAACAGGCTCTCTGATGCAATGGAATTATTTAACAGTTTCTGTAGATCACAATTTGAGATGCCCAGATCACTTGCTCTCCAAAAAGACACTAGCGGTGAGCTTGAGCTACTTTCTTTATCTCTGAAAGTGCCAGTGAGCTTGAGCTACTTTCTTTAGCTCTGAAACTCTAATGAGCAATATACATCCACCTGAGCTGAATCTGCAGGTGAAGATAAACTTTCCTTGGTTTGAAGTACATTTTTGTCAATATAATATTTTAACACTGCCTCTCTCATCTAATCAGGCTGGCAGTCATGTAAGTCTTTGACTTAAAAAGGGGGAAAATGATTTCTTTTTTCTTTTTTTTTTTGAGATGGAGTTTCCCTCTTGTTGCCCAGGCTGGAGTGCAATGGTGCTATCTCGGCTCACTGCAATCTTTGCCTCCTGGGTTCAAGCGATTCTCCTGCCTCAGCCTCCCAAGTACCTGGGATTACAGGCATGCGCCACCACACCCGGCTAATTTTGTATTTTTAGTAGAGATGGAGTTTCTCCACGTTGGTCAGGTTGGTCTCGAACTCCCAACCTCAGGTGATCCGCCTGCCCCAGCCTCCCAAAGTGCTGGGATTACAGGCTTGAGCCACCGTGCCCGGCCGATTTCTCCAATACACACATTTTGTTTGGCAGACAAACACCTCTCAAAGAATGGGACTCTTAAGGTGCCTTGGAGATGGAGGGACATGACAAAAAGGATATGGGGCAGTGAAAAGTTTGGATGCTACTGGCTAGAGTTGTTTTGCTCTGAGATTTTAAAGTTAGATAGCTAGACTAGAGCAGTACTTGTCAAACATCAGTTTGCCTAGGGATGTAGTTAAAACTGCAGATGCCTGGGCTCCACACCCCAGATATTCTTCTGATTTAACAGATGGCTTGGGAACAGCGTTTTGACAAATATTGAACTAGCGGATGCTGATTGCCCAAAGTTGAACAACATTTCAAAATGGAGTAAATTAAACCTTCCTTTGAAAAAGAATATGAACAAGTCATTAAAAAATACAGGGTTTGGTTTAGATACTTTATTTGTCTAGGATGCTGAAATGTCCGGCATTTCTGTTCTCCCCGCACAATCTCTTATGAAGCTGGGCCCACAGACCCATTGCACACAACTGAATGTGAACTTACAGGTTAATGATTTGATGAGGGGCTCTTAGCACTCTCTGGCAGCTCTGGTCACCTGATATGCCAGGCACCAATGGGCATGGAGAAAACATCCTTAGTTTTCTTCTCTCCATGGCAACCAGTGCATCCTGATCCCTGTCTGTCAGTTTCCAGGCTAGCGACTCTACGTTCACCTGTGTCATAGCAACAGGAGAAAACTGCAGTTGACTTTCGCTTTCCAAATGTCTTGGAAACAGGGCTTTCAATTCTAAACCCCAACTTCCACTCTACGGTTTCCTGGTACGAAGCTGTTTGGACTCTGGGAGTTGGTGGCTTGAGAGAAACAGGAAGGGAGGGGAGATTCTGGGACATTAGTATATTCATGGCAGGTGTGTGTAAATTGGAGCTGTCAGTTTGACCAGCAGGAAATAGAAAGTATGAATCTTAGGGGAAGGGAGTGAATCACATTCACAAAGACAGCTTGAAAAATTGGCCAGGAGGCAAATGACAAGTTCTCCACTCTATATGAAATATCAAGATTAAAGGAAAATCAATTATCCTTTACCTTTGAGCGTTTTTGGGGGTTATGGTGAAATTAGGACTAGAGGGAGTAAGCAATGGTAGCCTTTAATTTTTCCTAATATTTTACTATAACAAATTTCAAACATACGGCAAATTCGAAGGAGTTTTATTGTGTAAATTTAGATTCTATCATTAACATTTTACCTGATTTATCACTTATTGTTTATCGTTGTTGTATATTCCTCTATCCTTCTATCGATACACCTTAGTTTTGGAAGTAGTTTTGATTTTAGTATTCTGATTATTCTTTCTTTCTTTCCTGTTTTAGTGTTTATTACCCTCCTTTTGTCTTCATCCACCCAAAACCATCATCTTTAATGATTACAACAAAGAACATGATAATGATAACAAAAATTTGTTAAAGCTACATTTGCTGAACATATACTATATGACAAGCACAGTACTAGCTACTTTTCTTATATTATTATCTCAATATTTTTCAGAATAGGAGGAGATATAATTATCCCTCTTTTGATAATAAGGAAACAGAATCTCAGAGATAAGTGGCTAAACCAGGATTCAAACCCAGTCTTGTCTGGTAATTTGCTTTGGCAAACAAGTTTCAGGGGATTAATGGCCCTAGGAATTTCATTTCAAAGTAGGTTAGTGAACAACTCACTAAAACCACCTTAAACCTATTATGGAGATCATTGATAAAATCATTATCTGCCTTTAGTTTATGTAAAGGAGCCTTTAGTTCAGAGTGGAATGAAAAAGCTAATCTTTGAACCATGATTATCTGTGAACAATCTGGGTATCTGCATTTCTTTGTATGAGAGTGAAGTAGGCAAAATTTTCCGCAGAAACTTATTGAACTCTTCTATGGGCCAAACATTACACATTCATTTAATTCTTTTTTTCTTTTTTTGAGACGGAGTTTCGCTTTTGTTGCCCAGGCTGGAGTGCAATGGTGCGATCTCAGCTCACCGCAACCTCCGCCTCCTGGGTTTGAGCGATTCTCCTGCCTCAGCCTCCCGAGTAGCTGGGATTACAGGCATGCGCCACCACGGCTGGCTAATTTTTGTATTTTTAGTAGAGACGGGGTTTCTCCATGTTGGTCAGGCTGGTCTCGAACTCCCGACCTCAGGTGATCTGTCCGCCTTGGCCTCCCGAAGTGCTGGGATTACAGGCATGAGCCACCATGCTTGGCCTCATTTAATTCTTAAGGCCAGTTCTCTCAGGTAGATATTATAATCTTCATTTTAAAGATCAAACAGTTAATGTTCACTGGAGCAAACAGACAGACCAATAGAACAGAGCAGAAAGTCCACATAATCCCAATACAGGGGACTTAATGATAAAAGGGATGACAGTCATCCCTTGGTATTCCTGGGGGATTGGTTCCAGGAGTCCCCTCAGATACCAAAACCCCAGGAGGCCATAAAATGGCATAGTATTTGCATATAATGTAGGCACATCCTCCGGTAAATCATCTCTAGATTACTTACAATACCTAATACAATGTAAATGCTATGTAAATAGTTGTTGTACTGTATCATTTAGGGAACAATGACAAGAAAAAAAGTCTCTACATGTTCAGTACAGACATAACCATTGCAGGCCTAGCTACATTTTCTATTCAAGGTTGGATCCAAGGATGCAGAACCTATGGTTACTGAGGCCAGCTGTACCAGTATTCAATAAGTGATATTGGGACAACCATCTAGAAAAAAATGTAAAAAAAAAAAAAAAAAAAATCTGAAGCCATATCTCACACCATTTAGGAGGACAAATCCCAAATGGATCAAAGACAAATATGAAAAGTGAAACCACAAAAGTTCTACTAGAAAGGATGAGAAAATTTCTTTATGACTTTAGAGTGGGGATGGCTTTCCTATGACACAAAATCTAGAAGCCATAATAAAAGAGATTGATATATTTAAGTATGGAAATTTTTTTTGTTTGTTTGAGACAGAGTCTTGCTGTGTCTCTCAGGCTAGAGTGCAGTGGTGGGGTCATGTCTCACTGCAACCTCCACCTCTGGGGCTCAAGCCATCCTCCCACCTTAGCCTCCTGAGTAGCTGGCACTACAGGCGCTTGCCACCAAGCCTGGATTTTTTTTTTTTTTTTTTTTTTTGTGGAGATGGGGTTTCACCATGCTGGTCTCCAACTTCTGGACTCAAGCAATCCTCCTGCCTCTGCCTCCCAAAGTGCTAGGATTATAGGTGTGAGCCACTGCTCCTGGCCTAAACAGATAAATTTACTTTACATGTGGAAACTTCTACATGGCAAAAAAGAACTACAAAAAAATAAAAGTACAGATGGCAATATGGAGGAAATATTTGCAATTCATGCCACAGATAAAGTGTTATGCTTCCTAACAGATAAATAGCACCTATTAATGTCTGAGGAAAAGACAACCTTACCAATACAGAAATGAATAAGGGTAGGAATAGACTGTTCAAAGAAGAGGACAGGCAAATGGCTCTTAAACATGCAGAAAGATGTCCAACCTCATTAAACAAGAGAAATGTAAATTAAAACAACACTGAGGTACCATTTCCTTTGCATTTTATAAACTAAAAGTTTAGTTAAATACTGCACTGTGTATGGTTGGTGGAAATATCAATTAGTCAAATCTTCATGGAGGACAAGTTGTCAATTTATTTCAAAATTACAAATGTACATGCACTAAGTTTCAGCAGTTCCATTTCTAGCAATTTCTCCTTTATAGGAGAAAATTTTGCCTACTTCACTCTTGTGCAATATACTCGTATAGTCACACCTGTGGGAAGCGACATAGGTAGAGGCTATTCACTGCAGCATGTTTTTTTTTTTTTTTTTGAGACGGAGTCTCGCTCTGTTGCCCAGGCTGGACTGCAGTGGCGCGATCTCGGCTCACTGCAAGCTCCGCCTCCCGGGTTCACTTCTCAGCCTCTCCTGTAGCTGGGCCTACAGGCGCCCGCCATCACGCCCGGCTAATTTTTTGTATTTTTTTAGTAGAGACGGGGTTTCACCGTGTTAGCCAGGATGGTCTCAATCTCCTGACCTCGTGATCCGCCCGCCTCGGCCTCCCAAAGTGCTGGGATTACAGGCGTGAGCCACCGCGCCTGGCCACTGCAGCTTTTTTTTGTTTTGTTTTTGTTTTTTGTAAAATATGGGACACTAAATAAATAGACTATGAAATAAATTATAGTAGAGGCATGTGATATATACAAAAGAATGAAGAAAGTTTTTATGTAGTGATTTGGAAAAAGCCCTAGGATATGTTAAACAAACAAACAAACAAACAAACAAAAAAAAGAGCAAGGAACAGAACCATGTATAGAGTATGCTGCTGTCTGTGAACCATGAGTACAGGGAGTTTACCCTCCTCCCCGCAAAGGAGAATCTATGGTTGCCCCTGTGGGTAAGCTGATGGTGTAGGACACACAGTTCTGGATTCAGCTTTTGCTGGTGAAATTGCTGGCTATCCCCTGATTGGGTAAACAAACCTAATTCCTCAGAGATCTACACAGTGCTCACCCCTCCCCAGCTGTCAGCCTTGTATCCAACTGTACTGGTACCATAATTTTTGATTCTCTGAGGGCTAGGACTTCTCTTTTCTTCCTGGACTCAGGGCAAGGATGGTCGGGCAAACTTGCTTTTGTCTTATTCATACCCAAAGCATCTGTGTTGTCAGTGTAAAAGGCTACTGAAGACATAAACCGTTTATAGTTCCAACACTGCAACTAGAAAATTCATCTTTAATCCAATGAGGATAACCTGGTATGTCATTTGCCAAAGGTTGTTATTAATACAAAGTGGATGCCAGTGGTTAGTGTATGAAATCACACATAAGCCCAGGCTTGCTGACTGGTTTCAACTACCATCTTTTTATTTAAGTGGACAGATATAACTGGGTGTCTTTGTTGTGTACAATGTCAGTGACTTTCTTCCTTGCTAGCAGAATCTGAGCTTTTGAGTACTGGAAATAGTCTGACTTTGTATTGGAAATATGTTATCTATTCCATGATTGATCATTTGGTTTTGTCCAGAGGCCTGGCATAAGATAGGAAACATGCTGTTGGCAGACAAATCTCTATGTGTCTCTGCACTTTTTGTATGTCTCGCGAGAAAAAAAATCATCACTAGTCATGAATTTGTGCAAGTATTTGACTACAATATTTATTGCTCATTTGTTAATAGTCATAAAATATAGGAAATATCCATGATGGCCAACCATAGGGGATAAGTTAAATTATGGTTCCTCATATAATGGAATGCCCTTCAGTGATTTTAAAATGATGATGTAAAAGAATATTTAATGTGGGAAAATGTTCTTGACATACTAAAGGGGAGGGGGAAAAGCTTCCTCAAAATAAATCACAGTAGTGTGATCTCATTTAAAAAGTGTTACACATACATACGCACACACACACACAGACATCGAATGGCGATACATCATGGATTATTAGCACTAGATATATTTTTGTAATGGGACATGGGTAAAGTTCTTATTTTCTTCTTAAAATGATGAATTTTTCTACAACAAATATGATTACGTTTGCAATGAAGCATTTTGCAAAAGCTATTATAAAAAGAGGAAGAGGTAAAATGCCTTCCTGAGTGCCTCTCCTAATCTAGTTAGCGAGACAACACAGGATATTCTGGAGCCACCTCCAGATTCCAAATCTCTGCCTTTGTCCTCTCAGGCCCATACAGATCCCCAGCCAGTTGCTGGGGAGACTATCGGGATCTGTGCGTTTCCTTGCCATTCATTTCTGGTCGCTGTCTGTGCTATACACCTCAGCAGAGGCACAGGTAAAAACCTTTAACCTGATTAAAATTCCCCTCAAGCATATTCCTGGTATTACTGGTAAGAGGAAGGAGAACGCATTTCAGAAATTAATTTCATCCTCATGTCATCAGAAAGGCCAGAAAAGAACAACCCCCTCCCCACCCATTTTAAATGCAATTTTGATTGGATTCTTTCTGAATACTTCAGTGGCTTTTGAGAAACAAAACAAAACAGCGTTCCTGAGCGCCCAGCTGCAGCCTCCTGCGAGCACATCATGTTCCGCACGTCTCGCTGGTTCGAGGACGCCTCGTCTGTTGCTATGGAAACAGAGTAGTCAAATCAGACTGCGACGGAGGACTCTACTGAGTCCCCGAGAACAAATTGTTTCCTTCTGTTTGGTTCCATTTGGTTTAAGTAGCGGGGGAGACCCTCGCTTTCTGGATAAACTATTTTCCCGGGCCGGACACTGATAAATGGATGGTTAAAGACAGCAAATAATCCTCAACTCGAGATGTCCTTGTCAGAACGGGCTGCGGCATTGAGTTTTGATGGGTGAATTCTAATGAGAATTAGGGTCTTTGTTTCGCACAAGTACTTTCAAGAACCGGCCAGCCTTTCCCATAAATGGGATTACATTTATTGTAGCCACTGAATAACAAAATTTTCAGCCGAATTTTCAGCCAACGGACGCTTCTGTAACTCGCAAGCTGCTTGAGGCAAAATCGGTTTCAGAGCGGGCAGAGCTCAACGCTCACGTACGTCAGGCTTTCTTGCACTACTTTCAAACTTCCAAGTGTTTTTCACATTTCTTGTTTCTTATGTTTTCATTCATGTTCCTGTACTATGAACATACGAAGTCAAATGCGAATGTAACTCTTACTTTTATTGGAGACTAAGAAAAGCCAAGTGATTTTTCTCAAAATGCAGCAACCGGCTGTTACGTGGCACAGGGCCCGGCTAATCAAATCCTATTCAACCATCAGTGACCGCACGGTGCTCTGGTTGCCCTGTTATTCCCTTTTGAGACTCAGTCATCACTGGTCTCCCATTTTGTGGCCTGAAGCCAACAATTTTCTAAATCCCTGTGAAGAACAACAGATAAGTAAAGAGGCTCTGAAGATTAGGAGGGAGAGAAAGGGCCACAGGAAACAAACTACCGTGTGGGTAAATCACACCTGCACATCCCAATTCATATTTCCAGAGCGTAACATATTCTGAAATACCTAAAGAATGTGTGGAAAATAGAAGTTCTTCAAAAACAAATATTCTGTAAAAACTAAAAGCAACCTAAATGTCCATCAAGAGTAGAATGGATATAAAAATTGTGGTATACAGTGAACTACTACTCAGCAATAAAGACAGAACAACCTACTGGATAAAACATAAACATTATGTTGGGTGAGGAAAACAAGGAACAAAAGAGCATGCATTGTATAATTCCATCTATATGAAATTCTCTCTAATCTATAGGGGAAAGAAAAGTAATCAGGCTTGCCTGGAGGGATAGGGGTGAGATTGGGGTACTAGGGAACTTTCTAAGAAAGTCAGTGAGCTACATTTGACTGGGGTGATTGTCATGTGAGTGTACACATTTGTCAAGATGCATCGAACTGTTTACATAGAATCTGTGCATTTACATACATAAATTATATCTCAACGAAGAAAAAGAAAGTATTTTATAGCCTTTCTCTGTGGGGTATTCTTTTAAGTGCTTTACATGCGAATGTACTTAATCCTCACAAAAATATGAGGGAGAAGTATGTTTATTTGCATTTTACAGATGGGGAAACTGAGACAGAGTGGTTACATAAATTTCCAAGGTAATGAATCTAGTGACTGGTGGGGCCAAGATTTGAGCCCTGGCAGTCCAGCTCCAGAGCTGGGCTCTTGGCTGCTGGATCACATTTCCATACCTACTAGAAGCAGCAACCAGCTTGTTCTCTGTTTCCTAGAAGAGCTTTTCCAAATATGATAGCAGAACAATTGCTCATATAGAGAGAATCCAGCTACACTTATTTATGCATTTATTTATGTTGGCTTTTGGGATACTTCTAATAATTCCATTTAGCATCAACATAGTCAACACTACTAAACTGTAGGCTTGCATTGCACATGATCAAGAAGGCCAATCTCCTGAACTTTGTTTGCTAATCATTGTACAACACAGTTGATATTATAAGACAAGCAAAATTATTTACCTGATTTTGCTAAGAGGAAGGGGGAAATGTGAAAGTGATTCAGGCATTGGGCTAGAGAGAAGACTCATCCACTCTGATATTATAGCTTATTGTATTGTTTATCATATATAGAGAAAAATTCACATTGACATCAAAATACTAACTGACTGACTATAGGAGAGGAAGATTTTCAATTTCTCAATTTGCAACGTTTAAGACAAGTGTGCATTTTTAATGAGATTCTGTAAGTTAGCCAGTCAACTGTTCTTGCTTGTGTGAAGGTTAGCTATTTTGCAGTCCTCATTCATTCACTCATTCATTGGTTAAACAAATATTTACTGAATGTCTACCGAATGCCAGGTACTAGGTACTGAAGATACATAAGAACTAGTATTCTAGAGGTTAGACATATGGACAAATAATCATGGAATGAGATAGGCACCCTGCAGTTGAAAGGATTTCATTTAGACCAGGGAATACTGCCCCAACTCTGCTCTTGGCCATAGTGATCTGTGGGTTTGCCAGTTCTGCATGACCAGAAGGTGGAAGGAGAGATGAAGCATTTCTGAATGACCTAAGGTTTTCCTATCCTCTTATTTTATGAATATTATTGGAAGCATGGCCAGTACTTGGAAGAGGTAGGCTCTAATTCTTTGTGTTCATATGGCTTGTAAGACTTCAGTTTTTTCCTAATCCTGGTTTCTCATGGCAAAGTGGTTGGTTGTCAGTGGCCAGAGGACTAAATTTCAAGGTTGTCACTTGAGTACTTTTCTCTGTTCTGTGGCTATAGGCTATATCCCTAATACCAGCCACTGTCCTTCCATTTTGCAAAATGCATAATGGTTAAGAAGGGCTGACTTGATGTAGGTTCACTGTTTAATCTCCAAAGTTTCCTGGAATGAAAATGCAAAGTAGCCCACTAATAAACAGGTTTAAAGTACTCATTCTATAACCAAGGAGCAGTCACATTGCCTTTGTGATATAAAGGAAAATATCATTGTCATCACAAGGTTGTGTAGTTTTTAGAGCTAGAAAAAGAAAAGTCTACGCTTTTCTTCCTGCTTGAGCTTAAAACAAAATTAAGTAACAGGCTGTAAAGAGCAGCCTTTCTTTGGACCATATGGTTCATTAGCACCACATGGTGTACCTGTACCAGAGACAGTTATTGAGTCCTACGCTCCTACCTTTGTAAAATGTGAGTGATTGCCTCCCCTTGCCCCACTCCCGTACAGTCAGGGTAACTTAATCCTTCCTGGCACACTGTGTCCTTGTTGGCTTATAATACCTTCTTTATAAGCATACTTGATTTTTGGAATTGTTCTGTAACTGGAAATCAGTCTTATTGGACAAGTGCACATCTTAAGCTGTTCACAGTGCCCTACCAGCCTAATTAAACTACAGAAATATGAAAGCAATCAAGTGGGAGCATTTGCAAAATGAATGCCTGTTAGTAATCTGCATAGTTACAGAGACTGTCACTTAGACCTAACTGCTGGGATATGTTGACTTTACCAATGGGAAGAAAAAAAAATCAGACAATGCTGTGTATCCCATGACTCAAATCTATTTTTGGCTGAGACCCTAAGGCCTCTCCAGGGTCAGAGAATTTGTTTATAACCAGTTTCTGGATTGCGAAGAGAAATATCATTTCTGCCCCTCTCCCTGTTTTTTGCAAACCAATAGAAAACAACACGGAGAATAAGCAGCAGTAAACTTCCATCTTCATTGAAATGAGGAAACACTCATATCTGGAACCATAATACTGTATACCAAAAGGGGCTTTCAGGTTAGCGAAAACTACCAGTGGGAAGACACAGGCGGCTAGGGGCTTTGGATTTCATGGGTGGACTGGACAGAGTACGGAGTTCTCCCAGGGAGATGTTGCAGCCCTGGCTTGAGGCAAGGTTGGGGAGCACAGACCAACAGCAACAATCTGTCAACAGTGAGCGGGCTCAAACAGCTGAAAAACATAGGCATGCCATCTTTGCCCACTATATGTACATGGGTGAAGGAGAAACTGGGGAAGACAAGCAGCCTCCAGCTTCTATGTCTACTAAAGAGGAATAAAAACATCACCATGCACCAAAAACCTCCATTAGGTTGTTTCACTGGGAGAAGGGCCACTTACGACGTTCACAGGGTATTGGTGAGGTTTCTGGGGGTAACAAGCTCAAGAGGCTTAACCAGCTCATTTTCCTGGTCCTTGGCCTTTACTATCCTCTTATAATATAGCTCAGGAATAACACCCCCTTTCTCAGTTCAAGGATGCACAGCATTAATAAGGAATCAACGTAGGACCTATGTGAACATGTTGCATTTATAAAGAAATGTCACACGTACACACAGAAAGGTCATATCAAAGCAGGTAAAAATTAAGACAACATATTTCTCCAAAAACCAGTCTGACATCTTATAATACCAGAAATATACACACACTTCAAACCTGGGAAATCATCCTATGAATCTGCTCTGACCAATATGGTAGCCACTAATACCTGAAATATGGAGTAACCAAGTAACAAATTTTTAAATTTAAAACTGATACTCATTTCAGTTATTGGAAAACTTTTAAGCACATTTAGACCAACATGGGTATGTAAATTTACTTTGCAAATTTAGATTTTATGAAATCTAAACATGGATTAAGTATTATCAGTAAAACTTTAGTGTCTCAACTGAGATATGCAAACCAGACAGACTTAGTTTCATAAGAATGAAAAATATCTTACTGAAATAATATCTCCAATGTATTGAGTTAAATATATTAAAATTAATTTTACTTGTTTTTTAGCGTGGCTACTAGATCTTAAATTACATGTGACTTGCATATGTCTATCAGACACTATTGCTATAGAAAAAAAAGCACCAGCATGCAAAGTAAATGTACATGCACTGTCCAGAGTAGGAAAAAGAGAACCCCCAAACCAAAACCTGTAAACAAAGTAAATGCATGTCCACAGAGGAATGGTATGATACATAAACATAACATTCTGTGGGGTATGATGAACCAGGACACCAAACATTGAGAATGGGGGGAAAACATGCAAATATATTTTCCTAAAATAAAGTCTGAAGACTGCAAGGGCACATTGAGCTCCAAGGAAAATTGATACAAATAATAAGAAATATTTTAGTATATCATACTTCAGGGATAAACAGTCCTCTGGACATTAGGCCTCCTCCTTCACCACCACAAAAAACAAAACACACAAAAAACCCCAACTATTTTCACATAGCTTTTTCTTTTAAATTACTCTTGTACACAAACAGAAGGAAAAATAGAAACAAAATAAATTACTTAAGGTATTTCAAAACCTTTTTCACATTCAGTGTCTGTTTCTTGACTTGGTAATTGATGTTTGTGTTTTCTCACAGCATGTGGTCTTCATGCTATTAAGAGCAGTGGTGATGGGCATTTCGTTAAAGAGCACACCACCATTGTCTCTGGAATCTTTTTCTTAGACACTGACACCCATTCTTCAAGTTTGATACTGATGCCATCCTGGTCAATGAAATTATCAACGCAAGGTTTTCAGAGCTCAACCAGGACTTTTTTTCCTCAACTGCTTCTTACACGGCTTTTGATTGAAGAGTAGCTGCTTTGTCACCAGGAATACATTACCAAATGTGCAGATGAATAGGCCTACCGTTATGGCCTACAACAGGATGGCTCCTTGAAGGGAGACATGGATATTATGTACCCTTATGGTGTATCATATTACTTCTGCAAAATATTCACTATCCCTCCCTATGACAGGATAATTTAACTGTGGTGACTGACATCGTGCCTGTCACAGGACTTGTTTTGGCTAATGGAATGTCATGGAAGTAAAGGGTATCATTTCCTAGCGGAAGATGAAAGAGCCATCATGTGGTTCCCACCTTTCTTTTCCCTCTTAAGACCAACATGCCCCCCTTAGAGGCTGCTCCTTTAGACTGGGTGCTGAAGCAATATGGATTACAACCAAGATGGATCATTACAAACATGTGAGTGAAAAATAAATCTGTAAGCCACTGAGGTTTTTGGGTTGTTTGTTTCTGTAGCGTAATTTATGGTTAAACTGACTGATAGAACTCTTAAGCAGAATGGATTTAAACCCTGGTTTTGGTATGATCCACGTGTTCTCCTCAAGGACTCTTGATTTCTGCAGGACTTCCTGAGGGTAGTCAATGAGTTGGTGATTGATGACTAGTTTTCCCTTATGTGAGATTCAAGTTCAGGCTATTTCAGGTAAGCCAAGGTATATGCAGAGTGACCTCACCTGAGATGTGCTTAAACTGAGTCACCCTGGACTACTTAGTGGACACTAAGTGGGTGTGGGTGAGTCAGAGCCCAGTTGTTGGGAGCGGCCGTTTATAGCTGTATTCTGGTGAAATGCCTTGCAAACATTAAAGTCAGAAAATCCCATTGAGACTGGAATCAACAACACCTCACTTTGGGACATCATAGCAGTTCTTGGTGGGGAAGGGGCTGGTGGGGAGGGAGGGGAGGAGGAAAATGTTGTAGCTTTGAAGGTCCACTCTTGTTTTTCTTCATTCCTTGCAATTAAAGCTGATTCCATTATGGAAGCATCAATCTGTGGACAATAGCTTCTTTTTTTTTTCTTTCCAAAGCAGAAAATTCAGCATCTGTACTTCAGAGTTCCACTGGAGAAGTGGCTGACCTCAAAATGTATTAGAGATCCCATTGCAGTTAAAGGTCGATGGATTCAACAATGTGCAGCAGCCCTTCAAAGAATACAGACTGTGGTTTCCTCCTGGGATGACTTCACCAGGACCCTTGGCAACAGTGCTGGTGGAAAGTGGAAAGAAACAGTTACATGAGCCATAGATGGCAGAAACAGTAGGTGAGCAGACAATGACATTAAAAATAGTTCAGGGCAGGAAGCTGATTTTCTTGCTCACATTCTGGTTAGGGTGGATTAAAGGACAGAGACACTGGGGAATTTGTTTTGGCTCCTAAATTCTGGGTGTCCTCAAGAACTTTCCCTATTTCCTCCATAACAAGCAAAGATAGGATAGAATCAATCCTTATAAAACACTTGCACATTAAGGATGGCACCTTGTGTGGGAACACTGATTTTGCAAATTAAAACTGTACAGGGTGGGGGTGGCTGGCATGGGTCACTGGTAGTTTCTTGTTCACCATAGACGATCATCGTGTTGTCTGGACAGCCTGGATCCCCTTGAAGGGGAGCCAGCAGAGGGTAGCAGTTAAGGGCATAGGCTTAGCAGGAAGATCAGCCTGAATTTTGTATCTCACTTGTACTTGTGCTAATTTTGCTGGAGTAGACATAGCTTCCCTAAGCCTTAATTTTGTGGAATGAAAAAAAAAAAAAAAAGATAGTGCCCAACTTATACAGTAGTTGCAAGGTTTAAGTGAGCTAATTCATACAAAGTGCGTAACACACAGCTGGGTGCATATTAAATGCTTGAGTAGCACTAGCTAGTGTTATAGTTGCTAGCCTTATCTGAGAAAAGTCAGAGTGAAAGGTGGTTAGAATCACTGCATAAGTTCTTACTTTTAAATAGAGTCATAAAGTTATAAAATTAAGTCGATGAGTGAGCGGAGATTGCGCCACTGCACTCCAGCCTGGGAGACAGAGCAAGACTCCGTCTCAAAAAAAAAAAAAAAAAAGTAAGTGGATATTTAGGTGTGATTTGATTGATTATTAATGGAGTATAAAGAAATTATAATCAAGAATACAATACCTGCTCAACAGACTTTGGCAACAAGCTATCACCTTGGTTGTGTTTCCAGGGAAAGTGGAGTTGAAGGCATTCTCTAAAACGTGATGGCAGTTGATGTCCACAGGAGTGCTGGAGAGTATGCCTAGAAGTGGAACAGAGTCCCATTTATTTATTATTTTTTAGTTTTATTTATGTATTTATATATTTATTTATTTAGAGACAGAGTCTTGCGCTTTTGCCCAGGCTAGAGTGTAGTGGCATGATCTCTGCTCACTGCAACCTCTGCCTCCCGGGTTCAAGCGATTCAAGTGCCTCAGCCTCCCAAGTAGCTGGGATTACAGGCACGCACCCAGCTAATTTTTGTATTTTTAGTAGAGATGCGGTTTCGCCACGTTGGTCAGGCTGGTCTCAAACTCCTGACAGCTGGTCTCAAACTCCTGACATCAGGTGACCCGCCCGCCTTGGCCTCCCAGTGTGCTGGGATTACAGGCGTAAGCCACTGCACCCGGCCCCATTTATTTTATTAATTAAGGAAGTCACTGAACCCTCATTCTGTTCTTAGCTCCTCCACCACACTGCACACATTTAACTTTACAGTATGCTTAAGAGCAGCTCTAACTCTCAGCTTTCTGTGGCAGCGTGTGCTGCACATGCAAGCTGGAGGCACTGCCTGTCCTGAAAGCTGCCATTCATCCTGTGGGCACTGGGACACAAAGGACAGGGTGCGGTACCTGCGATGCAGGCTGTCATGAAGCAGGCCACGGTCCCCGCAATCAGAGCTCTCACTGCCCCCGAGGCGATATCACGCTTTCTGGAAGGAGCCATGGATGCTGGGAAACATGGAAGGAGGGATGTGAGATCAATGTTGAAGTACTGATTAAAACTCTTAGCCTCTGAAAATTGTTCTGAGGCTGGGCTCAGGTCAGCTGACTTTTTTTTTTTTTTCTTTAACTTAGCTGGGAAATTCAAGATTCAAGAACTTAGTAATAAACTCCACATACAGAGAAATTCTCTGCTGTGGGAAGAAGGGAAGAGGCTTGTTTGCCAAAAGGCTCAAAGGCTCATTCTCCACAGAAGAAAAACCTCCTAAGTTTCATCCAAAGGGCTATTTATTGAGGTCATGGCAAGGCAAAAGAGTGGCAGGAGGCATAGACTAAGGAGATGATGTGCAACTCAACTGTCACCATCTACTTCTATGCCCGTGGCAGACACCACTAAGAAATCACAGCATTCTTCCACTGGACTTCCAATGGCTCTCAGAATCCTTCTCCAGGTGCCCATCATAAACCTATTGGCATTGGCATGTAAGGTGAAGCCTACAGGTCACCCCTGGGCTGGGAGAAGCATCTGTATGTTTGAGAAAATTTTTCCTGAGGTCAGTTTGGGTGTGCAAGGGAAAACTATATTGCAGACTAGAGATTAAAAAAATAGACCCCAGAGGACTCATGACTGTTGCAAAGGCCTTTGTTTTTTCTGACATAACAGTACAGAGCAAAATGGGGATCCAAGTATGTCTATGGCACATCTGTGTTGTTGAAGAATGTTCTTTTCACTTACTGAGTCCGCCGATCACGATTCCTAGGGACCCGATATTGGCAAAACCACAGAGAGCGTAAGTGGCGATTATCTCAGAACGAATCTGTAAGCAAGCATAAACACATATGTATACACAATCTGAGCTGGCTTAACAAATCTGACATCCAACTGGGCTTCATTTTGACCATAAATTCAATATTGACAAATAAATGCACAGTCCATGGTATCAAATACCCATTACTCCCTAGACCTCTTTTACCATCTCCACTTGAATTTTGTGGGAAGATGGAAGGGGGCTGTGTGGACTCAGTGACTCTCTACAAAGGGCTTATGATTGGTAGCCTTGGCTTCTACAAATGCTGCTTCCTGGTCAATAATACCTTCTAATATTCCATATGACCTGGCCATCTGCTACAGTGTGCCAGGGACAGGACTAGTTGCTGGAGATAAAAAATTGGTCCCAGAAAATATTCACATTACATTTACTTGAAAAAGGACTTATTCAGACTATATAAAAAACTGTTATAACTCAATAAGATGACCAACAGCCAAGGAAAAATGGATGGAGATTTGAATACTTCACAAAAGCTATGCAAATAACAAAAAAGTACATGAAAAGATGTTCAACATCATTGATCACCAGGGAAATGCAAAATAAAGCCACAATGAGATACTACTATGCCTCCACTAAAATTAAAAAATACAAAGTGTTGACAAGGATGTGAAGTGACTAGAAGTTTTATACACTGCTGGTGGGACTGTAAAATGACACAGTCTGTTTGTGAAACAGTATGGAAGTTTCTTCTTAAGTTTACTTGCTCTGCCTGAATGACCCAGCAATTTTTCTAGGAGAAACAAAAACACATGCCACAAAAAGATTGTACATAAATATATATGGCAGCTTTATTAAATAGCCTCATGCTGGAAACAACTTGAATGTCATTCAGTAGGCAAATGGATAAACAATTGTGGATACCCATAAAAATGAAATGCTGCTTTGCAATAAAAAGGAAATACATGCAAAAACATGAATGCTAAGTGAGCACATGTATATGAAATTCTAGGGCTGGGTGCGGTGGCTCACGCCTGTAATCCCAGCACTTTGGGAGGCCGAGGCGGGTAGATCACTTGAGGTGAGGAGTTCAAGACCATCCTGGCCAACATGGTGAAACACTGCCTCTACTAAAAATACAAAAAACAAACAAAAAAAACATTAGCCAGGCATGATGGTGTGTGCCTGTAATCCCAGCTACTCGGGAGGCTGAGGCAGGAGAATCACTTGAACCCGGGAGGCAGAGGTTGCAGTGAGCTGAGATCGCACCGTTGCCCTACAGCCTGGGCGACAGAGTGAGACTCCATTTCAAAAATAATAATAAAAATAAAAGAAATTCTAGAATATGCAAACATAATTTACAGTGAAAGACTGGCTATTGGTTGCCTGGGACTAGGTCTTCGGATGGGGATGGGAGTGGGGTTGTTGACTACAAATGGCCATGAGGAAAACCTTTTTTTTTTTTAAAGGTGTGACAGAGATGATAGTCTATATGTCGATTATAGTTGTGGTTACACAGGTGACATCAAAACTGAGCCCTTAAGTTGGTATATAAATTATAATTCAGTGAAAAGGATATAATTTAAAAATAATTATGTTAGTAAAAATGAAATTCTCAGCTATCACAGGAGCTTCCTTATAGTCTGGCCATGGTGTGTGTACCACAACTCTGACCACTCCGTGGGAAAGTTAGGATGCCCAGTTGGAGGTAGGAGAAGGAACATCCCTTTCACGGGGCAGTCAGAGGATGGAAGATGAATTCGTGAAAGCAAGGGCGTGGCCCTGTGACTCAAGAGATGCTGCTTAGGCCAGACAATTTTTCCTCAGTTTGAGGACTGACTATAGGAAGCTCAGAAGATTCCGTGTACTCTGTTGTTCACCAGAGGCACACCCAGTCTGACAAAGGTACCCACGTGACTGAAGCAATACTTTTCCAATATTCTCAAAACCCTATGATTTTGTTCAAAGAACAAACCGAGCAATGCTACACTCATTCAAGACTCAAGTGGCCATGGTAAGATTTTTGTTGATTCCAAGGCCCCTCTTCTCTCTCATGGTTTCTGAGAACTCTCCTTTGTTGATATTTTCCATCAGCGCGCATATAGCTGACAGGAAAAAAATATTTCAAGTAGGTATGCAGTCTACCCTTCCTGGAAAAGCTGTCCTTGTTCCCCACTTTTATTCTAGTGCTTTTCATTTAGTTCAGTTCAGCTGGCTTCAAAACCAGGCATGCTTATTAAGAGATTGTGGGGAGAAAGATGACATAAGGAGCTTCAAACTCCTCTTTCCCCTTTCCAGGGATAACTGAGAAGGGGATACACAGATGTGGCCATGATGGGTTTTAGAAGAGAAAAAGGAGTCTGGGATAATTCCAGGTTGACTTTGCCCACAAATGTGCAAGATGATGTGATGAAAAGAGATGCACCGTACTAGAAAAATATTAATAACACACCTCACAGCTCTCCTTGTGTCTGCACAGGCAAAGATGCCATACGTACAGGATGGTCATTTTAACACTATCTATCTCTGATAGTGAAAAAACAGATAACTGCTTATCAGCATGGGACTGGTTAAGATGAATTACGGTGTGCTATACAATAGAATACTATGTCACAGGCACTGATGTGGAAAGGTACCTGAGACACATTATTAAGTGCAAAGGACAAGGTTAAAAACAGTGAGTATACGTTCCAGGGAGAAGAGGTCCAGAGAAATAAGAAGGATGCCTTACTTTTTCCTTTATCTTTTTTTGGACCTTTTGAATTCTATACTATGGTATGTGTTACATGTAAACAAATGAATAAAAACAGGCAAAGTATTATCTTTAGGAAAGAGAAAGTGATGCAATAAGGGGCTCATACTAGGGGCATGGGGGCTGCATAGTACTCTCCCTCTTATCTCAGATGGAGGTTGGCATGGGCATAATTCAGTGGATATCACTGGGGTTTTGCCTCACGGACCCACATGGTACGTTCTGTTCTGTGGCACCTTTTCCAGGAGACTGTTGGGATGCCCTTCTCCACTTCTAGGTTGTGAGCAAAAATTGCTGGGACTCATCTGCATTTTGTTGATTGCAAATTAGAAATTTGGAGAAACAAAATGCCTTTCCCATCATGATTCAACAATAGCAGAGGCCACTGAGCTCCTGTTACCAAATGTTCTCTCTGTGCCTGCCTTTGGTTGGGCTCACCCCTAAACTCAATCAGCTCTACTGTTCTGTCTCTACCCTCGTAATAACCTTTCCACAAAATTGCTTCGTGCTGCCAGAACGCAGAGCCCGGTTTGCTCATTAACAAAACGATTCTCTCCTGGCAACTGGCAATTGGGGATAGAAAACATTTCACTTAATTTAGCCTATTGTTTACTTTTGGCAGGGAAACAAACTGGTTTTGGTGGCATCTAAACAATGAGGATAATTGGCCAAGCTTTACTGGGAGGTTAGTTGAAGAATGAACATGCGAGAACAGGGAAATCTACAGAGTCCCTGCTCATGTCAGATGTGTTGGGTCAAAATGCCCCAGCTGTAAAATATAAATCAGTGCTCCCCAGGAGTGGGCTGTTATATTGATGTGCTATGTGGGAGTAAATCTGCAGGCTTGTTCTTTGGGAAGCTGGGAAGGATGGTAGTGTTGTTTGTGGGTGAGCAGACTCAGAACCTTAGGCAGGCTGCTTTTCCTCCCCTTTCATTTTTAAACCAAATACATGCCTGGAACATTAATTCCAAATGGATTGTTTCAATGAGTACTAGGGGTGCTCAGGAATGTTCATCATTTCCTTAAGAGTTTCCAGTGTGACAATTCTGTTCTCCAGGGAAGAAAGTTGCAAACTCAACTACAAACATGACCTCACCTGAGTTCCTCATCCCACCAAAGGCCAGGCAGATGTGAATGCCTCCTTGCAAGCTATTGACCTGAAGTCCTGACATAATTATGGGTGCTTGTCTCAAGGCTTTCAGATCACAGACTCTGAGCCTTTTCTCTCCCTCATCCACGTGGAGAGCAGTGATGATGCTACACTAACTCTCGAGGATGTCCAGGCATGTTACTTTTGGACAGTTTCTCAGAGCTCACAGAATCCATTAAGTTCAAAGGGAGAGTGCTTTAAGATCACTAGACTGTTAGCCACTAGACTATGAGGCCAGGGGCCCCATGACTTGCTATGGCCTCAGTACTCAGCGCATTGCACATAAAAGGCATTCAAAAAATTTTGGTTGATTGATTGCAGTCCCAGCTCATGTGACTCTGGGTCTGTGTCCACAGTCCTCAAAAGTAGATGATTATAGTGGCAATGATTAGCTGTGTCTACACACACACGCACACTCTAATTCAACATAACTGAAAGTTAGGAAGTGCTATGTACATTATAAGCTCCATGAGCAATGGATTTTAGGTTGTTTTGCTCTCTAATCTATCCCAGGTGCCTGGCATAGTGCTTGACACACAGAGGCATAAGTAATAGACGAATGCAGGTATGTGATGAAGAAATGTACTGAGAAATTAAAATATTTACTCACTGATATATATTGCTGCACACCGTTTACAAATTTGGGTCCACCTTCTTTCCTCAAGTGGATCCATTTTGAGAGGTGCTCATAAGCCACAAATTCATTGAAGAAGGTCTTATAACCTATGAGTCTGGCAACCATAAAGCTGTCCTGCCATTCCACTCCCATCATGAAGGAAAAGGGCATGAAGATGTAGGAGCAGATTAGCTACAGAAACCAAAAGTAGACACTTGATTAGAATAGTGATTTGCTTTCAGTTTTGCCTCCTCAGTGACAACACTGTTCCTGACCCCTCTGTCTCCTTTAGGCAAAGAAATTCCTTCTTCCCTTGCCCATCTTTACCCATCAGGAATCAGGGCTAGAAATCGGTCATTTGAAGGAAGCTGGATTCTTGGGGAAGGGGCCAGGAGAGACTGACTGTCGTTGTGGGGAAGGAGGGGGATAGGAGACAGAGAAAAGGTGGGTGGGAAGTTGGGGGATGCATGAGAAGCTTCTACGGTGTGGAAGAGTCTACTGAGGTTAGGGTGGGCTGTTTACAAACCTATTTTATTTTTAAACAAAGATAGGCAGAAACAAAACAGAGGGCAGGGGCGTGATGTGATTATACCTCAAAACTCAGCTGTGGGTAGTCAAACATGTTTCCAAACCAGGACAGGGCTGAATTCATAAAAGACAGCAGGGCCAGGAAGGCAATCAGATTCACAGCGATGTTGGCCACCAGGGAGATGGAGGAGGATGCTCCCTGTGTTGCAGCTTCTAGAAGATTCCCTGAATCACTTTATCAAGAAATAGCAATTCCAGAATTACCAAGGAGTTGTCAGGGGATGGACACCATTGGTGCAGAAGTAGCATAATCAGAGCTTAGATAAGAGACAAACTCTAAGGCCCCTGCCTTGCTCAAAATACTCACCTGAATCCCATGACATCATGAAGTGGGCATATGAGTATTTAACCATGTTTGTTCTTGTTTTTAAAGAGATAGGGTCTTGTTCTGTGTCTCAGGCTGGAGTAAAGTGGTGTGATCATAGCTTATTGGAGCCTCCAACTCCTGGGCCCAAGTGATCCTCCTTCCTCAGCCTCCTGAATAGCATGTGTGCCACCATGCTTGGCTTTTTTTTTTTTTTTTTTTTTTTAAGAGACGGGGTCATGCTACATGGCACAGGCTGGTCTTGAACTTCTGGGCTTAAGCGATCCTCTTATCTTAGCCTCCAGAGTCTCTGGGTAACTTACATTACTTTTTAAATTTGGGGACATTTATAATAAAAAATTGGAAAATGATAAAAAATTACAAGTTTAAAAATTATTTTTATTACAAGTAGCTGCCAGAGAATAGTTATAAAATACAAATGGTATAAAAGCTAATGATTCAAAACCAACAACAAACCAATGATCCAAGGAAGCCTGTAAATCCATCACCTCATTTAAAAATGGAGTGCCACCATCACTTTGAATCCCCCTGTGTACTCTTCTTTGATCTCATCCTCCCCTCTAATCTCAGAGGTATCTGTCTTCCTGAAATTCACTCATCATCCCCTTTCTATACAGTTTTCCTACATGTCTGTATTCCCTAAAAAATACATTGTGTGTCCGGGTGCAGTGGCTCACACCCTATAATCCCAGCACTTTGGGAAGCCGAGGCAGGTAGATTGCTTGAGCCCAGGAGTTTGAGACCAGTCTGGACAACATGGTGAAATACTGTCGCTACAAAAAGTACAAAAATTAGCTGGGTGTGGTGCTGCGTGCCTGTAGTCCTAGCTACTCAAGGGGCTGAGGTGGGAGGATCACTTGAGCTCAGCCTGGGTGACAGAGTGAGACCCTGTCAAAACAAACAAACAAACAAACAAAAAAACAACATTGTGCAAGTCTGCACACTGAGTAACTTTACAAGTGGAATTACGCTGTATTCTTTGGTAACTTGCTTTTTCGCTCATGGTTGACTTTATCTACATACAAGTATGGGTGAATTTCAGACACATGTTGGTTGCTGATGAATTCTGTTATTTAATGAAATACTCTTGAACACCCTAAATCCCTTAGTCTTTTCCACTCTGTTTTTTTTTCTTTTTCACAGAGCAAAAGAAAAGGAACCAGCTTTCTTATAGGAGGAACCTCCAGAAATGGTCATCCTATGGCTTTCTGTCTAAACCAAGGCTCCATAAACACTCTGCTATATTTATAAAGAAATATCTTTACAACAAACAGATATGGAAATGTATTGACATTAGGTATTTAGAGAGGTTTATGTCAAGTATTAAACAAGATTTTGGCCAGGTCCCAGCACTTTGGGAGGCTGAGGCAGGAGGAGCCCTTGAGCCCAGGAGCTGGAGATCAGCCTGGGCAACATAGTGAGACCCTGTTTCTAAAAAAAATTAGCTGAGAGTGGTGGTGCATGCCTGTAGTATCAGCTACTTAAGAGGCTGAGGTGGGAGGATAACTTGAGCCTGGGATGTTGAGGCTGCAGTGAGCTGTGTTCATACCACTGCACTCCAGCTTGAGTGACAGAGCAACTTTAAAAAAGTCTTTTTTGAGCAAGACTCAAAAAAAGGAAATAAAATAAGACTTTTTTCTGTGAAGTCTAAATAGTCTTTGGACTAACTTTAATATTGTAATTCACTGTGCTTTCCGGTTATCAAATTTTTGCTGTACATTGACTCCTGGAGTCCCCCGCCCCGGCTTGGGTAGTCATTAATTAGGTGAATGTGTCACACTTACCCACTTTCCATTTTCATGGCATTCTTGAGGGTTATTTTAGGTTTTTCTGTCTCAGGCCAAAAGAGTTTAGCAGCAGCCAATGACGCAGGTGCTGACATAACTGACGCTGTTAACAAGTGGGAGGATGGAACCTGCAATTTCAGAAGAAAGAAGGCAAACCTGGGATTAGCTTTTTTCTTGTGTTCAGAGGAAGGGTCCAAGAGCTCCGCAAGGGAAGAAACAGGGCAGGGGTTGTTTCTATTCCAGAAGACAATGTTTCTTTGGAGGTCTGGAAGAGCCACTCTAGCTCATTGAGCCAAGTCGCGGGCATCACCTTGAGAGGCTGAGGGATAAGGGAGACATTTGTGCTAATTGACCACATCCCTGGGGAGAAGCATAAAACCAAAATCTGATCGTTTCAGAAAAGAATTAATCCTGTGTTGTGGAAACTTTCAAGGAAGATTCCTCTACCTCTCTGTTGCCCTTTTGAATGTTCAGAGAGCCCCTAAAGCATGTATGTCATTACAACTTTTTTTTTTTTGAGATGGAGTCTTGCTCCGTCACCCAGGAGTGCAGTGGTGCGATCTTGGCTCCCTGCAACCTCCGCCTCCCTGGTCAAGCGATTCTCCTGCTTCAGCTTCTTGAGTAGCTGGGATTACAGGAGCCCACCACCACACCTAGCTAATTTTTGTATCTTTTAGTAGAGATGGGGTTTCAACCATGTTGGCCAGGCTGGTCTTGAACTCCCAACCTCAGGTGATCTGCCTGCCTTGGTCCCTCAAAGTGCTGGGATTACAGGCATGAGCCACCATGCCCAGCCTCATTACATCATTTTAGATAGGGGATGGGGAGGGGATGGGGAGTGGAGAAGGGACTCATGATTCATGTGCAGATGTGTATATTCTCCTCTCTCCATCTTCCTTTTGCTCTCCTGAGGTCCTTGGTGCCTTTACACAATCTTCATTGATCTGGTGGCCCTTTAATCTGTACACGACTTCTGTTTTCTTTATTGCAGGTCCACTCGTTCCCCTTCCTACCTGCCCTCACATGGTTTCTGGATTCTCTTCCACATATTTTCAGAATTCCAGGATCAACACCTCCCTCCCTGTTCCTGTTCCCCCCAGAACATTTTTGAGGCAGCATTTCTACAGTGGGGATGGCATTCCCCAGATGATCCACTCAAGCTGCTCCACAGGTGTCCTTTGCTCCTTTCTTCTTGCCTCTTCCTACTAATTGGCACTCCGAGGCCTGGATGAAGACCTACAATGAAGCCCACTTATTTTGTAAGAAATCCTAGTCTCCTGAGTCACACAGTGACTGGGCTGTGTTACTCAGTTTCAATATTGGGGACTGTGTCTATGTGTGGCTTGTAAGCTCTATGGGTCGGGGTGCACGCACCAGTTATAACATTCTCTAGCCTTATACTACAGACTGCCAACTCTCAAACTTGGCTGTACATTAGAATCTGAGAGTTTTAAAAAATATTGATGGCTGGGTCTCATCCCAAGGAACTGTAGTTTAATTACTCTGAGATATGGACCTGGGCATTAGAGAATTTAAAAGCTCCCAGGTGATTCTAACGTGCAGAAAGGTTTGAGAATCACTGCTCTAGACCAGGGGTCAGAAAAGTTTTTCTGTAAAGGGCCAGAGAATAAATATTGTTGTCTTTGTGGATCACAACGACTCAACTCTGTAGCATGAAAGCTGCCAGAGACAAATGAATAGAAGTAGTTGCTTTCCAATAATTCATTTCCAAAAACAGGAGCAATTGGGATTTGGCCCATGGGCCATAGTTTACTGACTCCCAGTCCAGATCACCTTGACTGATGTAATAATTTTTTTTTTAACAGATTTAAATTTTCAACCAAAGCAACTTTATCATATGATTGCATTTTTCTGTTTTTATTCTGCAGATAGAACTCACATTTAGGCAGCAGGTATATGAAGCCCTGAAACTCCTTGGGATCCCTATGTTCAAATGCCAAAGCAACTGTGACCAACTTTTGCCATATGGCAAAAAAAGACACTCTCTTGGCCTCCTTTTTCCACCAGCAATGGAAAAGAAAAGAAATAACAATAATAAAGAAAGAAGAGGTTGGTGTTTTCATAATTCCAAAACATTCTTACCCCAAAAGAAATGTATGCACCTAGCACGCTTCCAGCAATGGTAGAGAACCCGGCGGTCATGATGGCGTGGAGTTCAGACTTGGTGATGTAAGGTAAATATGGTCGGACCAGCAGTGGAGACTCCGTCTGGAGACAAAGAAGGGTGACCAGATTCCTTTTTAAATCTGTGTGGGGGCAGGGGAAGGCATGCCAATCTACTCACAATTTTATTCTTTAAAGCAGACAGTTTCTAAGAGTGAACCTCAGACCAGCTCCATCAGCGTCACCTGGAAACTCGTTAGAAATGCAAATTATTTCGATTTACTAAATTAGAAACTCCAAGGGTGGGGGCTACCAATCTGTATTTTCACAAGCTTTCCGGGTGATTCCAATGCATGCTCAAATTTGAGAACCCACACCATCGACGTCTGGGTTATTTGAACTCTAGATCAGTTTCCATATGTGGTCATGTATAAATTTTGTAAAATTCGTGAGGCTAGACATAGAAGGCCTCCACCCAGCCTAGGACTGGACTCTGTGATGTCTTGGTGCACTTTTCTAAGGGCCAACTGACTCTATGCAGTGGCCTAACCTTCTGGATGGGTGATTTCTAAGCCACTGTGGCTTCCTGTCTTCCAACTTCACCTTGACAGACCCTAAACCTGTTTCCTGACCTCAGAGAAATAGACACAAGCATTAAAAACAAACAAACAAACAAACAAACAAACAACCTCAGCAATAACAAGAACAGGTGCCCGCAGGCCCTTCTGTAATTGAGAATCAGAGACCCCTCTCTGATGGGTGGAAAGGAAGAAGCAGACAGAGTGTAGTTGTAAAGGCTTGAATCCCATTAAGGAGGACAGGCAGCCTGCGGCATGGGGCTCTCCATAGATAATAGCTGTACTTTTAGCATATTAAGTATCAAATTGAACATCACAGAAGCTTGTGTGCAATTTTACAATTTTCTCCTTATTATCTCTAATTGTTCTGTAAGATTGAATGTGTGGAGCCTCGATTTACCGACTAAATAGGAACCCTGTGCGGGAGCCCTCTTACCCCACAGGTAGGAGCAATCAACTCAAGATGGTGCCCTAATTAGTCCTGAGAGATTTTATGACTGTAATTATAATAATTTCAACTCCTAGGGAAGGAAGCATGGGATGGGCCCCCACTCTAAAGACTATGCTCCAGGCTAGTAAGCATAGGTTTTTTTTCTTTTTTGAGACAGAGTTTTGCTCTTGTTGCCCAGGCTGGAGTGCAATGGCATGATCTCGGCTCACTGCAACCTCCACCTCCTGGGTTCAAGCAATTCTCCTGCCTCAGCCTCCTGAGTAGCTGGGATTCCAGGCATACGCCACCATGCCCAGCTAATTTTGTGTTTTTAGTAGAGACGGGGTTTCTCCGTGTTGGTCAGGCTGGTCTCAAACTCCCGACCTCAGGTGATCTGCCCGCCTTGGCCTCCCAAGGTGTTGGGATTACAGGCGTGAGCCACTGCGCCCAGCCGTAAGCATAGTCTTTAGAGTAGAGGCCCGTGCTTCTTGTTGGCTTACCAACAAGAAGTTTCAGCCTGCCAGGAGCAGTTGTAAGCCTGGGATTTGGGGCTATGTGTTTTTCTGAGTGACTTGATTTTTGCTTCAAATTCAGTTTCCTTGGGCAGTGGTGCTGGCAAGCGTTCATACCTGGTTTTCGTGGCGTGTGACTCCATTCTGCCTGAAGCTGCATATCTGGAGTGATGAGGGGCTTATTACAATTTCTTACTGATCCACCCCTTAGCCATGCTGCTATTTTGAGGGACACTCCTTGGCATGATATTTATTTGCTTAAATGGGCTTCAGGCAAAAGAGCGTTTCTCCATGTGATGGAACAGGGAGGTGAAAATTGAAGTCTAAAAGCTTATTTTTGATGAGAAGAGAAAAACCTAAAAGCATTTTTCTTCAGGCTCAGCAAAGACAGAATATTGGCCAGTTCAGACAAGTTGAGAATAAGCTCAAGTATTTACGCAGTTGCATGGTTGTTGGTGGAAAGGCTTTCTTGGTCTCCTCCATTGCCACAGGCATTATAGTTTAGAATGGGAGGCTGTTTGTAGCTTGGAGATTTCGAGATAGTGAAATCCATTCAAGTGGAAGAGCTACCAGCCTCTGAAGAGTTGACCAGAAACCTCACAATCACTAAATTCAGATTTATTGAGAATCTATATGAGAAGCTCTATGTCTATGCCTTAATAAAATGACAACCTTCCATCCTCTTCATAAACATTCTCAAGAACCCAATTCTACATACCATACCCAGACTGTTAAAAGGAATTTCTCTCTGTGTCTCTCTGTCTCTCTGTCTCTCTCTCTGTCTCTCTCTCTCTCTCTCTCTGTCTCTCTCTCTTCTCCCCCTGGAATCCGGACATTGCCAATACTGGGGGTTTCTTATTTTGACACCATTTTCTCTACACTAAAAGAACATTGTGTTATTTTCTTATTTGGCTTTTTGGAAAGAGACGATCCATTTCAACAGATGTTTTGTTCTGTTGATATTACAACTTACTTGTCCAACAAATATATTGCCAGAAGCAACTACAGATTCAATAGGAGATGATCCCGTAGTAACTAGCATGATCCATCCAACCTAAAAGGAAGAAAGGGACAAAGTCAGCAAAGAACTTTTTGTATACCCAAAACTTCAAAGTAGGGATTAAAATCCTTAAACTGGTGTAAAATATTGAGGGCTTCAACATTTGTCAGCAAGCTAATGATGGAGCTAAAGGTAAGTTTAACTTATTGAGCCCCTAGAGCAGGCCAAGCAAATCCTCTTATTGGAGTAGTAAGTCTGAGTCATTGCGTATACTTTGAACATTATACAAATCAATTTCTATAGGTCTATTGTATACAAGTAATAAATGACAATTGCTAACATGCTTATGGAAGGCTTTACTGCATTCCAGGCACTGTGTTAAGCCCTTGACAGTCCAGAAAATGCAATTAATTCTTACAATAACTCTTTGAGAGAGGTCCTATGTAATTATACTCATTTTATTAAAGAGGAAACCAAAGCACAGAACAGTTTAGTTGTTTTGTCAAAGGTCACCCATATGTAGCAGGATGTATTTGAGGTTTGGTCTTTTTTACTTAATTGAAATGAACGTGGTTTTTGGTTCCACTTTTGTACTGGCCTTTCAACTAGAGATGGTGGATGAGGACTTCCTGTTGCATTCTCTCTCCTTGCTTTTTAGTTTAGACAAGAGCATAACAATTCTGAATGTTTTGGGGTTTAAACAGGAAATTATGGGCCCTGGAGTTCTTGCTGTCATTCTGAACTCTGCTACTACCTGTATTCTGGTTCCCTCTCTCTCTTCTCTTCCTTTTTGTACATTTTGATTTATTTATTGGGATCAAGGAGGGCTGGGGCTGTGCCCCAAGCACTGCCTGCACTGCTCTGTGCTCGTGTGTGGTGCATCCAAATTAGCTGACGGAGCTCCTTGTCCTCTGATCTAACACATGAACATAGGACTCATTGAGGCTAGGGCAGCAGGAAGGACATGAACTCTTCAGCTGTGTGTGTGTATGTGTGTGTGTATGCATGCACGCTCATGCTTATGAAACTCCCTCAGGAGTGAAAAGCTGTTTCTCCTTTTTGCTTCAATTTCTCTAGCACCTCCAAAACCAGAAGTGTCTACTTTTGTAACCTCCTTAAGCAAGGTAGCATACAATTAAGGAGTAGCTTAAAAAAGAAAAAAAGATAAGCACAGGGCGGTTAACCAAGATGAAGGAATAACATCATTTCCCCCAGCAGTATCTGACCTCAATTCCTCCGCTAAAGAAGTAACTGCTATAGTTTCATGAAGATATCCAGTGCTTTGCAAATCAAAACCCTATTAGAAGCTCCTGAGATAAAATTCCCTCCATGGACACATTTAGGATTGGAGGTTTTGAATCTAATCACTTAGGTGGTGATGGTGGATAATGGTAGGAAGAGAAAGGCACTTCGTAAATACCTGCATAAAAGGCCTTGAGGACTTCGTGCCTGAGATAATCAGCTCTACACCTATAACCCAGTCCCTCCCAGCCCCAGTACCTTTCTAATAATCCACTGCATCAGTCCCAGGTAGTACAGCATGGACATCACAGTGCTGAAGAAAACCACGATCGGCAGGACCTGTGGGGACAGAAACAAACATGGATTAATGATGGGTCCAGCTGCACCAGCAGGTTTTATATCAGGCCTCCTCTCTGTCTCCTTTTCTCCCTCTGAAACATCATAAAAATATGGGAAACTCCTCTTGAACTTTAATCAGGCAGCTTCCCTATCTACAGTCTTTTATTCTAATTTGTCACAGGACTTTGACTTTTTTCCCCTGTCTTCTATGGTGAGCTTTTTTTGCTCAAAGAAGGAATGAAGTTTGGGGGGATTTGTAATACCTAGATCAATACACTGAAGGCTGTCAGAAAATATTCTTGTCCTGGTGCTAAAAAGACATGGGCTTCACCACTAGTTAGCAGAGTAACCTAAGTTGAGATAAATTGTGAGCAACCTCAGAGCCTTATTCTGAGTAGCTGTAGAGATCAGGTAAGGCATGGTAGGTGCTGACACATAGTGCCTCCTACTGGATGGCAGACACACCTGACAGCAATAACTTCAGCATGTCCTGAGAATGACCCTATGGTCTAAGCGTGTGTGTTTGGAGTTCCAAACTAAGGAACCTGGGAGCGGCCATTCCAAAGATTCATTCCTTATCTATAAGGAATATCTGAACCCTTGGCCCATTCCGTGGAAAGCAGGCCATATGGGGGATCCAGGCCCTTTGTTTTGGGTTAAATGAAGGTTGGGAGGTGGAGGTTGCTGGGGGAGGTTACTAAGTGAGAATGCTATATAAACTGCCTGCCTTTTACAAACAGTAGCGGTTCTCCTCTCTAGCCTGCTGCCACTGGACTGCCCTGCATGTGAGTCCCCCTCAATAAACCCTATGTCTCATTTGCTGGCTCCAGGTCTTTTCTTTGGCCGCTCAAACATGGTGCCCCCCCTACTGAAGTCAATAGGGGTCTGTCATGACCTTATGCAGTAAACATTCATTCTTCTAGCTTTTAAAATAATAGTGATTTTACCTATAGATTTTCAAATTACTAAAAAGTGACTGCATTTTGGAAGCTACTTTAGTTCTGTGTTAAAGGCCATTGTATTTTCCAGCTGGGCTCGGTGGCTCACACCTGTAATCCCAGCACTTTGGGATGCTGAGGCGGGCGGATCACCTGAGGTCAGGAGTTTGAGACCAGCCTGGCCAACATGGCGAAACCCTGTCTCTACTAAAAATACAAAAATTAGCCAGGCGTGGTGGCACACTCATGTAATCCCAACTACTGGGGAGGCTGAGGCAGGAGGATTGCTTGAACCTGGGAGGCAGAAGTTGCAGAGCCGAGATTGTGCCATTGCACTCCAGCCTGGATGGCAGAGCAAGAGTCCATCTCACAAAAACAAACAAACAAACAAACAAAACAAACAAACAAAAAACCATTGCATTTTCCTAGATCCTATTTTCCTGATGCTCTTTGGGTGCCTTCAGTGCAGCCAATGTTTCCACAGAGAGCAGTTTCTACCCTGCATAGACCACAAAGAGCTGTGGGCTGGGTCCCTCCTCAGCCTCATCCTACTGTACCCCCTCCCTACTGTTCCCCGGCTAACTGGCCAGAGAAAGCTGCTACCAGAGGCACAGAATGACCGAGGACAATTTGTACAGGATCTAATTTAGAAAAAAATCCATTAATAATATATATTAAAAGACATTTTGTGCCAGTATTCAGAGCTCACTCACGATGAGCCTTTTATTGGCTTTAATGGGTAGGCAGTGCCTTCCTGAAAGCTTGAGGGAGTTAAAGAGGCTCATCTCTGGAATGTTAGCAGAGGATTCTGCATTGGCAGGAAAGAATAGGGGCCACTGCCCTGGAAGAGGGGAGGGGGAAGGCCTGAAAACACCTGTATAGTCTGGGTAGCAAGTTATTCCTTCTTTATGACTTTATTTTTTCCAATTCTGAATTCGTTTCATGATATGAGTATATTTCTATCTCACTCTATAAACATTTGGCCTTTCAGAGATGGCTGAGTTATCTCAGCCCTAAAACATCAAACCAGCTAAACTGCCAGGTAGAGGTTGCTGGGGGAGGGTGCTAAGTGAAATGCTGTATAAACTGCAGGCTTCTTACAAACAGCAGAGGTTCTCTTCTCCAGCCTGCCACTAAACTGCTGGTTTAACGTTTTAGGCTGAATCTTTTTTCAGCCTAAAAGTTGGCCTAACTGAAGCTGGGGTAATTTGGAGGTAAATTTGGAGTCTCTAAGTGAGAAAACAATTTAGAAGTGTATGAATAACAACACACCACAAAAAAAGAAAGCTGAAGGAAAACCCGAATGCATGTTTCTGACTCATTGACAAGTGTTTGTAGGGACTTCCCAGAGGAGGATGGGCTTCCTGGGGCATGTGGGAGCCTCAAGAAGGAACTGACTGTGGCCAGCCATGGGGCCAAGCTGCCTTTCCCCTGTAAAATAATGTTCCTTCTTTAGTTAGGAGAAGGCCTATCCCCTAGTCCTGCCTAGGCAAAGGCTATGCTGAAGGAGAGATGAGAAACGTTTAGCACGGGGATGGCTCTAAAACAGAGGTTGATGTGGTTGACCGGCTGCCCCAAGGACTGGGACTGAGGGGCTTTCGAATACAGAGCTGTCACTGATCCTGGACCCATCAGCCATTCACTGCCACATGCCTACTTGTTGCTGGGAACATAATATTCTTTTCCCTGAAGGCCGAAGGTGCTATTACCCTTTTGATTTTTCCTAAGTATCTCAGATAAAGCTACAAGCCCCATTCCCTAGTATTTGAATAGTTCTGACTTCCTCTAGATGTTTCCCTTAACTCCATAGTAACAAGGTAAAATGCGTGCAGTCCACTAACTTCAGATAACATTGTCAGTGGAAAAGAGCAGTGATGTATTGCACACCTCTGACCAGCGCAGTAGGTATATACCTGGTTTTTGGTCAGTTAAGTTCTATCTGAACATCTACAAAGACAGAAGCCGCTGAAATAGCAGCGACTACATAGAAAAAAGGTTTGACTTTACCTTAAATGCAAAGAAGTGGTCTTTGTATTTCTCACCAAAGACAAATGAAGCACCAGCATCTGTGTACTCCAGAAAAGTCTGAGTTAAAGAAAGAAAAAGAGATTTCATTCCAACCACATGACTGGAAATTAGACAGTGCACAGGAATGCTAGGCTCTCAGAGGACGGACCCAGCAAATGTGTTGGATAGACTTGGAAAGTTAATGTTCTCAGCTTTGCCCCCTCCAATGAATGGTGTAGAAGCATATTTTTGAAATATTCCTGGATACAAATTTCCTGACATTTCTGACATTCAGTCTGACTCTAGAATGCTACAGAATGAGCCAACTGTGGCAATGTGTTGGGAGCCATACATGGCTTGTAGGTGGCATTAGTTAGCACTGGATGCAAAGGAAGCCTGTTTCTCTGTCTGTGGAAACATCTAAGAAGTATGATAGTTCCTGGGGAGGAGGATGTGGGCAATGGATTAGGGAACGATGACATAGGTACAGAACAGCAGTAGTGTTAACAAACCAGACAGACTAACATATTCAACATAAGCAAAACTATTTGTCTAACCCATGATGCAGAATTAAAATTTGAGACAACTCATGCAGACAGATAAACCCATTTCTGACACGTCTTGAGGATTACCTCCAATGTTAAAAGCACCATAAAAGCAAAGTGTTCTTTTGAACCAAACTTACCTGAACTTGTCTGCCCAACCAATCAAAAGCTATAAATCCAGGGTCAGTCCTTAGAATCAAGAGCCCAAGAAGAAACTGTAGCCCGATTCCCCATAAGACAGGTCTCCAGTAAACCTATACAGAAAGATCAAGTGATATGTCTTAGTAGGAAAATTAATGCAGGCCGTGGCATGAATGTCTAATGGATCACTATTTCCTTGAACACACTATCAGATGTGGCCTGTCACCCACCTTCTTTGGGAGGCTACAGCTGTCATAAGCAGAGAACCCTTTGATAGAACCATAACTTAAAAAACTCAGGCCAGGCGCAGTGGCTCATGCCTGTAATCCTAGCACTTTGGGAGGCCAAAATGGGCAGATCACCTGAGCTCAGGAGTTTGAGACCAGCCTGGCCACCATGGCAAAACCCCATCTCTACTAAAAATACAAAAAGAAGCCAGGCGTGGTGGTGAATGCCTGTAATCCCAGCTACTCGGGAGGCTGAGGCAGGAGAGTCACTTGAACACAGGAGGCAAGGATTGCAGTGAGCTGAGATCGCGCCACTTCACTCCAGCCTGGGCAACAGAGCGAGACTCCATCTCAAGAAAAAAACAAAAACAAACTCAGCATTGCATTCCTTCTCCCTAAAACTGAGTTTCAAGTCTTCAGTCCAGGAAAGTATTTAAGTAACCATTATGTCCTGATAAATTACTTGGATAGAAACAGTAGTCTAAGAAGGGCCATTAAAGAAGGCAGAATCTGGCCATCCTAGTCAAGCTGTAAGTACTGGATACATGTAATTATTTCCCCTATCTGGAAAATGGAAAGGCAGAACATGATTTCTCTGTGCGTCCAAGGTTTGTTGATCTGACAACCTGTAAGTGAATTAAGTAAAATATTGCCCTGTCAAGAGGCTCTCATTTCATTGTAAAAGAGACCAATAAACTCAAATGCAGACCCAGGATGTGCAGCAGGAATGGACGATCATTTGCTTTCATCTGTGGTGCAGGGCTGAGTGGCTTCAAAAGAACTATGGCATCGGAGGCATAGACAATGGAGATGTTCCCCTCAGCAGGGCAAAGAACTTGGATCATATTAGTTGAACTTGGTCTCTGATTTGTGTTTTTTTCCTTGGGTCTTGCTTTTAATGGTAAAGTCTTCCAGAGTTTGCCATCTTGAGTTACATATGAGAGATTTGATGTCTCAGAATTCTTGCCCATTTCACGGGTTACCAGTGGACAGAACTAGGATAAGAGTTGAGTTCAATATTAAAAAGAAAATTGTATAAGGACAAATTTTTGGAGTATAAATGCCCAAACTGCATGGGACTTCGATGAACTGCAGGATCCAATGGAGGACTATTAGATTTTTTACTGGTCTGGGGAAATCTGGATCAAAATGGATGAGTTTTCTCTGTGTGTTTGATGGAGGGTATGCGAGAAGAAATTAGACTTGACAGGGAGAGAACGTCTCACTGGTTATGTAACTGGAAAATTACTGAGAATGGAGCATGAAATAGTAACAAACAGTACCATGAAAGTTCAGGAAGATAGGGCACCCTGGTCACGTTAAATAATCCCATCAAGGTAAGAAAAGTACTGAACAATAGTTAAATTCTCTCACAATCAGTATTTTGAGCAATTTACACATGGGGAGAAAAAGAAAAAAGAACCTAAAAGATCAACTGGATACTTACTCTGGTTGGGTACTTGGAAAATAGAAATAACAGGACAATGTACATTATGAGCCCACCGAAGGACACCAGCTGCTGTTGACCCAATTTGGCAGTGTCAAAGGCCAACCAGAAAATAACTGCTAGGACCAGGGAGCTCCAGATCACCCTAAGAGAAGGGGAAAGGAGGCATTGGCATCATTTGTTGTGCTAACTTGAGAATCATAATCAGGCTTAATTTTTTTTTTTTTTGAGAGATGGAGTCTTGCTCTGTTGCCCAGGCTGGAGTAGAATGGAGCGATCTTGGCTCACTGCAACCTCCACTTCCCGGGTTCAAGCAATTCTCCTGCCTCAGCCTCCCCAGTAGCTGGGATTATAGGCATCTGCCACCACCCCTGGCTAATTTTTGTATTTTTAGTAGAGATGGGGTTTCACTATGTTGGCCAGGCTGGTCTTGAACTCCTGAGCTCAGGCGATTGCCCGCCTCGGCCTCCCAAAGTGCTGGGATTACAGGTGCGAGCCACCACTCCCAGCCATCAGGCTTAAATTAACAAAGAAACATAGAAACAAGATGAATATACTCTGGCACCAGTAGGTTGTGCGTTTAGAAACTGCAACAGATTTTTTTGATTGTGGCTATCAAGGCAAATAGCTAAAAAATTAAGTACTGGGTCTCCTTACTCTACAACTCTTGGGCCCTTCACCTGTTCAAGGATGCACAAAGGGGCCAGAGAGGAGATAGCATGTTTGGAGAGGAATGTCTGGTGATTTCTTTAAGAGAGCTACTGGGATTCTTCACCTTTGTTTTGGGGGATGGGTGAGGTGTTACCTGCTTCCATTTAAGGAAGAACTTGGAATATGTTATCTGCCCTTGGGGGACCTCACCAGCGGCCGAGAGGGAGATCAGACGTTAGGGCAAGTTCTGGCTCCTCTGGGGAGCCCAGCAAGCATGACAAATCTGACTCAGGACTCACGGCTTGCACAGCAGAGCCAGAAAGCCTGCAGTGTTGGGATTGCACAAGCCCAGTTTAATAGGCCAAGGATGTGTGAATTTTCCTGGTAGATCCCACGTTAGTCTTGAGGGAGAGAACTGGTCTTGGGTCCTGCTCAGGGGGCCACCTGAAGGGAGAGGAGGTCCCTCAGAGAGAGGCTGAAGGAAAAGCTCTGAGCAGTTGCTGCAGGACACAGGGTCCTATGGGAAAGGGTCTCTCTAACACTTCACAGGCCCTTCCTCCCAAGAAGGCCAGCTTCATATCCATAGCAGGTAGCCAGGCTGATCCTGGCTTTGAGGCTGGCAGGGGAGCAAGTAACAAGGAGAAAGGGGACACTCAGGCCCAGGCTAGGGAGGAAAACTAGGGCACTGGGTCATGTTCACAGTTCTCATTACTGTAGGGGACAGCATATTCTGATGTTAAAAAATATCCATGATGCCTGTATCAAAATATCTCATATACCCCGTAAATATATATACACCTACGACATACCCACAACAATTAAAAATTTAAAAAATAGGCTGGGCACAGTGGCTGACACCTATAATCCCAGCACTTTGGGAGGCTGAGGCAGGAGGATCACTGGAGGCCAGGAGTTCAAGACCAGCCTGAGCAATATGGTGAAACACCCGTCTCTACTAAAAACACAAAAAAATTAGCTGGGTATGGCGGTACATGGGAGGCTGAGCTATTTGGGAGGCTGAGGCACGAGAATCATTTGAACCCAGGAGGCGGAGGTTGCAGTGAGCCAAGATGGTGCCACTGCACTCCAGTCTGGGTGACAGAGCAAGACTCTGTCTCAAAAAAAAAAAAAAAAAAAAAAAAAGAAAAGGCTGTAAACATTGGACTATTACTAAGAGTGTTCAGAAGGGTCATGGGCTTTTGGCAGTTTTATAAAATATAGGGTAGATATCTCCCATTGAATAAAATTGGAAGAATGATGAATGAAAAAAATTAAGTTTTATTTTGACCATAGCCCCATGGGTCATGAAAAAGAGTGCTCAGCCTCCCATGTTCTATGATCCTCATTTTGTAAATAAATTGTAAAGAGAATGGGTACAACTTGTGTAAGAAAAAAAGTTGGTAAAAATAAAAGCTCTTTACAGACACATAATCAGCAATCTCCATCAGTTTGTACTTATAACCCAATTCTTTATTTACAGGTACTGAGATTAGATGGCATTTGTGTTGTTCCCTATCTTGTGCCAGGACAGACATTACTGATTGATCATGGTGCCCTCCCACTGACAGGTCAGAGGGAGAGTGAAAGCCATCCTGCTATGACAAAACTTTCACTCTATCCTATATTTCTAACTACTTCCTAATACGTAGGCATGGAGGTGTCTCTTCCTAATATAGCACATGGAACGTAATATGCTCAACATCTTTTGGACAACATTTTATCATTTAATACACTTGACATTAAGGCAGTTTGTGAGGACATTTGGATACATTTCAAATGAGTCATTGCCTCATCTAGGCTTTGATTTCCTGTTTGTAAAATGAAGACATTGTAACAGATTACTTCCTAGGGTGTTTCTAGCTTCCATATCCCATAAATGAGGAAGCAATTTCAGAACAAATTTTTGAAACGGTGTTGGAAAGGACTACTATCTCTCTTAACTGAAATAAGAGAACCAATTGCATTTACCACTTCAGCCAGAACCAATGGCTGTTTAGAAGCCTTCTGCCAGGAGACAGCATCTCATCAATTCGATGTTCGTATTTGGCCATCAGGTGATCCCAGACAACAAAGAAGATGGCAGCCACGGTGATCACAAAAAGAGGAAGGGCTCTGTGAAAGTTCAGCACACAGGCCGAAATCACCATAACCAGATAACCTGTCCAGGAAGCAAAAACAGACACTGAACATCACTAACCACTGGGACACGCCTCCAGGCTCCAGCCTTGTTCTGGCGCAGGTGAGGGGAGGTTTAATATCATTAAATATCACTGAATGCAGGAGTGCTCTTGATATGGCTACTGGCTTCTTTGATGGGGTCTTTTGATATTTTTCAAAGCAAGTCTCAAAAATTACCACCATGAATGCTAGGAGGACAGGGTGCTAGGTATTTTTATTCTTACAGGACCTTCTGAGTTCTTGAATCTTGATGCTCAATCATTGGGCCTCTAAGTACTGGCCATTTTTACCACTGGCATTCAGTCTCGGCAGGTGAGCTACTATCAGAGAAAGGCCGAGTGTTGAAGTGACGACTGGCAAAGAGGTACTGATTCTTGGGGTTTGCAGTTCAGATTTGGCCTAAATTTGAGTGAAGGAATAGACCTACCAACAACAGACTACTTCTCTAAGTGACACAGAGTCTCTAAGGAAAAGAGGTAGGGGCAATTACCAAGCTGGCTGCTTTTGAAGAGCAGATTCTAGGATAAGAATAAGGTTTCCTATTCTTAAAGGTCTGCAAAGATGTTCTGCAGGTTAAATCTGGCCTGCCACTTGTTTTTGCAGGTGGCAAGAACGTTTATATTTGTGTGTTTTGAGAAATAAAAATAAAGTCCTAAGTCACCCAACCAACTGAACCGAGCCTGTCTTGGCCAAGGGGATCCCAGAAAAACCTTAAAAACTGAGTTCCCAACCATGACAGGATGGGAGGTCAGATGTGCCTCAGTATGCCCCTTCCTTATTAACCTTTAACCAGAATTCCTTCCTAAGGAGTCAGCAGAAACTAGCTCTGGAAAACAAGAAATGGAAGACTCATTTCTCTATCGCCTTTAGCCAATCATCTGAGGTGGTGACCAGACTCCCTCTCCCTCTTTAGAGTTTTTGTTTGTTTGATATGGAGTTTTGCTCTTGTTGCCCAGGATAAAGTGCAATGGTGCGATCTCGGCTCACTGCAACCTCCACCTCCCAGGTTCAAGTGATTCTCCTGCCTTAGCCTCCTGAGTACCTGGGATTACAGGCATGTGCCACCACGCCCGGTTAATTTTGTATTTTTAGTAGAGACGGGGTTTCACCATGTTGGTTAGGCTGGTCTTGAACTCTTGACCTCAGGTGATCCACCCACCTCGGCCTCCAAAAGTGCTGGGATTATAGGCATTAGCCACCGTGCCCTGCCTCTTTAGAATTTTGACGTGACAGCTCACCAGTTTTACAAGGCATTTCCTCTTGATATGAGACCGCTGACTCTGGAGTGGTTCTGGCCAGTCTTGGAGGATGCACAGTGAGGGTTTTTGTGTTCTTTGCTTTACCTTTTGACTTCACAGGGCTGAAAACTCCACCCTCAGGTCATGGTAACACTGCTATTTTTTAATACACATGCTCCATAAAGAGGCACAAATCTCAATTGTGCATGTGCATGTGTCTCCTTTCATAAATATTCATGACTCCCCCTATAGCTTATTGAATACTTATGCTTAGCCAATCCTTTCAGCATAAATTCCTGTCTTATTCTTCCCTCCCTCAAAGTACTTGTTTCTGGCTTCTGTTGGAGACTACGCTTCCCAGCTTGTCAGAATGGCCACCTTGCAGGCTGCAACCCTTTATGACTTTCCTTTCCAAATGTTTGAACCTCGTGATTGATTCTTCAGTTGACAGTTTGTATGTGTGTTCTAGAAATAAAGTTGTTTTGGAATACAGCCATGTCTGTCTACTTATGTATTGTTTATGGTTGCTTTGTTACTACAGTGGCAGAATGGCATGGTTTTGACCTTATGTCTGAAATACTGAAAAGCCTAAAATACTATCTGGCCCAGTACTCAGAAAGCTCACCAACCCTACTGTTCCCTATTCCAACTGTCTGAGCACCAGCAAAACTGCTGACCTTGGCTGTGCAGCAGCCTGGGATTAATGTCTGTGGTTTGGATCAGGGTGCTTACGTTTTATAGACAGGAGTGTTCTTTAAAATGGGCCAAGTTCAGTGTGCTCAGCTTCAAGAAAAACAAAAAATAACAGTACAACAAAAAAAAAAAACAAAAACAAACCAAAACAAAAAACAAATAAAGTGAGCCAAGGAGCTCTTTGTTTTGGAGGGAGTAAAAACAGGAGACATTCTTGTCCTGCCTTCAGGCAAGCGAGTGGGCTAGATGGCCCTAGGCTACTCATGTTGTATTCATATAAAGCATTAATCACTTGTGTTTTCTGGATTTGTGTAAACCAACACACCTCCTCAAATCCACCTGACAATAACAAAGGCTATAAGAATGAGGAGAGTAAGTGAGTCCAAAAATTAGCTGCTGGGCCCGGCACAGTGGATCACGCTTGTAATCCCAGTACTTTGGGAGGCCAAGGCGGGCAAATCACCTGAGGTCAGGAGTTCGAGACCAGCCCGGCCAACACAGTGAAACCCTGTCTCTACTAAAAATACAAAAATTAGCCGGGTGTGGTGACGTGTGCCTGTAATCCCAGCTACTCAGGAGGCTGAGGCAGGAGAATCACTTGAACCCGGGAGGCAGAGGTTGCAGTGAGCTGAGATGGCGCCATTGCACTCCAGCCTGGAAGACAGAGCTAGACTCCATCTCAAAGAAAAACAAAATTAGCTTCTGGCCTCATAAACGGGGTAGGGAAACAATTTGCATAGGCTTCCCCTATAAAGGGCTTCTTGATTTACTTCTCTACCACCCCCGATGATTCAGTGAGGTCCCAGAGAAAATAAAGGTTTAATCTTTTTCCACATAAAGTTAATATTTGGGGGAATCCCTGAAAAAAAAAAAAAAAAAGACAGTGGTATCCCTAACCATCTTTGTTATTTACCTGCTAATAAAATGCCCCAGATGATGTGCCGAAGAGTTGTTTTGTGTTTCCTACAGAAACCACATACTGTGTCATACCTCCTTTCCAAACACCTGCAACATAAAAGCAAAAAGGCAGGGAGAAGTAAACACCAAAAACATGAAATAAACTGCATGGTGAGGCTAGATTAAGCTTTGTAAACTAAGAAGGCAAACAAACACATGTGTGAGGCGTATGTCTTACAAAATAGAAATGGGAAACTCATTTCATTTTAGACTAGAGTCAGCCATGATCATGACCATTCAGTGATCACCATCATTGAATAAGTGTGCCAAGCCCTGAGGGATTAGAGAGGTGCAGACAACATGCTCCTGGGAACAGAGCAGGGGAGATGGATATCTAACCAAAGCTGAAATAGTCACAGGAAGAGAGTGTTTCTGGCACACTATGAGATCCTCTGTTAGCTTTTAACCAATGTTTATTACGTGTTTATTGTTAGAAAATAAAAAGCCAAGGAACTCTGTCATCCCTCTTGGTTTGGCAAAGTTTGAGCAAGTTGGTGGTGCTCTGTCCCCCATCACCATCCCCGTTAGTCCAAAACTGATGGACCTCATGGGGTGTGCTTAAAATGCAAAGTAGGATTTCCTGGATGTTAGGGCTATTAACCAATGGGTTGTCACAGCTTTCTCAGAAAGCTCTGGAGTTGTTGGAATGTCTTTATTTCCATCCAGGGCTTTGTTATGGGCTGGGTGGGTAGTGTGTGAGTAATGTGTAGGTTGGGTCATGTCTTCGGAGGAGGATCGTGTCCAGCAGTTCCCCAGGAGTGAGCTGGGAGGCCAGGGTCATAGCCACATGGCTCTCCTCTCCTTCTTTGGGGATCTTCTCGTTCCTGTGTGATGCCTCTTTCTTTGGAGGCCTCTCCTTCTCCCACTTGAGTCTGGGTGGAAGGAACTTCTTGCATATTTCCCCATTGTCCCCTCCAGGCCACGGGATAGCACTTCTAAAAATGACCATTTCTCCTCCCGTATAGATGATTCCCAAACTCCAGGACCTCAAAGGATGTGGCCCCAAGCTGGGAGACCTGCACTCCCCTTGGCCAGTGCCTCCACTACCCCGCCTTCCAACAGTCTCGCCTGCACCTCCAAGTCAGCTTCCTCTCAAGCTTTGGGGCACAGCTCAAGCTTTTGACTTCTAAAAAGTCTTCTTGCATTTTCTCAGACAGATACATGCCTCTGAACTTTATTCTTACTGTCTTCTTTGATTGTGTTTTGTTATGAACCCATTACTGACCCATTCCAGTAGCAGGAAATATTGGTTATTTGGTTAATAACCAGTCTTTTGGTTATCTAGGCTGAATAATTCCCAACCCATTAACCTTAGTGAAACCTGAGTGCCTGTGACCACACAAGAGAACTTCTCAGTCCCCCAGGGCCAGAGACCCTGGAGAACAGATGTCTATGAGCCATACAGCACTATGAGTAGAACGTTGGATATTAAGGATGTTCAACAGACATGTATTGATTGATAGATGAATGAAATGGGAGTAAATATTGCTTATCTGAAACAGTATTTTACAGCTCTGAGTTGGGGATGCATTAGCGGGTTATGAAGCCCACATAGTAACCACTATTAAAATAGAAGGAGGCCAGGTGTGGTGGCTCATGCCTGTAATCCTAGCACTTTGAGAGGCCAAAGTAGAAGGATTATTTGAGCCCAGGAGTTTCAGACCAGCCTGGGAAACACAGTGAGACCTTGTCTCTACAAAAAAAAAAAAAAAAAAAAAAAAAAGCTTCGTGTGATGGCACAAACCTGTGGTCCCAGCTGCATGGGAAAATCACTTGAGCCCGAGCGGTCAAGGCTGCAGTGAGCTGTAATTGTGTCACTGCACCCCGTCTCAACCAAAAAAAAAAAAAAAAGGCCAGGCGCGGTGGCTCAAGCCTGTAATCTCAGCACTTTGGGAGGCCAAGGCGGGTGGATCAACTGAGGTCAGGAATTTGAGGCCAGCCTGGCCAACATGGTGAAACCCTGTCTCTACTAAAAATACAAAAATTAGCCGGGTGTGGTGGCACAGGCCTGTAATCCCAGCTACTCGGGAGGCTAAGGCAGGAGAATCGCTTGAATCTAGGAGGCGGAGGTTGCAGTGAGCCAAAATTGCGCCATTGGATTCCAGCCTGGGAGACAGAGCGAGACTCCATCTCAAAAAAAAAAAAAAACAAAAACAAAAACAAAAAGAAAGAATAAAAATATCAAAAGTATCATAGTGTATCATTCATACATAAGAACAATAGGTATCACTTCATGAAATGTTCATCATTATGTATGTGTGTGAATATGTATACTGAGAGTTAGAAACAGTGCTCTCTAGAAAATATTGGGTGAATAAAAGTGTAGTGAAGACATTTTTTCACGGTCTGATTTAGGAAAGGCTAATGATGTATTATTCTCAGTTGAAGATATATTAAGAAGCAGCAGCAGCAGAGGGTGACATTTAATAGGGTACATTCACATACTGTAGGTTGACTCTATCAGGTTCTTTAATTGCAGGGAATGTGTGTAGTCCATTGTGGCAATCTGACTTCTGCATAAAGCAGAGTAGCTGAAAGTAGACACTTTGGTCATTTGGTTATCTAGGCTGAATAATTCCCAACCTCCTGATGGCTGTTTCAGTCTCATTAACATTAGTGAAACCTGAGTACCTCTGACCACCCAAGAGAATTTCTCAGTACCTCCGGGTCAGAGACTCATAAAGTAAAATGAAGGATAAAACTTTGCTATGTTTCTGATATGGTAAATATTTGGGATGATGTATATGTGACAAGAGCTGCCAACCCTAATTCTGGCCAACTCCAGAGATATCTTCTGATACATATAACAAAGTTCCTCCTGTAGTCCCAGCTACTTGCGAGGCTGAGGTGGGAGGATCACCTGAGCCCAGGAGGTCGAGGCTGCAGTGAGCTTGACAGATCTCATGACAGGGCCTTGCTCTGTTGCCCAGGCTGGACAGAATAGATTTAAATTAAAATATATTTCTGGCCGGGCGTGGTGGCTCACACCTGTAATCCTGGCACTTTGGGAGGCTGAGGCAAGCAGACCACCTGAGGTCAGGAGTTCAAGACCAGCCTGGCCAACATGGTGAAACCCTGTCTCTACTAAAAATGCAAAAATTAGCCGGGCACGATGGTGCATGCCTGTAATCCCAGCTACTCGGGAGGCTGAGGCAGGATAATTGCTTGAACCCGGGAGATGGAGGTTTCAGTGAGCTGAGATTGTGCCACTGCACTCCAGCCTGGGCAACAGAGCAAGACTCCATCTCAAAAAAAAAATTTAAAATCTATTTCTAGATTTAAAATTAGCACCACTGAACTCCAGCCTATGCAACAGAGTAAGCCCCTGCCTCTAAAAAAGAAAAAAGAAAAATTTCCTCAGAGACATAGGAATGCAAATCAAATTTAAGTAGGAATATAGAAGATGGACAAATACTGTAGTGTTATGATAGGTGGCAGACAATCCTGGACTAGGAATCAGAAGCTGAAATTGTGACCTAATTCTCTTCCTCTCCTAGTTGACTTGGGGAAGTCACTTCTCTGAGGTTCATTTTTCTGGTCCAAAAAATAAAGATACTAATCTTGCGTCTCCTACCTTACGGAGTTGTAAGAACTTGGAATACTTTGAGGCTATTACAAGGTAAGAGAAACCGTTTGTTGGGATTTAAAGTGGATTGGGTTTTGAGCGATCAATTGCTATTGATTGACATTGAGAAGATGAATTAACTGCATTCGTATGGACTGGAGCAATTATTTGGTAATTTACACTTTTAATTAGAAGACTGTCCTGGGTGAATTTAAATCTGCATATTGGGTTCCCAGAACATCAGCAGTTTGAATTGGCCACATTGATCATCTTAAAGCTTCATTAATTTTTCTGGAAGGGGTGTTGGGTAGGGAGGGTAGATGGATGGGTGGTGACAATCTCTAATAAATTATAATAAGTGTTAAAAATCAAATGGGAGGCCTGGTGCCATGGCTCATGCTTGTAATCCCAACACTTTGGGAGGTCGAGGTGGGTGGATCATTTGAGGTCAGGAGTTCGAGACCAGCCTGGCCAACATGGTGAAACCCAGCCTCTACTAAAAATACAAAAATTAGCCAGGCGTGGTGGCATGCGCCTGTAGTCCCAGCTACTCGGGAGGCTCAAATGGGAGAATCGCTTGAACTTGGGAGGCGGAGGTTGCAATGAGCCGAGATCACATCACTGCACTCCAGCCTGGGTGACAAAGTGAGACTCTTATCTCAAAAAAAAAAAAAAAAAAAAAAAAAGAAATCAAATGGGGATAAAACAAAGTAATAAAACCAAACGGGAGGTAGGCTTGGTTATTTCCCTGTTTTAAAGACTGTACCCTTTTTGTTGCATCTCCTCATCATCATCCTCCATGTGTTCTCTGTTTCTTGGAGAATCCTGCTCAACTGTGACCTGTTCTTCATCCTGGAAATCAAACATTGGAGCAGAGATGGAATAATGAGCATCCTGGGCATAATGGACCCTGGTTTCATTGCTCAGAACTCGGGCAAAGAACTTTCAATAGGTCCTTTTAAATTATTATGCAAGAAGATGGCTCCTATTATCTACTGCACAGACATTTTTTTTCCCGGCTTATAATCTCACACAAAAAATGCCAGGTTCATACTGAACTCTTCCTTTCCTTCCAAAGGAGCTGTTGGTATTTTCTCCTTTTCTTAAGGGAACAGGCTCATATTTGTGCTTTTTGCTCCTGTCTCTCTTGTAATCAACCAACCCCATCTCTGTTTTCAGCCAAGTACTAAATGAAGTTAATACCAGGAGCTGCATAAATCTCCCCTAGTACTCTGCCAGCCCCGGTTTCCAAATGACTGAGACCAAAGCTGGATTTATTTCCCCGGCAGCCCAAGGCTTGGTCTGTGAATATGAACACTAGCTTGGCACCTTCAAGAGCCAATAAGCCTCCCCTTGGGAACTAGGATCCTTTTATCAGTTGGGCTAAAGGGGACTATTTCCCTTACTCAGCTAGCCCTTGCTCTAATTAATTGAGTGTAGGATATCTCTGACCCATCCCATTTTTTCATGGACAATCTTTCTAGGTACAGTTTGAGCTCTCAAATATCCATGACCCATCCTATTTCCAGGATGGCAGAGGATTTCCTACCTGTCTCCAGTCTCCAATAATGTCTCAAATAATAAGCCTGGCTCTTGTAACCAATGGTACAGAAGCTGGTGGGGGAGGAAATAGATGGAGGTGGAGCAGTTTGAGTGTGCTCTAAGAAGTATAATGTCAAATCTCAGCACTTGTCTTCTGTCATATCCAATGTGGCCTTTGATTCTCTTTAACAGAAATCATAGAAATAAATCATTAGTGTGTGTCTGAGATGAAAGAATTCTCAAAAATCCTATAATTCCACGAGGCCAAACTCCATTGTTCTTCTGATTCAGATTACCTTCATTTTCTGGGCTGGACCCTAGGAACAAGGAAGGTGTGAGGATAATTGTAAGAGAGACCAGCTGAGTCCAAGCTGCAGCTTCTGAGGAAGGGCTGGAGTTGAGTCTTATTTATTTATTTCTATCTAATTCCCAGCTTAGCCAATAGTCAATGTTTGGTAAATATTTGATTTAAATGGTCATCATTATTATTTTCTTGCAGTGAAAGTACCCCAAGTTACCTGCTATCTATGGTATATCTAACATTACTATTGTTGGCTCTTATTTTTCCATCTTTTCTCATGTTTTAAAAACAACAACTACAAATCTCCCTTGACTCCCACAATCATGGGACATCTGCACCGCTCTTTCCTTTCACAGCCAGGCCGCTGGAGAGAGTTGTGTTTACTCTTTGGAGGTCACTTCCTCACACCCTGCCCACTTCTCTACCCACTGTGATTGTGCTTCTGCTGAATGCATCCTGCCAATGTCACCCAAGGCCCATTGCTATCAAATCCAGTAGCTACTCCTCAGCCTTCATATCCTCATTTATAATTGAAAAATATCTAAATTTTTGTTTTTATGAAAAAAATATTTTAAAAATATTTTTAAAAGAGCAGTTTTAAGTTCACAGCAAAATGGAGCTGAAACTATAGAGATTTTTCATGTATTGTCTACCCACCCTCACCTTCCCCACTATCAAATGAACCCAGAGAAGTACATTTGTTACAACTGAGGAGCCTACATGGACACATCACCATCACCCAAAGTCTGCAGTGAGACTCTCTTGGTCTTGTACATTCTATGGGTTTGGACGCATGTATGATGGCATGTATCCACCATTGTAGTATCAGGCATACTAGTTTCATGGCCCTAAAAATCTTCTTATGGCCAGGCGTGGTCACTCATGCCTGTAATCCCAGCACTTTGGGAGGCCAAGGCAGGCGGATCACAAGGTCAGGAGATCAAGACCATCCTGGCCAACATGGTGAAACCCCGTCTCTACTAAAAATACAAAAAAAAAAATTAGCTGGGCACAGTGACGGGTGCCGGTAATCCCAACTACACGGGAGGCTGAGGCAGGAGAATCACCTGAACCCGGGAGGTGGAGACTGCAGTGAGCTGAGATTGTGCCACTGCACTCCAGCCTGCTGACAGAGCGAGATTCCATCTCAAAAAAACAAAAAACCCCACACTTCTTATTTGTCCCTACCACCCCCTGATGCCTTGAAAGCACTATTTACTGTCTCCATAGTTTTGCATTTTCCAGAATGTCGTATAGTTGGGATCGCACAATAGGTAGCCATTTTAGATTGGCTTCTTTTACCCAGTAATGTACATTTAAGGCTCCTTCATGTCTTTTCATGGCTTGATAGTTCATTTCTTTTTAGCGCTGAAAGACACTGCATGTCTGAATGTACCACAGTTTATTTATTCATTCACCTACTGAAGGACATTTTGGTTACTTCCAAGTGTTGGCAATTACAAATAAAGCTGCTCTAAACATCCATGTGTAGGTTTTTATGTGGACATAAGTATTGTTTTCTTTTTTGTTTGTTGAAGAATACTTAGTGAACATTTTTTACAATCAATTAAGCAAAATAGACAGTTACCAAACACTGTACTATGCATGGTATGATTCCAATACAGATGACATATGCATGTGGGTGTATGTTTGCATTAAAAAAGGCTGTGTTCCAAAATGTTAGGCACTGACTTTTTTTCTTGAATTATAAGCCTTTTTTGGTTTTCCAAATTTTGCTACAATAAGTTTTCCAAATTGTCTACTTTAAAAAAAAGTGATTCTTTTACCACGAGAAAACTCCTCACAAAATGACACACTAGTGGGCACCCCAAATTCCTTTTTTTTTTTTTTTTTTGAGAATCTCGCTCTGTCGCCCAGGCTGGAGTACAGTGGTGCCATCTCGGCTCACTGCAACCTCTACCTCCTGGGTTCAAGTGATTCTCCTGCCTCAGCCTCCAGAGTAGCTGGGATTACAGGCACACGCCACCACGCCCAGCTAATTTTTGTATTTTTAGTAGAGATGGGTTTTCACCATGTTGGCCAGGCTGGTCTTGAACTCCTGACCTCAAGTGATCCGCCCACCTCAGCCTCCCAAAGTGCTGGGATTACAGGCATAAGCCACCGTGCCCGGCCCTGAATTACCTTTTAAGGGGTGACCTACATGGGTAATTTGTTCACCTTTTTGGCAACAGGAAGCCATCTTTAAATAAACTCCTGTCCAGAATTCAACATGTAAGTGAAATTAAGCAAGAGTCCCTCGGACTGGTATAAAGCTACTAAGGAATGCGAGTGCATGATGGACCCAGATTCAGAACCATAGTAGAGGGTTCCTCTTGTTTCTGTCATTTACGTTAAAGCTCAGATGCTTTTGTCTAAGCCAATGCCTTTTTCCTTGAGATGGAGCTTGGAACTCCTAATAGTGAAGTGATGCTTCCCATCAGGGAACTCTGAGGACAGGTGGATAAAAACAAAATCTCTTTGTTTGGGCGTGTGTGTTTTCTTTACGACTATGCCCCCACACACTTTAATTACCACTTAATCTGTTCCTCTGCGTGCCAGTGGGGCGCCATGCTTTCTGTGCCCACTGTTCTCAGGTGCCTGTTGCGCAGCGGCTGCCATGGTACTAGAGTCATGCACCACAGTCTTGCTGTACCTGTTTGGTGTTTGTGTGCTCCCTGCTTTGCACAGCTCTGCTTCTTATTGAGTTGTTTCCTGATGTGTTCTCGTTCTCAAGAAAGTTTTCTTCATTCTAAGAAAAAAGTGCAGATTGAAAAAATAAAAAGTTACAGCCAAAAGACAGATGTTCTTTCATGAAAAATACCTAGAGGAATTTGGAGGATGAGACAAACAAAGATTAGGTGTTCAGATGAAGCATCCGATTCAACAAACAGCTGACAAATCCTGGGCTTGTAAAGAAACAGATGATCGGCTGGGCACAGTGGTTCGTACCTGTAATCCCAGCATGATGGGAGGCCGAAGTGGGAGGGGAGACCAGCCTGGGCAAAATCCTGTGTCTACTAAAAATATAAAAATTAGCTGGGCGTGGTGTTGTGCACCTATAATCCCAGCTACTTGGGAGGCTGAGGTAGGAGAATTGCTTGAGCCCCAGAGGCAGATCATGCCACTGCACTCCAGCCTGGGAGACACAGCAAGACTCTACCTGAAAAAAAAAAAAAAGAAAAGAAAAGAAAGTAAAGAAAAGAAACATATGACTTTTGCTTTGTTTTGTTCTGATACAAAAGTGGTCCAGGGGAAGAGAGGAATGAGGACAATTGCCCTCATCTCGGCCTGATAACTTTCCAATAGGCAGAGCTGGGACCAGGGGCAGGTTTCCACTCTCCTTTCTATCACATCACACTGATTTTCAACTTATAAAATGAACTAAAACGTGGTAAACCATAGGCTGAATAGCCTTATTCTTAGATGTTAGATTTACGAAATGTTGAAATGGGTTTTTTTTGGTTTAAAGCAATCTCTGGCAGTAATGGTCATAAGAAAAATGCCCTTTTTTGTGTGTGTGTGAGGCTGTCTTGATTTTACTTTAAGGAACTGAACGAGATTTGCTCTTATAGGGCCGTCCGGACCCCTCAGCTGCTGTTTCCAGAAGTGACAAACACTGGACCTGTCTCCTGTCTCTTTTATCTTTTTTGAGGTATCTAATATTTCTCCCATCTCATTTCAACTTGCCGTTTTCTAGAGTGAGGTAATGGATAAATGGTGTCAGGAAATGCCTTCTGTTAGCCCAACGACTATGACTGCATCTTCAAAGACCAAGTGTATGACTCTAATTTTAACTTAGATCTCTGACTGGCCCCAGGAATCCAGCAAATATTGCAATTCCAAGTTGTATTGCATTTTCTACTTACTGAAACACAAGAATGAATAAACATGAAAAAAAAGTTACAGTACAAGATTCATGCATCAAAGTATTGTGCCATACTTCCTTTTTTGTTACAGTTGCTTATATCCTACAGTTCTTTGCATATAGCAGACACTAACAATGTTTTGAATTAATGACCCACAGTAATTTTAATGTTGCATTAGCACAGCAATGTAGTACCCTTGGGTTCTTGGTATAAAAATACAGCATGGGCTGGGTGTGGTGGCTGACGCCCGTAATCCCAGCACTTTGGGAGGCCAAGGTGGGCGGATCACGAGGTCAGGAGATTGAGACCATCCTGGCTAACATGGTGAAACCCCGTCTCTACTAAAAATACAAACATTAGCTGGGCGTGGTGGCAGGTGCTTGTAATCCCAACTACTTGGGAGGCTGAGGCAGGAGAATTGCTTGAACCTGGGAGGCAGAGGTTGCAGTGAGCTGAGATCACACCACTCTGCACTCCAGCCTGGGCGACAGAGCGAGACTCAGTCTCAAAAAACAAACAAACAAACAGCATGAAAAGAAAAAATATACATAGTATGGGAAGATGACAGAATGTTGCTAATTGCTGAAGTTGGCTGACAGGTACCCGGAGAATCATTTTATTATTCTCCTACTTTGGTGGATGCTAAAATGTTCCTTAATACTAAGTTAAAAATAAAACCAAACATGAATTGGTGGAGTAACAGAACACAGGTCACTGAGGGGCTAGTCCTTAGGGTCCCTACTGAGCAGGCCACATTCTCTCAAGCCTTAACTCCCTCATTCATACAACACAGTTTGGATTTGGGGTTCTTGCGGATCCTTACGGAATCCTGACATTTTCTAATTCTATTAGGAGATTCAGCTTCTTGACGTTGATTCCTCCTGCCACCTGGTGGCAGGATCTGAAAACTACTGGTGGAACACGGGTGGATCCTACGTTTTTAAAGTTAATGAAAGTGGAAGGTGTGTGTGTTGAGGGATAGAGTGGGCACTCCTTTAAGTGGCAACAAGAGCACGTGTGGTTTTGTTCTCCACTGTGTAATAGTCTTATTTGGCCCCCAACAGAGTATACGCCTTGGCCTTTTAGTATTTTCTGGAAGAACAATATCTCCCACTTGAGGATTTCCAACAGAATTAGTGGGGTTATTGTGGATATTGACTGGTACCTGGAAAATGACCATTAAGACAACTGTCTTTCTTCTTCTTTTTAAATTAGAGTCGTGGGGCTGTGATATGGGGCCCCAGATAATGTCTTAGCTCAATGTTTCTTTCCATTTATTTAGCAACTCACATTACTAAATACCTTTGCACACTTAACGCCCTACAACCACGACTGCGTTCTCATGGTAAAATCTATCCCTCTGTTGAATGTGTAAGAAAGGTGAGGGAATTGCATTGTGAGTATGTCTAGGCCGTTTACAGCTTACACATTTAATTTCTCTAGTTAGTTTTAGTTGTTAGGTGTGCTAAAAGATGAGGGTCCTGATTGAGCCCCCTTTGAAGGGACAGCCTAGTAACCAGGAGTACATTGTGCCTGGGGTTTGTTTCCCACCATTTCTTTGATCTTGCACTTTCTATGTGGCTATTAGAGGGAGGCAGAGATGGACAGAGGCATTTTTATTTTCTTCCTTTCATTCACTTTCTAAACCATATAATAACTTCTAGAACACTGGAAATTTCTAAAATGACTCCCCTATTTGTGGTATCCCTTTTCAAAGAATGTTAGCTGACACATGGTCACCTAGGAAAAAGATTACATATCCAAGCTTCCCTTGCAACTAAGTTCTGGCAACGAAATGAAAGTAGAAAGGGTGCCCTGTTGGGGGCAGCTCGGGGAATGTTCCGCCAGGGATGGCTGGCAGGTGCACTTGTTCCTTTTTGTCATTTCCTCTGTCTTGCTGCCCAGTGTGAGGATGGTTCCAACTGGACCATGGATACAAGGCCCACATCCTTGTGATGTCAGGGTGCTGAGTTGGGAGGAACTTGGGTCCCTGGAAGCCTTGAGCAGGAGGCTCACCCCGGCTCTGTACCATCCACCTCAACTTTATTGGGATGAAACTAACTTTTCTCTTGTTACTTTTGGTTTTTGCTTTTATTTTGCACCAAATGATACAGTATTTAGTAGGCAGGAGACACTGTGTAAAACTCTTGTCTGGGCGTGGTGGCTTATGCCTGTAATCCCAGCACATTGGGAGGCCAAGGCGGGCGGATGATGAGGTCAGGTGTTCGAGACCAGCCTGGCCAATATGGTAACACCTCGTCTCTACTAAAAATACAAAAGTTAGCTGGGCGTGGTGGCGGGCACCTGTAGTCCCAGCTACTTGGGAGGCTGAGGCAGAAGAATCGCTTGAACCAGGGAAGTGGAGGTTGCAATGAGCCAAGATCGTACCAGTGCACTCCAGCCCGGGCGACAGAGCAAGACTCCGTCTCAAAACAACAACAACAACAACAACAACAACAACTCCAAGAGGCCTATGAGGTGGGTACCATGATCCACATTTTCACAGATGAGGAAACTGAGGCAAAGATAAGTAAATCACTTGACTTGGGTTGTGTAGCCAGAAATGGCTGGGGTAGAATCTCAGCCCAGACTGTCCCTCCCCAGACCATCTTGTGCCTATAGAGGAGTGATTCTTTGGGCCTGGTGAAGATCAAAAGACACAGTAGTGTGCCTAGGAATTAAATTCCGTTTGGAAATTAGAACTTAGAAAGCCTGATTTGAACTCCAGATATTAAAAGACAAAGGTATAAATTATAGAAGTGTTGAAAGTTCCAGAGAAGCTTGTGGCCACTTTTAGCTACACCTAGGCTCTGTGGTCATTTCTCAAGCCACAATAGTGGTCTTCCTGCCCTGTACGCTGGTTTTAAGTGGAATATATCCTTTGAGTAACATGGGTGGGGACTCCTGCCTCTGTGGACATGTCTTGTCATCATGGCTGGTTTGACATTCTTCAGCCTCTCCCTGGCACTGTGCTGTAATCACACAGCCTGGCTTCCATTTCTCAGTTCTTGTGGTGGGGGTTTTTCTGCTGCAGAGGTACCACCACTGTGCTAGGAGAGCCTTTCTTCACTATAGAATTTGCTCTGGCCTGGTTGCCAGAGCAAATTGCATGAGTGGTCTTGCACTCATTCAGTGGTCTTGCTTCTTGTGGGAATGGAGGCAGTACCTACCTAACAAAGTTGGGTGGCTCCATCCAGTGGCACACATAGTAAGTGCTCATTGACTATTAAGTTAATTTCATGGTTTAGTTTGCTTCTCGCTTGTTCTGGGGCATTTACAGTCGTGTTGTCCTCTGTATTTGAAATTAGACTTATCAAAATCAACATCTGTTTGGTGAATCTGATCTCTCAAAATTGTTTGGGATCATACCCCACTTCAACTCTTTTTTTACTCTTACCATCTACCAATGTCAAATGTTTTAAGGCCCTTTCTCTAAATGTTATTCTTCGACTGCATGGATTTTGCCTAGGAATGATTGCATTTTCAAAGACTGTATTTTAGAAGTCCTTGATCGTTATCTATTGGTCTTGACTCACTTGGTTCATGTAACTTTCTGGCTCAAGTCTCGGGTGTGCATAATCCTTAGTGTGAGTTAATGGGCACTAGCTAGACCATTCCCCAGAGATGTTCTTGTTTTACCTGCCTGCCTGTGTGGGTTTAGAGGCCAGGTAAGGAGCAGCAGTACCTGTGGCAAGAGACCCAGTGGGCAGCCTGGGGCTCACTGTTACCTTTCAATGCTGAGGGATCTTTGGATTGGGTGCAAGAAGTCAAGTCTCTGTATGCTGCTGTGAGTGGCTGTAACACTAGCAATGTCTATGGCTTCAGAACACTGTTAACATTCTTCCCTTGGGAACTTTGTGAGCCAGGAGGCAGAGGAAACCCATATGTATGGGAATGTCAGGGAAAGGGGAAAGAGAGGGAGTGCTGTACCCGAAGGAGAAAACTTAAAGGAAGGTTTATAATAAGAGTTTTAAGAAAGTTTAAACATGTGAGTCCTCATAGAATATGGTTTCCAGGCCGGGCGTGGTGACTCACCCCTGTAATCCCAGCACTTTGGAAGGCTGAGGAGGTTGGATCGCCTGAGGTCAGGAGTTTGAGATCAGCCTGACCAATATGATGAAACCCCATCTCTACTAAAAATACAAAAATTAGCCGGGCGTGGTGGCCTGTGCCTGTAATCCCAGCTACTCGGGAGGGTGAGACAGGAGAATCTCTTGAATCTGGGAGGCGGAGGTTGCAGTGAGCTGAGATTGTGCCATTGCACTCCAGCCTGGGCAACAAAAGTGAAACCCTGTCTCAGAAAAAAAAAAAAGAAAAAGGAATATGGTTTCCATGAGCTTTCTTGAAGAAACTGCTAGAGGAAGAAGCCATACAAATGATAAACGGAGAAATTATGAAAAAAAGAGAGTTAGTACATTTTGAATCTATTTGATAATAAAATCTAAGATGATTCCAGGGATTATGATTCTAGAACAAATTATAAACATTATGTCCTCTGCCAAAGTAGAAAAAATCATTAGAAGGCTACTTGAAGGGGAAGGAAAAGAAAACGTAGGAGGTAGGATAAGTAGGCCAATTTCCTACTTCAGGTCACGCTGGGCCCTCTTCCCTACTGCAATAGTTTATTACTCACTGAAATCCATCTTCATCACTTTAATGAGTGTTCAGCTTTATTTATCTATGACATTAACCATATCAAGAATAAGACCAAAAGGCCTGAGTTAAATTGTTCCAAATGCATTGATGTATATTTTTATTTCTTCCTTAAATACAGGGTTTCCAGAGCTGGGGGCTAGTTAAAAGTCATCATGGACTGGGTGCAGTGGCTCACACCTGTAATCCCAGCACTTTGGGGGGCTGAGGCAGACGGGTCACTTGGACTCAGGAGTTTGAGACCAGGTTGAGCAACATGGTGAACCCTTGTCTCTCTATTTTTTTAAATAAAAACATAAAAATTATTTTGTAAAAAGTCACAAATGCAGAATTGTCCACTCCAAGATACCATTACCCTTGCGGCTGTTGGGTTATCTTTCACTCTTATTGTTGCTTTTGATACTTGTGTTGATCATTTGTGTTTATTAATGTGTGACTATTTCAAACTGGCTCTAGTTTCCCGTTACTGTTCCTTGCCTTTTTCTGACTTAGGCTGATTTGTTTGAGTAGAGAAAGACACTGCCATAAGAACTTCCTATGCATTTGGGAAGGAGACCAGAGAAGTCTAAAGTCACTCACAGAGAAGCTGTTCTGAGAGCAATGTGACCACGCCTTCACTCATGACTCTGCCAGCCATGGTGCTGTGCTTTCCCATACACGATATTACTTAACCCCTGACCCCCTTGAACGCTAATATTTGCACCTTTATTAATTTTTTATTGCCCTGCAGCCAAAAATTCATAGATAAGTATCCTTTGTCCATCTTCTAGCTGTACTTTTTACTTATGTTTACTCATTCCAGCCTGGCTTGCACTGTTTTTTTTTTTTTTTTTTTTTTTTTTTGAGACAGATTCTCGCTCTGATGCCTAGGCTGGAGTGCAGTGGCATGATCTTGACTCACTGCAACCTCAACCTCCCGGGTTCAAGTGATTCTCATACCTCAGTCTCCTGAGTAGCTGGGACTACAGGCACACGCCACCACACCCTGCTCATTTTTTTTTTGTATTTTTAGTAGAGACAGGATTTTGCCATGATGGCCAGGCTGGTCTTGAACCCCTGGCCTCAAATAATCCACCTGCCTTGGCCTCCCAAAGTGCTGGGATTACAAGCGTGAGCCACTGTGCCTGGCCTGGCCTGCACATTTACTACTCCATGGAAATCACCCTTGCCAAAGACAATGATTTCCATGTCCCTAAATTCAGTTTTCATCATGCACCATAGACTACTTCCTCTTCAAAATGATCTGTCCCTGACTTTTGTGATATCACACTTTATTATTTTCCTCCTTCTACTTAAACTGTTCCTCCTTCCTTTCCTGTGCTGTATCAGCCTTTTATGCTTAACTCTGAATGTTATATGTGCTTCCCTGGGGCTCTGTCCAACAAATATTTATTGCACACCTACTATGGGACGGACACTGCTTTGGGTGTGGGGGATTGCATATGTGGTCCCTATTCTCAGGGAGTTTCGAAGAAAAGTTGTCGGCTGGGCGCAGTGGCTCACACCTGTAATCCTAGCACTTTCGGAGGCCGAGGAGGGTGGAACACTTGAGGTCAGGAGTCTGAGACCAGCCTGGCCAACATGGCGAAACCCTGTCTCTACTTGAAATACAAAAATTAGCCGAGGGTGGTGGTGGGAGGCTGAGGCAGGAGAATTGCTTGAACCGGGGAGGCAGAGGTTGCAGTGAGCTGAGATCGTGCCACTGAACTCCAGCCTGGGCGACAAGAACAAGACTCCATCTCAAAAGAAAAAAAAAAAAAAGAAAGAAAAGCTTTCAACCATGAATTATACAATTGATTACTTAATTATAGTTGTGCTAAAGACTACTAAAAAGTTCAAGGTGCTACTTCTAGGAGTTAATTGGAACAAAGTCCACTGTGTTTGAAGTTCTAAAGATGTGACCTGTTTAGCCACGGTGAACTGGAAATCCTCTCACCAGCACAACACCTTCCAGTAGATGAGAAAGAAGATAAACAAGGATATAATCTCATTGAATCTATCAGTGGAAACCAAGATTATTCTTACTCTCATTTGCTTCTTTGATTTGTTTTTAATAGGCAAACTCCTAGTCTGTCTGAAGGCAGCAACTTTCAGACTGCAAGGTGATTATAGATTGTTTTTTGTTTATAAAAATGCTTTCACAATGGGCACACTAGACCAACAGTGGGAAGTCTTTTTCCTTTAGGGTTCCTGATCCTCAAAATTTGTGAGATTAAGAAACATTATAGGCGGGGCGCAGTGGCTCACGCCTGTAATCCCAGCACTTTGGGAGGCCGAGGAGGGCGGATCACGAGGTCAGGAGATCGAGACCATCCTGGCTAACATGGTGAAACCCCGTCTCTACTAAAAATACAAAAAAATTAGCCAGGCGTGGTGGCAGGCGCCTGTAGTCCCAGCTACTCAGGAGGCTGAGGCAGGAGAATCACTTGGACTCGGGAGGCAGAGCTTGCAGTGAGCTGAGATTGCGCCACTGCACTCTAGCCTGGGCAATAGAGTGAGACTCCGTCTCAAAAAAAAAAAAAAAAAAAAAAGAAACATTATACACTGCTGGGCGTGGTGGCTCATGCCTATAATCCCAGCACTTTGGGAGGCTGAGGTGGGTGGATCATGAAGTCAGGAGTTTGAGACCAGCCTGGCCAACATGGTGAAACCCGGTCTCTACTAAAAACACAAAAATTAATCAGGTGTGGTGGTGAGCGCCTGTAATCACAGCTACTCAGGAGGCTGAGGCAGGAGAACTGCTTGAACTCAGGGGGCAGAGGTTGCAGTGACTTGAGATCATGCCATTGCACTCCAGCCTGGAAGACAGAGCGAGACTCCGTCTCAACAACAACAACAAGAAGAAACATTATATACTACATATTATTTACAGCACAGTAAAAGATATTAAGAGGCTAACAACACCTGTCTGTGAAGCAATTTGGTCAGAGTGGTCATGAAATGATTGACTTCTAAATTCAAGAACAGGAAATATGGCTTCAGCTCTTTATTAAATTCTATTGTTGGAATAAGATAGAAGAAGAAGAAAAAGAGAGGGAGAGATAAAGGTAGTGTAAAGAGACATTGGACATCATTAATGACACCTTCATCTTGGAACATCTTGAATAGCCCCTAAGCTAATTCAAAGTCATGTTTTGCTTCTGCTATCATTGGTTTATGCAGCAGGTATCACAACGTGGGATCTTCCTTCCTGTTCTATGAAATCAAACTCAGGTCTACATTTGGAAAAATGTTACTTTTTGGTGATTTCTAAAATCACCTTGACCATCAAGCTCTTCTTTCCAAAGAGTGCTAAGTAAATAAATGTAAATTACTCAAATTAGAAGCACAGAGAATGAGGCCCAGTGTGGTGGCTGATGCCCATAATCCCAGCACTTTGGGAGGCTGAGGTGGGAGGATCATTTGAGGTCAGGAGTCCCAGACCAGCCTGGCCAACATGGAAAAACCCTGTTTTTATTAAAAATACAAAAATTAGCCCAGCATGGTGTTGCATGCCTGTAATCCCAGCTACTTGGGAGACATGAGAATCGCTTGAGCCCAGGAGGTGGAGGTTGCAGTGAGCCAAGATTGTCCACTGCACTCCAGCCTGGGCAACAGAGTAGAAAAGAAAAAAGAAAAAAAAGAAAGAATGAATTTACAGTATATAAAACATTTAAGAAATACATTTGACTAAATAGGAAATAGATCAGAATGACTCAAGATGTTAGAAAAATAACTTTGGAAAGTCCTTTGATGAGGCAAGACAAGGACAGCCATGCTCTCCTGGGCTGGCAGGGACCTAAGGGATTTGAGGTTTTATTTATTTATTTTTTTATATTTTGCTGACATGATGACTACTCAGAGTGGCATGCTGGCAACTTCCATAGTCCTCACATAAATGGATTGCGGTATTTGCTATAGGAAGAGGCAGATTTTACATCTAGGTTTCAAGATTTGGTTTGGCCTGTACCAGCATCCCCAACTAAATGGTTGATTAATAGCTGATATTTGAGCATTTGCTAGGCACCAGTACATTACCTGAATTTCCCAGCAAGTATATGATGTGGAGTATTAGTATACCTATTTTTAGATGAGCAAACAGGTATAGAGAAATAGATGAGTTGCCTAAATGGTGGGCCTGGAAAATCCAGGCAGACTGACTAAAGCCTCAACTCTTCACCTGAAGAACCTATGTTTTGTCATTTTTATGATTCAGTACATGATTTTTTTTTTTTTTTTGAGACGGAGTCTTGCTCTGTCATCCAGGCTGGAGTGCAGTGGCATGATCTCGGCTCACTGCAACTTCCACCTCCTGGGTTCAAGCAATTCTCCTGCCTCAGCCTCCAGAGTAGCTGGGAGTACAGGCGTGTGCCACTGTGCCCGGCTAATTTTTGTATTTTTAGTAAAGACGGGGTTTCATCATGTTGGCCAGGCTGGTCTCGAATTCCTAACCTCGTGATCCGACCCCCTCAGCCTCCCAAAGTGCTGGGATTACAGGCATGAGAAAGAAAAACAAGGATATAATCGGGCCACTGTGCCCCACCCCAGTACTTGATTTTTAACACCCCTCATCTATCACCCTCCCTTGACCTTCCCCAATGACATCCCCCTCCCCTCCAAATCTGGCTTTCTTCAGAAGCTCATCACTTTCCTCCCTCTCCCATGTCCTCCTTAATGAGAGGCCACTGATCTCTCGCCAAGGTCTAGGCCTTGTACAGTACAGTCACTACTAGAAGCATTACAAGCTACCTCTCCTACCCACTGCTGTGCTTTCTAAATCCTTCCTCTCCTACTTCTTTCTTCCTCTTCTCTGACCTAAAGACCTCATGCTTTGTAGGGGAACAAGGAAATGATTATGTGGGCCAACAGGAAGCCTAACATTTGCTGGCTCCTAAACATGTCACTGTGGGCACCTTTGTCTCTCTATCCTCTCCTTGCTGGACCCAGCACACCATGTAAATAGACCGGTGCTCCCAACTTGTTTTATCTGTATGGGTCAGATCCTTGATTAAGCAATTTTTCTTTCAAACCTCCCTGGCTGCACAAATTAGGCCAGTACTCTCTAACTAACTTCCTCCTTGCAAATGTTTCCGAACAATGGAGTTTGGCAGATGCGAAAATCAGGGCTCAGTAAATTAAATTAGAAAAATAAAGTTTTTTGCTGGGTGCCGTGACTCATACCTGTAATCCCAGCACTTTGGGGGCTAAGGTAGGTGGATTGCTCGAGCTTAGAAGTTCAAGACCAGCCTGGGTAACGTGGTGAGACCCTGTCTCTACTAAAAATACAAAAATTAGCCAGGCATGGTGGCATGCACCCATAGTCCCAGCTACTTGGGAGGCTGAGGTGGGAGGATTGCTTGAGCTTCAGAGGCGGAGGTTGCAGTGAGCTGAGATCACACCACTGCACTCCACATCCAGCCTAGGTGACACAGTGAGACCCTGTCTTAAAAAAAAAAAAAGTCTTAAAAGCTAGTGAAACTGTAAAGTAATGTGATTGAAAGGCAGGGAAACTGACAGGGGAATAGCACCCGTCAGTGAATGACCGTACATCTTCATAGGTTGTGCTGTTTGGAACCTTTGGTATTCTGTCAAAGTTGAGCAGGTCAGGAGAGTAAGGCAACTGGATCATTAAATAAGCAGATTTGCCTGTCTTGGCCCCTTTTGGACTACAGCTGACCCTCTCCCATGGTATAAAGCAACCTTGACTCACATGAATGGCTTACTTTAGGGCCATGTTTTATGGAGGAATGTTTACCATTACTTTAATTACAACCCCTTATGAGGTTGCTGGCTAGTTTATTCTGGAATGTTCCTGAGTCCACAGAATTTACAAATGTAGTTTTAAGCTTAACTTATCATTGGTTTTGGATTTGAGAAACCAAGATTTTGCAATCAATGAGGATCCCTGAGGTAAATCAAGAGAACTGGTGTCTATTCCTGTTTGCCTTTCTTTACTACTCTTTTTATCTCCCAGCTCATGCCTCTCCTACCTTTTATTTATTTTTTTAATGGAGTCCTGTCTTGGAATCCTACCTTCCCATTCTAGGCCTTGATTTTTCCACATAATGTAACATGAAAAAAAATAATGCTTGACATGCTAGCTTGGGGATTTATATCTTTTGTGCCCTACCTAGTATTTTCCTTCCATCTAGCACAGAGCAGTTGCTCAATATACTTTGTTGAATAAATGAATGAAATCATAAAAGTATATAAAATTTTAAATGTTCATTTGAAATGTTCGGAAGATGGAGTGACTCCCTGACCCTGAAAGTAGGTGAGATCACGTTTTGCCATGAATGAGACTTTTCACAGACTGTGCTGTGTTGGTTTGCCATTGTTTAATTAATTTTAACCAAACTAGCTTTCTGTTTCCAGCTCCTAGCATAATGCCTGGCACAATGTCAATAAATTTTTGTTGAATCAATAATTGCCATACTTTATGTCAAAGAGTTTTGGCCCTCAGAGAAAATGAAAACAAAAACAAAGTTTTGAACCAGGATATTAGAAGGAAGATTGAGAAGTCTTCAGGTGCATTTCCTGGCTTCCTGACTCACCCATTCCTGGTAATCATCCCCTTCCTTTCTGAACACTGACCGGTGACTCCTTAGCCAGGTGACTCACAGCATTTTCCTAAGAAATCTCTATCTCCATTTTACTTTCAAACAACACAAGACATGCATACCATTTTATTTTATTTTTTAAATGTCCTTTTAAAGGAAAAAGAAGAGAACTAATCATGCCAAGGCTGTAAGTGGCTTCTTATAAGGACTAGGTTAAATACCTAGTCCTTGTGTGGGGTAGAAGTAGCAGCTATCAAAGATCCAGAATCGTGGCTTTGAGTGGAAATCGTGTTGTGCTTTTGTCTGCATGTATCTGCAATCATAAGAGAGTTCCAAACTTCTGTGGAATAATACAGATTTGGAATTCATGCTTAATCATTTCTATTCTATATAAAATTCCAGATACACTCACCTTTGAATTTTTTTTTTTAATCTGACTAATAAGAGCTCAGGAAGCATCCATGGCCCAGCTTCTCCATTCAACATCAACAATGTCTGAACAAGATGGTTCAGCAGGGACCACCACTATCGTTTTAAAGTAATTAACTGGAGTGGAGATTTTATCATCAGTAATAAAAAATAAAACTGGAGCCTATTGGTACCAAGGTTATCAAAAGAAAAAAACAAAACAAAAAACAAAACAAAACCTAGAGCTTGAGAACCAGTCTTGATTCTATCCTAACTGAAGTAAGAGCATTTTTCTGAAACCTCCCTGCAGCCTACTCTCTGAAGTTTGGGGATATGCTTGCAGAACATGTTGCCTTGTGAGCCAATTAAAGCCTGTGGCTTCATGGCTGAATTGGGGATTTTCCAATCATTCCTGACATGACATCCTTGTGGCAATCTGTCTAGGCCTATAGATGGATTAAAAACAACAACAACAACAACAACAACAACAACAACAACAACAACAACAACAACCAGGTCTTACTCTCTGTTCAATCAAAACATAACACCTCAGGCCAAGTGTGGTGGCTCATGCCTGTAATCCCAGCTCTCTGGCAGGCCAATGTGGGGAGATCACTTGAGGTCAGGAGTTTGAGACCAGCCTGGCCAACACGGTGAAATCCCATCTCAACTAAAAATACCAAAAAATTTAGCCAGACATGGTGGCGCCTGTAATCCCAGCTACTCGGGAGGCTGAGGCAGGAGAATCGCTAGAACCCAGGAGCAGAGGTTGCAGTGAGCCAAGATAGATCATGCCACTGCACTCCAGCTTGGGTGACAGAGCAAGATTCTGTCTCAAAAAACAAAAACAAAAACACCCAAAAAACATAGCACCTCAAAAAAACTCTCTTAAAATCAAGAGGGGAAAAATAAAATAAGATAAAATAAAATTAGGAGGGCATCTCTCTTGGGACCCTTATGGTAGAAATAACAGAATTCAATCTCTTTCTCCTTTCCTTTTTCTGTGACCATTAGGGGCCTCAATTATTTTCCCCAGTTTTGGTAAAAGGCAGTAGTGATGGCTGTAATCTTGAAAACCTCGGCTCTTGTCCTACTCCTGACTGATCATCCAAAGCATTCTAGTCTAGAAATGTGGCTGGTACCATTCACCACACTGACAAAACTGTCAAAACTACTTTTTCAGAACACCGAAAAAAAAAAAAAAAAAGACTTGCAGCAATCCAGAGAATGCTTTTCAAATAAAATGACTCAGAATCTCAGAACATCATGCTTTGTGGTGTCTTAAATTATCCTAGTTCTGTTTCCTTCTACACAGACTCATGATAGCCTCAACAACCCTGCAATCATGAAAACTAGGAGTCTAGCCGTTTTGAAGGGGGTAAAATGAGATTGGAGTTACCCCAAAGTCCAACTCTCAGATAACTGCCATTATTTGATCTATTTTGCATTTCCTTAGAAACTCCTCCCTGTCTTGGATGGGTGCGGTGGCTAATGCCTGTAATCCCAGCACTTTGGGAGGCCGAGGCAGGTGGATCACCTGAGGTCAGAAGTTTGAGACCAGCCTGGTGAAACCCCACCTCTACAAAAAATACAAAAATTAGCCGAGCATGGTGGCTTGCACCTGTAATCCCAGCTACTAGGGAGGCTAAGTCAGGAAGTCAGGAGAATTGCTTGAACCCAGGAGGCAGAGGTTGCAGTCAGCCAACATTGTGCCACCTCACTCCAGCCTGGGCAACAGAGCAAGACTCCATTTCAAAAAAAAAAAAAAAAAGAAAGAAAAATAAAATAAAATCCCCCATCTTTAGTTGATCAGACTCAGAGTTCACCCAGTACTGTTTCTCTGGTGGCAATTGTTTAACATAGGTAGCTGCCTGAGGTGGTGGTAACTGTTGGGAAAAACAACAAGCCAATCTAAGAATTAAACCAATACACTAGAAAATATCTATTTAACACAAAAGAAGGAAGTAATAGAGGGGGAAAAGACTACACACACACACACACACACACACACACACACACACATATTCACACAAAATAAAAATATAAATCCTATCTTATCAGTAACTACATTAACTATAAATGGATTATACCCTTTAATTAAAAGGCAGAGATTTGAAGAACGGATTTTAAAAACCCATGATCTGAAAATAAAATTAAAAAGGAAAAAAAAAAAAACATGATCTGGCCAGGTGTGGTAGCTCATGCCTGTAATCCCAGCACTTTGGGAGACCACAGTGGGCAAATTGCTTGATCCCAGCCTGGGCAACATGGTGAAACCCTATCTCTATAAGAAATAGAAAAGTTAGGCAGGGTGTGGTGGCTCACACCTGTAATCCCAGCACTTTGGGAGGCTGAGGCGGGTGGATCACCTGAGGTCAGGAGTTTGAGACCAGCCTGACCAATATGGTGAAACCCCATCTCTACTAAAAATACAAAAATTAGCTGGGCATGGTGGTGGGCACCTGTAACCCCAGCTTCTCGCGAGGCTGAGACAGGAGAATTGCTTAAACTTGGGAGGCGGAGGTTGCAGTGAACCAAAATAACACCACTGCACTTCAGCCTGGGTGACAGAGTGAGACTCTAAAAACAAAAAACAGAAAACAAAAATTAGCCAGGCACAGTGACAGGTGCCTGTAGTCCCAGCTACTCAGGAGGCTGAGGTGAGAGGATTGCTTGAGCTCCAGAGGTTGAGGGTTCAGTGAGCCATGACTGCCCTAATACACTCCAGCCTGGGTGACAGAATGAGACCCTATCTCCAACAAACAAACAAACCAAAATAAAACAAAATCCCATGATCCAAATATATGCTGTCTACAAGAGACATACTTTACATTCAAAGACCTAAATAGGTTGAAAGAAAAGGATGGGAAAGATATAACATGCAAATAGTAACCAAAGAGAGCTTGAGTGGCAATAATATCAGATGAAATAGGTTTTAAGACAACAATTGTTACTAGAGACAAAAGACATTTTAAATGGCAAAAGGGTCAATTTATCAAAGAGCTATTGTTAACATATATGTATATAATAAAAGAGCTCTAAAACACATGAAGCAAAAACTGACAGAATTCATGGGAGAAGTAGACAGTTCATCAATAGCTGGATATTTCATTACCCCATCTTCAGTAATGACTAGAACTAGAGAGATGGTCAGTAAGAAAATACAAGAATTGAACAGTGGTATATAAACCAACTAGACCTTATAGACATATACAGAACACTCCACCAACAAAAGTAGAATACACATTCTTCTCAAGTGCATGTAGAACATTCTCCAGGCTAGATCACATGTTAGGCCCAAACAAATCTCAATAAATTTAAAAATATTGAAAGATAATGTGTCTTCCCCAACCACAATTTGGGGAAAACTTATAAATTATGAGGAAATTAAGCACACTCCTAAATAACCAATGGATTAAAGAAGAAATCATTAGGGAAGTTAGAAAATAGTTTGATAATAATTAAAATGCAGCCTGGGTGACAGAGTGAGACTCTGTCTTATAAAAAAAAGAGAATTAATAAAAATAAAGCTTAGAGTGAGACTCTGTCTCATGAAAAAAAGAAGAAGAAAGAAAAATAAAGCTGAGCACAGTGATGCATGCCTGTAGTCCCAGCTACTTGGAAGGCTGGGGTGGGTGGATTGCTTGTACCCAGGAGTTTGAGGCCAGCCTAGGCAACATAGCATGGCCCTCATCACAAATAAATAAATAAATAACAAAAATGAAAATATACGAAAATTTATGAATATCGCTAAAGCAGTGCTTACAGGGAATTTTATAATTGTAATTGCTTATATTATCAAGAAGTAAGATCTCAAATCAATAATCCAATCTTCTACTGTAATGAACTAGAAAAAGAACAACAAACTAAATCCAAAGTTAGCAGAAAGAAAGAAATAATGAAGATTATCGTGGAGACAAATGAAATATAGACTAGAAAAACAAAAGAGAGAATCAATGAAACCAAAAGTTGGTTCTTAACTTACTTAAGGGAAAAAAAAAGCTCAAAAAAACTAATAGCAAGTGAAGAGATTGAATTGCTAACCATAAACCTCCCAACAAGGAAATGTCAAGGAAAAAAGAAACCAAGGAAAAAAAAGAGAGAAGACAAATAACTAAATTCATGAATGAAAGAGGAGATATTACTACTGATATTACAGAAATAAATGTAAAGTTGTTACTTTAATTTTTTGGCATAAATCTGGTGGTCAGGTCCTTAAAGAGGAAGGATAACCAGATCTGTGTGTGTGTATGAACTCTAAAACCAAAAACACATGCTTACGTGGGTGATCCAATAGAATAACCATCAGTGGCAAGTGGTTACTGAGTGCTTGAAATGTGACTAATATGACTAAGGACCTGAATTTAATTTTAACTAATTTAAATTTAAATTAAAAACTGAACATTAGATCCATGTATTGAAAAACAGGCATGTTTAGAACAACTTGATTATGAATCTACTTTTTACAAATATACATTTTATGAAATCTAAAAACAGATCAAGTATTTCTGATAAAAATGTAGCATTAGAGTTGACATGTACTATATGTTTAAAATATGCACTGGATGTTCAAAGACTTGGTATGAAACAAATATAAATTATTTCATTAATTTCAATATATGAGGTTCCATAAAATATAGTTAAAATAAGGTGAAGAGTTATACCTACTTTATTTTGCATTTTTAATGGGCTTGCAGAAAAGTTTTAAATTACATATCTGGCTAGTGTTACATATTAGAAAGTTCTGCTTTAGCCCTCAGCAAAAATGTATCTTTATCTACATTATTAATTATTTTCTATTTTCTTTCCAGTGCCTCAACACTGATGAGTAAGTGGCTCCTCAATTTCAAGGGGAATCACTTCAGGAGTGTTTGAATGAGGAAAAACTAAATCCTTATACCCTCTCTCTCTGAGATGCCATGGAAGTGACTTGGTTTACAATCCCCTACACTGTTTTCCCCTAAAAATAAGTCTAGGTGTGATCATGCAAACTTGAGGAAAGAGTAGAGAATATACTTTTCTTTTTTAACCTCCTTCCCAAAAGCGAATTATTGTCATGTGTTTTTGTGTGTGTGTGTTTTAATTGAATATAGGAAGCTCCAGCCGAGCGCCTCTTGAGCAATGTGAAAGAGTACTCAATGTGATTCATATTGACTTCCCAGGCTAGTGGGTTAAGGAGAAACAATATTCTTCTTCCCTACATAACATAGTTACTTCCTACCTTAGAACTTTTGTATTCAAAGTACGTGCTTGACAAGAAGTCTACACCTGTACTCCAGCAGGTTTGGATCCCTGATGGACTTACACTTACATGATCTCCCAAATTGTAAACTCCATTTAACAAACTCTCCAAACCTGCTTGACTGGCTTACTCATGGAGTAACTCAGCCTTTCCTGTGTGTTTGTGCAGAGTGAGGCCCATTTCCCCAGCCTAGTCCTCTCCCAAGACTTTCGTAAGTGAGTTCCACCCAACTAACTTCAGAGCAAGCTTGGGTTCTGTGCCTCTGAGAGCAGCTGTGGTAAGATTGATTGCTTATTCACAGGGAGGAGGAAACTTGAGTTGGGATTCCAAGAGATGCCTTTTAATAAATGTGTTAAAAAACATTCCTGCATTTTCCTCTTAGAAATTCTGAACTGTTTTGACCTCTGTTGCTGTTAACTTCCATCTCTTTGGATTCTTCCCCATCTCCTCTGAGTTTGGAAAAATCTTTCAGTTGCCCTGTTCCAAAAAGCCTCTCCCAAATATGGACACGTGGCAAAATATCTGTGGAGTGGGGAAAAGGTTCTTTTTTAAAGCAATGTTGATGATCACTGAGTGGTGTTAAAAGTAAATTTAAAAAATAATAATGCCAAAATAAGTGGATGTTCGTGTGGAAAGCAAACTTGACTCCTACCTTACACTATACATTAAACTCAATTTCAGGGGGAATAGAGATCCTCAATGTGAATGAAAGTATAAGCTTTTAGAAAATATCCTAATGACTTTAGAGCATAATACCCTGTTGTTCTCAACAATGAGCAATATGGACATTGTCATAATGAAGTGATGACTGCTTAGCCTCTAAATCTGGTAACTACTTTGGGACAATATGGGAGGAAAAGTGAAGACAGTGATGGTGTAAGAGCTAAATCCTCATCTGTCATATCAAGAAATCACTATATAATGTATAAAACAATCAAGAAATGCCTAAGTAGTTATGTGAGAAAAAAATAGAGGACATTGCTAAAAGAGTTAAAAGTCATTGCTCTGGAGAATTAGGAGGGATAGGGTAGGGGACTGGTAGGATGCATTATAAACTGAAGAGGCTTTTAAAAATTTCATGTATTAATATATGCATTCACTTGAAAAACTAAAAAAATAATAATTGGAAAAACCCATGAAGGTAACTACCAGAAGGAAAAACTGAGAGAATGAGAAGTGCTTGCCTCTGGAAAGAACAACTGGCAGGACTGTTGCTTTCATTGTAAGGCTTTTGGAGCCATTTGATTGTACTTAATCATTTTTATCTATTTCTTTAATAAAAACAATTTTATCTTAATAAAGAGTTACACTTGTTCGAAAAAAAAATCTTCATGATTTTGCAGGTTGGAAAAGATATTTTAGACAAGATACAGGAAAGAGAAGCAACGTTTCCTAAATGGGACCATATATAATTAACTTTTGTCCCAATGTTTCCTAAATGGGACCAATATAATTAACTTTTGTTCCTCAGAATATTCCATTAGAGTAAAAGATGGCTTCACAGTGGTAGAAGGTATTTACAAATCATAACTGACAAAGGGCTTGTCAATCGAGGAAAATGATGAGACAAGTCTCAATCATTTTAGCAGATTTATTTGCCAAAGTTAAGGAACTGCCTGGGAGACAGGTCTATCCCTTTCTCCAGAGATGATTTTGAGGGCTCCAAATTTAAAGGAGAAAGGGCGGGATAGTGAGAAGCACACAGTTTTCATGTAAACAAAGGGGGCAAAGGAAAAATGTGGAGAATCTGCATTTTACATAAGATAATACAGACGAAATGGGGTAGGGGAACAATCAGATATGCATTTGTATCTGGGGTGACTGCACCTGTAAAGATAAGTTATCAATTACATTGCCATGGTGAAGTTTTTATAGCTCACCAGGAATTTCCTTGTGGGCAAAACATGGGGGAAGCGTGTAGCTTTTCATCTTGTAGCCATCTTATTTAGGAACCAAAAGGGGGAGATAGGTATGCGTGACCCAGTTCCCAGCTTGACTTTTCCCTTTGGTTAAATGAGTTTGGGGTCCCAAAATTTAATTTCCTTTCATAGGCTTGTAACCAGAACATCTAAGGAACTCTTTCAAATAAAAATGGAAAAAATCCAGTAGAGAAAATGGGCAAGAAAGTTGAGCAAATATTTAAAAAGTTGGCATCTAACAACCAATAACAGGAAAATTTTAATTAAACTCAATGACATACTGCTACACACCCACCAGAATGGTTGACATTAAAAGGTCAGCTGAATAATGATGAGAAATGGGAATACTCACTCTGCTGATAGGCATGCAAATTGGTAAAATCACTTAGGAAACCAATCTGACACTATCAGCAAAGTTGAAAGTATATGTTTATTCCAGTGGCCTAGCAATTCCACTCCTAAGTACAACCCCAGAGTAAATTTATTACAGATACTCCCCCTGGCATGGATAACAGTGTCCCTAGCTGCAATGTTTGTAGAAGCTCCAAAAACCCCAAACTTAATAACGCAAATGTCCACTAGCAGCAAAATGTATAAGTTGTGGAATATTTACATGGCAGAATCCTGTGCATTATGAAATGGGATGAGCTGCAGTTACATGCAACACCATGTGAATCTTAGAGAGCTGATGGCCAGGCATGGTGGCTCACGCCTGTAATCCCAACACTTTGGGAGGCCAAGGCGGGTGGATCACGTGAGGTCAGGAGTTTGAGACCAGCCTGGCCAACAGGGTGAAACCCCGTCTCTACTAAAAATACAAGCCGGGCCTGGTGGCTCATGCCTGTATTCCCAGCTACTCAGGAGGCTGAAGCAGGAGAATCGCTTGAACTGGGGAGGCAGAGGTTGCAGTGAGCCAAGATCACGCCACTGCACTCTAGCCTGGGCAACAGAGCGAGACTCTGTCTCAAAAAAACAAAAAAAAAGTTTCAATATAAGCAAAGAATACATTTTGTGTTTCTATTATATAAAGTTCAAAACCAGGCAAAGGTACTGCTTGGGGATTCATAATTAGAAGTTAAGGTATAAAGAAAAGCAAGGAAGTAATTGCCCCACATTTGGGTCAGTAGTCACCCCTGGTTGGGTTTACCCCAGGGAAGGGAGGCAGCAGTGATGAAATGTGTAGGGCTGGACCCTGAGGGATGGCAATATCCTGTTTCTTGACCTGAGTGACAGTTCGCCTTATAAGTTGTATATTTGTTTTTATGTATTTTTCTGTATGTTGTATTTCACAACGAATTTTTTTTTTTTTAACATAAAAACACCTCCCCACAACTGCCTTTGCCTGCCCTAGGTCTTCCCCTTCCCCGCCCCTCCCTAGCACCACCACTGCACCAGAAGAGCGTTCATTCTGCTACCATTTTTCCTAGCCTAACTCCCGCTCATAACACAAACTTCTCCTCCTTCCCCAACCCTAGCGTCACCAGTAACCTCCTAGCTGGCAAGTCAAGTGAACCCGTGGCCTCACTCTATAGACTCCTCTGTCCTTTCGGAGTCTTTTCTGTTGACTTGTGGTTCTACTTTCCCTTGACTTCTCCAGATCGCCCCTCTCCTGGTTCTGCTGCTCTTTCTCTCCCTGTGGCCCTCTGCTTCATTCTCTGACATCTCTAACTTCCCCACTCCTTAAGCGCTACTGTTTCCCAGGCTTCCCTCACAGTGGTCTTATCCGCGCTCATATCTATGCTAACAGCTCCCAAATGTGTGTCCTCTTCTGAGCTCCAGGTGAACGTATGCTACAAGCTTCCTACTTCATCTACCCCTTCATGAAGATGCCTGGAGTCAACTTAATTTCAACCAACAGGCCTCAAAGAGAACTCACTCTCTTTTTTGCTCTAACTTTATTCCTAGATTTTCTACCTAAATAAAGCCTTGCCCGAGGCTGGGTGAGGTGGCTCACACCTGTAATCTCAGCACTTTGGGAAACCCAGGAAGAGATGGGAGGATCACTAGAGGCCAGCCTGGGCAACATAGCAAGACCCTGTCTCTACAAATATAAAAAATAAAAAAACTTAGCCAGTTGTGGTAGCACGTGCCTGTAGTCCCAGCTACTCAGGAGGCTGAGGTCAAAGGATTGCCTGGGCTCAGGAGTTTGAGGCTGCAATAAGCTATGATTGTGCCACTGCACTTCAGCGTGGGTGACAGAGTGAAGCCCTGTCTCTATTTAAAACAACAGCAATAAATAAACAAAGGGAATCACTTCCAAGTTGACATCCCAAGCTGGAAACATTGACTCCACACTTTCCTTAAGCTGCTCAGCATCAAAAGCTGCTATTGTTATGTTCATACTATGTGCCAGGCACTGTTTTCACAAGTATGTATATACGTGTGTGTGTGTGTGTGTGTGTGTGTGTGTGTATAAAATGTCCATTATACATATATAATATTAGCTTATTTAATTATTTCAACAATCCCAAGATAGGTACCATTATTATGCTCTTTTACAGAGGAGAAAACAGAAATCTTCAGAGCCAGAGCAGCATTTAGGCCCTCATCTTTACTCCTGAATTTCATTGTGGAGGGGTCACCTCATCAGTATTAGTACCTCCGTCCCAGTGTCTGCATCCACTGCCTTTAGCCTGGTTTGGATTATGACAGTAACTTCCCAACGGATGTCCCAGCCACACACAAATCCCTCTCCTTTTCCAAGCACTTTCAATGGGGCCACCAAAGTAATATTAAAAAAAAAAAAATCAGCCTGGTGCAGTTGGCTCACACCTGTAATCCCAGCACTTTGGAAGGCTGAAGCAGGCAGATCACTTGAGCTCAGGAGTTTGAGATCAGCCTGGGCAACATGGTGAAACCCGATTTCTACAAAAAAATACAAGAATTAGGTCGGGCACGGTGGCTCACGCCTGTAATCCCAGCACTTTGGGAGGCTGAGGCAGGCGGATCATTTGAGGTCAGGAGTTTGAGACCAGCCTGACCAACGTTGTGAAACCCTGTCTCTACTAAAAATACAAAAAAAGTAGCCAGGTGTGGTGGCATATGCCTGTAAACTCAGCTACTCAGGAGGCTGAGACAGGAGAATTGCTTGAACCCAGGAGGTGGAGGTTGCAGTGAGCCAAGATCATGCCACTGCACTCCAGTCTGGGCGACAGGGTGAGACTTCATCTCTAAAACACAAAACAAAACAAAGACTAGCCAAGTGTGGTGGCGCATGTCTGTAGTCCTAGCTACTCAGGAGGCTGAGGTGGGAGGATTGCTTGAGCCTGGGAGGTTGAGGCTGCAGTGAGCTGAGATCATACCATAGCACTCCAGCATGGGTGACAGAGTGAGACCCTGTCTCAAAAAAAAAATCACAATTTGACTGCGTAAATTCTGAGCGATTCCTTCTAAAATGCCTTAGCACACGCAGAGGCCACCTGACCTGATGCCAGCCTGCCCCCTTTCCCTATACCGTGTTCCCTTCCTCCATCCCAGGCTCATGTGCTCTTCTCCTTTAGGGTTCTGAGTCTGTACAGATAGTTCTCTCTGCTTGCAGTGCTCTGCCCACCCCACCTCCTACTGTGACCTGACCATCCTTAAAGCCCTAATCAAATTCTCCCTCCTTTGGTGATGCTGTCACAGACTCCTCAGTCAGCTCAGCTCCAGCTATATATTATTTACAATGCACTTGGTGCTGGCTGGGTGTTGTGGCTCATGACTGTAATCCCAGCACTTTGGAAGGCCAAAGCAGGAGGATTGCTTGAGGCCAGGGTTTCAGACCAGCCCTGGTAAGATAGCAAGACAAAATATAAAAAATAATAAATATAAGAATACAATGCACTTGGTGCAAACCTCCGCCATTTTCCTTAACATCAATTATATTGTAATTGCATGCTTATTTCTGCCTGTCCTTCTCCTTGAGGGCAAGAAGAGCATATTATTCTTTCTTGAGTTGGTATCCCTTCTTAGAGGCGGCCATATCTAGGGGGCAGTTGATGATTCTACTGAATAAATAGAAATAACCCAGTCACTGTTTTTAGGTGTGGGTGTTGTTGGTATGATACTCTGCTGGGTTTGAGATGCCCTGCTTAGAACCTTGAGGCCTGGGGATGCTAGCCTGTGTGTGTGCGCGCGCGTGTGTGTATGCGTATGTGGGTGTGAGTGTTTGCACACGTGTGTGTGTGTACTTTGTCCTTTCAGGCAGTTATTTTTCCTGAACTGATGGGAACATCTTGCACAAAATCAAGAGCCAGTTTGCTGACTGTTTTAAGGTTTAAAAAATATTTTAAAATAAAATAAGAAATCCTTAGATATTCCACATACACGCAATACTTTAAATGCCAATCCGAACTTCCTTCATAAATAGCAAACGTCTTATTTGCAACTACTGTTGAATGAAGTCATTTCCATCCTCAGCCATATGAGAAATAAGTTCCTTATTCATAGAAAACGTTTAGAGGTACAATAAAATGAGATTAGAAAAAAAAAACCCTAACATTCATTTCTATCGTTGGTTACAAAATCCACTCTCATGTATGAAGTGTGCTCTAGCTGTGAAATCCTTTCTTGGAGGTGAGATCATTTCTCTCTTATAACCCATATCACTGACTTTGTGCTCCTGTTTAACCTTTCCCACTGGAGTACTAGCTCCATGAAAACAGCAATTGGTGCTCCCTTCTTTGAGGAACAGTCCAGATGAGAGCCTGTCCAGGTAATCCATAGATATGCATAACCATTGCACCTGCACCAGGTCTTACAGGCACAGGCCTTTTGGGAACCCATATCAGCATTTCAAGCTGTGAAAGTAGTTCTACTTAGTAAAATTAGAACTTTGGTCTACCAAGGGCACTCTTAATATTTGAAGAAGAAAAATGAATTTCTAGCACAATTCACAGACTAGGACAAGGTGAATAAGTAAGCATCCTAACTTATTTGGAAGTCCTGGTGGCATGTTAATGCATATTTAATAATGCGAGTGAAGTAGCACATATTTTACAATCAATTAATTTTCCTTAAAGAAGATAATGTAGCAGGAGAGCTGAATGTCAAACAAGGTAAGACTCATACTTATTAACTTGGCAGGAGTTATGAGGCCTCTGATTCTCTTGAAAGACAAATTGTCTTCACTATTTTGATTTTGAAATGTAGAAATTCAAATTTCAATCAATCCAATGAGTAAGGATGACAGGAAATTTTACAGAACTAGGAGGAAGCTTCCTTTCATTTTTCCTTCTTTTTATTGGGGCAGGTGTAGGGGGATGTTTCCCCCACAAAACAGCAGTTTTGCTAGAAGACAGTGAGGGATCACCACCGTTGTGTGCCCTCCTCCCTGGGAGCAGCCAGTTGCTGTGACATGGACCTTCTCTATTGCAGATATATTTTCTTGCTGCCATACTTCCTCTGACTCTATCCAATTCCATCCTTTCCATTCTCTGGAATCAGAATGGGCCCATGCTTTATGCTTTTCCCCCTCACTTAGCCCTTAGAGAAGAGATCAGGATGTGCCACCCTCCAAATGCCCACATTTTGGCACAAGAATATTTTGAACTGAAGGCTATGAAAAAGAAAGCAGACACAGAAAGAGCTCTCTGCCCTCCCCCATCCCCCATCTTCCTAAAAGCAGCACATTTATTGATATTTCCCTTGCACAGGTGTCCCGCTTGCTCATACAAGGAAGAGAGCAACCCTTATCACCAAAGACAGAGATGCCGCTGAGATAAATCTGCATGAACAAACCTCGATAAATTAACCCTTATCTTCCATTATTTCCACCTCCCACCCCCACTTTATTGTCCCTAAAAGCATAACCCTCTTTTCCTTTGTCTAGTCATTTCACTATTTGCCGTGCTTTGTTTTAATGGTATATAAGCTCCTGAGTCTATTAGGTTTTTCCGTTTCTTTTATGTGAGGCTCTCATACATGTGAGATTTTATTTTATTATTATTATTTTTTTGAGACTGAGTCTCCCTCTGTCAACCAGGCTGGAGTACAGAGGCACGATCTTGGCTCACTGCAGCCTCTGCCTCCCAGATTCAAGTGATTCTCCTGCCTCGGCCTCCCGAGTAGCTGGGACTACAGGCATGTACCACCATGCCCGGCTGATTTTTGTATTTTTAGTAGAGATGGGGTTTCACTATGTTGGCCAGGCTGGTCTCAAATTCCTGACCTCAAATGATCAGCCCGCCTCAGCCTCCCAAAGTGCTAGGATTACAGGCATGAGGCACCACTGCCAGCCACATGTGAGATTTTAAATATGAATAAAATTTGCGTGCCTTTTCTCCTGCTAATCTGTTTTATGTTGGTTTAATTTGCAGGCCTCAGGCACTCAACCTAAGAGGGTAGATGAAGTTGTTTCCTCTCCTACACTTGTGACCTATAAGTGGTAACCCGATGCCTACTCATGGAGATGGGCATCACTGTGACCATGGGACAGATGATCAAACTTGGGCTCTGGGAAGTTACAGGAATTTGTGGGTGCTGGAGTCTGAACTCCTGTCAAAGCCCTTTTACCTCCCTCTTTCCTTTCTTGGCTAGCACCTCAAAGTTTTGTTTTGCCCATCTAGCAGACCGTAAAGTCCAAGGGATTGTTGACACTTGCCGGTGCAGGCTTCCCATCTTCTCCAGAGCGCCCATGCTGAGTGTCAGCTAAGGAAAGGAAGCACACCTAAAAACAGCCCTGGAAATCCCCATCCCAGACCCAGTCAAAATAGCCTGGTGTTTCTGACAGGTCTCCTTCTATGTCTCTGCGGGCACCCAGCCTCGGGCTGAGCAGCATTAATCACTCAGTGAGTTTTGGTTGATGAAGTGAGACTGATTTGCGTAATCCAGCTGCTCTGGGGCAGGTACCGGGGCCATCTGACAGGGGCTCCAGGACTTGGCTTGAGTAAAAGGAACCCTGAGACACTACCCCAGCCAGGATCTAAATTCCCCCATTTTTCCCTTCTCACCAGTTCTTTGGAAAAGTGCCTGAAGATAAATAATGGACCCCTGCTGTGAGCCAGAAGGGAAAAAAGGCAAGAGAAGAAGGCTGTCTTGTTTCTAAGTGACCATAGGGATCACAACACATCGATTAAAAGAGACTTTTCAGGTTTGTCAACCCAGAAGAGCCCAAGAAGAAAAAATAATGGGCTTAAAGTGTGCCGTTAAAAATCGTATTGTCCTGATAATCTCCCTGCTTAGGTAAGAAACTTGCCAAGGGGCTAAGGAAAGGGCAGCTTTTCCACTGAAGGCCTTTAACATAAGAGGAAAGCTCTGCTCACCTGGAAGCCCACGTTGCTGTAGCCCTCAGCTCTGGGGGCTGCTGTACTCCTCAGCTCCATGCTCTTTTTGCTGCTGGCTGGCTCTGGTCTGGAGGTCCTTTGTACCTGGGAAAAAGCACCAGTCTCTGCTGATGTCAGAAAGCCACCTGCTGTTACAGGGACCTGGGCACAGCTTGCTTCAGTTTGGAAACTTCTGCAATAATCTCCTGAATGACTAGGGCTGACACCTGGTTGGGGTGGGGCAGAGAGGCGGGCGGGTTGGCGGGGTGGAGGCATCTAGTGCTGGCCCGCCCACCTTATTAATCTTTTCCTTTATCCCCATTTTTGGCATCCTATTTGCACTCCTGGGGAGAAAACTCTTGTGGTGCACAAAACAGAAAAGGACACTTTCTTTTTCTTTCTTTCTTTCTTTTTTTTTTTGAGATGGAGTCTCAAAAAAAAAAAGGCTGGAGTGCAGTGACGCAATCTCGGTTCACTGCAACCTCTGCCTCCCAGGTTCAAGCAATTCTCCTGCCTCAGCCTCTCAAGTAGCTGGGATTACAGGTGCATGCCACCACACCTGGCTGACTTTATTTTTAGTAGAGACGGGGTTTCACCATGTTGGCCAGGCTGTTCTTGAACTCCTGACCTCAAGTGATCCACCTGCCTTGGCCTCCTAAATTGCTGGGATTACAGGCATGAGCCACCGTGCCCAGCCAGAAAAGGACACGTTCTCTATAGTGCTTAGTGAAATCCTCTGTTTTCCTGTGGGTGGTGTTAAAGACTAGGAGTGGTGGTGGGGTGGAGGGTGAGTGAACACAGGATATAAGGTCATGCCGCCCTCAGTGATCACCTACTGTATACCAGGGATGGATAGATGGATAGATACATAGACAGATAGGTAGGTAGGTAAGGGTCTTGGCTCTTCTTCCGAACAACTCAAAATTCTATACTGAAGTACAGAAAAGTTAACAATTTGTTTAGTGTCATTTAGCTAATAAAGGGATAATGAGAATTCAAATTCAAGTTTGGTTAATTCCAAAACCTTTTATTACATCCCTGCTTCAGACTGGGCTGCTTTCAAAAATCCAGCTTACAGAAATGCCGATATGTGACAAGTAAATGAAAGGTGACCAGCTATTCAATTATCAAAAGTGAATAGAAGTGCTTTGTTTTCATAAAGCAATTCACTTTGCTTTATGAAAATATTAGCTGTAGAATTCTTTTAAAATAGGGATTTTCCCCCCTAGTACAATTTAAAATACTGCAAAACTGTGGACAAAAGAATGGAAAAGGCCTGGTGCGGTGGCTCACGCCTGTAATCCCAGCACTTTGGGAGCCCAAGGCGGGTGGATCACTTTAGGCCAGGAGTTCAAGACCAGCCTGGCCAACATGGCGAAACTCCATCTCTACTAAAAATACAAAAATTAGCCAGGAGTGATAACGTGCGCCTGTAGTCCCAGCTACTCGGGAGGCTGAGGCGGGAGAATCGCTTGAACCCAGGAGACACAGATTGCAGTGAGCCGAAAACGCACCGCTGCCTCCCATCTGGATGACAGAGTGAGACCCTGTCTCAAAAAAAAAAAAAAAAAGAAAAGAAAAAGAAAAAGAAAAAGTAAGAAAATACCAAGTATTATGAGTGGTTATTTCTCGGTTTTTAATTTTATGGGCAGTTGGTGTTTTTTTTTTCTCCTTCAAATGCTGCTGAGTTTTCTATAAAGAGAATGATTTACTTTTATTATTGTTAACCTAAAGGAAAAAACGGAGACAAACTTAATGTAAGTATAGAGTTTATTTGGTCTAAGTTTGAGATTGCAACTTGGGAGCACATATTCAAGTTGCTCTGAATATACACTTAGTAGCAGTTACAAGTAGATTCTTGTGTGTGTGTGTGTGTGTTCTGTTGCCCAGGCTGGAGTGCATGATCATGGCTTGCTGCAACCTTGACCTCCTGGGCTGAAGCTATCCTCCTGTCTCAGCCTCCCGAGTAGCTGGGACTACAGACAGGTGCCATCACCCATGGCTAAATTTTTTTTTTTTTTTTGGTAGAACTGGGGGCCTCACTATGTTGCCCAGACTTGTCTTGAACTCCTGGGCTCAAGCAATCTTCCCACCTGCCTTGGTTTCCAAAAGTGCTGGGATTACAGGCACTGTGCCTGGCCACAAGTGAATTTTAAAGGAAAAGAAGGAGTTTCTGAGTTGTTTACCAATTATTTACATTAAAATAACATAAGCTATTGATTGGCTATACATTGCTATTTGTATCACACATTCTAGGAACAGAAAGGCAGCCAGTCAGGAACAAAATTCCTTTAAAACAATTGCCCCTGGCCAGGCACAGTGGCTCCCGCCTATAATCCCAGCACTTTGGGAGGCCGAGGCAGATGGATCATGAAGTCAGGAATTCGAGACCAGCCTGGCCAACATGGTGAAACCCTGTCTCTTCTAAATACTACAAAAATTAGCCAGGCATGGTGGCACATGCCTGTAGTCCCAGCTACTTGGGAGGCTGTGGCAGGAGAATTGCTTGAACCCAGGAGGTGGAGGTTGTGGTGAGTCGAGTGGAGGTTGTGGTGAGTCGAGATCACGCCACCGCACTCCAGACTGGGTGACAGAGCAAGACTCCATCTCAAAAAAAAAACAAAAGACAAAAAACAAAAGCAAAAAAAAATTGCCCCCGGGCACAGGGTTGAGTGGTGACTGAAGTCCAACCCTCCGTTTCTCTGGGCCTGATAGATTTTGCATTGCTCACATAGCTGGGACTGTGTGAGTTATTTTTGTTTTCTCTTTATCAGTGACTGAGGCCCAGTCTCTCTGGGCCTGATAGATTTTGCATATCTCACATAGCTCAGACTGTGGGAGTTATTTTTCTTTTCTTGTTATCATGATACAGACTGTACAGTGTATACATAATGATTAAAGGCTTGCAGGAACCTGTGGTCTGGGTTCAAATCCTGGACTCTACCTCATAACTACAGCCAACCACAGCTTGAGGGTCACACCTAACCTTCTGCTGCTTTTATATGGCCCAAGAGCTAAGAATGGGTTTTAGATTTTTAAATGGTTGAAAAAAATTAAAAGGAAGAATATTTCCTGACACATTAAAGTTATATGAAATTCAAACTTCAGTGTCTATAAATAAAGTTTTGTAAAAACAGAAACATGGCCATTGATTTATGTATTGTCTAAGGCTGCTATCATCCCATAAGGACAGAATTGAGTAGCTGTGACAAATACCACACGGCTCAAAGACAAAATATCCACTACCTGGCTGATGCCTATAATCCCAACACTTTGGGAAGCCAAGATGGGAGAATCGCTTGAGCCCAGAAGTTTGAGATCAGTCTGGGCAATGTAGGAAGACCCCGTCTCTACAAAAAATACAACAATTAGCCAGGTGTGGTGGTACGTGCCTGTAGTCCCAGCTACTTGGGAGGCTGAGGTGGGAAGACTTACTGGCCATGGGAATTTGGGCAAGTAGCTGAGTTCTCTGTATCTCAGATTCTTCCTTCATAAAACGGAGATAACAGTACCTGAGGACTAAGCTCTGATTTTTTTTTTATCTTGCCCAAATTATGATCTAAGGGGTCTGGGGAGTCATGCCCTACAAATCATAAATTCTCATCATATGGGTTTTTTTTTTTTTTTTTTTGGTCAGACAGAGTCTTGCTCTGTTGCCCAGGCTGGAGTGCAGTGGCAGATCTCAGCTTACTGCAACCTCCGACTTCCGGGTTCAAGTGATTCTCCTGCCTCAGTCTCCCGAGTAGCTGAGACTACAGGCGTGTGCCACCATGCCTGGCTAATTTTTACATTTTTAGTAGAAACAGAATTTCACCATGTTGGCCAGGCTGGTCTTGAACTCCTGATCTCAAGTGATCCACCTGCCTTGCCCTCCCAAAGTGCTGGGATTACAGGTGTGAGCCACCGCACCCGGCCCAGATGGGTTTTATTTAACCCTATATATCATGACTTACTTTCAAACCTGACTCGCATAACATTATGAGACAAGGAAGAAAATAAAAATATTTTACCCCAAAACATGTTTCTTTGACATATTTTGAAAAGGAAACATTGTCATCCTTTGTCTCTAAGGGCAGCCACTATAAAACTTCAGAAGAACTTTGGTTTCCACAATCTTTATCTTAGCCTGAATATTCCCTTTCTATGAATCCCAGGTCTTGAGACAAACTCAACCAATTGTCAACCAGAAAATGTTTAAATTCCCCTATAGCCTGGAAGCCCAACCCCCTCCTCCCCTTGCTTTGAGTTGTCCTGCCTTTCTGGACCAAACCAATGTATTTCTTAAATGTATTTGATTGATGTCCCATGCCTTTTTAAAATGTATAAAACCAAGCTGTGCCCTGACCACCTTGGGCAAATGTTCTTAGGGCCTCCCAAGGGTTGTGTCATGGGCCATGATCACTCATATTTGGCTCAGAATAAATGTCTTCAAATATTTAACAGAGTTCAACTCTTTTCATCGACATACCCATTTAGAAACAGTGCTGAGATGATAAAATGAGTTAATATACACAGGGAATAGTGCCTGACACATAATTCAACATCACCCAAATTTTATGATTTAGCTCTTTCGTGCTTCTTATTGATGAGACTTGGGGATTTTCATTAGTTCTTCCCCATCATTGCAATGTGCCATAAGTAGTAGTCATTGTGTTACCAAAGGCAAAAAAAAAAAAATCCAAGTGGAAGTGAGCAAGAGAAGTACAGATAAATAGACAGCAAATATTTGGGAAACTTTCCTTGAGAAATCGTTAGTTGGAAGAAACCAGTTGGTGCAACCTGATATTAAAACCTTCACCAACTCAAGACTCAATCTAGTTGAAGGTTATGGATGATCCTTACTTTCTGAAGCAAAAGACAGACATCTTCATTCTATCATTTAAAGCCTCTAATTGCAGAAACGTGACTCCAATGCCTGACATTCTTGCAGACACTGCTTTAGGAACTTTTAGAAATGTAACGATGTGTTTTCTTCTCCTTGGCTGCAGACAAAATTTGAAAAGAATGCAACAACATTTGGGGGAGCATATCATTGTGCAAGTCACAACACTAGACAGTGTTGATTAAAAGATACAGTGACCTCCCTCATCCATTCTCCAACTGTACCTGCCAGCAGGAAAAATTGACACCTAATTAGAGTAAATTGTATATACAACCATGATACTAAAATGCCAAAACAATGGTCATATCCAGAGAACTTGTAATTTAAAATTGTATGTTTCTGAAGCCTATCTTTAAGGAGCTTTCAGAACCAGTAAAAATTCTGACTCCTTGCAGCACCAGAATTAGTTTGATTTATGGGGCTATCACTTAAAGTGGTAACACCTTGGTAGAAGCTATGGCTCATTTTGTCCAATTAGGAAATAGAAATTGTGATCAGAAAATGAGATGAAAGGCCTTTTCAGTTTTACAAGACTACATTTTAAACAATTCCCCAGTCATGCAGAGTCATTATTTGTGAGAAATAGCTTGTGCCAAGAACTAAAAAACTGTCTCTTAACTCCTCAGAATTATTTTCATTGCGTTGTCACTCAAACTCAATTTTAAACTTTGAAACCATTGTGTAGCAACCAAATCACTAGACTTTTCAGTCAAATAATTCCTATACCCCGTTCTGTTCTCTAAAACTCAGCTTATAAAAATTTGCAAACTCATGGACTGTCTACGCACAAGCTCATTAAAGAAAACCAAAACACAAAAGTCCTCCATTTTTATTAAAATATGAAAGGAAAAATAAGTAATTACATGGCAATAGATTGTTTTTCCTGCCTTATGCATGCAGTTCTATAGTGAAGTCACTCTTGGTGACGGTATTTCCAAAAGGAGTAAAGAGAAAATTTGTAAAAATTGTGTAGAATGCTTGTCCTATGTTGAGCATGATGTGTTATATGTTCCAGACTCCTGTCTTCCTCCCTGAAGAACATTTCATGTAGTGCAGATTAACCTTTGTCTATACAACTTGAAGTAGTTAAATAAATAAATCAAATAATATTAATGTTAATAATAAAAATGTAATCCTGGGAGGTTTATAAGGCTTAGTCTAATTAACTGTCAATTGTTCAGATCATCCAAGAGGGGAAAAAGGAAAGCAATGAAAATGTGTATTTGACATAGGAAATGCTTCAGGATTTGTTTTTCAACAAAATTCTCCTTGCAGTTAGGTTTTTTCCCTGACATTTACACTATATACCAGGAAAGGCCAGCCAGAGCACTTAACACAGCCAAAGACTGGCCATAGAATCTGCCACATAGGTAATACCTGTCTGCAATTAAAGGATGATTTGGCTGTCTGTATCACTTTAGTGAGAATCTTGGGAAGGGCAGGGCACAGTGGTTCATGCCTGTAATCCCAGCATTTTGGGAGGTCAAGGTGGGTGGATTACTTGAGGTAAGGAGTTCAAGACCAGCCTGGCCAACATGGTAAAATGCTGTCCCTACTAAAAATACAAAAAACTAGCCGGACGTGGTAGTGGGCACCAGTAATCCCATTTACTCAGGAGGCTGAGGCAGGATAATAGCTTGAACCCAGGAGCACAGTTGCAGAATATCTTGAGCCCAGGAGGCAGAGGTTGCAGTGAGCTGAGATCACACCACTGCACTCTAGCCTGGGCAACAGAGCAAGACTCTGTCTAAAAAAAAAAAAAAAAAAAAAAAAAGGGAAGAAGGGAAGAGAACTAGTGACTGTTGAATGCTGCAACATACCTTTAAGATACTTATGTTGTTTCCATTTTATCCTCATAACAAGTCTTCACATGAGGTATTAATATCCCCATTTCACAGATGAAACACATGAAGCTCAGGGAGATAAAGTGGCTTTTCTAGCAACACAACTCATAAGTGGCAAAGCCATAATTTGAGCCCATGCCTGTGAAACCTAGTCTTGTCAAGAGCCCAGTTCTGGAAAGAAATGAAACCCAGGGGAAGCACAACTGAATTAATACCTCAACATGCTCACTCTATTAGTGAGGAAAACAAACCACAAGCAAAGTATATGCAAAAAAGGCTAATAAAATGGTGAAAGGCTAATAATATGGGGTTGTCAGGAAAACAGAGTTTAATCCATCTGTGCACTTTGAAATCCTCAAAAAGTGTGCCAGTGCTTAGGTGAGGGGATTCCTGAGAAGGCACAGGTGTCGGGCTGCTATATTGATTCCACCAGAAATGAATGCATAGAACTGAAAGCTATAGAAGGGCAGGAATTTTACCCATCTTAGTCTCTGCTCTTTCCTGGTGCTTAGCGTAGTGCTTGGAACAGCGTCAGCTCAAGGCTGAATAGAATGTTCATTGAACAAAGGTACACAAAGGAAGAAAACTGAAATTCCTACATTCCCATGTGTCCCAGGGAATATGTGTGAGTTCAAAAATGAGTTTCTAGGGCGCACAAGTTTGCACTGGTCAGCTCTCTCCAAGAGCCAACACTAGGACCAGGAGAAGGTAAGTAAAGAGCCCAGGGTGCAAAATTTAAGGGGGCACTCTCTGGACCAAGTGCAGGGTTGGCACTTGAAAATAAATTCCTCCTTAAAGTTTGCATTATAAGCACCTTGCCTAGCTCACCCTACTCCTGGCCTGGCCAAGAATAATCTATGGGCTTGTTTTAGATGAGTATAACATAACTGTTAAGAATGCAGGTTCAGGCCGGACATGGTGGCTCACACCTGTAGTCGCAGCTACTTGGGAAGCTGAAGCAGGAAAATCACTTGAACCTGGGAGGTGGGGGCTGCAGTGAGCCGAGATCACAGCACTGCACTCCAGCCTGAGTGACGGAGCAAGACTCCGTCTCAAAAAAAAAAAAAAAAAAATGCAGGCTCTGAACTTAGATTAGCTTCCAATTCAGGCTTTACTTCTACACTCACTAGCTGCAAGCTTGGGCTAGTTACTAGTAACCCCTGTAATCATCTACTGCTGCCTGCAAAATGAGGTTTATGTTTACAGCTATCTCATGGGTCTGTCATGAGGATAAACTGAGGTGCCACAAGGAGAGTGTCTAGCATCATGTAGTAAGCATCTGCTGTGGATTGAATATGTCCCACAAAGTCCGTATGTTAGAATCTTTATCACTGATGTGACAGTATAAAGAGGTAGGATCTTTAAGAGGTGATTAGGTCATGACAGCTCTGCCCTCATAAATGGATTAATGTGGTTATCTGAGGAGTGGGTTAGTTATCCCAAGAGTGGGTTCCTGATAAAAAGGATGAGTTTCTCCTGAATTTCTGTCTCTCTCCTGTGCTCACTTGCCTTTCCACCATGTTATGATGCAGCACAAAGGCCCTCTCCAGCGGCTAGTGCCATGCTCTTGGACTTCCCAGTCTCCAGAACTGTGAGCTAAATAAACTTGTATTTTTTTTTTTTTTTGAGATGGAGTTTCACTCTTTTGCCCAGGCTGGAGTACAGTGGGGCGATCTCGGCTCACTGCAACCTCTGCCTCTCGGGTGTCTCACGTGTCAGTGTGAAGAGACCACCAAACAGGCTTTGTGTGAGCAACAAGGCTGTTTATTTCACCTGGGTGCAGGCGGGCTGAGTCCAAAAAAGGAGTCAGCAAAGGGTGGTGGGATTATCATTGGTTCTTACAGGTTTTGGGATAGGTGGTGGAGTTAAGAGCAATGTTTTGGGGGCAGAAACAAATCACAATGGTGGAATGTCATCAGTTAAGGCTATTTTCACTTCTGTGGATCTTCAGTTGCTTCAGGCCATCTGGATGTATAAGCGCAGGTCCCTGGGGATATGATGGCTTAGCTTGGGCTCAGAGGCCTGACATCAGGTTCAAGGGATCCTTCTGCTTCAGCCTCCTGAGTAGCTGGGATTACAGGTGCCTGCTACCACGCCTGGCTAATTTTTGTATTTTTGGTAGAGACGGGGTTTCACCATGTTGGCCAAGCTGGTCTTGAACTCCTGACTTCAAGTGATCTGTCCGCCTTGGCCTCCCAAAATGTTGGGATTACAGGCATCAGCCACCACGTCCGGCTTACTTGTTTTTTATAAATTACCCATTATGTAGAATTCTGTTATGACAGCAGAAAACAGACTAAGACAGCATCCATACACTCACGGGTCCATGGGAAACCTGTCAGTAGCCAGTTTTTTGAAAACCTTGAGTTGAGCCTCTAGGGCTCTGTCAGTGTTCAGTAGGGTAAGTATGTTACCATTACATGTGGTTGAATGAGGTTCACGAAGGGAGCAAAGAACAAACATTGATATGGGTTATAGGAATGGCAGAATGGCAACATGCAACTTATGGATAAACAAGAATCTTCCAGGAAGTGCATTCTTGAGTCTGGAAGATTTCCAGAGATGACAATCTTTTTTAATAACACAGCCATGTGTTACTTAACAATGGGGATACATTCTGAGAAATGAGTCCTTAGGCAGTTTTTTCATCATGCAAACATCACAGAGTGTATTTACACAAATCCAGATGGTATAGCCTAAAACACACCTAGGTTATATGGTATAGCCTGTGGCTCCTAGACTACAAACCTGTACAGCATGTTACTGTGCTGAATACTGTAGGCAATTATAACAAAATGGTAAGTATTTGTGCATTTAAATATATCTAAACATAGAAAAGGTATAGTAAAAAATATGGTAGGCCCGGCACGGTGGCTCATGCCTGTAATCCCAGCAACTTTGGGAGGCCAAGGCAGGTGGATCACCTGAGGTCTGGAGTTCAAGACCAGCCTGACTAATGTGGTGAAACCACGTCTCTACTAAAAATACAAAAATTAGCCGGGTGTGGTGGTGCATGCCTGTAATCCCAGCTACTCGGGAGGCTGAGGCAGGGGAATCGCTTGAACCAGGAGGCAGAGTTTGCAGTGAGCCAAGATTGCGTCATTGCACTCCAGCCTGGGCAACAAGAGTGAAACCAGGTCTCAAAAATAAATAAATAAATAAATAAATAGGTATAAAAATAAAAAATGAAAAATAATAAATAAATAAATAATGGTACACCTCTATAGGGCACTTACCATGGATGGAACTTACAGGACTAGGTTCTAGGTGAGTCAGTGAGTTAGTGGTGAGTTAATGTTAAGGCCTAGGGCATTACTGTTCAATAATGTAGACTTTATATAAACATTATACACTTAGGTTACACCAAATTTATTTAAAAATTTTCTTTATTCAATAAGAAATTAATCTTAGCTCACCATAACTTTTTTCTGAGACAGAGTGTTGCTCTGTCACCCAGGCTGGAGCACAGTGGTGCGATCTTGGCTCACTGCAACCTCCACCTCCCTGGGTTCAAGCAATTCTTGTGCCTCAGCCTCCCAGGTAGCTGTGACTACAGGCACGCACCACCACGTCTGGCTGATTTTTGTATTTTTAGTAGAGGTGGTTTCACCCTCTTGGCCAGGCTGGTATATCCTGACCTCAAGTGATCCTCCCACCTCAGCCTCCCAAAGTGCTGGGATTACAGGCATGAGCAACGGTGCCCAGTCAACTTTTTTACCTTATAAATGTTCTCATTTTTAAAATTTCTTGACTCTTGTAATAAAACCTAGCTTAAAATGCAAATGCAAATACATTGTATGGCTATACAAAAATATTTTCTTTATAGTCTTATTCTATCAGCATATATATAACTTTTTAAACTTCTTTGCTAAATACTACAGCATAAACACCCACATATTAGTCTAGGCCTACACAGGGTCAGGATCATCAAGATGTCACTACGTGATAAAATTTTTTCAGCTCCATTATAATCTTATGAGACTACTATTGTATATGAGGTCTCTTGTTGACTAAAATGATGTTTCAAGGTACATGACTTTATTAGTATCTGCCTGCAATGTTCAGAGAAAATGCAGAGGCTGGGTGCAGTGGCTCATGCCTGTAATCCCAGCACTTTGTGAGGCAGAGATGGGCTGATTGCTTGAGCCCAGGAGTCTGAGACCAACCTGGGCAACATGGTAAAACCCCAAATCTTAAAAAATGGAAAAAATTAGTTGGGCATGGTGGCATGCGCCTATAGTACCAGCTACTCAGGAGGCTGAAGTGAGAAGATCACCTGAGCCCCAGGAGGTCAAGGCTGCAGTGAGTTGTGATTGCACCACTGCACTCCAGCCTGGATGACAGAGTGAGACTCCATCTCAAAAAAAAAATTAAATTAAATTAAATTAAATTAAAAAAAAAAAGACAACGTAGGGACAATTGGCAAAAGTTGAATTTGGTAAAAGTAATGTATCAATATTAAATTTCCTGATCTTGATAATTGTATTGTGGTTATGTAAGAGAATGTCCTTAGGAAATACACGTTGGAGTATTTAGGAATAAAGTGATATAATGTCTGTGATTTTACTCCCAAAGGGTTCAGGAAAAAAAAAAAACATGTAAATGTATATGAGTATGAGAGAGAATAAATAAAACAAATGAGGCAAGACGCTAATGGTGAAACTGTAATGAGAGTTTTTTGCATTATTCTTGGATCTTTTCTACAAATTTAACATTATATGAAAACAAAAAGTTACAAAAAGAGATGCTTTTTGAATTATTCATATATGTAAACATATACATTTAGCATTTTTTTAATAAGTTATGTATGTGGATAGTGAAATGGTCTCAAACTATATATTATCCTGCAGATTTCCCTCTATGTGGTTAAGTACAGATTCCAAAAAATTTTGCTTTTTTTTTAAGACAGAGTCTCGCACTGTTGCCTGGGCTGGAGTGCAATGACGTGATCTTGGCTCACTGTAACCTCCGCCTCCTGGGTTCAAGTGATTCTCCTGCCTCAGCCTCCCAAGTAGTTGGGATTACAGGCACCCGCCATCACACCTGGCTAATTTTTTGTATTTTTAGTAGAGATGGGGTTTCACTATGTTGGCCAGGCTGGTCTTGAACTCCTGACCTCATGATCCGCCTGCCTGTGCCTCCCAAAGTGCTGGGATTACAGGCATGAGCCACTGCACCCAGCCAAAATGTTGCTATTTCAGCTCAGAGTTGAGATGGATTTATATAACACACACACATAATTCTGCTATTGATAAGGATTAAAAATTTTGGTATATTAAGATTATTAAATTTATTAAGATTATGGCCAGGTGTGGTGGCTGACACCTGTAATCCCAGCACTTTGGGAGGCCAAGGAGGGCAGATCACTTGTGGCCAGGAGTTTGAGACCAGTCTGGCCAACATTGTGAAACCCTGTCTCTACTAAAAATCAAAAAAAGAAAAAATTAGTGGGGCATGGTGGCAGTCTCCTGTAATCCCAGCTACCCTGGTGGCTTAGGTACAAGGATTGCTTGAACCTGGGAAGTGGAGGTTGCAGTGAGCCAAGATCGCACGACTGAACTGCAGCCTGGGTGACAGAGTGAGATTCTGTCTCAAAAAAAAAAAAAAAAAAAAAAACCTTATTAAGATGATGAGTTTATTAAGATTTTTAGTATGAAGATTAAGATTTAACTATTGATGAGGATTATTAGGATTAAGATTTTTTAGTATTTAGGGGTTTCTTCTTATTTATTGACACAACAATGAGATTTGTCATTATCAGGTCAAGCCATTGGGTCAGAATTATAAAAATGCTGAGTAATTATTAGTGACATTAAATTTAAAGATTATCAATGTCTGACATTATAAAAAAAAGAATTTAGGTATGTACCCCAAATATGTATCCCAAATGTAAGTTGTCCTTAACATTTGCTGTAAATCCAAAAGTAAAGATTTCAAATCACATCTTGAGTTTACATATTTTAAGCCTCACTCACGTCTACTCAGTTATTTCATATACTGGTGGAAGCTTGAGGTGTCTTGGCTCTTAAACAACATGGTAAAACATCTGTAAGTTGAAGTATAACTTGGGAACAGGGAAATAATGATATTGAATTCTATTCCATCTACTGTACTAAAAACAATTTACAGGCTGGGCACACTGGCTCACTTCTGTAATCCCAGCACTTTAGGAGGCTGAGGTGGGCTGATCACTTGATGTCAGGAGTTCGAGGCCAGCATGGCCAACATGGTGAAACCCCATCTCTACTAAAAATACAAAAATTAGCCAGGCGTGTTGATGCGCGCCTGTAATCCCAACTACTTGGGAGGCTGAGGCAGGAGAATCACTTGAACTCGAGAGGTGGAGCTTGCAATGAGCCGAGACTGAGCCACTCTACTCCAGCCTGGGTGACAGAGCAAGACTCTGTCTCCAAAAACAAAAATTATAAACAGAAAAGAACTATGTCCTACACATGTAATGTAACAATCACAATCACAAATACACCAAACTATGTAAACCTATGTAGGTTTATATGCTTTCAGTTTGTATGCTTTCCTGTTAATTTTAGTTTTACTTATTTGCCTTGTTAGCATTCATTAGCATGATTCAAAACTTATCAAAACCAATCATTCCAGGTAAATCCCATTCATTCACTCAAAATATAAATTCTAATTACTGAAAGAAAAAATCCTACTTATCGGCTTCCTCTTATGATAGCTGTACATACTGAGATATTGGTGTCACTGTTCTTTGTTAGTATAGGAATGTGGCTCAATGCCTGGCTCTCACCTCATCTTGTTCTCTTTCTTCTTTGCTCACAAATCTTCCAAGTCCTCCAGATCTGTTCTGGCCACAGGACATTTTCACTTGAATTTGGACTGGCCCCTGGACTGGCTCTTTCTCTTTGCTCAGATCTTAGCTCCTCAGCGAGGCTGTCCCAGGCCACACTGTCCTGTTGCCAGGCCAACCCTCATAGAGGACACTGTTTTGTGAACCATGGGCTCTCCTGCATGGGGCATAGGGCTGTGCATGGAGGCAATGCAGAGGGTAGGTATCTAAGAGCTCTGAAAGCCTGGCTGGTAAATACCATCCCCCCTGAAAGGAACCCCACAGGTTACACCTAGGACTTCTTGTGCTAGAAACAATGAAGTTTTTAAACCTACCTAAGTTTATAGCCAAAGGATATAGGAGTGGCCTGGGAAAGAACAATGTTTATAATCGATTGAAACACATAAAACCTTCAAAAATTCATGAGTCTATAATGATACTTAAAAACGGAAACTCTAGGCCGGGCACAGTGGCTCACGCCAGTAATCCCGGCACTTTAGGAGGCTGCGGCAGGCAGATGGCTTGAGCCCAGCAGTTAGAAACCAGCCTGGGCAACATGGCGAAACCCTGTCTCTACTAAAAATACAAAAATTAGCTGGTATGGTGGCGTGTGCCTGTAATCCCAGCTACTCGAAAGGCTGAGGTGGGAGGATCGCTTGAGCCCAGGAGGCAGAGGTTGCAGTGAGTCTAGATCGTGCCACTGCACACCAGCCTGGGCAATAGAGTGAAACCCTGTCTCAAAAAGAGAAAAAAAGAAAAAAAAAAGAAAGAAAGAAAAAAGGAAACTCTGAAAAAAACCTAAAAAGGGAGAAAATAAGCATTTATATTGTTCATAAGGAATTGCATTCAGGGTAACTAAATAGCCCCAGTTGTTAAGAAGAAGCTATACCTTATATATCAATGCCAGCAACAAATATAAAAATGATAGAATTTGAAAAGCATGATTTTGTGATCCTTTGAGCAGGGATAATCAATTGGAATTAAATCACTGGTTGGGTAGCTTATGGGGTGCTGGACGTCGTATGGAGCCAAATTCACAGTGTGCAGATGACATATTGCCACAGGGGAAACAGTAAAACGCATAATAAAGATGTCAGGGCTGAGGCAGGAGGATCTCCTGAGGCCAGGAGTTGGAGATCAGCCTGGGCAACATAGTGATACCCCTGCCTCTGAAAAAAGAAATAGCCAGGCACAGTGGTGCATGCCTGTAGTCCCAGCTAACTGGGAGGCTGGGGTGGGAGGTCTGCTTGAGCCCAGGAGTTCAAGATTACAATGAGCTATGATCGTGCTACTATAGTACAGCCTGGGTGATGGGGTGAGACCATGTCTTGGGGGAAAAAAACACGTCAGGCCAATACTAATCCAAATCAACAATTTACTATACATGGGTCCACCAGATATCATGAACTTCTGATGTGGGGTGATAAAAAGTACATATTGTCATTTTCGGTTTGGTCTATATATATTTTGATTTCTTTTTTTTTGTAAGAGCTCTGAAGTCAGACTGCCTGGTTCTAATCCTAATTCCCCTATTTCTAGATTGGGAACTTGAGCAGTTTATGCAGACTCTCAGAGCCTCTTAGGGTTTTGTGAGGATCTAACGAGAATACTTGTGCAATTGTTGGAATGGGGCTGGGTACTTAAAACACTCAATACTCAATACATTAGCTATTATCATTGTAAGTGCCCTATTCTTCCTTTTCTTATTTTATTTTATTTTATTTTAGAAAGGTTCTTACTCTGTCACCCAGGCTGGATTGCAGTGGTACAATCATGGCTCACTGCAGCCTTGACCTCCCTGGTCTCAGGTGATCCTTCCACCTCAGCCTCCCAAGTAGCTGGGACTACGGGTGCACCCCACCACACCCAGCTAATTTTTTTTAAAAAAATTGCAGAGATGGGGGTTTCACCATATTGTCCAGGCTGGTCTCAAACTCTTGGGCTCAAGCAATCCGACTGCCTCAGCCTCCCAAAGTGCTAGGATTATAGGCATGAGCCACTGCACCCAGCACCTATTATTTCTTGAATAAGTGCAAACTATTGTCGTAATAGCCATAGATAGCTATATAGCTCACCTCCCCCTTCCACCCAGTTCAGCCCATGGGATTCTAGACTTACAGCATGGGATAATTTGAGACCCATCAAGGCATCAGGACCAAAGTTTCAGGCCCTCCTCCCATCATTAACCCATCCTCAAGGCCTGAGGAGGTCAGTTAAGGGCTCCGAAACTGGGCTTCCTCATGAACCTGAAAGAAAAGTGGGCAGGGCCTCAAATCTGTGGCCTATGGGGAGAAAGGTGACGCACACCTGGGCAGGAAGGTATTGTTCAGTGTGACTATCTGCTAAATCCCTGGGGCTCCATCCAGCTAAGATAAAATGTGATGGTTCCCATTCTCAGTAGACAATACACCAATCCTATTTTTCTTAAATTTACCTAAATGAGGCCGGGCAAGGTGGCTCACGCTCGTAATCCCAGCACTTTGGGAGGCCAAGGCAGGTGGATCACAAGGTTAGGAATTCGAGACCAGCCAGGCCAATATGGTGAAACCCCGTCTCTACTAAAAATACAAAAAATTAGCTGGGCCTAGTGGCATGTGCCTGTAATCCCAGCTACTCAGGAGGCTGAGGCAGGAGAATCACTTGAACCCGGGAAGCAGAGGTTGCAGTGAGCTGAGATCACGCCACTGCACTCCAGCCTGGGCAACAAAGTGAGACTCTGTCTCAAAAAAATAAATAAATAAAATAAAATAAAATAAAATAAATTTATCAAAATGAAACTGAGACCCGCCCTGATTCTATTTCCCAGAATTAGTGAACAAATGTTTGTTTACTGAATCCTATAAAGGATAAATACAATTTTTTCATTTTTTATTATCGTAATTCTTCCAGAATAGATTCCATAGCACACATCCCCTTGTAAAACACTATAGTGCATTCATTTATGCCATTGGTTTCCTGTCTTCCCTGCTAGACTGTCAGCTTCATGAAGGCCGGGAACTTTGTTTTATTCATTGACACAGCTCAAGCATGTACAGCAGTCCTAGTGCATGGGTAGGGGTTTAATAGATATCAGTTTAATTGTTCAAAAATCAAACTTGGGTTTTGATTTGTCCACTGAATGAAAATTTGCTCTAAGCTTGATTTCACAATCTTCATTCACGAGAAGTAAAAATATGGGGTTTAGGTGCACAGCCTGTGAAATGAATACTATTTTTCTCCTTCCAAGACTGTTTTGAGTCAGGAAAGTGTAACGGCTGTCAAAAGCTTGGGAGAGAGGACTGATGTAATAATGTGTGATGTGTCACTTGACACAGCAAGGTCAGGGTTTTTCCTATAACTCTTCTGCTTGTATTAATTACAGGAAGTAAGGAGGAATCTGGATTCCCTGGCCTGCCGCTCCTGTTGGTCTAAATGGGCATGGCTGATCACAAAGGAGCCGACCAAGTCTGAGAGCCTCAATCCTTGGGAGTGGACTGGGGAAGTGGGCAGGAAGTGGAGACTATGCTTAGCACCATCTCAGCAAGAGATGGGGTGAGCCCCAGGCAGCACTGCCTCCTCAAAAGGGTTGTCCTACTCAGTGGGAGTCAAATTCAGTGAACAGTGATGTGACACCTACTCTGTAAGGGCCTAAAATAGCCCATGAGGCTCAGAAGTTGAACACCGAGCTGTGGGTCACACAGCTAGAAACTATGGCCGTGAGATAACCCAATCCAGGGCTTTCTGCCTTGAAGATGTGGACTTTTCCCACTGCCCTGTCTGCCTTTGGCATCACCAGAAGGAACAAAAGGCAGGTCTAGATGCAGGGGTCTGAGTATCCAAATCTTTCCAAGCTAAAGAGGAATGAGGCAGATGTACAGAGAATCCTAAAACTCACATGAGGGCTCACTCCATTTCATCCCCTCATTGATTCCCCTATTACGAGCTGAGATATAGTTGTGGCTTTGAAGATTAAACCAGATAGCAAGATGGAATTGTTCCTAGATCTAAATGCACTTCACAGCAATTATCTACTTTCTGTTCTGCTGAACCCCGATTAGCTTCAGTAGGGAAGGCACCAGGTTCAGAGGCCAGGGGAGATTCAGAGCCAGCAAACGAGGCATGGGGTTCTATTAGGGGCTTCCATACAGGGGAGAGAGTCCAGTGGCCGTGGGCTGCACAGCCTTACATACAGTCCAGTGGAAGTAGCTGGACAAGATAGCCACAACTGCTTGCAAACAGCATGCAGTTTATACAGCATTTTCACTTAACACCCTCCCCCAACAACCCCCACCTGGCAGCCTTCATGTAACCCGAAACTCAGGACCTCAATCCCCTGTATGACCTGTGTTCCATGGTGCGGGCTGAAGGCTCAGCTGTTCCTCATAGATAAGGAATGAATCTTCAGGTTGGCCACTCTGAGATTCCCTAGCTCAGAACACACTCAGGTGCATCTGCCATACAGGGTCCTTCTAAGGGTATGTCTAAGCTATTGCTATCACGTGCATTTACTATAGACTTAATTTCCTCTGATGGTCTATGAAATTCTTGAAAGCAAATACTTTTTGAATTTTTCTCCTCAGGGCCTAGCACTATGCAGAAAACTATACAAGTTCACCCTCACTGTGAGGGAGAACAACCTTTTGTTGTTAAGAATAAATTTTTCGAATGATTCAGCAAAATACTGAACTGGAAAGAAGACATTTTCTAAGAATTATTTTTGTTGTTGTTATTTTTGAGACAGGGTCTTACTCTGTCACCCAGGTTGGAGTGCAGTGGTGCAATCTCAGCTCACTGCAACCTCTGCCGCCCAGGCTCAAGTGATCCTCCCACCTCAGCCTCCCAAGTAGCTGGGACCACAAGCGAGCACCACCACACCTGGCTAATTTTTTGTATTTTTGGCAGAGATGGAGGTTTGCCATGTTGGCCAGGCTGGTCTCGAACTCCTGACTTCAAGTGATCCGCCTGCCTCCGCCTCCTAAAGTGCTGGAATGACAGCACCTTCTGTTTCCAAGTCAGCATCTCCAGCCCCGTCCTCTCCTTCTTGCTCTGTTTTGATCTCCGGTTGCCACCTAGGCATTGTTGCTCCAAGATTTACTCTTCTGTTATGGAGCACATTGGGCCATGAGCCCTCTAATACCTCTCCCAAATCTAGGATTTGGTTTAGGGCAACTGTACCTGACAAACTGATGATCTTATAAAAATACATGACTTGTGTGATCTAAGATTTCACTTCTAGAAATCTGTCTTATAGAAATACACAAATCCTAAACACACAGCTACGAAGATGTTCATTGTAGTATTAATAAAAGAAAAACATTAGAATAGCTTATAGAGAAATTGTTGAATTGTGGTATATTCATACCACGAGGGAGTAAGGAACAGAATAAGGCACATCTGTAAGAACTGACACAAAAGTATTTTGGAAAATATTGAGGCAATAAAAGGTACAGAACAGTATTTATACTACTATCCCATTTGTGGGCATATTAGGGAGAAAGCATGCATAAATATAAATCAAAGTTTAAAAAAGGATTACCAAATTTAAACATCTTTGGGACTAAACTGAAAGCTACAAGACAGGTAGGAGCCTAAGAAAAGATAAAGTATTAAATATCAAGAAAGTTTTAAGACTAGATTGGGTGGTGGCTCACGGCTGTAATCCTAGAACTTTGGGAGGCTGAGACTGGCAGGTTGCTTTGAGCCCAGGAGTTCGAGACCAGCCTGGGCAATGTGGTGAAACCGTGTTTCTACAAAAAATACAAAAATTAGCTGGGCATGGTGGCACGTGCCTGTATTCCCAGCTACCTGGGAGGCTGAAGCCGGAGAATTGCTTGAGCCAGGAGAGTGGAGGTTTGCAATGAGCCAATATGGCACCACTGCACTCCAGCCTGGGCAACAAGAGCAAAACTCTGTCTCAAAAAAAAAAAAAAAAAAAAAGAAGTCTTAAGACTAATGTTGTTAAATCTCTGTGAGTGTGGAGGAGACTCTGACGTGGGAAGGAACCTTGAACCTGTAAGGCTTTGTGGCCAGACCAGCAGAAAATAAAGTTAAAGTGCCAGGGGTGACCCTTAAGGCATTTGTGTTCTAGGAACCATGGGAAGCCGCTGGGAGGTTTTGAATAGGGGAGAACGGATATGGTCAAGGGCCCAGATTGGAAGTTGGGATGCCAGTTAGGAGGATTTTGCAGGAGTCCAGACCAGTGATTTTAATAACTAGGCCACGGGTTGTGGCAACATGGAAAGGAAGACAGGGACAGATAGAGAGACAGAGCCACTGAAGATAACCTGGCTGTCACTTACTGAGATAACCAATCATACAGGTTGGCTGTTGGATGTCCATGGGGAGCCCTGGAGATGTTTGAGGTTCTCATGGGGTCGTTAAAGTGTTGAGAAGATAATTGGAATTAGAAGCCAAGCAGGAGATAAAAATGTGAGTTGGCAGGAAGTTAGATATGTAGAGTGAACAAGAGAAAAACGTCCAGGATTAATAAGAGCTCCAACATTTCATTACAAGGATTTAATGAGATAAGACATTTAAAATACTGACACAGGCTGGGTGCCGTGGCTTATAATTGTAATCCCAGCACTTTGGGAGGCTGAGGCAGGAGGATTGCTTGAACTCAGGAGTTTGAGACCAGTCTGGGCAACATAGTGAGACCTTGTGTCTACTAAAAATAAAAAATTAGCCAGGCATGGTGGTGCGCACCTGTAGTCTTGCTAATCAGGAGGCTGAGGTGGAAGGATCGCTTGAGCCTAGGAGGTCAGGGCTGCAGTGAGCTGTGATGGTGAGCTTTGGTGACAGAGCAAGACCTTGTCTCAAAATAAATAAATAATAATAATAATAAACCAACACAGTGCCTGGAATATAGTAGGTACTTCATAAATGCTAGTTTTCTTCCCCTCAAGAAACACTTGCTAAATGAGCTGATTGTCAACAATTAATCCCAAACCAGAACGATTTTTAGGGTTAAACATGCAGGCCGGGTGCGGTGGCTCAGGCCTGTAATCCCAGCACTTTGGGAGGCCGAGGTGGGCAGATCACAAGGTCAGGAGATAGAGACCATCCTGGCCAACATGGTGAAACCCCGTCTCTACTAAAATACAAAAAAATTAGCCGGGTGTGGTTGTGGGCGCTTGTAATCCCAGTTACTCGGGAGGCTGAGGCAGGACAATTGCTTGAACCTGGGAGGCAAAGGTTGCAGTGAGCCGAGATCGCGCCATTGCACTCCGGCCTGGTGACAGAGCGAGACTCCGTCTCAAAAAAAGGTTAAACATGCAAATAGGGTTACAGGCTATTTCAGAATATGAGCCATCACATGCTTATTGAGTTACACGAAGAAGTCAGGAAACAGGATTTCCAACTTAAAATGTCTTTCCTGTTTTCAGAAAAAGAAATGCTGTTCTCTGTACCTACCGTTGAAGCCATAGATGATCTCTGTGCTCCCTCGTGCCTCCTCTCTGATTTGTCAGGTGAAAGGCTCTCGGGATGACAGATTCAGGCCCAGCTCTCCCGCGAGAGTGTTTTGTCCCCTGTGAGGATGCGTACTGCCTGGGCGTGATAAACCTATCTTAGAGGATCTGCCTATCCCACCCTGATCTGTACGCCCCTAGGGTAGATTCCCCCCAAAAGAGGCAATATGAACTTCTGAGTTTTCAGCTGTGGAAAAAAAAAAAATAATAAGCTGGGCACAATGGCTGACATCTGTAGTCTCAGCTACTCAGAAAGCTGAGGCGGAAGGTTCGTTTGAGCCAGGAATTTGAGGTTACAGTGAGCAATTGCGCCATGGCACTGTAGCCTGGGCGACAGAGCAAGAGTCTGTCTCTAAAAATAAATAAATAAATAAATAAATAAAAATTAATTTTTAGTAACAGCTAAGGGAAAGGGTTTGGAGGTTTGCTGAGGAAATGCATCTTAGTGTTCCAGTACTTCGTGTCCCTTATTTTAATTAAAAGAACCAAATTGACTTTTCCCAGGACAACCCGACTTATTAGTGTTTTTTGTGTTACTAAAACTTGTTGACTAGAGAATTTCAGATGCTGTTCTGAAGGTGAGTGAAAGTGGAATGCAGTAACTTGGATCTAGAGTTCGAACTTTAACAATTGGGAGGCTGATAATGAGGCAGAGACTGGGAAAGGGGCAAGTCTGGGGGAGAGCCCCAGGGCTTCATCTGTTAATATTGAGATGCTACTGGACACACAAGTGGAGATGCCAAGGAGGCTGGAGCTATAATAAAGTCAGAGCTAAAGATAGAAATTTAGGACTTGGCCAGGCGTTGTGGCTCACACCTGTAATCCCAGCACTTTGGGAAGCTGAGGTGGGCAGATTGCCTGAGGTAAGGGGTTGAAGATCAGCCTGGCCAACATGGTGAAACCCTGTCTCTACTAAAAATACAAAAATTAGCCAGGTGTGGTGGTGCATGCCTGTAGTCCCAGCTACTTGGGAGGCTGAGGCAAGAGAATTGCTTGAACCTGGGAGGCGGAGATTGCAGTGAGCCGAGATCGGGCCACTGCCCTTATAGCCTGGGTGACAGAGTGAGACTCTGTTTAAAAAAAAAAAATTAAAATAAATAAGTTAATAAATAAATAAATAAATAAATAAATTTAGGACTGATTGTCATTTAAATCAAAGGTGATGAACTTTTTAAATGCCATGGACCGCTTTGGCAGTCTGGTGAAGCCTACAGCCCTCTTCTCAGAATGATGCTTTTAAGTGCATAAAATAAAATACATAAGATTGCAAAGGAAAACTGCATTAAAATATAAGTAGGTATTAAAAAATTGTGATAAAGTAATATAATAACTCTTGTATTAATACATTAAATAACAGATTTATAAATCTAATAACTAACATATTTGCAAGTAGTAAAAAAGATAAAAATATTTTTGGATGTCTGGAATAACTGTAATGTAATATGAACATGTTCGTGAATGGTGACAGAGCTCCAGATATGACAGTACCATTGCTTTATTTACGAATGAAAGAAATATTAACTTTCAGATAGAGATTAGTGAAGATAGAATATTTTTTCCCATTCAAGTTCATAAACCCTTAAATGATATTTAAAGCTATGGAACATGATGAAATCTACTAGTATGTAAATAAAGAAGAACAAGGGTCCCTAGGACTAATCTGGGATGTTCTTATATTAGGAGATTGAACGAAGGTACAGGAGCTTAAAAGAGACTGAGAAGGCACAGGCAGTGATGTAGGAGAGGAACCAAGAGGGGAGAAATCAATAAGTCAAGGCAGGAAAATGTCTATGGGAAGGAATCAAGGATCTGTATTCTTCATAACCTTCAAGTATTTATTATGTACACTGATGACTAAGATTCCTCTTTACTGGACTATTCCCATTGTTCATTCAGCTACTATTTTTCAACCAAAACGGTACAGCAAGCAAGGTGCTCTAGGGCTGGGAATACAGAAATAATGATCACTTCCTCTGTGCCAGGCACTCAATATTCACGAATTGAATCCTGTCACATCCATATTATTATTAGTTTCACTAGTAGATGGGATTAGGGCATTTATCAGAATCATCTAAGTGTTTTGCTAACAGAGAAAAAGATAAAAGATGGCTGTGCCCCACCCCAGACATTCTGAGTCAGAATGGGAAGTTGGGATACCCATGTCCCACTGTGTTTCCAATAAATTGCACATGTGATTAACATTTGTTTATTTTTGTAGAGATGGGGGTCTCACTATGTTGCCCAGGCTGGTCTTGAACCCTTGGGCTCAAATGATCCTCCTGCTTTGGTTTCTCAAAGCGATGGGATTACAGGCTTAAGCCACCAAGACTGGCCTGATTTCCATACTGACCAAAGTTTGTCTTTGATTTTTAAAATTATCTTTTTTCATAGATTTAAAAAAATTTATCTTTAATTTTTGTGGGTGCATAGTAGGTGTATATATTTATGGGGTACATGAGATGTTTTGATACAGGCATGCAATATGTAATAATCACATCATGGAAAATAGGCTATTCATCCCCTCAAGCATTTATCCTTTGTGTTACAAAAAATCCAGTTACACTCTTTTTTTTTTTTTTTTTTTTTTGAGATGGCGTCTTGCTCTGTTACCAAAGCTGGAGTGCAATGGCACGATCTCGGCTCACTTCAACCTCTGCTTGCCAGGTTCAAGCAATTCTCCTGCCTCAGCCTCCCGAGTGGCTTATAGGCATGCACCCTTGATGCCCGGCTAATTTTTGTATTTTTTCAGTAGAGATGGGGTTTCGCCGTGTTGGCAGGTGATCCACTCACCTCAGCCTCCCAAATGCTGGGATTACAGGCATGAGTCACCACGCCTGACCTTTGTTTTGTAAAGACAAGGTCTTGCTATGTTGCCCAGCCTGGTCTTGAACTCTTGGCCTCAAGTGATCCTCCTGCCTTCACCTCCCAAAGTGTTGGGATTACAGGTGTGAGGCACTGTGCCTGGCCAATTACGCTTTTTTAAGTTATTTTGAAAGGTACAGTTAAGTAATTATTAACTATAGTCAATCTGTTGTGTGATCAAATAGTAGGTCTTTTTAATTCTTTTTGTTTTTTTTGTACCCATTAACCATCCCTACCTCCCCTGCAGACCCCCACTACCCTCCCCAGCCTCTGGTCACCATGCTCTACTCTCCATGCCCATGAATTCCATTGTTTCAATTTTTAGATTCCACAAATAAGTGATAACATGCGATGTTTGTCTTTCTGTGCCTAGCTTATTTCACTTAACATAATGATCTCCAGTTTCATCTATGCTGTTGCAAATGACTGAATCTCATTGTTTTTTAAGGCTGAATAGTATTCCATTGTGTATATGAACCACATTTTCTTTATCCATTCATCTGTTGATGGACACTTAGGTTGCTTCCAAATCTTAGCTATTGTGAACAGTGCTGCAACAAACATGTGAGTGCCGGTATCTCTTCAATATACTGACTTCCTTTCTTTTGGGTATATACCCAGCAGTGGGATTGCTGGATCATATAGTTGCTCTATTTTTAGATTTTTGAGGAACCTCCAAACTATTCTCCAGAGTGTCTGTACTAATTTACATTCCTACCAACAGTGTACAAGAGTTCCCTTTTCTCTTCATTCTCACCAGCATTTGTTATTGCCTGTCTTTGGATATATCCCATTATAACTGGGGTGAGATGCTATCTCACTGTAATCTTGGTTTGCATTTCTCTGATGATCAGTGATGTTGAGCACCTTTTCATATGCCTGTTTGCCATTTAAATGTCTTCTTTTGAGAAATGTCTATTCAAATCTTTTTGCCTAGTTTTAAATTGGATTATTAGATTTTTTTTCCTATAGAGTTGTTTGAGCTCCTTATATATGCTGATTATAATCCTTTGTCAAATGAGTAGTTTGCAAAACTTCACTTTGTTGCTATTTTTCCTTTGCTGTGCAGAAGTTTTTTTTAAGTTGATATAACCCCATTTGTTCACTTTTGCTTTGGTTGCCTGTGCTTGTGGGGTATTTCTCAAGAAATTTTCGCCCATAACAATGTCCTGGAGATTTTTCCCAAACTTTTCTTGTAGTAGTTTCATAGATTTAAGTCTAATCCATTTTGATTTATTTTTGTATATGGGGAGAGATAGGGTTCTAGTTTCATTCTTCTGCATATGGATATCCAGTTTTTTATTCTTTTACTGTCTCTGTATATTTTCAGACAAGATTGGGTGTGCTCGAAGACTGGGCGTGGTGGCTTACACCTGTAATCCCAGTACTATGGGAGGCTGAGGTGGGAGGATCACCTGAGGTTGGGAGTTCGAGACCAGCCTGACCAACATGGAGAAACCCTGTCTCTACTAAAAATACAAAATTAGCCAGGCGTGGTGGCACATGCCTGTAATCCCAGCTACTTGGGAGGCTGAGGTGAGAGAATTGCTTGAACCCAGGAGGCAGAGGTTGTGGTGAGCCAAGATCGTGCCATTGCACTCCAGCCTGGGCAACACGAGTGAAACTCCATCTCAAAACAAAAAAACAAAAAAAAGATTGGGTGCATTCGGGGTGGTATGGCTGTAAACTGACTGTATTTTCAAACAGCCTGGCTTCAAGCTCACTAATTCTTTCTTCTGCTTGATCAATTCTGCTATTAAGATTCTGATGCATTCTTCAATATGCCAGTTGCATTTTTCAGCTCCAGAATTTCTGCTTATTTTAAACTATTTCAATCTCTGTGTTAAATTTGTCTGATAGAGTTCTGACCCTTCTGTGTTATCTTGAATCTCTTTTAGTTTCCTCAACACAGCTATTTTGATTTTTCTGTCTGAAAGGCCAAATATCTCTGTTTCTCCAGGATTGGTCCATGTTGGCTTATTTAGTTCATTTGGTGAAGTCTTGTTTTCCTGGATGGTGTTGATGCTAGTAGATGTTCTTTGGTGTCTGGGCATTGAAGAGTTAAGTGTTTATTGTAGTCTTCACTGTCTGGGCTTGTTAGTACCTGTCCTTCTTGGGAAGGGTTTCCAGATATTTGAAAGGTCTAGAGTGTTGTAATCTAAGCTATATCTGCTTTGGGGGACACCCCAAGCTCAGCAACACTGTGGTTCTTGCAGACTTGTAGAGGTACTTCCTTGATGGTCTTGGACAAGATCTAGGAGAATTCTTTGAATTACCAAGCAGAGACTCTTGTTCTCTTCCCTTACTTTCTCCCAAACAAACAGAATCTCTCTCTCTGTTCTGAGCCACCTAAAGCTGGGGGTGGAGCGACACAAGCACCTCTGTGGCCACCACCACTGTGACTGTGCTGGGTCAGCCCTGAAGCCAGCACAGCCCTGAGTCTCACCCAAGACCTTCTGTAACCACTTCCTGGCTACTGCCTATGTTCTGTCAAGGCCCTGGGGCTCTACAGTCAACAGGTGACAAGGCTAGTCAGGCCTGTGTCCTTCCCTTCAGGTCAGCAAGCTCCCCCAGGCCTTTGGTGGGTCCAGAGGTGCTGTCTGGGCCTCAGGGAGTAGAATGAAAACCTTAGAAGTCTACCTGCACTGTGGCTGAGCTGGCACTCAAACCATAAGACACAGTGCTTCCCACTCTTCCCTCCCTTTTCCAAAGGCAGAGGAGCCTCACTTCATAGCCACCACCACCGCAGGCCACGGGGAGTACTCCACAGGAAGTACTGCCATACTACCGCCAATATTCTCTTAAGGCCCAAAGTCTCTTAAGTCAGCTGGTGGTGAATGCTGCCTGGCCTGGGACTCACCCTTCAGGGCAATGGGCTCCCCTCTGGCCCAGGGCAGGTCCAGAGATATCCACAAGCCAGGTCCTGAAATATGTGACCCCAAAAGCCTGCCTGGTGCTTTGCCCATTTGTGGCTGTGCTGGTATCTGAAGCTAGCAAGTTTCAGAGGCTCACCCTAGGCCCTTGATTGAAGGGGTCCTGCCCCTCCACACCTGTGGGTGTTTCTCGTCAGGTGGAGACGAGAGACTGAGAAAAGAAATAAGACACAGAGACAAAGCATAGAGAAAGAACAGTGGGCCCAGGGGACCCGCACACTCAGCATGCGAGGACCTGCACCGGCGCTGGTCTCTGAGTTCCCTCAGTATTTATTGATTTCTATTTTTTACTATCTCGGCAAGGGGAGTGTGGCAGGAGAACAGAGTGATGATGGGGAGAAGGTCAGCAGGAAAACATATGAGCAAGTAATCTGCATCATAAATAAGTTCAAGGGAAGGTACTGTGCCCGGATGTGCACGTAGGCTAGATTTATGTTTCTCTTTACCCAAACATCTCAGTGTAGCAAAGAGTAACAGAGCAGTATCACTGCCAGCATATCTCGCCTCCAGCCATAGGGCGGTTTTCTCCATCTCAGAGTAGAATGAATGGTCGGCTTCACACGGAGACATTCCATTCTCAGGGACATGCGGGAAACAGAGGCCTTCCTCTTATCTCAACCGCAAAGAGGCCTTCCTCTCTTACTAATCCGCCTCAGCACAGACCCTTTATGGGTGTCGGGTTGGGGGATGGTAAGGTCTTTCTCTTCCCATGAGGCCATATCTCAGGCTGTCTCAGTGGGGGGAAACCTTGGACAATACCCAGGCTTTCTTGGGCAGAGGTCCCTGTGGCTTTCCACAGTGCATCGTGTCCCTGGTTAATAAAGGACGGAGAATGGAGATGACTTTTACCAAGCATACTGCCTGCAAACATATTGTTAACAAAGCACATCCTGCACAGCCCTAAATCCCTTAAACCTTGATTCAATACAGCACATGTTTCTATGAGCACAGGGTTGGGGCTAAAGTTACAGGTTAACAGCATCTCAAAGCAGAACAATTTTTCTTAATATGATCAAAATGGAGTTTCTTATGTCTTTCTTTTACTACATAGACACAGTAACAGTCTGATCTCTCTTCTTTTCCCCCACACTGATACAGTACCTGGGTATCGCTGCTGGTTGTTCAGGTCCCAAGCGCTCTTCATTTAGCAGATGCTGAATGCTGGCCGGACTGGGTCCTTTCCTTCAAGGTGGCAGGTTCACTTCTGACTCAGGGTGTGTCTAGAAATGTCATCTGGGAGCTGGGGCCTGGAATGGGGGCCTCACAACTCTGCCCAGTGCCCTATCCTGCTGTGGCTGAGTTGGCATCCAAGATGCAAGACAAAGTCCTCCCCACTCTTCCTTCTCTCCTCAAGAGGAAGGAAGGAGTGTCTTATGCAGCGGAGGGCTGTGCAGCCTGGAGTTAGAGGAGGGGCACCCCAGCTGGTGTCTCAGTATGTCACATGCCACACCCCTGCCCCCCCACCAAGTCCACTGTCTCTGGGCCCAGTTCAGCCCTAGGACATGAAGTCATGTCAGAAGAACTGCAGGCTGGTCAGGGTGGAGGAACTGGGGAGAGGGGGTAGAAGATGAAGTCATGCCAGGCGTGGTGGCTCACATGTGTTATCCTAGCATTTTGAGAGGCCGAGGCAGGTGGATCACTTGAGGTCAGGAGTTTGAGACCAGCCTGGCCAACATGATGAAACCCTGTCTCTACTAAAAATACAAAAATTAGCCGGGCATGGTGCTGGGCACCTATAATCCCAGCTACTCAAGAGGCTGAGGAAGGAGAATTGCTTGAACCCGGAGCGGGGCGGAGGTTGCAGAGAGCAAAGATCATGCCACTGCACTCCAGCCTGGGCGACAGAGCAAAACTCTGTCTCAAAAAAAAAAAAAAAGAAGATGCAGTCAGATGAAGATGGACTCTGTAGGGCATGGCATGATCACATTTACTTTTTTTTTTTTTTTTTTTTTGCCTAAGATTTGCAGCCCTTACGGCCTAGACTGTCTTTAAGGTTTTTTAGAGTCCCAGAGCACTGTAGCCCTCAGTGGTGAGGTTTGTGGGAACTCAAGTTCAGACAGCTGGAATAGGCGATTCCCCTCTGGCTAGGGCTGGTTTGAATGCTCCCCCAATAGGTGGGTGTTAGCTGAGTTTGGTTTAGTTTTCCTTTCTGCTCTAACAGAACAGCACTGAGTTCAATGCCTTACAACTGCTGTTTACTCCCTCCCTCAGTGCCCAGAGACGCGCTCCGCACCATGCTACTGCTGGGGTCAAGCGTGGAATGGAGGGGTGGGGGTACTTTGAGGGCTCATGTGATTTTTTGGTTCTTTTTTTTTTAACTTTTAAGTTCAGGGGTAATGTGCAGGTTTGTTATATAGGTAAACTTGTGTCACAGCGGTTTGTTGTACAGATTATTTCATCACCCAAGTATTAAACCTATTATCCATTTGTTATTTTTCCTGATCCTCTCCTTCCTCCAGCCCTCCACCCTCCAGTAAGCCCCGGTGTCTGTTGTTCCCCTCTTTATGTCCATATGTTCTCATCATTTAGTCCCCACTTATAAGTGAGAACATGTAGTATTTGGTTTTCTGTTCCTGCATTAGTTTGCTAAGGATAATGGCCTCCAGCTCCATCCATGTTCCTGCAAAGGATATGATGTCATTCTTTTTTATGGATGCATAGTATGCTATGGTGTATAGATATTGTATTTTTTTAATCCAATCTACTATTCATGAGCATTGAGGTTGAGTCCATGTCTTTGCTGTTGTTAACAGTGCTGCAATGAACATATGTGTGCATGTGTCTTTATAATAGAAGGATTATATTTCTTTGGGTATATACCCAGAAATGGGATTGCTGCATCAAATGGTAGTTCTCTTTTTAGATCTTTGAGGAATTGCCACGCTGTTTTCCACAATGGCTGAACTAATTTACACACCCACCAACAGTGTATAAGCATTCCTTTTTCTCTACAACTTCACCAACCCCTGTTACTTTTTGTGTTTTTAATAATAGCCACTCTGACTGGTGTGAGATGGTATCCATCGTGGTTTTGATTTGCATTTCTCTAATGGTCAGTGATGTTGAGCTTTTTTTCACATGCATGTTGGCCACATATATGTTTCTTTTGAAAAGTGTCTGTTCATGTCCTTTGCCCACTGTTTAATGGGGTTGTTTGTCTTCTTGTAAAATTTAAGTGCCTTATAGATGCTGGATAATAGACCTTTGTCAGATGCATAGTTTGCGAAATGTTTCTCCCATTCTGTGGGTTGTCTTTTTACTCTGTTGATGGTTTATTTTGCTGTGGAGAAGCTCTTTAGTTTAATTAGATCTCGTTTGTCAATTTTTGCTTTTGTTGCAATTGCTTTGGGCATTTTCATCATGTAATTTTTGCCTGTTCCTATGTCCATAATGGTATTGTCTAGGTTGTCTTCCAGGGTTTTTATAGTTCTTAGTTTCACATTTAAGCCTTTAATTCATCTTGAGTTAATTTTTGTATGTAGTGTAAGGAAGAGGTCCAGTTTCAATAGTCCGCACATGGCTAGCCAGTTATTCTAGCACCATTTACTGAATAGGGAGTCCTTTCCCCAGTGCTTGTTTTTGTTGACTTTGTCGAAAATTAGATGGTTGTAGATGTGTTGTCTCATTTCTGGGCTCTATATTCTGTTCCATTGGTCTATCTGTCTGTTTTTGTACAAGTACCATGCTATTTGGTTACTGTAGCCCTGATGTATAGTTTGTAGTAGTATAGTTTGAAGTTGGGTAGCGTGATGCCTCCAGCTTTATTCTTTTTGCTTAGAATTGCCTTGGTTATTTGAGGTCTTTTTTTGGTACCCTTTGATTTTTTTTTTTTTTTCCAAAATGGAGTTTTACTCTTGTCACCCAGGCTGGGGCACAACGGCGTGATCTTGGCTCACTGCAACCTCTGCCTCCTGGGTTCAAGCGATTCTCCTGCCTCAGCCTCCCGAGTAGCTGGGATTACAGGAGTGGGCCACCACTCCCAGCTAATTTTTGTATTTTTAGTAGAGACGGGGTTTCACTATGTTGGCCAGGCTGGTCTTGAACTCCTGACCTCAGATTATCACCTGTCTTGGCCTCCGAAAGTGCTGGGATTACAGTTGTGACCCACAGCACCCAGCCCATATGAATTTTAAAATAGTTTTTTCTAGTTCTGTAAAGAATATCACTGGTCGTTTGATAGGAATAGCACTAAATCTATAAATTCAATGAGCAGTATGGCCATTGTAACAATATTGATTCTTCCTATGAATAAGCATGGAATGTTTTCCCATTTAAGGAGTTTTTTTTTTGGGGAGGGGATAATTGGTGGAGCCTTTTATTCTGCCAACTTGCTCTGCTTCCCTCATAGATTTTTTAAAAATTAAAATTTAAAAAAGAAACTAAAAAAATACTTTTAAGAGAGAAAAGAAACAGCAAATATAACAAATGGGTTCACTGTATTATGCTAAAAGTGGTAAGTGCTGTGGAAAAAAAGGAAAAAGTTGGGTAGAGGAAGGGATTTTGAAATGCCAGGGGGCAGGAGGGCTCATATTTCTCAGTATTCATAGGGTGAACTCACTGAGGTTGTGCAAGAAGATATCTGTGGTCAAAGTACTGGCAAGAACTGTTAAAAACGCCCTAACGTGGGAGCATGAAGTTGTGTCAGAAGTACTGCAGCCTGGTCAGGGTGGAGGAGCTGGGGAGAGGGAGTAGAAGATGAAGTCAGATGAAGATGGACTCTGTAGGGCATGGCATGATCAAATTTACTTTTTTTTTTTTGTTTTGAGACAGAGTCCCACTCTGCTGCCGGGACTGGAGTGCAGTGGCTGTGATCTCGGCTCACTGCAACCTCCGCCTCCTGGGTTCAGGAAATTCTCCTGCCTCAGCCTTCCAAGTAGCTGGGATTACAGTCACGCTCTATCACGCCTGGCTAATTTTCGTAGTTTTGGTAGAGACGGAGTTTTGCCATATTGGCCAGGCCGTTCTCAAATCCCTGACCTCAAGTGATCCACCCGCCTTGGCCTCCCAAAGTGCTGGGATTACAGGTATGAGCCACTGCTCCCGGCCTCCAAATTTACATTTTAAAATCAGCACTCAGCTGCTGTACTGAGAGTAAACTAACTGAACCCATGTCTTCTTGGCCTATGTGCTTCTAGGGCCACCTTCTGCTTTGGATTAGCTTAAGCAAAACTAATGAGCTCTAAATACAAGCCCTGTCTGGCCTGGTTTTAGGCGATGTCAGATCTTTAGTTTCCCCTAGTAGCCCTAATTTATCTTTATTTTTGCTCATGACACTCTCAGCTTTCAACTTAGCATTGCTGGTGGGTTATAGTTAGGGTTTGTCGTTTTCATAAAACTCTTCGTTCTATTTAGTTACAGTACATCTGTTTCTTATGAAAGATTAATTTTATGCATCTTTAAATCTTTGAAAACATAGCCTTGCCTCATGCTGGTTCTCGTCCACCCCTGTAGGCCTGATAAATGTTGGAGAAAACTTTGACAGCATAATTAAGGCATAATTTTATTCTATTTTTTTAACCTCTGTCACTCAAAAAAAAAGTGCAAAATAGAATTTATATGGCTGGAAGAACAAGGTGGCAGTGATTTATTTATGCCAGACCAGAGGAGGATATTGATATTTATTAAAATAAAATACTAAGATGGTAAATGGTCTACTAATCAGAACCTGGTTAACATCATGTGCCTGAGCAGGTGGGGTAGAGACAGGCAGAGCCCTGGAGATTGCTCTTATTTCAAATACAAGGGATACAGGGTCAGAGGGAAAGGATTTCGTTAGAAAAAGAGAATGCTCGCATTTACTCAGAGCGGACTGTTTGCTGAGCTCTCTGGCTGGACCTAGGAGCTAATGCCTTGTCTATGGAATCGTGGCTGAATTCCTACCCACAGCCTTCTTGGTCCTCTCTGGCCTTCTACTGCCTTTACAGATTGATCGTGGGGTGCAGTGGACCCTTTAGCACTTTGGAATTCTCTTAACCCACCCTGTACTGTCTCCAAATGGTTGCCTTAACTCAAGTCTACAGTGTTGTAAAATCTTTTGTCCTCAAAGGCACAAGACGTTCTGAATTGGCCCCTTCAGTGTATTTCCAGGGTACTTTGTAATGACAGGAATGGTTCATCATTGAGTGGTAAGGTCCTGTAGCATATTCCTTATATGCATGTTTCATTCATTCCTCTCATTAATGATATGAGACAAGTCCCTTCCCTTCCCTTCCCTTCCCTTCCCTTCCCTTCCCTTCCCTTCTCTTCTCTTCCCTTCCCTTCCTTTCCCTTCCTTCCTGTCTCCTCTCTCCTCTCTCTCTCTCTTTCTCTCTATTTTTTTGTTGAGACGGAGTTTCACCATGTTGCCCAGGCTAGTCTCTAACTTGGGCTCACGTGGTCCACCTGCCTAGGTCTTCCAAAGCGATGGGATTACAGGCGTGAGCCACGGCACTTGGCCTATTCCATTTTCTAGATAACAAAAGTGAAGCCCAGGCTGGGTGTGGTGGCTCACGCCTGTAATCCCAGCACTTTGGGAGGCTGAGGCAGGTGGATCACTTGAGGTCAGGAGTTTGAGACCAGCCTGGCCAACTTGGTGAAACCCTGTCTGTACTAAAAATACAAAAATTAGCCAGGTGTGGTGGTGGGTGTCTGTAATCCTAGCTACTTGGGAGGCTGAGGCAAGAGAATTGCTTGAACCCAGGAGGCAGAGGTTGCAGTAAGCCGAGATTGTACTACTGCACTCCAGTCTGGGCAACAGAGTGAGACTCCAGCTCAAAAGAAAAAAAAAAGAAAAAAAAAAAAAAAAAGGAAGCCTGGAAACATTAGGTCACGTGCCCAAGTTTACACAGAATGACTATGAGCCAAGTTCCTAGCCCCTGTGTGAATGGTTACATTATGCCTTGTACTATTGCAATTTATTAATATTTACACGTCTGTTCCTTCTATTGGGTTAAAAACTCTTTGAAAAATTGGACAATGTCACGTTTGTCTTTGTGTTCTCCTTAGTTCCCCACACAGCTCCTTACACATCATAAGGGGGCAATAACACTGTGATGAGTGAATGAATTGCACTCAGATGCCTAACACTAGCACTTTGAATTTTCAAGCTTGTTCACATCTCCCATCTCCCAACAAAGAAGGATATTTTAATAAGAGTTGTGGGAGAAATTAACAGAAAGCAAACATTGCCAAGAAAAATCCTTTTTGAGATTGGTTCTGACAGTCACACAGCAAGGGAAGAAGAAAATGGTTCTGAAGGGGAGGAACCTCAGGAAGGGGTTCTCTAACATCTGATTCAAAGCAGAGTTCTTTGTTTGTGAAGTCTTGTTCTCATGCGGTTGAGATCTAAATCTCTATTTATAGATTAAAATGCTGCTAATGCTGGCAAGTTGCAGCAAATTGGTTGCCTGGAGATGATAATACTTTGTTAATCCAGTATCAAGCTGTGCTGGGCATTATTGAAACCCAGTCTAGGAAGGACTTTCTGATCATCGAGAATTAGAAGAAGGCTGGTGCAATTCCAAGTGGCATTTGCATCATGCATTTAGGAACAGTTGAAAGTAACCAACTTAAGGTGCTTGGGGTACCATTCCTTAAGGTGACCTCCTAAACTTGTCAGAAAGTTATCTCTGCTTTCCTTTATAGATTTGATGACCATATATGTACCCTTAGAAAATACATTTTTTGTTTTGCTTATTTTTGAACTTTATAAAAAATAGTATCATACTATGTGTATTCTGAAACTTGTTAATTCACTTTTTTCCTCAACATTATTTCCTGAGATTCAGTTCATCCATGTTGAAGCTTGTAGCTATGGTTCACTTATTTTTATTTTTTTATTTTTTTCTGAGATGGAGCTTTGCACTTCAGGCTGGAGTGCAGTGGTGCGATCTCGGCTCACTGCAACCTCCGTCTCCTGGGTTCAAGCAATTCTTCTGCCTCAGCCTCCAGAATAGCTGGGATTACAGTCACCATGCCCAGCTAATTTTTGTATTTTTAGTACAGATAGGGTTTCACCATGTTGGCCAGGCTGGTTTCGAATTCCTGACCTCAGGCGATCCTCCCGCCTCGGCCTCCCAAAGTGCTGGGATTACAGGTGTGAGCCACTGTGCCCTGCCGGTTTATTTATTTTTATTGCTGTATAGTATTCCATTGTATCAATGCTACCATTTACTTATCCAAACTTCCACTGATGAACATTTGAATTGTTCCAGTTCTTTTTATCATGAACAATGCTAAGAACATTCTTGAATATGTTTTTTGTGCACATGTGCAATAATTCTTGGGGTATACAATTAAGCCTGATATTGACATGAGTGTTCAATTTCTTAAGATAATGGACAACTATTTTGCACTGATGTTGAACCACTGTTGCTGGCAATTATGGGGGGAGCACTATATTTGGGACATGGGGAAGGGATGAGGCCAGGGAGGGGCTTGGTTGATGGGAGGGCAGGGAAAGAATTCTCAGCATAGAAAAGTGGTAGTTCCAGGCATTCTTGGGTGGGCCTGAGCTTAGCTGGTGAAAAACAGAAAGGCTGGAGCACAGAAGTGGGGGAACATTGGCAATGAGGTGGGAGAGGAAATCAGAGCCAAGTCCTGAAAGCCAGATTAAAGAATTTGATTTTATTCAATGTGAGGATTTTGAGATGGGGAGTGGATGTGATTTTATTTACATTTCTAAATAACATTTTGGCTGCTCTGTAGAGAATGGATTAGGGTTGAAAGCAAGAAGAACATTAGATGCTAATCATAACAGTCTGAGAGCCCGGGGCTGAGCAGTGCAGAACTGGTTGTGTCGTGGTAGGGGAGATAAGACCTGCTATCAGAGCAGATGTGGGCTGTGAAGGAGAGACAAGAATCAAGGCTGACTCTGAGTCACCAAACTTGTCCCATCTACCTCTTAAGTTTTTCTCAAATGTATGTGTCCCTTCTTTTTCCATTCCACTACCTCAGGTCTTACTATCTCTCATTTGACTACTGCAAGAAGCTGTCAACGAACTCTTCCCAGGGCCTCAAGCTGGCTCTCTTATCCTCCCTCCATCGATCTCCATATAGCTGATGAAATTACTTTTCTAATCAATGATTTTTCTAGATAAAGCAAGTCACATCATTTTCTTCATTAAAAATCTTAGGTGAGTCCCTAAATGCCCTTAGACCAAAACCTTATTCCTTAGGGATAGGAAAAGGAATTACAATGTTGAGTACTTTACATACCTTGAATCCTCATTTAATCCCTCCTAGAATTCCATGAAGAAGCGATTACCCTTGTTTTGTGGGTAATACAACTGAGGCCAGAGTGAAGGAATTTTCCCAACATCATAGGGTCACAGAGATAATAAATGACAGGGGTCTGTTCACATAAGCCAGTGGTTCCCAAACATGGGTGCAAGAGGGTCCTTGTTGGGGGCGAGAAGGCCCCCCAGGGCAATGATATCTCAATATCCTGGGGAGGCACCTGAGTTAATTTTCTCTCTCCCTCCCTCCCTTCTTTCTTTTTTTTTTAATTTCTTGACTTTACTTACTTATTTTTTGAGTCAGAGTCTCACTCTGTCACCCAGGCTGGAGTACAGTAGCGCCATCTTAACTCACTGCAACCTCCAACTCTTGGGCTCAAGCAGTCCTCCCACCTCAGCCTCCAGAGTAGCTGGAACTACAGGAGTGTGACACCATGCCCGGCTAATTTTTGTATTGTTTGGAGAGATGAAGTTTCACTATGCTGCCCAGGCTGGTTTCAAACTCCTGAGCTCAAGTCATACACCCACCTTGGCCTCCCAAAATGTTGAGATTATAAGCATGACCCACCGTACCCAGCCTGACTTTATTTTTTAAGGCAGTTTTAGGTTCTCAGAAAACTTGAGTGGAAAGTAGAGATTACCCATATACTTTCTGCCCCAACACATGCTCAGCCTCCCTCATTATCAACATCCCCCACCAGGGTGGTACACTTGTTACAATCTATGGACTGTAATATCTCCACAGTGTTGCCTTGTCCAGAATGTCATATAATTGGAATCAAATAACATGTAGGCTTTTCAGATTGGTTTCTTTCACTTAGTAATGTGCAATTAAGAAGCCAAAATGCACATTAAGGAGGTTAATGTCTTTTCATGGCTTGATAGCTCATTTCTTCTTAGTGCTAAATAATATTTCATTGTCTGAATGTACCACATTTTATCCATCACCTACTGAAAGACATCTTGGTTGCTTCTAAGTTTGGGCAATTATTGATAGAGCTACTATAAACATCTGTGTGCAGGTTTTGGTGTAGATATACATTTTCAGCTCTTCTGGATAAATACGAAGGAGCTCAATTGCTGGGCTGAAGTGATCCTCCTGCCTCAGCCTCCCAAAGAACTGGGATTATAGGAATGAACCACTGTACCTGGCTGAACACGAGATTTGGAAGGGAAAAAACTTCCAAACTGTATCACTGGTATACAGAAAAGTGATTAACTTCTTGTATATTAACCTTGTATCCTATAACTTTGCTATGATTGCTTATTAGTTCTAGGATTTTTTTTGGTTGATCCTTTCAGATTTTCTACATAGACAATCATCTATGAACAAAGAATGATGGATTTCTTCCTTACCAAATCTGCATACCTTTTATTTCCTTTTCTTGACTTATTGCGTTAGGTAGGACTTACAATACAATGCTGAAAAGCAGTGGTGAGAGGGGAAATCCTTGCCTTGTTTTTAATTTTAGTGGGAAAGCTTCAAGTTTGTCACCACTAAGTGGGTTTTTTATAGATATTCTTCATCAAGTTGAGGAAGTTCCCTTCTATTATTAGTTTACTAATCGTTTTTATTATGAATAGATATTGGATTTTATCAAATGATTTTCTGCATCTATTGATATGATCATATGATTTTACTCTTTTATCTTGTTGATGTGATTAATTACATTAATTTATTTTTGCATGTTGAACCCGCTTTGCATACCTGGGATAAATCCCGTGTCGTTGTGGTATATTTTGTTGAAGATTTTTGCATCTATATTCATGACATATATTGTTCTGTAGTTTTCTTTGTCATGTCTTTGGTTTTGATATTAGGGTAAATGTGGCTTCACAGAATGAGGTAGAAAGCATTCCCTCTGCTTCTAATTCTGAAAGACATTATAGAGAATCAGTAAACTTTCTTCCTTAAATGTTTGGTAGAATTCGCCAGTGAACCATTAGGGCCTGGTACTTTCTGTTTTGGAAGGTTATTAATTATTGAGTAAATTTCTTTGATAGTTATAGGCCTATTCAGATAGTCTATTTCTTCTTGTGCGAGTGTTGGCAGATTGTGTCTTTCAAGAAATTGGTTCATTTCATCTAGGTTACCAAATATGTGGGTGCTATGGTTTGAATGTATTACCCAAATTTTATGTATGGAAACTTAATCTACATTGTAATAAGATTAAGAGGTGGGGCTTTTTAAAGGTAATTAGGTAATGAGTAAATTAATGCCATTATTGTGAAAGTAGGTTAGTTATCTTGGGAATGGGGCTCCTGAAAAAAAGATGAGTATGGCCCAATTTTTTCTCTCTGTCTTTCGTGCTCATTTGCCCTTCTGCATATGGCCCTTGTAGTCTTTTAATGAGTCTGTGTCTCTGGACTTTGAACTTCATGTGTGTTTCTCAGTGCCCTCTAGTACCCCACCCCTTTAAGTGGGACAGGGTGGCTAGGCTGGGTATTTCCCTTCCCCTAGGTAGATTAGGCTCTGGTAAAACCCCAGCAGGTTAGGCACGGTAAAATAGTTTAGCAAGATATTCTTGTTAAGAAGAGAATGCTCTGATGTATTTCAAAATGTTTTCTTTTTTCTTAGCTTTGGTGGAAGCATGAGGGAATTTTTCTTCTATATTCACTAAGACAGCCTGGTAGAGCTCCAGGAGGTGAAACTCACAAAAGTTCCCCACTTCCCCAGACTGGGTCTCCCTGGAGTTTTTATCTCTCAGACTTGTCCATATTGATCTTCCAGCAATTCGTCAGTTTCAGTTTAGGTATCCTGAGCCAGGACCTGGAGATTTCTTTTCTGCTCTAGTAAGCTGTGATCCTCTGTATTCACCTGTCTCTTTAATTTTAGGGGTAGCCATTTGCCTTGTGACCTCATTTCTCTTAAGGGTCTAAGAAGAGTTGTTGATTTTTCAGTTTGTTCAGCTTTTTACCAGCTGGGGTGGAGTGGCAACTTACGAGCATCTTTCTCTTCTCTTTTCTCCTTTCTCTCATTCTTTCTTTTCTTTCCCTCTCTCTATTTTTCATTCTCTCTCTTTTTCTCCATCTCTCTTTCTTTTCTTTTTCTTTCTTTTTTTGTCTCTTTTTTTTTTCTCTCTCTTTTCCTCCTTCTCTCTCTTTCCTTCCTTCTTCTTTTTTCTTTCCTGTATTTTTTGACATGTACTTCAGGTGATTCTGAGGACTTGTTCATGTGGAAACCTGACAGGAACTATGGATCAGGAGCTTCCCTCTGACCATTCCTGAATTCCTGAGCCCATTCCAACTCTTGCTGCCTTTGTCACCAAAAGAACATTTGGAAGCCAGTACTGAGGGCTTGGGAGGGCTGCTTGTTGTAGCTTCCAGATTCTTCCAAACAGATTGCTAAATTTTTAGGAATCTCATGAATTGATTGTTAAGCTGCCATTTGCCAAATCAGAGTCATATTACAACCACAGGTTGCCTATGGAGAGGAGTTTGGCAAAAATAAATGAAAGCCTTCTGTGGGAATCAGTTGACTACATAGCAATTGCAATAAAGAGTATGTATATTTTAATGCCTGGGCACAGTGGCTCATGCCTGTAATCCCAGCACTTTGGGATGCCAAGGCTGGTGGATCACCTGAGGTCAGGAGTTTGAGACCAGCCTGGGCAACATGGTGAAAGCCTGTCTCTACTAAAAATACAAAAATTAGCCCGGTGTGGTGGCAGGTGCCTGTAATCCCAGCTACTCAGGAGACTGAGGCAGGAGAATCACTTGAACCCTTGAACCCAGAAGACAGAGATTGCAGTGAGCTGGGATCGCGCCATTGCCCTCCAGCCTGGGTGACCGGAGCAAGACTCTGTCTCAAAAACAAACAAACAAACAAACAAATAAACAAACAAAAAAGAGTATGCATATTTTAAGAAGAAAATTAAAAAATAAAGAGTATGTATATTTTATTATTTTATGTAAATTGTGTGCTATATATCTTTCATATTAGTGAGTTTATAATAATCTTAGGTATATACATATGTTTATGTGTGCATACACATAGGGACTTATTTTGGGAGAATCAATTGTTAAACATTTACCAGCACTAGTTTTTTTTCTTTTTTTTTTTTTTGAGACAGAGTTTCTCTCTTGTCACCCAGGCTGGAGTGCAGTGGCGCGATCTTGGCTCACTGCAACCTCTGCCTCCCAAGTTCAGGCGATTCTCCTGCCTCAGCCTCCCGAGTAGCTGGGACTGCAGGCATGCACCAACATGCCCAGCTAATTTTGTACTTTTAGTAGAGATGGGGTTTCGCCACCAACATGCCCAGCTAATTTTGTACTTTTAGTAGAGATGGGGTTTCGCCATGTTGGCCAGGCTGGTCTCGAACTCCTGACCTAGGTGATCTGCCTGCCTCAGCCTTCCAAAGTGCTGGGATTACAGGCGTGAACCACCATGCCCGGCCTACCAGCACTAGTTTTATAGGAAAAACAATATGGTGGCAAATGCCAGCATCAAGATGGATGACACTTTCCTGGATGTGGTTATAAGAAATTCTTCCCAATAAACAATCCTGGAGAGTAAACTCTTTCTTTGATCTTTGTTTATAGAACAGTCTCTTTCTATAAATAAGACCTGAGATTGTGGGTCACATATGTAACTTGTGTCTACTCAGGCCACCTCACACCAGGGCACAGGTGACATTTTGCTCAGTGACATTTTGCTGACCTTGTTCCTACTTGCTGTTTCAGGTCTTCCAGTCCCCCCCTTGACATTTCTGTGACTTCCCAGGGATGTGTCACCAATCCCATCCTCTTGTGAAGGAAATTCTATGACTTTTCCTTGCTTTTAGGGATGCTCAGGCCCTCATGAGCTCCTTTTAGGGCCTATGTGATTTGGTGCATGCCTCCTCCCCTCAGGGCCTTTGCACATTCCACTTCTTCTGGCCAAGGGACCCCAATCCTGCTCCTGGTCAATGCCAACCATGGGACTTTCCAGCTTTAGCAAGGCCATTCCTGACCTCCCCAAATTTCTTTCAGACTAGCCTGTGCTCTGCCACACTGCTTACCGCTGTTGTGCACATACACTTTGGTGTGGTTGTTTAATATCAGCTCATCTTTGAACTCTCAGTGACTTTAGAACAGGGACCAACTTGACTTTGTCATCACTGCTTGCCTAGCACCTAACGCAGTACCTGGCATTGATAAATAAGTGTGTGTTATCTTGACAACAGCCAGGCACAACCTTAGCTGTTGCCAAGAGGCCAGGCTGAGGCTTCCCTGCAGAGGTTCCTTGAGTGTGTGTGTTTTTTTTTTTTTTTGGTGAGACATTCTCACTCCGAGCCTAGGCTGGAGTGCAGTGGCACAATCTTGGCTCACTGCAACCTCTGTATCCTGGGCTCAAGAGATTCTTGTGCCTCAGCTTCCCGAGTAGCTGGGACTACAGGCTCATGCCAACATGCCTGGCTAATTTTTGTATTTTTAGTAGAGACGGGGTTTCACCATGTTGGCTGGGCTGGTCTTGAACTCTTGGCCTCAAGCAATCCACCTGCCTTGGCCTCCCAAAGTTCTGGGATTATAGGCGTGAGCCACCGTGCCCAGCTGAGCATGTGGTTTTAAAGCCCATTTTAACTGGTGCCTGCTCGAGCACCTTGCAGTCTGCTGAAGGACGAGAAAGAACACAATGGTATCCGGAGGCAGGAGGGTGGCTGTCCTGGAAGGAAGCCCACAGGGGGGTTCTAGGGCTATGGAAATGTTCTGTCCCTGGATTTGGGTGATAGTGACATGTAAACATGTGTACGTTATGCGGATGTTATGTCTCAATTACAAAAATAATAGAAGGAGGTAGTAGAGTGTACAGATTGCCTGGGCTCTGGACTCAGGCAGCTCTGAGTCTGAATCCACAGCTAAATGACATGTCCAGGTCCCTTCTCCAGACCTCAGTTTTCTCATTTACAAAATGGGTATTATATCTTTTTTTTTTATACTTTAAGTTTTAGGGTACATGTGCACATTGTGCAGGTTAGTTACATATGTATACATGTGCCATGCTGGTGCGCTGCACCCACTAACTCGTCATCTAGCATTAGGTATATCTCCCAATGCTATCCCTCCCCCCTCCCCTCCAAAATGGGTATTATATCTTTACCCTTATGGTTATGTGTAAGGCTTAGCAAATTTTAGGATTAGAAATTCAGTAACTTGTAAAGGCAATTCTTCTTTGCCTACTTTATTACCGTGGAAGTTGTTAAAAAAACAAAACAAAACAAAAAACAAAAACCCTGACAGCCAGCCAGGGAAGGCCATGAAAAGAGAGTTCTCATGCTTGTATACCTGATGGCAAAAATGATCACAAAAGACTTTGCAAAACCACAGCATTGCACAAAGGCCATCTCAACTTTACACAAAAAATACTTCTGCGAGGACATCTGCCCAGCAACTGCTTGTCCAGCCTGGGACTGGTGCCACCCTTGTTATTGATCTTTATAGCCAAGGATAATTATTTCAAAACGATTATGTAATCCTTCTCACGTTTTTTCTTTAAAAACCTTTGTCTTTTCTTACCTCCCTAAATATGCACACAATTTGCTATGACACGTGTATCTCCATTGCAACGCTCTATTCCAAGTAAACATCTTTTCTTTTAGAGAGTGTTTCTCTACTTGTTATTTAGGTGGATGCTGCTGAAGACAGGGTAAGGAAATGCATTTTAGCAAGAACATTTCAGGTAGATATTGCCAAAATGTTTCTTAGGAAGTACAATTCTTTCTTGGAAGTCTGTGAGAGTATGTACCTAGCCAGCCAGGAGAAAGGAGACTTTTCTACTGGCCACATTCACTAATCACGTGACTGCTGGGACAAGGCACTTAACCTATTTTTAGCTCAGTCTTCCTTATCTGTAAGATGGGAGGGAATAACCTTTGCAGCTGCTACTGATGAGAAGTTCAATGCAAAATGAAAAAAATCTAACTGATGATTCAAAGTTGTGATACTGGGATTGCTATCTGCAGGCCCTTGCTTGACACGGGAGGGAATTGTGGAATCGTGGTGGTGCCTTCCAGCAGGTGTCTGTTGTAACACCCTCCAGGGAAGGCGATGGAATTCGACAATGTGGAGGGACACACTGGACGCTCTCTCTTCTAATTTCATGGGGTTCACTCAGACTGGATCTGAAGAGCTCATCTGAAAGCAAGACTATTTCATACAACTCTGGGGTCATATCTGTCCCTCTGAAGGGCTTAAGCACATTATTAAAGCAGTGAGTGAAGTCTGAGAGCAAATCATGCCTTATTATTTTCATTTGGTGCAGAGTGTTAAGGGACTGTGTTCACTGTAAATTGGTCAAAAACAGTCCAGGAAATAATTTTCGAGCACGTCCTGATTTTGATTAGGTTCCGAGAGGTAGCAGTATTAGGGTGCAGACAAAAGGCAATCAGCTGAAAATTTTGGACTTTAAAAGCATCATTAGGTGATACATTGTGCCAGAAGTAACAAACGCAATAGTGGCTCTTTAAGGAGTGAGAATCTGTCACTCACAGACTAAAGCTCCTCTTGGTACCCACATTCCCAACCCCGACAGCTGCTAATTCTTTATCAGGAGAAAGTAACCCCATTCGATTATTTCCACTGAGGTTGAAGGACTGTAACTTAACCAAATACACAATTATTTTTCCTAGTTTTTAGTTACAGTTAGTTTATAGTTGGTTATAGTTAAGATTTAAAAATAACTTAGGACCGGGCGTGGTGGCTCACGCCTGTAATCCCAGCACTTTAGGAGGCTGAGGCGCACGGATCACTTGAGGCCAAGAGTTCGAGACCAGCCTGGCCATCATGGCGAAACCCCGTCTCTACTGAAAATACAAAAATTATCCGGGCATGGTGGCACATGCCTGTAATCCCAGCTACTCAGGAGGCTGTGGCAGGAGAATCGCTTGAACCCAGCAGGCAGAGAATGCAGTGAGCTGAGATTGCGGCACTGCACTCTAATCTGGGCAATAATACAGTGATACTCTGTCTCAAAACAAAAACAAAACAGCAACAACAAAAAACTTAATTGAAATCTTACTTTAGGAAAAAATCAGGACATTGGAACCCTGGTTTAGGGCAGGATTAAGCTTTGTGGTAGGTTCCAGTAGCCAAAAATGCTACAAATCACATACTTTTAGAGTTGCCAGGAATCCATACATCTGACCTGTACTATGTTTGAAAGCAGGTCCCACATTTACTCCTTTGTTCCTGGATGTCAAAGCCTTGGAAAATCAAGCTATCCATGTGAACTGCACTTTTAGGAGAAACCAGACTTTCTCAACTTTGGCACCAGGGACATTAGATAATCATTGATCCCAGATAGTAGCTGTACTTTTTCACTCATTATATATTTCCCTTTGCTTGTCCTTAGAAGGGACATTATCCTGATTGCAGAAAATCCGATTTCAATTTCCACTTTGTCCTGGAAATGCATGTAGATTACTGTTGGGCTCAGTAGCCACTCAAGAAGATCCCCCATATTAAAGTGATCTGATTTATTTATTTTTATTTTTTAGAGATGGAGTCTTGCTCTGACGTCCAGGCTGGAGGGCAGTGGCATGATCTTGGCTGACTGCAACCTCCACCTCCCAGGTTCAAGCAATTCTCCTGCCTCAGGCCTCAGCCTCTTGAGTAGCTGGGACTACAGGTGGGTGCCACCAGGCCTGGCTAATTTTTTTTTGTATTTTTAGTAGAGACAGGGTTTTGTCATGTTGGCTAGGCTGGTCTCGAACTCCTGACCTCAAGTGATCTGCCCGCCTCGGCCTCCCAAAGCTCTAGGATCACAGGTGTGAGCCACCATGCCCCGCCTAAAGTGATCTGTTTTAGAATGAACACTGTAGAAGACGCAAATGGATTAGAAAGCCTTTTGGGAGACACCTGAGTGTACAGGACTGAAGAAATGAGAAGAAAACCAAACATGTCTGGTCTGAGAAAGTCAGGACTGGATTGACTTCTTTTTCTTTTATTCCTTGGTTTAATTTATAACTTCAAGAAAACATACTTTCCCCAAGTGCTTTCAGATCATTTAAACCTTTCAGATAACTGGACTGGTCACATTCTCATGACTTTTTGTTTGAATAATTCATTGATTCACAGAATGTTTGAAATTTTGCCTAGCTTTTTTTTTTTTTTTTTAAAAAACCAGCTTTTCAGGTTTAATCTCTAGTAAGGGAAAGAACATCTCTTTGATAACCAGGGGGATAAGGAAGGATAAGAAGAGCCTTTCCCACATCCTTTTCTTCCTACTGCAGACACCACCATGGGCTCATTTGCCTCTGCAGAGAAAATCTGCATGGAGGCAGCCAGGTTTTCTCTGAGGCCAGATCTAGGCCTTTTCCCCTTGTCCAGATCTAGGCGAGATCAACTGAGAGTTTAACACCTTTAAATGTCTGAATGGAATATTTACCACCTATTATCTCTGAGGGCTGCTACCTGTGAGGTTTCATCTGTATAACAAGACCTCCTTTGGTAGCCAGGCCTCTTCTTTTCCCCCTCTCATAATCTGTTTTGGCACCACGATCTCTTCAGCCAAGCGCCAAGCCCCCATTATTTCTGTAAGCTCAAGATGGTATAAAAGTGGCCGGGCACAGTGGCTCACACCTGTAATCCCAGCACTTTGAGAGGCCAAGGCAGGCAGATCACCTGAGGTCAGGAGTTCGAGACCAGCCTGGCCAACATGGTGAAACCCTGTCTCTACTAAAGATACAAAAATTAGCTGGGTGTGGTGGCGAGTGCCTGTAATCCCAGCTACTCAGGAGGCTGAGGCAGGAGAATCACTTGAACCCGGGAAATAGAGGCTGTGTTGAGCTGAGATCGCACCATTGCATTCCAGCCTGGGCAACAAAGGGAGACTTGGTCTCAAAAAATAATAATAATAAAATAAAAAAATAAATAAAAGCATCAACCACCTGATTATTTCTCTGAGTTTTTAAATTTTGTAATATTCCTGTGCACACTTATACATTTGTATGCCTTTTTCTCTTACTAATCTGCTGTCAGTTGATTTTTTTAGTGAACTACCAGAGGTCGAAGGTGAGGTTTTCCCCTCACATACAATGGTATCTATCTGTTAGATAAAAATCAGAGGAGGCCATTGTTTTGGGCTAAGTTCCTACACTAGGCCCCAGCTGACCAAATTAAAAATAAAAATGGAAGAGGTGTGGTGGCTCATGCCTGTAATCCCAGCACTTTGGGAGGGTTAGGTGGGACGATTGCTGGAGCACAGGAGTTTAAGACCAGTCTGGGCAACATAGCAAGACCCCATCTCTTCAAAAAAAAAAAAACAACAACAACAACTAAAAATAAAAACAGAGTAATTCATGCTAAAGTTGCACATCACCCAACCTAAATTAATTTATCTGAGCTTTCATAAAATCAGTACAGATAACAATTTCCCAAATGGGCCAGTTTAAAACTTCAGTTGCGTAACAATGAAGCTCCCTCTGCCTAACCCTTACATGGAAAAGGTTGTTTAGAGTGACCTGATGTAAGCTAATTAGTTCTTTTTCTATTGTTCTGTTTCTCTCTCCTGCCTTATAAGAAAAGTAGCTTTGAAACAACAAATACACTCTCTGTTTTTTGCTTCTGCTTTTTTCAGCCCTTCTCTGTCTTTAAAGCAAATCTCTTCCACTCAGGTCATCTGAACACTTACTCTATTTTATGGAATGAAATGTTGCCTGATTCTAGGATCACAATAAAGCCATTAGCCAGCCTTGGTGGCGTACACCGGTAGCCCCAGCTACTGGGGGAGCTGAGGCAGGAGAATAAATAAATAAATAAAACACAAGCCAGTTGAGATCTTTAAAAGTAAATTGGTTGTAATGTTGTCCTTTGACACACCTTTAAGTCTTGTCCCTAATAAGGGTACATCTATAAATTTAAGGCTCTGTAAATCTGGAATGAGAAAACATTTCACATTTCCAGGACAAAATCACATAACTTGTAAGTAATTTTGACTAAGTCTTTTTTTTTTTTTTTTTTTTTTTTTTTGAGATGGAGTCTCACTCTGTCATCCAGGCTGGAGTGTAGTGGTACGATCTCAGCTCACTGCAACCTCTGCCTCCTGGGTTCAAGCAATTCTTCTGCCGCAGCCTCCAAAGAAGCTGGGATTACAGGCATGCGCCACCACGCCTGGCTAATTTTTGTATTTTTAATAGAGACAGGGTTTTGCATGTTGTCCAGGCTGGTCTTGAACTCCTGACCTCAAGTGATCTGCCCACCTCAGCCTCCAAAGTGCTGGGATTACAGGCATGAGCCACTGTGACTGGCCTAAGCTTTATGAGGGTTATTATTATTATTATGTTTTCAGACAAGGTCTCACTCTGTTGCACAGGCTGGAGTGCAGTGGTGTGATCTCAGCTTACTGAGGCCTCCACATCTGAGGTTCAAACAATCTTCCCGCTTCAGCCTCCTGAGTAGCTGGGAGTACTGGCATGCATCACCACGTCCGGCTAATTTTTTTGTATTTTTAGTAGAGATGTGGTTTTGCCACGTTGCCCAGCTAGTCTTGAACTCCTGAGCTTGAGCAATCAGCCCGCTGCAAACTCCCAAATGCTGAGATTAATGCCCAGCTGAGGATTATCTTTCAAGCTGTTTTTTTTTTGTTTTGTTTTGTTTTCATATAATCTTGCTCCTTCTAAATCTTTCAAGAGGTTGACTTAATCACTACAAGGCCACTATTATTTTAGTAGAATTATTTGGTAGAAGTGTTATCTTAGTAGGAGGTCTTCTTGTTTTCTACAGAGCACTATTTTATTTTATTTACTTTTAGAGACAAGTTCGCACTCTGTGCTCAGGCTGGAGTGTAGTGGTGAGATTATAGCTCACTGTAACCTCAACCTCCGGAGCCCAAGTGATCCTCTTGCCTTAGCCTAGGAGTTGCTGGAACTACAGGTGTGCACCACCATGCCCAGCTAATTTTTAAAATTTTTGTAGAGACAGAGTATTGCTATGTTGCCCAGGCTGGTCTAGAACTCCTGACCTCAAGCAATTCTCCAGCCTTGGCCCCCCAGAGTGCTGGGATTACAGGTGTGAGCCCTTGCGCCCAGCCTGTACAGTATGTTTTGTTATGGAACTGGAATTATCTCCCATAGAGAAGTTGTCACTTACAGAGAGAGTCCAAGGGAGCACGTGTATAGAAGCTGGCACTTGGAGAGGATAGATGCCCCTTTATCAACTAAGATGGACCCTAAGTTTATGGAAACAAAGTTACCTATTGCTCAAGGGCACGGGGCCTGGCTGGCATGGCAAATTTCTAAATTCCTACAGCTCTAAACTCCCTAACAACAGGAGCTTTCAGATCCCTCCTAACTCTGATTTACAATTGAGACCACTACAGTTCTGATTGGACGAAGAACAGGCCTTACAAATATTTTCTGATAAGCTACTGCAGACCTTAAGCCAGTTTCAGCCAGTGTCTAGAGGCCATGCACAAATAGTCTTTGTGTCCTATAGTTCTTTTGATATAAAGAGTCAAACCCCACCTCATTTTAAAGCTAAAGCCCTGGCCCAAAGTGAACATGGGATGTACGTTACATATGTTTCCCCATCGTGCTTGTGCTCAGCCTCCCTCATAAATATGTACAGCGTCCCCCACCTCACCCCCAGCAAACCTGCTGAATACGTATGACTCTGTTGTGTGACATGGACCCTGTGAGGCATAAAACGCAAGATGTCCTTCCCTTCTTTGAAGAGAGAGCAACTTTGTCCATGCTGGAGACATCCCCTTCCTAGTTTTCAAACTGGCATTGCCAATAAACCTCTCCTTTTTACTATTTAGTCATCCTGGTGGTCTTTTAGATGGCAGTAAGGAGCATAGCATTACATTGAAATGAACAATTTATAGTTAGCAAAATGCATTATTAAGAAAAGATTGTCAAGGTATTCTGACCTGAAATGCCAAAAGAAAAAAAAGAGAAAAAGTCTAAGTCAGGATGAGTGGGAGTGAGAGTGGTGCATTGGTGGAGTTACAGTCTAATTACTGTCAGCCCTTAGCATCAGTGCGTTCCACATCCATGGGTCTAACCAACCTCAGACAGAAAATACTTTAAAAACAAAACAAAAATACTAATACAACAATAAAGATAATACAAATAAACAATACAGTATAACAACTATTTATATAGCATTTACATGATATCAGGTATAAATAATCTAGAGATGATTGAAAGTATATAGGAGGATGTTCTTAGGTTATATGCAAATACTAGGCCATTTTATATCAGGGAACTGAGCATTCTTGGATTTTGGTTTTGAGGGGATCCTGGAACCGATCCTCCACAGATATTGAGGGACAACTGTACTGTATGAGAAAGCGTGACCTTCACACCTAAACACCTAAACATCTTTCTCCCAGTTTTTGCATCCCACAACAGCCTTATGAGAAAAAAAGTAACTTCCCTAAAGTGAAATGGGTAGTAGGGTAGAACTTAAAATCCCCCCTTGGGCCTTGGAGAACACATAGATCTTGAATGAGGTGTGAAAAAATATTAGCTATGACAATGGGTTGTGGCCCTTCAAGGGGCCACAGGAGATAAGTGGTTATGATAGTACATCTGTTGTATTAAAATTTCAGGGGAAGGAGGGTGGTTGGGGAAGAAGTCTAAAAGCGCTCTTTCAAGGGTGCAATAATACTAAAAATGGTTGAAAAACACTGCCAATCACATTTCTTGGGCAGCGCTTTTTCATCCATGGACACATAATTTCAAACATCTATATGAAAGGATAACCCCGCAAGGCATTGACCTTGCCTGCTGCCTAGATGGAGCCGATTCATCAAGACAGGGGAATTGCAATAGAGAAGGAGTAATTCACGCGGCGCTGGCTGTGTGGGAGACCAGAGTTTTATTATTACACAAATCAGTCTCCCAGACTGATTCGGGGAGCAGAGTTTTTAAGAACAACTTGGTGGGTGGGGGGAAGCCAGTGAGCCGGGAGTGCTGATTAGTCAGGGATGAAATCGCAGGGAGTCAGAGCTGTCTTCTGGCATTGAGTCAGTTCCTGGGTGGGGGCCACAAGATCAGATGAGCCAGTTTATCCATCTGGGTGGTGCCAGCTGATCCATTAAGTGCAGAGTCTGCAAAATATCTCAAGCACTGATCTTATGAGCAGTTTAGGGAGGGTCAGAATCTTGTTGCCTCCAGGTGTGTGACTCCTAAACCATAAGTTCTTTTCTTTCTTTCTTTTTTTTTTTTTTTTAGGAGTTTTCACACTTGTTGTGCAGGCTGGAGGGCAGTGGTGTTATCTTGGCTCACTGCAACCTCTGCCTCCCGGGTTCAAGCGATTCTCCTGCCTCAGCCTTCCCAGTAACTGGGATTACAGGTCCATGGGACCACGCCTGGAAATCTTTTTTTTTGTATTTTTAGTAGAGACAGGGTTTCACCATGTTGGCTAGGCTCGTCTAGAACTCCTGACCTCAGGTCATCCACCTGCCTTGGTCTCCCAAAGTGCTGGGATTACAGTCATGAGCCATTGCGCCTGGTCATAAACCATAATTTCTAATCTTGTATCTAATCTTAGTCCTACAAAGACAATCTAGTCCCTGGGCAAGAAGGAGGTCTGCTTTGGGAAAGGACTGTTATCGTCTTTGTTTTAAACTATAAACTGTAAACTAAGTTTCTCCCAAAGTTAGTTCAGCCTACCCCCAGGAACGAACAAGGACAGCTTGGAGGTTAGAAGCAAGGTGGAATTGATTAAGTTAGATCTCTTTTACTGTCTCAGTCATAAATTTGCAAAGGTGGTTTCAAAATCACAAACCTCCTGGTGCACATTTAGCTACTAGCATTCGAAGTTCTTGACAGGGCTCCCTCTGGAGTGTTGGAAACATAGTTCTCCCACAGACAGATAGTAACCAGGCATCAAGGTTTGATTTAATTCTTTAATGAGGGAACCAGCAGGGAAACAAAAGCACTGATTCAGAGAGCATTGGAAGGAGAGGGATTTGTGTAGTCCGTGGGAAATAGGTGTTCCATCCGATTGTCAGGTTAGATGTACGACTTTAACTTGCTAAGGTGCAGGGAAGCCACCATGGCTTTGAGGTTTGCTTTTCCACCATGTCACAAAGTCAAAACAATGTGTCAGTTTCTGCAGGTTAACTTCTAACCTTACAGGGCTAAAAACTACTACTGGCAATTTTCTCCTGAATTGTTAGTGACAGCCTTTGGGGGAGCCCTATGAGGATAGGGGGGGCTTCTCGGGAGTGCTCCAGCACACCACAGAACAAGGGGAGATCACCACTCTAACTTCCTCAAGCCTGGTGCACAGGAATTCTTTAAGAGAAATACGGATTTATGATGACCATTCTTCTGATTATTGCTGAGCAAACAGCCCTGGAGTGTGGATTCTTAATTAGGGGACTTCAAATGATGAGCACCTTTCCAAATGGAGAATATTTTTTTTTTTTTTAATTATTTGAGATGGAGTTTTGCTCTTTCACCCAGGCTGGAGTGCAGTGGCACGATCTTGGCTCACTGCAACCTACGCTTCCCAGGTTCAAGCGATTCTTGTGCCTCAGCCTCCTGAATAGCTGGGATTACAGGCATCCACTACCATGCCTAGCTAATTTTTGTATTTTTAGTAGAGATAGGATTTCACCATGTTGTCCAGGCTGGTCTCGAACTCCTGACCTCAGGTGATCCACCCACCTCGGCCTCCCAAAGTGCTGGGATTACAGGGGTGAGCCACCACGCCTGGCCTCTTTCCTTTTTATTTATGTAATTTATTTATTTGTAGATATGGGAGTCTCACTGTGACGCCCAGGCTAGTCTCGAATTCTTGGCCTCAAGCAATCCTCCTGCCTCGGCCTCCCCAAGTGCTGGGTTTACAGGCATGAGCCACTTCCCCCAGCCTTTTCTTTTATTTGTATTGCCTTTATTAATATCACAACTTAATTAATCCTTGGCATTATCTTTCTTTTACAGTAAAAGGACGTCTGTTGAGCATCTACAATGTGCTAGATATTGGGCTAGGTATTTTCACACATACCTATTTCATGTAACTTCGCAATGACTCTGAGAGGTAAAGAGCACGTGTATTTGTTTATATATATGTTTGCATCTGAAGAGGACGCTACATCCTTCCAAGCAAGAGTTGTTGGTAGCTTGGACCGTGGTGGTGGTGGAGGTAGCAAAAGAACAGGAAGAGGTGGACTAGCGGGGAGGTAGGACCAACATAACCTGCGATGGGTTGGGGACGGGGAGGGAGGCGGAAACCTGTGACTCACTCCCGTTTTCAGCCTACCTCCTGTTACCTGCAAAGCGGATTTCACAGCCCTTATTGGAGCATCACACTGCACCAGGAAAGGCAGGTGTGTAGGTGGAGTACTTGAGTCCAGGTCCCACTGAGGCCACCAACTGCCTTTGCAGCCTGGCGACGTCTCAGTTCCTGGTCTTTATTTTTTATTTTATTTTATTTATTATTATTTTTTTTTTCGAGACGGAGTCTCGCTCTGTTGCCCAGGCTGGAGTGCAATGGGGCAATCTCAGCTCACTGCAAGCTCCGCCTCCCGGGTTCAAGCGATTCTCCCACCTCAGCCGCCTGAGTAGCTGGGATTACAGGCATGCGCCACCATGCCCAGCTAATTCTTGTATTTTTAGTAGAGACAGGGTTTCACCATGTTGGACAGGCTGGTCTCGAACTCCTGACCGCGTGATCTGCCCACCTTGGCCTCCCAAAGTACTGGGATTACAGGCGTGAGCCACTGCGCCTGGCCATTTCCGGGTCTTTAAGCTCTGGGAAGGGGCTCACCTCTCAGAGCCCTGGGCTCACCCCAGGGCGATGCCCTGGTTGTCAATCGGGGTAGGGGTGGGGGCTCTGTGTGCTGTGGGACACCTCCCAGGGTCGGGGCTGTGTGGTCACTGCTTGGCACCTCCCTGCGCCTGGTCCTGTGCCTGCGAGAAGGGCAGGAGCGACCTCACCTCCGCAAGGTCTGCAAGGGGCACAGGCGCTGGGAGCACGGCGCCCACGGGGAGGCTGCAGGGGGGCGGTCGGGGCACCAGGGAGCCAGCGCCCTGCTGGCTTTCACGTGTGCATTTGGGAGAAAGCGTCCCTTTGGATAGACACATTTCAAAAGGGCGACTGCAGCCCTGGGTCATGCGGCTTTGGAGTCGAGCTCTCTTTGGAGCAGAAGAGAAGTTGCTTCCTTCCGGGAAGGGCTCCCTCTCCTGGCAGGGCACAGGGCTTGGACTCAGTGGGGCTGGGGCGGACTTCCGCTCCCCCATGCTGTGTGCTCATACTCTGTGGGACACTTTTCTTCCCTTTTCCCACCTCCTAACCTTCCATTATGGCGAAAGTCTACAGGCAGCTGGGACCTGCTCCCTGCTTTGGGTGGGGTCGCAGATGTGCTGGGCCCATTCAGACCTTGGGGAGAGGACTCAGCACTTCCAAGTCCCAGTTCCCCAGGGAAGGCTTGGCTCTGGTGACAGAAAGTGGGCTCCTTCTGAAGCATTCTGTTTCATCTTTTTCAGTTGCTTTCCTAACCCATGTCATGCAGACTCTTGATTAATAAAAGCTGGCACTTAAGGATATCAACTATCCATAGGCAATTTAAGCAAAAATCCCAGGAGGTGGGGTGAGTGGCTCAAACCTGGGAGAAAGGTGTGGGTGGTAGAACCTGGAGAGAAGGGACAAAGACTCTCCTTTGACCAAAACTTTGTTTAGCCTTTTGAGTCCTTTCTGACTAGGCGGACCTCAAGCTTCCCTTTTTGTCTTTGTAGAATCCAGTTTGAGCAAGAACCTGCCAAGTGAATTAAGCAACAACCCCCTACCCTTGGTATCTGTCCTTATCCCTTACCCTCTATATCTTATCACCCTGGACTGTCTTCAGCAATAATCCTATCAAGACAATTTAGCCAGAAATCCCCTTTCCTCGGCGATTTTTCCTTAGTAACTTTTCATCCATTTGCTTTTTGGCTATAAATCCCCACTTGTCCTTGTTAGAGTCAGGTTCAAGCTCAGTCTCTTTTCTCCACTGCAAGACCTCATTGCAGTGGTCCCTATATAACATCCTAGACAAGTGTTAAAGACACTTATCTAGGATATTATATATTAAACTTTTTTTTGAGATGGAGTCTCGCTCTGTCACCCAGGCTAGAGTGCAGTGGCACGATCTTGGTTCACTGCAACCTCCGCCTCCCAGGTTCAAGTGATTCTCCTGCCTCAGTCTCATGAGTAGCTGGGACTACAGGTACCTGCCACCATTCCTGGCTAATTTTTGTACTTTTAGTAGAGATGGGGTTTCACCGTGTTGGCCAGGCTGGTCTCGAACTCCTGACCTCAAGTGATGCACTCACCTCGGCCTCCCAAAGTGCTGGGATTACAGGTGTGAGCTGAGGTGCCCTTTCTTTCTCTCTCCTTTCTTTCTTTCTTTCTTTCTTTCTTTCTTTCTTTCTTTCTTTCTTTCTTTCTTTCTTTCTTTTTCTTTCTTCTTTCTTTCTTCTTTTCTCTTTCTCTCTCTCTCTCTCTTTCTTTCCTTTCCTTCCTTCCTTATTTTTTTTTTTTTCAGACGAAGTCTTGCTCTGTTGCCCAGGCTGGAGTGCAATGGTGCGATCTTGGCTCACTGCAACCTCTGCCTCCCATGTTCAAGTGATTCTCCTGCCTCAGCCTCCCAAGTAGCTGGGATTACAGGCACCCGCCATCATGCCTGGCTAATTTTTTGGTATTTTTGTAGAAATGGGATTTCACCATGTTGGTCAGGCTGGTCTTGAACTCCTGACCTCAGGTGATCCACCTGCCTCGGCCTCCCAAAGTGCCAGGATTACAGGCGTGAGCCACCACACCTGGCCCAAACTTTTTCTTTCGCAGTGGAAGCTGGGAGGAAGGTGAGGAGAGGTGGAGTGAAGCTGAGTGGAATTGTAGGGTAGGTTGATCTTGACCAGTGGAGCTACGACTGCTGAGTGATACCGCTTGGAGTTTTTTTGTGAACCTAGGTTCTGCCTGGCTCTCCTGTCCACTCTGATGGAGGCACCTGTGGTTCCCAGGATAGGTTATTCTTTCCAGTGGACCGTATTAGCTGTGAATGTGTTTGCACAGATCTCCAGAAGCAAATACTTGGGAAAGAAGCCTCAGTCAGCTGCAGAGAATTTTGCTTCTTACCACCAACCTGGACTTGCAGGTAGGAAGTTGGCCTGGGGTCAAGCCCAGCTGTGGAGGAAATTGCATTACAGCTGCAGCCCGATTGGACTGATGAAAGTGCAGACCATGGTGGATGACAGGGTCTCGCTGAAAACCAGTGTTGACAGACTGTGGCTAGTTTCTGTTTAACAGATAGTGTTGCAAATCTGTGTGCATCGATTGATTCATGCATATTTAATGTTGAATGTTATGAGTATGGAAGGGTTTCTTTTGGAAATTGGTGCATCACAGATGTTGTATCGTCCAGTCTCCTCATTTTGCTGGTGAGGAAATTGAGGCTTGGAGACAGTAGGATGATGTCTTGGAGTTTCACAGCCAGGTAGCTGCTGAGTTACTTAGAGACCTGGAACTCTTGGCCAGTACCCCTAGGAGGGAGCATGTGGCAGACTTGAGACATGAGTGAAGGGCCATAGGTGAGCCTCTTCAGCTTCCTGTGCCTCAGGTTCCCATCTTATAAAATAAAGGAGTTGTGCTAGGGTTTCATCTCTTAGACATCAGCTCTAACATTCTACGATCCTCCCTGTACACATGCTGGCTTTTCCATTTTCAATTATTCTAAACCACGATTGTTTGACTGATTCCTTAAAATCAAATACTGCTGAGTGCCATTACTTTCATTTGCCCATCATTAAAAACTAAAGGACAATTTCCTAGTTGATTTCAAAATGATCCATTATGTAACAAGGACAAAAGTTAAAACTTGCTATAGGTCCAATTAATTATGTAAACCATCAGTTGACAAAACAGCAGCTAATGGAAATATTTTGTCTAATAATCTCCAAGTTACCATTATGTTAAAAGCAGTAGCAAGTGTGGCACATGTGGCTCACCTAAATAGGTGTAAAATATACACACCTTATATGAATGAATTAAATAGTCATAGCAAAACACAAACAACGTACATTGGAAAGTGAGTTTCAAATGCAAGGCAGTCCTCAGGCTCCCATATTAATTAATTTTGCTTTGTCTTTTGTGGCATTAGAGATTCACTGTTATACATGGCATACTTTTGTAACTTAATCCAATTGCAAAGATCTTGAAAGGAGATTCTATTAGCTCCCTTGACCACCCATTTCAGGATTGTAACAGTTTTGCTTACCTGGGCTCTCAGGATAACTGAGGCTCATTTGATTATCACTCTACCCATGGGTGGATACTCAGGGTTGTTCAGAACCAGGAAGGCTGGTAGGAGTTGCAGAATTTATTTAGCCTCAGGTCTTTGGTGTTGCTGAATCAACCCAGATTTGTAGTAAACTCCAAGAGGCAGGTTAGCACTGGGCACTTGGGAACAGAACCCCTATGGACAAGGAGCAACAGACGATACTGGTGAGATGGCAGGCATAACAGGGTTAAAGACCTAATGGAGACCCCTAACGAGGCATTCAGCTGGATCTACATTAGCTCTGGAGGCAACCACCAGGACCACTTTGGACCTTATGCGTTTTATACCATGTGAATGTATTTCTATTAATATAAGTAAAATAATTTTAAGAAAAAGAAGGGAAGGGCATGCCCACCTGCTCTGTCATGCTGTTTGTCTCTGGCAGAGAGGCAGGTGCTCTGGAAGGAGCTGGCAGCCTGTGATGACCTAGAATGGCCACTTGGTGGCAGTGTTTCACTTTAATTGGCCCAAGGCAACCCGACCTGGTTTTATGAACTTCTAGCTGCGGATTTCTGGGACCCGCCCTCAAGGTTCAATTTATAGGCCTCGAGTGAAGATGCAAAATAGGATCCTGAGTGGAAAGTAATGGCTGTAACAGATATCCTCTGGCTCCTCCCTGTCTTCTTTCCCATTAGAACATCTCCCATCTAAGAGCTGCTTAGCAGGAGACAGGGGTCAATATCACAGAGGCCGGATCAGAGGCAGAAGCTGGGCTGCTTTAGGCCTGACACCGTGTGAGGGACCTGAAGGCAAGGAGCGTGGCTGCATCTGCCAGGCACGGGTGCTCAGGGGTGCTGCGAGTCCCCCAGGCCAAGGACGGGGCGTGCATTCATGGAGAGTGTTTGGCTGTCTTCTTTCCTGTGCTGGCGCGTTTCCAGGGGCCCACTCTTTCTGAGGGGTCTCTCAGGGAGGGCATGGCTGTGAAAAGTGAGGGAGGAAGCCGCAGGGATGTCACCTTCGGCCGGTTACAAAGCCCTTCTGGGCCACGTTCTCCTTTGTGGGATTGGGACGTTGATCCACTTCAGAGGCTCCCAGGCCCCCAGTTCAGGGCTGTCCCAGAATCACCAGAGAAATAAATTAACACAGATTCCGGGGCCCCGCCACTGCTCAGTCTATTCTATGGGTCTAGTTGGGAGCCCCGGAATCTGTGGGTTTAATAAACCCCAGAAGAACCCAATGAAGTTTGGAATCCAATGGTTAGGGGTGCTTTTTTGGATTCCTTCTAAGTGAGAAATTGTGACTGTGGAAGTGATGACTCACTGTGAAGCACACGGGCCCTGAAATCCACCCCTTCAAGCTGTTGATCTTTGTATGCATTTATTTCCTCAAGATGTTGCTGGCTCTTCCCGGGCCAGGAAGCAGATGCTGTGCCCGGTAAGGCCCGTCCTTCCAGTCCAGCCTTTACCACCCATGCGGAGTGAGGGTGAGGGCTCCGAAGGTGCTTTTGACCCTAATGTCATAACCATGGGGGGTGGACACAGATGTAAACTCGAAACTCTTCTTATTATTGAAAAATGTAAATATATACAAAAGTAAAGAGAATAGTATAATGAATCCTTATTTATCCACTACTTAGATTCAACAATTATCAAGATTTTGCCACATAGCTCTTATTCACATGCCAAGGGGGAGAAAAGAAGATTTTGCTATAGAAAAATTATCATACTTTCATTTTTTGTGTTTGTCTTTGCTGAAATTTTTGCTTGAAAAAGGCAAATATCCAGGTTTCTAGTCATTTCCGCCTACATGGGGCATTTCTTCTGTGCCTTTATTACATGTTAATAATGACTTCTCAGGCCGGGCATGGTGGCTCATACCTGCAATCCCAGGATTTTGGGAGGCTGAGGCTGGAGGATTTCTTAAGCCCAGGAGTTCAAGACCAGCCTGGGCAACATAGTAAAACCCCATCTCAATAAAGATATTTTTAAAAATATTAAAATTGTTTTTTAAAAGAGAAAATAAATAATAACTTCTCAATATCATATAATTCTGACCCATACTCAAATTCCTCCAGAATTAGCTCAAAAATGTCTTTTGACATTTGATTTGAGGTCTAGGCTTCTGAGGTTATCTCCTAATGTCTCCCAATACATGCATTTGCAAAGATCCATTGAAGGGGTTGGACATTTAAAACATAGCACAACTTTTTAGCCTGAAACACACACAGAGCCCTGCAGAAAAGTGAAGTTGAGATCCTCACAGGTTCTGAGTTAGAGGGGCCTTGGAGATTATTCAGCTCACCCTTTCCTCAGTACTGGAGTCCTTTGACAGGATCAGGACTACTGTACATTTGGTATTGAAATTGCTCTTGCAAAATTATGACGGTAAGAAATCTAAGTCCAGGCGCGGTGGCTCACGCCTGTAATCCCAGCACTTTGGGAGGCTGAGGTGGGCGGATCACCTGAGGTTGGGAGTTTGAGACCAGCCTGACCAACATGGAGAAACCCCATCTCTACTAAAAATACAAAATTTGCTGGGTGTGGTGGTGCATGCCTGTAATCCCAGCTACTCAGGAGGCTGAGGCAGGAGAATTGCTTGAACCTGGGAGGCGGATGTTGCAGTGAGCCGAGATCATGCCATTGCACTCCAGCCTGGGCAACAAGAGCGAGACTCTGTCTCAAAAAAAAAAAAAAAAAAAGAAATCTGATACAGTTGACTCCATCTTACTTCTGACCTCCAAGCTGTCCTTGGTCATTCATGAGCGTATGCCAAGCTAACTTTGGGAAGAATTTAGTTTATAGTTTAACCTTAAAGCAGAGATGATAATATCCCTTCTACAAACTAAATCGCCTTTGTAAAACTAACAAAAGTCCACAATGTGAGGATTATGAGAGGCCTGAGTTCTGATAAGAAGGGCATAATTTCTATAATACCTTGCTGCTCAAGGGTCATGTGGCCAGAGGTCACAAGATTTATGACTTTCCCAATTGCTCCTGTAGATAGCATCACCATTGTAGAACCTAAGTTTTTTTTTTTTTTTTTTTGAGGCGGAGTCGCCCAGGCTGCAGTGCAATGGCTCAATCTCAGCTCACTGCAACTTCTGCCTCCTGAGTTCAAGTGATTCTCCTGCCTCAGCCTCCCGAGTAGCTGGGATTACAGGCACCTGCCACCACGCCCAGCTAATTTTTGTATTTTTAGTAGATACGGGGTTTCACCATGTTGGCCAGGCTGGTCTTTAACTCTGGACCTCAGGTGATCTGCCCACTTTGGCCTCCCAAAGGGCTGAGATTACAGGTGTAAGCCACTGAACGCGGCCTGATCTTTCAAGATATCTTTCAGACTGACCCCACCTGGACTCATGACTCATGACTCAGCTGATCCTGTGGCCCCACCCAGAGGCAGATTCAGCACACAAGGACCATTTTCCACACCCCCATGATTGCATCCCCACCAATCAGCAGCACCCATTCCCAAGCCCCTGCTCATCAAATTGTTCATAAAGCTCCTAACTTCCAAGCCTTCAGGGAGACTGATTTGAGTGATAACTCCAGTTCTCCTGCGTGAGCTGGCCTTGTGTCAATTAAACTCTCTCTACTGCAATGCTGTTGTCCAGTGGGTTGATTTTTTCTGTGCAGCAGGTAGGAAGAATCCATCGAGTGGTTACAGCATTTACTCAGACTCTCCAGTGGCCCAGTGAAGAAAGAGTAGGTTTGGAGTAGAGAGGATCGTTAGCCACCTGACCCTTGGTGAATCACTTAACTTCTCCAAGGTCAGAACACTCTAGCATTGAAAGGTAGAGTGGAGGCTCTCAACAGATTTCCATGGAACCATCCCTGCAGCTTGACTCGCTTGCCGTCCACCCTGTGAGCTGATGGGTGCCTGTGGCTTGCAGCACAGGGTTGGTAGGAGGCACTGTGGGAACTACACACGGGCTTGTCCAGCAGCTGAGAGGGAGCCAAGCCACAGTCATGTTCTCTCCCAGGCCTGCCCAGGCCAGCTCTACCAAATAACAGAATCATATAATTTAATCAAACATTATGTAAATTGAGGAAATATGAATGCCATAAGAATGGAGTTGTCTCTACTTTCTCTGAAATGGTTAAATGCAATGTAAAGGCTTGAAGTTTGTGAGCTGATAAGAAACTGTCTTTTAAATTAAGAGATGATTGTAGAGGCCTGCGAAAAACAATAAAAGCCAGGTAAAAGTCTCCTCTCAGATTGCTGCATAACAGAGTTTAAGTTCTTGCTCCACTTTAAAGAAATGGAAATAGCTGGGTGTGGCGGCTCATGCCTGTAATCCCAGCACTTTGGGAGGCCACAATGGGTGGATCACCTGAGGTCAGGCGCTCAAGACCAGCCTGGCCAACATGAGGAAACCCTGTCTCTGCTAAAAATACAAAAATTAGCTAGGTATGATAACTCTCACCTGTAGTCCTAGCTACTCAGAAGGTTGAGGCACGAGAATCGCTTGAACCCAGGAGGCAGAGGTTGCAGTGAGCTGAGATCCTGCCACACTGCACTCCAGCCTGGGGACAGAGTGAGAATCTGTCTCAAAAACAAACAAACAAACAAACAAAAAACAAAAAAACAAAACAAACAAAAAAATGGAAACTGGAAATCATGGTTGGAGTTTATGAAAGGAGACCATGCAGACTCCAATTAGTAGGTCAATTCTCAAAGACAGGACTTGGTTCTATGTCAAAGTTGAAAAAAACGCATTCTGGCGGGTTAAGTTAAATATTTAAGGTATGTATGTATAATCTTTTATGATTCCTTGCCTTAACTTTTTTTTCTAATTAACCACCCATCTATGGATATGGATACAGATAGTTTTGGATGTAAGAATTCTGTATTAATAATACGTGCAGGAAGAAAGAAGAAAGGAGATATGCATTTTCTGGTCTGGCACTGTATACAGCAGGCACTTAATAAATAGAAATTCTCATTCTCCTCTCTTTTTTTTTTTTGAAAGAGAAGGAACCATAACTTTCTAACACAGCTAATACTATTTCTGAACAGTTCTAGGTAACTGGAAAGTTCTGTTTTTTTTTTTTTTTTTTTTTTTTTTTGAGACGGAGTCTCACTTTGTCTCCCAGGCTGGAGTGTAGTGGTGCAATCTTGGCTCACTGCAACCTCCACCTCCCAGGTTCAAGTAATTCTCCTGCCTCAGCCTCCTAAGTAGCTGGGATTATAGGCATGCGCCACCACTCCTGGCTAATTTTTGTATTTTTAGTAGAGACAGGATTTGGCCATGTTGGCCAGGCTGGTCTCCAACTCCTGACCTCAAGTGATCTGCCTGCCTCAGCCTCCCAAAGTGCTGGGATTACAGGTGTAAGCCACCACACCCGGCCTGGAAAGCTCTTTTAAAGCTTCCTCATAATTTCCGTATAGTACAGTCCTAGACTTGTATTTTGGGTGTGCCCAGAACCAAGGGCAGTTACATACACACCACACACACACACACACACACACACACACACACACACACACATTTTTTTTGAGACAGGGTCTTCTCACTCTGTTGCCCAGACTGGAGTGCAGTGGCACAAATGCAGCTCACTGCAGCCTTGACCTTTGAGACTCAAGTGATCTTCTTGCCTCAGCCTCCCTAGTAGCTGGGACTACAGGCAAGTGCTACCATGCTGGGCTAATTATTTTATTTTTAGGAGAGATGGGGTCTCACTATGTTTCCCAGGCTGGTGTCAAACTCTGGGGCTCAAGTGATCCTCTCACCTTGGCCTCCCAAAGTGCTGGAATTATCGTTGTAAGCCATCGTGCCCAGCCCTATACATAGCTGAAGACAACATTAAGTCATGTCCCTCCATTAATCTCTTCTCCACAGCAATTTTTAGTGTCCCTCCCTTCATTTCTGGGCCCGAGCCCTGTGACACCCCAGATGAATGTGACATTCTACAGGCAGCACTGGAGAGCTGTCCTGCCACTTTGTCCCTATTCTGGACACCCTCTTCCAATGAAGGTATCTGCCACCGTGTAAGGATTTTTCACAGCTGTGTCAAGTGTTGTTAATACAGGCCTGGCTGCCGGCCTTCCAGGCCTTTCATCAGGGACTGCTACAAAGCAGGCCTTCTCCATCCTGAAATTGCACATTTGATATTCTTTCATTGTGTATGTGGGAATTTGTATGAATTACATTTTATCTTGTTGGTTTCAGCCCAGTTTTCTAGTTTGAGTTCTTTTTGTTTGGATCTTGATAGAAGTTGTATTAGTCCATTCTCATACTACTGTGAAGAAATACCCAAGACTGGGTAATTTACAAAGGAAAGAGGTTTAATTGACTCACAGTTCGGCATGGCTGGGAGGCCTCAGGAAACTTACAATCATGACAGAAGGGGAAGCAAACACATCTTCTCATTGTGGCAGGAGAGAGAGAAGTGCTGGGCAAAGGGCCCCTTATAAAACCATCAGATCTCATGAGAACACACTGACTATGAGAAAAACAGTGTGGGGGTAACCATGCTATTACCTCCCACTGGGTCCCTCCCATGACAGGTGGGGATTATGGGAACTACAATTCAAGATGAGATTTGGGTGGGGACACAGCCAAACCATATTACAAGTCATCCAGCATAGTGACTATTTCTCCCTGCTTGGTGTTTTGGCCGGTTTGGCAAACAAGCCTTCCCAGTCTTTCTTCATGCTGGTGGTAAATACATTGGACAGTAAAGGGCCTGAGACACAGCTGTGTGGCATGGTACAAGAGGCCTGGACTTTGTCCTCCACCCAGTTCATTTAACATTCAATTAAACAAATATTCATCAAGTTGAGCATGCCAGGCACCGTTCTAAATGCTGGCAGTATAGCAGTGGACAAAACAAACAAAAATTCTACCTTTTATTTATTTATTTTTTTGAGACTGAGTCTCACTCTGTAGCCCAGGCTGGAGTACAGTGATACGATCTTGGCTCACTGCAACCTCTGCCTCCTGGGATCAAGTGATTCTCCTGCCTCAGCCTCCTGAGTAGCTGGGATTACAGGCACCCACCACCACACCCGGCTAATTTTTGTATTTTTAGTAGAGACGGGGTTTCACCATGTGGCTGGTTTTGAACTCCTGACCTCAAGTGATCCATTGGCCTTGGCCTCCCAAAGTGCTGGGATTACAGGCATGAGTCACTGCGCCTGGCCCAATTCTACCCTTTTGGAGCTTGCATTTTAGTCGACAGCATTTTAACTAAGAAGTCATGTCCCCATCATATATACCTTAATCTTTATTTGATTAAGCTCTCATTTATTCATAATGATGGTTAATTAAGTATTTACCATGTGTTGAGCCCTGGTCTTCATGCATGTAGTAAGTATGAACTTATCTACAACACACCATCCACTAGATTGGCAAAAAGCTCATTATCACACTTTTGGGGTCGGTCCTCTCTCCTTTAAGGATCATCTGTGAACCTTTTGAATCTTTTGCAGTCTAAAAGGAAATTTCTCCAAAGTTCAATTTTCAAGTAGGGAAAAAAAAACTAAGTGTTGGTCCGCAGCTCTGCAGCTGCTCATCACCGCCACTTGAGGGCGCTGATGAACACAAATTGTCCTCCATCCATCCATTGGACCCCGTGGTCTTTGCCCTATGACCCAGTCCAGAAAGTTGGGGCCTTCAAAGAAAGGCAATTCTCCACACACTCACTCAGTCCAGGGTAACACGCTCCTCAGTGCGTTTTCTGGAGTTCTCAGTCATTCTCCTCTGGAGCCAGTCCTCATAAGTGGCTCAGGGGACCTCCTCCTGGGATCCAAAGCCCTGGATCTCTTTAGTTCTGAGAATACACTGGGTGGGTAGGCAGACAGATTGAAGAGACCAGGATTGAGATGTTTTCTTTTGCATTCCTCAATATCTTTATTTTATTTTATTTTATTCCTTTTTAAAGAGGCTCACTATGATGTCCAGGTTGGTGTCGAACTCCTGGGCTCAAGAGATCCTCCTGCCCCAACCTCCTGAGTAGCTGAGACTATAGGTGCATGCCCCTGACCCCAGCTGTGTTCCTCAAAATCCAATAGACTTATTCCGCTTCCTTCTTGACATAGTGTTAATTGATCCAACTCTTCTCTTCTTTTTGGTCTCACATGACAATCTGGTTACTTCTTAAGGAAGGGGATAGGTGACAAGGTGCCACCTTGGGGGTTTCTGCTGAACACCGACTGCTCCCCATCCCTGTAGCAGAGATGGTGGAGATTAGGTGGTGAGGAAGACTTTTGAAACCTTAATGTATGAGTCGCCATGTCTCAGAGGCCACTAAGGGACTTCCTATGCATCTTTAAATATCAGTGAAAAAAAGCCTTTCAGGTTTACCCCAAACTCATGCATTATCTTATTTGACCCCCAGAATACCCCTGCAAGGCAGGATCATTTTAGCCATTTCACAGATGAGGCAACAGATTCAGAAGTGATAGGAACTCATTGTGAGTTTGGAAGCTGGGTTACTTGGGCTTTGAAGTCTTACTTAGTCCACCACCCATGCTCCTCTATCTTGCTCACAGGCTCTCACCCTCTGTACCAACCTGTACCTCCATGCACCATTGTTCAAGCATCAGAGAGGACTTCCAGAGAGCTTGGAGGCTCAACAGTTTCTCAATAGGCTGTTGGAACTGAGAACTTTAGAAACGACTTGCCTGGCCAGGCATGATGGCTCAGGCTTTGAATCCCAGCACTTTGGGAGGCTGAGGCGGTTGGGTCACTTGAGGCCAGAGTTTGAGAGTTCGAGAGTTCTCAAGAGTTCGAGACCAGCCTGGATAACTTGGTGAAACCCCATCTCTACTAAAAATACAAAAATTACCTGGGTGTGGCAGTGCACACCTGTAGTCCCATCTACTTGGGAGAAGCATAGAATTGCTTGAGCCTGGGAGGTGGAGGTTGCATTGAGTTGAGATCATGCCACTGCACACCAGCCTGGGTGACAGAGTGAGACTGTCTCTAAAAAACAAAACAAAACAAAACAAAACAAAAAACAAAAAAAACATTTGCCTTAATGAGGAACCGCTGATTTGATTCCTGAAGTAGTACAACCCATTAATCTAATGTACGTAATGGGAATAGAAGAATTGTATTACACTAGAGCTAAAAGAGACATCAGTGATCGTGTAGCTCAGCTTGTTGTTTTTACAGAGTTGAATACTGAGGATCAGGGAGCTTAAATGACAACTAGGCAGTAAAAGAACTCATGGAGTAACCTGGTCTTCTCATTCCCAATTTAGAACTTATTTTAAACTGGTGTTTGATGACTTTTGCGTTAGAGGTCTTTGTTATTCTAGAAAAGTGAAAATTACTGAAGTGTTAAAATACAAAGCTCTTTCTTTTCTTTCTTTGTTTCTTTCTTTTTTTTTTTTTTTTTTTTTTGGCAGAGTTTCACTCTGTTGCCCAGGCTGGAGTGCAATGGTGCGATCTTGGCTCACCGCAACCTCTGCCTCCTGGGTTCAAGCGATTCTCCTGCCTCAGCCTCCTGAGTAGCTGGGATTACAGGTGTGTGCCACCATGCCTGGCTAATTTTGTATTTTTAGTAGAGATGGGGTTTCTCCATGTTGGTCAGGATGGTCTCGAACTTCCAATCTCAGGCGATCCGCCCTCCTCGTCCTCCCAAAGTGCTGGGATTACAGGCGTGAGCCAATGGGCCTGGCCCTATAAAGTACTTTCAATCTTTGTCAAGACAGAGCAACAGGTTTATTTTTATGCTATTAGCATTATAAAGCTGGGCAAAATATATGAACATGTATTGTTAGGCATTGGACAGTAGACATCACAGGACTGCAATTCTTGAAAGACAGCACACAAAGTGAGGTCCATTTTCATGCTGCCTTTTTTTTTTTTTTTTTTTTTTGAGATGGAGTCTCCTTCTGTTCCCAGGCTGGAGTGCAATGGTGTGATCTCAGCTCACTGCAACCTTTGCTTCCCAGTTTCAAGCGATTCTCCTGCCTCAGCCTCCCGAGTAGCTGGGATTACAGGTGCACATCACCACGCCCAGCTAATTTTTAGTAGAGATGAGACTTCACCATGTTGACCATGGTTGGTCAGGGTGGTCTTGAAGTCTTGACCTCGGGTGATCCAACCACCTTCGCCTCCCAAAGTGCTGGGATTACAGACATGAGCCGCCATGCCCAGCCTGTATTTTGTTTTTTTGAGACAGGGTCTTGCTCTGTCACCCAGTCTGTCTTGCAGTGGTGCGATCATGGCTCACTGAAGCCTCGACTTCCTGGACTTAAGTGATCCTCCTACCTCAGCCTCCTGAGTAGCTGAGACTGCAGACATGAGCCACCATGCCCCACTAATTTTTCTTTTTTGTAGCGATGGGATCTCACCATGTTGCCTCAGCCTCTCAAAGTGCTGGGATTACAGGCATGAGCCACCATGCCTAACCAATACTGACTTTTTGCTTGAGACATTTTCCAAACTGTAGGGAAATGGAGCCCAACCAGATAGTTGAAGTCTTGCCTGGTGGAGAAAATGAAGACAGAAAGTGAGGGTAGCTAAGACTGCTTGAACTTGCAGGTCTGATACCAGAGAGAAGGCAATTGAAGAGAAACAATCAGAAATCTGTATAGGAGCTTCCTTCAGGTCCTTGGCAAGATCTTTAGTTGCATATTTATTGACTCAGACTCTGCAAAGTCTAGCTGAGAACAGCTTCTAGGGGACTGAGAGGTAAACAGTGATTTTAGAAGTTTGATCTGTTAGGGAGATGTTGGAGTTCTGATTCAACTAAAGTAGAGCGGAACATTTGAGACCCAAAACAACACTCACCTTAGGGGAAATCACTATGTCCTAGGAATAAGGGACATGCTGTAGGGCTGAGAGCAAAGATGAAATAGACCTGCCTTAAGAAAGCCAAATCCCAAGGCTTGACAGGATCAATATGACATGTTAGTAATTTAACTGCTTATCAGAAAAAAATCACAGTTTTTAGAGAAAAACAAAATCAAGAGTCTCTACAACATATCATTCAAAATGTTCAGTGTATGTCTTTGTTCATTTGTTCTGCTATAACAAAATACCCAAGACTGGGTAATTTATAAAAAACAGAAATTTATTTTCTCACAGTTCTATAAGCTGGGAAGGCCAAGATCAAGGCAATGGCAGATTCGGTGTCTGCCGAGATCCCATTCTTCATGCTGTGCCTCCTTGCTATGTCCTCACATAGTACCAGATGGAAGGGCAAAAAAGGAACTGGGGGCCGGGCGTAGTGGCTCATGCTTGTAATCCCATCCCAGCACTTTGGGAAGCTGAGGCAGGCAGATCACCTGAGGTCAGGAGTTCAAGACTAGTCTGGCCAACATGGTGAAACCCTGTCTCTACTAAAAATACAAAAATTAGCTGGGCATGGTGGCGGGCACCTGCAATTCCAGCTACTGGGGAGGCTGAAGAAGGAGAATCCCTTGAACCCGGGGGCGGAGGTTGTAGTGAGCTGAGATTGTACCACTGCACTCCAACCTGGGCAACAGAGACTGTCTCAATTAAAAAAAAGAAAAAGAAATATGTCTAAGAGTTTTCTGTTTTTTCTTTACAAAGATTATTTGCCGGCCAGGTGTGGCGGCTTAAGCCTGTAATCCTGAGAGGTGACAGCCTGCTGGCAGCCCTCGCTCCCTCTCGGCGCCTCCTCTGCCTGGGCGCCCACTCTGGCGGCGCTTGAGGAGCCCTTCAGCCCGCCGCTGCACTGTGGGAGCCCCTTCCTGAGATGGCTGAGGCCGGAGCCGGCTCCCTCAGCTTGCGGGGAGGTGTGGAGGAAGAGGCATGGGCGGGAACCCGGGCTGTGTGCGGCGCTTGCGGGCCAGCTAGAGTTTCAAGTGGGCGTGGGCTTGGCGGGCCCCATACTCAGAGCCGCCGGCCGGCCCGCCGGCTCCGGCAGTGAGGGGCTTAGCACCTGGGCCAGCAGCTGCGGAGGGTGCGCAGGGTCCCCCAGCAGGGCCGTCCCAGCAGCGGTGCTCTCGATTTCTCGCCGGGCCTTAGCTGCCTCCCCGCGGGGCCGGGCTCGGGACCTGCAGCCCGCCATGCCTGAGCCTCCCCCCACCCCCGTCGTGGGCTCCTGTGCCGCCGGAGTCTCCCTGACGAGCGCCACCCCCTGCTCCATGGCGTCCAGTCCCATCTACCGCCCAAGGGCTGAGGAGTGCGGGTGCAAGGCACAGGACTGGCAGGCAGCTCCACCTGCCGCCCCGTGCAGGACCCACTGGGTGAAGCCAGCTGGGCTCCTGAGTCTAGTGGGGACTTGGAGAACCTTTACGTCTAGCTAAGGGATTGTGAATACACCAATCAGCACTCTGTGTCTAGCTCAAGGTTTGTAAATGCACCAATCCGCACCCCGTGTCTAACTCCAGGTTTGTAAATGCACGAATTAGTGCTCTGTGTCTAGCCGATCTGGTGGGGACTTGGAGAATCTTTATGTCTAGCTAAGGGATTGTAAATGCACCAATCAGCACCCTGTCAAAACGGACCAATCAGCTCTCTGTAAAAGAGACCAATCGGCTCTCTGTAAAATGGACCAATCAGCAGGATGTGGGTGGGGCTGGATAAGAGAATAAATGCAGGCTGCCGGAGCCAGCAGCGGCAACTTCCTGGAGTCCTGTTTGACAGGGTGGGAGTTTTGTTCTTTTGCCCTTTGCAGTAAATCTTGCTGCTACTAACTCTTTGGGACCAATCAGCTCTCTGTAAAACAGACCAATCAGTTCTCTGTAAAATGGACCAATCAGCAGGATGTGGGTGGGGCCAGATAAGAGAATAAAAGCAGGCTGCCCGAGCCCGCAGCGGCAACTCGCTGGAGTCCTGTTTCACAGGGTGGGGGTTTTGTTCTTTTGCCCTTTGCAGTAAATCTTGCTGCTACTAACTCTTTGGGTCCACGCTGCCTTTGTGAGCTTTAACACTCACCACGAAGGTCTGCAGCTTCACTCCTGAAGCCAGCGAGACCACGAACCCACACTGAAGGAAGGAAACTCGGAACACATCCGAACATCAGAAGGAACAAACTCGACACGTTGCCTTTAAGAACTGTGACACTCACCGCGAGGGTCGGCGTCTCCATTCTTGAAGTCAGTGAGACCAAGAACCCACCAACCAATTCCGGACACAATCTCAGCACTGTGGGAGACTGAGGTGGGTGAATCAATTGAGGTCAGGAATTCGAGACCAGCCAGGCCAACATGGTTAAACCTCGTCTCTACTAAAAACCCAAAAATTAGTCCGGGGTTGGGGTGCAGGCCTGTAATTCCAGCTACTGGAGAGGCTGAGGCAGGAGAATCGCTTGAACCAGGGGGTCAGAGGTTGCAGTGAGCCGTGATTGCACCACTGCACTCCAATCTGGGCGACAAGAGGGAGACTCCGTCTCAAAAAAAAAAACTAATTGCCATGTGGTCGGGGTGGTGGTTTTCTTTTTTTTTTTTAGAAGAGTTTTTAGCTGGTTGAGGTAGTTCACATCGGTAATCCGAGTATTTTGGGAGGCTAAGTGAGTGGATGGCCTGTGCTCAGGAATTTGAGACCAGCCTGGGCAACATGGTGAAAACCTGTCTCTACTAAAAGTACAAATATTAGCTGGGCGCCATGACACATGCCTGTAGTTCCAGCTACTCAGGGAAGCTGAGGCAGGAAGAGCACTTGAGCTGGGGAGACAGAGGCTATAGGGAGCCAAGATCGTGCCACTGTACTCCAGCCTGGGCGACGGTGCCAGACCCTGTCTTAAAAAAATAAATACAATAAATGAAAACGGGATTTTGTGAGATTGTGATGGGTGGTAAGGCAGTGCAAAACAATATTACGTGCATTTGGGAGAATAGCCTTGATTTTGCTGAAAATCTGGATGACTGATAATGAAATAGGAAGGAACAGCAATATTTGAGCAAAAAAATCTTCAGAAGAAATATCTTCTTTTTGATTCGTAAGAATTTATAAGCATTTTTCATAGACAACTTCGACTTGTGTTGAATGTTCAACTAACTTAGACCAGAAGGACAGTTAAAAAAAAATTTTTTTTAAAGAAAGACAGCCGGGCGTGGTGGCTCACACCTGTTATCCCAGCAGTTTGGGAGGCTGAGGCAGGCAGATCACCTGAGGTCAGGAGTTCGAGAACAGCCTGGCTAACATGGCAAAACCCTGTTTCTAGTAAGAATACAAAAATTAGCCGGGCCTGATGGCACGCACTTGTAATCCCAGCTACTCAAGAGACTGAGGCCAGAGAATCGCTTGAACCTGGGAGGCAGAGATTGCAGTGAGCCAAGATTGTGCGATTGCACTCCATCCTGGGCAACAGAGTGAGACTCTGTCTTAAAAAATAATAATTTGATTATTGTTACCTATCAAACCTGAGTTTTAAACCTTTTGATTGTGTAAGAAACCTGAAGAGGCCTGAAGAAAAATTTTTCATAGTTCTCTGTTTTCAGGTATAGTGAGTTGATTAGTTAGCATTTTTAGTAAAAATGATCTGTAATACAGATTTTGCCTTTCCCTAAAAAATAAAGTTGCTTTCTAATCAGAAAGGAAGCAGAAAATTTCTGTTGGAACGCTTTTTATTCTGATTGCTATTGGAATTGCGGAGATTTACTGTTCTTGGAATAAGCACATTTACCCAATGAGGGAATAAAATCAACATTATTAATTATTTCAAGACAGAAAACATCTTGAATCATGAAAACTCTTAATTCATGGGTCTTAATCTTTCTCCTGGTTTCTAAGGGCTGATAGCTCATCCTGCAGAATGATGCCCCTGTGCCCTTGGAATGCTCCATAATTAATTAATGTATGCCTGGTGAGGTGATAGGCAGAGCAGGGGTGGGCGTTCATCCCATGCTGGGATTGCTTTGGTGGCTTAAATAGTCAGGGAGGTTTTTTGCTGGAAAGCTCCTTGGAGTGGGGAGGCCCAGAGGCCGAAGGGCAGAGGCTCAAAGTGGTGGTCACGGGTGGGTGGTTGCTGCTTTTGTCTCGGGGTCTTCAGTGTGACAGGGTCTCTCACAAGTGGATCAGATGGTATTTCATAGCCTCTGACTATTCTTTGGATTGTGTAGAATCAGAAACATTTCATAATTTGAGTCCTTGAGAACAGGCCTTTATTTGGGCACAGAAAAATTAGCATGCAGTTGAGAAATAGATTTGAAACACATGAGCGGGACTGCTTCGTTTTGCTTTTCTTCTGGTTCTTGGGCCGCTTCCATTTTAGTTTCAGTAAGTGAGGAATTTCTTAATGAGTTATGTGGTATTTACTGAAGGTTGTAATTCTGGCAAATGCTAAATAGAAAGTTTTTTTTTTTTTCCCCTCTTCCTCTGCCTTCCCTGATCCATAGTCTTATTTGGAGAGTTCTCAAATTGTTTGCCAAAACCAGTGACATAACTGGCTCCTTCCAACAGGCACCTGCCAAACCTGCACAGATTCCTACAGCAGCCAGTTCGCTCTGTCTCGAGGCTTCAGAGGAACACGAACTTCTCTGATGGAAGAGCCTTGTTCTAGAAGGGAGTGAAGCCTAGGTGAGCTAGGTCATTTGGCCTAACTTCTTATCTATAGCAGACTAGTACCTTGATATGTGAGTAGAGGGTAATCTTTCTAAAATACAAAAATGGCTTCATTGTTAAAAATTATAATGCTTACTGAAAAATGTTCTGCAAATATAACAAGAAGAAAGTAAAACACAAAAAAAACAAGCACCCCACTCCCAATTTCACCATCTCTGTGCAGGGTTCTGCAAGGTTTTGCTGTACATGTAGAGGTCATAAAATATATATTTTTTTACTTTTACTTGTTTTGAGACAGGGTCTCACTTTATGGCCCAGGCTGGAGTGCAGTGGCATGATCACGGCTCACTGCAGCCTCGACCTCACAGGCTCAAGCGATCCTCCCACCTCAGCCTCGCAAATAGCTGGGACCACAGGTGCATGCCACCATGCCCAGCTAATTTTTTGTATTTATTTGTAGAGACAGAGTTTCTCCACGTAGCCCAGGATGGTCTGGAACTCTGGATCTCAAGCAATCCTCTCGCCTTGGTGAGCCACCACACCTGGCCAAGGTTGTTAATATTTTAGTCTTTGCTAAAATAGGCCAGATGGTCTCTTGTCACAACTCAGCTCTGCAGCTGTAGCGTGAAAGCAATCATGGACAACATGTAAACAAATAGGCGTGGCTGTGTTTCAATAAAACTTTATTAGGGCTAGATTTTTGTATGCAGGCTATAGTTTGCAGACCCCTGATCTAAAATTACCCTCATTTATATTAGGTGCTCATCATTTCTAAATCTTTTTTCTCTCCTCATGTTTTTGTGGACATACTCATAGAGAAAAAAATAGAGAAATAATTTTATATAAATGAAAGCACTTTTTTTCATAAACCACGAAGGAGACTGAAGCACTTTTATAAAAATGGAAGCTATATTTAAAAATATTTTAAATTCAGTTTTACTGGAATTTAACTGAAGAAAATGAACTGAAATGAGACTGCAGGAACTGCTGAAATTCAGACCCATATTTCTTTACCACTGGTGATAATAGGTCCTAAAATATTTTGATAAAATTAAGAAGAAAAGAGATGATGAAAAGATTAGGGATTGTTTTGCTTGTTAAAATTCTGGTTTTCAATTTTGGATGCAGAAGTTGAATTTGTACTGTGACAAATCAGGAAATATGCATCTTTTCATTTCTCATGCCTCCTCTGAAGTCTCATTACTCATGCGATTGTTTTTAAATGGTCAAGGCTGACTATTTACATTCTCTTCTGTAACCAGAGTTACTTGAGTCCTTTGGTCTTAGATGTTTAAATAGACAGGCAAATGCCCAACACCGATTGTTACAGCAAGGCTTCTCCATTTATTTATTTATTTATTTGAGATGGAGTCTCACTCTGTCACCCAGCTTGGAGTGCAGTGGCATGATCTTGGCTCACTGCAACCTCTACCTCACAGGTTCAAGTAATTCTCCTGTCTCAGCTTCCCGAGCAGCTGGGACTACAGGTGCACTCCACACTCTGCTAATTTTTGTATTTTTAGTAGAGACGTGGTTTCACTGTATTGGCCAAGCTGGTCTTGAACTCCTGACTTCAAGTGATCCACCCGCCCTTGGCCCCCCAAAGTGCTGGGGTTACAGGCGTGAGCCTCCACATCCGGCTGCATTCCTTTGTGTGTGTGTGTGTGTTTGAGACAGAGTCTCGCTCTGTCTCCCAGACTGGAGTGCAGTGGTGTAATCACGGCTCATTGCAGCGTCAGCCCCCCCGGGCTCAGGTGATCCTTGCACCTCCATCTGGTGCAAGGACCACAGGCGTGTGCCACCACACTGAGCTAATTTTTGTATTTTTTGTAGAGAAGGGGTTTCACCATGTTGCTAGGCTGGTCTCAAACTCCTGGGCTCAAGCAATCTACCCACCTCAGCCTTCCAGAATGCTGGTATTATAGGCGTATTATATTCTGATGGAATGGTGCCCGGCCCATTCCGTGTGTGTATGTGTGTTTTCAAATATTGATTCCTCTCTTAATCAGCTGGATTTCATTACCTAGTAACTTTTTCAAGAACAATTTATGGGTGTTTTATTTTGGGATTTTCCTCTTAGCTTTATTCTAGATAAGGAGCACTTGTCTAGTTGTACAATTCCCAGGCCACACTTTCTATCAAGTGTCACATCATTTAACATCACAGTGTCTCCATTCAGTTTTAGACTGATTGGGTTTTGTGGAGCCACTTTGCCATCTCCCCAATAATGTGTGGCTGCTGCGTTTCTTCTGTTCTTTTCTCTTAGGAAAGGTCCATCTTTGAATTCATGCTGGCGGGATTACTTGGCTGTGTATGTTAGAATTGGGGTCGTCTCTTTTCTTAGAACCTCTTTGCCTTTTACCACTGGGTATTGTTTGGGGAAGCCTGAGTACAGGTTTTTTCACCCCTTATGGGTCCCTTCTTTTTCTTCCCGGATGTGGTAAGGAACCTTTCTTCATCGTTGGGATTTAATTTCTTCTTGAGAACGTGTGACATTATTAATCACATTATATCAGTTTATGTTATTCTTTTTTTTTTTTTTTTTTTTTTTTTAGACGGAGTCTTGCTCTGTTGATCTCCACTCACTGCAGCCTCTGTTTCCTGGGTTCAAGCAATTATTTTGCCTTGGCCTCCCAAGTAGCTTGGATCGCAGGCATGCACCACCATGCCCAGCTAATTTTTTTTTTGCTTGTTTTTTTGTATTTTTAGAGGAGACAGGGTTTCCCCATGTTGGCCAGGCTGGTCTCAAACTCCTGCCCTCGGGTGATCTGTCCGCCTTGGCCTCCCAGAGTGCTGGGATTACAGGTGTGAGCCACTGCGCCTGGCCCAGTTTGTGTTATTCTTCACGTTTAGTTCTCCCTTCATGTTACGGGAATCTTCTATTTTGTTCTATCTTCTTATTCCATTTATCAAGTTCTTTATCTTAAGGACACCCATTTTTGTCTTTGTTCCTGTATAATACTCTCAATTGCTTTTATAGCTTTGCTTTCCTTTGCTGTGATAGGCTCAAGCCTTTATTTGTTGTAGGTAATTTTGATTTTGGTTGCTGTCTTCTCCTCACAATTCCTACTCCTTATTTCTATAATGATGCTGTTTTGATCCCTCTGTTTCCTTAGTTTCACCATCCTCCCTTTCATTTCCCTTCATTACTTATTCACTTTGACTTTATTGTTTTATAAAATTCATGTTTTCTTTAAATTCTTTTGTAGTGGGAATCACTTACAGGTAATTAGCCTTCTTTTCCTCTGGTTATATTTTCTTTTCTTTTTTAAAATTAATTTCTTTTTTTTTTAATTTTTTTTTTATTTTTGAGACGTGGTCTCCCGTTGTTGCCCTGGCTGGTTTTGAACTCCTGGGCTGAAGCGATCCTCCCGCCTAGCTTCAGGCGTGAACCATCGCACCCAGCCTATTTTCTCTTCAATTATGTTGTCTGCCTCTCCCTCCCTCCTTCCCTCTATCTCTTTTTCTTGTGTTTTCATGCTGGCTTAGCCCCTGTGCCATTTATTTTTATCTTGATCACGCTTGGCATAAACCACTCTGTCCATTTTTTGGTGAGTATAATATAGTATAAATGAATTCTCTTGAATTTGCTGCCTTTTCTAAGATCTGTCTTTCTCTCTGACTTGCAGTCTGAAGACCGAATATTATTTTCTGTGTATTTTTGTGGCTTGTGTATAACAAGGGGGTGGGGTTGTGTGGCTGGGGGTGGAGGAGAGCTCTGCTGAGGTTCTGTAAAGCCTCCCTTGGAGGCCTTGGCTTGTCCTATGCCAGGATTCTCTCTGCCTAGGAGCGTCCTATTCCCAAGAAGGACAGAAACCCCAAGTGGGTAACGCTTCCCTACTTACCCCTGATGGTGTTCTTGCCTCTCCTGGGGTCCTGCTATTTTATAGTGGCAGCTCAATGCTTCTCCTCTTGAGGATTTCCTCCCTCCCCTCCCCTGGGCTGCTACACCTCCACTCAATTTGCTTCTCTCCAAATTAGGCCGGGTGCAGTGGCTCACGCCTGTAATCCCAGCACTTTGGGAGGCTGAGGCGGGTGGATTGCCTGAGGTCAGGAGTTCGAGACAAGCCTGGCCAACATGGCGAAACCCCATCTCTACTAAAAACACAAAAATTAGCTGGGTGTGGGGGCAAGCGCTTGTAATCCCAGCTACTTGGCAGGCTGAGGCAGGAGAATCACTTGAATCCAGGAGGTGGAGGTTGCAGTCAGCCAAGATCGTGCCACTGAACTCCAGCCTGGGCGACAAGAGCAAAACGTCATCTCAAAACAACAACAACAACAAAAACAAATCAAGTATAAGTGAGAATTTGAGACTTTTGTCTATGGACCTTTTTTCTTTAATAGTTTTATATTGCATATAAAAGATGGGGATTAAGTTAGGAACCTGTAATAGTTTTTGCGATGGAACAAACAACTGCAAACTCTCAGCAGCTTACAACACAAGTTGAGTTTCCTGCTCAGGAGTCTGCAGGTAAGTTCCACTCTGTGGGGTGTAGGCTGGGCTTGGCAGGGCCAGGCTGGACCCAGGCTTCAGATGGGTTCCAGGATGCTCCATGTCTCTGTTCTGGAACCCAGGATGGAAGGGAGTTGTGACCTGCTGGGATCACAGGAGCATGAAAGACCGAGTCCCAACACACAAGCACATTTAAAACCTCTGCGTGCATCAATAGCTTAACTCCAGTGGGAGGTACAGCAGCGTCACATGGCGAGGGACAAGGATGTAAAATCCTAGACATAGTAGGAAGTAAAGAACTAGGAGCATTTTCCAACTGACCCCAGAGACTCCGTAAGTTTTTTGAGAATCTTCTGTTTCTTTCATTTGCAGCCACTTTTGAAATTTAGGGCAGGAAATTATATTACTTTTCCTTGGTTGGAATTTGGATAACATTTTCTTTTGATTTAAAATAAAGTATTTGTTTTAGTAAGAATTAGGAGATTGTCAACCTCTCATCTTTACCCAGAAGTCCTTTTATAGTCTCTGTAGAGGTTTTCTAAGCTTCTTTAGAAAGGAAACTCTGGTTTAAAAACAAAATTACAGATTATAGGAATTTCTTTATTACAAACCAAACCATCTGTTGCTGTAATTGGGACTCTAGTTCTGTGCTTCTTTCTGGGGATGCTCGAGCCCCAGTAAATGGTTTTGGGTCAGGTTTCTCCTGTTTGCTTTGGATGTCTTCTCTGGTTAAACTTTAAACAATCTAAAACATCCTTAAGTGATGTTTTAAAATGAATACTAGACATCTGCATGGCGTAAGTAAATTTGTATTAAAAGGGGGAATAAAGTGAGGCTTTCAAAAATTTTATTTAATAGTAGGTCACGAGAAAGATGATTAAACTTCTGGGTGAACTTGGGTGCATGGATGGATTTGCCAACTGGTGGGCTCTAGTGGTCATCAGCCCCCAGCTGGACTTTTCCATGGGGGGGTGGCCAGGATCTGGGCTGGAGTTGCTGAAGGATCTGGTATCGGGTACAGGAAGTACATGGTGTACACATAATTGATATATTGCATGGCAAAGGAGCACATAGCATGTGCATTGAGGGTCGAGTGTCCTAGAGTGTGAGATTCTTGTTCAGGATCTGTGCAGGGAACAACTCTCTAATCTCCTGCCAAAGGTGAGAGACAGCAGCACCCTGGTGTAATTGAGTAGAAGTATCTAGGCTCTAGCTGCTCCATAGTCAGAGATACGTTGACAATACTAATCCTATTTGTGTTATGAATTCCGTGCTTTTATTTATTTATTTATTTATTTATTTATTTATTTATTTATTTATTTGAGATGGAGTCTTGCTCTGTCGCCCAGGCTGGAGTGCAGTGGCACGATCTCAGCTCACTGCAACCTCTGCCTCCAAGGTTTAAGTGATTCTCCTGTCTCAGCCTCCCGAGTGGCTGGGATTTACAAGTACACGCCTCCATGAACAGCTAATTTTTTGTATTTTAGTAGAGACGGGGTTTCACCATGTTGCCCAGGCTGGTCTGAAACTCCTGAGCTCAGTCAGTCTACCCACCTCGGCCTCCCAAAGTGCTAGGATTACAGGCATGAGCCACTGCACCTGACCGAATTCACAGTTTTTAAAAAATTCCTTGCAGTCAGTGGGATTTCAGAAGAGAACAGAGATGCGTGCATTCATTCCGGCCACCATGTTGAACCAGACCATTCCTTTTATGTTCCTCTTTCCTGTGCTTCCTTTTCTTAGAGTGTCTTTGATCTCTTCTCTGTTTAATCAAACCAGAATAATCTTTCACAGTGCAGTTAAACTATTCCTCTCTCCCATTTACTGCCCACTCCTCATTTACAGAAACTTTGATTCAGCACTGGCTGTGGGCTAGTTAATGTGCTTGGCATTGAGGTGACCCAGATAGAAAGACACACAGCTCCTATTCTTGAGTCTAGATTACTGTTTAGAGGGGAGGCTGTTCAGGGAATGAGCATTTATTAGGCAGTTGGATCATGGAATTAATTGAGGTAAGTGACTGACAGTATGGGAGGATTGCTGCTTTGGTCAGAATGTTTATGTCCCCCCAAAATGCATATGTTGAAACCCTAACCTCCAATGTGATAGTATTGGGAGGTGATTAGGTCATGGGGGTGGAGGCCTCATGCATGGGATAAGTTTCCTTATAAAGAGACCTCAGAGAGCTAGCTTGTTCCTTTCACTGTGTGAGGATACAGTGAGAAGGCACCATCTGTGAACAAGGAAAAGGGCCCTCCTCAGATTCTGAGCATGCCAGCACCCTGATCTGGGACCCCCACCACGGTGAGAAATAAATTTCTAATGTTTAATTTGTTATAGCAGCCTGAACTATCTAACCCATGTCTGCCTGAAAGAGTCACAAAGACTTCCTTGAAGGAGGTGGCATTTGGGTGAACCCTAAGAAGGTGTTTTAAGCAGAGAGACCAGCATGAAATCACAACAGGACTATGAGAGAAAGCATGAACCCTGGTTCATTCCCTAGCTCAGTGTTACACAATGTCAAAGCCATTTCCTTCCTTTGCACTCCCACTGTCATTTTAAAATTTATTACTTTACCATTTCTATGTGTGAAACACAAAGGTTGCCAAGTCCTCTGGTCTCTGTTTCTTTAATATTCAAACACAATCCTCCAAATACATTTTCTAAGATTTTCACATCCCAGAGGCAAAAAAGGGTCCTGTCTGTCTTGTGTGCCCCAAGCGTTGACCCAGTCCAGTCCTTTTTTTTCTTCCTGTCCCACAGCACTCTCTAGAGGATTGCTGTGTTATAGACTTTTACTGAAGGCTTGAGAACAGAGGGGCACATGGCTCAGTCTTCTCTTTTTCTTGGGGCCTCTGCCCGCTGCCACATTGCAGGGGCTCATTCTCCCTTCTGTGTAACTTCTTTCCATTTCTTTTCTTCCCTGAGTTCCAAGTGCCCCCTATCCTTCCTTTTGAGTTTGTGGGGGAAACCAACAAAATTTAATTTCAGTTTTTCTTATTGAAATTGTTTCCACCTGTGGGTTTCTACAGGCTCATTTTCCTCAATTAAGCAAATTTTCCCCACCATCTTTTTGCTGTGGATGTGTCAGCCTTCTCTGCCAAATATAAGCCCCCTGAGGTTGGGGAGCTTGCTTATTTGTGTTTATATAACCAAGCATAATGTTTCACTCATAGTCATGACTCCAATAAATCATTCTCCATGTATTGCTGAAGGCTCAGGGTTTTGCAAAAATCCAATTGCATTTAATTCCCAAATGGCAGTTTCTTCATCCTCCGTGCAAGCCCATTTGATTCTTAAGCTGCTCCTCATTGAGATTCTTCCAGTCAAAGACAAATGATGGTGGTAAATACAGCAGGAGACCTGAGACTTCATCTGCTGGAGCCCTGGGCTTCCTTTTCCTGTAGCATCCACAATAGTCACAGGAGGCAGTTTGAGCATCTGCCCTCTTCCTACCATCAGGGGTGCATCTGCACTGGGCAAAGAAACTTCACCTATCAAGGGCCCCCGCAGAGGTCAAGAGTCTCAAGTGAGATGGTGTTGAAGTTTTGTGTGCATGTGAGTGAGGCAGTGGTAAAGGGGTGGTCACTGGTATGGATGCCCTTTTCCTCAGGGACTGAAAGATTATGGGACCTTCACCTCTGCTCTGTTTCTGTGTGATATTTCGTTCTTACAAGAGGCTGGAGGGATTTTAAATTTTCCTTTCACTATTCATTGATCAGTGGCACCAGTATTCGATCTGGCCAGTTCTACAAAGGATCCTTTGGTTGACTGGGGTTGGCTGGTGGCTCTTCTCATGAAGAGTACTAATGATAGTTTCTGGTTGTAAGTCCTGACAAGTTTCATGGTGGGTGGAGTGGTCTCCTTAACCGTATTTGTTATTGGTGGGTTTTCTTTTTTTTTTTTTTTAATTTTATTATTATTATACTTCAAGTTTTAGGGTACATGTGCACAACGTGCAGGTTAGTTACATATGTATACATGTGCCATGCTGGTGTGCTGCACCCATTAACTCATCATTTAGCATTAGGCATATCTCCTAATGCTATCCCTCCGCCCTACCCCCTCCCCACAACAGTCCCCAGAGTGTGATGTTCCCCTTCCTGTGTCCATGTGTTCTCATTGTTCAATTCCCATCTATGAGTGAGAACATGGGGTGTTTGGTCTTTTGTCCTTGAGATAGTTTACTGAGAATGATGATTTCCAATTTCATCCATGTCCCTACAAAGGACATGAACTCATTTTTTATGGCTGCATAGTATTCCATGGTGTATATGTGCCACATTTTCTTAATCCAGTCTATCATGGTTGGACATTTGGGTTGGTTCCAAGTCTTAGCTATTGTGAATAGTGCAGCAATAAACATATGTGTGCATGTGTCTTTATAGCAGCATGATTTATAGTCCTTTGGGTATATACCCAGTAATGGGATGGCTGGGTCAAATGGTATTTCTAGTTCTAAATCCCTGAGGAATCGCCACACTGACTTCCACAATGGTTGAACTAGTTTACAGTCCTATTGGTGGGTTTTCAAATCAATAATCGCCCATCCAAATGACATGGTAATAATGATTACTTGTAGGTATTTTTCTGTTGAAGATAAAGTTTTATATTGTCCTTTCCCTTCAGATTAGCTGCTGTATGCATTTTGAAGAAAATAACTCTTAGAAATAGAAAACTTGATAAAATTCTTGAATCACAAGCAGTATGACAATTCTGAGATATTTTCTTTCATTCCTATAGGATATATTTTAACTTCCTAGAAGGGGTTTAGATTTCTAAAGTCTATAAATTTTTTCTTCTTCAGAGGCTAGAAAAATACAACTTCTGTTTGCACAGCCATATGTTACCTAGATTTTTGAGGGCAAGCTGGAGATATGCTTGGTACATAGGCATTCTTGTGGGAAGTGATCCCCATGCCTGACTGTGTGTTCCCACTGTTCTTTGGACTGAGGAAGTTGATTTGAATTTCCCAGATGTGCTCAACTCTTGTAATCATCTGATGGGTTCGTCCTGACAGGTGCACAGACAAAACCAATTCACTGAGACTGTGGTAGTGAAGTAAAGAAGAGATTAATTGACATTGAAGTTGACCATGTGGAAAACTGGCATTATCACTCAAATCAGTCTCCCTGAAGGATTGAAAGTTAGGATTTTTCAGGGATGATTTGGTGGGCATGGGACTAGGGAATGGGTGCTGCTGATTGGCTGGGGAATGCAATCATAGGGGTGTGGAAAATGGCCCTTGTGCACTGAGGTTGCCTTGGGGTGGTTGGGGGGTGGGTACCACAGGACCCGTTGAGTCATGAATCATGAATCCAGGTTGGGTCAGTCTGAAAATATCTCAAAAGACCAATCGTAGGTTCTACAATAGTGATGTTATCTATAGGAGCAACTGGGGAAGTCAAAAATTTTGTGACCTCTGGCCACATGACTCCTGAGCAGTAAGGAATTATCAAAACTATGCCTACATTTTAGCAAAAAACATTTTCTTATGTTTTTTCATTAGTCTTACAAGGACAATTTCACTCCCCAACACAGAAGGAATCAGTTTTAGGGAGGGGCTATTATCATCCTTTCTTCAAAGTTAAACTATTAACTAAATTCCTCCCTGACTTACAGCCAGGAATGAGAAGCCAGGCATCCTGTGAGGCTAGAGGCAATATGGAGGAAGCCATGCTAGGCTTCTCTCACTGTCTTAATCTTTGCAAAAGCAGTTTCATGCTGGTGGGAGAAAACAGGTTTCTGGTTGAATTGGCACCTTTTCTCAACTGAGTGAATGAAGTCTTCTCAATGTTGGCTTCCAGTCAAGTAATGAGGCAATTTATTCAAATAGTAAGCCAGCTTGAAAGTGGAAGAAATGATGTTAAATTATAGCAATATCTACACAACTTAAAATTTCCCTTTCATGAAATATTAGCAGGTATATAAAATTTACTATGGAGTAACTGGGAGATTCCCCTTCTCATGAGTTCTTTGTTTTGAGATAAATAACAGCAGTAGGAATAGAGAAGGTAGGAAGGTTGGTATATCAGTCAGGCCTCGGCTCATGCAGTTTTTGGGGCTGGCAAGTTCAAAATCTGAAATTTCGGCCTGGCGCAGTGACTCACTCCTGTAATCCCAGCATCTTGGGAAGCTGAGGCAGGAGGATCACTTGAGGTCAGGAGTTCAAGACCAGCCTGGCCAACATGGTGAAACCTCATCTTTACCCAAAATACAAAAAATTAGCCAGGCATGGTGGCACTCGCCTGTAGTCCCAGCTACTCGGAAGGCTGAGGCAGGAATCGCTTAAACCTGGGAGGCGGAGGTTGCAGTGAGCTAAGATAATATCACTGCACTCCAGCCTAGGTGACAAAGTGAGACTCTGTCTAAAAAAAAAAAAAACCTGAAATTTATAGGACAGGCCAGTAGGTCAGAAGCTCAGGCAGAAATTCATGCTGTAGTCTTAAGGCAGAATTTCTTCTTCTGGGAAACCTTACTTTTTGCTCTTAAGGACTTCCTTGATTAGATGAGGCCCACCCACATCATTGAGGGTAATCTTTACTTAAAGTCAACTGATTGCAGAGGTTAACATCTACAAAACAATCTATTAATTATGACAACACCTAGGTTAGTGTTTGATTGAATAACTGGGTACTACTGCCTCACCAAGCTACACATTAGGGGGAGCATCACAGCAGATAAAGCTAGAGTTTTTGCAGGAGACAGAAGGAAATGGAAAGGGGAGTCTGATCCCTGAGGTGGACTATCAAGATATGGTGAGGAGGCAGGAGGGGAATTGAGTATATTGACATTGGACCGATACTTCTGAGACTGGAGAGAAATGAAAAAAAATCTACTCATCTGGATGCATAAATCAATTAATGTTATCTGTTAAATCTATTAAATTAATTAATTGTTTTCTATTAAAAAAATCCATGCATTTCTAAGACCAAGGCAGGTAGCTCTTTGGGGGACTGGGATGGCCACAGCTCTGAGCTGTAAAATCTGAATGTTTTTGGGAGGCTGAGGTGGGCCGATCACATGAGGTCAGGAGTTTGAGACCAGCCTGGCCAACATGGTGAAACCCTATCTCTACTAAAAATACAAAATTAGCCAGGTGTGGTGGCACATGCCTGTAATCCCAGCTACTCAGGAGGCTGAGGCAGGAGAATTGCTTGAACCTGGGAGGCAGAGGTTGCAGCGAGCTATCTTGCCACTGTACTCCAGCCTGGCGGACAGAGTGAGACTGTCTCAAAAAAAAAAAAAAAAAAATCTGAATGGTAAAAATGTACTGGGCTGGAAAACTGAAGACAGGAAAAACTTTCTTAGCCTATAGCCTATAGCTGCCTCTTAGCCTTAGCCTGTGCTTGTTCCAAACAAGCACAGTGAATCTTATTGAAACTTGAAGAAAGGAGAACTTAATAAATATCAATGGATCCAAGAGATAGGGAATGAAGATTAATTGTAGAGAGGCCGTTATTGTTAATTCAAGACATGTAAAAATGTTATTGACTACAATGTGCTGGCTAGCTTTATCATTGTAGATTAGTACACTTAAAAATATTTATAAAAGATTCACTCAGGACCATATTCCCTCAATCTTGATTTTCTCAAAAGGTCTTACTGTTCTACAGCTAGGAATTGTCCTACCCGGAAGATTTTTCAGGAATCCAACAATCTAATTTGGGAGGGATTCTGCTATTAGTTCCTACATGTAAAAGCTGAAGCATTAAATTCCTCATTGTCTGTATGATAGAGTATGTCTAATGGAATAGTGGGAAAGATTTATGGTTCAATTATTAATGTGTTAGCAGTGTTGATACATTTAACAAAACTCATTTCCCTTCAATAAAAGCCATTAGCTCTTTCTAAACTAAGCGCATCAACTTTGGTAGTTTAAGTAGATGTATTCAGTAGTTGCATAATGTTGACATTTAGTGTCCTATTTAGTGTCACTCCAACTACTGCACATGTGGTTTTCTTGTCCAGTTAAAAGGAGAAAAAGACAGTGTTTTCTTCATCTTCTTTTATAATACTGCCTGAAAATGGCCTTTTAAAGTCAGAAAACATCACTTACTTGGCTGTAGATAGTCACCAAGGCTTCAGTTTTTGTAGTTGTAATGAGCGTCAAATACTGATGGGGCCTAGTAAAACCTTGCAGGCCGCCTTGTAAAACTGCCTGGATTTCTGTTTGGATACAGAGTGGTATTGTTTCAGAAGCGTATGTGCTTTTCATAAACTTTTTTTCTGGTTAAAAATTTAAAAGGGAGCTACTTGTCATGTCTTGAGCATTAACTGAAGCTATAGTAGGCCTATACAACAATCATTTAGATGCTATTAAAAGTATATGAATAATAAAACAGCTAGAGTAAGAAAAGGTTTAAAAGAGTAACTTGGCCTTGGTAGAGGCCTCTTTGCAGAAGAGCTGCTTAGCAGGTTGTTTGGTTGTATTCTGGCTGTCGTAGGCAATTAAATGTTATTTGACATAGGCAATTAAATGTTATTTGACAATCAGGGAACTTGTACCCCTGCTTTTGGGTCTTAGTAGTAAAGGCTCTGGAACATTTCCTGGGTTGTAAATGGCAACAGAGCATAATGCAATAATATTCCTAAGAAATCACCTTGGGCTACTTAGTTTATATGAGATATTTATGAGGGCGCAAGTTTTATGAAGTTGTTTTATTGGTAAAAGTCAAAGGCACTAATAGCCCAGGGCCATGTAAGGAATTATGTGGGGTGTGGTGGAACAACTCTGGGTTTTTGGTGCAAAACAATCCCAGATCTGAACCTAAGTTCTGCTATTTAAGAGCTTTGCAATCTAGGACAAATTATTTAAGTTCTCTGAGTCTTAAATCCTGCTTTTATAAAATGGGTTTAGTACTAATAGCTATTGTGAAAATTTACTGAGAGAATTACTGAAGATAACGTGTATAAGGTACAGAGCACATCTCTGGTAACATATTTGGTGCCTAAGAATGTTAGTTCCTTTTTCTCCTTGTTATTTGAAGATTATTAGTGATTTTTTTTTTTTTGAGACAGGGTCTTGCTGTGTTGCCCAGGCTGGAGGGCAGTGGTGTGATTCCCGCTCACTGCAGCCTTGACTCCACAGGCTCAAGCGATTCTCCTACCTAGGCCTTCCTGGTAGCTGGGATCACAGGTGGATGCCACCACACATGGCTAATTTTTTGTAGAGATGGGGTCTTGCCATGTTGGCCAGGCTGGTCTTGAACTCCTGGGCTCAAGTGATCCACCCGCCTCAGCCTCCCAAAATGCTGAGATTACAGATGTGAGCCACTGCACCTGGCCGGTTATTAATGATCTAATATGATGTGATAGTATTACTGTTTAGTGGAAATCTTTTGTTTTTTTTTTTTTATAGCTGTGAAACAGCACAATAAATGGTCATAGTGTGAATACTGTGTAATGACCACTCAGATAAAGACACAGATCTGGCTGGGCATGGTGGCCCATGCCTGTAATCCCAGCACTTTGGGAATCTGAGGCAGGCTGGTCACTTGAGGTCAGGAGTTCAAGACCAGCCTGGCCAACATGGTAAAAATCCCGTCTCTACTAAAATTACAAAAATTACCCGGGAGTGGTGGTCTATGCCTGTAATCCCAGTTACTCGGGAAGCTGAGACAGGAGAATTGCTTGAACTTGGGAGGTGGAGGTTGCAGTAAGCTGAGATAGTCCGACTGCACTCCAGCCTGGGCAACAGAGTGAGACTGTCTCAAAAAAAGAAAAAAAGACACAGATCTCCATGAGTACCCCCAAATGCCCCCAACATTATCCCTTTCTTCTTCCCCAAAATAGTCATAATCCGACTTCTCACACCATTAATGAGTTTTGTCTGTTTTTAATCTTATGTAAATTGAAATACACTATTTTTATGACTGGCTTCTTTTACTCAACAGTTTTTATAAGATTCATCCATATTGTTGCCTATAGCAGTACTTCATTCACATTTCTGCATTGAATTTCATTATATGAGTATTATTTGTTCGTCTATTATTGATGGATATTTTGGAAGTTTCTGGTCTTGCCTAATAAAAATAGTGCCGTGGGCCAGGCATGACATTGTGCACCTGTAGTCCCAGCTAGTCAGGAGGTTGAGGCAAGAGGATCTCTTGAGCCCAGCATTTTGAGGCTATAGTGTGCCATAATCACACATGTGAATAGCCCTTACACTCCAGCCTGGGCAACATAGTGAGACCCTGTCTCTGGAAAACAGTAGTGCTGCTATGAAAACATCTCTTTCCATGAATACATACATGTATTTCTGTTAGAGATATACCTTGTAGTGGAATTGCTGACTTATAGGGAAGGCATGTGCTCAACTTTATTTTACATTGATTGATTTATTGTGCTGAATTTGAGTAGGGACTTCTAAACAGTTTTCCAAAGTGGTTGTACCAGGTAGTAGACAAACTTTGTATCGAGAGTTCTAGTCATACTTTGTGCCACACTTGGTATAGTCAGTCTTTTTAATTTTAGATAGGCAGGTAGTGGTATCTCATTGTGATTTTGAACACTTTGCCCTAATGTGATCTGAAATCTTGATTGTAAGAAATGGACCCTAGAGCCACTTTGGTGTGGAATGTAGCTTGTCCTCTAATCTTACTGACAAAGGAACCAAGGAAGATAGATGCTGGTACTGAGAATTTATGATTTTTAGGAAAATGAATAAATCTCTTGGTGATAATATGAGAATCTAAGGCCATATGAGCTGCAGTAAAAACTGGAGGTCCCTGAAGGTGGTCACAGCCTGAATCTTTCTTGAGAATCATGATGATATTTATTTAAGATGCACTAAGATTTTGAATTACCTGCTTGGCTCCACCCTCTTCCTTGCCCAACCTCTGTATGTTCAAAGCGGATCTGGAGACTTAACAGAACATTAAAGTGGATTAAAAGTAGCCTATTGTCCAGCAGAAGGCTGAGGGGTCGATGAAGGGCAGGGAGGATCACTGGGTGGCTTCATAGCCTCTCCCCTCCTGCACACACCTCCACTGCACTCCTTCCATCAAGAGGAGTCACCAGGGCACTTAGACTGGATTTAATCACTGTCTGATGGGACTGACTTTACTCAGTTGAATTAAACAAACAAAAAAACCCTAAGTTTTGTGAATGTGTTTTGTTGTTTACAAGTATTTTATTTGCACATCAAATTAATATGACCATAGAAAAATGTTAATGGCATCATTTTTCTATGCAATCAAAAGATGCATATAAACATATTGTACATCTTTAGTGATTAGTGTAACCAGCTCCCTATGTTAGACATTTAACTTGTTTAGTTTTCCTCTAGAAGAAACTAGAAACATCTTTTAAAGTTAATTCTGTATGTACAAGTGTAATTTTTAAAAACCTTTATTATGAAAAATTTCAAACATATGCAAAAGTAGAAGGAATAGGGAACAAATCTCCACAAATGCATGAATTTAGTTTCAACAGTGATGGTTCATCTCATCTATACTGTCCCATTATGCCCTGCCAAGTATCTCGAAGCAAATTCCAGGCATCACATCATTTGAACCTTAGTTCGAACTAGTGTGCACTTCTAAAAAAAAATCTTCTTCCTCTCCTCCTCCTTCTACTCCTCCATCTTCTTCTTCCTCCTTCTTCCTCTTCCTCTTCATCTTCTCCTCCTCCCCCTCCTCTTTCTCCCCTTCATCTCCTTCTCCTTCTTATTCTATTTTTTCCCCCCTCCAAAGAGACAAGGTCTTGCTCTGTTGCCCAGGCTGGAATGCAGTAGCACAATCACAGCTCACTTCAGCCTCGAATTCCTGGGTTCAAGTGATCCTCCTGCCTTAGCCTTCCAAGTAACTAGGACTGTAGGTGCATGCCACCATGCCCAGTTAATTTTCTTAAAATTAAGAATTCTTTATACAAACTGTGATAGTTTCTCATGTTTAAACCATATGTGTATTGTAGAAAAAAGTGGGAAGACTAGGTGGCTCTATTAGCTCGCTCTCTCTCTTTTTTTTTTCTGAAATGGAGTCTTGTTCTGTTGCCCGGGCTGGAGTGCAGTGATGCGATATCAGCTAACCACAACCTCTGCCTCCCAGGTTCAAGCGATTCTCCTGCCTCAGCCTCCCAAGTAGCTGGAATTACACGCACCCACCACCACTCCCAGCTGATTTTCATAGTTTTAGTAGAGACACAGTTTTGCCATGTTGGCCATGATGATTTCGAACTCCTGACCCCAGGTGATCTGTCTGCCTCAGCCTCCCAAAGTGCTGGGATTACAGGTGTGAGCCACCGTGCCCGGCCTCTATTAGCTTTCTGTTGCTACATAACAAGTAACTTAAACTTAGTGGGTTAAAAGTACACACATTTTGGCTGGACGTGGTGGCTTACACCTGTAATTCCAGTACTTTGTGAGGCTGAGGTGGGTGGATCACTTGAGATCAGGAGTTCGAGACCAGCCTGACCAATATGGTAAAACTCTGTCTCTACTGAAAATACACACGCGTGCACACACACACACACACACACACACACACACACGCAATTAGCTGGGCCTGGTGGTGTGTGCCTGTAGTCCCAGCTACTCAGGAATCTGAGACAGGAGAATTGCTTGAACCTGGGAGGTGGAGGTTGCAGTGAGCCAAGATTGCACCACTGCACTCCAGCCTGCGTGACAGAGTGGGACTTCCTCTAATAAAGGGGGAAAAAAACCCACAAAAAATGACACACATTTCTTATCTCACAGTTTCCATGGGCCAGGAGTCCAGGCACAGCTTAGTGGAGTGTCTGCTTCAGGGTCTCAGAAAGCAGTGATCAAGGTGTTGGCCAGAGCTGCAGTCTCATTCAAGGCATGGGGTCCTCCTTTAAGCTCACCTGGCTGTTGGCAGAATTCAGAAGCTACTCATAGTTCCCACCACACAGCCCTCTCAATAGACCCCATCACAACACACAGCTTGCTTCTTCCAGCTAACAAGGGAGAGAAGTCTCCGACGTCAGGCAAGGTCCAGTCTCTCTTTTAAGAACTTTCACTTGATTAAGTCAGGCCCAACCAGGATAATCACTCTTTTTTTTTTTTTTTGAGACAGAGTCTTGATCTGTCACTGAGGCTGGAGGGCAGTGGCACGATCATAGCTCACTGCAGCCTCAAACTCCTGGGCTCAAGTGATCCTCCTGCTCCAGTCTCCCAAGAAGCTGGGACTGTGGGCGCTTGCCACCACACTTGGCTGATTTTTGTCTTGTTTTGTGATTTTTAGTGGACACAAGGTCCCTCTATGTTGTCCTGGCTGGTCTCAAGCTCCTGAGCTCAAGCGATCCTCCCACCTCAGCCTTCCACATTCTTTTGATTAAATAAAAATCACTGATGTGGGACCTTAATTATACCTGCAAAATCCTTTTACTTTTCCTATATTCTGTTGTGTAGATGTCAGTCACAGGTCCTACTTGTACTGAAGGGGTGGAGACTACACAAAGGCATTAGCAATAACCAAGAAGCAAATAATATCCGAAATTCTATCCTACTACTAATTTAGGGCAGGAGTTGGCAAACTCTTTTTGTAAGGGGTTGGATAGTAAATATGTCAGGCTTTGTGGACCAGATGGTCTTTGTTGCAACTGTTGGGCTCTGCTATTGTAACAGGAAAGCACCCACAGATAGTATGTAAATGAATGGGTGTAGCTGTGTTCCAACAAAGCCATTTATAAAAACGGGGTGGCCAGCACTTTGGGAGGCTGAGGTGGGTGGATCATTTGAGGCCGGGAGTTTGAGACCAGCCTGGGCAACATGGCAAAACCCCATCTCTACAAAATAATACAAAAGTTAGCTGGGTGTGGTGGTGCGCACCTTTAGTCCCAGCTACTTGGGAGGTTGAGGTGGGTGAATCCCTTGAGCCCAGGAGGCCGAGGCTGCAGTGAGCCTTGATTGTGCCACTGCATTCAAGCCTGGGTGACAGAGTGAGATCCTGTCTCAGAAAAACAAAAACAAGTGGTAGGTCACGTTTGGTCAGTGGGCTGTAGTTTGGCGACCCCTGGCTTAGGGTATGTGATATTCTAATATACTTTTTTCTCCTTAAAAGTACACACCCACATTCAAAACCACTGACTATGATACTATTTTATAACCTACTGGGTTGGTATCAACTCTTATGGGCACTAGATGAAAATGATATCTAAAAGTTTCTTATTATTTTGAGACAGAGTTTCACTCTTGTCACCCAGGCTGGAGTGCAATGATGTGACTTCAGCTCACTGCAAGCTCTGCCTACCAGATTCAAGTGATTCTCCTGCCTCAGCCTCCCAAGCAGCTGGACTTACAGGTGTCTGCCACCACGCCTGGCTAATTTTTGTATTGTTAGTAGAGACAGGGTTTTACCATGTTGGCCAGGCTGGTCTCGAACTCCTGACCTCGAGTGATCCACCCGCCTTGACCTCCCAAATGCCTCAGCCTCCCAAAGTGCTTGGCCTCCCAAGGGCGTGAGCCACTATGCCTGGCCCAATATATTTCTTGTAGAGCTTGCCTTGAGAGCATTATTGATTCCCTCTCTTAATAATTCCTAATTCCTACCATAAAGGTGAACTTTTTTTTTTTTTTTTTGAGATGGAGCTTCGCTCTTGTGGCCCAGGCTGGAGTGAAGTGGTGCGATCTTGGCTCATGGCAACCTCTGCCTCCCAGGTTCAAGTGATTCTCCTGTCTCAGCCTCCCGAGTAGCTGGGATTACAGGCATGCACCACCATGCCCAGCTAATTTTTCTTTTTTTTTTGTATTTTTAATAGAGATGGTGTTTCATCATGTTGGCCAGGCTGGTCTCAAACTCCTTACCTCAGGGGATCCACCTGCCTCGGCCTCCCAAAGTGCTGGGATTACAGGCATGAGCCACCGCACCTGGCTGAATAACTTTTTTTGAAACTTAGTGCCAACAGAAAATTTGCTTCCCCTGACTAACTGATTTTTTAATTCTATTACAAAAATTCTATAACTCACCATATATCTCTTTGTATTTTGGCTTCCAGGAAGCTCAGAGTCTAAGTGAAACCTGATTATGGAACTATAAAGACCTGAGAGTTTGCATATTATTCTTATCTGCCCAGGCATGCTATTTTATCCTTACTTTAATTCACTGTGTTTCTCCACTATTATTTTATTGTGTAAACAAACTCCTTTGTGGAATAACATAGAGTAAAAATATAAACTTCTGTTCATTGAACTAGAAGGAAGCACTGAATTTATATGCATAATAGCTCCAAATTAGAAACAGCCCAAATGTACATTAAGAGGAGAATTAATATATTGTGGTATAATCATATGATGGAATTTTATATAGCAACAAAAAAGACCAACTACTGATACATGCTACAGTGTGGAAGAACCTCATTGATACTGTGCTGAGCAGAAGAAGTCAGGCACAAAAGAGTAGAGATGGCATGGTTCTATTTAAGTCCAAGGGCCCATAACATGAATCAGAATTGGTGAAAGTCAGGTGATTGCCTTGGAAAGGGATGATTTCTTGGTCAGTGTCAAGAGGAAACCTTGTGAGGTGCTAGAAATATCCTGTATCTTGAACAGAGCTGGTATGGAGTGTATACCCATGTTAAAAAAAATTACTAAAGTGTAAACTTAGGATTAGTACACATTATGCATTTTGCTTTGTGTATATATATCCTCCCCATGAAAGAGAACTACTTAAAATATAGTTTCTTGCTCATTTCCCTTCTATGTTTATGCAAAAGCGTCTATTGGGAAAAAACTTTAAAACCAACAATCTCAAAAGTGTGTAACTTTTAAAATTTCTGAAGTTCATAAGTTAGCAGCAATTGTACACTTTTATTACACTACCTCTTAAGTGCATAGCTGAAAATATATGTAAAGATAGCTTCTGAACCACAACAAAAGAGTCAAAGCCTATGGTTGTACTATTTGTTCCCTTCATAATGTGGCTGAGAGGGTGAGTGGGAGTTGGAGTTGGCTTTAGGCCACTTGCCAAGCTCAGCCCCTGAAGGCAGTGGCTGTCTATAGTGGCATCTTTTATAATTTGCACAAAAATACTTTTTCTAATTTGCACTTCAAGGCACAGGTCTGTAGCAGCCCTGCACAAAGATGATACTTATGGTATAATGTTAATTTTTAGGACTAACTGTATTTGGTCATCTTTAGAATGGAAGCCAGCCTCTGCTTGGGTCTTTGCAATCTAAGGGATATTTTAGAAACTAGAATAGGAAGAGTCAATATCAATTTCCTCTCACTTTTGATGTCTGTATTATGCTTAGGGATGTTAAGAATACAATCTCTAGTTGGCCTAGTAAAGGCTTAATGGGGCAGAGCCACATGGAGTTTGAGGAAGAATGAATTTTTGCTGACCTAAGAGATCCATACTTTTAGCTGAGGTCTCTTGGAAAGATTGAGTTCATCTTGACTCTAAAAGTGGTCAGAGTGGCCATCACTTAGAAGAGACCATGTGAGTGGAAGGTGAAAGGAAGCATCGAATCAAATCTATCCTAGCAGAAACACAAGTGTCCAGGAAAGAAAGCAACAAGAAAAACAAAAAGCAGATTGAGATCAAAAAAGACACTTAGCATTTTTATAGATACACATTTCAGGTTGCAGTTTACCTCATCAAACAGGTAAATGGAGACCATTAAGACCCACCTCTTACCCAGATATGTAAGACTAAAGCTAAACCATATTGAAATATTAATACACACTGCACTGCTGCTCAGTTTATACTTGCCTTTTCTCATCTGATATGAGACACACTGGAATTACAAGTAGGTTCAAAGTTTTCTCCATCACAATAAAATGGTGTGTCCGGAAATAATAATGAAAAAGTCCAAACAATATGTTTTGGTAAGTCCAATGAAAGATTACTCATATGACTCTAGCTTAAGGTTAAGAAAAAAAATATAGTACCTATTTTGGGTACTTCAGATATATTTTGGTAAAATTTGGACTTAAACATACAGATAACTGGTATTGCTCTTTTTTTTTTTTTTTTTTTTTTGGAGACGGTGTCTCACTCTGTCACCTAGGAGTGCAGTGGCATATTCTCGGCTCACTGCAACCTCTGCCTCCCAGGTTCAAGCAATTCTCATGCCTCAGTCTCCCGAGTAGCTGGGATTACAGGCATGCGCCACCACACCCAGCTAATTTTTTTGTATTTTTAGTAGAGATGGGGTTTCCCCAAGTTGGCCAGGCTAATCTGGAACTCCTGAGCTCAGGTGATCCACCCACCTCGGCCTCCCAAAGTGCTGGGATTACAGGCGTGAGCCACTGCGCCTGGCCTGGTGTTGCTCTTAAGACTCTTGTTGGAGGAAGTTTGCTGTGTAGTGCTGTTAACTCAGCCCTTTTAAAGTAATGGAGAAATAATTTTCTGCTAAAAATTTTAGATGTTAGGATCTCTTCCTTCTCCAGCAAAACAATCTGAACACACTCACCATGATGAAAAGCCTATTGGGTTTTTGCTCCTTGAACACACTCCTGGATTTGTTGATGAACTCCAGACTTGGTCAAGTTTTCTTTGTGTCAGACCCACTTAAAATTGGCTTAAGCAGAAAATAAAATTTACCAAGAAGATCTTAGCCATGCAATCTGGGTTCCAGTTTCAGATTTCTGGGAGAGAAACTTGATTGACCCAGCTTGGGCCAGGTCCCCAGCCCTGAGGCCATTACCTATGGCTGGTGGCAGAGTCAGATGGTCCTAATGTAGCTATGGGGTTCATCTGTGGGAGTCTTAATTCTCAGCAGATACAGGTAAATGCTAGGAAGATATCTCCAAAGTTGTTCACTATAACTCAAGGATTCTCTACGCTCTCAACTCAGCCCCCACGTTGACAGTAAGTATTAAGCTGACCAGCATCCCTATTGGACACCATTCCTAATGGGGCTTGGGTTTCCACATTTCCTCTTTGTTTCTTTATCACAGAAGCCAGCCCCAGAATCAAGTCCATGCCTGAAGTTATTGGGCAGGAAGTTATGGGGATAGAGTAGGTGGGTGACCAGTCCTAGGCTAAAACCTTTTGTGATTTTGAAAAGCATTTGTTTCTCATTGCCTAAGTGGCTATCTTTATCTGAAAATAGTTTGTTTACTTAAATTTTAAATCTTGCAAGGTGTGGTGAGATTTTGTGTTTATATGTGAATTTAATCTTCTTTGTGGGCCCAGAATTTTAAAAACTGTTTTAAATTGAATGGAGAATGGCATGGTTCTTGAAAGCAGACTGATTGTGTTTAGCCCAGCTGGCTCTTGGTGATGGCAAGCACACATTTCCCATTTCTAAGTAGGCTTGATTCTTGACAATCACATTGACAGGGACTCCCTCTTTTCTTTTCTCTTCTTTTCTTTCTCCCTTCCTTTCCCTTCACTTCCCTTCTCCTTCCTTCCTTCCTTCCTTTCCTTTCCTTTCCTTTCTCTCTCTCTCTTTCTTTCAATTCATTATGGTGGTTTATTTTGTGGAGTTCATAAAAGAACTCCAGGGACAAGATTGCTTTGACCTGTAGAGCTCAGATGTTTTCTAAACCTTTGATTTCTACTTTTTAATCTTAAAATGCAGTCTAGATTTCTGTAGCACTTTTGCCTGTTTTGCTCATGAGAAGACCTCCCTGGTTGATGTTCCTAGGATACAGCTAGCATGGGTTCACTTTTGTCTACTTCTTCAGTGCCTGTGGTTGACCAGGCATTTTACTGGATATAAAACAGTAAGAAGTCTCTGGTCAGAAAAGATACCCGTGAGAGTTGAGTGTATGTCTTAGTCTGTTCAGGTTGCTATAGCAAAATACCACAGACCCAGGTGGCTTATAAACAATAGAGCTTTATTTCTCCTAGTTCTGGAGTCTGGGAAGTCCAAGGTCAGGGCACTGGCAGGTTTGGTGTCTGGTGAGGGCCCACTTTCTGGCTCATAGACAATGACTTCTTGCTGTGTCCTCGTTGGAGAAAAAGAGAGAGCCTCCCTCTTGGGTCTTTTTTATAAGGGCACTAATCCCATTCATGAGGGCTCCACCCTTATGACCTCAGCACATCCCAAAGTCCCCACTGCCTAATACCATCACCTTGGAGGAAAGGATTTCAACATAGGAATTTGGGGGGGACACAAACATTCAGGTCATAGTGAGATGTAAATGCATCAGTGCCCTATTCTAGGAGAAGAACTGCATGACAACATCAAGGCTGTGGCAATAACACAAGGGAGGCAGGTGACAACATCAAAGCTGTGGCAATAACACAAGGGAGGGAGGGCCCACTCGGTATGGGGCGTTGTGAAGGGCTTCACAGTGGACATGGAACCATCTCCTCTCTTGTTCATGCCAACCCAGACAATCACCAGTGGAGGTCCCCAACCTCCCTTCCTCATCTCCTGATTGTGTTGGGCTCTAGCCCTGAAAACTATGTTCCATGGCTTGGTGCCAAGACCCTCTTCTCATATGAGTGCTTTAGCGGGCAGGTTGGGAGGGAACACTGCTGTCCACTGTTCTGGGAAGTCCAAGGCCCGACATCCTCTGGGTAAGTTTTCCCAGCATCCTGGAACTTGAATTTGTAGATAAGGCGAGATGAATAGTTCAGGCTTAACTCACTCTAATTTAGCTGAGTAGACAAATGAAAGCAAAACACACGCAGCACAGCACAACCGAACTCAGCCCAGCACAACACAAAACCTCCACTAAACCTAGAATCACAGTCAGCAGCCTGTCACAGTGGTGAAGCCCTAACACGATAATTTTGTCTAATCCCACCTGGTTCAAAGATCACAAAGCAAATTCTAGCCAGAACACTTGAAGTCGGGGGGCACAAGGGCTTTCACATGCACTTATGAGGCAAACTACAGTGAAGAGTAAGTGCAGACGAGCTTCTCAGTACTGAGCTGATCGCTGTAAGAAATCTGGCAAAACTTCCCAAGTCTCTGTATTTAGGGCGGAAAAAAATAGCAGCAGCAGAGACAAGCTAATATCAAAGGCAATTTATAATCAGCTATTTTGGAGGTTTTTCTGGGCACCTCCTACACTTACTTGAATCTTGGAGAGTGGAGAGTACTGTAAGTGCTTCTATCTATATCTGTGTTTATCCAAGCCCCAAAAATCAGGCCATCAACAAAAGAGAACCCTACTTTGGTCACTGACAGCAGCTGTACAGTTCCTAGCCTCACTGGCTTTGGTTCCCTTATTTTTAAAATGGGGACAATAACGTTGAGAGAATAAAGATAAAATATGGGAAGTTCTGAGCACAGAGCTTGGAACACAGTAGACACTCAAACCTGGTAGTTATTGTTTTCATACCAGCAAAGAAAAGCCTGACAGCTGTCTAACTCCTTGCTACTCTAAGTGTGGAACACAGACCCGAGCCAGCTGGCAGATTGTTGGTTACCAGTCTCCAATGACATTAGCACTGAGATGGAGAGGCAGCACTTGAAACTTTGAAATTTGGCAGAGTAATTTTATGTGTGTTGAATCTAGTAATAAAATAGCTGGTCTTGTATTTTGTTTGTATTTGTGCCTTTTCTGAAGTTTATTTTGTTGGGCCAGGCATGGTGGCTCATGTCTATACTCCTGGCACTTTGGAAGGCCAAGGCAGGCAGATCACCTGAGGTCAGGAGTTCGAGACCAGCCTGGCCAACATGGTGAAACCCCATCTCTACTAAAAATACAAAAAATTAGCCAGGCGTGGTGGTGCATGCCTGTAGTCACAGCTACTCGGGAAGCTGAAGCATGAGAATCGCTTGAAACTGGGAGGCGGAGGTTGCAGTGAGCAAAGATTGCACCACTGTACTCCAGCCTGGGTGACACAGCTAAACTCCATCTCAAAAAATAAATAAAATAATGTTTATTTTTTTGATAATTTGTAGTATTTACAAAAGTCTGAGTCTACAACAGTTTGCAAGTATAAGAAACTCATCCTTCCCTACAGGTAGTTTGAGAAGCACTGTTGTAGTTCATTCATTACCCACCACCTCACTTACTAAAACCCCAGCCCCAAATGCCTTTGCATCATTTAGGGAACCTACAGAGCATCTCATGTGTGCTCACAACCATTCCTCTTGGCTACCTCCTATCCTTCCTCTCCACTGTGCTATCGTTATGCTGGTCAGGGTGCACCTATCATGGTGCCTTGTTCTCTTCTTTCGTTCACTGCAGCAACTTCTCTATCCTGCCCTGGTCATCACCAGGGAAAAGCTTTCCCTGACCTTGGGACGCTATGACTTCCTCATTAAGCATAACTTCTCTGTACCTTTCATGGTGTAGATTCTAGAGATAAAGCTTTTACTCAACTCATTATAGCCACCCTCAACTTTGGAAACTTGACAGGTGTCCTAGGCCCTGGACCAGGAGGAATTTGGATTTCGGCACATTATATCAAAGCCATCCTTCTTGTTCTCTTCCCAACTTGAACATTTTGTCTCTCTTCCCTCAGGGTGTATTTTTCCTCCCCATTTGGGTGACTACTTCCTAAGTTGAGCAGTGGTCATCTTTCTCCAACTTCTGGGTGGAAGAGTCATGCTCCTGCACTCCAACCGCCAGGCGTGGCATGAAAGGAGATCGTCTCTCCTATACCCCAGCCAGTCATGCCACACCTCAACCAGGCTGGTCCTTATTCCTTATTTTCACCTGCTGGCCTGCAGGCTGGGGTCATTTTGGGGGGCTTTCTAAGATACCACCCTGTGTTGCCTTCTGGAATGACAGATTGATTGCACTGATGGATCCTCCCTGTATCCACACCTCCCTGTATCCAAGCCCTTTGCTAGTGGCCTTCCACACTGACTCTAGGCTTGGCAATGTGACTTTTGCCAATGGGATAAAACAAACTTGATACAACTAGAGACTTGAAGAAGCACTTGGGCACTTCTTTTTCCTTTCTTGGGCCCTGCTGCTGCCATAAAAAATACCTTGAAATAGCATGCTGGGGGAAAATGACTGACACATTGAAAATGTCAAGTGACTGACACAGTGAAAATGTGAAGTCACATTGAAAATGACTGACACATTGAAAAGAGTCAAGTAATCCTAAACCAGCCAGCCTAAACCAGCCAGCCCCTTTGACCCACAGATGACCCACATATGTGACCACAGATGACCCTTTGACCCACAGATGACCACAGATGCATGAGCCAAGATCAGCTGGCCAGCTGAGCAAAAGATTCATGAGAAATAACAAGTGCTATTTTAAGTAACTGAATTTTGGGGGATAGTTTTAAGCCACTTGATTTTTTAGGATAGTTCGTTACACAGAAGTAGCTAACTGATATACAGTCATCCCTTGGTATCTATGGGGAATTGGTTCCAGGAGCCCCCACAAATACCGAAATCCATGAATGCTCAAGTTCCTTATATAAAATTGTGTAGTATTTGCATGTAACCTACACGTATCCTTTTTTATGCTTTAAATCATCTCTAGATTACTCATAATATCAAATACAATGTAAATGCTATGTAAATAGTTGTATTGTTTAGGGAATAATGACAAGAAAAAAGTCTGTACATGTTCAGTACAGATGCAACTATCCGTTTACTAAAAAAAATTTTGATCCTCAGTTGGTAGAATACACAAATATAGAACCCATGAATATGGAGGGCCAACTGTAACAGGTATTTTTATTTAAGTGAAATCAAGTTAAAATGATCATTCATTAAGAGCATTCAAAAGGCTGAGCTACAGGAAGGACATGTGAGAAATGGAGGAGGCAAAAACCCTTTTCCTGGGGTATAGTTTTCTCTTTAAAGTATTATGAATGGATTGTATGCCTATAAACCTTTGGGATTTTTTTTTTTTTTTAAATAAGCTCTTTCTTCCTTATCTTTGTCACTTCCCTGTGTTCCTTGGAGTTGGGAGGCCTGGACAGATTAATATATATTTTGCTGGCAGATGATGCAATCCATGAGCTCCTGGAGCAAGAGCAAGATTCAGCTTTGTTGGAAGGGCTCCCCGGAAGAGAATGTGAGGGTACAGTGAGTTTCCTTAAATAAAGAGTGAATTTTTCTTTTAAAACGTTGAGCTTTTCCTGAAGTATTTTTGCTGAGGTTGGCATCATGTGCTTAGGGTTAGTTCCCATGTTTTAAAATCTTGTCTTTATGCGAAGAGGAGTAATTACTAAGTTAAAATAACCCCTCACTTCCTTCTTTTTAGAGTGACCTGATGTTATTTCCTTATTAAGGAAATTGAATGACCTGTAGCCACACATTTGTATTTGGGGTGGGGGTCGAGAATTGCATGAAGACTTTTGTTGGACACTTTTACTGTTCCCTAAATGGAACGTCTGGATAAACAAATGATTTAGCTGGGAGAAAAATTGAACCTTTTAGAAAAATCCAGAGAATGTCTAATGAGAATATGAGCTTGTTTCAGGGATGTGAGAAGACTGACTGGAATTAACACCAAAGAACTAACACAAATATAGCCGAGATCACAATAGTTTATTATGTAACTAAGATGTGCCTGTACCTGGCAGAAAAGGATAGAGAAATAAGATCAGGTGAATATTTATTATGTTACCTAAAACAGCTTCATTGTTATTTTCCATGTGCTATATTCTAAATAGTATAGTCCTATACTTCCCTTAGGCGGTTCCTAAAACCTGATTTCCAAATATTCCCTTTATTTCCTACTATTACCTTTTCAGCCAATACAATGTTATTTTCTCCAATAGTATCTGAACAAACATGGAAATCCATGGATTTATGTCAAATTAATGAAAAATGAATGAGCAGCCCATGGATGACATCTAATACCTGTATTCCCTGGTCACATACATATAATTTTAGGTGTATACTTTTCTTTTCTTTTCTTTTCTTTTTTTTTTTTTTTGAGACAGAGTCTCACTCTGTCACCCAGGCTGGAGTGCAGTGGTGCAATCTCGGCTCACTTCAACCTCTGCTCCTCGGTTTAAGTGATTCTCCTGCCTCAGCCTCCTGTGTAGCTGAGATTACACGTGCACGCTACCATGCCCGGCTAATTTTAGCATTTTTAGTAGAGACGGGGTTTCACCATGTTGGCCAGGCTGGTCTTGAACTCCTGACTTCAAGTGATCCTCCTGCCTCAGTCTCTTAAAGTACTGGGATTACAGGCAGTAGCTACTGCGCCCGGGCTTAAAATTTTCTTAATTTACTGGTTATATCTATAAAGGTGAGTTATCCTTTTGCAGAAAGTATTTGATTCTGAAGTTGATTCTACAGTCTTTCAGCACCTTTAGCAGTTTCATCTGTTTCCATAATGTAGTTGGTCCATTTTGACTAAAATGATTTGATTCTTTGAAAACATATCAAATTTAAATGATAAATATTGAATAATCCTTTTTGTGGGGGGGGTTAGAAAGGCATCTTGTTAAATTCTGTATGAGCTATTACTTTCAGTTCAACAACTGAACAAATATTGAATGTAGGGCACTGTGCCAGACCCTGCATGAAGATTTAAAGGCAGATGTTGTTTCAGTTTATGGGTATGATTGAACATGAATAATTTATTTTTCATTTTTGTTTTTGATATTTTAAATTATTACTTTTAATATATTGTTGGGAATAGATACCACTTACACATAATATAAAAGAGCAAAGGTGAAAGGTAAGACAAATTTGCTTTCTTTATCTATCAGGAACCTAGTAATTGGAGGCAACTACTGTAGCCTTCCCAAAGTAATTCATGCATCTAAAAGCCAACACACTTGTTTGTGTTGTTACTGTTACACAAATGGTATCATATCATGTATATTGTTCTGCACCGTGCCTTTTAAAAAGCTTACTATATATTGGAGATCTTGCCATATCTGAACAGGTAGAATATGTCTCGATCTTTCTAACAACTGCAAAATACTTTATTGCATGAAGGTGTCACACTTGGTTTAATCAGCCATTTATTGATGGCAGTCAGGTTGTTTCCAGTCTTTTGCTATTATAAACAAGGTTGCCATTGTTTTGCCCTGCATATAACTTATTTTACATGCAATGTAACATAAAAGTGTATATGCCCTAAACATTTCCGCAGATGAAGAAAACATGGGAACAACTCAGAATCTCTTTTCACTCTTTTGCTTTAAAATTTCATCTTTTCAGTTTCCCTGAAAATAAATATTTCATTCAGTTGTTTTTGTTTTCAAACTTCTTGAAAACTTTAAATCAGATATTTTGAAATTCTGGAAGCCCCAAACTGTATCATAGTGTGGACATCTAACCAATAGCTTTGCAGGCCAGTGCTTCTCAAACTATCTGTGGTGAAAACTAGTTTTCCTTTTTATTTGTTTTATTATTTAAAAAATTTTCCCATCCATCACAGTCCAATATCACTGTGTGGCTCACACCACATGCCACTCATCATGAGACAGATGATGTTCACGTTCAAGCTGGCCTCTATCTTGGTTCAAGAAACAATTAAGTTACTGATCACGCGCTTGGATGTCGTGTCAATGTCAAATTCTGATAAAAGTTTGTAGTCACTCTCTCTTAGTTTCTGATCACAGACCAGTTATAATTTGTGAATGGACTGAGTAGCAGTGTTGTAGGACACAAGATTGAATGCCTCCTAATCACTCTTGGTCTCAGCCTCTAGGAGGAAAACGCTGTTCTGAAAGAAGACCGTATTTCTCTGAATGGACAAAGTCACACTGAATAAAGAGCAAATTTTGTTTTCAGGGTCTTACATACATTCTTTCTTGGTCACTTCCTGCTCTAAAAATTATATTCAAGAGAAAGTCACCTTGGCCAAATATATATTCACGACAATGATTATCAAGGCCTCTCATTCCACACGTAAGCAAACTCAAAATTATGGTTGGGGCAGGGCACGGTGGCCCACGCCTGTAATCCCACCACTTTGGAAGGCTGAGGCAGGTGGATCACCTGAGGTCGGGAGTTTGAGACCAGCTTGGCCGACATAGTGAAACCCTGTCTCTACTAAAAATACAAAAATTAGCCAGGTGTGGTAGTGCACATCTGTAATCCCAGCTACTTGGGAGGCTGAGGCAGGACAATCACTTGAACCTGGGAGGTGGAGGTTGCAATGAGCTGAGAACATGCCATTGCACTCCAGCCTGGGTGACAGCGTGAGACTCTTGTCTCAAAAAAAAAAAAAAAAAAAATTGTGGTTGGTCATGGAAAAACACATTTTCTTAACTGAAGTCATTGCAGATCACTAAGGGCTCCACTGAGGATATATTAATAATGTTCTTTTGAAAAGCCTGGGGAACTCTTATGAGAAAAGAAAAACTCAAGGACTCGTTTTCCTGTTTTTCGAACCTTTTTTTTTTTACCCGTTTTCTTTAAAATAGAGAATCAAAATATGCACGAGCTACGGCTCTCTTTATATGTGAGTGCTAGTGCCAGGGCCAGGAAGTTCTCAAGGTGTTAATGCCACAGCAATGACCAACATTTCCTTGCTTTCTGTAACGAGTGAAAAGAGAGTGAAGGACTCTAGAGGCTGACTACAGAGTGCTGACCACATGGTAAACCTGAGTCCAAACTTGAGAAAAAAAAGCAACTTTTCTATAACAGAAGCATCACTAAAATAAAAAGCATTCATGTAATTATATTATCAGCCCTTTCCATCTCCTGGGACAAAGAGAAATATTAATTAAAAAAGATAAACTTTGTAGTCTGGAACATATGGAGCCTGAGTGCTTTTCTTCATTCTTTCTTTCTTTTTTTTTTGGACACTTGGAGGCCAAAGGCCAAGCTCTCACAATTTTCTGACTTGTCAGCCTCTACCTCCGGTAGGGAAGGACGTTAGGTCAATTGGTTCCTAACAAGAAACTGCTCAGTGGGAGTCCCCCGCCCTCCACCCCAGAGAGAGAGAGAGAGAGAGAGAGAGAGAGAGAGAGAGAGAACACAGAGACAGAGATAGAGGGAGATGTGTGAGCTGGACCATATGTATCTACAATTATTTGAAACTTCTTTTTTTTTTTTTTTTTTTTAGATGGAGTCATCTTCTCTCACCCAGGCTGGAGTATAGTGGCCTGATATTGGCTCACTGCTACCTCTGCCTCATGGGTTCAAGCAATTCTCCAGTCTCAGCCTCCCGAGTAGCTGGGATTACAGGCGTGCGCCACCATGTCCAGCTAATTTTTGTATTTTTGGTAGAGATGGGGTTTCACCATGTTGGCCGGCTGGTCTTGAACCCCTGACCTCAGGTGATCTGCCTGCCTCGGCCTCCCAACATGCAGGGAGGCATGTGCCACCGCACCCGCTGCTCACAAGCGTGAGCCACTGCACCCGGCACAATTATTTGAAACTTCTAAATGCATACTCTGAAAGGCATTTTTTTTTAAAGGTAATTCTCTTAAAAAAAAAGAGATGTTATAACATTGGATAAATTCCAATGTTTGAGAACAATGGGCAAGATGGTGGGGGTAATTATGCCTGTTTCAGAGGCTATGTAGAGCTAAAATATCTCTCATAAGATTTCATGAAGATCAGGAAACATGAGGTCTGCAGAGGAAGTGAATTCTGAGAGAAAAGAGTTATCCTTCCTCTAATTCAGCCAGGTGTGGGATGCAGAAATGCCTGAGCTGAGAGTAATTGCCCAATAGTTCATCTATATTTGGGCATCGGGACCAGCACAAAGACTTTTTGCCCCAGGATCAGTCTGTTCTGTTGGAGGCTAAATGAAGCTCTGCATTCCCAGTGCCTAGGACAGTTCCTGGTCCTGATTTTTGATTGAATATGCGTTCTCTTACCTTTTCTCTAGTCATTCAATTAGCTATTTGGCCCAATGGGTGGAAAGTTCATTTATTTTTGTTTCTTGTTTATTACCACCATGGGAGTAGCTCCTGATTCTACAGCTGTATTTGCTCTTTCAATCAAATCTCAGTTCCATATCTTCAGCTGCTTACCAGGCATTTGTATTAGGATCTTTTTTTAATTGCTCAAATGCAACATATCTAAAAAAAATCCCTTCTCCAAATCAGCCTCGCCTCTCCAAATTTCCATGGATGCCAAGTTATTGTGCTAGTTATCCAAGTGCCAAATTTTAGAAATGGATGAATCTCTGAATTCAGCCAGTCACTGAATCCCTGGAAATGTTTACCATACATTCTTTTCTCTGAGGTTTTCTTCTCACTGCTCTAGTTCATTCCCTCACCTCCCCATTTCAAAATTTATCCCATAGCTTCTTCCTGGTCCTTCCCAATTACATTGATACCAAATTTATCTTCCTTGGTGTTTATGTCAGAATACTCACCTGCTCAGAATTCATTGAGTCCTAATGTTCTAAATAGTCAATGAACTTTTCCTTCTGACTTTTAAAAATGGTTTATTTACTATTTCCCAAAATATGGACACCTTCAGTTCTGGGCAGACTCACATCCTCGTAGACCACCCTCCTTCTCTGATTCTGCCTTTATGCGTCTTCTCTTCCTCGCTGGATTTCTCACCTGTCACACACCCAGATTACTCATCTGCTCCGTGTCCAGCAAGGATTCCTCCTCCAAGGAGCCCGTGCTCTCTCCTCCATCCCTCATTGTTTTCTGTCTTTGGGCACATTGCGAGGTGAGGTGAGGACAGTGTGGGGACTTGAGATTGCACACAGTGGCCACAAAGACGACCAACGTTTGCTGGGAGCTCAAGCAGTCACAGAGTACTTTCTTTTACATTTTTTCTTATTTCTCAAGGACTCGTCAAAGGAATTATAATATTTGGCTCAGGGAAAAGACCACCTTGTCTGGGGTCATGAAAGTTTTTCTGTTTTTATGAGGACTATCATGTAGATAAATTCTTGTTCTCCAGAACCCTGGTCCTATGTGAAATGAGGATTTAGTGTTTTTTGTTTTTTAATTGATTTTTATTTTTTGAGACAGGCTCTCACTTTGTCGCCCAGGCTGGAGTCCAGTGGCATGATCTCGGCTGACTGCAATGTCAGCCTCCCAGGCTCATGTGATCCCTCCACCTCAACCTCCCAGGTAGCTGGGACTACAGACATACACCACCTTGCCTGGCTAATTGTTTGCATTTTTTTGTAGAGATGGGGTCTTGCTATGTTGCTCAGTCTAGTCTTATATGCTTGGGCTCAAGCAGTCCACCCACATCGGCCCCCAAACTGCTGGGATTATAGGCGTGAGCTATAGCGCTCGACACTTTTTTTTTTTGGATAGAGAAACTTGGCCTGGGGAAATTTCCTCCTTGAGAGTCAAAGTTATGGAAAGCTATTAGGGTGGAAAAGGTGGGCTGATATAAGGCCCTGCAGCAGGAAAGGCCAGGCGGTTGCCTGAGGGGTGAGACCCTTGCATAGAATCGGGTGGTCAGAGGGGACCGGTGCTTCTGAGTCCATGGTGTCAGGCTCATACCTCTGGAAAAAGGCTATATGCATGAATGGAAGGAGCTACAGCACAGTTTTGGTGGGGTGGACCTTGGCTGTCCTGCACTGGCAGAATCCCTGCAGACTGATCTGAGATCTATTCTTAGTTCACACTGTCAGTGTGAGGTGATGACCACTGCATGACTCCGAAGTGACCAAAAGTGATGACACAATGCAGGTGGCAGTGATGGTGAGTAGAATTTTTCTCCAGACTTCTTATCAGTTGTGACATTGGTGGGTCTAGAACTTCCACATGAAAGGGACTTGAGGCAGGCGTCTTGTTAGAGGGTATTGCATGTATGTATGTGTGTCAGGGTGGGGGAGGGAGTGTTGAGTAGCACTTTATGTTATATTAAGAAATCGACTGTAAGGGTATGGTGGTTCATGCCTGTAATCCCAGCACTTTGGGAGCCTGAGACGGGCGGGTCACCTGAGGTCAGGAGTTCGAGACCAGCCTGGCCAACATGGCAAAACTCCGTCTCTACTAAAAATATAAGAATTAGCCGGGCGTGGTGGTGCACACCTGTAATCCCAGCCACTGGGGAGGCTGAGGCAGGAGAATCGCTTGAACCCAGGAGGTGGAGGTTGCAGTGAGCCAAGATCAGGCTACTGCACTTCAGCCTGGGCGACAGAGCAAGACATTGTCTCAAAAAAAAAAAAAAAAAAAATCTGTAGTCTCTATCAAAGCATGGGGACATGGATGAAGATAATGGAGGCCACTTAAGTCTCCCATGCCACCTCCCAAGGCCTCTACAGACTTAACAATAGTTGCCTGGCTGGTGGGAATAGTCAGAACTTGCCCTTTGGCTACAGCCAGTGGCAGTGACACTGTTCAGGTAGCAGTTGTATAATACTTCTGCCTGAAGAGATACAGTCCTAGTTATTTTAAGTGAAGCTGCTGCAACAAATTAGACCCCAAATTGTATAATGGCTCAAATGCGATGGAATTTTATTTCTTGCTCACACAGCAGTCTAAGGGCACTGTTTGTGGTCAGCAGGTGTCTCTCCTCTGGGCAGTGACTCAGAAGCCGGAGCACCATTTATCTAGGTCCTCAGAGACATTGCATTCAGGTAGAAGGGGATAAAAAAGAATGAAGGAGGAACACCTGTTTCTTAAATCCTGGCCCCAAAGTAGTGCACATGACTTCCATTTGCATTCCATTGATGAAAACTAGCTTTATGCCCACACTTAACTGAAAGGGAGCCTAAAGATGCAGTCAAGGTATGTGTCTGTTACCGCTCTGTTATACTAAAAAAAGTGTGTGTGTGGAGGTGTGTCTAGCAATGTTGGTCACAGGCACTGTCTGGGTTCTGTTTCCAGCAGGAAGCTGGGAATACAAGGATGGCCCTTGAGGCTGGAGTAAGTACTCAGATTGCTACTTTTGTCTGTTTCAAGGGAGAGATTTCCCAGGGAGGGGGCCTGGACTTCTTGTCCATCTGGGTTTGTGGGATTTCCATTATTGTGTGGGTCACTCCTGGGGGCTGGCTGGATTGTAGTGTGCATTGTCCACACGCTGAAGCTGGCAATCCAATTATTCAAGACACACTTTGCTAACAACTAGCAGCCTCAGGAATGGGCTGTGTGTTGCTTTGGCAAGAGTGTAAAGCTCCCGGTAACTGGAGATGTTGAAATATATGAATGTAGGCAGGATCAGACTGGTTGGACAGGAAGACTTCTGAGGTCCTCTGGGCACTAACTCTTTGATCCTGCAATTCTGTGTACTTATGAACATAATACTCCAGGGCATGTAATTTGCACTCACCAATATAGTAATTTGTATTACTCATTTTTTCATGGCAACTTAATGTAGAAAGAACACCTGTCTGGGAACTACATGTTGGTGGGACTCAGATACCCTGAGTTCTAGTCTAAACTCATGGCCTTGGGAAAGTCATTTGGCCAACCCATGCTTAAATATTCTTGTCTAAAAAAATCAGGTTGGGCACGGTGGCTCATGTCTGTAATCCCAGCACTTTGGGAGGCCGTGGTGGGTAGAACACTTGAGGTCAGGAGTTGGAGACCAGCCTGGCCAATATGGTGAAACCCTGTCTCTGCTAAAAATACAAAAATTAGCCGGGCGAGATGGCGCCTGCCTGTAATCCCAACTACTCAGGAGGCTGAGGCAGGAGAATCGCTTGAACCTGGGAGGCGGAGGATGCAGTGAGCTGAGATCATGCCACTGTACTCCAGCCTGGGTGACAGAGCGAAACTCCATCTTAAAAATAAATAAATAAAAATAAAGTAAAAATTAAAAAATCAGGGTGGTTATGTTAGGAGAGATTTGTGATAGATAGAATACTGCCTTTGCCCAGCAAAGATCCTTATCCCTGGCACCTGTGTATGGTTCCTTACACTGCAAAAAGGACTTTACAGGTGTGATCAATTGAGAATCATGAGATGGGGAGACTATCTTGGATTATGTGGGTGGGCCCAGTGTCATCACAGGGGTCCTTACCAGAGGGAGGCAGGAGGGTCAGAGTCAGAAGTAGGAGACAGGACGATGGAAATAGAGTTTGAAGCGATATCCTTTGAAGGTGGAGAAAGGGCAATGAGCCAAGGAATGCAGGTGGCTTCCTACAGCTGGAAAAGGAAAGGAAACATTCTCCCTTAGAGAGCCATCAGAAGAAAGGTAGCTCTGCCTCGCCTCAATTTAGCCTGTAAGAACATTTCAGCCTCTGAGCTCCAGAGCTGTAAGATAATAAATGTGCATCGTCTTAAGCCACTAAATTTGTGTAATTTATTGCAGCAGCAATAGAAAACTAGTAGAAGCTCTAAGGTCCCTTCTAGAATGAAATGGTATTTTTTTTGTATGTTCCTTTCATGTCTCTATATACTAAAAATTGTTTTTTCAGTTTTTGAAATTTATTTTTATTTTTTAGAGACAATCTGATGTTTCTCAGGCAGGAGTGCAGTGGCATTTACAGTTATAATCATAGAGAACTACAGCCTGGAACTCCTGGGCTCAAGTGATCCTCCTGCCTTAGCCTCCCAAGTAGCTGGGATTAAGAAACAGCAGTGCACAGGGCTCATGTCTTTAAATAGAATAAAAAACCTTGCAGGCAGGGGCTCCTTCTAAAAATTAATCCACCATAACTTCAGAACATAACTATAGAAGCTCAATAATTATTGATTTTTTAAGTTTAAAATATGAATTTATTCATCAATCTAAAAAGATCAATAATAAACCTATTTATTGTTAATTTTTATAAGGTATCTGGGGGAAAGCAGAGAACCCATGATGAAAATCATGACTTAGCAGGAGCTCTGATGCAATGTGAACAGAAGGCTTTTCCAGACACCAACCAATTCTCCAGCACCAACCAGGTGTCCTGGTTGAATTGCATTAAGTTCAACTCTTCTTGGCCTCTCATCACCAGTTAAGCTCCCGCATCTTTCCCACGTCGTTCAGGGCCTTACAGGGTATCATATTGCCCAGGCAGCTGTGCAGTGGCATTTACAGTTACAATCATAGAGAACTACAGCCTGGAACTCCTGGGCTCAAGTGATCTTCCTGCCTCAGCCTCACATGTACAGGCTCCCCTCTGTCCTTTTCTCTTGCTGAGGCTCTGGATCAGTTTGGAGGATGCAGCTATAAGTCGTCTTTGCTACCTGTGTGGCTCTGACCTTTATTTTGGTAGTAGGACATTTGCCTCTGTGGCATAATAAAAAATATTTGGTCTTTGTCCTTGGTTCGTGGTACACAGCTTCTAAAACCCTTAGAATCTCCTGAGCAATAAGAGTGTCTTCGGTATGCTAATAATGACTCTAGACAGAGGGGCTCCTGGATGGCTGCATGGTGACCGGGGGGCCACACTGTGATTAGAGCTAGAAACGTTCAGCTCCACCCTTGGAGCTTTAGGGAGGGAAGAGAGACTAGAGTCCCATTAGTTACTAGCAGCTGCAATCACGCCTGTGTAACAAAATCTCCATAAAAACCCTTATATGGGCCGGGTGCGGTGGCTCACACCTGTAATCCCAGCAGTTTGGGAGGCCGAGGCAAGCGGATCACCTGAGGTCAGACCGGCCTGGCCAACATGGTGAAACCCTGTCTCTACTAAAAATACAAAAATCAGCCAGGCATGGTGGCAGGTGCCTGTAATCCCAGCTACTAGGGAGGCTGAGGCAGGAGAATCGTTTGAACCCGGGAGGCGGAGGTTGCAGTGAGCCAAGATCATGCCATTGCACTCAAGCCTGGGCGACAGAGCCAGACTCTGTCTCAAAACAAAAAAACAAAAAACAAAACAACAACAACAAAAACCCAAAACCAAACCCTTCTATGATGGGATGCAGGAAACTTCTGAGTTGATGAATACATCCACTTCCGGGGAGGGTGTTGCATCTCAGCTCCATGGGGACAGAGGCTCTTGTGCTGGGGACCCTCCCAGGCCTCACCCTATGCACGTCTTCATCTGACTGCTCATTTGCATCTTTTATAATAAATGGTAATAGGAAATATAGTATTTTCCTGAGTTCTGTGAGTCATTCTGAAACCACCATTGCAAAATTGTGACTGAGTTAGTGAAGGAGATCTGACCTAACCGACTTCATCTTGTGTCTAGCCTCCAGGCTGTCCTTGTTTGTTCCTGGCCGTGGGCTGGGCTAACTTTGAGAGGAACTTGGTTTATGGTTTAAAACAAAGACGATGGCAGCTCTTTCCCAGGGCAGACCACCTTCTTGCCTGGGAACTAGACTGCCTTTGTAGGACTAATAAATTAGCCACAAGATTGGAAATTGTGGTTTGGGAGTCACGCAGCTGGAGGCTATGGGATTCTGACCCTCCCTAAACTGTTCCTACGATCAGTGCTTGAGATATTTTGCAGACCCTGCACTTGATGGGTCAGCTGGCACCACCCAGATTGATTGGCTGGTTCATCTGATCTTGTGGCCCCGACCCAGGAACTGACTCAGTGCAAAAGGACAAATTCAATTCCCTATGATTTCTTTCCTTTTTATTTTTATTTTACTTTAAGTTCTGGGATATGTGTGTAGAACGTAAAGGTTTGTTACATAGGTTCCCTATGATTTCATCTCCTACCTGACCAATCAGCACTCCTGGCTCACTGGTTTCTCCTCACCCACCAAGCTGGCCTTAAAAACTCTAATCCCTGAATGCTTGGAGAGACTTGTTTGAGTAATAATAAAACTCCGGTCCTCCACATAGCCGGCTCTGTGTGAATTACTCTTTCTCTATTGCAGTTCCCCTGTCTTGAGAAATCTGCTCTGTCTAGGGAGCGGGCAAGGTGAACCCATTGGGTGATTACAATTCTAGCCAATTACTGAGGTTGAGGAAGGAGGTTGTGGGAACCCCTGACTTTGTAGCAGAGGCAGACAGAAGTCCAGGTAACCTGCGCACCCAGACTTGCAGCTGGCGTCTGAAGGGAAGGCGATTTTATGGGACTGAGCCGCTTAGATCTGTGGAGTCTGGTGCTAACTCTGGTTGTTAGGGTTAGAATTGAATTGAACTGCAGGACACCTGGTTGGTGCTGGAGGATTGGCTGGTGGAGGAAAACCCCTAACAGGCTCTAGCCCTAGATGTGCTCTCTCCACCCTGAGCTGTAGTCTGCTGTTCCAACCTCTCACCCTCATCTGGGTTTTGATAACTTGCCCAGTTGCCAGCCCTTGTACCCCTGGGCTTCTACCTTGATCTTTGCTAAGCTCTCAAGGATCTGAGATCCTGGCTTTGGTCACGAGCCCAGTGGCTGTTCCCCTGTTGCCTGATGGCAGGTATCCATGAGTCTAACTCCTTGTTGTTCTCCAAGCATTGTCCACTGTCTTTGATTTCCTACATTCTCCTCTGTTCACATCATTAGGACACCTTTTCCCTCCATTAGAATGATTTGATGCCACCAGCTTTATAGAACCTCTAATGCTATGCATCCTGGAGCATTCACTCAGCCTTCCAGAAGGGAAGCACCTACAGTAGGGCTTTCCCCACCAAGCCTGTCCCTCTAGTGGGCAAGGTCAGTTCCTGGTTCTGGACTCTCACACCATGTCCTGATGCATTGCAGCCAACAGGGCTATGCCCCACTGGATTCTGAGAAATGATGTCAGCCATGAACTTGGCCATCCCAGGACCTAGTTAAATTAAGCTCTTTAGATCCATGACTTGGCACATGTAGCTTTAAGGGTCATAGGGCTGTCATTGCAAGGCCAAGATATAGGCAGAAAGGAACAGGAAGTCAGAAGAAAAATAAAAATTATGAGAGATTAAGGAAGGGAGACGGGATGGAGCAAATATGCATATTGAAGGAAATGCCACAATCTTGGTTTCCGGTGTCTTCGGGGGAACTGTTTCACTAGATACTCAATGGACCACCAACCTGCCACTAGGACAGGAATACCACACACTCAACGCTGGGCAAAGTGCTGCCCTCAAAAAGCAAGAACAGAATTATATATACCATGTAGTGGCCTTTAAAATGTGGGATGTGGCTTAAAATGAACCTGAATTTGCATCTCAGCTGAGGAAACTTAGACAAACTACCTGACCTTTGGAAGCCTCAATTTTCTAATTTCTGAAATGTGGGGGTAATAACAGCAACTTCCAAGTGCTTGGCACAAAGTGGATGTTCAATAGATGATGACTCTGCGTTTCCTCCTTGTCACTTTTCCTGTCACAGCACCACAGCAGCACAGTCTTAGAGGCTTTGCAGTGCCATTTGCTGCTTTTCCTGAATGGTGACTTGAAGCAGCAGACTTCTGCACACTACCTACTGTCCAGGTGTCCCAAGGCCAGGCTATATGTGGCTGCTACAATTGTCTCTTGCAGGAGGCACATAAAAATGTGCTCATCAGTGTGGGCTGCCATATTTAGGACTAACATCTAACATTAGATGAGTCAACATCCAGGCGCATTGTCATTGGAATTGCTGGGAAAACACACAGGCAACCCCCACTCACTGGCCCCTGCTTTCCTAAGCCTAGGGAGCCACCCTGGATATCAGGGGGTCTTTCCAGGATAAGTATTGTAAGGGCAGCAGGTTAATAGCAGCCTTTTTACTCATGAACACAGGTGAACATCAACATCCAACAAATATAGGGCTTCTGCTGCATGCCAGCCACTGTGCTAGATGCGAGGGATACCACAGTGTGCAAGACACATCATTCACAGGGAAACGGGGAGAAGAATCATCTGTCTACAGATTAATATCTAGAGTCAGGCAAAGAACCTCCTCATACAGAGTGAAAATAGAGTATTATTTGTAAATTGGGCACCTATTATTTGCTTTTTGCTAACGGAGGATCCTCCCCCAACTGCCCTGCTTATTTTGAGACGGGGTCTGTGTCACCCAGGCTGGAGTGCAGCTCGGTGTAGCCTAGACCTCCCCAGCTAAGATGATCCTCCCACCTCAGCCTTGTGAGTAGCTGGGACTACAGGCATATGCCACCACGCCCAGCTAATGTTTTGTATATTTTGTAGGGACAGGGTGTCGCCATGTTGCCCAGGCTGGTCTTGAACTCCTGAGCTCACGCATCTGCCCCCTTCAGCCTCCCAAAGTGCTGGGACTACAGGCATGAGCCCCTGCCACCGGCCCAGAATGTATCTTTTTTGAAATTCATTTTTCTACCACATAAAGTGATTAAAAGACAACTAGTTGTTGAATTCAAGGCAAATGAGCAACTGTCTATTGGTGAGAAGTTCTATGATTCTGGCTTGGAGATGTCTGCCATGCAAACGTATAGGGCAGCCCTGGGGGGTGCTGCTGACAGCCGAGAGGGCTGGTCAGTTACAGAGGGCTTGGCTGGATGGGGCTTTGAATTCTTGGCTCTTTTGGTATAAAGAGAAGGAAAGCAATGTCTCCACTGTGTCCCCTTCTTAGAAGAGAGCCTTGTTTAATGGCCAAAATGCAGACATGGGATTTAGCTCTCATAAATCCTACCTCTTCTCTGCCCCACGTGTGGCTTAAGTCATGCTAACCTCACCCTGTCTCAGTCTCCCTTTCCTGTAAAAGCAGAGAGGCAAGCAAGGATTTCAGAGTCAGAAAACATGTATGGCATTTCTGGCTCCACCATGTAGAGCTGAGAGGAGTTTAACTCTTAGAACTTTCTCTTTCTTTTCTTTCTTTCTTTTCTTTCCTTTCTTTCCTTCCTTTCCTTTCTGTCTGTCTGTCTTTCTTGTCTCACTCTGTCGCCAAGGCTGGAGTACAGTGGCACGATCTTGGCTCACTGCAACCTCTGCCTCCAGGGTTCAAGCGATTCTTCTGCCTCAGTCCCACAAATAGCTGGGATTACAGGTGTGCACCACCACCCTGGCTAATTTTTTGTATTTTTTAGTAGAGACAGGGTTTCAACATGTTGGCCAGGCTGATCTTGAACTCCTGACCTTAAGTGATCCACCTGCCTCAGCCTCCCAAAGTGCTGGCATAACAGGCATGAGCCACTGCGTCCCACCTAACTCTTAGAACTTCTGTTCTCTTCTCTTACAAATCATTCATTTACAGTCTTTGAAATCAGAAATAGGACTTTACAGCCCCATGGAGAATAAGCCACCCCATGATGCTTATTGAATAGATGGATGGACTGCTACGCTGAAGTATGACTTCATCTATTTCAAGTGCCTTGAGGCCCATGGATCAACACCTGTATGGACACGCCAATGGTCTTCAGAGTCACTGCCTGGGTCCCTTACAGGGATGGGTGTGTCAGTGAGGTCTGGCACTGCAGCTACATTGGGAGAATGTTCACATTCATCTCTTGTTTATTTCGTGTGGATTACTTTGCCTTCTCAAAACCCATTACCCAACATTGCTCTCTTCAGCCTGTGGACCCTGCCCCACTCCTGCCCTACCCCTGGTGAATGTCTCCAGGTGTGTTTTCTCTGGCAAAGGAGTGATCTAGATTTGAAACTTGCCTTGCCACTGGCCATCTGTATGACTTGGGATGAGTTACTGCATCTCTCAGAATCTCAGTTTTTTTTTTCCTCTTTATCAGCTCCGTTGGGGAGAATATGCCTGTGATGCTTTTATCTTTCTTCTGGCAGAGTAGTGGTGAGTGTCAAATGAGATAATATTTTGTGTGTCTGTGTGAACAGAGTTTGAAAATCTAGAAGTGGTTGTAGTTACCAAAGGTGGAAGTTTTGTAATTATGAGTTATTAGCATCCCCCAGCCAGTAGGTTTGTATATGTCTTCCCAGCCACCTCTCAGATGCCCAGGTATACTATATAGAAAATAAAAAGAAGCAGAGAATTGGCAGGGCATGGTGGCTCATGCCTGTAATCCCAGCACTTTGGAAGGCTGACCAGCCTGGGCAACATAGCGAAACTCCATCTCTACAAAAAATAACAAAAATTAGCTGGATTTGGTGGCTTACTTCTGTAGTCCCAGCTGCTTGGGAGGCTGAGGTGGGAGAATCAATTGAGCCCAGGAGATTGAGGCTGCAGTGAGCAGAGATTGAGCCACTGCAATCCAGCCTGGGCAACAGAGTGCAGTGTCTCACTCAACAAAACAAAACACCCCCAAAGAAATAGAGAATTAAAAATGCACCTTAATGGTCAAATTCCATACTATGTTTAGAGAAAGCCTCCCTGCTCTCTGGTGTTTTATTGACTTATTTGACCCTGGAGGCAGAGATTTCCGTGGAATTGCAGGAAGACTAAAGTAAATATATGCAATTTTCTATTTATTCATTCACTTTTCTACCAGCAAGTCATTATTGAACATCAGCTGTATACAATGATGAATCAATCATAGATCTGCTCTTGTGATTGTTTCAAAATGTTAGGAGAAATAGTGCTATATCTTAAATCACAATACAAAGGATAAAATGATAGGCACTACTATTACAAGAGAGATATAATGCTGTGGTTACGCTGAAGAGAGAGAGAGAAAATTTATTGCCAAGGGGAAGGAAGGCTTATTAAAAGATTTTTTTTTTTTTGAGATGGAGTCTCACTCTGTTGCATAGACTGGAATGCAGTGGTGCAATCTCAGCTCACTGCAACCTCCATCTCCCAGGTTCAAGCGATTCTCTTGCCTCAGCCTCCCGAGTAGCTGGGATTACAGGCATGTATTTTTAGTAGAGATGGGGTTTCACCATGTTGGTCAGGTTGGTCTTGAACTCCTGACCTCAAGTGATCTGCCCACCTTGGCCTCACAAAATGCTGGGATTACAGACATGAGCCACTGCGCCCGGCCAAGAAATGGTTTTTAACTGAGTCTTGGAAGGTGGAGAAAATGTTAACTTAAAGAGGTGGGCTGGGGAAGGGAGGGCACCCAGGCAGAGAAACAGACTCGAGTGAAGGTGGGTGCAGAAAGGAAAGGGCTTCTCTCCATTCTCAGTGCCCAGCCTCCTCGTGTGACTTTGAAGTCCCCTTGATCCCTAGTGTAGGTTGTGCTCCTGGTATTAAGCTTGGTTTTTTTTTTTTTTTTTTTTTTTTTTTTTCCATTTCTCTCTTTCTTTTAAGAAGTCCTGTTTTTTTTTTCTTTGATCATTCTTAAGTTTCCAAAAATAATCTGCTATCTTGCCATGCAGTGGATGTTTTCTTTTTCCTTAGGAACCCCCATTGAAAATATTCGGTACATCTCAGCATGAGAGGCCCCTGGCACCTGCCTGCATAACCTTGGTTGCATAAGATGCAAGAGGTCCATCAACTTTCTTTTTCTGGAATATGAAGCTCACTTCAAAGTGCTCTTCGGTTGACTAAGCCTTGGGAGGTGCCATGTCCAATCACCACTTGTCAATTATTGTGTCCTCTGGGTCCCCTGCCTTGCTATAAGATCAAAGGAAAGGGTAGTCCCATTGTACAAGTGAAAATAAGGTTTGTTGCCTATTGGTAGCTGATGTGGAGTGGAAACTAAATAACGGAGGTCAAGAAACTGTCAGTCCAGAGTGTGGAAAGGATCTTCAGTGTGTCTGAGATATCAACCCAGGTGGAAAATGAAGCCTAAACCACCATAGCATTCCAGATGACTGAACTGCTCAAGCGTGAATGCTTGAGAGACTCTCATTCATTTACTTGATTCATTTTACAGGAAGCTGGGACCAGTCCCCTAAATTAGGTTATACTGCATGGCTCTCTCCTCCAACCATAATCAAGTAGCAAAATAAGCAGAGCCAGCATTCCTTGATTCTTACTGGGTATATGTTGATTAATAAAGTTGGGCTGCCCTAGAGTATAAGATGATGATTTTTAGATTGTCAGTTTATTATTATTATTATACTTTAAGTTATAGGGTACATGTGCACAATGTGCAGGTTTGTTACATATGTATACATGTGCCATGTTGGTGTGCTGCACCCATTAACTCGTTATTTACATTAGGTATATCTCCTAATGCTATCCCTCCCCCCTCCCCCCACCCCATGACAGGCCCCGGTGTGTGATGTTCCCCTTCCTATGTCCAGGTGTTCTCATTGTTCAATTCCCACCTATGAGAGAGAACATGTGGTGTTTGGTTTTCTGTCCTTGTGACAGTTTGCTCAGAATGATGGTTTCCAGCTTTATCCATGTTCCTACAAAGGACATGAACTTATCCTTTTTTATGGCTGCATAGTATTCCATGGTGTATATGTGCCACATTTTCTTAATCCAGTCTATCATCCATGGACATTTGGCTTGGTTTCAAATCTTTGCTATTGTGAATAGTGCCGCAATAAACATACGTGTGCATGTGTCTTTATAGCAGCATGACTTAACACTCCTTTGGGTGTATACCCAGTAATGGGATCACTGGGTCAAATGGTATTTCTAGTTCTAGATCCTTGAGGAATCGCCACACTGTCTTCCACGATGGTTGAACTAGTTTACAGTCCCACCAACAGTGTAAAAGCATTCCTATTTCTCCACATCCTCTCCAGCACCTGTTGTTTCCTGACTTTTTAATGATCACCATTCTAACTGGCATGAGATGGTATCTCATTGTGGTTTTCATTTGCATTTCTCTGATGGCCAGTGATGTTGAGCCTTTTTTCATGTGTCTGTTGGCTGCATAAATGTCTTCTTTTGAGAAGTGTCTGTTCATATCCCTCCCCCACTTTTTGATGGGATTGTTTGATTTTTTCTTGTAAATTTGTTTAAGTTCTTTGTAGATTCTGGATATTAGCCCTTTGTCAGATGGGTAGATTGTAAAAATTTTCTCCCATCCTGTAGGTTGCCTGTTCACTCTGATGGTGGTTTCTTTTGCTGTGCAGAAGCTCTTTAGTTTAGTTAGATCCCATTTGTCTATTTTGGCTTTTGTTGCCATTGCTTTTGGTGTTTTAGACATGAAGTCCTTGCCCATGCCTATGTCCTGAATGGTATTGCCTAGATTTTCTTCTAGGGTTTTTATGGTTTTTAGGTCTAACGTTTTAAGTCTTTAATCCATCTTGAATTAATTTTTGTATAAGGTGTAAGGAAGGGATCCAGTTTCAGCTTTCTGCTATGGCTAGCTGGTTTTCCAGCACCATTTATTAAATAGGGAATCCTTTCCCCATTTCTTGTTTTTGTCAGGTTTGTCAAAGATCAGATGGTTGTAGATGTGTGGTATTATTTCTGAGGCCTCTGTTTTGTTCCATTGGTCTATATCTCTGTTTTGGTACCAGTGCCATGCTGTTTTGGTTACTGTAGCCTTGTAGTATAGTTTGAAGTCAGATAGCATGGTGCCTCCAGCTTTGTTCTTTTGGCTTAGGATTGTCTTGGCAATGCGGGCTCTTTTTTGGTTCCATATGAAGTTTAAAGTAGTTTTTTCCAATGCTGTGAAGAAAGTCATTGGTAGCTTGATGGGGATGGCATTGAATCTATTAATTACCTTGGGCAGTATGGCCATTTTCATGATATTGATTCTTCCTATCCATGAGCGTGGAATGTTCTTCCATTTGTTTGTGTCCTCTTTTATTTCATTGAGCAGTGGTTTGTAGTTCTCTTTGAAGAGGTCCTTCACATCCCTTGTAAGTTGGATTCCTAGGTCTTTTATTCTCTTTGAAGCAATTGTGAATGGGAGTTCACTCATGATTTGGCTGTTTGTCTGTTATTGGTGTATAGGAATGCTTGTGATTTTTGCACATTGATTTTGTATCCTGAGACTTTGCTGAAGTTGCTTCTCAGCTTGAGATTTTGGGCTGAGACGATGGGGTTTTCTAAATATACAATCATGTCATCTGCAAACAGGGGCAATTTGACTTCCTCTTTTCCTAATTGAATACCCTTTATTTATTTCTCCTGCCTGATTGCCCTGGCCAGAACTTCCAATACTATGTTGAATAGGAGTGGTGAGAGAGGGCATCCATGTCTTGTGCCCGTTTTCAAAGGGAATGCTTCCAGTTTTTGCCCATTCAGTATGATATTGGCTGTGGGTCTGTCATAAATAGCTCTTATTATTTTGAGATACGTCCCATCAATACCTCAATTTATTCCCATTTATCCCATCAAAACTCTCAATTTATTGAGAGTTTTTAGCATGAAGGGCTGTTGAATTTTGTTGAAGGCCTTTTCTGCATCTATTGAGATAATCATGTGGTTTTTATCTTTGGTTCTGTTTGTATGATGGATTATGTTTATTGATTTGCATATGTTGAACCAGCCTTGCATCCCAGGGATGAAGCCAGCTTGATCATGGTGGATAAGCTTTTTGATGTGCTGCTGGATTCGCTTTTTGATGTGCTGCTGGATTTGGTTTGCCAGTATTTTATTGAGGATTTTTCACCGATTGTTAGTTTTATGAGCTAATAAATTTTAAAAAATTGGGTTCCAACACAGAATTGTTAACTTTATATCTTGCTGAATTAAGAAATTAAACTAAAAGGACCTTGACAGTGACAAACTTATGGTCATTATTTTTAAAAGAATTATACATCTATCTATCTATTTTTGAGACAGAGTCTCGTTCTATCGCTCAGGCTGGAGCGCAGTGTTGCTATCTCGGATCACTGCAACCTCTGCCTCCTGGGTTCAAGTGATTCTCATGCCTCAGCCTCCCAAGTAGCTGGGATTACAGTGTGCACCACCATCCCTGGCTAATTTTTGTATTTTTAGTAGAGATGGGGTTTCATCATCTTGCCAGGCTGGTCTCGAACTTCTGACCTCAGATGATCCGCCTGCCTTGGCCTCCCAAAGTGCTGGGATTACAGACGTGAGCCACTGTGCCTGGCAAGAAATATAATTTTTATATGAATTATTAGGAAGTGCATAATCTCAGAATAAAAGATGGCCCTTCCTAAGAAAGCACATTTGGTAATCTTCTACCTTGGTTTTTGCTCTAAAATGCTTAAGACGGCATCATGGTGAGCCCAGGTGGTGGGACTGGCCTTTGGGGACTCTGTATACTAGATGACCACTGAGTTCATTAGTCTATTTGGGAAAGATCGCATATGGATTGAGGAACTTCATGAGGGCATGGATCGTTCTGGAGACAGCCATGTCAATTCTTACGATGTTTATTTTGTGCTGGCATCATATTTCCTGGCATTTGGGGAGTTGATGGAATGGCCCAATTCACTTTTATTCTGAGTCATTTGTGGGAAGAGAAATTTAATTCTCTGGGAACCCTTGTTCGTATTAGTGTTAAATCATTTGTCTGCTGTTTAATGATTTATATTCACAGAGCAAAGAGGTCCCAGAATTGCATTCCTGATTGTGCTACCCCCCAAAGCCTCCCTCTACCACTCTAAGTTAGAGAAATAATTTAGTCTTGTGCCTTAGGGAATCCACTCAAGACACTACTCTTCAGTTTACTCATTGCATGTATATATATCTTAGTGTACTGATATTAGGCTTTTAGTTGAGTACTAGACTTCTTGAGTTTACTTAAATTGGCACTATATTGTATTTTGTGCTATTAACATGCTGAACTGCTTTTGCTTTGTTAACTCAGCAATTAGGTTCCTCCCAAACTTTATGCACCCTTTTTGGTTCATAAATTGTGATTCTCTGATTTATTTTTCTTGAGTTCATATGTTTAATGTGGATGGGCCTTTGGTGCTCATTAAAACAGAGACTTTTATTTGAAAGGTTGTTCTCTAGGTTGTGCTGGTGGGACCTCATATATTACACTTCTCAACATTGCCATCCATAATTTAGTGTAGTGTTCCTATGCATGTAATGTTTCAGCATTTGCAGTGCTTATGAGTAATTGACAATCTATGATGGTACCAATAAATCAGACAAGCCAGGCTCAGCCTTTTATGGTCAGTCTACCAGGGAGGAAAGCTGAAAATCAGTGACTGCTATTAACTGGGAGCTTTTTAGATCATGAAGTCAGAGAAAGCCTTTATTATTAATACATTTTGAGTGGTTGTTTAAAGTAGATATCCTGGGTTGGATAAAGAGACATGAAAAAAATGAATCTTAGTTTATTTTCTTTTAAGTTATTATAATTCATTTCAAAGGAATGACTTATTTTGACAAAGTGAGTGAACTTGAGTTGTAATGTGTATAATAGACTGAATGATGAAGGAGACCTTGGGTTGCATGATGTATTACATATGTCGCAGAGTCAGGGAAATTAGGATTTACTTTCGTGAAATGCAAATCTGGAACAGTGTGGCTTGGGCACCACAACACAGTACAACACGAAGTGTGGTGCATAATGCAAAATACAGCAGTGTGTCTGGAATGTTTTAAATGTTACATTGCTTAGGGATGGGTCTGGGAACGTGTTTTTGTGAGACACATACCTTGAATTTCCATTGTTGGTCATGAGTATTCCACACTGGCTCAAAACTGATTATTGTCTTTTTGTAATATTCTTTTTGACATTGGGAGAGGTATGTAGGGGTCAAAAGCTTGCAGGAGGAGCCAGGCACAGTGGCACATGCTTTTAATCCAATCCCAGCTACTCGAGAGACTGAGGTGGGAGGATCACTTCAGCCCAGGAGTTGGAGACCAGCCTGGGCAATATAGCTATACTCTGTCTTACATATACACACACAAACAGACACACACACACCCACACACACACACACAGAGTTTGCAGGTGGGGAAAAAGTGCCCTCTGGTGTTTGAAAACTCCTGTGCTGTGAAATAGAAACCGTTATGAAGCTGGGTTAGATGGGATTAAAATGCATGAGCTCTAGAGGCCGGTTGGCCTCTGGATTTCATTTCCCGCCTCTGTCATTATTGTACCAGACATGGGACCTTGGGCAAGCTGCTTAACCCGTCAGAACCTTAGTTTCTTTGTCTCTAAAATGGGGAGGAAATTCTTGCCTCATAAGGATGTTTTGAAGAGTAGACATTTGATACACACCTGGATAACTGCTAAGTAACTTTAGGCTTTCCTCTCCTGTGCATCTGGAGAAGAAATAGTCATCACGCAGCTTCTAGCTCTGTCAACTCAGGAGTCTCTAAACATTCTAGAACAGCAGTGCAATGGCCATAGGTTAAAACAGAACCCTGTCTATGCAGCTGGAAAGAATGCGGAACCATTTAGTTCAGGCTGGGGTTGACAAGGCTGTCTTTTCAACGTTAGCCTTGAAAAAAATCACTTATACCTGTGAGTTTAAAAAAAAGCACAGGTAAATTTATTTTTTCATATCTTGTTTTCAGGTTAGAGATCCTTTCTTGTATTGATGTATGGAATTAATGCGTGAAACCCTACTTCAGCTAATGATGCCTTTTTTTGGCAATAAAAAATGTAAATAGTCTGCTTGGGAGTGAATAAATAGAAATTCAGGTGTACAGTATTGTCCTACTTGTAACAGGGGTCAATCATGAGTATGTTTACTGAGCAATCAGTGTTTGCTAAGAGCAAGAAACTGACCTGCTCACTATTTTGACTTATTGATTCACTAAGATCTTACTTCTTGGCCTTTTCTCTAAGAAACCAGTAAAACTATCTTTTAAAAATTCAATTATAATGTATATTACTGGTATATGCAAGCAACACAAAACAAAACAGTCTTCTAACAAAACCTTGACCAAAGAATTATACAGGTGCTGTGGCTCATGCCTGTAATCCCCATGCTTTGGGAGGCCAAGGCTGGTGGATTGCTTGAGCTCAGGAGTTTGAGACCAGCCAGAGTAACAAGGTGAAATCCCACTTCTACAAAAAAATACAAAAAGTTAGCTGGGTGTGGTGGTGCATGCCTATAGTCCCAGCTACTCGGGAGGCTGAGGTAGGAGGATTATTTGAGCCCTGGAGGTCGAGGCTGCAGTGAGCCATGTTCACACCACTCCACTCCAGCCTGGGTGACAGAGCAAGAAAAAAGAATAACATCTTGGTAGTTATATAGCAAAAAACTGACCAGGGGAAAATTTGTCTGGTTAAAAATAATCAACATGAACTTAAAAAGGCAGTGGCTAAAATTATACATGATAATTAAAAAAATACATTATGGAAAAATCGAATCTTTTTGAAAAAATTTAGATCTAAAAAGCTTGGGTTAGAAACATTGGATTTGACCAAAATATTGGCCACAGAAAGACAAGACAGAACAAACGAGGAACACCTTTTGTGATGATTAATTTTAGGCGTCAACTTGACTGGATGGAGGACTCCCTAGAGTGAGGGTATTTCCAGAAGAGACTCGGCATGTGAGACTTAGTGGACTAAGTGGGGAAGATCTACCTTCACTGTGGGTGGGGCATCATCCAGTGGGCAGTGGGCCCGGATAGAACAGAAACAGAAAAAAAGGCAAATTGGCTTCTTTCTCTGGGAGCTGGGATACACTCTTCTGCTGCTGCTGGAACATCAGAACTGTAAGCTCTCTGGCCTTTGGACTCCAGGACTTAGACCAGTGGCTGTTTAGGTGATTAGGCTTCTGGGCTCAGACTGAGAGTTACACCATCAGCTTCCCTGGCTTCCTGGGTGCTACTGGCTTCCCAGGGTCTCCAGCTTGAAGACAGCCTGTCGTGGGACTTCTCAGCCTCCAAAATCATGTGAATTCCCCTGATAAACCCCCTTTTGTATATCTGTATACCTATATCTGTCTTCTCTATCTCTGTCACCTTTATTTCTCTATCTATCATCTATCTATTGTCTATGTATCTATTGTCTATCTATCTATTGTCTATGTATCTATTGTCTCTCTCTCTCTCTCTCTCTCTCTCTCTCGATTGGTTGATTCTATCTCCCTAGGGAACCCTGACTAATACACCTCCCAGTGGCAGATGCTAAATTCTGTAAAATTTGGTATGGACATAAAACTAATCAATGAACTAAATTTCACTGGACTAAATTTATGCCATAAATTTTATGAGGAAATGATTTAATAGCAATCAAACTAAATTTATTAAAATAGAAATAAAAATGGAAATAATTGAGTATCGTTTAAGCAAGGAATTAAATTAATAGAGTTCACTTCTGAAAATGTCTCTTTATGAACATGGATTCATGTTGGTGCAACTCAGACCTCTCCTGGTCCACATGCTCTAGGGATGTTCTGACACAGTACAAATTCCGAGCCCTAGCTGTGGCCTGGCCCTGCGCGGCTTGGCTGTTAGTTATGCCTCTTGCCTCATCTCCTCCACCTGGCCCTGGTTCCCTCTGCTCCAGCCACACTGCTGTCCTTACTGTTACTTGTACATGCCAGGCACACACTCCTTTGATCTTGCCATGTTACCTCTTCTCCCAGATATCACCCAATTCACTCATCACTTTGTGGTGGTCTCTACTTAAGTATCACTTCTCAGAGAGAACTTCTTGGACTACCCTACTCACTCTCCACCCTCTTTCCTTGCTTTCTTTTTTCTCATGGTAATTACTATTTCCTGACATTATTATATCTGTCTATTTGTCTTGCCTCCTTGGCTAGACTGTGGGCTCCAAAGGCTTTGGTTCACTGCTCACTCTGCAGTGTCTCAAAGAGGGCTGGGGATGCAGGAAGCTTGACAAATACTGGTTGAACAAATTCTCATTAAAATGTTTGCATTCATTACCACAGAGCCAACATTTTCCCTGCATTGAACTTCAGAGTCAAAATATTCAAGAAGTCAACATTGGAGGAGAAAAGGGACAGGATCTACATATTCTGCATCACCAGAACCCGTGGTCTGCATATGTGGCCAACATTAGTGCCATTCACTGATGGTTCTGATTTTCTTCCTTCTGGGTAATTCCCCTCTGTCTTGAAGATGAGCATGGTCATAGGACTTGACTTGGTCAATGAAACATGAGCAGAAGGGATGCATGTCACTTCCATGTAGAGAAGCCTTGCAGAGCTCCTGTGCAATTTCCTAAGTCCTTCTCCCTGCTGTGGTGAACAGAGACGCTCTTGACAATTGTGACTTTATCATCCTCGGCCCTTGAGGGGGGATGGTGGGTGCTGGAGCTCTCCCACCAACCTGAGTTTGATGTGGAGCAGGAGGCAGAGCTATTCTTCTGTGGTTTTAGGGCCACTGAGATTTTAGGGTTGTTTATTGCATAACCACCCCCAACCATTTAATCTTTACCTTGGCCATAGGTGGCATTCATTATTATTATCATTTATCACCATGGAAATAGACTTCACAGAGGACAAGCAATTTGTCAAATGTCACATAGCTACTAAGTGGCAGAACTGAAAATTCAAACCCAATTCCAGCTTATTGCATGACCTGAGCTCTTCACTTGATCTTCGCCAAAAGGCCGAGAAGTGATGGCCTGAGCTCTTAAACATAAGCCTGCCAACTTCTCAGGAATTATCAAATATGTTACAGTCCACAGGGGCAAAAACATGCTCATAAGAGCTACACCAGGCTTGTTCAAAACCAGGGAACCATTTACATCCTTTCAAAATCATGTGACATGGCAGTGATCCAGAGAGATCATCAGATCTCTAGGTATATAGTTTCCTTTGACTGCCAGCACATGCAATAAATTAACTATTAAAACCCATGTGAAGGTAACTTGGATTTGATGACTTTGGAAGGGGGCTGGACAAGTTCCTGCTTGGGTAGATTTTAGCTATTCCATCATTTCCATTTAGAGTTTTGAAAAACCCAGTGGCTTTACCTAGAAACAAAACAGACATATTCTAAAACTGATATTTGAGGAGGCCCAGTATATTCTTTTCCTATGTGCAAATTTAGAAGAAATCAGGCCATCTGATGGTTAGGGGAGGGCATGGCCCAGGGCAAAGAGTGGCAGGATCTCAGACCTGTGGCTGAAGGCTCAGAGCCCACCCTGCAGACTAAAACCCAGCCTAGGGCTGGTGGGGCGGGGTGGGAATATGACTCTTATTTCTATGTTTCCCTGACTGGCACCTCATTTTCTTTTAATCAGACAGTATTTAGGGCCTGTTGTCATGTTGGGGTTCAGTTTTGACAATTGTTTTCCATTTAGATCAATTATGATTTGAATTACTTCAAATTCAGGGGAGAGGGGCTCCTTACTATTTCCTCCATATATGGCCAAGACAGGCAAGCAGATAATTTTTCAAACATGAAGAAAACTACTTTTGCAAATTTAAGATGGGATAGTCATTACATGTGCAGGAAAAAATGTTCTGTAATGAGTTTATTTCAGGATATCAGCCATAATGTGTGTATAAATATAAACACACGCTTATACACACACACATTTTATATAATGAGGTCTAATTAAGAATTGCTGAATCCTTTCTTATAGAGCTTTTTGGTTTAAGCACGTGTGTGAACAAATTTAAATGTGAGGGTTTTTTTTTTTTTTTTTTTTTTAAATAGAGACAATGTCTCACTGTCACCTAGGCTGGAGTGCAATGGCATGACCATAGTCCATTGCAGTCTTGAACTCCTGGGCTCACGTGATCTGATCATCCTGCCTCAGCCTCTGGAGTAGCTAGTACTACAGGGGTGCACCACCACACCTGGCTGATTACATTTTTTTTTTTTTTTTGGTAGAGACGGGGGTCTCACTATGTAGCTCAGGCTGATCTTGAATTCCTGTCCTTAAGTGATCCTCCCACCTCGGCCTCCCTTAGTGCTGGGATAACAGGTGTGAGCCACTGCACCCGGCCTAAATGTGGGTGATTTTAAAATTGTATTCATGTCTCAGAACAGAATAGAACAAGGGACAGGTGGTTTCCTTCAGATAAGAGTCGAAATGTGGCACTTTATAGTCTAGTCTCTCTCAATGTGGTGAGGCTGTCATTCATCAACACAGGGACTCCCACAAGCTGGGTGTTTAGCTTTATTTCTCTCTCAGATTGAAGCCTGCAAAATGTAGGTGAGTGTTTCTTCCACTGAACTCTCACCTTTTACTGTAATTGAAGAGGCCGTTAGGAAGAGGTCTGCATTTGGACTCTTGAAAGGCCCTGTGGATGGACAAGCCTAAAAAAAGGTGAACTGGCATTCTGAAGAGCTCTGTTCAGTTCTTAGAAAAAAGTTGGGCTCCTTCTGCTAACACATTTCGTTTCATTTTCTTTTTTAAACTTTACAGCAGCACCAGCCTGAGAATATTAACACATCTCATTTTTTAAAAAGCTAGGTAAAGGAAGCCAGTGGAACAAAAGCAATTGTGGGCACTAATGAAAAGCTGAGAGAAGAGAAAATCAATAATCCCCTGTGTGTGGCTCTGAACACCATTTTCTGTGGTCAGGAGTCAGGTGGTGTGTATGTGGTGTGTGTATGTGGTGTGTGTGTGTGGTGTGTGTGTGGGGGGTGTGTGTGGGGGGTGTGTGTGTGGGGGGTGTGTGGTGTGTGTGTGCTCTGGTGTGTGTGCTGTGCGTGTGGTGTGTGGTGTGTGGCGTGTGTGTGGTGTGTGTGTGGGTGTGTGTGGTGTGTGTGTGGCGTGTGTGTGGCATGTGTGCTGTGTGTGTGGTGTGTATGTGGTGTGTTTGTGGCATGTGTGTGGCGTGTGTGGGGGTGTGTGTGGCGTGTGTGTGAATGCACACACTAGTGCTGCAGAGGGGTTGCAATGCAGCAGAGATGGTGGCAGAGACATGGACGTAGTTCTTGCCAAACTGTGTGTCACTAAGAGTCTCATTAAGGAGAGAAGGCCTGCCGAATGGGAGGGCTTGGAGCTCTGCTGCAAGGGGGAAGAGACTGAGTCTGGGAGGGAGTAACAGTCCTGAAGCCTCGTGGTGACTCCAGGGCTTCCATGACCCATTGGCAAGCATGTGGGTTGAGTGGTGTTTCCCCAAAAGATATGTTCTAGTCCTAGCCCCTGGCACCTGATGATCTTACTTGGAAATAGGGTCTTTATGAGATCATACTGGATTACAGTGGTGCTATGGTCTGAATGTTTATGTCCCCCCAAATTCATATGTTGAAATCCTAACTCCCAAGGTGATAGTCATTGGAGTTGGGGCCTTCAGGAGGTGATTAGGTCATCAGAGTGAAGCCCCCAGGAATGAGATCAATGCCCTTATGAAAGAGGCACGAGGCCACTCATTCACTCCTTCCACCAAGTGAGGTTACAGCGAAAAAACTGCTGTCTGTGTGGTGGGCCCTCGCCAGACACTGGATCTCTCACCATCTTGATGTTGGACTTCCCAGCTCCCAGAACTGTGAGCAGTAAATTTCTGTTGTCTGTAAGCCACCCCGTTTATGGTGTTTTGTTATAGCAGCCTGAACTTACTGAGACGGGGGGCTCTGATCTAGTGACTGGTGTCCTGAGAAGGGGGAAGAAGACCTTGTGGTGACAGAGGCAGAGGTTGAAGTGCCAAAGCTCTAGGCCGAGGAATGCCAAAGACTGCCAGCAACCATGGGGAGGTGGGAAGGGGAGGGAAAGATTCTTCCCTAGAAGCTTCAGATGGAACCTGGCCCTACTGACACCTTGATTTCAGACTTTGGGTCTCCAGAACTGTGAGAAAATACATTTCTGTTGTTTGAAGCCAATCAGCCTGTGGGTTTTGATACAGCAGGCCCTGGAAACTAAGACAGCATGCAAAAGGCCATCGTGTCAGTGTCAGGCAGTGGGGGAAGGTGAGCAGAGTGGGACTCAGAGGTGCTTAGAGGTGAGGAGAGAAGGGTCTGCAGCTTGTTGACAGTGGTTCCAGGTGTACCACCACAGAGACTGCTGGGGAAAGTGCTGATTTCTCATTTAGTGGGACTAGGGCAGAGCTTTTAGGTTGGCTGCAGGAACAAGCAGCACACAGGTATTCAGGTATAATCAGGTTTCTCAACCCCCAACCTTTTTCACTGTGAGACAGATTGTATTTTCCAAAGGTGCCCATGACAATAGCTCCTATCCCTCTTGCTCTTTAGAATTTTGCTACCCCTCATTATGCATTAAGGTCCAGTTCCCTTCTCCTTGGATCTAGGCAGGCTTATGATGTCTTTCTAATAGAATATGTTAAAAATGATGCTGCATGATTTCAAGGTTAGGGAATGAAAAGCAATGCAGCTTATATCCTGTGCACTAGAAATGTAGACTTGTTCTGTAGCCCAGTGCCATCATAAAGCAGTCCAATTGCCCTATAGCTGCCATGTTGCAAGGAAGCTCAAACTATCCCACTTGGAGAGACCACATGGAGAAGCTCCAAGAAGAAAGAGATGACAGGCCATTCACAGGCTACTCCTGGCCCCTCTCCTTTAACCCACAGTGTTCCAACTCCAGTCAGTAAACTACCCTGAGCCAAAACCACCTCACCAAGTTTTTCCTGAATTCCTGACATGCACAAATTGTGAGCAACAATAAAAAAAAATATATATATATATACACACATATATATACATATACATATATATATGTATATATATATGTATATGTATTTAGAGACAGGTTCTAGCTCTGTCACCCAGGCTCACGTGCAGTGCTGTGATTATAGCTCCCTAAAACTTGAGCTCCCGGGCTCAAGCGATCCTCCTGCTTCAGCCTTCCAAGTAGCTGGGTCTAGAGGCATGCACCACCATGCCTGGCTACTTTTTAAACATTTTTTGTAGGGATGGAGTCTCACTTTGCTGCTCAGGCTGGTCTTGAACTCCTGGCCTCAAGCAATCCTCTCGCTTCCCAAAGCGCTGTGTGTGAGCCACTGTGCCTGGCCAAATATATATTTCTGAAGACAGTTTTAGGGTGCCTTATAATGCAAAACAGTAATAACTGGAATCCCTTCCAACTTTTGCCCAAGTCCCACTTCTCCCATGGGACCTTCTCTGATTCTGGAGGCCATGACTCCGTTCCTTGAAACTCTCCTTTCTCTTGAAGCCATTTAGCTATTCCAGTGCGGAGCATTTTCCTCTATTTATTTATTTATTTGTTATTTTTGAGATGGAGTCTCGCTCTGTCCCCAGGCTGGAGTGCACTGGCATGATGTCAGCTCACTGCAACCTCCACCTCCTGGGTTCAAGTGATTCTCCTGCATCAGCCTCCTGAATAGCTGGGACTACAGGCATGCGCCACCATGCTCAGCTAATTTTTTTTGTAATTTTAGTAAAGACAGGGTTTCACCATGTTGGCCAGGATGGTCTCGATTTCTTGACCTCGTGATCCATCCACCTCGGCCTCCCAAATTGCTGAGATTATAAGTGTGAGCCACCGCACCTGGCTTTTCCTCCATTTAGAGCTCGGTCTTGCTGGTGCCAGTCTCTATTTTCTGCAGTTCCTCTGGGACACCTCACACATTCCATGCCTTCATAATACAGAATTCATGGTGTTCTTCCTCCCTCTGCTTCTAACCCTGCCAAACCACGCCCATCCCAGCTCTGTCCGCAACAAGAGGACCTCCAGGGATTAGATCTCCTTAAGAGCAGGGTTGATGATCTAGTGATGGTAATGGGGTTTTCATTACAACAAGAAAACATTCTTCTAGTTAATCATGAACTGCTAAATGAAAAGCCTGTCTGTCTCACCCTTGGGGGCTGTGTCTTACTCTCTTTTGCATCCCTACATGAGTTCAGTGATTGGCCGAAAAAAAGGCCAAGAATGGATGGATGAATGATGGGTAAATAAATGAATGGAGAGAAATACTTGGAAAATAGGCAGTGGAATTTGCAAAATTGCCACACATGTGCTACGTCTTCCCAATTCTGTGCGTGTGGAAGTCATGGCGAACAGACCCCAGCACTCCTGAGGGCCAGGGAGACTGCCTCACGCTCTCTTTGTTTAAGCACAGAACTACAAATAGAAACTAGGAATCAATCCTATTTTGTACTGGAGAGGACTAAAAGCATAAAGACTCTTTTTTGCTACTTCAATTTATTAAAAATATTGTTAAAATAGAAGTTAAAATTCTGCATACAATTGCTTTTTGGATCTCCTTCTACAGTTTTGAGCAAAGTTCATTAAACCCATCTATTTACATGTTCCTGGACTTTTCACATGCATAGATTTCACATTAAGGAAAAATATTGTGATGCTTTATGGCCTTTGCAGTTGACTGGAGTGTGGTGAAGTATTTAAGTAAGGAGTTCGTCTCAAAAAGGGAACAAATAATAAAGCAAGGTGTGGGATTCTGGAGTTGATAGTCAATAATGTTGGCAGTGTTTACAACCAATCCCTTACCAGGATGACAGGACCAATGGAGAAGGGAAATTACCCACCCACCCACATAATTGCACCAGTTGTTAGAATCGGTTAATAGACCATAAAAAAATCAATCCAAGAGAAGCATAAAGAAATACCTACGAGAGTAGATGTTTGTTATTACTGGTTTTCATGTGCAGCCCCATGTGAGCACCTTACTCATTGAAAACAGGGTGGCATTTCTGATAATTTTCCTGTCACTCTCTGCTTTTGTGCCTTCCTTTTATTGGGAATGATTTTTTTGTTTTCTGTTCTTTCATGTTTTGATTGTTGTATTACTGGCCTGGGTTCTGTGGAACGAATGGGGATATTATGTGGTGAAAAGTATTCTTTTTTGTGCACGGACTGGGGAACCAGGGAGGGTCTTAAATTCCGTATATAAATTATCCCATTTAATCCCAACTACCCTTCTCCCCTCCTCCCCATGAGGAAGTTACCATTATTAGCTCCATTCTACAGAGGAGGAAACTGATGCCCAGAGAAGGGAAGCCTCTTGCCACAGAACTAAAGAGGGCTTTCAAATCCAGGCCTGCCTGTCTGGGCCAAAGGTACTGCTGTGTCTATTGAACGAGTCCACAATTCCTTATTCGAAAGGTTTAAAGCCAGATGTTTCTGAAATTCAGTAGGGTATAGGAGGAGGATATGACACACATTCCATAGAGTACTTAATACTCCCAGTGGGGTCTGGAGTAGCACCCTGTAATCAAATCCATTAATATTTTAGCAGTGAAACATATCGACATTCAAACTAATGTGATACACAAAAAGTACAAAATATCTCATTTTTTAGTTGCCCAATGATTTTGTGCCTATCTTATGTTTTTGTTTCTTTGGAATTTCAGAGCTTCTGGCTCTCATCCGTTCAGATAAGGAGTTGAGCCTGTATTATCCTGGCTCCAAGGAGTGAGTTGGCACACATCTCTCCTCTTTCTCAGGGAACTCTGAAATGGAGCAAGCTAGAGCTAAAACAAAACAAAAACCTGATGCTGTTTGTCACTGGCCAGACTTGTAACTACTTGACATTTGAAAAATGAAAATGGCTTTAAGGGCAAATTGGGAGCAGAACTGTAACAGTCCTTCACAAACTACCAAGTCCAGAGAAGCAAGAAGACGAGGGATCTGTCTGTGGTCTTTGTGAACAGATCTCATTGAGGGCCCCTTGAGCTGTAATTCTAAACTGCCATCCACACAGAGGAGCCATTTGGATGGCCCATGGGACTGAGACCCTGCTGCTCTTCCAGCCCTCCCTTTTCAGATCTGTCCTCTGAGGATTGATAGAGGATCAGAGTGCCCCTGGTATGTGTCCCAAGTAATTGGATTGACCCTTAGAAGAAAAGGTTGGTTCAGATAAAATGAAAATTATAAGTGAAGGGTGAGATTCACATTCTGGAAGATCTGTAGTTTACTTGGAGGATGGGTTTTCAACCTTGTTCTATTATTCTATGCTTCTCTATTATACAAGATAAATGGATGGTTTCTACCCATCCACAGCTCCCCAGGAGCTCCATCTCTCTTGGTGGTGCCATTTGACCACCCTCCCTGCTACCCTGTAGTCACAACTGATTGGGCCAAGCTGGGCCATTCTCACTTTTCTCTCTTGAAATTTAATGTTAAGACATGGAAACTGAGTACATCAGGTGGTTACAAGCTCTGGGTTTGTAAGTCACAGCCCTAGGTCCATACCTTTGTATTCCCTTCACCCTGTAGTGCTGTAAAGGAAGAGAAACCAGGAAGGTGATACTCATGGAAGAGATTTGAAGATACACACACACACACACACACACACACAGAGAGAGAGAGAGAGAGAGAGAGAGAGAGAGAAAGATCAGATTGAGCTTGGTAAATCTCCTGGGTCAGGGTACCCCAAGATTGTCCAAACAACCCAGAGGCTAGGGATTGGTGGGATCCAGAGGTTGGTAGCTCCTGTGAACTTCCTATCATAGCCCTTGGATATCCCTGACTGGAGAAGCTGCTGAGAACTCATCTGTGAAGTTGTTGCCTCAGACCCCATGTTGTCCAGTAATCCTTCCTTCCAGGCCACTGTCTTTCCCCCTGGACAAAACTCAGTGTGGAGTTGGGCTCTTTAACTTTCTCACATTTTAACTTGAGGAGTTGGACCAGATCAATATTCCCTGAAGTATGATATGTGTACTACTGCTAGTATTATACTGATGTTTCAATTATACAAGATAATTTCAGGAACTATGTGAATAAATATTTCTTTTATTGTGTATTTATTTTCATGTATATTAGACAACTATACCTTATACATTATATACATTTATATTTACACTATATATTATTATTACATATAGTACATTATATTTTAGTCAGGGTAGATTAGGCCTTGCTGTATAACAAGTACACCACCATGCAGTAAAGGATCAACTAAGCAAGTATGAGTGGTCCAAACCCTGCCCCTTCCAAAGAAGGCTTTGGCACTTACCTGGCTCCTGGGAAATAATCTCTTAAGTCCCTGGAACATTTTGTCTGTTAAGAATGTGTCTGTTTGCCAGACACCTTGGGCCCCATCAGAGAGTTTATGCTAGCAATGTGATTTATGGTGGGGATATTGAGCAGCACAATATCAGCTTGACCTCTGGAGGGGATGGAGAAAAGGTCAGCCACCTGGGTGATCTGCCATGTCTATGTTATTAAACCCCCAATAAAAACTCTGGATGTTGAGACTCTGGTGAGACTATCTGGTTGACAATACTTAACACGTGTTGTCACACATCATTGGTAGGAGAACTAAGTACTGTCTACATGACTCAACTGGGAAAGGGCTACTGGAAACTTAACGCCTAGACTCTCCTGGCCTCTGACCAATGGAAAGACCCCATGTGCTTTTTCCATTGCTGATTTTAATCTTTGTCCTCTCACTGTAGTAAACTGTGAGCATAACAGCTTTTTAAAGTTCAGTGAGTCCTTTTACTGAATCATTCCACCAAAGTGTGGTCTTGAGGACCAAACACAACTACAAAATCTTAATGGCATAACACAATAAAAATTTACTTGCTGTTCATGTGAAGTCTGGTGCAGGACTGGATGCCCTATTGTCATCCATTCTCTAAGCAGTTAAGAGAACCCAGCTCTGCCATCTCAGAGTCCACTGTTTCTATTCACACAGATGCCAGAATGAGATCAAGGAAGAACATGCAGGATGTTTTAGGGGCCAGGCTTGTAAGTTTAAGTATCACTTCCATTAAGAGTCTATTGGCCAGAATCCAGTTATATGGGGCCAACCTAATGCAAGGATGGTTGAGGAAGAGGGTCTTCTTGTGTCACCAAGAAGAGGAAATAAAAAATGGTAAGCATCTAACTAGTCTTTATCACATACCTCAAATCTCTGATTTCATGGATATCAATGCTTAAGGCAAAGTCAAATTTATGTAAGTATAAAAAAGTGTGTTGGTCTAAAGAAAGATAGTAAAAGAAAAAGTAAATACGAATGCATATAGTGCATAACATGACAAAAATCCCGAAGTAGTAGGTGAATAAGTGAAGGCTGGAAACCACTGGTTCATATATGATGGTTGTCAGGACATTTCAGCCACCACATTCTTTTATGATGATGGCACCAGCTAGTGGATGTCTCAGCCTTCTACCAGGTTGCTGGGTTGGCTGGTTTATGATTTTAAGAGTTTGTAATTTAAGTCAATCTGTATTTTGAAAAATTAATATCCAGAAAACTTTTTTTAACATGCTATGTGAAACAAAAATTGAATAAACATTTAATTTTCATTCAAAATTTACTTCTTGGGAGTGAGTACAAGAAAACCTCTTTTTCAACCCTTAAGTATATTATTTTTCTCCTTTTAAAGAAAGATCCATCTTGGTCTAGTATAGAATATTCTGCTCAAAACTTTTGGCTTACTCCTGGTACATGATTTAAGTGGCTTAGTGAACATTTTCTTGTCAAAAATATAGCAAGATGTTTGAAAGCCCAGGAATAACTTTTGACAGCTGCCAAATCTTCTGAATGCAGTGAATTTGTCAAAAGCATCTTTCCAGGTAAACTTTTGTTCACCCTGTGAAGCTCAAACAGAACAAGGACAAATGATACAACAAACACAACTATGTTGGCAGAACTCTGTATTAGAAAATTAGCATTCTGCACTACCAGCCATTACCTTTCCTGGTAATAACTTTTCACCAGATAGCAAAATAATTTAAATACATTCAGGATTTTAGAGGTTCTATTATAAGAGTCCCATCATGGATAGTTCTAAAACTTTGGAATCTGAGGACTTTAAGTGCCACTTGTTTTCATCCCTGTGCCTTTGTCAGGGCTGTCTGGAAATCACCCAAGAGTTCTGAGAGCTGATAGACCAGTTGTGAGCTCCTTTTCTCAGCAGCATCTTTCAACTGGTATTTTAGTGCTATTTATGTCACATCTGAGGAAGTTGATGAGTAATTTTTACCTAATGTAGTAAAGCCTTACATTTGAGTTTTGATTTAGTCTACTATTTTGAAATAAAATGGTAGCCTTTAAAGTTGTCCAAATAATTTCTTATAATATTGAATAACTTTTAGTGAAACTTGGTAGAGAGTGAATATGAGGAAATTTGATTGCTTTGAGAGGAGTTCTTAGTTCACATGATACTACTTTACTTTTAAAAGTCTAAAAAAAAAAAAAAAAAGGCCGGTCATTGGTAAATACCTGTAATCCTGTATATCTCATGCCTGTAATCCCAGCACTTTGGGAGGCCAAGACAGGTGGATCACTTGAGGTCAGGAGTTTGAGACCAGCCTGGGAAACATGGTGAAACCCCATCTCTACTAAAAAAAAAAACAAAACAAACAAAAAAAAACTTAGCCATGTGTGGTGGCACACGCTTGCAGTTCCAGCTGCTCAGGAGGCTGAGGCACGAGAATTGTTTAAACCCAGGAGGTGGAGGCTGCAGTGAGCTGAGATCATGCCATTGTACTCTAGCCTGGGTGACAGAGAGACTCCGTCTCAAAAAAAAAAAAAAAAAAAAAAAAAAAGTCTAAAATAAAGACTCTAAAAACTTAGGTCAACTATAGGTGGTATGTGAGGGTAGCAGTGAGATGCCCACAAATAACCTAGAAATGAGGTAGATTAATTAAATATAAATAAATTAGACTAATTACATAAAATTAAGTAGGAGGAGTTGGCCCATGGGAGTCTATAGATAAGGTTGCTGAATTAGGTAGAAATAAATTAGTCTACTTTAAATGGAAAGTGTCAGCACATGGGAACAACTCTGACTTGTCATTTAATCAGTGATATTAATATAGTGCCATCAAGAACACATTTATTACAGCACAAAAAGTGGGGTTAAGAGGCACAAACTCTGCCATTACGTGAACATCACTGTCTGGGATAAAAACCTACCTGGGGGACATAGGGTAATCATAGACAGGTGCTGTCTCATAAACAGTTCTCACTTTGACTCACACAAAATATTCCTCAGTACTATCTACCGACATTATATGCTGTGCCTGTAACTTCCTAATTACTTATCTGGCTACCTGGGATACTGGAAATAACCCATTCCAGCTACATGATGCTGAAATGAAGTTTATTGTAGGATCGTTCATAGCTCACATAATCTCTGGGAGAGTCAGAAGGGTATGCTTAGGTGCTCTGCAGCCTGTAGCAGACCTCATGATGGGATGGCTCCAGGGACAATCCCATGAATGTCACCCTTGGTCAAAGGTATACTAGTAGAGGTCACCACTGATGCTTGTATCAGTCCATCTGCATTACTATAAAGAAATATCTGAGACCAAGTAATTTATAAAGAAAAGAGGTTTATTTTGGCTCATGGTTCTGCACATCGTGCAGGAAGTGTGATGTTGGTATCTGCTTCTGATGAGGGCTTCAGGAAGCTTACAATCATGGTAGAAGGTGAAGGGCAGCCAGCATGTCACATGGTGACAGAGGAAATGAGAGGGGGAGGTGCCAGACTGTTTTAAACAACCAGATCTTGCGCAAATTCATAGAATGAGAAGTTATAATGAAGACAGCACCAAACCATTCATGAGAGAGCTGCTCCTATGGCCCAAACACCTCCCACTAGGCCTCACCTCTAACATTGGAGATCACATTTAAATATGAGATTTGGAGGAGACACACATCCAAACTATATCAGTGTTGGAAAGTACATACCCAATCATTGGCCACTGCTGCTTTAAAATCACCTTCAGTGCCATCCTCTTAAAAAAATCAGATTCTGCACAGTGCTAGGCCAAAATCTCATGTGGATATATCTCATTGGAAAAATCCAGGTCACATGGCTTTACCCTAGCTTTCAGGGAGTCTGAGAAAGCATCCTCTTCGACTCTACCTTGGGAGATGTCACTCATGAAGGGCAAAGTCTCCAAATACAGAGAGGGCAACAAAGGTCCACTGCAGAGAAAGAGCCAGATAGGGGAATTAGTCCTCTAGTTATGGGAATGCCATGTTTCCCACTGTAAATGGATACACTAACCATTTTGTATGTATTTGACTTCCTTTGGGAATAGTGAGAAATTGCAGTTTCTAGACTTGCAAGGCTGTGGAATGAACTTGAGCTGTGATAAACTCATCAACCTAGTGTTATCCTGAGTAAGCCCTCCACTGCTAGCCAACCAGCCAGCTTTCCCCTGGGGACACCTTGTTTGTTCCATATTGCAATAAAATTGTCTTAGATCTCCTATAAATCAATCCCAAGGCCAAATGGCCTGAAATGCAAAAAGAGAGCTATAGGGATAGCTTCATCAATAGAGGCTTTTTTGATAAACGTGAATCTCTACTTCCTGTGTGCTGAGGTTGGAAGTTGGAGCCATAGCAGCTGGGTTGATGAATGAGCGAATGTGCTGGGCTGTGTATGGGTGAGAGCTGTCTGCCTTGGGTGGGGGTGATGTCCATAGAGAATTTAAAAACCATAAAACCAACTAAAAGTCAGTTTGCTTTCTATTATCACTGTGTGTGGGCAATTCTACACCAGGTTGGTGATCAAAGATTTGTACCTAAACAAACTTTTGGTTGGTCTATATTTTTAAAAATTATCAGAATTACCATTGAAACTTACTAATGTATATATCAGCTTCAAATTAGCATATTTAAATTTTTTATTCTGTAATAAAGGTAGTATTCTACATGGACGTTAATTTGGAGCCTTCTTTGTCCCATAGTGGACCTCCAATGCGCATGGACTCAGCTACACATTTTATTTGAGAAAAAATGAAGAATGCCCCAGAGTTGTTCAAGCTCGCTTTGGGATCACAACATGTCTCCAATCCCTGTGACACTGCATATTTCCATGTTTAAACCGTAGGTAGATTTGAAGTAAACAATGACATTCCAGTGACTATAAAGACAAAAACCCAGAATGTGAGTTATTTTAATTCTGTCCTGCTATGTGACTACTTAGAGTTGTTATTTGTTTCTGAAGCTTCAAAGAGTAAATCCAAGGCATAACATTTTTGTTTGGTAAGTGCAAATATTAGTTCATAAATGAAATAGGTTACTACATTTAATTTTTTTTTATTTTTTATTTTTTTGAGGCAGAGTTTCGTTCTTTTTGCCCAGGCTAGAGTGCAATGGTGCAGTCTTGGCTCACTGCAACCTCTGCTCCCAGGTTCAAGCGATTCTCCTGCTTCAGCCTCCCAAGTAGCTGGGATTACAGGCACCCGCCATGACACCCGGCTAATTTTTGTATTTTTAGTAGAGACGGGGTTTCACCATGTTGTCCAGGCTGGTCTGGAACTCATGACCTTAGGTTATCTGCCCTCCTCGACCTCCCAAAGTGCTGGGATTACAGGCCTGAGCCACCACGCCCGGCCAGGTTACCACATTTTAAATAATATATTTAAAATAGAAATTTCTTCTTTTTAAATTAATTGTTTTGCTTTTTATTTTTATTTTTTTTTAATTTCAACTTCTATTTTAGATATGGGAGGTACATATACAGATGTGTAACATGGGAATATTGTGTGATGCTGAGGTTTGGAGTATGGATCTTGTCACTCTCTTTATTATTATTATTTTTTTTAGAAAGAGTCTCTGTTGCCCAGGCTGGAATGCAGTGATGCAATCTTGGCTCACTGTAACCTCTACCTCCTTGGCTTAAGTCATCCTCTTGCCTCAGCTTCCCGTGTAGCTGGGCCTACAAGCATGCACCACCACGCCCAGCTAATTTTTGTATTTTTAGTATAGACGGGGTTTCACCATGATGGCCAGGCTAGTCTTGAACTCCTTGCCTTAAGTGATCCACCTGCCTTGGCCTCCCAAAGTGCTGGGATTACATGCATGAGCAACTGTGCCTGGTGATTATTTTAAAACTAAAGAACAAACATCAAAAATAACGATTATCACTCATAGAACATTATTATAATTGAAAGTAATTTTGTTCTATGGAGAAGGAGGTGTTAGAAAATGATCTGCTCCAAGTTTCAAATATACTAGGTCCTCTATAAGGGGTTTCTCAAGGTCCCTGAGGACTTGGAATAATACTGCTGATAGTTAACCCTATTCTCGCCATGGCAAAGTGACTAACATGAGTTCGACACTGGCCCTGTGGCATTCTTTCTAGCATTTTTTTTTGACAAATATTATGCCTAAAACAAATAAAAAATATAAATAACAGCAAATCATTGCTTCCATGTTATGGCAAAGAACATAAAATTAATAATAGTAATGCTAACAAAGTATTGGATGGAAGAAGTTACTCTTTATTTGGACCTTGGTCTGTCACCATCACCTCTAGGTTCCCATTTGAATTAATAGTTCTCCCCAGAAGGGAGCCAAATCTGTGGTAGGGGCTGGATCACAACATCCCACTGTCCCATCCTCCTGTAGGGTAGATCCTGGTGTCCTATTTAGCAGATGAAGAAACCCAGGAGTGGAGAGATTAAACCATTTGTCTGATGTCACACAATTAGTTAAGTGAAAGGAGCTGGGATTTCCGGTTTCAAAGCCAGGTTTTCCCTTCTCTGTTGTGCAACCCCTGAAGTGCAGAAATTGATCACCTCAAAATGTCCAAAGAACACTTACAGTGCTCTGAGGTCTTAGCCTCATGGCTAGTCTTCTTCACCCCCATACTTTGTTGCTGTCAGAACGAAAGCATGCTTCCAGTGGCAGCCATGGGCTGTGGTGAAGTAGAAGAATAAGGGCTGCTGACATCGTGAGCACCTTCCCTTGCCCGGGCCCCACGCCGCGGCTGTCTCTGCACCTCCTCTTTGGGCCTTCACTCTGTTAGCTTCGTAAAGGAGGAAACTGAGGCTCAATGAGGAGAATCACCTCTAAGCCTGGAATCCAGGTTGTCTAGTTGCAGAGCAGATGCTCCTACCTGCTGCCTTTCTAAGATCCTCCAGCGTGTCTTGCTGCTACGTGTCTCTGTTCCTAGCCTTGATGGAAAAGTTTAGATTTTCTCTGCTTTTAGGTTTCAGTTTTAGGACTTCTATACCATTTATTGCTCTAAGGACCCGGCAGCTGTCACAGTCTCAACTTCTGCTGAGTTTTGGGATGTTCCAGTTACTTGCAAAATCAAAAACCCAGGCTTGGTGAAAAGAGGAAGGGGAAAGGTGAGGGGTGGAATGAAGGAAAAGAGGAAATCCTAGTGGGGTCTCCCCCCTCCCTCCTTTCCAAATCTGATGTAAGCATGGCTGGGCTTCTGCTAGCTGCCATTGAAATAATTTGCTTTTTTGTTGTTGTTGTTTTGCTTTGTTTCTGAGATGGAGTCTCGCTCTGTCACCTGGGCTAGAGTACAGTGGTGCGATCTTAGCTCAGTGCAACCTCCGCCTCCCAGGTTCAAGTGATTCTCTTGCCTCAGCCTCCTGAGTAGCTGGGATTACAGGCATGCGCCACCACGCCCAGTTAATTTTTGTAGTTTTAGTAGAGATAGGGTTTCACCATGTTGGTCAGGCTGGTCTTAAACTCCTAACCTCAAGTGATCTGCCTGCTTTGGCCTCCCAAAGTGCTGGGATTACAGGTGTGAGCCACTGTGCCCGGCCAATAATTTGCTTTTTACATTTCCACCTATTTATTTAATTTTTTGGATAGGCAGCATGTTCACATGGTTCAAATATCAAAATGTGTAACAGATACCCAAGGAAGAATCTTGGTTCCAACTTTGCCCCCTCCCACCCCAAATTGCCTTGTACCTCACCCAGGGGCAATCACTGTTGCAGTTACTTGTGTTTACTTCCAGTTTGGTTGCATGGGTATCCATGAAAATATAAGCAAATACTATATATGTTTATGCCCACCTCTTTTACAAAATGTGGTAGCACTTTCTACATGCTATCCTGCAATGTTAATTTAATTAGCTTTTCCGCGGAGGATGAGAGGGAGAGGAGATGAAGAATGTATGACAGCTATCCAGGGAATTTGCATAATTGCTCAGTGAATTAGCAGAATGGAGAATTTGGGGAATGTTCACTAGTTCAGACGAGTAAGAATGTATTGGACTTCTTTCTTCTTCATTTCTTTTATTTCCCTTTTCTCTTTCTTTCTCTTTCCCTTGCTTTCTTCCTCTCTCCCTTTCTTTCTTTCTTTATGTTGAAGTGGGTTACTTCTCCAGGTATTTGCTACTATCTTGACCTGCCTGAACATCGTCGACCTTGATCTTTGTGGCTGAGACACACAGCTCCCCACTGAGCAAGCCCCCTAAGTTGGTCTTACTGCACAGCCTTCCTTAAGCCAAACAGAGATGGGTTTCCACTGGCAGATCGTCTCTAGCCAAAATGCGCAGATATGTTTCTCTCGGCTTTAGTGAGAGACTCAAAGTTTATCTCTTGGAATTCATCTGCCTATCGAGTGTAATTGTGCTTGGGTAAATACTCAGCAAATAATCAAATGATTTCTGCTTCACTACTCCTGGGAATGCAAACCTTTGTGGTGCCAGTTCAGAAGAGTCCTTTGAACTGCTCTTGCCAAAACATCATGTGGGGATTCTTCTGCCAGGGCCAGCATTGTCAGATGCTGCCAATTCTTGCTCAATATTTTAACAAACATGTTGACTGGAAATCAACTGGTTAGTTGGAGGAGCTAAATCAATGTAGGAATATGGTCAATGTTGCAAAGCGAGGAATGGGACGGGAATGCTCTTCCTCATCCCTTAAACAGAGACAATTCCCTTCTCTCTGCCCTGCAGACTGGTTAAATCTAATCACCAAACGTGCCAGATGCCTGACCCTGGGGAGGCATTGGAGATAAATCTGCACTTAGTCTCTCCAGCAATTTAAAAATACTTTTGCAATAATCTGAACGAATTCCTTGAGGGAGATAACTTTTACATAGTGGATCTTTATTTTTCCTCTTATGGCCAGAGTCTCTCGTAGGCCCTGAAAAGCATCATTAACCTTTTAGGCAGTGAAATCCATTAAGCCTTAAAGTAAGTTGTTGGATACCAGTGTTTCTTCCCTACCTGGAGCCGCTCTTATGTCCTGGGTGATTTCCAGCTGCAGGTGGTTATGAACGGAAAGGTTCAGGGGCCTTTGGCTTTCAGTGTATTATTCAGGAATTTTTCCTTTTCCCAAAAACATATATTTTGAGAAATAACTTGATGTAGTGGGCTTCCACAGGATGTGGTCTCCCTCACTCTGGACCTGCAGGGAGCTGGGGGAGACTGTAGTTAGTAGCGCAGTTGGTGACGGTAAGACAAATGGTTAACGTCTTGGATTTCCTCTGCAGCCCCTACGAAAGATGTGTGGGTCAGCCCTGTAATTCACCCAGGGGTGATCTGTCACGGCGTTAGATGGGTTTCAGGCTGCACTGTTTAGACAAAGAAAAAGAAGCAGATCCTGTCCTGGATAAAGGCGGATGTGAATGATCATATTTATGGTGGGTTCTGTGTCCCTGTGTGCACATGAGGACTCTCAGGTTGTTAGGCCTCCTTCCATTCATTCCGGAGTATGTGAGGCTGCTTTAGTTTTGCCCCACAGAGAGGGAGAAAGGGGCTTCTCTGGTGAGGTCAGGCATTAGGTCTGGGGTGGGGGTAGAGAAGTTGTGTCTTCCTCTTTTCCTGAGGAGAGAATCTTATTTTTAGAATCCCTAGGCTTTGCTCAGCATTTTGTTCTCTTTCTCCTACTCCCTACCTTGAGGTCAGAAGGGCCCCCGTGGAGCAGAGGACCTGTGGGCCCGGGGGCGCTATTTTCTCAAGGCAAGTAAGTTACTTTCTTCTGGGGCTGTTCATTTTTCCATTTCCTGGAGTTCTTTCTTTTTTTTTCTTTTTCTTTTTTTTTGAGACGGAGTCTCACTCTGTTGCCAGGCTGGAGTGCAGTGGTGTGATCTCAGCTCACTGCATCCTCTGCCTCCCTGGTTCAAGCGATTCTCCTGCCTCAGCCTGCAGAGTAGCTGGGATTACAGGCGTGCACCACCACACTCAGCTAATGTTTGTATTTTTGGTAGAGACGGGGTTTCACCATGTTGGCCAGGATGGTCTCGATCTCCTGATCTCGTGATCCGCCTGCCTCAGCCTCCCAAAGTGTTAGGATTACAGGTGTGAGCCACTGCGCCAGGCCCACTTCCTGGAATTCTTTCCACCATCACTGCCTCCTTTCTGTCCTCCATGGTTTCTGGTGTCTTTGTGTCCTCAGACCATGCAGGGCCCCCATTTTTCTGACTATTTAAGGTTAGATGCAGACCAGTCCTCAGTCCTCACTTCTTCACCCTTCTTCACGACTTCTGGTGCTTTCCTGGATTTAGTTGCTTAAATCCATGCTGTGCGAAGGTCTTGATTACAGATGGCCTCTTGCTGATTTCGAATATCCATTTCAGCCTGACTTATATTTTGGAGCTGCTGCAGGAGCCGGGGTTCCTGCTGTCATGGCAAAGTCACCTTGAGCTTCCTGGTTTAATCTCTGGAAGGCTGTCTTTTGTTGTGGGTGGTTCATTTGTGTGTGTGTGTGTGTGTGTGTGTGTGTGTGTGTGTGTGTGTGTTTCATGAGGCTGGGAGGGCAGCATGCATGGCTTTGGAGTTGGAAAGACAAGAATTTAAATGCTGGCTCTCTCACTTTCTAGGAGTGGACCTGGGGCCGTTTCAGTATCTCAGGACTTGTGTGTGTGCAGTGGGGACAATAATACCTCTCTTTCCTGGGCTCCTGGAGCCTGGATTAGATAAAAGAGTGTTCACACACCACGTGGCACAGAGTAGACACGCAATTATGTTAACTTCTTTCTCCTTCCCTTTCTCTTTACCCATCTTTTTTCCCTTTTGTTACCACATTTTCATCTGCCTTTCCCATAGTCAGGACTTTACACCTGGATTGGAGTTCAGCTTCTTCGGCCTTTAGACTGCAATGCTGTTTCCCACGCCCATAGCTGTGACCCATACTGCCACTATGTATACGAGTTACTGTGTAACCTGAGCAAGTGTTAGGAATTAGTACATATATTAAAGTGTCTCCCGTAGACATTTTGCTTTAGGCAGTGATGGAGAACCCATTTGTCTCCAGGCAGATGTTGCTATTGGGCAGTCTAAAGAAAGGCTTGGCTGTGAACACAAGTAGGGATAGGCTGGCAAACACCATAGTTTACTTGTTTGGATTGGACAGGATATACACTGTCCTTTGTGGCTGCCTCCAATGAGGTCCTGGAAAGCACAAAGGAATTTCAGGCCTTGTAGCCAATCATGGCTTAGGATGCAGGGGTTGCAGATGCATCGATCTGACCACCTTCCTGTGGTTTCTCTCCAGCCTGGCTCTTTGGGGCTGAGAACTGCTGCCTCCACTGGAGGGGATTTGTGTGGAGACTGACATGTGGATGCTTGGGCAAAACCAGGCCTTAGGCATAGTTGAAATTTTAGACCATGTATAACTTTAGACTCTAAAGCGTATGTTCTCAATGGGAGCAATGTCACCCCCAAGAGGATGAAATTGGTTCTCAGAGAGCAAAATCTTTTAAATAATTTTTTTGATATAAATCAAAGGTATGTGTACAACACATGGATATACAGTATATCTGTAATGGTAAAATTTGAGGGTATTTAGGGATAAAAATGTCTAAAAAGCCTCCTAAGGGAAAAATAATGAAAAAAAAAAGATGGAGAAACGTTCGTCTTGGGCAGTGGTTCTCAGTGTTGGTTACACACTAGAATTATTGAAAGAGTTTTAAAAATGTTGATGCCTAGGCTGTACTCCAGACCAATTAGATCACAATCTCTTGGATTGGTTTCAGCCACTAGTATTTTTTTTAATTTCTTTCCCTCTTTCCTTCCTTCCTTCCTTTCTCTCTCTCTCTCTCTCTTTTTCTCGAGACAGGGTCTCCCAACGTTATGCAGGTCTTAAACTCCTGAGCTCAAGGGATCCTCCTGCCTGGGCCTCCCAAAGTGCTAGGATTACAGGTGTGAGCCACCACACCTGGCCCAGCTACTAGTATTTTTAATGCTCCAGATAATACCATTGTGCAGCCAAGTCTAGTAATTCCTATTCTAGAGCCTTGGTACTCAGAGTGTGATCCATGGGTCAGTATCGTTATCATCTCCAGGGAGTTTACTAGAAATGCAGAATCTCAGACTCTTAGGTGATTCCTGCACCTATTAAAGTTTGACAAGCACTTAGATAAATACTTATTGCTACCAAAATCTCAGAGCACTTCAGTGCAGCTGTGTTAATCAAATGTCAACATGTTTCTAGCTGTTTGTTTCCGGACCTCACTGTTGGCCTTTGGAATGAACAACCTGGTGTAATGGGAGTGGCCCTAGGCTATATTTGTGTTCTGACCTGTTGGGAAGCCCTGCCATCTCGGAAACTGAACAGACAGCTCATTCCCAGGAAGGGGACCAATGTAAGCAAAGATGGCCAAGTCTAGTCAGCTGGAACTAAGTAAGGGAGGATTCTCACTGTTAAACCAATTACTTTAGAGTTGGTAGTTCTTCAGTAAGAGGCTGGTGCATGGATGCATGGAGAGTGATGTTTGGGGCAGGACTAGCTTGGCAAGGCTACAGGATGGATGAGAACTGAGAAAGAATGGGAAGTTGGAAAATTGCTTGTATCTTGTGAGGTCTATGTACGGTCTGCAGTTCATTCATTTGTTCATTCATGTATTCATTCAACAAATATTTATTGAGTGGTCACTATTTGGATTTGATGTGGAGTAATTGTTATGGAAAAAAGAAGGATAAATGTGACAGACCTTGAAGGGAGAGCTTTGGAAATAATGATCCAAAGAAATATGCTAGGAGTAAGCTGGCTTCTATTTTTTTCTTTCTTTTTTTTTTTTTTTTTTTTTTGAGACGGAGTTTTGCTCTTGTCACCCAGGCTGGAGTGCAGTGGCACGATCTCAGCTCACTGCAACCTCCACTTCTAGGGTTCAAGTGATTCTCCTGTCTCTGCCTCCTGAGTAGCTGGGATTACAGGAGTCCATCACCAAGCCCAGCTAATTTTTGTATTTTTAGTAAAGACAGGGTTTTGCCATGTTATCCAGGCTTGTCTCGAACTCCTGACCTCAGGTGATCCACCTGCCTCGGCCTCCCAAAATGCTGGGATTACAGGCATGAGCCACTGTCCTGGCATCTATTTTCATTTCATTTTCAATTTTAAAGTATTTATTTAATATTTAATTATTGACAATGATTGTGTATATTTAAGGTGTACAATGATGGTTTAATATATGTATATACTGTGTAACAATTATCACAATCGAATTAATTAACATGCTACCCATGCTGTGCCTTAGATCACCTTATAACTTAAAGTTTGTACCCTTTGATTAACATCTCCCCATGTCTCCCATTCCTGCAGCTTCTGGCAACCACAATTCTATTCTCTGTTTCTATGACTATGACATTTTTAGTTTCCACAGATGAGTGAGATCACACAGTATTTGTCTTTCTGTGCCTGGCTTATTTCACTTAGCATAGTGTCCTCCAGGCTCATTTACATTGTCTCAAATGGCAGACATTTTTTATGTCTGCCATTTTTATGGCTGAATAATTCCAGTGTGTATGTGTGTGTGTGTGTGTACATTTTCTTTATCCATTTATCCACTGATGAACATGTAGGTTGTTTCCATATCTTGGTTATTGTGAATAGCTCTGTGACAAACACGAAGGTACAGATATCTCTTTGAGATACTGATTTCATTTACTTTGGATAAGTGGGATTATTCAACTGTGGGATTGCACTAATTGGTACAGCCATAGGGGAAAACAGTATAAAGACTCCTCAAAACATTACAAATAGAACCACTGTATATTCTAAAATCAGCTAGCTTTAATCAACTTAAAAATACTGGCTTATCTATCAAAATCTGAAGATACAAAATCTTTTTAAAATCTAAGGCTTACAAAATAGTTTTGTAAACAAATGACTTTGAAAATAAGTGGAGTTTCATGTCATCCGTGCTAATTTACAAGGAAAACATCATTTCTGGAGTATTTTGCACCTCTCGTTTTAGATGGACATAGGTTTTGGATTAGCATCTTGCAATTTTCCTTTGTTCATTGTCACAAACTATTTCTTGATGGTTTATGAAACGTTATTAGAGGGGTATAAAACTGGTGAGTCCATCACTATTCAGGCTGACTTAGGTTGTGAGCTGATATATTACCAAGGTACTCCTTGGGGTTTCTGCATCTACCTGACTACTTCATGGATAATTACTCTTAATTGTGGTTTCATAATTTAGCCAATTTATGGTTACTGGGATAAAGCATTTGAAGCTATTATGTAGCTAATGGTGTAGACATTTTCATATCTTTGTCTTTAGAGTGATAAATGTAAAAGGTGCCTAACTCTTCCACCAACATTAACTTCTCACACTTAAAATATTGAATTAAACAATTTAGTGTCCTTGACAGTGTAATAGATTTTGTTTAATAGGTAATGTCTAAACCTGGACCTAGTTCACCTCATTTTAGTGAATGTAATTTTTCCCACAAGGAGTGTTCAGTGTAAATCTATCAGACACGTGTGGAGCTATGTGACCTGGTAACAACCCCTCTGGAGGTAACATAAGAATCACTTCTATTCCCATTACCACACAATTGGTAAGGGTGACCTGGAATGATAAGAGTAATGTGAAATAAAGCAGAGGTATTTCAGTCATATGTTCCCTTATTTTCAAAAAAAGCATGCCTATTCCACATTCACAAAGAAACAGTTTATTTTGTAGTATTATATATTTACAGGGTTTCATTAACATTTCCTAAATGTTCTTCCTAGCACTGTTATGAGATTGGTCAGATTTTCCCCCTTAGTCTTTTCAAACCACACACAGAAAGCACAGAGAGATCAGACAAAGAGGAGCTTGGTTGACATCTCCTGAACAGAATGTTCTTCTATGCTGGGTTTTCCCTTACGAGCATCGAGCCACCACTCTGTGGTCAGATCACCCTGGGTTTTGACACCAGCTCTACATTCACTAGCTATTTGCTTCAATCATTTGTTTGCTCATCCAATATGCACTTATTTGAGTACCATGTTTCAGAAATGGTGACGTAGATACACAATACTTATTGACCTTGTGGAGTCTACAGTTGCCTTTAATGGATGTCACCAAATGGATGAAACCTTTATTCGTTATCTGTAAAATGGGACAATAACACCAAACTCCTGGGATGGAGGTGAGGAATAAACAAGCCAGCAGGTGCTCAATAACGATAGTTATTTCCAAATGTTTATCAGGAACCACTTAACACCATATGGATAAATGTTGCTCCTATTACAGGATTCAATGGCCCTTTCTACTTCTTGACTACAAGAAAAGGCAGTGGTAGTATAGGAAATAAGAAGTTAAAGGTGTTTTCTGGGCCCTCAAAAGTAAACACACTTTATCATTTTATGTTCTGTAAACCTTCCCAGAACATCTAGGGAACACTGTTCATAGAAAAGCCACTGCACAAAGCCTTGCTGATGAAGAATTTCATCTTTTCAACAGTGACTATGCTAAGGACTCAAAAAAAGCCCTGAATTTGTAGACAGATTCACTCCCTGAGGGCTCAATGAACTAAAAGCAATATAGCATGCCTGAGGTGACCGTTTGGTCCATAATTTTATTCAGAGTGGTGACATTGCCAGGTGACAAGAATGCCAAGTATGTTGAGCAAGCATCAAGAGATGAGGTTGGAAAGGTGGGTAGGGTGGGCCATGGAAGGCCTTGAATGACCACCATGACCACCACTGGAGAGTGGTGAACAAGGAATGACATGATTTGATTTGTGCTTTAGAAATATCTCTTTTAGATGTAGTATGGGGAAGGGCATGGGGGGTGCAGAGGTAGGTCAACAACAGTGGAGATAGATAACACACAAGGAGGAAACTGCAGCAACTCAGGTGAGCAATAATGGATCATGTGGGAGCAGAGAGAGGTAGATATTAGAGGTGCAATGAAGTGTAAAACTTGGATTTGGTGGTTGATTCTATGTGGGGCTAGGAGAGAGAATACACTCTCTGGTGACTTCCAGGTCTCTCTCTTTAGTGAACAGGTAGATAACAGATTGGATTCTATTAAGTGGAAGATTAAGTAAAGTAGAGTAGGTTTTGAGGGAAAGATGATAAGCTAAGTGTGATGCACATCTGGGATCTTGGGCAGGCTGTTGATGGGTGTGTGCGTGGGAGAGAGTAGATGAGGCCTTTGAGATTGGGGTGTCAAAAAAGAAACACAGACCAAATAAAGACCTCGGGGGTCTCGGGGAGAAATAGCAAAAAGAGAACACTAGGGAAGAACAAATTTAAGGGATGGAAAAAGTAGGTGGAGGCAAAGGGGGAACCCATGAGGTCTGTTCCTCCTTCACTGTCCTCAGTCTTGGTAAACGGTACCCAGAAATCTAGGGGTCATCTTTAACTTCACCTTTTCTCACATTCCGTCAAAACCAAGTATTGTGAGTTCTACCTCCTTAATTATCTTCCAATAAGCAGAATTTTTCTAAACAATTTTTTTTTTTTTTTTTTGAGACAGAGTCTTGCCGTGTTACCCAGGCTGGAGAGCAGTGGCGCGATCTCGGCTCACTGCAGTCTTCACCTCCCAGGTCCAAGTGATTCTCCTGCCTCAACCTCCCAAGTAGCTGGGACTACAGGCGCCTGCCACCATGCCTGGCTAATTTTTTTTTTTTTTTTGTATTTTTAGTAGAGACGGGGTTTCACTATGTTGGCCAGGCTGGCCTTGAACTCCTGACCTCGTGATCCACCCGCCTTGGCCTCCCAAAGTGCTGGGATTACAGGCGTGAGCCTGTTGTTACAGGCAGCTGGCCATAATAATTTTTAATTAGAAAAGGTTTAAGGGAATTGCTTGGAGGGGTCCCAGTACCCTGATGGTACACATGATAAGTGAATTGGATTTGGTCATTAGCAGGTGTCAACCACATTCTCTTTTAGCTGGTTTAGTGGTTTGGTGTTGGGAATGCTGAGTTACTTGTTCAACTGGCCTTCTAGGCTCGCCAGCTGGACAGATTGAATCTATTTAACCCATCCGGGTGGTGAAATTGTTCTCAACTCAGATATGGAGGTGGTTTGCAAAAGTAAGTCACTTTTCTTTTCATGTGCTGCACAAGTAAAAGACATCTGCTGGCTATTTTTAAAGCCCCAATAGTTTTATGGAATAGTATGCTGAGAAGTTGCATGTATTATACATGTTTATGCTAAATGGAATTGTGATTTCAGTTCACAGCTTTGAGCTGGCTACTTGAAGAAATCCCACAGGGAATTGTTTGGGCAGAAAAACAGCCTTTTACATGGAATCAGCATGGTTCCAGTCTATTGCATTAGGTTTGTTTAAAGGTTGTGTTTTATGAGAATCAGAGCTTTGGAATCAAAGAACCCAAGGTTCTAATATGGGTCAAATATCACCTGCTTCACCCTGGATTATGGTTTACCTGAAATTTTCATGAAAACATTGTTCTTTTCCTAGTTCAGTGTTTGTCAATATTGGCTGTGTATTAAAATCACAGGGAGAGCTTTAAAAATGTAAATGGTCTCCTGATGTCTATGCTCCTTCCAGGAACTATTAAATCAGAATTTCTCAGGGGTAGAGCTCAGGCTTAAGTATGTTCAAAGAAGTCCCCAGGTGATTCTAAAGTACAGTCAAGGTTGTGGAATCACTGCCTCTCCCTAGTTAACACACTTTGAATTTCTAGGCCAGTAAAACTTAACTTCCCCACTGGTGATGTCATTTTCAAGTTAGCAGGCTTAAATCAGTTAGTAATTATAAGGGAAGCTAAATGTAATTAAGTGTGCAATATTGAGCTCCTCAAGTGTCTTCCACTGAAATTACATTTAAAAACTGTAATATTTTGAAGGCGTCTGACAAAGAAAATGTATCCCTGAAGCTTCCATAAACACTTGACTTTCTTCTTGATTATGTCCAATTTTCATATGCCACTGGGGACCCTCTAGGTTCACCTCTGTCATCAATTAGACATCCATGTGGATCACACACATTGGAATTCTATCTCCCCTCATCGCAGTAGAGACCCCTAGAACACATCCAGTTGTCTGGTTCACTAGTATCCTGAGTCCCTCACATGGCACCCACAGAGGAGAAATTAATACACACTGCTGGAAGAAACAAAGGACCACTGATGATAAAACTTCGGACACCTAGGGCTGGAATGACCCTTAATGCGTGAAGAGCCTACCTCTCTCATTTAGCAGAGAAGAAAATTGACCCCTAATAGTTAAATGATTCACCTAGGCCCAATTCGTTAGAGGCAGAATCAGACTGGAACCTGAGTCTTTTTATAGGTGCAGTCTTTTTACACTCTACTGAGTTGCCTAACAAGATCTATAGGTGGGATTGAGATCAGTGAAGAACAGCCTGTGTTATTTAATGGCAATTTGGAACAACAAAAATAGATAACAAACTGTTAGCATAAATAGCAAAATTGAAAACAGTATTATGGTTGTGTTAGCTTTTGTGCTAAGCATTTAACGTGTAATAAATGCTGACTTTGTCCTAGATTTTTTGGCATAGTAGTGATGCAATTTTGACTGTATTATTTCTCATACATCAAGGGGAAATATTCATTCTATGAGAATTATTCTGATAGTAAGGAGCGTGAGTTTATTCTTTTGCCCATCTTCTTGTTAACAGTGACAGCTTATCCAGAGGCAGTCAAGAAACTTTACTGATAGTGTAGAAAGGCATGGTCAGATAAATGGATGGATGGAAAAGGTAATCAGAAAGAAAACTTTGTCTACAAAAGGGAAGTTTGTCCCCATACAGAAAACTCTATCCTGCATCTTGGCTTGGACAAAAGGTTTCTTTCAAGATGCACATTCATAAATAGAATAATAGTTAAAGAACTTAGCTTATTAACTGTTTACATAAAATATTAAATAAAGCTGTTGGTATGCTTTGGCTGAGAATGACCCCCAAGATTTGGAAATATCATTCAGTTATGTACATACAGTGAAGAAAGAAATTGTTTTGGCTACATGCAGACCAAGTTGCTAGAAACTTTTGGAATGAAGATGGGAGAGGGCTTAGTTGAGTCTAGAAACTCTGGGGTAGAGCCACAAATGTATGTTTCCAGCTGGGTTCCCTCCAAGTCCAGGCAGCTCTGATTCCATGTCTGTAGGCTGGACCAGCCCTGGAACCTCTGCACTTCAGGAGACAAGGGGCAGAATTCCCCAGAAGTGAACCTGAGGCCCTGGCTTCTCCCAAAGCTATTTCCTGACTTTATGTATGACTTCTTCCCAACTTTCATTTGCTTCAAGGATTTTGTCAACTAAATTAGGCCCTGAAGTCACACAGTGAAGCCAACAAGACGTATTTACCATATATCTTTGCAGGAGAAACTCTAAGAGGTAATAAAACTATTTACTCTCTGATTAGAAAGTTATGTTCTTTGCTTCATACTGACAAACTTGAACACGACAGCTCCCCTTTCATTTTGGCCTTTGGGATTTAGTGGATGTCGTCCAAAGCTCTTTAACTTTTCCAGTCATTTGAAGTTGGTTTTACTTAGAAATGTCATTTAAAGTGTATGGCTGTAGAGCTTATTAGTAAGTGTTTGGCCTGCTCATGGCTGATCTCAGAAGGCCAAGCAGAGGGTTACCAGCCAAAGGCACAGTTAGTTCTGCAAAGGGAAAAACAGAGGAGAACTGATCTTTACCTAGTGCTGACTATATGCCTGGTGCCAGGCAAGGGGCTTTCCTGTCCATGGACTCATTCATATTTCCCTGACTTTGGAACTATGTGCCAAAGACTTTGACAGTGAGAGATGTGAGTGGTATTCATTGGTGGGAATGGATGGGTGGAAGGACCGAGAGGATAGTATTAACCATCTAGATGTTTGCAGAGCAGTGCATACATCCCTGTCTCGGTCAACATGTTTGAAGGTGCAGGATGCTCAAAACTATACTCAGGGTAAGACAGAGGCCAGAGGAGGATGGAGCAGGCAGGATGTAACAACAGGGAGTGCTGAAGGCAGAGGCAAGTGGAGGATGCATTTCCTGCCAAAGGGGCAGCTACGCCTCAGCTCCAGCAGATGATGGCAGTGTCTCTTCAGCTCTGGATTTGATGAGGAAGTCAGAAATCTGAATTTCTATGTGAAATCTCCTCTTTTAAAAAACCATTATTGACCCATTAAACCACATACACCTGGACCCCAGATCTGGCAACAGCCAGCTAGCATACAGTCTGCACAGTTGGTTTCTGGAGTTCAAATCTGTACAGGCTGAAAATCAGGCAAGCGTGAGGGCTGGAGTGCTCCAGGGGAAGGCTGCAGACGGAGGACAGCTGTTGCCATGGGGCTGCTCATCTGCATCCTGCCTGGGCCTGCTGTGCTCACACCTGCTTGTCTACTCTGGCCCCTGTGGCCTGCAAGCTTTACCTCTGGGTGCTGCCTCTTTCTGCAGTTGACTGGGGAAGAGGGGCTACTGGGAATATGGGCACTAAAGTGTTTGTTCTGTCCCCACGTCAGTGAGGGCTGAGCTCACTCCGTGGGCTCTGGTTACATTATTCAGTGACAGCAAAAAGGAAAACAGTTCAACTTCTTATTGCACTGTCACCTCTTCTCAGTCTTCTCATCCTCTGCTCGGCCCAGCCTTCCATCACTTGTGTAAATAATTGCCTGGATTAAAGGCCCTCTGCTGAAAATACTCAAGTGGCTGGGAGCAGTGGCTCATGCCTGTAATTCCAGCACTTTGGGAGGCCTAGGCGAGAGGATTCCTTGAACTGAGTTGTTCAAGACCAGCCTCAGCAACATGGTGAGACCTCATCACTACTAAAAATTAAAGGAAAAACAAGCTGTGCATGGTGGCAAGTTCCTTTAGTCCCAGCTGCTCAAGAGGCTGAGGTGAGAGGATTGCTTGAACCCAGGAGTTTGCAGTGAGTCATGATGGCACCCAGCCCGGGTGACAGAGCAAGACCCTGTCTTCAAATAAATAAAATATTCAAGTGGTTTCTATTTTCTAATTAGACTCTGATGCAATGGAATTTTCATATCACATGTTAAGAATTATGTATTAATTTAGAAATAGTGTTTTTCCCATTTCCATTTATTCAATGTCTTCATATTGTTTTTGTCCTTAACATAATCATTTGCTTGTCACGTAACTCAGTTTTTCACTATACAGTTATATTCATTTCTATTAAAGTTGTTTAAAGAAAGAACTTTGGGAATTGATCCATAGTGTTTCCACAGGTAGTCTTATCCTAAATCAAAAGTACTTTTTTATAATATTAAAATGTATTTCCATTCACCCTGCTGATGTATTTTTGTGATTGCTACAATATTGTCTTACAGTATTTTTTAAGATTACCTTTATTGAAATGTAATTTAATTTATATAAAAGATAAACATTTTAAGTGTATGATTTGGTGAGCTTTGACAAATGCATACACTTCTGTAGCCACCAACACAGTCAACAAATAGAAAACTTTCATTATCTCCAAAGTTCCCTCAATCCCACTTGTGGTCAATCCCCACATCCTTGGGCCCCGCTGACTGCTTGTTTGCTTTCTGCCACTCCAAATTAGCTTTCTTCTTTTCTAGAATATCATATAAAAGGACTCCTATGTATGTTTTCTTAGTGTCTGCCTTCTTTCAGCCCAATAATTTTGAAATCTAGTCATGCTATGTGTATCAGTACATTAGTTTTTTTTCTTGCTTAATAGAATCCATAATATGGATTAAGTGAAATGTGCCTATCTATTTACTTTTGGTGGATATTTGAGTTGTTTCCAGTTTGGGGGATTATAAGTGAAGCTGTTATGACAATACAAATATAAGTCTCCTGGTGAACATATATTTTTATTTTTTTTTAGTAAATATCTAGGAATGGGATTGTTGGGTCGTATGGTAGGTATATGTTTAACTTTACAAGAAAGTGTCAAATTGTTTTCTCAAGGTAGTTATACCATTTTAGATTATCACCAACAATGTGCAAGAGATGGAGTTGTTTCCCATCCTCTCCAGCAACTAGTATTATCAGTCTGTCTCATTTTAGCCTTTCTAGTATATATGCAGTAGTATCTCAGGAGGGTTTGGATTTGCATTTCCCCTGTGACTAAGGATGCTGAACATCTTTGCTTTGTGTGTTGGGAATTGGCACATGTTTGTTCATTTGTTTTTGGTAGTGTGTGTATTTATTTATTTGTTTGTTTGTTTGTTTGTTTATTTTTGAGATGGAATCATCTTCTGTTATCCAGGCTGGAGTGCAGTGGTGCGATCTCAGCTCACCGCAACCTGGGCCTCCCAGGTTCAAGCAATTCTCCTTGCTTCAGCCTCCCGAGTAACTGGGATTACAGGCACATGCCATGCTTGGCTAATTTTTGTATTTTTAGTAGAGACACGGTTTTGCCAAGTTGGCCAGGCTGGTCTCAAACTCCTGACCTCAGGTGATCCTCCCACTTCAGCCTCCCAAAGTGCGGGGATTATAGGTGTGAGCCACCATGCCCGGCTGCGTCTGTCTTTTTTTTTTTTACAAAAATTTTATTTCAGTAGATTTTTTTGGGAACAGGTGGTTTTTGGTTATGTGGATAAGTTCTTTAGTGATGATTTCCGAGATTTTGGGGCACCTGTCACCTGAGCAGCGTACACTCTACCCAATGTGTAGTGTTTTATCCCTCATCCACCTCCTACCCTTCCCTGTGAGTACCCAAAATCCTTTTTTTCTTTTTGAGACAGAGTCTCGCTTTGTTGTCCAGGCTGGAGTGCAGTGGTGCGATCTCCGCTCACTGCAACAGCTGCCTCCTGGGTTCAAGCGATTATCCTGGCTCAGCCTCCTGAGTAGCTAGGATTACAGGTGCCTGCCACCACGCCCAGCTAATTTTTGTATTTTTAGTAGAGACAGGTTTTCACCATGTTGTCCAGGCTGGTCTGGAACTCCTGACCTCAGGTCATCTGCCCACCTCGGCCTCCCAAAATGCTGGGATTACAGGTGTGAGCTACCACGCCTGGCCCCCAAAGTCCATTATATCATTCTTATGCCTTTGTAACTGCATAGCTTAGCTCCCACTTATAAGTGAGAACATGCAATATTTGGTTTTCCATTCCTGAGTTACTTCACTTAGAATAATGGTCTCCAACTCCATCCAGGTTGCTGCAAATTGGCACATGTTCTTAGAAAGTGTCTGTTCGAGGCTGGGCGAGATGGCTCATGCCTGTAATCCCAGCACTTTGGGAGCCCGAGGCGAGTGGATCACCTGGGGTCGGGAATTCGAGACCAGCCTGACCAACATGTAGAAACCCCGTCTCTAATAAAAATACAAAAAAATTAGCCAGGCGTGGTTGCACATGCCTGTAATTCCAGCTAATTGGAAGGCTGAGGCAGGAGAATCGCTTGAACCCGGGAGGCAGAGGTTGCGGTGAGCCGAGATCACACCATTGCACTCCAGCCTGAGCAACAAGAGCAAAACTCCGTCTCAAAAAAAAAAAAAAAAAAAAAAAAAAAAAGAAAGTTCCTGTTTGAATCTTTTGCTGATCAAATACATTGGGTTTTTTATTGTATTATTAATGAATTACAAAATATATATTCATGTATATGTATATATACTCAATATAGATATATTGAATATTCTCTTTGATTCTTTGACTTGCCTTTTTATTTTCCTAAAGCTATATTTCATAAAGCATATGTTTTAAATTTTGATAAACTATAATATATCAATATTTTATGGTTTGTGCATTTTCTTAAGACATCTTTGTCTACTCCAAATCTGAAGATTTTCCCCTACGTTTTCTTCTAGGACTTTCATAGTTTTAGTTTTTAGTTTAGATCTAGGTCCCACATCAAATTCATTTTTGTGTTATGTATTCAGGTAAGAGTTGAGATTTTTTCCCCCAGATGGATATCCAGTTGTTTCAGCCTCCAGTATTGCTTTTTAAAGTGATCTTTAAGGGGCTTGTTTATGACAACCTTCAACCCTTTCCATTGTGAAGTCATGTAATTACTAAATCTACATTAAGCATTTACCCCATATGAATGAGGAAATACATGGCATTTATTAGGTCCTGTTTCCTGCAGGTCTTTCCTGAGCACACAGAAGATCAAGACCACACTCACTGACTTCTCATAGTCAAGCAATTTTGGCCAATTAAATGTCAGTTGGAAACTCCTGTGTCAGCTTCTCTGTGGCGGTGAGAAGTCCCTGTGTGACATCCCAACTCTCCCCTCACCTGCGTTGGCAACCAAGAAAGCCTTGTGTTGGAGGTGGGGCCACAAGTTTAAAGCTAAGTTACCACCTCGAGGGCACATTCCTGGAGAGCTTCCCAGGCCCACAGTGGCACGTGTATGAGTGACAGGTAAATTTTTATATGTTAAGCCTCTGAGATTTCAGAGTTAATTTCTTACTACAGCATGGTCTATTCTATGTACTGGTTAATATACTTCCTTCTTTCTTAAGGTAACCTCTTTAAGCAATTAAACTACCATTGGTTATGATTTTTCAGGCAAATGTGGCTTTGCCAACAGTAAGGTGAGGTAGTACTTCCATACTATGAGAAAATTTCCTTTTTTTAAAAATTTTTTGAGACAGGGTCTCACTTTGTCACCCAGGCTGGAGTGGAGTGGCATGATCACGGCTCACTGCAGCCTCCCATGCTCAGGTGATCCTCTCACCTCTGCCTGAGTAGCTAGGACTACAGGTGCCCGCCACCACACCTGGCTAATTTTTGTATTTTTTGTAGAGATGGGGTTTTGCCATGTTGCCCAGGCTGATCTCAAACTCCTGGGCTCAAGTGATCTGCCTGCCTCAGCCTCCCAAAGTGCTGGGATTACAGGCATGAGCCACCGCGTCCAGCCCTATGAGAGAATTTCTAAGAAATAGAATAAAAGGACTTTGAATAAAAAAACCATCTTTCTTGTTTGAGGGATGATTTAGGGGGAAAAGCCTCACCTCATACTTGGGCATATATCATTTGATTTTACAATAATAGGATTGTAAATCTTGAAGTTTTGAGACACAGTGCTGCAGCTAGAGGATGAAAATATGTTGGTGCAGTGCCCAAATCTACAGCATAACATATGACCCGTATAAGCTGCCCATCAACACTTCCTCTTTCCATAAACTATATTTCCTGCAATAGAAACATTCATAGGAGACCCAGGCTTCAAATATTTCCTGGATGTCCAAAGGCACATCTGGAGGAAATCCTATAGGAGGTTCCTATAGGTCCTAAAAGATACAGCCTGAGTTCTAGATCTGATACATTGTAAAAGTCAAGTACAAAGTCTGTTTCAATGCTCTGCCATCATCTCTCCAGAGAAAACAGCAGAGTTCAGGAGAACCTTTTTGTTTTCTTCTTTGTTTTCTGAAAACAACAATAATGCTGGTTTATTCTGATTTGGTTCAAGAGAAGCAGTATGAATGGACAGAATCCTGGATGGGAAGTTAGGAGTCACGGGTTCTGGGTCTGGCTGTGTGGTCCAGGGCAAATTGCCTACTCCTCTTTGGAACTTGGTTTCATCATTCGGAAATAAAAGACTGAGTTTGTATTAGATTCCTAGTTGGAGATTAGAAGGGGTTATCATACTATTTGTAATATTTCAAAAAGTCTACCAGAAATAGTACCTATTTTCTGATGAGGGTGCACAGGGTTAGCAAAACATCACATTTCTTAACACTTTGACTGTATGTTTTTGAACTCGACAGAGTAGCATTAGTTATCTCCTGTTGAATTAAAACAGGGTTTAAAAATTATATATGTCTTGGCCAGGCGCCTGTAATCCCAGCACTTTGGGAGGCCAAGGCGGGTGGATCACCTGAGGTCACGAGTTCAAGACCAGCCTGACCAATATGGAGAAACCTCAACTCTACTAAAAATACAAAAGACTAGCCAAGTGTGGTAGCATGCACCTGTGGTTCCGGCTACTTGGGAGGCTGAGACAGGAGAATTGCTTGAACCCAGGAGGCGGAGGTTACGGTGAGACGAGATCAAGCCACTGAACTCCAGCCTGGGAGACAGAGCAAGACTCTCTCAAAAAAAAAAAAAAAAAAACCATATATATATATATATATACACACACACACACACACACACACACACACACACACACACACACACGTCTTTAATACCAACAGTAGCTAGCATTTGTTGAATGCTTACAATGTGCTCAGTGCTGGTGTAAATATTAGACCCAAGGGAAATCTTATTATATTCTCCAAAGCAGACAGTACTTTGGCTGCATTCACTATTCTTTGGTTGATAATTTCTAGCTTTATGGTATTGTGGTCAGCTGTTAGACTTGGTTTTTAAATGCCTCCACATAATGTAAGTGAAGTAGAGTATATATGGACATCATAGTTCCTTCTTGTAAGAAGTCATTATGAAGATGATAATGGAAATATTAAACCCATGAAATTTATATGTCAGTCATCTCTAAAATATGGAAGAAATTGACAAGTCAATTTTTTTCAGTATCTGAAGTGAATCTGCTCACTACAAAAATGAGGGCTCTTCCTGATTGTTTAATAAAGCAGAAATAGACAGACCCAAATACACTTATTCCAGAAGCATCGATTAGGTCTGCCCTTGGTGCAAAGCAAAGTATTTGGTGGACAAGAGAGTGAAGGTTAGTGTGGGATAACAGTAGTTAATTTCTAGGAATTTGTAACTGATTAGATAGTTGTTCTGGTTGTTTGTTGCTGTGCAATGAACCATTCTAAGACTCAGTAGCTTAAACAGCTGCTATTTTGCTCTCCTCCACGAGTCTGTGGGTCAGGAATTAGGGGAGGGTACAGCTGGGTTATTCTTCACCTCTCTGTGCCATCAAATGAAGCTACTTGATGATATTCAGCTGGTGAAAGGCTGATCTGCAGGCTCCAAGCAAGTTTCCCTCACAACTCAGGCACCCTAGCAGTCATGCTAGAAGGCAGGGTTCAGCTGGGGCCATCTACCAGAATGCCTGCACATGGTCTCACCTGCAAGGCAGCAGTACCAGGGTAGTCAGATATTTTGCACTATGGTGCAGGGCTTCAGGAGTGTATTCTGAGTCATCTGGGTAGAGGTTGTGAAGCTTCTATAATCTAGACTCAGAACATCACTTCCACCACATCCTGTTGGTCAAGCAAGTAATTAAAGTCAGCCTAGCTTCAAGGGGAGGAGAATTGGACTCCACCTCTTAATGGCAAGAATGGTGAAGAATATATGCCCTTCTTTAATTTATGATAGTGTTCACACCAAAAATACTGCAAAGAATTAGTAAGAGTGCAGTTGCATGACTCCTGGCAAATACATATAAGGGCCCACTTGTAAGGGCTGGGGATCATAATTTGCTGAGAGAAAGTGGAGTCAAGAAGTGAGGCAAGTAAGATGTTATCAAAAGTGCTTTGGAAAGGTCCTTGTTCCTTGGCCTGTGTGTTAGAATGCATGTGTGAGTCTCTAGGCTTCCTTGTACTGTCTGTAGTCTTTGCAGGGTTTGTAATTTATGAGGAGGCAACTCCAGAGTGGATGGCTCTGAAATAATCACATAGCCTTAAAAATTTTCCAATCTCATTGCCTTGTCTTCCAGGGAAGCACTTTGGAAGTTTACTAAATGAAACCAGCTGTCATTTTTATTTGTCAGCATTCAGTGTTACTTAGCTAGGGCAGGTGGCCAGTGGCTTTAGAGGCTTCTGGCACTAGCATTAGCCAGAGGTCACATGTACTCGTGGAGAATATCATTGAACAGACCCACCTGGAGGAGAGTGTCCATTAACTGCAATAGGTTACAAGGGAACAACCATTCGTTCAAATAGGGCCATCCCCTACCATCACCAGGGGAGCCACGGTGTCTGTTGAGAAGGCCTTTAGCAAGGTACTTCCCAGAAAGTGGAGGCATATGCAGATAACTGGCATATGCTTCCTAGCATCACCTCTCCCATCCCCACTCCCTCTGCTGCTACCACACTCAGCCTCTAACAAAATCACATAATTTCTTTCCAAGTCCAGGCTTTTTCCTCTGTACTCTTTAGGTCAGCTGAGAGAGGCCAACATCTTCTAAACAAAATTTGTCAAAGAACATAAGGCAAGAAGACATGCTCTTGGAAAATACAAATTATGTAATAGAACTCAAGTTTCAAGGTACAGTTTTCTGACCCCAAGGCAACTATGGTCTACCCCCAGAAGGCTGGATTGAGGCTCTAGCATTTTGTTTCTCCTCTAACTTGTCTTTCTGATTCCCAGGAGATGTGTTTATGTGCCACCTCATTTGGTTTTCTGCACAAATGCAAAAGACACTTTTTAATGCTAATATATTTTCCTCCCTGATTTGACTTGAACTCCCTTGTTACTCATGGGCCTCTCACCCATTACTTTGTTCATGGCCAGCTGGCAGAGCTGTGGAGGAGCTAGACAGAGCAGGTCCAAGCTCCAAACTCCATCTAGTTTCTAGTCTTTCCATGACTCACTAAAAAGGCATCTTCCCTGGTTTCCAGAACACTGTAGGTTCACTGGGTCTAGCATGGTGATCAAGAGTGGAGGCTTGGGACACAGATTAACTCTCTACCTGTCTCCAGTTATATCACTTTTGACCTTTACTTTTTCATTTGTAAAACAGAAATAATAATACATACTTCATAGGGTTGTTCTGCATATTAAGTTACACATACAGGATATTTTAGAAAAATTCTTGCCACAAATGTTCAAAAAATGTTAGCTGCAATGATGATGATTAAAGAATGCCTTGAGTGTAACTACAGAATATGATGTAGTAATGGCTTCCTGAACATTATCTCAGAGAGGAACAGAGCTTTTACTTCTTCAGGAAACAGCCATCCCTCCTGACTCCTGAGATGTGGACAGCATAGAAAGAGATAGTTTTAAATAGCACATATTGAACTCTGTGTTGTAAGGGCATGGGAAGCTGGAGGGTGAGGAGGGGGAAGTGGGAAGTTGGCATTGAGTGTGCTTGCCTTGTGCTAAGTGTTATGAAACATGAGTTCCATGTATATGTCTCATGAAATTGTCTAAGCAACAGAGTGAGGTAGTATTCTTACCCCACCATAGTTGAAGAAAAAGGGGCACAGACAGAGTAAATTGCACAAAGTCTTGTAACTAATAATGATGTAGCTAAGATTCCAGTCCAGGAATGTCTGGCTGAAAGTCTTCTGTTCTTTCCTCCATATCATCGTGGACATTAGGATTATGTGAGGGCCCTGGTGTTTCTCTTGATCTGGCTGGAAAAAATTCTCAAAGTATCAGAGTAAAGAAGAATGTGAAAGACAAAGCCAAACAACAACAACAAAATACCAACTGCCCTCTGGCCAAAAAAAAACTCAAACCACCCCTTGACTTAGAAAAAGTTATGCCCTTGGCTAACTTCAGTCAGCATTTTCTTTTAAGGTTGAAGTTAGACTCTGTCAATATCATTTTTAGACAAAGAAATGGTAAACTTTAAATAAGCAGGCATTTCAGGACCCATATTTTTTTTTAAGCTGTAGCTAGACTACAAATGCTGTTGACTAAAAAAAAAAAAAAAAAAAAAAAAAAGAAAAATCTATTTACAACCAATGCTGTGCTCTGCTCTGCTGTTCCATTCTATTCTTATCTGTTCATTCATTTATTCATTCCCTAAATATTAACTGAGGGTCTTTAATATAATGGGTACTGTTTTTGGTGTGATGGATTTACTATTGTAGAATTCAGTGTGGTATGTAGAATAATGACACCCTCCTCCCACAAAGATACCCATGTCCTAATCCCCATATCCTGTTAATGTGCCACCTTGCATGAAAAAAGGGACTTTGCAGATGTGATTAAATTAAGGATTTTGAGATTGGAGAGATTATCCTGGATTATCTAGGTGGGCTCAATGTAATCATAAGAGTTTTTATTAGAGGAAAGGATGAGTCAGAAAGAAGGCGATGTGATGATGGAAGCAGAGGTTAGAGTGATGTGCTTTGAAGATGGAGTAAAGGCCGACTAGCTAAAGAATGAAAGTGGCCTCTAGAATCTTGTATAGCAAGAAAACAGATTCTCCCCTGACAATTTCAGAAGAAACACAGCCCTATCAACACCCTAATTTTTACTCTCATAAGACTCATTTTGGACTTCTGACATCCACAAATCAAAGATAATAGATTTGTGATTTTTTTTAAGTGACTAAGTAGGGTTACATGTTACAGCAGCAATAGGAAACTAACACAGTCAGGATAGCTAGAGTATGGTACAGTAACAAACAGCCTCCAAACCTCAATGACTTAATACAACGAAGATGTATTTCTTATTTACATTAGAAGTCTAGTGAGGGCCGTCAGGGGGCTCTGACCATTGTCACCAGCCACTTACCCAGCATGATGAAGACTCCATCAGAACATGCGCTTCTGTAACCACTTCATCTTTATTTGGCAAATCACACACTAGTTCATAAACCTTCCTCCTGGAAGAGACACACACACTTTGATTCAGCTTTTATGTGATCAAAACAAATCACATGTCTGTGCCCAACTTTAATTGGAGAAGGGACATCTAATCCTACATATGGAGAAGAGGGGAACTTGAAATTTGGGACCAGCCCTGGTGACTCCCCCAACTAAAGAAGAGTCAAGATCCCTAGGCTCATGAAATTTGTGTTCCTTGGAAGATAGGGACTAACAAACAACAAAAACAACCCTAGTAAATAACAAATGGGTCAATTTCAGATCTTGATAAATGTTATGGAGAGAAGAAAATAGGGTAACGTGACAAAGTAACTGGTGGCTGGTCGTCGAGGGAGGACTATGAAGATGTACATCTGAATTGGGAGATGAATGACAAGGGTCAGTCATGTAATGGTCTTGAGACAGCATGGTCCATAGGGATCCAAAATAACTATTTTCCATTCTACATTAAGAAAAAACAAAAACATTGGGGAAAGATATTTCATTCAATCTGTTTCTATGAGACTGAACAAGTCTTAATGGCTGAATGAAGATTGATGGTACACAATGGCTCTCAGACTGAAGAAGATTTCTTTACAAAGTTTTAATAAACCAGGATTTTCTATAAAATGGAATGCCCTTCCTGCCACTGGAGCCTGGAGCCATTCAATTTAGATGGGTTTCCAAAAGACTGGTTAACATTTCCCTGGAAATGACAGGAAGGAAAGTCAGACAGTGAAGGACTCAGCAGGGAGGAATGACTGAGCAAAGGAACTTGCTGCAGTGCTGGACTTGAACTCCTTGGCTGCATGACTCATTTAAAGCACCCAAGGTTTTGTCAAGGGAAGGTAGTGGTGAATAGACGGGAGAAGAGTCCACTGGACATCTGCGATAAACTAGCTGCCAGGAAAAATTGTCAAAACATCCAGAGTATTAGCAAAGGGTCAGGGGCTTCTGTTCTGGACACATCCAGAAAAATAAATAGCTTTGGATCTTGTTGGGTGAAGTTGGAAGAAAAGAGGATTATGCTCTCTAATGGAAGGCGCAATCCCGGAGAGCTTTAAAACCCAGGGAAAGGAGACATTGAAAGGCAAACTCTCTCTGGAGAATGGAGCAAGAACAGCCTAAGGTCATCTTAGCTCCTTCACCAAGACACTGCAGTGGGGTCTGCAGTAGGAACATGATGCCTGCTCACAGTGTGACCTAGAAAAACCCGGCTCCTCTGTTCATCTGGCCCGTGTTTCCCTCTGGGTCACTAGGAGCCTGCCTCTCCCCCAGGTGCGTTCTTCTTCATGGAGGAGTCTTGGAGACCTCTCCTGCCCTTCCCCTTCAACAGCCGACAGCACAGGGCCAGATGCTGCCCACCCATCTTTGAAAAACCTGGACATTCTCCTGACTGTCATCAACAAGTGAAAGGACTCATTCTGGAGTAAGGGAAAGAGGATGAGATTTAGGATTAGGGAAACTGGGTTTGGATCTTGACTTTTCTTTGGCTGAGACTCTTTCACAGAGTTTCGATAAATCAGGATTTATTGAAGTGAAGTGCATGTCTCACTACCATGTAACCTAACTGAGACCTTCTGGCTGACCCAGCAAATTCCTTCTCATCTGCCAGTGGGCTACAGCCACTGTCTTTGTCCCTGTGATTCTTTTGTGGATCCCTTTCAAAACCTTATTTTGTGACCCGCTTGCTGCCTGATGATCACATTTGGTAATATCCTTCTCCTTAGGAGCAACTTTGACCCCTAACGACGTGGCAAACCTTGTCCTATGCATTCAATAAGACAGACCTGTTAGATAACTACTTCATAAATCTAAATGTTGAACAGGAGACACATCGTTTGGGGTAGCATATAAGAAGCAGGCTAGAGTTGCTACTTAAAATCAAATATCAAATTCTAAGCAGTTGCCAGGGATTGGCGTGCTGGATAAAATGTGGATTCTTGGCAAGCAGAATTAGGCTCTCTTCTTGTAGCAGATGCCTCTCATGTCCCACATCACGTTCCATTGGCCCATCTCTGATTTCATCTCTAGTTTCAGTGAGCAGTTCTGGGTAAGCTTGACAATGTTCCACCTCAAGCGCATGCCTGGGCCTTCTCTGATGTCATGTAGCCCACTTGTATTAGTCCATTCTTGCATTGCTATAAAGAAATACCTGAGACTGGGTAATTTATAAAGAAAAAAGGTTTAATTGCTCATGGTTCTGCAGGCTGTACAGGAAGCAAGATGCTGGCATCTGCTTGGCTTCTGGGGAGCCCTCAGGAAACTTATAATCATGGTGGAAGGCAAAGCAGGGAGCCAGCACTTCACATGGCTGGGAGCAGGGGCAAGACAGAGAGAGAGGGGCAGTGCTACACAGTTTTAAACAATCAGATCTTGTGAGAACTCACCGTAGTGAGAACAGCACCAAGGGAGATGGTGCTAAACCATTTGTGAGAAAGCACCCGATGATCCAGTCACCTCTCACAGCCCCCACCTTTAACATTGGGGATTACAATTCAACATGAGATTTGTGTGGGGACATAGATCCAAACCATATCACGCTCAACCAGCATGAAAACAGCCTGGCAGTGAGGAGAGGCCAGTGCTCCTAGGACCAGCTCTCAAAGGAAGTGGACGCCTGAAAATAAATGCTCCAGAAGCCCTTTGCTCAGATGGGCTATTCTGGGAGCTCTCAGAATCGGGAGGTTTTGGCAGAATCGATCTGTTCCCAGTTGTGGCCTTTCATTACCCTGTGTGGAAGGGAGAATAATGGATCCCTAAGATGTTCTAATATGAATCCTCAGAACCTGCGAATATGTTAATGGGCAAAGGGATTTTTCAGATGTGACTAAATTAAGGATATGGATTATCCAGGTTGGTCCCATGTAATCACAAGAGTCCATTCAAGAAGGAGGCAGGAGGGTCAGAGAAAGAGATGTGACAATAGAAACAGAGGTCAGAGTGATGCAGCCATGAGCCAAGGAATGCAAGCAACAAAAGCTGAAAAAGGCAAGGCATGAATTCTTCCTTAAATTCTCCAGAAGGAAAGCAGCACTGCCATTACCTTGATTTTACCTCCATATATTACTTTCATAGGGCTATTCTAACAAAATGCCACTATATTGTAATTTTTTACAGCAGCAATAGAAAACTAATACATGTCCCAAATAAACTACTGTATATAAGTCCTCTCTGACTCTGCTTTTAGGCGTTCCTGTATGCATATCTTGTTGTATTGAAACTTTATTGTACTGTACTTTGCAGATATTGCCTTTTTTTATTTTCCAAATTGAAGGTTTGTGGCAATGCTATGTTGGGCAAGTCTATCTATTGGTGCCATTTTTTTGAGACAGGGTGTTGCTATGTTGCCCATGCTGGTCTTGAACTCCAGGACTCAAGTAATCCTTGTGCCATTTTTTCCACCAGCATGTGCCCACTTTGTGTCTCTGTGTCATAGTTTGGAAATTCTCCCAACACTTCACTTATTATATCTGTTATGGTGATCTCTGATCAGGGATCTTTGATATTACTATTGTAATTGTTTTGGGGCACCACAAGCCATGCACATATAAGATGGCAAACTTAATCAATAAACGTTGTGTGTGTTCTGAGTGCTTTACCAACCACTTGTTCCTCTGTCTCTGTTTCTCTATGTCTCCTTGGGCCTCCCAATTTTCTCAATTTCCTGAGATACAATAATATTGAAATTAGGCCAATTAGTAACCCTACAGTGGCCTCTAAGAGTTCTAGTGAAAGAGTCAGATGTCTCCCACTTTAAATCAAAAGCTAGAAATGATTAAACTTAGCAAAGAAGTCATGTCAAAAGCCAAGATACAATAAAAGCTAGGCCTCTTGCACGTAACAGGTAAGTTGTGAGTGCAAAGGAAAAGTTCTTGAAGAAAATTAAAAGTGTTACTCCAGTGAACACATCAATGCTAAAAAGCGAAACAGCCTTATTGCTGATATGGAGAAAGTTGCAGTGGTCTGGATAGAAGATCAAACCAGTCCCAACATTCCTCTAAGCCAAAGCCTAATCTGGAGTGAGGCCCCAACTCTTCAATTCTGCGAAGGCTGAGAGAGGTGTGAAAGCTGTTGAAGAAAAGTTGGAAGCCAGCAGAAGTTGGTTCATGAGGTTTAAGGAAAGAAGCCATCTTAACATAAAAGTGCAAGGTGAGGCAGCAAATGCTGACGTAGAAGCTGCAGCAAGTTATCCAGAATGTCTGACTAAGATAACTGATGAAGGTGGGAACACAAAACAGATTTTCAAAGTAGATAAAACAGCCTTCTATTGAAAGAAGATGTAATCTAAGACTTTCATAGCTGGAGAGGAGAAGTCAATGCCTGGCTTCAAAGGTTCCCAGGATGGGCTGAATCATTTGTTACGGACTATTGCAGCCTGTGACTGTAAGTCAGTGCTCATTTACCATTCTGAAAATCCTGGGGTCCTTGAGAATTAGGCTAAATCCACTTTGCCTGTGCTCTATAAAGGGAACAACAAAGCCTGGATGAAAGCACATCTATTTATAGCATGGTTTCCTGAATATTTTAAGCCCATTGTTGAGATTTGCTGCTCAGAAAAAAAGATTTCTTTCAAAATATTATTACTCAATGACCATGCACCTAGTCATCCAAGAGCACTGATGGAGATGGACAAGGAGATTTATGTTGTTTTCACTCAGGCTTACACATGTCCATTCTGCAGCCCATGGATTGAATACTAATTTTGACTTTCAAATGTATTTAAGAAATACATTTTTTTTTTGAGATGGAATCTTACTCTGTTGCCCAGGCTGGAGTGCAGTGGCAAGATCTCGGTTCACTGCAACCTCTGCCTCCCAGGTTCAAGTGATTCCCCTGCCTCAGCCTCCCGAGTAGCTGGGATCACAGACATGCGCTACCACACCCAGCTGATTTTTTTTTTTTTTTTGGTATTTTAGTAGAGACAGGGTTTCACCATGTTGGCCAGGCTAGTCTCGAACTCCTGACTTCAGGTGATCCGCCCCCCTCGGCCCCCCAGAGTGCTGGGATTACAGGCGTGAGCCACTGTGCCTGGCCAAGAAATACATTTCTTAAGTCCCTTATGGCTATATCTGTCATAAACAGTGCTTCTTTTGATGGATCTGGGCAAAGTAAATAGAAAACCTTCTGAAAGGGATTAGCTATTTTAGATGCCATTAAGAACACTTGTAATTCATGAGAGGAGGTCAAAATATCAACATTAATAGAAGTTTGGGAGAATGGATTTTGACTCTCATGTATGACTTTGAGGGGTTTGAAACATCAGTGGAGGAGTGACTTCAGAAGTGGTGGACATAGAAAGAGAACTCGAATTAGAAGTGGAGCTTGAAGATATGACTGAATTGCTGCAATCTCATAATAAAACTTGAACAGATAAGTTGTTTCTCATGGGTAAGCAAAGAAAGTAGTTTCTTGAGTTGGAACCTGATATTGATGAAGATGCTATGAACATTGTTGAAATGAGAACAAAGAACTCAAGATATTGTGTAAACTTAGTTGATAAAGCAGCAGCAGGATTTGAGAGGATTGACTCTAATTTTAAAAGACGTTCTACTGTGGGTAAAATGTTATCAAACACCATCACATCCTACAGAGAAATCTTTCATGAAAGGAAGAGTCAATGGATGTGGCAAACATTATTGTCTTATTTTAAGAAACTGCCACAGCCACCCCAACCTTCAGCAACCAGCACCATGATCATCAACCACCAACGTCGAGGCAAGACCCCCACCGGGAAAAAGATTATCGCTCGCTGAAGACTCAGATGATTGCTAGCACTTTTTAGTAATAAAGTATTGTTTAATTAGATTATATACTTTTTTTAGCAATAAGGTTATTGCACATTAGTAGACGACAGTATAGTGTAAACAACTTTTATATGCATTGGGAAACCAAAAAATTTATGCCACTTGCTTTATTGCAATATTTGCTTTACTGTCATGGTACAAAGGTTGGGAGCCTGGAAAACATATTTCCTACAATCCCATGCCACCAAATTCTGGAAGCAAATTAAATTCTGCATTTGAGATACATTGATGAGGAGTCGGGCAATGGGAGACAGGTAGAAACTTCATTCTTCTCTGCCAGTGATGCCAGACATGAATTTGCGCAGCAGCCTCTGGATTCCCCTGACATTTGCCTGCCCCATGGCTTTTGGTTAGAGTCAATAATGAAGAGGTTTTTGTTTGTTTGTTTTGTTTTGTTTTCCCCTGGTTCCTGTATGCTGCAGGTAGTAGTCATCTAACTGTCTGGTAGTCCTCCTGATTTGCATTCTCCAGCCTTTGGCAACATTAAAAAAAAAAAAAAAGCTTTACTGAGGTGTAATTTACACACAACAAGTTTACTCATTTTAAGTACACACTTTGATGATTTTTTTTTTTTTTGAGACGCAGTTTTGCTCTTGTTGCCCAGGCTGGAGTGCAATGGCGCAGTCTCGGCTCACTGCAACCTCTACCTCCTGGGTTCAAGGGATTCTCTTGCCTCAGCCTCCCAAATAGCTGGGATTACAGGCGCCCACCACCACACCCGGCTAATTTTTATATTTTTAGTAGAGATGGAGTTTGACCATGTTGGCCAGGCTGGTCTCGAACTTCTGACCTCTGGAGATCCGCCCACCTTGGCCTCCCAAAGTGCTGGGACTATAGGCATGAGCCACCACGCCTGGCCAATATATATACATATTTTTAAGAGACAGAGTCTCTATCACCCAGGCTGGTGTGCAGTGATATGATCATAGCTAACTTCAGCCTTGAACTCCTGGGCTAAAGTGATCCTCCTACCTCAGCCTCCAGAGTAGCTGGGACTACAGGTGTGTGCCATCATGTTTGGGTAATTTTTTTTTTTTTCATTTTTTTGTAGAGACAGAGTCTTGTTGTGTTGCTCAGGCTGGTCTTGAATTTGCCTCAAGTGATCCTCCTGCTTTGGCCTCCCTAAGTGCTGGGATTATGGGCATGAGCCACGGTGCCTGGCCTGGTTTTATGAATTTTGACAGATATGTACAATCAGGGAAGCACCATCATATTGTTTCCCTTTCCCCCTTGGCAATCAATTCGCCCCAATCCTGGCCCAGGCAACAACTCATCTGCCTCCTATCACTCTATCTTCCTTTCAGTAGTCTGAAAACACCCAACTTCTGATATGAAATCACTTTCTGCTGGAAACTGGTTTCTGTTTCTCTGATCGAACTGTGCCTGGTACAGGAGGACTTCACTATGGGAAGCCAATTCCTGCACATCATCCACTATTAATAAAGAAACAAAACCAACATTTGTGCAGTTACAGAGAAGTGGTTAGACACCTGGAGCATATTCTCTGTTTCTGTAGACCCAGGTGCTTAGACTCCTGAAGTTCCAAAACATCTTTCCGGAATCGAAGGCTGCCATGAGATCAGAGGTGCCATCTTTGTCAGGGTGGGTACAGGCTGTGTGGCGTGACTGAACTCCAGGGGCAGGGCCTTTGGTTCAAGATGACTTTGTCGATGTTTCATTACCCTCTCAGTCCATGGTTGGCTGTGGTAGGAGTCACAAGACAGCATGGAGTATGGCAATGCTTTTCAAAGTTTCCTTTTTAATAATGAGACACTTAGGTTAAAAAAAAAAAAAGTATGTGAAATGCCAACAGAGAAAGCAGATAAAGGTAAAGCTGCTTTGGTTGAATTCAGGGAATAAGTGGCTTTCAGAATTTGCCCTGCTGTGTGGAAGTGAGACAGACCTGGTACACATGCTGGGGAGCCTTTCCTTAGTTGGAGAACCTGGGCAAGTCACGTTACCTCACCGAGTCTCAGTTTCCTCTTTTACAATTGGGCATAATTGTATCTCCTCATTTTGGAAATCATAAGTTTTAGACTTTACACATGTAAAGCTCTTAGCATGACCCTTAAACATAGTGGGAGCTTAAAAAATCTAGCTCTTATTTATCATGTATTTTATTAGTTACTTTTAGTAATAATTTTATTATTTATCATTCAGTTTTATTATTTATTATTATATGTGTCATGAGCAGTACAAGGTTAGAGATAGCAGGTCCATGCATGTTTGTGTCTTTCCACAATGTCAGACCTTTACTGATGCTATTTCAATTGCAAAAGCCATGAGCTACATAGAGTTGCCAAGGAGGCAGTTCTCCTTAGTACTCTGTGTTCACTCAGCAGTCAGAGCCGTGGGCACACAGATTCAAGCCACACCACAAGTCAGCCAATATTGCAAACCATACATAATAGTACACTTAATCAATATATAAGTGTTATAGATTAAACATTCCACGACAAACATTTAACATAAAGAGAAAAAGAGATAGGAGAAAGGGTTAACGAACCAGTCTAGGGAGAGCAAAGAAGACAAAAGTAGTCTTGGTTTGGGCTGGTTGGTCTTGCAGGGAAGTCTTTGATGTGGCAGAGCCTTTGTAGGCAAATGCCAAGTTCTTACCATGAGTGACAGCGGGACAGTTGTCAGTTAAGATGGCTGATTCTAGCTGCTAAAGGCCAGCTCTTTGATGGTCACAGGGTCCTCTGGGGAGAACTGACGGTGGAAGTGTGTACTTGTTTATGTCTTTATGTGGTGGAATGCAGTCTTTATTTTTTATTTGTTTGTCAGGCAAAACATCTTTGTTGGCAAGGTGCCCTACGAAATGTAAAATGGAGTCTTTTCCTAAGATGGAGTTAGTTGCATCAAGGGTGCTCCATATAATATGATAGGTCAGTTTAGCCTCTAAGCCATCAGCAATTAGCCAAGTTCAGTAAGCAAGGACAACAGACTCTCAGGGAGTCTGTCAGTTATGCCCCCAACAATGCTGCATAACAAACCAGCTCATGACTGAGTGACTGAGAGCAGCAATCATTTATGCTCCGTGGATCTGCAGTCAGCTGATGCTGACTGAGCTCTGCTTCTGGTGCCTCTCATCCTTTTCTTGCCACCAGCCGGTTGACTCTTCTGGATTCAATGGGCTAGTCTGGGCATGTTCTTCTCATGGCAATGGCAGAGGCAGAAGAGGGCAAGCACAATCACTCAAGAGAGCATTTGATCATGTCATGTCCACTAACTTTCCATTTGTCAAAAGAAGTCACATGCCTGAACCTGAAGTTGAGGATCAGGGAAATATACTCCTGTTTTTCAGTGAGAGGAACTTCAAAGTCATATGGCAAAGAGTATGGATAAAGGTGGGGTGAATAACTGGGCCATTAATGCTCTCTCTTTCAGGGAGCATCTGGATTTAAGATGCCAACAGAAGAAAGAGGGATCTCATAGGGAAATGCTGAGGAGGAGCAGATAGGGATGTCAGAGGGGACCAGAACATGGCAGTGTCTGGGAAGTTGAGGGAGAAGGGAGATTCTAATAGTGTCCAGTGCTTCAGAGGGGACCCACAAAATAGGATAAGAGAAAAAAACTTGGTCAAAGAGAACACTGTTAATGACCTTAAGAGACTATCTAAACAAGCAGGCTCAGTTAATCTTTTAGTAGCAAGGCTGTGCTGGCTGATGATCTCCAGTCCAGAAATGAACGGTGTTTGGCTTGTTTTCTTCATCAAAAGGGGAAAAAGAAAACTTTGGCGAGTTATAATGCTGGCTCTTTATGAAATATTTTGATGTGCATTTTAAATGCACATAGGTACCTGATTTTCTGTGCAAATTACCCTTGGTGTAAGAAGTGAAAGTTGCTAAGGAAGCAATTAGAAAGGAGAAGAGTAATATTTACTTCAAGTTTGATGATTTGCTAGAGCATGCACATATCTAAAGGTAAACTGCTCTGAAATCCAAGTTCAATAAATAGAAAATATTAAAACACAATTGTTGATTAACTCAGTGAGCAAGTCCAGTGCACACATCATGCCAAAAAGATATTACCCAGCACAAGCTACACAAGGGGGGGTGGTTGCAATCACAGGGCAAAGTGTACGCAGGTGGTGAGGATTGGGTAATGAGATTGAGCTAATCAAGGAAAAATTCTGTGACTTCACACACACAGAGTATCTTAAATTAGAATTGTAGTTGGCAGTTGCATAGATACCTTTCTTTGCAGTCCCCAATGTGGGAAAAACTTTTTTCTATTTTGATCCAGTACTGAGAGTATCTGATTTGGAAAACACAACTGCTTATAGCTTTTTGATTTTGTAATAAATGTTAAACCTTGGTTTTGACTAAATAGAAAAAGCCTTGGTGAGACCTTAACGGGTTTTGGGACCCCGTTTCTTAATGTCTTGTTGACCATTTTCTTGAAAACTCCTTCAGTTGCCATAAAATTTGCATTTCCACATCTTGAATGACCTTTACAAGTTTTATCAGCCAGAGTGGATAAAAATCACTCACCAGAATACAAACACATGGAAGAAAAAGAGACACAGGAAAGTAAACAACATGCATGACAGAACACACACAACTTAAGAGTGCTCACTGCTTGAGAGAGTGCTCAGTATGGGGCATAAATCGCCACTGGCCAAGTGTGTCCGTATGATCTGTCACTTACTCATGGTTCAGAGCAATGGGCATCATTCTGATTGTGAGAGGACATACTGTGTGTTGTAGTGGACTGCACTTTATATAATATGCACACACATTATACACATATAATTTATATATTTATAAAATATATGTTCCCATATCTATAAAAGCATTTAAAATACCTTTTGAATACACTATATATTGTGTACTTTTCCAAACAGAAATTATTTCAAAGACAAATAGAATTTTAATAAACCACCTGGGTAGATGTAGATGGCTTTTTTTTTCCCCATTGGGAGACTGCAGTTTTGCCTTTTCAACTGTGTTTTGTCACTAATTTGAAATTCTTCACTGCTGTGCCGTCAGTTGAGAGGAACGTTTGCAGATAAGCTCACAGAAACACCCAGACAAGAAGGGTTTTAAGTAGGGCAAGCGAGCTGGGTTGTAACAAATCCGAAACAAAATAATTAAGGACAGACAGCCTCATTTTATGTTTGTGAGATGACTTTGAGGGAGGAGGATTTAAAGGTACAGAGCAATGGTCAGGACTCTGATTTAAATTGGTCCACATGGGAAGTACCACGGGTGACAGTAAACATGAAGATGTCTCTGTCCCTTCAAAAAAAAAAATCTTTCTGGCTAGGCACGGTGGCTCACACCTGTAATCCCAGCACTTTGGGAGGCCGAAGTGGGTGGATTATGAGGTCAGGAGTTCAAGACCAGCCTGGTCAAGATGGTGAAATCCCGTCTCTACTAAAAATACAAAAATTAGCCAGGCGTGATGGTGGGCGCCTGTAATCCCAGCTACTCAGGCGGCTGAGGCAGAAGAATCACTCGAACCCCGGAGGCGGAGGCTGCAGTGAGCCACTGCACTCAAGCCTGGGTGACAGAGCAAGACTCCGACTCAAAAACAAAACAAAACAAAACAAACTTTTTTATTTTTCTTCACCTATTTGTTAAAATGAATCATGTCAGAAAGCTGTGGAGACTCTATAAAATGAAAGCAATTAGTGAATATGCCACAAAAATCATTTATATTATTTCCTCCCAATTCATTTATTATTTGACGTATGTTTTTTGATAGAGTTCAAATGCAGAGGAGTGTATTGTGGTGGGCTAATGGATGGAGAGTCCTGTAGGAGGGAAGGGTAGCTGTCAGGTCAGCAACCATCCCATTCCCAAAGCCTGTAGATCCCTGGCTCTGCCTCCATTGTCTAAAGTAGTTTATGCCTCTGGCTTATCTAAATACACTTTCTAAAACCCTCGCACTTCACTCTCTTCTACAAAAGAGAACTTACAGACACCAGGCAGTAGCCTGGCCCAGTGTAGCCATGCACATCAGGGCTACCTTCTTTTGCTCTTGGCCCTTGTACCTGTCCCTGTAGAGTGTCAGCCCAGGTGCATATGAGCCAGATTTGAGGAGCTTGGGCTGGTGGCATTGAACTTTGACAGCATCCTCTGCAGGTAATCTGCTTTTATGCCTTTGTTTACTTCTGGCTTTAGAGTAAACCATTACTTTGTTTTATTGTTTTTGTTTTTGAGACAGGGTCTTGTTCTGTCATTCAGGCTGGAGTGCAGTTACATGAACGTGGCTCACTGCAGCCTCAACCTTCTGGGCTCAAGTGATCCTCCTGCCTCAGCCTCCCAAGTAGCTGGGACCACAGGCACATGCCACCATACTGGGCTAATTTTTAAATTTTTTGTAGAGACAGGATTTCATCACATTGTCCAGGATAGTCTCGAACTACTGGGCTCAAGTGATTTTCTTGCTTCAGCCTTCCAATGTGCTGGTATTACAGGTGTGAGCCACTGCATCCAGCAGTAAACTATCACTTTGAAGATTCTAACTGTATCTTAGAGGAATTAAGGAGAAAGAGTTTTGTTGCTCCTATGTCAGGAGAGCATGGAGGAATTCAGGGCAAGGGTGGGGAGGGCTTGGCCTTACAGGTTCTTGGCTTAGAGGAGGTGAGACTGGGGCTGATGGAGGAGCAGGATAACTCTTCTCTAGATCTCTTTCCTGTAGATGGTTTGTATGTACAAATAAGGCAGATTGTGAGATTTCTGTATTGGGGTAGAGTCATTCAGGCTGTTGAGATGAGCTGCATTTACTTTAGAGAGAATCACATTTGCAGCATTACCTGTTAAAGCTCTTCATTAATTCTCTGTCTGTCTCTGCCTCTTTTTATATGTGCTGACAAGATGCACTGTTGATATTTTAAAAAGTTAAAAGGCTGGCAGAGTGGCTTATGCCTGTAATCCCAGCATTTTTTGAGGTGAGGCAGGAGGATCACTTGAGGCCAGGAGTTCAAGACAAGTCTGGGCAACATAGCCAGACACTGTCTCTACAAAAAAAAAAAAAAAAAAAAAAAAAAAATTAGCCAGGCATGGTGGGCATGGTGACACAACACCTGTAGTTCCAGCTACTTGAGAGGCTGAGGCAGGAGGATTGCATGAGCCTAGGAATTAGCGGTTATAGTGAACTATGATCGCATCACTGCACTCCAGCCTGGGCAACAGACCAAGATCCTGTCTCTAAAAAAAAAAAAGTAAAAAAAACTTAAAAACACAATTTTCATACGAATATAGAGTAAGTATATGTAAAAGATTTAACTAATTAATGAGGGCACCAGAAGGATGACAAAGAGGATATTAAGGCAGATATGAGACGCTGATATCTATATTGTTATTTATATCTATCTATATCCATATCTATAGCTACATATACATACATACATATATAGTGAGGAGGAAAGACTGCTGGGATAGGATCACACAAAGTTAATACAAAAGTAGTTAATAAAAAACTAGTTCCTATCCTGCTGGGCAATAAAGCTGTAAGTTTTGGGGTTACAGACTCTACCAGTTAGAAATCACTTGCCATTTATCAATCTACAAGGTAACATCTAACTTTACTCAGTCTGGGACTTTATCAGTCGTAAATGAGGAGTCAAAGAGAAGTTACATGCCCTAGAGCAGGATTGGCAGTTGAGAGCTGGAGCCCCAGCCTGCTCTGTGGAGCCCAGGAATACAGCACGCCTATTCATCTGTGCATCATGTGTGGCCGCTTTCGTGCTACTGTGGCAGAGTGAGTAGTAGCGACAGGGACCATATGTCCCACACAGCCAAAAATATTTACTATCTGGCCCTTTACAGAAAAAGTTTGCTGGCCCCTGCTCTAGAGACATAAGTCAGATACTCTGTAGGTAGCCTGTAAAGAAATCCTCTAGGATAATCCCAAAGGCCTGAAGATACTTTTGCCTTGTTTTCATGTTTGGTATAATTTTTTTCAACAATATTATGCACATGTACAAAGATGTGTGTTTAATCTTAAAAAACAGTTAAACCCTCAGTGAGTGAATATTCAAACTAGAGAGAATCTCACAGCTCTGGCTAATTCTTATTGCTCTTCAACAATTACTTTGCTCCAGAAAATACTCCTTGACCTCAAGTTGCACCCCACCCTGGCTGGGGGCTCCCAGTGTTTGTGTCTTTGTTTGCACTCTCTCTTTCTTCATATTCATGTGTCCTGCAGGACTGACTATGTAACTTGTGGGGCTGCAGTGCACAATGAAACTGCAGAGCCCTTGTTCAAAAATTATTAAGAATTTTAGGACAATGATGTAGAGAATTAAAGCAAGCACTGTCTGAGACTGCCCAGGTAACAATTCATAGCCCTGCCCTGGACCCACTCATTGGAATTTGACCTCTCTGTAGTATTCACCTTTGCCTCTCCACTGTACATAACAACATAGTAGGCACTGAACAAATATATTTTGTGGAATGTTATTAATTATTCAACAGGTGCTGTAAAAAGTGACCCCTTTGTTGATTGCATTTTTGAAATTCTATTAATTTTTGAGAATTTAGTGCAAAAAATATTTGTATGCACATATTTAAATGGAAGAGCAGATTATGATGTGTATTCAATATATTATCTGCATATGTTCACTTTTCACTTTTCTTCAGTTTTTTCTTTCTGTTTCTCAGACTCAATAATTTCAACTGTCCTATCTTCCAGTTCACTGATTCTTTCTTTTACTTGCTTGAGTCTGCTGCTGAACTCCTCTCCTGGCTATTGTTCTACTGGGTGAAGCAGGATCTTCATCCTCTGACAATGCTGTGTCAGTGTCTCTTCTGTTCTCTTGAGTCATTCTGTGTCTGGAGTTGGTTCCTTCCAGTGGGTTCGTGATCTCGCTGACTTCGAGAATGAAGCTGTGGACCTTTGTGGTGAGTGTTACAGCTCTTAAAGGTGTGCCACCCTTAAGAGTGAGCAGCAGCAAGATTTATTGTGAAGAGCGAAAGAACAAAGCTTCCATGGTGTGGAAGGGGACCCAAGTGGGTTGCCGCTGCTGGCTGGGGTGGCCAGCTTTTATTCCTTTGTCCCTGCCCATGTCCTGCTGATTGGTCCACTTTACAGAGTGCTGATTAGTCCATTTTACAGAGTGCTGATTGGTCCATTTTACAAACCTCTAGCTAGCCACAGAGCACTGATTGGTACATTTTTACAGAGCACTGATTGGTGCATTTTGCAAACCTCTAGCTAGCCACAGAGCACTGATTGGTGCGTTTTTACAGAGCACTGATTGGTGCATTTTACAAACCTCTTGTGAGACAGAAAAGTTTTTCAAGTCCCCACCCAACCCAGGAGCCCAGCTGCCTTCGCCTCTCAATTCTTCCAGGCCCATCTGCTGGACAATACTACTTTTTCTGGGTCCTTCTGCCTGGTCTTGCTAAATGCTGTCCTGCACATCACAGGCTGCCTCATGATTTCTCCCTTGCATCTGCCAGGGGCTACCCCTCATCCTGGTACAGACACTTCAAGCTGCCCAAGTGGATGTTATTGTGTGGAGAGGGGGAAAAAGAGACCCCACTTCCTCATGTTAAATTTGTTAGGGATGTACAGAAGCTGAGAGCCTCGTGTCTCAGTCTTTCACAATGCTTGGTAGAACAGCATTTGTAATATTCACTTTTCTTTGATTTCCCCCCTTCACCCCCACACTCATATGCCCACATAAAATTTGGACACAGATTAAGGTTTGGAGATACAGTTTTTATAACATAGCACTTGGCTTTTCTACCAACTCGAGGTTGTCTCACTGTTCCTTTCTTATAAGTCCTTTCCTGTAAAAATTTTTAGGCCCTTATGGAATAGACTTTTCTGTAAGGCCACACCTGACTGGTTTATCAGACAGGATCTTACAGTCCTTCCCCAGCATGGGACATGCTGAACTATAGCTCCCCGTGTGGCTCCATTCTCCTCAGCTCCATGAATATCTGAGGACATACTTTGTTTTCTCTTAATGTCGCTTGAACCCTATTCAGACCATCTGGGAGAACCAATGACTCATTTAGTGCAGTGGAGAGCTTGTTTGTATTGTAATTAACCAGACTTACTTAAAATGTTTTATGTATTCAAGGTTTCATATATTTGTCATGTTTGCTCAGAGTCCATATTTAGGAACGTAGTATAGCTGTGTATGCATATTTGTCGTGTCTTGACGGGTCAGATTGGTCAAAATAAGAGGGAATAGCAGATCATGTTTAGGCAGAGAGTTGGTTCCAGGCCATCACCCACACAGTTGTGGAAAAACAAAAAAGCCCATAAGTAAGTATGAATAGGTTGTGAGTTTTAATCCATGATGATTAATTCACAGGTTTTACATTTGAAAAGCAGAAAAATGTTTTACATCAAAAAATAAACTTTAAATGAAACTTCTGACAAGTTTTTCAAAAGACTTTTGAAAAGAAAGTTAACAATTCTATCTTAAAGCCAACACTGCTAACAGTATTTGTATAGCATTTACTATGTGCCAGGGACTGTTTTAAGCACATTACAAATATAACCTCATTGAACCTACAGAACAGCCTTAGAATGTAGGTCCTTTTCGTTATTATGGTTCTGTAGTTCACAGCTGGATAGGGTTCATCTGCTCTTTTGCAAATCTGCACTACTGTTTAGAGAAATGGGCCATAACATACATAAGACTATTGATTTTCATTAAAATGTGTATAATTTTAAGATGTGTCTGATGATCATCATAATTTTATCCATTAGCAATTAGTACAATATTGCCCTAATCACAATTGTCTACCTAATGGTTTATTTATATAATAGTTCTCATGAGTCTTTTAGCAGAGTTCAAACATTTTAACGAATAATTTTATATTTGTCTTAGAGAAGAGGTAATATAAGGATACATGATCATTTTGTCAGATTAACTAACCTAATGAAGATAGTTGATATGAATTAAATAAGCAACTGGAAAGAAGAACAAAATCAACATTAGCAACTCAATTAGTTGACCTCTGAAAGACTGTTCATGTACATTGGCTGGTACAAAGACACTAGCCAGCCTGTACATCTATATATTATTCATGCAGATCATTCTTTATATATAGTTAATGGCATGCATGTGGCCTGGATTTTGTGGTTGGCTAACTATTCTGTCCCCATAAATATACTCCTGACTGTCAAACCAAATGTCCTGATATTTGTTTCAAAAGCTGTGGCCACTGTATGATATAACAAATACCCATAAACACTATTGGGATATCAGCGTGACTGAGTGAAACTAGAATTTTTTCCCCAGTAATCGGTAAGGTGTACCAAGTTTTTAAGAACACAAAACATGAATCAAAATCTCATTTGAAGTCTAATCCACAGTGTGAAAATGTTTAGGGTCAGATTTTCAAAATGTGACCCTATGGGACACCAGAAGATGTTCCCTGGTGAGGGTAAATGGGCAACAATGATAAAACGTGCACATGTAACTGCCTTCACTGAATTTCAGGCAGCGGGTATGGGGCTGCTTTTATTTTTAAAAGATAATTTGGCATTTTTTTTTCAGATCCACTTCTTTATTACCTTTTTGAAGAACAGGAACCTTTGTCTGGAAATTCCACAAGTATGCCTTTTGCAAGATTAAAAGTGCCACAAAGAACAAAAATGAGCCCAGGACCAGATGCATGTTAAAAGCCATCAGACACGTTAAGTTTCATCTCCATTGACCTGGTAAGCCTGCTAATATAAATATACTTTTACCTCTTTACATATTATCAGCAGTAGAAAGTACATAGCAGGTTTAGGGGAGCCAGGTGGAATATGGGTTTGAGTTCTGACTCCACCAGCTCTACAGCCTTGTGACCTGTGTGTTAGTTAATGAGTGTTTAGAATGTGAACATTTACATTTTATGCTTAGGACAAGTAGCTGATGGGAGGAGGGGTTGGAACTATGGGAGAAACTCCCCTTGAGCACTTGCCATTAGAGCAGGGCCTTCATAATAATTGGAAGCTAATAGGCCGATGTGGCCATGGTGAAGCCCTGGTGCAATCCTTGCTATTGGGGGTGGGGAGACTGGGACCCACGTGGGAAATGGTAACATAACAGCAAACGTGGAGCACTTCCAGTGTTCCACCTTATATAACACTTATCCGTGGCAGCAGGCTATTAAGGTAGATACTATCTTCATCATCTTTATTTTACAGATCTAGAAATGCAATCACTGCTAGGTAAAGTAATTTGCCTGAGATGATGCAGCCATGGTGACAGAGCTGGGATTCGAAGAGAGCCTGGCTTTAGCCTCTGTTTAATAAACTTCACACCAAATATTTCTCCCAGATCAGGAAGCCACAGCGTGCTGCTTTTTTGGGCTTCCTCTGCAACATGCTCTGGGGTACAGGTCCTGCCCTCTTATTAGTCCCAGACTGCTTTCTTATGGATGAAATGGGAATGCTGATGTCTGCTTTAAATTGTTAGTGGGATGAATGTCTGCAAAGAGTTGCTGCTCAGTGAAAGAGAAAAAGTAAACAAACAAACAAAAATCTTTTGAGCTACTTTAAGATACTTTAAGAGATATTAAAAAAAAAGTTAACAGGCTGAATAAATTCAGTAGCAAAACCCAGAAGTTTCCAAACCTAGAATTTCTTTGCTTAAACTTCATCTTTCTTGCTTTTATTCTCCTCAATATAAATTATTTTAAGTTTTTTTCTGATTCTGTGGCATGCAAAGTCTCACTAATGCAGGTCTCCATAACAACGATTTCAGTACTGACCAAGTGGTTAAGTTAAAAGCCAGTACCCTTATACAAAGGCTAGGATATAACAAAAGCCAATTAAGAGTTTTGCCTAGGTCTTTTCTGGGCCTTAGAGCATGACAAAATAACGAAGGAATTCTTAACAGGACCCATTTAGGGTTAAACAAGTTTTATTGTGGGTCTGAAGAAACTCCCCAGGCCTCCACAAAAGTTTATTGGGGGTCTGAAAGAACTCCCCAAACCTCCGTGATTTAGCAGGAGACAAGATAAGGACAATTACCCCAACACCTGGGCCCATTTAGATTAAGTAAATTTACTGAGGCTCCAGAGGAAGGTCTTCAGGACTCAGACCTTAGTTACAGCTTAAAAGAAGTTAATCACTTCTGACTGCACATTTACACGTAGACATGTAGCTTAGAAGGTATATAAGCTCTGGAAAACTTTGTAATTTTGAGTTGCTCTGGTGATAACTTCCAGGCCTTCTCCCTATTACCGGTTGCAGAAATAAAAACTCTCTTCCTCCCCAGTTCATCTGCATTTTGTTATTGGGCCATGAGAAATAGCAGCCCGACCCTCAGTTTGGTCTGGGAACAATTCCTAAAGTAAAATATTTTCATTGTAAAAAAAAATCAGATAATCAGAAAAATATAAAGAAGTGGAAATTCCCTGTAATTCTACTGCTGAGAGAAAAAGGCTGTGAAAATTTCACTGTATATCCCTTAGACTTTTCCCCATGCATTTATACATTTATAGGCGCACACGCGCGCGCACACACACACACACACACACACACGTAAAACTGGGAGAAAATGGACAAGCTGCATTTTTCACTTAATATAATGTGGACATTTTCCCATGCCAATGAATATAGTTCTATGTCTTCTTTTTTAAAATTTTTAATTTTTATGAGTACATAGTAGGTGTATATATTTATGGGGTACATGAGATACTTTGATACAGGCATGCAATGCATAATAATCACATCAGGGTAAATGGGGTATCCATTACCTCAAGCATTTATCCTTTGTGTTACAAAAAATTCAATTTTACTCTTAGTTATTTTAAAATGTACAGTTAAATAATGATTGACTATGGTCAGCCTGTTGTGCTATCAAATACTAGATCTTATTTATTCTATTTTTTTGTACCCATTAGCCATCCTCACTTTCCCTGCCCCCAACTCCTCCACTACCCTTCTCAGCCTCTGGCAACCATCATTATACTCTCTATCTCCATGAGTTCAAATGTTTCAATTTTTAGCTCCCACAAATATGTGAGAACATGGAAAGTTTGTCTTTCTGTGCCTGGCTTATTTTGCTTAACATAATTACCTCCAGTTCCATCCATGTTGCTGAAAATGACAGGATCCCATTCTTTTTTATGGCTGAATAGTACTCCACTGTGTTTATGTGAAAAATTTTCTTTATCCATTTATCTGTTGATGGACACTTAGGTTGCTTCCAAATCTTGGCTATTGTGAATAGCATTGTAATAAATATGGGAGTGCAGACATCTCTTCAACATACCGATTGCCTTTGTTATGGGTATACACCTAGCAGTGGCACTGCTCTATCATATGATAGCTCTATTTTTAGTTTTTTTGAGGAATCTTCAAACTGTTCACTATTGTGGCTGTACTAATTTACATTCCCATTAACAGTGTACAAAGGTTCCCTTTTCTCCACATCCTTACTAGCATTTGTTATTGCCTGTCTTGGATAAAAGGCATTTTGACTTGGATGAAATGATATCTCATTGTAGTTTTGATTTGCATTTCTCTGATGATCAATAATGTTGAGCAGTTTTTCATATACCTGTCTGTCCTTTTTATGTCTTTTTTTTGAGAAATGTCTATTCAGATCTTTTGTCCATTTTTTTTTTAGATTTTTTTAAAATTATACTTTAAGTTTTAGGGTACACGTGCACAACATGCAGGTTAGTTACATATGTATACATGTGCCATGTTGGTGTGCTGCACCCATTAACTCATCATTTAACATTAGGTATATCTCCTAATGCTATCCCTCCCCCCTCCCCCCACCCCACAACAGTCCCCAGTGTGTGATGTTCCCCTTCCTGTGTCCATGTGTTCTCATTGTTCAATTCCCACCTATGAGTGAGAACATGCGGTGTTTGGTTTTTTGTCCTTGCGATAGTTTGCTGAGAATGATGGTTTCGGATTATTAGATTTTTTCATATAGAGTTGCTAGAGCTCCTTATATATTCTGGTTATTAATCCCTTATCAGATGGATAGTTTGCAAATATTTTCTCCCATTCTGTGGGTTGTCTCTTCACTTTGTTGATTGTTTCCTTTCCTGTGCAGAAGCTTTTTAATTTGATGTAATCCCATGTGACCATTTTTGCTTTGGTTGCCTGTGCTTGTGGGGTATTACTTAAGAACTCTTTGCCCAGTCCAATGTCCTGGAGAGTTTCTCCAATATTTTCTTTTAGTAGTTTCACAGTTTGAGGTCTCGGGTTTAAGTCTTTAGTCAATTTTGATTTGATTTTTTTATATAGCAAGAGATAGGGATCTAGTTTCATCCTTCTGTATATGTATATCCAGTTTTCCCAGCACCATCTATAAAAGAGACTGTCCCCTCCCCAATGCATGTTGTTGGCACCTTTGTTGTTAATGAGTTCATTGCAGATATATGAATTTGTTTCTGGGTTCTCTATTCTGTTCCATTGGTCTATGTGTCTGCTTTTATGCCAGTACTATGCTATTTTGGTTACTATATCTCTGTTGTATAATTTGAAGTCAGGTGATGTGATTCCTCCAGTTTTGTTCTTTTTTGCTTAGGATAGCTTTGGCTATTCTGAGTCTTTTGTGTGTTCATATAAATTTTGGAATTGTTTTTTCTATTTTTGTGAAGAATATCATTGGTATTTTGATAGTGATTGCATTAAATCTGTAGATTGCTTTGGGTATTATGGATATTTTTAAAATATTAATTATTCCAATCCATGAATATAAAATATCTTTCCGTTTTTTGTGTCCTCTTCAATTTCTTACATCAATATTTTATAGTTTTCACTGTAAAGATCCTTCACTTCTTTGGTTAATTCCTAGGTATTTAATTTTATTTGTGGCTATTATGAGTGGAATTTCTCTTTAAGTTTCTTTTTCAGATTGTTCATTGCTGGCATATAGAAATGCTGCTGATTTTTGTATGTTGCTTTTGTATCCTGCAACTTTAATTTGTTTAAGTTCTAACAGTTTTTTAGTGGAGTCTTTAGGTTTTTCCAAATGTAAGATATCATCTGCAAATAAGGATAATTTGTCTTCTTCCTTTTCAATTTGGGTACGCTTTATTTCTTTTTCTTGTATCATTACTCTAGCAGGATTTTGAGTACTATGTTGAATAGCAGTGGTGACAGTGTGTATCCTTGTCATGTTCCAGATCTTAGAGGAAAGGATTTCAGTTTTTTCCCATTAAGTATGATACTAGCTGTTGGTTTCTCATATATGGCTTTTATTATGTTGAGGTATGTTACGTCTATACCCTGTTTTTTTTTTTTTTTTTAAGTATTTATTGATCATTCTTGGGTGTTTCTCAGAGGGGGGGATGTGGCAGGGTCATAGGATAATAGTGGAGAGAAGGTCAGCAGATAAACACGAGAACAAAGGTCTCTGGTTTTCCTAGGCAGAGGTCCCTGCGGCCTTCGGCCCTGTTTGTGTCCCTGGGTACTTGAGATTAGGGAGTGGTGATGACTCTTAATGAGCATGCTGTCTTCAAGCATCTGTTCAACAAAGCACATCTTGCACCGCCCTTAATCCATTTAACCTTGAGTTGACACAGCACATGTTTCAGAGAGCAGGGGGTTGGGGGTAAGGTTATAGTTTAACAGCGTCCCAAGGCAGAAGAATTTTTCTTAGTACAGAACAAAATGGAGTCTCCTATGTCTACTTCTTTCTACACAGACACAGTAACAATCTGATCTCTCTTTCTTTTCCCCACATTTCCCCCTTTTCTTTTCAACAAAACCGCCATCGTCATGATGGCCCATTCTCGATGGTTGCTGTCTCTTCGGAGCTGTTGGGTACACTTCCCAGACAGGGCGGCCTGGCAGAGGCGCTCCTCACTTCTCAGATGGGGCGGCCGGGCAGAGGCGCTCCTCACTTCCCAGATGGGGCGGCCGGGCAGAGGCGCTCCTCACTTCCCAGACAATGGGCGGCCGGGCAGAGGCGCTCCCCACCTCCCAGACGGGGCGGCTGGGCAGAGGCGCTCCCCACCTCCCAGACGGGGCAGCCGGGCAGAGGCGCTCCCCACCTCCCAGACGAAGAGCGGCAGGGCAGAGGCACTCCCCACCTCCCAGACGAAGAGCGGCAGGGCAGAGGCACTCCCCACCTCCCAGACGAAGAGCGGCAGGGCAGAGGTGCTCCCCACCTCCCAGACGGGGCAGCTGGGCAGAGGCGCTCCCCACCTCCCAGACGGGGCGGCCGGGCAGAGGCGCTCCCCACCTCCAAGATGAAGAGCGGCCAGGCAGAGGCGCCCCCCACTTCCCAGACGGGGCGGCCGGACAGAGGCGCCCCCCACTTCCCAGACGGGGCGGCCGGACAGAGGCGCCCCCCACTTCCCAGATGGGACGGCCGGGCAGAGGCGCCCCCCACATCCCAGACAGGGCAGCCGGGCAGAGGCGCCCCTCACCTCCCAGACGGGGCGGCCGGGCAGAGGCGCCCTCACCTCCCAGACAGGGTGGCCGGGCAGAGGCGCCCCTCACCTCCCAGACGGGGCGGCTGGGCAGAGGCACTCCCCACCTCCCAGACGGGGTGGCTGGGCAGAGACGCCCCTCACCTCCCAGATGGGGCGACCGGGCAGAGGTGCCCACTTCCCCGACGGGGCGGCCGGGCAGAGGCGCCCCTCACCTCCCAGGCGGGGTGGCCGGGCAGAGGTGCTCCCCACCTCCCAGACGAAGGGTGGCCGGGCAGAGGTGCCCCTCACTTCCTAGGCGGGGCGGCCGGGCAGAGACGCCCCTCACCTCCCAGACGGGGTGGCGGCCGGGCTGAGGCGCTCCTCACTTCCCAGATGGGGTGGCGGCTGGGCAGAGGCGCCCCTCACCTCCCAGACGGGGCGGCCATGCAGAGGCGCCCCTCATCTCCCAGACAGGGCGGCCGGGCAGAGGTGCTCCCCACTTCCCATTCGGGGCAACCGGGCAGAGGCGCTCCTCACTTCCTCCCAGACGGGGCGGCTGGGCAGAGGCGCTCCTCACTTCCCAGATGGGGCGGCCGGGCAGAGGCGCTCCTCACATCCCAGACGATGGGCGGTCGGGCAGAGACGCTCCTCACTTCCTAGATGGGGTGGCGGCCGGGCAGAGGCGCTCCTCACTTCCCAGACGGGGTGGCCAGGCAGAGGGGATCCTCACATCCCAGACGATGGGCAGCCGGGCAGAGACGCTCCTCACTTCTTCCTCCCAGACGGGGTGGCCGGGCAGAGATGCTCCTCACTTCCTAGATAGGGTGGCGGCCGGGCAGAGGCGCTCCTCACTTCCCAGATGGGGTGGCTGGGCAGAGGGGCTCCTCACATCCCAGACGATGGGCGGCCAGGCAGAGACGCTGCTCACTTCCTAGACGGGGTGGCAGGCGGGCAGAGGCTGTAATCTTAGCACTTTGGGAGGCCAAGGCAGGCGGCTGGGAGGTGGAGGTTGTAGCGAGCTGAGATCATGCCACTGCACTCCAGCCTGGGCAACATTGAGCATTGAGTGAGTGAGACTCCGTCTGCAATCCCAGCACCTCGGGAGGCCGAGGTGGGGAGATCACCCGAGGCCAGGAGCTGGAGACCAGCCCGGTCAACACGGCAAAACCCCGTCTCCACCAAAAATACAAAAACCAGTCAGGAGTGGTGGTGTGTGCCTGGAATCCCAGGCACTCAGCAGGCTGAGGCAGGAGAATCACCGGAGCCCGAGGCAGGGAGGTTGCAGCGAGCCGAGATCATGGCAGTACAGTCCAGGCTCCGCAAGAGAGGGAGACCGTAGAAAGAGGGAGACGGAGAGCCAGAGGGCAGAGGCAGACCCCAGTTTTTTTTTAAATCATAAAGTGATGTTGAATTTTATCAAATGCTTTTTCAACATCAGTTGAAAGGATTATATGGTTTTTGTCCTTCATTCTGTTGACATAATGTATCACATTGATTGATTTATGTATACTGAACTCTCCTTGCATCCGTGGAATAAATTCCACTTGATCATCATAAATGATCATTTTAAGGTGTTGTGGAATTTGATTTGCTAGTATTGTGTTGAAGATTTTTGCATCAAAGTTCATCAGGGATACTGGCCTGCAGCTTTCTCTTTTTGATATGTGTTTGGTTTTGGTATCAGGGCAATATTGGCCTCTTAGAATGTATTTCAAAAGCATTAATTCTTCTTTAAATGTTTTGTAGAATTCAGCAGTGAAGCCACTGAGGTCAGGGCTTTTCTCTACTGGGAGACTTTTTATTATGTCTTCGATCTTGTTACTTGTTATTGGTCTATTCAGGTTTTGGATTTTTTTTTTTTTTATGGTTCAGTCTTTGTAGGTTGTATGTGTCTAGGGATTTATCTACTTCTAGCTTTTCCAATTTATTGGCATATAGTTCCTCACAGTAGCCTCTAATGATCCTTTGAATTTCTGTGGTATCAGTTGTAATGTCTCATTTTTCATCTCTGATTCTATTTATTTATTCTTTTTTTTTCTCAGTCTGGGTAACAGTTTGCCAATTTTGTTTATCTTTTCGAAATACCAACTTTTTATTTCACTGATCTTTTTTGTTGTTTTCTTCATTTCAATTTCATTTATTTCCACTCTGATCTTTACTATTTCTTTTGTTCTACTAATTTTGAGTTTGGTTTGCTCTTGCTTTTCTAGTTCCTTAAGATGCCTTGTTAGGTTGTTTATTTGAGGTTTTTCTACTTTTTTGATGTAGGCACTTATAGCTAAGAACTTCTCTCTTAGTACTGCTTTCGTTGCATCCCATATGTTTTGGTATGTAGTGTTTCAATTATCATTTGTTTCAAGAAATTTTTCAATTTTTTTCTTCATTGATCCACTGGTCATTCAGAAGCACATTGCTTAATTCGTACCTGTGGGTATGGTTTCCAAAATTTCCCGTTATTGATTTATTCCACTGTGGTCAGAGAAGACACTTACTATTATTTCTTGGTATGTTTTAAGACTTGTTTTGTGGCCTGACATATGGTCTGTCCTTGAGAATGATCCCTGTGCTGAGAAGATAGTGTATTCTGTAGCTATTGGAGGAAACGTTCTGTAAATGTCAATTTAGTCTATAGGACAGATTAAGTCCAATGTTTCTTAGTTGATTTTCTTTCTGGATGATCTGTCCAATGCTGCAAGTCTCCAGCTATTATTCTATGGGGGTCTCTCTCTCTCTCTTTAGCTCTAATAATATTTGTTTTATATATCTGAGTGCTCCAAGGTGCATATATAGTTACAATTGTTATATCCTGTTACTGAATCGATCTCTTTATAATTATATAGAGATGCTGTCTCTTTTTATAGTTTTGTATTGAAGTCTATTTTGTCTGATGTAAGTACAGCTACTCCTGCTTTTGTTGGTTCTCATTGGTATGGAATATCTTTTTCTATCCCTTTATTTTCAGTCTCTGTGTGTTTTCATAGGTGAAGCGTGTTTTTTGTAGGCGACAGATTATTGCATCTTGTTTTTAAAATACATTCAGCCAGTCTATATCTTTTGATTGGAGAGCTTAGTTTATTTACATTCAATGTCATTATTGACAGGTAAGGACTTACTTCTGCCATTTGGTTGTTTTCTTGTTTTGTGGTCTTTTCTTGCTTTTTTTCTTTCTTCCTGTCTTCCTTTTAGTGAAGGTGATTTTCTGAGATGGTGTGTTTTAATTTTCTGCTCATTTGTTTTTATTTATTTTATTTTTATTATACTTTAAGTTCTAAGGTACATGTGCACAATGTGCAGGTTTGTTACATATGTATACATGTGCCATGTTGGTGTGCTGCACCCATTAATTCATCATTTACATTAGGTGTATCTCCTAATGCTATCCCTCCCTCCTCCTCCCACCCCACGACCCGCCCCAGTGTGTGATGTTCCCCTTCCTGTGTCCAAGTGTTCTCATTGTTCAATTCCCACCTATGAGTGAGAACATGCGGTGTTTGGTTTTTTGTCCTTGTGATAGTTTGCTGAGAATGATGGTTTCCAGCTTCATCCATGTCCCTACAAAGGACATGAACTCATCCTTTTTTATGGCTGCATTCTATGTGCATATACACATAGAAAATGTGTATATGTGCCACATTTTCTTAATCCAGTCTATCGTTGATGGACATTTGGCTTGGTTCCAAGTCTTTGCTATTGTGAATAGTGCCGCAATAAACATACATGTGCATGTGTCTTTATAGCAGCATGATTTATAATCCTTTGGATATATACCCAGTAATGGGATCACTGGATCAAATGGTATTTCTAGTTCTAGATCCTTGAGGAATTGCCACACTGTCTTCCACAATGGTTGAACTAGTTTACAGTCCCACCAACAGTGTAAAATTGTTCCTGTTTCTCCACATCCTCTCCAGCACCTGTTGTTGCCTAACTTTTTAATGATCACCATTCTAACTGGTGTGAGATGGTATCTCATTGTGGTTTTGATTTGCATTTCTCTGATGGCCAGTGATGATGAGCATTTATTCGTGTGTCTGTTGGCTGCATAAATGTCTTCTTTTGAGAAGTGTCTGTTCATATCCTTTGCCCACTTCTTGATGGGGTTGTTTTTTTTTGCTTGTAAATTTGTTTAAGTTCCTTGTAGATTCTGGATATTAGCCCTTTGTCAGATGAGTAGATTGCAAAAATTTTCTCCCATCCTGTAGGTTGCCTGTTCACTCTGATGGTGGTTTCTTTTGCTGTGCAGAAGCTCTTTAGTTTAATTAGATCCCATTTGTCAATTTTGGCTTTTGTTGCTATTGCTTTTGGTGTTTTAGACATGAAGTCCTTGTCCATGCCTATGTCCTGAATGGTATTGCCTAGGTTTTCTTCTAGGGTTTTTATGGTTTTAGGTCTAACGTTTTAAGTCTTTAATCCATCTTGAATTAATTTTTGTATAAGGTGTAAGGTAGGAATCCAGTTTCAGTTTTCTACATATGGCTAGCCTGTTTTCCCAGCACCATTTATTAAATAGGGAATCCTTTCCCCATTTCTTGTTTTTGTCAGGTTTGTCAAAGATCAGATGGTTGTAGATGTGTGGTATTATTTCTGAGGCCTCTGTTCTGTTCCATTGGTCTATATCTCTGTTTTGGTACCAGTACCATGCTGTTTTGGTTACTTTAGCCTTGTAGTATAGCTTGAAGTCAGGTAGCGTGATGCCTCCAGCTTTGTTCTTTTGGCTTAGGATTGTCTTGGCAATGCGGGCTCTTTTTTGGTTCCATATGAACTTTAAAGTAGTTTTTTCCAATTCTTCGAAGAACGCCATTGGTAGCTTGATGGGGATGGCATTGAATCTATAAATTACCTTGGGCAATGTGGCCATTTTCACGATATTGATTCTTCCTATCCATGAGTATGGAATGTTCTTCCATTTGTTTGGGTCCTCTTTTATTTCATTAAGCAGTGGTTTGTAGTTTTCCTTGAGAGGTCCTTAATATCCCTTGTAAGTTGGATTCTTAGGTATTTTATTCTCTTTGAAGCAGTTGTGAATGGGAGTTCACTCATGATTTGGCTCTCTGTTTGTCTGTTATTGGTGTACAGGAATGCTTGTGATTTTTGCACATTGATTTTGCATCCTGAGACTTTGTTGAAGTTGCTTCTCGGCTTAAAGAGATTTTGGGCTGAGACGATGGGGTTTTCTAAGTATACAATCATGTCATCTGCAAACGGGCAATTTGACTTCCTCTTTACCGAATTGAATACCCTTTATTTCTTTCTCTTGCCTGATTGCCCTGGCCAGAACTTCCAACACTATGTTGAATAGGAGTGGTGAGAGAGGGCATCCCTGTCTTGTGCCGGTTTTCAAAGGGAATGCTTCCAGTTTTTGCCCATTCAGTATGATATTGGCTGTGGGTTTGTCATAAATAGCTCTTATTATTTTGAGATACATCCCATTAATACCGAATTTATTGAGAGTTTTTAGGATGAAGGGCTGTTGAATTTTGTCAAAGGCCTTTTCTGCATCTATTGAGATAATCATGTGGTTTTTGTCTTTGGTTCTGTTTATATGCTGGATTATGTTTATTGATTTGCATATGTTGAACCAGCCTTGCATCCCAAGGATGAAGCCCACTTGAACATGGTGGATAAGCTTTTTGATGTGCTGCTGGATTTGGTTTGCCAGTATCTTATTGAGGATTTTTGCATTAATGTTCATCAGGGATATTGGTCTAAAATTCTCTTTTTTTGTTGTGTCTCTGCCAGCCTTTGGTATCAGGATGATGCTGGCCTCATAAAATGAGTTAGGGAGGATTCCCTCTTTTTCTGTTGATTGGAATAGTTTCAGAAGGAATGGTACCAGCTCCTCCTTGTACCTTTGGTAGAATTCAGCTGTGAATCCATCTGGTCCTGGACTTTTTTTGGTTGGTAGGCTATTAATTATTGCCTCAGTTTCAGAGCCTGTTATTGGTCTATTCAGGGATTCAACTTCTTCCTGGTTTAGTCTTGGGTGGGTGTATGTGTCCAGGAATTTATCCATTTCTTCTAGATTTTCTAGTTTATTTGCATAGAGGTGTTTATAGTGTTCTCTGATGGTAGTTTTTATTTCTGTGGGATCGGTGGTAATACCTCCTTAATCATTTTTTATTGTGTGTATTTGATTCTTCTCTCTTTTCTTCTTTATTAGTCTTGCTGGCAGTCTATCAATTTTGTTGATCTTTTCAAAAAACCGGCTCCTGGATTCATTGATTTTTTGAAGGGTTTTTCATGTCTCTATCTCCTCCAGTTCTGCTCTGATCTTAGTTATTTCTTGCCTTCTGCTAGCTTTTGAATGTGTTTGCTCTTGCTTCTCTAGTTCTTTTAATTGTGATGTTAGGGTATCAATTTTAGATCTTTCCTGCTTTCTCTTGTTGGCATTTAGTGCTATAAATTTCCCTCTACACACTGCTTTAAACGTGTCCCAGAGATTCTGGTATGTTTTGTCTTTGTTCTCATTGGTTTCAAAGAACATCTTTATTTCTGCCTTCATTTTGTTATGTACCCAGTAGTCATTCAGGAACAGGTTGTTCAGTTTCCATGTAGTTGAGTGGTTTTGAGTGAGTTTCTGAATCCTGAGTTCTAGTTTGATTGCACTGTGGTCTGAGAGACAGTTTGTTTTAATTTCTGTTATTTTACTTTTGCCGAGGAGTGCTTTACTTCCAACTATGTGGTCAATTTTGGAATAAGTGCGATGTGGTGCTGAGAAGAATGTATATTCTGTTGCTTTGGGGTGGAGAGTTCTGTAGATGTCTATTAGGTTCGCTTGGTGCAGAGCTGAGTTCAATTCCTGGATATCCTTATTAACTTTCTGTCTTGTTAATCTGTCTAATGTTGACAGTGGGGTGTTAAAGTCTCCCATTATTATTGTGTGGGAGTCTTAGTCTCTTTGTAGGTCTCTAAGGACTTGCTTTATGAGTCTGGGTGCTCCTGTACTGGGTGCATATATATTTAAGATAGTTAGCTCTTCTTGTTCAATTGATCCCTTTACCATTATGTAATGGCCTTCTTTGTCTCTTTTGATCTTTGTTTGTTTTAAGTCTGTTTTATCAGAGACTAGGATTGCAACCCATGCCTTTTTTTATTTTCCATTTGCTTGGTAGGTCTTCCTCCATCCTTTTATTTTGAGCCTATGTGTGTCTCTGCACGTGAGATGGGTCTCCTGAATACAGCACACTGATGGGTCTTGATTCTTTATCCAATTTGCAAGTCTGTGTCTTTTAAGTGGAGCATTTAGCCCATTTACATTTAAGGTTAATATTGTTATGTGTGAATTTGATCCTGTCATGATGATGTTGGCCGGTTATTCTGCTCGTTAGTTGATGCAGTTTCTTCCTAACATCGATGGTCTTTACAATTTGGCATGTTTTTGCAGTGGCTGGTACTGGTTGTTCTTTTCCATGTTTAGTGCTTCCTTCAGGAGCTCTTTTAGGGCAGGCCTGGTGGTGACCAAATCTCTCAGCATTTGCTTGTCTGTAAAGGATTTTATTTCTCCTTCACTTATGAAGCTTAGTTTGGCTGGATATGAAATTCTGGGTTGAAAATTCTTTTGTTTAAGAATGTTGAATATTGGCCCCTACTCTCTTCTGGCTTGTAGAATTTCTGCTGAGAGATTCACTGTTAGTCTGATGGGCTTCCCTTTGTGGGTAACCCTACCTTTCTCTCTGGCTGCCCTTAACATTTTTTCCTTCATTTCAACTTTGGTGAATCTGACAATTATGTGTCTTGGAGTTGCTCTTCTTGAGGAGTATCTTTGTGGCATTCTGTGTATTTCCTGAATTTGAATGTTGGCCTGCCTTGCTAGATTGGGGAAGTTCGCCTGGATAATATCCTGCAGAGTGTTTTCCAACTTGGTTCCATTCTCCCCATCACTTTCAGGTACACCAGTCAGATGTAGATTTGGTCTTTTCACATAGTCTCACTTTTTTTTTTTTGAGACAGAGTCTTGCTCTATCACCCAGGCTGGAGTGCAGTGGCGTGAACTGGGCTCACTGCAAGCTCCGCCTCCCGGGTTCACGCCATTCTTCTGCCTCAGTCTCCCGAGTAGCTGGGACTACAGGCACCTGCCACCACGCTCAGCTAATTTTTTTGTATTTTCAGTAGGGACGGGGTTTTGCCATGTTAGCCAGGATGGTCTCGATCTCCTGACCTCCTGATCCACCCGCCTCGGCCTCCCAAAGTGCTGGAATTACAGGCGTGAGCCACCGTGCCCAGCCCATAGTCCCATATTTCTTGGAGGCTTTGTTCGTTTCTTTTAATCTTTTTTCTCTAAATTTCTGTTCTTGCTTCATTTCATTCATTTGATCTTCATTCACTGATACCCTTTCTTCCAGTTGATCAAATTGGCTACTGAAGCTTGTGCATTCGTCACGTAGTTCTTGTGCCATGGTTTTCAGCTCCATCAGGTCATTTAAGGACTTCTCTACACTGGTTATTCTAGTTAGCCATTCGTCTAATCTTTTTTCAAGATTTTTAGCTTCTTTGCGATGGGTTCAAACTTCCTCCTTTAGCTCAGAGAAGTTTGATCATCTGAAGCCTTCTTCTCTCAACTCGTCAAAGTCATTCTCCATCTATCTTTGTTCCGTTGCTGGTGAGGAGCTGCGTTCCTTTGGAGGGGGAGAGGCACTCTGATTTTTAGAATTTTCAGCTTTTCTGCTCTGTTTTTTCTCCGTCTTTGTGGTTTTATCTACCTTTGGTCTTTGATGATGGTGACGTACAGAAGGGGTTTTGGTGTGGATGTCCTTTCTGTTTGTTAGTTTTCCTTCTAACAGTCAGGACCCTCAGCTGCACGTCTGTTGGAGTTTGCTGGAGGTCCAGTCCAGACACTGTTTGCCTGGGTATCAGCAGCGGAGGCTGCAGAACAGTGAATATTGCTGAACAGCCAATGTTGCTGCCTGATAGTTCCTCTGGAAGCTTCATCTCAGAGGGGTACCTGGCCATGTGAGATGTCAGTCTGCCCCTACTAGAGGGTGTCTCCCAGTTAGGCTACTCAGGGGTCTGGGACCCACTTGAGGGGGCAGTCTGTCCGTTCTCAGATCTCAAACTCTGTGCTGGGAGAACCACCACTCTCTTCAAAGCTGTCAGACAGGGACATTTAAGTCTGCAGAGGTTTCTGCTGCCTTTTGTTCGGCTTTGCCCTGCCCCCAGAGGTGGAGTCTACAGAGGCAGGCAGGCCTCCTTGAGCTGTGGTGTGCCCCACCCATTTCGAGCTTCCTGGTGGCTTTGTTTACCTACTCAAGCCTCAGCAATGGTGGGCGCCCCTCCCCCAGCCTCGCTGCTGCCTTGCAGTTCGATCTGAGACTGCTGTGCTAGCAGTGAGCGAGGCTTCATGGGCCTGGGACCCTCCAAGCCAGGCGTGGGATGTAATCTCCTGTGTGCTGTTTGCTAAGACCGTTGGAAAAGCGCAGTATTACAGTGGGGGTGATCCGATTTTCTAGGTGTCTGCTTTTTATTTTTAATGAACTTGTATGTCTTTTGATTTGAGGTTATCATGAGGGCTGCAAATAATATCTTATATCCATTATTTTAAACTGATGACATGTTAACACTGATTGCATAAACAAAGAAGCAAGCAAAGAGAAAACTAATAAAAACTCTATACTTTAACTTCATCCGCCTACTCTTTAACTTTTAACTTTTGTTTTTTCTATTTATATCTTATCATGTTATCTATGTTTTAAAAAGTTGTAGTTATTTTTGATCAGTTGATCTTTTAGTCTTCTACTCAGGATATGAGTAGTTTCCACATCATACATATCATAATGACAGTGTTATAATATTCTTTTTTTCTGTGTATTTTGAGGTTTTTTGTTTTGTTTTGTTTTAACATGGAGTCTCCCCCTGTCACTCAGGCAGGAGTACAGTGGCACCATCTCAGCTCACTGCAACCTCTGTCTCCCTGGTTCAAGCAATTCTTCTGCCTCAGCCTTCCAAGTAGCTGAGATTACAGGCTGATTTTTATATTTTTAGTAGAGATGGGGTTTCTCCATGTTGGTCATGCTGGTCTTGAACTCCTGACCTCAGGTGATCTGCCCGCCTCGGCCTGATCCCTAGTGCTGGGATTACAGGCATGAGCCACCATGCCTGGCCTGTACTTTGAGTTTTATAACTTCAGATGATTTCTTATTGCTCATTAATGTCTTTTCAGATTATTATTCTTTCATATTGAAGAACTCTTTTTAGTATTTCTTGACGGACAAGTCTGGTGTTGATAAAAATCCCCCAGCATTTGTTTGTCTTGAAAGTCTTTATTTTGCTTTCATATTTGAAGCAGATTTTATATAGACATACTATTCTAGGGTAAAAGTTTTTTTCCTTTAGCACTTCAGATATGTCATACCCTCTCACCCAGCCTGTAAGATTTCCACTAAAAAGTCTGCTGCCAGATGTACTGGAGCTCCTTTGTACATTATTTGTTTCTTTTCTCTTACTGCTTTTAGGGTCCTTTCTTTAACCTTGACCCTTGGGAATTTGATTATTAAATGCCTTGAGGTTATCTTTTTTGGGTTAAATGTGCTTGGTGTTCTATAACCTTCTTATACTTGAATATTGATGTATTTCTCTAGGCTTGGGAAGTTCTCTGTCATTATCCCTTTGAATAACCTTTCTACCCCCATTTCTTTCTCTACCTCCTCTTTAAGGCCAGCGACTCTAAGAAGATTTGCCCTTTTGAGGCTATTTTCTAGATCTTGTAGACAGGCTGCGTTCTTTTAAATTCTTTTTTTTCTTTTGTCTTTGACTGTGTTTTCAAATAGCCTGTCTTCAAGCTCACTAGTTTTTTCTTCTGCTTGATCAATTCTGGTATTAAGAGACTCTGATGCATTCTTTAGTATGTCAGTTGCATTTTTCAACTCCAGAATTTCTGCTTCTTCCTTTTTAATTATTTCAATCTTTTTGTTAAATTTATCTGATAGGATTCTGAGTTCCTTCTCTACTATCTTGGAAGTTTCACTGAGTTTCCTCAACACAGCTATTTTGAATTCTCTATCTGAAAGGTCTTTGTTTTTCTGGGGTTAGCCCCTTGTGTCTTATTTAGTTCATTTGGTGAGGTGATGTTTTCCTGGATAGTTTTGATGCTTGTGAATGTTCTTCAGTGTCTGGGCATTAAAGAGTTAGGTATTTATTGCAGTCCTGAAAAGGTATTTATTGCAGTTTCCCAACTGTAAAGTTGGGAAAACTTTACAGGTATTCAAAGGGACTTGGGTGTTGTGATCTACATTTTTGGTCACTGCAGCCATATCTACATTTAGGGGGAACTTCAAGCCCAGTAATGCTGTGGCTCTCACAGACTTGTAGAGGTATTGCCTTGGTGGTCTTGGGTACAATCCAGAAGATTTCTCTGGATTACCAGGGAGAGACTCTTGTTCTTTTCTCTTACTTACTTCCAAATAAATAGACTCACTCTCTTTGGGCTGAGCTGCCTGGAGCTGGAGGGGTGGTACAAGCTCCCCTGTGGCCACCACCACTGGGACTGTGCTGTGTCAGACCTGAAACCATCAGAGCACTGGATCTCAACCAAGGCTCACTGTAACCATTACCTGGCTACTGCTTATGTTCACTCGATGCCTAGGGCTCTACAGTCAGGTAGTGGTGAAGCCAGCCTGGCTAGTGTCTTTTCAGGGTGGTGAGCTCCCCCTGGCTCCAGGTGGGTCTAGAGATACTGTCTGGGAGCCAGGGTCTGGAGTTGGAAATCTTAGGAATCTACCTGCTGCTCTATTCTACTGCAGCTGAGCTGGCACCCGAGCCACAAGATAAAGTCCTTCCCACTCTTCTGTACCCTTTCCACAAGCAGAAGAGTCTCTCCCCACGGTCACTGCCACCACAGGCCCATGGGGAGCACTGCCAGGCCACTACTGATGTTCATGTAAGGCCCAAGGGCTCTTTAGTCAGCTTCTGGTGAATGCTTATATGCCTGGGATTCACCCTTCAGGGCCGTGGGTTCCCCTCTGGCCCAGGGCTGGTTCAGAAGTGCTAACCAAGAGCCAAGGCCAGGAATCAGGGTCCCCAAAAGCCCACTTGGTGCTCTACCTCACTGTGGCTGAGCTGGTACCTAAACTGCAGGACAAAGTCCCATTTACTCTTCCCTTTGCTTTTCTCAAGCAGAAGGAGTCTCTCACCACAGCCACCACATCTATGCATGTGCTGAGTCACATGTGAAGCCAGCACATCTCAGAGTCTCACCGAAAGCTCATGGTATGTACTACCTGTCTACTGCTATTGATTATTCAGTGCCCAAGGGCTCTTTAGTCAGCAAGTCATGAGTCCTACCAGGACTAGGTCCTTCCCTTCCTGACAGTAGGTTCCCCTTCTGGCCCAGAGTGGGTCTAAAAGTGTTGTCCAGGAGGTAGGGCCTAGAATGAGGACATTATGACCCTGCCTAGTGCCTTGTTCTACTGTGGCTGAGCTGGTATCCAAGTTGGAGGACAAAACCCCTCTCCTCTCCTCAAGTGGAATGAGAAAGTCTTTTTCAGAGTTGCAAGCTGTTCTGCCTGGGGTTGGTGGGAGAGTTGGAACAAGCACTCCTTTGGCTACCCCAACTTGTGTCTCCCTAGGTCATGTGCTCCCCAAGTCCACGGGCTTTGAGCCCAGCACAGCACTCAGACTTGTCTAGGAGTTGCAGTCCTTGTGGCCTAGACTGCCCTTCAAGGTTTTTTAGACCCATAGAGCACTTTAGTCCGTGGTGGAGAGGCTTACCAGAACTCAGGTTCTGACCATTGGGATGGATGATTCCCCTCTTGCTAGGGCTTTTCTAAATGTTCTCTCCATGGGCGACGCCCGAGTTTTGCCCAGTATTGCTTTCTGCTGTGACAGGGCAGCACTGAGTTCCAATGCAAAGTCCCACAATCACTGTGTTCTCCCTCCCCAAGTTGCACAGATTCTCTCTCCATGCCATGTGGCCACTAACAGGAGAGAGGGGAAGGGTAGCTTTGGCAACTAAAGCCAAACTACCCTCTTTCCTGCTGCTTTCGGTGCTATGAGGTTAAAACCAAGTGCTATGATTGCTCATCTGATTTTTGGTTCTTATGAATGTGCAATTTTGTGTAGATAGTTGTTGAAGTTGGTATTCCTGTGAGAAAGATGATAGGTGGAGGCTTCTATTTAGCTATGTTGCTTTGCCTCTTCGTATGCCTTCATTTTTAATTATTCCAGAGTGCTTTATTGGGTGTGTCTCACAATTTCCTTAGAAGTTCCACTGTTGAATAACACTTCCATTGTTTGATTTATAGCTATTATAAACAAGCCTGAGATGATTAAAGGTAAATTCAGGCACTCCTGCTTGATTATTTTCTTAGGATAACTCCTAGAAATGAAATTCTTTGATCAAAAAGTATTCTTGTTTTTAGGGATTTTAATATATTAATGGATTTTGTCAATTCTTTCCCCCATCCCAATTGCATTGCTGTTTCACTTTCATCACCCAGTAAAAGAGTGCTTGTTTCCCCAAATACATAGCAATGTTGGATCAGTGACATTGAGTGTTCACTCAAATTTTTACCAATGTGTTAAGTAAAATTTAAAAAAGAAAAATAATAAATTTATATTTTATTCTTTTAATTTGCATTTCCTTGTTTACTATTAAAGTAGTACTTTTCTCAGTTGTGTTTACTAGTCATTTGTATGTCTTCCTTTGGGAAGTGACTATTTATGCCCATTTTCCATTTTTTTTTATTAATTCATTTTACATTTTATTTTATTGTCGTTTCAGTGGGTACATGTAGATGTTTGTTACATGGATATGTTATGTAACAGCCGAGTTGGGCTTCTAGTGTACCTGTTATGCAAATAGTGACCATTGTTCCCAATAGGAAATTTTTTAACCCTTATCCTCCTCTCAGCCTCCCTCACTTTTGAAGTCCCCATTGTCTATTGTTTCCACTTTTATGTTCATGTGTACCCATTGTTTGGCTCCCACTTGAGAGCAGGTGGCATTTTGCTTTCTGCTTCTGAGTTATTTCATGTAGGATAATGGCCTCCAGCTCCATCCATGTTGCTGTAAAAAACATGATTTTTTTATGGCTGCATAGTATTCCATGGTATATATACCACATTTTCTTTATCCAATCACCTACTGATGGACACTTAGGTTGAGTCTGTGACTTTGTTATCGTGAATAGTGTTTTGACAAATTTATGAGCGCAATTGTGTTTTCGTTGTATAGTAATTTCTTTTTCTTTGGGTAGATACCCAGTAATATGATTGCTGGGTTAAATGGTAGTTCTTTTTTTTTTTTTTTTTTTTTTTTTGAGACAGAGTCTTGCTCTGTCACCCAGGCTGGAGAACCGTGGCATGATCTTGGCTCACTGCAGCTTCCACCTCCTGGATTCAAGCGATTCTCCTGCCTCAGCCTCCCAAGTAGCTGGGACTACAGGCACGTGCCCCCATGCCTGGCTAATTTTTTGTATTTTTAGTACAGATGGGATTTCACCATGTTAGCCAGGATATTCTCGATCTCCTGACCTCATGATCTGCCTGCTTGGCCTCCCAAAGTGCTGGGATTACAGGCGTGAGCCACTGTGCCTGGCTAGTTCTATTTTTAGTTATTTGAGAAATGTTCGTTCTGTTTTCCATAGAGATAAAACTAATTTACATTCCTACTAACAGCTTATAAGTATACTCTTTTCTGTGCATCCACAGCAACATCTGTTGTTTCTTGATTTCATAATAATGGCCATTCTGACTGGTATAAGATGATACCTCATTGTGGTTTTAATTTGCATTTTTCTGATGATTACTGGTGAGCATTTTTTCATATGTTTGTTGGCCACTTGTATGTCTTCTTTTAAGAAATGTCTATGCATGTCCTTTGCCCACTTTTTAATGGGGTTGTTTTTTTCTTGTGTTGTTTGTGTTCCTTATAGATTCTGGATATTAGTCCTTTATCAGAGGCATAATTTGCAAATATTTTCTTCCATTCTGTAGGTTGCCTGTTTACTCTGTTGATTTTTTTTCTTTTTTTTTGCTATGTAGAAGCTTTCAAGTTTAATTAAGTACCATTTGTCTATTTTTGTTTTTCTTGCATTTTGCTTTTGAAGCCTTATTCATAAATTTTTCATTTTCTTTTTGGTTATAAGTGCTTTTTATATGTTGAAAATATGAACTCTCTGTCATAGATGTTAAAACTATTTTTTCTATTTGTTGTCTTTGATTTTATGTATGATTTTTCTAACTGTACAAATGTTTAGAATTTAATGTTTTTAAACACGTCAGTTTTTCCCTTAGATTCTGCATTTGATCTTAAGCTTATGAAGTTCTTTTCTACATTAAGAATATAAAAGCATTTACCTATATTAATTTTATATTCAATGTTCAAATCTACCTTAAATTTATTTTGGTATAAGGCTGATTTAGCTAGTCCTAATTTTTCTCCCACATTAGGCCATATTTTCTGATGCCTCAGAAATATTTAGGATTTTTAGTGGGAATAAAAGCAAGATGTTGTGCTTTTCAGGTAAATATGAAATATGAGCATTCATAGCTTATAAATCATGTTTTCCTGGTAGTAGTGCTGAATTTCTGAAATGTTCATCCTGTTATTGTCAGCTTTGTCACCAAGGCCATGTTTCACTGTGATCTGGAAACACTTTTCCCTTTGACCAAAGTCTTGAGATTGGCCTTGGAGATATCATGCTTCATATAACAATTAAATTGAAAAGTCCTTGGCACTAGTGACACAATGAAGAGAGCAGAAAATCTTTCCTCTGAGTCCCATAGAAATGAAGCAACCAAACTACACTGTTGAAAACCTTCTAGGGAGGGGAGCCAACAAGAGTATAGAGAGCGATGAAGGCTGTCTATGTGCTATACCCCTGCACACACCTCATTAGCTATCACAGCTGCACGTTGGGTGGATCTTAGCTTTCTACATAGCCTGTATCAAGTTCAGGACATCTGGAAATGTCACACTTGGAAGGAGATCACACAAACCCCTGCCTGATGCAATGGAGTGGTAACTTACTGTCAAGAAAATTCTCTCTTCTATCTAGCTGATTTATGCTCATTGAAATGTGTTGGGTCCCCTTCAAATTTTGTTGGGTCTCTTGAAAACAGCTGGTGATGCGGCCTGCAAGATACTAGGCATTGCCCTCTGAGCTTCTCTTCTTTTACAAGTGAAGCCTTTTTTTATTTGGACAAAGTGACCTCATGATCTGAAGCGATTATAAAAATTAGCATGAGAGGGACAAACAGGATGTGGCATCAGATTTTCCAGACGTCCAGACAAAATCTTTTCTTTCTTTTCGAATCAGAGGATAATTAGAAACATAGAATGTGTCATATTTTTCCTTCTCTCTGTTTAAAATAGGACCTTGTGGATTAATTAAATTTATTATATGTTCTGTTTGCAAAAGAATGTATATTTATCTCCACTTGGTATTCATTTATTAATTCAATTGATATTTATTAAACACACATTATGTACAAGGACTGAAACTAGTATTTGAGTTTCTGCCAAGTACTGTGCTAGGTGCTTTTACAGATTATTTCCTCCTTTAATCTGTGTGAGAGAGATATTACAATCATATAGCATATGAAGAAACCAAGGCCCAGAGAGGTTAAGTGATTTGTTCAAGGACTTTCAGCGGGCAAGTGTTAGACCTGGGATTCAACTGTCTATATCTTAGAGTGCATGGCCCATTTTTTCCTTCCTACTCTAGGGGTGATTCTTTTTGTTTTAAATTATCTTTTTATTTCTTTCTAATTTAACCGCCTTATTGTGAGAGAACATTGCTTATATGACATCTATTCTTTGAATTTGTTGAGGTCTTCTTTGTTACCTTGTACATGGTATGTTTCTGTAAATATTCCATGTTTACTTGAAGAGATTGTATGTTTTCTGCTAGTGCAGAGTTATATATCCTTTAGATCAGGCATGTTAATTTTGTCATTTAAATTTTCTGTACCTTTAGTCTGCTGTATCTATCAGAGAGTGTTAAGATCACCTACCATGATTATATATTTGCCAAATTCTTCTTGACATTCTATTAGTTTTGAGATATATATATATGTATGTATATATAAAACTATGAATTTGTACGCAACTTATAGCCTAATGTGTGTGTATATGTGTGTACATATATACATATATGTACATGTATAACTAATAGCATAGCCTAATGTGTGTGTATATATGTGTATATATGTATATACACATATATAAATGGAAAATATAAAAACTATGAATTTGTGTGCAACTAATAGCATAGCCTAATGTGTGCGCATGTGTGTATATATGTGTATATATGTATATGTGTATATATGTATATATGTGTATATACACACATAATACACACACATTAGGCTATGCTGTTAGTTGCATACAAATTCATAGTTTTTATATTTTCCTGGTAAATTGTTCTAGTCACTATTAAGTAAGGTTCCTCTTTATCCCTCTCAATGCTTTTTCTCTTAACTTCTATTTATCTTATCCAAATATTGTTATATTAGCTTTATTTTGGCTAGATATTTTCTTGGAAAAAATATATATTCCTTCTAATTTTATGCTTTTCCATATGATTTTGTTTCAGATATGCTTTTGGTAACCAGCTCATATTTTTATTTTAAATGCATTCAGATAAATGCTGTCTTTTAATAGCAAGTTTAATTGCAAGCACTGCTGAGGCTGGACTTATTTTTTTATACTTGATTTTGTGCTCATTCACATTCTTCTAATGTGTTCCTTTTTGCTCTTTGTCTGCCTTCAGATGGACTGATAAACTTTTCTATATTCCCTTTTCACTCCTCTGCTGGTTGGCAAGCTAAAAGATTACACTTCTTTTAGTGGTTACTCCTAACATTTTAACATACATATTTAACAAAATAGTTTTCTAACAATATGGCAAGTTATATAAAATTTCTATCCTTCTGCCAGAAGTGACATGAACCTCCTTGTGCTGGAAGAACTCAGTGACTGTCATTCTGTCTTGCCATTTTGTGGAGGATTCTGGTTTTTTTCTTTTGTAGCATCTCCCTACTCGCCATCCACAGCTGCAGATCTACCCCTGTCCGCTCCCTGGCTGTCCATCCGTTTTTCTCTCTCATTTTGCGCTCACCCTTCTTGCTTACTCCTTTGCCAGGGCTCTGGCTCTGCTTGTCAGTTTGTATTTTTCTTCTGTTTTTAGTCTACAGACGTGTTTGTCTTGTGTTAGAATCAGGCTGCGACTTCTTTTTACTTTTAAAAAAAAAGTCTATCATTGTTATGTATTTGGAGGAGCAGAAATGTGTCAGATCAGAGCTCGCAGCAAGAGAGCTGTCCTGGCTGGGATTCTCAAGAATGATTTTTACAGTGTTCTAACTAGTTTGTAGGGGTCTCAAGAGAAGGCTCCTGATTGAAAAGTGCAAGTCTTTTGTTGTTGTTTATTGATCTTATATTTGAATGACTCCCATTCTACAGTCCTTTATTTATTATATTGTTTTTTTTTTTTTTTTTTCTGAGGCAGAGTTTTGCTCTTGTTGCCCAGGCTGAAGTGGCAATGGTGTGATCTCGGCTCACTGCAACCTCCACTTCCTGGATTCAAGCGATTCTCCTGCCTCAGCCTCCTGAGTAGCTGGGATTTACAGGCACCTGCCACCACGCCTGGCTAATGTTTTGTATTTTTAGTAGAGACGGGATTTCATCATGTTGGCCGGTCTTGAACTCCTGACCTCAGGTGATCCACCCACCTCAGCCTCCCAAAGTGCTGGGATTACAGGTGTGAGCTACTGCGCCTAGCCCAGTCCTTTATTTTTAACTATAACCAAGGGCTATTTACTGTCAGGATAGTCCTTAGTACATAACACACCTTTGTCAATTTGTATGATACTAGGTGGCTGTAGCCCGGCAGCTTGCAAGTGGAGGGCAGATTGCACTTCAGTCCCTGCTTGCCTCTTTGGCAGGTTTACATAAACCAAATCCCCCACACAGTGGCTCTGTTTACCAGCAACCTTACTAAACGAATTACTAAGGTTAACTAGTGATTGGTACTTGCAAACTACAATTGGCATGTTCTTAGTATTTCCCAATGACACTTTCAGAATTCTTTCCAAAACACTTCATTGTTATGCCTCACTGCAGTTTTTCCTGTTCTTGTTAATGCACTATAGCCAGGATTTCCCTGGCACCTGGGCTCTGGTCAGAGAAGTTTGATATTTCTTGTACTGTGTGTTATAAGCAGCATCCTTTAGGTGTGGGTGTCTCTCTAGATAGTAGAGGGAACCCACATCTTTTATCATAACTTTTATCCCTGCATGTTATATCTTAAATGTAAATCTAGGTACAAGTATCAGAGCCTTAATATTTTAATGAAAACAAATATTAGCTATCAATAATCAAGAGAATTCCAGAACACTAATAGTTATTACCAGAGTTATGCTGACAAGTTATTACCAGAGTCGTGCTGACAATCGATTATCTGAAAAGATAAAACCTTGATTTCTGGTGTTTGTCAATTTCTGTAGTGTAAAAACTTCCACCCCAGCTTGATTTCAAGCCATCTCTGCATTGATGTCACTGAACATGGAGTTGGGAAGACATACATACAATTGTCTTCAGTATAGCCCTGGATCACAATGTATGGCTATCACATAAAATAGGACATTGATACTTTCATTTCACATTTCGTGATAATCTTAAAACTTGATTTTCAAAGTTCAAAGAATAAATAGTCCAAAAGAGTATCTAGTAGGCAAACAATGACCACAATCTTGAGGTCTGTCTATAAATTATTTTTATGATAATTATTATTTTGAGACAGGGTCTCACTCTATTTCCAGGCTGGAGTGCAGTGATGTGATAATGGCTCACTGCAATCTTCATCTCCCAGGCTCAGGTGATCCTCCCACCTCAGCCTCTTGGGCAGCTGGACTACAGGTGTGCGCCACCATGCCCAGCCGATTTTTGTATTTTTTGTAGGGACAGGGTTTCACCATGTTGCCCAGGCTTGTCTCGAACTCTTGGCCGCAAGTGATCTGCTTACCTTCGCCACTGGGAGTGCTGGGATTACAGCCATGAGCCACCATATCCGGCCTGTATGTTATTTTATCTGCAATCTATGAAGATGAATGGCTCCTACTCCAGGGATGTTATTTTTTATTTTTTTTGAGACAAGAGTTTTGCTCTTGTAGCCCAGGCTGGAGTCCAATGGCGCGATCTCGGCTTACTGCAAACTCCACCTCCGGGTTCGAGTAAATTTCCTGCCTCAGCCTCCCAAGTAGCTGGGATTACAGGCACCCACCAACACACCTGGCTATTTGTGTGTGTGTGTGTGTGTGTGTGTGTGTGTGTGTGTGTGTTTAGTAGAGATGAGGTTTTACCACGTTGGCCAGGTTGGTCTCGAATTCCTGGCCTCAGGTGATCCACCTGCCTCGGCCTTCCAAAGTGCTGGGATTACAGGCGTGAGCCACCGTGCCCGGCCCAGGGATGTTAATTTGAAAAGGATACCTTTTATTTAGAAAATAGTAAGTGGTTTTCTTAATAAAGATATCACTGTGGGCACTTGTATATTTTCCATCTTTTCAATGTGCAATGGCCCTTTCCCATTGGAATTTTGGTTATCTTTGCTACCTCCAGCTGGTATTTGCCCTTCAAGAACTGTGGTGCCAACCAAGTATATCTCATTTGTATGCTTCATATCTTGAGTATCATATTCACTCTTTGTAATTTGGAATAATACTTTGGACCTCCATGGCAGCTTTAATTTATCAGTGTATTTTTTCCGTAGTTACGATGGAATGGTACATTTTACTTTTTTTCTTTTCATTTGAGAATGTGATGTTTTCCTGAACATTAAATTGATATTGTTGACAGTATTTTGTGTTATTTGGCAAAGCAATAGCCTGGGAGCATGACCCAGCCTCTCATTGACTCCTTTGAGTTTTATATTTCTAATAACAATTTGGAGAAAGAAATGTAAATTCTTTTCCATCTGCTTTCCTTTAGCACGTTATTGCTCTTTACTTGAAAAGGGTAGGTAACTGGTAGACATGCATTTTTATTGAACATATTTGTGAACTTATCTTTTATAATTTTATCTTGAAGATTTTAATAATTTGCTTCCACAGTTACCTTTCTCCCCCACCTCCTTTTTAACAGGTTTCCACAGTGACTGCCCTGGGGGGCTTAGTTGTTTTCCTGTGTTGCAGTGTTCCAAATCGAATTATGCTAAAAGTATAAATATGGAATTTGCCTTTAAGCAAAGGTAAACCAGCGCCCAAGTAGCAATGGTTTGTTTAAATTTCATTGTTGACAGATAACAAATATTTTCAATGATCCCAAATACCACACTTCATACAATACACATATTCTATGAAGAATCGGAACGTAACTCAACATTTTTCCAAATGGTGGTCTTCAAAATGTTCATCTAGGGACTTCAATAGCTATAGGAAGAAAAATTTGCTCCATGATCAAATATATTTGAGAAATGCAGCATACTCTTTTCTTTTGAAAAGGTACAACACTTGTTTACCCACTAAAGTCAGTAGTCCAGTAGTTTTTAAAAAACTGACAAATCCTCTCCTCTCTCTCTCTCTCACACACACACACAACTTAATTTGACCCAGTGTTTAGCAAATATTTAAGAAAATTTTTTTCCACACCATATCCATAAATACCATTTGAAAGAATGTTCTGTGTAATACCAGTTTGGGAAATTTGCTGTAAACTCATTGACTCGCGATGACCATATGTGGACTCTTGTAGGTTTCACTGTTGTATTCATGATGGGAATGTGCAGCATTTTAACACTATTTAAGCAACAGACTCTAAAACTCATTCTAAGAGTAAATAAAATTATTCTTGGATTCATCCATGTACATAAATATGCTTGTGTTTCCTGAAAGAAAAGTTGAGGGCCATTTTACTTCTGTTAACTTGTCACACATATGTCAGAGGAGAAAGTTTGGCATATAGATTTATCTTTTAATCAGTAAGAATTGTGGCACTATGTCAGGAAGTCTTATCCTTATTATCGCATATTGTTGGTTATCAATGAAGTTGTAAGTATTGCAACTCTATATGTTCAACTATGCAGTGTTTTAGAGAAGACTTGGTGGAGCAGCTATAGCTTGTGAATAAACTATTCAGAAGACTGGAAATGTCTTATTAAAGGGAAGAAATTCTTCGGGAGCTAAAACATCTTTCGTGATCCTTATCTGATAAAAAATAAATCAAAGATTACAGCTTGTGTAATATGGAGAAAGCCAGAAATATCACTTAAACTAATTTAATCATTTTAATGCCAAAGCAAAAGGTAGTCTTTCAAAGAAATTTTGATAATAACAGAAAAGTAGACAAAAAATAAATCCACCCACAGTTATATCACCTAAATATAAACATTGCTAATACTTTAGGGGTACTTCCTTTCAGCCCTTTTTTGTACATTAGCTTTTTTTGTGTGTTTGTTTTGCTTTGCTTTGTTTTTAAACAGAGTACAGAGACATATTTACTGTGAAAGTCATAGATCTGCAACTTCAGTGCCCCTCACTTGTAAAAAACCCTCTTAAGGCTTGGGAGAGACACTAGCAATGTGTTATCATGGTCACATGTTTTTGTAAACTTTGCAGAAGTAAGGTCAATTAACTGAAATTGTTAAGACTGCTGTCTTTCTCCACTCAGACTTTCATCCGTTATGCTTCTTCTCACATCAGGTGGTAATGAAGTGGCAGCAGGCATTTGAGGGGGGATCTGGCTAAGAGAAGATGAGTTGTGGATGCATTTCGGTAGGTTTTGTTTCAGTGGTTCACAGTCGCTTCTGTGGAAATGATGTCCAAGAAGACTTCTTTCTGCTGACCTGGCTAGTGTTCTGACTTGATGTTGTGGGGCCAGAAGTTGTGTTGCAGTATGCACACGTCCTTTGATGCCTGGCACAGAAAATTGTGAGTAGCAAACAAGATCTGATGTTTTTGGAACCAAAAGTTAATATGGGGAAAAGTCTTCCGGTCAGCCAACATGAACAATTGTTAAGTGCATGATTCAATTCTTATTGATGCCTAGTCAAATCGTCAGAGAACTGCAGAGAATTGCAATTCACCAGAATTATAATGACACTGAATATGTAATTCAAAATTCTGTCATTTTCACTTAAAAATTATATCACTAGAATTTTCCATGTTAAAGTGGCCTTTATAAATCTTTTATATGCTGCCATAATATTCAATTTAGCTTAAGTCAGCTCAGAGTTTTTTGTTGATATCCTATCTGTGTGATGAACTGTACTCACAACATAATTCTGTTCTGGACCAACTCTAACACAACTTTTCCTCTCTCGGTGCACTTTCTCTGGCTTTGCTTCTATCTCTCAAGTTCAGTGATTCCCTTTTCCTAGAATACCTTTCCTTTCTGTTTCTGCCTGGTAAATTACTCTCTGTCTTTTAAGATCTAGCTCATATCTCATCCTTTTGATCCATAAGGCTTCCTTGACTCCATGAATAATTAGTGTTCCCATAACACGCATCTGTGATTGCCCTCGTAGTGCATGATGGTTTTAATTTATCCATGAGCCTGACTCTTGAGTTTATGAGTACATAAGTGAAAAAAAAAATCTTCTATTATGCTTCACTCCACTGAAAATGTTGCCTTCCACACTGCCTGAAATATAGGGTTATAATAAAATTTTATTTAAACAAAGAAGAGGGAAAGCACCACATAAATATTACAGTTGTGTCCAAGAATATATTAAACAGCAACCATCTTCTAATAATAGGAACTTTTTTTTTTTTTTTTTTTTAGACAGAGTCTTGCTTTGTCACCTAGGCTGGAGTGCAGTGGCATGATCTTGGCTCGTTGCAACCTCTGCCTCCCAGGTTCAAGAGATTCTCATGCCTCAGCCTCCCAAGTAGCTGGGATTACAGGTGTGTGACACCACACCTGGCTAACTTGTATTTTTGGTAGAGACAGGGTTTTGCCATGTTGGCCAGGCTGGTCTCGAACTCCTGGTCTCAAGCAAGGAGGCCCGCCTCGGCCTCCCAAAATGCTTGAATTACAGGCATGAGTGACTGCACCTAGCCTAATAATAGGAACATTTTAAAGATCTTACATTGTTCTTATTTGGATAAAGATTAATTGTAAACCCTATTTTACTCTACAATTATTTCCAAGTTTCTTAGAAGAAATATAAAAGAGAAAAATATATGTTTCAAAATAACAAAAATTAGTATATTAATTTTGTTAGGTTTGGCTGCAAATTTCTCTTTGTCTAAACCAAATAATGATGGCTTAGACAAGATATGTTTACTTTTTGCTAAGTTCTGGTTGGCATCAGAGACCCAGGCTCTTTCTATTTTATTGTTTTATGCTTATATGCTTATGTGGCTTTTATTCCCGAGGTCACCTTATGGTCTAAGATGGCTTTTTTTTTTTTGCTTTTTCCAGCAATCATGTCCCAGGTAGTAGGAAGGAGAAAAAGGGAGGAAAAGCTACGCTGTTCCTGTAACTGCACTTTTCAGACTTAGTTCACATTTATTTATTTATTCCAGTTGCACTTCACTGACCAGTATTTAAATATGTGGCCATGTCCAGCTGCAATAAAAACTGGAAACAATAGTCTTTGTTCTAGACAACTGGGTACAATTTGGGGGTTCTTTTCCTGAGGAGGAAGGGAAAAGTGAATACTGGAGGACAAATAGGCTCTTTGCATTTATGATTGGGAATTTTACTGATATATCTTCAAGCTTACTGATTCTTTTCTTGGGCTGTGTCCTGTCTATTGATAAGCCCATCACTTCATTTCTGCTGTAGTATTTTTTATTTTTAGCATTTTTAAATTCTTTCTTAGAGTTTTCATCTTGCTTATACTATTCATCTGTTCTTGCATGTTGTCCACTTTTTCCTTTAGAGCCTTTAAAATATTAATGATAGTTTTTAAAAAAAATTCCTGGTTTGGATAATTCTAAAATATCTGCCTATCTGAATCTGATGTGATGCTTGCTTTGTTTCCTTAGACTGTGTTTTTCTTGCCTTTTTGTATGCCTTGTAATTTTCGTTTGAAAACTTGAAATCATATATTGAGTAATAACAACTGAGTTAAGTAAACCTTTCATGTGAAATTTTATATTAACCTGGCTAGAAGTTGTGTTGCATTTAATATTGCTGTAGCTGTAGGTTTCAGAGGTTTCATTTTCTTCTAATGTCCTCATTTTGGCTCCTCTCTTGTGTTTGAGATTCCCTGAAAACTCCCTAAATAGGGTTGTGTCTTGTAGCTCTTTTAGCTGTAACCCATTTTTATTATACTGGAGTCCTGTTGATATAGTGGTAAGGTGAGGGGTGAAAGGTAATGTTCTATAATCCTATCACTAAGCATCACTCTTTTATTGGGCCTGTGTCCCTGGACTGTGAACTTCACAAATGTTTCTCAACATTTTTTACCCTTAGGTGAGACAAAGAGACTAGAAGGGGTAGAGTCAGCTAACTTCTCTCCTCCCACCACTGATGAGGTTTTGGTGAATTCTCTTCCCTTGCTCAGTAAGTCATTATTATGGGGAATGCTTCGGGTTTATTCAAAATGTTTTACTTTTCCTTTCTCCCTGACAGAAACAAAGGCTTTACTTGACTCTTTACTATGAAAGCCTGGTTGGGTTCCTGAAAGTAATACTCATAGAAGTGTAGGGTCCCCTATGACTGCAGCCCTCAGGAGTTTCTCATTCTTAACAGTAATGTAAATGCTGCCCCCCATAATTTGTCAAAGTTCCTATTTAAATGTTCCCACCAATTTATGGCTCCAACTGCTGTTGCTTCAGGTAAGTTGATCTTGATTGTGATTCTCTCTGTTCACCTGTGTCTTCTGATTTCATGTGGTGGTTTTTCATGTGACCTCAGTTCTATAGTGGGTCCAAGAACAGTTGTTAATATTCAGTTTGCTGAGCTTTTTCTTGTTGTAGAGGTGGGAGTGATGACTTCTGAACTGCTTTTTTTTTTTGAGACTGAAGTGTCTTGCTCTGTCACCCAGGCTGGAGTGTAGTAGCATGATCTCGGAGAATAGGGTGAAGTAGTTCTCCATTTAATTTTTTTATATAGATAATTGTCCCAACACCATTTATTAAATATTCCTTCTTTTTCCATTGATATTTCTTATATGCTTACCACTTTCTATATAGTTGGTTTGTTTCTGGTCTCTTTATTCTGCTTTATTAACTATTTATCTACATCTGGCCAGTAACACACTTTTAAAAATTATTGTATCTATTAAGGTCAACCCTCTCACCTAATTCTTCTTTAACACTATTAAAGAAGAATTCTTGGCCTTTTGCAATAAGGATTAATTTATGTCTATTTGTCTTCCTTGCGTTTAAGAGGAGTTGTCAGTCTTTTGCAATAATGCTTTTCTTTAATTTTGGAAATTTTTCTATCATTATTTCTTTGAATATTTCCTCATAAACTTTTTTTCTCAACCTTTCTCCCTGTTTGCTAATTAGGTTATTATTTCCACATTGTCATTATTGTTGATATTTATATTGTGTAATGTAACAATAATTTTCACATGTATTTACACTTTTACATTTATGTTGATTTAGTAGTCACTGCCATACTTTATAATGATGTTCTTTATTATTTTCTTGGATGGCTGCAATTTGTACCATAATACTTCTTCCTAGAAAGGTTTATGAAACTGTCTTGTATCAAATTGTTTTCCTGGGACTTGAAAATTAATCATCATTTAAATTAATCAACAATTAAATTTATTTCTTTAAATTAATCATTAATTAATTAGTTACTTAAACTGCTGTTATGGGAGACTTCTATTTTATCTTTGAATTTTTCTGTTTGACTTTTTTTTAATCTTCTTCAGAATACAGTGAGTGCTCTTCTTTAACTGTCTTCCATAATTAACATTTAGTCTTTGTTAATTAACAAAACTAGTTCTTTTTCTTTCAATATGCTCAATTTTCTTAAGCTTTCTTCTACATGCTCTTGACATTTTAGTAATTTCTATGTCTAATGTGACTTTCATGTTTTTATGCTTTGATTTTCTCTATCACTTCATGTCCTTTATAAAAAAAAAAGTCAATTCCCCTTGAACCTTTATGTTTTTTCTTTCTGCTCTCCTTTTTTTCTCCCCAGTGAGGCCATGCTTCATTTAATTTCTTTGATTTTCATTAAGATGTTTGATTATAATCTGAAACTGATTTTACCATAATTTTCTGATGTATATTCTTTATTGACCTTGTTTCATTATGTTACTTTTCTCTCTGTTCCTTTAAGTATGTTTACATAAATTCCATGATTTTGCCCCTCATTGAATGCTGGAAGTTTTCCTGCACCAACTGTTTGTAGAAAAAAAGTGTAGGGAGAAGCTGAGATAAGCTGGGATATTAGGAGAATTTGCTAAATGGCCTCTGAATACCTTGTCACAGCACCCTGCTGGGTTGGTACCATTCTGTTCCCTAATAAGGAAAAATAATTCTGGCTCTTTGGTCACAGACATTGGTTGACAATTTACATTTTATTTACCTTCACTTATCCAAGGTCACAGCTCTGCATGTCATCCAGGTTTATTGTAAATCCAGCCTCAGTCACACCCTATTTCTTGCAAAATTAGCTGCTCTCCCTGTCTGTGGGAAGCTCCCTCTACTTGCCCACACATCCTGACCTTTCTCTGCCAATTAAGGCATTTTAGTTTACCCCTCCAGTGGGCCATCTAGTCTGGAGAAGTTCATGTTAGCTCAAGGTTTGCAGAGCTCAAGTTTCTCTTTCTGAATCCTCCCTTCCCTGTGCACTATTTCCAGTGCAGTCAGCAGCCCTTCTTTATAGACTGTGTTTTCCTTGTTACTTTAAAGGAGAAGAGGGAATAGATGTGTGTTATCGGTACTATCTTAAATAAGGAATTAGCATGATACATTGTTGATAAAAATAGTCAAGTTTGCCAACCATCAGTCAACATTATTACATAGGTTAACTGATGACAGTACTTAAATAACCAGATGTACTCTTTTTTTTTTTCCTTACCACTTTAAAGTTTGGATTTTTTTTTCTCTCTAATTAAATCCAACAGGTCAAAACCTAATGTTAGAATTGATCAGCAAAGCTAATGCTTTATGGTGTGTCTAACGCCTACATCCAAAGAGCCTGCATCTTAACAATTCCCTTGCTTTTTTCAGGAAAATTGTTGTTTTTATTCCAAATACTAAATGTAAATATTAAAATTTTTTTATTGGATTTACCTACACAGAAATAAATTGTTAGACTAAGACCTGAGTTCTGTCTAAATAATAAAAACTCATTGATATGGGGCTTTGATGCTACCTATAGGTCTATTTAAAACATTGACCTGAAAATAAATGACTCTAAATGTTTTTCTTCACCAATCATCGGAACCAGCCAGGCTCTAGAGAATTAAATAATCTAAAAGTGGTACATTTTATAACAGCTGGTGGGATTTTTATTGACACCTTCACATGATCAATTCATGGTTGTCACCTTGCTTAAGTTGATCAACCTAATGTGTACGTGCAATGTTATAATTACCTTTCCTTTTGACAAGGATGCGTTAAGTGTGGCTGTAATATGGGAACTCCTTTCAGCTTTCATTAACTCAATATAAATCCAAAGCTTGCAGATTCAGCAGAGTTGTCTATAGTGGCTTAATTGGAATTGCTGGACAAGAACATTGATTCTGCTTCACTCAGGTAAAGATGAAAGTAACTGCAACAATGGATATTGCATTTGAAGGTCATTGAGTTGTAGTCAGGCAAGGGGAGCAGATATTAAAACATACACGCACAAAATAATGGGATTTTTATTTAGCATCTCGCAAGTCTTGAGTAACATAGTATTAATTGACCTTGAGATTTCATTCTTTTGTGACTCATTGCATTTGCTTTTGTGTTTCAGATTAATATAGAATATTTTAAAGAAAGAGTAATACAGCCAATTTTAATCTCTGGGAAGTTTATGCAAGACATAATTTATTTGTAAACTTTATAATAATATGTGAATTAAAGACCCTTGTTAGTTTGGTATGAATCTGACATAAGGGCTAAAATCACTTTTTCATTAGCCTTCTCCTGATCTCAGGTTTACACCTAAGAGATTCTTCACTCCAAAGTCTTCATTTCCAAGCACAACCTGCTGGGTGCTGCGCTTTTCTGAGGTCTCCTCCCCAGCTCTGCATCTAGCAGTGCTCATGATGCAATGATTTCCTGTCTGACTATCCCATTCCTATCCTTTGCAAAGTTCACATAGACCCATTTGAGTACACTTTTAGTAGCATACCAAGTTTAAGTGCCAAAGTTGTGTTTTAGTTCTTTCATCCAGAAAGAAAACATCAGCTGTTTCAAATTTTAGAGTCCAGCTTGGGCAACAAGAGAATTGTCATGTCGTCGATTGTGTAGTAAGACACAGTGAGTGTCCAGCAATGTAAAATCAGTCTATAAATGAGAAGATTAAGACCAAAAGCATCGGGTTACAAACATCTCACTAAAGCCCATTAGCAGGCAGAGAGCTCTCCGCGGAGCTAGAAAATGAGACTTTTCCCTCCTTTCTGCCCCATACATTAGTGCTGATCTCAGGAGCTCATTTTTGCACCCTTTGTGGCAGACAACCATATAATCAAAGGGTTCCCATCACTAAATCATTTGAAAAGACAAGTAGAAATTAGCTTTAGCTAATTTAACTAGCCTTTGCCCCTCCTCCTGACCCTGAGGGTGAAGCACATTTTATCATTCATCCTCTGGGGGCTGGCTTATGCTGGCTCCCTTTCCTTTGGCAGTGATTTTAAGCAACCAAGTTCTTATTACAATTCTCAAATTTAAAATTAAGTTCTGATCACATCTTCTCAGGGCATACCTAAGAGGCAGTGTTTATCCCCAGCCAAATCAATTGTTTCCTCAAGTGACTCATTCCTGAAAATGTTATTGTTTCTAATAACCAGCTCAAATATGTATTTTCATTAATCTTTTCTTTTACCTCCATTTCACACGTGTTGCTGCATGTCAGGCAGTTTCCACAAGGATCTGCCATGACATCATTGTGTGAGGTATGAAAAAAAAATTTTTTTTTTTCTAATTTAAGAATTACTTTTACTCAGATGGTGGCTGGGCTGGGAAATGTTCCCCATTGCCCTGGGAGTTTTAGGCCAAGGCTTGTGTGTGTGTGTGTGTGTGTGTGTGTGTTGGAAGGGTCTCTCATTGCCTATTTCTGCTTATATAACACACACTGGTTTAGGTAGGTGGAGTCAGAATGGGAAGAGGAAGTTCCCTAAGTGTTTCTTGCATGCAAAGGTAAGTGGAGAATGCCCATCTGGGCACACAGGGCAAGGATGCAGTGGAGTGACCTCTCCTTTCCCCTCCAACTCACATGCTGGAGTTTAAAAACTGTATCAGGATGACAGAAACCAAGGGGTAAGACCACGGCTTCCTCTGGGGATCTTCTATAAACTGTAAGAACAAACACAGGTATTTTGTAGTTCTTTATCACAACGGGTCCTTTGCTGATGATTCTAGGTTTTATGACTGCTGTTTTATGTCCTACAAATAGTAACAGGCATTTCCCTTTGCCCTACACCACAGTAAGCCACTGGCCTAGACAAGAAGCAACTCTGCACTGCTTTTCAAACATCATCCTCCCTCTCGACCGCAGGGACTATTTGGTTTCTATTCTACTTCTGGCCTTTCATATTCCTGATGGTGCATTGGATGAAACCCCGCAGCCAGGCGTGTGAACGTGGTTGAAAAGACCCATGGAGGACCAGCAACGCTTCCCCACAGCGTGGGATGGTCCCCTCCTGAGATGGCCCACTGTCAGCGGGACTGGTACATGAGTTGTTTTCCCAGCTGAGAGGATGGGTCATAAGACCCACTTATACTTTTTGTCCTGGTCTCTTTTTAACTAACTACACAATTGTACAATCCCTGGCCAGGGTCCATGACTGAGGACAGAGTTTTCCTGTGTAGATTTTTTTCTGCAGCAAACATTTGCACTGAGCTGTAGGAATAGACTGGGCATGGCCACCATTTTTCCAATTCCAGTGGGATTATCCGGGCAAAAACTTCAGAAAACTTGTGGGATTCTAGAGTAGGCCGAACAGGCTCATGACACATTCCCTGTCCTTACCAGACGCCAAGCACTGCATCCTGTCTGCTTCTTGAACAGCCCCTTCATTGTTTGTTCAGCTATTCTGCTGCATCTGCAGATAGCCCTGCCTGAGAAACAGCCTCAAACCAGAAGGAGAGGATGGCGGCAAGCCTTAGAGAAACATGTAAGTCAAGGGTGGTGGTGGATGACTGTGAGGCATTTTCTTTTGCAAAAAATACCCAAACCAAAACAAGCAAAAAAACTACCAAATAACAATGGTGGGTATTCATTACTAGGTTAAAAAATGGACTGATTGCAAGTTCAAAGCACTGTAAACAATCCCCATGTTTCTGTCTCTTTGGCTGTAGTCAATATAGTTTGAAATGAGTCTGCTAAGACAAATGCTGATTTGGTGAATAAAAAAGATAATCTGAGTTTTAGAAGTGGGGATATTCAGCCACATAAGACACCGAAAATAAGGAAGATTGAACTTGACATGTATCATCATCATGGTCAAGACCAGGGAGATGCTATCTCAAGGTCTTTCAAGCTCTTTAATCTATGCAAAAATGTGTATGATTTTTAGGGGAAGATGTTGGTCAAAGGATACAATATTTCAGTTAGACAGGAGGGATAAATTCAAGAGATCTATTGTGCAATATGGTGACTATAGTTAATAACAATACATTGTATTTTTGAAAAAAACGCTGAGTAGATTTTAAATGTTCTCACCACAAAAATGATAACTTCGTGAGGTAATGCATGTGTTAATTAGCTAGATTTAGCCATTTCTTCACTCCGCAAAGTGAAGGGCATCATTGCAGTTTGGGAGCCAGGACGTTGAGAGGCTAGTAAAGGGCAGAACTTGGATTTGGATCAGGAGCCACCTTCTATCAGCCTTGCTTGGGCTACTGTCCTGCCTTGAGTGGCTGCAGGTGGGAGCCTGGACCTCATGGATGAGGCATTTGAATCCAAGCAGAACTTGGTGGAAAAGTAGAAGGAAAGAAGCGAACCTTCCATGGCCTTAAACTTAAGATAGTATGTGGGCAGGAATTCTATCTACTCTCTCCCACTTTTTTAATAATTGGAGGAGAGAGAATAGAGAAGCCGTAACTAGGTGCCCATGTGGTAAAACAGCATGTTGAAATGGACATCTTGGCTAAGGCCCTAGGATGACAGATGTAAGAGACCAAATAATGTGCCAGATGGGGAGGCAGATGTTGAAAGCAGGTAGCTGAGCACCAGTTAAAAGCCCACCTTCCACCCCCACATTGAGCAGTGAAGAAGGAAGGAATTAGGAAAGATTTCTTTGGCAAGAATCATTGGTATACTATGAATCCTAGTGCTACCCCCCAACAGAAAGGGGAGATACAGGCACAACAAGTCCAGTCAGTGAGCTTGATGTAGAGCCCCCACAGCTGGCTAGACAAATGCCTGATTTGAACCTGAAGAAAACAAAGCTTGCTGCCTGCCCTGGTGGTGGGAGTGACAGAGGGGCTGCTGGTGCCCTGGGCATGTCCTCCTAGAATTTGTGGTGGTGAAGGGTACATGAGTGTCCTCAGGACCAGGTGTAGCCACACCAGAGACAGGGCTGGCATTTTAGACCTTGTCCAAGAGGGCCATTAAAAAAGGAAACAGACTAATTGTTGATTTAGGTGGTAGTCACAGAGGCTTACTCACTTGAGACATTTCTAGTAGCATGCTTATGATTTCTGCATTTATTAAGTTTGTTATATTTCAGCAAAATTTGCTATTAAGAAAATAGTGAAGAAGTCTCATCAGAGAGAAGTTAAAAGCATACTAGTGGATTCCTTGGGGCTGCAGAAAGAGTAGCAAAAAGTTGGAGAAAACATCAACTACACCAAAGGAATTTTAGGAGCTTGGTCCCCAGCAAAGCTCATGGAATCTCTCTCTGCAAGGAAGAGTCAGTTTTAAAAGCCCTCAGCCTGCTCTCAATGGGTCCTGCCTCCTTCCCTGCCTGCACCCCAACACTGGGGAAAGGAGAAACCTCCGTTAGCAAGTTGGAGAAAAGGAGTTGAGGAAGGAAGAGGATAGCCCGGCCCCCTCCCTGACTGCAGGTTTTTCTTTTTCTTTTTAACAGTGGATTCTAGCGAGGGGAGGGCAAATCCCTGAAACCTTGAATGAAGTTGGAAGCCTTTACTAGTTTGTGTGTTTGGAATTCTAAGTAGAAATTGAGACTGTGTTTTGTGACTCAAATGACTAAGATTTTCTGTTACCTACGAGTGGCCAAAATGTCAAGTATTCATCCGGGGGCAGGGTGAAAACTAGACCTACTGAGAAAGTTAAAAGACAAGGGGAAAACACAATAAACCTGCTGTATTTTTACCTCCAAAGTGTCCATTCAATTTACTGGCTGTAGTAGTTTGAAAGCAAGGTTCTGTGATATCATTCCAGAGTTGAGAGTAACAAAAGCTGATAATTGTAAATGCAGCACTATCCAATGGAAATATAATGCAAATTATATGCGTGACTTAACATTTTTTTCTGGTAGATTCATTTAAAAAGTAAAATAAACAGATAAAATTAATTTTAATAATCTATTTTATTTAACCTAATAATATATTTTCATTTCACACTGTAATCAATATAAATGTTTTTAATGAAATATATTACATTCACTTTTTATTTTTGTGCTTACCTTTTTGAAATCTGGGGAAAATTTTATACTTTCAGCACATCTCAGTTTGGACTAGCCACACATAAGGAACTCAGCAGCCTCTTGTGGCTGGTGGCTGCCATATTGGACAGTGCACTTAGAGGGTTTGGATGGGGTGGAAAATTATCTCAGATTACTATAGGATTTCATGCTTGACAAACGTTGAGGCAGTATCTCCAAAGTGAGCAAGAGGATGAGCTAAGATTCAGTCTTCACTTGTATTGGGTCTGATGAGTATACATCCAGATGGCTATTGGGCAGAAAAATAATGGGTGATGGAGGAGAGCTGAGAAGAGTCTTCATGAACTGTGATGCCACCTTACACATTGCCACTGGAAACTGACCCTAAGCTAAACAGGAAGAGAAGAAATTGAAAGAAGACCTGACCCAAGGGAGTAAAAATAAATTCAGGGCACTTTTCTGCAGAAATAACTGCTGAGTTTAAGCATACATTAAAATGGACACAATATGTCCTCAAGGAGTTGTTACGGTCTGCACAAACCAGCATGCTTGTCTGAAATAAGTGTCCTGTAATGGGCTTAGCATTATAAACAGGGTAAGTCCTACTATTGTTCTGGTTTTGCTGATGAGGAAATTGAGACTGAGATAATATGAACCAAACAACCAACTTCTTGTTGATTAAAACATTATCCCTAAGGAAACCCTGAGAATCACTGGGTACAAGAGTCCCCCTGCGCAGACGAGGAATCTGGGCTGCAGAGAGGAGAAGCAGTTGCCCAAAGGTTATACATAATCAGAGAGAGCTTCCTATGTTGTGTGTTAAGATTTCAGGGGCACCAAGATAGATTATTTGTCTCTTTAAAAAACTTACTAGAAAACAGAAGAGCATGTTTTGTGTGTCAGTAACCTCCCTATAACTGGACCTTGACTACGGAGATTGGACAGTGCATCCAGATTACTACAAAGAAGTTCACAGAATTGGGTTCAGGTTGAGCTAGAAGATTTCTGAGCTTTTTTTGTTTTTTCTTTTTTCCAACATAAAGATTGATGGTTTGATGGTATGAAGTTTTTAGCATTATGTGATCTCCGACTCGTACTATAGATCTAACTACAGGTGATGGTGAGAGTTGTGAGAATTTTATATAGGCAAGGAAAATCGAGGCAGAGGCCAGAAGAATGGAGGCCTCAGCCTGACCCTCAGCAAGCTCTGAGGGTAATTTGGGCTTTAATTGGGTTCTTAATCCCTGATTTCCATGTACAAGGAAAATTCCAATGACAAGGAAAACTCCAATATGTGGGATCATCCTAAGCCCATCCCAAAGGCTTCACGATTCATCATGGCTAAATGGAGTTTGTACACTTTAAAATAAATGAAAATACTTCATTACATCTGAGCAAGTGGTATTTGAGTCAGGTATATGAGGGAGTAAAGAGATCATTTTTCATTTGTTTTTCTTTTTGCCTTTTTTTCTGAATCTGATTTTTATAAAATGGCTTTGAAGATAAGTGATTTCTAAGGACTATTGCCCTCATGTGGGCTACGCAAATGCATTAATAATTTGATCCTCAGTTTCCTCTCTATAAAATCGTAGAATACGATGAGATGAGCTTGAAATCACTTCTTGATTTAGTACAGTATGAACTTTCTATGCACATATGAATGCAAAGAATGGAAACATCTTACAAAATACAAAAATAAAGATTAATTTTTTTCAGAAAAAAATAATTTGCTAGAGAACAAAAGTGACAATGAGGCTCTTTGGTTTACCTTTTGTTCTGTTTTGCTTTGTTTTAAGATGTCAAGCCTTTTTTTGTATGGAGAGTGAAAAGTCTTGTTGGGATGGTGATGTGGCTGTGACTGATACTGCCGTGATCTCGCACACATGAGCCAAAGCCTTGGGATGGTTTTGATGAGAAAATTGGGTGAAGGTTGGGGAGCGAGACCCGAGGTGCAGGAACACAGGTGTGCTGTGGCCAGAAGTGTGGCATGAGGAAAGAAGGGAAGGTGGAGGAATTGGAGGGTGAGAACACTGGTCATTTGCCAAGGGCATTGAGAAATTGGTACATATTTATTTGGGTTGATGGGTGGGGAGTTTTAAGAGAGAAATGCAGGGGTGTGAGAGGTGCTTTGTAAGGTGAGGAGTTAGACTAAGAGGAGTTAGTCAAAATGGAACCAAACAACAACAACAGGAAAATAATTGGCTTAAAATAGAGGTCCAATAATTCTCAAATGTTGTTTAAAATTGCAGTTCTGTAGGAATTTTGGATACAAAAAATTCAGAAAGGTTGCATACCAGAGCTGTCCAATAAGGATATAGTATGAGCCACATATATAACTTAAAATTTTCTAGAAGCCACTATTAAAAAGTAAAAAAAAAAAAAAAAGTTGGAATTAATATTAATAGTATATTTAATTGAAAATAATATATAAATACTATTATCTAAATACATCATCTACATATAAGTATTAATGAGATATTTTGTTCCTTTTCTTATACTAAAATATGTCTTCAAAATCTGTTGTGCACTTTGTACTTACAGCTCATCTTAATTTGTACTGGACACATTTCAAGTTCTCAATAGCTACGTGTGGTTGGTGGCTGTTATATTGAACAGCGTAATTCTAGACAGCTTCCTCTGCGTCATCACATTTTTGTCCTTTATTTAATAAACTTTAAAACAAAATATGATTACTTCTATGTAAAATTTCAAAATGGGCAATGCTAAACAGTTGCTTGCTTAGGGATGTATAAGTAGGTGGTAGAATTAGAACAAAATGCAAGGAAACGATGATCACAAAGATAAGGAGAGTGTTTCCTTTATTCCACGGAAATAAAGAAGAAGAAAATTAAAATCTTCCCCAAATCTCATCAAGTAGAGACAACAACTGCTAATTTCCACTTGCACCTTTTTAGGAAGGGAAGAGCCTGGAAGGGAATGATGATTAGGTTGCATAGAGGGTGACAGTGTGGTGCCTGCTGTGCTGTGGGCCCTGGGCATTGGCCATTGAATGGAATTTTTCAAAGTCAGACTTGCAGTATATCAAGGTCTCAGACAAAAGAAAGTGGGAGCATTTGAAATAGGAGAGAAAGGCAGACAATAACAGACCCTTGGCCAAATCTGATGATGAGCATTCCCATGGGGCAACACCCTAAAAGAAAAGAAAACGATTTAAGACATTGACTTTTTTTCCTCTTTCAGACATGAACTTAACCAATTTCCTGGAATTTTCAAAAGAATTTACTAGAAAAGGCAACAAAACAAGCCAATAACCTCACAAACCATTAGGTACTCAGGGTTTCTGGAAGGACAGCTCTAAATGCACAGTCTATATCCAATTTGCACTGTCATCTTGGAATGGGAAGAACATTGGAATGACAAGTTAGATTGAAAAGCTGTTAAAAGCCAGAAAAATAATGAGTGTCTAATCCATAAATGGAAAACTGTCAGTCCCTTATGTCTTTCTAAGACTTGGCTTCATGGTAATTCAAGCACAACTCCTGAGTTTTCAACCAGCCCTTAATTGCAAAGGAAATAAACCATTCAGAGAAGAGGAACAATGGACCTCACTTTGGTGTCTGCAGTGGGTAAATTTGGGATAATATAATTTATTTTGGAGATCTGTACAGAGGTATGCATCTACAGATGTAAAGCCTGGCTGGTGATTTTGGAAGTTAAATCCCTTTGCTTTATGATGATGACCTTCAATGACCTTGCTCTGGGCATCACACTGGAATGTGTATCCCTGGATAACAAAAAGATCCCTGGAAAAATTATCACTCTGCTGCCTATATCCCACCCTCCCCTGCTTACTATCAAGGATTTGTGTCTGAGTAGTTGACCTCCTAGGCTAAGAGAGCTGTCTCAAAGCTTGGGGTTTCCATGGCTTCTCTTTCTCTACGCTGAGATCTGGGAACCCCCATGAAGTCTAAATGGCAGCTGATGGTTGTTGGTTACATTAAGGGAAAGCCTAAGAGAAACGTGGAATGTATAAAAGCCACTACAGCATGGAAGCCAGCGGATCCCCTCTGATTCTGGACTCAAACACTGTAGGAGCCCTCTGTCATGCCATAAAAACAGCTGTGAGCAGCAAGCCTGGGGACGCAGATTTGCATCGACAACTCACGCACTCACAGCAATCTTAGGAACGCCGGCTTTTGATATCTCGGTAAAGGCTTCTTGCTGAGAAGTTTCCAGTGCTATGCCAAGTAGATCAGAGAGGTGTTTTCTTCTCTGCCTATCTCACTGCAGCCTTGACCATGTAGCTGAGGATGGTTAGACCTCAGAAATGAGGTCTGCTCCATCAAGTCTGCCAATGCCCTGCTCTATTTATCCTCCCCCTGCTGGGCATCCTGGCTTCTTTTATTGCTGCCCATGTAGATGCACTCAGAAAGGCACACACTATTGCCTGCTGCAGAAATATTTACAGTTCCTGGAAAACCAAGTCAACAGAGCACGCAGTGGGGATGTCAAAAGAGCATCAGAGAGGACTTAGAGCTTGGGCTCTGACCTTGACTCTGGCATGACCTCACTGAATGACCTTGGGCAAGACTCATCACCTCTCAAGGGTTCAGAGAAACTGGGGTGAACTAGTATGATGGCTTCAAAACTGGGCTCTTGGTGAGCATAGTGGCATGTGACTGTAGTCCCAGCTACTTGGAGGCTGAGGCAGGAGGGTTGCTTGAGCCCGGGAGTTTGAGGCTGCAGTGAGCTATGATTGCACCACTGCATTCTAGCCTGGGTGACAAAGTGAGACCCTGTCTCAAAAAAACCAAAACACAAAAACAAAAGCAAAAACAATCCCTGGTCTCTTGGGTCTTTGGAGTCCGCTCAGGGGGCTGCTGGGAAGTGGAGATAGGGCAGAGAGAGGGGAATTCTAGCATCTTTAAACCATCCCAAGCAGAGCAGGTCTGCTTCGGTGTGTTCACTGTTTTACTTACTGGGGTTCCTGAAAAGCTTTTATTTGAGGAAAGGGTTACAAGGCTTAAACGTTTTCAAAACCACTTAAGTAGATGATCTTCCACTTACCAAGTTCTGATTATATGATTTTCCCTGTTTGTTAGTTTTAGGACATTTTGCAAAGTGTTTTGTTGATGGCTGATGTAGCAGGCTCCTGAATGAATTTTGCATCCAATAATTACTTTTCATTAATAGCATATATTAAAGACTGTAAAGAGAGAGATAATGACTTTTTGTCACTTCTTCTAGAGGATGGCTGTTGTCTTAGGAATGATATTAGTGGCCAGCTCACTAATGGTTGGAACGTATAATTAGAACTCGAGAATCTGGTGCTTGTCATGACTGTGCCACTAATCATGGCTTTGAACACATCATTCGCTCTTTTGGGAGGGAGGAAATATATGGTATGATTAAGAACTTGAGACATGAACCTAGATTGCCTGGGTTCAAATCCCAGCTCCGTCACTTTTGAGCTGTATATTTTTGGACAAGTTACTTCATTTCCATGCTTCAGTGTTTTGTTTTGTTTTGTTTTTGGTTTTGGTTTTTTTTTTTTTTTTTTTTCTGTAAAATGGAGATGATAATACTGCTTACATCATTGGGCTGTTATGAGAGTTGAGTTAACTCATGCAAAATGATTAATGGAGAGCCTAGAAGAAATTACATTCCTCATAAACATTAGCTATGGTTATCTTTCGGGTCTTTTTTTTTTTGTCATGTATAATATGAAGGGTTGGGTTGGGTACCTGATGGCTAAAGTCAACGAGTTTATTAGACTGCAGACCTCTGGGTTCAGAATTGTATTCTTAGGGTCTGGAACAGGTCCTGGCAAACAGCAGGTGCTTATTATATTCTTGTTGACTAAATGACTAACATTCTGCTTTTCTCATAAAAACCGTGTAAGAACCTATTTGCAGAACTGTTACCTCCTAAAATTAAAAACATTCAGAGTGCTAAGATGAATAAATAGCATAAAACTTTTAGTCAGGGTCCAGTCATAAAAATGGAAAAGCTCAAGCCACAAATAGTTCAATGGACACGATTGAATATGGAGAGCTAGTTATAAAGAGGCCAGGAGAGCTAGAAAGCCATGGTGAGGCTGCCCAGAGATTAGCCGCTACCACCCCTAGGTGGGTGGAGGAAAAGTGAAGAATGGTGCTCCTGGGACTGCGGAGGGAGGTGCGCTCTAGCCCTGCTGGATTTGCAGGCTGACCAGAGAGCTCTCCCACCTCCAGACTCCCACTGGTGCCTCCTATTGGCTAAATCCATCTCCTAAATCCATCCAGTAGAGCATCATGGCCTTAAAAACAAAAGGTGTCAGTTACAAGGAGTGGGTCAGGAGTATTGTTTTCACTGAGGCAAGAGAGGATGGGAATTGTAGTTTGCAGGTGTCAGCCTCCCTGCTCCACCCCAACAGTTATCCAGAGAGGTGCACGGGAGGACAAGGAATGGATCTGGGGACAATGGGCCCAGGCCCAGGACCCCAACCAGGGGGTGTGTAGTAGTCACGTTCTAGATGAGGTGGTTGGCAAACTATGGCCCTTAGGTGGCATCCAGCCTGCTGCCCATTTTTATAAATAAAGTTTTATTGGAACACAGCCACACCCACTCATTTCCATACTGTCTGTGGCTGCTTTTGTGCTACAATAGCATAGTTTAGTTGTAACAGAGACCACATATCCCCCCCAACCCTAAAACATTTAGTATCTGGCCCTTTACAGAAAAAATTTGCCAATCTCTGTTCTAGATTACGTCTAATCCTCACAACCACCTGCTAGGTAAGTATTTTTACCCTTCTTTTACAAATGAGGAATAGGCTCAGAGATGTATCTGACTTGCCTGAGGATGAGGACACTAGGCCAGAATGGAATCTGCGTTTCATCTTCATCGGATCTTTTACCAGTTTCCAACTCTTTCCATTGCACCCCTCTGCCTTCCTAATTTAAAGAATCTGGTCATTGTGACAGGTGCCCCACATGTCTTCCTGCATCATCTGAGCCATCCTCGGCCCCTGCACCTCTGCTGAAACAAAAGTATACCTTGGTTTGCTATCTCTCCGTGACATGTCTATGTCCCCTCATCTCACCGTCAAATTCACAGAATACGCAGGAATTGAAGATTGTCTCAATTGGAAGCAGCCTTGGGTCATTTCCTAGGAGTGACTTAGAAATGTTCTGCAGCTTAAAGCTGCTTGTTGAACTGTCCTTTCCAGGTAGGCAGCTGGTCCTTAAGAAACTCACTTTTTTCCTTTCTTCTTGTTTGCACAGTCATCGCAACTAAGCAATAATAGCAAAAGATTTGGGAGAACGTCTCTGACATAATGGAAATCAATGTTAAAATGAGATTGGCTTTACAAAATAAACAGTATAGTCAACTCTTTAGGAATGCTTCTCCTGTAAAGCTAAGTACACCTGGCTGATGGAAAAACAATCCCTTCAGAATGGAATATTATTGCCAACACTTCCCTGCATTGCTTGGAGATTCATCTTAGGCAACAGTATTTATGAGTCAATCTGGGTAGTCTTTGTATAACAACAATAGCAGCAGGAAAAAGCTCTTAGAATCCATGTGAATTTATGTTTACTGGAAATTCCGAGTAACTGTAAGCTAGACACTGCTTGCATTTGCTTTGTTCACACAGATGGCAAAAATTGCAGCTCTGGGAAGGACTTAGAGAGGTAAATAGAATGCTTGTGAGATTAATAAAATGAGGATTTACATGTGATGACACATAAAAAGGCAGCACCATGGCTATAGTATTATTTGACTTAGCATTTAGCCGACCCACGTATTTTTATAATGTATAATGTGCTCTCTTGCCTCAGCGAAAACAGTACACCTGACCCGCTCCTCGTAGGGTAACTGACACCATTTGTGTTTTTAAGGCTGTGATGAAGCTCTACTGGCCACCCAGTCCCTCTTCCCATGACCATTAGAGGTTTGGAATGACTTAGCCTGCACTGCAGGGAGCTGGCAGATGGCTGTGGCCACAGGAGGGACTGCGGGGGTGCCTGTACCCTCGCGGCAGGCAGCAGGCACTTGCTTCTAAGGGGCTCTGGAGCTCAGGAATCTATTTCCATTTTGGGGATCCTGGGTAAATGTCTAAACCCCTAGATACAGAAGTTCACAACTATTTCATAAGAAGCAATATGATGGTGTAGGAAAAGCTTGGGCTTCAGAGGCCAAAAGACATGAGTTCGAATCCTGCCGTTATTAGCCAGTCCTCTCATGAATCTGATCCCCTTTCCAGGCCTGAGAGGGAGGTGGGGAGGCCTATATGACAGCTGAATAATTGCCCTCAAAGATAACTAAGTCCTAATCTCTGGGATCTGGGAATGTTATCTTATATGGAAGAAGGTCCTGTGTGGATGTTGTTAAGTGAAAGGTTTTGACATGGGGAGATTATCCTGGGTGATCTGAACGGGCACTAAATAAAATCACAAGAGTCCTTCTAAGAAGGAAGCAGAGGGATATTTGACACAGAAGAGGAAGAAGACACTGTGACCACAATGGAAGCAGGAGGAGACGTGAAGATGCCACACAATTGCTTTTGAAGATGGAGGAAAGGACCATGGAGCCCAGGAGCACAAGGAATGCAGCAGCCTCCAAGTGAGAAAAGGCAGAGAAACAGATTCTCTGCCCACCAGACTCTGGAGAGACTGTGGCGCTACTGATGTCATGATTTTAGGCCAGTGAATTTGACTTCTGACTTCTGGCCTCCAGAACTGTAAGTGAATAACTGTGAGCTGCTTTAAGCCACCAAGTTCATGGTAATAATTTGTTATAGCAGCCACGGGAAACTGATGCAGTCTCCCCTCATGACTGTGTGCATCAGAATCATGCCTAAGAAAAGATGCCAAATCAATCCCCCAGATCATGCCCCACACAAGGGGGCAGGACCTGAGGTCAGTCATCTGAGGTGATTTTGAGGGCAGCATGTTATAACAGAATAAACTCACTGGAGCTCCCAAGTTTATGCTAGAATGTAAGAAGCTGCTCCCAGCATGGGCACTTAGTGTCTGGCATGGATCAGCCTACCTTCCCCTGTGTTCCATCTCCCTGCTGTCTTCCTTGGACCTTCCTGGTCTTCCACCCGACCCTCTTGTCTGTTCAGCCCACTTGGTCTGCAGCCATCTCTTTCCTGCCAACCTGCACCTCAGGTTCCAGGATGGTGGGGAGGGCACACCCAAGTCCCTGGTCAGGAACTGACCCTCTTCCATTCTGTCCTGTCTTTGGCTTGGGAGTAAGGGTCAGAGCTGGTGGGTGGGAAATGGCTGGATGGTTTTCAGGGAGGAGGCCAGTCAGAAGAACCTGAGGACTCAGGGGGAGGAAAAAGAAGATGGGTTGGAGGCAAAGGCTATGTGCCCAACCCATGTGGCCTCAACCTCAGGATAGTACTTTTGAGCTCAGGAGAGCTACTGCTCCTCTCCTCCTCACCTGAAGGGATCGAAAGGAGTTCCCATAGCACTTAAGGAGGCTCGGCTAGGACAATGGCTTCACTGCCTAAGGAGCAAGGGTGGCAGTAGGAAGTCCCTGTGGGGCTTCTGATTCTCATGTGGGAGGTCTAGACATAGGGCTGAGGTTAAGAATGACCCACAGAGAGGCTGGGCACGGTGGCCCATGCCTGTAATCCCAGCACTTTGGAAGGCTGAGGCAGGTGGATCAACTGAAGTCAAGAGTTCAAGACCAGCCTGGCCAACATGGCAAAAACCTGTCTCTACTAGAAATATAAAAATTAGCCTGGATGTGGTGGCAGGCACTTGTAATCCCAGCTACTCGAGAGGCTGAGGCAGGAGACTCTCTTGAACCTGGGAGGCGGAGGTTGTAGTGGGTTGAAATCATGCCATTGCAATCCATCCTGGGTGATGAGTGAAACTCTGTCTCCAAACACAAACAAAAATAATCACCCAAAGAGTTCTTTCTTTCGGTGCTGAAAAAAGGTCACACACACACACCCCTCAGGGCTGCTTAGTGTAGAAACATTAGTATCCCTGGGAACAGAGCCCTAGAGAACCATCAGAGTGGTTAAAAACAACAGTCCCCACTAATGCAGCAATAACCACAACAAAAGGTTTATTTCTCTACCTTCCAAGAAGTGCAAGGTTAAAGACCTTTACAAGAAACTTCAAAGCTTTACTGATGTGCTCAAGGCCTCTGGCCATCTGTTTGCTCAGGAGATAGGAACTTCTACCTGGAGAGAGCACAGCCTCAGGTTAGAAGGAATCAGGCAGACAAGTCTGGCCCAGAACTGAGGGCCCCACCTCAGGGCAGCATGATGTTTGCAGCTCAATTGTCTCCTGGCCCAGCCTGCAAGGAGGAGCTGGAGGAAGGGTGCATTAGGATGAACTGCAGAGCCTCTTTCCTGTCCCTCAACTGCCCTTCTCCTACAGAATCAAAGGTCGTGTCATGTCACTTCTCCAAGATGTCCATGGAAATCTGTTATGTTAATAGTGGGCCTAGTGGTTCTTCTACATTAGACCTGGCACAGTGCCAAATGATCCTCAGCCCAAGGATGAAAGGATGGTTTACTATGAATAGTCACAGCCCTGCTGTCAGGAGAAAGTCCTCCCTCATATCGGGCTAAGCAGTGCTGAATCTAGGAATGACTATACTCTCCTTGGTGAGCTAAACCAGTGGAGAAGTCACCTACAGCCTATACTGGTGGAGAGATTGGGCTGAAATTCAACACCAATACTTTTGTCTTCACCCTGTGGCCAGGCCTCACAGATGTCCTCTCCAGGTTCAGCAGTGACTGAGCAGAGAAAGGCTTCAGCATTCAGTTTGCAAGATGATAGCAAGGAGGAATAAGGAGAGGCAGAGAGTCCCAAGGGAGGGAACCCCAGATCCATGGGGACTTGGAAGAGAGGATCACATGGAAGGGTGGTAGGGTTGGCTAGAAGGTGGGAGAGAGGGAACTCCAGCATTGGGCTCTCACCTTTGGGAGATGTGATGCTAAAAGGCCTTTCCCTGAAAATTCCAAAATAATAGCAAGTTCAATAAAGCTCCAATGTTTGTTCTTCCCGTTCTGAGATCTCTTAGACTTTTTAGTAAAGAATTCCACATATTGCACATGACTGGTGAAGATAAGATGGGTAAGGTGGAAGGTATGGACAGTGATGACAGCCCCACTTTTCTTTAGAGGGCTTTGGCTGGACAGGAGTGGAGAAGGGAATATTCATAGGCCAGTAGGAACAGAGAGGGACTGAATTCCCTGCATTTTGCCCTGGCCTGATAAGGCACAAACTTTAAGTCTGCAAAGGTGGGTCCTTGGCATGCTCCCGCTACCATTGCTTCATGGAAAATGCCACAGAACACTGGGCACAGCCCCTTGCTTTGGCAGGAGACCATGCCGTGGAGTAGTTAGGAGCACTGACTGAATTAAGTTGCCCTGGGTGTGTGGCCAGCAGCAGACAGAGAGACTAGACAATTAACCTGATTTTCCATGGATCAGTTTTCTATTTTATAAAGTGATGTTAATTGTGCTACTTCCGTCATGGGGCTCCTCAGAGGATTGAGTGACAGAATACATGTAAGGTGCTTGGCCCAGAACTGGGCTGTATTAGTTTCCCGTGGTTGCTGTAACAATTACCACAAACTTTATGGTTCAACACAACATACATTTGGTATCTTACGGTTTTGGAGGTTGGAAATCTGAAATTCCAAGCCAGCAGTATATCATCTTAAGGTCTCTCTATGATTCAGATTCTCCTGCCTCCAGATAGCACTTATAAAATTCTTCTGATTACATCAGGCCCACCCAGATAATCCAAGATAATCTCCCCATCTGAAACTCACATCAGCAGTGTCCTTTTCTTCCCAGGTAAGATAACATATTCTCAGGTTCTTGGGATTAGGATGTGGTTACCTTTGGGAGGGAGCCAGTATTGTACGATCAGCACATTGGCTTACATTAAAAACTCACTATATATTGGCCACTATTATTTTTCTTGTACCTCCAGCCAAATGGAAAATCATATATAGGAAAAGGAATGCTTTCTCCTTTGGTCTGGACACCACCGTGCTTTGTTACCTTGAGTCTAACAATACACCACAGAGGTGGTAGAAACGGCAGTAGCACAATGTGAGGGCTGGTCTCCAGCAGAGGTGTTCATGGTACCTCACCAGATAGTGCTTCTTCGTAGGTGGAGAGAGAAGTAGTCTCTGATAGAAACAGTGATATCTAGTGAGTGTTCCAGAGACATCAATACTCAACAGAAGGACTGATGCTTAGAGAACCTGCCAGGTGCTGGTTGGGCTTGGTGGGAAACAGCATGATGGTGGACCCCAGAAGCAATGATCAAGTGTGGTGCCCATGTCTTCCCATAGCTTTGTAAAAATTTTTTTTTTCCACAGTGATTAGACAAAAAGAGAAAGAAAATGGCAGTTGCTGTAAGGTGAATGCCAGGACTTGTTGTTAAGCACATGTTTGACCCCACTGGGCATAGCAAAAATAATATGGAAGCCTTTATAGGGGGCTGGAACTCCTATAATAACACGTAGGGGCAAGATCAGGTTAAATGTAGGTTCTGTCTGTCAACATGTGCTCATTTTAAACCATCCACTGGTGTGGTCTGGGAAACCCAGGTTGCATAAGTCAAGTTTGCAGCTCAGTGCTGAGCACTCTGGAGGGGCTCTGGAAATGCCTGACCTCATTCCTCCCCTTCTCTCCTTTTCCTTGACTATGACCTCATTGACTTGCTCTAGATGCTCTAATCTTTCCCAGCAGCCTTATTGCTTATACCTCTCAGCTTATGCTGGCATCGTTCCTCTTCCCAGAGAGCTGCCTAAGCACTCTTCTCTTCTCGCTGCCCCACTTTGAGGCTGAGGGTGAGGTCACAGGGTGGCTGTGCATCAGCATTTGCATTGCTAAAGCAGCACTGTCAGAGCCTGAGCTTGCATTCTCTCCGTGCATCCATGCTCACTGACCTGTCAATACTCTCATCCGGGAAGCAGCATATTCCTCTCCTTGAACTTGGCCCAGACATTGCACATATGAACTCTTAGGGGCCAATTTACAGCCCCTTCGTTGAGGCAGCTCTGCAGTTGATTTCCCAAGTTTCTTATTTTAGTTATCCATCCCTACTTCACCTCCCCATCCCCTCTATTCAACCTAGTACTTACCTTTTGGGTATGTCACTCCTCATTAGCACCTCTTCCAGAAAAGATGCTCATGACGGAGAATTGTCTTAGTCTGGTTTCCTCTAAAAGCAGAGCCTGAGACAGGTAGTTTATTTGGGAGTGATTCCTGGAAGCCAGAATGTGTTAGAAGTGAGATGGAGAGCGAGGGAAAAAGCCAATAAAGAGTATGCAATTGAGCTGATTACCACTGCAGGCAACCGAGGCTCAGTTCCCTGGGATCCCTGAGGAGCTGTGTAGAATAAACCTTAGAATTGTCTTTCTGAATGTCAGAAGCCTGGGACATTTATCCACAAACTCCTGCGACCAATTGGCAGAGTATTAACACCGCTTTACTTCTGGGATGAGCCTGGGCATGTCTCAGTGGTCCTCCAAGGCTTAGGAGAGAGGCTTGGGGCAGACCAACAGGGAGCCTTGACTCTTGAGATGGGAAGCTAGATGTGTGCTTAGAACTGTCCATCTCAGGTGTGCTAAAACTAAGTGGGCTTAAAAAGTGTCCCTCGGGGTGAAATTTACATGAGGCAGAAGTAACTTTAGAGAAGGCTTAAGAATGTAATCGTTCAAAATTGATTACCTAAACTGGTCATTCCTAAATTATCTATAGATTTTATATGCCTAGGCTGTTCCCGTTGCTCTTGCTATGTTCACGAGAGGAGTTGATCTGTTTGCCACTATGATTCCTTTAGGATATATGATTGACACTCTGTTGGTGACTTATACTCCCTCTGCCTAGATGCCTTAGCATTATCATTCATTCTCTAATTTAGCCAATTAGTAAACATAGTCAACCCCAAAGAGAGACTGGTTAATATATGGAGGTGCATATTCATGTATTTATAATTCCTTCCTTTACATTCCTCCCATTCAAATAGGGATGTTATGTGGACTTCATTGCCTCAGAGAAAATTCCTTTTAGGGCTGAAGGCAGAGAAAGTCAGCATTGATTTCTGGCCTAAGCTCTTGGGAGTTTAGAGGGTTTGTCAAGGAGCCAAAAGAGGCAAAGGGACTTGAAGATTTGGACGGCATGTCTCGGAGAAGTAGCCCCACTCCTAGAGGAGATGACATTTGGCTTGGAGGAGAAAGAGGTGAGCAAGAGCTGTAGTCCTGGAGTAGAAGGGATCCAGGCCCTGCTCTCTTTAAGGGCTCCCCAGGATGAGAAAAAAATCTTCAGGGTGGAATGGTTGGGTGATACATCTAATTCCTACCTCCAAGCCTGCTGCAGAAGTACTAGAGAGGCTGCATAGATAGAGACAGTGAAAGTCTTAGCAGTAATATGAGCAGACAGGTGACTGAGCCCCGTATGCATAGCACTTTGATGCAGTGTGAGATCTTGGACTTTTGAAATGACCCCCAGGAAGGGGGAAGACAAACTAAGGAAGGGAGAGGGTAAATTTCCTGCCAGCCTGGTGAAGTGGGGGCTTAAAGTTGGTAATTATATTGACTTATTCAAAATACACAGTTAGGGGGCTTAGATGCATACCCACCACATAAACATTTATTGCATGTTTACTTTGTGGCAGGCATTGTGCTTGACATTAAAAATGTAAATATGACAAAGACATAGCCCCTTGCTTCAGTGGGGCTCACATCCAGTCAAGGAGGCATATATCTAAGGTGATGATCATTGAAATATACGTGTAATGATAGATATCTATACATACTATGGAGCCTAAGGAGAGGGTTTGGGGAGAGTTAAGAGAAGGATTCTTGGAAGAGACGATGTTTGAACTGAGCCTTAAAGGGTGGAAGACTTTATCTAGAGAGAAGAGGAAGGGGATGGGAGGCTGTATAGGCAGTGAGAACAGTGTGAAGGGAGAGGTACAGGGGTGGTATTAGTTTTATATTGCTGCATAACAAATTACCACAGATCCAGCAGCTTAAAAGAGCATACATATTTATTAGTTTACAGCTTCTGTGGAGCAGGAGTCCAGGAATAGCTTAAGTAACTTCTCTGGTGCAGTGTCTCACTTGACTCTAAACGTCCAGTAATTCACATTTAGGTTTCAGTGGTGAGACTGTAGTCAAGAAAACAACAATGCCACTACAATACATAATCTCTAGGCCTCCTTTTGATAAATATGGTCATCAATTTACTCCTCCCACCTCCCACCACAAACTGTAGTTCAATGGTACTTTTTGTTTTGGAAGGAGGTAGATTTTCATTGCAATGCATGACTCTGACCTTGGAAACCGCATTTTCATTAATTTTGCCTTTCATGAGTTTTTAAATGTTTCCATCTGAACAATAATCATATGAACATGAGGTTGACACTTTCCCAAGAAATTGCCGATACTGACAATAATTCAGAAATGCACATTTTGACAAGGCTAGATTTGATGATTTGCACATCTTCAGAAACTGTTAGAATTTTCGAGTGAGACCTTGAAACCAAGAAGACTCAGCCTTCTGGATTTACCTGAAGCTTATTTATCACCTGTCCTGAATACTGATTCCAAGGGGACTCAGCGTCCTCATAGAGTGTTATCTTCTCAGCATCTTCCAATTAATCTGTCCCAGAGCAGGTTCTGGAATCCAGGACTCCCAGTAAGATTCAATGTGGTGTTGCAATCTTGGACCTGATTATCCTAATATTGAATTTATAGTGTTTAAGAGGAGAGTGTTGGGGTCACTACTCTTCTAGAGTGGTTTACTTTGGAATCACTCTGAAGCCTCTGTGCATTCTTCAGCCCTAAAAGTTGCTTTGAAAGTTGCTTTCTGAAAGGACCTTAAATCATCTTCCTTAGTTCTTCTATTTTAACTGCTCTAATCAGTGTTCTATTGAAATTTTGCTAGAAAATGAAAACAATTGTTGCCATCAATTTGCACAGAATATTCTCTTATGATAAATTTGATCTCTGTATCTGTGGTTATGTCTTATTTCTAACCTTAAATATATTTTCTCTTTTTCCTTCTAAGAGCTTACCTTTTTATTGGTCTTTTCAAAGAATAAAGTTTTGGTTTTATTTATCCTCCTTTTTTTTTAGATCCAGTTAATTTTATTTCTCCTTTTCTAATTTATTAACATGAATCTTAAGTATATTCAGTTTTAGCCTTTGAAAGTTTTTAAGGCTATAATTTTTTTCTAAGTATGCTTTTGCTGTGTCCCATAGATTTTGTTATAATTATTCTAATTTCAATGACTTGCTAGAGAACTTGAAGTTTCAGTTTTAATTAATCTTTGATTCAAAGGTAGACATGTATGTTTATTAATTTATAAGTAGTTAAAATTATCATTAAGCTTATGATTGAATATATGATCACTACAATTCCTACTTTTAAAAATTTATGGCCTGGTGCAGTGGCTAATGCGTGTAATCCCAGCACTTTGAGGGGCTGAGCGGGGTGGATTACCTGAGGTCAGGAGTTCAAGGCCAGCCTGGCCTACATGGTGAAACCCCATCTCTACTAAAAATACAGAATTAGCTGGGTGTGGTGGCACACACCTGAAGTCCCAGCTACTCTGGAGGCTGAGATAGGAGTATCGCTTCAACCCAGGAGGTGGAGGCTGCAGTAAGCCCAGACTGCGCCACTGCACCCCAGCCTGGGCAAGACAGAGCGAGACTCCATCTCAAAAAGAAAAAAAAAAATTAGAAGGTTTTCTTTGTGGCCAAATATGTGATTGATTTTGGACATACAAATAAACATATTTTTCTATTCTGGTATGTAGGTTCTTATATATGTACTAATTACTCTACATCCTTACTTATTTTTTGACTTCAGGTTAAGTCCTGCAAGAAGTATATTAAAGTATCCCACTGTTTGCATTTCTGATAATTTTTATTTATTTATCTAGCATATATATTGTGTGTGTTCTGAAAAACTTCATGCAAACAAATAATATAAGAGCGGCCAGGAATTTGTTGTAATCTTAAATATCTGGCAGAATCGGGTGTAAATCTTCTCTGGGCTATCATATTTTCAACTCAGGCCTCAAAGGTTTCACATATCTAAGTCCAAGGAACTTGAGCTCACAGTCAGACATCATAAAACACACAAGGAAAGAAGGCATCATGAATAAAAGCAGGAACCAATATTATTAGACACAACAGATAAAGTAAGTGTATTTAATATTTACTCATAAATTCTTACATGTTTCAGCTCTGTGTTAGGTATTATTCTAGGTACTGGAGATACAACAATGAAAAACAACAGAAAATATCCCTGTCTTTAAACATTTATATTCGAGTTAAAAAAATAACTGTATAGACTTAGAAGGGAAAGGGGCTACAGAGAAAAATAAAGCAGGAAGTGGGTGTATGAAATGCACATGAGCAATTTATATTTGAACAAAAACTTGAAGGAAGTGAGAAATGAGGCATGTGCATCTAGGGGGTTAGATGGAAACATTCTACAGAGGAATCAGCAAGGGTAAAAGCTTGAAGGTAGAAGTATGCCTGACATAGAAGGTCAGGGTGGCTGAGGTGGTGTTACTAAGTGGGAGAGGTAGAATTTAAGGGCAGAGTGGCAATTAAAAGAAAAAAAAAGGATTGAAATATGATTATGGGAAAATATACTATTAAAATAACTAAGCAGTTATAAGAATAAGTCAAAACTTGTAAGACTAGAAAAATATCACAGTTGATATTTGAGAAATATTGGATGGATTAAATATCAGATCAGACATAACTGAAGAGAGAATAAGTGAACTGAGAAATAGGGCTGAAGAAATTCTATACAACACAGCAAGGAAAGACAAGTAGATAGGAAATGTAAAACAGAGATTTAACATATTTAGCGGAATTACAGAAGGAAAAAATAGAATGAAGGAAAAGCAATGTTGAAAGTCAAAAATGGTTTAGTATCTCAAGAATGGAAAAACACCAACTGTCAGTTTCAGGAAGCTCAGTAAGTCCCAAATAGGATAAATACAGAAAAAGCCACACCTAGAAACAACATAGGGAAATTGCCCAACATTGCATACAAATAAAAAAAATTCAGTGAAGCTGGTGAGAAAAGACAAATACCTACAAAGAATGACAATTAGATTTATAGCTGACCTCTTAATAGTACTAATGGAAACCAAAAGACTATAAACTAATACTTAAAAGTTCTGAAACTATATCTAGTGAATATATATAGTGAATTTACTATATTTTATAGGTAATGAACTGTCTTCCAAAGTTAAGACATTTTCAGACAAATAAAAATTTTGTTTACCACCCACAGATGACCGTAAAGAAAATTTGGGAATGTGTATTTCAGGGAAAATGAAAATGATCCCAATAAAGATCGGAGATGCAGGAAGGAAGGAAAACATAGAAATTGGTAAATATGAAATTCAATATAAACACACATTGATTAGATAAAACACTGATGATGATAGATGTCTAATTTGTGGATTAAAAAATAGAACAAAAACATCGATTAAGAGTGGCATATAAATCATTGTAGAGGTGATGAAATTCAAATTGTTCTGTAGTTCTCAGACTCTTTCTGACAAAGGTAAACATGGTGAGCAATTTTAGATTTCTTCGATAAGTTTTCATGTTTAAATTTCTAGAGAAACCACTTCTTCTTCCCCCAGAAAAAGAAAGAAAAAAAAATAGTGTGTAATTTCTATTTACTTGAGGAAAAAATTGGAATGAGAAAAAAATGGAGTCTGTATAAGAACAGGTCAAGAAAGGAAGGAAAGAGAGAAAATAGAAAAATTAGAACAAATATAGAGCACAAAACAAGCAATCCAAATACCAGTAATCCCAATCAATGGAAATGAAAAATCAATCCTGATAAAATGGAAAGGTTATCAAACTGGATTAAAAATATTTATGCTGTATATTAATAAAAATGAGAACAAAGAAATGTTGGAAACAAAAGAATGAAAAAGACATGTACTAGGCAAATAGCAACAAAAAAGCTGACATATTTATATTAATAAACTAGACCTAAAACAATATTTAGCAGAGAGGAAATGAGTCACTACATAAACAAAATATTCAATTTACCAGGGAAGACATAAGATTCTAAACTTGTATACTTTAATAAAATAGCCACAACATATTTAAACTAAAAGTTGATAAAAGTATGAGGAGTTAAAGACAAGTCCACTGTCATGGTGAAAAGGTAATACATAACCAATTTTAGAAATGAACAGATCAAACAGTAAAGTCAATAAACATATAGAATATTTGAATACTATAATTAAATTTTATAAAATGAATATGTTTATAATTAACTCTAAAATCCACATTCTTTTATGCACATGTGGATAATTTATGAAAAATGGTCACTTTTTAGGCTACCAAGCAAGTCTTAACAAATTTCAAAGGATCTTGACAACATATAGAGCATGTTATCTGACTACAAAATAAGTGTTTTTATTCTCTGTTTCTACTAAAAAACAAGTAGACAAAATCGTGTGTGGAACTTTAAAAGCCATATTTACTAAATAACCCATGAGTTAAAATGGAATCACAATACAAATAAAAATATCTATGTAACTAAACCTTAATGAAAATATCAGAACTTGTGAGATGCAGCTAAACTAGGATTTGGAAGTTAATTTAAATGCGTATATTTGCACTTAAGAAAAAAAGGCTGAAAACTAATGATGTCAGCATCCCATTTAAGAAACAAAGAAAAGAGTAATAGAATAAACTCAACAGCAGTAGATATATAAATTGAAAACAAAGAGAATCAACAAGGCCAAATGAGGGCTCTTTGTAAATATTAATTAGATTGACAAAACTGTGGTAAGAGGAATAAGAAAGAAATATATATGCCAAATAAAATATGTAGATAACTACAGAAGGGTCAGAGATTTAAAAGATAATGAAAAAATATTGTGAACCAACTTTATGACAAAAGGAGTTAAAAGTTAGATGAAGTGCAAAAATTGCTAAAAATATACTGACTCAAGAAGAAATGGAAAACTAGTATAATCTTAGAAGCATTAATCAGTAGTTCAAAAATCTTCCCCTTAAAGAAAGCAGGATGACTAGATAATTTTACAGGTAAATTCTTGCTAACACTCAAGGAACAGATAATTTCAACATTACATAAACACTTCCAAATATGTACCATATTAATGTAAGATGTTAATAATAGGGGAAACTGGGTGTAGGGTATATGTGAACTGTACTATCTTTGCAATGTTTTTATAAACCTAAAACTACTCTAAATATAAAATGTATTTAATAAAAAAAACAGGAAAATGGGAACACTTCTTACTCCTTTAAAGAGGCTAGAATAACTTTCATGCCAAATCAGAAAAGGAAATAAAATGAAAGACAAATTACAGGCCAATTTTACTTTTGAATAAAAAGAAATTCTTTGGAAAATATTAATAAATTGAATTTAACACACTTAAGAAATAGCATATCTCATTATCTAATTTGGTCTATGATAGGTATGAAAGTTTGGTGTAACATTAGAAAATGGATTAGTGTAATTCACTACAATAATGGAAGAAAGGGCAAAACAATATGATTATTTCTATGGATGTAGAAAAGAAACTACTTGATAAAATTTAACATCCATTCATGATTTAAAAATAAAAACTCTTTAGCAAATAAGAAATAGACTTTAAGTTTCTCTATCTGGTAAAAACTACAAAAAAGTTTTCAGCAAATATTATTCTTTATGGTAAAGAAAGGGAAGAAGAAAGTATGTATGCAGTTATTACTTTTTTCTATACTGTCCATGATGACCTAGCCATTGCAGTAATGCAATTTAAAGACATTACATGTGTAACGATTAGAAAGGAAGGGCAAAATTTTAGGATTGTCTTCATAGTAAACTCAAAGAAAGATACAGATAGATCAATTATTAGAATTAAGAAGATATATTAGTAAGGTTGCTAGATACGAAATCAACATAAAATCATTGCTATTCTATATGTCAGCAACAAACAGAAAAATAAACCAATTTTAAAACAGCATTGAGAAATATCAAGTAACTAAGAATAAAGCTATCATAATATATGCAATAATTAGGGAGAAAATGGAAGCTTTATTGAAAAAAAAAACCCCTAAATTAATGAAGAGATATATTGTCATGAGTCAGAGCACTTAACATTGTAAAATATCTCTCCAAATTGATCTATAGATTCAACCTGATTCCTGTGAAGTACGAAGGGTTTTCTTTTGTTGTTGTTGCTGTTGCTGTTGCTGCTGTTTTCTTCCCCCAACCCCCGTGGAACTTGACAGCCTACAGCTAGTTCTAAAGTGAATGTGGAAGTTCACAGGGCCAAGAATAGCAAGAGCATTCTTAAAAAGAAAGGGGGGGGGGACTAGTTCTATAAAAGATAGGCATTTGCTATAAAGCTATAGAAATGAAGACAATGTGATATTGGCACAGAGATAAACAATGCGATGTTGAAACAGGAAGAGAACCCTGGAATAGAGAAACACACATATGAACACTAGACATGTGATACAGGTAGTATTGCAGTTCAGTGGGTAAAGGGTGGATTTTTTGTTACTTGGTACTGGGATATTTGGTTATCCATATGGTTAAAAATGAAGCTGGAGTCCTTATACAAAATAATGAACCAATTCCAGGTGGTCTAAATGTAAAAATGAAAAACAACATTATAAACATTTGTAAGACAAAATAGGAGACTATGTCTATTCTCCCACAGAGATATTCCCAGAAATTGAGAATGATTTCCTGAAACATAAATGAAAAGATTGATAAATTCCACAACATTAAAATTTAGAATTTCTATTTATTGAGAGAGAAAGAGAGAAATTGAGAGAGTTAAAGACCAGCCACAGCAGGGAAGATGGCTGCTGCACAAATAATCAACATGGCATGCTTACCCAGAACACATAAAGAAATTCCATGATTAAGTAAGAAAAAGACAACCAAATAAAAGAAATTTCACAGAAAAGGAAACATAAGTGGCCTATACACATGTGAAAGTTATTACAAAAATTTCAACTCGGAGCAGTTGAGGAGCAGTGGACACTTTCATCCTCTGCTGCTTTGTGTGTAAATTGCTTCCACCACTTTGAAAAACAGGCATCGTATAGTAAATTACAAAAAGTGCACAGTCAAAGATTCAGCAATGTCACTTCTAAGACATATACTCTGGAAAAAACTTTTACAAATGTTTACCAACAGAGGTGTATAAAAAACATAGCAGTGATAGTACAACACTGGAATTAATTGCAGCATATGCATGCATTGGAATATTATACTGCAGTAAAAATGAATTAAATACAACTGCATGTAACATAAATGTAATGCTTAGCACAAAAGGCAAGCAGCAGGAGAATGAACATAGTATAATTCCATTTGGGTAAATTTCAAAACATGCAAAATGAAACAATATATTTTTGGGGGAATCTATCAAATGAGGTAACATTTTCACAAAGAGACAGAATGATGATGGCTTTTACTAAAGGGTATGACAGGGGATGGGGCATAAGGGCGCCTCAATCTGCTGGGTAGAGAACACCTGAGTGTTTTGTCTTTTTGTCTCCTCTACCTAGGCATATAAGTGTTCATCTGGAAGTGTTTAATAATTAATAAAAAACTATTTTAAAATAAATGAATAAAATACCACATCCAACAGCCCTGCCTACAGGTAAACACATGGGAGTTTATGAGATTAAATGACTTGCTTGGTTTCTTTGTTTGATTATTTCAGAGCCAGTTGGAGTGTGAGGCTTCAGAATCGCCTTCCAACTCTCTGTGCACTGCACCAGCTGCTTCCCATAGACTCCTGGTAAAATATGTAAGTATTAAAATGTTTTCATACACATGAGTGGATAGGCAATTCCAATCTACTGAAGCAGCCTCTTTTTCCTAGCATCTTCCTTTGTGTTTCTCCCTTATCAGAATGTAAGGTAGAACTAACACTCCCTACTATGAATTTCTAAAATTCACTTGATAAATTACCTTGAATTGTTCAGGTCAAAGGCAAATGTGGACTAGAACTTTTCAAAACCTTGTCATGATAATACAGGAAAAAATAATACTATTTTGTGTCATTCAAATTCCGAGTAGCTTTAATCAATCATTCAATATGTCATAAGCACCTAGTAACTAATCAGCAATCTGATAGACAACATGCTTATTATCCTCAAGGACCTCAAAGCCTAGGTAGGGAAACAAAACAAATACACAGGAGAGAGAAAGATCATGGATAAGCTAAACTGCAATACTAGTATCTAATATCTGCAATTAGATTATGGAAAAGGGAGGTGTCATTGGAGGCTGTTTTAGATGGATCAGACTCCCATTGAAGACCAGGGAAGGATAAAGATAAGTGTATGGGGGTAGGAAGAATTACTTCTTGACGTTTGTTCATGGTATCAGAAGTAATGAATTTCAAGTTTACCCAATGAGCACATCAGTTTTTGCAGATGTTTATTTCTCACAAGCCCCAAGCTGACCTCTATTGAATGGTATACTAGGTAGGTGGTTAGATTGTGGTCTTTTGTGTGCTGAGGATGGCTTTGTTTTACACCCTGATGACTTATGTCCTTCTTGGCCCTAACTCCTTCCTCATTCTTTGCTTTGTGGCTTACAAGAGAGCGGAAGGAAGAAGAGCCACTACCCATAACATCAGTGGCTGCTAACTAAGGAGTGTTTTGACATGCTGGTACAGCCTATCCTCAGCTTTCCAGAAGGTGGAATCTTGTGATAGTGGAAAGAAGTAGAAGAGATGAAGGTAGGCCAGTAACCAGCGATGCCCAGCTGGCTCTGCTAGGATTACTTACAGCCTGTATTTGCTCTGATTGGTGAGGGTCTGTGCCATGGTTGGTATTATTTGAAAACCATTTCTGGCTACACACCAGTTATAAAAAATAAGCCACACTGTTGCCTTTTCTAGAATAATGTAAGATAACAAATTTGTTATAAAGCTAGAAAATGAAAGTAAAAAAAATATGAGCACTGGTAAATCTCACTGTTTGTAACAATTCAGTTGAGCCATTTACATCTCATTTTATTAAAAAATATGCAACCAAAAATAAAAGTACTCAATCTTTTGGAAAAATTTTAATGTGATTTTTTTCTTGCTTGTTTAATTAAATCCTTAACCTTATGGCAGAATTTCTCAAGCTCAACACTGTGGGCATTTGGAGCTGGGGGTAATTTTTTGTTGTCGGGGGCTTTTGTGTATTTTAGGATGTACAGTAGCACCCCTGGCTTTTATCCGCCAGATGCCAGTAACACCCCTACTCCCAGCTGTGAGAACCAAAAAGGTCTCCAGACTTTGTCAAATGTCTTCTATGGAACAAAATCAACCCCCTAGGGAACCACTGCCTGAGACATTCCAGTATGATTTTCAAGTAGAATCTGCCCCAGACATTTTATTCACGTGGCGTCAGTGGAGTCAGTCACCTATCTACATCCCTCATGCTTAATGAAACACAGCTTTCATTTAAGCCATCTATCAAAAAAAAATTTCTGAAGTATTTTCTATTTATTTCTTAAGTTTATGCTCTTGAGTTTATGCTCAGCTGCCACTGAGCCCTTTATTTGTAATTGTAAGTTGGGAAACTCACCTGAAATGGAGAGAAATGGTAAGCGTATCTAGTTTGTGTTGGAGATAGGTTTAGTGTGGGTCATGAGTATTGAGAACCAGATTTAAGATGATGTTGTCCTACAAGAGTCCCAGATCACTGCCATCCCAGCTTCCAGGAAACCTGATATAAATTTCTCAGTAGCTATACAAGAAAACAATTGCAATAAATTGTTTATTAATGTCTACCATGTGCCATACCTTTGAAGAATCACTTGGTTCCTCAAAAGCAGTTAGGATTCTTGTTGCAAGCAATAGAACTCTGAAGTGGTTTAAGCTATAGGGAATTTATTAACTCATGTAATTGTGAAGTCCAAAAGCAGGGTGAGTTGGTTTGTTCTCAAGGCTCATGCTGTCATCAGTCTGTGGCTCGGTTTCCCTGTGGAAAACCGAGTTTTGCCCTTAGTTTTGCCCTCATCTCGGTGACTGCATCATCCTCAAGCCGGTAGCCAAATCTCTGCCATCAGTTCCTGGGGTCACACGTTTCCCCAGCCCATAGGTTCTCTTTCCTCCATTTGCAGAACAAAAGCCCATTTAGGACACAGGTTGAACCCACCTAAGACGCAGGTTCTGCCACTGGATCAATCACTACCATGAGGGTGATGTTTTGCTCTGACCTGTCCAGGCTGGTCTCATGTGCCCATTTCTGAACCAGTCACTGTGGGTGAGGGGCACTTAGGCAGAACCAAACGAGTCCTAACCTTGGAGCGGAGGGTGGGGACAATCCCATCCAGACCATATGACTTCTCCATAGAGGGTGAATTAAGTAAGTGCTAGGGAGTTAATCACGATACCCACCACCCCACAATCTGTTTGGTGTTGAAAGTACTGTAGCACATGGGGGAGCAGCAACTTAAGAGATCAAAAGAGCTGCCACACTGGGGCGGGGCGGGAGGTGACACAACCCTCTCTAAGCTTCGGTAACTCTTAGCAAAGGGTCTGTATTGGGGCTGGAAGCAGGGGTTGGAGCAGCCTAGCCCAAGAAGACAGACACTGGACAGAATAGGAATGTGATTTTAGTTTCTGCTGCTTCCGGGCCATTTGTCCTCACACCGTTTCCTCATCCTTCTCCAGCTCTACTCTGTGCCACAGTGGGACACATGGCCATAGACTGCATTTCCCAGGCTCTCAGGTCAGTTGGCCTCTTAGCTGGATCTGACCCATGAGAGGCACTCGCAGGAATTAGGAGGGTAGAGGAAAGGGAGACACAAGGCATTTGTCCCACTCCTGTGCCTCAGGCAGCATCTCCAGCAGTGATAATGTCTCTTCTGAGTACATGACTCCAAATCCCACTGGACAGATCTGGTTTTCTTCCAGAATCCTCCCAGAATCCGTGGTCTGTGGGTCCTCACACAACTTCATCTTCCCTCTGTCCCTCCAGCCAAGGTGTGGTAACAGTTCCCTGCAGTTGCCAATCTCTGGGTGGCACCACCATCTCCTGTTTGGCTTCTCAGCCTTTCCAGTCACATCCACTCCCCACACCACAAAATCCCACCACTAAACTTCCTCTAGTTTAAATACTTAGAGTAGTTTCTCTTTCCCTGGTTGTTCCTAACCCAATCCTTAAATTTTTCCCAGTGTAGTGTGGCCTGGAGAAGCAAGGGTTACATGTTGAACTACATTAAGCTGAGACCTCCAGGGTGTTACTGACCCAACCTCTACACTTCAGTAAGCAGCTCTCCGTTGGAAATTAAAATGCATCTTCTTTATTTTTTCCTCCCATCTCTAGAGTCAGGGATTGAGGGGACGGTGTCCTTGGGGATGAGGTATTGTGATTGTCAATAGCAGTAATGACAACTGATGGAACGTTTAGGTTTGATTTACAAGGAATGCTGGATTTGCATTAGTGTGGTGGGTTTAAAATAACATACATGCATTAGATGATATTCAGATTTAATGGAAAAATAATGACTGCATTAAATCAGGTTTTATTGTTATGGAGGGTTTTAATTTGGCAGGACCACTTTCCTTTTGTGATCTAAAAAGGACTCAATTGAGGAAGGTGGGGCCTTCACGCTGGTTCTTGACCTATATCCATTTTGTACTCACCCAGAAATGATTGCACCTTTTAAACAGGTTAACCTTTTTCTTTCCTTTTTTTCCCCCTTAGAAGATGGTTTTTACTTTTTAAAACCTCACAGATTAATTTAAAAGTAATAAAAATTAAACAGAAGTCATTGTTATGAAATGGAGTTTCCATTGTGGGTTTTTTAAAGAGGAAATGCATCATTAAAGTCGTTGCATTATTTATCAGAGAAGCTAATGAAATCATAACTACAGTAACTGAACACACGCAACACAGCACTTGTTTGAAACACTGCCTATAAAACCCTAGTTAATCACCGTAGGACCAGTGCTTTTTATACTTCATCTCATGAAATAAAAATCATTGCAGTGTTTGTGTAAAGGCTTCCAAATTCTTGACTTTTACCAAGTTTCTATAGTTACAGTTATGGGGTGACCATGAAATTTGGTCAGAATTCGCTAGTAGAGGCAGGCTCGACCGTAGATTTTAATGGGACTTCAAAAGATTTTTAAAAGATTGCCTCCCATCTTACTTGTGTCTTGTTTCAATGTTGCCTGTTAATTTATTAATCTTTCCACCTGCCTAGGTCAGCTGTTTTTACAGGGATAAAAGCTATCACTGTAGAGAGAGAAGAAACCATGCCAATACATAGTACAGTCCATGATTTTACAAAGGAGGAGTTGAAGTCAAGGATGTAAGTGACTTGCTAAAAGCAGGCAAGATCCAGATCCTTCCTGGTTGCCTCACTACCTGCCTTGTGGCAGCTTGGAAACCAGGGGGGCTGGGTTTGGAGGTTCTGAAAAGGTCTCAGAGTCCCAGGCTAATAAAAACCTCAAGAGGTGATCTGTTCTAGGGACAGCCTGCTCCTGGGCCAGCTGCAAAGCTGCCCCTCTGTCTTCCATGCCAACACCCCACTGCATCCACCGCCCCTCCTGATCCATGTCCCTGCATCTGTAGTTTGCTCTCTCTTCAATCCTTGTCTCTTTTCCCCAACCTCTCCTCCCACTGAGGAGCTTGTGACCTGGCAGGTGGCCTTTTTTTTTTTTTTTTTTTGAGACGGAGTTTCTCTCTTGTTGCCCAGGCTGGAGTGCAATGGCACAATCTTGGCTCACTGCAACCTTCGCCTCCCGGGTTCAAGTGATTCTCTTGCCTCAGCCTCCGGAGTAGCTGGGAATACAGGCATGTGCCACCATGCCCAGCTAATTTTGTATTTTTAGTAGAGATGGGGTTTCTCCATGTTGGTCAGGCTGGTCTCAAACTCCCGACCTCAGCTGATCCTCCCGCCTCGGCCTCCCAAAGTGCTGGGATTACAGGTGTGAGCTGCTGTGCCTGGCCTGGCAGGTGGACTTTTATGGGCACGAGAGCAAACCTGCATCACCAGGCTTATGGGAAGACCCATTAGGCAAGTACTGGAGGATTCTGCAGTATCTCAGTGAGGCTATCCGAGGGCCAGGGCTGTGGAGTGACCTGGAGTTTTGGTGTCTTCCATCTAGCATTAGTGGCAGCTTTATAGAAGTGACAAAGACAAGATCAAGCCACTGATGTTTTGACACGACCAGAATATTAGGCTAAAATACACCAAATCTTACATAAGCTTGTAACCTTCATTTAGTTCATTTTAACTCTATGCTTACTCCTCCAGTTAACTCCTGACTTTTGGGACTGTACACCTAGGAACTTCCTCCATCCTGTCTCTCTCCTTCTCACCCACCTGGAAACTGCTTCATGTCATGACTGAGAGAGGGGTCTCCATATGACACCAACCATCCACCCCAGAGCTCCAGTTGATTGGTCCTGGGAGAGACACCTGACCTGAGCCACGTCAAGGAGGACCTTCCTGGATCAGTCAGACTTGGGACTCATTTTAGGATCAGTTTCTGCAGATGATGAATAAACTGTAGGCCTAACATTTAGGAGCTATTGTAGACAATGTCTAGAAAGTCAACCAAAAGAGGAAGAATGCAGCTGATAGGTGGAGAAAAAGTGAGCTGATAGTTGGTTAGCCTGTGCTTGGTCCTCTTTGCTCCTGAAGCCCAGCTGCACACACCCTGCCTTCAATGCAGCCTGGGCAGGTGACTTTTTCTATGAGCCAATCATTTCCTCTTAAGCTCTAGATCTAATTGTGTATCTGATGCTACAACCACAGACAGCCTATTGATTGATTGATCTCTTTCTTCATTCATGGGTGTGTGCACACATTCAAAGATGGTTGTCAAGCACCAAGTGTCACACCTTTCTGGGCTTTCCCGTCCCGTCTTGCTCACATTATCCACCCACCTTTTCATAATTTCCTCTTTATTGTCTGGTTTTGTTCATGTCACACAAACAAGGAAAAAAAACCCCTATGTTTAATAGCTATTTTAGTTTAAATGAATTGGAAAAAATTGATGAGAAGGGGCCCGGAGTATGAGTTTATGACAGGCCTTAGGAGGTAGGACACTGCTAAGGATCTGTGAGCATGTGATTAAGTAATCTGTCACCAAGCTTTATGGCACATTTCTTATTCACTGGAAGCTACCAAAGACAGGGAAGTTATACTGTTTGTTCTTGAGATGCTTACAGTGAGAGAAGTGGGAAAGGATTAAGATAAATGTGGAGTATTTGCAAATAAGGAAGGGAGATCTATGTAAGGGGAAGTGATTTGGACTGCCTAACACCTAAGGAATGCTGATCTGCTCTTTCTGAGATCAATTTGTACTGTTATAGCACTTCTCATTCAGAGCTCTCAAGGTGTATGATAAATACTAGCTTATCATGGCTCACTATCCCCTTGGGCATAAGAGATTTAGAATAAGGCATAACCATGGGCCGGAAGGGATAGGAAACATACTTAATAGATGTTCTATGGGGATTTTGGTACGCAGAATGTAATTACCTGTACTGGAACTTGGCCAGAATACCAGAAGTGAATGACCTATCAGACTTGTGATCCAAGGCAATAATTATATCACTCTGTCAGCTCAAATGCAAGGGAGAATTGAGGTTAGTATCATTACCCATTTTCACTGCATATATTTCTTTCACTATGATCCATGAAAATATTTTATTCTTGAATTCCTCAAACTCACTCTGCCCAAGCTGGATGCTTCCCACAAAGCCTGCATCCAATGCATGTCTCCCAGATCATCTGCAGTCATCTTTTCACTTTTCCTTCCTGCCCCACCCCAGAGCCTGCATAAGTGATGAGCAAGGGAATCTGTCCCGGGTGGGATTTCAGAGAAGACAGATGATGATACATTCTTTGTTTACTTCCCATTTCCCTCCTTCCCTCATTTCTGACTTGGACTTCTCATGACTTTTCCAGGTGCTGCCTGGTTTCCCTACATTCTTTCCCAGCTCTCATCTTCTCACAGTTCAACAGTCTCTCAAGACTTGAGGTCAGGTTGATCAGAAAGGCGAGTTCTGATTGGACTGCACTCACACCTAGGCACTTTATCCGTTAGTGAAATGGACTCAAACTTCACAACTCTCAAGGTCAGATATATAAAATGGAGCATTTGTTTGGTAATAAAAATATTATTTCTGGCTTTGAGCTTCCATTTTTCCTGATACAGAAAATGGGATCTCGTTACTTCCAAGTAAACTCATCAACTTTCATAATTTCTCAATCACTTCAGTTAAAAATTTAGCCACATTTGGAATTTGTGTTTCCTCATTGTCTTGCAGATTGATGCTAGCTTCAGGAAGGGGCTCAAATGTCATTTGGTCGCTTCTTGTTCTCTATCTGATGAGGTTCCCTGAGGCTGTCCCTTGAGATGGGCTTTGGGCTGCCTGGTCCTCGGACGCGGCCACCTCTGCCCAGTGGCTGGCTGAGCTGCAGCCCTGTGCTCATTGGAGGCCTGGTGGGTGGTTGAAAGGCAGAAGACTCCAGTTCTGACTCATACATCTTCTTCCTAATTCTCTTTTCTTTATACTTGAACCCCTAGTTTTTGAGCTTAACCCTTCAAATTGGGAGACTTTGTTTTCTGTTTTCTTTCTGATGTTCTCACTCTCCTTCCCCCACCCCTGGAAAAATTGCAGGTTAATGTTTGCAGCCCAAGAGAAGGATCATTAAAAAGAAAGAAAAAGGACATCTTAGTTAGTATCTCACAGTATCATCTCTAAGTAAGCCAAATTCTTCTATCATCTGTATTTTGAATTTACATAAAAAACTAAGAACTTGCTGGAGATGTTTCAGACAAAACCTTAAAAAGGATATAGCATAGAAGTCCCTATTTTCTTATAAGAACCACTAGGATGTGGGTGGGTGGAAGGACAAGGAGGACAAGCCGAAGTTGCTCAGTGTGTATTGATGAGAGTGGCTATGCTCAGAAATTAAGATTTTTTCCTTAGTTACTAGTAGAACTGGGATCTGTCCATTTTCACAAGTGAAATGCTAGACCAAGATAACAAAATTAACAACATTGAGAGTTATCAGAGTTATCAGATTTGATGAGGGCTTATCAAACAGAGGTCCAGAAGTTACCCACACTAGGAAGAAACATATTTATTCTCACGATACAACATTATTAGGTAGAAATACCTGAGACTATTCTCATCAATCAGCAAGGGAGAGAAACTACATCTCCAGTGTTAATGTTTATATTTACCTGTGTGCCTGTATCTCTCAGCCTTGTCAGTACCACTGGTGGATTCCAAGATGCTGGAGATGGGCCTTGGGCTGTCTGGTCCTCAGACGTGGCCACCTCTGCCCTGTGGCCACTCAGGTCATCCATTTGAACTTGGTTTTTGCTCCTAGAAAAGTTTGTCCAAGAAAAGAAAATATTTTCTTTTGAATCTCAGTATTTTTAGTTCAACAGCTTATAATCTTCCTTTGGCTAAAATATCTGTCTTGCACGAATGTCATTTCTTTTTTACTTTTGCACGTCACATAATCAGAATATATCTCACATTGCTTAAGCACTAAGAAAGAAGGAGTATATTATGTTTTAGAACAAAATGCATGGTCAACACTGGGTGATTGTGGTGTGCTGGGGGTAGGGAGAAGGGGTCATGGTGAAATCAGAGGAAGTGAGGTGAGTGCCTACAAGAGGCTTATTAAACGATCTGAGAGTGAGATTGGAGATGAAAGTCTTTGTAAGCCATTTTTTTTAAAGCTATACTTAGTAACTGTAAAATCTTTTGGAAGCTGTGTTAACATGTCTGGTCACCAAGGCAGTAAAAGCATACTTATTTACTCTACTGTCATCTTAGAATCAAATTTATTAGGTTGGTCTTAGGGCATAAGAATGCAGCATGTTCCCAAGTCATTCTGCTAAACACCAACACTAACATCTGTCAGATGTTAAAGGGTGAATAATAGCAAAGTTCACATCTACAGGCAACAGAAGCTGACCCTGGATGACTTAAGCAGGAAAAGGAGGGTATGCCAATTCGAAGTCTTGTTGGAAAATCTGGAGAACAGGTTGAGAAAATGGGCAGGAGCCAAAGGAGAGGCAAGTGGCCAGAATCACAGCCAAAATCACACCATGGGGATAGGCTTGTGGGGATGCCACTGCCACTATTTGCAGACACCTAACACCCAACACTTCCTTTGTGCCACCAATGGCTCTCACACTGAGCCTGTGCCTCTGTCATGGCCATCTGGATGTATCTCTCTTGTCCCGCTTCTCTGCCACTTTCTTCAGAGTCAACGTCCAATGAAGGAGCATCCAACTGGCCCTGTCCAGAGTGTGTAATGCACTAATCCCACGAACTGAGGCAGATGACACGCTGCTCTTTGACCTTCTGTGGTGACAGTAGGTCTTGGCTCCTGGTAACAGTCACACAACTGAGGATTCCCCAAACCTAGGAAGATGCTTCAGATTCCTGGCAGCCAAAAAATGATAAATGACAACAGGATATTACATAAGAAGAGGTTCCATGGTCAATTAATTTTGGAAAATGCCAGGTTTGACAGGTTTTGCTATAGGGCTTTTAAAAAATGTGATTGCATGCATGGGAAATCTCCAGGAAGGACTGTAGGATCCCTCCCTTCTTTATTGTCTTGTATGAGTGTTCTGTGGAATACGTTTTATGACTCAGTACTTCAAAGCAACAAGACTTTTTCTTGCTTTTAACCTCAGCAAACCAGTTTCTTTATGGACGCATGCAACGTTTCTAGGTATGTGAACTAGAACCGCAGTTATGAAAACTTTAAGGCTGTACTGAGGCCTCATGATTGGTTTATATCTCACCATGAGGGTAAGATTACTATTTTATGCCAGCAGCAACCATCCAAAGCTTGCTCTTCTTGGATTTGCAAGTTTGGGGTTAGTGTTGTAGATATATCACCGCCATGCACTTTTCTGTACTGAAGCTTCTCCTTTTGTTTCTGGCTGACTATCCAACCTGCCTGAACACATTAATGCAGCTTTACAAAACGTCCAAGAGACTAGCTTGTGTCTGAGAGACCTACATACAGCAGAGATGGATATTGCCAAGATTCAAGTTCTCTGATAACTCAAAACAAATGTCCTGCTTATTTTTATAGCACTACAATGTAAGGACACGTAATTCAACAACCAAACAACAGCTGACCTTTAAGCCATGTTTGGCACAGAAAATCGCTCCTATCTATATTCATAGATGATGTCTAAACTTTAGGTCAGAGTCATATTTTATTTGAGAATTGGTAAGCTGAGTATTATATCTTCACATGCAAATCCAAGGCCCAGCTCTCTAGGCAGTGGAGGTAAATATAAGTTATGGGTATGACTTAAATCAGCACTGAAAGTTGAGTTTTAAAAAAATAAAGTGTTTCTTTTTTCAAATCTCCCTACATGAAAACAAGAAATTTCTTACTATCCTTCAACTTTTATAAAATATAAAGCTAACACTATGAGATACACTCATTCATTCAAAAATATTTATTTGGGCCCATGATGTGCCAGGCTGTGTGCTCGATATGGGGGATAAAATTGTGAATAAGGCATACTCCACACCTTTAAGGAGCTTACACTTAAACTATTGTTTTGTTATCTATTTGTTTATTCCAAAGACTTTCGAGGCATACTACATTTCATACACAGTGCTAGGAGCTCAGGATAAGGAAGCGAACCGGAAAATAATGGTTTCTACTTATCAGAACATAAGCCTAGAGAGGGAGGCTGGCATTAAACCATACATCACACAATTATTTGTAGAATCATGCTTGTGATCAGAGTCACAAAGAAAAAGACCAGAATGCTGCGAGTATGTGATGGAACATGTTCTTTGGGGAAGTGGCCTGTGAGTTGTGCTCAGAAAGATGATCAGGAATAAGTGTGATGGAGACACAGAGAGAGGATGTGAAGGTAGAAATAGAGTGTTAGAGCCAAAGAGACTTTTTCTGGTGCCAGAGGAAGACTGGCCCCAAATGATGAAGAAAGGGATGGGGCCTGGCCAGACAGAGCCTTGGAGACCATGGGTGGATTTTGATCTTCATCTTAGAGGCAAAAAGAAGTCATGAAGAAAGTTTCATTAGAGGGATGACATAATCAGATGTGCACTTTAGAAAGACCGCTCTGCCCTGTATGTTGAATGGTTTGAAGGGGCAATAATGGATGCAGAAATACCAGTCGGGAGGTTATTCCACTTTTCTAGGTAAAAGTCACAGTAGTGCAAGAGACAATGGTAAGAGATATATAGACATGAAATATAAACATTCTGAGTCAATAGTACTTGATGCTTATTTGAATGAGAGAGAGAGAGAGAGAGAGAGAGAGAGAGAGAGAGATCTAAGAGAAATAAAAGTAAATTGCTAAATGCAGTATGGTGAGCCAAAGGCTATCAAGGACAGTAGAGACACCTAGCCAGTCACTGTCAGCAAAGGCAAATACAAGGAAGCATGTGACCTCAAGTTGTATATTGTTTATTTGAAGAAACTAGATAAAAATAATAAAAAGTTAACTCACAATCAAGGCAGTGAATAGCAAGCATCAAATGAGTGCTTTGGACACGGTGGTTTGTGGGTGTTGACTGCTTAGTTGTGGATAGGTGCAGTCAGGAAGGCCTCATGCAGTGGGTAACACCAGCTGGACTCAGCAAAGAAAGGAAGAGGAGCAATCCTGTTGGAGAGAACATGTGGAAGAAGGTGATGAGGAAGTAAGAATAGGCTAAGCATGATAGGGAGTATCAGATAAACTAATTATATAAAAATGGGAGATTCATTTGGAGGAAAAGTGGTGATGAATTTGGAAGGGTAGTCTGGGGGCAGCAATGGGGTTGCAGAATTTCTATTAAAAATTCATAAAAGCTGATTTATACCTGGATTCTCATGAGTAGGTTAGAAATCTCATGCAATAGGAAAAGTTCAAGTTCTGAGTCTTCTCCGACCTTCTCTACCATGGAACCTTGAAACAGACAAAAACGCTAATCCTTCTCCATGACCCCTGATCAGAACAGAGTGTCCCATGAAATGCAAGTTGTTTGTGTGTCTGTAAGGTATATACCTAAGAGAAGTCCCTGAGAGGACTGGGAACTCTGAATCTACATTAGTGATTTGGGCAGTTTCCTTCTCCTGTGAACAAAGCAGAGAGTCCATGGTCACAGTCATACTACCTCTTGCAAATCAAACACATTTCTGACTAACAGTTGAGTCTCTAATGGATGCTCCCAGATGATTAGCTCTGGGAAGTGTTGATCTCTGTCCTGGAGGTCATAGAAAGGCTATAGGTAAGAAATTATCAATTAGAACTGCTAGAAATTGAAGTAATTTCAGCCTAAGTCTAAGACAGCATGGGACAAGAAAAAAGGAGTGAATTTGACATAGAAGAACTTGGTTTCAAGTTTCAGTTCCATGTTATCTTGAGCAAGTCCATACAATCCTTTAGAGGTGCCATATCTTTACTTGTAAAATGGGATATTCACACCTTAGGCATTGACAATACCTGTAATAACTGTAACCATCACCAAAGCCTCAATTTTAAGTCTTCTACTGTGACCATCACTTCCTATTCTAACTATTCACTTACGTTGGTACCTTCATGATACTTTCTCAACTTCATCAAGACCTTTGATCCATTTGACTCCTTTTCATTACCACCATTTTTCTCTGTTCATTTCCCTTCTCACTCCACTCACGGTCTATGGTCTATCACTTTAGCCCCTTCCTTGCTGACCTCTGCAGGTCCTTTTCCCATCTTCCTCCTCTCTCCTCTCTTGACAAACCCCAAACAGTGGTTGAGCTTATCCAGTCTTCTTTTCCATCTCCACATTTAAGCAATTAAATGTTGACAGAGAGGTACCCAACTGGCCAGATGGATTTCTTTTCAAATTTATGGCAACATATAGCAATGAATATGCGACACTGCTTGACAATGTTTCCTAATATCTTGATGATTTCTATTTCACTAGAATAACTATTTTCTAAAACAATGACTTCACATCATCTCTTCTTCCCTGAAATTTATCCCATTTCTCCCCTAACATTACTAGCAGTAAATAACCTGGCTTCATATTTTGTTTAGAAGATAGCATCTGAAAGAGTGCCCCAGCTCATCTTCCCACCACTGGCTGTGCCATCTCTTTATCTCTGCCCATCTTCTCAAACTTCCCTCTATGACAGTGCTTCCACTATGTCCCTGCTCTGAGCAGTGGCCACCTTGAACTCTACTTGTGAGGGTCTCTTTGCCCATTGTGGGACTTTGCTCCATTAGTTGTTCCCTCTCTCTTGCATTATCAACTGCTCCTTCATTCCTAGCCATTTCTGTAGCATGTGAACATGTTCTGGTAGCTCTTTTCCTAAAACAAGCAAGCAAACAAATATTTTTTAAAAAGGAATTAAAGAAAAAGGAAATCGTTTGAATCCTCATACCCCTCTAGCTTCTACTTACCCATCACCTGCCCCTCTCTCCAAAAAGCAAATTTCTTTTTCAAGGGATTGTTGCTATGGTCTGAGTGTTCATGTATCCCCAAAATTCATATGTTGAAACTTAATCACCAATGTAATGGTCATGGGGGCAGAGCCCTCATGAGTGGGATTATTGCCCGTGAAGGTGCCGTCCGTGAGAAAGTGGGCCCTGATCAGACACCTAATCTGCCACCAGTGCCTTGATCTTGGACTTTCAAGCTTCCAGAACTGTGATAAATACATTTCTGTTGCTTATAAGCCACTCAGTTTTTGGTATGTTGTTGTAGCAGCTCGAGTAGACTAAGACAGTTGTCCATACTTTCTGTTTTGACTTTAGATCACTTCCCATTCATCCTTCCTTCTAGGCAATAAGGCTTTGGCCCCTCATAGAAGCACTTCCCTTTCCTGTGGCTTTTAGGACAAGTCACTGCCTGGTTTGTTCTTGCCTCTTGGGTTACTCCTTTCAGTTTCCTTTTTGATGCCTCCTTCTCTTTTTCAATCTGCTTATGTGAGAGTTGCTCAAGGTACCTCTAACACTTCTCGTCTCTGTAAGATCACCTTTGGGTGACCTTATTCAGTTCCAGAGCTTTAATTAAATGTTGTCTCTATGTTCACAATTCCCATGCCTCTTTCTTCAGCGCTGACCTTGCCCTAAATTTAGTCTTGTATTTCCACTTGTATCTTTCATATCTCCAGGTCTGTGTGAGAGGAATTTCATACTTCACTCAAAATGTAACACTGGCTTTCATCCCAGATTTGCTCCTACCTCACCCCAGTCTTCAATATCTCAACAAATGGCTCCACTGTTTGCTCAAGCCCCAAACTTGAGTTGTCCCTGGTTCCTCCTTTCCCATCACTCCCCTACAATTAATACACGAGGGATTTCTGTCAGTTCCACTTCCAAAGTGCATCTTGCATTTATCTACACTCAATCTCTATTGGTGATGCCTTACCTGAGCCACCATCTCCTCTCATCTGTAATTTTTTCAGAAGCTTCCTGGGGGTTTTTTTGTTTTTTGTTTTTTTTTACTTTTTTTTCCCCCCTGCAACTCATTCTCCATCAAGCAGTCAGGGTAATATTTTTAAAACATAAACTATGTCACACTACACCCTTCACAGACTTACTGTGTCACTGAGGGGAAAGAAAAACTAAAAAGAAAACTCCTTACCATGATGGTTCTAGCCATGCATGATCTAGCTTCTTCCTTACACTCCATTGTATCTCATTCCATTCTTTTCCTCATTCACTGAGTGCCAGCCACTGGGTTTTTGTTCTTTGAATATGCCAAGCTCATTCCCACCACAGGACCTTTGCAACTATGATCTTCTTTTGCCTGGATTGCTGTGCCCCTGGCTTTTCATGGATGGCTTCTCCTTTCCAGCTCTTCTGTTGAAATGCTCCACCCTCAGAGAGGATGATAATTGTACTTATTTTAGGAAGTTGTGTTGTAAGGATTAAATGAGATAATATAGTAAGTGCTTCATAAATGTTATCATTTGTTGTTGTTGCTGCTGTTGTAGGCTGAATGCACTGGCATCTTTGTCCATTCATGGTCTTTTCCACTGAGCCTGTTTCACCCATTTACACCCATGTTTTGGTACTCAGCATTCAGACTCTACCCAGTCCCTGTTGATCTATCTTCTCTCTCAGAACTGATTCCTCAACTTCCCCTCATTTGAGCTCCACCCTCTGCCCTTAACTGATAACTTTGTTTGACTGGCTTTCTTGTCCATGTCGTTGAATGGTCTCCCTTGTATATAACTTTTCATATGATACGTTAAAGGCACTGCACTTTCACGCTCCCCTGGCCCTCCCGGATCATCAGGACATGAGACCTTCCCTGCTTAGTGAAGAATGATTGTGGAGGACCCTTGTCCTTGGTGCTACAAGTGGACTTTCATCAATTCCTTAAATCTTTAGTATTGAGCTGGAATAACATGGCGGTGGCACCATGTGTTGGGGTGGGAAATGACATGGCCTTACATGGACTAGAGGGTACCCAGCCATCCAGGTGGTATCGAAAGAAAGGGGACTATGTTTGTTTGTTGAGGTAGCTTTTTATGTCTTGGCTCCCTTCTCTCTTTCTCCAAATCTCCTTCTGCCTCATTGTTGGCAGAAATTGGGTGGTGGCCTTGTCTGGAATCTGACCCATTAGATTCTTACACATAATTGGAACCAGACACAGTATGGATTCTTTGCCCTTGTTTGAGCATATAGCAAATGATCCCATATTCACGCAGTGTTGCTATAATCCAGAAAATAATCAGGCATTTCCTGGTGCATTGGAGGGTAATTCATCTGGCCTTCTCCCAGGAAGTTATCCAACCCCTTTTCTGTTGAGATGTTCTTCATTGTTTTTCAGTTATCTTCAAGCATCCTCATTTTGTCCTGTGTTTCCATTTAAAACTTCAGATTTTTCCAGGAGAATAATCCTCAACCAATTTTCTTGGTTGTCAGTGGCTGAGATGAAGCATCACTGGCAGTAAACGAACGCAGCTGAAGCTCCCAGAAAATTCTTCATGTGGCATTTACTGCTTGTTGGGATTTCCAGAACAGCATGCTGCCATTCTTTAGTGAATGTAATGTGCTGTGCCGTGGACTCATTGTGAATGAAGAATTACTGAGACTTCTGAGTTTTCTCAGAAATGGCATTGCTTACTATGCACATGTAGTTAGAGTGTATGAGGATCAGGAATGCGAGTTTTATCCACCACAGGCTCCACACACCGTGTTCAAATGGTGAATTCCTGGTTAATTTTCTCACTCTGGCTCTGTGAAAACTCTTAGCTCTGAACTGCTGCAGTTCTTTAAAAGATTCCCTGGCAGTCCCAGAAACCAGGAAAGATTTAATTTCAAACAAGAATTTTGGTGTTTGTATCACTGAGTCCTTTATTTAATTACAATAACACATTGTTTAAGTTAGCTTTCTTTTGAAAAAATAAGGGTTTAAATGAAGGGGAAAATATTATGTCAAACTAGACAAAGTTTTGAGAGGCTGAAAATGATTCCCCTTCCCCAAAGACAATTCTAAAGCCTTCATGAGCCCTCTCTCCTACTGGTCCATTTGTTCAAGCTGTGGCATTAATCTAGGAGCAGTTTCTCTACCCCTTTACTTGAGTTAGGTCTAAAAGAGAAGTACTTTCTAGAGCCCAGGCAGGCATCAAATCAGCGTCCTACAGGGCTCGAAGGAGTTCTTTTAGATTTATAAGGAGTGAATGTTTATAAAATTCTGAGGCCATCAGTTTCCCTACCTTGAAAACATCAGTTTTAGCAGGCTATATTAACCATATCTTTATATTCCAGGAGAAAATTTGTAGTGGTTAACTGTAGCCCATCAAATGATGGAAAGACAGACCAGAATTCAAGAAGTAGTGGTTATAAGAACTCATTGTTAGATCAATTCTCCACCTTTTTTTTTTTTTTTTTTTTTTTTTTGAAAGACGGAGTCTCGCTCTGTCACCCAGGCTGGAGTGCAGTGGCGCAATCTGGCTCACTGCAAGCTCCGCCTCCCGGGTTCATGCCATTCTCCTGCCTCAGCCTCCCGAGTAACTGGGACTACAGGCGCCCACCACTACACCCGGCTAATTTTTTGTATTTTTAGTAGAGGCAGAGTTTCACCGCATTAGCCAGGATGGTCTCAGTCTTCTGACCTCGTGATCCACCCACCTTGGCCCCTCAAAGTGCTGGGATTACAGGCGTGAGCCACTGTGCCCAGCCTCAATTCTCCATCTTTCCTTGCCTTCTTTCCTCCTTACCTTTTCCCTCCCTCCGTCCTTTCCTTCCTTCCATGTTAAAAGTTGTCTTCAAGATGGGTAGAGTTGGTAGATTTGGGGACACTGAGGGCTAACCTTTATTTTAAAAGCCCTCTTCACCCCAAGCCAAGTTCAAGGCAAAGCAATAGAAATGTGTCCCAGTCGCCCTTGAAGTTTGGCTTGATTTACTTATGTCCTGCAGTGGCCACTTGAACAGGAGGCTTCCAGACTAGGTACAGAGACTTAAGTGAAACTTTCTGTTTGAGTTCTGCTGCTGTGCGACTCCTGATGACTCAGCCTTGCTCCCTTGGTGAGGCTGTGCTGGCAGCAAGGCTGTGTAGCTAAGCCAAACAGTTGCCACAAAATTCATCTTTATTGCCCCTTTCCTTATAGTGCAGAAATGTGGAGTTGACAGAGTAATCACATCAGACATCTACGTGTTTGACAGCTGTCATGGACGATCTTTCTAGTCCAGAACATTCAGCAAATATTTATGAAGTGCCCAAGTAGAAATTTGCATGGCAAAGAGCTGGGGTTGAAAATGAATTATGCCCACAAGAAGCTTATAAATTAGTGCAGGGATAAAAAGATCTCCAAGATGAGGGCGGGAAGTGGTATGTGCCTTAAGAGGAGAGCAGAGAAAAGAGAGGAAGATATAAGGGTGGAGCAAGGGGAGGTTGATTTTGGTTGGAAAAACCAGGGAAAGCTTCTTGTAAAATGTGGCAATTAAACTTTCCCAGCAGACTAGGTAGAATTTGCACATCTACAACTGGCTTGTACACAGATTATAAGTTAGGGCAGCCATCCAGAAGGCACACAGAGAAAATGTAGGAGAGAGAGAAATAGGAGTCCAGTTTGCAGTGTTCGTGCAGGAAGGAAACATTGGCTGGGGAGGTCAGTTGAGAGCAGACAGCAATGGGTCTTGGCTACCAGGCAAAGGAATTGAAGCAATAGAAATGTCGGGAGAATAATTTGGGAAAGTTCAGGCAGACTGGAAAAGTGGATTCATGTTGAGTTGTCTGGGTCTGGGATCCTCAATGAAATCTTTCATCTCTATCTTGTGGGGAACCGAAATTGCCACCTTAGGTAGCATCTTACTCTAGCCATCTTCTTATATTTGGCCAGACTTCTTTCCTTGCACAAGACAAGCCCTTAACATGCTGCTCTAACTTTCCCATTTGTCATGATACTTAGGCAATAAAGCTGCGGGTTGCTGAGAGCCTGCCATGTGCCAGGCACCTTGGTAAGTTTGTCACATGTATAATCTTTTTAAATTTTCTCCCAAATCTGACGTGGAAAATGTTCCCCCTCGCCCCCCTTTTCTTTTCAGGCAAGGAAGCTTGAGTCCTAGTGTAGTTAACCATGTCCTAAGACAACCCAGCCTCTAAGTGACAGAAAAGTGATTTGCCCCATTGTATTCTGTTCTTTATTCTATGCAAGCACTCAGAGCTCTTAATGTTGATAAATAAATAATAACAGCTGACAATGCATGTGCTCAACATACCACATGCAGTCACTCACAAAAATAACATGAAGTCCTTTTACTGTTTTTCTCATTTTACACATGAGAAAACTGTCTTAAAGATTTATATAATTTCCCCCAAATCACAAAGTTACCAGGTGGCAAAAGCCAAGATTTGAATCCAAGTTTAAAGCACATGGTCTTTACTCCTTTATTATAATTGATTACTAGTCTTGTTAGCACAGGGACCAGAGTCTAGCAGAGTGCCAGGCACATGGTGGGCACATACATGTTTTTAAATGTTCTATGAACAAAATAATGCAAATGAATTAGGGAGGAGATGAAATAAAGAATGAATGAATGAGTCTGGGTATGACACCAAGCCTGAGTTCTTGATATGGTCCTTCACACTATGTACAAATTTTGGTGAACTACTATCAACAGCACAGACGATATGGCCTGGTTCTGACTGTGTGGTCCATACAGCTGGGCTCTCCACAGGCATGGAATTGCGGTCAACTGCTAAATACTTGCTTTTTAGTCAGTTATGCTTTACCTATAGAAAGACACTTCTGGGCTGGGCATTGTGGTTCATGGCTGTAATGCTAGGACTTCGGGAAGCCAAAGCAGGCTGATCACTTGAGCCCAGGAGTTCGAGACCAGCCTGGGCAACATGGCGAAGCCTATCTCTACAAAAAATACAAGAATTACTTGGTCCTGGTGGCAAGCACCTGTAGTTCAGCTACTTGCGGGGCTGGGGCAGGAGGATCAGCTGAGCCTGGGAAGTCGAGGATGTAGTGAGCTGTGATCACGCCAGCCTGGGTGACAGAGCAAGACTCTGTCTCAAAACAAAAAACAAACAAATAACAACAAAAAAACTAGGTACATAGCATGCTTTAATATAAAATAATTCAATTAACAGCAATATGTAAATAATCCCAAATATTTAGGAAACTTTAGCAAGATTTTTGTTTTGTTTTTAACCAAATTTCACCTTTTATCAGTTCCTACCACTGAATTTTTAAAAATGAACTTTTACATTCAGAATAGTTTTAGATGTATAGAAAATCTGCAAAAATGGTACAGAGAGTTTCCATGTACCCCCTATCCAGTTTCCCCTGTTGTTAACATCTTACATTACTGTGGTCACAGCTAAGGAACCAACACTGGTACTTTGTTAATTAGACGCCATACTTCATTAAAATTTCATTAGCTTTTCCCAATGCTTTTTTTTTGTTTCAGGATCCGGGGCACCATATTATACTTAGCTGTTGTGTCTCTTTAGACTCTTCTGGTCTAAGTCAGTTTCTCAGACTTTCCTTGTTTTCCATCAATTGAAAACATTGAGAAGGGCTGGTCAGGTATTTTGTAGAATGTTCTTGGATTTGGGTTTGTCTGATGTTCTTCTCATAGTTAGCCTAGGATTATGGGTTGTGAGAGGAAGACCACAGAGGTAAAAAGTGCCAATCTCATTACATCATATCAAGACTACCACTACATTTTTAAAGCGAAAGCTTTAATTCTTTCACTTTTGGTGGTGATAGTGCCACATTACTGTAGTTTTGCTGATGGCTTTCACTGAGTCTCACCGGAGAGAGCAAACTCTCCTGCTGGCTTATGAGTTCATAGCTAAGTCTTTTTCTTTTCCTTTTCTTTCTTTCTTTCTTTTTTTTTTTTTTTTTGAGACAGGGCCTCACTCTGTCATCCAGGCTGGAGTGCAGTGGCGCAATCTGCTCTTGGCTCACTGCAACCTGCACCTCCCGTGCTCAAGTGATCTTCCCACTTCAGGCTCCCTAGTAGCTGGGACTACAAGTGCTGGTCACCATGCCCAGCTACTTGTTGTATTTTTAGTAGAGATGGGGTTTTGCCATGTTGCCCAGGCTGGTCTCGAACTCCTGGGCTCAAGTGATCCACCTGCCTCGGCCTCCCACTGTGGTGGGATTACAGGCATGAGCCATCACACCTGGCCCAAGCAAGGTCTTCAGTAGCAAAACATTTCGCAAAGGAGGAGTTCTACTTGTTCAGTTTTGCCTAACCTGGATAAGACAATCTTGGCTGTACTAATCAGGTAAGTTTCACCCAGTTGCAGTATAGAAGAATGTTTTTCTTGTGGCTGTGAACAGGTAAATGGAGACATTTCTTTTCTGCTTTTATTTTTCTTCCTCTTTTTTTCTTATTTCTTTTTTTCTTTCTTTTTCTCTTTTTTCTCCTCCTCCTCCTCTCCCTACTTTCCCTCCTCCTCCTTCTTCTTTTCTTCTTCCTCTTCTTCTTCCTCTTCCTCCTCTTCTTCCTCTTCCTCTTCCTCCTCCTCTTCCTCTTCCTCCTCCTCTTCCTCTTCCTCTTCTTTTTCTTCCTTTTTCCTTCTCCTCCTCTTCCTCCTCCTCCTCCTCTTCTTCTGCTGCTGCTGCTTCTTCTTCCTCTTCCTCTTCCTCTTCTTCTTCTTCCTCTTCTTTTCTTTTTCCTTCTCCTCCTTCTCTTCCTCCTCTTCTTTCTCCTTTTTTTCTTTCTTCTTTTTTCCCTTACATTTCTAATTCTTAATGGTGCAGCTGTCACCAAGGCCTTCATGGATGCCAGCAGGAAACAGCATTTATGTTGATGAGGCAGATGAAACTGAGCTTATGGGGCAAAGTCATAGGGGAAAATTATAAATATGTATCTGCAATCATATTTTTAGTAGATGGTCCCCAAATTCCATATTCGATTTTTTTCAGTAAAGATGCACTCTAACTTGTCTTTGTTTGGAGTCATGCACTGCTGTCTGGACACTGAAGCCAGCCTCTGTCATGGACTTGTCTGTGCTCACACTTCCCTGTGTCTTCTCTGGGAGGGTGCTGCTGGAGCTGGGCCCTGGCTCGAGAACCAAGATCCATGATCTCCATTCAAAACTACTTTGCAGTTGGGTTTCAGTCAGGTTTTATCCATATTTGTTAAACATTTTAAAATGGTTATAAGTTTCAGGAAAGCCAGTAAGTCTCAGATAGATAGAAAATATCAAGGCAATTTCCAAATGACAGTAATCATTATTGTTCTTTAGGAGGCCACATGGAACAAATTTATTCTGGAGTTTGTCTCACTAAATTTTCTTTTGTTTATTTGTATGTATGTATGTATGTACTTAGCGTGTGTCTCTTTTAGACAGAATATAACTCCTGAAAGGCAAAATAGCATCAGACTTTATTGTAGATCTTGGCTTAAGGTGCAGATGTTTTGGCTCAGTTAATAATCATTCTTTAACCTATTTTGAATTTTAGTTCATCAAGTAATAGGAAAATATGACAGTTTTTTGAATGTGTTCTTAGGGGAGGAGAGAGAAGAGTGAGAGCAAGCGAGAGAGAGAGAGAGAGAGAGTGAGAGAGAGAATATTCTCCTTTGAAGATGAGTTCTGGGCAAAAAAGGGTCGATCTTGGGTTGGTTTTAAGACATTGCCATGAAAACATCCTTTTCCCGTAATCACTTCCTGCCTTGTCTTTCACCACATCTCTCCTCTCATTCTTTAACTCCTTTACCTAGTGTGGACCCACTGCTCAAGTTTGGGATGTGCTTTTCTGGCTGGTGTCCACGTCTTCCTCTGGATTGTCAGGCCTCAGAATGAGAAGTCTTAAAGGTCTCTTCCTTCCCGCTTTGCCACCACTGCTGGAGCCCCAAAGACTTTGGAGCTTAGCATTAACTCATCCTTTCAGGTCAAGCAGCACTGGCCTTTTAAAGTGGAAACTGCTTGCTTTGATGCATGGAAATGCACATTAATAGAATCTATCTGGGGAGGGATGGGGCCTATGCATGGGAACAGTGCCCATCAGACACTATGCCCAGCCACAGTAGCTACTCTCCTGGGGAGGTGGTGTCTGAGCAGGTAGGAGGTAAGGCAGCCTGCAAGGGAGGGGTTTGGGGCAGCAGCAGACTTCTACCAATGGGCTAATGTGCTCTTACCTACTCCTGATAGGGTGGCCACACAAAGCCCTTTGGTTCTCTTGACCTTATAAACCAGGGAAGCCAAAAGTACCATCTCAGTCTGGCTCCTGATCACTACATGTGGTTGCCTAGAAGTGACTGAGAAAAGAAGAAGAAAAAAAAAAAAAAGGAAAAGGAGAAGAAGAAGGAAGAAGAAGCAGCTGCTGCTGTTGATTATATATATTCAGTGCTTAAGTGACCGGGACTGTCTTGAGAATTTATAAACATCAACTCATTTAATTCATACAATTCCATCAGAGAGGAACTTTTGCTGTTTCCATTTTATGTTAGAGACCTAAAGTTCAAAGAAATTAACTACAGATTGAGTATCCCCTATCCAGAATGCCTGGGACCAAAAGTGTTTAGGATTTTGAGCTATTTTTGGATTTTGGAATGCATGATGAGATATCTTGTGGAAGAGATTCTAAACACAAATTTCATTCAAGTTTCCTATAAACCTTATGCACATAGCCTGAAGGTAATTTTGTTTTTCCCTTGGGGATGCTGAATGAACTGTGTTGTTTGCCTGCATTTTGATGGTGACCTGTCACATGAGATTAGATGTGAAAATTTCCACTTGTGTCATGTCAATGTTCACAAAATTTTAGATTTTGAAGCATTTTGGATTAGGGATGCCCAACCTATAACTTGTCCAAGATGATGTAGATAGAAAGAGGTATGACCAGGTTTCAAGCCAGGTTGGTCTGAGTTTTGAGCCTCTCTTAACAATTCTGTTATATTAAGTTAAACAAACAAACAAAAACCTAATATCCAGGTGCTGAAGGATATGTGTTATGGGTGTGTATTTGTTTTGCATATGTATGTATGCATGCATGTGTTTTTGTGCTCATGTGTATGTTGTGTATGTGCATGTCTTAGTGTATCCATGTGTGTTTTGCCTATGTGTATATACTTATGTGTGCATGTTTGTGCATGTGTGCTTGCATACATATGCATTAACTTGCATATCTGTACATATATATTTGTTGATATATGTGTTTTTGTGTACGTGTATGTATGCCTGTGCATGTGATTTTATAGTACAGTAGAAAATACAGCTGAGAAAAAAACCTTGATAAAAATCAAGGCTCAGTGTTTAAATCATGTCCACACAGTTTCTATAGAAAATGGCTTTAGGATATACTAATCATAGCCCTGACTAAATGGCCTGTGGCCCCAGAGCAGAGTCAGCAGGAGGGATGCAGGTGGTGTAGAAGCCGTGCCTACTTTTAGCTGCCCATGAACTCCCACTTCATATGCTTCTGAATCCTGGGTTCTTTGGATACATTTATCTGGATTGAGATAATTTTCTTATTTTGGAACTGTATTAGTCCATTTTTGTACTGCTGTGAAGAAATACCTGAGACTGGGTCACTTATAAAGAAAAAGAGATTTAAATAACTCACAGTTTTGCATGGCTGGGGAGGCCTCACAATCATGGCAGAAAGCAAAGGAAGAACAAAGGCATGTCTTACATGGCAGCAGGCAAGAGAGAAGTGCGGAGTGAAGGAGGGGAAAAGCCCCATATAAAACCATCAGATCTCATGAGAACTCACTCACTACCACAAGAACAGCATGGAGGTAACTGCCCCCATGATTTAATTACCTCCCACTAGGTCCCTCCTATGACACATGGGGATTATGGGAATTACAGTTCAAGATGAGATTTGGGTGGGGACACAGCTAAACCATATCAGGGACATTGCATTTCTTGAGTAAATTCAAGTGTGTTGTCTTCAGTTTATTTTGATTCTTCATTTGACTTAAAGCAAATGCATCCCTTTCCAGGACCATCCTGGTAAACATAGCCAGGTCTTCAGAAGTGCTTGTAAAACTGCATGAGGTCACTATGGGGATGGGGTGGCTCATGACTCTACTGTGGGTTTATGGAATGCCAAGTGGCAGAAACCTAAGACTATTCCTCATTTTCTTAAGCCAGTAGAAGCAATTATAACATGACTCATTATGGCAGGGGTTCATATGTGTCCTTGCCCCTCATAACCCAAGATGGCATCAGGTGGAGATGAGACAATGTCTGCTCCAAAAGGGGGTGTTTCTTTCCAATGTCTCTTTTAAATAGGGAGGACAGTTTTCCACAAAGCCACTCCATGGTTCAGGATTGGGTTACATAGCCATGAAATAGAGTCAGCAAACTACTATAGCCCGTGGGCCAAATCTGGCTAGCCACCTGTTTTTGTTCAGCTCACAAACTGAGAATGGTTTTTACATTTTTAAAGGATAAGAAAAAATCAAAAGAAAATAAATATTTCATAACATACATAAAATCCAAGTTTCATTGTCCATCAATAAAGCGTTATTGTAATACAGCCACACCCAATTGTTTATGTACTGATTAGGGCTGCTTTTGAGCAGCAGAGCCAGAGACCCCTGTGCACTGTCCATGGAGCAGCCTGAGCAAAGCACCAAGCTGAGAAAGTGCGTGGGAGAGCAAAGTGTCTGATGCAGTTGGAAAAGACACTGAGGAGATTGGGTTAAGGTAAGATTTTGGAAGGCCTTGAGTGCTGAGCTGAAAAGGAAAACTTCGTCTTGTTGAAATGAAGGCTTTTGAGGAAGGATGAGCTGTCCTGAAATGTAACTTGATGAATATGACAGATAGGATAGAAGTCTGATGTGATATGATTGATCTGTAATAGTGGTTAGCTCTGTGTCTTAGTCTGCATGAGCTGCTACAACAAAATAAATGTTGTAGCATTTATTTTGTAAATAAGGAATTTTATAAAACAAAATTCCTTAGATCAAGGAATTTATAAAAATAGAAGTTTCTTCCTCACAATTCTGGAGGCTGGGAACTTTATGATCTAGACACCAGCAGAGTCCGTGGCTGGTGAAGGCTCTCTGCTTCACACATGATGTCTTCTTGCTGCATCCTCTCATAGTGGAAGGGGCAATCAGGTTTCCTCAAGCCTCTTCTATAAGTATACAGATCTCATTCTTGAGGGTGGAGTCCTCATGACCTCATCATATCCTAAAGCCCTCACCTCTTAATACTGTCTCATTGGTGATTAGGTTTTGATATATAATTTTGGAAGTACACAAACATTCAGACCATAGCACTCTGCCATATAACCAAAATTATAAAGAGATCTCACCAATCTTAATATAAAGCTAGGAAAATGCAATGTGGCTAAATGGACTTGAACGTGTGTTTTGTGCTGGATTCACTGAGATTTTTTTTAAATGGAGTTGAACTTCAATATTTAAAAAATCTGAATTTGTAACCTCTCTCACATGACAAGAATCAGCTGGAGCTGAGTTGGGACTGTTATTTTTAGGTTTTCCATAGTCTATCATGAGTTAGTATTCTTTTGACATTGAGGCCAAGTGTGAGTTGCTATTTATCGTTGCTGTTTAGGGTAAATGCTTGCTGCTGTAACAAATAAACCCTGACATTCCACTGGCTCAGTATCTAATATATAGAAGTACATCACTTACCGATGTAATAGTCCAACACAACACAAAGGTTCCTGGTAAGTGGATAGTCTTCTTCCATACGATCGTTTAGGGGCTAAAGGAATTTTCCATCTCATGGCTCAGCCATCTGAACCTTAGAGGCCTATGTATGCAGCTGGTGGATGGGGAAGAGAAGAGAGAGAAGGGTTAGTTTCTGAATTGCCTTGGCTCAGAAGTAACATACAACAATTTTGCTCATATTCTATTGGCAAGAACTAGTTAATGGTCCCAATCAGCTTCAAGGGAGCTATAAAAAGTATTCCATGCAGCCACTTTGTAGCAACAACTATTTATGGAAAAGGGAACATGGATTTGAGTAGACAGTTGGTCATTTCAGCTACTATCATCTTTTCTCTACTGTTTTTCTAATGGTTTAGGGTTTACTCATGACTTTTCTTATTCTTGACTGATCTCATTTGCATTACTTAAGAAGTACTTGTAGGCAATTGGCTTTGTAGCTCCTGGTGTGTGGTTAATGCATTACTTTAGAACAACAATTTAGTGGATATAAAGAGTCCTTCCTGGATGGGAATGCTTTGTTAAATTTATACTGGTATCTAGTCACTATATCTGTATTCTGACCATTTTGGTCTTTCTACCAGCTTCCTTCTGTTTAGATACTGGACTTTATATTTTGTTTTCTTTGTTTGTGTAGCAGACTCCTTCAAAACTTTATGGTGTAAAAATACCCAGTCATTTTATTAAGATGATGGGTTCTATGGGTCAGGAATTTGGACAAGCACAGCAGGGATGGCTTAACTCTGCTTCTTGGTGACTGGGTACCTAGCTGAAAGGCTTAAATGTCTGGGTGTGGTGGCTTGCACCTGTAATCCCAGCACTTTGGGAGGCCGAGGCGGGCAGATCATGAGGTCAGGGAATCGAGACCATCCTGGCTAACATGGTGAAACCCTGTCTCTAGTAAAAATACAAAACAGCCTGGCGTGGTGGTGGGTGCCTGTAGTCCCAGCTACTCGGAAGGCTGTGGCAGGAGAATGGCGTGAACCTGGGAGGCGGAGCTAGCAGTGAGCCGAGATCCACCATTGCACTCCAGCCTGGGTGACAGAGCGAGACTCTATCTCAACAATAAAAATAAAAATTAAAAAAAAAAATAAAGGCTTGAACATCTGCAGACCAATTCAGATGGCTGGAGAATGGAATCCTCTCAAGGTTCCTTTACTCATATCTGTGAAGACTGGAATGCTGGGATTGTCACCTGTAGTGTTCCAAATGGCCTCCCCATGTGGTTTGGGCTTCCTCACAGCATGGCAGCCTTGGATAGTCAAACTCCTTACATGGTGCCTTAGGACTCCAAGAGCAAGTATTTTAAACAAACGAGGCAGAAGCCCTGTAACCTTTTATGACCTAGCATTGGAAGTCACATGGTGTCACTTCGGTAGAATGCTATTGGTCAAAACAGTTGTCAGCCTACCTTGATTTAAGCAGAGGGTACTTAGACCCTACCTCTTTATGGGAAGAATGTCAAACAACTTGAAGCCATGTTTTAAAAGGTACATAGACTGTCACATTAATTGGTATCTTTGTGCACATAATATAAAGCAGGCCATTTAGCGAAAGGAGTAAGTTTTCATCAAAAGCTCAAAATATCTCTAACTTTCTTTGATCACCTCTCATCACTGTAAGGAGCTAAAATGAATAAGGACAATTCTAATTGCTTTAAACTGTGAAATATGCTACACATCCCAGGTACTCTCTTTAGAAGTCTGGATTTCTTTTTTTGAATTTTAATGCATTGGACTTTGAGGCAATATGGAATCCTATCTGGTCTGGAATCCTCTCTAGCCTGATATGTGGCTTCCCTCCCAAAATGTGTTTAGGTTTCAAGTCTGGCTTCAGACCAATCAGGCTATCTCAAACAGAATTTATAATTATGGGATGCATTTGGATCTATATCGGGAATATCACCTGGGGTGCACAGATAGAATTCTGGGAGTCCATGATCTTGGATGGGAACAATTACATGTTTATTTTCACTAACCTCTAGTTAAAATACAGCATTTTCTTCAATTACAAATGTAGGCAATAAATTATATTTATTAATTGTATATATATTTTTATTAATCTTTTCAGTACCTATGACTCCAGGATTTGCCAGTGAAAGAAGTCAACAATATTTTAACTTTGATCTTAACCAAAAGGCCAAGAAGTGATGCTAATATTTTCATATACTACGACAGTTGCAGGTATCTTGAAATTCTGTTTATGTTCATCACTACTTTAAAGTTGTGATAGTTATTAGCTATGCTTCTAAATGACATGTGACTACAGTCTCCCTGTCTACAGACACACGTCTATCATAGCTGGGTAGTAATCCAGGCAACTCTGCCACAAGTCATGGGCTCAGCCACCAGTCCACGAAGTCTCCAGTCACACATATTGCTTCGGACTATTCTCTATCCCCAGTTGTCAATTAACTAAAATATTAAATGAGGTAAGTTATTTTCATTGTTTGATAATGTTTTGCAAAACTGAACAGGCCAAATGAGAATTTATAGCCCTGGCTAAGGTGGTGCAGTCTGTTCTTCCTGGAATTCCCAGAGGTTGCTCAGGTTTAGGATTCAGGTGCGATTGAGGGAGGAAGCACCATGAGTCAGGGCACAGAAACTTGATCAAGTGGTATAAGCCCTGGTAACATTTTTCATTTGGAAGTTTCAGTGTTCTGCCCTAATAGATGGGGCCATGTAATGAAAAGACAGAAGCTTTACAAAATTAGTATTTTGGGAGATAGGTGATACAGGCACATTGCACAAAATTGAAAAATTCAGAAGGAATTCAGTGAAAATATTTATATTACTCCTGTCCCTCAGCCACCCAATTTTCTTCCCCAGAGACAACAACTGCTACTAGTTTTTTTGGTATAATTATCGATCGAATGAATATGTATGCAATCAACATCCACCATAAACACATGCCAAGCCCCTACTATAACAAGAGTCCCTTATTTTGGGGGTATCATGAAAATAAAGCATGACATTATAAAATTCAAATTGGTATGGAAAGATATCAGTTACAAAAGAAAATCTTTCTTGATCCTTCTCCTTTTAAAAAACTTTTTTGGGATCGTTTATTTTTTAGTGCTTCTGGTGCCTAGCTCCATACTTTAAATAAAGTGCTTATATCTCTATTTCTGGACTTATCAACTTCAGATAGGACTCTCCAGTATGATATGTTTTATCTAAAGCAACCTATATTAACTAATGTAAGTGAACTCCTCTCTTTCCATTTTTCAGTTAGTTATTCTTTTTAATTCCTCTTTTGGTTATCTTCACAACTTTAAAAACTATTTCTTTTGTAGTGTCAACATCAATAACATTCGTTTTTTGCTCTATAAATATGATTATTCTATGCATTGTCCATATGTTCATTCTAAATATTAACAATAATTCAAAGCTTCTAAGTTTTTATGAAATATTATAACTTAATACAAATATTTGTTATTTCCAAAATGATTATTGTGATTGGACCTTTAGAGAAGGAAATATAATCAAAACTGCTGCCATGCAAAGCAATGTTAGTAATAACACCAATTCTTATGGAATACTATCAATCCCACTTTAAAGATGAGGATGTAGAGATCCGAGGGGTTCAGAACCTTGTCCCAAGGTCTCACCGTATTTGGTAGAGCAAAGTAGACACGGTTTGAAACCAGGCAGTCTGATTCTAGTCCATGATACTCACTATTACACTGTTCTGCCTCTTTAAGCAACAACATCAAATGGATTCTCTTGCCTTCTACTCCATCAATTTCCTGTCACCTGAAATTCTTTGTAGTGAAGAATATATGAAAATGGTTGAAATAAAATGTAAAAATAACCCTTATGCCCTTCCCATAACCATTGCCCACCCCCAAAAAAATCAACGTCGATAGTTTGGTGGGTTGTCTTTCCAGTCCTTTTTCTATGTAGTTTAACGAGCTCACATACTTTACCAATTGCTTGCTTTTTGATTTGGATATCTTCCCATATGAGCATATAAAAATCTATTACATCCTGTTGAGATAGCACTTTAAAATTCCTTTATATGGATGTACCCTACTGATGGATGTTTGGATTGCTTCCAGTTTTCACTATTACACACAAAGCAGCCAAGAACATCTTAGTTCATGCTCTTTGGGCACATGTGTTTTTCTCTAGGATATGTTGGTAGCAATGAAATTGCTGAGAGTGTAGGCACATTTAAAATTGTGATAACTCTTGCTAAATTGCTTCCCTTCTACACACAGAAGGCTTTAAAATGTACACTTCTTCCACGTTGAATGAGAATGTTTGTTTCTTTATAGCACCTTCAGCATTTGAAATCATCAATATTTTTACTTTTTGTGAGGCTGATGGGCAAAAAATTGATAAACTGGTTGTTCGTAAGTGATTCTTTTATTACTAATAAGGTTCACCATCTTTTTATTGACATTTTGTCATCTGTTTGTTGACATTTGTAATTCCCCTGCAAATTGCCCGTTCATAGCCTTTGCTCATTTAACAATTGAGATATGGGCCTCTTATAGATTTGTAGGAGATCTGTATAGTTTGGATAATAATCCTTTATTTAGTGCATTGTATATATTTTCTTCCAATGGCGTGCTTATTTTTCAATTTTATTTGTGCTTTCCTTTGTCATACAGAATTTTACATTTCTATGTAGCCAAATCTGTTAATCTACCATGGATATTTCAGTTAGTATCTCAAAGCCAAGGTGTTTAAAACTGCATTTCCCATCGTGCCCCCAAATACCTTCTCCTCTTGACCATTTGAAACTTGAGTCTTGTTTTTGTTTTTTTTTTTTTATTACAAGGGCAGTTGGAAAACTTCATGGCCAATGATCTTGTAATTTTTTTAAAAAAGTAAAATAGAAGTGTAAAGATATCTTTTTAAATGCAATTATCATGCTCTTCCACGTTGCAGCAGACAACAATAGGTTGATAAGGTGGTGTCTTTGCAAGTTCCTGCACTGAAACATTATTACAAATTACTCAATGTGTTGCCTGGGGATAGGTCCTCCACCCTGATGTTGTCAAACTTAATTTGGTTCTCTTTAGCTCACTAATCTCCAAACCAGACCACTTTTCAGCCCACAGAGACCCGCCTTTTTATTGTGAGCACAATAAGGGTCGAAAGCATGTGGAAGGAATGGTTCAACGTTTTGCATTAACCCCAGGGCAGGTGTTCCTTCATGGTGGTAAAAATGGTTCCTGAATTCTACCCATATTGGAGTGAGGGTTGATAGCAAACCTAGGGGACATGATCAGTTTAAAAAATTGCGTTTCTTTCCTTCCTTCATGGGCTCCTCTCCATGCCTCCTGCTCCTCCTGACCCTCCCATCTGCCCTGGCAAGGAAGAGAGCACACTGCTTTCTGTCCATTCTTTGCCCTCTTTCTTGGCTTCCATAGCTATACTTTGGGGACCTCACAGTAACTTCCCAGTGCACCTCACAGTAACTTCCCAGTGCAGAGCACTTGACTGCACGGAACCTGGATTGACTCAAACCTGTGAATTTCCCTTCCTGAAACCTAGGATGCCATGGAGTCCCCCAACTGATTTCATAAATTTGGTGTCACATTGTAAATCAAGCAGCTGCAGAGTGGCTGGGACATCTGTTTGGTTCTGTTATTCTCTTTACTCCAAAAGGAAACTAACTCCAAAAGGTCAGTAAAATGTGCACATTGCCAGTAAGTGCCTGTATTATTCTTCCCAGGCATGGATCAAAAATATCAGGATCTTTTGCTTGTTAAAAGTAAAATTTTGTGTGCACACACACACACACACTTATTGTAGCTTCATGGAACTCTGCCTAAAGGATAAGGCAATATATCCTTTGTTTGCTTTTGTAGGAAAAGCAAATAAATAAGTGGTATCCTGGAGTTTACTTAGATATCTGTTCATCTTTACCAATTTAAAGATGTTGGAAACAGTGATTAAAAAATAGCTAAAGAGGATGAAGAGGATGCAAGACAAGAACTGCTATCCATAACCATTAGGTTGGACATGGGAGGCCACTTTCTTTAACAGGATTTTTCCTATTTCCCTTTCTCATAGAGAGTGTTAGGCTAGGCTGTGCTATGCTTACAAATACCCTTTCCCTATTCCCCACCCACAGCTGCATATTACTCACTTTACATTACACAGGTTCGTTTCTGGTTCTTGCAGGCCTGATAGGGGGCAGATAATCCTCCTGGGAATTGATCTCCCTGCTGGGAGGAGGGGAACTCAGTGCCAGAGGGTTGCACACCGCTCTTAAGGGCAGTTCTGTAAGTGATAGATGTTACTTCTGCTTTGTTTCTTTTGACCGCAACTGGCCACATGGCCCTACCATGGGGGTTTGGAAATATGGAAGAGCCTATTTGATAAATAGTAAAGGTCTCTGACACACAAGCTGTATCTGAGGCAGACATAAAAAAGATACAATTCCTCATTTTTACTACTTAATTTTTGACTTAGCAACAGTCCCCTTCACACTTCCCCCTTTCTTTTCACTTCTACTACCAATATCCATAAAATATGCTAAAATCTAATTTTAAATAAAAGGTTAAAAGCCAATATGACTTAGAAGGTGTGTATACAGAAGAATATCTATGGACTGTAATATAGCTCTATATAAATAAAATTATTCTATCACAAAATAGAGTTCTTAATTAAAAGTTCCCAACCAAGTTAATTCCCAGCCCCTAAACAGTTTCTAGAGTAGACTACGCATTCAGCAGCACAAAACACCTTCACTATAAACCCTCCTGACCAACACTAATTAAATATACAGATTCCTGGTCTCTGTCCTAAATCTACTTACACCGGAATTTCCTGGGGTAGGGCCCATTTTGAAAGAGCACCACAGATAATTCTAATAAATACTGAAATTTGAGAAAGGCTAGCTTGTATTAATTTTCCCAGGAGCATTTACATATTTCAAAAGACAGCTGAAAGAAGGAAATGTTTCATATGAAGGAGTGATTTGCTAAAAGCTGAGATTCAAACACCAGTGGGGCAGTAGTCTTTGAGTGAGGGCCTTTCTGTATTGGGCCATACTCAGCATGTTTGCTTATGTAGCTATTCAGCTACGTAAAGTTGACATGTACAGTATTTTGGGGGTATCCTATAGTATTCTATTTTTGCATTTTCTGGCTCACCCTCATGGAGGATAGTTTCCTATTAATGGCTTTTCCATTTTGCCTGTAGGATCATCTTCAGTGGTTTTTGTTTTGTTTTGTTTCCTATGGGATTTTCAGATCCCTGGAATATGAAAGTATCCCTACAGAGTAGTTTTTGCTTAGTTTTATCAGGTGTCCAGTGGATTTCACTTGCTCAGGACAACTTGCCTGAGGTTGGCTTCACGACACTTGCAGAGAATTCCTAATTTACACATGGCACGGGCATGCCTTGTTTGGTCCTGTGCATCCAAGGCCAAGGGCAGAGATATACTTCCTTGCTGCTTGGTAGGCCAACTGTAATGTTTGCTTCTGGTCTCCTCTTCTTGAAGAAAATAGTCCCTCCAGTCTGCTCAGGGCAGATATCTTACTCCCTCAGGAGCATCAGAATTTCTAGATCTGATCTGATTTCCCCAGCACCCATCCTTTGGAAGCCGTGGTATCATCTCTAAGATATAACTCTGTAGCTTTTAATTTCTCCTTTTCCTTCCTGGTACCTGAAGATATTCATGTCTTTATTTTGAATTCAGCTTAGAAGTTTTTTAAAAAATGGGTCTATTTGATCCATTATGTGTTTGGAGCCAGGCCCGGGAAAAAGCTTATACTTCATGACTCTTCAGTCTGCCATTTCTCTTGAAGTTTTATAAGGTTTTTTAGGAGGCGTGTTACTTTACCCTTAGTTATATTCATTTGTTTTGTGCTGCCACTGCTGTTTTGTTTGGTGAATTTTCTTTGCTCTTGAACAATATTTGATGTTAAAAAGGTCCCATTTCAAGCAGAAAACAGGCCATTAGTCACACTCTCCCATGGAACTGAGTTTATTTTCCTCACATAGTTCTCATCACACTATATTGCAGTCAGTTCCAGACAGCTTTGCTTTCTGCACCGTAGGCTTCTGGGCCCAGTGATCAGATCTCATTAATCTTTTTATCTCCAGTTCTGGCACAGTGCCTAGCACATAGGATTGGACAGAAGAGGTTTGTGCTGTTGGTTATTAAATAGAAATCCTTGCCGATGATGATGATGATGGTGATGAATGCTACCACAATAGGAAGGCCCCACAGAATTCTGATCCTGGTATGGATGGCTAGAACGTCCTTCTCTGTTTATTGGATTTTTAAGTGCTGTTAATGGCTATTAACTAGTCTGTGTAGATTAACACCTGCTCCCTGCCTGGATGCATACACAGCCATTAGTTGCAGAGAATAGCCTCCCTGAGGGATCAAAAATACATAAAAATTTGGGAAAGGATTTGTATCCTTTTTCTCAGTGATGGCCTCTGGTCCCCAGGTACATGCTCCACGACCATCTGCTACAAGCTCTGCCTGCCCCTCCACCCACTCAGCCTCCCTTCCTCCCTCTCTTCCTCCTATCCTTCCACTCTTCCTCTCTTTTTTTCTCTCTTTTACAACTATAGATGAGGTGCTTTGCTGAGTAAAACCATAGTAATTTATAATAAATACTTGTTGGATGAATTCTCTAATTATCCTTAAAAGGACAAAAATACAGTCTAGCTCATTTTTTCATACAAAGGCATCCTCTAATGTATAAGTGAATTATAGCTGTTAGCATTTACTAACCACATCATCATCTACTGGGTACTTGTTGCTAAGCATTTTACACCTATGGAATCATTTCACCTTGTACGTGACCTGTGAGATGGAGGATATTACACATATGTTGAATCTTACTGGAGGCAGGGAGTAGGCAGAGAATAATTCATTCCAGAGCACGTACTCTGGGAATGGTAGAGCTGAGGTCTGAACACAGCCTGCCTGGCTATAAAGGCTGTCCTAAACATTGTACATGCTTCACACAGTACCCATCAGCTGAACAAACAGTCCCTATGGAGGGTCCACCAGGCCCACCCACACAGTTGGGATTCTTGTTTTTGATTCAAGAGTGATATAGAGAGCTAGAGAGTGCTGGGCTCCTCTTTCCCTTCCAGACTGGCAGACTCAGAAGGATGAGGAACCAAAGACATTAGTTTTTCTATGGCAAGTCTGAGGCTGACAGCTGGGGCCAATATCAAGGAATTGTGGCCTAAATATCTTGTACTCCTCTTCTGGTTTCTAGATGATGAGGGTAATATTCCAAGAATGTCATGATAGCAATATTAAAATTATTATTGTCAATATTAGAAAGATAAGGCAATAGCCTCAAGAAGAGAATACCCAAGCTAAGTTTCTCTAATAATCCAAAGTCTGTTTTGAGATGCAAGCAAGTCTATTTTACAGTTTAAAAAGAGAGAGAGAAAGGAAGAAAGAAAATGCTAGCCTTAACACAGGCTCTAAAGGGGCTGCCAGCCTCTGTGTGGGCGATGTCTAGCACCATAAGAGAGGAAGTTTGGCTAAGGCAGGACTCTCAATAAGAGAGGATGCCTACCTTCTCTGCTCTGGGGACAAGGATCTAGAATATAATTATGTGTGTGTGTTTCTGTGTAGGGTGCATTGAACCAGATATTTATTCATTGCAGTCTCTGGCAACTCTATGTTAATAAAGAAGATTAAGCGGAGGACATGGGGGAGCCTCCAGAAAACTTCTTTGTGAGGAAGCTAACATGCATTCTGTGTCTCTTCTTCTGGCTTAGCTCCTTCCAGTTGGCTGAGATTTAAAGGATGGTTGGAGATCCAGCAGCCATCTTGGACCATGAGGTGAATCATGATGAAGCAAAATGACAGAAAGAGCCAAGATCCTTGTCCTGTGGAAAGCAATACAGGTCCTGGACTGCTCTTGTTACACTAGAAAAAATGTACTTTTAGTTTATTTATTTATTTTTGAGACAGAGTCTTGTGGAGTCTTGCTCTGTCTGGCCCAGGCTGGAGTGCAGCGGTGCAATCTCAGCTCACTGCAACCCCTGCCTTCCAGGTTCAAGTGATTGTCCTGCCTCAGCTTCCCAAGTAGCTGAGATTACAGGCACGTGCCAGCATGTCTGGCTAATGTTTGTATTTTTAGTAGAGACAGGTTTTTGCCATGTTGGCCAGGCTGGTCTCAAACTCCTGACCTCAAGTGATCCAACTGCCTCGGCCTCCCAAAGTGCTGGGATTACAGGCATGAGCCATCACGCTGGCCCTTTTAGCTAATTTAAACAACTGCTAATTTTGATTTTACACCATTTGCAGTGAAGCCTAATTGTAGCTGATCCATCCTATACCAAGTGACTCCCAACGGACACTACACAGCATAAGTTGGAAAGAATCAAAGCCTACTTAACAATTAAATTGTTTTGTGTGTAGCACAAAACAGACCAGAGAAATCCTGTTTGAGCAGTGGTGAGGGTGTTCACACTGCTCGAACATTGTTCCCAAGTTGTGATAGAGGAAGAGGGGAACTTCCTCTAACTTTTTCTGTGTTGCTTTCGCTTCTCACCAACGCTTTTTGCCAGGTGCCTTTGCTGTTTTGATCAGAGAATGCTAATTGCTGATTGTTCCATCTCGTTAGGTAAAGTGGGAATTTGGTGAGGCCCATTCCTTGCATTAGGGCAGGATGCTAAAACGGTCTTGGTGATGCTGAAAAGCCAGGCTCTGTTTCTTTTTCTCCAGAGAGAGAGGCTATGTGGATGAAGATGATGAGGATGGTGGGGGCAAGATGGATGCTCTGGGACAGAAGTACACTTGCTTTTGGAAAACAAAGAGGCCTCTCCTCTTGACAAGCCAGTTCTGCTAAGTGAACCCTGGATAGAAACTAAGGGAACATTTAAGAGTGAATGGAATTTTAAAAATTGCACAATGCAGTGAGATGGCAGTTACAGTGAAGTCTTTGCAATTATTCTTGCTGATAGTGAAGGATCTTATCATGATCCCTGTGGGCCTGGATGAAGCCACTTCCTTCACATGGATGTGATGGTATCCCGTGACTTGGCTCCCGAACAACTCCTGCTTAGAAGCTGATGCTGCACTTGGAAAAATATTTCTAATGTTTGAATAATGACAATACACTGTGAGTCTTGAAATGGTTTCCCAGCTTGAGCAAGGACAAGGACTTTATTGAAGAATTGTGCCTGGAGGGAAATGATTGGCAATTATCTGCTTCATTATGTCTTTTGGGGCAGTACAAACAAACAGGGCATCAAAGTAATACATGTCTTTAGGTTTTGGATATATGGGGAACATTACATACATTAGTAGCAATGGTAGCACTGACCAGATGCTGGATACGTTCTAAGCACTTTACTGATGTTAGCACAGCTGATCCAATAGTTCCACAAGGCAAATTCCATCACTATCCTCATTCTGATTTTCAGATGAGGAAACTAAGGCATGGTTATTAATTTGTCCACAGTTACAAGGTTAGGTTACGTATAGTTAGTATAAGATAGAGATGGGATTTGAACCAGGGAGTGGGTTCCAAAGTCCAAGCTCTTAACCAGTACATGAGACCATCTGTTGACATTGATTGAACACACACACACACTGATATGGTTTGGCTGTGTCCCCACCCAAATCTCATCTTGAATTATAGCTCCCATAATTCCCGCGTGTTGTGGAAAGGACTTGGTGGGAGATAATTGAGTCATGGGGGCGGCTTCCCCCATATCATTCTCATGGTAGTGAATAAGTCTTACAAAATCTGATGCTTTTATAAGGGGAAACCCATTCTGCTTGTTTCTCATTGTCTTTCTTGCTTATTGCCAATGTAAGACGTGCCTTTCACCTTCTGCCATGATTGTGAAGCCTCCCCAGCCACGTGGAACTGTAGGTCCATTAAACCTCTTTTCTTTATAAATTACCCAGTCTTGGGTATGTTTTTATCAATCAGCAGCCTGAAAACGAACTAATGCACACACACACACACACAGACACACACACACACACACACACACACGATGTCGAGGAAACCTAAAAGTGTCATGTTATCCATCCTCAGATATCGGACAGCTCATTCTTTTTAATAGTTATTGACAGCAACTTGTGCATACATTTTGAATAGTCAAGGTTAATAAGAGTTATCCTCATTCTCTAAAATTAGCGTTGACACCATCTGTGTGGCTTTGGACAAGTAATTTAACCTTTCCAAGCCTTGGTTTTCTTATTCGTAAAATTGCAATAATAATTCTTTTCCTACAGGGTTGTTAGGATGTTAAGCAAGAGAGAGTATATAAAATGCCTGTCATACGCTTTCACTGTGACAGGCATAAGTCATGTCCTGGAGTCAGGAGTGGAGGCAATATTGCCTGAAGAGGAGAAAGTTAAGAATGGGGAGAGTGTTTTTCTCTTGATGCAGAATTCAGATGCCTACCTTTATGGAGGTAAATGTAAGTGGATGCCAGAAACAGAAACTGTCTACTTCAGTGGTTGGCCCATGCGAGGAACTCAAAAAATGATGGTTTTAGGCCTGTTGTGGCATTCAAACTCATGGAATGCCACTCTGAAACATTTTTCTTTGAATTGTGCAAACTAGAATGGCATCCAAAAACTTTAACAGGTTGATAGATGTCATCATTAGAATTGTAAGAAAGTACATTACATCCTTACCTTGCTTTTTATTCAACATTTCATTCCACTCCCACATTGTATTCCCCCAGTGATCTTAAAAGCCTTCCGAATCCTTGCTTCTGATATGAAGACCAGAGATGAAGTGGTAGATAATGTGCCTACCATATCTTATCAGGCAGTCTTCCAGCAAACTCTCACTAAAGTCCCAGCTTTACAGAAATAATCCAATGTAGAATTTGGAGGAAAATTATTATTGCAAGGAGAAATAAAATCAGGAAGCCAAACTTTCCCCCTTTATTATAACTAGTCAAGTTAATTACTCGTTGTTATTCATTTATTTATTCACTCACCAAATATCTATTTAAGTACCTGCAACATATCTTGTTCTATGTAGGTACTGGAACTACAAGGGATATGGGAGCTCCTTTTTTTTTAAAAAAAATTATTTATCTAATTTTTCTTACCCCCTTCCATCACAGAAGAAAACCTGATGTCTGAGCTGAATCCTAATCATGAAGATGTTTTTCCACCATTCCTGTCTGTGTTTTTCTACCATTCCTGTCTGTGTTTTTCTACCAAAGTGTGCTCTTGAAGTTCTGCATTTCCCAGGGTAAGTGGTAGGGTCTTCCAAGGAGTTGGGAAGGAATGGGTAAGCAGGTGGCCATGGCTCTTTTGTCTTTTCTATATTTTGGGGTTTCTCATAAGGATATTTTCAAAGAAAGGGACACACACACACAGAGGTGTTAGAATCAGGCAATCCGGTCTAAATTTCAGCTCTGCCAGTGACACTCTAAGTGTGTGACTTTGCATAAGTTACTCATCTCTGTAGGACTATTTTCTTATGGGTTAAAATGAAGATGATAACAAGTGCCTCATGGAAATACTTTACAGAACTTTATAGAACGCGGTGAGGATCCAATGAGATAACCTATGTGATAAGAATTTGTCACAGTGCCTGGCACATAGTAGGAACTTATTAAAAGTTTATTTTCATCCTCATTTCCCTTTCGTCCTCTTCTTCCCATTCTTACTGCCTTCCCCTTTCCCTGTCTTCTGACGTCACCTTAGGGGTAGCTGGTGCAGGTCTAGATGTTCACAGAGATTGATCTAAGTTGTGGCAATTGTTGTCCCTTCTACATGGACCCGCCCCCTTTCCTTGAGTCTCTTGTGGAAGTGACTGCCTGTGAGAGACGACGCCAGCTGGTAGAGGGATTGTGACCTCTGAGAGAGGCCTCCACTTTTCTGAGCAGGAAAAACTGGGATGACCTTGGCTGCCCCACCTTGGGAACTGCACTCCTGGGAACATCATGATACTGGCAGGAACAATGAGGCCGAGGGTGGGGGGCAGAAGAAATGCTTCTCTTTTTAATTACCTGCAGAGCAAACTCATTGTGAATACTCTCCTAAATGCAAACATGGAGAACTGGTACCTACTGTAGTCAGAAATTTTGAGTGCCAAGTTACAGGGACACAACTCAAATTGGTTTAAGCATAGAGAGGGAATAATTGGTTAAGGAGCCAAAAATCCACATGGCTTCACAATGGCTGTTTTCAGTCACTAAACCCATGTCTTCAGAATCTGTCTCTCAATCTCAGCTCTTCCTTCTTAGGCAGGTCCTCCTCTTGTTGCAGCAAGATAGTCACTAACAATGCCAGGAGTTTTTCTACCACCTTTGCAACCACAGCTAAAAGCATCCCTTTTCTGCTGGTTCCAGCAAGAATTCCCAGACTGAGTCATCTGTCCATCCTGACCAAATTCCTGTAGGGAGTGGGACACACTTGTTCTGATTGGCCAGGCCTCCCTGCTGGAAGGAGAGATTAACCAAATATAGGGTAAATTTAGGTAGTGTTACCAGAAGAAGGGATATTAAGGACACACAAAACAACAAGTGTTTCCTCCGGGCTCAGTACTTTCATGTATTTTCTTATAAAATATCTAAATCTTACAAAGAAAGGACATGTTTCTAGGTATCCTTGTGCCTACAACATAAACATAAGAATATTTCAGGCCCATGAAAAATCTAATTATTAGCCTATTTGCCCTATCAAACTACACAGTGATAAAATAATGAAATTAATATCAGTTTTTGCTTCACCTATGCAATTATTAAATTATCTGGATAGATCTTTGTTTCTAACTCATAAATAGGTTAACTTGGCAAGCATCAAAAAACATAGGAAGCCATGGGTGATGGTTAGTTTTTGTTTATTCCTAATTTTTTTGTTGCTTTTAATTTCATCACAAGAGATGGTTAGTTTTATGTGTCAATTTAGATAGACTATAGCACAAAGTTGTTCAACCAAACAGGAATCTAGGTCTTCCTGTGAAGGCGTTATGTAGTGGTTAGCGTCCACAATCAGTGAACTTAAGTAAGAGATTGTTCTTGAGTGTGGATGGGCCTCATCCACAAGTTGAATAGCTTAGTGGAAAAAAACATGGTTTCTCTGAGGGAGAAGAAATTCCACCTTTGGACCACAGAGTCAGCTCCTGCCCAAGAGTTTCCAGCCTGCCAAGCTGCCCTGCAGATCCACGAACTGCACAAACCCACCCTCCTTCCTCCAAATACACAGTAACGTGGCACATACTGAGGTTTCAGTTGACATCTATGACGGTGGTCCCATAAGATTAGAATACTGTATTTTTTTACCATACCTTTTCTATGTTTAGACATGTTTGGATACACAAATACCATTGTGTTATAGTTGTCTACTGTATACAGTAGAGTAACATGTTGAGAGAAACAGGGTATACCCTATAGCCTAGATGTGTAGTAGGCTATACCATCTAGGTTTGTGTAAGTACACTCAGTGATGTTTGCATAGTGACAAAACTGCCTAATGATGCATTTCTTAGAATGTATCCCTATTGTTAAGTGACACATGACTGTATACACACACACACACACACACACGTATGTGTATACATATATGTATGTATTTGTATATATATAGGTATAAACATATCTCCTACTGGTTCCGTTTCTCTGTTAGAACCATGACTGATAGACCATAGAATGTTAAAATGTGTTCTGTAGTTGAAAAATGACATTGGTCATGCTGCCAGTGAGATTCAAGTCAAAGTTGAGGCACAAACCCATTCTCCTTTAGTATGCAAGTTGTTTAATATGCATGCACCTATAGTGTAGTTGCTGAAAAAACACATTTTCCAACAATGGTACCACTTTTTATGGGCCCCTGAAAAACAGTGTCACTGCAATACTTGAAACAAATACTTGATAATACTTGAAATATAGCACCTTTCTACTGAGGAAGTTAAACAACTTTGCAGGAATTATCTCATGATCTACATGTGATGCTAATGAGGTAGGTGGCAAATATGATCAGCCCCACTTTATAGACGGAAATTGGGACACAGTGGATGTGACTTGGCCCAAAGCTGTGTTGAAACTCACTAACAAACTAGGGATAGAAAAAGGAGTTTTGCAGGCTTCAAGCCTGCAAGCTTTTTCAAGGTGTATTCTCTCTATCCCTCCTATGAGAATCACTTGGAATTATTAAAATGCAGATTCCTGAACTCTGTCCTAGATGCACTGAATCAGAATTCTGGCATGGGGACCAAAGAGTCTGCCATGTTGGTGAGATTCTTGGGTGAGTCTTGATATGGTAAAGTCTGAGAACCACCTTGTTAGGTGTAGCTTTTCACCTTGTCTATATCTCAACTGTTTGACTTTGTAAATACATAAATTGAAAAATTTAGGAAGTAAATAACTGGCTTTTCTGGGTCAATTAGGAAAGAAAAAAAAACGAAAAGAAAAAATACTGGTTTACTTTTTTAAAAAAGCGTACTTTTCTCAAACTCCGTGCTAGGCAAACCACTACTCTAGAACTCAGGATTAAGAAACTCACTCAAAACCGCTCAACTACATGGAAACTGAACAACCTGCTCCTGAATGACTACTGGGTACATAACGAAATGAAGGCAGAAATAAAGATGTTCTTTGAAACCAATGAGAACAAAGACGCAACATACCAGAATCTCTGGGACACATTTAAAGCAGTGTGTAGAGGGAAATTTATAGCACTAAATGCCCACAAGAGAAAGCAGGAAAGATCTAAAATTGATGCCCTAACATCACAATTAAAAGAACTAGAGAAGCAAGAGCAAACACATTCAAAAGCTAGCAGAAGGCAAGAAATAAGTAAGATCAGAGCAGAAGTGAAGGAGATAGAGACACAAAAACCCTTCAAAAAATCAATGAATCCAGGAGCTGGTTTTTTGAAAAGATCAACAAAATTGATAGACTGCTAGCAAGACTAAAAAGAGAGAAGAATCAAATAGACGCAATAAAAAATGATAAAGAGGATATCACCATCAATCCCACAAAAATACAAACTACCATCAGAGAATACTATAAACACCTCTATGCAAATAAACTAGAAAATCTAGAAGAAATGTTAAATTTCTAGACACATACACCCACCGAAGACTAAACCAGGAAGAAGTTGAATCCTTGAATAGACCAATAACAGGCTCTGAAATTGAGGCAATAATTAATAGCCTACCAACCAAAAAAAGCCCAGGACCAGACAGATTCACAGCCAGATTCTACCAGAGGTACAAGGAGAAGCTGGTACCATTCCTTCTAAAACTATTCCAATCAACAGAAAAAGATGGAATCCTCCCTAACTCATTTTATGAGGCCAGCATCATCCTGATACCAAAGGCTGGCAGAGACACAACAAAAAGAGGGAATTTTAGACCAATATCCCTGATGAACATTGATGCAAAAATCCTCAGTAAGATACTGGCAAACTGAATCCAGCAGTGTATCAGAAAGCTTATCCACCATGATCAAGTGGGCTTCATCCCTGGGATGCAAGGCTGGTTCAACATATGCAAATCAATAAACATAATCCAGCATATAAACAGAACCAAAGACAAAAACCACATGATTATCTCAATAGATGCAGAAAAGGCCTTTGACAAAATTCAACAGCCCTTCATCCTAAAAACTCTCAATAAATTCGGTATTGATGGAACATATCTCAAAATAATAAGAGCTATTTATGACAAACCCACAGCCAATATCATACTGAATGGGCAAAAACTGGAAGCATTCCCTTTGAAAACGGGCACAAGACAGGGATGCCCTCTCTCACCACTCCTATTCAGCATAGTGTTGGAAGTTCTGGCCAGGGCAATCAGGCAGGAGAAAGAAATAAAGGGTATTCAATTAGGAAAAGAGGAAGTCAAATTGTCCCTGTTTGCAGATGACATGATTGTATATTTAGAAAACTCCATCGTCTCAGCCCAAAATCTCCTTAAGCTGAGAAGCAAGTTCAGCAAAGTCTCAGTATAGAAAATCAATGTGCAAAAATCACAAACAGAGAGCCAAATCATGAGTGACCTCCCGTTCACAATTGCTTCAAAGAGAATAAAAGACCTAGGAATCCAACTTACAAGGGATATGAAGGATCTCTTCAAGGAGAACTACAAACCACTGCTCAAGGAAATAAAAGAGGACACAAACAAATGGAAGAACATTCCATACTCATGGATAGGAAGAATCAATATCATGAAAATGGCCATACTGCCCAAGGTAATTTATAGATTCAATGCCATCCCCATCAAGCTACCAATGACTTTCTTCACAGAATTGGATAAAACTACTTTAAAGTTCATATGGAACCAAAAAAGAGCCCACATTGCTAAGACAATCCTAAGCCAAAAGAACAAAGCTGGAGGCATCACGCCACCTGACTTCAAACTATACTACAAGGCTACAGTAACCAAAACAGCATGGTACTGGTACCAAAACAGAGATATAGACCAATGGAACAGAACAGAGCCCTCAGAAATAATACCACACATCTACAACCATCTGATCTTTGACAACAAACCTGACAAAAACAAGAAATGGGGAAAGGACTCCCTATTTGATGGTGCTATTTAAATAGGCTGTTTAAATAGCCTATTTAATGGCTAGCCACATGTAGAAAGTTGAAACTGGATCCCTTCCTTACACCTTATACAAAAATTAATTCAAGATGGATTAAAGACTTAAATGTTAAACCTAAAACCATAAAAACCCTAGAAGAAAACCTAGGCAATACCATTCAGGACATAGGCATGGGCAAGGACTTCATGTCTAAAACACCAAAAGCAATAGCAACAAAAGCCAAAATTGACAAATGGGATCTAATTAAACTAAAGAGCTTCTGCACAGCAAGAGAAACTACCATCAGAGTGAATAGGCAACCTACAGGATGGGAGAAAATTTTTGCAATCTACTCATCTGACAAAAGGCTAATATCCAGAATCTACAAAGAACTCCAACAAATTTACAAGAAAAAAACAACCCCATCAAAAAGTGGGCGAAGGATATGAGAAGGCGCTTCTCAAAAGAAGACATTTATGCAGCCAACAGACACATGAAAAAATGCTCATCATCACTGGCCATCAGAGAAATGCAAATGAAAACCACAATGAGATACCATCTCACACCAGTTAGAATGGTGATCATTAAAAAGTCAGGAAACAACAGGTGCTGGATAGGATGTGGAGAAGTAGGAATGCTTTTACACTGTTGGTGGGACTGTAAACTAGTTCAACCATTGTGGAAGACAGTGTGGTGATTCCTCAAGGATCTAAAACTAGAAATACCATTTGACCCAGCCATCCCATTACTGGGTATATGCCCAAAGGACTATAAATCATGCTGCTATAAAGACACATGCACACGTATGTTTATTGCAGCACTATTCACAATAGCAAAGACTTGGAACCAACCCAAATGTCCATCAATGATAGACTGATTAAGAAAATGTGGCACATATACACCGTGGAATACTATGCAGCCATAAAAAAGGATGAGCTCATGTCCTTTGTAGGGACGTGGATGAAGCTGGAAACCATCATTCTGAGCAAACTATCGCAAGGACAGAAAACCAAACACTGCATGTTCTCAGTCATAGGTGGAAATTGAACAATGAGAACACTTGGACACAGGAAGGGGAACATCACACACCGGGGCCTGTGGTGGGATGGGGGGAGCGGGGAGGGATAGCATTAGGAGATATACCTAATGTAAATGACGAGTTAACGGGTGCAGCACACCAGCATGGCACATGTATACATATGTAACAAACCTGCACATTGTGCACATGTACCCTAGAACTTAAAGTATAATAAAAAAAGAAAATGAGAAACTGAAAAAAAAGTACTTTTAATGCTTCCTACTATTTCCAAAGAGGTTTTTAAAGAAAATGAGGCGATCTATAAGTCACTGATGGGTACAGTCTATCCAATTCCTGGTCTCCATTTATTGGTATTTGTGCACTGTTTTGCTTTCTTAACCCTTCAACCTTGCCTGAGAGCCCTCTCCTGCTGCCTCCTAGGGTCTCTCTGGGCCCTTTAGCCAAACAAATGCAGACAACATTGACAACATTGGCAAGCCAAGAACATTTTTGCTACAGTAGCCCTGACAGGAATTGTACAGGAGCTCTTAAGCTGTCTCTAAGACCAGGGGATATCTGACAGGGCGAATTCACCTTGGCAAAAACATTTGATCCACTGGCCAAACAAACTCAGTTGGTGATGATGCAAACATTGGCTGAAGCTTATAGCTTTTATGTCCTTACCTTTTTGTCGTTGTTTTATTTTTTAAAAGTTTGATAAAAGGAGGTTCCTGTACAACAGAAGTTCTTAAAGACAACAAAAGCTTACCTTTCTATAATAGAAAAAGAGGTTAGGCTATATTTGAACATCTTACATCCTCCATAGAATCTAGAATATTACTGCATACACTCTCTGTGTTTATAGGAGACCTTTGTAAAAACAGAGACCACAAGATCTATTAGGGAGGTGCCATTGATGTGGCCAGTGACTGGGTCGGTCCTACGAGTTAGCAGCCATCACCGCCCACCCCCTGCACTGAAACTTGTCCTCCTCAGTCTGCAGTTGACTTGCACATAGGATCACAAGGTAAATAAGGGAAAGAGGGTGAATAGAGCACACTTTGGCTTGACACTTTAGGCAAAGCCCTACTTAGCAGAAAATGACTCAAACCCTTACGACCTAAGGTACAAAATTCTAGGTTCAGTCCCTGGAATCCCGTTTTATAACCCTTTCCCCAAAATACCAAAATAGATGATGCAAATAATTTAAAATGAAACTCAAATAATACACTTTCACAAACCTTTAATTATGTAAAGCTAAACAGTGTTAAGAGTTCTGTTGTGATCATGGAAAACTGGGAATACAAATGCCCATTTGTGTGGAAATGTTTATGGAATTTTTATAGAATGAAACTCTATGTAAATGGTAATTAAATGAAGTATATCTACCTGTGTGGACATAGATAATAATATCTAGTGTGTATTTTTTTTTTTATACTTTAAGTTGTGGGATACATGTGCAGAACGTGCAGGTTTCTTGCATAGATATACACGTGCCATGGTGGTTTGCTGCACCCATCAACCCGTCATCTACGTTAGGTATTTCTTCTAATGCTATCCCTCCCCAGCCCCCAACCAACACAAATTGTGAAAGGCTACACAGACGCTCCTTGGCTTACCATCATGTTATGTCCCAATAAACCCATCATAATTTGAAAATATTGTAAGCCAAAAGTGCATCTGGATGGAAGTCAAGCAGATAAAGAGCATACTGAGTGCATATCACTTTCACACCGTTGAAGTAAAAAATTCAGAAGTTGAACCATTGTAAATCAGAACTGTTTGTAGTCTGATGCTGTTTTGCAAAGTAATAACAACCAGACATGTAAGCATATGGAAGCACAGAAAACCTAGAGGGCTATGCACCTAATGGTTAAGAGATTTGGGACCACAGGAGATATTCGCTTTCTACATTATGATTTTCTCTTATGTTTGAATTTCCTGTAACAAACACAATTCTTTTCTTAATCAGAGCAAATTTTAGGTGTTAAAAAATGAAATGCTGGAAATTTCCTTCTGGGGGATTTTTCCACATGGGCTAGACTAGTTGAGGTGTCCTATAATGCAGTCTAATATAGAGGTTGAACAATGTGTGGTGCTAGTCTGGGTTTTCAGTGAAGCAGGTGCTGGGACAGAGTCATGAGTGCAGAAGGCTTATGGGCTGTCACACCTGTGAAGGGCGGAAGCAGTGCTCCATGGAGGAAGCCATCGCACCTGCTGCAGACCTGACTCTCCCACCTCCCAGGGAAGCTCTGGAGCCCAGAGGCCCATTAGACCCATGCTGGGCCCTTGTACTGAGCCCTGTATCACTTTCTTACACAGTCGTTTTCTGAGGGTCACCCGAGAAGAGCATGGCCTGGACTGAACACTGAAGCAAACACTGACAGAGGTGACACTTGGAGGCTGTCAGCTCACCAGGCCCCTCCAAGCGGCAGGGCAAGTCTTTTCCTGAATGGGCATCTCAGCTGTGCTTTTCCACTTCTGCCGCAGTGCCTTTTTCACTTCTCTGTGTACAAGCTTAGGCTTTATTTATGGAAAAGATGATTTGGGGTGAAATCCTGCACTTTTCCCTATGTGATCCACAACACTTTCTAACCATGTCAATTCTACTTCAGCTGTATTATGAAAACAGTGTTTAAGAAGTGGCTTATTGTATGTGAAAGTTATAAAGGATAAAGTTATTTATGTTAGTCAGAATATATAAATATGTGTCAGAACACTTTTGTGAACTCCAAATAATTTCTGAGAAGATACTGGAAAAATATCAATGACAAATAATTAAATATACAAATGACTTTATATTTATTCACATTTCCTCTTCACAACAGCCCTTTGAAGAAGTTGCTGTTATTCCCATTTTACAGATGAGGAAACTAAAGCACAAAGTGGTTAAGTGACTTCTCCAAGTCAGTTAGTAACAGGTAGAGTCAGGATTTGAACCCAGGGAGTGTGGCTTCAGAGTTCATATTTGTAAATAACACAATCAACTGCCTCTTCTGTAAACTGAGCATGTTCACCACAAGTTGGAGGTGACAGCATGTGCAGAAGAAAACTAAGCATCTGTACATTAGGTAAGAATGGCCATGAAGACGGGGCCCGAAGGATACCAAGGCAATGAGCTGGCAGGCCTCAGCTGCAGATGGGGATGGAGCAGGCCCTACATAGGCTGGACCTGGAGACCAATGCTCTAATCTCCATATGGTGGACTCCTCCTATTGGACAGAGAGAAACTTTAATTAGCTGCCTCCAAATGGAGTTTGCCTCCAAATGGCCATTCTTGGGTTTTCTAGACTAATGCGAAAGTTTTCACCGTGTTCCAAATTTTTCCTGTGGGTACATCTTCCTATCTGAGATGCCTGTGAGAACATACCTAACCATTCCCCTTGGAACATAAAAGGATGACTCTCACTGTGAAATAAGGTGAGAAACATTTCTTTCTGCCTGCTCATTCATGGGGCCTGAGAATCTCTTGGAATTGCCATAAAAATCTTCAGAGTTCCATATTGTTTCCACGGCCCTCCTCATCTCCCTTTGCTATTGTTCTCTGAAATGAAGGTATGGCTGATAAACTGTCTTCTTCAAAGATTTGCCTTTTTCCTCAATCCCTAAGTAGTGTTGAAGCAAAAATTCTATTTCAAAGAAAATTACTGAGAGTTCTAATTACAGTTATTGAAATCCAAATTCTACACAGCACTCTCTTCAATTATGAACAGTGTTCATAAGTAGGGTCACTTATCTAGAAAATTATTAAAAATTCAATGTACATGAAAGCCTCAAAAGTCCTTGAAAGGCAAATGTTAGGAAAGGGCTGTTTCCATGACAACATCTCCTCATCCTCTTTGATCCCTTGCTGCCCATTTTCTAGTAAACACCTACTTTGAATTGCAACTTTCTTATTTAATAATTTCAACAAACGTTGGGAAAATGTGTTGCTCATTCTCCATCAGTGATTAGAATTTTCCTGAATTTTGATATCATGCTAACCAGTCCTTTCCCAAAGCCATCCTTTACTGGAGTAGAAAATGTTCTCCTTACTCTACCTTTTCTAAAAGATTTAAAGAATGAGAGTATCTTTGCTGCAATACTTTCTTGGCTCAGAGACAAGTGGATTTGCAGTGTCTGATAATGTTCCACACAATAACATATTTTCCCTTTTCACAATTAAGTTTATCATCTAACTGCCTAGCCTATCATTCAAAAAATAAATTGTCATGGATTTCATTGACTTTACATCAATCTGTTGGTTCATTGGTCAAATCATCAGGGCATTGCAGACGCATGTTTGGGAACTCACTTTTAATAGGAAAGGAGAGGCAAGGAAGCAGGTATGTCATAATCACAAGTCTGAGATTGATTGCATTAAAAAATAATTTCAGCAAAAGTCTGTATCATCACCTTTGTGCTTGAAGAGCAGCAAGTGATACAACCCCAAGCCACTAACATATATGGCAAGAAGGAGAAGCAGAAGAAAACCAGGGAAAAGAAAAAGCAGATACTCATTGCCCTAAGAAAAATAATTTTGTAATCACAAAATTAAATTACTCTGCTGTGAATCCCAGTGAAGAAATGGCCTTGTTGGAATGGTTTGATGTGCTCTCACAGGCATCTCAAATGGGAAAACATACCCACAGGAAAAATTTGGAAGGCAAACAGTAAAAACTTTCACATTAATCTGGAAAACAAAAGAGTGGCCATTTATACCTTATGCCTAACTCTAAAAAACTCTTAAGTGCTTTGCAGTTTATTTTTGGAAAAGAGAGTAGGAGAAAGAAGAAAGTGGGGCAGAATAACAGGGAGAGAGGGAAAGAAACAGATTTTTTTTTTCCTTTTGGTCCAAAAGATGTTAAAAAGAATGTTACTCTAAGGGAAGAGTGGTATTTTCTACCTCATTGGTGAATCTTGGGCTAGTCCTACAGAGGCGGAAGGCAGCTCACAGCAGAGTTTGCTGGCCTCATCGCTTGCCCTCTGACAAATATCCTTTTCTCTGACAGAGCAGCTGTTAATTCATTTTGAGTAATGCTGACTGAGCTCACAGACCTAAAGTACAGACAACTTTGCTATTAACAGGAGGGTAGAAGTAAAGGGAATATAGGACAAACATTCATACAAAAAGCTGAAATATAAAAATTTAATCAAAATCAAAATCTGAAATACAAAAATTTACCGTAAAAACTGATCTGGGAATGATAGTTGATATAGGCTTTAAAAATATATTGGGTTGTTTAGGTTATAAAAAAATACATATTAATTGTAGAAGACATTGAAAAAAAGAAGAGTAGAAGAAGGGGAAAAGACTTTTCTACTACCTATACTCCATTATTAAGAGTTGGGGGGTATTTTATTTTTTCTCTTGGCAATGGTTCTTATGTCTGTTCATTTATTTTGTATAAGTATGGTCATCATATATATATATCTGTATTTTACATTTTAATTTTTATGCCAATGGTAAATATTTGTTGACTGAATAATACAGCATCTAAATTTCTGTGTAGTTTAGTGTTTTATAAACATAATTTTAATGGCTGCATAACAGTGTATCATGTGGAGATGGTATAGCTGGCTTAACCATCCACAAATTGGAATATTCAAGTTGTGGCTAATTTTTTACTATAATTAATAATTCCAGGTGGATCCTATCTATTAGACCATTGATGGTAAAACCAGGTTAATGGGGCCACCTTGTAAAAATTTATCTTAATGTAGGCAAGCTTACTACAGTTCCTGGGCACTATATATCACACAGGTCCTGTAGTGGGCTTGAGATAATACACAAATCAAAAAGACTGAATAAGACATGATCATTTTTATTTTCCAGTAGGGTAAATAATATGTCAGCAAAAAATTATAATGTTGGGAATCAGAGCCAGAAATGAGGCATGAAAACTATGCATGAAGTAACTCCTTGGAAAGTCACAAAAGGCATCTCTAAGGACGTAATAGATGAGACAGGTCTTGGAGGATAAGTAGGCATTTGCTCAGCAAAGAAGGGAGCTCTTAGATACAGCGAGAAGAGCTGTGGAAGATAAAAGGATGAATAGGAATTGGGGATTTAAGACCTAGTGAGGAATAAAGATATTTGAAAGAATATAAGGCAACATAAGATCAATGTATATGGAGGGCAACAAACAAAAAATGATAGTAGGTAAAGGAAGGGAGACATAACTTCCATTAAAATGTCACAGGGTTAGCTGAACTTCTAAGGATCCAGGTTTGTTAAGTGGTAGCAGATGGAGGAGAGGAGATGGGGAGAAGGACACACCAGGTGAGCAGGAGAGGCAGGAGCAAAGCTGGGGAGGGACACCTTGCAAGCTGTGTTTGGGAAACCAGCAGTGTACTTTGGCTGGATTTTATGTCAGGGTGTGCACAGAGGTAGGGTGGAAATAGTGCTATAAAGATGTTAGCCCCAGAGACTCTTAGAGAGTCTTTAGGTGAGATTAAGTTTGGGAATGGGAATATGAACCCAAGAAAAGATTTATAAAATAGGTGAGTGGCAGATAAGAACAGAATCTGTCCATAGATAGATGGGAAAAAAGTGATTGACAAACCAGTAAGAAAGTTCTTTTGGTGGTCTAGACTTGAAGTCATAAATACCTGAGCTGAAGTAATGACAGTAGCCTGGAAATAAAGAGGCAAATTCACGAGCTATTTCAAAGAAATAACTAATGGAATTGGCAACTCTTCAGGTGTGGTGAAAGAAGAGAAAAAAATGTCCAAGATGACTTCAACGTTCTGACCTTGAGTGGCTTGAGTGAATGGAGTTACAACTGTGCAGAAAGTGAGTTTTATGGAAACAACAAATGCAGTTTTGGTTTTGTTGAATTTGAGGTGCTGATGAGAGACCCATGTTCCACATAGTTCATTGGCAAATTGAACTGTGGAGCTTAGAGGATCTTATTAGTACCTTATCTAAAAGGTCCCATTATATGTGATTTATGGGACATCAGTTAGGATTAATAAGGAGCTCAGCAATTAAAAAGTTTCAGATGGGGGTCTTTATTTATTGAGCTATTTAAAAAATATGTAGATGTAAGCTAGAAATTAGAGGATTTTTGCCCCCAAGGAGATCTGTTTAAAATTCTTGGAAGTTTATCTGAACCTTTCAGTAGTGATTTTACTTTGCCAATGTGTAAAGGTTGCTGAATGCTAACAAATCAAGCCTTAAAGGTAATTGTTTGAAAAATCACTTTGGGCACACATGACATCATCTCAGACTCTTATGATAACTCAGATGTATGAGGGAATCAAAACCAGATGAGTTTAGTGGATTTGCAGATTACTCTCAAAGTTCTCAGCCCTCAGAGTTTTCCAGTTGAACAAATACTCTCTCTGGAAGATTATTTAAAATATTCAATGATTTACCTCTTGGCCTACTTTTGTTCTGAACTTAAGTGGAGGGTGACCAGAGGGCAACTCCACAGCATCAGATATGAGAAACATCAAACATTAGTGTTTATATCCATGCAGCAAGAAGCCATGGTGTCTTTCCCACTTTTTATTCATCAGTCACTTAAAATATTTTAAAATTTCCTCCAGAACTCACTGTTAAAATTGAGAAACTGGCAGTCAATCCAAAAGCTGAAACTTTGGATGATGCTTTGGAAATACCATTGTCATTTTAGATATTTGGATTTCCTCCCTTTTTCCCTTCCTCTCTTCCTCCTTCTCCTTCTCCCCCTCCTTCTCCCCCTCCCTCCTCCTCCTCCTCTTCTTTTCTCCTCCTTCTTCGCCTTCTCCTTCTTCTTCTCCTCCTCTTTTCCTCTTTCTTTCTCTTTCTCTCTTTCTTTCTTTCTTTCTGTCTTTCTCTCTTTCTTTCTTCTTTTTCTCTTTCCTCCTCTCCTCTCCTTTCCTTTCCTTTCCTTTCCTCTCCTCTCCTTTCCTTTTTTTCTTTTTTAACAGGGTCTTGCTCTGTCACCCAGGTGGGAGTGCAGTGGTGCAATCATGGCTCACTACACCCTCAACCTCTAGGGCATCAGTGCAATCCTCCCACCTCAGCCTCCTGAGTAGCTGGGACTACAGGTGTGTGCCAATGTTTTCCTTCAAGATTGTGAACATTTTGTTGTTTCCTTCCTACTCCTTGTCTTGTGAACCACCTTGAATCAGTGTGGCGACTACACAATATATATATAAGATATTCTTAAGAGGACATTGAATTACCTCTTCTAAGAAAATAATTATATTAATTCTTTTAATTCCGTAAATTGAATATATAGGTTCTAAAAAAATATGTTTTTTGAGTTTTGGATTGAAGTTTCTACTGGATATGTTTTATTATAAACGGAGGAGATTTATATATTTACTTATTAATGGTGATAACCTATTAATCATCAAATCACTCTTAAATACTGCATATTGTTCTTTACATAGGATCTGAGATACACTGGGGACTATGTTGTACAGAATGCATGATGAGAAAGAAGTATTAGTAGATATCAGTAACAGTCTGTCTTTTAAACAATGTTGATATAAAAACTTATTTTGCTCAGTTTCAGTCCAATTATTTGCCCCCCTAATTTGCCACAGCCTAGTTATTTTAAAATTAATTAATCTGAACTTTTTTTTTCTTCCATGTACCATATTGATTAGGATTCAGTAGAGAGTTTTGGATTTATGCACCAGTAAGGTAAATGAATAATAATAATATTTCAAAATAGAGTTGTCAGCAGCTAATTTTGCTATGTAAGGACATTGATCATTGATACGGAACTCTTGTAGTCATTGCTAGTGTTCACCAATGTTAGGTTCTCCTCTCCTTTTGGGGTACACAGGAAGACTATATTTGCCAGTCTTTTTTTCTATTTAGATAGGGCCATGCAATTGAGTTATGGCCAATGGAATATAAACAGATATGACTTGGCTCAATTTCAGACCAAGGCAATTAGAACCAGAGTTTTTTCTTCACTCTTTCTCCCTTCCCTCGTGCCTCTGGTTGAAGTGAATAACTCCAAGGTGGTGGATCTTCACAATAGATGTTGCCTGGATTCCTGAGTCACTACTTGGAGGTTATCTCCCTAGGAGAACTACCTACCTGTTCCACAATGGACTGTAATGTCAGAGAATCGCTACTACTAATTATGTAGTAAACTACTATTTAATAAAAGGAAGGGTGATTTAAAATCAAAATAAGTAAGAAGCATGCAATCTCCCAATTTCAAGAAATTGAATACATTTTTTTTACTGACACTGCTGACTGCCAAAAACATTGTCACTGCCTGGCATTTAGGCGACCCTGACATGGTAATTGAGGGCAGTGACTGGAGCAGACAGACCTGGGGTTGAGTCCTGGCTCTGTCACTTCCCACTTGTATGGCTTTAGCGTGTTACTTAACATCTCTGAGCCTCAATGTCTTTATTTGTCAAATGGGGATTATAATAATATCTGTAATTTAAGTTGGTGTCAGAATTAAATGAGACAACAAATGGCTTCTTGTAAGTGCTGGACGATTGTTGGTTATATAATCTATCTTGGGTTCAGAGAGGATCTTCATCTCATTTTTTCTCATGTTTCCTCAGACTTAATACTCACAATTTTTAATATTTTATAAACAGGAAATTAAAATATAAACATTTCAAAGTCCACTGAAATAATTTTCCTGACATTTTGGTAAGAAATTTCTGAAAATAGGAAACTTGCTGTTAGGAAGAGTTAAAAAAGATGATGAGGCTGATATATTGGGAATAGATGTTTGGGTTGTGAAGCTTTGGGTTAATTAAAGAAATAAAAACAGCAGTGATGTTATAGAATCATGTTCCCTAGCCTGGAACATGTCCATGAGCAAAGTGGGGTATTGATAGAGGCAAACAGAAGGTTCTGGTATGTTCTAGTGTATTCTACACAAAGTCATCATGGATGGATATAGATATAGCATTAAAATCATATAACTATATTTGTAAGAGGATAAATTTAAATTATGGATCAATAGGTAGATATTTTTTCTTTTTGGTAGATGTTATATCAGACTGGGCAAGTATAATTGCCTTACATATGTCTCTGGAACCATTTTGATTAGCATTGGAAGTAAAAAAAAAAAAAAAGATTACTTTGCATGATACTGTGTCCGTTTATTTAATCTTTAACATGTTCCCAATAGGAGACTTCTTTATTAACAACAATACTGGACCCTGGACCAATCAGACCAAGAATTCAGCCACACAACGCACTACATCTAGTTGCTCAGAGATTTTTTTTTACCTTACCATCTGACTCTGTAGTCATCTTATTATATGTAATGGAGTCTTAGTATAAGAAAAGGGATGAGGTCATAGTGATAAACATCATTTTCTGAAAATTTGCTGCAGGTAAACTTGCTTTAAAGAAATTCCTTTCCAGGAAGCACATGTCAAGTTATATACATTTTGAAAAAACTTAGAAATTTATAACTTTTTGATTTTGATTTGACTACATTATCAAAGTGCATTTTTTATATCTTGGAAATTTTTTGTCATTAAAGTATCATGTTACATGTGGTGAAATAGTATTTATATATAAAAAATACATATTTCTATTTCACCACATGTAACATGATACTTTAATGACAATAAACTAAAATTGATACATAAAATTTTAAAAATACAAACATATAAAATGCAAATATATATATAATTTTGGAGATGCTTGCTATTAACTTTCGAACATAACCACCCCTACTATTAGTCATGGTTATTAGCAATAGAGAAAACATAATTCAGTCTCCCTAGTTTAGGCAAAAGTGATATTTGATGAATCTATCTAGTTTATAGTATCATTGGAAGACCTGATAAACAGGTTATAACTTGAACCTACAAGCATAACTCCCTCAGTTCCACACATACCTAGATTTCCAAGCTAACTGCCACCTTCACCACAGTCAGGAAATAGCATATTTATCTCTGGAACTCTAGCTGCAAGAGAGTCTAGTAAATATAGTTCATGCCCCATCATCTGCAGTGCTGAAAGGCATGCTAGAGGGTTTTGAATGGAGATTGAGCCAATGACAATATCAGTCCCCCTGGTAATGCATGAAATGTGACAGACCCTTTAAAGAGGTAATTAGAGGTCACATCTTTTGTGTCTTATATAAGGAAATTGTCATAAAGTAATTGCCATTAACATTAGTTTCTTGATAATGAAAAAACATTTTTATCTAAGGGGAAAACTGAACAGCTGCAGAGAGCTGTAACTTTTATAGGAGATTAATCTATAAGAGAAGACAGCAAACTACAGCCTGTGTGTCAAATCCTACTTGCCACGTGTAAGTAAAATTTCTTGGAATATAGACATACTCATTCGTATATGTACTTGTCTATGCCTGATTTCATGCTGCAATGGCAGAGTTACATAGAACCACAGAAATCATTTGACTCACAAAGCCCCAAGTATTTGCTATTTGGCCCTTTACAGAGAAACTTTGCAGACCTCTGATCTATAACCCCATTGTATAGTCTTGTAAAAACTCATTGAAGTTAATACTGAGTAGTGATCTTATGAAATAATATTGGTGAATTTTTATATTTTAATATTTTTTTATTTTATATGGGTGAGGTCAGTGTGCCAAGAATACACACACACACACACACACACACACACACACACAATCAAAATAAAACAAAAAGCATGCCATACTTGCAACTATGGAAAATCAAGTTGAGAAATTTGGAGTTCTAATTATGTTTTTATACAAGAATCCCCTAGATTTGATGTTTATGCATAACTGGGACTATCTTTTTAACAGATTTTTGTATGATTTTCCAAGCCAAAATTCTCTCATTTGTTCACTGGGTCACATGACAAGTTAACTGATTCTGACAGCCTCTTTACAATAGGATGCTAGAAGTAACAAAGTCAACTAGGTGACTGTCATCAAAGTACCAAAAAGAGGACAAAAGATTGTGTCCGGTTGACTTAAAATGATGAGCTTGATCATCTAATTTTTCGTGGCTCTCTTGAGCAATATAGTGTTGTTGTTTTTTCAAAACAATTTCAACCAGAGTATCAATCTCCATTTGCTTCTGCTAAATTATTAAAAACTACATCCCTTCCCTTCATTTTTGGAGTAAGATATGGCTATGACTGATCACTTATGTATGTGTAGACTTGGCATATCCATCGTGTAATTTTTTACAAATTCCTCCAATTTCATGAAGTGGCATCTTACTCCTATTGAGAGCATTCTTACCTGCAGTTAAAGAGTTGGTGAGCAAGAAAGGCCATGTAACACACAGATTAAAAAATAAGCAAAATTCCTGGGCATCCTACTGTTTGTAAGACCCTTGTTTCTCACCCATAAGCAAGGATACTTTCTTCCTTTTTAGAAGGACATTAGATAAATTGAGGGCATTTGGGGACACTATTGGATGGAATAAACCATGTTCCCATCTTGGGTTGGAAAAGAGACTGTTTCCTTCATCCTGTTTCCTTCATCATTCTTATGATGACTAAGTCTTTTTATAACCCATCTGTGCCATTGAGGGGCCGAATTTGGCCCAGTTGGGGATTTGGCCAAGGAAAAGGTATGTTACTGGGTCTGTTCTTCCCATAATTCAATTGAATTTCTTGTTTGCAAATTCTGGCCATTTTCTGTACTGCTGGGAAAGATGATTAGAAGAGTATGTGTTCTGGAAGCTGTGGACATTCTATGCTCTCACTCAGCTCTAGCTTCATATTGGAGTGAGGGGGAGAGTTAGTGGGAGAATTTTCCTCCTTTTTGGCTCTATTTGGCGAATTATTTCACATTCAATAAATGGAAGGGGAGAATCGAGGCCTGAGTAATTGACAGTGAATAATGGTTACATGCAGCGAATAATTATCAGGACAGTATTAGAGTAAGTAACAAGAAAAACAACTGGCAAAACATATGGGATCACACCACAGTAGCTGTGAGAGCAATTTTCAGCCTTCTATAAATTTCAAGATCGTTTTGAATGTCAACAGTTACGGTTTTCTGGTTGGCCCTGAAAATAAAGCTTCCACATAGAACCTTCTGTATCCCATCCTCCAGTTACTTTAATCCCTTGTTGCTTACCTAATCTTTTCTTCAGTTGTTTAGCAGCTAACTTCCAGATATCATTTGGCTGTGCCCCACCAAATCTCACCTTGAATTGTAGCTCCCATAATTCCCATGTGTTGTAGGAGGGACCTGGTGGGAGATAATTGAATTATGGGGACAGTTTCCCCTATACTGTTCTCATGGTAGTGAATAAGTCTCACAAGGTCTGATGGTTTTGTAAGGGGAAACCCCTTTCACTTGGTTCTCATTCTCTTATCTGCCGCCATGTAAGACGTGCCTTTCACCATCTGCCATGATTGTGAGGCCTCCCCAGCCACGTGGAACTATGAGTCCATTAAATCTCTTTTCCTTATAAATTACCCAGTCTCGGGTATGTCTTTATCAGCAGCGTGAAAACAGACTAATACACTTCCACTTTCAGGAAAAGTGTGCCTAGAAATGTTAGCGTGGCAGAGATTTGCTGTATGCTCACCAAACTCATTTCCTCTTTCTGGCCACTCAACTAGACTGCCTTTCCCAGTCCACCTGCTTCTAGGTGGAGTTGTGTGAAGAATGCCAGAGGAAATGACGTAGCCACTCTAGGGCTGACCCAGAAAGCATCCTGTCCTATTCAATATATTCCCTCTCTTCCCCACTCTTTGTAGGTGGGTGATACAAGAGCAAATTTGTATTGAAGATGGAATAGATATTACATGAAAGGAGCCCTGATCCCTGAGTCACTATGGGAGGAGACGCACCCAATCAGAAATATGTGCTTTGAACTTTGCATAGTGAGAAATAAACTTTCATTGTGTTAGGCCACTTGGAATTTGGGGTTCTTAGAACAGTTAGTTTATCCCAACTAATACATTGAGCAGCTCACTCATCTGTGTTTGTGAACATTCATTATTCATCAGTTCATCATTAATGCAGGTGACTCACAGTTCACTTAACATAAGGAAAAGTCCTAAAACTATGGGATTGTTAGAATCACAAGGCCCTTTTGTTCTGGCGATGTTTGAATTAGCTTCTTCAGGGGCCATTGAACTAGTCGGTAATTGTGAAAGCCACTTTAGGAGATTGTTTAAGTGCAATCCATTTTGAAGGGAAGGTGATGGGGTAGCTTGGGTTTTCACTTCAGGTGCAATAATGCACAGTGTGTTGTGTTCTGTTGCAAGGTATAGCATAAAGGATTGTTAATAATGGTTAATGTGCTGAAGTTTCTGAGTTTTTAAATCTTTTTATTTTAAAATAATTACAGACTCAGAAGAAATTCCAAAAAGTATGTGAGGGTGTTCCATGGACCTCTTACCCTTGCTTTCTCCAGTAATGATATCTTGTATAAAAATAGAACACTATAAAACCAGGAAATTGACCTTGGTACAATCTATAGAACTGACTTAGATTTCACCACTTACACATGCACTGTTTGTGTGTGTGTGTGATTGCATGCAATTGTATCACATGTGTAGCTCATGTAACTACCACTCACAATCAAGATGCAGAACTGTGCCATCATCACAAGAATGCCTCATGCTAACCCTTCACAGCCATGCCTGCATAGCCACGCCCTTCACAGCCATGCCTGCACTCCAGCATTCTCTCCTCCCATTTCCTAACTCTCATTTGTTCTCCATCTCTATAATCCTGTGATTTTGAAAATATTATATAAACAGAATCGTATTGACCTTTTGAAATTGACTTTTGCCACTCAGCATAATTCCCTTGAGGTCTGTATTTGTTAGGGTTCTTCAGAGAAACAGAACCAATAGGTTATATAGGAAGGAGATTTATCATGAAGGGCCGGCTCACATGATTATGGAAGCTGAAAAGTCCTACAATCTGTGATCTACAAATGGGAGGCCAGAAAACTGGTGGTGTAGTTCCAGTCTAAACCCATGGTCCAAGAACCACAGAAGCCAATGGTGTAGGCCCCAGTCTGAGTCTCTCTGCAGGCCTGAGAACCAGGGAATGGATGGTGTAAGCCCCAGTCCTAGTCTGAAGGCCTAAGAACTGGGACTGCCAATGACTGAGGGCGAGGAGAGGATGGATGTCCCAGCTCAAGCAGACAGAGAGCAAATTCACCCTTCCTCCACCTTTTTATTCTATTCAGGCTCTCAATGGATTTGATGATGCCCACTAACATTGGTGAGAATGGCTATTCTTTACTCAGTCTACAATTCAAATGCTAATCTGTTGTGGATGTGTCCTCACATACCCAGAAATAATGTTTTCCCAGCTATATGGGCATTGCTTAGCCTAGTCAAGTTGATACATAAAATTAACCATCATGAGTCCACCCTTGTCAACTTGGCACCCATATGCATCTCCTTAAACCATGCTTAATTACCAAGTAAAGAAAATAACAAGGTCATAATTCTACCTAACAGGATTCAACTGCCCTGCATGCAACTAAAAATGCACTAATCTCTTTCCCAGAAGAGGAGGTAAAAATCCTTGAGTAATGTTTACTCTTCTCTTGACATCTCATCATTTAAATACTATAATGTAAAGTTAACAGTACTTAAGTACTGATATAAAGTCAATACATTTTATGTAACATGATAAGGGAATAAGAGAGGAAAGAAAACAAAAGTATTTGCTTAATGCATCTATCTACACAAACACACACAAACATATTCATAACAAAATAAGGAGGAGATACTCATGACAATTACCATCCTCATTTCTGTGACTGGCCGCGTGGCCACAGCTGATATTTATAATCACATTTTTCTACTACCTATTCAGTATTCTCTTTGCCTTTAGCAAGCACCTCAGTGGTCATGGTTCTTTACTTGATGGGGTGACCCAAACCTTTGTTCCTGAAGGGTCTGGGCCATTAGCATTCCTGTATGGATTAGGTTGTTCTAGTTTCTATTGACCTTAATCATAGGGCATGGTAATACTAAGAGATGCCCTAAGGGATTGCTTTTATTCCAGACATATTCTTCTTTTTTTTTTTTAAATTATACTTTAAGTTCTAGGGTACATGTGCACAATGCGCAGGTTTGTTACATATGTATATATGTGCCATGTTGGTGTGCTGCACCTGTTAACTCGTCATTTACATTAGGTATATCTCCTAATGCTATCCCTCCCCCCTCCCCCCACCCCACGACAGGTCCCAGTGTGTGATGTTCCCCACCCTGTGTCCAAGTGTTCTCATTGTTCAATTCCCACCTATGAGTGAGAACATGCAGTGTTTGGTTTTCTGTCCTTGCGATAGTTTGCTCAGAATGATGGTTTCCAGCATCATCCATGTCCCTACAAAGGACATGAACTCATCCTTTGTTATGGCTACATAGTATTCCATGTGCCACATTTTCTTAGTCCAATTTATCATTGATTGACATTTGGGTTGGTTCCAAGTCTTTGCTGTTGTGAATAGTGTCACAATAAATGTACGTGTGCATGTGTCTTTATAGCAGCATGATTTGTAATCCTTTGGGTATATGCCCAGTAATGGGATGACTGGGTCAAATGGTATTTCTAGTTTTAGATCCTTGAGGAATCACCACACTGTCTTCCACAATGGTTGAACTAGTTTACAGTCCCACCAACAGTGTAAAAGCATTCCTATTTCTCCACATCCTCTCCAGCACCTGTTGTTTCCTGACTTTTTAATGATCACCATTCTAACTGGCATGAGATGGTATCTCATTGTGGTTTTGATTTGCATTTCTCTGATGGCCAGTGATGATGAGCATTTTTTCATGTGTCTGTTGGCTGCATAAATGTCTTCTTTTGAGAAGCATCTTCTCATATCCTTCGCCCACTTTTTGATGGGGTTGTTTTTTTCTTGTAAATTTGTTGGAGTTCTTTGTAGTTTCTGAATATTAGCCCTTTGTCAGATGAGTAGATTGCAAAAATTTTCTCCCATCCTGTAGGTTGCCTGTTCACTCTGATGGTAGTTTCTTTTGCTGTGCAGAAGCTCTTTAGTTTAATTAGATCCGATTTGTCAATTTTGGCTTTTGTTGACATTGCTTTTGGTGTTTTAGTCAGGATGTCCTTGCCCATGCCTATGGACATACTCTTCTTTACCTCCATTGTGGAGCAGTAGTCCAATTTTCCCTTGGTAGTGAATGTAAATCACTCCAGACAACATCATAGTTCCCTTCTTGGTCTTTTGACTCAGACACATGAGGAACCCAAAGTGGCCAGGCAGAAGTCTTAACTTCCAGGTCAAGGAATCACTCACTGTTGTGTCTTCTGAAGAAAACATTCCTCCCTCTGGACCTGTAGACCTGCATGCAGAACATTAAGTCTTGGGAATAGGAAGCAAACATTTTGCTAGTGGATCACTAGAGGTAATAATGAGTGAGAACACTCCCGTTTTTACCTGTTGAATCCTGGCTGTGGAAGAAACAGTGTCATATACTGGATACTGATTCAGAGCATATACTGCCTTCTGGAGGGCCTTGTCCTAGCCCAGCAAGGTTTTGCCACCTAGTTGATGCTGTATGTAGCTAAATCTTCACAAGCTCTTTCCACGGTTCTATCAGTCAAATGCTTTAGAATAGTGGGGAACATGGTAGGAGCAGTGAATCCCATGAGCATGAGCCCATTGTCACACTTCTTTGGCTGTGAAGTAAATTCCTTGGTCAGAAGCAATGCTGTATGGAATACCATGACAGTAAATAAGTCATTCTATAAGTCCACAGAGGGTAGTTTTGGTAGAAGAATTGCATTCAGGGAAGGCAAATCCATATTCACAGTGTCTATTCCAGTGAGAACAAAAACAATGCCTCTTTCATAATAGAAGTGGTCCAATGTAATCATCCTGCAACTAGGTAGCTGGCTGAACTTTTCAGGGAATGGTGCCATATCAGGGGCTCATGGTTGGTCTTGCTTGTGCCATATTCAGCCCTCAGCAGTGGCCATAGCCAGTCAGCTTTGGTGAGGGGAAGTCCATGTTGCTGAGCCTATGAATAACCTTGCCACCAGGGCCACTGTGTTCATGAGCCCATGGGCAATGACTGGGGTGGCCATCTGTCAGTGCTGTCAGTCAGGGCCTAATAATCCTTGCTGCCAGGACCACTGTGTTCATGAGCCCATGGGGCAATGACTTAGGTGGCTGGGGAAGGAGGCTGACTTTTATCCAAGAGTGGGTCATTTTATCCATCTGATTATTAAAATTCTCCTCTGCTGAGGTCACTTTTGGGTGAGCATTCACATGGAACACAAATATCTTTTTGACTTTTTTTGCTCATTCTGAGAATTCTAAGAGTCCTATCCACGTACCTCTTTCCCAGATTTCTTTATCACCAATTTCCAGTCATGCTTCTTCCAAGTCCCTGACTATCCAGCCAAACCACTGGCTTAGCCCATGACTTGGTGTATAATTGCACATCTGACCATTTCTGTTTTCAAGAGAAGTGCACAACCTGGTGCACTGCTCAAGGTTTTGCCCACCGGGAAGATATCCCTTCACCACTGTCCTTAAGGGATGCCCCAGAAAGGGGTTACAGTACTTTTGCTTATGGTTGATACCTGCATATTGGGCAGAACCATCTCCATGCCAGGCCCAAGTTTTTTTTTTTTTTTTTTTGTCAGCTGATCATAGGGAACTCCATATGCAGCCATAGATGCAGGCAGGGAGAGATAAGGCAGTGTAGCAGGAGTGGGGACTGTGGGCATTTGGGCCACTTCTTCATGTAGCTGATTTGTGATTTCATTGCATGCCCAGCCTAATCATATTACTTCCATCTGACAATGGAGTGCTGTCGTGCATGCCCAATGCCACGGCTTGGTGGGTCTTAAAATACCCAGTCCATGATGGGCGGCTCAGGTAGTGTGGTCATTTGATAGCCCATGCTCATCTGTTCAGTCTCCACTAAGGCCTGGTAGTAGGTTAAGAGCTGTTTATCAAAAGAAGAACAGTTATCAGCAGATTATGGTAGGGCCTTGCTCCAAAATCCTAAGAGCCTGTGCAGCAATTCATCTACAGGAGCCTGCCAAAGGCTCCAAATAGCATCTCTATCTGCCATTGACCCTGCAAGCACCATTAGATCTGCTGGATCTTATGGCTTAAGTAGCAGAGTAGCTCACACAGAAGCCAGGACCTTTTGCAGAGCCTTCTCTTGTTTTGGGCCCCCACTCAAAACTAGCAGTTTTTCAGATCCCACATAGTAAATGGGCCAGAGTAACACACCCAAATGAGAAATGTGTCTTCAATGTTTGAAGAAGTCCACTAGGCATTGTTCCTCTTTCTTGCTTGTAGGAAAGACGAGATGCAACAACTCATCTTTTACCTTCAGAGGGATAGCTTGACATGCCCCATACCACTGGACCCCTAGAAGTTTCACTGAAGTAGGAGATACCTGATTTTTAAAAATTTATTTTAAATGAGAAATAAAAATTGTATATATTTATAGTGTAAAACAAGATGTTTTGATAAATGTATACATTGCAGAATGACTAAATCATGCTAATTAACATATCTATTACCATATGCTTAACATTTTTTTGTGGTGAGAATACTTAAAATCTATTCTCTTAGCAATTTTCAAGTATACAATATATCGTTTTTAACTATAGTCACCATGCTCTTGAATTTATTCCTTCTGTCTAACTGAAATTTTGTAACCTTTGACCAACATCTCCCCAATCTCTGTGCCCCACCCCAACTTCCAGCCTCTGCTAACCACCATTCTACTCTCTGCTTCTATGACTCCATCTCTTTTAAATTCCACGTACAAGTGAGATCCTATGGTATTTGCGTTTCTGTACCTGGCTTATTTAACATAATGTCCTTCAGACTCCTCCATGTTGTGGCAAAAATGACAGAATTTTCTTCTTTCTAAAGGCTGAATAGTATTTCAGTGTATGCATATATACCACATTTTTGGGTTAATTTTATTTTTTTTAATTGGCAAATAATTGTTCATATTCCTGGGGTACATAGTGATGTTTTGATACATATAATATATAGTATAGTGATCTGATCCAGGTAATTAGCATATCCACAATCTCAAGCATTTATTTTGTTGTGTTGGGAAGGCTCAGTATCCTCCTTCTAGCTATTTTAAACTGTATCATCTATTATTGCTAAGGATGGTCGTCCTACAGTGGCATGGAACACTGGAACTCATTCCTCCTATCTAGTTGTAATTTTGTATTCTTTAACAGACTTCTCCCTATTCCTATCCTCCCCTTTCCTTTCCTTCCCAGCCTCTCATATCCTTGTTCTATTTTTTACTTCTATGAGATCAACTTTTTTGAGCTTCCACATATGAGTGAGACCAGGTAGTGTTTAACTTCCTGTTCCTGGCTTATTTCACTGAACATAATGTCCTCCAGTTCTATGCATGTTGCTGTGAATGACATGATTTCATTCTTTGTTTATGGCTGAATGGTATTCCATTGTGTGTGTATATATATGTATATATCCCATTTTCTTTATCCATTCATCTGTTGTTGGACACCTAAGTTTATTCCATATATTGGCTATTGTGGATAGTTCTGCAATAAACAAGGAGGTGCCGATGTCTCTTCACTATAATGATTTCCTTTCCTTTGGGCAAATTACAAGCATTGGGATTGCTGGGTAATATGGCAGTTCTACTTACAGTTTCTTGAGGAACTTCTATACTCTTTTCCCTAATGGCTGTACTAGTTTATATTCCCACCAACAGTGTAAAAGAGTTCCCTTTTCTCTGCATCCTTGCCAACATTTGTAATGTTTTTTCTTTTGATAATGAATAAATCAAATTATTTAAAAATCCAAAAGTAATTTAATAATTAAATTAAATTGAATTAAATAATTTCTGGGTTTTCTATTTGTTCAATTGGTCTATGTGTCTGTTTTTACGTCAGTACCATGCGCTTTTGATTACTATAGCTTTGTAGGAGATTTTGAAATCAGGTAGTGTGGCGCTTCTAACTTTGTTCTTTTTGCCCAAGATTGCTTTGGTTATACTGGGTCTTTTGTGTTTCCATGAAAAGTTTAGAATTTTTTCTCTATTTCTATGAGCAAATGTCATTAGAATTGTGATGGGGGTTGCACTGAATCTGTAGATCATGTTGGGTACTATAGGTATTTGAACAATATTAGTACTTCTATTCCATGAACACAGTGTATTTTTCTAATTATTTGTGTCTTCTTCAATTTCTTTCTTTCTTTCTTTCTTCTTCTTCTTTTTTTTTTTTTTTTTTGACGGAGTCTCACTCTGTCATCCAGGCTAGCATTCAGTGGCGCGCAATCTTTGCTCACTGCAACCTCTGCCTCTTGGGTTCAAGCAATTCTCCTGTCTCAGCCTCCCAAGTAGCTGGGATATTACAGGTGCCCACCACCATGCTTACCTAATTTTTGAACTTTTAGTAGAGATGAGGTTTCACCATATTGGCCAGGCTGGTCTTGAACTCCTGACCTCAAGTGATCCACCTGCCTTGGCCTCCCAAAGTGCTAGAATTACAGGTGTGAGCCACTGTACCTGGCCATCTTCTTCAATTTCTTTAATCAATGTTTTATAGTTTTCAGTACACAGATCTTTCACCACCTTGTTTAAACTTATTCCTAAGTATTTATTTTATTTAATGTTTTTGTAGCTTTGTCCGGTAGTTCCTGAATTAACTGATTTTCAGAATATTACATAAATGGAATCAAGTAGTAGTTGACCTTTTGAGATCAACTTTTATCACCTAGCATAATTCCCTTGAAGTACATCCAAGTTGTTGTGTATATCAATAGTTCATTTTTAAAATATTACTGAATAGTATTCCATTGTATGGATGTACCATGGTTTGTCTAACCATGCGTACATTGACAAAGTTAAGAATTCTCTCAATTTTGGGCTATAATGAATAATGCTGCTCTGACCATTCATGTATAAGTTTTTGTGTGAATGTAGCTTTTAATTTTTATCTGGGATGAATGTTCGAAACTGCAGTTGCTGGGCTATATGGCAAGTGCATTTTTAGTTTTAGAGAAAACTATCAAACTGTTCTTCAAAGTGGCTGAACCATTTTACATTTTCACCAACAATGTATGCATGGCCCAGTTTCTCCGCATCATTGCCAACATTAGATGTTAATATAATTTTCACTTTAGCCATTCTCAGAGGTGTGTTGTAATATTGCCATTGTTATTTTAATTTTCCCCAGTGATTAGTGATGTTGAACACTTCTTTGTGTGCTTATTTACTGTCTACTTATTTCCTTTTCAATGAAATAACTGTTCATGTCTAAGTACATTTTTTCATTGAATTGTTTGTTTGTTTTTTATGTTGAGATTTGAGAATTCCTTGTAGAAACACAGGTTCAAGATATAGCTTCCTTTTTTAGTTATGTGGTTTGCAAATATATTCTTCCACATTGTCATTTGATTTTTAATCTTCTCAGTAGATCTTTCATAGAACAGACATTTTTAATTTTGATGAGGTGTAGTTTATTAATTTTTTCCTGTGGATTATACTTTTTTGCATCAAATCTAAGAACTCTACCTAGCCCTAGGCCCCAAACATTTTCTTCCATGACTTTTTTTTTGAAATATTCTATAATTTTACATTTAAGTCCATGTTCCATTTGGGATAAATTTTTGTATGAGCAGTAAAGTGTAGGTTGAGCTTATTATTGCTATTTTTGCTTTTGAACATATAATTATGTAAATCCTTTTTGTATATAAAGAAATGACAGCAGTCAATTGTACCATTCATGATGCTCCCTTACTTGTGTTTTTGTAAACTTTCTTGAATGGGAGACAGGAAGATGGCATGGAGCTACAGCTATGGTATCTATTTATGTGCCTACCTATCAATAAAATTTTGTGTCAGCAGAGGGAAAGGGCTTTAAACAAGCAAGCATAAGCCAAATAATCCTGCAGACATGTTTGTCCCACACAGTGTTCTAAAAAAAAATCTTGAGCTGACTTAAAACAAATTTGAAGATTTAATATGCAAATGTAGATCTACAAATTCTTTTTAAAAATCAGAAGATTCAGTGATAGTAGCTCCACATTCCTGTCTGGCAACCATGTCATTGCCTGGAGCTGCTTGCTTCTTTAGAGAAGACATGCTCTCTCCAGTTCACTACAGTCTCCACCAATCCTTGCTGACCCCCCAACACTGAGACCCCTTTTCAGTGTCACCTCTCATTATTGTTTTCCTTGCATTATTGCTTTAGTTGTCCAGTGCTTGTTTCTATGTGGTGCTCTCATCATTCCCTTTAAATCCTCACATTTGTGACCTCCTTAGGTTTCTCTTCTTGGCCTGTCATTCTTTATTTCCTTCCATTTCTCCTCTCTCTCTCCTTTACTCTGTTTTTCTTTGATTATTTATTTAAGCCCATTAATTGTTGATTGGTAGTGAAGTGTCACCGAGAGTGGCCTATCACTGGGTGTTCCTAGGCCCTGTAACATCCTGACCCTACAGGACTTCCAGTCATTTTGAAGGCCTAGCATGCAGCATGCAATTTGTGAGTCGTGGGCTTCCAACACAGAAGTGGTGGTAGAGTGCAGAGAATACCCACTAGATCTGTGATTTTGAATAACCTGTCATGCTTTAGTCCTTAAGTTGAGTGCCTGCCCTTCTGAGTTGGGCCACTGAGCTCAGTCATAAAAGCATAAGTGATAGCATCTGAACTATAATTATTCTAAGTCACACTTAAAGTCATTAAAAAAAAGTTGGCTTTTGACTAAGGATGACTCATGGCATCCTGGAGCGTGAAGGCCAAGAAAGAGCAATACCAAAGGGTGGGAGAGTTCAAAATCTTCTGGGAAAACCTAGGTCAGGGAATGTCGGACTTGGGCTCCAACACCTTCTCTCAAACCCCACAAATCATTTTTTATTTGATTTGAGAAAATGATAACATGATAACCATCTTGAGCACAAGATGGCAGTCTTACTTCTGCTTCACTGCCTTTGGCTGTCTGGAGAGAAGTGATAGGAAACAGAGCGGAAACAAAACTGCTTGTGTTGCTGAGAAATATTGAAAAATAAACAGTAATCAAGAAGAGTGATGAGGGAAGAAAAGAGATGGAAAATACATGCAAGTGTTTTTGAGTTTTGTTTTGCTTTGTTTAGAACTTGGCTCTGCTCAGTCTTGAGTCTCTGTGCTAAATACATGTAGGCTGGAGTCTCACGTGTATGTTTCAGCTCTGATCTAGATAGAGCAAAGACCCTAGCAGACACAGGGGATGCAGAAGGAAATCTAGACACCATATGTTCTAGCGCAAGGTAGGCAATGGGTCCAGGTACTTGGACGGAGCAAGTCTTGGGCTAGGCTATGATAACCTCTTTATAGTATTTCTTATGAAACTAATAAAATGAAAAACTTTCTTTTTTATGCAAAGACTTATGCCATACTCTGGCAAGCATATAGACAGAGTTCAACTCATAGGTAGATATTAAAAAGAAGAGTGAAAGAGACTCTTGCTCTCTCTCTCTCTCTTTCTCTTTCTCTGGTAGCCACTGAAAGCTAACTACACTGGAACACTCTCATTTCTGCAAAGAAAAATATCATATCCCAGGATGAAAAGGAGGAGGAAGAGGAAAGGCTAACTTAACAAGAAGCTCTTTGACATTCTTGAATTAGACACCCAACGTAGTCCACGCAGTACGGAGGTAATTTGGTCCTTATGGCCAGCCCTAAGATTGTGTCAAAAACACCAAAGAAAAGGAGGCTAGAAGGCTGCTGCTGCTCCTGGGGTAAGGTGAGGTTACTCTGTGCCTTGCCACTTTTCCCGATGGCCAGCTACAGGGCAGTGCCTTTTATAGGCACAGAGGTACCATCTCAGCTCTCTGTCATTCCTTCCATACTAAAAAACATGGGCTAAAGTGACACTTTCAATCCTTGTTGAAGTGATATTAAGCCTTCATTGTATGACTTTCTTCACTCACAAAATGAGGTTAATAAAGGTAATACAACCATTTTTGGGAGGCAACATCCTTCACATGGAGAAAGTTTCAGGGCTGGGCACAGTGGGTCATGCCTGTAATCCCAGCACTTTGGGAGGCCAAGGCAGGCAGATCACTTGAGGTCAGGAGTTCATGACCAGCCTGGCCAACATGGTAAAGCCTCGTATACTAAAATTACAAAAATTAGCCAAGCTTGGTGGCACGTGCCCATAGTCTCAGCTACTTCAGAGGCTGAGGCAGGAGGATCCCTTGAACCCGGGAGGCGGAGGTTGCAGTGAGGCGAGATCCCGGCAGTGCACTCCAGCCTGGGTGACAGAGTGAGACTCCACCTCAAAGAAAAAGGAAACTTTCAGACTTAAAGTTGCGGACATTCAAAGACAATATCTAATTAGTCATCCAAGAGCCTCGTGAGATAGAGTTTTGTTAAATGTAGAGTTGCAGGCACAGAAAGGCAAATTGGTAACCTAACACCACACTATGTCTTTGTTCCATAAACAACCTTGTGATATTTCTTCGAATAATATTTATTCATTTATTTAGAGAACAGAATCCAAAGGACAGTGGAGATTTAGCACCAGAGGCAGTGGCTGATAATCTTTGATAACTTTGGGGTTGTGAGACCACTGGCAGTGCTCTCAGGATATCCTCTCCCAATCCAAAATGTACTGAGTGACACATCTTTTCAAATTTAGGTTAAAAAGAATTGATGTTTTAAAGTTGTATTTTGAGGATCTGATACTCTTTTAAGATTGTTAGAAATATTCTGGACTACTGAAAACACAGAATTAGCTATAGGAGTAGCTCCTGCCCTCAGAAGCTGAATTATATTTGGGGACTGATTTTTCTATTCTATATATGTCACTTGAGAGGCTAAGAGGAAACAGAAGGCAGGAGGGCTTCTCTCATTTCCAGCACCTTCTCCTTAATCCATAAGAAATCTTTCCCCATGCACAGAAGATGTCTCCCAGGTGGTAGAGAAGGTTTACTGAAACTTTTGAAGAGCAGTGGGGGGAAGGTCAAAGGTGCAATTTCTGTATTTGCAAAGAAACAGGGCTTGCAGAATCTCTAGGGCTTCTAAACAGAAAAGAGGTATTTTTATTACAAGACATGAGGTCAGTCAATTGATCACAGAGGTGTTTTTTTTTGTTTTGTTTTGTTTTTGTTTTTTTTTTTGAGAGAGAATGAGGGTCTGTCACTCTGTTACCCAGGCTGAAGTAGTATAGAGGTGCGATCTCAGCTCACTGCAACCTCCTCCTCCCAGGCTCAAGCGATTCTCCCACCTCAGCCTCTGGGACTATAGGCAGGCACCACCACACCTGGTTAATTTTTGTATTTTTTTTTGTAGAGATGGGGTTTTGCAATGTTGCCCTGGCTGGTCTCAAACTCTGGGACTCAAGCGATCCACTCACCTCGGCCGCCCAGAGTGCTGGAATTACAGACATGATCCACCGTGCCCAATCCCACAAAGGTTCTTTAAGAAAGAGAAACTAATTAGGTGAAAAATAACAGAATATCAAGGAGTGGCTTCATTCAGCAGAATAATTTGTTTTCTGTTGTTTCTTCACTAGGATGACTTCAGAAGTGCAATTCTGATATGGACTTTGTCTCCCTAAGGCTTTCAGTTCCTCATATTTAGGATAAAACAGAAGTTTATGTAAAGCCAAGGGAGAGGGTCACCGGGAGAGGGAAGGAGGAACAGCAGAAGGAGAGGTCCACACATGAAAATACTTGGAAGCGCCCCAGGGCCTATCAGATGCAGGTCTTGGCGGAAATTACCAAACATACTTTAGACAGGCTGCTGTGTTGCTGAGTGTGGACTGGCCTCAGGGCCTGCTGATCAAAGCAAAAGGAAGCAGTGAAAAAAACATCACCATGTCTTCTTAGAGTCTAATCTGGGGGCAAGAGGCCAGCATGCACAGTTGGTGCTGATTTTCTTGGGCGGATAGAGGAAAGGTGTAGGCGTGGCCAACATTTGAGCAGCATGTGGTTCCTCTCACACGCCATGCTGTTTCCGGCCTCCTTGCATTTTACTCATGCCATCCTCCTGGTCACTTCTTTGAGATATTAAGTGCATTCTTTAGGACTCAGACTCAGCTCAAGGGTCAGTGCATCCATGAAGCCTTACCTGGATCCCAGAGGGAGCTCTGTGCTCCTCCTTTGTCTCCTATAGGACCCAGTACATGCGTCCAGTATTATCCATACACACTGAAATGATCTAGCATGTGTCTTCCCATAGGATTTCAAATTCTTAGAATATAGGAGTGATGCCTTCTTCCTACTTATATTTCCAGTGTTAACAGTGCCTGTCAATTGACTTGAAGATAACTAAAAGTCTGGTTGTTAAGGGCTGCTTCCCACCTCCAAATACTTCCCTGGAAGTCATTGTATGGGCACTGACATTGGTAGGTCTCCACTGGCTTGTAGATGCTTCTGATTATAAGGTAGTCTCAGATGCCTTCAGAAAGTTCTAAGACTGTATAAAACATTTCCTTCACAACCAATAACTGTGTATTATTGTTCGTGTAATTCCAGAAGTTATCCTTTTGATAGAGAGCAATTACTTTATTGATTGAGAGTTAGCTAATTATGTAATAAAGGTAAAGATTTGCATAGAGAAGTGTAAGAGACATGGAGAAGATTCTTGGTGGGTGGTGAGGGCGGGTACATTTACACCAGACCAAGACTGATCTGGCTGTGGCGCTGGAGATTAAACTGTTTAAATATGGGATCCTAAGAAGACTTCTGTGCATTCTAGACTTCAAGAGACAGATTGCATTTTTTTTTAGGAAATGTAGATAAAACCCTTTGACTGAATGACTCTAGAAAATAATACTGATTTGAGAGAGAAAGGAAATTCTAAAACAAAATCCTGACAGCAGAGGCATGAATGATCCTCATGAGGAAGAAATGAGACTCTGCTTAACTACACTGTAGATTTTGGTGTGGAAGAAGATGGAAGGTGGGTATATAGCCAAATTTTGAATACAATAGGGCAGCACAAAACTGTGACAACAGTGGCAGAAGGACTGAAGTACAGAATGTGTGAAAGTTGTTGTGAAATAAATAGAGAGCAACAGAAAAGGACTATTTGGGCTGGGCAATGGTAATCCCAGAACTTTGGGAGGCTGAGTCAGGTGGATCACCTGAGGTCAGGAGCTCAAGACCAGCCTGACCAACATGGTGAAATCCCATCTCTACTAAAAATACAAAAAATTAGCTGGGCCTGGTAGCGGGTGCCTGTAATCCGAGCTACTAGGGAGGCTGAGTCAGGAGGATCACTTAAACCCAGGAGGCGGAGGTTTCAGTGAGCCGAGATTGCACCATTGCGCTCCAGCCTGGGCGACAAGAGCAAAATTCCATCTCAAACAAAACAAAACAAAACAAAAAGAAAGAAAAAAGAAAAAAAGGACGATTTGAACCAGGCTTAGAGTAAGAAGGATGAAGTGACAAGACCAGAGTTTGGGCAGATGGTGAGACATTAACAGATAATAGAGACAAAGCAGTATTTTCTACCTCTTATTCTGTGTCTTTCTCTGGCGAGGAAAAGGATTTTTCCTTTAGAAATGGTAGAGATAACGTGGTTAACAAGAAGTTGACATCTTAGTTGAGGGAGATCACATAAGAGATATCATAAGCTTATTTAAATGGCTGCAAAGATGATAAAGGTTATTACTGGGTTTGCTTATATGACTAAGGATAAGCTGCCGGAAATACTTGGAGAGAAAGATGGTACATAGAAGAAAGGAAGAGAATTTGTCTCAATTTTCCAAGAAGGAGCAAATTTGGGATCCAGAATACACCTAAATTACTGTTCATTCTGTTTTCTCAGACCGCCTCCACTTGCCTAGCCTACTCTTTCTCTTTTTGGGCTATTTTGTCCAATCTTTCCCCATCACTGGACAGGGAGTGGGTACAAAATGAGCCAGGTGGATTGTGGCTGGGTTTCATAGGGCTAAACTACAAAGGGGAATTTCTATCCAAGACAACTCAGTACACTAGGTCCTGAAAAGGCAGTTGAGATAAATCATTTGGAGAAGCTGATATTAAAGAAACAAGGTGTAAGGATCAAAAGGAACCAAAGGAAGAAATGGAGTTACAGGTTTAAAAAGCTGAAATGCGGGTGGTAGGTTGACATCAGGTTAGAATGAGGTCTGAAGTTGGCACAAAAAATGAACTTCAGAATGACTACAAAGCAAAATAAAAACAAAATATTAATGGACAATACCAGTTTGGTCTTTATGTAATTGGGTATGTGGTGCATAGGTGGCTCAGGCTAAGGGTTAAGAAAGACATAGAATTCAGTTTGATGGATTCTTAGCTGGTTAGACAGTCACCTTCTATGTAAGGATGAATTAATTAGTTAAGAAATAGATGTCAGCATAGGCAACGTTTTTAGTTGAGTGTCTGGACCTGTCATGTTAAATATTCTTTATCACTGACTTAAATAGAAGCATGAAAGGCAAATATATTAGACCTGCAGGTGAAAAAAATATAAGAGGAACAGTTAAAATGTTGGATGGCAGACTTGAAGAAAGGATTCCATTTTCTCTACTTTGCCCCTGAGAGGTTAAAACTAGCATCAACGGAGGAGCATTTTTAGAGAGGCAGATTTAGGCTTACCATAAAATGGAACTTTCTTGCAATTAATGGTGTACAAAGATGAGATTAACTTTTTAATTTAATTTAATTTAACTTTATTTGAGATTGAGTCTTGCTCTGTGGCTAGGCTGGAGTGTAGTGGCGTGATCTCGGCTCACTGCTTCCACCTCCCAGGTTCAAGTGATTCTCCTGCCTCAGCCTCCCAACTAGCTGGGACTACAGGCGTGCGCCACCATGCCCAGCTAATTTTTGTATTTTTAGTACAGATGGGGTTTCACCACGTTGGCCAGGATGGTCTCGATCTCTTGACCTTATGATCCACCTGTCTTGGCCTCCAAAAGTGCTGGAATTACAGGCGTGGGCCACCATGCCCAGCTGAGATTAACTTTAATTCAACCAATATGTATTGAGCTCCATACATGATACTCTGCTAGATATAATGACAAATAAGAGAATTATTTGGCTGTAAGAGAATTTATGGCTAACTTCAGTAATAATCTGTAAAGTGCTTATTTCTAATATCCTGATTAAGGAAAGTTGCTGGAAGTGTTCAAGCCCAGACTAGGAACTGTATCTCCTTGTAAAGGAGATTCCTGCAAATGGTTGAAACGTTGTGCTCAGCCAGTTGGTTTCAAACTTGACTGTGAACCACGATAAGAAATACATTTACAACAAAATCCAGTACAACCTATAATAAAGTTTCATCAAACAATGTTGCCTTTATACCTTTGCTGTTTTCTATTCTAGCATTGTCTAGTCTATTCCGTTAGAAATATCCTAATAAAAGCCACTAAATTGACTTAGTAATGGGTTGCTACCCCAGTTGGAAGAACATTTTGAAGTAGGAGGTGGAACTTGGCTCCAGAGGTAAGGATTCGAACTTCAGGTGAGATTGAGTACTAGCTGAAATAGGGAAGAGGCCAAAGAGCCTCTCCATAAGACACACCCACCAATGCCATGTCAGTTTATCATTGTCATGGCAACACTCAGATGTTAACACTCATTTCCATAGCAACGACCTGCCGACCCAGAAGTTACCACTCTTTGTTAGAAATGTCTGCATAATCTGCCCCTTAATTTGCATGTAATTACAGTGAGTATATATATTATTGTAGACCCGCCCCTGAGCTGTTACTCTCTAACAGGCTGCCTTTGGGGTAACCCTGCTCTGCAGGAGCAGTCATGGAGCTGTAACATTGCCACCTCAATAAAGCTGTTTTCTTCTACCACCAACTCGTTCTTGAATTCTTTCATGAGTGAAACCCAGAACTTTTCTGGGCTAATTCCCAATTTGGGGCTTGACTGCAACAATTTGGTTAATCACCTGCAGAGGTCTGATATAATATAGTGCTTGTGGGTCTTTAAGTACATGGCACCATGTAGTTAAAAAGTGCATGGCCATAAAACTGTTCTTTGCATGAACTGTGATTGTCAATTGCGTTGAACTGGGAACACTTGACTGTCACAATAAATATGGGCAGAGTAGCACTGAAACATCATACTATACTTGTTCATTGAAGCATAAGTAAACTTCTTTGTAACAACTGAAGTTCTTTTGTGATGTGGTACTGTAATAGACTTCCCAGTCTGCAGAAAGGAAAGACAAGAAGAAATGGAAAGAAATAACTTTCTTCTAAAGAAATAATATTGAAATTGTACACATCACCTCCACTTAAATTCTCTGGTAAAAACTTAGTCAAATGGCCACACCTTTACTTCAAAAGAAGTTGGGAAATATAGTTGTTGACTGGGTGCGATCAAGTGTTCTATTACTCAAGAGAAGAATGGGAGAATGGACACTGGGGTTGTGGGACAATTAACAGGATTAAGTAATTGATTAAGCCATAATAGTTAAACCTTGACAAAACAGGACAACACGGGAGCAGGTATGGGTATTGACCTAGACTACCAACATGAACTAAGAAAATAATCCGGAGCTGACCACGAAACCTCGTCAGATGGATGGCCTGCAACTTAGATTTAAGGATCACCCACATGCCCGTGACTCCAGTTTTCTGAGGCTCTGTTGAATTTTCTCCATATGCTCTTCCTTTTAGGTGTTCATAAAAACTTTATAAGTCTGTGTTGACTTAGTATGTGCTGTGTATGACTAAAAGTACAAAAGTGGAAGATTTGGACACAGAGAAGAAAGGAAGTGGGATGAAACCTTGGGTTTGGCTGTGGTTCAGAGTGACCAGGTAGCATACAGTTCACAGACCATCTTAGGCAGAGGTGGGGAAAAGTGAGACCTTTACTCAGAGTTGGAGGATGTTAGGTAGAAAACAGTAGGAAACTGTATAAACTTCAAAAGAGGATGTTGGGGTGACAGGGAGCAAGTGTGGTGCTAATCATGAATATCAGCCTTTGGTTCCATGTGACCTGTGTTGAGTCCTCCATGCTCAAATACTCCCTCTTTTATGGTTGCCATGGTACCTGAAATTCCTTTGGATTACATCTTTTTCCCAGTGTCCTCCACTAAAATACAGACATTCTTGGGAAAATGAAGTGTCTGATGATGAACATTATTTGGATTGTGAACATGCTTGTAGATTCTGTTCCTTCCACTGACGGGAAGGACTCTAGAAATAGGATAACACCGGATCTAAAGGGGAAGAGGCAACGCAAAGAGGAAAATTAGGCATGGTATGGGTAAGGAGGCTGTAAGTTCCAAATAAGTATTCACAGGTTTCCTGGTCTTTTCTCCTCTTACCTCAAACTACCTCTCTATTTCCTCTAAGTTACTAATGTCGTGATTTGGTGTAAATACTTCTCTGTTTTTCTCCATAGTCAAACAAAACATATTCACAAATACTGGCTTTCTTTGTAGGCTCAGACTACATATTGTCATGTGAGATGCATTATTAATATATTGTGGATATGCCTCCAAGTCAATCTATATGAAACTCTTTTTTTCTTTTTTTTTTTTTTTTGAGACTGAGTTTTGCTCTTGTTGCCCAGGCTGGAGTACAGTGGTGCGATCTCGGCTCACTGCAACCTCTGCCTTCTGGTTTCAAGCGATTCTCCTGCCTCAGCTTCCTGAGCAGCTGGGATTACAGGTGCCTGCCACCATCCCCAGCTAATTATATATTTTTAGTAGAGACGGGGTTTCTCCATGCTGGCCAGACTGGTCTCAAACTCCTGACCTCGTGGTCTGCCTGCCTCAGCCTCCCAAGGTGCTGGGACTACAGGCATGAGCCACCACACCCGGCCCTATAAAACTCATCTTTAATTAGGCATGTACTGATGTAAAGAATAGAAGTACAGATCTGTATTCACTTAATGATGGAGACACATTCTGAGAAAGATGTCAGGTGATTTTGTCGTTGTGTGAACATCACAGAGTACACTTACACAAACTTAGGTGGTAGAGTCTACTATACACCTCAAGTATACATTATGGCCTATTGTTTCCAGGATACAAACCTGTACACTACGTTGCTGTACTGAATATAATAAGTAATTATGGCACAATTGTGCGTATCTAAGCACAGAAAAGGTGCGGTAAAAAGAGAGTATAAAAATAAAAAATGGTACTCCTGTAAAGGGCATTTACCATGAATGGAGCTTGCAGGACTGGAAGTTGTTCTGGGTGAGTCAGTGAGTGAGTGGTGAATGGATATGAGGGCCTAAGACATTACTGTGCACCACTATAGACCCTATAAACACTGTACACTTAGGCTACATTACATTTACAAAACATTTTCCTACAATAATATATTAACCTTAGCTTCCTCTGTTTTACTTTATACATTTTCTAATTTTTTAACTTTTTGACTCTTTTGTAATAACACTTAGATTAAAACACAAATACATTTTTGTACAGCTATACAAAAATATTTGCTTTCTTTATATTCTTATTCTGTAAGCTTTTTTCTATTTTTAAAATGTATCATTTTTTAAACCTTTTTTGTTAAAAACGAACACACAAACATCTACATTAGCCTCAGCCTAGAGAGGGTCAGGATCATCAATATCACTGTCTTCCACTCCACATCTTGTCCCACTGGAAGATCTTCAGGGGCAATAACATTCATGTCATCTCTGATGATGATAATGCTTTCTGCTGGAATACTTCCTGAAGGATCTGCCTGAGGCGGTTTTACAGTTGACTTCTTTTTTTAGTAAGTAGAAGGCACTAAACATGGTGGCTCACACCTATAATCCCAGCACTTTGGGAGGCCGAGGCAGGCAGATCATGAGATCAGGAGATCAAGACCATCCTGGCTAACACGGTGAAACCCCATCTCTACTAAAATGCAAAAAATTAGCCAGGTGTGGTAGCACGCACCTGTAATCCCAGCTATTCGGGAGGCTGAGGCAGAGGAATCGCTTGAACCCGGGAGGCGGAGGTTGCAGTGAGCTGAGATGGGCCACTGCACTCCAGCCTGGGCAACAGAGTGAGACTCGGTCTCAAAAAACAAACAAATAAACAAACAACAAAAAAAATTAGAAGGAGTACACTATAAAGTAACAACAAAAGCTAAAGTATAGTAAATACATAAACCAGTAACATAGTCATTTATTATCATTATCAACAATTATAGATGTACTATACATAATTTTACACACTATACTTTTATACAAATGACAGTGTAGTAAGTTTGTTTACTCCAATGTTAACCACAAACAGGTGAGTAATCCCTTGCACTACAATATTAAAATGGCTACAATGTCACTAGAAGATAGAAAATTTTCAGCTCCATTATAATCTTATGGGCCCACCATGGTATATGTAGTCTATTGTCGATGGAAGCATCATAATGGGACACGTGACTGTATTATAATTTATTGACTTGTTCCACTATTAATGGACATTCAGGTCCTATTTTTAGGTATGGGCCACTGTGTCTTCTATTTATTAAATTATGGTTTCCCCAGACTTTTTCAAAGTGTAAAAGAAATTACAGAGTAGGTACTTCTAAAACTAGAACATTACAGAATCTGAGTTTATTTAAAAATCTCCAAACTTTATAATAGCATTCTAAAATTGGAGGTTCTAAAGGAACTCCAGCAGAACAAGAAGTTGATGATTGGAGGATCTAGGTCAGCATTTCTCTTTTGTTTTTAGAAACAACTTTATGGAGGTATAATTGCTAATAAGCTAAACATTTAATAAGTTGATCAGATCGAAACCATCACCACAATCCATCCATCATCATAAAGTTTCCTTGTGTCCTTTGTCATTGCTCCCTCTGGCTCCTCCCTGCCTACTTCTCTCTTTCCTCGCCAGCAGTCACTGAGTTATTTTCTGTCACAATCTATTTGTTTGCACTTTTTTTTTGCATTTTTGTTGCATTTTCTTGAGTTTTATGATCCCATACAGTATGTACTCCTTTTTATCTGATGTTTTCACTTAGCATAATTATTTTGAGATTCATGCATATGACTGCAAGCTTTGTTCATTTCTTTTCATTGCTGAGTAGCATTCTGTTGTATGGGTATGCCACAATCTGTGTATTCATTCGCCTGTCAATGAATATTTGGATTATTACAGTTTTTACATATAAAGATAAAGCTGCTATGAACACTCACGTTCAAGTCTTTGTATGGACATATGCTTTCCTTTCTTTTAGGTAAGTATATAGAAGTAGAATGGTTGGATCACCTGGTAAGTATACGTTTAACTTTTGAAGAAACTTCTGCATTTCCAAAGTGGCCATACAATTTTACACTCCCAGTAGCAGTGTATGAGAGTTCCAGTTGCTCCACATTCTGGTCAACACTTGGTATGGTCAGTTTTTAAAAATTGTAGCCATTCCATGGGTGGATCACGAGGTCAGCAGATTGAGACCATCCTGGCTAACACGGTGAAACCCGGTCTTTACTAAAAATACAAAAAATTAGCCCGGGTGCGGTGGCGGATGCCTGTAGTCCCAGCTACGTGGGAGGCTGAGGCAGGAGAATGGTGTGAACCCAGGAGGCGGAGCTTGCAGTGAGCCGAGATTGCCCCACTGCACTCGGGCCTGGGCAAAAGAGTGAGACTCCATCTCAAAAATAAATTAAATAAATAAATAAATAAATAAATTTTTAGCCATTCCAATTAGTGTGTAGCTATCTCATTGTGGTTTTAATTTGCATTTCCTCAATGACTAATGCTGTTGAGCATCTTTTCATGTGCTTACATGCCAACTGCATATTTTCTTTGGTAAAGTATATGTTCAACACATTTACACACTTTTAAAATGTTGTTTATTATTATTCAGTTTTGAGAGTTCTTTATATACTCTGATATGACTTTATCAAATGTTCAGATATTTCTTACATTTTGTGGCATTTTTTTTCATTCTATTAGTGGTATCTGTTGAAAAGCAGAAATTGTTAATCTTTATAAAATCCAATGTATCTATGTTTTTCTATTTATGGGCTGTGCTTTAATTCTAAGTATTTTGTATTTTTGATTGGCTATTGTAATTTGTAGTTTTTAAAAAATTAATTCATGATTGTTGCTAGTATATAGAAATATATCTGATTTGTAAATAGTTATCTTGTATTATGCAAACTTGATAATTCATTTATTAGTATAAGTAGCTTTTTCATAGATTCTATTAAATTTTCTATACAGGACTCAACGTTGTATGTTTTAAAAAAGAACAGTCTAATTCTTCTTTTCCAATCTGAATACCTTTTATTTCTCTTTTTTTGACTTATTGAACTAACTAAAATCTTCAATGCAATATTGAGTAGAAATGGTGAAAGTGGATTTCCTTGTCTTTTAACTGCTTTTTGGAAAAACATCCCCTACCCCCACTACACTTTCTAGACTCTGGTAACCCTCATTCTCCCTCTGCCTCCATGAGGTCAACCCTCTGCCCCCATGAGATCAACTTGGATTCATGAGACAAACTCCACTTACTCATGATGTTTTTGGATGTGCGATGTATTGTTGAAATCAATTTACTGAAATTTTGCTTAGAATGTTAGCACTGACATTAATAGGAACTGTTGTTTTCTTTTCTTGTAATGTTTTTGTATATCAGTATCAAGGTAATGCTGGCCTCATAAAATGAATTGGAAAGTATTTCTTCCTCTTCATTTTTCTAGAAGAGTGTGTATGAAATTGGTATTCTTTTTCCTTCATTGTTTTGTAGAATTCACCAATGAAGCCATCTGGGAGTGGAGTTTTCTTTGTGGAAAGTTTTAAACCAGACATTCAAGTTTTACAATAGATATAGGATTATTTAGGTAATCTGTTTCTTCTATAGTGAGTTTCATTGGCTTTTTATCTCTCATAGAATATGTTCATTACATTTAAGTTGTTAAATTTATTTGCATAAAGTTGTTCACAATATATCCATAGTATTTAATATCTATGAAATATTCAGTGTTTTAATTGCTCTCATTACTGTTATTGGTCCTTTGTGTTTTCTCTTTTTTATTTCTGATCAGTTGGACTAGCTGTTTTTATTGATCTTCACAAAGAACCAGCTCTTGATTTAATTAATTTTCTCTATTGGTTTTATGTTTTCTATTTCATTATTTTCCACTCTGCTCTGTATTATTTCTTCTCTTCTGCTTACCTCGTGTTTAATTTGTTCTTTTTTTCCCTCTGATTTCTTAAGGTGGAAGCTGAGGTCATTGGTTAGAGATCTTTCTTCTTTCCTGATACAGGAATTTAGTGCTATAAAATTCCCTCTAAAAACTGCTTTAGTTGTATCACACAAATTCTGATACATAGTGTTTTACATTTTCCTTTTGATTTGTTTTAACTCTATTCGCTTTAATCTTTTGCGTGCTTCTTTCTCTGGCCTCAGGTAGCTTTATTACCTGCATGTGTCAATCAGCACTATGCTGAATACTTGAGAGGAACCCTCTGCAGATGTCCATAGTTCTTTCTGGGCAATACTCTTCTCTTTGCTACTCTGTCTTGTGAACTCTGCACTCCTTGATTTCTCTTGAGCTAGTCTCCTCAACTTAGGTAGATGGCCTCTGCCTGGGTTCCTTCTCTCTGAACGATGACCTTCATTGTCTTATATCCATTGTCTTAACTTTAATATATTTTGTTCAGTGTTTTGGTCATATGATTGAGAGAACAAATCCGTTCCCTATTACTCCATTTTAATCAGAAGTTGGCAGTATTCTTGCTTATTTTTTTACAACTCAGTATTGGATGTTAAAATCAATGTATTGAGTTATTACATGCATTCAGAAATGAAATGGTGTAGAAGAGAAAAGGATATATTAGTTTATGTACTAAGGGTAAGTAAGTTTTGTATTATGACACTTCTTTTTTAGTTAGTATATGCCTTTATGTATGTGTTCATTGGGTTGTGATATAAAAGGCATTTCTTATTGTGGATCATGGTCAAAAGAGTTTGAGAAACATTGCTCTAGGTACATCATGGTTCAGTGCAGGTAGGAACCTGCAGCACTTAATTTCTATGCCTGCATTCAAGGGATCTAGAAAAAAGTCATCTCTATATTGTTCATCTGAAAAATGTTCATCATCTCTTACAAAGGTGTGATCTGAGAATCCTTGAAGTGATCTCTGGGACATATCTTATAGGTCTTAAAATCGAGGTAGATCCACAATTCTATCAGTTAAGAAATAGCTACTGATCACCAGTGTGTTCTAGACACTGTCCATGGAGGTGTTCAGTTACTAGCATGAATAAGTGGGAGGCCCTCTCTGGCCCAGTACTGAAGCCTATCTGGCTACTAAATGAGACAGAAAGTAAGGCAAGGTTTTAAGCAGTGCTAGGAGCACTCAGAACGCAAGGAAGATTTGAAATTGTGAAGGTGAGAAGGAGCGTGTCTGGGGGAATTATCCAGGTTCTTGCAGACTTAGAGGTTAAGAAAGTGAGATCTCCTTTATTTTATTTTATTTATTCATTAAAAATACACATATATTTTAACACCTACTATGTCCTTGAGAGATATCAATGAATAAAATAGATAAAAATCCCTGCCTTCATGGAGTGTACATTCTTCTGGGAGAAATTTTAAAAATATATATAATAAGTAAATTATCTGTCCAAAGGACAAACTGCTATGGTTGAAATAGTAGAGCAGAAGTAGGGTGATTAGAAGTAGGACCGCAAATCCTAATTTTAAGTGGGAGATAGTGGAATATATTTAGAATCCAACTATAATAGTAGCATATATTTACTCTAATAGAAACTCTACAAATATTCCAACATAATTAGACTCTTCTGGTGTACAAACCACCGTAAGACTGCCTATTCTCCATACCGCATTGACATGCTGCAGCCACTAGGGCGAAAATGGGCCGTTTCTTAGAAAAATGGGCTCAGAGTATGGGAGTGTGAGAGAAATGTGGGTGATTACGCACACACTCCTTCCTTCCCCAAGTGTTCCTCAGGGGCTTCTCCGCTTAAGGTTCACTGACAAGACAGGCGGAGTTTTACGTGCGTCTGAGACCAGGTCATTTTTGCCCTTGGCGTCTCTTCCTTGGCGCGTCCTCACCTAGTAGAGAATAGAGGCGCAGCTCAGGAGTAAACTTCAGCCTGGCCGTTCACCACTCGATGTGTGTTACAGCCGAGTGACAGTGGTGAGATAGACCTGCTGGCCTTGCTTTCGGGACCTGCAGCAAGATTTTTGGGTGCTGTCCAAGAATTCCCGCGGTTACACTCAGCGCCCAGGATCTGTACAAAAAAGCCCCAATAGATGTTTTACGTTCCCTTCGTAATATTTAACGCTTGGCCTAGATCCGAGCATTCACTCTAACGTTCGGTTTCTTGATCCTTCCCATCCCCAAACTCTGCGGGTAGATCAGTGACTATTACTATATTTTGAACGAGACTCCAACCCATTGCTCTCTCGAGAGAGAAGGATTGCCCGCCTTTTTCCCCCGGGCAGGAGCTCGGCGAGGCCAGGAGAGCCGCGCACCGGCCGGGCAGGGACGCGCAGGCGTCGGGCGCCGCTGGTTGCGCATCTGGCGCCAGAGCGCGCCCCCAGCGCTGTGCCCGCCGCGACCCGGGCCATGGGCTGGTGCTCCGGAGCGTGCCGGGCGCTCTCTCCCCGCGCGGGGGCACCAGAGCCCTCGGAAGTGTCAGGCACTGCGGTGTATTTTCCCCGTTCTCTTTTAAATGACTGCGGAAAAACAGATTCCGAGCCGCAAAAGGGAAGACGGATTCTCAGACAAGGCTTGCAAATGCCCCGCAGCCATCATTTAACTGCACCCGCAGAATAGTTACGGTTTGTCACCCGACCCTCCCGGATCGCCTAATTTGTCCCTAGTGAGACCCCGAGGCTCTGCCCGCGCCTGGCTTCTTCGTAGCTGGATGCATATCGTGCTCCGGGCAGCGCGGGCGCAGGGCACGCGTTCGCGCACACCCTAGCACACATGAACACGCGCAAGGTACGGCAGGGGAGCAAGGGCTTGGGATGCCCTACGTGGGGGTGGGCATCGCGGGGAGTGAATCCACGATCTGGGAATGGCTACATCCCGTCAGGTTAAAGGATGAGAGAAAATGACGCGGCGCCACACATCGGACAGGCCAGGGTGGCCACCGAGCATTTAGAATACGCATCAGGCGCGCTCCCTTCCCCTCACATGTCTCTATTTCCCGGGCGTGTGATGGCAGAAAACGGCAGGAAAAAGACCCACTTAGAGAGCTAGAATTGTGTTTGGAGACTCCCTTCCCTCTGCAAAAGCACCAACAGGAAGCCCCTCCAAAACCACCGATCCCCAAATAGGTGGCCCGGAATGGGGGCGGTGATCCTTGGTTACCAATGCAGAACACGTTTTGGTGTTTACAACATTTATTTATTTTTAGGATAGCTTGCCCTCCCTTTTAGGCAGGGTGGGAAAGGAGAACGCGGGGAGGGAGAAGGGAGGGAGGATTCCTATAATAAGAATCAGCGCATTTTTCAGAGCTGAACCAAGCACGGTTTCCATTTCAAAAAGGGAGACAGCCTCTACCGCGATTGTAGAAGAGACTGTGGTGTGAATTAGGGACCGGGAGGCGTCGAACGGAGGAACGGTTCATCTTAGAGGTACCTGGATGTAAATGCACACACACACACAGACACACACACGCACGCGCGTGCATGTCTACACGGCCAGGATGTGTGCGTGTGTGCGCGCGTGTGTGAACTCCCACATGCTGCTGCTGTCTGCTTCTGGCCAGTGGCACCGATGCCTCCCTCCTCCCTGCTCGCCCCCAGATTCCCCTCCCCTCCCTGGTGCTTTTGTCTGGAGGGTGTTATGGGTTTGTGTGTGTATGAGCGTGTGTGTGTTTTTGGATTTCAGACTAATTTTCTGGAGTTTCTGCCCCTGCTCTGCGTCAGCCCTCACGTCACTTCGCCAGCAGTAGCAGAGGCGGCGGCGGCGGCTCCCGGAATTGGGTTGGAGCAGGAGCCTCGCTGGCTGCTTCGCTCGCGCTCTACGCGCTCAGTCCCCGGCGGTAGCAGGAGCCTGGACCCAGGCGCCGCCGGCGGGCGTGAGGCGCCGGAGCCCGGGTGAGCAGCGCAGATAGTGCCCTCGGTCGCCTCGGCCCTCACTGTCTCCCCCTGGGGCGGCCTCGGCTACTCCCCAGGTGGGACGTGCCGCGCCACCTGCCCGCGCCACCGGCACCCAGCGGCCGTGGCGGATTCTGCAGCATCATTCGGGGGCCCCGTCGCGGAGCCAAAGCCGCCGGCAGTCTCCGCATTCCCCTTTAAAGGGTCCTTCGCCCGGCCTGTACCATGGAATCCTGTCTTGGGGACCCTTTCCCTACCTCCCCTCCCTTGGCCTCAGGCTCGAAGAGAGAGTGGGCACACTGGTGGCTCCAGCGGCGTCAGTGCCATCGCGGGGCAAGTTGATTCCTGGGCCGGAGCTGGGCACTCATCCATCCACAGTCTCCGGGCTGGGGTCGGGGTGGGGATGACGCGAGCAGAGAGGGAGAGTGCCCCAATTAGTGGTGTTGGGGGTCCTACGCTCAGTCTTACGCGTGTCTGTTTGTCCTCAGCCTCGAGGTGCATACCGGACCCCCATTCGCATCTAACAAGGAATCTGCGCCCCAGAGAGTCCCGGGAGCGCCGCCGGTCGGTGCCCGGCGCGCCGGGCCATGCAGCGACGGCCGCCGCGGAGCTCCGAGCAGCGGTAGCGCCCCCCTGTAAAGCGGTTCGCTATGCCGGGGCCACTGTGAACCCTGCCGCCTGCCGGAACACTCTTCGCTCCGGACCAGCTCAGCCTCTGATAAGCTGGACTCGGCACGCCCGCAACAAGCACCGAGGAGTTAAGAGAGCCGCAAGCGCAGGGAAGGCCTCCCCGCACGGGTGGGGGAAAGCGGCCGGTGCAGCGCGGGGACAGGCACTCGGGCTGGCACTGGCTGCTAGGGATGTCGTCCTGGATAAGGTGGCATGGACCCGCCATGGCGCGGCTCTGGGGCTTCTGCTGGCTGGTTGTGGGCTTCTGGAGGGCCGCTTTCGCCTGTCCCACGTCCTGCAAATGCAGTGCCTCTCGGATCTGGTGCAGCGACCCTTCTCCTGGCATCGTGGCATTTCCGAGATTGGAGCCTAACAGTGTAGATCCTGAGAACATCACCGAAATGTGAGTTCCTGGAGCTTTTCCTCCTTTTTCTCCTTGCCCCTAGGGCCCGAGCTGGCCAGGTGGGTAGGTCCTGGAAGTGAATGCTGTCCCAAGAGTGGGGAGAAGTCAAAGACAAGGGATGCAGGACAGGGTCATCTGTCAGTTACCTGCTGTTTCACTGGCTTGGGACTGCTAGTGCAGGGAGAAGTGTGACACTTTAGAATAAGTTTCAAATATAGATATACATATGCCGATTATATATTTATTCCTCGTGGGAAGGAACTCACTATGCTTTTTATATTTCAAAGCTCTGCTGGGTGTGCTTTAGGCTTTCAGTATGCACTAACTTAGTTTTGGGCATTTTTGTTTCATAAAGTGCTGTGTGTATGTTGTGTTAGAAGTTCCATTAATATTCACTAGAAAAGAGGTTAAAATAATTAACTTTCCCAAATCTGTTGAGGGAAGTGACAGTCTCTCCCTTAACATCTTTTTTGAGATTTAAGTTAACCAATTTCCCTTTTCATTTTATATATCGGATTTTGCTTAGGAGATGGCATCCAGAGATGGCCTTGAAAATGATCTGTAAGAGGAGAAGTTCTGAGTGTTGAAATGCACTCGCTCAAAAGAAAAAAATATGATAGTTGGAAGCCTAAAAGCCTGGTCTAATTTAATTTGGACTTGACTTCCCAGAGATATGATTTTGAGACCACTTGGATTATAACTCTTAATTGCCCATTGAATAATTTCCCAGGACTAGGTTGGATGATAAAGCACTGGGTAGAACTCTGATGAAGGCTGGCTTTAGCATTGGACCTCTGTGTCCCTGGAAATGTTTGAGCTTGTTGTGGCTTGAAGAAACAGAACTGTGTATTTCTATTCTCCTTTTCTGATGCTTTGTGACAAATGCATCACCAAGCAAGAACTTGCCAGTCCTTTCTCTAGCATTCCTGTGTCACCTCTACTGGACTGTTATTGTTATCATTTTTTTCCTGAAGGATGCTGTCATTCCATACATCTCATTAACATGAGATTTTATTCGTATACGTGGAAGATTGTAAGGCAAAGTTTCTCCCAGTTTTCCTTATTGTGTTTGATACTGAGATAGGCAGCCCTAAAGTGGGGCTTGGGCTGTGGCCTTCCGGTTGTCGAGTGCGCATGCATTTTTCCTTCCACAGAAAACATACAACCATGTTTCTGCCAACGTAGTTGACCAAGATAACCTGTTTTTTAATGTAAGTAAGAGACCTTCCTAGTCTCTGTTGCCTGTTCTGCTGCTGATGCTTATGGTGTAAGCCTCAGGCAAAAGGAAATGACAGCAGAGCAGAGGGGAATGTTCAGGCCTAGCATAGCTGAGATGTGTCGGGAGCAGCCAACTGTCGGGCTGAGTCCAGGGTGCTAGGATCTCTATCTTTTTGGCAAGGAGAGCAGGAGCCAAGAGCGGAGAGCAAGGGTGGATAGGGCCCCAACTGTGGTGGTCTTGGACTGGGCTGGTTGAGGCTTACCAGGCTGGTCCAAAGTCTGTGGCCTTTTGTCAGAATCTTTTTCATGAGATGGGGTGTCAGTAGTTAGATGGAGAAGGCCATATGGAATTCAGAGTGCTTCTGACTGTTTTGAGATTATGGGGAGTGCCTTCCACAGTCAGATATTGTTGTGTGTGTGTGGTGGTGCTTTTAAAATTCTGTTTTAGGTGATAGATGCATATAATGAAGAAAGAAAGAAGATAGGGCTGATCATTTTCACTTTGTTTTTCTGTTTGATAATTTTAAGGCCATGATCTGAGAAAAAGGAAATAAAACTATCTTTAAATCTAAAAAATTATTATTTCAGACCTTCCTGATCTTAGCTGCCTGATGTATATGAAATCAATTGATTTCAGCAGAGCTTTCTTATATCTGTCCTCACAATTGTTGTTGCTTCTTTTATATCTGATGGCAGGTTCCTATTTTCAGCTTTTTTAAAGTAGATTTTAAAAATATTTACAAAAGCATGTGTCATAGTTATTCATTCAATCGTGGCACTTCTAATTTCTACTCTAACTTTTTTCCCTTTTGATTTGAAAACCTCTTGGGGTTGTGGGATTGGAGAGGTATATAGGGCTAAGTGTTGAGAACAGGGAATTAGGTTAGTAATATTAGTCTGGCTGGGTAGATGTGAGTCCTGAGACAAAGTATGTTTCTCTGCTCTATCTCAGCTTTGTGTGAGCCCAGCCAGTTTGTGCCCCAGTGCCTTTGTCTGTAACTCGTATGACAATACTTCTTTGGAAAGTACTCCATATAATTATTTTGAATTCTGCTTTTTTGACCTAAAAATGACATCAGTGGATGCGCTTGTTTCACTCGCATCCTTATATGACACCATCTATGTTCTTTTTCTTACATATTAATATTTGCTTGCACAGCTTTTAAATTCTTGTCCAGTGGATACCAGCTACAGTTGGAACCAAATTATACATATTTTAAAACTTTGTTGTTAGGCCCAGTGGTATTCCTAAAATAACCTGTTGTAAAGTTCTGGTTTAGTGGTATGTAGCTGAAGTTACGTGCGTCTATTTTTTAAAAATAGAAATAATGTGGTGAATAAACTGTGATTAGCAACACACAACTTGCTGAAACAACGGTTTACCATATCATTCAAAAATGGTGTATCTTTTAGCATCTATATATTAAACCATCATGCCCTTAGGGTTCTAAGAACACAAATAGTGGGACATTAAAAAAAATGTGTAGATTAACCAAGAGGTAGGATCTTTTTGTTTTGTTTTGTTTTTACATGCATGCTTTCAGCTAAGCTGACATTTTGTCTTCAGAGTCATTGAACCTATTTTATTAAAAATCTTCCCATCACAGTACCTGTTTTATATTTTTTGCCCACTAATGTGACATAACTAGATCAATATCTATCTATAGGTATGTATCACGCCTGCTCAACATCACACTGCTAAGTGGCAGCTCCTGTTATTTGGAAATGGTTATACCACAGCAGTGTTAAAATGAATTTAAACGCAGTACCAATGTCACATGCAATGGAATTCAAGAGTGAAGCCTGTTGTTGGAATTATGTAACTGGCCGTTTAAATCCCAGTTGTATTAAGTGCCAAAGTGCATTGCAAAGGACAAGTTCTGTTTCACCCAAGTGGTAAAAGGCACAGTCAAAAGAAGTCGTGCATTTTTTTAGCTGTGGTAAAAAAAAAATACATAACCTAAAATGTACCATCTTACAGTTCAGTAGTGTTCTGTGTATCCATGTTGCTGTGGAAGGGCATGCATTTTTATGTTGCACGTGCTTTATGAAGACTAATAGGGATCTTTTTTTTGAATTTCTCCAGTGGTATTCTCTGATTTGGGGGTAATATTTGAGAACAGCCTTATATTTTTCCTCTTAGCACAACCTAAATAGAATTTGGAGCTTCTCCTATGACAGACTCTATGTGCAATTTATTGTTGGCCTGGTTAAGCAGCTGTAATGTTGTGTCATTAATACATTGATTTTGGCCCTCTTACTTTAATAAGCTTTGCCATTGCAATTAATTGTACTTAAAAAAAAATCCTGGCATTCACAAAGATTCAGTGAAAGGCATCAATTTTTATTACTCTGATGTTTACTTCTCAGCCCCTCCATTGGGGGTTTTAGAACTTTGGACTGTGTCTTATATGCATTTAAGAGCCATGTATTTAAATTTGGAGCACGGTTACATAAGCCACACTAGACTTGTTAATGAATAAGGCAGTCTAATTTACATCATTCATTATTTAATACAACTTGCAAGCTGGAGTTGAGAACATGCTGTCTTCATAGTGTAGGTATTTACAGACATCAGCTTGGCACAACTGTGTGGAGTCTTTTTAGTTTCATACCTTCAATCTCTGCAATATGGACACTTTTGTTACCCTGGGTAAAACAGTGGAAAAGCCTTGTGACCCTTTTGACCCTACTTTCTTCCACCTCCCCTTCCATCACCCATTATTTATACAGGAAAATGGGTTTGATTTTTTTCTTCTCTGAAAAGTGATATTTCCTTATGGGAATTCAGAATGCTGGAGTTAAGAGAAGAGCCTGGGCTGTATGTTATTACAAGCAAGTATTGGGAAGTTGAAGCAATGTGGTCCCAGTTCCCTAGTGTGGAGTTTAGGTCTGTTTAAGGTCTCTCACTGTTTCTATCCCATAAACCTCTGTTTGTGTCTGCTTCAATATTCCCTTATAAAGGTGTTTTCTAAGCTGAAGAGTTGGCTGAACAGCTGAGAGTTGAGGTCTCTTTCTCCCTAGTAATATTCTGTATGATCTCTTTGACTATATCTAGGTCATAGGAGTATAAAAACTAGTGTTTTTGTTTAGCTGGGGAAGGGGAATTGAATTTCTTTTCTCTTCTCCTTTCTTTCTTTCTTTCCTTTTTTTTTTTTTTTTTTTTTTTTTTTGCCTTGAGTGTTAAGCAAGTGCATCCAGTTTTAACTCATTGGTCATCTTGCCTGCTAGGGAAAAAAACATTATCAAACCATTATTGAATACCATAAACTGGCCTTATCCCTCTGGCTAACTTTACCACTTCTCTAGAGAGTTTCTTGTAGGTTCAAAAGCTATAGCGTAGGATGTGACATGAAAGACCTGCCCCTTGGAACAATGCCAATTTTTAGTTGCTTCTGATGCCTGTAATCAATAGGAGGATTTGGGGGAGAGACTATTGAAGCATGGCAAAGTTTTTACTTGTTTGATGTGTGTTTGTGAGAGAGAGAGAGAAAGATAGAGGGAAGAAAAAAAACCCTGAATCTTGGATTATTTATGGTTGATCAATCATTTTTATAGTCTACTTGGTTGAGCTATTTTAAAACAAATCCCACCTCAAGCCTCAAATGGCAAAGATCTGAGCTCCACTGTGGCCTGATAATTTTAGCTCACATTTGATTGCTGATCAATCTCCATTAGAAAAGTAAAGGTCCCATATAACTGGGTGCCTTCTCACCACTTACTTTGCTCTCTGGGGTGTCCAAAGGACTGGGAAGTTATAAATATTGATCTGGGAGATGGATGAGTGAATGTGCTCAAAGTTACAAAAATCTTGCAAAGAAAAGCAATGTGTAGATACTAAGTTTATTCCTTATGTGTTTCAAAAAATAAAAATAAAAAAGCATATCATGGAAAGCTGAAGTCAGGAGACCTGGAACTTCATCCCAATGTCACCACTACCCAGTCACTACCCAGTTACCTGATCTTGAAGCAGCCTTTTAATGTTTCTGGGCCTCAGCTTGTCACATGTAAACTGAGGGCTTTGGATTTGATGCTCAGACAAGTTTCTCAAGGCTCTGAAGTTCCCTGAAGCCTCGGTCACGGAGATAAGGAAGTGTATACATCAGCTGTGAAGGAAGGGCATGATACAAGGTGCTCGGGGTCTGGCAGTGTGTGAATCTGAAGACCTTTGGTGTCAGAGTGTTATGTGGAAATGTTTTCAGTGTCTGCTCTGAACTCCCTCAAACCATGTCTTTTTAAATGTGAGCTGCTAACAAGGCTAGTGGCATGTTAGTACTGGTCTGATGAGTCCAAGGTCACAGGGTCAGTGTTCAGATGGGTCACTTAGAATCGGAACCTCAGAAAGAGAAAGGGCTTTAGAAATGATCTGCTTCAGCCTCTTCTTTGCAAAAATCAAGGGCAGTGAAGAAAGTTGCCGAAGGCCGACTCATTAACAGCATTGTGGGAACTAGAAGCTCCTTCTCCTAGCATCCAAATGAATGCTGGGGGCCTTTGCTTTAGGGTGCCTCCCCTCCGTTCTGTGTTCTCAAACAGACCGCCTAATTCTGGCTCATCATTTTATTAGGTTGGTGCGAAAGTAACTGTGGTTTTTGCCATTACTTTTGCACCAACCTAATAGAACCACCATAAATGGGGAGACAAGTTTAACATGGCTAAGTCTGTGCAAACTCATCTCTGTGAGAGACCAAGTAATTGAAAAGTGCATGAGCTACTGATCTGAAAGCAATCATCTTATCTTCATATAGGAAGAAATATATTTTCTGTTTAGCTTACTGTGTGTGAGTGTGTGTGTGTGTGTGTGTGTTAAATTTGAAGTGTTCCTCTTCTTTAGGCAATTCATACACAAAAAATTTGAGCTTCAGAGAAAAGCCTTCATGAGTTGGCAGCAATGAGGTATGCTAACCTTGGGCCTGCTGGGCCATCTTTGCAGATTGGCATTAGAAGAGGGGCAGAGCAGACAGAGTGAAATGAAACCTGTTGCCCCTGGAGTCTTTGCCACAGTCGGGGGTGCTTATGTAAGTGGAGAAACCCGCAGCCCTTTCGATGAGGTCTGTGTTAGCTGCCCTGAAAGACCTGTGGCCAGAGAGTACTTATTATTCCCCGACTTCTTTCTTCCCCCTGACTTCTCAATGCCTCAAGATTGATGACTAGTCTCAGTGGCTGAGCCAGTGAGCAAACTTCAGGATTATTGGCTCCCATCCAAAATTCATCCAGCTACCATTTTATGTGTTGTTCGTGTTCTGCTCTGAGACCTTTCCAGGAAAAGCACCCTTCTGAGACATATTTTTGGTTGCATGAAGATTTGCTCCCATGGGACGTGAAGGGCCCTTTACAGACATCTGCTTATTTAGGTTTACAGCCTCACTCTGAAGAAGGTGGGGAGGTTTTGGCAGCCTCTGAGGGGCTGTGAGGTTTATTAGTTTGCCTGGGCCCCTTGGTAAAGCAGAGCATAATTTAGGGGTAGGATCCTATCTAATGTCTCATTTAGGGCTCTGTCTACTCCAACCTTGGTGCCCAAATTTGACCTCGAGAGCCAAGGCAATTCTAGGAGAGGTCTAGAGATTTGAATTCATGTTCACAGATTAAACTTCATGCAGTGGGAAGGAGGTGGGCTGGTGCTTCATCCTCTGTCTTCCCCACCCCTATCCTCTTCTCCTGTTCAGCTCCTGAGCAGTCTGATATATATTGTGAAGAGATAAATGATTTGGTTGCCTTTGGTAATATGGCATCTTCTTGTACAAAATAAAACTGTTAATAATCACACACCATTTAGAGTTCCTTTTTTTATGTCAAATAAGGACAAATTGCTACTTAGCATCCCATCCTTTCCTGTAATCTTCATATCCCAAGAATTGTCTACACACACACACATAGACACACACCATAATGTTGTATGTGTGTACCGTGTTTTCATCAATACATAAATCTGTGTATAAAACTCTGCCATGTGTAATTTGTTCAACTTAATTATCTTGAGTTGTAAAATTTTCTGAATAATTGAGAATGTGCTTCCCTAAACCACTATTTTAATTTTGTTTTTATCATTCTGGATGTCCCTTGGCCAGGATCTGGTTGGGCTGTCTTCTTTGAGAGAAGTACTTGAGCATTAGTGCATTGACCCTGTTAGCCGACCTGGTCACTCAGAGACCCACTGTGTCTATCTTCTGATTCTTTGATATCTTCTCAACATAAACGAACAATGTAAACAAAATTGAAAGGTATCGGAATTTTGGTTTCAACCTCTGCAATATAGTGCAATTTAAAAAGAAAGGATCTTCTCAACGCTAATCTTTGTAACAAGAGTTGTTTCTACTTCATGTACCCCAGAGTCCCTTGCTGTGAGGTGGCAGAGGGGCCTATGCCTGAATTGTCTGACTCTTGCTCACTGTGTGGCAAGTGACCTCTCTTTTCTGGGCTTGGCTTATTCCTCTGTGTGATGCATGTGTAGGGGTGGAGGGTGCTGGGCAAGAGAGCTTGACATCATAGCCCCTAGATTCCCTGGTAAGGTGTGACAAAAAAACACACAACTATGGTGAAACAAAACAAAACAAAACAAGTGTCTTTCTCCAAAGAACAAAACAAAACCCCAAACCAGAACACTCTTTTTAGTTTACTCCCAATTTTACTTCAAAACCCTGCTGCTACCACCCAAACTCAAAGAATGTTATAGATGATATTGCTCCTTGGTTATTTCTTGTGTGCGTCTGGTGCTATGGCTTGAATGTTTGTATTCTGCCAAAATTCATGTGTTGAAACTCAGTCACCAGGGTAGTGGTGTTGAGAGGTGGGAGTTGATTAGGACATAAAGGCAAAATGGGATTGGTGCCCTTATAAAAGAGACTCCAGAGAGCTTGTTTGTCCTTCCTGCCATGTGAGGACACACATAGAAGGTGCCATTTATGAGGAATGGGCCCTCACCAGATATGAAACCTCCCAGAACCTTGATCTTAGACTTCTCAGCCTCTAAAACTGTGAGCAATACATTTCTGTTGTTATAAATTACCCAGTCTAAGATATTTTATTTTAGCAGCCCACATGGACTAAGGTACATGGGTTTGGCCTTTCTCTTTGCAACTCTTCAGCCTCTTTCTGTTTCTGGTGGTGTTTCTTATCCCCTTCTCCTCTGTTCCCAAATCACAGACATATATATACAAACAATCATTTGGCTGTAAACCCCCTTTAATGGATTGTAAAGAAATCTTGACTTGTGTACTTTTTTCTGGTGGACGACCTGTGGGCAGACCATCATTGTTTCAACTGAACCTGGCTTGGTAAGGTTAACACAGTGGGAAAGGCGACAAAGTATAGGAACGTGGTATAACTGAAAGGAGCGCTGGTTAGGGATCTAGGATTTTGGATACCCACTCTCTGACAGTATCAGGGTCTGGGATTTTGGTTGAGCCACTTGACCTCACCAGCCTGACTGATTTCATCTTGAACCTGGAGGCTGTGACACTCATGCATGCTACTCCTTGAAAGACTCTGTGGTTCTGAATCAGTCAGCCATGAGCACTAGTGTTTCCTTTTCTGTTCAAGAATTCACCATTGCCTTCACTCCAGGGGCAAACAAGAGCCTGCTTCAGTTCTTTTGGTGGCTAAACAGCAGAAACCTGACCAGTAGGTTTTCTTTAAGTCCAGCTCTGCCGTTGAGGCTGGATGGTTTTGCAGGTCACCAGCTTCCTGCCATCCTGGGTGACAGCCCTTCCATGGTTTCCCACCAATAGAAACAAATTTTTATTTTTTTCCCTGGGAGTAGTGTTCAAGACTTTTTCAGCCCATTCCTGGCCCACTTCTGTGGATGAGGCTCTGGCAAGTTTTCTAACTGACCTCTTTGGTTAGTCTCTGTTTTCTGTGACCCCCAAGAGCAGAAGCTTTCATGGACATCAAATCTTATTTTTCTGCTCATCAAGTTGTCTTTTCATCTTGGTGGAATAGTTTGTCACATTTCCTGATTGTCATGTGGGTGGGCTGCCATCATGCAAAAAGTAGTTCAGTGTCACTAGTGTTATTGAGGACATGGAGATGTCCAACAAACAGGGTACTCTGCAGAGGCAAGGAGCCCCTGAGCAGCTTATATCTAGCAAGAGACAGATGCATACACATCTAAACACTCCCAATAGTGGGAAGCATTGATGTGTAGATGGGATGTGAGTAATTCCCAATCCTTACTTCCTATGGTAGCAGTAATCCAGCTGAGTTTCATTATTTTCTCTCTGTCAAATAATTTTTGATATTCCTGGGGCCACCTCCACTCATACTGCATTAGAGTAAGCTGCAACTTGCATCTGCAACCAGTTACGATGGAAGGGCTGGAGCGCCTTTCAGCTGAAGCTAATCACTCAACCTCGAGCTTTTTTCTATCAGCAATTTTCCCTCTCTCACATACCTGTATTTTCTGTTTCTTTCTATTGTTCCACATTTTAAGATAAGAATTGAAGCAGGTTCATGTTCCTCCCATCTTAGAAAAGTTTTTCTTTAGTGTGATTCCCTCCCTCTCCTTCTGCTCCTGACTAAAGTACCTCTCCCTTCAAAGCCAGATCTTGGAAGAGTGATCTGTATTCATTATGTCTATTTTCCTATCTCTTATACCAGTCCCATTCCACTGTTTTTCAAACTCACTTCACCATAGTCCCCAGAAGCCTTCATGGGCCATATTGCTCTGTCCTTATCTTACTTGACTTCTTAGCAGAACTTGGCTTCATTTCTCACTCCCTCCTTCTTGAAACATCCTTTTCCTTTGGCCTTGGTGTCACCACACTTTTCTTGTTTTCCCTCTATCTCTCTGCATGCTACTTGTTTGCTTTATTTGTCGGTTCCCTTTTCTCTGCTCTTAAAAACAGACCTTAAAAGTTTATGTCCCTTGGGATTCTGTCCTATGGCTGCTTCACTTCCTGGGCTATCTCTGGGCTACATCACCCTCATCCATTACTTATGTTACCTTCTTTGTGCTAATGATGTCCTAATCTGTTTCCCCATCAATTATCAGTGAAGACCTTTGGACTCATGTGTGCAATACCCCTCTCAGATACAGGAGAGTGTGTCACACTTCTTATTTCTAAACAAAATTTTTCATTGTTGCCCCAAACCCATTGCCAGTGTTCCCTATTGTAATGAATGGCACCATTATCCACTCAGTAATACAAGCCACAAACCGTGACTCTTCCTTCTCTGTAACCCCTACACTCATTCACATATTACGTCTTGTCAATCCATTTTCCTAAGTATTTCCTAAATCTAATTTTTAATATTTCCACTGACATTATTCAATCATTCTTTCAACAAATATTGATTGGGGTCTTCTCTATGTTGGGAACTAGCTAGGTACATGGGATATGGTGAGAAAAACTGCCCTGGTCTCTTCTTACCGGGCTTGCAGTGTGTGGGAGTGGGGGATGGGGAACAAACATCTAATAAGTACTTAACATAAAAACAATATAATTCATGCCATCATCATCTTTTGCCTAAAATGCTGCAATCGCTTCCTATTTCGCATCCCCGCCTCCAGTCTTGTCCCCTCTCTGCCCATACGCCACACTGTAGCTGGAGCGGTCTATCTGAAATGCTGATCTTATCCTGTCACTGCTTATAATTACCCTCTGGCTCCCAGTGTCTCTTAAAATAATGCCTAAAGTTGTTTATTTTTGTTTCAGTTTTTAAAGAATAGAACAAAATTGTCACTATATTGCTATATAAAGAGGCATATAACTATTACATGGACCAGAATGCACAGATCAGCATAACAGTCTTTTTCTACACCAGCAGCTCTATAAAAAAGAACAAATTATAACTGGAAGCTTGCTTGGTGATCTTGGAATTAGAGCAAGGGCATTTAATTTTGCATTTAAAATGTTAAATGGCATTAAGCTAAGCTTGCCTGAGGCATCCATCTCCATAATGGGAGAGCCTTCACAAAGGGAATGTAGAACTTGAAGTACTTTGGCCCAGACTTGTATCCCCTGGATGGACACTCCTTTTCCTCTCCTTCATTCACTGCCCAACACCAATGCTGATTGATGTATTCTTTCTTTGGAAAGGTTAGTGCCTTTAACCAATGCTTCTCATGTCTGGGAGCCTTTCAAATTCCTTAAAGTGATTTTGCACATCTTCTCTCTGAAATGCATTAACTTTATTGTATGGAATTTAGCTGGTAATTATATTTTTTAAAGTAATATTTGAAAGTGATCAGAAATGCAAGCAGCGCAAAGGAGTGTACCATGAATACACTTTGTAACTCTTGTTACAAAGAGTGTACCTTCACTCTGAAGAAGTTGGGGAGGTTTTGGCAGCCTCTGAGGGGCTGTCAGGTTTATTAGTTTGCCTGGGCCCTTTGGTAAAGCAGAGCATAGTTAGGGATAGGATCCTATCTAATGTCTCTCTTAGGGCTCTGTCTACTCCAATCTTGTTGCCCAAATTCGACCTCGAGAGCCCAGGCAATTCCCTCCCACCATGTACTCCCACCCTCTAAAATCCCTCAGCTCCCCTCTCCAATAACAACCACTGATTTTATTTTGTGTCGGTCCCCTTTCAGAAATCTTTGTCTTACATATATAGCACATATATAGGTCTTTTTAGTTTGTACACAAATGAGGGCATGCTATACCCCCTCTTCTACATCTTGGTCGTTTTTCACTTGACGATGTATCTTAAAAATGTTTCTGGATAAACATATGTAACCAACCTTATTTTCTTCCCAGCTGCACAGAAATCCACTGGATGAATAGACTCTATTTAACCAACTTCTTACTGGACAACTCCAGTGTACAAGTTCTTGTGTGTACCTTCTACTTGTGTCCTCACATGGCAGAAGGCACAAATAAGCTCTCTCTGGCCTCTCTTATAAAGGGCATTAATCTCATCCCACCCTAATGATGTAATCACCTCCAGAAGGCCCCACCTCCTAACATCACATGCATAATTTTATCTATAGGAAATGTTCCTAGAATTTGAATTGCAGGAAAATTGCAAGATATTTGTGATTTGTGTGTGTGTGTGTGTTTTCTTGTTGCTTATTTTACTTTAAGTTCCGGGATACATGTGCAGAATGTACAGGTTTGTTACATAGGTATACATGTGTCATGGTGGTTTGCTGCACCTATCAACCTGTCATCTAGGCTTTAAGCCCCACATGCATTGGGTATTTGTCCTAATGATCTCCCTCCCCTTGCCCCCCAACCCCTGACAGGCCCTGGTGTGTGATGTTCCCCTCCTGTGTCCATGTGTTCTCACTGTTTAACTCTCACTTATGAGTGAGAACATACAGTGTTTGGTTTTCTGTTCCTGTGTTAGTTTGCTGAGAATGATGGCTTCCAGCTTCATCCATGTCCCTATAAAAGACATGATCTCATTCTTTTTTGTGGCTGCATAGTATTTCATGGCATATATGTGCCACATTTTCTTTATCCAGTCTATCATTGATGGGCATTTTGGTTGGTTCCAAGTCTTTGCTATTGTAAATAGTGCCGCAATAAATATATGTGTGCATGTGTCTTTATAGTAGAATGATTAATAATCTTTGGGTATATACCCTTTAATGGGATTGCTGGGTCAAATGGTATTTCTGAGACTAGATCCTTGAGGAATCACCATGCTCTCTTCCACAATGGTTGAACTAATTTACACTCGCACCCACAGTGTAAAAGCGTTCCTATTTCTCCACAGCCTTGCCAGCATCTATTGCTTCCTGACTTTTTAAGAATCGCCATTCTGACTGGCATGATAGTATCTCATTGTGGTTTTGATTTGCATTTCTCTAATGCAATGATGAGTGAGGATGATGATGAGCTTTGGTTCATCTGTTTGTTGGCCACATAAACGTCTTGTTTTGAGAAATATCTATTCATATCCTTTGCCCACTTTTTTTATGGGTTTTTTTTTCTTGTAAATTTGTTTAAGTTCCTTGTAGATTCTGGATATTAGACCTTTGTCAGATGTGTAGATTGCAAAAATTTTCTCCCATTCTGTAGGTTGCCTGTTCACTCTGATGATAGTTTCTTTTGCTGTGTAGAAGCTCTTTAGTTTAAGTAGATCCCATTTGTCAAGTTTGGCTTTCGTTGCAATTGCTTTTGATGTCTTAGTCATGGATTCTTTGCCCATGCATATACCTGAATGGCATTGCCTAGGTTTTCTTCTAGGGTTTTTATGGTTTTGGGTTTTACATTTAGGCCTTTAATCCATCTAGAGTTAATTTTTCTATAAGATGTAAGGAAGGAGTCCAGTTTCAATTTTCTGCATATGGCTAGCCAGTTTTCCCAGTACCATTTATTAAACAGGGAATCCTTTCCCCATTGCTTGTTTTTGTCAGGTTTGTGAAAGATCAGATGGTTGTAGATGTGTGATGTTATTTCTGAGGCTCAGTAATATTTGTGATTTTTAAGTAAATATTGCCAAGTTGTTTTGCAAAGAGGTCACATCATTTTGTTCTCCCACAGAAACTGGGAGTGTCTGCTTTCCTACAATTAAGGCAGTACTATTTGTCGTTGAACTTTTGTTATCAAACCTTTTGTCCTTTGTCAACCAGTTTCCTGAGAAATAGTACCTCAATTGCTGTATTTTGCGATTATGTAATTATGATTCAGATTGAAAGTCTTTTCGTATGTTTGTAAGTCATTGGTATTTTTTTTCCGTGAACTTAGCCCTTTTCTTTTTTAATTGAATTGATGGCCTTTTCAAAAAATAATAAAATTTGTACTTCACCTAATGTTTTGCTTGTCTTCTAATGTCAGTTAAGGATTATGATATTTCTTTTCTTCTCCTCCTTCTCTTCCTCCTATTTTGTGAAGCAGAATTAAGTTTTTTTCTAGTAAAGCTTATTTTTTTTTTCTATGTTGTAGGTGTGGCTAAGAAGATTATTCCCTTTTCTAAGAGTATAAAATGAGCAATTTTATATTTTCTTCTACTACTTTTACTATTATATGTTTTTACTTTTAAAGCTTTTGTCTATCTAAATTTTAAAAATATATGGAATGATGTAACAATTGTTTTATTATTTTTTTTTTCAGTATAGCCAATCAGTTTCTGGATCTTATTAGTTATGTAATGCTATCTTTCCCTCGCTAATTTAAAATAGCAATTTGGTTCTGTGGCAGGACTACCTTTGTGTTTGGGCCTGTTTAGGGATCTAGCCTATTCCATTAATCAGTCTGTCTATTTACATGCCAGCATTAAATTTTATCTCCCACAGCTTCTTCTTTTTTTTTTTTTCTACTTGAAGTATTAGTGTCTTACTCATCAGTCTTCTTTCAGAATTTTCAGGATGATTCTAGCGTGATGATTATTCCACATGAATTTTAGGAACTGCTTGCCTAGCTCCCCTGCTTGATAGTGGTGTTTTTAACAAAGATGGCATTACACTTATATAGCAAAGGCTGACAACTTCTTATCAAGTCTTGAAAGCCCCGTGTCCTCAAATTCAAAGCCATTTCTCAGCCTCATTTCATGCCTCTACCTTTGTTTGATGCCATGATACAGCCACTCTGAGTTTTCAATTTATCTACTGAGCTATATTCTCACTTATCTTCCAGGTTGTCCTCTCTGCCTTCTACCCTGGCTAACTCCTGCTTATCTTTTAGGCCTTGGCTGTGATGTTGCTTCCTCTGCCTCTACACCTGGTCTATGTCCCCTCCACTACATGCTCTTATAGCCCCCTGTGTTTCACATCGCAGCGTAGGTCACTTAGTATCATCAGTGTGTGCCTGTGCACCTGTCTGTACACACCGTTAGGACATAAACTGCATGAAGGCAGGGACATATGGATCTTGTTTACTGCTCTTTCCTAGCATCTAGCACAATATCCTAGTTCTCTGTGTTACACAAATACACACGGATATGCACTCATGAGCACCTTCTCCCCACCCCCATATATATACACATAAATCTATCATCTAGAACTCTAAATAAGAGTATTAGTTGGTCTCTGGGTCATCAATATGTAAATCTCTAGACATAATTTTTCTCAAGCTATCAAGTTAAGATGTTTGTTTATATAAATGACCTTTATGGAATTAAAGTGCACAGTGTTAGTTCATGCACAGCAAGAGATTGATTAATTGTGGAAAGGAAAAAAGGCAAAGCCTTGATGAGGCAGGCTGATTACATATCCAACAGGAAGGAGGGACAGCAAAGAGAGGGGAGGATGAGGGCGTTCTGCAGATGAAGAGAGATGCAGAGCACACAAGCTCAGCAACAGAGGAAAATCCAGGGGAAAAGAATCACTCCAGGGTCACCTGATCTCCAACAAACAAATAGGTCTAATGAGAAAGATTTGTGCCTTTTCTGTTAGGTAATAGCTAATAATGGATATCCTTGTGGATCAATTGCAGTTTTCCCTGCGACTGCATTTATGGGGCTTCACTTAAAAGGCAATTCTGGTGTGAGATTTCGGATGTGATTTATCCTTCTTGGAGTACGGATGATAGAGGCTGTTCATTTTTCTCAAAGAATTGCAAACATCAGGAGTATAAAAAGATAATGTGTCAGGTCTAGTTTAATGTACCATCTGATACATATACTTTTGCACTTTTGCAGTAAAAATGCATTGGGCTGATCCTATGAATGTTTCATGGGGCTTCCTTTATATTTATAAAAATTAACGCTATTAGACATTTGAGAAGTTTTGATAGGTGCTTGCAAAACTCATCAAAAAACCCAACTGATAGACATATGAGATTAGAAGGCTTTTTAAAATAGAGTGAAGTCTATAGGTTAATAAATTGTGTTGAATAATCAAAAAGATAATTCTTTCTTAAGATAAATAATATAAATCATATCTATTGATGTTTTATTTATTTATGCTTATATAATCAGTATATTCATAATACGTATACAAATGAAAGTGGTTTAGACTCCATGTGTATTTGAAAATTAAATTTTAAAAAATGAATGGGAATTATGTATTTGACGGGTTTTTTTCCTTTTTTTGTGGAGACAGGGTTTCGCCCTGTTGCTCAGGCCGGTCTTGAACTCCTGGGCTCAAGTGATTCACCTGCCTTTGGCCTCCCAAAATGCTGGGATTACAGGTGTAAGTCACTGTGCCTGGTTTTGGAATGGGAATTATGGAACCAACATAAAATGTTTAACTCTGATGAGAAAAGTCTTATTTTTGGAATTGAGTCATTGGCTCTCACGATAAGCCTAGGTGACCCTCTAGGATTTAACTTCTTGGCTGTCTCATTTGTCTCATTTGCACAAATCTTTCTCATTAGACCTATTTTTGTTTGTTGGAGATCAGGTAACCCTGGAGTGATTATTTTCCCCTGGATTTTCCTCTATTGCGGAGGAATTGCTTTCCCACCAATAAAAAGTGTCTTCTGGAGCTTAAATTCCTGGTGTCTTGAGGGTACTATAGAGCCTCTTACTTACCCAGTCTACACTAGAATCCATGTGGTCATTACCATCCTTTGATTGCATTTTGTATCTATACACATACAGTTCAGAAGGCAATAGATACTCTGTTGGCAAAGTCATCTTTTCCCATGGGTAGCTCAAATTGAGGACAGGAACTAACTTTTATATATGCTTATATTGATTGATTGATTGACTGACTCATGCGTTCATTCATTTGGTTACTCAATCAGCAAATCAGTTTTGAACATGTCTTTGTACCTGGTACTTTCCTGGGTCTTGGGTGACAAGACTTAGGCCAGCTCCTACCATTTATACCTTTTATATGGTCTGTTTCAAGGGCACAAACAGAGCCCCCAGTCAGATGGCCCTACCTTTCTCTCTCCCCAAAACTACAAGGGACCTCATAGGCAGGTGCATGGACAGTTCGGCCTACACACCCAAACTCTATCAACACCACCATAGACATCAACCTTGGACCTCCCCCTTTCCCTTACACTGCTGTACCTGGTGTGTGCATATCCATGGCTTGGTGCACCCTCAGGAAGATGGATCCAAGGAAAAGGCCTGCTCAGGCCGTAGGAGTGGACTCAGGGTCTTTGAGTAGGGAATTCTGGGATCCTGGGGAAGGGTGAAATCCAGGAAGGAGCATCCTATTGGCTCTGTGGACTCCTTGCCTCATGTGGAAGCACTTGCTGAAGGAGAACAGAGTGATGGACTCCAAAGGACCTGGGCCCAATGCTCAGGGCTAAAGGTGCCATGGACCAGGCTGATCGGCCCTTTGCATTGTGGACCTGGCCTCTGCCTCATTGTGCTTTTGTGCTATGACGATGATGCTCTGGATCAGGGCAAGTGCAGGGCATATGTCCTGGGAGTGTGTAGGGGGGTGGCCAGGCTCTTCAGATGGTTCCTACACTTCAGTGCCCCACCCTCTCTTCAGGGGCTCCATGTTCCCAACAAGGACAGAGTATACTGGATTCCTCCCCATCAAGTTTTGTGATATTATCATAGACACAAGCAGATCACAAGCAAAGCATAGATCTGTCCCCAGCAGTCAATGAGAATTGTTAAACGTCATTAGCTACCAGCTTCCTCCTTTCTCTCTTCCCCATATGGATTTTATTATTGCCCCTGAAAGTTCTGGGTCTAAATGTAATGTTTCAAGAATCAGCTAATTGTGGCTAAATACTATTATTTTTTACTGGGACCCCTGGAGGATCCTGAGATTGTAAAAACTGTGCCTGAAAAGTTCCTTTCCTCACGATGTCTTTTTTCCTGAATTGAAAAATTACTGAATATGTCAGTAGACATGCATAATGGATTGATAGATTAATTTTCCATTTTCTTTGGGAGTTTGTGTAGGGGAGTGATTCCTGTTGTAACATTGGTGGGTTAAGGGCTCCACTAGGATGTGTGGTCTGCCACTGCTACTTTGGACTAGTAACTAAAGCTTTCATGTCTCAGTTTCCCCATCTGGAAAAGTGGGCAATAATAGAAAAATAGAAAAGCATTACTGTGAGGTTAAAGTGAGCTGATGCATGTAGAATGCTTATAGCAGTGCCTGACACACAGTTCGCACTCTGCTGTTAGCTTATATGTGTGCGCATGTGTGGAGCTATCTTCAAATATGATTCAGAGGAAACTACTCTGTGAGGTTGGGAGGACTGAAAAGCAAAAGACTCTGCCTTGAGCATGACACTGAACAGCCTGAGGCTAAGAGGACAGATGTAAATGGCGCTGGTTCCCTTATGGCAACCTTTGCATGCCCTTTGGCTTGTCTGTGCATTACTCTCATCGTGTAGGACCTGGTGTGCTTAGCTGATTGGGACATTAACCATTCGTGTGCTGAGCGATCACAAGTGAGATTTCATGACTGTTATTCAGGTCATTGTCTTTGTTCTGTGACTTTGGTTTCTTTGATGGTCCTGGTCTATTTTATTGGTCAGGTTGTTTATTAACAGTCCTCCTGGACTCTGGGATTGTCAGTCATTTTCTCTTTTATTTTTCTCCATTTTCTCTTTTAACTGTCCTTTTTATTCTTTAGTTGTAAGGCCTTTAAAACATAGACATCTTATCCTTTTTTTAAAAAAAAGAATTGTAGTGAAACACACATGACATAAAGTTTGCCATTTTAACCATTTTTAAGTTCATATTTCAGTGATGCTAAGTACATCCACGTGTTGTGTAACCATCACCACCATCCATTTCCAGAACTCTTTACACCTGGAATAATTGAAACTCTGTACCCTTCAAACCATGACCCCCCATAACCTTACCTCCCTCTAGTGCCTGGCAACCACCATTCTACTTTCTGTCTCTATGAATTTGACTGTTCTAGGTACCTCAAAAATGTACATCTTTTTGAACAGTAATATATCCCTTGAATTAAAAGCTTTTTTTTTAAATAAGATATTTGTTTAGGACTTTTACAGCTATTCATGCTTTCCTTTTGCAAAATAACTTACTTATTGTGGCCTTACACAACCACTATGATTGGAATTTCTTTCCACTAGCATCTTTGAAGTTTAACTCCAAAGAAAGTAATCTCTAGCCATCTATAAAAATGACTGAAGGTTAACATGAGAAGTGAAATGCTGAAGATAAAATGGGAAGTGTCCCTGAATTTCACTCCCTTTCCTTACTCCCATAGCCTATAAAAGTTGGCTGAAAAATTGTGCCAATATCAAAACAGACCTTCATAGAGATCCTAAAATTTTACCACTGGAATCATTCTCCTCTCTTGACATTATGCTCATTTTTCTCTTTGCCATGCTTGACCTATCCTGAAGCTGGAGAAGAAGTATTAGTTCCAAAAATTTTCTTCTTGTGAAATGATTTGTCCTGACTGGAGGCCAAGAGCTTTCAAAACTGTGTTCTGCTGTGATTCGTGATGACTTGAATGCTTTTTAGAATTCTTACAGTCCAGGCGAATCATTGGAGATTCTTCTTCAAGAGTCATAAATGGGAAATGTATTGGCTTGAAAGAACAGGGAAAGAGGAAAAGACATTTTAAAAAATGATAATTTATTACAAAAAAAAACATTAGCTGGGCATGGTGGCCGGTGGTGGCAGGCGCCTGTGGTCCCAGCTACTTGGGAGGCCGAGGCAGGAGAATGGTGTGAACCTGGGAGGTGGAGCTTGCAGTGAGCCAAGATCACGCCACTGCACTCCAGCCTGGGCGACAGAGTGAGACTCCATCTCAAAAAAAAAAATAAAAAAAATGATAATTTATATGTTAGATTGAAGTTTCAAGATTTTACTTTTTAATGAGCATTCATTCTGAAATTTTAATAAATCATAGATGAAACTACTTACTAACCCATTTCTTGAAAACAACTAGTATAGAGTAATTCTATAGTGTCAGCATATTGTACATAAAGACCATTTAATTTTTATGGAATGAATGTTAAAAATGTCACAATCAGTTTTTCATCAGTATTTGAATAACTATTTGAATTATAATTATTTTATACAATAAAATTAATAAGGTAAAAATGAGAGGGATGAAAGAATTAAAGACAAGAACTCCAACTAACCCTAATGGTTGGCATAGTTGCTGTAACTGAGTGCAACATTTGTCCCCAACTTCCTGGCAGTGAAAAGAGAAACTCATTATTAGGAAGGAGAATGCCTACTAATTCCACAGGAACACAGATTTGTCTGGCAGTGTATTCCAAAAGGAATTTCTTTTGCAGGAACAATAAGTGATGTAACGCACAGTTTTTATGAAAAATCCAGAAGTAGCTTTCATTTTCTTCTTCCTGAGAAAGCCAGTGAAAGTTGGAGGAAGTGACAAGGACATCAATTCTGCAAGGAGGCTAAAGTTGTCCAAGAATTTAATCTCCTATCCCAGGGCTGTAATTATAACAGATACAACTCAGGATGTTAGACTCCCATTCCTACATGCCCTTTGCTGAACCAGGCTTTGATGGAAACTGGACTGCACATGATTTGAAGTTGTCTCCTTTGACAAGAGCCTGGAAAATTTTAGTCTCTGTTGCTGGTTAAGGCCAGATCTGTTCTCTTTGAAAACCAAACAAGCAGATGGTGGGGGCTGACATCCTTTTATAAAGACCAAGCAGCCTGGTCTGTGTGCTTGTTCAGGTGGAAGCTACCCTATCTGAGTATGAAGATGAGCTGCAGAGGTACCAGCAGAGATGCAGGCTTCCTGGGGGAAGCAGCCCTGTGACTGCCCCAGAACTTAGACAAATGCTTGATTGAAATCCCAGAGTTCCACCCCACAGAGCAGCAGAGAAGGTTTTGGCCTAGGAGCTGTTAGGAGCAGGTGTGACCAGACGGCCTCCCCAGCCATAGGAAAAGCTCCCTTAGGCTCCCGTGGTGCCTCCAACCCTGAGAGAGATGGTCCTCTTGTGAGCCTGCCAGGATGAATTAGCTGCAGAGGGCACCCCAAGTCGCTGAATGAGCTGACTTGTGTTTCTGATGGTTTCATATTGACCGATGTTAGAGTACATCTGCTCCAAATAAAAACTGTGGCTTAAACGTCAACTTTTAAGCCATTTCTATTTTTTGGAGAGTAGTTCAGTGTCATTTTTGTCCTGGTACTCTTCATGGTTTAATATGGTAAATTGGTGCCATGGTACCTGTTCAGTTATTGTCTTCCCATCGGCTGTCGTGGATTACTGTGACCTATGAAAGATCTGAGACCTAATGTAAAATATACAATTATATTAATTAAATACGTTGGAAGAAAAAAAATTGTCAGAAAAAAACCCATCCCTTGCTTCTCCTGGGAATTGTATTTACCATTATACCAACTATCAAATTACCTTGGCTATGTCTGTGCAAGTATTAGTTCATTTTTAACAACAGAAGAAGTTTGCAAAGTTTCCAGAACAGGTAAAAGTAACTTAAAGACATTGTCAATTTTTAATTGTAGTTTCTGTGTCATTTTACACACAGTTTCTTTTCTTTTCTTTTTTTTCTTTTTTTCTTTTTTTTTTTTTTTTTTTTGAGACAGAGTCTCACTTTGCCTCCCAGGCTGGAATCCAATGGCGCGATTTTGGCTCACTGTAACCTCTGCCTCCCAGGTTCAAGGATTCTCCTGCCTCAGCCTCCTGAAAGCAGGGATTACAGGCATGTGCTACCCACCTGGCTAATTTTGTATTTTTAGTAGAGACGGGGTTTCTCCATGTTGCTCAGGCTGGTCTCGAACTCCTGACCTCGGGTGATCTGCCCACCTTGGCCCCCCAAAGTGCTGGGATTACAGGCATGAGCCACCGCGCCCAGGGTTTACATACAGTTTCTGTGTGCTAGTCTCCTGGTAGCATTTATTTGATGAGGTTCATTTTAGAGATTGCTATGCATGGGAGCTCTACACATCTCCTATTCATGTAGGAGATTAGTTGGAGCATTAAAGTCTCTTATGAGCAAGAATTAAATCAGGTGTCATAAAATCTTTCCATGGGCCAGTGAAAGATCGGAAGTTGCTCAAGATGGAACCAATTGGAAATGTGCTCCGAACAACCCAGGGGCAGCACAGCTCGTGGTTGCCAGGAGGAGATGCTGGTTCAGTTTCATGGACCTTCTGTTTTCTTAAGACAACATGGAAATTCAAAACTTTTTAAATGTGAAAATTTTCAATCTCAAATGTTAGTGACTAATTAAAATTTTCTAAAAAATAAAGCACCCTTGTTGGTCAGATCCCGACCACGTGCTTTTGACTGTGACCTCTGGCTGATCATCAGTTGCTAAGATTTACCCATCATGCTACTTGTAGACTGAGATCCAGTCTTAAACTTGCATTCAGGGCTCTGGCAATAAGTTAAATTAAAGTTATCCTTTCATTATAGAGACCTATATGTTTTATGAGAAAGAAAATGTTAAGTTTTTTTTTCTCATCATAAATTTTGGTGGTCCCTGTTGGAAATCACCATATTGGTGGGAACAGATAAGAAAAGTGCTATATAAACACTCAGAGAGAAATACAGAGTGTAATTTTTTTCTTTATAATATTTTGAAGATTTTTTCTCATAATTTATGTATTGAAGAGATGTGAGATATTATCAATTCAAATTTCCTCTTGCACTAGAGGCTGGGTGACATTAAGCTCACCAGCTAGTTAGTAACCAAGCCAGGCCTTGAAACTGGTCTGTTCATTTTAAATAATAATTAGCATTAATTGAAATTCTCATGTGCAGTCTGGTTTTCTAATTTTCCCAACAACCCTAGGAGGCAGTTACTGTCGTTACTGCATTTTGCAGACAAGGAAACTGAGGCGTAGGGACTTGTCTCAGGTCATATAGCCAGTAAGAGGTGAAGCTAGTGCAGTATGTTTAGTCCTCATCCTACACTACCAATTATTTTCCAGGCACTCAAATTTGTAAATGCCCGGAGTATTTGGGCTGTTCTAATAAGCTGCAGTTTTCAGAGGCATTGTGTAAGAATCTGAAGATTTCTTATTTATCTCCTATTGTTGCTCTATGTAAATATAATACAGGACATCATCCTAAAAAGTATCCCTGTTCTTTTCCATTGACTGCTGTGTTTGGGCTGTGATTATTTGTAAAGGTCCATTGTGCAAAAACTCTAGAAATTATTTATCGTGAAGGTGCTGGATTTACAAGTCCCCAGTCCTAGAGCGTGGTACAGTGGCTATGGGCTCAGACTTCAGAGGCAGGTACATCTGGGTTCAAATCCTGTTTTGGCAGCTATGTGACTTAGGGGAAGTGATCTGGCATGGCGAGGCCCCAGTTTTGTCTTCTGAAAAATGGGAACAATCATAGAACTCTCCTGGTAGCATTATTTTGTTAGGAGACAGTCCCTGGGTAGCCTTCTGGCTAACACCAGTTAGCACTCCATAAAGAGGGAGTTACTGGTGCTACTTCAAAGCTCATGGCCAAAAAGAAACTGAAAGCTGAAAATGCCACTGCTCAACAGCATGCAGTAGTAAGCTCTTCAAATTTAGATTTTGGGCTTGCTCATTTAGCGTTCTTTCCATTCACGTCCTCACAGTTGGGGTGCATACCCCCTCAAGAATAGAGCCACAGACTGAGAGTCTGATCTTCCGTATCACCTGCACCTGCTCAGGGACTGACTTTCAAAACTCTTTCTCAGCATTTTTGCTGAGAAACTGAAACTGGCTAGCTGTGAACCCAGGGACCAAGGGAATTTTTTTTTTAGAAAAGGATTATTCTACTCCCTATGAAAGAAACCTTAGAGCAGAGAGAATCCTGTCATAGTTGAAATGCCGTGGCTGTAAGCCTGGGAATTTGAGGTCTATCTACTTTTATCAAATCTAATCTATCAATCAATCATCTATCTATCATCTGTCTATCTAGAGATGATAGATAGATTGATAGATATCATCTGGAGATGATAGATTGATTGATAGATTAGATTTGATAAAAATCTATCTATTGGCCGGGCGCGGTGGCTCACGTCTGTAATGCCAGCACTTCAGGAGACCAAGGCGGGTGGATCACGAGGTCAGGAGATGGAGACCATCCTGGGGAGCTTGCAGTGAGCCGAGATCGCGCCACTGCACTCCAGCCTGGGTGACAGAGTGAGACTCCGTCTCAAAAAAAAAAAAAAAAAAAACACACAACAAAAAACTTCTATCTATCTATGTATCTATCTATTTTATTGATCTATCTATAAGGAGGGAGGATGGGGTAGCAGGAAACGATTCCACTTTGAAGAGTCACCATTTGAAATATTCACAGCTGCTTCCATTTCATTTTGATGTGTTGCCAAAGTACAGTTCAGGTAATAAAGTCTAGGCTAAAGGGGAATTTTTCTTTTGAGTAATACCACTATTAAGCTAATATGCTTAAAGACAAGATGCATTAGATACTACTCCTTGTTGCTTGAAGAGATTACCTAGAGGAATTATTTGATAGGTTGTTAAAGCAAATGTGAAACCTTTTAAAATGTAATGAGGACCCTTTCCAGGAACCTGTAAGTCAAAAATATTTCTGTGAATTTTCTCTAAAATTACCTCTTTTCTCTTATTTTCCAAAAAGCCAGCTATAAGCTTTTTGTTAAGCCAAAGAAGAGGAAATTCTTTACCCTCAGAAAAATGTCTTAGTAAAGGTCCTGAATGTCAAATTGAGACTGGAGAAGATTTGGTGACAACACAAAACAAGATGACAAATAGCATGTACTGTGTTTATGTTCTAATTCTTTATCCACTTTCCGATCACTCTTCAAAGCTTGAGCTCAATGCCCTTTCTCCTTTTAAGCCTTCACTGACCTGCCCAATTATTTAAATATATATAAACAAATATATATTTCCAATAATTTTTGTAGTTCCTTCCACTGTGCCCTCACAGGGCAAGTGCATGTACTTCTTCTTAAAACCTTTTCTTTTTGGCTCATCATATCCTGTGGCAGTGTCCACTGTCTCTCCTTAGAGCATCATCTCCTTCAAGATAAAGAATTGCTGGATTTGAAGAATCATGGAGGCCATTTCTAGTCTTACATTCCTCACATGTTGGGGTTCTGTGGCAAATGAATGCTTATCTGCTGAGGGCAATTATTATTATTATTTTAGACAAGATCTTGCTCTGTCACCCAGGCTGGAGTGCAGTTGGCGCTATCATGGCTCACTGTAGCCTTAACTTCTTGGACTCAAGTGATCCTCCCACCTCAGTCTCCCAAGCAGCTGGGACCACAGGCACCTGCCACCATGCCCAGCTAATTTTTAAATTTTGTGTAGACAGGGTATTACTATGTTGCCCAAGCTGGTCTCGAACTCCTGGACTCAAGCCTCCTGCCTTGGCCTCCCAAAGTACTAGGATTACAGGTGTGAGCCACTGTGGCTAGCTGGTTTTTATCACTTAAATAAATAAGTAAATAAGTAGTGGGTTTGAATATGTTGTGTTCTTGTAATCTAAATTAGCTTTTAGATTGGACAAATTTGGGGTTCCAAATCAGCTTTCCACCCCCTTCTGTTATTGTCTTTCCTTTGTTTGCTTGTTTTCTGCATGAGAAGTGAAGCTGTGTCCTATGACGGTGATAAACTCCAGGTGGAGGATCAGTTTGGGTGCCCTAAGTGAGCAGACATTCCTTGAGCATCAGCTCTGTGCTAGGAAACGGAGATCAGTGAGATGAGATGAGGAGCTAGCAATTCAGTTATGGGGTCAGGTAGACTCATAGAAAAATAAAATTGAGGGTACAAAGAGTACCTCCCATTGCTCTAATTCTTAATTGCAAACTTACAAGTGCAATAAATGCTAAAACTGCATGCCAACCGATGGAATAAAAATGTTCTGATTGGAAAAAGCATTTTTGGTGTTGTGTCTACAAATCACTCAAGCAGTCGTGGAGGGTCCTGGGATAGATTTAGATGAGTACATTGATAAGACTCTATCATATAAGATCCAATCTTTAGGGCAATAGTTAATGACCTTGGGATGTAGTAAATGTGCAAAAAATAACAGCAAAAACTGCCCTCATAATATGAGGTCCTAGCAAGAGTCCTGTATATGGACTTGGTAAGGGAGGAAGGCACATTCTGGGCAGAACAGGATGGTTGAAGGCCACCAATGATTCCTGGCAGATTATTAATAAAGGTTGAGGGCCAGGGACCCTGAGGGACTGACGAGGTGAGAGAAATTCCTAAGGAGTACCAAATGAAACAAAAAATCCGAATTCACCATGCCTCTTGGTCACTATTTAAGGGCCGCTGACTTGCCTAAGAGAGCATGCAAGCAACGTCTGCAGGCTGGGGGGTGGAGGGAAGCTCAATTTTCTGAGAAGATGAAAACTCCGTGGACCTCGTGAGATTCCTGTGAGGCAAGTGCGGGGACATGGGCTCTGGGGGCGGAGGGGCTGTGCTTGGAAGCCCCTGGGCCTAAGCTTTCTAGAGCAGTGGGCCTAGGTTAGAGGAGTTTGAGGTTGTCATGGAGAGAAATCTCCTGGTTGGGGTGTGTGCCACAATTCTGGGCCTTCCCACTGCTCCCTTGAGGGAATGGCACCCTTTTTGGAGATGTGTTTTATTAAGCAGAGCTTGACTCGGTGAAGAGCCCACAGTGTCACTGCACTTTAACAGGGGCAGTGGGGAGTGGTTTTCTGGGAAAGAGCCTGCTGCCCGCCTGTCAGTGGCCCTGACCTGGCACTTCCTCTCTCCTTCCTAACCCTGTGCCTTTGGGATCAGTTGCCCTGAGGCAGAGAGCAGGAGAGGCCAGGGCTGTGGAGATCCTCCTGGAGGCAGGTGGAAGTCACCAGGAGGGGGCAGCGCAGCACACACCTTGGTCTTCTGTTTCCATGCGGAGGCTGTGGAGCAGGGAAAGAAAGCTGTTAGCTGTTTGCTGTTTGGGTGGTCCAGGGAACCAAGAACTTGAGCTCGGGTGTGTTTGTCCACTGAGTCACTGAGAAACCCTGGGGTCTGGCTTTCCTGCAGTTATTTCCTTTGTATGGTTGTTGCAGTCTCTGTCTCTCTTTCTTTCCCTCTCTCCCTCCCACCCTTTCTTGCTTGCTGTCTCTTTCTTTTCTTTTTTCTTCATAAATTTTAAAAATTCAAAAAAGTATAATGACATAATAACTTTATATAATTACATTCAGAAATAATAGTTGAATATTTTTAAGCTATTTTTTCTTTTAATAAAATAGTTTAGCAGTTTAATAACATAAATGGTATAAATAGTTTCTGTGTATGTGTGTGTGTGTGTGTAACCCCAGACCCATTCTCCTTTCCCAAGGCCACCTTCCTTGGAATCATCTTTCTATACTTGGCATATCTACTTGACTGTGAACACTATGTGATATTATTTTTTGTGTATTTTTAAAAGTTCACACAGATTGTTTTATGTTACATGTACGTATCAGTATACAATTTTGCTTATCTTCTTTCTCACTTCGCATAGCAGTGTCTTTCTGTTCAAATATGTAGATCTGATTTAATCTAATATATATATATATATATCACCTTATTTTAAACAATGTCTATTTCTTTATGGATGGACACTCGGGTTGTTCCAGCTTTTGACTCTATGACAATGAATGTTGTAATATTCTACTGATCATATTACAATGACTCTTCTTGAGTCCATATGTGAGAACTTCTCTTGGATGAATACCTGGAATAGAATTGCTGGGCCCTGAAGGGTTCTGATTTATAATTTTCCAAGATACAGGCCAAGTGCTTTTCAAAGTAGTTATAACAATTTACACTTCCTCCAACAATTTCAGAGAAATTTCATCACATCCATAGAAATGTTTTACATTGTTAGACTTTAAACATTTTGTCAATCTAGTGGGAGAGGAATAATATGTCATTGTTATTTTAATTTACATTTCACATTTCTTGGGAGATAAGCAACTTTTCATGTTTCTTGGCCACCGAAGTTTTCCCTCTGTGAATTCCCTGTTATTCACCTTACTGGCTTCTTTTCTAACCCTATGATTTGATTCTTCACTTAGTGGTAGCTAAGGAGAGTTTCTTAGGGGGTAGATTTCCTGAGCAGTTTGTAGCTAGCATCTATATTGTGGACATGACTACACGTAGTAGCTTATGAGGGGGAATTCTTAGGATCTACTACTAGAGGAGCCCTTGCTGAAAATTTTTTTTTTTTTTTGAGACGGAGTCTTGCACTGTTGCCCAGGCTGGAGTGCAGTGGTGTGATCTCGGCTCATGTCAAGCTCCACCTCCCGGGTTCACACCATTCTCCTGCCTCAGCCTCCTGAGTAGCTGGGACTACAGGTACCCGCCACCACGCCTGGCTAATTTTTTGTATTTTTAGTTGAGACGGGGTTTCACCATGTTAGCCAGGATGGTCTCAATCTCCTGACCTCGTGATCCGCCCGACTTGGCCTCCCAAAGTGCTAGGATTACAGGCGTGAGGCACTGCTCCTGGCCCTTGCTAAACTTGTAATCCAGCTCTTCTGTTGGCCTTTCCATCTTGACAAGAAGAAAAATGTATTTATTTATCCAGGGCATTCTTGCCCCCACAGTAGAAGCGTATTCTCTAGTGACCATTTTTCATAACTTCTTTTGATGGTGCTTTTGAATGGTTTTCAGCAAAATTTCCTGTCTGGTCTTAGATTTCAGAATAGTGGTGCTTTGCTTAATTGGCTCATTTTCATCTCATGAATACTGTGAATTTACCATTGACCAAATTTATCCTCATCTCCTTCTTTCTTGGACACTGGTGACTAGAAAGCATAGAATTAAGCTTATGTGTGTGTTTTTTTTTTTTTCTAACGAGTGTATGCATTTCTAAATTGAATTCCGGGCTCCGTTGATATCTCTTTATTTTTAATTTATTTTTATTTTTAAATTGTTTTTTTTCTTTTTTTTCCCACATAGTTTTGTGCAATCCATTGACATCTCTACCCCTGTCTTTCTCTCCTCTATGCCTTCCATTTTTATTTGCTGGTTCGTTGTATTCTATTGAATAAAACCGGGGAGTTTATAAATTAAATGTCTGATGAAAAATGAAAAGAAAGGGCATAAGTAACAAAAAGTTAAAGATGAGTGCCTTGTGCAGATCATAATAAAGTCCCCATTGAGTTCCAGGCCCTTGTTGTGAGCATGGAGGATGCAAGGATAATCCAGGAAAAGAGTGAGGAAGAACTCTCAATGACTTCAGGACAGTGACAGGCCTCATGCTTACACAGCTGGTAGGAGGGGACAGGCTTGCCTGGAAGTCTGGATTGTGACTCCAGAGGAAAACTCGCCCACATTATCTATCCTTTTTGCTGTCAGTTGCATGAGAAAAAGTATTAAAATTCAGGGCTCTTTAGAATGCAGTTCTTACTGTGAGATCATTTAGAAGAGTGAGGTCACTGTGGTCTCTATTGAAAATGTTGGTGAAAAATCTTGCAAAAATGTATCTAAAGTATGATAACTCTGAAACAGTTGATGTTAAAAATTGAGCATTCCTTTCAAGTCTTAAAATGTTTCTTTCTTCTATGTGTGGTGGGAGGAGAGAAGGGAACGAAAGCTTCCTGCACATTTATTAAGTGTGCCAGGCCCTGGGTATCAGGGACAACCAAGAATTTTTTCAGAAGAAGCCGCCGTTCTATCTTGGAGGCTGGTTTTTTATGTAACAGGGGACAATGTTTGTGTGGATGCTTTTAAAAGTATTTCTCTTTGGTGTAATTTTGTCTTCTCAGAGAATCTACTGATTTTTATTTTTAAAATTTATTTTCTAAAAAGAGGTGCCCAAACCCTTACTATACAGCTTGTCATCATTTTCTTTCACACAGTGGGGGACCTATAGATGCTGTGTGTTCCTCCCCATCATTTAATATTTTTTTCATTTTAACTCACATTGTTAACAGCAGGGCTGCATATTTGTTTTCAGTGTCTTAATTGGAATATGTTATATATCTTAAATTTTTTCAAAAAGAAAGGGGAGATTTCCTCCTGGCATAATTTCTTGTAATGCCTTTGTAACTCCAAGTGCAGTTCATCTTTTCTCCATCTGTCCATCCATCCGTCCATCCATCCATCCATCCATCCTTTGAGTACCTACCTTGTACTGGGTACTGAGCCAGGTGCTGTGATGCATATTAAGAATTATAAAACAGATCTAGCTATCTCAAAGACATTGTGATCTAAGAAAACTGAATAGACAGGTACTTAAATAACTGTAGTACAGGGTAGAGTATAGGAAATTCCATGATGATGGTTTTAATAGTTATTTGTTTGGATCACTAGGGACTTTACTGATTGCAAATGATAGAACTTAAGATTAACTTAGGTTAGTGACATCTAGCCTGAGAGACAGTTGTATCTAAAGGCTCAAGTGGTATTTTTAGAGTTCTGTCTCTTTAGCTCTGCTTCTTTCTGTGGACTGACTTCATTCTTGGACAGTCTATTTCCTTGTAGCAGAAAATTTCCCCATGGAAGCCCCAGGCCTGTGCCATCCTTCAGCTATGATCCCAGAGTAAGACAGAGACTCTCTCTTCCCCAGCATTCATTTATTTAATCTCGGGGAAGACTCCTCTTAGTGTAATTGAGATCATGTGCACATCTCTAAGCCCACCAATGTGGGCAAAGGGATGGAGTTTTCTCTCTATTCACCCCTATATTGGAGGGCTTAGGGGGTGGGGGAGGGAGGAGGTTCCCACGGAGAATGCGCTAAGGCCATATGGGGTTTGTGAAATGTGGTTCATCAAAGGAAAGATTGATACTGTTACTGACAAAGGCAGAAGGAGGAGATGCTGGGCCAGGAAAATAGAGAGAAAAGAGGAAGGGGTAGGGAAAACGCACCTTAGTATTTTAGGAGGTAAAGGAGGGAGTGGCTGTCTCTCTTGAAATGTGGGGAAATATGTGACTTTTCTTGTGCAGTGATGACAGCAGCATCTCTGTGGCTCTCACCGTAAGAGTGGAAACACCTTTGAGAGGAGTAGATGCATTTCCACGGTGTTTTCACATATGTACACTGGTGATACTCCAAAAGGGAAAGAAAAGTGAAATTGTTGGGTGAAAGAGTGATGAAACACGAGGAGAAATGAAACCCAGTGCAAGGGTTATTGACCATGAAACCTGGTCAGTCATGGTTTCTGCTCAGTCATGCTCAGTTTTGCTCTACTGCTGTATTTAAAAAAATGGCAAGGCTCAGAGTGGTGTGGAGGGAGCACCTTGGACACCTGGGTGAGGTGGATGGGAGTTCTTCATGGTGCTGCTGCCTACATTCTGAGTCACTGCGATTCACTCTCTGCTTTGTTACAGTTTCATCGCAAACCAGAAAAGGTTAGAAATCATCAACGAAGATGATGTTGAAGCTTATGTGGGACTGAGAAATCTGTGAGTACTCAGGACCAGGGCACATTATCTCAGAGAATTTTCCTGTTGTCTGCTCTGGTCAGGCAGGCATTCACTGGTTCGTTCTAATGTGCATGAAATTATGTGTTTTCACAGGACAATTGTGGATTCTGGATTAAAATTTGTGGCTCATAAAGCATTTCTGAAAAACAGCAACCTGCAGCACATGTAAGTAGAGATTGATTCTTTTGCTTCCCAGGACCCATTTTATTCAATATTTCCCCCCTCTGTTTATTTTCCTTCTTTTCCAACTTGAAACCTCCCTTTTTAAAGTTAGTATAGCTGTGATAATAGCTTAGAAACATTAGCTCTGATTTTGTTTGATTTTTTGAATAGCTTCAGAGGGGTACTTAGAACAGGCTGTTTATTCCCTTTCATGAATTTCTGGGCCAGTTCCATCTTGGACAGAGCAATAGGCTAGCAGCAAGGAGTCTGATGTGAAAACTGTGTCCTTGCACAGAGTTCTTGATTTTCTTCCTTGGAATAATGACATACTCCCTGGAAGACATCAAACTAGTGGAATCGAAAGAAGCTGACTTGGCCTTGGCCTTTATAGGGAAATAAAAATTACTGGTGCTTTTCCCCTCACAATAGGATTCTCTTTTGAACCTTCATTTTCCCAAAGCCGTCTGTCATGGTTTGATAAAGGTAGAGAAAAATCAATCATGGGACATGCCAAAGGTACAGAAAATTATTAACAATGGGAAATATTTCCCCAAAGTCTTGTTGATGCTTTGTCCACTGAAGTCAAACGGAAATATGGAAAATGGGAACTGTTAGCTTGTTTGTTGCTAAATCCTCTAGATGATGGCATTTAAGTCCATAAGGTGTGGCTTTCCTGAGAGTTGTCTTCATTAAACTAAAGATCACCTAAGTGCAGAATATTTATGCATCACTGAGCTCAGACTTGTACTCCCATCCCCTGAGTTTTTAGTGGAACTTCTGCCAGAAGGTTGTTGCCTGCATTTATTGATTCTGTTTTGCTGTACCAAATTCTCTTTGCAGTGATACCTTACATGTCATAGTCTATCTGTGGGACCCTCACCTGGATTATTTCACATGATTTTTTTCTGACAATTGGTAGGACAGATCTTTTTTATGCACATTTCATAGATAAAATAAGAGTGAGAGAGTTCTAGGACTTGCTCAGATTCATAGATCGTAAGTAGCAGAGTTATGACTCCAGGGCCAACCCCTCTCCATGTTCTTACAATAAGAGCACAGGAAATAAAATCTGTATCATCCTTAGAGAATCAGACTTTCTTATAAGGTTCGTCCTCTTTCTTTTTTTTTGAGGAGAACAGTTCCCCAACTGATTTCCATGCCAGTTATAAAAGAAACCATTCTCTTAGAAGCAGATTGCCTGGACACTCTATTGAAATTTGTTGATATTATGGAAAATATTAATTTCATAAAGCCAATATCATAGCTTCATATTTTATAGGTGGCATTAATGATGAAGTCACTTTAAAAATAAAGTCTGTAAATTAAGACATAAAACATTCTACAAAAATGTGATAAAACTCCAGGGAACTTTATTAACACATTTCAATTAAATGCTTTTTGGAATCATTTTTGCAGTCTGCACAAATCTTTGCCTGCACAAATCTGATGGCTGCATAGGCCTTGATAGCATAAACAAGAGAGAAGTTGGATAGAAGAAAAAGGCAAAATGCTCTAATGCAGTCACTTAGATGTAATTAATGACCTCAGTGGTTAAGTTCTGGTATTTTCATTACAGTTGACCTTAGACCCAAATTACTCAACAACTGCATTTTACTGGCTCTTTTATCACATCACTTCTCCTAATGTTGTGATTTGGACAGTGGGCTCTGGCTAATTATAGTTTTATTAATAGACTTACTGATTACTTTACTTTGTATATTTTCATTATTGCATGCTATTTCTATGAATATGAAAGCCACTTTGTATATTTTTTCATGTTGATATATGACGGTGATTTTGGTGGTATTCTTTTTTTTTTTTTTTTTTTTTGAGATGGAGTCTCGCTCTGTCACCCAGGCTGGAGTGCAGTGGCTCGATCTCGGCTCACTGCAAGCTCCGCCTCCTGGGTTCATGCCATTCTCCTGCCTCAGCCTCTCCAGTAGCTGGGACTACAGGCACCTGCCACCACGCCAGGCTAATTTTTTTTTTTTAGTAGAGATTGGGTTTCACCGCATTAGCCAGGATGGTCTCGATCTCCTGACCTTGTGATCTGCCCACCTCGGCCTCCCAAAGTGCTGGTATTACAGGCTTGAGCCACTACGCCTGGCCGGTGGTATTCTTTGTGCAGTACACAGCTTATATAAAGTCAAATATCTCTCCCTAGCTTTCAGAGAAGAATTATTTTAAAATGGGAAGCTAAAGGGACATACATATCTTACAGTTTTCTGAAGAAGCAATTGTTGGGATGTCAATCATTGATCAAATTGCAAAAATGCTACTAATATTTATAGCCATTTATTGAATAGTAAGACAGAGAGAAATAGGCAAGTGCCAGGCAGTTATGAAGAGGTCATCAGATGGCAGTAAGCTTCATATAGTCACAGGACAAAAGAGGCTCTTAATCACCAAAATCTGAAATTAAATTAAGTAGTTTGCTTTTGAGAACAGTAGGGAGGAAGGAAGGAATTAAGTCAGGTGTCTGCCTTTCCGGATCTTAGACCTAACCTCTGCTTGTGATGGAGGACTCTGGGGAACAGCTTGGTTGGTGGTCCCCTGATTTTCCACATGCAAATTGCACTCTTCCCTCAAATATCAACGCAGTGGGGTGCAAGGGAGCTGATAACAAAATATGTATTAAAAGCTGTTTCTCTCTACCCCTGGGATATACTGATGATCTCTCTGAGTTTCCCCAGCAATATAAAAATGCATACAAGATCAGTCTATTTCACTTCGGGTTTTAGGGAAATTTAAATGGGATCCTCTCTCTCACTTTCACCACTTCTCCCCCTACCCTGTCCATGTGAGCATCACATGGGGACTGCCCAGAGCCCCAGAGACTGGTCACTGCGTTATTTCTTGATGCCTTTAATTCCTGCCCAGCCCCTTAGAGCCCAGGGACTGTGAGAAAAGCTGGTATTTGTGTTTTCCAGGGACTTTGCAGAGGTGCTAATTAGCTCCCTTGCAAAGCTCTATAATCAAACAGTAAGAGGATTGTTGATTTTTTTCCCTCCCCTCTTCCTCCATTTTGGCTTTTGGCCCCAATAATAAGTATGGCTCATAAAACTCATCTTGTTCTTTGGCCGGTAACCCCGCTCTTTGCGGTGCTGCTGGCAGCCCCACAGAGGCAGCAGCTCTGCGGGGCGGCGGTTTTACCAGCAGACAGGGAGACCCTTCACCCTAAGCCTCCTCTTTCTTTGCTGCCTCTCTCTGCCTTTTTCTTGAGGAGGAAAGCAGGTTTTTGGTTTTTCGTTTGTTTGTTTTAGAAAGATTGGGACTTCTGATGAAGATGAAAGCATTGTGCCTTAGAAACTGTGGAAGATAGGCAGACTGACTTTTCAATGCATTGTATACCAGTGAAACCCATTCTTTTTTTTTTTTTTTTTTTTTTTAAAGAAGGAGTCTTGCTGTTGTCGCCCAGGCTGGAGTGCAATGGCGCCATCTTGGCTCACTGCAACCTCTGCCTCCCGGGTTCCAGCAATTCTCCTGCCTCAGCCTCCCAAGTAGCTGAGATTACAGGCAGGCGCCACCACACCAGGTGAATTTTTGTGTTTTTAGTAGAGACGGGGTTTCACCATGTTGGCCAGGCTGGTCTCAAACTCCCAACCTCGGGTGATCCAACAGCCTTAGCTTCCCAAAGTGCTGGGATTACAGGTGTGAGCCACTGCACCCGGCCAAAACCCATTCTTAATTCACGTTCCAAAAGAAGAGACCTATGTGGGCACATTTTACAACTTCCTGGTGGATTATTTTTCATGTGGGTGAGCACTTTATACTCAGTGTGAAGAGAGAAGATGCACGCCTAGGAGGAAGGACGGTACCCTGTGTAGGTAGGGGTTTGGATGAGTGGAGATCTTAATATAGAATTAAGCTGGGAGTGGACACACACATTCATGATTTGTGAGACACCAGAGTGGTAGGTTCTTTCTTATCAACTGACTAGCCTTAGTTCATGCTTTAGCTCCTGGTTGTAATGCCAGGACTGTGTGACTGATCAAACACACTAGGATACTTCAGTGATGACTTCCTTGGGCTGACGGCAAAGAGTAGCCTCAGGTGAGGGGCCAGGATCACTGTCACCCTCAGATCTCATGTGTGTTATTTTTTGTTTTTGTTTTTTTTTTTTTTTTTTTTGAGACGGAGTCTTGCTCTGTCACCCAGGCTGGAGTGCAGTGGCACAATCTCTGCTCACTGCAAGCTCTGCCTCCCGGGTTCATGCCATTCTCCTGCCTCAGCCTCCCCAGTAGTTGGGACTACAGGTGCCCGCCACCGCCTGGCTAATTTTTAGTATTTTTTTTAGTGGAGACGGGGTTTCACTGTGTTAGCCAGGATGGTCTCGATCTCCTGACCTCATGATCCACCCACCTCGGCCTCCCAAAGTGCTGGGATTACAGGCGTGAGCCACCGCACCTGGCCAGATCTCATGTTTTATCCAACTCTCAACCCAACACTTGCCTTCCTCGGCAGGAAACACACACTGAAAGTCTCATTGACTTCCTCCGGTTTGTAGAGGTCTTGGCTGTTTTTATGAAAGTTGATGTTTATTTTACATTCATTTTATTTATTAAACACATCTTGAGGCCCAAGCATCGGATACTCTTTAAATAAATTTAAACAGTAAACAAATTCGCAGAGTGAGTCGGCTGCCAGGGTTATGGCTCTGAGTTTCCTACCCCAAAATCTCATGACACTGATCATTGGAAACTCTTTTATAGAATCAAATTACATGTTTGGAACATGTCAGTAAATTATTATTTTTTTTAGTCACAAATATATCTTTTTATTGTCTGGTTGGTCTAAATCTGAAGATGGTATGTCACTAGAATGGTTCAAGATGAAATCTGACATATTCCTTGTTACCTAATTTTTGTTTGTTCTCATCGTGGAGGTATGCGGTTATTTAGATCATATGTAAACAATCTCAGTAGAGTTTTTTTTATCAATAAAATGTCTTTCCTATAAAGACGTATTGAATTCAGTTAATATTCAGAGTTTTGTATGCCACATAATTTCAAAATATCCATGATGCTCTTTAGTTTTAAGGCATATTTTTTCCCTACTGGGTTTATAGTTTTAAATTTTATTTAATCTTACATATCCTCCTATTAATTGTTCAAAAGATCAGGGTTTCTATAAGATATATAACTTGGCTCCAAATCAACATATGAAAAGTAAGCTTTTGGGTGAAAAAGACATTAAAAATACACAATATATTTATGCTACCCCTCCCAGCAAAGAAAAAATTATAGACAAGGTTAGAGGAAAAACTCAGCTATCACTCTAAGTGAAAGAGAGAGAGATCTGGATGTAAGTAAAGCTTATATAATGATCAAATAAAATTATATTTTGAAAAACAAATCTCTATTTGAATACTGTGTTCCTAAAATGTAACATTTTAAATTCATGTTTAATGTTTTTGATTCCTTTCAGCAATTTTACCCGAAACAAACTGACGAGTTTGTCTAGGAAACATTTCCGTCACCTTGACTTGTCTGAACTGTAAGTAATGATTTTGTGTGGCATTTGGGGAAATGTTTTCAAAGGAAGGGGTAATTAAGTATTTTTCTTTTAATGAGTGATGTTGCAGATCTATTTTTATACCAAATTCTCAAAAAATGATTTCTCAAGTTTCAGTCTCTCAGTCTTTTATTCCTTCAAGGTTTATTATCTCTCATTTTTAAAATTCAGTAATTAAAAAAAATAGAAATCTCAGTAGTGACATATCATTTCTGATTCATTTAAATGTTGATTTTACATAAATAATTTCTGGTACAGGGAAAAAAGAGAAAAAGAAGGGGGCTTTGTGTGAAAACGGCTGTATGCTTTATATCTCACAGCTCTGGTTTGGTTCCTGTTGGATCCAGGCCCTAAAGTCAAGCAAACCCATTCAAGGAGGAAATAAAAATGGGCAAAACTCTGCTCACTTTTGTCCATCTTAAGGATAGGGGACATTGGAGGAGAGGTAGTTGTTCTCTCTCCCCACCCATCTTTGTGAGATTTTCTTCCAGATCTGTTATTGCATTCAATATTTATTTTTAAGTCCCATTTTCTTCTGTTGTAAAATGATAGAAAACGTATTGAAAGGTGTTGATGACTAACAGCCAGGATTTCCAAGTGAGCTCCATTCCTTGCATTGTCCCCATTAAACAAATATGAACTGTTGCTATTCTTATGGTAAGGCACCTCAAAGCATCCTAATGCAGAGGCTTTGTGGGGCAGATGTGGGCCCAGGAAGAGGCCTTTGAAGATTAGGCAATGGCATTTGCTTAAACTCTATCTTGCCTGAATTGTGGAGTCTTTTTATGAAGATCCATCCTTATTCACAAGGAAATTGTGCAGATTGGAAGATGTCACTGCTGGAGAGACAACAAGTTAATAGGTGTAATGGGTGTTATATGGTGAAAGTCTTGGCAATTGAGAATTATTTGGAATAAAGTGAATTCAGGACGTTGAAGCACTAATGCTTCTAACACAGGAATAGGCATGACAAACTAAAGGAAGATACATGAGATAGGGTAAAGTACTTGGTGTAAAAATTTTGGGCAACATTGTGTAAAATTTTCTTGCTGGATTAAAAATTAGAGTTTCAATTTCAAATTTATGTCTCAATATTCTTCTTGAAGCATATTTAATCAATTAATTCAACAAATGTTAATTGTGTACCTATTACAAATCAAAATGATATGGCACAGGGCCATGGGGATAAAGGGAGAAAAGTTTCTATGTTCCTGGATTCTGTTATCCAGTGGGAGAAGTAGAAACCTAAAGATAAAAGTGTAATGTGCTGTCATAATCATCGAGCTTGCATAGTAAGCTGGAGAAAGAAGCCAGCTGTGCACCAGTGTTGTGTTGTCATATGAACATTGCTGTATTCATAATTGAAGCATTCCTTTCCTTCTTTATCCCTTCTGCTGAGTTAATGATATCTTCTTTTAGAAAGACTCTTTAGTTTTGCATGTACTCAGAGCTCCAGGAAGCATTTTGGATTAGTGGGGTTTAAACTGGTGGTGGGTCTTTTCTGCATTCTATTCCATATCTCATAACATCAAATCCCATTTTGGTGTTGGAGGGATACTTGGAGGCGATCAAGCAGACACAAATTAAATGAGTCTACCATGACCACATTTTCCCCTAAGAAACTCCTGGAAAAGTCTCCAGGGATCCCTGAGATTCTTAGAACCCAACCAGAAAACCACAGGAGTAAATGATGTTGCAAAGCCCAGGTCCTGTCTTCACGGAAATCTTAAGTATTGTGGTTAATGCCAGGCAGAGTCTATGTAACGATTTTAAATGGCCTCATTTAAAGGCTCATTACCATAAATGGAATTCATCTTAAATAGGCCACTGAGTATTACAAATAAGCATTTAAAGATTTTTTTTTCCTTGTGGTTTTTATTTTCCTCTTGACTACTTCCTCTTTTACCCATTGCAGGCCACAGGAGTCCAGGCAGCATGGCTGAGGTCTGAATGGCGGTGGCTTTCCACCCACAGTGGTCTAACGCAGCTCAATCTGCAGCTCAGTTGCCTTGCCCTCAGAATAGCTTGCTCTGTGTGTGTGTGTGTGTGTGTGTGTGTGTGTGTGTGTGTGTGTGAAGGAGGTCTACAGCTTCCTTTCAGGTTCTCTCTCTCACCTTTACTCCAGCTATCTTGAATCAATGAAACTGACTGTGATTGTATAATGCAGAAAGCTAGGGGTGCCAGCCTTCTGGCATTCACAATTTAGTCTTAGCTTTGTACTTACAGTCTCATTTTAAATTGAGATGAAATTGTTCTGCCCCCTGCTGAAGTTTGAGCTTAGAAAGTGGTAACACTTGAGCCTTTAGCCTGGTCAGAAATAAGTATGTTAGCATTCCTGAAAACTTCTTGTTGGCATCCTTTTAATAACTCTATAATAACCATGATAAATTTGTCATGGCACCTTATTTTCCCCATGTTATGAGATGTTCTTTTCTATCCTATATTTTGGCTATTTCTGTCTCTATCTTGTTTCCCCTGTTATTCTGTAAGGTCTTCTATCATTCTCCAGTGCTGTCTGCATATAGGAGATGCTCCGTAAGTATCAGATAAATGAAGGAATAATAAGTACTGTCATGCTATGAAAGTGGTATGACTTCCAAGCATTGCTGGCTAGAAAGAATTCATAATGTTGTAGTATTTTACAAGCACTAATGTAGCTAAAATGGAAAAAGGAACTTGATCTGTTGTCATTTTTGTTCCCTGTAGGATCCTGGTGGGCAATCCATTTACATGCTCCTGTGACATTATGTGGATCAAGACTCTCCAAGAGGCTAAATCCAGTCCAGACACTCAGGATTTGTACTGCCTGAATGAAAGCAGCAAGAATATTCCCCTGGCAAACCTGCAGATACCCAATTGTGGTAATTTATTTTTAAATCAATGTGTTCTAGTTGCTATTAATTATTCTCATTGCCTTGGTGCGGTAGTCTGGGAAAATTACCACTACCTGGATTGTATATAGTATTCTGTTGATGTCTCCAGTGACTCAGACAACATTTATGTGCAGTGTGGAGTAATCTTTGCAAGTAGAATATTAATTCAGAGTGGATGGCTGTAAAGTGCATAGAGAAAAAGTACACTGCTTATTCTTTTTGTTTGTTTGTTCATTTGCTTATTTGTTCATATTTGTTTTTCCATCTATCCATCCATCCATTTATCCACCCATCCATCTGTGCAAAAACTATCTGCTAAAAGTGTGGCACTTCTCTGGCCACATATACCCTTGGATGGCACCCAGGCCAAGGATCTCAGGGTGATGAAAGTGTCCTGGCAGCACAAGCAAATCCAATTCAATCCAGCACATTCCCTTAAACTTGTCTTACTGCCAGAGGTCTGTGTCTCTTGATGGGGTGCCCCAAGTCTGCCATGCCACGTGCTTCTCCCCATGTCTGGATTTAAGATCTCCTACTTTACCGTCATCCCCTATTCCTCTTCCCAGCGTTTTCATCTCCAACATTTAAAAGGGCACCGAATGGCAAAATCAGAGCTCATGTGAGTGCTAGTGAGTTATAAGGAAGGAATAGCAAAGTGTTCTGCTTAGGATTTTACTAGTCTTCAGTGATGTACCTCTACAATACCCACACATGCATGTTACTACCCCATTGACATTTGAATCGGTTAGTCAACCAGTTAACAAGTTCACAAACAATTATGTTTGATCTTCTGGCCTAGTGGCTGGTGACACAGCAGAAAGCCATGTAGCACCTGGTTCTTGTGCACAAGGAATCTGTGTATTAATCACAAACAACCGATTCTTTGTTTTCGGAAGACGCTATTATTTGAGGTCTATTTTTTATTTAAGAAAAATGGAGCTGCTGCACACGCTTTGTAGGAATGCGATAAAAATAAAGATATGAGTCTGTTTCTTACCCTGAATGACCTTAGAAGACGGCCCTGACCCTTCCCACAGATTTTTCTGTCACAAATAGAGTCCTTTGGTTTCATAATGGGGGAATAAGGCTTTATTCTCTTGCCAACCTCTGTCAGTTTTCTTTGCTAGCTAACACTTAAAAAATAAAAAAACTTTTAATATGTGTCTTTTCCTGATTGATAAGAGGGTAACTGTTCTCTGTTCTGGTGCAAATTTGTACTGCTGAGAGAAATTGCCTAGAGGGACAAGAAATTCAATGTTGAGTCACCTGGCCTTTTGGCCAGCTCCCAAATCCCCATGGCAGTTGTGGCCACATTGGTTCAGCAACCACTGAGAGGAAAAGAGAGAAAGCATCTGACTCTTGCTCTGATTTCACAAACTGCCTCTTAACAGACGTCTGCTTTGTCCTTGCCTGAAACCAATTTCATTTTTTTCCATTGTAATTTTTGGTTGTGTTGTCTTGGCAGCATTCCGGGAATGCACCCCGCCTTACGTGTTATTGCTCGGCCATTGTGATTGGGATAGGGGACGTGTAGGGAGTGAACTGGTCCTCATTTTTCCTAAACAGTTTGTCAATTTTCAGTCATTTTTTATTTCTGTTTTCTACAAATTAGTCAATGAATTGTGTGTCTAAGAGTGAGGTTTTGAATCTACTGTAATGAGGGCATGGGCTCAATTGATCGATTAGGACTGAATGGTTACATTCACGGTAACATTCACAATTCATTTCAATGTCAAGGATGCTTTTCAAAAAGCAACATTATAGAAGAGTGTGGCAAGTGAATCGACAGACTTATTTTTCCTATCGTTTTTGTGTTCTTAACTGTTTTGTTCTTTCCCTTTTAATTTTTATTCTCTTTCAAGTGTTTTACTTTTTATAATTGCATGTATTATATTGATATGTCTTGTTGCAAAAGTAATTTCCTACATTACACATATGATGTTTGTCTTTTTCTTGCCTAACCATTTCTCCTAACCATTTCAGGTCAGTAGTCATAGATCTGTCATATTCTTTTTAACCATTACGTGAAATTCATGATACAATGTGTCTTAATTAATTAAGTGTTCCATATTGACGAGCATTTTGCTTATTTTCCATTTTTTCAATACTGCAAAAATGTTTCAGCAAGCATCCTTATTCATGCTTTTTACACATATGTACAAGTGCAAAGTTTTTTCTAGAATACACAGAAAGAAGCAGAATTGTTGGTTTATGTGGTTTGCACATGAAAAAATGGCTGTATCTATTTATGCCCACCCTAACAAGGTATACCTTGATATTAGCAAACTTGTTAGTGTTTGTCTTTCTAAAAACTGCTGTCATGGCTTTTGAGTTTGCATTTTCCTGATTACTATTGAGTATCTTATATGTTTATTGGACTGTGTTTATGCTTCAGTAAATTTCCTGTTTATATCCTTTGTCTATTTTTCTGTAGGGTTTTTCTGTTTCTTTACTTTCATTGTTCTTTGTTTTTTCTTAATTGTTTGAAAGTGATAAATATTCTCTTTTTAAAAAAGTCTATAATACTGAAATATTTTCTGCACAAATTTAAATATGTATTTTCTGCATAGAGATAACCACCAATAAGGCAGAAAAAATATTTTTGCTTCCCTTTACTTCTCCTCCCAGCTCTCAGTTTGTTATCATCTGGGATTTTATTTTTGTATTGTTACCTGGCTTTTTTGAAGATGTCATATTTCTTTGTATATCATAGACTTTTGTGTCTTACTGTGTTCTTTTGGTGTGATTGTTCTTTTTGCTGGAGTATATCTTCTAATACTTCTTTCATAGAAATTAAAAAAATAAAATCAAGTTCTTGGGTGGTGGGAAATTGGCCTGTATTTTTTCTTCTCAGTGGAATTTGCTGAGTAAAAAATTATAGGCTCAAAAACTGAGAACTTTGAAGATATTGCACCATATTCTTTTTGTATTGAGTGTTGCTGATGAGAAGTCTGAGGTCAGTCTGTTGCTTGCTCTTTCTAGGTAAACTGTGCTTTTTATATTTTTTCCCCTCTAGAGGTTTTGAGAATTTACTCCTTATCCATGTTATTCTTAAATTTCACCACAACGTAACTAGATGTGGGTTTTTTTTTTTTTAATTCTGCTTATTGTGAGGGATACCTTTTCAATGTGTGGGTTCATGTCTTCAGTTCTGGAAAATTTTTCTTATTGATTTGCTCTATGTATTCTTTCCATTTATTCTTTCATTCAGGAATCGACATTGGATAGATATTTACACTTTTGGCTCCACCCATGCTGGCCACCTTTTCCTTAGTAGTTTCCATCTGCTTGTCCTTGTGTACCGCATTATGGGAGAATTGGTTTGCTCATTACTTAGCTTTTCAGCTGTTTCTCCAGCTGCTGATTTTTTTTCCTTTCAACCACTGATGATCAATTTCCACAATCTCTCGTGAGTCATTTTTTTTGTGACTGAAATGCCCTTCTCCATACGGGGTTTGCTACATCAGCAGGGAGTCCTGCAATCCTGCCTCTACTTTTCGGTCCTTTGAAAGCCTCACTATTTTGTGAAGCACATGGTTATGTGTCCACTTGGGGCTGTACTGCTTTTCATTAATCCTCTTCTGCTTTCTCTCGCTTAGGAGTTCTTTATAGTTTCTTCTCCATCAGCGATGTGCCTTCTCACTTTCCAACTTTGTTCTGGGTTTTAAGAAAAATATTGAGTATCACTTCTGGATATCTGGGATAAGAAAGGGAGCCTTCACTTTGGGGCTTAGTCATGTATTAATTTTCTTTTGATGGTTTCCCAACTTTGGTTCTTTCAGGAGAAGTTATAATCTAGACAGAAAATGACACTAGAATGTTGGATTTAAATTCTCTGGAATTCTGTGTTGAAGAAACCAGATAATAATACGCCAATATCTTCAAGTTAGATAAGTCTTCAAGTCTTGTTTGAAAAAAATGAATTTATGGTCAGCTGGCTTTTTCTTTTACATATACTTTAAAAACACATCTGTTGTGTTTAAGTCACAGATTTGAAGTTCATCTTATTTCCACACTTTTTTTGGGGGTAAAACTTTTTAGCTAACTCTGAATCAGTGAAGACCATGGTCTTGTGTGTGTCATCTTTGTAAACCAACAATTTGCCAACTACTGTGGCCATTGTATTTAGTTTGCAATTGGTACTATTTTTATTTCAATGAAAAAGAAGAGCTGCTGAGATTTTATTTGTTTGTAAGATGAGTTTTCTTTAAAAGTTTCCCTTGTTAGTATTTCATCATAGAGATATTATATGGAGAACAAGTTCTCTACATTTTATATGCAAATATGCATATTCCATGGTGCCTGCTGTACTCCTTGATCATAACAGGCATTTGATGAAGGTTTGCTGAATTAACAAATGCATGAACCATATCATATTAATGTTCATATTGGACCAGGTTTTTAATATAATGGTGTGAACGTTTCAGTTAATTAAAAATAACTTACATACATTATTTTAGCCAAATTATTCTATAGTTTAGTATTTTTTCATTATTTTTGAAATTTTTATCTTGATGGCATTTTTGAGAGAGTCTCATTTCTTCTTTTTTCTTTATATCCTTAGAGATTAATCGAGCATGATAGATGGGGCTGGGAAGCTTAACTGCATCATTCTCATTAATAGTGCAGTCAAAATGCCTCACAATATTTTTCTAACAGTCCCCTCCTGCTGTGAATTACTGTAAATTTATTCATGCTGTAAAACAAGTGGTGGTTCATTTCTTCAAACGGCCCTTCTAAACCTTAGAAAAACTTTGTTAATTGCAAGGCAAGAGAACATTTTCATATAACATTTCCACATTAATTGGAATAGAGAGGTGCTATGAGCAGTGGTTCTGAAGACTGAAACAGAATCATGTAAGTGCTGGTGAAGAAAGCTGATTTGGCCAGGCTGTGCTGATTATCATCTCGTATAAAAAATCTCCCTGCTACTTCTTCAAGTGTTTCTAATGAAATTATTTATCACGTAGTATTTTCTTTTTAATTTCTGCTCAATTCCTGCACACTTAGATGATTTTCAGCAGTTAGTCTTGCAGTAGAAACCTTTCAGTCACCTCCCCTGGCATAATGGGATTATTAAGGAGAAGTGGATGTTATATTTTAATTTTAAAAAATACTATCATTATTATTTAAATCTTATCTGAGAGCTTCTTCAGCAAGTGTTAATAGTACATGAAATGCTCTGTCTTAAGTTGATGGCAAATACATTTAAGAAAGGCAGTATTCCTCTGGGTCATATCAAAAGAATCCCTGCACCTATTTTACTAGTAACTAGTTACCACACAGAATAATAGTCCCACAGTGAATATAAGGTGGCAATTCACTTGTTGGTTGAAGAACTGTGCAGTTACTATATAAACCATCCTTAATGGTCCCATGGATTGAAATCAGACTTGCCTTTGATTTCCTTCCTATTTATTAGGACAATTTCAGTTTTCCACTTTTCCAACCTTCCAACTTTTAATGTAGAAGCTTTTAAAGGCACATCGACAAAATACTATTTATGATAGTGAAGGTCAGTTCACAGGTGCCCAGGAGGAGAGGCCGGGTTCCTTGAGATAAATTGAATTTAATGATTTATTTTTAAGAATTACTTTTGGTTTCAACCACAGTTTGTAGCACATATGTCTGTGTAGCATATTTGTACATACTCCTTCTTTTGTTCGTGTTGAACCAAGAAAATAGACTGGTAGTAATTCTACTTTGTTAACACTCCCAGATTAAAAGAATATGCTATATTAATGCTCTATGTGGAAGTTAGAGTGATATGAAACATTATTTTCTTAGCAACTTAGTTGGATTGGCTTTCTTTCCTGAAAACCACACACAAAGGCTATTTTAGTGTACTGCTTTGGTTTAATTTTCTTAGAGATCAGGTTTTATCTCCCAAATCAAGCAAACCACACAGTGGATCGTTGTTTTTCTTTATCTTCTTAGAATGTCAAATGAAGTTGTTTTTTTCTCATCTGTCAACTGCTGTTTAAATTTTTGTGTTTAGAAGTTATGTAGTACCTGTCACTATTGTGACATGGCTCACATGTGTTTAGAAGTGCAGTTTCAAATTTGAGCTTGCAAAGTCATTTTGCTAACTTTCTGTCATTTTTCCTACCAGGTATAAAGCAATCACTTCTAAATAGGTCAGGCTCATTTTGACTTCATTCCTGGTTGTGGAATATAGCTGTTCAGGAGGCAAAGAACTTGGAAGATATGACAAGGAGGTGGAAGGGTAGAGGGGAAGGTTATAGGGTTTTAGTATTCTGTTGAGAGAGAATTAAGAGATAGGTCAAGTGTTTATTTGTTTTAAGTTCTGTTATGTGTGCACAAATAGAAGTGAGAGGAGAGAAGGCAGAGAACAGACAACATTATAATTTACTTGAATACTTTTATACATGTGGAATGATGACCCAACATGAAATGAACAGAGCTCAGGATCACTGAAGCAAGCTGAAAACAAACACAAGCAAGACCTACTGGTGATTACTAAAAAATGTTAGTAAAACCCAACCTTAACCCATCTTATTTGTTGCCAAACTGGGTTAATCCAAAATGACTAGAGATTTGTTTTTCCTTAAGAGAAAGTGAGGGCCTACACACTTTGAATGAGTGATTGAAGCACCTAGTCAATTTGGTCAACTCTCAAGAAGTATGCACTAATAGGTGGAAGCAGAGACATGGAAGATCCCAGCAAAGGAGGCAGCCAGAATGCTCTGGTTAAGGCCCTGGACAGACAGATGTGGGCCAGGGCCAACCCCACTGACTAGCTATTTAGTCATAATACTTGATAGCCTTAACTTCTTCATCTGGAAATAGAAATATTAATGGCACCTACTTTCTAGGATATTTAGGATGACTGATAAGGTGATAAATGGAAAATATTTAAAACAGAGTCTAGCACATACTAAGTACCCAATAAATAATAGCTATTACTATCATCAACAAGAATAGTTAGATTTAAATGTATTTTACATCTGAATTTAAATATATGTATATCTTATATTTTGTCAAATTGCTTGAAATGAAAATAAAGCCACAACAAACATTACAATCAAAGAACTGATTATGTACTCAAATCTGCTTGGGGAATGTAAGATCAATGGAATTCAAATGGATTTCTTTATAGCAGGAGTTCTCAGAACTTTTAATTTTCTAATGTGCATTGTGAACATCCAGAGCTTCTTACAGAGCCTCCTTCTCCTTCTCCTTCTCCTTCTTCTTCTTCCTCTTCCCCTTCCTCTTCTTCCTCCTCTTCTTCCTCCTCTTCTTTCTTCTTCCTTTTTTTTTGTAATCTTGGATTTTTTTCCCTCTAGAATCTCAATAAATTAGAGTTCTATAAGACACACTTTGGGGAAAATTTGATGGACAACTCAGGTCCATATCAGATTTAAGAATAATAGTTGTAGGAACAAAAGCCCTTTGAACAATTGCCCGACACTTATGGTCTAAATCCCTGTCCTTCCAAGTGTGTTCTGTGGAACAGAGAGTTTGCTAGAAATGCAAATTCTTAAGCCCCAACTCAGACATATTGGAAAAGAAGCTACATCTTTAACAAGATACCCTGGTGATTCATACACACAATAGAGTTGTGTGTATGAATATTCTTACACACAACTTTGTGTGTAAGCTTTGGTGTAAAGAAAAGCTTTGGGAAGCTTTGGTGTAAAGAAAGTCAACATTTTCACTGCCTGGTTGATGATTTTCTGCTGAGGTCTACAGGCCAGTACATCCTTCCTGAAGGAATCCAGATCAAGAGACATTTACGCAGAGGTATCTGTCTGCCTGAGAAGCTGGTCATCTCCGATCTCCAGCGAGGTTCCCCAGAGTGCAAAGGAAGACAGCTGTAGGGCTTAGAGTCAGGATCCTTTTACAGTAGAGCTAGCAGCTCTTGGAAACGTTGCTGGGCTTTGCTGTGTACTTGTGCTGATTTCAAATCTTGTTAAGCCAAGAAGTAGTGCCTGGCAAATGGTTGATCCTGCCTTGGCTATTCATGCTTCCCAATTCATTTTTATTGTGCTAATTAAACCTCGAGTGGTATTTCAAGTACAGATTGTTTTTTCCATTATTGAATCTTTGGCCAGCATATTAACGCTGTAGAATTAACATGAGTCAGATGCTTACTTATTTGTGGAAGACTTTACATTTAAAAGATCAAGACTTGGCCAATTTTGCTCAGATTCCTTTGGAAACTGCGATGACAGGGTGATACAATTTCTCTATAAATAAAGGAGACTCACTCTTCTACAGAATAGACACGTAATTATTTTTAAATGAAATAATTCCTTTATCAAGGAATCATAAATACCACTTTATCAGTGGTATTTATGGTCCATGATGAAATGGATATGTACAGCTCGGGAGGTAGTGGTGAAGACCCTGACCTTTGAGTTCAAATTCTAGGTCTATATGTACTCGGACAATGTTGAATAATGTATTTGACTTTTCCAAAACTCATATACTTCATTAATTAAATGAGGGCAAAATACTTATCTTCAAGATTGGTTCTAAGGATGAGATAAAACAAGGTACTAGGCAAGAATATCTGGTTCAGTGAATGCTCAATAAATGATAATATTAGTATCACTATAATTAAATGCTTTTAGAGCTGTTAATTATGTAAGCTTGAGTTTGAAAAAAAACCCACATTAGATTTTATAGGAAAAATTAACATTATGACATAACATTTCCTACTGAGAATCTCTTTATTTTAACCTTTCTCTCCTCAGAATTTCCAAACTATTAGATACATTTATAAAGGTAGGAAATTCATCCCATGGGTTTGTACTTGAAATGCCAAGGTGGGTGTCTTTAGGCTTCATCAGTGGGGTCTGGCTATGGAGGGGGTCATACCTTGAGAACAAGCACCATGACGGGCCTTGACTCTGATGGTCACCCCAGAGTCAGCAGATAAATCTATAAATATAGAAAGTGGAAGAGTCGGCTGGGCACGGTGGCTCATACCTATAATCCTAGCACTTTGGGAGGCTGAGGCGGGTCGAGTGCCTGAGCTCAGGAGTTTGAGACCAGCCTGGGCAATGTGGCGAAACCGCATCTCTACCAAAAATACAAAAAATTAGTCAGGGGTGGTGGTGTGTGCCCATTATCCCAGCTACTCAGGAGCCTGAGGCACAAGAATCACTTGAACTCAGGAGGCAGAGGTTGCAGTGAGCAGAGATTGTGCCACTGCACTCCAGCCTGGTTGACAGAGCAAGACTATCTCAAAAAAAAAAAAAAAAAAAAAAGGGAGAGGGAGAGTCAACAAAGCACAAACACTTGCAAGCTGAAAAAGCAGATGGTTGAGTAGTAACTGACTTAAAGGGTGAGAATACTGGTTACCAAGTTGACAATGGAGAAAGCCAAGGGGAAACTTGGTTTATATGGCAGAACTACTACAATGCTTAGAGTGTGAGAGTACAGGGAACACCAAACACTGTATTGGTTGAAAGTCGGCTAAGCCCAGGTGACTGCACCTCTCCTGCCTCAGCAGAAAACCGGAGGCTTAATTCTCTAAAGTGGATAAAACAAAGGTTCTGAGAAACTACAGATAGAGTGAGGCCATGGGAACCATAAAGAATATGATGGATTTACATACTGAATATTAATATTTCCAGACCTCTTTCTCCTCCAAGCAGGAAATTGGAAGAGCATTATTTGAATAATTTGACCACCCCCTTCCTCAAAATGATTTCATGATCCTGACATCAGGTGGTACCTAGTAAATTGGCCAATAATATTGTCCTACAATGAAGATGACAATTCATAAATTTGTGCGATGTTTCTAGTACCCCATTCTTAAAGATGTATGAATAGCCAGACATAATTGAGGAAAGCTTATAATTGAAAGATAAACACAAAAGCACCAAAGAGAGAAAGAGAGGAAAAAAATGCGAAAAACAAAGCTGATATAGAGAAAAGAAAAATTCAAGAAATGATTATAAATATATGATAGAAATCGTAAGAGACATTGCATCCATGGAACAAGAAGAGGGTGCTATAAAAAAAGAACACTCAGGAACAAAAGAAGGGCCTTGGGAATAAAAAATTGACAGAGGAATGAACAACCTTAAAAGGGGGCTTTAAAGGTTAATCTAAAAAAACTCCTTGCAAATAGAGCAAATAAATGAAAAGTTGGAAAATAGGAAAGGATTAGAGAATTAAATGGACTATCTATAAGGTCCAACCTCCAAACAATAGTTCTAAGTGGTAAGAAAGCATGTGTTATAGTTATATTGGCACATTTTTTTCCTTTCATAGTGGTACATATAACGGTGTTGCAACCTGTAATTAATACCATTTTAAATTTGATGAAATAAAGTAAGTATTGCATATTAGATGGTTCTGGTGTTAGTAAGGCTTGCATACTCATAATACTCATAATAATCTTTTTTTTTTTTTTGAGATGGAGTCTTGCACTGTTGCCCAGGCTGAAGTGCAATGGCGCGAGCTTGGCTCACTGCAAGCTCCGCCTCCCGGGTTCAAGCAATTCCCCTGCCTCAGCCTCCCAAGTAGCTGGGATTACAGGCACCCGCCACTGCGCACGGCTAATTTTTTGTATTTTTTAGTAGAGATGGGGTTTCACTATGTTGTTTAGGCTGGTCTCCATCTCCTGACCTCGTGATCCACCCACCTCGGCCTCCCAAAGTGCTGGGATTACAGGCGTGAGCCACTGCACCCGGCCACATACTCATAATAATCTTTATGTCTCCATTGAGACAATTACAGCACATGAAAAAATGTGAAGACAGAGTATGTTGAATGTGGTGGGGGCCATGGGGAGGGCTGGCATTCTGTGTGTAAGCGAGCCTATATTTCATCTTCCACAGTGGGAGGTCAATAGATACTGCTGAAACAGGAAAACCAACAAGTAGCAATAAAGAATGATACTTAGTGATGAGCAGAGCAATACCAAAAGAAGAAGTTAAAAGAGATGAAATGGGTGCCTCAGGGAACAGGAAATAGTGCCACATGGGTAAGGTGGGACTACTGTTTTTCACACATAGTAGCTTGAATCTTTTTCGTAATTTTTATAGAATTATCAACTCTTGTGACTAAATATTTGATTTTTGAAAAACAAAATTAAGTATATACATATTTTTAAAAGTCACCCAGATTATGCCATTGACTTCAAGGAGATTTTTCACTAAGTAAGCCCATTTCTTCTATTTTGCCTTGACATGCTCTGTAATAAACTGAACAGCTTAATTGTCATAGAAGTTGTGAAGAAAACACATTGAGAAAAACAACAGACTCATCTAAGGCCACAAAGTTAGTATGTGCCAGGTTTAGGGTGTGGGGCTTGTATTACACTCTGTTAATCATTGTTATATATTTCATTGCCCTGTATAACTCTGGCTATTAGGGGCTTTTTTTTTTTTTTTTTTTTTTTTGAAACCCCATGAAAGATGTAACATTGGTCTCTATTGGATGCTTACGGGAAGGAAGAGTTTGGAAGGGGGGGTCTCACTAGCCCCTGAAAGCCAGATCTTATTGGGGAATCCTCTCCCAGTGGTGGGATAACCATGAAATATAGACTGTACAAATCTTATTCCAGTCTGATTTCACTAATAAAGAAAGATGGCTTTGCCGGTAAGAATACATGATAAGAGAAAGGTTTATCCATAATAATGTGAAGACGAAGGGTCAGATATTGCCAGGTGGGTGGGTTAATTGCAATTTAACGGCTGTTGAAAATGAATCGCCTTCTTTGACCTCCAGGTTCTGATCTGAGTTAATGATGTATCATAGTTCTTCAAGACATAGCTGTCGGGTGACTATAGTCCCAAGCAGAGTTCCTGACACCAAGAGAGGGACAGGCTCCACTAGCAGGTCCTGACATATTGTTATACCCTCTAAGACATGCCTACGTGTAAAAATTACCATGATTCTTATGCAGTTTAAAGCAGTGTCCACACTCAGTTGGTGTGATAATTTCATGAAGTGATAGCAGCATCCCTAAAATTACACATAGCTTTTGAAATATAAAAGTATAAAAATGATGCTTTGCTGGACTATTAAAAATGTTTATGAGGTTCAAAGTTTCATCTGATAAATACATTCTCAGAGTCTTTCCAATAAAAAGAACTTTTCACTGAAATGAGTCCAACCCATTTTCATTATATTCCAAACAAGATAGCAATTTTACCTATAATATTTAACTATGATTTATATAACTTTGAAACTTTCTAACACTGCAATAGTTCAAACTGCTTGTCTTTGAAAAATGCTTTGAAACTACATTTTCTTCAATAGAATGAGTCTTTCAAAATCTGTGTCTGGTAGAGGGTTAGATTTGTGAGAGTTACTTAAAGCAAAAAACAGATTTTTGCAAAAACAAAATAGGTGCATCTCACCCTTTTGTGTTCTTGAGCATTAGTAAAAAATGGGGGGTAGGAGACAGGAGGAAATAAAAGACATGATGTCAGTCCTTATGTACAATCTCTGTTTATGTGCAAAAACTGGATTAGTAACTGTAGAACAGGAAAAGAGGTGGAAGACAGTTCTTTATACTAGTGTTCTTGAAATAAAAGGTTATTCGGCAATAATGCTTTAAGTAATGTGCATAATTTATTTTGAAATCTAATTATAGCTTTTTTTGGTTTATGTTAGATCTATGAAGCTGATCAAAGTAGCACTTTTTCAGATCAACAGAAATCAGTCTCAAAAAGCAATTAAAGATTGATTTTTAAAGCATAAACAGTTTTCAATTTATTGCTTTTATTTTGATACTGCATTTAACTATTTGCATATGCCTCTGTTTACTTTTCTTGTTCCATAGGTTTGCCATCTGCAAATCTGGCCGCACCTAACCTCACTGTGGAGGAAGGAAAGTCTATCACATTATCCTGTAGTGTGGCAGGTGATCCGGTTCCTAATATGTATTGGGATGTTGGTAACCTGGTTTCCAAACATATGGTAAGGCTTGTGTTTGGCTGTGTCTTAATAGAGAGACAAGAGTGTTTCAGAATGCGAGAATGTATTAAACCTAGTGATGATCATTTGATATTTTATAAGGCTACATATAGAAATTTACAAAGAGTTTTTGATGTACATTCACTTTCTACTTATTCTTAATTAATAAAGACTAATGCAGGCTTGCATTTTAGTTATGCATACCTAAGAGAGCGAGGAGTCTCTATATCCCTAGTGAGCTCTTTGTATCATCCTGAACAAAGCGAGTGACTTTCCCTGTGGTCTTCTCCCTTGGAGGGAATTCAGGGATCAAGTCAACCTCATGCACTTAGCAATTGAAACCTAGAGAAATAGAATAACTTCTGATTTACTTCTTCGCCTGAGCCCAGTTCAGGCAGAGAAGCTTTTCTAATGCTATATATACATATTTTCTCTAGTTAGGGGAAGAAACCCCAAATCTTGTCACTTTGGGATCAATCCTAATCAAGGTTATTTTTGTCTGTTAATTCATTTGTAGAATGAAACAAGCCACACACAGGGCTCCTTAAGGATAACTAACATTTCATCCGATGACAGTGGGAAGCAGATCTCTTGTGTGGCGGAAAATCTTGTAGGAGAAGATCAAGATTCTGTCAACCTCACTGTGCATTGTACGTAATCAGACTGGCATGTGTTTTTAATAGCAAATGATCATGGACGTACCTACGTTTGTTGCTGGGGCACTCTGGGTGCTGCTTAAATTTGTTAAAAAAAGTATATGCAGTGTTTTGTGCATACTCTATTAAGAAACATTATCAGCCTCTTTTACTGTTCAATTTCTGCTTAATAACTCTTGCTCATGCATGTTTTTTCTTTTAAGCTTCTTTTTCGATTTTGAGCTTGTCATTTTGTGCCTTCCTCTGTCTTTTTTCTGATAGAATATACTTTGGGCTGGTTGCTCCCTCTGGTTAATGTTTTAGCTTAAATTTTCGTAAATCAGTTTCTAAAACTTTCTTCCTCTATAAAAGCAATATGATGCTTTAAAGTTATGATACCTAAAGTATTTACTAGCTGTTCACAAATGCCTAATTGTACTGTTGATAAAATAAAACCTCATTCTTTTGTTATCAAGTTTCTGTGAGAAGGTAGGATTAGTCCTACTTAAATTACTGAAAATTATTATCACCGGTAGAAAACTTTTATTATTATTGTTTTAAATTTCTGTATACATTGAATCTAAGTTCAAAGATATCCCTCTTTTTAATTAAACATAAGTACATTGTTTTTCAGTATTGTAACTAATACAATATACATTTTGAAATTCCAAATTATGGCTTTTAGCATGAAGGTGTATATTCAGTAAAAACTATATAGACACTTCACGTCATTGTAAATTCTGAGCTGGCACGGTATAAATTAATGAGGTTTTACTCTATTTGGATTAGAATTTGGATGAGAAAAACATGAACATGCATGTGTGTAAGTGTATGTCTGACTTACACACGTGTAGACCCATGGCCATAGCTGGTATCAATATGCTGGTTAACACTCACTCATAGCACACATTCAGTGTGTGATTGCTGGAGTGAATGATTGAAATCATCAGCTGTAATCCTTTATCATTGTTAGTACAATCACTATGCCCAGTGGGTACTAAACTCATAATTTCTCATCATTTTGACCCACTCAGAAGCCTGAAGTCAATGTTATCTCCAAACATATGCAAGCACTTTCAACTGTATGTCCTTAAATCAGCACCTAACCCAAAATTCATTTGAGCATGGTGGAAGGAATGATGGGCCCTGGGTGTGGGGACCTGGGCTGGTGGGAGGAAGGTAAGTGTGGCCCCTGCCCCACTGTGGTCCTTGTAGTGGTTGGTTCATAGCACAGGTCTACAAGTGTGTGTATCTACACATGTATGGACCTTATTTTGTGTAATATATATATATGTACATTATATATATTATATATATATTATGTATATATATATGCATATGTATAATATATATAGGGTCTCCCCAAATTATATTTTAATTGAATTTTTATAGATGAAGTCACATATTAAAAACTTTTGTTTTCCAAAGACTATTTTAAGGAGGCCTGTGAGAGATATTTGGTAAAGCAAACAATTAAACTTTGCCCATTTAAATTTAGTAATATCACATTTCTCAGAGTGAGGGACATAGTCACAACATACATGTGCAGAGTTCAGCTGCACAGGTGCTCAGTTGAGAGGAATGTCACTGGTAACTGGAAATCTTTCCGTAAATTATGAAAGTGAATTGGGTCCTTTTATCGGCTTTGCTTCTTCCTAGGTAGTACTGTGGGAGGATTTACCTGAATACAAGTAAGGGGGTAATATCAGATTACCTGCTTTCTATTAAAAATATCCAAACTTGAGTTTTTTTCTCAGTTTCAGGTTAATATCTGTATGGTCACTAGGCTCTGAAAAATTGACCTTATCTGTCATAGTTTAGACAAAGAGCAGAAGCAATAAATTATAAATAATATTAACAACTGGCTGGGTGTGGTGGCTCACGCCTGTAATCCCAGCACTTTGGGAGGCCGAGGCGGGTGGATCACTTGAGATCAGGAGTTCAAGACCAGTCTGGGCAACATGATGAAACCCCGTCTCTACTAGAAATACTAATATTAGCCGGTCACGATGGCAGGCGCCTGTAATCCAAGCTACTCGGAAGGCTGAGGCATGAGAATCGCTTGAACCTGGGAGGCAGAGGTTGCAGTAAGCTGTGATCGTGCCACTGCACTCCAGCCTGGGTGGCAGAGTGAGAATCTGTCTAAAAAAACAAAAAACAAACTAAAAATATTAACAACCAAGATAACCAGTGCAGAGACCCCACTCAGAGGGTTTGTCTGTTCCCTGGCTACAATACCTTAGATTTTTTTCTCCTCTTGTTTGATGAACACATACAGTCAAGAAGCAGTGCCTGAGAGGGAAGGGCCACTGTATTAAACATCAGGATTCAAGATTCTTGTTCCAGATCTGCCTTGCTCAGTAACCTTGATGAGCTCACTTAACCTCATTGCACTTTGGTTTCTTCATCTGAAAAAAATGATGCTATTAGATCTCAAAGGTCTTTTCCAGTCCTTGATTTTGTAATTACCAAAGCCAGACTACATTAAAATGAACAGATGAAGCATTTTAAATACCCTCACTTAGGATAAGTACTCTGTTTAAAAATTCTACTTGATAATGTTTGTTTCCCCAAAGCATAAAGTGCTTTATATCTAAAGTTGAAATAATCCCTACTCTGTCCAGGCTTAGATTGGACCCCAAACATTTAAAAGATCTAAACATTGGCATCTAGGATCCTAGCAAAAATGGACAACACTATCATGAAATGTGATACTTTCAAAGAGTATTTACTATTGACAATCAGTAATAAATGTTGATTTGTTATATTTATAATAATTCATCATCAGCAGCAACATTTATTGCATTGATCAGTTTGATCTGTTTTCGAAGTTATGTGAGATCAGGGCTTCAGGCAAAATTTTAAAAGTCATTTTTGTTATTTAGGAAAGAAGTGCTATCAAAAAGTATTCATTATTTTATTATTTTGAGTTTTTTTGGTGATGAATCTGTATAATATCAAGATACAGATATTAGAAACCAAAGTCAACTTCAAATGAACTCTTTCCGCTGTCAGAAATCTCTTGGATCTGTTTGGAGCTGGTTTTCACTTATACTGAATAGATTTGAGAAATGACTGTAATGCAGGGGTCTTAAGTAGAACAGAGAAAGGAGTCTCTCTGAAGCTCTCTTTGGGGAGTTACATCCACCCTGATGATGATACAAAATACTGATGGATTCCAGAGTTTCTGATGATGTGTTTTTCTAAGCCAAACAATGGTTGAGTAAAATTCCCTATCAATGACACAGACATCTCGAGATGGGGAGAATTCTGAGCTTTCTGATGCTATTAACTCTCTCTTTTTCAATTTAGTTGCACCAACTATCACATTTCTCGAATCTCCAACCTCAGACCACCACTGGTGCATTCCATTCACTGTGAAAGGCAACCCCAAACCAGCGCTTCAGTGGTTCTATAACGGGGCAATATTGAATGAGTCCAAATACATCTGTACTAAAATACATGTTACCAATCACACGGAGTACCACGGCTGCCTCCAGCTGGATAATCCCACTCACATGAACAATGGGGACTACACTCTAATAGCCAAGAATGAGTATGGGAAGGATGAGAAACAGATTTCTGCTCACTTCATGGGCTGGCCTGGAATTGACGATGGTGAGTAACTGACACTTTTGTATGTGGGGAGAAGATAAAGTCTATCATTCACCTGTTGACAAAATCATGTATACAATAAGCCATCCCCCAACCTAGTGGCTTAAAACTCCATTATTTAGTGTTGCTCATGGATCCATAGGTCAGCGGAGTGGTTTTATTTTGCATGTATTTATTGTGGAATTCAGGGTCATGAAGCAGCAGCTACATAGGAGATGTGCCTGTTATGATAAGTGTGGAGTGAAAGAGGACAACTGCAACGATGTGAGGCTTCCTAAGGCCTAGATTCAGGGCTGGTGCACTGGACTGTCTCTTCAGCTTATCTGCCATTGGCCAAAGCAAGTCACAGGGCCAAAGCCAAGTTAAGGGGCAGGGAGTTGTACTCCTCCCAAGAAGGTGATGAGGAAATTAATAATTTTGAACAGTTATCTGATACACACTGGATTAATAACTACTCCAGGATGCTTGGGTATCTTATGAGAAAAGGGTTATTATTATTATTTCCATCACTGTTGCAAGTATTTAATGAGATTTTGTACCCACAATGGCAAAACCCATGCAAAACCGCAAGCGCAGGAACTGTGTATGGTTGGCTCGTGATGCATTTAAGATTTATTTTCTAGCCTCTTACCTAATTCAAAAAGGAGAATTCTGGTTTCTCATCCATGGATGAGAAATTAGTGTCTTGGACTGTTTTGCTTACCCGGGCTGACTGAGCTGAGTGATTCTTTTATTGGCTCCGGAGCTGTTTTCCTAGGAGTGGTAATAGTGCTTCTCTGGCCAAAGGCTAGGACTGCGGAAAGGATGGCTAGCATCAGGGGTCTACTCTGGGCACAGCAGGAGCGTGTCAGTGTGAGCTTCAGGAACAGTGGGACAAGTGTCATGCATTTACCTGCTTCAGATGCTGTCCTTCAGTGGAGTGTTCTTACCTACTCAGTCTCATTGCCCAAATGCTTGCTACCAATGTGGTGGCCAAGGCCTGTGTTTGGATGTTGGGAGCTGTACATGAATAGAGTTCCTCATCAGAGTAGCTCTGAGTCAGTCAAAGTCATGCAAAGATGACTTGGTGGAGAGAAGGGAAAATAGAACCCTGGGGAGACTTGTAAGGCAGGGGCTGCTTGGGCTGCATGTACCTGTGTGGCTCCCAGGGCCCCCCCACCAGCAAAGGTGATCCATGCAAAGCCATCTCTGCAAAACAATAAACAAGAATGCAGTCCTTCTCATTACATGATAAGTTCCTATTATTTTGCTCTTCACTAGACCTCTTTTTAAATGCACAAGCTTGCTTAGTATATTCAAAATGTGATTTGGAATATGTGTTTGATTTATAAACAGTAGCCCTTCAGGAGCACATAAAACAAGCAATATTTGGATGCAAAACCCAGACACCCCTGGCTGTTGCTGTCTTTTCCATTAAATCTTCCTCTTAATTGAGAGTTTAGCTGCTTGGCTATGGTTGCTGCAGTAAATCCCTAGCTTGCAGTGTGCAGGAAGTCATGTTTGAGGGAATAATAGCTTCACAGTTAAATCCAGAGACACTGATTTAGGACAGTAGCTTTTTGCTTGTTCTTACATAAACTTTTTATTTCTGAATAATTTTAGATCTGTAGAAAAGTTGCAAAGATAGTATAGAGCGTTCACAGCCTTATCACCTCCCCCACCATTGTTAATATCTTACATTACTTTGGTACATTTGTCACAAATGAGAAACTAATATTGGTACATTACTAACAACTGAACTTCAGACTTATTTGAATTTCACCAGTGGCCCTTTGAAACTCTTGGGGGCAAAACTTGATTCAGAGTGAAGGTCTGCAGTGAAAAGCTGTCAGAAGTGGTCTGAGTCTTTTGATATCAATGCACAGTACTGTTGGTGTAAAGCCAGTAGCTTCTGTTTTGGAAAGGATTTTGATGTCTTTCCTTTTGAACATTTCTATATGGTACTGATATTTGGTAGAGCTGAACTCTTCTTATCCATGTGGCCTCATTTTCATTGATCATTTCTGCTAGTTTTTACTTAGCTTGTGATGGGGAAGAATTGTTTTCTGGTATAAGAATAACTTGGTGCTTCTCAAACATTCCCTTTAAAAGAAATAATTATTTATAAAAAATACAACTTAGGCTAAATTTTATAAATATGTTTCCTCCCCTTCTTTCTTTCCATCTTCTTGTTCATGAATTTATTAGGTCCTTAAAATATTAATAACTGCTTTCAGAAAAGCCCGTTTTTTTGTTCTCTTTAAGTATTTACTTAAGTGTCAGCTATCAAGGAGTAATAAATGAAAGTGGAAATGAAGGAGACTTGGCCCAGGGTGACAGTGGATATAAATGGCCCTAGTGGGCCATAAACCAGTGTGACCGATTAGAGATTGACCCCACTTGGCTTGGGAAATAGAATCGTTGTGGGTATTTATGAGACTCACAACCATAGCACACAGACAATGACCTTTCTTAGAATTGCTTCCTTTCTCTATTAACCTCCTTTAAAACTAAAGAAAAATAGGCCGGGCGCGGTGGCTCACGCCTGTAATCCCAGCACTTTGGGAGGCCGAGGCGGGCGGATCACGAGGTCAGGAGATCGAGACCATCCTGGCTAACACGGTGAAACCCCGTCTCTACTAAAAATACAAAAAATTAGCCGGGCGTGGTAGCGGGCGCCTGTAGTCCCAGCTACTCGGGGAGGCTGAGGCAGGAGAATGGCGTGAACCCGGGAGGCGGAGCTTGCAGTGAGCCGAGATCGCACCACTGCACTCCAGCCTGGGCGACAGAGCGAGACTCCGTCTCAAAAAAAAAAAAAAAAAAAACTAAAGAAAAATAAACAAATAGCAAAAAAAAAAAAAAAAAAAAAAAAATCCCTGCTTGTCTAAAGTACTTTCCAAGTTAACAACAGCAGGTCAAGTTTGGCTTTATATTCCATTAATATTTCTACTATTATCATATGATAATTGATGAAGAAGTTTAGCTCTCACAAATATTTTTTATAAGAAATTTCAGCTACTTTCTCCCAGTTGTTTTGGTAAGATCCCCCCCTTCCCTTTTTTTATTTGTTATATTGGAAGTTTCCCGGCTTACAAGGAAGCAGGCAGCCTGGGCTCACTGTGAAGCTAGTTGCATTTCCATACAGAGCCATAATTAATGTGACATCTCTGGTGTCGCTTAGCGTATGTGCACCTCATTCAGCTTAGAGCAGATTTCTGCTCGGGCGCGCTGGCTCATGTTTGTAATCCCAGAACTTTGGGAAGCTGAAGTGGGCAGATCGCTTGAGCTCAGGAGTTCAAGACCAGCCTGAGCAACATGGCAAAACCCCTTCTCTACAAAAAAAATACAAGAATTAGCTGGATGTGGTGTGTGTGCCTGTAGTCCCAGCTACTCGGGAGGCTGAGGTCAGAGGATTGCTTGAGCCTGGGAGGCGGAGGTTGCAGTGAGCCATGATCGTGCTACTGCACTCCAGCCTGGGTGACAGAGCCAGATCCTGTCTCAAAAATAAAACGTAAAAAATAATTTTTAAAAAAGAACTAAGATTTCCATGGGATGGTCATTTTGCTTAGGAACTTGTTTTTGAAAAGAGAGAATAAAGACTATTGAAAGAAACTGAAGCATAAATAAACCAAAAGTCTCCAAAACAAAAATTGGTGAAGAGGAATGGACCAATTGGATGTAATGACAGTCCTCATAACCTTTACTTCCGCTTGGGATGCAGACACTAGACGAGGTGGCAGACACTCTGTTCTCTACTTGGAGGAAGGATGGGGAAGTTCGACCTCAAGACAGCGGCAGCCCAGTCCAAGGGGGTGCCAGTCACAGCGTGTGAGGATGTGAGGCAGGCATTAAAAGAGAGCGGCCCAGCAAACCAAGATCCCCGTGTAATGTATCTTGAGAGTGCTGGGCCTTGCAGACTCTGCCATTTCCCCAGCCAGCAGGCTAATGTGGAAGGACAGGTGCTAGCAGATCTTCAGATGTCAGCAGGACCCCAGACACCAAGCCAGCGCCCTTCCCCATCTGTTAATCACTGGTAGCCTGGCTAGTAACTGAGAAAGAGAAAAGACCTTCCCAGACTCCAGATACTAAATCGATCACTTTGGGTCCCACATTTAAGAATTGAACTTAGCTCTGGTTAGTTTGGGATTGTGTTTAAGGCAAAAAATGCAAACTTTCAGCTTCAAAATGAAATCTAGAAAACCATGATGTTTCTCTTCCAGCACACTGAAGAGTACAACTTGTGACAATCAGACTACAGGAGTTTTATGTTACTTTTGTTTTCCATCATGTCTTTAAAATCGATTCAGTATGAGAGATCTTCCCTGGTTCCCAGAACAGTAGCTTCCTGCCCCTTGTTGCACATTTGAATCAACTGGAGACTTTTTGTCACTATTTTGTTTGATTACATTTTTAAATACACATTCCTGGGGCCTAGCTTTAGCAACTCAGATTCCGTGGCTCTGGGATGGGAGTTGGGCTTTGGCTTTTTTTGTTTTTAAGGTCCCTAGTGATTCTAATGAGCAACCAGGAGTGAGCCTCACTGATTGGAGGAGAACTCTGAGCTGTGTAACATTTTTCTGCTTTTGATTGAGTGACAAACAATCCTTTGGTTATTTTCAGCTGCAGATAGAATCTCAATTGAGAAATGGCATGTCCCACCTGAGCTAGAAATGAAAACTCTGGATTTGAGCTCGTGGCCAGTCTCCTGTCCTCCCCAAGTTCAGGCTGGCAGTATGGGGTCAGGGATGGAGTTTGTTGAAGTTTCAGTGTCCCTGCTGCCCAGGTGAAAGGGGGTGGAGAAGGAGATGACAGGGTAGTTGGCTCACTAGTGGCTTTGTGCTCTTGGAACCTGGGAATGTTCAATGCTGATGTGCCGACTTTCTTTCCTGGATACCTTTGTGGGCTTTTGGAGATTTCTCTCTCTGTATTTCCCATGACATGAACAAATGTGCCTCTGCTCCAGCTGGCACAAGCAACTCCTAACTCCAGGAAAGTACTTTATGTTGTTGGGGTCCCTCAGCAGGACCTGACTCCCCACAAAGACTTTCTCCTGTGCTGCCTCTGGACTGCAGGGGACACTCATAGTCTCTTGTCCCCTAGGTGTACAGGTCAAGCCAAATGCCACCTATACCCCATGGCTGCAGGTTTCTTTCACCTTCTCTGGCAAGGGTCAGGCCTTGTCCTCTGAGCCATCCGTTTGCAGAGAACATAATTCAACTCTCAGAGTGGTTCCATGGAAGCCCCTTGGTGGGGTGGTGTCAGAGCAGCACTTCCCTAAAGAAACTTCTTTATAAATCCTTCCTTGTTCTCTCCTTCCGGGGATATCTTACACTCTCAAGGTGAATCAGACATTTCCAAGGACATAGGTCCAGTTCTCAGCCAGTTCCTTTGTGATTTCTGCCTCTGAGTGCCTCACATCACTTTGGTATAAGTTACTGAGGCAGGAAGAGTCTCACTTAACATCCTATTATGCTAGAATCTAGGGATTTTGAACAATGTGCCAGCTGTCTTTGGAGGTATGAGAAACAGAGGGTCCTGGGCTACCCCTTGCAGCGAGTTGTAACACTTGAGACAACGTAGACCCTACCTCTTAGGAAGGTGGCAGGGGTGGGGTGCAGGATGGTGGGAATAAAACACAGCCTCTTGCCCATATAACAAAAGACACCCTAGCCAACCATAAAATATAAAAGGTGGAGAAACACTTGGCTGCTTATTCCTGTCCCCTGTTCCTCTTTGAGGTTGCCTTTATTCTGGTTGTAAGACATCAGCTTCTCATTCCCAGGGATGTCCCTGCCTTGATATTAGGCAGGACCCAGATGAAGGTATGCAGAAAATATAGGCAATGGAGGACAAAGACACCTCTTTAAATCTTCTTTCTTGTGGAAGCCAGGGAACAGAGACTATTAAATGGAATAGGTGGAACCTCTAAGATTTTACTTCTAATGAGATAAACTTTCACTTATTCTCAATTCAAATGACTCATTCAGATCTGATGTTTGAACTTGGAATCCTGAGCATAGTTAGCCTCCACTTTCCATATTATTTAAAGAGCAGCTTTGCTGCAGTGGGAAGGGTTTGGGTTTTGAACTCAGATCTGATTCAGTCACAGATCTGAGTTCCATCCTCCATGATCTTTGCGGCTTTGAGCAATTTTCTTAACACCTTGGAGTGTGAAGCGTGACTTTCCTTCTCCATAAAGTGTAGGGTTCTAGCCCCAAGTAGAGGCCATCTGCCTGTCATGTGTCAGCCCCAGCTTAGAAGGTTGCCGCCTTGAGGCTGAGCATATCTGAAGTGCCGATGCAGTGCCTGACACATGATAGGCAGGTGCTCAGTGTTATTTATCCTCTCCTTAGGTAGGCATTGAGAATATGATAAAGGAGGCGAACATTCCCCACCTCCCTTTGTGTTTATGCCCTGTAGCCATTAGGGAGCAGCTTTCTACCCAGAAATGCTTTTATCTCAGACTAACTCTGCCCTTCCTTATTCAGAAGCATGGGCTTGCCCAGAAAAAGGATCTTGAGACTCTATCATTTTACTACCTGAGCTTTCTAGACTTGGCCCTTGATATGATTTGGCTATGTCCCCACACAAATCTCATCTTGAATTGTAGCTCCCATGATTTCCACGTGTGGTGGGAGGGACCTAATGGGAGGTAATTGAATCATGGGGTGGATTTTTCCTGTGCTGTTCTCATGACAGTGAATAAGTCTTATGAGATCTGATGGTTTGATGAAAGGAAGTTCCCCTGCACACACTCTTGCCTGCTGCCATGTAAGACGTGTCTTGCTTCCCCTTCACTTTCTGCCATGATTGTGAGGCCTCCCCAGCCATATGGAACTATGAGTCAATGAAACCTCTTTCCTTTATAAATTACCCAGTCCTGCGTATGTCTTTATTAGCAGCATGCAAACAGGCTAATACAGCCCTTTAAGGAGAAAATTAAGTCAAAAATTTGACCCACCTTTCAGAGGGTGGGTCAGTCTTAGATCTTTCTGCTGTCTAAGCTCTTTTCCCCCTTCTCCTTTTCATTTGGAATGTAGCCTAGAAATGTGCTGTTGGGGACAAAACCAATCTCCTGTCCTTTCTTCTTTTTTGTAGCTATGGTCAAAGATACCCTGACTCCAATATTTAGGTACCTGGCTATTACTTTGTGTTTCATTAAAAAAATTGTCATTTTTTTGCTGAGTGCAGTGGATCCCTTGAGGCTGGGAGTTCCAGGCCAGTCTGGTCAACAAAGTGAGACCCCGTGTCTATGAAAAATAAAAAGAAATAAAAATAAAAATTGTCGTCCTTCATGCTCACTGAGACCTTTTGACTCTGGTAAAACTTCTCAGTGAGTTGTTAAATCAGGGCTTCTCGAACTTTAATGCACATACCAAACTCCTGGGGACCCTGTTAAAATGAAGATTATGATTCAATGGATTTGAAAATGGGCCAAACTAATGTATTTCTAACAAGCTCCCCGATGATGCCAGTACTGCTGGTCCATGGATCATACTTTGCTTAGTGAGGATGCCCTGCAGAAGCTGGAGGGACCACTGGAAGAACTGGTCAGGCATCCATCAAGATGACCTCACTGACTTTCCCTGAGGATATCAAATAGTAATAACAATACAAATATAGAATAGATGGTGCACAGAGATGCCCTTTAATTGGTTTTGGCATAAAGTTGGATGAATTCAATATGTGGCTTAAGAAGGCTAGGGAGAGTGAACAAAAAGTAGAGACAGCAGTTGCAGGCACGTACACACACACAGGGTGGGGTTATCTGAGGAATCTTCAAAAGTTCTCATGTATCCTATTTAGCTTACCAGCCAAAAAGAAAGACTTGTCTAAGATGAAATTGATCCACTGTATGTCAGTCATTGAAATTCAATCCTCCATATAAAAATCCCTTCATGAACCAGAAAGTGTACATGGAGACTGAGTGGAGATTAGAAGTGATGAAGGTTTCTTTTTGAGTAGAATTTGAGGCAGAAATTAATGGCAGAGAGATCACTTATGATTTGTTGTGAGGAAGAAACCTGAAGCCTTTGTTAGCATTTTCTGATCAGATAGCCCAAGTTGCAACAATTTTGAAGGCCAGGTAGTCCTATAAATGTGAACATCACGTTGATGCAAAGTAGATTCTGTTCAGAATCATTACCCAAGTGATTTAACCCTTTGGCTTGGAACAAACCTAACCAGAGCACCAGATGATAAAATACCCTCGTTTTAAAGCTTACCATTCTTTAGGCAGTACATAAAGAGTGTCTGTATGGCCCACTCATTCAGGAAGAATGTCACAGCTCAAGAATGCTCATTCACACAAGCAGTGGGAGTCAGTGACTTGCGCTTCCTAATTCGGGAGCTCCTGTCTCCTATGCGAAATGCGCGTCAGGAACAAACTATAAATATTGGAAGAGCTTTTCCCACAGCTTCTCCTTCCGTGCTGTTTTATCGAAAGATTCATGACATCTGGATGAACTAGAGCTCTCTGCGGCACTTAGAATGCCCCACACTGGTGGATTTAGATTTGGTGTACTTAGTCTAAAGAACGAGGGGAGAGGAAATTTCTCCAAATGTTATGCATTAAATAAAGCTCTCCTGGCTTTATACTATTTGTTCCTTTGGTCTTTTGTCAGGACCTATTTCTTGTCCTGGAGGTGAAGGAGAGAAATTTATGTCTGCTTTTCTGCCTTAAATAACTGAGAAGAGAATGATTTGGCCATACATTCAGAATAATGATAATTAAGATTTATACTTAAATAGCTTCTTATACCTCAGGAGTGCTAATGTTAGTTAATTATGCTTCCCAAAGCTCCTGAGGAATTGCCAGAGCCAATGCTATTATCCTCTCCTGTCTTATAGAAGACTCCATTGTTACAGAAAAAGTGGAGACTCCCACTGCTATATAGCAAATGAGTGGTTCAGCCAGAAAGGAAACCAGATATTGCAATGCCAATTTCAGGCGCTGAGTTCAGCCTGCCCTTCTGAAAGAGAAGAGAAGAACCTGAAAATCAAAAGGCTGATCCCCCCATGAGTGAGAAAATACTGTCGGCAAAGCAAGGACAGTTTATTTGAATAGAACAAATCTTTTGTAATTGCCTTATCATATGGAATTCTTTGAAATATTTTTCAGGATCACATGATCACATTAAATAGAGTCTGCAAATAGAATGGATAGAAAAGTCTTTTCTCTCTCTCTTTTTCTTTAGGTAGAGCATTAGAGGGAGACTAAAAGTTTAAAGGAAGGAAACAGATGTGTCTTCCTGGCCTCCCCATTATTTTTTATCTTGTTAGCAGAATGGAAAATGAACCCTACTGTCAGGCTACCTCTCTTCCCACAATATATTTTTTTTTATCCAACAAACCTGTTTTTCCTTTAACTATAGAGTCTTAACAGTTGAAATGTCATAAAGATGTTTTCTCTTTCATCAAGATTTACATAAAGTCATAAGATTATTCATGAGCTATAAGTGAGTTTAGAAGATGGAAATAAAAAGGTCCTATTTTAGGTTATTTTGCATGGAATTAGGAGGATGGTGCAGTGCTTGGGTTTGATGCTGTTGGGGAAAGAGGAAAGTGATTCCATCTTTGATGTGTGGAAGACCAAATGCCCTCAGGGCTCATCTGCCTCTTGGAGGTGCAGACCTCACTGGCTCCCTGGGAAGCTTTGTCAGGAGTGCGGCTGTGGCTGTGATACAGTTGCTATCCTTCTTTTACTATTTTTTTCAACTTGTATTTTAGAATCGGGGTGCATGTACAGGTTTGTTACGTGGGTCTATTATGTGATGCTGAGGATGGGGATGTGACTGAACCTGTACCCAGCTAATAAGCATGGTATCCAATAGGCAGTTTTTCAGCCTTCCCCCCCATCCGTCTCTCTCCATCTTCAGTAGTCCCACTTGGGGCACTTCAGGCTGTACCGTGGACTGGCTACTCACTTTCGGTAATTCTTGACAACATTCCTTAGGTCAAGAACAAAGTAAAGGTGAGTATGGCACCTTAGGATGCTCAACACGTTCTTCAGAAAACAGGATTTGACCATCAGATCTGCAGACCTTGGTACTTGGCCTTCAACCTCTTTCAGCTGAGGAGGAGTTGCAGCTTACATCCCAGTGAGCTGTGGGGATCATAGACAGTCTGCTGCTTGTTTGGAACTCCAGTGGGTTGAATAGAGTTCCTGGATTTCAATATTTTATTCCACTGTCTCCCAACATGAAGATTTAAGGCTTGACGCTACTTCTTGCTACCTAAATCTGAGATTTCTGATTTGATGAGCACTACTAGGATAGCACTCAAGAAATCATAATAACCCTTTCAAAACCCCACTTTCAGGGGCATGGCTCAAGTCAGATACAGCTTCTTTGTCTTTCATTAATTCTCTTCTTCTTGGATTTTTTTCTCATAGCTAGTGTTTGTCTTTCCTCAGTGACCTTTTAGTCCTGAATATCTCCAACAGGGCTTCCTAACTTTAGCATATAACAGTGTGCAACAGTATGTAATGAAGGAACCATTTAGAAATTAGACTTAAAAATGGCAAGACATTTTCAACATCTGACCATTGCCAGAAGTCTAAAAAGAAAGTGATACATTTTTTCTGTCAGCATTTAAAATGATGTTAATAATTACCTTACTGTTGGAGTGTAAATATCATGGGAGGTTTTGCTAAACTAGGAAGTTGCTGGAAGCAAAATACTTGATGAGCTGGGGTCAGCTGTAGTAATGTGACCCTCACTTTTCATAAACATTAGGTCTCTATCCTCTCACGTGCCAGTCTAACTAAACCTTTGTATACTGAGAGGTGTTTATTTGTTGTGGTGAGTAGACCTTTGTCAGACATAGTGCAGTATGCTTGGGAGAAATAAAAGCAACTCTGTTATAGTTCGTCTCACATTGTCTTTCTGCGAGTTTCATAATCTTACACTAAATTTGGCTGTTGTGGACAAAAGTAAAGTGACAGTACTTGTCATACATCTGGGAGGATGAAATTAGGAAAAAATAGTGCTTTTCACAAAGTTTAGATATGGCCTAACAGTTTTGCTGGTGAACTTGGTAGGAAAGGCATGCGCTGATATGGGTCATAAGACTGGATGGACACTGACCTATTTTTAATTAAATTAAATTAAATTAAATTATTTATTTATTTTTGAGTCAGAATCTCACTTTGTTGCCCAGGCTGGAGTGCAGTGGTGTGATCTCAGCTCACTGCAACCACCGCCTCCTGAGTTCAAGCGATTCTCGTGCCTCAGCCTCCAGAATAGCTGGGACTACAGGCATGCACCACCATGCCTCGCTAATTTTTGTATTTTTAATACAGATGAGGTTTCCCCATGTTGCCCAGGCTGGTCTTGAACTCCTGAGCTAAGATGATCTGCCCGCCTTGGCCTCCCAAAGTGTTGGGATTACAGGTGTGAGTCACCACCCCCGGCCCTGGCCTATTTTTTAGATTATGGGCTAACGTCTTTATTTACGATTGGACCCCAAATCCCATTTTTCCATACCTAACATTTGTTACAGTGAATAGATGTGATGTTCTTGGATCTTCCTAGGGGCTTCGTGTGGGTAGTGTGTTTGGATGTTCCTGTTCTGCAACGTGGCAGATTAAACCTGTATGTCATTCATAGTCACTGAGGCCGTTTAAATGTGTGGCTGAGATAAATCTGGCTCTGAATCCTCAGGCTTGTCACTTTCTTATGGAGCTGTAGGTGTAAAAGCGATGGTGACCACAGGCCCTTCTCTCACATGCGGTGGGGGTCTGTGGGGGCCTGAGAATAAATCAGTGGCCAACTCCTCCCAGGCTAAGGAGTGAAAGCCCCAGAACTAGAAAAAGCCCTCAGTCCTGGGCAGATGGAAAGGATGTGGCTGGGAGTGTCCCCGTTTTAAAACTTGTAAGGAATCCTCTTAGTTCCTGGCAGTCTGGGATGGTTGGCCACCCTACTGCAAATGAAGACCCACATACTTATATCCAAATATTTAAAGATTATAAATCAAATCAGTGAATGTGAATTGTGAAATAGAGTAGGTTCCACCTTCCTGCAAGACAAATGTATAGTTATGATGACGTGGAAGGCTGGATTTGAAGTTGAAAATCTCATATTGTGTTGAAAGGCACATCAGGAAGAGGGACAAGTGAAATCTTCTAAACTAATGGATTACTGAGTACTTTGAAGACTGACTTGCTCTCTTGGGCTTATAGAATCTTTCCTTCAGCAGGGGTAGTAAATTCCCATGGTGAGGGGGACTCCATTTGGTCTAGGGCTTTTGTAAAGGGAAAGGACTTCAGAGGACAACTGAGTCCCCTGCAAGTGACATCAGGAGGGCAGCCACTGGGACTTCTTGCTGCTGCTTTATTCATTGAGTTAGCCCTCAAACTACAGGGCAGCTTTCAAGACTCTTCTCAGAGTGTTATAACAGCTATAAGCAACCCTGACAAGACATATTCACATATGATAACTCAAAATGAGTTTGAATTGGTGTTTGGGATAATAAAATTCTTCAAAATATGATTGAAATTTACTGGAATCAATGACTTTGCATACATTGATACAGTGCCATCATATGTGGCTGCACAGGGTGTGCACTGCACAATTTCCCATCACATGTGGCTGCACAGGTGCACAGGGTGTGCACTGCACAATTTCCCATCACATGTGACTGCAGAGGTGCGCAGGGTGTTCATGGCACAATTTCAGGTGATGTTATTCACATGGACTACAACATTAAAGGCGCCCCCTAGAGTTGTGCGAAGCATGCACTATACAGCAGTATGCAGCATCCCTGGATGGAAGTACACAGCCATTCATTTCATTTTTTTTCCCTGCTAAAATAGATATTTTTCTAGTTGAAATGCGTTACAATTCTAATTTGAACACTGGGGCCACTTTTATTTGGTTCTTCATTTAGACTAACCTTGATTATTCACTGGGGAATGCATGAACAGAAAATTGGCTCATTTCGCTTTACTTTAATGGCATTTTCCTGCTAAGGGTTCAGAAGTGAAATGAAAACTGAGTAAGCTTTATGGTTTACAAGTTTTACTGTTTCACATGGCAAGTGAGGACTAAAAGCATAGGAAATAGCTTTGGAAATTCATTTTGCAATCACTTAAATGTTAAAACAAAATTTAATTTCATTTCCAAGTAGACTTTCATGTAGAGACCCAGTTAGCTCTGATTGGAGAATAAGTAGCAAATGTTTTTGTTACCAGTTCTTGTTGATGCTGAGTTAAAAAAATGTTTTTGGCAAGTCTCATAGGAATACCTTAAAGCAGAATATTTTGATCATCTTGGTGACTGCAGAGCCATCCTCCAAAATTAAATTGATAACTTTTACATTTCTCTCTGACATACCATTTTTTAATAACTTCTTACACATCAATGATTTCAATAGAGGAAGTACATTTTATTTTTCTTTGTTGTGTTAGGGCTTAAAAAAGGTTTCTTCAGCCCTAGAAACTCCCCTGAAGATAAGGTGGAGAATAAAATTGTGCTTTAGATAGCATTATGCAGGGTGGTTAATAACAAGCTCCTGAATGCAAATGGCCCTGCTACACAGTTAACAGTAACCCTCAAACCATCAGAGAATAACAAAAGTGGTACGAAAATTATTTGTCTCTGGAATAAAAATACCGAAACTGCAATGAAAGTAGCCAATTGTATAAGAGAAACAGTACCAAAAGAAGAAAAATGGTAATAATTCATTGATTGCTGAAGTTTTTTCAAAGCAATTTGTGATCTTTTTTTGTGATTTGTTTTCTTTTTTGGAGGGATGAAAGTGGGAGAACCGGGGAGGGGAACGGAGTTAATGTGGAACAACTCAAGAACTTAAAGTTTTGTTTACCTGTCCTGTGAAAGCAGTCTATTAAATTGCAAAACTTCAGTGTATGTCTAGCTTATTTTAGTTGACATAGGTTAGTAATTTTTTGACTCCAAAATGCATACTTACAAATCTTTGCTCTGTTTTGCCTTTTAGGTGCAAACCCAAATTATCCTGATGTAATTTATGAAGGTAGCTATCGTGTTTTCTACTTTGTATTTCTTTTTCAAAATGTTTGTGTATCATGAAGTAAATCAACTGAAAGAAGACTCTTCTAAGCTCAGTTAAATTTACACTTTAAGCATTACATAGGCCAAAATAGTATTTCAAAAAATCATTCAATATTGATGGCCGTTTTCCCTTGACATTTACAGTGCCTGTAAATAGCACTTTCTCTCTCATACCCTGTTCTTGGAAGTAGTGAATCCATTCCGCTGGCTGTAACAGACATCGTATTTCCTTAATTGGGAACTAATTACCTGTTTAAAAGCCATGGCTACCAAGAAAAGGGAGGTATATCAGTTTCTGGCTATGACAGTAAAGCCAATTCAAAATGATGTTTCTTGTGTAATGAAGGTGTTTGGCTCACAGATGGGAACCTCAAAGGTAGGGCTTGATTTAGGGTTGGTTAAAGCAGCAGCTCCACTATGTCATCTGGGACCCAAGTTCCCTTCACCCTACTCTCTTTTTCCCACCACGCCAGCTTCACTGAAGGCTGGTCCCCTTGTGGTTACAAGAGAATGTGGCGGGGGAGCTGCTGCCATTCACAAGGATGGGAGAAAGGGAAGCGCTCCTGAAGGCGTCCTCAAGGAAAGAGAACTTCCCAAGAGACAAGAGCCAAGCCCTCTTTGTATCCAAGTCAAGACCCAATTGGGTCATAGTCCATTCTTGCCCTTATTACTGCTAAGAGGGATGGATTATCCCTTCAGTAACTAAATTCACCCCCAGACTTTAAGTCAGCTTCCCCGAAGGTGGATAGGCTTAACCCCTTGAAAAAAAAAATGGGATTCTCTCAGGAACGTGGAAAGAAAGAAACCAAAGTCCATTATATTAGTTTTTTTTTTTTTTTTTTTTTTTTTTTCCGAGACGGAGTCTCACTTTGTTGCCCAGGCTGGAGTCCAGTGGCGCGATCTATGCTCACTGCAACCTCCGCCTCCCGAGTTCAAGCGATTCTCCTGCCTCAGCCTCCTGAGTAGCTGGGATTACAAGCACGTGCCACCACACTCGGCTAATTCTTATATTTTTAGTTAAGACTGGGTTTTACCATGTTGGCCAGGCTGGTCTCGAACTCCTGACCTCAGGTGATTCACCCACCTTGGCCTCCCAAAATGCTGGGATTACCAGGGTTAGCCACCATGCCCGGCCTATATTAGCTTTTGATGGAATATCGCATCTCTCCTTTGCTGTTTTGATCGAATGCCAAGGATGTTTTCCTAGGTGTGAAAACCCATATTTAACAGATTTCCAAGCCAGCAAGCCACTGTTTGGGGAAGTGGAAGGCTACATTTCAAGACTTGCTTTAAATTTAGGAATGATTAAAAGATTGATTAAAACATTACATTTATATATTTTCTGTAAAATATTCTGTTCCTTAATTTTATATTTATATATATTGATTGATATTTTATTTTTTCTATAAAATGAGCCTGTCTGTATGTTTATTATATGCGTGTGTATTTAACCTGAGCTAATTTTAAGTTGGGGAATAATATTGTCTTTACCTGCTTGTGCATGTTAAGCCATATTTCTTCCAAGCTGTGGTTTGGTTGATTTTTTGCATATGATTTGTGTGTTGTTGTGTTTGTATTTGTCTTGATATGGTTTAAAGGAAGAATCTCTCAAATTGTTTCACAGAGAAATACGTTTGAATTGTGGTTTTACATCTTAAAATTACATTTTTGACCCTTTCCCAGTTAATTCAAGACTTTAAAAATGTCATCTTCCTGTTAGCCTCAGATCCTACTTTGGATCTTTTGGCCAAAATGTCATGATACTAAACTATAGACACTTGAATGATTTAAATTTTGCAGACGTAGTTGGCTATAACATGAAGAGGGAAAACTAAACAAATAAATGATATCCATTAGTGTTTAAAATTAATAAGTTTTAAGATATTCAAAAGGAAAATGATGAGAATGTGGTTTTGGCATTAAGAATGAAACAGCAAACACATAGAAAATAGATTTTTTTCTGTTATTTTTTATTCACAAAGGAACACATTGCTAATAAAAATACAATTTAAATTGGTTGCCCTGAGGCCAGCATGATGATTCTACCTGGAGAAGTTTAGCTGGGGCTGCATTAACAAGGTAGCCTCTTCAGGATGGAAATTGAAGGCAGTGTACCTATTTAGAATTAAAATACAAACATTATAAACCTCATTGTTTGCAATAAGTTTACCAAGAGTTTTCTGAGACCTTTTATATGCAATATTGCTAATAAAAACTTTGACAACCCCTGAAAAAAAATCAGTCATTATTTCTATCCTGACCCATGTAGACTAAAATTGATCCAGAAGGCAGCAACTGCATTTGCGACTTGGTGAAATGAGAACAGAGCGTTAACAATTCTAAGTATTGTGTGGATCTACCTTTTAATCATTCTGAAACTGAAATATTGGCAATTCAGAACTCTTCAAAAAAGTTTACGTGTGGACCCAAGTTTCATACTGATGCTTGTTCCACATATCCTCTTACGTCTCTGCCCTTTGTGCAAATAAGTTGCACCTGTCCTGGAAATCAGTGTTGCTCATTTCAAATCTGGCGTCACGTGTGAGCGCTACCATCTTCTTGCCTTCACCTGGTCATGTAACTTTCCTCCACTGATATTCTTCAGCTGTAAAACTGGTAGTTATGCTCTGTCTCTGAAGACCTTTCCGGGTCTATAAATCTATGACACGTAGATGATCGATTCCCTGTCGTACTTGTTTTAAATATGCCATCCATAAAGGGGTATATGCTTATGTGCAAAGAAAAATCCCTGAACCAGGTTTGGGGCTGACCAACAAGACAATGATGTAAAGGTCTGGGTTGAATAAAATGTGGGCGTTGTGCAGTCTCAGCGCTGCAGTGCATTGAACTCAGCAGCCTGGTCACGTCCCTCCACAGCCAGACTGTCGGGGGTTTGGAATCTTTGTGATTTGTCTTGCTTCATTCTGGCTCTTACTGTGGCCCTGTGTTTGTTGGCAGCTTAATGACAACTTCATGTTCTTCCTCATTCCCCCTTTGCCCACTTAAGATTATGGAACTGCAGCGAATGACATCGGGGACACCACGAACAGAAGTAATGAAATCCCTTCCACAGACGTCACTGATAAAACCGGTCGGGAACATCTCTCGGTGAGTGGAATAAATAGGTGTCTGAATTGGTTCTGAGCATTTTGGATGCCTCCATGTTAGAGGAATGTAGCTGCTTCAATAAGACACTTTTATTGTTCAGATATAAATAGGGTGTTAACACCTAGGTTGGAAGAATTAATAAAAGGCTTAACAAAAGTGATAAAGGTGTTATATGGCCTTTGACTTATTTGCTGCTTTTGTGCACCACTTTTGGTTGTTAGTGGTTCCTATTTCAATTATCTGTGCTTTAGAAGGGTATCACCAGAAGAGCAAGAAACCAGCTTTATCATTCAGGGACTACACCTTCATACCTGTCTCCTTAAATTTTTAATATAATTTTGACTGCTCGCTAGATGTAGGGAATCCAGTAGCTTCTGAAAGGGACTGGCGGTGGAGGGGATATAATCATATGAACAAAATTAAGATTAGTTGTTTAGAATTCATCAGAGACCCTGGAGGTGAATATTAGCACCTCAAATACAAATAGAAGCAGAGCAAGGCAGTACAAGAGATAGAAGTGGAGGAGCAGATGTTTTGTTCCTTGTAGCTGGGACACTCTGAGGAGCCTTTGTGGGGCAAGTGACTTTTTGCATGGCCTGTGCAGAAGGGTTGGGATTTTGACATACAGGAATGGAAGAGAAGGGCATTTGGGGCATGTGAACAGGAGCTTGTAGGTGGAGAAACATCGTGAAGGTGCTTGATTGGAGGGTAAGGCATGTGCAGGACAGCAGGGTTGGAGATAAAGATTGTGGCCAGGTTGTAGGTCTTGACACAGAGTCTCAGGTGTGTAGATTTATGGCACAGTGAAGAGCCATTGAAGAGGGAAGTCACATGATCCCAGGGGTCTATGGTCAGTTGCTCTGGTCCGAACCCAACAACTTCCTCCAGTTGTTTCTTTTCCTCACTGTCATATGCACACAGAGCTTCCTGTGAGCTCTGCCTCCTTATAAATTCCAAATCTGTCCATATCTCCTTACCTCCACTGCCACTGTCACAGGCTAACCCAGGGGTTGGCAAACTATGACCCATGGGCCAAGTCCAGCTCACCACCTGTTTTTGTATGGTTTTCAGGCTAAGAATGGTTTCTACCTTCTAAGTGGTTTAAAACAACAAAAAAGAATGATATTTCATAACACACGAAAGTTTTGTGAAATTAAAATTTTATTGTCCATGAACAGAGTGTTACTGGAACACAGTCACTTGTGTTCATTTACGTACTGTCTGTGGCTGCTCTTGTGCTCCGATGGGGGTGGAGTAGTTGCAGCAGAGACCATATGGTCTGCAAAGTGGAAAATACTTACTTCTGGCCCTTTACAAGGAAAGTTTGCCTCAGTTGTTCTTTCCTGCATGACCACGCAGCCTCCTAACCCATCTCCCTCTCCCAGCCTTGTGTTTCCTGGTCTTTTCCCACACAGCAGCCAGAGTGATCTTTGTAAAGTGCAGATCAGATCATTTTTTTTGTTGTTATAATTCTCAGAGTCCTCTCACTGCAATTGCAATAAAACTTTTCATATGAAAGCCACACTCTTCATGGTGGCTTATGAGCCCTGGGTGACCTCGTCCTTCCCGAGCTCTCTGACTTCATCTCCCACGCTCTTCTTACTGCTTGCCACCTGCCTTTTTCATGCTCTCTCCAGTGCTCCAGTCCTGCTCTTTGTACTTGTGGCTCCCCATCCCAGGCATTTGCTTCCTGATGGCCATGATGTGGCTTCAGCTAGGTGGCCAGCATGCAGCCATTGCCCACTTCCATTTTCTTCTGAGCAGTTATCATTGTCTGGAATGACCCCATTTATTTGTTTGTTTAATGTATTTTTCTCTTCTCTAGATTCTTTAGTAAGACTCTTAGTAGGGGCAACGTGGTCAGTGTTTTTCACAGCTGTCTTCTTAAGCCTTCAGAATACTGGCTGACACCTAGTAGGCACCTAGTACATTTTGCAGACTGGCTAGACTTGCAGTGAACAGTATAGGGCAGAGGAATTGGAAAGGGGTGATCCATTAGGGGTTTGGTGGAGCAATAAAGACATGTGATATATACTTGAACCAAGGCCACAAGAGTGGAAATGGGAGGTGCGTAAACAGATGCAGTGCAACTGCAACTTTATGCATATCTAGTATAGAGGTATGCATGCATGCACATGCACACACGTATACACACAAACACACATGCTTCCGTAGATGACTATATGCATTACATTGAAATAGCAAGAACAAATACCATGGTAAGTCAACTGGGGAATGGTATCTGCTTCCTGCCGTATGCAATCATTTTAGTTTTTAATTCTTATACCAATCCACTTAATATTTCTTGGTGTAAGAAAGTTGTTTGTGTACGTAAGAAATCCAAGCAGCATGTATTAAGCCCAATTACACAAAATTATATGTTGACTTTAGTTTTCTGGGTTTTTTTTTTTTTTTTTTTTTTGTGATGGAGTCTCACTCTGTCACCCAGGCTGGAGTGCAGTGGCACGATCTCGGCTCACTGCAAGCTCTGCCTGCCGGGTTCATGCCATTCTCCTGCCTCAGCCTCCCGAGTAGCTGGGACTACAGCCACCTGCCAGCATGCCTGGCTAATTTTTTTGTATTTTATTTAGTAGAGACATGTTTTCACCATGTTAGCCAGGATGGTCTCAATCTCCTGACCTTGTGATCTGCCCGCCTCGGCCTCCCAAAGTGCTGGGATTACAGGCATGAGCCACCGCACCTGGCCTTCTGGGGTTTTTAAAATACAAATGATAAATTTAGGCACCTGATTGGCATATCTCCATCTATAGTATAGTTGCTGGAAGGCAAGATCAGTGAGTTTGTATATTATGACTTTGCGGAAGGCTCCTAAAATCTGTATGAGAGGTGCAATATTGTGTTTTGTAGAATTTGTGTGGTTCAGATATTTTATATATAAAGAGTTCTTGATCACAGGAGGGATCATTAGATTAGAAGAGTTTGAGAGCCAAGAAGCAGATACAAAAGTTAAAAATGTTTCTGGTCCAACAAGTGCTCTTCCAGCATTTTGTTGGATTTGCAGGGGAGGGCAGATCTCCCTTGTTCTATCCTAAGAAATATCCTCAGATGAAAACTAACCCATCAAGCAGCCAACCAACCAATCAAACAACTGACCAAACAAACTCACCCATGCTCATCTCCCGTGTAAAAACCACCTCAACACATGCAAGGTACACAAAATTCTGTATTTCTCAATCTGATTTTGAGGAAGTAATTCTTTTCATTGTCAAAGGCATCCTTGTTTACGAAAGGATTTAAATTTAGAATGGCTTCAGTAGCTTTAAGTATTTGTTTACAGATCCTTAGCTGCTTTTCAGCAGTAGAGCCCACTTCCCATTTTCTAGGTTGACTTACACATTCTATAACTAGGCAGAGAAGCCAGGGCAGGCATTACTGTCTAATGAAGAAGCAGAAGCTTGGATAAGTGAAGCATCTCTTCTAGCTGTCATGACTGGTAAAAGCAAGGTGTCCTGTGAACGCAGGGATCTAGGACTCCTAAATCCCAGTTAAGGACTGTCCAAAGCAGGGAAGAGACTGTACTGTGGTACTGCTGCATGGTTGGGGGACTTTCAGGCCAAGTCATCTAACCTCCCCCATCGCAGTTTTCTTATTTATCAAATGGAGTTTGACTTTGTTTATTTAGGTATTCTCCATCTATCTGTAGAAGTCTGCAATTTAATAATAAAGAAACTTATAGCTAAAATACTATGATCTCTTTCCCATGAAAACATTAGTTAGAAATAAAGATTTTTAAAAAACACCCAAAGTCATGAGGTCAGCTTGAGTGAAATGGTTACGTTTATCCATAATTAGCTTTGTAGGAGTTGCTACCATTCTGTTTGTATATAGGCTGCAGAGACGGAGTTAGATCTGTATTGGCTGGGCATGGTGGCTCATGCCTGTAATCCCAGGACTTAGGCTGAGGCAGGCGGATCACCTGAGGTTGGGAGTTCGAGACCAGCTTGACCAACATGGAGAAACCCCGTCTCTACTAAAAATACAAAATTAGCCAGGTGTGGTGGCACATGCCTATAATCCCAGCTACTAGGGAGGCTGAGGCAGGAGAATCACTTGAACCTAGGAGGCGGAGGTTGTGGTGAGCCAAGATCGCACCATTGCACTCCAGCCTAGGCAACAGGAGCGAAACTCCGTCTCAAAAAAAAAAAAGTCTATACTCAAACATTTGCAGAAGCGTTTTTGGGGAGATATACTCACAGTTAAAGTACCAGAGAAGAGAATGATCATTACTTTTGCTCCACACTGGCCAAGAGCTTTGTATGTCTTCTTTTTGTGCTCTGTGATTTATTTAATGCTCTTCTCATCTGACATGAAAGATGGTGTCCTGGGAGAATTAGCCATATGTTTTTATTTTCCTGCCTTCATTCTCAACCACATGCTTTGCAGAGACAGTGTAGTGGATAAATCACAGGATTTATACTTGGGCAGACTTGGTTCCATTTCCAAGCTCAGAAGGTGTGACTGTGAGCAGCTTACTTAATTTTTTTGTAAATCTTAGTTTTTTCATCATCATCATCACAGCTAACATTAATTTATTATATATTGTAGTAGATACTGTTCCAAACCCATTACCTGCATTAACTCATTGAGGATTTACAATAACCTACAAAGTAGAATAATTATATTCTCCATCTTACACATGAAGATTATGAGATGCAGAGAGGTTAAGTAATTCTGAAGTCATGCAGCAGAGTGAGAAATCTAGATTTTATACTCAGGAAAAACCCATGGTCTTAATCTCTACCCTATAATGCTTCTCACTATGAGATGGGTATATCAGTCAGAATAAGCTATGCTGCAGTAACAAAACCTCCACATCTTGGGGACTTAAAACAACAAAGTTTTCTTTCTTGCTTCATTTCGTGTATTGGCTAGGAGCTCTGTTCAGCCTTGTCCTTGTTCCAGGACTGTGGATGACAAAGCATCCACATTTTTAAAGGTTAGCCTTTTTCTTTATGACAGAGATAAAGAGCACTGTGGAGCAGGTGGAGCAGGGTTCCTCAACCTTGGCACTATTGGCGTTTGGGGATAAATAATCCTTTGTTTGGGGGGCTGTCTTGGGCACAGTAGGATGTTAATAATGCCTGGCCTCTACCCACTAGGTGCTAGTAGTACTTTCCCCCTCGTTGTGACAACCCCAAATTGTCAAGTGTCCCCTGGATGGCAATATTATTGTCCCTGGTTGAGAAACACTGCCTTAGACTAAGATCTTGGACAAGAAGTGAAGTTCTACACCCTGGCAGTGACACAAGTCTGAACTAGTCACATGAACCACTTAACCACAAGCAAGCCAGGAAATGTATCCTACAAAGAGAAACACAGAGAAAACCAGAAATATTAGACAAACAGCATTAATGATTACTATGGATAGGGATAATAATATCCATCTTAAAAATTGTTGTGCAGATTCTTAAGCCAGAATGGCTCTCTAAGAAATCTCAGAGCAGGCATTGGCGACTATGTTCAAGTCCAGCTGCTGCCATTGTAAATAAAGTTTTATTGGAACACAGTTATGCCCATTTGTTTACATATCATCATTGGCTGCTTTCATGCTCCACCGGCAGAGCTGGATCCTTAGTTGCGACAGAGACTGCAAGGCTGGCAAAGCCTGAAGTATTTACCATCTGACCTTTACAGCAAAAGTTTGCCAACTCCTGGTTTAGAGAAGCCAACTGTTTTTGGAAGCAGGACTTTGGGCTGAGTAAGACTGGAAGGAGACACATAGTGCCGCTGACAACTTTGCTCTAAAATGTTAAGATGCACTTAGAGGAGCATCATGCCTTGGTCAGCAGCAATGGTAGCAGAGTGATCGCATTTCTATGTGTACCTCTGTCATCTCTACCTCTGGGATGGGAGAGGATTCACATATATCTACATCTACCCTCTTGACTTGTGTAATCCACACCTGGCAATTACATTTTTAAACTTACTTAAACATTTTTAGGCTTATATCATATATATGGGAAAATGCACATATCATAAATTTACAACCCAATGGGCTTTGACAAGTGGAACTCACCCCAGAAGTGCCCTCCTGCTCCCTTCCAGTGCCACTCACTGTTCCCAGGGTACCCTGACTTCTAAGAGCAACAATAGCTAACCTTAAAAATAGCCTTTTATTATGGACAATTTTCAAACATGCACTTCAGTAGAGAGAATAGTAAAATGAACCCCATTGTATTCTTCACCAGCTTCAAGAATTATCGGGCTGGATGCGGTGGCTCATGCCTATATTCCCAGAACTTTGGGAGGTGTAGGTGGAAGAATTCCTTGAGCCCGGGATTTCAACACCAGCCTGGGCAATATGGCAAAACCCTGTCTCTGCAAAAAAACTTAAAAATGAGCCAGGTATAGTGGTGTTTACCTGTAGTCCTAGCTACTCAGGAGGCTGAGGTGGGAAGATACCTTGAGCCCAGGAGGTCGAAGCTGCAGTGAGCCATGATTGTGCTATTGCACTTTAGCCTGAGCAACAAAGTGAGACTCCGTCACACACACACACACACACAGAAAAATCACCAGTATTTTGCTGTTCATATTTCATATTCTCTCTCTCCCTTTCTCTGCCCACCTCTCTTTCTCTCTCTCCTCCCTCTTTAGATGGATGGAGAGAGAGCTGTAATATTTTTAAAATGCCAATTGGATAGCCATTTTTATAAGCTTTAACTTATGTTTTCTCATTTGTAAAGTAGGCATAATAATAGATCTTACATACTTCACTATAGGGTTGTCGCAGATTAAGTGAGTTGGTGTACATAAGGCTGTTATAAGAACAAGTGGTAAGCATTCAATAAATATGAACTGCCTGTATCATTATCATCGTCATGATCATCATCACCATATGATTATAGGGAACTAATTAGCAAGGTTATAACCACCCTCCCTTCCTTTCTCTAGGTCTATGCTGTGGTGGTGATTGCGTCTGTGGTGGGATTTTGCCTTTTGGTAATGCTGTTTCTGCTTAAGTTGGCAAGACACTCCAAGTTTGGCATGAAAGGTAAGAAGGGTTGTGTTTATTTAGCTTCTTATGTGGATCATTTTTGGCTTATGACTAATGCTAATTACCACTAAAGAAGGAAGTGGCTAGATTTATGATGATTAGGTTTTAAGGCTAAAAAAATAGCAACAAGGCTTTGATACTACAAATCAAGACGGAGCAAAATAATGTTGATTACTCAGCACTACCCACTTTTCCATGAGAACAGTTGTCCCGGGAGACAGAACTGGGTTCTTGAGTATCAAGGGACTAATAAAGATATGACAAAGAAATAGTACTTGATGTTTCTTTTGCTCCAGAAAGGCAGGTGAGACACAGTGGGGATAGGATAACCTGGACACATGTATTTTGTGCAGAAAGGTCTATGCTGCTGTACATTTGATTCCCAAATCTTCAGTGGTATGCTTTTGGTGTTGTTCCTGCTTTTCCAGATCCTCATTCTTTGAAATTTAAACAACAGTGTTATGAAGCAAAATAAGAACAGCTATCAGCAGTATATAGAAGCTTCGTGAATACATAGCTTTTTTTTTATTTAAGTGGAAAAATTAGCAGGGCTAGATTAAAAATTAGGCACTAATTGACCCAAAATAGATAACTTGTCTTTTTTTAGAGGATGGAAAATTAATTTTACAGGGAAAACTTGTATAAATTTCTTGTTACATAAAAAATGCCTTGGAGCAGTGATTTAATGATTTAAAACCATTTGCTCTGAAGTTTAAACTTATGTATTGGATAATATGCCAGTGTTGTATTTTGTGTGGTCTCCTATAGATAGACACTATTTAAAAGTGTCTAAATGGGAATGCTGTGAAGAAGGTTTAGTGGTGTCTTAGTTGTGCTGGAGAGTAGGTCAGGTGGATTTTCTTTATCTGTATGGTCTGTTAGAATTATGGGTAATGTTGCTAATATTGCTATTTACTTGAAAGGGAATGTTTCAGTAGCAATAAGTTGCCCAGCATACACTGACATCTGGGATAGAGCAGATCTATTTCTGATGTTTCCTCTTTTCCCTTTGTTGGTGCCTGTGAACATTTCTAAGCCAGAAATGAACAGGGAGGAGTGGTGGTAAATTGGGGCTTAAAATAACTCAAAAAACCTCGTCCTGGTTCCTGCTTGGCCAGCTGATCCTTGATGTTTCTTCAGGGGAGGAAAGATCTTTCATTCTCCAATTATAAATAAAGCTTGGGAGAGGGACCACCCCACAGTGATTTTAATTCATCCTGTGGGGTGGTTCTCAAACTTGACTGTGTGCCAAAAACTCCTATAGGACTTGAGAAAACACAGATTCCTGGGCTACCCCTAGAGTTTCTGCTTTAGCAGGCCTAGTGTTCACCTGACAGCTGGCATTTCTAACAGTTTCTGGAGAATACTGATCCTGCTTGCCCTGGTTGTTGTGTTCTCTACACAACAGTGTAGGGAATCACTGTTCTCTACAATAAACATGGGCTGCCAGGCCCCCTTCAGAATGTGACAAGATGTTGGTAGAGACATCGCAAACCAAACTCACCCACAGCTTTGCACACATTTTGGGATCCCCATATCTCAACTGCACCCAGGCCCAGGCTAGGCGGCTGCTCTGTGTGTGCCGCACCCTACCATGGCATTTGGCGGTTCTCATGTTTATCAGGTGCTTTCCTTCCTTAGAGGCACTTGGACTGGATGTCTCTAAACATAGATTTCACTGGAGGCTACCAACTAACATTAGAGTTTCTGGTCTTGAAGGGTTTAGTTTGAAATATTTCATCCCATGAGCTTTTTGGAGAGAGGATATACCCAGGTTCTTCTGGGATCTCAGCAAAAGCTAAGTGGGAATCCATGGAGCAAAATTTAGGAACTTCTTCCCACCCTTGGTTTAGGAAAATCACTGGCAGAATTACCAGTAAATGGCAACCTACTCCTTACAATGTGGCAATGGAGGAGAAAAAGCGTAGACATTTTCTTTCAGAGAAGAAAATTATGTTGCATATTGAGACTCCAGCACTAACGCTGAAACAGTATTTCATTTAGATAATTTGGGGTGATTACCACTAAAGCGTCTACGTTTTCTGAGTATAACCTGAGGGCATCCTTAATGAATTATAAGAAAGAGTGTGCTTAACCCTGCCACAGAGCCAGTAAATGGCTTCCTACAGCAGTAACTACTATACATATTGTATGTTTTGTTCCCTCATTCCTACACACAAATAAAATCATTTTTAGAAATTTTGTCTCAGAGACTTTTTTTTTTTTAGAATAGCTTACTGTTCTATTTTAAGCTACATGTCTATCTGGGGCATGATGTGAATAAAAAGAGCCTGATCTAGGGTTATTGTTTTGCAAGTCAGATGTCGAGTTGATAAATCTTTGGGGATCTAGAAATTAAGATATGGTTCATGTATCAAGTGCAGATGAAACTGCTTAAAACGTGGTATTTAAACATTAATGTGAGTCAGTGTATTTTAAATGCTATTAGAGCTGAGATTACCACTGAAAAACATATGCTTAAAAAAGGGAAGAAAATGTAAAAACACTATTATGCTTCCGAAAATAACCAGGCAATGTATTAGTTGTGGTTTCTTAGTAACAACGGTATGAACTGTGCATAGCTTTGGCCAGGACTAGGCACCATGTGAAAGGCTTGTGGCTGCTGTGCAGATGAGCTGTTCAGAATGTTATTCCTCCCTTCCTAAGCATCTTTGGGGAGGGTCTAAGCTCATCCTTATTCTCTTTTGCTGGAGGCAGATGGGACAGGAGGAAGGTGGCCAGCTCACCCATAGGCACTCACAGCTTTTTGCCCATCCCTAGCAATGCGTGGTTTATTTCGAGTGTTGACTGTTTCAATCTGTAATGGAAAACTCGAGAATATAAATGACAGTTCAATGCTGCTGATATGAAGGGCCCAGAGAAACAAACCCCAGAAACCTCTTAAGGTCACCACACTACAGCTGAGTGCAGGGCAACACAAGCTTTATGGATTGGCCTGAGATCCACCCCTTACTCCTGCAAACATTACTTATGGTATTGCTCCCATGGGGAGGTGATTTCTAAATTCCAAACTAGTGAGTGAAACTTGGATTTGTAAATGCAACCAGTGAATTGCAGTGTTGTCTTTGAAGATGGGTCTGCAGGTCTGTAAGCTTCGTCGGGTTTTGTTCCTTGTTCTGTGGATTCATCGTAAACCAAATGCTGATGGTCCACTCCAGAACAGGCAGCACAGACTTTGAGCTCCATGGTAACAGCATTCATATTTGTGGTGTTCATCTTTATCTACTGAGTGCCTAGCCCAGAGTTGGCGCTCAATACATATTAACGACAGAATGATCAGAGAAGATTTTCAACTCCGTCCACCTAAGTTCGGTAATTGGAAAACAGTTAGTATTTGGAGGATGGCTAAACAGTGAGTGACTAAAGAGAGAACCTGAGACTTTTCTAAGTTTCTAAAAGAGACAAAGTCCCACCTCTTTTTTTTTTTTTTTTTTTTTTTTTTTTGGTTATTCCATATGAGTCATGGCCATAGATAAGAGATCAGTTTGTCCCGGTTTTGTCTCAGGGTATGTAGGTTTTCACACACTGTTTTCAACAATCGTCATTGTTTAAGTTTGGAGGATTCACTTTGACTTTTTATTTTGCATGTGAACATCTTCAATTTCTACCTCCCTACCTTTGAATGTATCGTTTTGGAATATGTTGTTTTTTCAGTTCTGAAGTTGGCAAAAGTGCTAGATTGGGGATTTTATCTTGTGGTAAACCTAGAATTTATGTTTTATTCTTGCTTGATAGAGTTTAAGCTTCTTGCTGCTAGTGTCCAATAGGCTCCCGGCCCTGTTTCCATAAAGATGTCAAGGGGTAGAATATCTCCCAGTCAGTTTTTCCTTGTTTATTTCTGTGCCTTTACACTGTCCTATTGCTTTTTTGGTTGATATGTAGCTACCATAATTGCAGAAGCCAAATAATGCCCTTCTGTTAGTGTTGGCCATCTATGTAGGGCTTATTCATACATATGTTTAATATGTATGAATAAAATGTATACCAAATCTGTCTAAATCTATGTCGGTATCAATATCCCTATATGAAAATGCATAATATTATCCCTTTTCTTCTAAGGCTGCCTCTGGTTTGTTTTAATTTTAGTTTTCACTGAAGTAGGGCTGAAAGAATTTTCCAGAACAGCTCCATTGCCAAAGGAATAGGCAACCATGCCTTTGAATGCTCTCCTTGTGTTGTAACCAAGTCTTGTGTTTAGCTCTCGCATTGCTTCCTGGCTCCGTGTCTTCACTGAAGACGTAGGAGTGCATGTGAGGGGAAAATGGAAGCATTGAGGAGCACCAGAGCTGCCAAGTCTTCAAAGGGTGCTCCACATTGGGAGCCCTGCCTGTGGCATTGATGGTGTACAGGGTTGCAAAAAATATAAGGGAGCCAGCAGGGAGGAGGGAGCTTGGCATTCATCACCCTGCTGGAGGATAGTTTCGGCTATCAGTTTTGTGTTATTTACATTTCCTGATGGAAGTCCACATATGATATCTAATTCCTAAGTACTAATGCAGCCTTTGTCACTCAAGAGTGAAATATCTAAATGACCCTAAGAAATCTCTGTAGAAGAGACTAGAAGAGGAAGCTTTCTTCTCATTCAGTGCTAATAGACTGCACAGATTTCCTCTGCAGCCTCTGATTCTTGTATGTAAACTCCCCTATCCACATTCATTTGTCCTACTTAAGTGTTGGAGGTTTCCAACTAGTAAAGGCTGGAAAGCTACCCTGCCTTGGGATGCAGATCTGGGTTTTCCTAAGTCCAGACTGAAGGCCCACAGTTCAACTTTCTGCTCTTATAAATGATCTCTGAGTGTCTTTCAATAGCAACCAAAAATCTGCCTATTTAAAAATAGTCATAAACATAGCGGGGCCAAAGCTAAAGAGGTTGAAGGTTAAAGCCTTTTATATGAGCTGAAAACAATTCTGGGAAATTTAAGAGGTTGAGTTTAACAGATATTTGGATCAACTTTTAAGAGGAAAAAATGTGACCAAAAGCCAGAAACACAGTTGTAGAAACATCTGTAAGGACAAACTGTTTTCCATATGCACCCTCTTCCTTCTTCTTTTTTTTAAAGAAAAATGCCGTCGAAAAATTAGAATGGTAACAATTGAATGCACTCTTGTTTTTCAAAATTTCAAGGAGTTTAGAAATACCTAAACATAAAAATGGATGTTCCCATCACCTTCTTCTGCATGACCATTTCCACTCCTAGAAATAACTTTCTTTAACTGTATAGGGTGCATATAGTATGTAAACAATCAAATATATGGCTTCATTTTTGATTCCATAAGGAAATTATAATACCAGTCTTGTTCTGCATTTTTTGGGGGTAACAATTTGCCTTGCGGATTTTTCTTTATCAGTACCTAGCTATCTACTACATTCCATTTAATAGTATTTCCCAGTTGTCTGATATCAGGCTACTTGGATCTGAAACCTGGCTCTGCCTCTTACGAGCTATGTGACTTTGAGCAAATATCTCATCCTCTCTTGCCTCGGTATTTCCGTCTGTAATGGGACAATACTAATACCTAACCCATAGGGTTGTTATGAAGACAAACTGAGCTTATATATATAAACCACTTGGGAATGTTTCTGACACTTAGTAATTGCTCTATAAATATGTAATGTTGTTAATATTATTGACAAATTATGATTTATTTGACTTTTCTTCTTTTAATGGACATTTATGTTTTTACCAAGTTTTCAGAAAATTATTTCAAGTAATTTTCAAATAATATCTTCTGTATAAAGATAGATACTTGGAAATGTATTGCTAGGAGGAAAGATATATATGTTTAAATGTGAATAGATTACCTTGCATAAATGCCTTTCCAATTTAGTCTCCCACTAACAGTATGTAAGGATACCCTTTCATTTCTTACTCTGATCTATACTGAATATTATCAATCTTTTGGCTATTTGAGTTTAAATGATACATTGATTAATAATGAATGTAAATATCTTTATCATGTGAAAAATAAGAGTAATGTTTATTTTTATTGTTGAGTTATAGATATACTTTGCCAATTATATATATATATTTATTTATTCATGATATTTGTGGCTCATATTTTCTTCTAGTCTTTTGACTTTTTGATAGTGTCTTTTGGTAACCAAAGAGATTTACCTTTTTATAAAAGCAAATCTGTCCATCTTTTCCATTTAAGTTGTGTCTTGCTTAGGAAGATCTTTCCTGCTCTAAGGTGGTAAACATATTTCTAAATATTTATTTCACTAGTTTTTTACTCTATGTATTTTTTAAACTTAGCCCTTTAGTCTTTTTGTAATTATTATTATTATTATTATTATTGAGACAGAGTTTCACTCTTGTTGCCCAGGCTGGAGTGCAGTGGCATGATCTCGGCTCACCACAACCTCTGCCGCCCAGCTTCAAGTGATTCTCCTGTCTTAGCCTCCTGAGTAGCTGGGATTACAGGCGTGCGCTACCACGCCCGGCTAATTTTGTATTTTTATTAGAGATGGGGTTTCTCCATGTTGGTCAGGCTAGTCTCAAACTCCCGACCTCAGGTGATCCACCCGCCTCAGCCTCCCAAAGTGTTTGGATTATAGGCGTGAGCCACCGCACCCGGCCTTTTTGTAATTATTTTATTAAACTTTGGTATGAAGTAGTCCTCTCTTTTTCAGAGACGTATAGAATAAAGATATTTGAATAAATTCTAGTGTGACATTTTCATAGAGATGAATAATAATATTTTAAATTTCTTGTATCAGAAAGCCACTAATAAAGCAAAAGAGAAATTTTGAAAATCTCAGTAATTAACTCTTTCTTTGTGAAACAAGTAATGAACTTTGCCAGTTCTTTCTTATAGCATGGGAATATAAACCACACAAAATAGTATCAGAGAAATAAGTTTTCACAGAAACCCTTTGTTAAACTACTCTCCTCCCAGCTTCAAGTGGAGTTCAAAGTCTATCTCAGCACTCTCTTAAGAGGCAACAAAATTTGTCAATATCAACCAAGTCCTCAGAAATTTCAGAAAAGACATTCAGTTGAAAGAGTCATTGAGTAAGGTAACAAAATGAAAATGAATCTAGAGAAAAGAATTAGTCCAAGTGTTCCTTTTCTGTTGTTTGGCGATGCTATAGAAAGCTTTTCCCGTGTGTTTGTGAGGTGAGGATCTACTTTTTAAAGTCTCTTACTTCTTTCCCTGCCAACATTTGGCTTCTGTCTATCTGAGAGCAGAAGATGCTTATTCTTTACAACATATTGAAAATGTGTGTCAGACTTCTAAGAATTGGCTAGAGTAGCCCAGACAGGAAGCAAAAGAATCGGCATCTCTGCCTTTAGCCTTGTAGGTGGATGCACTCTACCTTTTAATTGCTGGTTTTACCTGGGAATTCCCACAACCGCAGCATGATTCATGTGAGAGCTCTTGTTTTCCTGTAATGTAGAAAGTGCATGCAATATTGTTTGGGACTTTCCATGCTAGTATTTTCACTAAAGGTGAAAGAGCCTATAAAAAATTAGATTTTGTACTTAAAGGTCAGGAAATATTGTTACCACTTCTTTGGTCTTCCATTAACCTTGGGGGGAATTTGCTTTGACCTCCTCACATAGCTTATGGCCTATTTCAGACAGGACTTTCAAAATCTGAAAATCTTCTGGTTTTCTTCTTCTTTTCCCCCTTCACTTCTCTTTTACCTTTCGTTGTTTTCCCTGTCATTTTGTCCTGCATGTCTTTGCTTTCTAATTTTATATTTTTTCCTCTCTTGTTTTTCTTCCATCTCATTCCTAACATCTGATTTTGGTGGAAAAGCTTTTCAGAATTTATGAAGAAGACAGATAATAACTTGGCTTAAATTCTAACATATGCTTTGATTTTATCTTACTTTATTTTGAGCAAGAATACTAAATGACTATGGGAATACATTTAGCTCTAAATCAGCAGAATTGTCACGTGGCACTTCAGAAGACAGCCTGTTTGAATAATGCACATCCTTCATGTTTGTAAGTTGTTAACTCCTGAGTCTTCAACCCAAGGAACATATAGGAAAGTAATATTGAAGACATATGAATCAAACATGCTTGAGTTTAAATCCCAGATCTCCCGCCTGCTGGTCATCATTTTGGGCAAATTGTTAAACTCTAAATCTTAATTCCTCTTTGGTAAATTGAGGGAATAATACTCATCTCTTCAGGTGATTATAAGAATTAAATCAGTGCTTAGTTTAGTATCTGTCTCTTTAAACTAATTCTCTAAGAGGTAGTTACTTTTCAGATTTATGTTTTAGTAATACATTATTAAAGAAAATATTATAGGGTGATTCTTGTTGAATTCATATTGAATCTGGAATGCAGAAAAATGTCGCAAATGTAAACAGTGAATATTAGTGTTTCCAGGTTTATTAGTTGAGTCTATAGAAAAAAATTGTAATTACAATGTGTATCTACTTTATGGGTATGTATCATGAATACAAATGTGCTGATATGTGTGCTTCTTTTAAGCCCTTCAGCCCTTTAATACACTATGTGTGAATTATTGCAAATTCTTAATTTTATTGTCCTCTGAAGAATTCATCACTTTAAATTATTTTGGGGTTTATAAAAACTTGTTTCATTGATTGATTGATTTGGTATGTAGGTTTTAGCAGTTTTTCAGGGGAGAAATATTTTCCAAAGTAAAGAGGTGGAAAGGGCAGGAATGGGAGGGGGATGGGACCCCCCAACACCCACTAGCTTAGATCTAAAAACACGACCTCATGGAAACTTCTAATGTGTTTCCCTTTTGTACAGAAAGGATTATAACTGCTAAAGTGATTTATTTTAAAAAATAGGCCTTAATTCTGATGTATGTACAGCCTGCTAGAAAGGAAAAGAGGGATTGTCAAGAAATTAAATTCTTCCTTATGCAATAGATTGTCATTTATATTATTATAACCACAGACCCTGCATTTTCTGTGAGAAAGCCAAGGCTTGGACAGGCTAACAGTGGTGGAAGACCTTTGTTTTTATCAAAGCGTCAGCAAAAGCAGAAACACATTGGCCTTTTCTGTGATCATCTGGGAACTTTAGTGGCCTGAGGACAAAGAGAATGAGAGAGAGAATGAGCCAGTGAGCTAGTGACCTGATCTCTATTTCAATTCTTTAAGTCTTTTGTAGACATTAATATCCTGGATTGAAGCAGAAGAGTCATCTCTGTCTTCAGCGACAGTGTAAGGAAGGAAGGGGGAGGTGACTTAAGGGGTGAGGGTGCTGTGGGGAGGGAGAATGTTGAGAATGAAGTGGTGTTTCTATTTATGGTTGTGGTTGTCAACTTTAGAAGTCCTGGCAAGACTTGAGTATAGTCAACCACCCAACTGAGCCTTTCCTGCACTTGCTTCCTGGATTGCCTGTAAATGAAAATTGCATAAAGACCAGAAATATTATAATAGTACAGGACAGAGAATCATCTGAGCCTCCCCTCCAGCTTTAATATCTACCACCTTGTTACAAAACCATTATATACAATCACACACTCACTACAAAAGTCTGCCCTGCACTTCTGGTGAGATCCTTTATTATTATGGTGTGTAATGATGTAATCTTTTTCTCTATTGTGTAGCCACAGTCTCTTTACTGTTGACATATGAAATACTGCATCTGGAGCCAACACTAAATATCCCTGACTATACCTTCAAATGTGCGGTCATCTCCAGAAAATATTGCCTCTAAGTTATCAATAGAAGGTATTTTCTATTTAGTTGGCATTCCCAGTGAATCTGTTTACTGTTAATTTGCAGGTAGCATGCATCTTGTCAGAGTGATATGGTTTGGCTATGTCCCCACCCAAATATCATCTTGAATTGCATCTCCCATAATTCTCATGTGTCTTGAAAGGGACCTGATGGGAGGCAATTGAATCATGGGGGTGGGTCTGTCCCATGCTGTTCTCGTGATAGTGAATAAGTCTCACACGATCTGAGGTTTTTTTTTTATAAAGAGCAGTTCCCCTACACAAGCTCTCTCTTGCACACTGTCATGTAAGAAGTCTCTTTGCTCTTCCTTCATCTTCCACCACAATTGTGAGACCTCAGCCCTGTGCAACTGTGGGTCCGTTAAACCTGTTTCCTTTATAAACTACCCAGTCTTGGGTATGTCTTTATTAGCAGCATGAGAACAGACTAATAAACAAGGGTACCTTTGACATTCCAGCTTGAGAGCAAAGAGAGGCAGCCCTGCCTTAGCCATCTCTTCCTGGAATGGTGTGGATGTCAGGGAGCAGCTCAACATGTGGGCTGTTTCTTGATCTTTTAAGTCAGACTTCATAGCATGGCTTTGTCATTTTGTTTGAAGTAAATCCTTGAAACATTAGATGTTTCTATATTGAAATGACATGCATTCCATAGCCCAAAAGACATAATTTCTGTGTTATTTACTTGTAGCCTTTCCTCTATGAGTGAGGACAAGTGCAAGGTGATTTTAGAGGTAGATTTATGTGCATATTATGTAATCGTTTATCCCTCACATTATATCTTCGTTTTCCTGTGATGTCATGGCAGAGGGTGGATTAATCAGTAAAATGTCTAGGATTGGATTGAGAATGAGCAGACACCTATCTCAGGCACAACCTGTGAGCCATGTGACTTTATTTTTCTATTGTTCAATGAAGTATACCCTTTTAGCCCTTTCTGTACTGAGTAGCAGAAAATTAATCTCCTACCACTCTGGGTAATCTCAGACAATGGTGGGTAATCACAAAAAATTCCACACTTTCTCTGTCACTTCAGGTCTCTCACTTTCCTCTCCCTTACTCAGGTTGCATTTGCCTTTCTGGGAAATAGTGGAGAGTGTGCTGCAAGTTCAATAAAGTGCCACAGTGTGGCCTTGGTGGTAATTTCTGTATGCTGGTGGCTGTCCATCTTCCCAGTTGTCCTTGGCCACCACTCTATTCAAGTCATAGGTGTACCATCTTGTGTTCCTAACCAAGTTCTGCCACCTTCATATGTGTCTCCGCAAGGGTGTCTTTGCAGCTTTGGGGACATGGAAAATACTGAGACTGGCCCCCACTGTCTCTGCGTAGACATACTATGCAGAGACATACTATTCCCCTACTTTATTACTCTTGTGCCATTACAGGCTTGGGATTGCTCTGACTTCTGGACAACTTCTCTCGTCTTCCAAGAAAGGGGTCCTCAGGATTCTTCTTTTTGAAACTCTAAGTCTGAGTCAGGGCTCTGTGTTTCCTTAACCCTCATACTTGACCTGGGGACAGGTTATAGACTCTTCCTGCCTGTATCTAACCATTTTTCCCCTCACTGACTCTCTTCCTATTTCCTATGGGGACAGGAAGAACATGAAAAATGATTTTTTCTGATTTCATCTTCTTCCACATACTTTTCATCATATATGTGGATCTTGGTTTTTTTTTTCCCTCCAGCTTTTTACTGTAAAATTTTCAATATGAATAAAAGCTGAAAGAATACTAACAATGAATATTCATACACTCAACACCTAGATTCAACTTCTGCTTAACATCTTGTTATTGAAAAATACATTGACAGTATCATGTTCCTTCACTCCCAAATTTCCAGCATGTTTTTCCTAAAACTGAGGACACAGTGTCCTAAAACCACAGCCACAATACCATTACCATTGTGCTCAAGGAAATTAAGATAACCCTGTAATAACAGATATTACCTAGACTATCTTCAAATTTCCCCAGTGATTTAAAAATGCCTTTTATAGTTACTTATATATCAAACCAAGATCAATTCAAAGTTCATGCGTTGCATTTTTTTTTTTTTATTGAGTTTCTTTGGTCCCTTGCAGTCTAGAACATGGCTTCTCTTTTTCCCTGCCTTACACTGGCTATTTGAAGAGACTAGGCAGTTGTCCTGTAGAATGTCCCTCATTCTGTCTCTGTGTGATTGTTTTCTTTGGTATTCTTCAACTTGCCATTTATCCTCTCTATTTCCTATAAACTGGAACTTATTTCTAAAGGTTTGGTCAGATTCAGGTGAGAGGTTTTGGGAAGAAAACATCACAGAAGATGATGTGCACTTCATCTGTGTCACATCTGGAATCACATTGTGTCAGGTTGTTACACTATCAGTGGAAGTTGGATCACCTTTTGAAGATAGTGACCACCAGATACCAGATCTTTTCTTTATAAATACAAGTTTTTCCCTTTGGAATTCATAGCTGGTTTGTAGGGTGATAATTTGACATCTAGCAAATATCCTCTCCTCCTAAAACTTGAACCTACTGGGCTTAGCATACTTTCCTAAAAGCTACTTAATTTCTAAGGGTTGCAGAGGTGTTTTTCTAATCCAATCATTTCTTCTGTTTTTATTTCATTAATTTTTTTTTAAAGGAGAGCTTTCTGGCCTTGGCCAAGAATTTCAGCTCTTTCATTATAGTTCTGTCTTGATGACTCTTCCTTGAGGCAATGATTGGGTGCTTGGGATCCAGCTGCCTACACTAGGGAGGGTCATAGGATTATAGAAAAAAAGTTACAGTTAATAGGATCACTATATCAAAAATATTATTTTATTATAAGAGTATAGTTGGTGGGAATGCAAATTAGTACAGCCACTATGGAGAACAGTTTGGAAGTTCTTCAAAAACTAAAAATTGAGCTACCATGTGATCCAGCAATCCTACTGCTGGGTATTTACCCAAAAGAAAGGAAATCAGTATACGGAAGAGATATCCACACTCCTATGTTTGTTGCAGCACTGTTCACAATAGCTAAGATTTGAAAGCAACTTGTGTCCATCAGCAGATGAATGGATAAAGAAACTGTGGTGCTTGTACACAATAGAGTACTATTCAGCCATAAAAAGGAATGAGATTCAGTCATTTGCACCAACATGGATGGAACTGGGGTCATTATGTTAAGTTAAATAAGCCAGGCACAGAAAGACAAACATAGCATATTCTCACTTATTTGTAGAATATAAAAGCCAAAACAATTGAACTCATGGACACAGACAGTAGAAGGTGACCAGAGGCTGGGAAGGGTAGTGAGGGATGCGGAGGTTGTGAGGATGGTTAATGAGTACAAAAACACCAGAAAGAATGAATAAGACCTACTGTCTGATCGCACAACAGAGTGACTATAGTCAATAATAATTGTAGCTTTTAAAATAATTTAAAGAGTTTAATTGGATTGTTTGCAACTCAACGGATAAATGCTTGAGGGGATAAATACCCCATTCTTCATGATGTGCTTATTTCACATTGCATGCCTGTATCAAAACATCTCATGTACCCCATAAATATGTACACCCACTATATGCCCACAAAAATTGAAAAACAATAAATAAAAAAGAGTATAATGAGCCTAAATGCTTTCAGGATTCCCTTTTGCATTTTGTGGCTGGTGGTAGCATCAAAGACAGTGAGAGCTAGCAGCAGGTGAGAAATCACTTGCAGCCTTTATTTTATAGATGAGGATGGTGGGCCCAGAGAACTTGAGCGACTTGCCTGAGGGTTACCTGGTTTGTGGCCAATCCAGGGGCAGAAGCCAGGTCTCATGACTCCAGCTTCAGTGTTTTCTGCTGTGAAACTAAGACTTGTAAGAAGACTCCACAACACAACTTATTTCCATGCCATGTTCACTGCTTGAGCGTGTCATACGTGACTAGTATTGTCTTGCCCCTGGGTAATGCTATGTTTCTCAAAGCTGGGGACACTTAAGATCTGTGGTAACAAGAGAGTTTTAGGAGGTGCTCAGGGACTAACATTTTAAATTTTGGTAATTCTGTTATCTATTTATTTTAGTGTTCATTAGAAAAAATATACCTATTACATCATACTGTTGGTTTCATCATATTATTGTTTAGGATGAGACTAAATTAATATAATAGAAAAAATTAAAAAATATGGTTTAAACAATTTCATTTCAACTTAAATTTTAAAAAGACTATTGGGTAGGACTATCCAGTGCACTGCAAATTTAAAACTGAACAGAACAAGCTTTCCACCTCATGGAGTTTATTAAAGTTTATGGGAGGGGAGAGAGAAAAACAGAGAAAGAAATATAGAGAAATCTACAGGTGATGGCAAATGCTATGACTGAAAGTGAAGCAGGGCAAGAGGGCTTTGCTGTGTTTAAATAGTTAAGAAAAGCTGCTCTGCTACGATGACACTGGGGCCAAGAGTGAGAGAAAGTGAGGGAGGGAGCTCGCTGATGTCCTGGGGAAGAGTGATCTAGACAGAGGAAGAGTGGGTGCAAGACTAAGGTGGCCAGAGCAGAGTGGGGGCCTGGGGAGGAGAGCAGAGAGGGATGGAAATGCAGCTCACTGAGGGACTTGCAGCATTTAGGAGTTTTGTTGTTGTTGTTGTTGTTTTGTTTTTTTATTCAGAGTGAGGAGTACTTGTCTTATCCAAGGTACTTGGATACGACAGAAATTGTGAAAGTGTATGGAGAGAGATTAAATGTGGGCAGCACTGATGTAATGATGTATTAAATTAATTTCTTATACTGAAGCATGACTGAAGGGAAAGATATCTCATGCGGGGAGAGTTCCTCATACAAGAGTATGGAGGAAACTTCACTTCAGGGTCATGATCAGCTTCATTTTGAGAGGAGAATCCACCCCTCAACACACATACACACACTCAACACACAAACACACACACATAAAACACACACATACACACAACATACACACATTCAATGCACACAAACCACACACATTCAACACACTTTTAATACATACATTCAACACACAGATACATACATAACATGCACATTCACCACATACAACACACACACAACACATAATATGCACACATTCAACACACACACTTTTAAAACACACGTTCGACACACACATACACACAAGACCCACATGTATTCAATATACAGAAAACACCTGCACTCATCCCAGAATGATGGCTTGAGGTTTCTAGGTGTCTGCGGTTCCCCTGGGTCATAGTGTACACTCCTGGCATGTTGTAATTGTTACCCATCACATGGCCATGGCCACTTGAGACTAGAAAGGGATAGGACCCAGACTTTGACTTATGTCTTGACTTTTTCTTGAAATTCTTCTCATCTTCAGCCTGATTCCTTTTATACAGTCTAATCTACTCTAAGGCCTGGGATATTATATCATTAATTGCAAGGCTAATATAATTTGAGTAAAATTTTCTCTTCTTGAGATCTTAGTTGCTATTGGGAGAAAAATGACACTGAAAACTCAGCTGATGCATTTTCAGAGTGAACAAAGACATTGTGAGAATTTTATTTTTCCTCCTCACAATGGTTAAACATTAAGTAGAACCCATCCATGCTTTTTGCATAGCATTCCTTTTGGCTGAAAAGATAAGGATGAAACTAAGATTTTAAGACTCAAGATTTTTGAGGCCATGTATTTGCAGAGAGAAAAGAGCACTTGATTTTTCTGTTTATTGTCCTCCTGACAAATTATTAATAGTACTTTGCCGTCTTTGTCTGAATTAATCTTTCTTGAATCACCATTGGTGATGGTGATAGTGGAGATCTAATTATCCAAATCTCCTAAAATATGGTTTTCTGTCTCACACATTTAGCCTAGGAATGACTGAGTGTCACAGTGCTTCATCTCCCCTTCTTAATCTCTCTATATTTTGGAAAATAGTTGATTGGCTGTCACCTTTTGGGATCTCCTATCTTCTTCCCACATATTTCCCCATACTACGTCTCTCTCTCCTCTGGTCCTGCATGTTGTGAAACAGTGTCTTCTACCTCTTTTCCCCCAAATATCTGGGAATTCGATTCTTCTTAATTCTTCATTACTGTCATATAGCTCTTTCTCTTTACAAATTGCTCAATAGTACATATTTATTCTAGTCTGATTTATTTCCCATCACCTAAAATGCTTATGGGTTAGCAAACTCAGAGACACTAACTCAGATATTACCAGAAAACCAGCATGTTTGAAAAGATGGATCTGCTGTGTACAGACTTGCATAATGGAAACCTAAGAATGGAAAATAAGGGCTATAGTCTTGGATAATCCCATTCATTGGCATGGGCTCTCAAAAATCAATAATGTTAAGTTTGCTTTGACTTCTCAGTTCCCTCTCTAGCCAGAATCTTACACTACAGAACAGATTCTTACCAATTTCAACAATTTTCAATTACAAAACAATGCAAGGAAAAACAGAAAAGAAGTCTAATCAGATTCAGAATTTTCAGAATTCAAATATGCCAAGTGTAGGAAATGCCAAGTCTAAGTAGCTTAGTTCAATCACTTTAGCACTGATTGTAGCAAATGTTTCACCTTAAAATGATAGTTCATTGTAGCTATTTTGTAACTGTAGTAATTGTTGAGAATTTTGTTTGTGGAAGACACTCAGTCATTCCTAGGCTAAATCCTCTCCCCTTGCCAAGCCCCTCCCTCCGCAGGGGTTTTTCTTTCATCTCTTGAGCTACTGCAGTGTCCTCTGAACCCCTGAGATGGAAAACATCCCCTGACCCTTGGTGGCAGGTACTGTAGTTACTTATTATTCACTTATTTAAAAATGGACATCATATCTAGGTGCAAAAACTTAAGGTGCCCATTAATCATCAATATGATCTCTCTGTTGGGACCCCCAGAAATTCATCATGACTTTTGTTTTGACGTATCTGGTTATTCAGTGTTTGTAGGTGTCAAAGAAAACCAGAGCTCAGGACTATTGCAATATGGAAAAAGAGAGCTCAGTATGGAACTGGGCTCAACTCTGCATACAGCATGGACATGTGGGAATTCATAGCCAAGAAGCAGGGTGGGTGGCAGTGGATGGGAAATTACTAAGAGGAAACATCAGGGGTAAGGGGGGATCCTGGATAAACCAATGTAACAGGACTGGTTCTGAGGGCAGGCCAGGGTGATAGACATCCCCTGCGGGACAGTAGAGGATGAGGAACCTGATTAGATGTGGAGGACAATCAGATATGGAAGATTTTGGCTTAACCAACTTAATAGGATTCTTACCAATCCAAGGCAGACGAACGTGGAAGTCCAAAAGTCAGGCCTACTTGAGAAAGAGTTCAGGGGAGCCCAAGCAGAGGTTGGTCAAGGAGAGGATCTTTGTCGTAGGGTGTACTCTGCTCTTCCAGTTCTAGTCTTCCAGATGTGTTGACGTAATTGCCTTAAATTGTACGTGGTCAAATTATAAACATTATTGAAAAAATTTTAAAAGGCAGTGTATGGAACTACTTACTACCCTAACAAATTAATTGCATGTGTTACTTAAAAATATTCTGATATCTCACATTTCTATAATCATTCATAATAGTACATTAGTTAATCCTAAAATCTTATGACCCAATCTACCTACCCAATTGGCTGTCTCCATTGAGTCCCTGAATGATCACCTGAAGTTAAGCCAGATTTCCTTTCTATAGATAAAGATGTAGAGGCATAAGAAATTCTATTTTTTAAATGACAAGAATTTATTTGAATAAGGCAGAGTCTTGAATCTCTGTACTATAGATCTGTGTTAACCAAATGCATTGACGATACAATTCAATTCAAACAGCATCCCAGAAATCTCAGAGTGGTGTTGTTGGTTAAATGAATATGCACATATGAAAGAGCCAAGGACTTATTGCTGCCAGTGTTTCTCTTGGTTTTTAAGGAGTTAGCCAGTGCTCTTTCCCATGACTTCAGTCTGAGCAGGGTCTGTGCCCTCCATTAGGGACCAGCACAACGTTCTTCAGCAGAAAACCACAACAGTAGTGGGTTGAGGAGCTCATTTTTTGATGCCTGAAGGCAAACCTTCAAAATTGAATTTTATACTGTCAGGAAGTATTGATTGCAAACTTATTCCTTTATAAATCACCAAAGGGAAAAATGACTTGATTTACAGTTAAATGCATATCATTTGGTGATGAGCAAACTCCTGTGAGCTAAAGGAAGAGGTGACACAGACACGTTTCCACAGCATTTTCTTGATTCATATTGCAACTGTCGTCAGTGCTCTGCTCAGGTACCCTCTGACTCCCTTTACTGGCCTTGTGTGCTCACCCTGGCTTCTGCATATGTTTGCTTCTGAGGGTCACGCACCTGGAACCTTGTTCAGAGGGCTGGACTTGAGCTAGTGGAGCTCCTCCCCACTCCTGGCATGTGCATGAGAACACACACACACACACACACACACACACACACACACACACAAACACACAGCTGGAAGCAGCTGGGAGTTAAGTGCCTTCCACTCCCTTCCCTCAACCCTTTGCCAGGTTTTGCTGATGAGTGGTGAAGGAGTATGAAAGGTCACCCTCTTGTCTTAAGACTGGGCAAACTCTGTGGTATAATTTACAAGTTCTCTGCAGGATCTGTGGTATAATTTACACACCACAGCTCTCTGTAGAATCAGGCTGAGGCTGAGATTTCACCTGAAGTTGCAATCTTGCCTGGCTTCTTCCTCCCCTCCCTGTTCCCCTCTCCTGGGAGCCCCTCCTTAATAAATCACTTGCCATGAACACTCCACTCTGGGTCTACTTCTGAGGAACTGGCCAAAGACAGTGTTGGAACACTAAGAAATTTAATATGTTATTTGATGCCTTTTATCAGCATCTTTAAAACTATTTCTGTCTCTCATTTGCTAATTTGGACTTTATATGTGCAAGTGGGGGAATCTTAAAAGTTAATTTAAAAATGAATTGAGGTGTAGATTATAGTTACCATTTACTGAGAGGGCCGTTGTGGGCCAGGTCCTTGACATATTTTTTTCCACGTTTCATAATAATCTTGCTTTTTAAGGATGAGTTAATTGAAGTCCAGAGAAATTTATTAATGTGCCCAAGTCACAGAGCTAGTAATTGGTAGAACCACAATACAAGCCCAGATCTTGTGATGTTGATGTGTTAGCTCTTCCAACCTCCCTGCTAACTCTCCTTTCCCCCCTGGGTATTAAAACTTCTATTTCTAGAGCTATCAAGGAGGCATTCTGGCATCAAAGTTTATGACTTACTAAAATGAAAGGAGACTGTCTCTTTAGGAAGAGATAAAATACATTAGAAAATGCCAGACTTAATTTCCCAGAATGGGAGTGATTGAAAATAATTTCTAATAAGAGCTTGAGTCATGTCACTTTGTTGTATACAGAGAGACTTTTGTGCGATGTTTGACAGAATCTGGGTGGTTCATAGAAACACAAAATTATTCAGCAGGTGACAACGGGACAGGGCATTAGCAATGAGATTTGAGAGCAGGAGATGGAAATTTCTTTCGTGGCTCTCCCTTTGAGGTGGTCACGCTCGGTCCTGTGACTATAGTGTACCACAGTGCTGTTTAGAAAATGACTTCCTCGGCCCTGAAATGGACCACAGTGTCCTGAAAGCCCTAACTCATCACATAGAAGTTATCAGTCCATTGCAGGGAGGTTCTTTAAGAAAATGAAGGGATAATGGCAATGATGGCATGGCCATCTAGATGGACTTCCTTCTAGTGTCCGTATTGGGACCTGATTGAATTATTCACTGCTGACACAAGCCCTCTACACAAGTTAAAAATTCAGCAAAAATACACAAAAGCCATACTAGAGACCTTTAAAGTTTCTGTATGGTGAAGTCATCAGCATTTATCGCAGACTGTACCTAGTCTTTCTTTCTGGAATGTTCTTCCTCCATCCATCTGCCTGGTTATTTCTTACTTGGCTTTTTAAGATGAAGCTCAGGTGTCACTTCCTTCAGGAATGCTTCTCTGATCCCCACAACATGGACAAAGTCCCTTTTTAGTAAATTTGTGTGATCGTGTGTAATCATCTAGAAAAAAAATGCTTAGCTTATCATATTGAAAGAATATGTTTTCCTGTTAATCTTCCCACTAACCATCTGAGGGCCACTTCGGGGTATCGTTTGAGAGGTCAGCATTGTAATGGTAAATCTGAAATGGTAAAGAGTAAAATGAAGTATTTTATTTTTATTGTATTTTTGCCTTTGAGGCAAGATAGAGTAGCAGAAGGAGCAGGGGCTGAGGTTTTACTCCAAGCTTTCCTATGTTCTTCTTCTGTGACTCAACCTCTCTAAATTTTATTTTCTTTCACTGTGAAGTCACATGCCAGCACCAAAGTTAGGGAAGATTCCTGAGAATGGTCTAAAGGTTAATAAGATACTGCCCAGCAAATATTTGGTGTTCCATAAAGTTTCATAAAGCATACCTCAGATGGACAATGATGGGGAAATAGGTTTGTTAACAGTGGACATGCATCCATTTACTTGTTCTCCCTATAAACAATTTTTTTTTTTGAGACAGAGTCTCACTCTGTCATCACCCAGGCTGGACTGCAGTGGCAGGATCCCAGCTGATTGAAACCTCCGCCTCCTGGGTTCAAGCAATTTTTGTGCCTTGGCCTCCTGATGTAGCTGGGATTACAGGCATATGCCACCAAGCCTGGCTAATTTTTAGTAGAGGCAGGGTTTCACCATGTTGGCCAGGCTGGTTTCAAACTTCTGGCCTTAAGCAATCTGCCCACCTCGGCCTCCCAAGGTGCTGATAAACATTTTACTGAGCATGTACAATATGCCAGCCACAGGGAATCTACATGTGTACATCATACCTGTGTGATGTACCTCTAGAAGTTTGTAGTCTAGAGGAGGCCTGACATCCCAGCAGCTTCTATGGTGGCTAATGTAAGAAGCCCCACAAAAGAGGGGGATGATTCATTGTCTACAGAAATCAGGGAATTCTTCACAGCAGAGTCCACCCTCCAGTGGGGTCTGAAAGAGTGAGTAAGAGATCTCTGCACAGACGAGATGGAGAAGGAGGCAGTGTTACTTACTGAGGCATGAAGGCTCGTGTTGGGGTGGCATGGATATTGATGGAGTGTAAGATATGAGAGAACAGTGGCAGGGGACGATGATGGAGAGACAGACAAGGGTCAAGGTGCAGAAGGCCTTTGTGCCCTGCTGTGGGGTTTGGAGTTGATACTGCAGGCACAGCAGAGCCACTGAATTTAGTGATTGGTAACAAAATAGTTAAATTGAGAGTGCTAGAATGTCTAAATGTGAAGAGTGATCATGTTTATATAGATTTCTTAGCTCCTGCCAAGCCTTTTTTTTTACTTTCTTAATTTGGTATTAAAGTTGGAAGTGATTAATAAAGTGATAACATTACTAATTTTTAAAACATTCTGGTCTCCTGGCCTTCACATTGTTTTAATGGACTGTAAATGCTTGCATGGGCATGCTTGTTAAATGACTAATGTGGAATCCATTCATTCCTTCAACATCTATTTATTGAGAGCCTGCTCTGGACTCTTATAGACCCTGAGGATGGTTAGAGTCCCTGCCTGGTGGAGCCTCCATTGCCATGGGGCAGATGGCAAGACTAATAAATATATAAGGGCTATAGAAATTATGGCATGGGAAGAACACAGCAGTGATGGAGGGGTGAGGGGAGTCCTTCTTTAAGGAAGTGCTCTCTCTACCTGACTATGAAGAGGAGGGATTAGTGCGGGGTTCCCTGTTTAGGAAATCTTAAATCTTACTGTTTTTCCATTGCTGATTTTAACGTTCTTGGAGTTTAGTAAGTAGTAGGTTCTCCTCTCTTTTCTCTCTCTCTCTCTCAAAGGCAAAATGAAAACTATATTTATCACCACTTATGGGGCACGTCTGAAGTTCGCTGTAGGAAAATAAATTTTCTACCTTACAAATATTTCTTTGCTGGGATTTATGCAGAAGGTTTATGATAGCCAGTTTCTAATCTAGAAATCACAGAATTGGATTTGAGAATAAAAGCATCTTTTTTTTCCCCTTTCACTTCAAAAAGAACACTTAACACTCTTTCTCTTTTTTCAATTGAGTCCCTACTCTGTGCTTGGTTTTGTGCTAAGTGCTTTATGCATACAATCTCTCAACTCCTCAACATGTCTCTGTGAGATATGCATCATCATCTTCGTTTTGTAACTGAGGACATTGAGACTCAGGGAGATTTTGCTGATCTGCCAAGGTTTGTGGCTCCTAACGTCAAGTCTGCCTCAGGACAGTCATGTCCTAACTACTGTGCCTTCCTGCCCTCCCCTATGGCCTGGTTTCATTTCTTCCTTTGTTTATTCTCCTGTGACCCTCTCTGTCTAAATATTTTCTTTCTCTCCCTCATTCATTTGGCAAATGTCATCTATTGAGATGGCAAACATACCCAGACTGCTGGGCAGTCACTGGGAGGGGATATTCAGGCTTCAATGGAGGGGACTGGACCCATATTGAGTTCTGAAACATGGACAAAGTCAGAAACGAGGGCCAATGGCCTTGTCTCCAAGAGTGGTTTTCAGTGAGATGGATGCTGCCCCGGCCAGTTTTCAAGGGACACAGATTGACCTCACTTCTGAATCTCAACAGACAGGATGGAGAGGGGTCTCCATGTCTGGCACTTCATGTACTTTGTCTCGCTTAGTTTTATCCATGGAAACATTTGGTAGATGTCATTGACCCTTTCTGCACATAAAGAACTGGAGGCTCAGAGAGGTTATGTGACTTGCCCAAAGCTGCAAGGCTGTTCCAGGTGGTACTGATTTCAACACACAGCTCATTTCCAGAATCCAAAATCTTAGTGCTGGAGCTGTCATTCTCAAAGTGGATCCCTTAGAACACTAGCATTGGGGAAAAGGCTGGTTTCTGTAGTCCAGTGTAGCAAATGGAGCTTTCCATAGCCCGTCTTGGAGAAACACATTCTGCGTCAGCATATTATAGGGTCCATAGGAATCTTTTAATTCTATTTAAACCAGATTCACAAAGTGTATTTAACCACAGAAATCTTTTCAAAAGAAATAGTCACTAACATAATGAGAAACTAGCGCATGGAATAATGACATACACCTTACTGTCTCCCCAGTTGTAATTTTGGTAGAGAGAGGATGAAGAGAGAGAGGTTAGGAAGGAAAAAAGAAGACAAAAAGAAAAAAAGACAGTGGTGGAAGGAAAAGGGACACAGGAGGTACTCAAATATTTCACAATAAAATTCTAAAATACCTTGTCAGTTTTTCTTTTATTTCCGAGCCTTCTTTCTTGTGCTTTTCAAATTGGTACACAAATGTTTCCCTAAGTATATAAGATGAGATAGAAAGATTAATCTCTTTGGGCTGATGACAGTCTTAAATAATGGTCCATGAGGCTGAGAGAGGCCGTCTGTGCAGGTGACCAAGCCCTAACACCAAGATGTGGGAGCTGAGAGGTGGCATAGGGCCTGGGCCTAGAGGCACCTGCTCCTCTCCCTCATTGCCCAGAGAGAATTGAATCTGCTTTCCTTGGCTCCCACAGCAAGGAGGTGACAGAGCGGGGACAACTCCAGCCTCTTGACTCCCAGCCCAGTGTGTTTTTCCCTGCAGCACATTTATTTTTTTTCAGAGTCTGTCTTATGCTCACATATTATTTTCCCTGTTATGCTTAGCCCATCAGCATTTGCTTAGCCAGAGATATTGCCAGCAACATAAACCATAAAGATTGTAATTTGCCTGGTTTATTGCTTGCTACAGTCCACAGACTCTTGGCGTAACCTAGGACGGGCTTCTCCTGCATATTTCTTTTGCTCTTGGTTCTTTGAATAGAATGTGTATATAATTTGGAATCAAGACAAATTTATAATCAATATTGATATTTTTCTCTTATAAATATGCATATATTCCTAATCAGATATTTAAATGGACTTCCTGGGTTGTTATGGATATTTTTATTAAACATTTTATAGTTTATGCAGATATAAGAGTGACAATATGTATACAGTTTATATTTAGTTGCTGTTAGACCCTTGCTCTCAAAATGTGGTCCTTGGACCAATATCACTTAGGAACTTTTTCAAAATACAGATCTGGGGCCTCATCCCAGACCTACTGAATTCAAATCTGAATTTTAATGAAATTCTCAGGTGATTTATATGCTCTTTAAAATTTGAGAAGCCCTGATCTAGAGTACACAAAAAACATTAAGGCCAGTCTTCGTTTTGTTCATGCCCATTTTTCCCAGTTGCACATTTATATCTTTGACAGAGTGCAACAGCTCTGCACTTTTCATCTTAGAAACTTCATTGTGGGCTGTTTTCTACATTATTACCTAAGAGAGTATCTATAAAGCATCTCTGAGGCACACAGTTGGTACCTGTCTATCTATCCAACTAGATGGATAGATAGGTAGGTAGAGAGATAGATATAGATATAAATATAAATATAAATATAGATACAGACTGTTTAAAAGCTTTGTTATTTATTTATTTATTTTTTCTTTTGAGACAGAGTCTCACTCTGTCGCCCAGGCTGGAGTGCAGCAGCATGATCTCAGCTCACTGCAACCTCTGCCTCCCAGGTTCAAGCGATTCTTATGCCTCAGTCTCCTGAGTAGCTGAGATTACAGGCATGTGCCACCACACCCAGCTAATTTTTATATTTTTAGTAGAGATGGAGTTTCACCATGTTGGCCAGGCTGGTGTCGAACTCCTGACCTCAAGTGATCCGCCCACCTTGGCTTCCCAATGTGCTGGGATTACAGGTGTGAGCCACCATGTCTGGCCTGTTTCTTAAAAGCTTTATTAAAAACTATGAAATGTCTAAGATCTTACCCTACTTTCAAGCTAACAAGTTAGCCTGCCATGATTTCATAGATGATGGCAGAAGACATGAGATTTTGGGGTCAGAGACAGAGGACTCTATTACTTTTACACAGCATGTGGCATGAACAGCATATTTGTATCAATTCTCTCTTCCAAAACCCCATGAGTGTGAGGCAGGTGGGACCCAATGGATGCCTGCACATTCTCTGGATTGTGTTATAGGAGAGGAACCCTGAATTTAGGGAATCTGAATCTTTTAAAATGGACAGTAATTATGCCTGCTCTTTGTTTTGGAGACACTTTATTTTGGAAGGCTGTTCACTATACAAACATCTTTGAAAAGATAATCCAAAACAAAGGGCAGTCAGTACCTTTCTTTGTGAGATATACAGAAGTGCTAGAGAGAACTGTCTCCTCCTAATAGGTATTAGAACATCTTTATCATTGGGTTTTAGGACCAATAAATATTTTCTGGTGGCCATGGAAGATATATTTCCTAATACCTAGATTGTACTCATGGTTGTTTCTATCAGAAACTTTGAGGGGAAACTTCCAGTCTGGGCATTCAGTTAAGCCCCTTACAGGAAAAGAGAAGTTATAGAAAGGAAACAAGTGGGGTTGTGCATCATAAATAGTAGAGTCACTGGTAGCTCTTCCTAGTGTTGGTTGTCCCATTTTAGTACAGAACCTCCTCTTATTCTCAAGATGAGAGATGTGACACCGTTCAGAGAACTCTGGAGAAACTCTAACGGATGTTTACAAGATTGGAAAATAGTAGTAGGAAGAAAAGCAGAGATAAATTGGGGTTAATAATCATTTTCTAATACAGTAGTCTTGTTGTCCCTAAATGGGTTATCATGCAAAACAGTTAATTTCCCTTTGCTCTGGGTGTCCACAAAGAGCCTGAAACTTTCAGAAATATTGTAGAACAGATTTCTTCTTTGACTCAGAGTGTTTCTCAGCTCTCAAAGAACAAGAGAGTTTGGAGAAGGAAAAACGAATAGTTTTACACAGCATATGACAATAGTATGCTGAGAAATGTTCAGGAACTAGTACTCAAGGATACAGTGGGGTTGGGGTCCTAATTTGTAATGTTTGCTGATTTCCGCGGTGTAAACATTCCCACCATGAAGTCAGCCAGCTCAAAAAAGTCCTGAAAATTAGACAAAGAAGTACGAGCTGTCTCTAGCAAGCCATTGCAAAACAGTCATAATTAGCAATTTTTCGACAGTAAAGGTAGTTTGATCATGCAAGAGGTTTGTTTGTAGAAACTCTTTTTTGCAAGACCTTTTAAAATAATATATGTTCTCTTTGCCCCCGGTGATTCAAGCTAGATTTACCTTAAGGTAGGATGACAGCCTACATGATCTTTTGAAGTTCGTTTCAACAGTGCAATTTGATTTTTCGAAAAAGCTTTCCTGTCTGGTGCAGTGGCTCACGCCTGTAATGTCAACATTTTGGGAGGCAGAAGCGGGTGGACTGCTTGAGCTCAGGAGTTCGAGACCAGCCTGGGCAAAATGACAAAGCGCTGTCCCTACAAAAAGTTACAAAAATTAGCCCAGAGTGGTGGCGGGCACCTGTCGTCCCAGCTACTTAGGGGACTGGGGTGAGAGAATCGCTTGAGCCTGGGAGGCAGAGGTTGCAGAGAGCCGAGATCATACCACTGTACTCCATCCTGGGTGACAGATTAAGACCCTGTCTAAATAAACAAAAACAAAAACAAAGCCTTCCTTAAATTGTGGGTTTAACTAGCTGATTTGCTTCCTTTAAATAAATTGGCCACCAGCTCAGCTTATTTCTCTCCTATGGAAGGGCCTGTAGGTGCAGTCTGATTGTCACTGATATTTTTAGAGAAGCAGGAGGTTATTCAGACTTAACCAACCAGTGATGATTCCTTATACTTGGGTTATATGTAGAACCGTAGTGAATTACAACTTTGGACACAAGGTGCCTGCATCGTTGGTTGGACTGAGATCATGGTAAATCTTCTCTGCACTAATGAGGCTTTGTGCCTCTTCAAGAGACTTACCCTGGAATTCCCTCTGGGCTCAGTTTGGCTGTCGATTCTGTAAAGTCCCTCTCTGGAGGGCTCTATTGCTGTGTTGACAGCAACATTTTCCCAGAGAATATAACAGTGGCCCACACACTGCAGCTTCAGTGAAGCTCATGATGAGTAAGCCTCCCTCCTGCCTGAACTGTGCAGTTCCCGCTGGTGGACTGTGCCTTCACGGACACCGTGCAATGTCCCTATCTTCTGGTGTGTCCGTGCCTGTCATGTGGAGTTTGATACAGTGGACTGATTTCTTCTCTGCTGTGTCCTCTCCCTCCTCAATGTTGAGGGATATGTGGAGAGAGCAAACTTGCTGCACTTAGCCCACCCCAGTGAGATGCCCTTTTCATAGCCTTAACAGGCTGGTCTTTTCTTCTCCCAGCATTTAACAGAAGGGAGGACCTCGACTTTAATGCAGATTTGAGTGCCTCCTTCCCTCTCCCTTGGGTAATATTGATTAGAAGGCTTCAATTACTTATTTATCAGATTTATAAAATGCTTATCTTGCCAAGGTCTCTGGGCACATGGACAAGAGTAAAAATAAACAACAAGCAATAATAATAATAAAAATCCACCAAACATAGGTGCTCATTCTGAAGGCTCTACATGAATGCCATTGGAAGCCTGGTGACATTGATTTAGAGCTTCCATTACCACTTGACTTTTTTTTTCTTTTCTTTTTATAAAACACACCCACGTCCAAGGGGGCTTGTTCTCCTGCATAAAGCAAATGCATTAACAAGCAAAGAGATGGAACACATAGATTTGCTGTTGAGGCTAAGGCCAAATTGCAAAGAACTCATATGCCATGTTGCAGAGATCAGTTTCCAACCCCCTCATCTTTTCTTTTGTGGTGAAGGCAAAAATAGAAGTGAATCTTAAAAGAGGGCTTTGTATTGTCTGTCCCAAATTTTTGTCTAGACACACTGAGACAAATTAGCTTCAAAAGAGTTTTCTTGTTCTGCAAAAGGGGCAGAATTCTCTGAGGAGGGTGTGCTATGTCATGCCGTAGGGTTGCTGCACCTTTTTTTGTTTTTTTGACACTGACACAAGAACATCACAGTAGTTGTGGGTTGTTTAAAGGCTTAGCTGTGTGCTGATGATATTGTTTCTCCTCAACTGTTCAAGATCAAGAAGGTGAGGCATTTAATTAGATCAGAAAAGAGTGAGCAAGTTTGAAGAACTTTTCTCAACGTGTCAGATCTGAAATCTTAATTCCATGCTGGACTTTCTCTCTGGAGAAGCCTCCTTCTGTATTCCTGTTTACTTCTGATAAGAGTAAACAAATGGTAGAAATGCTAAAAGGGAACCAAGATACTCTGGACCACCAACACGTCCAGCATTAACAACCCACACCACTAGTGGGTCAGGTTAGCATTTCTGGCAGCTAGCCTTTATGATTAGAAAATAAGGCATTATAATGGGACTCTGCGGTTTTTTTTTTCCTTAAAAATCTGGTTTTGATTATTAACACTCTTGCCATTAGGGAACATTTGGTCTGAGCTACGTGTTAGAGTTCCACCAGTACAAGGGAAGAAAAAAAACCTGAGCTATCCCCTTAAAACAGTTGTCATACTATGAACCCCAGGCTCAATCTGACCAGTTGTTTGTTTTTGTAAATAAAGTTTTATTGGAATACAGCCCCATTCATTCATTTATGGATTATCTATGGCTGCTTTCATGGTACAGCAGCAGAGTTGAGTAGCTGTGACAGAGACCTTATGTCTCAGAAAACCTAAAATGTTTACTCTCTGGCCCTTCACAGAAAAGGTTTGCTGACCCCTGCCTTAATGGAACACATAAGCAAAATATCTAATGAAATAACCATCCACCTCCCGGACTTCCACATATTTTGTAATAGGTTGTGGAGATGGGGATCTTGCCCGGTTCAGCTTCTCTGTTTTAGTCAGGCCAGTCCCTAAATCAACGTAGGCAGATGCACAAGCAGTGAGATGGGAGCAGAAGTTCAAACTTAGGGGAATACCAAGGTCCAGCTCTGCGCAACTTTACCTTAAGAGTCTGTGATTCCCTCTGTGTACACTTCCATTTCATATACTAACATGGGTACTGTGTAAAAAGAGAAAGAGACACCTTCAAAGCTACCATCAGGGGTAGCGAATGGTGCTAGACCTCACTGGTCCATAGTTCCTACTTGATTAGGTCTCAGTTAAGAGCTAGTATATTAGATGGTTATACATGGAAACATAGGTGGATGTTTTTTCCTCTCTAAAAGAAAGCTATGAGCTATGAAGTTTTCTGGCTTGGATGGGTCAGTGATAATTTCAGGGGTATGGCAGACTTTGTGATATTTTCTTGGGAAGTAAAAGAAAAAAGGTATGGTTCTGATAAATATTCTGTCAGGAATTCTATATTTGAGTCTTTTTTTTGTTATAACATCACACTAATTTTTTTTATACAAAAGACTGTCAGGGTTCAGGGTGCAAAAGGGTAAATGTGCAGTCTTTGTATGTTCCATTGTCTTTTCTTCCTCTCTTCATAACTTTTGCAGAGAAGGCCAGCCTTGTTTGTATGTTCCGGTGTCCAAACCTTATGTGTACAAAGTAACTGTGTGGTTCAGTCAGAAGAAAGGTGATAGGAGTTTTGAGAAACTGGCATTTTGAAAAAGGGCAATTCCTGCCTCTGTAGGAGTCTTAGTACTTTTAGGATGTCTTAGGAGAACATACAACTGAACACCACCTCTAAAATTAATTTCTACTTACAGCTGAGTGTTTTTATGTATATGTTTTGTTGACGCTTCTTAAGAGTTCATAACATTCTCTGGTATATCATACTTTTCAGATCATAAGTATACTTTTTTCTTACTCATATAATAACTTTTCATATATACAAACATCTAATTCAAGAATTACCCATTAAAGACCTAGCCTTTTTTGCTTCCCGTTGAAAATGTGAATTTTGAGATTAATAAATAATGTATTTTAGTCATTTCAGTATAACATTCTTAACTTTGCCGGTTAAAAACAATACCTATTTTCAATGAGATGAATGCCCCCTGGTGGAAACAGTGGCAAATATTTGCACTGATTTGGGGGGCCCACAGACAACAAGAACAAGCATATCAAGTGTAATGATGGAACAATGTAGGCATATAATTGACATAGCTTAGAGAGTGTCTTTAGTTTTTTAAGTCTATACTTCATTTAAATGCAGTAAATAGAAGATAACATCAAATTGGGAGGGTCAAAACATTCAACAAGGAACTAACTAAACCCTTATTATGGCAATTTCTCTAGCGTCTTTCTTTTCAGCTTGGGAATCTCTTAGCTAGTAAAGTCATTTATATCAAGGCTCTTCGTAACGATTTTTTAATGGAGGAATTTTCAATAATACCTTGGAGGGTGTTCTAAAACTAAATAGTTGTATAAGAGAGAATTGCTTAAAGGATTATAAGATGGCCTCCAAGAAAACACACACACACACACACACACACACACACAAACACACACACCCACAAACAAACACGTCAGTGGGTGAGAGGAGCAGGTTTTGGGATTTAAGCTTCACCAATGACAACTTTATGTTGTTTGTCTCGTTAACTGCCAGACAATCCATCTCTGGTTCCATAGGGAATGCTTACCAAGCCAGGCATGTGAGCTTGCCAGGACTCATGTTTTTATAGAAAGCTTTATTTTGGAAATTTCTAATCTGAACATACTTGAAATCTAATTCTCAGAAAACTTTGGAAAACCATTTAAAAGGAAGCAGGAAAAGGGAAAAGCAAAAGTGAAGTATGAGGCTGTATCCCCTCTATAGGAAACGGAACTGTGAAGAAGCAGAGGTTGCTGGCACGTTCTGCGGCTCTCCCCTCTGCCCCGTCATACCTAGCTTTGCTGTGGCTGTCGCTCTAGCAGAAAAGCTGTGGTATTTTTTCTGCCTCTGCAATTTTCCCACTTGGATGGAGCCTTTGGAAATGAAAAAAACAAATAATCAAGAGCCATCTTGTATTGAAAGCTGATGTTCTGCATACTTAATGGGCTGAATCACCCTTTCCCTTTTCAGATATGGCTCATGTCCATTAAGCCGTGGATATGGCTGATAAATACCATTGTACTTGTCATATCACCAAGTGCCACATTTTCCGAGGCAGTGACGTTTCTTTACCTCAGCATTTGTGAGAGATTGCACTCTGGAGTATAACGGTTCAGGCTGAAGTTGTCTATTAACTTGAAAGGACTTAGAGATATGTTAATGGCTGGGTGGGAACTCAGTTCTTTAGAAATTCTTCTTAAACCAGTACCTTTCATCAAGTCACGATGCTTAATCTTATGTTATCCGTGGCTTATGTCCTGAAGTGGGTGGGAAATGGGGCTTGACTTCCCCAAATGTAAGAAGTGTAATATACAATACTTCTCACATATGAGAGATCAAGAGAAACTACTGAAGCTTCCAGTAGATATTCCAGAACTTGTTTCTTTGATAAGAAATAGGCTGTTCTCCTACTGTGAATGTCCTCTCGCTGTCCCACCTCCCAGCATGAGAGACCCCTAAAATATAATGCAACAAATGCTCTTAATGACATTGCCTCTCACAGATGTTTATTTAGAAGAACTGTGAAGGGTGACCTGTGAAGGGACATTTTGTGTGTCTAGGGATTGACTTTCCCTTCTTGACAGTGCTCTTTATCACAATGTATTTTTGTATCTGTATCACATTTTTGTGTCTGTATTGCAATGTATATTTTGTTGAAATGGTTTTGGACTCTAAACAGGGTTACCCAGCTTGATCACTCACGTTCTTTACTTGACTTGGCTCTGAATAATTCTCAGACATTTCCTGAGTCAGATTCATCCCTGAAGGGTTAGTATCTACTGTCAGGGATTTCAACTTAATTTTATTCACTTTCAGATATGTGTCTGTATCAGGCATTGGGTTAGATGGTCCTATTTCCCAGGGAATGACACTTTGGAGGGAAAATGTGAAGTCAGTGGATACTTTAAATAGAGTTTGAAAGGTGCCTAGAAAATGGTCCTCAGAGATGGGCATTGAAGGAGGCTTTGGGATTTGCAGAGTGTGAGAGTTGGGGAAAGAGCATGGAGAAGAGAGAGGGATGGATTCCAGGTAGAAATTTTATGTCCCAAGATGTGAAAGTGTAAGAAAATGTGTGGCATTCATACATTTGCTAGGAGTCTGGTTTGGCTTGAGCAGAGAACGGGGGTAGAGAATTGGGAGAAGAGACTGCTGGGTTGTGGGGGCAGGGCATGAAGGGGGCTAGGGAGTTGACAGTATGGACAGAATTTATCCCAAAGACTTCGCATGGAGGAGTACCCTAATTAAGTGTATGCTATAGAAAGAAGACTTGGCAGCATGAGGAGATGGAGGTTGGAAGACTGGGGTGTGATGGGAGGTGGGACTGCCACTGGGTTAGATCAAGTTCAAATAACTCAGTCTAATATTAGCAGGCTGTAAAGGTAAGATTAGAAAATGAATCCCAAAAATGTTGTGGGCAAAGGCAGCAAGGTTGAAAGAAGCTGTATGGCCTGAGGGAAAGGCAGAGGGGAGTCAGATGAGTCTGAGTTCAAAACCTAGCACTGCCGGTTACTAGTTGTATGACCTCCAATAGTCTCACCTGTCTTTAAATTTTTTAAATTGAGAAATAATAATTGTGCATATTTATGAGATACATAGTGATGCGTGATACAAATAATGCATAGTGATCAGATCAGCATATCCATCATCTCAAATATTTATCATTTCTTCATAGTGGGAATGTTCAATATCTTCCTCCCAGCTATTTGAAACTGTATGTTATTGTTAACTCTAGTTCCAGTCCTCACCTTTCTTTGCTGGCTTTCCATCTTCTGGACAATGGGAATGGTACTCTTTCTTCATGGTGCTGTGGTGGAAGTGAAATTAGATTATGCATGTTACAGGGGTAGAGTTTGATAGTCACTCTTTGAGGACACATGAGTGTGCCTGTGTACATTTGGGTACGTGTATGAAGAAAGGAGAGACAGAGGACCTCCATTCAGACATCGATTTTCTCTGTGCTTATTTAAAACTCTTCATTCACATGCTGCACACTCAACAAATACTTATTTAGTGGTACACACATGCAAGGTGCCAGCTAAGGACTCTGTTCCCTTTAGTGACATCTCCTGAGGGGGTGAGGGCAGAAGATGTTTAATAAATTAATGTTGGTCAACTAATTCATGCCCACATATGATGACAAAAGTGTCTAATAGCCAGTACAAGTCAAAATACTAGAAAACCATCCATCTGAGTTATTAACATTTTAATTTAGATCAATAGGGAAAAATAAGTCCTTAGGGGGTTTATTTATATCCTTAGTGAGTGTTTTTTTCTTCTCGCAATTTAGTTTCCTTGAGAACTGAACATTTATAAAGTGTTTTTGGTGAACCCATTTATACAGTAGAATTCATTTTCTCTAGGAGGTTGGGAACTACAGAGAGAAACCAGAGAGTCATAAATTCTATTTAATTCAAGTTCATGCATTTCACTAGAGAAAGCACCTTCTTTATCCTCTTATTGTACTTCCCCTGAGACCTCTGAACAGATGATGTTAGCAGTGATTTAAAAATGCAAATCATATCACAGAAGTCCTTTAAAGGATTGTTCCTCACTCCTCCTCCCACCCTCCATCACACAGGCCCTTAAACAACAGGAATGGTAAATTCAAAACCAAAACTTGCGTCATAGGTAAAAACCAACTATTTGCTGAAATAGGCTGTACCAGTCTGGCTATTTTGATCACCCATGATAGTTGGAAGACAGAGGATCTATATTCTAAATCTGATGAATGTATTTACTATTCACATTACATGTTTGAGGTGAGCCTGCTATATGTACATGTGGAGAAAGAAGTGTGGTTATAAGGCAAAATAAATAGTAGCCCTTGCAGTCAAGTGGCTTCCGTGGATCAAGAGCTCGTATAACTCATTTTCCAGAAGAAGGGCAGATGCATTGCAGTGGGAGTTCATAGAGAAAGATTACTCTTGGCTCATGCTATTGAGATACTTTTATGGAGGAATTAGTTTCAAGTTGTGCCTCGAAAATATTGGCCTGTAGAATCTTCCAGTTTGAGAAGTCCCTAATTACACAGTGTTTATGGGCATGATTTTTAATTGTGTACTGCACCTTATTTCTTCCTATGAGATTTTTATTCATTCTTTAATAACTCACACTACATTTGAAAACTGTTCTTGGGAGGTATTTAAGAAGAGTTGTGGGACTAACTCTTCTTAAAACATAAATTTTGAGAGTCAGGGATGGCTAGTCATTGTGGACAAAGGATGAACTGAGGTTCTTTCATTCCCAGCCAAGCTGGTGACTTGCACACAAGCGCCATGCTATCAGAGCCTCTCCCCAGGCAGTGTGCACCAGAATTTATTGCAACCTCAGTGTGAAAGGAACTGAGAAATCCTTTGGCAACATGACCTGGGAATTCCAAAAGTCGCCCATGCCTTTGTATAAAACCAAGGAAACCAGAGCACATTCAGCCACTGTATGAGCCTGCAGTCCCTTATGCTGATCCCTGCCAATCCCATCTCATCTGAGCCTCACATTCCCACAGTCCCCTGAAGCTTAATCAAGTTGGTAAAATTTATGTGTGTTCCTTAGAATAACCATCACAACAATTATTGCTATTATTTATGGAGCACTTGCTTGTTTCTAAGCATGTTTCCATGCACTTTGCATGCATTATCCCATGTAATACCCTAAACAACCTCATGAGTTAAACAATGAGACTGAGATACGAAGAGGTGCAGTAACCTACCTGGCCTCACCTGTGTGTAGGGGGTGAGTGGCAATACCAGGATCCAAGCCTAGGCTTACAAATTTGCAGCGATCTTCAAGATTATTATTTATTTTAATTATTCATTTCTCTTTGTTCTTGTTGTTATTTTGATCCATCTGTCTCTACTTCTGGTTCCTTTTTGCTGTTTTTCTCCAAAATAGGATATGTTGTTTTCTTTATCTCAGTAGACATCTTTTAATTATTTTAGCCTAATAATACTTAAGGGGGAAAAACAAAAACCCTACGAAAAGAAAAGTATTATCTTAAAACTTAAATAGGTTCAGTGGGAAAAAATCTTGGTTCAGAGGAAGGCTTTATGTTGCACATGTTTGAATTATGGACTTACCGCTCCCAGTGGCCACCACGTGTGTGTGCTTGCAAACTCATTTTTTGCTTTGAGAAACTGTGGACATGTAAGAGTGAAGGTGGCAGCTCTACTACAAAGAATTTTGCATGAGTGATCCTGAAAAATATGTCGAAAATCCACTCTCGATTTTCATCTTTTTAAATTGACATTTTATTGTCCTTGAACCAAGAAAGAAGCCATTCTGTTTCTCTGCTGGTTAGACTTTTGGAAGCTTGAAATGGTGCTATCAAAGACAATGCAGATTAAAAAAAATGACCAGTCAGGTGGGCGCGGTGGCTCACACCTATAATCCCAGCACTTTGGGAGGTGGAGGCGGATGGATCACCAGAGGTCAGGAGTTCAAGATCAGCCTGACCAACATGGTGAAACCCCGTCTCTACTAAAAATACAAAAATTGGCCAGGCGTGGTGGCAGGCACCTATAATCCCAGCTACGTGGGAGGCTGAGGCAGGAGAATCGCTTGAACTTGGGAGGTGGAGGTTGCAGTGAGCTGAGATCACACCACTGCACTCCAGCCTGGGCGACAAGAGGAAAACTCCGTCTAAAACAAACAAACAAACAAACAAAACAAACAAACAAACAAACAAAAAACAGGCACAAAATAATCTCCTGGGTAGCAACAGAGACAACTAAACAAGGTCAACTCAGTAGACTCTAGACCCGGGGGACATGGGTTCTAGACTGAGTTAATCACTGGCTCTTTATTCATCCATAAAATTAGGATGACATGAACTGATCCCTCACTTATTCAGGGTACCAGGTCATGGCGAAATGCTGCTGCATAAACAGTAATGACTCTGTCAATGGAGGTGTCTTAGTAAACTCTCTATATTCTTTCTCATCTCATCTTCTCAAATATTAGAAGTCAGGCAAAACCCTCATTTTCAGTTCTAATGTTCACCTTATTAGCTATGTGACCTATGGTGAATTTCTTAATATCTCAAAGCAAAATAAGTATTTCTTCAATTGCAAAAATAAATGGTGATAATAATAGCTCCTACTGTATAGAGTTGTTGTGAGGATTAAATAAGGGACTATCTATAAATCCCTTGGTATGGTGGGCAATATAGTGTATGGAGAGGTGATCTAACTTACCAGTGAAGAGCAGGACTATGGAGACAGACTTCTCGAGTTTGAATGCTAGCTCCAGCATTTACCAAATCTGTGGCCTTGGTCATGTTATTCACCTTTCTGTGCCTCAGTTTCGCACCTCTAAAAGGGCATAATCACAATGCTACTTATAAGGCTATTATGAGGATTAAATGAATTAATATATGATAAGCACTTAGAAGAAAGCTAAAAAGCTTGGCATATGGTTTGTGCCATGTATCAGGTATTACTATGGTACATAATAAGCATAAGAGTAACATCCAATAAGTATATTATCATCATCACGATCATCATTATGTTATTACGTTGTAATTATTGATCTTGGCGATCCAAAGCAAAGTGACTCATGGAGAATAGTTATACTTAGTAGGGACATGAAAATGAAATTTTAAAAATTGGGAAAATAGGAGGAAAATGAAAATGAAATTAACAAAAAAGTATAAATTCAGTAGATGCAGATCAGAGTCATTGAACCAGCCTGTCATTTCTCAAACATGAGCTAAGTGCTGGGACTATAGAGAGGAGAAGGTCATCTTTGAGAAGCACCTGGTGAGTTTGCTGAAAAGCAAACATCAGAGGGCAATGTGACATGTTGTGTCATCAATGTCTATCTGAGGGGTTCAGATGGGGGCTCTTCCACCCCAGTCCTAGAGACCAGAGCTTGCTTTATGTAGAAGAAGCCACTTGAACTTGGATGTAGAGGCCAAGAGTCTCCCAGGCAGAACAGTGGGACAGGAAATTCTGTGCAGAGGTTTGAGTGTGTGGGATGAGCTCAAGGTGGGGTGTTCTGTGGGAACAGCGTCCTGGATGATGGAGACACAGCATGCATGAGGAGGGGGAGCAAATGGCAGAGTGGGTGGGGGAATTCGAGAGGTGGCCTGGGATGGGCCTAAAGTGGATGTTAGGTAGAAGAGGGCTTCCTCAGCTTTGCGAGCTACCTTGAGTTTGGTGCAGGGTTCCACTCCTCCCAGACCAGGTGGCTACCTCCCAGGCAGTGAGAAACAAGGAATTAGAACACAGCCCACACCCATCCATTAGGAAGTCATTAGCCTAGAGGTAAGTAGCGCATCCTCTACTTTGGCTCTGCTGCGTGCTCACCAGAGCCAAAGCTTCCGCTTGTTAGCTGGGAAGGGCATAGAGAAAAAGCCATTGAGAAATTGCTTTTAAGGGCTTTGTGGTGGCCATTGAGAGGGTATTTCAGAGGAGTGGCAAAGCAGAAAAGCCAGCTCTCAAACCAAGTTGAAGAACAGCTAGGTTCTGATTTGCCAAGAGCTGAGGTATCTGCCTCTCATTCAATGGCACGCAGGGGGAGAGAAGAAACAGTGAGGCTAACAGGGACACACAGAGAGGCTACTGCCTGTCCTCAGGTATGGCTGGAAGAGATGATAACACCACAGATTGGCCTCAATTCAAGCAGGTTGTGAAATGGCTGAGCTGCTGGGGAACAGCCAGAAGCCTCGGTGAGGTGTACTGAATTAATTGTATCTGCTCCAGATCTTGAGAGCCCAGAGCCAATTGTCCAGAGCCTTTGCCTTCAAGAGTTGGAAGGCAGAATGTGCTCTGCTGACCTGGCCCTCAGAGGCAGCTGCCTACCTGTCCACCAGCGGAAAACACCGAGGCTCAAGGTTTGGTTAGCAAAGAAAGACAAGTTTGAATGTTAGACCTGGAAAGGGGAGTCCAAGGCTGCCTAGGACAGCTTCCTTGGGGAAGCTGAGGCCCAGCGTGACCCATGGACTTGTTAAAATCAGCCTGGAGTAAATAGCAGACCTAAATCCAGAAGAACTGGATTTTCCTGATGCTGCACATGTTTCACTATATGCGTCTCTGCAGCCTTATCCATTCTCCCTTAGCCCCTCTCTCTGGTGCCCTTTTTTGCCCTCTGGCCGCAGAGATTGTCAGTCAAATCTACCTTAACCCTAAGCTTTCTGATCCCTTTTCTATCTTCCTACCCATAAGAGCATTTCCTGCTCTTTTCTCAGAGCCTTATTTGGTGATTGGTAACTAAACAGCTTAAGTGCTAGGGTGGCAATGTAGTGGATGTAGGGGATATGACATTCTATTCCTCCTGGGCAATACATTTGCCTTTTACAAGATACCTTCTCGCTGGATTTTCGTTCAAATGTTCCACTTATTCTCCTGTCTACATTCCAAACTCTATGGTATTGACTGGTGATGAAGGGAGGTGATTTGAGAAGGGACATTTTTTAGTACGGACATCCTCCTCAGTGCATAGACAGACTCTTGGTCTGGGAATCTAAGTGGTCTATATGCCAGTACTCTCTCAGAGAACACTTTTAGTCAGAAAAATGAAGTCAAGCAAACGTTTAGTTTAAAAAAATGAAGTGCCTAAAGCCTTTTATTTGTCATTACCTTTTAAGTAAATTTTTAAGGCAGACTAATCATCATCCCCACAAAAGAGGCAAAGATTATCTGTCTCTCCAAGGCAGTTATTCAGTTGATTGTGGATGAATTTTTGTCTGGCTGTTCTAAGCAGTGGATAATGAAAAAAAGCAGAGCCTTCTTATTGAACATTTTGACAAGAGAAATTTTGCTGTTACTCACCAAGATGTAGGAGGGATGCAGAGTCCTGGCTTGGGTGAGGGACGAGGTTGCTGAATAGACGAACATAAAAGGAATCCATTAATGATTTAGAGGACTGCTTAATTTCCCTACTTCTGTAACCAAGAAACAGAGCTTGATCAATACTCTCAAGGTCACTGTTGCTATTTGCTATGCCTGCTGGTCTTTTTTAGAGTTTTGAAAACCATCCTATGCATCCATCCTGATAAATATGCTCAGTTTTGGTACAGGGAGATATGGTTTTAAGTGTGGGGCAGATGAGATGCAGAAGGAAGAAGTGTAGCCTTTCTTTGTGGGAATCTGTAGGGAAATCTACCACAAAATTTTCAGTTCAAGATAGAACCTGGGGACACAAGAGAGAAACTCTCCTTGTGATAGCCAATCTGTTCTGATAAGGCAGTTATTATTACTAAAAGGATCCCTGGCTATAACGTGGATTTTAAAGAACATTATTCAATGTGTTTCCTCTTCAATTACTTCTGTGTCATAATTTAGCTAGCTGTTTGCCTTCAAATGTGGCATTGGCCCCGTGGGCTTGCCTAGTAGTTCACATCATATTCTGTTTGTTCACTTTTGTATTTGTTGGCTAAGTTGACTTTTTTAGAATAAAGATTCTCTAACTTACTAATGTCAGAGCTTTTTAACGCTGATACTGACCAAAATAAGTGAAATGTTCTTTTGGTAACTTATGCAAAAAGTTTTAATGACTGCACAACATGACATTCAAAATGGCAACCAAGACATGAAAGGGGGCCTGTCCTGTGACCCCCATCCCTCCAAAAAATGGATTTCCAAAGTCCTCTCATTACTTGAGGACTTTGACCAGAACACCTAGATTAACTCTTGGAGTTAATTGCCTTTGCAATTATATGTATAATTGCAGGTATATATAATATACTTATATTTTCTTATGTCTGGATTAATTAAAAAGGAAAAAAATGAGTCAACTGACTATTGTCTCTGTAGCATTCTAAAGCAAGCCTTGGTTCCATGCAGCCTCAGAAGCTAACAGAACCCGCAGTGGTAAGGGCCATTTTAAAAAGTTCATCTGCATAGAGTTCTCCTAGATGTGGGCACAAGGTGTTTGGGGGTGGGGGGCACAGACACCCTGAAAAGTTCCAGAGAACACATGTGGTTTCCAGTCAAAATATCATGCAAATATTTTGAAATATTTTCTTGACCACAGTATTTCTTCTTTATACATTGCTCGTAGAAGTAATGTTTTGTTATTTATTTAGAAAAAAAGCAAATGGAGAAATTCCTCTTTCTGATTGGATTTTATGGTCCTATGTGGCAACACCCTAGAGATTAGAATCTCATAGTTTAGTGAGAAAGACTTTTTTAGAATGATCTCTGAATTTGAAAGACATCTAAAACACAACTCAAGCTTGAAAAATGTCTAGACTTTTTTTTAACAGACGAGGCCACTGGGAATATGGTAAAACAACAAGAGATGGTTTAGTTTCAGATGGGAATTTATTTCTTTTAAGCTTGTCAATGAGCAGACAGGCATTTGAGGGGGAGTCTCTTTGTCCTGTGATTCCCCAGCCTGGGAAGAGAAAGTTATTTTTATTCCCAGTTTTCATCATGGAATGTGAAAGAAAATCTGACTGTTCTTTCATTGAGTGTTGCTGAATTATCCTCCTGGTTTCAAGTGTGAACTACAGCAGCAATTCCACTGTGGAATATTATGAACAGAGTTAATTATAACTGTTTAATGAGGCAGATCCCAATTTTCAGTAGATCATGACCCTTAATACATTAAAGAAGAGAGACAGTTCACATTTTTATTCAACTGACATTTGATTAATATGCTTCAAACAAGTTTTGGATATACTGAGATAATAATGAAATGGACTTTATCCTGTTCATAAAATGCCTGTAATAAAATAAAAAGTATCAGTGTTGTTCTTGTTGTTGACTAGCTTTCTGATGTCAGTTTCAGGTTATTAAGGGAAACTTCAGTTAAAAATATCATTGGATTTCCCTGAAGGTCACAAAGTTAGAACAAACACTAGCCTTCACCATCAGTCAAATTCAGATGAAAATTCCTTCTCTGCCACCTACTTTTGTCCTTGTACAATAACAACAAGAATAATACTAATAATACCATTTACTGAGCAATTATGAGTTTGAGCCATATGAACTTGTCATTTCTGTAAGCTAAGACAGTGGTCAAACGTAGACATTTTCATATGGTTCAGCCTAATACATATACTGAGGCACTGTACTAAGGCTGTGTAGATGTCATCTCAATTGATTCTTTCAACACAGTTTTAAGGCAAATATAATAATCACCATTTAAAAATAAGAATATCTGGCCTTACACAAGATTAAGAAAGTTGCCCAAGGTCACAAATTAGTAAAATGAAGACTTAAAACTCTGAGCTATCTTAGGACCTCAATTTTCTCTAGTCACACTATAAAATAGATATTATATAACTTCCCCTAGTCTTAATTTCCTCTGATTGGGAGGTGCTTCTCATGGTGACCAAGATGTAGTGGTTGCTACATAATGTGTAGCTGTAACTACCATCAGTATCATCACCATCATCACCATCATTATCATCAGGGCCTAAAGTTTCACTTGCTCAAGGCTGTGTACAGAGCGTGCACAGTTAGAGAATGAAGAGATGCAACTGGTGTGTACGTGTGTGTTGGTGGGGGTGGTTGCTGAGAGGTCTTTTCTCTATTTGCAGTCACTTCTTGCAAAAGCCATTGTGTTTGAGCTGAACACTTGCACATGCATTTTGCCCACTTTGCTATTTTCAAAACAAAAGAGAAATTGGAAGAAAATACCATATTGAGAACAGAGGTGCCTGTGACAAATTGGATTAATTGAAAACAATCCAAAAAAAAAATTGCCCCAGTTAGTAGGAGAGTGGAGATCAAATTAGCCATGGAGAATCTAAGTAGAGGATTTTATTGATTGCTGTCGGCATAACCTAAATTGCAGAATGTGAGTCATCATGAAAGCACTACTATGTCTGCACTGATAATTGAGAGGCTGCATTTTTCATATGGTCAAGTTGGAGATAGTGAGTGTGGCCACCTGGAATCTTCCCAACCGAGTCCCACAAACACCTCACTGCCTCAGCCACCTGCCCCATGCATTCGCTTCCCAAGGCACAAACACAGATGATAATTTTACAAAATATAGTTTTTAAATGGTTGTTTTCCTGGATTTGATTTGATGTGCAGCATACATGTAGACTTACACTATGCAGACTGAGCTATTTTAATGAGAAAGAATGAAGCATTTCCATTTTGTTCTATTTCAGAGGGAGGGAAGAACAAATAATTCTGTTGTTGCTCGCAGAAATGACTATAAGACAGGGGTCAGTACACTGCAGCCCATGGGCCAAATATAGTTCTATAAATAAAGTTTTATTGGAATACAGCCACGTCCATTTGTTTACATATTGTCGATGCCTGCTCTTGCTCTAAAACAGCAGAGTTGAGTGACTGCTATGGAGCACATATCGAAGGCAGAACTGGAAATCCTAATTATCTGGCCCTTTGCAGAAAAAACTGTGCTGACCTCTTCTATGCAAAATGGAGTGGTTTTAGACAACTAAGTTGACTTTGTACAAGCTCAAGCTGCCTTTGTTTTGTGTCCAGTGTTGCAAGTTTGGCAGTGAGGTTTGGGGATCTCAGGTGTTGACGTGTATATCTGCCAGGACGCTGAAAATGTCTACATCCAGGAGTATTTTAGCCTTCACCTACAGCATTTGGCAGTAGATACGAACCACATGTTCAGAGAGAGAGATTTAATCTATGAAAATACAAAATTACAAGGAGATTAGGAAGAAGTTGCCTAGAAATAGGCAGGAGCCATCACCCGAAAATGGGGGCATCCTTGTCCGTGGCCGTTGGTGCATTTGCTTATATGGACAGGGGCATAGGTTGCAGGTTGCTCTTCATTTTCCTTTCTGGGAGACAGAGAGGAAACAGGATTAAAAGGCAGTTCAGATGAGTTAACATCATGGCATAGCCAAAAAACCCCAGTGTAATGCAATACTCTTTATACTTAGATATAGCTGAGTTTTTATTGGCTGTTTGGAATTGGGCATGTTACTTATCATCTCAGCGGTTTTCTCATCTCCAATATGGAAATAAAATACACTTTAAATGAGCTATGTATAAAATGTGCCTTGCGCAATACAGAATATAGTTAGATGCATAAAAATGTTAGTTACTCTCCCTTTTTATTGTCTTTCCTCTGTCACACACAGAGCTTTATAATTATGGTAGAGGGGCATATAGTCAAAGGAGGGGAAATTCTTGCATATAAAGGGACTTTGGGAGTCTAGGACAGAGGTTGAACCTAATGCTAAGTAGGTTGGAATTTTTTTCTCCATGTCTTGATCTAAAAAGAAATCACAGAAATCTCACCTTTATGTGTTTCCACCTCTCTATATTTGGTAAGAAGATAACATCTCAGTAAAATGAAATGGTAGACAGAAGCACAATCTCATCAAAGCTGTGACTGGGAAAAATACTGAAACTCCTCCCTAGCCTGGGACTTGGAAACATCTACTGTCTTAATTCCCCCTGTGCCCTCCACCCCCCAAATTAATGTCTACCTTGAGCTCTCAGCTCTGTCCACGACAGAGAGCTTCATGTAGTCGTTTCCAGGTGAATTGGTCAAAACTGGGATTATATTCCGACTGCAAGCATAGGCAAGTTCAGGGATCTATCTGTTCTCTCCAAAGACAGAGGGAAGTGGGAGGACCTCCTGAGGGGTGGTGGCAGCTTTCCTGCATCTACTGAAACCTACTTTGTCCTGCTGCCAGGTCTTTGCTGTTGGCCTCTGCCCTAGGTGCCTCCACTGCTGACACTTTCAGACCTGCCGTGACCCCCAACACTAAGACCACATAGGCTGTCCCGTGTACCCCTCATCCCAACACGCCCAGGGACAGTCTTGGCCACGTCTGTGCCTCTTTTGGGGACAGAGGAACTATGGATGTTCTAACTTACTGCCCTGGGCTCTTGGGAAACGCGAGGGCTGAGTGAGGTCCCTGCACATGCTGGTGCAGGCCGAGCACAGTGCAGTCTTTCTTCTTTCACTGGCACTGAGAAGAGGGGACCTATGTGTGGCTGCTGCTTCCCAGAGGTCTTTATGGGAAGCAGCCCCAGGTCTCTTCAACTCTCAATCTTCAAATGTCAAGGGGGTTCTATTGTTTCTCACTGACCCCAGGAGTTAGCCTGAGGGTTCGGGCCCCCACAGTGCCTCATCCTCAGCGTCTAACTCACTAAGGTATCTGCTCACAGTATAGCTTTTCTCTGTGCAGAGCTCTCCTCTCCCGGACCCCAAAGTATTTTGGCTCCTTGCTCATGCACCTGAGTACATCCTCCCTCTCTTGGCCACTGCCATGGCCCTTTAAGGGAGGTTTGGCTGCTCTCCTATGGCTCTGTTGGGCTGCAAGTATGTAATATGGACCCTTGCACCTTGCATAGAGTTCCAGGTGCTATATAGATGTCACAATGTCACTTCAAAGCTGATTACTTTTCTTTTTTTTTTTTTTGGTAGTAGCTAAGATTCTTTAATTTATAGTTGACCACATCCCTGCTCCCTATCTCACAGAACTGACGCCAAGGCCTCCATGAATTGTGTCACATGGGATTGCATTAGCTACTGCAACCAACAAATAAAAACAGCAACCACTTAAACAGATAGGTTTTTTTCGCACAGCAAGAATTCTGGGATCCAGGGTTATTAAGGTGGCTTAATGTTATCAGGGACATTCTGGCTCTTTCCACCTTTCATATCTGCTATCCTCAGCATCTAGGCCTTCTCCTCTTGTTTGTGACCTAGTGGTCTCAAAAAGGCTGCTTTGCCTCAAGACCTTAAAACTATATCCCAACTAGAAAGAATGAAGAAGGATAAGGAGGCTTTTTCTTTTAATTCAAGATTAGAAGATCCTTCCCCCTTACCTTCTAGCTATATCTCAGTGGCCAGAGTTATGTCACGAGCCCACACTTAGTTTCAAGAGGTGCTGGGAAAAAGTATATTGGATCCTTTCCATCCAGGGTAGAGGAAGACAAAGGAAAGGGGGTTTGTGAATGGATTTTGAACAGCCAATCTACAATATCTGCCAAAGGTCAGACAGAGGTCCTTAGACAGAGAGCAGTAAAGCTATTTCAAAAGATGGTATTAATCTATGATGTCATAGGATTACAATTTATTTAGCTTTTCTGAAAGTTCAAAAACTCTTGCTGATTCAGATCATTAATTTAGTGAGGAATTGGGTTGGTGGAATATTAGGGTATCTTTCATGAACAAAGGAATTTCTAAATTAATGACTAGTGGAAACAAGATGGGTGGTAGGAATCATATATCACCATCTTAGGAAACAAACTTTTTAAGCATTTTCAAAGGAATCTCATGAAAACAATTGATGAATCATATAATCTTAAATTATTTTTTTCTTTTGGGTAAGGCTGAATTACCCCCTACTTGCCAAAACATGCTGGAAATGTTTTATTGGCTTAATTTTGATTCCTTTATATATATGAAAGTAATAAAGCTGCATTTCTTTAAATATATTTCCTAACTTAGAGCTTTCATAAATTCACACTGGCTTTTATTTCTAGTCTTAATAAATTAGATTCTACCGCATATTGAATATACCCTGTTAAGTATATTGAAACAGTACGATGTTCACTGAAGGAGGAAGCTTAACATGGGAAAAATTAAAGAAATAAAGAGAGCATCAGGCAGGTGGTTGCATTACCCAAAGGTGAGCAAATTACAGCCCCTGGGCCAGATCTCACCTGCTATCTATTTTTCATAAATTTAAGTTTTACTGGAACACACCGACTCATTTCTCACATGTTGTCTATGTTGCTTTCATACTACAATGGCAGAATGAGCAGTTGTGGCAGAAATGGAATGACCTGAAAATTTGAAAATTATTTACTATTTGTCCCTTTGCAGAAAAAGTTTGGTGATACCTGCATAACTAGTTATGGGGGATTCCGTGAAAGCTGAACACAGTGACTGGATCCCTCTTCTCTTCATGTGGAAATTACTTTAATGTTTAAGTAAAGTAACATAATAATTACTATTATTATTACTATAATAATGTATATATAATATATATATTATATATACTATATATTATATATATTATATATACTATATATACTATATATTATATATAATATATATACTATATATTATATATTATATATACTATAATAATATATATATTATATATTATATATTATATATACTATAATATATATATTATATATACTATAATAATATATATATTATATATTATATATACTATAATATATATTATATATACTATAATAATATATATAATATATATTATATATACTATAATAATATATATATTATATATTATATATACTATAATAATATATATATTATATATTATATATACTATAATAATATATATAATATAGTAATAATTATTATTACTATAATAATTACTAATTACTATTAATATTTACTATTAGTAAAATATATAAAGTAAAATGTAGCAGTAGTGTGTTCAGGACTCCTGGGTATGAGCCATTGGGACTGTCTTAGTCTTGCCGCTATAACAAAGTATCACAGACTGGGTGGTTGATAAACAACAGAAATTTATTTTTCACAGTCCTGGAGGCTGGGAAGTCCGATATCAAGGCACCAGCAGATTCATTGTCAGGTGAGGGCCCATTTTCTGGTTCATAGATGGCACCTTCTCATTGTGTCTTCATCTGGTGGAAGGAGCGCATGAGCTCCCTTGGGCCTCTTTTGTGAGGACATTAATTTCATTCATGAGGGCTCCACCCTCATGACCTAGTTATTATACCTCCCAAATGCCCCACCTGTTAATATCATCACACTGGGAATTAGGTTTCAGCATATGAATTTTAGGAGGACACACACATTCAGACCATAGGAGGGGTATTAATTTTCATATCAAAACAATGGGTTCTGTTTCTGTCTTCAGCTTTAGCCTGTCATGAAAGATGGTCTCACCATATTGTATTTCATTCTAGCACTGAGTCTGCTGCTGACACAATGACAGGGGCCCTGAGTCTGCCCTTGGCTGGCCCTGTGCCCTGGAGCAAGTTACTTAACCTCTCAGAAACTTACCTTCCTTATGTCCTAAGTGAAAGGGTGATATTGACTGAAGAAAATGGGCTATAGGGTCTCCAAATTTCCTTTCTTCACAAAAGTTCCCGGATACAGTGATAAGACAGCCTATTTCTTATCTGACACAGATGATTATTTTTATTTACAATCTCAACCTGAATTGTCTTTTCCGTTTGGTGCGTATGTTGACCAGTGTGTCCTAACAAAGTAGATCTGTTTCATTCATTTGCAACTCTTTGTGAACATAAAGCATTTGCCACTTCAAGGACAAAAGCTGAGACCTAGGTCTGCAGATAATGGAAACAGCTGATATTTACTGAACACCTGCTATATGCCAGACACTTCTAAGTGCTATATATATATATATATATATATATATATGCTTATTTAATCTGCACATCAGCCCCAAATTAACTATTATCATTAGCTCCATTTTATAGGCAAGAAAACTGAGGCAACTTGCCCAAGGTCACACAGTCATTTGGGTATTCCACCTTCAGGGCCCATTCTTTCAACCACTCTTCTTTCTGCCTCTCAGTGGGTCAGGCTTTAGCACAGTGGCTGTTCTCCATCTTCACATCAATCAAGGGGAAAAACAGGTATGAGAGATGCAGGTTGGCATTCCTAGAAATTATGACACTTGAAAATTAGAACAAGACTTTCATTCACCAAAGATCTACTCTGTGCCTTCAAGATCATGCTTCAAGGCTCCTTTTCTCAGCCTGCTGTTCTCCTAAGTCAGATAAAAAAAAAATTAGGATGATAGTGGCAATGCAGGTTGGAAACTGGGTCATTTTTCTGAAATCATCTTTCTTTGCCAATGCCATTTTTGAATTCTTTCTGAGAATTAAAAAACAAACAAGCAAACAACCGATGTGGAACAATCTGTGGCAGATGGTTATTTCAGCTCTAGGTGAGTTTTTGTCATTATATTCTGGGAAGTGGAAATTATTACTTTAGATAATCATCTGTTATTTTAGTGAACTGCCAGCTAGGAACTATTGTAGCTATACGGGTTTAGGATGGGGATTTTTTTTTTTTCCTAGAGATTAGGACATAAATTATTTTCATTTGAATTCTGTGGAATTTTTGATGTTCAGCATGGGAGGGCATTTTCACTATAGTTCCTTGCTATGAGAATGATCTCTGGCATAGAAGAATTGGTATTCCGTGCCATTCTACTGAATATAAACAAGAAATCTAACAGTTCAGTTGGGGGTGGGAGAGGTGAGATGAAATTAGGCTTAAAGAACAAGTTAGCCCACTTTTCAAGGTTTAGCTTCCCCTGGAAAATACAGCAATAAACATCTAAACCATGATATTCATTACCAACGCAAGTCCCTAATTAATTTATTTTATGTTAATTAAGTTTATAATTATATAGTAAAACATTTACTTTCTCCCTCAAGAAATTGACTGAATCTTCTGAAGGGGCTTTGTGACTGTAATTTAGGTGCAATTAGCCAGTTAAATTTAGTTAGGGTTTGGTTCATTTAGCTGCTGCCGGAAGATGGAAACAGGCACTGTCTCAGAAGCAAGCCTGGATAGAGAGGATGTGTTCCTGGAGGCACTCCTCTCGCCTTTGGACAGCTAGTTCTGTTGTCTAGAACAACTGGAAGCCGAAGCTCTATCAAGATATAGTTTCTTTCTTTTTTTTTTTGAGATGGAGTCTCGCTCTGTCGCCCAGGCTGGAGTGCAATGGCATGATTTAGGCCCACTGCAACCTGTGCCTCCTGGGTTCAAGTGATTCTTCCGGCCTCAGTCTCCGGAGTAGCTGGGATTACAGGCACCTGCCATCACACCAGCTAATTTTGTATTTTTGTAGAGATGGGGTTTTACCATGTTGGCCAGGCTGGTCTTGAACTCCTGACCTCAGGTGATCTGCCTGCCTCGGCCTCCCAAAGTGCTGGGATTACAGATGTGGGCCACCGTGCCTGGCCAAGATGTAGTTTTATAATTACCACCTATGTGTATATTCCTCAGTCGAGGAATGCAGAGTCAATTCCACAATAAAGGATAGAGGCAAACCCCTTTTGCAAAACATTTCCTTGTGGTCCCAGAATTGGAACTAAAGCCATGGAACAGTTCTCAGACCCTTTCTACCATGGGTGTGAAATCACTGGCATTTGCCAGCATTCAGACACAGAGTGATATCAGCAGCCAGGACCCACCATTTGGCTGGAAGGACATCTTACCTCCCGAGAGGGGTCAAGAGGGCACGAGCCCACCCTGTAGGTCTCTCAAGCTGGGGTTCTGGGGCCTTCCTCCAGGAACCTAAAGACTTCTTTCAGTTTGGGCCACCCTTTTCCAGGAGGAAATTGGAATTTTGGGGCCACTCTTTCAGTTTGGGCCACCCTTTTCCATGGGGAATTGGAATTTTTGAGCAAAGTTCCTTTCCATGACTTTTTGCTTCATAACTCATGACAAAGAATGTGTTTTGGCCCATGATTTACAATGCAATTGATGTGATCATTTGCAGTGGCTGCTGAGCTACTGCAGGCAGGGTTGGTGTTCACTGCTCGTGCCTGCGAATGGAAAGCTGGAAGGCACTAAGGTACTCACATTAGTTCTGGTTATCAGAACCTGTTAGATTTTTTTTCATCTCTATTGTAAAGTTGGATAACTGAGGTTCAGAGAGGTCCCCTCACTTGGCCAGCATCACATAGCTCAGGAGGGAAAGGGATAGGATCCAAACGGGTGTTTCTGGTTGTAGACTGCTTCTTGCTGCCTAACCAGCGGCAGGTGGGTTTCTTTCAGGCATCACTGTAGAAATGAATCCTTTAGCACGAAATGCGTGGAATGACTGTACTTTTTAAAATTCAAATTCCAGTGGTACTAGTTAGTACAGACAGTCCCTGACTTAGGATGGTTCAACTTAGAATTTTTTAACTTTATGATCATGCAGTGGTGATGAGCATTCAGTAGAAAGTGGTTCGGTATTCTCCTGTGACGCTGAGCAGGGGCAGCAAGCCACATCTCTCAGTCAGCCACAGGATTCAGAGGGTAAACAACTGAGACCCTACAAGGTTTTGTGTTGCCGGGTGATTTTGCCCGGTTGTAGGCAAATATAAGTGTCTGAGCAGTTTTAAGGCAGGCCAGGCTATGCTATGATGTTTGGTAGGCTAGGTGTATTAAATACATTTTCAACGTACTATATTTTCAGCTCATGATGGGTTTATTAGGACATAATCCCATCATCAATTAAAGAGCTTCTGTTTAGTTCTGGGATCTTGGACAGTTAAATGATGGATGGTAAATGGCCATAATTGTGATGAATGAAAGGAAAATTAATATATAATCCAGTCATTCCTGCTATACCCATGTAATTACACTGTGTCTTTTCATCTATATGACATTTTAAATTTTTTACTGCTTTCGCAGAAGGAAATGCATTTGTCCATCACATGTTTTTCAAGGCCTCTTGTTCTTTAAGGAGATGATGATTCCTTTTTTAAGCTAAGAATTTGCATCAGGTTATGAAGTAGATCGCCTTTTCCTTTTAATCACTTTGACTTAGCCAACAACTTCCTGTAAGTTTTGGAAAACATCTCTTAAAATAATGTCAGATGTTTTGGGTACATTAAATTTTTATTTTAAAAAATCTAAAATGCATTTTTTTTCCAGTGTCTTAGGTCTGGTTGATTTTTAGCATGGTCACCATAATTTCTAACCAAGCTGTTATATTTGGAATGCCTTAGCTGGCCCTCCATACTTTAAAAAGAAAAATAAACTGCGAAATCTGGTGTGTGTATATAGAAATTTATGCCCTTTACAATCCAGGGTTTTCCTCATATATAAATTCCACTTGAACCAAAGAATTATGAAGGGACTTCCTGCGCTCCAACATGAAGGAGTCGAGGAGAAGAGAGAATCCTTCAGAAAGAGGTGTTGCTGTGTAAAACCACTGAGGTTGGCACACGCCCCGCTGCTGTAAGACATTGTTGAGCATTAGGAAAGACAGTGAGGTGGGATGACTTAGCAGCATGGGCTTATTCCAAAATGAGCTCTTTGAGCAAATAAAAATGTCCCTGACAGCAGAGGCTTCTAGAACTGTGGGTTAATTTAACTCAAGTGAGGGGTTCTGTTGGCTGCCTCAGTCGGAACATATATAAGGCTGTGACCCTGGGATTGGCTTTGCACTTTTCAAGTTTCCTATTGAGAATCTGCTTTCAGATAGAGTAAGCTCTCTGTTTTAATGGGGCTTTTTGAAATGGGTCACCTGCTAAGCTTAAGGAGTGTGCATAGTGATCTGCCGTTGACAGTATCCTGAGGGTGCCACCAGATGTGGAAAAGCTTTAGGAGCGTGGATTCTGTGCTCGTGACGTGAATGAGTGGGTTCTCTTGAAGACTGATGAACAATTCAGGGATCTGCCCTTATAAACCTTGCTGGGATAAGACACGATCACTGGGGTTTAAGTTGGGTATGCCTCCCAGGATCTGATCTATGACTTTCAATTTCTCTTACAGAGAAATGTCAATTAATGCCCCAGGTGGACTGACAAAGGGCAGGATGATCACCATTTCAACCTAAGCTTCCCCAGATACCAACAGAGTGCCAAATGAGTCTGTGCCCACCCTGCTGTGGAGGAGAGGCACATTTTAATTCTCACTGTAGCTAGGTAATGTCTGAGATGATGGAAGTTCTACTAATGGTTGCTCCTGGGAACAGGCACTAGAGAAAAAGGGGATGTCTGGGTAAAGAACCTTCTTTCTTCCTCATAATCCTCCTCTGTTTTCAAGTTTGGGCACATCCATTTCTTTGGTAAAAAGCTGAAGCCAGAGAAGTGTCTTTGAAGCCTGGAAGCTCCCTGCTCTGTGGCCACCCTCCCCATCAGGGGTCACACATCTGCCTGCAGCAGCGTCAGAAGCAGATATGCGGCCCTACCTTGGTCTGGGAGCAGGAGCTGGAGCAGTGGGCTGTTAATGTCCTCACTTGTGGGGGTGGGCAGTGAGGAGGAGGCAATAAGGCAGCAGCACATGGGGAGAGGGATACCCTCCGTGGGTCTGGGGATGACCACTTGAACTAGGTTCCTTGAAAAGCCACAGTTCAGTCCTCTGAATGAGGACTTCAGCAGTTTCACCTTGTGGGCTCCAGATCATAGGATGTTGGCCTACCTTCCAAGAAGTCCCTGGCCAAACGGAACCCAGGCCTTGCATTTTATCCCACTCTCAGGCAGAGTTGGGTAATTCATGTTTTTTGTAGTCAGTTCATGGGGATTATTAGCCCCACATATGTATGTTTCGCATTCCGGAATACTTGCTGCTTAGCTGAGGTTTCATTATCTTTTGCTCTTAGCTAATTTAAATGGAGATGGGATTTATCAGGTACCTGTATTCAAGTGAGGGTAATTTGTTTGACCCTCTTCTAGCTTAATTGGTACTGCTGGTGGATTTGACTTTTGGGACTTGCAGCAATAGGCAGAGACATCGGCCACACATAAGCCCCCCTGATTGTTGCTATCTTAACACGAATCCTAAATGTTAAAGAGCTCCAAACTCTATTTCTGAAGTATTGCTTGGGATGCCTGATGAAAAAGTGTTGCTTCATGACAAATTTTATTTTCACCTACACTCTTTCTTCTAGGGTCAGCTTAAACTTGGACCTGGATTTATCTTCCTGTTTTGGAGGCTTATTATCTCTATTTTTACTCTTCAATAATTGTGTTCAGTCTCTGAACATGCTTGAGGGGTCTGAGGCGCATCAATACCAACCACTTTAAAAAAAAATTTCTCCTCCTCCTCTTCCTCTTTCTATCTCTTGATTTTCATCTCCCCCACAATCATTATCGTCATCCTCACACAGGCACTGGCTGACCTATGTGTACTTCTTTTATGTGTTTTGTTGTACATTATTTACTTTGTACAAATTGATTCCCAGATCCACTTTGGTCAATGGCCTACAGTTTCAGCCAAAATTGGGCAGAGCCAAGCAACTCACATTGTGTATATCTGAGGTTCTTGCAGATTTTATATAGTTATAGGTTGAATTGGGTAATGGATTTATATCATTAACCTCTTGTTTGGACTCTGTAAGTTTCAGCACTCTGGCTTCATATACTATAAAGAACTGGCTAGAGTATTTTGACGAAAATAAATTGAGGCACAAGATCTATGGTGGCAGCAGCAACTGCATACTCTTCTGTGATGACATATATTGCTTATCTGTACTGACTATTTGAATCACTGATAAGCCCCTCTAGACTTAGAATTGTGGAATGACATCTTTAAGAAAATGTCATTTCACTCTACAGATATCGACCCTATAGATTTTTCAATATATGTTTATTGAAGCAAGACAGAAAGGCTAGACACACCCCAGGAGAACAATAGATTAATTTGGGTGTCTCCATGTGGTAGTAGTAAAGCCTTTTGAGCATCTGAGTACCTCTCAAACCACAAATTCTTCTTTCTTTTTCTCTACTCCACTTAAAGCAATTTTAGGTGATTCTGTGGATGGGGCAATGGTATCAGTCTTTGGATGCATTCCCCATCCTCTGTGAAGTCTCTGAAATGGTAGTTGTTGAGTCCTCGGACACTTGTCATCAGAGCCTGCTGATTAGAGCACATTCCCCTTAGAATTGTTGAGTTTTAACTGTGCAATAACTTTGGCTTTCCTTACAAATTCCAGCTTTGCCAAGTGTGCTTTCTACTTTCATTTTCAGCTCATAATGAAACTTCATTTTGCAACATCAGACCAGAGCTTTTCCTTTAAAAGCCTTCCTGACCATCTCAGTAATTTTAGTTTTTCACCTCCAGCTAATAAATGGACCACGTTTTTTTCCCTTTGTCCCGCATACACTACTGTAATTTTGATCAAAGTGAGAATTAGAATAAACCAAGTCTAGCACCTTTTCCCCAGTAGATTAAAATGCTCCAGGAAGTACTCACTGTGTGTCCACGTGTCTAACTCTGCAGCCTTCACTATACTTCTGAGAAAAATGTGATTTCGTACTGGAAGCTTTGGAATGCCTGGACTCACCCAGTTGCCAATGAGAAGCAGTAGATCCTGCATTGTGTTGCATCCTTCATTCTCCTTCAATTCAGTTGGGTTGTTGAGTACACTGAAGTTTGCTATGGTTTGAATGTTTGTCCCCTCTGAAACTCATGTTGAAACTTAACCCCCAATGTGGCAGTATAGAGAGTTGAGGCCTTTAAGAAATAATTGGGTCATGAGGCCTCTGCCCTCATGAATAGATGGGTTCATTCATGGCTCAGTGGATTAATGGATTGTCACAGGAGTGGGACTGGTGGCTTTATACAAAGAGTAAGAGACAGCTGTACTAGCACACTCAGCCTCCTGGGCATGTCATGCCCTGTACTGCCTTTGAACTCTGCAAAGATTTCCCACCAGCAAGAAGGCCCTCACAAGATACAGCCCCTTGACCTTGGACTTGTCAGCCTCCATAACTGTAAGAAATAAATTCCTTTTCTTTATAAATTACCCAGTTTCAGATATTCTGTTATAAGCAACAGAAAACAGACTAAGACAAATAAAACTCAACATTTAGACCTTACTATTGTGAAACCAAAAATGCCTTCAGCTCTTGGTATTTGTGTGAGGCCATGTTGAGCATAGAAAATGTATAGATGTGCTCCCTCTGTCCTCCTGTGGGATGAAGTCTGAGATGGAGGGAAATCAAAATAAAATAAACACAAGTTTTAAAAGGTACAAAAGAAGGTCCATGAGTGGAAGTGAATGCTTCAGAAGTTTAGAGGAGGGTGAAGTAGGTACTTGCAGGAGAAGGCTTTTGCACTGGATCTTGAAGAATAGTCTGAGCGTCTCAAAGGAGAGCTCATTTGGTGGGAGGAGATCCAGGAGAAGGGATAATATGTGGACAAAGTAAATCCTTGGGAAGCAAAAGGGGTGTTTTAGGGATGTTTAAGCAACTTCTGGATTGAGCACAGAGAAGAAAGGACCAGGACCAAGACCAGGACCTAAATTTATATATGGGGAGATTTCTGCTACAGGTGCAGATGATACCTTTGCCAAAGAGGGACTGACAATTCCGAGGCTCTGAGTTTAGATTTCAGCTCTCTCATTCATTCTTGGGTGACCTTGGACAATTCATATTCACCATGTGAGTTGAGCCAGTTATCTATAAAATAGAAAAAGCGACAACAGCAAGGGATAGTTGGTGCAGCAACCAACAGATATAAAGTGCTCCACAAATATCAAATTAAGACAATAGGTGTTTAAGCCCAGATGCTGAACAAAGCACAACTGTACCTTGCTCACATCTCACTTTGTGATGGAAAGTTTTTGAACCCACTGTATTCTAGACACACGATGTTATGAGAACATAGGAGTTTATTATTTCATTTTACCTAGTAAACATTTTCCAGAAGACTTAAAAGGCATTTGTTTTGCTTTCCAATGAAGGTGAGCTGCTACCTTGGTGCCCCATCCACCAGATCATCTCCAATGGCACCATGCCACGCAGATGCTCAAGTTGGCAGTTTTCTGCTTGAACTCTCCCAATGACAAATGTGATAAGATTTGCTTTTTTAGATAGCAGCTGCATCTTTCTTCCGTTCCCTTCACTTCCTTTGGGCTCAGCAGTTTTCCTTTTTGCTCCAGATAAATTGCTGTTAATTTAAATGTACTGCAGATCCTTGCCATTTTATGGCTGATTGCTTCTGAGTAATAGGAGGAAAATGTGTGCATGCTTGAATGTAAATAAATTTAAATGGGTTGTGAGCCAATGATAAAAAAGCAGAGCACTTCGCTGACCTTCAACTCCCTTCCCTTCCCAGTCTTTCCCTTTGAAAAGGTCAATGAGTAGATCCTAAATCAGCAAATAGCAGAGGTTGAGTTTCAGGCCACATCCAGTTTCTTCCTTCTCTGTTTTCAACTTTACATCCCATTTCTCAGATAGCACCTGCTTTATCCTTGTTCCTATATAGCTCAGCTAGTGCGTGCAATGGTGGCAAAGTTTCTCTAAAGTTGTTTTTGATAAAGGAGCTGGTCTCACGGTAACTACCATGCACCATCGGAATGCTACAAATGCTTCAGAATGTCACATTGTCAAAATATCTATATTTCAGGCTCATAAGCTAGACAGCTCGTTTGGCTGCTAAACCCACAAGATGTTCAGCCATTTGTTGTGGTCTAAAAACTTTCCCCCTCACAAGGAGAAAATAATCTTCTATTGTTTTGTATCATTTTGTGGTCTTTTGAGTTTTTTATAATATGAGAGGGCAAAAGTTATGAGATCCTGATAGGTAAATCGTGGCCTGGATTGAATTTTGCTATCAGTCTCTCTTGAAATCAAATTAATTTTTCAATATGTAGTGAAATATCTTTAGTCTGTCCACAGTATGGGAAGATCAAGGGTATGAAAGAGTAGGGTGACTTGCCTTCTTTGAGGTGAAGGGGGTGGAAGTGATAGTTTGAATGCATATTGCTTACAATTGCAACAGGCTGGCTTTTCCTCAGAAGAAAAATGCCGTATGTGTTTTTATGGCGGCTTCACTTGTTTTTATTGCATGGGCGTGTGGAGCTGAGATCTACTTCTTTGGGAAGGATGGATCACAAAAGGCAAGCACAAGAAGGTTGCAGAGGGACACTTGACATCAATTGAAATAAGGGCCAGGGCAGTTGCATCCTGAGTGGATGGCAATGGTCCAGTAGAACCGTCATCTGGCAAAGTTAGCTGTGTTTCCAACTGTAATAATTAGTGAGCCTGGAGGGGCTTGTGGCAGGAAAATAGCAGATAGAAACAAAGAAAGAGAAGCCTGGTTAAGTTCCTGCTGTAAACATGCTGGGATTAGTAAACTCTTGGAGTTCCTGTGCCATAAACCCATTGGAAATAAGCCTTTATACCAGCAGGTTAATCGTGTTATTGAGTCAACAAATCTTTTTATTCTGGGGTCATGCTGTCTCTATCACTAAGTTTCTCCTGTTTTTATTGACAAAGTTGACATCCTTATATTAATACTCATATTGTTTCAGTGGGAAAGAATTTGAGCTCCACCCTCTTAAAAGCTAAGAAGTTTGATTTGTTAATTTGGCATGCTCATTTTACATGCCATAGTGCACTGTTAAACTAGCTCAGCTTCTGTTTGCCTGGAGGCAAAACTTTTAGAAGGAGACTGGAGACAGATATGAAGGAGAATTAATCAGTGCTACTGAGTACTTCCTAAATTCTTAGGGCTTTTGTGGGTGATTAAATCCATAAATGATGTTTGGCATCTGTACTGAGTTCTTTTGGAAGGGCAGGAGGGAGAAATGCCATGGAAATTAAGCTCCATAGACTCTTTTAGCATTGTTGTAAATGATGACACAGATTGGTGGTGGTACTTACGGTTCTGGAGGCAGATGACACTAGCACTTGGCAGACCAGACACCAGGTGGAGGAAGATGGAGAGTCTACATGGTTGGGCTTAGAGGCGTCTTCCAAAGTTGAACTTGAAAATGTCTCGGAGATTTCTATTACCACATGGTCTATTTTGCCACTTATGGATCTAATAAAGATTCATGCAAATTAAACACAGTATTATGTATACTAGAACCTTCACTGATCCACTGGGTTTCCATGGGCAAGTTCAGTGAAAGCTCACTGTCTTCTTCTTGCAGAACTTATCTCATAGGGTTATTGTAAAAATAAAAAAGAATAGTTTGGGTGCAATGCTAAGTAGAGAACCTGGTGCAAAGTAGATTCACTGTCATTTATTGAGCAAATTATTTACTCATCTTTCTCCTTCTATGGGCCAATGAAGTATTTGAGGTCAAGGAACTGTGTTTTCTTTATTTTTGTAACATTTATCACAGCGTCTACTGTTTGGTTGGTGCTTAACAAATGTAGGATTACTTAATGTTAGATATTATACATCATATTATTTATATATTATTATATATAATATATACATATACTATATGTCTTATAGATATAATATATACATATACAATGTACTGCATGTTGTATGCTATATAAGTTATATAATGAATACTACATCTCCATATGTGTCATATATTTGCTATAATACTTAAAGTTAAGCAACTAATTAATTATTTTATATTAGGATTCTTAGAAAAGAATAGCTGGGCTTGGTGGCTCACGCCTGTAATCCCAGCACTTTGGGAGGCCGAGGTGGGTAGATTGCTTGAGGTCAGGAGTTTCAGACCAGCCTGGGCAACATGGTGAAACCCTGCCGCTACTAAAAATACAAAAATTAGCCGCGCGTGGTGGCACATGCCTATAATCCCAGCTACTTGGGAGGCTGAGGCAAGAGAATTGCTTGAACCTGGGAGGCAGAGGTTGCAGTGAGCCGAGATCTCACCACTGCACTCTGGCCTGGGCAACAGAGCAATACTCTGTCTGGAAAAAAAAAAAAAAAAAAAAGAAAGAAGAGAGAAGAATCTAACTATTTGTATTGTCTAGTATTTCACCAGTTAAAGTTAGCCAGTTCTCTGGGCCAGTTGCTGAGTAACTAATCAGTTCTTTTAGAAAAGATTTGCTAAAATTAGCTGGGGAAAGAAAATCAGGATTTGGGTAGATAGGTATTGTTGAAACTAATTCCCCCCACCCATAAAGACAAATATTAGGTTGGTGCAAAAGTAATCATGGTTTTTGCCATTGAAAGTAGTGGCATTACTTTTGCATGAACCTATATATAAAAATTCTTCAAGGGTCATTTGTATTGTACACAGATGTTTCCTCCTTAAAGTAAGCTGCTAACAGCTGACACAGTTGTGGATGGAGCTGTATGCAGAAATCCTTCGCATTTCTTTTCCTTGTTTCATGTACCATGTAAAATCAGTTTTAAGTTTAAAACTAAGTTGCTCAATAATGAGATGCCCATTTCCCCCAACTTCTGTTCTGTTATTATATATTGCTCTATGGTTTAAAGTGTATTCCATGTTGTGTCTCATTTTTGATGTTTATTTATTATGTTCATTTGAAAGTTATTGTACTTGTATGTTAATTTTCATTGATTTTTCTTTTGAGCATGACTTATGTTTTATTTTGTGTTTCTTTTAGGTTTTGTTTTGTTTCATAAGATCCCACTGGATGGGTAGCTGAAATAAAGGAAAAGACAGAGAAAGGGGCTGTGGTGCTTGTTGGTTGATGCTGCCATGTAAGCTGGACTCCTGGGACTGCTGTTGGCTTATCCCGGGAAGTGCTGCTTATCTGGGGTTTTCTGGTAGATGTGGGCGGTGTTTGGAGGCTGTACTATATGAAGCCTGCATATACTGTGAGCTGTGATTGGGGAACACCAATGCAGAGGTAACTCTCAGGCAGCTAAGCAGCACCTCAAGAAAACATGTTAAATTAATGCTTCTCTTCTTACAGTAGTTCAAATACAAAACTGAAATGAAATCCCATTGGATTGTACTTCTCTTCTGAAAAGTGTGCTTTTTGACCCTACTGGACATTTATTGACTTAATTGCTTCTGTTTATTAAAATTGACCTGCAAAGTTAAAAAAAAATTAAAGTTGAGAACAGGTATAAGTGCACACTGAATAGTCTAATCTACATGTAACACATATTTTAGTGTGATTTTCTATACTCTAATCAGCACTGAATTCAGAGGGTTTGACTTTTTCATCTATAACACAGTGACTAAAAGAGTTAAGGGTATATATACCATCACTTTGGGACTTGGTAGTATTATTAAAAGGTTATTTCCTTCACTGTCAATAAAAGTCCAAATGTTTAGCTTAGGTCTGAGAGTCAAACAATGTTAAGGATTGTCTTAAAGTTCCTTAGCCAGCAAAACAAAACAAAACAAAACAAACAAATGAAAAACGTTTAAAAAGAAGAAGAAGAAAAAAAACAAGAACAAGCAGCAACAGCTGTTTTGTTGGGGCTATAGATTTAAGTTAGGCATAGTCAATTTCAGAATAACTAAGAGTGGAATATATGCATATGGTGAAATTATAACCTTGCCCTTTTTTATTTGCCCTCTGCGATCCACCTGCTTTTTAGAAGTCTGCCGAGTGAGAAGGCCACAGTATCTCATGCTGTTTGCATTACAGAACTGCAGCTTTTCTACTCTGAAAAGGCCTGGGAGCAGAATGGCTGGCCTGCTGTGAGCAGGAGAGGAGATTCTAAGAAGGATAGTCCCCCCTACAACATACTGTCATACTGCTGGGTTTTCATGGGTAGGAAAGCTTGTCCTGACCCCAGCAGCAAAGAGGTGGCAGGTCGCTAATGAATATATGCTTTATAATGTCCTTCTTCATTGCTGAGAGGGCAGCCTTAGAGCTGTGGATTTCTGCATCCCCCCTGAGTCTGACCCATGGACACCTGTTTCATTCACTTTAGCATCACAGTGACCTTTGTATGCTCTGTTCAGTCTGTGTCAGGCAGTATGCTTGTCCTGAAGAGAGGTTTGGCTATCCCCACCCCACCCCACCCCACCCTGTTCCTTTTTTATCAGGAGGACTTCAGAGCCAGGCCTGCAGCATTTTGTTTGAAAACACAATCAGCTCTGACAGTTAGACATGCACACAGACGCCATAGCTGGATTGGAAACATTGATGTTTTAAAAATTTATTTTTTTTGGAAATAGTTGCACAAATGCTGCAATTTAGCTTTAAGGTTCTATAGATTTTTAACTAGTCCAACACAGTCAGAAACATTGTTTTGAATCCTCTGTAAACCAAGGCATTAATCTTAATAAACCAGGATCCATTTAGGTACCACTTGATATAAAAAGGATATCCATAATGAATATTTTATACTGCATCCTTTACATTAGCCACTAAATACGTTATTGCTTGATGAAGACCTTTCACAGAATCCTATGGATTGCAGCATTTCACTTGGCTACTTCATACCCATGCCTTAAAGAGGGGCAGTTTCTCAAAAGCAGAAACATGCCGCCAGTTCTCAAGTTTTCCTCCTAACTCCATTTGAATGTAAGGGCAGCTGGCCCCCAATGTGGGGAGGTCCGAACATTTTCTGAATTCCCATTTTCTTGTTCGCGGCTAAATGACAGTTTCTGTCATTACTTAGATTCCGATCTTTCCCAAAGGTGTTGATTTACAAAGAGGCCAGCTAATAGCAGAAATCATGACCCTGAAAGAGAGATGAAATTCAAGCTGTGAGCCAGGCAGGAGCTCAGTATGGCAAAGGTTCTTGAGAATCAGCCATTTGGTACAAAAAAGATTTTTAAAGCTTTTATGTTATACCATGGAGCCATAGAAAGGCTATGGATTGTTTAAGAACTATTTTAAAGTGTTCCAGACCCAAAAAGGAAAAATAAAAAAAAAGGAATATTTGTACCCAACAGCTAGAAGGATTGCAAGGTAGATTTTTGTTTTAAAATGGAGAGAAGTGGACAGATAAGGCCATTTAATATATCAAAGATCAGTTGACATCTCCTAGGGAATGATGAAAACAGCAGGCTATTAGAAAATTATTTCATATAGTTCTCGTGTTCTTTTCTTTTTTTTAATCCCTGAAGGGATGATCAGTAACATAGCTTCTCTTTTCTGTACTCTAGACCACCCCTTTTCATCATTTTGCTTTTTATGTCTCCCATAAGAAATGTGCTTTTTAGAGCTTCCTAATGCATGTGTTGCATTATTGCAGCATTAGAAAAGGAGAGGTAGCATTTTTGCTGAAATCGGGCCTGTCACTCTCCAATAAAGGTTCTGGCACTTCAATGCCAGGCAGGTCTCCTAAATGAACAGAATGATCTGTGTGAGCCGATGCCTGCCCTTCCAGAGGGGCCACTGTCCCCAGCCGCAGCCAACTGTGTCCCACAGGAATGGGAGCCTAGGTTTCCAAATCTTGTGATTCTTTAGGAGAAACATGAAACCTGGATTTCGTGTGAAATGTCCCGATTGTTAAAAAGTTGGCTCAATTATTTTTAAAACATTTTGTAAGCCAACAAAAGTCTGTGGGCTGCCAGTTTATTACTTTTGTCTTAAAACATGATCATTGTTCTCTCACGGTATCCTTCTGTCTTCCCGTTGCAAATTCACTTTTCTTTCTTCCTGACATTGCCATTGAGGGCTTTGTTACCACAAGCTAAGAAACTGAGTTTAACAGCCCAGTTATCTGCAACATGTCAATTACCTTTGCTCCTCTCCTGTGATTCCCACCATGCTGTGACCCTCAGCTGTCTCCCTTTGCTGGGAATTCTGCACCAATGTCTCCCCTCAACCCATTCCCTGGTTGGTCCTACTCCCGTGTGGCCAGAGACATCCTAGCAAATCCTTCCTCCTATTATATCTGACACTAATTTCTTTTCAACAGCGCTCATGTCTCTTGGCCCAGTCAGGTGCTGCCAGGTTTAGATAGGAAAGTACATGTCCCATTTTCATGGGTGCCCTTAATGTGGTCCACGTCCTATATCTTATTATATTTACTCATGGCTCAATGGGGGCCTCCAGAGACCCTCTCAGGCTGCTGAGCTAGACTAAGGAATGCATCCACCGTCATCACATGAGACACTGACTCTGTGACGACAAAAGTACAAACAGTCTGAGGCTAAGAAAGGTTCATCTCACAACAGGAAAAACAAATCTCAACACACATTAGAGATAATTGATTCAGGGGTTTTCTCTCCCAGTCTCCCAGCAGGGACTGATTTCATTTCTGACCCACTAGGTTTTCTTTCCAGAAATAGGTAGCAAGGACAAGAACTAAACAATCCCAGCCCCACCCAGCAACACAGAACACAGGAGTTTGCTTTTGGCTTCTCACTCTCCAAGTAACCCTGAATTAGGCCCAGAATGGCTGAGGCTTGGAGCATCTCCTCAGACAGAGCAGAGGCGACACCTCTTCAGGGGTGTGTGGAGTAAATAGCTCGAAGAGCTGAAGACAGAAAACCAGTTTCACGCCAGGTGCGAGAGAGAGCATAATGGAGGGAAGCCCGCTTTCTCTCTCCTCTTCTTTTCTCTTTATTTCTTTAGAGCACTTGACTTTTTTTTCTCTCTCTCTCTAGTATTCTAAACTGACCCCATGACCAACTGAGAATTTATTTTTGTTTCATTGGTTGTTTCACAGAATTAGAACACACACGACTTTTTATTCCTCCATTGCAAAATGGAATCAAGATACTACACAAGACCTGTGCTTTCTTCCTTTGCATGATTTACACCTCCGCCTGTTTTGGTGCTAGCTGTCTAGAACTTCTCTCTTGGTTTGAATCTGATTCCTTCACACTACACTAGAAGTTTATTTCATCTTGTTTTGTCTAGACTCCAGATACAGAGGGACAGCTGGACTGAGGACAAGCAATTCCATCTAGCATAGGGTCTCTCAGGGTTGGTGCATCCAGCCACATGGGCAGGGCCAGTCACATCTAGTCTATGTCCCCAGAGCCCTTGGAGTTGCGCAGCTTAGCTGACTTGACTCCAAGGAAATTAGTACAGAAGTAACCACTCTATTAAGTGTGTTCTGCTATGTTCACATGCCTGTAGTACCTGCAAACCATGCCAGGTTCATCTAAAGACATAGGGGAAGATTAAGGACTCTTTTGGACAGACCATGAATTGAATTTGCTGCCAGGTGCTGCCAGACTGAATTTGGCTGACAGAACTCCCAGCCCAGGAAAGTTCCATGACAATGACTGTCGCAGAAGGAAATTTCCCACTAAAGTCAGTCCATTTTCAAGTTTTGGTCTTCAGAGACAAAAGAACGTCCCAGCCACCTGATTTTGATGGTGAGGTAACTCTAAGTTGAATTCAGGCTAGTGTTGCAGTATAGCTTTGGCATGTTCATGAGTGAGCACCCAGAATGTGTTGAACCAACCCCCACCCCTAACTACTGACTATGACTGCAGTGGGTTTTTATGGGGAAAAAAAGTGTGAAAAGCAAAAAGAAAGGAACAGAGATTTTTTATCACCTTTATTGTAAGACAGTCCATTTATGAATTGAGTATAAACACATACAAAGTAACAAGAGATTCCTAAGAAACGCAAATCCTTGAGTTTCACGCACTTCATGTTCAACCATTTGCTGTAATCCAGAGGCAGCCTGTGAATCATTCTCATGCCCTGTTTTTTTTTTTTTTTTCCTATAATGTTCTGGGTTTAAAAGCCATCTTTTCCACATTTTCTGTAAATAATGGATAATCATTTTAAAAATTTTTATTTTTAGTGCTGTTTTAACAATGTAGATAGATCATAAATGTACTTGCTGAATTCAATCATTTTTAACAAGCCAATAAAGTTTGATAATTCATCTCCATGTGTCTTGCATTCTCTGTAGATCTTGTGTACTTCCTCACACTTCCTCAAGTGTGTGCTGTCACCTGAGTGCCCTTGGTTGTGTTCAGAACTGAAGACTTTAGAAGAAACAGTGTGAGAAATGTCACGGAGAGTTTCAGGGGAGTACCAGGCCCATTTCAGATTCTGTGATAAATTATCCCCCCAAAAAGGTCTTTTAAAATTCCTGTCAGTATGAATTGTCCATTCATTGTTTACTGATTCTTGCATCAGAAATATTTTATTTGGCTAAAAGGCAATCCTTAAAAAAAAAAAAAAAAACTTATGCGAATTTTTTTTAAAAACCCTAAATTCTATGGCAAAGCCCTTTGGTATTTTAAAAATTTGAAATGACCCAGGTCACAATAAGAGAGTATACTCAATGCTCTGTTTCTCTATTCTAAATGACTTTGTGGACATATAAACATAATGACTTGTACTTGAAAGCGAGAGAGAGGGGAATATGTTGGATGTAGAGGGAAGATACCATGAGACCATAACTGTTAGCATGGTGCCCACACTTCATGTCCCTTTTGTCTCTATCCTCAGGTCAGCTGCATGGTTCCTGCCCCATTTTTCCCATTGAAAACAGGATGTAAAAGTGAGGTTTGTAGGACCTCAGGCTCCAATTCATTTGAGCCTGCCATTCCCTTCTGTTGACACCCAAAGGGTTTTGCTCTAAATCAGACTTAGGGATTGGAAAAACTAATCTAGTGTGACCTCATGCTTTATCAAGTCAAGTATACTGCCCCTCTTATAAAAGCCCAGTGTTGGGCTGGGCGTGGCGGCTCACACCTATAATCCCAGTACTTTGGGAGGCTGAGGCGGGCGGATCATGAGGTCGAGAGTTCAAGACCAGCCTGGCCAATGTGGTGAAACCCTGTCTCTACTAAAAATACAAAAATTAGCTGGGCGTGGTGGCGGGCGCCTGTAATCTCACCTATTCAGGAGGCTGAGGCAGGAGAATCATTTGAACCCAGGAGGTGGAGTTTGCAGTGAGCCAAGGTTGCGCCATTGCACTCCAGCCTGGATGACACAGCAAGACTCCATCTCAAAAAAAAAAAAAAAAAAAAAGAAAAGAAAAAAGCCCAAACTTCAGTGTTAGTGACTTGTGCTTTTTCCAAACTCCCTTCTCCATTTGTTGAACGAAGAACAGGTTGCATCTAACATCTGAAGGTCATATGATAATTTGGAGTGGCAGGCATTTGTCACAGACTATGCAGGTTTGAATCCCAGCTATGCTCACGAACAATATAATCTTGGGAAAGTTCTTTCACTGCTCCGTGCTTCAATTTCTTCCTTTGCAGAATGAGATGATGGTAATAAGAATAGTACAATATTTACCTCACTGGGCTCTTATAAGAGTTAAATGAGATGGCTCAGGTAAAGCCCTTGGCACATTGCCTGGCAAGTGGGACACTCGGTATTGCTAATAACTAATACTTCAAAGGAGCTTTGGTTGGCGAGTCGTTGGGTGTACCTCGGTAAATGTCCACGAATTACAAACCCACTCGCATATCTTGGTCATATGCAGATTGTGTGGTTGCAAATAATGGAAACCAAATGAAAGGAAACTTCACTCACTGGGTCATCCTGGGTGTGGCCCAACCTGTGAAGGCCACTTTGGAATTGTTTCAGGAGTTATTAGGATTCTGCTCTTGAATTCTTCTCTTTATCCAAGCCAATTCTTACACACTGATTCTGCCTCAGGTTTGATTTTGATAAAATAAGAGGATCTGATTTATTTGGCCAATATTCTAATAGTTCCATGAGTTTGAATGATGGTCTGTTATTTGCAAATTCTTGGAGAAATAGCTCTGAATGTCTTACACTGAATACAGCTGGCCTCACTAGTTCTCATTTTGTTAATTCAGATTTCTTTTTATCATTTCAACAGGGAATGCATTAACTTTACTTTTTGAATTATCTATTTAAAAATCTTTGGCTAAGAATGTAAGTAACAACTTAGCCAAAAGATTGTTTCAAAGAAAAGACAGTTTCAAGTTCCCTCAAGACTTAGAAACGAGTATTCACAGGCAATGAGTTATGAATAACTAGATTATTCTTTTCCTTCCTGAAGTTGTTTCTGGTAATAGCTCTAGAAGGCCACACATGATTGGCCTAGTTGGAACTACTTCATGTTTGAAGTCATAAATTTCATGTTATTAAAAATACTTCATAATTTGCACTTTTTTCCTATCATTAAATCATTTTAAATGAGTGGCGTTGATGTATTTCTAGCACTTAATTTAGGACAATTTTACTATTGCTACCACCTTTCCTAATACATCCTTTAGTGAGCTCTACCACAGGACCTAAGAGATAATGATAGGTAACAGGTATTGACTTCAAACTTAAGTGTTTCATGATCCTCCCAACAACCTTATGAGGCCAAAGCTAATATTGCCTGTATTGTAACGATTAGGAAACTGAGGAATGGAGCCATGAGGGACGTGCCTCAGGTTACCGAGCTAACAAGTTAACACTAGGATTTGAGTTCAAGCAGGCTGTCTGTAAAGCTGGTGCTCCGTATGTGAACTGGATTCTTGAACTGGGCTGGGGCTAGAGCGAGGCCAGCCAGGTGTCTAGGGCACAATTTGAAAGACGGTGGTAACTCTTAGGTTCATGCAAGTGCCCAGTGGCCACTCCTACTAGCACTGGCAGTTGTGTTATTGTTGCACTAAAGTAGAATTCTAAAGTTAACTGAAGTCACTGGAGAGGCACCCCTTGATCCCAGCAAGTCTTCAGGTATTTGTGCCATGAACAAATCCTTTTCAGATCTTGACTTGCAAGTATGTGGCACAGTAGTGAAATTGGCACATACATTTTAAATTTCACCTTGTGAAAAAGAGAAGTTGCATCAAGTCTGTAATTCAGCGCTAATTAGTTAACCCCAGAGCACGTTTGCTTTGTCCGTTATAACTGAAGATGGATTTGCTGTTTTTTATTGCCTTCAGGTGAATTTTCTCATCACTCTTGAACTTTAGTACTTCCCATTCTTTTGGAGTAGTCCCTACTCTCTGGTGAGTGAACTTGAGGGAAACCTTGCGAGTGGAAAGGGCCTGGTGGGAAGGGGTGTGGAGGACACGTCCTGCCATCTCCATGAACAGAATCCAGACATCAGAACAAGGTGGTGAAAAATGCCTGCGCTGTTCCTTGCCTTTCGAACACCCACAGGCAGAGCAGCGTCGGAGCTGCTTGGTCACTTCAATGTGCCTGTCCTCGAATGTCCCGTCTGGCAGCCAGTGATTGAGAGAGACTGCTGAGGGCACATGCTAATTTTCCAGTCATTTGGTCAAGCCCCATCTCACACGCTACAAGACCCTGGAGCCTGTGTTTACTGAGTTAAAATCTCTGCCTGACCATAAATTAATGAACAGTAAGTTCCCTCCCTCTCTCTTTTAGAAATGTTTATCCTGTTGCCAAGAAGGAAAGGAGAAACCTCTTTTGTGTTTATTAACCACGCTTCCATCTCTTTTTAAAAATTATCATCATGCTGTAATCAGTCTTGCTGAATTATTATATAGAAACATAGGCCACGGCTGTTTGCTTTAAGGATTTTAATTCAGCCTCAAGTAAATTCATGCAATTTCACCTCAAGCCCCTTGAGTCGGGGTAGGAAGTACAGAGTCGCCAGCACTGTTTTACCTTACCTGTGGAGAGTTCTAGGTTTGTCACCTGAACTAGGACACAGCCTCTGAGGGTGCTTCCAGGCTTTTCAAAGACTGCTCTCAAGGCAGATTTTCCTCTTTGCGTTTACTCCAGGCTCCTGGGTCTTGGGGAGGTTGATTGATTACCTCTCCATCACGCTTCACTCAACGCTGTTGAATTGAATGCCACGTCTAATTACATGCAGGTCTCCTGCTGGCTTCTCAGGGTGTCTGACCCATGGGGTGCACTGGCAGGTCTCAGGCAGAGGAGGCGTTCAGGGTATGTCTGTTGTGTTCCCCCTGTGGAGGCGCCAGCCTTAAACAGGCTCAGCCCTCCCTATCTGGAGTCCTGCAGAATGGCGCCTTCTCTGTGGCTCCAGCTCTGTCTGGGATCCAGCAAAGCTATTTTCCCTTCCTGATCCCTGGAGTTGGTAAGGGCTTCCCACTGTTGTCAGTTCCTGAGTGCCTATTTCCTGTTTGTTTCTTTACCCCGCCCGCATCTCTCTGTGTGGCCCTACAATATATCTCTTCATTTGAACCATATGGGGTGAGTTATTTTTCCTTGACAAAACCCTGAGACATATGTTATATTCTTTAATGTATGATCTCATTTTATCTTCCATCAAATCTCTTCCAACTCCAGTAAATATTTATTAAGTGTCAATTATAGTTGACCCTTTAACAATGTGGGGGTTAAGGGCACCAATCCCCTGCACATTTGAAAATATGAGTATAATTTTTGACTGCCCCAAAACTTAACTACTAATAGCTTACTTTTTTTCTTTCTTTCTTTCTTTTTTTTTTTTTTTTTGGTGACAGCGTCTTGCTCTGTTGCTCAGGCTGGAGTGCAGTGGTGCGATCTCTGCTCATTGCAACCTCCGCATCCCAGGTTCAAGTGATTCTCCTGCCTCAGCCTCCCTAGTAGCTGGGACTACAGGCGTGCACCACCACGCCTAGCTAATTTTTGTATTTGTAAGAGAGATCGGGTTTCACCATGTTGGCCAGGCTGATCTTGAACTCCCGACCTCGAGTGATTTGCCTGCCTCGGCCTCCCAAAGTGTTGGAATTACAGGTGTGAGCCACCGTGCCCAGCCAATAGCTTACTTTTGACCAGAAGTCTTACTAATTCCGTGAACAGTTGGTTAATACATAGACTAGTATCTACATGTATTTTACGCATTCATGACATATTTAACTTTTCGTTAATTTTTTCAATATTTCTATGTTACAAGGTTCATCTGTTAATTTTTTCAAATTGTTTCAAATCTCCTAAAAATTTCGAATATATTCATTGAAAAAAATTTGTGTATAAGCGGACCTAAGCAGTTCCAACCTGCGTTGTTCAAGGATCAAGTGTGTATGTCGGCCAGTGAGCTAGGTGCTGGGAGGTACCTCCACAAACCAAGCAACTCCATCTTTGGCCTTATGGGCTATGGCCTAATGGTAATGTGTATAATATTGATACTATCACTGCCCATAATAAGAGAACAATGGCTTAAAAAGTTAAATGACTTTTCCAAGGGCACACACATCAGATTTGTCTGCCTATAAAATCTCTGCTTCTGGCATTGTTTCTCTGAGGCCAATGATTTTCCTTTGTCTCTTGGGTGTCTCTAGGCTGCAAGTTCTGAGCTAGCCATAAGATCTCTGCTCTTCATTTTGGTGGCTGTAATTCTTCTTGACTTGGTGTAAATGCATGAAGTATCCCTGCCCTTGTAACCTGTTTTCTTTTTTTTATTTCTCTTTTATCTTTTTTTAAAAAAATCATTTTCTTCTCTTTTCTTTCAGTTCTCTTTTTACTCAAGACAAACACCATAAATATGCTTTGTCTTTTCTTTAATTTTCACACTTTAAAATTTTCAAATTGGTTGGGCGGAATGTACTTAGCTTGCATGTTTATGTGTGTGTGCGAGAGAGAGAGAGCAAGGAAAGGGCACAAGAATTTACACACACACACACACACACACACACCCCTATGGAATAGGAATACCATGTATTTTCAGTTCTATTTGATCAAATGGGAATGTAATCCCAGTACATACACCATTTACCATTATCACCTCCTCAGTGCTTACTGTGCTGTAACACTCCCAGCTCTTCTTAAAAAACTTTCCATGTTGTATTTTTTGCTCTTTGTTTTTACTTCCTTATAAATAGCAAGAAGTTTTGCTGAGAAGAAATAATTACAAATCCCAAAAGGTTGGTGTTCCGTTCTGAGCTCCAAGATGTAAGGATTGAGTGGATTTCAAACTTGGCAAAATTTCTGACTTGGCAAATGCTTCCATCCTTATTTATGACAGCTTGGAAACTTCCATTTTCCAGGGTTTATAAATGATGCTGCTGATTTTGTCTCCTTTTTTTATTTTGCTGTGAATTATAAAATAACCAGCCTGAAGGTTTCCTTATAATATTAACCCTCTTAGCAGAGAGGGAGAGAAGTAGAGAGAGAGAGAGAGAGAGAGAGAGAGAGAGAGAGAAGAGAGAATGTGTGTAAATTGCTGTGTTCTTTCTTTTCTTGGTTATGAGGTGCATTTTACATATTTCATAAGCCCATTTACTTCCCTTTTTCTGCCTTTCAACAAAATGAAAATCTAGAAATGTTGAGGTTTGGGATACAGAGAGTGACAACCTGTGTTTGTCATTTTCACCATAAAGGACTTCTTGGCCAGCAGTCCTCTAAGGGATGATACATTTCATCTCCAAATTGCAATTTAGCATTTGGAATTCTGGAGCAAGATAGGTAATGCATAAAGTATCAGAGAGTCTTTTTCTAGTGGTGTGAATAGGCTATTTCAGGGGGTCTCCATGCCCATATTCTTAGAAAATTGTCCAAGTGGAGGAAAAACAAAGAAGTTGTCACCTTCTTTTCCCTTGACACTCCTCCCCCACTGAAGCCTTCTTCTTTTTCTTTTTCACTTTCTTACTTCTATACTCAATTCCTCAAAGCCCACTCATCTTAGGTTTCCTTTGTAAGTGCTTTTTCCTTTCGATTCATGGGAATATGAAGAAATTAGGAGCCTTCATTTATTGGGTAGAGTAGATAGATTTTACCAAATGTGGGCAATAGGAATTTTGCAGTGCAGAATGTGTCCTCTCAGAAGCAGACACCAAGATGGAATTAAAGCTGCAAAGATTTTTATCCTGAGAAACTCTTGGGTGAGAGAAACTGGGAAGGGAATCCGAGAGCAAGGATCTGTAAGAGCATCAGACTGCAATGCAAGCAGGACTGTGGGTGAATAAGAGAGGGATGGAGGCTTAGGTCAAGCACCCTCGACTGCCGTTCACTCTAGGGAGTTACTGGCGAGGCTGCTGGGGAGTATTTGAGCCAAATCAGCCATCAGAAGACTTCCTTGTCTCCCAGGAGGGTTCTGCCTTTATATTTCCACCACTCTCACTCATTGGCTCTGGAGCTTGGCCTCTGTGCAAATGAGGCGATAAATTCCTGAGTTCAGCATTTGGTACCCTTGGTCAACTATGTTCCCTGTCCTTGAAGGTCTACGAGGTGCATTCTCAACAGTAGACACTGTCTTATCTGAGCTCCACTTAACAGATATGCTCATTAATTGCTGCTTGCCATCTCTCTGTAAAACACAATGACCAACCTACACCCTGGACACTCCTGGCTGAACATCTGGGTTGAGTGCTTTCGGAAACTCCACTTCCTTAAATGACCTACTGTCAGTTTCATTGGTTAAAAGGGCTTCTACTACAATCATTTTTTTTTTTTAAAAGTACCCAGGCTGGGCAAGTCAACATTTTGAAATGTTTAAAAAATGTAATTTTTGAGCTGTAGCTACCCTTTTATTTATGGCAACATAAAACAACATCTGAAACTAAGACCTGTTTTTGTTTTTCTCGCCTACATACTAAAACCACGAGTGATTTTTATTTCATTTCATTTTGTGTTCCCCATCAAACAAATTTCCTATCATGACAGCTCTTGTTATTGATTCATATTCTTTCAGAAGAGTGTTTATGGAAGTGTACATCAATGCCTTGCCAGGCATGAGGACCAAGTCGGAGTGGTACAGAGCGATGCATCCTCTTACACAATTACTCACTCCTGGACTTCAGCAGCCCTTGCATTGAATTGTTTTCAAGGAAAATGAGACCTTATTCAGATGCAACCAACTTTATTGAGTACTTTCTATGTGGTAGACCATAGGTTCCTGATTCAAATGACTACAGGTTGGGACAGTCCTGGGCGTCAGTAGCTGGGGTGGAGGAGAATGCCCCATGCACAGGATAGGGCTGCCCCTAGCCCAGCCCATGTTGGCGTGCAGGAATGAAAGCCTAGCGTACCCAAATCTTCTGATTTTTTTAAGACAAGGGGAGATCCGGGTTTTTATGTGAAATTTTCTAGTTTTTAAATGTTGGCAAGACCCTTCACATTTTTTAAGGTCTCTATGAGCCAAACATAACAAGTGTTGATGCCAAATGTTGCCGTTTGTGACTTTCTGGCTGGACATTCTGCTCGTGGCTTTCAGACGTGGTTCCTTTACAACAGCCCTGAGTAGATACTTGTCTTAAGTCAGGCTTCCTGGAAACAGATGCTGAGATGAGGATTCATGTGCAAGTAATTTATTAAGGGTGTGCCTGGGACCGGTATGGGGAAGCAGGACAGTGGGGGAGGAGCTAAGCAGGAGTATGATTTGAGCCAAAGCCTTGTGGAGGTGGTTTCAGCCATTTAGTTTCAGTGGTTTAAGTTGCCCTTCAGAGTTGTCCCACCCTGAGCTTAGGGAGCTGGGCTTTCATATGTGTACACCTGTCAGTCATTAGCTGCAGGTTGCAACAGGCAAAAATGGGCTCCAATAGCTCAAGGGAAGGCCTCCAGAAAAGTGACACAGGTGCTGGCTGTTGGCACTGCAGGGCACACAATGGCAGTAACAGTGGTTCTGAGAGAACCCTCACGACCCACCACCAGCAATCTGTGGCTCTCCCTAGTCGACAGGCTGAGCCAGAATTCAGAAACTGATCTTTTGACTCTGTGGCCAGTGCTTGTTGGCACCCTTTCCACCTGCTTCTTACTGAGATCAGCATGCAGAATTCAGATCATCTTAGACCCTGGCAAATTGGTATGTTGGCCCTGGGCTACTAGCTCTTCTTTTCCTCTAGTAATGCATGGAGAGAGGGTGGCATGGCTATTCAGAGGTGGGGCAGCCCAACAGGAGCAAGAAAGGGGCTCTGGAGCCCCCAACCCTGTAGGCAGCCCTAAATGGGCTCCCAAGAGAGGCTGAGGCAGCTCTCAGTTCTAAATTTTTCTTGCTAAGTTTGGCAATTTCTTCCCTGAGATGCAGACAGTGTTTCTGGGTGCTCTGTGTCCTGGTGAGTTCTGGGCCTATGAGACACACTTGTCCGCTGCTGGAAAGGTGGACCTTTTGGGGAAATAGGCCAGCAGCTTCTACATCTTGCATCACAGTGCCACAGTATGTAGGCTGTTTCCTTTGGAGAGCTTAAAGCTATTCATGGTTTTAATTTGGAGATACACCCTCTAAAATCCAACCAATTTCCCTTGAAGGAAATCTATCAGATCTGAGGAGAGAAGACAGAAGCTACAGCACCATCTGCTAACCAAACACCTCTGGATTTTGTGGGTTCCAGAGGCAAAAAGATCAGTTTTTTTTTTTTTTTAACTGAGTTCATCACGTGTTCCCAGACACACCTGCCCCGTGCCTTCTGCTGTAGTGGACAATTTGCTCATCCTTCCAACTCCTGGATTACCCAGGACAGCTTTCCTCTCCCTGGGCTCTTGAATGTGGTTCCAAAATCAAGCCAAGTCTTCCTCACCCAAATCTTTCAAACCTGTCCATTTTGTGTACCCCCACCCTGTCTACCATCCTCCAGGCCCTTTGTAATTGAGAGGGCCAAGCTGGTCTTCTCTCTCCCCTTCTCACCATGCTTCCACCCCCTGAGCCCCACATTATCTTCCCAAGATGCAGGCTTGAGCCTTAGGCAACTTGCGCAGCTGAGTAGATTAAGTCCAAGCTTCTCAAAAGAGCATCCCAAGTTCAGGACATTGTCACTCCAGCCATGCTTCCCCACCCACCACCTCTGGTCCACTTCCTTAAGCTGCCTACTCCACTTGGTTTGACCCTCTTCCTCCCACCACCCTCAACTTATTGATTGGGTGACCTTGAACTTGGCACTTAACTCTCCAAGTCTTAGATTTGTCCTCATTAAAACAAGGGTGGGGTGACTAGGAGATTTAAGTGGAAAAAAAGTCTGGCAAGTCATTCAGACAGCATGGCATGCAGTAACAGAAGCAATGACCATAACAATGATTATCATGATTGTTACCTATCTTCCCACCCTCCTAGAAGCTGGCACAGAATTCTGCACACAGAGTGGCACCTTCTTTCCTATACCCCCATATTAATAATTGTGCCATAGTGTTCATCTGGTGAGAGGAGCTTGGGTCTGCTGTTGCTGCATTAAACTGGATTGCTCCAAAGCATTAGACCACATGCCACTCCTGTCAAAGGTGCTACTGGGCTTTCAAAGAAACAGATGAAAAAGATGTGATTCTCAGTTGAGTTCACTTTTGTTGAGATGTGTGAATGTTTCTGAGTAAAGCTATGTGGGACCTCATAGCTGAAAGGCTGAATCAGAAATAGGGAGCTTCTGAGGCACGGAAGATCAGTAAAGCTTTAGGATTCTGAATGAAACTAAATTCCACCCCCCACCCGCCATGGACAGCAGAAGCAAAGATCTCTGGGGAACTTCTTCAGGATGTGAACCAGGGGCTGCCATAACAAGTTACCACAAACGTGATGGTTTACAACAACAGAAATTTATTCTCATCATTGTGGAGTCTGGAAGTTTGAAAGTGAGGTGTTGACAGGGTTGGTTCCTTTTGGAGGACCTGAGGGTCTCTCTTAGTTTCCAGGGGCAATTATCGGCATCCTTTGGCTTGTAGCTGTATCACTCCAGTCACTGCAGCTGCCTTCAGCTCGCCTTCTCCCTGAGTCTCTGTGTCCTCTCTTCCTCTTATAGAAATTCTCATTAGATTTAAAGCCTACCCTAAATCCACGATAATCTCATCTTAGTAATTTTTAATAACATTTGCAAAGGCCCTTATTTCCAAGTAAGATCACTGTCACAGGTTTCAGGGCTCAGGATTGGACATATCTTTTTTTACAGGCCACCATGTAACCCACTACCTGGAGAACAGAGTTGAACTGAGAGGTTGATAGCACAATGGAAGGTACAGGATGTAGATGCCAAGAAGATCTGAGTTCCAATCCCTGTTTGGCCCATGATGTGGACGTATCCCCTAACCTCACTAAATCTCAGTTTTTCCTTTTCTGTAAAAGGGGGATACTCATTTCCACCACGTAGATTGTGAGAATAAGTTAACAATGCATGTATCTAGTACTTAGTAGATTCACAATATAGTTATTGTCTATAGCTATTACCACCACTCATTCATTCATTTAATAAAAATTTAAATCTCTGGACATCAAGGTGAAAGAGACATATCATATGGCTTTTAGTCATAAAAACACTTTGAAGGAGTTTTGTGTTTGTTGAATGAATAAACAGGTGTTCAGATCTGAAGCCTATCAGAAGTATTTGCTTTGTTCCAAGCGAAAGAAGGGGGTTTGGCAGGTCCTCTTATGCACTGTGCTGCCTGCAGGGTGAATGATGATGATGGTGATGCCAGACTTTAAAGGAAGCTCCTATTTTAGACTAGTGTTTATAATCCTTAAAGAATATCATTACATTATCATTCACTTCAATGGTCCACATAGGTGGTCATCAGAGTGAATTCTATGGGGAACTAATATCAAGAGGCAATGTGAGGTGTCTTAACTAAAGAAAAAAACTTACAGCACAGAGCAAGGTGGGGCCAGGCAAGTAACAGTTAAAGGGAGGAGAGAGGGGCAGCCCCTTGGAGAGTGTGTGTCTTATTTAAACAGGGCAGCTGATACTCACTCGTTCATTCAACCATGCATTTAACCCTTCTCCTTGCCTTGGACTGTGCCAAGTGCTGGGGCCACAGGGTGAGAAAAGCAAAGTACTGTCTTCAGGGAGCTTATGTTCTCTGAGCGCAACTCCAGCTCTGGGTGCCACGTGGGAATCTAGGGCTTTTTGCTGCCAAATCATCTGCTTTTTAAAGAGAAGAAGCCAGAGGTTATGTGAAATCTCCTGATTTTTAAATGTTGGCAAACAATGTACATTTTTAAAGAACACTGTGCAGGCCAGACAAAACTTGTCTTTTGACTCAATTGGGCCTGGCCTGTAGGCTGCCAATCTGTAACCCTTGGGGTGGAATCTCATGACTTTTGCCTTAAGAAACATTTTTCAAATGTCTGATTTTACGCTAATTCTCATTTTTCCTGACTTCATTGCAAGCTGCCAATGCTTACTGCTTGTTGTCTATGTCCTCCTGGATTTAACGATTCCTAGGTGCTTCACCTCTGCGTTTTCAGCTGAGCTAACCTCAGTCTATCAGTTTCTCCCTTGCAAACCTAAGCCCCATATCTTTGATTACAGTTTCGTGTTCTCTCAAGCTTCCAGAAAGGCTCTGAGCATTGCCCATTTTTCCCTCAACATTTCTTCTCTTGAGAATTGGAATCTAGTCCAAACCCTTAACTAAACAGCTTATAGATTAGAGCTGCTTTTAAGCCTTTCTTTTGAAACTTGCCCTTCCAATTTTCATACCCATTGAGTTGCATTGACTCCCAACCTTAGGTGTGATATTAATTTCTCTCAGAGGGACATGGATTTAATAGACTTTTTAATTAACATTTTGCAGAATCGGAGCTGTCATTCTTTATGGCAGACTGATACAAATGTCTATAATTACATTTTTGGCATTACATCTGGGGAAAAGTCTAGAGATGTTTGTTTTAACCCCTTCCTAAAACATACTGATTTATGGGCAGGCCTCTTTGTGCACACCTCTAACAGGCCCAGTTGCCATGACAACGCAGAACATCATTTGTCAAAGAGCTATAACTTCATTATATGTTGAAGCTGAAAATTTATCTTTTAGAATTTATTTTTATGACAGGGAAATTTTGCATTTCCATAGATATGCTTCTTCTCCCTAATTCTGCTTGTCTTTAGGGAGATTCAGGATTCAGGTGAATACTTTCTAGAGAACAAGACAAACCTCCTACCTTTCATTCTCTCCCCCTACCCCCAGATGAATTATTGTATTCATTCCAAAGAGAACTCAGATGGCCTCATTAGTACAACAACACAACAAAGGTGAAATTGTATGCCAAGTGTGTCTAACTAAATATGATTTTTGTTTCTTTTAAAAGATTAAAATTTTATTGGTTGATTATTTTTGGCAGTAAAGTTCAAAGAAAGGGAAGAAAGAAAATGTCTGTAAATCCTTCCTACAAGCTGGAGAAAGTGAAATATTTAGTTATTATATTTCCTTGTGTGATGTGTGATTCATGGATTGAAAAGTCAAAGCCGATTAAAGGGGCAGGCAAATATATAAATTAGTGCAGTAGGCTCCTGGGGACTGTGTCAAATGGAATGCTACATGCCTTCTCTGAAGATAGTAGCTTGTTAGTGTTTACTGACAAATGTGGACCCTTGTACAGGATTGTTTGTTTTGTTTTTTTTTTAAAGAAGCCAGAAATCTATGGTGTTTTTTTTTTGTTGTTTGTTTGTTTGTTTTGAGATGGGGTCTTACTCTTGTCACCCAGGCTGGAGTGCAGTGGCACGATCTCAGTTCACTGCAACATCTGCCTCCCAGGTTTAAGCAATTCTCATGCCTCAGCCTCTCCAGTAGCTGGGATTACAGGCGGGTGCCACCACACCTGGCTAATTTTTGCATTTTTAGTAGAGATGGGGTTTCGCCATATTGTCCAGGCTGGTCTTGAACTCCTGACCTCAAGTGATCCGCCTGCCTTGGCCTCCCAAAATGCTGGGATTACAGGTGCAAGCCACAGCGCCTGGCCCAGAGATCAATTTTCACATGAAATTTTCTAATTTTAAAATGTCTTCAGGTCATATGAATTTTGTTTGTTTGTTTGTTTGTTTTTTGTTCTTTTTTAAGCAGGTAATAGTCAAACAAAGCACATCTGAGGGCAGGTTCACTCTATGGACTCCTAGATTTGGTTTCTGCCCTAATGAATGCTACACAACAGCTTAGAATGGCTTTGTTTCTCTAAACGAAATAGCCAAATCAATCATTGTGCTCTCCAGGCCTTCTCAGGATCTGGTGTGTTGAGTGTTCTGTCTGTTGGCCTCTTAAGGGGCGATGTTCCGCCTGTTTGCATGCTGGGCCGTTGTTGGACTCTGCACCACCCGGGAGAGGACACAGTGAGAGAATCCCACCTGCTCCTCGCCGACATGCCAAGATGGATGGCGGGGGTCCATCAGATGCCTTCTGGGATTGTTCAGGGATTTATGATGCTCACTTTTTGTTCTTGATGGATGGGGTCATTTAATCCTCTGCACTAAACCCCATCTTTTTCTTTTGTATTGAGAACTCCTGGACTGCTGCTGCCTTTCCACAAGGGATAGCAAAGATTTTCTTTCCTCTTACTGCATTTGAGAGTGTTTTGTTACTCATTCATCAATGAGGGAAAAACACTAGTAATTCTTGGGAATAAACCATCAAAAACATCTGGGGCAAAGCTTCCCTGTGGGTATTACTGCACCAGAGTAGGAGCAGTTTAGGGAACACCCCCTTCTCTCCAAATCATCCTATGGTGGACATCTATCACCTATCATCTCGCTGGTTGAAAGTTAGATTTAAGACATGTTGGCATTCATGTAGACTTATGCTAAGTATGGAAGCCTCACAGTGGCTCTGGCAACGACAGCAGGTCAAGACATGCTTCATGCTTCTTCCCACCTTTCTCAGGCCCTCCCATGATGCCTTTCACACACCCTAGGCACAAGTCTGTCCTTGTTTACCCTCACGTTCTTGTATACAGTTTCCTGTACACAGAATGTTGTGCACCATCGTATCTCATTTTAACCCAGGCAGGGCTTTATTGATCCTTTATGGGCATTTAAATATTAGCACCACTGGTTAGAAGTGTGATAGAAACAGTTTCCCAATAAGTAGCTGTTAGAAACTGGCACAGGTTTGGGTTCCTTATTATTTTCCTGTCTCCTTATGCTTTAGAGCAGCCTAAGGGTGTGTGTGTATGTGTGTGAGCATGCGTGTATGTGTATGAGCATGCATGCGTGTGTGTGTGTGTGTGTGTGTGTGATTTTGGCTTAATTTTTCTTTCTTTGAACTGTTCTTAGCCTATAAGAGAGAAAGGAGATGTTATAGATTATTGAACAAAATATGCTCATACCCTATGCCAGGTAGAGGCAGTTTAATCTCCAAAGCTTTTCTCAATATTTTTTTAAAAAAGTATTTTGAAATAACCATAGAATGGTAATGAACTAATTATGATCCCATATTCTGTGTTTACTTCTTCCCTCAAGTGATTTTTAAAAATCCTACTGGCATTGTATTTTTTAAACAATATATGAATTACAAAGTAGTAAAGATTTCCTATAATCCTGCCACCCAGAAATATTTCATTTAGTTTTCCTAATGCTTTTCTGTGCCTATAATTGTTCTGTGCTTGAATCATATTGTATATAAATATTTTTATTTCCTATTACATGTACTGAACAGTATATTTACAAGGATTTCTTCATGGAGTTAACATTTGTCATAAATAAACTTTTCCATCGCTCTGTAATATTCTATCCTTTGAATAAACCATAATGTGTTTGATATTTTCCTAGTATTGGATGTTTAAGTAATTTCCAATTTCATTGTTAAAAGTAACACTGTAATGGGCATCTCTGTCCATATCTCTGGATTTTTTCCTAGGATTGATTTCCAGATATAACATTTCTAAATTATGAGGTTTTGATATTAAGACCCTTATAATATATTGCCAATTTACTTTCCAGAAATATTGGCACAGTCACACCAGAAGAGTATACAAATGCCCATTTGTTAGCAACCTTGTTAACATTGTTTTGCTAATTTCTCCCCTCATCTTTGCTTTAGTGTTTATATGCTGTTTTATATACAAGTCTAACCGAAGGGAGGGGGTCAGGGAAAGGGAGAGAGAGAGAGGATCACTGCCTAATAAGAAAAAATTCTAGTTTTCTATGCCCGTGGTACATTGGTGGTCAGTTACCCAGGAGAGGCACTTTAGCATATACCAGACAGTACTTTAAGTGTTTTCCATATGCCAACTCCTGTAATCCTCACAACATTCCTGTGAGGTAGATACCACCATTATCCCCATCCAGAGAAAGAAAGTGAGGCCCAAGGAGGCTAAATGACTTACTCGAGGTGACGGAGCTAATAAATGTCACAGCAAGAATTCAGACAGGGCCTTTGGGATCCAGAGTCTGCATTCTTGTAAGAGAAAAGAAGAGACTTCAGGGCCTAGGCCACATGATGGATAATCAACAGAAGGGGTGGTCAGCACAGGTGATCACAGGATGTAAGTACACTTAGGAGATTCTCACAGTTCTCTTTTCTTAGTGACTGGAAGAGTAGGTTCTGATTCAAAGTAAGATAAACCTCTAAAAAAGGCAAGATATTTTAGCTCAGACGGAAAGATCTTTCACTGCCACTGAAATAAAATTTGTAAATTATTCTTCATGATCATACCCAGTTAACTCCAAAATAATTCAGAAATTGCATTTGTTTTATGCCTAAAAAACATAGTTGTTTTCTAAATACGAAGAGGTGTTAGGGTTTTCTTTCCACCTTGACCTTCAGAACATGGAATCTGATGAAGCTTAATATTCTTGTATTCTCTTGTTACCCGTTTCTCTCCATATAACTGGAAACCTAGTGGCTTTCTTAGATTCTTAATAAGTTACATGCCTGTGATGTTAAGTTAACAATCACAATTTAATTCAATACACAAGCAATTGGCACCCACACAGGGATGCTAGGCATTTTAAAGAGGTTCAGAGATATGAGACATACCTTCAAAGGTTTACGTCCTCACAGGGAATTTTAAGTTCACAAGAAAAATATAACAAGGTAGAGCAAGATAAAGATATTAAAGAACCAAGTGCTACAGTGATCAGAGAAGCTATTTCTTGCTGCAGAGATCCAGGGAAGGATTCCTGGGAAGCTGACATTTCTGCTGGTCCTGAAAGGAGCAGTAAGAGGATAAAAGCAGAGACGGAGGTGAGGAGCAACCTGGTGGAAGTGTCAGGGCGAGGGAGGTGTAGAAGCAGCACAGGCCCAGCTGTAATCACATGATGCAGCATCGTTGTTGCGTGTGATAAACATGCATTAATGTCTATGGCTCCAGCTGTGTATTACGCAATCTTTAACCTAGATAGAAAACCCCAAACCCCTTGAACCAGCTGCGAAAACATAAAGAGGACCTGCCTTCTCCTTCATTTCACTGTCTTCATTCACCTCAGTATGATTTGCTGTAGTCTTTTTCAATAAAAGTCTGTTTTACGGAAGTGCTCCTGAGCTGGCCCAGTGTGTTTGAATCGCAGGGAGGAGGACGATGCGGGAGAAATTGGCTTGAATCCTTGGTTTTCTTATTTGGGCCATAGATAATATCGGCAGCCACCCCCGCACCTGGATAGATTGGATGCGGGCACTCCTGCACACTCTATGGAGCCTTGAGAAGGCCGTGCTGGGCTGAGTGGGGACTTCTGTGTCAGAGGAGCCCACAGCTGAGGCTGCCCTTCTTCAAGTGTGGCCTGTCTCAGAATCATCCAGTTAAAGGTGCATATTCTTGGGCCTCATTGGTGGTGGTGGTGGTGGTGGTGGTGGGTGGGTAGGGAGGGCAAGAGACTGCATGTTCAAAAAGCTCCCTACAGGGTTCTGATGCACACTAAGGTCTGACAGCCATTGTTCTGTGAAGTGCTTCTCAGCTTGGGCTGCACACTAAAAATCACCTGGAGAGATTTTTAAAATATCCATGCCTGGGATCCACACTAGAGGAACTAAGTAAGAATATCTGGGCATGGGGTCTTGACAGCAGTCTCTTTTTAAAATACCTTAGGTGATTCTAAGGTGCAGACAGGTTTGAGAATAACTTGAATTGGATGAGAGTAACCTAATGCTTTTAGTGATTTGCATGAGAAAAAGAAAGGAAAGAAAAAAAGGAAGGAAGGAAGGAAAAAAGGAAGGAACAGGAAAGAAAGAAAGAGGGAAGGAAGGAAGGAAGGGATCACTCTAGTAGATACTAAGAAAGGAAAGAAAAAAGAAGGAAGAATAAAAGAGGAGAGACAGAAGGAAAGAAAGAGAAAAAGAAAGAAAAGAAAGAGAGAGAGAAAGAAAGGCAGGAAGGAAGGAGGGAGGCAGGGGAGGGAGGGGGCAGGGATCACTCCTATAGATACTAAGATGAGTGTCCAATCCATTCTTACTCTTGTATTTTAGGACTACATATAAATCTTTGGAGCTTCATAGCAGCTTCCCTTGATAACCCAAATCAAGTAACTCACTGACACTTTATTTCTTACCTGGAGCACTTTTTAAAAACCCAGGCTATATCCCAGACCTAAGTAAGGATTTCTGGGGGCAGGACCATCAATGTTGTTAAAGTTCCCTGGGTGATTCCACTGTGCAGCAAGGGTGAGAATTGCAGGAGGATGCCCGGGTGAGGATGGGCACAGAGGTGTCTCCATGTCTTAGTTCATTTGACTTTCATCTTCCACTTGGGTAGCTCACTACAATCGCCATAGCCACTGTGTCTGTGGTGTTATACTGTCACCTGCCTAAAATTCTAGCTTAGCTGGAGAGGTGGGCATTTTCATACAGAACTTTACAAAATACAAACGGAGAACCTATCAAAAGCCTATCAATAAGGTTGCCAGATTTAGCAAATAAATACAGGATTCCCAGCTAAATTTGAATTTTAGATAAACAAGAAATGATTTTTAGTATAATTATGTTTCATGCACAAAATAAAAAATTATTTCTTCTTTGATGAAATTTAAATTTAGCTGGGAATTCTCTATTTAATCCTACCTATAAAGGAAGTTAAATCAAATCAATTTAAAATAGCAGGTGTCTGATTCTACAGTTAATAACAGGTCTCCAGGATTGCTGTGCCCTGGAGGCTGCCCCCAGGATAATTAGGCCTGAGCCCCAAAGTGTTAGTCCCCCTTTCTTAAGTCACTGTTAACAAGGAGGGAGTTGACCACTAATTACATTTTTTCCCTTGATGATCTAGGTCAACACTTAGTCTGGAGCATCTAGGAACCCCTAGAAGCATTGTTCTAGTCACTTTCCATTTCAAATCGGAGGGGTGTGTCTCATGTTGAGCCAGTATAACAATTGACTTCATCTTTCCTGGCTCGGGTTACTACCTCTGCGCACATGTTGAGAGTTCTAGTTCAAGCCCACTGACTGCAGGCAACAGGAAAGGCATCTGTAACATTACGCACAAACCATTACTCATACACAGGGCCACCTTCATGGGACTGAGATCTGTGCTGTCATATAGCTTAGCAGGGCTGCCTGCTTGGTTTAATGCTCTGTTGTCAAGATTTTGAAATTCTTAATATTTTATAAATGAGGGGTCTGCATTTTATTTAGCAATGGACACTGAAAATTATGTAGCTGGTCCAGCTCATGCAACAAAACATGGGCAATATAGACTAAAAGCAGTGGCATTTTTGCACAGCTGATAATTTACATTCCTGGTAGTGGGTATGGCCTTAGTCTTCTCTCTTGGGTAGGTGATATTCCTTTGGCGGGGAAAACCATAACAACTGCCTACCCATGCCTTCTAGCTATTTCAGGGATGCCTGCCTTAACAAAGACTTCTGCCATCCAAATCCAGACGTTTTATCTGGGAGCTTGAATTCACCTACATATCATTTCAAGTGTGGCTATCTTTCAGAGTGGCATTTAGTAGGTGTCGCCATTCATCAATCAGCAATTATTGAGTATCTGGCCCTGTGCAAGACATCTTTCCTCGCTTGCCCCTTCATCATTATCAATCATCACAGTAGATGTATCCAGTGCCCATCTGTGCATGACCCTTTGTTTCAAGATGGTGTGTGCTAAGCTGTATTCTGTCAGCGAAATGAGCCCCCACTCCAAAAGGCAGTCAGGGTTGTCTTTGGAACAGAGAGTTTCTCCTCAGCTAAAAAAGGATGTGTCTATCAAGTGCTAAAGCCACGGGATATGTTTTCTGGCCACTACTAGATTTAGACAGAGATAACAACAACAAGAACAACAAGAACAACAACAACAACAACAAAAATGCACAAAACTCCAAAGATGGCCCATTGGGTTGGCAGAAAACCAAAGCTGCCCCTCCCCCCTTCTTTGTAATGGTCAGGTTGTAAAATCAGGCAGTTGTCTCTCAAAATCATTGCTGAAGATAGCCGCATGGGTAACAGCAGCGTGAGGCTGACCCAGGGAAGCCAGCTGATGGAAAACTATTCTGAAATCCTGTGTGTGAAAGTAACCTGAAAAATAAAATGTGTGAGAGCAACGTAAGGCATTTCTTTTCTTATTTATGGCTCATAGAGCTTGCTTGAGGCATTTCGGCATTTCCCCTGCAATGCCAGCAAATCCTAATCTAATATAAAACTCAAAACAATTGACAAGACAGAACAGCTCCAGAAACATAAGGAGGCCCTCGTGGTTGAAGAGTAAGACAGGATTTACTGGCATGGCTCGTGTATTGTGCCAAGGCATAATGCTAGATCCCATCACATTGTGGGGCCGTCTTAGAACAGAAATCTCAGGGAAACAGAGCTTCTTACCATTCTAGCAAACACCATAGTTCTGTTCTTTGCCAAAATGTTTTTAAGTTAGCCTTATGGCAGAAGTAAAATTGTTAAAATATGCTGACATATTGTGAACATTTTATTAATCAAAGAGTTACTATTCAGGTATTTAAGGCCGTGCATGTTGATATGGGGCAAAAAAATCACTGCTAGGTTTAGAGAAATGCAAGAAGAGGGCAGCTCTTCCTATGATCTGCCCTGTTCTTTTGCCCTAGTTGGTTGGGAAATGATGGCTATGTTGGTGCTTTTAAGTAAGAGAAGTAGCCCTGCAAGGAACTGAAACATCTTGAATGAGGGAGGATGCTCCTGAGTTGAATTAAATGGAGTGGAATGATGGGCAAGAACCCACCAGGTACTTGGAGCATGTGAGTTGCAGTAGGGAAAGTGGGATGAGCAAGTACAGTCAATGCCCTTGGGGGACTTGCATCCTCATTGAGAGAATAAATTATTATCCTATTAGATTACACTCTAATGTAATGTTATTGTTTTCTAGCATAATCTAATATTATCATCTAGTATGCAGGACCACAGTTTCTTGTCCAAAACTCATGGAACAGGATGCCTTGGATTTGGGGGATTTGGAAATTTTGGAAATGCTCACTATGGTTCATACAGTGATTATCACTACCACCTCCGCTGGGGCCTTGGGGAGCTCTCCACAGTCAATGATATTTCTGCGGTGGCACTGAGGCTGGTCCCAGTAACTGGGATCAGTAAAGTCTACAAAGAACCTTACAACAATTCAAGTCAGATTTTCCTGCCAAGCGAGTGTAACTTTGGGTTTTCAGAACATCTTGGATTTCAAAAGTGCAGATAATAGATTGAGAGCTTGTCGTAGAGTATAATATAATATAATATAATATAATATAATATAATATAATATAATATAATAATACTGGAATATACTATAACAGAAATTCAATGAGGGCATTATTTCCCAAATACCCAGAACAATTCCTGGCACAGAGTAGGCATTCAGTAAATATTTGTTAACTAAATAACAAAAGTAATAAGAAGAAATGTTACTTGTTATTTTATTGAGTGTCTATACCATGTCAGGCATAGAGAAGCTTCATACTAATCCTTTCAGGTAGGTGTTGTTATTCCTATTGTTATTCTTATTTTAGAGATGAGGAAACTGTTTCTGAGAGAAGTTAAGTGACCAAAGCTACCAGGGTGGCAGTTGATAAAGCTGTGATTGAAACTAGGGGGTTTGGCTATGGGGATCAAGAGCCCACTTGGAAATGTCAGGCTGCCTGGGATCTAAGTCCTAATTCTGCCGCTCACTGGCCAGGTAAACTTACACTAATGGTCTGACTTTGCTGTGCCTCAATATCTTCACATGTAAAATGAGAATAATAAGTTCTATGTTATAGAATTATTTACAGATATATATAAAGTGCTTACAAACTGTGTTTGGAACTTAGATAGACCCTCAATGAATGTTAGCTTAAACTGATGCTTTCGAGGGAGGCTTTGTAGCAAAGAATTTTGTCTGATTGAATAGAGAATAAAAAGATAAAACTTTAGATAACCTCATATATAACCCACTAATCAAAGAATAATCACATGCTACTATGATAAACTCAGGATCCAGTAACTAAGTCTAAGTCACAAAAGAAAGTCTATTTGGTTGTCTCAAGTGATTTAGGTGTTGCTAAAACTAAATAACTTTTCTTTTAAAAATTGGTAGACTAAGAATAGAAGAATGCTTCCTTTATATGCTAAAGATGCCATGTCATATACCAACAGTCACCATCATACTTACTGATAAAATCTAAGAAATTTTCCCATTAATATCTGAAGCAACACAAGAATGCCTATATTATTACCATTATTTTATCACATCCTGGAAGTTCTGGCTAATGGCATAAGACATGAAATGGTTATAAAAGGTTTGCTTATGGAAAAGGCAAATATATTAATAATTATAGATATTATGCTTTCTTCAAAAATAGTGGAGAATCAAATTACAAATCCAATAATAAAACTAGAGGTCCTATAATCTGGCTGGATACCATATACAATATTTAGTGGCTTTCCCATATGTTAGCAATAATGTTAGACAATATAATGGCAAACGTGTCACTCAGAATAGGAAAACAACAACAGCAGCAGGAACAGCTATAGTACATCCAGAAGAAAATAGCGACAGAGATGGGGAGGAAGTTATGTGGACAAGATTGTTAGTCTCCACAGAACTTACAATAGCAAAAAAAAGGAAAAAGAAAATAGTGTGCAGTAATACCAGAATAATTAACCGAATTCATTGAGTGATGGTAAAATTGCAGAGATAATAAAATAAAGTACATGCTCGCCATACAATGTTAAGAAAAAATGTACAATATTACACTATTTTCAGTGTATATTGTATATGCATTATGATCCCAAACTTATTTTTTATGCAGTAAAAATGATGAGATCAAGATGTTATTATCAGACATGGGGTTGTAGGTGATTTTTATTTTCTTCTTTATACTTACCGCATTTTCCAAATTTTCTACAAAAAGCAAGCACACAGTCATAGAATACAACATGTTACTCAAAAGTATTTAAGAAAAAATAATACCAGAGGAATCAATGTACCTACTATTACTTTTCTTCCGATATAGTATATTGTAATTCACTATTATAATAGTTCACTATTTTGTGAAGTTTTATTGCCAATATATAATTTAAAGCAAAATAAATGGTGGCTTATTTACCAAAAATAGATAATTCTGGACTTTAAAATATAAAATAACACTACATACCTTCTGCTTCATTGATTTAAAAAATTGAAATTCTGTACAGAAGCCTTAATGATTTTTTTTTTTTACAATGTTTTGCTATGCAACTTGGATTCAATTTCTGGAGTAGAGGGAATGCCAAGATGTGCACAAAGGCCTTGGGAGGTGAAATAACATCCATTTCATTAATTCTTTGAAAAATAAATGACCTCACTTTCTTTATGACTATAGTAATTAACACTCACATTTGCACTGATTCAGAACGATGCTTTGTATTATTTATTACCACCCATTTGTGGTTTGGTGGTCAACCTAATGGGTATCTTTGTCAGAAAGTTTCTGTTTGTGAAACACATTGAAGTTGTTCTCATCTGCTTGTCCAATAATTTCTCATCAGAAGAGTCAAATACACTTTAAAAAACTTGAAATAATGCAGACCACAGATGAGGGCAGATTTTAATTCTGACTTTTAATTGGCCTGTCTTGTATCCTGTTCACTCTGGTAAAATGCAATATTGATTAATTTCCATGAATCCCTTAGTCCCTTGCACAAAGCTTAGTATGTAACAGTTGTTCAGGAAATGTATGTGGACTGGATAGAAATGAGAATAAAAACCAGAGGCTTCAAACTCTTGGACCCGTCCTCCCATTTCACTGTGACGGGTCTTAGTACATTTTGATTCTCATCTAAAGACATTAATCCTTGGGGTCACTCTTACTCTGTAAAGAGCAGTGACCATCTTGCTGCATTAGGTCAACACCAGATATTTATGGAGCGCGTACAGGCCATGTGCTGAATCGGGCTGAGCGTTAGTTTTTATGATGTGGAGCTGATTTCAGAGCCTCTAGCAGATGCAGAGCAATCTGTGCATTCTTCAGGCCAGGCCCCAGCGTGCCTGTGGGTTTTCTCTGCTTTGCTGCCCGGGAGCTATGCTGCCGCCTTCTCCCTAATCCCTGCAAACAGGCAGCGTGTGAGGAGTCTGCCAGCACATCAAGTGTGTCTGCAAAATGCAGACAAATTGCTGCTCTTTATTAGAGGTACGGATGAAGGACTCTGGGAAGCTCTGAAACTACAGGGCTTTGGGTTTCTTGGCTACTTTTTTCTCAAGCTCTACTTTCAGAAATACGATGTTAGTAAGTGGTACATTTCACTGCCAACATCCCTCCCTTCCTCCTTTCATTCCTCGTTCTTTCCCTTTCTTCCTCCTCCTCCTCCTCCCTCCTTTCTTAAAAATTTAGAAATAAAATAAGACCTTCTTATTGCTTTTTCTTGCTGATTAGGAAAAATAGCCAGCCAGTTCTAAGTTTGGTCCTTTGTGAGAAATGTGTCCTCTGCCTGGCGTCAGTCATGCTCTCATGTGAACATTCCCTTGAATTTGTCCTGTTTCCAGCTCATCCTCTGCTACCTTGATGCATTCCAGGACCACAATCATTGACAATTCTTTTTTTTTTTTTTTTTTTTTTTAACTCTTTCTCACTCTGCTCTTGTCTTCGCTTTGTCTAACTTTGATTCTGTGGTCGCTGGTTATAAGGTCACTGTTTTTTTGAGAAAATCAAAGCTGTCTGAAGAAAACACCCACAAGCCTCCCCAGACCATATGCCACCTTTATATGCATGGCCATGGCTCTGCCTTCTCTCCTGATACAAGGCTTCTCCCCAGGACCGCCCTCCCCATGTGCACTGGCTGGACTCTGACCTCTTTTGCCTGTTGAAAGACATCACCCCAGCCATTGTCCACTCTCTTTCCTGCAGCGTTACATTTTCTTCTGAACCGGATCATTCCCATCAGTTTACAAATCTGGAAGCTCATATTCCTCTATTCCTCATGTCTGAAAAAACACACTGCTCTTGACTTCCCATGCACCATGCCCCAATCTAGCGCGCTGTTCTCCTTTGCCTCCAACAACCTTCTCTCGAAAGGGTTCTTTCTTTCTCCAATTCCTCTCTTTCTCCTTTCTCTTTAATTCCCTCAAATCAAGCTTTCATTCCAAATGCTGCACCAGAGTGTCCCCTTCAGAGGTCGTTGCATTGCTAAGTCCCATAGCCCCTCCCAGTTCTTATCCTACTTGGCCTGTTGGAGGCACCCAGCGCAGCTTCTTGTTTCCTTCTTCACTGACTTCACTTTCTTCACTGGCTCCAGGCTGCTGCATTCTCTCTTTTCCTTCTACATGGGTAGTAGAAGGAAACTACCAAGTGGGACTGTTGCTGAGCCCTGAAGCTCAGTCTTTGAGACCCTCTCCTCTCCAGCTGCTCTCCCTCATATGGGGATTTTATCCAGTCTCATGGGTAGAAACCTCAGATGCATTTTGAATCCGTCTCCATGCTGGCATTGCCCACCTCTCGTTTCCAATGGAGACCTGTCTTCCGAACTGTAGGCTCGTATGCCACCTATCTGCTCAGCAGCTCCACTTGGATGCCAGGTGAGCATCTTACACTTGGCATGACCAACACAGAGCGCTGAGCTGTCCCATGAGATGTGACCCTCCCACAATCAAACCCAACTCAATAAATGGACACCCAGGCTGAAACCTGTGAGTCCTTGTGACCCCTCTCTTCACTTACACCCCCAGCCTATATTAGCTCTGCCTTCAAAGTATAGCTAGACTCCAACTGCTTTGCTTCACCTTCACAGCTACTAACCTGGTGCAGTCTTCTCTAATCTCTCCTAGAATATCTGGCCACATTGGCCAGAGTGCACCCTGGGCACCGTACTCTCTCCCTACAGCATTTGTATCTGTGGCTCCCTCTTTCTGGAATGTTTTTCTCCTCTCCTTCAGGTCTTTGTTCAAATATCACTGTCTCCCGGAGGCCTTCCCTAACCATTGTTTTCAATTGCAGCCCTTATACCTGCTAGACTGTCCCGGTCCCTCCTCCCACCTTACTTATGGTCAGAGCACTTGCCACTCTCAGATGTGCTGCAGATTTCCTTGTTGTCGTTGGTAATTCTCTGTCTGCCCCCACAAAATATAAGCTACATTCACGGCAGAAATTTTGGTCCATTTCTTCACTTGTCCTAAAACAGTTCATTGTAATAAATATTTGTTGAATAAATGAATGAAAGAATGAACATCCCAGGTTGAATCTAGGGCACAGCAAGGTTCAGAGCCATGTGATGAGACGCATCCCAAGAAAAGTGTCACTGTTAGTGGCCCAGATGTTTCCACATGTGCAGATATGTTCAATCCCATAGACAAAACATTGAAGCAACCAGTGGAACTATTCACCCTTTCTCCAGAAGTTTGATGACACAAGCAGTGTGAATGACTCTGGAATCCCTGCTAATCCCCTGTTTTCATGTCCAGCCAGTCTTGCATACCATTACATTTCTTCTGCTCAGGAAAAGGCTGACTGAGCTTTGTCTGGGTATAGGACGTACTTTGGGATGCAACTCCGTTCCTCGTGAAGAGGCTCTGACCTCTCTATCTGCACTTCCTTCTTTACTCTTCACCCTCCTGATCTAAGTCTTGCCCTCCTGCAAATCATACTCCCCATGGCTGCCAGCGTTATCATCATAAATCTGTGTTTTCTTATCTGAGGGAAAGAACGTTTTTAAGGCACTATGTGAGAATCTCATTCTGGTTCTGGATAGCTCAACAGCCAGCTCTGAACCCAGAGGAATGCCGTTGGCTGAAGTTACTGATCTGCTTCAGGATTTTACCTCCACTGCAGGCTCACAGGTATCTGACTGCTCCAGGGTTGGGACTCTGGCCGTGGCTCTGCCTCTCCTCGTTTTCCACCCATAGTGCTGCTTCCCTGGCCTCACTCTGGGTTCTCCAGCAGAAACCGGCATGCTCATGGGTGCTCCCATCTCCCTGGGGCTGATTTCAGTGATGGTTGGGGCTTCCCTCCGTATGACCATTGGAACCTCACCTCATCCACAGTCTGGCACCACTACTTGGCTACATTAATTATTCAAACCCTCAGTTTTTTAATGCCACATTTGGAGAGAACTAGATCTGAGTGAACATTTGGGAAAACTAGACCCACTGTTAGAGCCAATGCAAAGGCCTTAGAAGACCTTAGACTGGGGGAACCCAGTTTTCCAGAAGTTTATGAATGACCAGGAGTGTCTCTAAGGAGAGGAATGAGGCAGAGTATGTACCTAGAGGACCTCATAATCTATTCCCATGATCCAGTCTTTTTGAATAATTCTTGGCATCTAAGAGCAAGAACTACATATTCACTTTGCTTCATTTGCTGTCTGTGTGGCTGAATGAATTCCCCAGCACCTCAGTTCCCTCCTGTAGGAATGGGGGGTCATAGCATCTACTGGATGGTATTACGGTGAGGAGCTAATAAAATGCCTCATGCGTATAAAGAACTCAGTAGGTGCTAATTCTTCCTACTATATGGCACACAGTAGGTTTTCAATCTCAACATTTTAAGTTAGTGGGTTGGTTCCCTGGGTCTACAGTAGATGAGTAGTTATTATGCCTGCAGGTGCTCTGGATGCCTTGTAAAGTGAATGAGGCATGCGACCTGTGTTTCTGCTCTTCTCTCAGTAGCCTCCCCTCCCAGCACAGCATTCTCTCAGTTCCCAGGAAGTCCCCTGAGCTGCAGGCCTTTCTCACCTTTCACTTTCCTTCCGTTAGAGGTGGCTCCCACTGCCCTTCACTCCCAGGACCCGACTGAGAGGTGAGCCAGCTGCCCACCAGCAGTGCTTGGTTTGAATGGTTGTGATGGTTTGATGTGTTCTTTTTACCAGGGAAAGTTGCATTTTCCCTGGAGATTTTTGAGGGCAGTGTTAGAACTCAAAGGTGTGGCTCTCCAAAGGTGGGTCACGTGCAGCTTGGCCCTGCCCTCAGTCAGAGAACTGTAGGGGGCACAAGTCAGGGAGTGTTGCAACGCCTCAGCCCTGTGCAGACCTGCTGTAGGGGTAGAGGCTTTATGCTATGCACTATGTAGAATAAAGAGTTGAAAAACTAGAAGCTTTCTTTTAAGGAGTTTACAATCTAGCTGAGGACATAGATGAGTAAACAGATTGTTATAATCCATGGCTATCAAGATCTGCAAACAGTTTTATGTGAGCAGACAGGAGAAACATTTAGCCCAGTCTGAAGTGGTCAGGAAGGCATCCTGAAAGAGCTGATTTTTGAGGGAAAAGGATTTTAAGGGGGAAGGATTGGCATTGACAAGACATAGAGGCAAGACACAGCACAATATGAACATTGAGCTACCAATCACTACTGCAGTTGCTAGGGTGTAAGAGGGGAGATACGAGAAGAAAGTTGGGGCCAAGGCCTAGGTGAGGAGTTTGGATTCTAAGGCAGTAATGTGAAGCCATTGATCCATTCTAAGTAACAATGAGGGGAGGAAGAGGATCCTAGTGGCAATTTAGAAAGGTCTTTTCAGCTGCAGCATGGCGGATGGACCAGAGGAGGGAAAGAGGGAGGCAAGAGGCTAGAATAGGCCATAGCTGCAGCTGCCTGAGAGCTGGAGAGGCCTGGGCCAGAGTGCTGGCTGCTGCCTTTTCAGCCAACCTTAGTCCAGCCATGGATGGTTCACTGTTTTGAATAAATTAATGGGCTTTATATTTATAAACATATTACAGACTCCTCCCACATTCAGAATAAGTCAGAGAATTTTTGTAAGGGGAGGGAGGTCAAATTTTTGTAAGGGGAGGGGAAAAATGACTCCCTATTCTTCTCTTGTTATATTTGCTGATGTTTCTGGGTAACTTTCATAAATCTGTGGTCTTTTCCTGCCCTTCTGTTATAAACAGCTGACATTTCTGAAGGGGAACTGAGAAGCACAGTAACTGTAAGAAGCTATAAAGTGTTAATCATGAGGGAAATGCAAATGAAAACTACAATGTAATACCTCACTCACACACACACACACACACACACACACACACACACACACACACACGGCTATCACTATTTGTTTCTATTTATTCGTGGCTATTGCTATTGGCTTCTATTCGTTTCTGCCCATTACAGAAAGGAAAGTCTTCTCAAAAATGGCTGTTATAATTTCTTGGGTTGAATAAACCCAAAGAGGAAGAGTAAATACTAAAGAATTCATCCATGTAACCAAAAAACACCTGTACTCCAAAAACTATTAAAATTTGAAAAAAAAAATACCACCTTGCTCCTCAAGAATGGCCATAATTTAAAAGTCAAAAAACAATAGATGTTGGTGTGGATGCGGTGAAAAAGGAACAACACTTTTACACTGCTGGTAGGAATGTAAACTAGTACAACCTCTATGAAAAACAGTATGGCGATTCTTTAAAGAACTAAAAGTAGAACTACCATTCGATCCAGCACTACCACTACCAGGTATCTGCCCAAAGGAAAAGAAGTTATTTGAAAAAGACACATGCATAGGCATGTTTATAACAGCAGAATTTGCAGTTGCAAAGATATGAAACCAGCCTAAGTGCCCATTGACCAATGAGTGGATAAAGAAAAATGTGGTGTATACACACACACACACACACACACACACACACACACGGCTATCACTATTTGTTTCTATTTATTTGTGGCTATTGCTATTGGCTTCTATTTGTTTCTGCCCATTACAGAAAGGAAAGTCTTCTCAAAAATGGCTGTTATAATTTCTTGGGTTGAATAAACCCAAAGAGGAAGAGTAAATACAGATGTCTCATTTCATACAATTCTCAGTTTAATTGAAAGACTTTAATCTTGCTAACTTCTGAATTTGACAACGCTTAATTGTGTAGATTCAAGCTTCCAAGCTCAAAGATTCTTGGCTAATGATAAGTATAAATATATGCCATGGAATACTACTCAGCCATAAAAACGAATGAAATGATGTCTTTTGCTGCAACTTGGATGGAACTGGAGGCCATTATTCTAAGTGAAGTAACATAGGAATGAAAAACCAAACACTATATATTCTCATGTATAAGTGGGAGCTAAGCCATGAGGATGCGAAAACATACAGAGTGATATAATAGACTGTGGGGACTTGGTGGGGTGTCAATTGAGAAGTGGGTGAGGGATAAAAGACAGCATATTGGGTACAGTGTACACTGCTTGGGTGATGGGTGCACTAAAATCTCGGCAATCCCCACTAAAGAATTCATCCATGTAACCAAAAAACACCTGTACTCCAAAAACTATTAAAATTTGAAAAAAAAAAAAGAAGCCATAAAGTGTTACAGAATGCTAAGGAATGTGCTTCTATTTGTTTCTGCCCATTACAGAAAGGGAACCCTTCCCAAAAATGGCTCTTATAATTTCTTGGGTTGAATAAGCCCAAGGACATAAATAGAGATATCTCATTTCATACAAGCCTCCATTTCATTGCAAGACTTTAATCTGGCTAACTTCCAAATTTGACAATGCTTAGTTGTGTGGATTCAAGCTTCCAAGCTCAAGGATTCTTGGCTAACAATAATTTATTTGGTTGGGTTAACAGTTAAACCTGATGTGAACATTTACCCTTTGAAAGTACATATTTTCGTATTATAGTTTCCAAAGGGATCTGAGAAATTGTCCTTCCTGGACAGACCTCTCATCGTCCCCTCCATGTGATCAATAGAATGCAGTTTTCCAAGCAAAAGCTATATTTCTAAATCATTTAAGAAGAAACAAGTGGAAATTTAATTTTAAGCTGGACACTATTTTTTCCTTTTACAGTCAGCTCATTTTTCATGATTCTTTATTTTTCCCACCAGCATCTTTCACGTTAGTGTTTTAAGGAAGGAGTGTTTTATTGCCAAAGTCTTCACAACATGAAGGCCTACAAGCAGTTATAAAGATTGGGCTTAGATGATGTATATTAAAAGTGATAAATCATTTTCCAGCCTTTCATTACATTTTGTTTTCTCTGGATCCTTACCTCCTCTGACTCATGTACCTGGGCTGATGAATGCCCGTCTCTCCAGTTACACTGTAATCCAGGGCCTGTGTTTCATTTGCCTGCCAATAGTGATAGCCAATAAATTAATCATGCAACCACACAAGCCTTGCCATGCAGGCTGCTGCCAGCGTAAAACTGCCCATCAAAAGCCTGCAACTCTGAATCTCCATTTATCTAGTACCCTCAAGACTCGCATCGTTCCCAGCAACTGGAGCTGCAAATGCTCATTTCTTCATAGGCATGGGCTGGGAAAATGAGAGAAGGCTAATTAATGCATTCAAGAGATCCTACTGAATCAGCAAGCCCCTTAAAGGCACAACAGACACAAACAGGCAGCTGCAGCTCCTTGGGATTCAAAACAACAACAAAAGAGCTAGTTAAATATTTGAATAGCTAAAGTATATGTCTATTCATTCCCATGGAAATTGCTAAAATAGGCTGTCCTCCCATCTCCAGAGGAGTCAAAGTCATTGAAATCCCAAAGCCTTTTATCCTGTCAAACATGCCTTTGAAGAGCAGGACATTTACATCTCCATAACAGGCCAATTCAACATTAGTGGTAATAAAACTTGGGTGCATGAAAGGACTCCAGAATGTGGTACCCATTCACTCTGGCCTCTGGGGATGCAGAAGTAACTTTTTGAAAATAAGACTACTATTGCCCAATCCCTGTGTTAGTTTGGCATTTTATAGTTGCAAATGGTTTGAACAATAGTGGAGATTTATTGTTTCACATAAATATACCATCCAGGAGTAAATACAAGCTTGTATGTGGCTTGATGCAAGGCCCAAACACTGTGGCCAGGATCCATCTTTTGGCTCTTTTCCATTTGGGTGGCTCAACTTGAAGACAAACATTTGTCTTATGGTTGCAGGACAGATGACTTTCATCCACTCTTGATGCTATATCCTCCAGATGCCCATCCAGCAGAAAAGAAAATTACGGCTTATGTCAACCTTCGAACACACATCATAGACTTCGTTTTGATCAGGCCAGCTTTATGGTCACATGCTCATCCTTGAACAAATCAGTGTGGGCAGGGATTGGAATTATGTTGATTTATTTATGTCTGAGCCATTGGTTCCACCTTGAATCACATAGGTTGCCTGGGAGTTGGGTGAATAACCAAAGGAAAATCATTACCAGTTGAGGAGGAGGAGGAGGAGGTGGATACTGGTTGGCAGTGAAAACAATAGACAAATAAACTATATTAGTCTGCTCAGGCTGCCATGACAAAAACAGACTGGGTGGCTTAAACAACAGACATTTATTTTCTCATAGTTCTGGAGGCTACAAGTCCATGATCAAGATGCTGGTTAGTTGGGTTCCTGGTGAGGGCTCTCTTCTTGGTTTGCCAATGGCCACCTTCTTGCTGTGTCCTCACATGGCCTTTTCTCTGTGGCTCCAGTAGAGAGGGGCAGAGAGAGAGAGAGAGAGAGAGAGAGAGAGAGCTCAAGCATATGCTCTGGTGTCCATTCTTATAAGGACCCCAGCCCTACTGGATTAGGGACCTACCCTTGTGAACTCATTTACCTTAATTACTTCCTTAAAGGCCCTATCTCCAAATATAGTCACACTGAAGATTTCAACATATGAATTCTATGTGCACACAATTTAGTCCCCAATACAAACAAAAATGATAATCCGCAGCTGTGCATCTCTGATTAATCCTGGTTTAGGTGTGATTTTATCCACTAGGAGTCCAGTTGTAGTTGTTTCTATGGAGTCTGAGAATAAATGTACCCAGGTAGCTTCAAATGTACACTGTGAAGATCACCTAGTTATGTACCCAATCATGTTGTTTCTATTTACCAACTATGAATTTAGGGACCAAGAAGATTCCTGGAGACTGACATTTAGTTACGATTCTAGAACTATGAAAAAATTTGACAATCATCAGGCAAGAGACCTTTATGGAACTCATCTTTCAGTAGTGCCTTTAATGAAAACTTATGAGATCCACAAGAAAGCCGGAAGTCTGAGACTATAGAATCAGACCCTCTGACGTTTTGAATTATGGTGATGTGGCCCAGCTTAATCACTCATGTATTCCAACATACCCGGCGCCAAATGATCTTTGAGCACGAAAAAAATCAAATTTTCTCTCCAATAATAAAGATTTGCATAATTGGTAAACTCTAGTACATTAATTCAAAGATAATTCCCCAAGGGGAGCTTTGAAAATATGGCAAAAATATGAGACATCATCTTTGGAATAAAGGTGTGGCCTTCTAAGGAGATGGCTTGTCAATATGAGTTAGAGTGACTTTTTATAAACTTCTTGCTTCCCTTTGTTGTAAACATTTATATATTACATATTGACATACACACCTACATATGCTTTAGAGACTACATATGTACTTTCTTAGGCATACATATTGGAGTCTTTTTATAAGATAAAAGGCCTATATTTTTATAGATGAGGCTGCTTTGCAATAAGATTCACTTGGAACTTCACTATTACAGAAAAAGATAACCCTTAAAACAGAAAAGATGATTTCTCCTCCTGCTGCACATACAACACAGTTTGGCAGGGGGGACTCTATTCATTTCAGTCTCTCAGGAACCCAGAACCTCATGATGCTGCCTTCTAAACACCAGGCTTCATAGTTCACTGTGGCAGGATGAAGAGGAAGCGAAAAACCCAGGACTGACTATTCAATTTTCTGCCTAGAAGTGCTGGGTCATTTCTGCTTACTTTTTCATTGGCAAAAGCAAGCACCATGGATCGGTGGGTGGGGGAGTCCAATTATCTTCTGGGCAAGGAAGGAGAGGCAAGAAGAGCAACATCTAACGTAATCATGGATCCGTGCTATACCAAATTTGGTTCTCAATTGAAGAATGCAATGGTGAAAAGTTGCAATCCATCCAAGATTTATTCATTTATTCATTCAGCTCTTTAGTATCTACAATGAACCAGGCACTGTACTCAATGCTAGAAATACAGTGGGGAGACAAGACAGAAATATGTATTGCTTTTAAAGAACTTACAGTTTAGGAGGAGGTTACAAGTAAGTAGATAGCTAAAAATTCAGAGTGGGATGGAACTATGACAGAGAAAGAACAGGGTGCCTTGGAAATACAGAGAATGGGAGACACGACTAATGAATGTTCCTACGGTTGTCTATCTCTGAGCTTTACAATTCAGTCTCTACTATTTTGTGGGCATTTTATGTCCTATTTATAAAACCTTTCAATTAGAAATTGAGACATCTATTGAGTACCTACCATGTGGGAAGTGCCCTGCTTGATGCTGTTGTATCTTATGAAGCTTGCGGAAGAGAGTACGGAGTTGAATAAGACACTTTTCTTTTTCCCACACAGAGTGCTTAAAATCTAATAGGAGAAATAAGATTACATAAATAATGAATGCAGTGCAGAATGTGGTGTTTATCATAAGAGACAAAAAGCCCAAATGTCAATGGAGGTATTTCTGATTTGGGGAATAAATAAATGCTTCATGATAAGAGTAACTTTTAATGTGAATTTTGTTGAATAAATGAGTTTAATGGTCAAAGACAAAGCATGGGGGTTACATGTCTGGTGGGGAAAAAAAAAACAAAAAAACAAAAACAAAACATCAAACGCAAAGACACCAAATCTGAAAGCTGCCTATAGGCAGAGAATGTGATTATTTTATTCTACTCTCATTACATCCCCAGCATTTATCACACTGTCTTGCATCCATCAGGTGATCAATGAATAGTTTTCGAATGAATTAATAGGAAAATTTGAGGCATCTTTATTAAAGGTATGCAAACTAATAGTTTAACTGGAATCTTAAGGTGAAATTAAGGTGATAAAGCTGGAGCCAGGTCATGGGGCCAGGTAAAGATTTTGAATGTTATTGAAGAGTTTGGACCTTATTATTCCCTTACCCCTATATTTACATAAACCATTATGTTCACCAAAGCTCACATGACCTCAAGACGGTCCAATCAGGTGGTCAGGACAGTAATTATTGCCCCACCCAATAGAGAGGAACTCAGAGACAGACTAAGTAATTATGGAGGTTATGTCAGGAAATAACGAATCTAAGACTCAACACCCAAGGTAGTGCAAACTCTGTTTCTGTTCCTTTGTACTGCATTACCCCTCTGTTCTGAGGCAGAAACGCCCTTTTGGTGTTGGGAGCAGTAGAAAGAAATGACGCTGTCAGAGCTGTTTCTAAGATAAACTGGGAGAGAAAGGGGCTGGCAGCCAGGTCACTAGGGAGGAGAACATTAAAATAATGTGGGAGAAGACCAAACTGCTGTAGTGACCATGAGCATAGGCAGGCTAGGATTTCTTTTTAGCAGGGATAAAAGGTTTTAGCATAAATTCTACCCTTGTTGGTCAATACCTAGGTCAGGGTTTCGCAATCTCAGTACTGTTGACATTTGGGGCCTTGAATTCATTGTTGTGGAGACTGTCCTATGCATTGTCCCTGACCTCTGCCTGTTAGATGCTCCTAGCACACACTCTCCACCCACCCCACCATTGTGACAGCCCCAAAATATCCCCCTGGCCAAATTTCCCCTGGGAGGCAAAAATCGCCCCCGTTTGAGAACCACTGACCTAGGCAATCAATTTTGATTAGTTTCCAGAAAATCAGTGGACCCTAAAGAGCACATTGGGCATTTAGTGGGAAAACATCAAGGAAAGAAATGCAGTCTCATCTGATGGGTTTAGTTTCCTTCCACTGACAGTGTGCATGATGGCCCATAGTTAATTCGTTTGACCAGCATTGCATTTTAAATAATGGGTTTTCATTTTGTCCTATTTATGGTCATTTTATCCAATTATTTTTATTCAGCACCCAGCTTTATAAGTGTGTATAATCCTGTTATGTTCTATTCCATTATGGGAACTTCCTAACAGAAGAGTACACAGTAATACAATTAAATAAACATTTTGGCTATTGTGTTGGCCTCACACATTTCCTGACTTTGGCTGGATTCGAATGTGGTTATGGGATGGGAAGGGAGACAATGGGTCACTAAAAAGAAAGACAAAGGTGCTGAAAGGTGACATGAAACAGGTCACCATGGTTCCCAGATTGGTGGGAAGAATTCAGGTACCACTTAAAATGGAAAATATCCTGTAATGAGAATGGAGCTAAAAACCTTACCATTTTCTTCCTCCCTTCAAAATTCCATAATACAATGGCAAAAAGTTTCCTGTGCGGTGCTTTGCATGAGCTACAACAAATGTTGGTCTAGAAGGACTAAAAAAAGAATTTGCATGTTTTATATATGTGAATATAAATAATGTAAGTATAAATATGAATATAACTATAAATACGTAGCAGAAATTGCAAAGGCGTTTCTAAACACATTTAATGTGGTAACAAAGCTTATGCAAGAAAGAATGGAGAGCACGGCCTTCCTTCACGCTGGGCTCACTTGGTGACTGGGCATAATGGACAGGTCTGGGCAAGTCAGCCAAGACGTGAGTCATTGTTTAGGTTTTCCTTGGAAACAAAAGCTCCTGGGAATTTGACATCAAGTGTTTGCCAGACTCTGCGGACTTGTTAGTCTCCTGCAGGGCCACTAACATCGCTTCTAAGATGATTCCCTGAGAATCAGCCAGCTTCCTCCGCAAAGACTTGCCCTGAGTGCTAACCAGCATGGCTTTGCAGAGAGAAGGGAATTTGGGACATGTCTCAGGGAGTCATTCATCCAACATTAAGACAGTGTTAACAGGGAAATTGTGTGTGTGTGCAACCAGACATCACCTGCCTTCCCTGCAGGGAGCTTCGACAGCTGAGAAAATGTTTATAAAGCATTTTGAGCTCTCACTGGGGTGGTACTGTAGAAAGGCAAATCTTTGATATGACTTTCTCACGTCTGTCAACTCTTATTATTAAGCAGAGGTTGCCCCTGCCTTTCTCAAAGTTCCAATCATGGAAACTAATTATTAGGAGTTGCAGGTTCCATTTTTCACCTACCCAGTGAAGATTGTGACCACCTCTGTTAAAGAAAAAATCTTTCTGGAATCTACAAGAGATGTAAAAAACTCAGTGTTGTATGTAGTTTAATTGGGAATGAATAAAATGTAGACTCACTAAACTGCTTTTGAAATAGTCCACATGTACAAAACAAAAGAGAGAAATAGTTGGCAAGTTTCTTCTCAAAACTAAATGTTTGAAATATGTGATCAAGACAGCTTGCTATGTTCCAGGCAAGTCTAATTTCATCTATTCCCACTTGAGGCTTCTGAACTTTATGGGATGTAAGGCTTTTATTTTTAAAATGCTGCAACAGAAGCTGATTAATTTTCAAATTAAAGCAATATCTGACCTCTAGTAAGTTTCCTGGCATATAGCAAGCATTCAATAAATACTGTTTTTTTTTTTTAATTGCTTTTGCAGAGCACTGGCCTTTTCTCTTAAGATGAGGATATAGTGGCCCCAAAGCCTCTGAGTATTATTTAGCAGGAGAAAATCTAGGCCGGTTGACTGAGTGCTTTTCCTTATATTGCACATGATCTCACATTCCCAAAATACCCAGGCTCAGGAAAGCTATATAAGGCCATGTGTCAATCTTCTCAGTCATATATGCCTAATGTTTAGTCCTATAGACTTTGAGAACTTGAATAGGCCTCAGATGCCATTTCTCAAATTTTCTTTTATGGAGTAGGAAACAGAGTCCATGAAGGGGGAAGTGGCTCACTCAAGGTCATGCCGTTCACTTCTGGCAGTGTCTAGAGAGGGCCCACATCTTCTGACATTCTAGTCCAGCTCTTTATTCCACACTACTGCCTGGAGTGCTGGATTCTAAGAATTGCTCAGCTTTAAATACTGTCTTCAGTCATGTTCCATTGGAGAGCCACAAATCAGGAGAGTAGCAAATATATTTGCAAAATACATAATGGTTTTTATGTTGTATGTATAATTTGCATATTGGCATTTTCATTACATTTGCTATATTTAATATTGTTACGCTTTTTCAAAATTGTTGTTCTCATCCATTCCACAAGTGTTTATTGAGTGTTTATGCAAAGCATTGGAGATAGTGGTAAATTACACAGACAAGATCCCTGTAGCAAATGCTGTTGGCGTCACCCCCTGCCCGTGTCCTCTCAGCTCTCACCACCCCAGCACTTGACTGCAGAGTCTTGCTGCAACCACTCATGACTCTGCATAAGGACCTTCTCTGGTCTGGGGGTGGTGGCTCATGCCTATAATTCCAGCACTTTGGGAGGCCAAGGTGGGTGGATCATGAGGTCAGGAGATCAAGACCATCCTGGCTAACACGGTAAAACCTCGTCTCTACTAAAAATACAAAAATTAGCCAGGTGTGGTGGCACATGCCTGTAGTCCTAGCTACTGGGGAGGCTGAGGCAGGAGAATTGCTGGAGGCAGAGGTTGCAGTGAGCTGAGATCGCACCACTGCACTCCAGCCTGGGCAACAGAGTGAGACTCTGTCTCAAAAAAAAAAAAAGAAAAGAAAAGAAAAAAGAAAAAAAAAAGAAACAAACAAAAAAAGGAGCTTCTCTTAGCTGGAAGCCTTCAGTCAATGACAGGTGGGAGTTGGAGGGTAAATGACCCAGCTTCCTCAGCTTTGGGATGGGATAACTCTAAGGTTCATTCTACTCCATCACTCCAAGTTCCCCAGGCATTTGAACTCCAGTTGTCCACAGTGTAACCCACTGGATAATGTATCCATTACAGACTTCCTACCTCTTTTTGTTTCACTTCTTGACTACTCCTTTTGTGCTTCCTGGGATCTCTTCTTAGTAAACTACTTTTGCTTGAATCCTTAGTCAGGGTCTGTTTCTAGGGGAGCTGGTCTAAGTCGCTGGCTTCTTGAGGCTCAAATTCTAGAAAAGGATGCAGATAATAAACAACAAATCAATAAAAAAGGTCACATATGGGTACCTATTGAAAAGAATGAGATGATAGAGAGTGGAAAGGGGTTCAGAGAAATTCTGATTGAAGTGTGAAGTTGGGGTCCCTCTGATAGTGTGATATTTGACCTGAAACCTGAAAAACAAGAAGTAGTTATAAAAAAAGAGCCTGAGGGCCGGGCGCGGTGGCTCACGACTGTAATCCCAGCACTTTAAGAGGCCGAGGCTGGCGGATCACTTGAGGTCAGGAGTTCAAGACCAGCCTGGCCAACATGGTGAAACCCCATCTCTACTAAAAATACAAAAATTAGCCGGGCATGATGGCATGTGCCTGTAATCCCAGCTACTCTAGAGGCTGAGGCAGGAGAATTGCTTAAACCCAGGAGGCAGAAATTACAGTGGGCTGAGATTGCACCACTGCACTCCAGCCTGGCCAACAGAGCGAGACTCCGTCTCAAAAAAAAAAAAAAAAAAAAAAAAAAAAGCTTGAGAAGAAGATTCTGGGAAGAGGCATGAAAAAATGCAAAGTGAGCAGGAATAGGAAAGAGAACACTGGGCTGTTTCATGGGGAATGAGGCAGGGAGGGGGAAGACCGAGTAGGTTGGCCTTGTCATGAGAGACTCTGTAGTAAGGATCAGAAGTTTATACTAAATGCAAGGAGAAACCGTTGGAGGATGTTAAGCAGGTGAATGCAATAATCTGATTTATACTTGAAAATGGTTACTCTGGCAGCTCATGGGAAACAGATTGGGGGAGGAAAGAATGAAGCAGTGAGCTAAGTTAGAAGGCTACTGAAGAAATCTAGGTGAGAGATGATGGATGCTTTTCAGTTTCCAGACTCAACTGTTGATAGAGAACAGAAGTAAATAGAATACAAACACAGAGGACATACATGTTTATGTCTTCGTCTCTGTGGGTATTTATATGTATTGAAGTGGTTCTTAGCATTTGGGGGTGAGAACTCTTTGAAAATCTGATGAAATCTGTGGATCTCCTCTCCAGGAAAATGCAAATGTGCACCGACACACAATTTTAAATTTGTGCTGACAGGTTGGGAAGTCATGGAGTCAGTTAATAAAACCTCAAGCATATTTTTTTTTTTTTTTTTGTCTACATCTGTTAGTAGGGATAGGCTCTCTATAATGGTAAGTAAGTGCCAAAGTGGATCACAGTTCAAACACATATTTTTGTTTATGGATAAGAATTGAAGGAAAGATAGCTCAGCATCATTGGCCCTCTGGTAGAAAGACTCTGAGATGCATTCTACTCTGTCTACGCCCACATAACAATACCAAGAGAATTCGTTGTTCCTTGAAATTGCCCTGTGCTATCTTCAAGCCATAACTTCCAAGCTTGCCCTAGGTGTTATCTTAATTCTGGCCAGGTAGAAGGGAGTACACAGAGGAAGTCTTAATAGGCAAGGCCTGGAAGTGGGACCCATTGCTCTGCTCCCCTTCATTGACTAGAATTTAGCCATCTGGCCACAACTAACCACAAGGGAAGCTGGGAAATATCGTGTAGCTATTAGCCCAGCAGGGTGGGGAAAAAGGGAAATACGAATTTCAGAGAACAGTTAGGAGGTTCAGCCAAATACACACATTTTTCTTTATATTTGTCACATAGGAGTTGCTCAGTGTTACATTTTTAGAGACCAGTGGAAATACCTCACATTGTAAGTTTGATGAAGGACAAGGGATGGAGCCAAGTGAAAGTTGGTCAGGAGGATACAATACCCTTTGTGTCATGATTTCCAGAACCAGTTTAACTCAAAGCAAGCTCTCTTCCTACACTGTGGAGATGGGGCTTTCTTTTATTAAGGATATGTCCTTAAGTAAAAGATTAAGATCAAATTGAAGTGGAAACTTGGCCCCAAACTACACTGTTCTGTGCCCGGAGGGACTGGAATTAATTTGAAGCAAACTATTACTCACCCCGATTATGTGCCAGTAGGAAAGGGAGATGATGATACTGTCAACAAGGCGAACTTTTGCATTCATTTTTTCTCACTCCAATGAGCAGTCATTCTAGATCTCAGATGTGACAGTTCATTGGCTACTCAGGCAAGCACTTGGCCTGTCTACTCTGGACTCAACTCTGGTCCATTCTCTCCCTGAAGCAAAGCAGCCCGGGGACTCCTCTTTCAAATGTCCTTTAGGGAGTGGGTGTGGGCCTAAGAAGTTGGAGGTGAAGTCCATTTTTATTAGTAAATCATATTTTACCGTTTGATTCCATATTCCATGACAATGGTAAAGTCATTTTTCTTGGGGATGGAGGGTGGTGAGTCTTACCTTAAAACATAAAGAAATTACATTTGAGAACATGGCAAATTTTAATTTCTTCAGCGTTAAAAGAGAGGAAAGCTGATTTTCTCTTAACATAGTAAAATGATTTTTCTGAAACTTAAAAATATCCAGAAGCTGTTCTCTCTTGAGATCAGAACCTTTCTAAGCCTCATATTTAATGTTTGCTCAATTCAGTACCTACAGGGAAGGTCAGGTTTCTTCCACGTTGCCTGTTCCCAGCTCCTTCCTCTGATTCTCTCATTTACATCATAAATCTTCCTTTTCAACCCCCTATGTTTTAGCTCTTTCCTTTAAGAGAAATTTGAAAAAGTGTTTTTTTTTTGCCATTTATTTTATTTAATTTGAATTCCATCTTAGAGTTGTTAATGTGTTTACATGCTATTTTTTCCTACATTCCTTCTCTCCGGTCAGGGAAAATGTTGAGCTTTCTTCAACATGAGATGGATTTAATTGGTTAATTTCATAATTTAGAGTCTTTCTTGGTCTACATTCCAAAAGGAGGGGATTCTTTAAGCTCAGTACAGCTACATTTACTTTTGAAGGAGCCCTTTATTTTGCAGTGAATAAAGTGTCTCTTATTAAACAGAAAATAAAAGAAGGTTTGGCAGGACTCTACTCCCCATGGATGAAACATCACAGGAAATTGAGAAATTGTTTCTTTTTGGCCTTGTGGGAAAATTTTGCTTGTGAAATTTAGTGTTAAAGTTTTAAGACGACTGCTTAAATCCATCAAGAAAGAGCTGTTGAATGAATAACAGCTTCTAGGGAAGAGGTGCCAACCTGACCTTTCTATATCTGGTCTTTTAAGTGTTTGAGGAAGTGTGCGGTATGATCAAGAAGATTGTATTCTCTCCTACATAATGACTGAGTTAATTTTAAACAGAACTTAGACATAGTTCATCAATTTAAGAATAATTTTGTCAAAAGTTGGCCTCAGCTGGGTGCTCCTTCATTTGTGCCTATAAGACAGGGCATTGTACAGGCCCAAATGAGAAACGAATCCTAGGTAGAGAGTCCAGTTTCCATTCTCAGATTGATCTATGGGCTCTAGAATTTTGATACGAAGCCTGTGTCTTGAGCTTCAGACCATCCTGCCAACTGAGGGTGTTGCCTTCCATTTTCTTCACATAGGCACCTTGTTTGAAATTTGTGGCTAAAACCCATGTTCTTGGTTTGACTCCTAAATCTGTTTTCCTTCTAAGTTCCTTAGGGACTCTGTGGGCAGCATAACCACATACTTAGTTGTCCAAATCTGAAACCTTCATTGTTTTCTCTCCACACTCCCCTCAATTTGCAATCAGTCACCAAGTTCTGCTACTGTCCCTAAATATGCCTGCAGTCATCTCCTTTCTTTCACCTTCCCCTTCCCCAATACCCAGTTCAGGCCACAATTCTCTCATGCCTTGATTTCTCTAAAAACCTCCTTAACCAATCTCTTGCCTTAATTTTTTTCCTCCCATAATCCTGATTTCACCCTGCAGCCAAAATGATTTCTCTAAAATTAATCTTTACAATGTTACTTCCTGGCCTGAGTGTTTTTTTTGTTTGTTTGTTTGTTGTTTTTTTGCCTAACTGTGCGATTTTCACTATAATATCCAAACTCTTGACTTGGCCCTTACTTGTACTTCCCATTTCCCTCCCCCAACCCCCCTTCCAGCTGCATCAGCCTCTGGACACATTCAGCACTTCTCACCTTAGCCAGAGCTGTATTCTGAGTGCAGTCAGTGTTCCTTCCTCTGCTCTTTCCCATTCTTGGCTAATTCTAATCTATTTTCTAGAAATCCTCTGAGCCCTCTTTCTCGAGCCGCCTCCCAACCCTCCGTTGGAATAGAGGCTTCTTTTCTGTGCTCACACACCCTGGACTGACTTCTTGGATGGCTCATCCTCCACCGAGAGCTTCTCAAGTGCCGCTTTGCAGCTCATTTCTCTTTGAAGACTGTTCTGCCTGATAAATAAATAAATGAGAATGAATAACTACTTAGTGTTTTTCTATATTTAAAATTGAATCCTAATTATACTGTTTTAAAATTCAGTTAATTTTGGTGATTTTGGAGCATGGGAAATGCAACTAAAAAAGAATGAAAAAAAAACCCACTATGATTTGACATCAGAAGATATGAATCCTGGCTCAGTGACCACGAGCTGAAAGATTTGCTAAGTGTATCAGCCTCCCTGAATCTCAGTTCCTCGTCAATAAGCATAGGATAATTTCTCATGTAAACAAAGGTTGGCTGAGGACCAAGGAAGAAGTGCCCGGTGGGTAGGTGGAGGCACTCAGTGAACTATAATGACTTCACAAGTGAGAGGAATTCTTATTTGCTTTGTATCTGCAATTCTCATTGTACCTGTGCAAAACTCCAGCTTGGGAGAAGCGGGGTGTGAATGGTTTCATGGGGCACACGATGGGAGGGGAATATTTGTGAGGTCTCTTCCCAGTTAGGTGGAGCCACACCAATGGTGGGGAATTCAGCAATTCCTGTAAGGGGAAATTGGAAATTGTGCGTCTTTAGTTTTCCCGTTGGGTAGAGCTCAAAAACACACTTCTACCCTCTCAAATACTGTTGGTGAAAGTGAGACCTGGCATAGTGTTGTAGCAATTTGATAACCTGTATTGAGAACCTTCACAATATTCATTCCTTTTGAATGAGTAATTCAATTTCTAGAATTTATCTAAGGGAATTATTTTTAACAAGAGAAGGGGAGCACTTAAGGTGTGTAAAGATGTTCATTGCAGTTGTTTATTATAGTTAATGATCAAAAATAATCTGAAATGTGCAATCAGTGAGGGACCATGATCACATTGCCCTTCAGTGAGTTCTCTAAAATGGGAATGTAACATTGAAAAACATCTTAAGTGAAAAAAACAGGCTTAAAAAATTCAATCTATGGTTTAATTAAAAGTGTTTAAATCAAACAAATTTAAGAAAACAAAAGATGACCAGTGGGAAAATACACTTTGTTTTAAATGGGGTTAGTTGTAACTAAGAAATCCATAGGCAGGACTCTGCCTCCCTAGACTAACAGCTCCAATGACTGAAGTTCACTGTCTTCTGTGCAAAGGAATCTTTATTTGGCTTTGGCTCAAGGCTAGGCCTTCATCTCATCTTCTAAAACCTAGAAGGAAGCTTTCAGAGGAAAATATAGATCAGAAGTAAAATTCGGATTAGAAGTTGGGGGGCTGAAGTTGTAGGATACGAGGGAGGGAAAGCCTACCTTTACCCTTGAACAATCATCATGACAACAACCTCCTAAGTCATCTTGAGTGTGCAAAGTGCTTTTCTGTACATTGTTCATTTAAATTGATTCCTCTTCAGTTTAGCTAGCTAATTATCCAAAATGTCTGTAAAAATTATGACAGAGGAGGGAAACACAGTTACTGATTTGGGGTCCATTCCCTTTACCCTTCTCATATTCAGGTATTTCCCCACTGTGCAGAATTCACTTTGAATCCAGCGGAAATTACCTAGGAGGAAAGAGCTGGGCTCAGGAAGGAAGCAGACATTTCACTGTGGCTTTATTCACGGGAGGCTCTCCAGACGTTTGGCAGGTCTTTTCTTACATGTGCCTACTGGACCTTGTGTTCTAAGAGGCACAGAACAGCTGTACACAGCCCAGTGTCACACAGCAAGTCAGGAGCGAGAATCCATGTAGAATTAAGATCTTTTTTTCCCTCCCTCCTGAATCTCTATCTAGCCCGTGTCTACTCTCCCACGGGATTTTGTGTTGCTTTTTTTACCGTCTGTCTCAGCTTCAAAAAGGATCTGTTTTCTCTTATTATTTTCCCACATTGCTGCGGTTCAGAACCGTAGTGCATTTGTCAAATGCATTGTGTGTGTCTTCACCCCTGCAGCTTCCCTGTCAGATGATTCAATACAAGGCAATGATCTCTCCACTAAGGGGGAAGAAAGAAAGTGAGAAAGAAAGAAAACAGCTCAGAGCCCTTAACCCTGGGTTGTGGCTATTTTTCTCATAGACAGGCTGCTCTCTCTTATCTGATTGGAGCCTCCGTGTTCTCTGAATAGGAAATAAATCTCTACACAAAAATCCAAGGGTTAGTTTCCAGGTGTTTGATAGGAAGCTTTCATCCCAAGTGGTTTGTTTATTTATTTATTTATTTATTTATTTATTTATTTATTTATTTTTGTCGGGGGGAGTTTGTTGCATTATTTGACCAAGGACAGTGTTGACCACCTCCGGTTTCTACTTCTCTTTCGAAGTTTATTTTATGTTTTGTTGTGGTTTTCAGATTTCTCATGGTTTGGATTTGGGAAAGTAAAATCAAGACAAGGTGTTGGTAAGTAGTTAACTCACTCCTTCTTTGGATAAGTAATGAGTCTATGTTTTTATTCGGATGAAAATGCTTAGACCCTCTTTACATTCCACGGTCTTTGATTCATTTTCTGTGTTCCTGGTTTTTGATTTGTTGAAGAAGTAGGTCTAGAATTTTTCCAGAAAAGGCATTACTGTTGTTAATTGAGTTTAGTACATGGTTTTACATTTTTAGATTTGACTCGTTTTTATCCTGTGGGGGAAGTGTTAACTGTCGTTCCAGTTCTAGTTTGTGATGCATTTTTAAGAAGGTTAAGGAAATAAATACAACTACATTTCAGCTACATGTACAGGGAATAGCTGACTGAATAGTCAAGCTGGACAAGTTTAGGTCTTAACTTTCTTCCATTGGCCAAGATGTAATAGAGTTCTGAATTGGTAAATCAGTTTCCATTTATGACCATTCCTCTTTCAAAACAGATTCTAACGTCCAGACGCTGTGATTTCTGCTTGATTGCATTCTATTCCCTGCATTCAGACTATGTGCTGACAATTGAAAAGCAGTTTGTAGCTTACCAAGTGAATGCAGATGATGTAGCTCCTCATTAGAATTGAAATCAGGTGTGATCTCTTGGGACCTCTAATTTGTTCAGAATTTTCTATGGGTACAGAGACAATGAACAGGAATTGCTTAGAAGGCATGAAAAGACGGCATTCTTACATCTTTCATGTGGGTTTCCAAGATCCGACCATCTTGGGCATCTGTTGGTTAGTTATTCTTTTGGTAGCAAGGTTGGCCATAGGTAAAATGGCAAAGTAGGGGAAATGTACCAATGTCAGGAGGCTGCTCAATTCCAAACCATCCACCCTATGCTTGTTCATCCTGGCCATATAAGGAGCTGTTTCCTGTCACTTTCCATCCTGACGTCAGACCTTGTCTTGTTGGGCAGTCTCTATCACTGTCTGTCCAGTGATCCAAAAATGACCAGCCGGCTGAGGCAGCCTGGCCAGATGGGGCCTGGAGGGGGAAAAGTCACCTTGACTCTCGCTAGCTCCATGGATTCCAAGGTTAAAGTTCTTAACCAGCAAAGGGGAAGTGGAGACTTGGCAAAGTTAGAACATGAAGCTCAAGTAGTCAGGGCTTCTAGGCAGCTCCCTAGGGGCAAATTTCAGACACAGCTGATCATAGTCACTTTGCCAAGATATCAGAGGGATGATCCTGCCTGGGCAGTCTTAAAGGTGTTCTGTTTTACGGGTTTGATGTGTATGCGTGCGTAGGTGTATCCCGTGTGTTTTTGGGGAAGGTGGTAATAAACTCTCCCATGACAGTCCTATAAGACAGGGTCTTGCTTCTGCTAAATAGCAAGTCATTGCAACCACTTAAATATTTTTCCAAGCCAATTTGCACTGCAGAAGGGTGCTTGTTCCCGGAAAGCTGCAAAAATGTGGTTTTACTGTTTTAGGCCACAGCAGAGAGCTCTTCAGAATTATTCTTCCGGCTGCAGTCCAGCAGAGGTGCTGCTCTTATAAAACATAGGTTTCATTATTTTTCAAGTTTGGTGAGACCAACAATTTAGGAGATGATTGCCATTGAGAAGATAGTGTGTCACTCGTGGTTCCCAAAAGAAAGGGGCACACCATGGCATGCAGAGCCACGTGGGGAAGTGCTGGGATCCATTAAAAGGCAGAGGAGGGAAGGGAGAACTTGGGCAGGAGCTTTTAGTGTGTTTCCAGGTAAGGAACTGGGGAGGGAGGGTAAACAGGTTTAGGACTGGCTAGTCTGAGTAACTTCAACAGGCTCTAGGGTACAGGAGCTATCTAGAGTTGTCAAGTACTTGGCCCTGGGGTGGGGAGGGCAGGTGGATAGTGGCCTAGAGTGTGAGCCTCACATCTGGAAGGTGGTTGGGGTGTTGTCTCTGGATTGGTTGGTTTGCATTTGAAAGGCATGCTCCCAGGCAGGGTATTTACCATCTGTAGGAACTGACTCACCAGGGGTGGGAGGGGCCATTCCTCCAGGATTAGCACGGCCCCAGATGTCAAAGCACCAGAATCCAGAATATAAAAAGGCTTGCTTAGTACAGCTGCTCAAGAGTACTAACCCTTCCCCTCACCTTGAAGGCACTGTTGGTATTGAGAGAAGAAAACTCCCCCAGATGAACTTCGTGATTCTTATCACAGGAAATTAAGTCTACATTAGGCTTAGAAATGTCTGTAAAGTCATAGTACAGGATGTGTGACCAAGCAGACATATTAAAATAAAAATGGGCTAAAAATGTTTCCAGACTTAACTCATGTTTTTCAGCTGAGTAATTAGAACTATTTACCCTAAATCAGCCAAGTGTGCACCTACCTCGCCATTTAAAACTTTATATGAATATTATAATACATTTTTTCAAGTCCTCATATGAATTTCGTTTAACACACGGTGATGTGCCCCTTTATTCTTCTGTCTTTTTCATGGTGCCTGCTCAAACACATGCATAGACATACAAAGACACATCCTGTGATATGCACAGACAGGCTGCTGTCAAATTATGTAGACATTCATTGTCCCGCTGAGAGCTTCTTCTGCCTTCTCAACTTTGCTGTGCTTTGCATTCCATTATATCAAAATGTTCACAGAAAAATGGGCTTAAACCCTGCAACCTTGCCAGCCATATCAATCTTCTAGGTTTTGGAACATCAATAATGAAGAAAACAGCACTTGAATTAATATCCCCCTTGATGAATTGTTGAGGTTTATGTGTTACTCACATTTGTCAACAGTGATTTTTCTGGCAAAGTGAAAAGGCTTTTGAAAAATTACCTGTGGTGCTTTTTACTGCTTCTACGCTTAATCCTCCCCTCGCTCCCCAAACAAGAGCTCATTCCCTTGCAATCTGTTACATTGGAGTTGGGGGGTTTAATTGGAGAGGTTTAGGAAAGGAAAGGGTATCCCTTAGTGAGGAAGGAGAAGCAGAGAGCAAATCACTTGGTTGGACTCTTTAAGTGAGGGCTTCGCTGTGTACTTGGCAGAAGATTCAAAGTCTGAATTTGGGAATCTCAAGTTGTCTTCTAGGTATCAGCCTCCTCAAAAATGATTGAATGCTGCTCTGATGTTCATGAACTTCAGAGCATCCTGGGCCAGGGGAGAGTCAGAGAAGAAAGCAACTGGGGTCAATGCATTTCTAATGGTTCCAGGGGCTCCAGAAGGAAATATTGCTGGATCTCTGACAGCACGTGGAGTCTTTTAAAATGAAACTCCTGTACAAAGGCATAAGAATGATACCAAGGACTTCCGGGACTGTGGGGAAAGGGTGGGAGGGGGGTGAGGGATAAAAGGCTACACATTGGGTACGGTGTTGCTGCTTGGGTGATGAATGCACCAAAATCTCAGAAACCACTAAAGAACATATTCATGTAACCAAACATCACCTGTTCCCCAAACAACTATTGAAATAAAAAGAAATTTTAAGAAAAAGAAACTCCTGCATTTCTGGGGGTAAAGGTGGTGCCTGGAATCTACTGAGAAACATGCAGCCTTGGCTGCAGTCCTTCAGGGAGCGCAGGCAGTAGCATGTTTTAGTAATCTTGCAGGAGGGAACAGCCATGCCGGGAACCAAGGAAGGGAGTCAGTGGTGAGAAGGTTTTGTTGACAAGATGCGGAAACCTTAGCATAACACATCTTAATTTTCTTTTTTTTTTTTTTTTTTTTTTGAAACTGAGTCTCACTCTGTCACCCAGGCTGGAGTGCAGTGGTGTGATCTCAGCTCACCACAACTTCTGCCTCCCAGGTTCAAGTGATTCTCCTGTTTCAGCCCCCCGAGTAGTTGGGATTACAGGTGCACGCCACCACACCTGGCTAATTTTTGGACTTCTAGTTGAGACAGGGTTTCACCATGGCGGCCAGGCTGGTCTCAAACTCCTAACCTCGTGATCTGCCTGCCTCGGCCTCCCAAAGTGCTGGGATTACAGATGTGAGCCACCATGCCCGGCCAACACATCTTCATTTTTAATTGATGGCCAGAAGCTGGATGATCTAGGCCTGTCAGGGAGCAAGTAGCAGAACAGGGATGATTAGGAGTATTGGAAAGAACTTGTCTTTGTAGTTATTCTTGGCAGGATTTCTGCTGTATCCTAATGCAGGTGAACTAGGCACAAGACGAACACAACTGATGGGTTTGCCTTTGCTTTTGAGTGTTCTGTGGCTTCTAAATTGGCTGTGTGAGGACTTGTTTGCAGAATTGAGCCGGAGCGCATCATTAAAGGCAGCTTCAATGCACATCCCCTTGAGAGAATGCTTCAAAAATTACCTATAATAAGAGTTGGCTGTCTCCTGCATAGTTTGTTTAAGACACTGCTTAGCTGGGGAATGTCCAACTGTTATCACTACAAACTGTGATAATCTCCATATGAGGGGGAAAAATGGATCTTGGAGGTTGGGGGATGAGATATTATTATATTTCATAGGGGATTCAAGACTGGATGACAAAACAACTTTTGTTTTCAGAATTGCTGTGCTTCTCACTAAAATAGTTAAGTGTGAGGGAAAAGGTAAAGGATGGAAGTGCTGAAACATGCATTTAGTAGGGGGGGTTGGAAGAAAGCACATTTCCTTGCGTAGGAAGTAGCAATTCAGACATTTCCCTGGCATGGCATTTGCCTTGGCTGGGCATTTGATTCTGCCTTTTCACTCCCTATTGTCTTTTCTCTTTATTCTTTCTCTGGGCTTGTGCCAGTAGTCGGGTCAGTGGTCTGCTTCCATGGGACCCTGCCTGTGTAATACATATCTTGTGCACCTCCCACGTAGACAGTGCCTGTCATGAGCCACTGCCGTCTTCGTTGGTTTGAAGCTTTCACGTAGACCTTTATCTTTGTGCATCTAATTTTGGTTGCAAACAGTATGAGTTTAGTGGCTAATGGGTAAATTGTTTAGACAAGATACAGTAGACTGTATGTGTGAGCATATACATTCTGAGACTTTGGGCTAGAAAATTTGTCTTGTACAAAAAATGCTATGATTATTAATTTAGTATAAAGACACCAAGTTATGACTATAAATAGTATTACAGCTAACAACAAAGCAGGTAACTTTGCCATGGGATTGATCCATTATTGTTATAAAAGTATTTTGTAGACAAAAGTGGTGCAGATACTCACAGAATATGAAGAAAGAGGAATGTAGTCATAGGACAGTCAAATGTATATCTGGTCTACCAGTTAAAGTTCATTTAGTAATACCTAGTATTAATACATACTCATGAAGCATATTTAAATTTATAATACATTTTCCTGTTACTAATCTCGTTCTAGTGTCATAAAATAAGCAAATATTATTTTGCATATAAGTCGATGTAGAGGTCCAAAGAAAGTAAGTGACTTGTCCAAAGGGTAGAGAAAGGAAACTCAGATCCTGAAATTCCCAGAACAACTTTCAATGCTCTGTGAAATAGGGATCCCAGATTCATGTTGACAGTTTCAATGACAGAGTGTTCTAGAGACAATCATAGAACAGAGAGGAAAGCTACGTATTATCTTACAGGAGAAGGAAGTGAAGAAATTGGAGCTCTCATACACTGCTGGTGGGAATATAAAATGGTGCAGCCACTTTGGAAAACAGTTTGGCAGTTCCTCAAAATGTTAAATATAGAGCTACCATATGACCCAGTAATTCCACCCAAGAGAAATTAAAACACGTGTCCACATAAAAATTCGTATATGAATGTTCATAGTAGCATTATTCATAATAGCCAAAAAGCCAGAACAACCCAAATGTCCACCAACAGATGAATGGATAAATAACATGCAACATATCCACACAATGGAGTATTATTAGGCAATACAAAGAAAGGAAGTACTAATACATACTACAATGTGGATGAATCTTAAAAACATGATGTTAAGTGAAGGAAGCCAGTTACAAAAGACCACGTGTTATATGGTTCCATTCATATGAAATGCCAGAGAGATAGAGTGTAAATCTGTGAATGTCTACGGCTGAAAGTGGAGAGAATGGGGAGTGAGTGCTAACTGGGTGATGAAAATGTCCTACAAGTAGATTATAGTGATTATTGTACTACTCTGTGAATATACTAAAACCCACTGAATTGTATACTTTAAATGGGTAAATTTTATGTATGTGAATTACAGCTCAATAAAGCCATTGATTACAGGAGAATATATATATTTTTCCATCTCCAGGCCCAGCCTCCGTTATCAGCAATGATGATGACTCTGCCAGCCCACTCCATCACATCTCCAATGGGAGTAACACTCCATCTTCTTCGGAAGGTGGCCCAGATGCTGTCATTATTGGAATGACCAAGATCCCTGTCATTGAAAATCCCCAGTACTTTGGCATCACCAACAGTCAGCTCAAGCCAGACACATGTAAGTACAGCTGTTTGTACTTATTGTCCCATTTGCTGCATAGCTGTATCAACCAGAGTGTTTATCAGAGCCCCTGATAGGGATGACTGGCGGGGAACAGGGTGCAGTGAAATGTTTGAGGATTCTTGCAGCTTTTGGCCCAGGAATAGATCCTTTAGTTTGTTGCTTATGGAATTCTCCGGGTGTGTCTCCTGCTGGGAAGGGAACTGTGGGCAGATACTGACTCTCTTGGGATCTATTTTCCAAAACCATTTGTCAATGTGAAGTTGGAATCAAGGCATGCTTATCTTGAAAAAGAGAGACAGAAACCAGAAGTGTCATTTGAATGCACATATATCAGTTATAGATGACAAGCAATGAATGTAATTTAAATTTAGCCTATAGAAAGTAATTGAAATATGCACTCTAGGTAGTTGGGAAGGCACTGTGTTGCCCACAGGTGGTATCAGTTTGGGGAGTCCTGTATTCTTTGCTCAGTCCGAGTTCCCAGCATGAGGCCTTGTTGTGTTGCCACAATAGCAAAGAGACATGGCAGCAGATGATTTGCATATTAAGTACACTTACTTTCATTTTTCAAAAACAAATTAACCCATTAATCTCTGTTAGCAAGCTTGAGATTTTTCTAAGGGCCTTTTGTGCTATCTTCTGCACCACTGCTCCAATATTAAATGTGTAGCACAGCCTTAAAGACAACAAAAAATAAACCCACAGTGGACAAACAGGCTTATGGCATTGCTTCCAGGCCTTCCTTCATATGTGAATAAGGGGCCGTGAGGGCTATGATGTCAGATCCCAGAGATTCCCTGCCACTAAGGAGTGGGTATCATGCATGTTCCTATCCTGTCTTAAATACCATTCTCCTACCTTGTCATAGAGGTAAGGTAGAGGATTACTGCAAGATTAGGCTTTGGGGGCTGCCTCTCTGTTGAGAGCTTTCATGGGATGAAGGGCCTTAGCAATGAGTATCAGATCTGTGCATATATAAGGAAATATCTGTAACTTCATCCTATTCACTCAAATTTATCCCAAGGCATGTTTAAGGTTGGATATGAGTTTAAATGTTAGGAAGAACAGTATTATGAGCTTTTAATGTGTGAGACTGGAATCCACCAGAGATTTTGGTTGACTCTGTAACATGACAAGATAAATAGAATAATGTGTGAAGAATATTGAGCTCCTTGAAATAAAAGGTATTAGTTGAAATTAAGGTATTATTAATCTTAATACTGTCATTGTGGTGTGAACAAGGTGAGTAGAGGCATTGCTTAAAATGTGCCTTCTTTGATGGGGTGAGCCTCCTCCAAAGATCCTTGGAATGCCCTGTACACAGAACTGTCAAATAAGGAGTAAGACTAAGCAGGATACTGTGATGGGAGCATCTGTCATCATTTTGATTGTTCTCCCTAGGAATAGAGTACTTTGACATTGACACCTCAGTCACCACCCGAACCAGGCCTATGATGCATTTCAATTAGCCTGAGGCTGTAGTATAATTGAGGCTGATAAAATCAACATACCCTCAAAAAGTTGCTTTCCTTTGTGGAGGGAGGAAAGATAAAGCTGCATAATTAAGTAGACCCGATCAGCCCAACAAGTCCAGTAAGAGAAATCGAACAAACGAGCAAGAGAGCAAACAAACAAAATAACAAATGAGATCCTCTAGTCAAAAGTGGGCTACATGTCTGGAAGTGCTTTCTTCCCTTAGAAATTCAGAAAGAAAGATTTCAAAGGTTATTTCCTTAATCTGGAGTCTGTGGAGATTTTTTGCAAAGGTTTGGGTTCCTTTTGGAGCAGTCTTGATTGTGTGGCTCAGTCATTCTGTGCCTCCTGTCAGTTTCTGGCCTCTACCCAAATGGCCAACCTCCATTTGGTCACTCCTTCTGTATAAAGTCTTGCTAGGCCCTGCACCCAACCGCAATGTCCCAGCTTAGTGTCCTCAGTCACTCCACACCATATATCAAACGAGATTTTCATTTTTCCAGGCAACAAGTCACTATACTCTTTCATGATTTTAAGAACACTTAAAATAACAAATCTTCCATGAATCCTTTTTCAAATAAATGAGAATGAAGAAGCGATTTACTTCTTTCCTTCCCTTCACCCTTTTGTAAATGTCATTTTTTATCTCATAATTTTTTTTCCTTTATCTTCGGTGTATCTGTGGCCTTTTGTTAAGTAGTGAGTATGAGCACTCTCATGTGTTTCTGCAGTCTCTTTTAGGTTAGACTGTAAGCTCTTGGAGAGCAGGATCTTTATCTGTTGAACCATTCCTTCATAGCACAGGACGTGGTGTACCTTTGATGTCGGCCACATGTTGACCAGATGTAGCTTTATATTACTGAAATATTAATTTCTAGCAGATATGTAACAAGAAAGATGACTCATAATCATTTTCATTGGTTTTATTCCTATCAAACTTGCCTACATAGTTGTTTATTTATTAGACATGTTTTTAACAATATATTAGCCAATTTAAACAGATTTAGATAACAATTTTAGCAGAAATAGACTTTGGACAAAAAAATCTTTTCTTTGAACATTCTAATTGTAGTCGTGCAGAAATTAAAATATTTCAAAATGTATAGACCTGACATGTAGATGAATCTGTTGGTGTAGGCCCATGAAATGTTGAGAACTTAGATTTCAATTAGATAATTCCCATTGACTATATATATATATATATATATATATATATACACACACACACACATATATATACACACACATACATGTACTGTATATATACACACATATATAAGTATATGTACATATACCTATATGCACACATATAGGTATGTGTACATATATAAGTATATGTACACATACCTATATGCACACATATAGGTATGTGTACATATACATATACATGTACATATACATATATGTGGGGTGTGTGTGTGTATATATATATATATATATATATATATATATATAAAACTCTGTCACCCAGGCTGGAGTGCAATGGCACAATCATAGCTCACTATAACCTTGACCTCCTGGGCTCAAGTAATCCTCTTGACATAGCCTCCTGAGTAGCTAGGACTCTAGGTACACACCGTCATGTCTGGCTAATTTTTTTTTATTTTTCGTTTTCATTTTTTGTAGAGATATGGTTCTCATTATGTTGCCCAGGCTGGTCTTGAACTCCTGGACTCAAGTGATCCTTCACACCTTGGCCTCCCAAGGGAGGGAATGCAGGCATGAGCCCCATTGAATATTTTTTACAAATGAGCTTTTAAAGAACCTCCAAAGAAGGGCTCTTTCAAGAAGTTGCAATGATAAAAACATTTGAGAAGATCTCAGAGAGAGTTTAGAACACTTTCAATGTGCTTACAGCATAATATCACATGGACAGTACAATATCGCTATTCTTATGGATCCAACAGAGACTTGAGCCAAAACCTGGCCTATTTACTTCTCTTTCCTAAAACTGCATGCTATTCAAAGATGTTGACTTTAGAATATACATATGGTCTTACGAAGATCGCTGAATTGTAAGAATCTAATATATGTAAGATCTATATGTATGATCTTACTCATCTCACTGAATTTTAAGAATCTGACTTATATAATAAAGACGATTCATTACATATTTATTTATAACACTCTTTTAATACTAGGAACGAGAGATCTCTTGAAAATGATGGCTTGTTCCCTGCTCTCAAGGAGTCTCACTGGCAAGGCCAATGGTTAGATCATCATATAATCATAATGCAATGTGATAGACATTACAACAGGATAGGTTAGAGCACGGGTCCAAAACCCCAATTACCAACAACGATCAGGCACGTCAATGCAAGAAACAGGCTGAAGGAAAAATGATATGGGCTAGTGAGGGCCATGCTGGAGTATGGGCCTGGTATTGACAGATACTATAATTTTTCCAGAGAAAACAGGTGTTTATTATTTTATGTGGATTCCCCAAGATTTAAGACACCGGGTGAGATAAATAAAAATATATCAGTGTGAGTCAGGTTTGGCTCACAGTCTACCACCTGGGTGTGATACTCTGAGTTAGACTTGAAGGATCAATGAATAAAAACACCTTATTTTATAAATGATGCTCAAAAGTGGTTTGTCCAGAGTGACACAAGCTCAATACTTGCATAGTTTGGCTTTAAAAACAAAACAATAAACAAACATGATCAAATTCGACTTCTTAAAATGATGCATAAAATCATTTAAGTGAAAGATGGTGATCAATTATATCCCTTGAAGTATGTTTTCACTATCTGGAGTGATATGAGGGTTTCATTTACAAAGTCCAGAGATGGTTTGCAGGATTGTAGAGCAATCTGAACAGGGCTGAATTCCTCCCGAGCACTTTCCAATAGCAAGTCTGTCTACTTTATTGCAGGGCCCAGAGGTTCCCCCAAGACCGCCTGATAATAATTTGGTATTTGGAGGCTCCTGTGTCACTGCAGGAACTAAAGGAGGCTAAATCCATGCCTGATGGAGGAGAAGAGTTCTATGGTTATCTGCAAATTCTGGCCAGACAACATCTTGACGTCACTCCTTAGCTTCCATAACCTAGCCAAGCAAGAAGTTGCCTTTCCAAGACAAAGCAGTGTGCTCTAATGACTAACCCCTCAAAGTACTATGCCACTTTAACTATAGACCCATCTCCTCGATCAATCAGGATGGCAAGATGGAGCTGAGGAGCTCAGCAACATCAAGTCTGGAGTTGGTCTTTAACTCAACTAGCTCGTTTAGACGTGTCTGAACACCACATCACCTGACAGCACGGGGTGGTTTCCCAGTAAAATTTACAAACTCAGCTCAAGGGCAGCTGTGTTGCTTTCCTTTCCTTGACTGCTGAGAAACTTTTTGACAGGGAACAATGGAAACACACCTTCTGAGCTGAAACAAACAAACAGAAACAAAACATACTAACCAGCAAAATCCCCAAATCATCAATCTTGGGTTCTCTTGAAGGGCAGGAGTGTGTTTTATCTTCTCCCGTCGGAGCAAACACTATAGATGTCCTCCCTAAAATTCTGTCTTCCCTAGAGCAGCCTTGTAAATTAGCTAGGGTCCTAGGGTTGAGGCCTAAATCAACTTAAAATTGTCTCTAAATATGTACCTGGATGTGTTTGTACTTGCAGAGCATGCCCTCTTCATGTGCCTAGGGCTAGTAACTCCCTGTGGCAGAGGCATGTAAAGTATTCTGACTTTTTTTTTTTCAACTTAATTCCATTTCCAATGAAATGGATTTTTAAAAATTTTCTCCAGAGTGTGCCATACTTCTCCAGCTATTATAGTTAATGTGTGTGTATCCTTGTGTATATGTGTGTTTGTGTGTGCATATGTGTTTTCCTAGTGGTTACATGCTTACTAGGCAATTATGTAAATAAGCACAGATTCATAGGCCAGCTAGGCCTGAGGAAAGAAGACATTATAAAGGGAGGGAGTATTTTAACATTAGCTAAAGCTATCACACAAGGCACCCATTCTGCTCCCCTCAACAGCCACAGCCCACTTCGTCCTTGTCTTACCAATAAGGGGAAAGGCTGGAGGTGATATTTTTCACAGAACCGCAGAGGTTTTGAACATATTTGCAACATTACTTTGAGTACACATGAGCAAAAATTCTGAATTACATCCAGGACCCCAGAAGCTCATTAGATCAAAGAGTGCGGGGCCCCTCAGAGTTACCAGAGATTATCTGCAGACTTCAGTGCAATCGAATGACCATGGTCCATTTTGATGGTCAGAGGTAGGACTGAAAAACGGGTAGAAACAATTGCTTTAGCGCTTCCTTCTGTACTTTGCCTATTAATGTTTTGTCTTTCAAAAATATATTTTCTCCTAATTGTTTAATTGGCCAAATAATGGCTGCTTTGGGAGTTGTTTGTATGCCTTGGAAGGCCATGGCCTGCACTTTAAAAATAAGCTAAGTCCATTCTGCCCAGCACGAGCATTAGGACAGAGAATGCACTTATTTTAGGATCCTTAAAAATTGCTTCTTTTATGGCACACTGGGTTGACGACTCATCTCGTGGGAGCCTTCATGGCACATTGCTGCTGTTCTGCAGGTCCCAATACAATTCCTTCCCCCTCTCAGTGCCACGGCCCCCCCATTGCTAGCTACAACAATTTGATATCATATTCCCTTTTCAACTCCAAAGGAGATGATAAGAAGCTATCAAATAATGCTTTAAAAAAGCAACTTGAGTTTCTTAAAAGAAAGGAAATGAATACATGCTGCATAATTACATTTAAAATGTAAGCCATGTTATTATAAGCCGCACTGAGATGAAGATTTGTTAGCAAACCAGTTTCAAGCACACTCACAGTGAAGTAAAATCATGTTTTTAGCATCTGACCATTGGGTAATATTATTCTTTGTTATCAAAAGAGAAATATCACCCAAGTATAGTATACTTAGACCTCCTAGAGGAAACACTCCAGTCCTAAGCTTGGTGTCTGAAAAGAAAAACAAAAATAAAGATTATGGATTTAGGTCAGGGAGACAGAGTGATATTCTGAAGACTGTGTTTACTCCCTCATCATCGGCCAACCAAGATGGAGTTCTGCATCCTGCACATATCAGACATTTCAGTCCAATTTCACCAAAGCATCAGTGATGTTCTAGAAGCATCCCAGCAGATGGAGGATCCTAATGTATTTGTTCTGGGTATTTCCCAAGGCCCAGCCTGACTGGAGTGTGTGTACCAACAGGATGAATCCAATCAAGCTACGCCCCCATTTTGGTTTCGGATTGGCCACTCTTGCATGTGCTAGTAGATTGTGGACCAGGACCAGCTGAGCAAACACAGTTGCAGAGTAGCCTCCTATGTTGCTAAGAAGCTCCTGCTACCCAGGTGCTTTGAACAATTGAGTGCTCCCTCTGGTTAAGTAGAGATGGCACCACCGGAGTTTTTCTTGGATGTGAGGCTCAATCCTTTACGGCAGCTATTATAACAAAGTGAAGGTTTTCTCCCTGGGAAATGCAGCTTTTCTCTGTCTTTACTAATTCTGCCAGCCTGTGAGAGTAACCACCGTAGCTGGGCTTCTTCTCAGATTAATTGTCATGCCAGGTCTCCTTCCTGGGGAGCTGTGATGCTGCTCTGAGGTTGATTGCTGAGGTTGTAGTGGGTTTTTGTTTGTTTTTGTTTAGTTTTTCTTGATTGTTCTTCTTTCTCTTGAATGGCAAGAGAAGAAACACTTTCTCTAACCCACGGCCAGGAAGGAAATGGGGAGAGAGCTACTTCTTAGTTCAACCTGGTTGCCACATAAAGGAATCTCTCTCCTTGGACTCAGCCCCTAACTGGAAGCAAGAGCCACTGCCCTCTGAGACTGAGAGAGCAGCCCGAGGAGGAGATGAATCCATTCTGCCCTTTGTTTGGGTTTGCTTCCTGTCAGTGAGAGAATGCTGAGGCAGTTCCTGTTATGTGAAACTTTCATTTTTAAAACCAGGACAGTCCTAAACAGACTGGAATGAGTTGGTCAATCCCAGTTGGTATAGGCCCAATGATTTTTGCTAGTAAGATAGGATTGTCTTCCTCACCCAAAATGCCTTCAAGTGCCCTAAAATGGGTATTTTAAAATAAGAATAAATAATGTAGATTTAGTAGAAAACCTGGAAAACATAAGAAACAAAGATGAAACGAAAAGTCCCATGTAATTCCACCAGTTAGAGTTAACCACTGATATCGTTTGGATATATGGCTTTCTAGTCTTGTGGATATCCTTTTAATCTCTTGTAATATAAAGTCTGACCATATGTGTCCTTGCATTTGTTTGTACTGGACTCTGTTAATATTTCTATAGTAATGGCTCACTTTGGGGAGATTGTGCTGCACAGTGTGTAGGAAGCACATTGGGTGTATTATTCCCAGTTTTGTATTTTGTATTTCCTTGGAGATGTGCAGGGGTTAAGAGCGGGGGTCTGGCCATAGCTGGCCACGTCAGACTCTCATATGGTAAGTATCACAGAGCACATGAGGCCTGTGTTATGCGCTGGAAAGACTCAGGAAATGAGAGGCTCTCTTGTTCTGACAAGGCAGGCTGAGAGCTCTCATTTAGGGTCATCACTCCAGATAACTCCAAATGCAGTTTATTGCTCAACTGAAGCAGATGATCACTTTTTGCCTCCAAGTTCTTCACCCTAGCTAGCTCCTTTCAAAGAGCCGAGTATGCTGGATCTTAAAGGGCCAAACTAGTTACATCTCATACATTTCCTGATGTTTAGGGATGCCTTCACTTCCATCAAGGATACCTTGGCTGTGCAAGGACCTCTGATAGCTGGAGTCTCCTTTTGGTCACTCCCAGCTTTGCTTAAACTTGATGGAGTTTGCTGTCCAGTGATCCCCGGATCTTTCATCATGAAAGCCTTCCTTCCTCTCCTGATGTCTCAGGCCTCTAGACCTAGACTGGGGTTCTGGCAAGGAGGCCTCTATCAATAGTATGACATCCAATAATATGTTAGTGTTGATATTTTGCACAGTAATATTAAGTTTAAGAGATTATAAAAATGAGTTCAAATGAATAAGTTCCTGTGATGTAAGAGATTAGATATGTGTGATTTCAGAACCAAAGGCAGGGGGGAATCCCAGAAAGAAAACAATAATATAATCCTAGTTTCTATATATTATTTTTATTCATTACTGTATATGGGTAGAGATCAATATTCTTTCTTATGCTGTTACTATTAATTAACACATTTTTTAACCATGCCATTGAACTTTTGGGTGCATTAAAGTGGAACCCAAGCTCCTCATTAGATAATAATGGCATTTGGACTGAGTGCCATATTCCTAAATTTCCAATAAAGTGGTTGATATAGAGAGGACAGGATAAAGCCCTATAGTGTGCAGTTATATCAAAACAGCTAGTCTCCACTTTAGGGAATGCCTTTACTAGAGATTACATGAAATGTCTGCTTATAAAATAAGCAGAGATGGCACCACTAAGCAGCCACCTGAATTGTTTTCCTACAGGAATGATTACTTTTCAGATCCATTTATGTTTTCATGCTCAATACTTACTCCCCTTCCCTGCAACACCCAAAGAGTTTACTTTTGCAAGTCATTTGGTCTTCAGTCTACTACTGAGGAATAGAGAGGCACTAACTGCTTTACCCAGGATCAGAACTCATGTTCTTACCTTCTATTAATAGAGTACTTGAGCCAGATGGACTAACTGGTCTCACATTTTCTCTATCTTGGTTTTACTTCCATAAACATCAATATCTTTACCCACATGATTTTTCCATCCTCCCATTTTTTTCCATATGTATTAGGGTTCAGGAACTATGATGCTAATGATCACATTTCTTCCTAGTTCCTAATTTCATTAGTGCCATTTCCTGATATCTACAGAAACAATTATCAATACATGTAGCTGCTTGAGCCTTATTTAGAAGGCTAGCCTTTCTTTTCCAAGTGCTGTCAGAATGTATACATTTAGTCTGTCTTTTTCCCTTTTAGGAGTCTTTGTTCTGGGTTGATGGCAAAATTCCTCTTTTTACATGTGAGATTTTTGATTTCACTGAATTCTACCTAGATTTTTATGGACATTGGATTTTAAAGAGGAAAACACTCATTTTCTTAGTAAGATATTGGTGATACATAGCTATGCCATTGATTTCCATACTCCTGAGCTTTGGGGAGGGAGACAGTGGCCAAGTAGCAGGCAGAATAAGATCATCACTCATGTCCTGAATCAATCACACTTTCCTTCTCGGATTGTGTATATGCTCTGCCACTTCCTACATATTACATCCTGAGTTTTTAAGTAAAGTGGATCTTAGCCAGATTTGAGTCTAATGGCTGATTCATCGGCATAGTTCTTGGCGTTAACATCTCAGTGTCCTCTTTAGTTCTCTTTGAGGATTCATGTCATTGAGGGCCTTTGTGCCTCCACTTGTCTCAGTATGAGGAAGAACTTTGGTGTGAGGGCGGAGCTATGTGAAGGGTTGCTGGGTTGGGGGATTAGTTCATATGGTCCCCATGCCATCTATTTACTTTTGGAGAGAGGGGACTTTGAGTGGGTGGGTATGGATAGATGTTCCTCAAGGAAACCCTGCTGGCTAATGGGCACTACATCTGTGTATTACTGTGATTCTCTCTGTAAGCTCCCCATGTGGCCAAGGACCCCCCTCCTACCAGGGCACTTCCTGCCACCTCATTGCACTGGTCTCAACCATTCAGCCTGCTGCTGCTGCACCATGTTGGGCTGCGGTAGGATAGGGAAGGGGTTCTGTTGATTGCTAAATGTTGCCTAACTTTATTTCCCTCTCCCACATTTCATGCAAGGGAGCGGACCTAACACATGACTTGCATTCTCTTCCTATGTTCAGAAACTCCAGGGCTTGCCCACGTGTATGTATGAGTGACCAATGGAGCTTGGAATTCTTTATCTATATGATCTGTCCGAAAATGAGATCTTTTGTACTGGAATTTGTGATGTAGTTGATCATTCAGAGCCAAACGCATATACCAATAAAGACAAGACTGTCATATATGTGGTCTCTGTTGCCTACTTTCGTCACCTGCTAATACTTTTTCTTACATAGACTTGAGAATATAATTCAACATTGGGATTCCTCAAGGCACCACGAACAGAGCTCTAGAAGTTGTCCGCATTGGTTCCCCAGTTGCCCCCACATAGCCTCTCTGGGTTTTCTCGAAGCAACTCCTTCACTCAGGTAGGCCAGCACTAGGGTGAGGCAAGAATGTCACTTGCTTAAGGCACAGAATTTAAAGTGACACCAGAAGTGTCAGTACTCAAGATAAATAATATACTCATGCAACATTTTAAAAGATAAAAAAGAATGCAAAAGATCTATGAAGAAAATATCAAAATTTTAAATAAAGCCAGCATAATCCCAGGAGGGCTGGGATGAGTGTAAGGTGAGTGAGCTTAGTCCTACAAGTTCAGGGTCAGATCCTGTCTTTCCTTAAAATTCTGATATTTTTGGCTGGGCATGGTGGCTCGCGTCTGTAATCCCAGCACTTTGGGAGGCTGAGGTGGGCAGATCACGAAGTCAAGAGATCAAGACCCTCCTGGCCAACATGGTGAAACCCCATCTCTACTAAAAATACAAAAATTAGCTGGGCATGGTGGCTCATGCCAGTAGTCCCAGCTACTTGGGAGGCTGAGGCAGGAGAATCGCTTGAACCCAGGAGGCGGGGGTTGCAGTGAGCCGAGATCATGCCACTGCACTCCAGCCTGGCGACAGAAAGAGACTATGTCTAAAAAAAAAAAAAAAAAATTCTGATATTTTTTAAGCGCAAATATTTGCATTCAATTTTATCAAGAACTATTGCATTACACTTAATATAATTTATCTCAATAACTGGATTTTTAGCATTTCCTTAATTGTGTGCACAAAGCAAGAATCTCACTCCCTTTAGCCTTGACCTTGGCCTCAGGGCTCCTTCTGGCCTGGATCTTGTGTAAACCTCTGGCCTTTGCAAAGCTGTTATGTGTACATAAACTTCTCAGTGGATTGTCTGTCAGTCTTCGGATACTTCCTGAGTTCCTGGCCTAATTGTCCTTCCTCACTGCCTCGTCTTCCCTTGGAGATGCAGTCCCCTGTCTCCCTTTTGTTCAGCCAGCCTCAGCATCTCCAGCAGTAACCATCCTGTGCTATCTACTGAAATAGCAGATAAGTGCATGCTCATCTTCTCACTACATTTTTAAAATTTTTATTTGTTGTATGTGACTCTCCAGAGTGAGGAAATGAATGAGGCTGCCAAAGAGAGAGAGAGAGAGAGACAGAGAGAGAGTGAGAGAGAGACGGAGAGTGAGGCAGAGACAGAGACAAAGAGAGATAGATTCTTTGGAAAAGGACAGGAGGGAGGATCAGGGGACTTTCTCAGTAAGTCTGAGAAATAATCTAGGGGAAAAATGGATAAAATTTTTAAAAAATAAGGGAAATTCTTTAAAAAACCTATATTGCTTTTGTCCCCCACATTTGGAGGTGTATGATACATTTGCTAAGCTGAAGATACAGTATTTGAGATTTAAAATATTCCATTTTCACTCAGCCAGTTTCTTAATGCCATGCGCTCTTTTTGTAATATTTGCATTCTCTATTTTTATATAATTTCTACCTAATGCTTTTTATGGGCCAGGCCCCATGGATTGTATTTTCACATTAAAAAAATCTTAATAATTGCTGCAGTATAGATATTACTCTGTTTTACAGATGGGAAAAGTGAGGCTCAGAAAAGTTAGGAGGAAAAGGAAAATGCAAATTCCATCCTGAACAAGGGGTTGTTATTGAAGCCCAGGTGGATGTCCTGGAAGTGAGGACTCTTTCTAGCCCAGTGCTGCTCATCCTTTCCAAATTAATACCCAGCAATTTTCTAACTCAGCAAGAGGAATTGTAGTGTTGGCATTGCCCCTTTCATGTGGGTGATCAAGTATGCTGGGGTGTATTAACCTTTGGATCTGAAGGGTGAGGAGTGTCCACATGGTGGGTGCTGAACTTACTGATAAAGGAGGAACCTGCCAGTGGGCAGAGCCCAGGCCATCTATGGTACAATGATTGATATAGGCTCACTGGCCTGTGATGTTTTCTCTCTCAGTAGTGTCTTTAAGAAATATTAAATGATCATGAATATAAAGCCGTTATTTTTATTTTTTTGCCAATTAAAATTATGTAAAATTCCACTTTTTCTTTTGCCAAGCCCTCTCTGAAAAGTTTACATTTTTAGTTTTAGTTCAGAAAATCCTAGAAAAAGCAAGCTATACCATAGATCTCAGACTCTTTCTTGAGTGGGTTCACTCCTCGGAGATTAGCATATCTGATTTCCTAGGTGAACTTGATATCCAAGAAAAGAATTCAAAGTGTGCCAACTGTGTTTGGGAGCATGTTGAGGTGCATATATTTGCTGAGTTTCTGTAGGCAATGCTGGGAGGAGTGAGAACCCACAGCTCCTGGGCAGGGTCACCCTGTACAAGGAGGCCAAGGGAACACAGTGTCTAGTAAAGCCTTCTTTTCAGCATCCTATGGGGAACCAGCCTTGATGCGAATCTTATGAGCATCGCAGAGGACAGACAAGTACTCCTCTGGCTCACCTTCTACAACTCGTTCCTTCATTTTCCATTCAAAGGTCCATGTTTCCAAACTGGCTAATTGAATGGAGTCAAAATTTCTATAGATCTTTATGCTTTAGAGAGCCGTTTTAAAAACAAGAGTTGGCATTCATACGTGGCATTCTTCCAAGCCTGCATCTACGTGCTTCATAAAGTCAGGAGATATCAAGGAGCTGATATTCTTGAGCACTTTGTGACAGACACACATGTTGACCAATATCTCATATAAGTCTTTTAATGGAGAGAGTAACACATGTTCTTTAAAAACATCATACAGCACTTCTTTACTGGGCTTGGTAAGTGCAGATGAGTTAGAACGGCAAGGTTAGCCAAAATGAATAATTATTTTCTGACTCAATGTTTATTCTCTTAATTATCTTGATAACTTTGAAAAAACCATAGTTTGGAGTATGAATTATTCAAATGTAGTTCAAAGTCCATTGTGACAAGTAATAAAATACATTCAAAATATTGTTTACTAGAGTGTTCCAAGCCCGCTGAACCTCTATGCATTATCAGCTACAAAGCTGCAGAGCATGGCCAGCCCTTTGGGGTGGAGATGCAGCCAGAGAGTGGTTTGGAGAAACTAATTAGAATGTGACTTCAGAGAAAAGGGGCTGAAATATTTCCAAACAGAGAATTTGATGAGTCCTTTGCTTTCCCTGGGGTGGGGGTTATGTATGTTTCTGCATGAATCTCGAAATATTTGCCAGTATGGAAAATTTTCCCAATGAGAGGAGATAAAACAAATCTCTGACTAATAAGACTGTCTGGGACCTTTAACAATAAAACTCCAGGATGGGGAGGGGACAACAAGGGTAGGAATGAAAGTTCAGATTAGGCTTAGGGTATATGTCGTATGTCTCTGTTGGATGATGAACGTGTAATCAGGAAGTCACGTCTCACCAGGAATTCAGTGGCAGTAGTCAATGACTGATATAAAAAATTGCAGATGGAAATAAATACTTATTGGCAATTTTGTAAGTTCTGAATCATAGTCTGTTCAACGAACAAACAAGTGCTTTGGCATCTCCGGCTCCTAGAACAGTGCCCAAGACATTGTAGGTTTATAATAAATAGGTAGTAAACTGAATGAACAAAAGAATGGATGATCTTATCTACTTTGCCTGTCATCTTACTGTAGCTTTGGGAAGAAAATACATCTCTACTTCATTGAGCTTCAGGCATCTCTAGTATTTGCCTATGATTCTGGTAGGAGCAAAAGGTTGGTTATCTTTCCTTTTGAATTGCATATTAGCTATGCCCATTGCCATGTCTGTTCAGTGTTGGGTTTGAAGCTTTTTCTCTTGCTCTTTCTGTCCCACCTCCTAAGTAATTTGTGTTTTGAGAATTCTCCTGTCTGGTTTTGTAACTTGGGTTTCAGGTATGCTAAAGCTTTATGTTTTGTATTATGAGAGAATAATTTCTCACAAGGCCTAATGCTGAAGTTTTAATGGAAATATACATATTTCTCTCATTGAATTTACACAATAGTCATATGGTGGGTATTCTTGTTACTTTAATCACACAGAAGGAAAACAGTAAGGCACTGAGAAGTTAGGCAACTTGCCCAAGAACATACAACTACTAGGCAGGAGAGCTAGGAGTTGAACCTAGATACCCAAACCCTAGCATCGGCTTTTAATGCACACACTGAATTCGTGCCCGTCTCTCTGTCTAGCCATCAAGCCAGGCTTCTTTCATGCTCCCACCAACACACACACACACACACTGACCCACAATGGATTTGAGGCAGTTTACGTTGGAAATGCAGCCAGTTTAACTGATGAGATGGGTATCTGCAACTTTCTCATTTTCCCTGTCATTTAAATCCTGAAATTTCTTTCCATACTATAAAACACTGTTTAGATTCAAAATTGACAACAAGGGAGAGTATGATTCCAAATGGTAAAGGCCAGGCCAGAGTCTCAAGTCCTTCATCTTTGATGGAGAGCCACCCCTTGGCCACTGCCAAGGGCCAAGGTGATTTGGAAGGTGATGGTAGCAAGTTACCAGGCGGTCTTTTATTTGTGGCTTTGCTCAGCTTAGTTTTTCTCAAATATGCAAGAAAGCTGGAGGACACCACTGTTGGAGGAGATCTGTATCTATTTATCCTTAACCCCATGTCCGGTAGCAAGCCACTTGGCTGTTGGCAGTTGTCAGCAAGCAAAAGCTCTTGGACCTGTGTTTTTCACTGTGTCATCTCTTTTGTTCTAGTGTGTGTGTGTGTGTGTGTGTGCGCGCGCGCGCGCATGTGTGCATTATAATAACTAGAAATACTTTCTTTTATTTATTTATTTTTCCGAGTCGGAGTTTTCGCTCTTGTCGCCCAGGCTGGAGTTCGCGATCTCGGCTCACTGAAACCTCCGCCTCCTGGGTTCAAGCGATTTTCCTGCCTTAGCCTCCTGAGTAGCTGAGACTACAGACAGGCACTACCACACCCGGCTAATTTTTTGTGTGTTTTTAGTAGAGATGGGGTTTCACCATGTTGTCCAGGCTGGTCTTGAACTCCTAACCTCAGGTGATCTGCCCGCCTCAGCCTCTCAAAGTGCTGGGATTACAGGCATGAGCCACCACACCTGGCCTGCTAGAAACACTTTCTAAGAATCAAATCCCTGCATCCAAACTGGTATCTATCAAATCTGAGTGGCTAGAGGTGAGGCCAAATAATCTGCATTGTTAAAAAGTCCCCAGACGATTAGGATAAATGTAAGAGTTTGGGGATCACTGTTCCAGGTTAGACCCATTGTGGAAGGTTCTCATCCAGAAGGACCATGAAGCTGGGTAAGGTGACGTGAGGTGGCAAGCTCCCTGAGGACAGGCTTGTACCTTGGTTGCTGGTAAGTTTTTTTCCTAGCCTTCCCAGCTTTGCTGATACATGGTTACCCTTCCTGGTTGCAGTACAATTCTTTTAGGTTTTAAAACATGGAACTGTTTCACTCATGCGGGTTTAGGGCACAGGGATTGTGGTTTTGAGGGTATAGTAGCACAGGAGTTGAAAAGGCATTTAAGGGATAGTCTTGTCATTCTAATGACAAGCGCAATGTCTCCATGAGGCCATGGTTCTTGTTTTTGCATAATCAACATGGAACTTGATCCATTCATGAGTTTAGGATTCTCTGTGCACCAACAATACACCTGACATGGGTCACCAAATAGCGGATGAGAAGAATCTACTGATTGATATTTTCACAAACACTTCATAAAGTTGCTAAAATGCCAAAACTCCTAAGCTTAACTATTTGAAAAGGATTGGCAATTTTTTTAATCTATATAATCAGCAAAATGCAGAAATGCCCAAAGTGGGTGAGATTAGGCTCAATCCTTCTAATAATTCGGTATCAAAATAATTAGAAACTGGAGTTGCATCAAAAGTTTTCTCAAAATTCAAGTTCACTAACCTAGTTGACTTTTCTCAAGAGAAAATATGCTATAATAATGTCAAATTATCAGAATGTTAGTTGTATAATTTAGTACTTAGTATAAGGAATTATTGGGAGATCATTTTATTCCTCCTTGCAAATTCTAAAGTTTCTTTTGGAATTTCATTTTATGTGATTTGATCTGTACAAAATAATGTAAGAAGAGAATGGGACAGATGGAGAGAAATGATTGAATCACCGTGTTTCAATGAAAAGTATTCAAATTGCATTTCACTACATAATGAATTCTGCTTCAACTTACTTTGACATAAATAAGATTGGGTAAGAGAAACCAGAAGTAAATCAAATAAATTAATAAAACTATCAGAGCTGCTTCAATTTTGGTCCTCAGACATTGTCTGCTTTATTTGTATAATATAACCTGCTCTTATAAATAAAAACTCTTGCATATAACTCAGTTGAAAACAAAAATGTAAGGAAGAGTTAGAAAATTTGGAGGCCTGATTAGGGCACCTTCTAATTTTACAAATATCAATTTTTTTGAAAGTTGAAAAACTGAAATTTGCAACCTAGAAGAGTGACCTTCAACTTTCAACTAGACTTTTTTAAAAAAAGAAGATGGGAGATACAGACATGCATGCAACATCGACGATTAGCTGTTCTTCATATTTTCCTAATTATACACATTTACTGAACATGAGGACATTTTTGCATTTTGTCTAGACGAAGGCTGTGTCTCCACTGGCATAATATATCACGACGTTTGTGAGTCTTGTGCAAAATTGAATTTGCATCTCTGCCGCCGCTTGTAGAGTTCATTATCTTGCAATACAACCACTGGGAAAAATACAATTTTCTGTGTTTAATAAAACTGTTGTCTTCTCATAGTGCTTATGATGCTTGAACAATTTGTCAGGCACTATTTATCACAGATGCTGAACACTAATTATACTGTGTGTAGTGCCTGTAAGAGTGATTTTAAATATTTTCTTTATTTAATATGTATCAGTGCAACCAGGGTTTTTTGCAACCACACTATTATTTGCATTTCTGAGAATCAATGTGTCTTTTCACAATATTAAACATAAAAGAAAAGCCACTAAACTAAGAGTAGAACATGTAAAATATGTACTGGATATAGTCAGGAGGCAAGGAAACGGATGGAAAACTCAGTCTCTTTGCTCCCTAGTTAGCCTAGGGCTGTAGAAAGAAGTAGGGCATTGGCCAGTCTGAAATATGTCTCCAGGTCTAATTAATACTTTATAACTTTCTAGGATAGAGATGATCACTGAGGTCCCTCCAGGCTACTCAGTTCTGCAATCTGTGATTTAAGTAAATCAGAAGTTATTTAGCATGGCTTCACTAATCAGAAACCTGAAAGACCAGAGGCCTGTTTTCAGATGATCCCTTGAAAATGAGATTCAAATGACCAACCACTAAAAGAATCAAGTGCTAAATCACGAGATCGAGACCCTGAAACATAGTCTCCAGCTATTACGTGTTTTTTTGAAGAATGGCTATCATACAAACACAATTTCAGCGGGTCTTTATATTAAAGACACCATTTAAATGGGAACTGCATCCGGTGTTCTTTGTATGGTAATAAACTGAGCACATAAAATGAATGTGTAGCAGAATAGAAGTTATCTTTTTTTTTTCTTTTAATAATCCTGAGAAGCATCATGTCGAACACATGGAAAACCCTTAGACTGAAACAATAAACAGAGTTAGTTTGGGCAACTTTGAAAGAAAAGAAGGTAAGGAAGGGTTATTTCCTATGAGACTTATTGGAACCCAGTATTCAAAATGGTTTTCCTACTGACATCTTGAAGAATTCTGTGCTTTGTTACTATCATGTTTTCACCAACAAAAGAATTAGCTGGTTGGGCCTGGTGGCTCACGCCTGTAATCTCAGCACTTTGGGAGGCCGAGGCAGGCGGATTATGAGGTCGAGGTCAGGAGTTCAAGACCAGCCTGACCAACATGGTGAAACCCCCTCTCTACTAAAAATACAAAAATTAGCCTGGTGTGGTGGCGGCGCCTGTAATCCCAGCTACTCAGGAGGCTGAGGCAGGAGAATCGCTTGAACCTGGGAGGCAGAGGTTGCAGTGAGCTGAGATTGCGCCACTGCACTCCAGCCTGGGTGACAGAGCAAGACTTCGTCTGAAAAAAAAAAAGAATTAGCTGAAAGAGAACTTTAGAGAATACAGAACACCTGTAGATGGGAAATGGGATTTCTAACTCTCTAGGTCAAGACTATATACTTTCATAGGTATATGAAATGTGTGACCAGTATAAATATATGTGACCAATGAGACCACTATGAAGAATTTGTTGTGGACTCAGGTAAAGCAGTGCCACACAAAGAAATTCACCCAAAGAGGAAGTAATGGTTATAACTCTTCATGAGGTTGATGTTGTCTTCCTGTATTTTTTCCTGGAAGACAACAGTTTAGTTTGGACCATGATCCCATTGGAAGAAGCTTCGAAAGCTTTTGGAGCTGTTGGTCACCTCGCCTCCTTAATGCCCAACATTTGATGGTTTGGAGAAATGTAATTGCCACCCAGGCACTGCCTAGGCTTGGGTGTTCAAGTCTAGCCTTAATTATCACCGAAGCTCAGGGCCACTGCCATTCTCTGAAGCCCCTGATCTAACCTGGGGCCTCCAACTGTTTCAGATGAGTCTTTGTCTTAGCGACACAGGCACATTCTCTTTTTCTGTTCTGTTGCTGCAAAGTGGTATCTGAGGCCTGCCACTGGAGTCTGTTCACCTAATGCCGTTCCTTGAATATATTGCATGAGAAGATTCTTTTCTGTTTTTTATCCCACCATCTCCTGTTACCTTTATGTCAACACTTTCTCCTTGAGCTGACCCCTCATCAGCTTAAAACCAGTTCTTGCTTCTAGATTTTGCTTAGCTTGTGTTTTCTGGGCCACCAAATACTTTTCACTGGGTAATGTAAAAGGAGACAGAGCAAGCCAGGAAGCAGATGTCTCTTGGGTGGTGTGTGTCTTTGAGAATTGGAATTTGAAATCTCTGTATGAAAGGAGCAGTGAATGGGTGTAATTAGTCAGGCTGATGAAGGAGTAAAACCTGGTAAGCAGTTTTTCTTGACTGGCTTAATGAAAAGCATTAGCTATCAGTTTCTGTCTAAACGCGCTGAGGGTAAAACAAGTGTGGGGTTTGAACAAAAGATAAGATTCAGCGTGGGCTTGGACTCCGTTCCCAAGAATAAGTTTTGCTTGGGCGGAAAGTATGTGGTTCATCCGAAAAAAAAGAAATCAATGATTTGTGGCAGTTCTTCGTGCATTTTATTTCAGGATAATTTATAATATTTCAGGAAATGTAAGGGGTTCTCGCAAAGGCCCAAACTGGTGTTTTATAACCAAGTATGAATGTGTTGCTCCTTTTCTTCTCATCCCCTCAAGCCAGACACTTTCTCTAGGTCAGTTTTCAGGGCCAAGGAATCTTTTGGGGGTTAACTTACGGTTATCTTCCATCAGCTTTTGTCCTTCCCTGTGGCATGGACCTAGCCTAAGACCTTAAGACCTGCTCACCTCCTAGTGACTAGCAAGAAATTAAGTACCCCCTGGAGGGGAAGATTTCCTGCTCTCAAAGAAATTTTTAAAATATACTCTAACATCACTTATGATGCCTTTAAAGGCCTCGGAGAAAAACGATGTGAGTTTCTAGAAGAAAATGATTTTATATCATTGCTTGACTATGCTAAGCTGTAGTAAGGATTCTTCATGCAGCAAGACCAAATACCCCAATGATCAGCTCAAGTCCAGAGGGTGGCCCAAGATGCTGTTTCCTTTTTTGACCATCTCTGCCTCCAGGGACAGCAGATAGACATCTCCAGCAGGACCAGCGGCATCCATTCTCAGCTTGACTTTGTTACATAGATTTCAGCTTTCTGGCTTGGACCCCTGTGAAAAAATCTCTTAAACTGGGAAACTACAAAAGGGCTGGATCCACATTTTTTTTCCTTAAAGGAAAGATTATTTGTTAACGTTAATTGAGGTTGCAGATTATTTTCTTGATGTTGTGGGGACAAAAGTGACACATGATCTTACTTTCTGTCCTATTTGATTAAAATTCAGATAAATGTTACAAGGGATGACAAAACCCATTTTTTTTAAAGGTACACAACGTCTGGATAAACTACAGAGTGGAACAGAAAACAAAACAAATCCAGCCTCGTATTTTTTTTCCACATAGTTAATAATGCAAGAAAAAGCCAGCCAGGACAAAGAAAGCAGAATAAAAATGTGGTTCTTGGGTTCAGATGTTAGAGATGAGCATTGAGAGAACTTAACCAGTTCTGGAAAGGGAAGGAGAAAGAAAACTTTTTTTGAGACTTGCCATCTGCTAAGTGTTTCCACATACGTTATCTCAGCTAAACTCCACCTTCAGGCAATTTCTTATAGATGAGGAAAGGGATGCTTGAAGAGTTTAAATAACAGACTCATAGCTCAGGCAGAAAGTGGCAGAGAACACTTCGGGAGGACATGGCGGGTGGATCACAAGGTCAAGAGACCGAGACCATCCTGGCCAACATGGTGAAACCCCGTTTCTACTAAAAATACACAAAAAAATTAGCTGGGCATGGTGGCAGGCACCTGTAGTCCCAGCTACTCTGGAGGCTGAGGCAGGAGAATCGCTTGAACCCGGGAGGCAGAGGTTGCAGTGAGCCGAGATAGCGCCACTGCACTCCAGCCTGGCGACAGAGCAACACTCCATCTCAAAAAAAAAAAAAAAAAAAAAAAAAAAAAAAAAAAAAAGTGGCAGAGAAGAGACTCAAACCCAGGTTCCCTGCCCTCAAAGCCACCCCAGGGACTTCTGTCTTTACCTTTTTGTAACCAGGCACTGGGCACCAATCCTATAAAAATCCCTAAGAGGTTGGACCCAGTGCTTAGAGTACTCAACATATTATAAAGTTCACCTGACCCCAGAGACCTGCTTCAACCCATAATAGCAAAAGCGTTGAGTCCATGATCAGGACAAATCACAAGTCACACAACCTGCTTTAGTTTAAGTCTCTGGGAAGCCCAGCCTTCATTTTTGGCTAATTGCCTCATTGGCGAACTTTCCCCATTATTTATTAATGACAGAAATTTTTTTTTTTTTTTTTTTTTTTTTTGAGACGGAGTCTCGCTCTGTCACCCAGGCTGGAGTGCAGTGGCGCGATCTCGGCTCACTGCAAGCTCCGCCTCCCGGGTTCACGCCATTCTCCTGCCTCAGCCTCCCGAGTAGCTGGGACTACAGGCGCCCGCTACCACGCCCGGCTAATTTTTTGTATTTTTAGTAGAGACGGGGTTTCACCGTGTTAGCCAGGATGGTCTCGATCTCCTGACCTCGTGATCCGCCCGCCTCGGCCTCCCAAAGTGCTGGGATTACAGGCGTGAGCCACCGCGCCCGGCCCAATGACAGCAATTTTTTAAAAAGTGGCTCTTTAAAAACGCTTTTAAAAAATCTTTCTGTAATTCTAAAATACCTTTGATACTTTTAAGTAAGACTCAAAAATACTTTTGTATTTTATTTTTTATTTATTCATTTATTTTTGATACAGAGTCTCACTCTGTTGCCCAAGCTGGAATGCAATGGTGCAATCTCAGCTCTCTGCAACCTCCACATCCTGGGTTCAAGTGATTCTCATGCCTCAGCCTCCTGAGTAGATGGGATTCCAGGTGTGCACCACCACACCCAGCTCATTTTTGCATTTTTAGTAGAGACGAGGTTTCACCCTGTTGGCCAGGCTGGTCTAAAACTCCTGGCCTCAAATGGTCAGCCAAACTTAGCCTCCCAAAGTGCTAGGATTACTGGCATAAGCCACTGTGCCCGGCCAATATTTTTGTATTTTAAATGTGGACATCACATATCATTGGTGGCATATTCTAAAAGTATAACTTATTCAGTCTTCACTAGGATTTAGTTTTCAGAAAAAATTGTCCTGACACCACCATCATTATTACCAGTATCGAGACAGTTGCCTCATACTTGAGTTTTAATCCTAGCCTCACAGCTTGTACTCTTATGTGTCCCTGGGCAAGTCACATAACCTCAATCAGCCTCAGCTTCCATTCTGAAAAATGGTAGTAGCAGCATTATAAAGATATAAATGTCTGCTGTTTGGGGGCCTTATTAAGAGCCAGCTGCTGCACTTAGCACTTTGCTTACATGAGTAAAATGAGGATAAGTATGCCCAACTTCTTTAGTTCTTTTGCATCTTCAGGGATTTCCAATACACATACATCTAGCATGAGGCTTGGCATGTTGTAGTCAGTAGCCATCAGTCCTGCTCTCCTCCCCTTTACTTCCCCCTCCCTCACCTTAGGTCACACTAGGTCACTAATAACTCAGGACCTCTTGTTAAGGTCTTCAATAAAACATGGTGGTGATGGGTGACAGCAGGTCCATGGGTGTGACTGATCAGTGCTAATGGCCGTGACCCTTACCGTCCTCATGTGACAGGCTCAGAGCCAGACTGGGGCTAATTGATTCTATTACATTTAGAGATTTAACCTGTAGGGGGTACTCAGAATCTTTTTTATGAAGGGGCCATTTGATGAACTGCTGGGGTAAGGATCCATTTCTTAGCCTTGGCTTTAGGTTGCTTGTCCCAGGTAGGGAAAATGTACATTGGACTTTCTTGATCTTTTCTCATCCTCTAGGATCAGTTATAGCTGACCATTTGAATGAAATCTCCTAGTTACAGAAGCAGTAATTTGAAAGAAAAGTAATTAAGGGATCTAGAGGAAATTGCGAGATATAAATGAAATTTCCATCTTCCTACTGCCATAATATCTTCAAAGGATCCCATTAGCAATCCCCTTGGGATGAATGCCATGATTAAAAAATGCTTATCTGTGGTAATGGAACAAAGACGTAGGACACAAGGCTACCCTTGATCATATAACAACAAAGAAATACACCTGAATCTGGGAGATTATCTTCTTGTGAATTATAAGGAAATGCTTCTCAGTCATCTTCATTGAAGTACTGACTGGCAGACAGAAGTCTGAGACTATAACTCTAAGGTGCTTTCTTCAATTGTAATATATCTTTGAAATCTCAGATTTTATTTTAAACATATGCTTTGTGATCTAATTCTGTGTGACAAACCACCCCACCATTAGTGGCTTAAAATAAGAACAATTTACTTTTCCCATAGTCCCATGTGTCAACCTGGCTGTTTACTTCACCGTGTGCTGTCAGTTTGATAGGAAAGTCCAAAATGGTTTCTTGCCTGTGGCCGATAGTTGGTGATTGCTGGCAGGGAATTCGGCTGGAATTGTCAGCCAAGGGCCCCAGTTCTCATGGATGCTTGTGCTTCTTCACGTCATGGAGGACTCAAGATGGTCAAGCTTTTTTTTAAAAAAAGTGCCAGGCCTTCCGAAAGCTTAGGTTCTAGAATGAGCACTGTCTCACCTTCCCTGCATTCTTTTGGTTAAAATAGCCTAGATTCAAGTGAAGAGATTATACGAGAGCATGAAAACAGGAAGACACGGTGCATTGGAGGCCATCAAAGCAATAGTGCACTACAACATGGGAATTTTGCACACTCTTCCAGAATACATCTCCTATATGTGTTATAAAAATATATTCTCCCAAATAGTCAAGTAAAACGAACTCTTGTATAAGCTGTGGCAATATGCATTCCATGGTTTTGCTTACCTTGGCACACTACTGTGGACATGCCACTAGGGAAGTAAGTGCCAGGATTTTCTTCTTTTCTCAGCTGAAAGGTTAGGTCTTGGGACCCAGTAGGGCGGATCTGGGACGAGAGTAGAATACAGATGGTTAGTCCACATATTAATCTCACTTAGTGTGCATGTATGACTGAATCCCAAAGCTAAATACAAGTGATTTTTATTGACGTTCATGTCTATGTTTTCATCCTTTACCCACAGAATTAAGTTATAAATTAGAACCTAGAGAAGTATGGGAAAGACCCTGTTTTATTAAGATGTCCAGGGATGTAACTTAATTTGCTTGGCTCAGCTAATATAGTCTGCTTAATAAAATCTTTACCAGCATGTGTCACACTAAAACTGGTTTTTTTTTTTAAAGAGGTGAACTTAGGCCGGTATGATATCAAGATGGATATAGGCTAGGAGAGCTGCAGAGTATGGTTTTAGTAACCCAGTCTGATTTATTTCCCTAAGGGTGGAGGAGTTTTTTCACTGCAATCAGTAACAAGGATACTTTGAAATAGCACAGCAGCTGGAAAACAAATCATATATCTAAATGTATCTGCCCTTGTTTCAGGCCAAAGTCTGCAAATTATCCAAAAGACATTTTTCTTGCTTAAGTTATCTGAGCTCTGCTGCTACACAGGATTGTATATTACACTCACTCCTGTAGGGCCCAGAGAGAGGCCCCAAGCAGTAGGTTCCACATAGGCAAAGTACAGAAAATATGCACTGCCCTGATTGCCTTAGCTCTGTCTCTCACATCTTAAACCTTCTGTGTGAGAGATTCCATGTGGCACATCCCCAAAGCTAACACTGCCAACTCTGAAACCTGACTTCTAAAGAGTAGTATTGAATTTCTGCTTCCCACTCTCCATATTTTATTAACAAAAAGCTTCAAACATACAGAAGAGTTAAAAGAATTATTCAGTGGGCACCCATCTACCCACCTGGATTCTACAATTAAGATTTCCCTGTCAGTGCATCATCAGTCCATCCATTTCTAGAAGCAATTCAGAATAAGCTGAAGAAAACAGGACACTTCAAGTACAAACTGCAGTTCAATATTTACTGTCCTAGGCTGGGCACAGTGGCTCACGCCTGCAATCCCAACACTTTGGGAGGCCAAGGCAGGTGGAACACCTGAGGTCCGGAGTTCAGGACCAGCCTGGCCAACATGATGAAACTCCATCTCTACTAAAAAATACAAAAATTAGCTGGGTGTGGTGGCAGGCACCTGTAATCCCAGCTACTCGGGAGGTTGAGGCAGGAGAATTGCTTGAACTGGGGAGGCGGAAGTTTCAGTGAGCAGAGATTGCACTACTGCACTCTAGCCTGGGCAACAAGAGCGAAACTCCATCTCAAAAAAAAAAAAATTACTGTACTTTCTTCTTTTCTTTTTCTTTCCTTCCTTCTTTCCTGCCTCCCTCCCTTCCTTTTTTCCTTCTTTCCTTCTCTCTGTCTCTGGTTATAAAAGTTGCATGCAATGAAATACACTAGCCTTACATGTACTATTCTATGAGCTTGGTGAATACATGTTCCTGTGTAACCATAACCCCTGTCAAGATCCAGAACATTAGTATTACCTCACAAAGGTCTCTCCTATGTCTTTCCAGTCAATTTCCTCCACTCACCCTCCACCAGAGGCAATCACTGTTCCGACTTTTTTAAACCATAGATTCATTTTGCCTGTTCTAGGGCTTCAAATAAATGGCATCACACAGTGTATACTCTGTGTGAGAACTGGGCTTCTTTAATACATCTTAAAAATCTGAAATCATGTAAGTGCACCTCTTTGTGCTGGATCCAGAGGCAGCTATGCTGAGACCCTCTGCTCCTCTCCTTGCCTCGCAGGAGCAAGAATTATCCCAGGAGTCAGTTCTGACTGCCCAGAAATTTTGGAGCACTTGACCCCATGCTCTTATTTCAGTGTCCCCAAAAGCCTGCAGCAGCTTCTCATTGGCAGTGTAGATGTGGACGTGCAGGGCAGCGTGTGACAGAGATAGGAAGAGCCGGCACACCCATGCAGGCACTCACGAACCCCAGACGCTGTGTGTTTATTAGGAGGTCTGCCTTTGTGTCTGTGAATCGGACTCTGTATCACTGATTTTACTCTGATTGTTCCATGAGACAAAGGAGGAAATAGTTTGCTTCAAAGCATGCAATGTGACCCAGAGGGGAGAATGGTGTGTATCGCTGGGGATGAAGCTTCTTGGCCAACGAGGCAGACACTGCTCATTCTGCCTTCAATGTAGTAAAAGAGCCACCTGTGGGAGCTGAAGTTATCTTTAAGAGGCTTTTCCACACCTACAGAGTTCTTTTGACAACAAGAAACAGGTCACCCTACTTTCCAAGATAGAAACAGTACATTCAGGAACAAAGAGAGGGTAACACAGATGGAATGTGCCCCACGAGGCCTGTCAAACCGAGTGTTGCAAGGAGATATCATCAGGCTGTTCAATCCGGGGGGCGCGGACTGAGTATGTTCCCAAGTCTGGGTCTCTCAGTGTTATTTGGCTAAATGAAAAGTCTAACAGGTGCCTGGCAATTGCATGCACTGGTGAGACCCACACTTGGGGGTGTTTGGGTGTTACTTGACTATTTGGGAGAATATATTTTTATAACACATTGAATAGTCCTCATTGCACACCCACATTAAGAAGCTGCAGCCCCATAGTCTTGAATGTATTCCAGCTGTGAGCTGGTTCTCTTTTGCATCTCACACGTGTAGTTTAACGCGACACAGTTCGTATAAGCAGACTAGCAGCAATTATCTCCTCTAATGGATTATTTTATTTAGCTTTGTGCGTTATTGGGACATGGACTGCTGAACTAAGGCAAAGTTGAGCGACTCCTTTGACTTCTTGCAGTCCAGCTATCCCAACTTTTTGTTCTGTCTCATTTTGTGGCATGGACCCATCAGATACTACTCAGCAAATAACAGGAAGATTCCCCCACCATACCCCACAACCTCCACCTAAATATTCTATCTAAACTTCATGCTGCTCAAGGTTGGCTAAGAGCAAGGGGCTTCTTTGAGTTTTACAGCCTGGAAATATTGTAGTCTTGTAAAATTATTATCCAAGCAATAGTTTGCCTACAAAAATCTTACTGTGAGGACTAACTTACAAATATATCTGAGTGATGACAGACATCAGATTAATAAATTGCCATATGCATCTCTAAACAACAGATAACTATCAGTCATTTCTAATATTGTGTAGGATGACTTCAAAACACCATACAGGACCAGGGACACAATTCATAAGCCTTTTCCTCTAATTAGCTACAGACAAAGCTCAATAGATAGAGGGAAATTGGACAGGCATCAGAGAGGATAAGACAGATGCCACTGGGCTCAGCTGGAACAAAATCACAAGAAAACATACAGGTTTATGATTCAAGCTTATCTAAGCAATAATGGAAAAAAATATAACCCTTAGATAATAGGGCAACCTGAAACAATAACCTATACAGCTTACCATATTCAGGACAAAGAGAAGGAAGTGAAGGGTGGGGAGACAGCAGGATATTGACAATAAGAGAAACAAAAGCACAGGAGGCTCGTGGACTTCGTACTCTTAAAAAGTCTTTTAAAAAATGTCTTCTAAAGTAAAGACATACTTTGCAACTTTCCAGGCCTCACTTTTAAGCAATTATTTGGGTACAGAGATTTCTACTTTCTCTGAATCTGGAGATGCTGCTTGGATGTGATTTTAGAAATCAATAGGTTTAGAAGTCCCTGGCACTTTTGATCCATTAGCTGGTTCACAGAAGCAGCCTTTCATAAAAGTCTTTGTAAACTGCTTTTCCCTAAAATGATTCTCCCTAAGCAGCTCTTCTCTTCTCCTATACTTCATCCCGGCAGCCAGATAATCAAATCCTAGAGGAGAGACAGGGAATTCTCTTCACATTTCTCTGGAGCCCATGACCAGGCACCCATAACCACAATTAAGAAGAGAGGCCAGAAAGGCAGGGCCTGGCTGTGGGGCTCCTTTAGCTTCTTGGTAAAGGGTTTTAAACCGGTTCTTATTATCTTTTTAAATGTTAAAGAGGGAAGTCCTGTTGAACCCCTGATGGCATTCAATTATGGGCATGATTATAAAATGTCTCAGCTCTTTGGGGAGTGTGAGCAAATCGATAGAGTGTTGAGAGAGTGCAAAGCTGTGAGGCTTGCCTTCGCAGGATCTCCTCCCTTCTCCCACCTCACTTCTGCAGTGGAAGTTTGTAGTAGAAGGGGCTTGCTTGCTGCATGGAGGGGGTTTAGGGAATTATTACCTAGCAACGCAGGGCAAATAAATGGTGCTCCGAGACCTTTAACTCATTTGATAAAATTTTTAAAGGGTGCCATGGGGCATTCCTCCATATTATTCACTTGCAGAGGCCTATGTTAATTCGTAAATAAATAACATGGTTCTAGGATCTTTGGCCACCCCACTTTTGAGTAAGCCTCTCACCCTCTCTTTTCTCCCACTCTGTCATACATTTTTGTTGTTGTTCTGTTTTAGATGAGTTCTCTGTGAAATGAACCTAGGTGTGTTTGTTTATGTGTTTTTCTGAACAAGGCAACTTTGGTTAATGCACGTGGCTCCATGTTTCAAAGAAATTATATGGCTACTCTAAATATAGCAGGATAATTTCATCATTAGGGTGAACAAGCATGCATGCATTCATTGAGCAGTGATTTGTGACATACGCCCTGTGTGCCAGGCACTGTGCAAGAATGGAAGCTCCATGAGGATAGAGATATTGGTCTTCTTTGCCCACTGCTGTATCTTTGATGCCTGAAACACTGCCCAGCACAGAGCTGGGGCTCAGGAGCATGAGGACAGCCTGCACATACAATGAGGGAAATTGGAAGCACATTTTTTCCTCCCTAAGGCTGTAACCCAGTTCTAATCACTTGTGAAACCCACAGATTGGAAAGAAAGAAGTAATTTCATGATGTTAGGCCTCAGTGGTGTGTCTCTAAAGTGATTTAGTGTCCTGAAGGATTCTGGGCTATCTCACTACTTTAGACAACTCTGAAATGGAACTGGCAGAGTGTAAGTGCATTGGAAGGACCTGCTTTTTAAAAATAAATCAAAATTTTAACAAAATGCTTTTTTCCCCTATGGCTTACGACTGTACTTATACATAAATGACCTCGTACCATATGCTTTAGGAGGGATTAAACTTTAATAGTGAGATATTCTAAAGCCCTGTCAGGACATCTCCACAAAATGCTTGTTCTTCTGCCTCTCCCTAGGAGTGGCTCCTGATAAGAGGAATGGTGAGGATGAGGATGAAGACCAGGACGAATGAGAGTAAATGGGGAAGCCCGTGGCAGTAGCTGAGAGTTAGGAGCAAGAGGAGTAGGCATAATTTGGGGAGGTAGACCACCTTCCCTTCCTAGAATTGTTTGTCTGACCTCTCCTGGAATCATAGCCCTGCTCTGAGAGATGTTCTTGTTATTCCTGTCATGACTCCATTCAACATATGAGGCAACCAAAGCCCAGGGATTGTTGTGGCTCCTCGTGGCTAGACAGCTGGCAAATGGAGGGGCTAAGCTGAACCTTGAGAGGACCCTTCTGAGCCCCCATTTTTTTTTCTGTCTGAGACGGAGTCTCACTCTGTTGCCAGGGTAGAGTGCAGTGGCACAATCTCCACTCACTGCAACGTCCGACTCCCTATTTCAAGTGATTCTCCTGCCTCAGCCTCCCGAGTAGCTGGGATTACAGGCACGCACCACCACACCCAGCTAATTTTTGTATTTTTAGTAGAGACAGAGGTTCAACATGTTGGCCAGGATGGTCTCGATCTCCTGAACTCGTGATCTGCCTGCCTCAGCCTCCCAAAGTGTTGGAATTACAGGCGTGAGCCACTGCACCTGGCCTTGAGCCCCCGTTCTTAATCACCATGCCCTACTTCCCCCAGGGGTTCCCCCTGTGGTGTTGCTGTGACATTTTTATGCCATAGTTCGGACTCCTGCTGCCTATTTCAGCAGTCATGATGGTCCCCTGCCTGTTGTGGTGCAGGATTCCCTTGAGTGCTGGCACCTCTTGTTCTGTCCCTGGACAAAAGTAGCATGAGGCTGAGAATGATGCCTGAGCCAGGTGTGATTAGTGCCTTAGGACCCAGAAGTGCAGAGTGTGGAAGCAAGCCCTTCCTCCACACCCTCACAAACCACTTCTTCAGGGCTGCTCTGCCTGGTCGTGCATGTGTCCCTCATTACTCACTTTGGCCGGAGCATTGGTGAACTCCTTGTTGCACCTGCCACATGGGGTTCTGAAGAAGATGAAAGAAATATCAACTGAAAAGGCCTGTGAGCAAGGGACCCAGGGCTCTATAAAACCAAGGGTCATTCTTGTCTTCGTAGCCATGGCAACCACAGCTTAGCCCAGGGTGGGCAGAGGGCCAGGCCCACTGATTTGCACAGAACCCCCTTGATGTGCAAGGAAATCTGGAGGCAGAAAAGCCCATGGGATAAGAAAAAGATGAAAGGTCTTATCTGCCACTGTTTTTTTTTTTTTTTCTATGATATCTGTAGTTGGCTTTGAAAACCATCTTTATAAGACAGATTCACTTCTGTCTTTTTGGGAAATGATTGTAGCTGATGAGATTCATTATAACCACACAGGAGCAGCCTAGCAACATCTGACTTCTGGGCTTGCAGAAGTCTCTGCTTCTCTGTCAGGACAGTCCTTCCATGGTGCCATCACTTTTTCAGAAGTCAACTCCAGTTTACTAGCTATTAGTGGTTTTTCAAGTGATACTGTGATATCCTGTCTGTCCGTGGCTGGCTACAATGCACTTAGGTGAAGTAGATCTTTGTGTTTGAACAAGCAGACCTTGTTCTTACTATGTACATACTCAGACTTGAAGAATTACACAGTGGCTTAAAACACTGTTGAAGAAAGAGGGTTATCTAGTGTTTTCAGTTTCTTTCTTTCTTTCTTTCTTTTTCTTTCTTTTTTTTCTCGTTCTTATTTCTTATTATTTTTATTTCTTATTATTCCTGTCATGACTCCATTCAACATATGAGGCAACCAAAGCCCAGGGATTGTTGTGGCTCCTTGTGGCTAGACAGCTGGCAAATGGAGGGGCTAAGCTGAACCTTGGGAAGACCCTTCTGAGCCCCCATTTTTTTTTTTCTAAGACAGAGTCTCGCTCTTTTTTTCTCTTTTTTTTCCTCGCTCTGTTGCCCAGGCTGGAGTGCAATGGTGCAATCTTGGCTCACTGCAATCTCTGCCTCCTGGCTTCAAGTGATTCTCCTGCCTCAGCCAACCAAGTAGCTGGAATTACAGGCATGCACCACCACGCCCGGCTAGTTTTGTATTTTTAGTAGAGATGGGGTTTCACCATGTTGGTCAGGCTGGTCTCGAACTCCTGACCTTAGGTGATCCACCACCTCAGCCTCCCAAAGTGCTGGGATTACAGGCGTCTTCAGTTTATTTCTGAACAAAGGCTTGCTTAATAAGAGGCTTGCCTTCAGTGACAACAAAGTCTAGTATAACACAAATATGCTTTTCCTTGAGTGATTTGAGCACTGAAATATGGGAGCTGAGGGGGTTGATAATTCTCCAACCTAACATACAGCTCCTCTTAGAAGGATGTCAGCATGAATGTCTCCTTAGCCATATTGGGAAACATGAAATATGTGTTTATTTAAAGACAAACAGGAGTATTAATTTGCTTCAGAAAATTTGAATGACTTTGAAATTAAAAACAAAATTATCTTATCTAATTAGAAAACAACACCCCATCAAAAGTTAAATGTGTATTTCAGGACAAAACATAGACAGGGTGTGTTTAAAATATCTGAAAGGGTGCCCAGAGGAATGGGTTTTATATTTGTACCTCCAATCTCAGTTGAATTTTTAACAGTTCTGTTACACCACTAATCCTTATCCTTTACTTTTTTTCTCTCTCTCTGGAAAGTCAGGAGGGCACCTGCCCTCCCACCAGCCATGACCTACTTCCCAGTCTGGTGTTCCCATCCCTCTGCAACTATATCAGTGAAGGCCAAAACCCACAGTTTGAGTAACATATTTAAATATAGGTCAAGAATTGGAACCAGCTGAGCTTAGAGAATAGCACGTCATACGATTCTATATTGTTTAGGTGAAAATTGTGTTTCCTGTTCCTGTTGTTCATATTGGGGTGATAGAGGGAAGAAGAGAGACAGGAAGAAAAAGGGAAAAGAGAGTTAGAGTCAGAACAGAGACAAGAGTGAAGAATGAAAAACGTGTCTGGATGTGAACAGAGCAGTGGAGCAGAGTGGACTCCCCACAGAACCCAAAGACCTGGATACTACAGGATACTAGTTCCCTATGGGGTGGACACCAAGCTTCTCAAATTCTTTGTCCCTTGGTCTGTGGAAAGAAAATTCCTGCCCTACCCAAGTCTTAGGGTCCTTTAGAAAATACGAAGGGATGCAACTGAACAATATCTGTCAGGGTGGTGTAAAGGAAGCAGGCCATGTTACAGGAACAACTTACTTTTTGGGCATCTCAAGTAAAAGGAACATGGCATAGGTCTATCCTTCCCATGAGACATGACACCAAATGCACTGATTCTCTTGCTGGAAATCAGACCAGTTTCATTAGTGTCAGGAAAGGAAGCGCGCACTTCCCTATAGCCATGATCACGTTCGGAAAATGAGTGCTGGTTCGGGTGTTAGAGGTCCTGTAATTGTATCTCTTCACTTAAAAGACAACTATTCATAGAGTGACTAGTTCAAGGTCTCACAGGTAGTAAAGAGCAGACGTGGGACCAGACATCAAGCTACTTGTTTCTGCTCATTGACTCTGTTTCTACCCTTAACCTAGCTCCTAAGCTTCCTGAGGCTCAGAGTGTGTGAAGGATTCTGTGTGCATTCACAGGGTTGAGGCTAGTGAGGAAAGGATATTCTTCAAGTTTTCATCCTGAAGTCCAGAAACCCCATGAAAAGTACTGAGAATACTGTGGGCACACTGAAGGGCTGGCATCTGTGGTTTCCTGTTCTTGGTACAGCATCCATATCTCTCAGAGGTCATGACAGCCACACCAATTCTAAAGGGACAAAAGCAGGCTGCATTTCAGAGGCACGCCTTGTAAAAATATGTGCACTTGTGAGTCTAACTGTAAATTGCTTAGTTTTTTCAGTGATTGGATCATGAATACCACCTTCTCCAGTAGGAAAGGAAGACTTGTGAGCACTTCTCAGATAACAGGGACAGTCTGGATAAGATTAAAACACAAAGGCCTCATTGTATCGATTCATTTAAAATTCCTCTCCCCCAAGTCTTCAAATTAAAAAGTTTTCAACAGCTAAACCCATCTATCAATTTCAGTACAGAAACTTTTTTTTCTTTGCAAGCATCAAGAAGCCACATATTGATCAAAAAACAAATGAGTGGCAGGAGGTAAGGAGCCGGTTGTGCTAATAAACGGCATACAGTCAGCTCCCACTTCGACCTAGAAATAAAACTACGAAGTAGAACATTGTAAATAGAATGGTGTTTTCTAAAGGAAAATGGATAACTACAGGTTACATATTCAATTAATGTTTTTTCCCCAGCAGATAACTCACAGATGAGAACCCTCAAAATGAGGTGATAAATGTAAATTACTATAGCTCTGTTACAACTTTCATTTTATTTTGTTTTGTTTTGTTTTGTTTTGTTTTATTTTATTTTATTTTATTTTATTTTATTTTTTGAGATGGAGTCTCTCCTTGTCACCCAGACTGAAGTGCAGTGGTGTGATCTTGGCTCACTGCAACCTCTGCCTCCTGGCTTCAAGCAATTCTCCTGCCTCAGCCTCCTGATTAGCTGGGACTACAGGCACGTGCCACCACATCCAGCTATTTTTGTGTGTGTGTGTGTATTTTTAGTAGAGACAGGGTTTCACCATCTTAGCCAGGATGGTCTTGATCTCCTGACCTCGTGATCTGCCTGCCTCAGCCTCCCAAAGTGCTGGGATTACAGGTGTTAGCCACCGCGCCCGACCATAATTTTTAAGACGTAAACAGTGCTTTAAGTCCAATAAAATAAGAGCAAATGCATTATGTATAATACTTATACAAGAAACCTCAAGTTATTGTGAAGAGCATATTGATTTTCATCTGTCTCTTCATAACCCTCTTTTTCCAAAATACTGCACCTCCTAAAATGCAATAATGATGGTGGTGCTAAGAGTGAGCTAACCCCAGTCCAGTCCAGGGCTAGATTCCCCCTTCCCTCCCCTGGCTTCTTCTCCATGTATGTCTAGACCATAATTCCCTCTGTACAGAATGCTCCAAAACTCACTAGAGTCACCTTACATTGAAGTGTAGATGCATGTTATTTTAGTAATATTGCTTCAGTAGTAGTTGAATGTGAAGACTATCATCAGGCTGGGCACGGTGGCTGACGCCTGTAATCCCAGCACTTTGGGAGACTGGGGTGGGCGGATCACTTGAGGCCAGTTCAAGACCAGCCTGGCCAACATGGTGAAACCCTGTCTCTACTAAAAATACAAAAAAATTAGCCAGGCATGGTGGTGTGTGCCTGTAATTCCAGCTGCTCAGAAGGTTGAGGCAGGAGAATTGTTTGAACCTGGGAGTCAGAAGCTGCAGGGACCTGAGATCATGCTACTGCATTCCAGCCTGGGCAACAGAATGAGATTCTGTCTAAAAAAAAAAAAATTAAAAATTAAAAAAAAAAAAGACTGCCATCAATACTATTGGTGTTTTCCACTTTAGGGATCTTTGTCTTTTTCCTACAATGAGAAGGCAGAAAACTTCAAAAGATTCTTGTGTGTTCTTTTTTGAAAGCCTCCAAGAGTCCCCATGCATGCTGTAAGAATGTGAGAATTAGGGTGAGTGAGTGTGCATCTGTATTTGTTTCACAACACTTCAGGAGAAGGAGAGGGGAGGTGAAAATCTTTAGAATCGGGTGCAGGATTGGGGATGATTTTTCGTTCTCTGCTTTTGGTACTTTTGGGAGAAATCTTCATTTTTGTAAATAATGAGTATACACTGGTTTGCAAATAAATAAATACATACATAAACATGTAAATAAATCTTTAAGTTACCATGAAGGAAAGGGAAGCAGGCAAACGAATCCACAGGACTAGTACTACAAAGAGGGATAAGTCATTCCGGCTAACTCTATCCCCTCAATCTTTGGGTGTCTTGTGTAGGAATCCTGGCCCTTCCTTCCCTATGTCTCTAAGGCTTTCTATGTGATAACAGAGACACCCTGGGCTCTGCTGGCAGAGAGCGCTGGTTCAAAACTCATTTCTGCTTCTATGAACTCCATGATTTTAGCCAAGTTACTCAAACTGAGCCTTAGTTATTTCATCTGTAAAATGGGCACAATGAAGCCTTCTGTAGCTTCCATGAGGTCTAAATGCAACAATAATTGTCAAGTCATTCACACAGTTTCACATGCTTACAAACAAGTTATCTCAATGATTGTTCATTCCTTTCTCCACCCTAGCCTGCCTCATTATAGTTACCATGTAATTTGAAGATGAAAGGAGTTTTTGATTTTTACTGTACTGCTCGTTTGAAAATCTGTACACGTAACTATTTTAATTTAAATTATTTAAAATTCCATAAACTTAACATTTTATTTTCTTGTTTAAAGTGGCTATGAAATAATACAGTGCAGATGGAACATTTCCATCACTGCAGAAAGGTCTGTTGGTGCTTGTGGTGCTATTGGCTCTCTTGCAGCTATAGGTGTGATACAGTTGTGGTCAAGGAAATGTCAACAAAAGTCTCCAGGTAAAGCTTTTCTGGAAGGCAGCTTTTGCTGCCGGGTTGATGTTATGACCATGAGGTGATCTTGAGGATGGAAGCCATAGGAAAGGAGTAGAGAATTAGTTTAGAGCTGGTCATTTGGAGATACTTAACAGCTAGCCATTTCTCACAATCTCATCATGTTCCATCTTTCCCAATCTCCATGTTATGGTCATCTCATAACTAAAATACTTAATAGCTCTTTCTTAAATTGGGCAAAGTCTTAATCTCAATGCATCATGTTCTTTTCAATAGGAAAGGAGGCCAGATAGGAGAGGTAGTGTGTTCTTGGAAGGCAGAAAAATCTTTCCTTCTTTCTTCTGATGTCCAATTGTTCTTTCTTGTCTCTATTCTTTTCTTTTCTCATTTCTTCCTTCTTTTCTTTTTTCCTTCCTTCCTTCCTTCCTTCTTTCCTTCCTTGCCTCCCTCCCTCCCTTCTCTCTCTCTCTCTCAGATTATAGAAAAGACATTCACCTGGCCTGGGAAACTCTTTTACTGTAATAGGGAAATGCTTCATCAGTGAACCTGTAGAAATCCCTCCCTCGAGTATTTTTCTAAGCAGATGCATCCACCATTACTGATGGCCTGTTTTAGGCTGTTCAAAACTAGTGAAACTAAATGGACAGTACCTACAATGCCAAAGAAAGAAATGAGAAAAAAGCTCACAGATGCTACAAAACAGCTTCAATATGGAAATGTCCCTGCTTCTGAACACCTTCTTCTTTGGCCTCTCCTTTTAAATCCGAAGTTATTATAGATTATTTTTTCCTACCCTGTATGCTAGGCACATGCTGTTCCGAACTAAGAATTCATGAATTTTAATTCTCATTAGTAAATTGGCTTCTTGCCTAACCTTGGGCAGAGGACACACCATGTCTTTAATGCATTCCTCTAGGAATCACATACAATGCTGTAAAAGGTTTAATTATTAATGGAATTTGCAGAGAACTTGCCTAGCTGTATAACTCCAGCCAACCTTAATTTTTAATCTTTATAAATACCTTTGAATTTTAATAAGGCAAGTTCACAGCAAGGCAACCATTTATTCTTCAAGCATGACTTTTAATTTATGGTTTCTTCCCATTCTTTGCTTTATCTCCTCTTCCTCCCTCCCCTTTGGATGGATTTCTCTACCATCATACACCAACATAATATTTTATCTTCTTATAACAACTGTGTTTTTAAAAATGTAGTTGAGAAAATGGAAGCTAATTGTTAAAAAGGGAATCTCAAATTTCTGTGAATGTTTTTATTCAAGCTCTGTTTCTCCTCTGATGTAGAAAATAAAAATTTAGTGATATCCCTTCAAACAACAGAATATTCTGTGAAGGTGTATGGGAGGTATTTCTGTCATATTACATATGCTTGTTGACTATAAAGTTGGTTTTTTGAAACTCACATTACCCCTATAGTAACAATCTTATAAATGGTGGTTAGAGTATGAAGATAGCTCACATAAGTCTGTTTTACTCAAAGTCCAATCTCTGGCTTTGAAATGAAAAATACTGGGAAGCAATGCTGTTATAATCCAAGTATTTAAATAGAACAGAAAACATCTCCATTTTAGTTTTTAAACCTCCAGCTTTTCTTCTCCTTTATACTAATATTTTTCTTGCCTTACATATGTTCGTCAACTCTTGAAGATCATTAAAGATTTTTTTTCCTTTAACAAAAGGAGAAAAGAAAAATGAATAGTGAAATGGTGCTGATATGACTATGTAAGCATCAGATGAGAGAAGAAGGCACACGGTGGCCTGCAGTGGTGGCCACATTCACGAGAAAGAATTTGCTAGGTAGAGTTATCTTTATTCTGGAAGGTGAAACACGAGTGGCAAATGGAGAAGGATATGGGGACAAAATGTCCCTCTGAAGGGGAAGAAAGACAGTAGTAGAAATGTTGAGCAGAGCAAAGAGCCTTCAAGGTGACACTGTTACCCCAAACCTACTCCATGGTGGGGTTTTAGAGGGTGTGTGTGTGTGTGTGTGTGTGTGTGTGTGACTGACAGAAACCAGGCATGTGCAAGGAAATGATGTGGACACAGAAGCAGGGTTTTTAAAGTGCTAGGCATAACTAAAGAAGGCTGAAATTTTCTGCTTCACCTGAAGGATAGAGGGAAGGACAGTCCCAGGAGATGAGACAGGGTAAAACAAGTTTCTTCCAAGCTATCTTACAAACCAGTGCTTTTTAGGCTCATTCATGGGTCACAAACAATCAATATTTTTTTAGAAATTAAAATCAAATGAAATTGAATTTTAAAAGTACATTACCCTTTGGAGAGAAAACATGAAATTTTAGGTGTATACTGGCTAATGTCTACTAGATTGCTATGTAAAAGTACTTCTTAATTTGGATTACAATCAAAGTCAGGGAATGACATTGCTATGTGTGGTACTTTGGGGTAATTAATCTGGGAGTGTCAGGTAGGTGGATTCTGTACGCAGACTTAAATTAATATAGATCTGAAAGGAGGAAGGGTCTTGTCAGGGTGATGGCAGTGATTGGAATGAATGAAGATAGACATGGGGAAACGATAAATGTGAAACCAATAGCATTTGGCTGCTGATTGGATGTATAATATGAGGACAAAGGAGAAATACAAATTGTTTCTGTTTTAATCTGGGTACATGAGTAAACGGTGAGAGAAGAGGTATAAAGAACATGAGTGGAAGCTCAGGCTTGGGGCAGCAGAATGTGAATTCGATTTCCAATACTTTGCATGTGTGAAGCAAAAGAGACATCCCAAAGGAAGCTGGAAATGGGAACTGAGCTCAGGAGAGCTGTGGGGCTGGAGCTGTGAATTGAGAGAAATCCCTATGGAAGGGAGATTTGGCTCTTGAGAAAATGTATAGCTGTAGTGTGAGGGAATGTGTAAAGAGGAAAAAATAAGAGAAAACACCAATTCTGGAATTCCAGACTTGGGAATGCCTAGAATTCAGGAGCAGCAAGGAGATGAGGAAAAAGGGGAAGAAATGAGAGAACTAGTGTCACTGAAGTGGAAGGACAAGAGCAGCTCTGAGGGGCAGGCAATGGGATCCAATGACAGAGAGGTCAGAGAAGGTGGCATGTGAGAGAAAAAGTGTATTTGCCAGATTGAGCCCAGTAGTGACCTTGCAGAGCAGCTTCAGCAGAGCAGTGGGAGCGAGCTGACTGCTAGGGTATGGGTTGACCTGGTTGGGAGGTCTGGTGGCGAAGGCCCCCATGCAGTCAGTTTGGCAGGGACAGATGGAGAGTGACTGAGAACACTTGATTTGGTTCTTCCAGCTGACTGGGTCTTCTCTCTTCTGTCCAACCACTACGTTGATGACCCTTGCTGGATTTAGTGTGTTTTCCATTAAAACAGACCCATCCCCTGTCCCTGCCTCTCAGAGCTCTAGGGTTAGTGGATGGTAATGATTCCAGTCCCATAACTCCCAGCTCCATGAAGACTGAGGGGATTCTGGGACTGGCAGGGCTGTAAAGGCACTTAGAGATGTTTTTGGTTGGAAGTGCCTTGCTGGCTGTGCCTGTCGATGGACAGCTTTGCTTCTTTAAGTATTCCTTTGTAAGTTGTGTGTATCAATAGACAACCTTCCCCCATCATGTCCATCCTTAATCACTTTTTACTTTTGCTTTTTGTTAAAGTAATTTTAAAAGGAGTGTTCCTTTTTCAAAAAGAAAAATTTTAACCAATTATGTAATTCAAAAGAATCTACTATGCTGTTGGGGAAATTTGTGTAAATTACAGTGAGGGTCACCGCACTTGTGGCAGTTATGGAGTAAATGTGGAATCAATATTTCTTGGATTGAAACATGGAAATCTACTTTAAACCACACCAAAAAGATGTATTTAGAATCACTGACCACTAATATTAAGTGATGATGAAACTAAACTTTACTCCTATAGCTTTGTCCATACCTGGCAGGACTGCTTCTAATGCAGGTTTCTACTAGATCATGATATATGAAAGGCAAAGAAATACGGTGAATCCAGTAAGAGAGTCTTCACCTGGGAAGAATGTGTTTTATTTGGATAAGTTGCATAGCCATTTCCATAGCAAAGGAATATTTTCAGAAAATGAACTGAAAGATGTGTTGCATATGGAATCTCACTTGGCATTTTGGTAAAAATGGAGAATCTTTGGTTCCCTATTATTACCAGCAGCAACAATAAGCAAACAGAAACGTTCTCTCTGAGTTCATTTACTTCTTTTTCAAAATGTGGAACAAAAAACAGCACACATATTTTTGTGCCTGCCTGGCAAAAATCCCAAAAGCTCTGCTTAATTCTGTTCAGGGTGGGGGGATAAATTTTACACTAGCAACAAATACCTGGGAATTAAAATAATGTGTGTCTGTTGATAAAGCAACATTTTGCCTCTTCGGAGGCATTACTCTTCTTCTTTTTTTTTTTTTTTTTGAGTAACACTCTTTGCTTTTCCTGGTTTTACAGATCTGATATAAATAAAGGTGGTTGTGGACTTTAGAGTCTTGTCCTATGTTGCCTTTTGCTTTGTTCTATTTTAGAATGCATTTGAATATGTTCAAATGCCTTGTCCAAGTTGATAGCTTCTGAATTCTCAAATTCTTACATAAAGGTCAGACAATACCCTTTGGCTGCCTCTTGTGTTCTCTGTTGGTTGTGGTTTTGGACCAGGAGATGTCCCCTGAAGATGTCCTCTAGAAACCTTTACTGCTCAGGGAAATACTCAGCTGTGTTTATCATTGACCAAGGAGCAAGTGTCTTTTTAAGATGTCAGAGCACAGAAAGCTGAAGTTATTCTACTACTGGCTACCAAAACAAAACAAACAAACAAACAAACAAAAACAAGCTCCCTCTAGCTGGACCCTTCAAACAAAGGAGTCTGTTTCATTTGTAGGAGAATGTGGGAAACGACATTTACCTCTGGGTCTGTATGACTGCCTTTGGCAGATTCTCGACATACATCTGATGAACAAATGACTCAATGAGCAAGAAAACTGAGGTGAAGCACTTGGAAGCATACCATGTCAGAGTAGAAGTGACTTGTCTGGTCATTAAAATAGGTAAATAAAAGTCCTTTATGCCTTTCTAGTCTTTAAAACTTTTCTACAATGAACATCTATTACTTTTGTAATCAGACACAAAGAAAGAAAAAACGAAAATAATAAACAGAACACTAGTTAAAAATAAAACAAAACAAAGAGATCTAATTGCTTTTTTAATGATGGCATTAATTTACTTGATGACACATTTCTTTAATATTTCTCTCATTTGCAGCAAGCCATGTGTTAACAGTGCACAATACACATACTCAATGCATGGCTGATAAAAACATTAAGTCAACAAACATTTATTGAGCACTTATTAAATAGCAGGGTGCTTGCTAGGCACAGTGGGGTATTTATGGATAAATAATACATGAGCCAGACCCTCAAGGAGCTCACTTATGATGCAGGTGGGACCAAATCCATAATTGTTAATAATGAATGGTAGCTTTTAGTGGCAAACTGTTCCTTACAAGCAAGTAATGTCCTTTGTCCGTATTAAAAACTTACTCAATGGCACAAGGCACACCTCTTACAATTTTTAATTAAACTTCTGCTTTGAAGGAATTGTAGATTCATATGGTATTGTAAGAAATAACACAAACAGAGCCCATGTGCCCTTTACCCAGTTTCCCCCAATAGTAACACCTTGTAAAACTATAGTACAATATCACAAAGCTATGATATTGACATTCATACAGTCAAAATACAGATCATTTCCATTTCCACAAGGATCCCTCATGCTGTTCTTTTATAGCTACACCCACTTTCCTCCCCATTCATAAACCCCTGGAACCCACTATTCTATTCTCCATTTCTATAAGTTTATCATAATGTTATATATATGGAGTCATTCAGGATGTAAACTTTTGGATTTTTAAAAATTACACTCAGGACAATTTTCTGGAAATCTATCAAGGTGGTTGTGTGTATCAGTAGTTTGTTTCTATTGATTGCTGAGTCGTATTCCATGGTATAAATGTATCACAGTTTGTTTAACCATACGCCTATTGAAGGACATCTGGGTTGTTTTTTGGTTTTGGCTATTATGGATAAAGGTGCTATAAATATTTGCATACATTGTGTGAACATAAGTTTTCAATCCTCTGGGATAAGTGCCCAGGAGTGCAATTACTCGGTGGTAGGGTAGTTGCATCTTTAGTTTTAGTTGTTTTTTTTTTAAGACATTGCCGAAACATTTTCCAGAATGACTGTACCCTTTAACATTTCCACCAGCAATGTATGAGTGATCCTGTTTCTCCACATCCTCACTGTCATTTGGTGTTGTCATTGTTTTTTGTTTTAGCCATTCTGATAGGTATGTAAGATGTCTCGTTGTGCTTTCACCCTGCATTTCCCTCATCTAATTATTTTCAACATCTTTTCATGTGTTTGTCTTGCCATTGTTTATATATGGTGAAATGTCATCTCTTCATCCCTTTTCTTCATCTTCTAATTGGATTGTTTATCTTTAACAATTCAGTTTTGAGAGTTCTTTATGTATTCTAGATAGTAGTCCTATGTCATTTATAGGACTTGGAAATATTTTCTCCCAGTGTGTAGCTTGTCTTTTCATCATTTTAACAGGATAAAAATGTAAAGCAAAGGTTTTGATTTTGAGAAAGTCCAATTTGTTAATTTTTCCTTTTAGGTTTTGTGCTTTTGGTTGTCAAGTCTAGGAATACTGTGCTTGGTTTTAGATCCTGAAGGTTATCTCTATATTTATTTTTTTCTACGAAGTTCTGTAGTTTTATGTTTTACATTTAAGGCCATGATTCATATTTTATTTAATTTTTATACACAATGTGAGACTTAGGAGATTTGATTTTTGCCTATGGATGTCCAATTGCTCTGTCACCATTTATTGGAAAAGTTATTGTATTAGTGTTACAGGGCTGTTATAATAAATTACCACAAACTTGGTGGCTTAAAACAACAGAAACGTATTCTCTCATAGCTCTGGAAGCTGGAAATCTGAAACCAGTATCATCAGGGCCATATTACCTCAAAAGGCTGTAGGGGAGAACTCTTCCCTTCCCTTGTCTCTTGTCTTCTTATGGCTGTTGGTAATCCCTGGTGTTTCTTGGCTTATAGATTTGTCACTCCAATCTCTTGTCTCCCTTTTCACATGTCTGTGTCCCTGTCACTCTCTGTCTTCTCCTTTCCTGTCCCATCTAAGGATGCTCGTCATTGGATTTAAGGCCTACTCTAATCCAGAGTGATCTGATCTTAGAAATCCTAACCTTAATTACATCTGCAAAGACCCTATTCCAAATAAGGTCCCAATCTGAGGACTCAGCAGCCATATATTTTTGGGTCCATAATTAAACCCACTACAAAATTGCTTTTACATGCTTGTCAAAAATCATCTGGGCATATCTGTCTGAGTCTGTTTGGGTTCTCTCTTCTGTTCTATTGATTTATATGTTCATTTCTCCACCAATAGCACATAGTCTTAATTATTGTAGCTATATAAGCTTTAAAATCAGGTGCGTAAGTTTTAAAATCAGGTAGAATGAGTCTTCCCATTTTCTTCTTGTCAAAATTGTTTTTCACTATTCTGTATGAATTTTGAATTTCCATATACATTTCAGAATAGTGTTGTCAATATCTACAAAAGATTTCACTGGGATTTTGATAGGAATGGTGGTAAACCTGTAAGTCAGTTTGAGGAGAATTGACATCATTACTGTGCTGAGTTGTCTAATCCATGAACATAGTATGTTTCTTATTTATTTAGATCTTTGATTTCTTTAATCAGTATTGTAGTTTTGAGTATGCAAATCCTACACATGTTTGAATATTCAACTAGCCTTGCATTCCTGGAATGAACCCCGCTTGATCATGATGTATCATTCTTTTGATATATTGCTAAATTCTATTTGCTAGTGTTTTGTTAAGGCTTTTTGCATATATATTTATGAAGATGTTTGTAGTATTTTTTGTGTTATGTTTTCTAATATCAAGATAATACTAGTTTTATAAATAAATGTATAAATACTCTCTCCACTTCTGCTTCCTGGATGAGACTGTGGAATTGGGATGAAATTTTTAAATGTTTGGTAGAATTCTCTAGTGAAACCATCTAGAATTGGAGATTTTCTCTTGAGGAGTTATTAACCACAAATTCAATTTCCTTAAAAGTTATAGAGCTATTCAAATTAGGTATTTCATATGTGGTCATTTGTGCTTTTCAAAGAATTGGCCCATTTTGTCCATAAAACTTGTCAAATTTATGTGTAACGTTGTTTGAAGTATTCCCTTGTTATCTTCTCCATGTCTGTAGGGTTTGTACTGTTTTATTCTTGATGTTGGTCATTTGTGTCTTCTCTCTTATTTTCTTTGTATTACTAGAAGTTTGTCAATTTTATTTATTTATTTTCAAAGAACCAATTTCTTGGTTTAGTGTTTTCCTCTATTGTTTTTGTTTTCAATTTTATTGATTTCTGATCTTACATTTTTTAAAATTCCTTTTCTCTGCTTGTTTTGGGTTTATACTGCTTTCCTTCTAATTTCTTGTGGTAGGAACTTAGATTATTCATTTGAAGTTTTTTCCTCCTCCTAGTGCAAGCATTTAGTGCTATAATTTTTCTCTCAGCACTGCTTTATCTATGTCCCCCAAATTTTAATGTTTTGTTTTCATTTAGCTCAATGCAATTTTTTCTTATTTCCCTTGAGATTTCCTATTTGACCCAAGGATTATTTAAAAATGTGTTGCTTGATTTGCAAGTGTTCAAAGACTTTCTTGTCATTCTGTTATTATTTTTATTTTAATTCATTGTAGTAAAGGGGCACACTCAACATGATTTCAGTTTATTTAAATTAGTTGTCATTTGGTTTCTAGTCCAGGATATGATCTATTTTAGTATATGTTCAGTAATAAGTCTGAAAAAAATGTGCATTCTGCTGTTGTTGAGTAGAGTATCCTAGAAATGTCCATTAGACCTTTTTGGTTAATGGTGTTTTTATTTCTTCTATATTCTTGCTGATTTTTTCTGTCTAATGGATTTATCAATTATTGAAAGGCAGGTGTTGAAGTCTCCAACTATAATTGTGGATTTGTCTATTTCTCCTTTCAGTTATATCAGTTTGTCCTCGTATGGTTTTCAGCTCACATTTAGGTTTATTATGTCTTTTTGGTGAATTGATTCTTTTATCATTATTTCATATCCCTCTCTCTCTCTCTGATAATTATCTTTGCTATACAGTTTACTGTATCTGATATTAATATGGCCATCTCTCCTTTGCTTTGATTAATGTTTCTAAATCTTCTTCCATCTTTCTATTTTTGACTTGCCTTTTTTTTTTTTTTTTTTTTTTTATGAGATGGAGTCTCACTCTGTCACCCAGGCTGGAGTGCAGTGGCGCGATCTTGGCTCACTGCAAGCTCTGCCTCCCCGGGTTCATGCCATTCTCCTGTCAGCCTCCCAAGTAGCTGCGACTACAGGCGCCCACCACCACCCCCGGCTAATTTTTGTATTTTTAGTAGAGACAGGGTTTCACCTTGTTAGCCAGGATGGTCTCGATCTCCTGACCTTGTGATCCGCCCACCTCGGCCTCCCAAAGTGCTGGGATTACAGGCGTGAGCCACTGCACCCGGCCTAACCTGCCTTATTTTTATATTTGAAGTGAATTTCTTGTAGATAGCATATAGTCAGGTCATGTTTCTTAGTCCATTTATCAATTTCTATCTTTTAATTGGTGCATTCAGATTATTCTATTTAATGCAATTATTGATATGTTAGGGCTTAAGTTTGCCATTTTATTTTTTGTTTTCTGTTTGTTCTCTTTGATTGTTGTTTTTGTTTCTCTTTTGTCTTCTTCCTGCCTTTCTCCAGATAACTTGAACATTTTTTAGAATTCTTTTTTTATTTACCTGTAGTGTTTTGGAGTGCATCTCTTTGTATGCCCTTTTTAGTGGTTGCTTTAGGCACATTTTATATACATACATACATATATATAACTTATTACAGTATTCTGTTTTTGACATGTTACCAGTTCAAATAAAGTGTGGAAGCCTTAATCATCTTTATTCCACTTTACTTTCCCTTTCCATTCATATATAATTGTCTTACATATTTCTTCTACATACATTAAAATCACAACAGAAAATGTATAATTTTTGCTTCAACCATTGAGCACAATGTAGAAAACTCAAGAGGAAAAGGAAAATGTGTTGCATGCATTTACCTATATTTTTATTCTTTTCTTGTTCCTGAACGACATTTTTACTGGATATAGTATTCTGGACTAATTAGTTTTTTTATTTTCATCACTTGAATAAGGTGTGGTACTTTCCTCTGGCCTCCATGGTTTCTTATGAGAAATCTGCTGTTATTCAAATAGTTTTTTCCTTATAGGTAAGATGTTATTTCTCTCTTACTGCTTTCAAAATTTTTTCTTTGTCTTTAGTTTTGAGAAGTTTGACTCTAATCTTCATAGTGTGGATTTTTTTGGAAGGCTTAGCTTGTTTGGAGTTCACTCCTTGAATCTTTAGGTTTATGTCTTTTGCCAGATTTGGGAAGTTTCAGCTGCTATTTTTCAACTTTATTATTATTATTATTATTATTTTTGCCATATCTTCTTTTTTTCTTCTTTGACTCTGATGACATAAATATTAAGAGCTTTTGTTAAGATGTAGTTCCCTGAGGCTCCATTTCTTTAGTTTTTCCAGTCCATTTTCCTTCTGAAAAATTGAGTAATTTTTGTTGTTCTGTCTTCAAATTTAGTGATTCTTTTCATCTGCCCTCTTTATTCGGTAGTTGAACCATTTTGCTGAGTTTTCAAGTTTGCTTATTGTATTTTCCAATTCTAAAATTTTCATTTGGTTTTCTTTATATCCTCTGGTTTTTTTGTTTATTTGTTTGTTTGTAGGGACTTTATATTTCTTTCCCGGCACTTACTATTTTTTATTTGTTTAAATTGTATTTGTAATTGCTCATTGAAGCATTTTCATGATGACTGCTTTAAAAATCCCTGTCATATAATTCAAACATTACTGTCATCTTGGTGTTGGCATTATTGATTGTTCTTTTTAAACTTCAGTTTGATATCTTTCTGGTTCATGATATGATGACTGATTTTTCCTTATTGAAATCTGGACATTTGTGGTATTCTGTTATGAGATTCTATGCTATTTAAACCTTCTGTTTGAGATGGTTTCCTCTGACAGCACTCCACCAGGGGAAAGGGGGACTCTGACACATTACTGCCAGGTGAAGGTAGAAGTCCATATTTTCCACTCAATCTCTGTTGACACTTGAGAGGGCAGTCTCCTTGTTCCTGTTGGATGCGGGTAGGAGTGGCTTTGTCCCTATGGTGGTTCGCTGGAGTATAGCGATTCTTGTCTAAGAGTTTTCTGTATAGACTTCCCTTTTCCTGTACTTTGGACAAAGAGGTCAGAATTTTTCTGGGGATTTTTTTCTGTGCCCACTGGCATTTTCAGGTTTCTGGCTTCTTAAGCTCCAATTTGGGGACATACGAAGCAAAAAGAAAATCCAGGGAATTCACCACCATGTCATTCCAAAGTCTCCAGGTAGTCTGCCTTCTCTTCACCTTTCAGTCTTCTTATGTTTGCTTAACACAGTGGTTCCCAACTTTTTGGCACCAGGGACTTGTTTTGTGGAAGACAATTTTTCCACACACCGGGAATGAGGACTGAGGGATGGTTTTGGGATGAAACTGTTCTACCTCGGATAATCAGGCATTAGTTAGAGTCTCATAAGGAGTGCACAATCTAGATCCGTCGTATGCGCAGTTCACCGTAGGGTTCATGCTCCTATGAGAATCTAATGCCGCTGCCGATCTAACAGGAGGCAAAGCTCAGGTGGTGATGCTTACTCATCCGCTGCTCACTGCCTGCTGTGCGGCCCAGTTCCTAACAGGCCATAGATCAGTACCAGTCCATAGTCAGGGGGTTGGGGACCCTTGGCTTAGTGTATGTTACTCTATGGTTTGTTTGGCCCCACCAAGTCTCCTATTAAAATGTGATCCCCAGTGTTGAGGTGGATCCTGGTGAGAGATGTTTGGACTGTGGGGATGCGGCCCTCATGAATGGCTTGGTGCTATTCTTGAGAGAATCAGTTCTCACACTTTTAGTTCTTGAGAGCCCTGGTTGTTGAAAAGTGGCTGGTGCCTCCTCCACTCTCTCTCTTGCTGCCACTCTTTCTAGCCACGTGTTCTCTGCTCAGGCCAGCTCCCTTTCCCTTTCCCATGAGTGGAAGCAATCTGAGGCCCTCTCCAGAAGCAGATGCTGACACGATTGTTCTTGTACATCCTAGAATTGTGAACCAGAAAACCTCTGTTCTTTATAAATTACCCAGCCTCAGGTATTTCTTTATATCAAGGGAAAGGGACTAAGACAGTTGTCTAGGGTTTTTAGTTGTACTTAGTGGGAAAAATTGGGAAAAGTACATCTACTCCATCTTCCCAGAAGCAGAAGTTACATCTCTTATATTTTAATTTACCACTATGGTTCCCCAGATGTTGAGCTTTCTGGAAAATTAATAAAACTACTCAAGTGTAGAAGAACACTTGCTATATATGTGACTTCTTAACTGAAATTATGTTTTCCCCAAATCACTAGAGAAGTGTCCTGCTCAATGTAAAAGAGATGATTATGAAGGAGGCATTTGACTTTGGGATAATGAGGTTGATACAACAGTTTAGACTTAAGGAAAGGAGGTTTAGGATTGGTAGGGTCCAAATTGGGGAGCTCACCTGGCTAAAATCTGGCATTTGAAATCTATCAGTCCAGAGTCCACAACGTGCAGTGCTACAAAGGGTAGGTCAAGTCTACCTCTGTTCCAAGGCTCTCCAGTGTAGTTGCTGGATCATAGCAACAGAAGTAGTTTAGCAAGCAGAAGAGTCATAGCTACAGTTACTCTGTCCTCCCAAAAGTAGCATCCCACCAAGGGCCAGGGAGGATGAGAAATAAAATGGAACCATTTGAAGAAGGAGCCTAGAAGGATGTAGCTATGTGTCACAGTGGGTTCTTGACTCAGAAGAGAGCTAAAATATAGTTTAGGAAACTAGAGGAAAATGTTAGTCAACAAAAAGGGATAGGCAGGGTGGTTAAAAACATCAGTACTCTTCATCCTAGTACTCAGGAGACATTACTAGTTGATCATGGTACTGTTTCCCACTAGACCCACAATCCTCTCAACATAATGTCCCATGCAGGCACTACCAATCAATAGGTGGAGACACGTAAGAAGACATCTGTTTTCCAGCTCAGGCGGGAAGCTCATTCCAGGCACACAGGACATCAGATCTAGAGCAGCACAGTGGACTCCAGATCCCATTAGGAGCAGGCCTAAGGCTGCTTATTTCTTGCCTTCCTTAATGAGAATTGGTTCAGGGTCTGGGTGCAGCTGAGCCTGATACTGCTGACTTTGATTATGAGAGCTGAGATTAGTCAAAGACCAAGTGGCAGAGAAAAAAAAATCTTTCTTTGCATATTAAGATCCTAGGCTTAGCTGATCTATATTGTTAATTCCTGAAGATTTCAAGTTAGCCTGCTTACAAGTTGAATTTCAAGAGAGAGATGGCAGTGATTTACGGTGACATCTATTAAGCTTTTATAGAACATAATACATGTGTTCTTGCTCCTACCATAAAATTAATTGTTGCTAATTAGTTAGGGCTGCCAGCTCGCTTGCATGTGAAAGTCTGTCACACTCCCTTCTCCTGGTCCTGTTAATTAGCCTTCCACAGCCTCCTACTGTCTCAGTGTCCTGTAGCTTTCCTCTCAATGTATGTTTCTTATTTAAACAAATGAGCCTGCTGTTTGGCTTTGGTTGGTTTTGGAGAGAGGTTTGACTTTGGGGGCATAGAAGTCCTTGTTGGCAGTCAATGGTGTCAGGTGAGACAAACCATTTTTGTACACCATCATACATTATGTAAGTGCATTTGACCCAAAATAAGTATTCCTCTTTCAAAGTTGTTTTTTAAATTGAGTATTGAATTTCCATGAAATAATACAATTAAGTTCTCAGGTACTTGGTTTTGATGATCGTTTCTGGGTTTCTGGAGTCTGGGATGGAGATCATTCTGGTGGGATGACAGCCCATAAGCACGTGTGCAGTGGAAGGAGCACTGGGCCGGGCAGCTTCTTGGTTGCAATGACAGCTGCATGGCATGGAGCATTGTAATGTTCAGTTGTAAGGGAGATGCTTTGAGGTGCTGAAGATATCATGACAGTGATCGAGTTTGTCCACAGCCCTCACAGCCCTTGGAGGAGCTCTGACTCAAGTGTTCTTGCCTAGGGAGTACTGGTTGTATAATTGCTGTTGACATTTCCGTGGTAAAAAGAGGTCAGTTCTGTTGGATTTTTCCAAGAGCAGGCAGCCTACTTTGTCCAAGCAGAGTAAATCTAAGAGTGACAATCTCATGCAGTTATTATCACATATAATGACAATAAAAAGAAAGGGTTTTTCCTAAATACAGTTCTGCACCCAGTGAAGCTTGTTCACTCCTCTGCTCAATGAGCCAACAAAACAGTCAGGCGCCAGAGAGAGAAAAATCCTGTTTGCATTGATTGCGTCCTGAATGCCTCTGCCCACCTCCTGGGAGGCAGCTTATTTCACACATCCTCATGACAGAGTAATGTGACTTCATTGACTGGCAAGCAGCTGTCAGTGCAGCCTGTGAGGTGTCTGGGTGTGCCCACACACCGAAATCAAGAGAGAATGGAAAGCACAGCACTGCAATTGAAATTTAAAGGGGAAGTAAGTCTTTATTACAATTGACTTACAAAAGTGGAGGCTGTAGCTATGTTCAAATACAATCACGTCTGTGAACCCACTTGTCAAGCAACAGAAAGGCACAGTTTTCATTCATTCATTCTTTTGCTTTGGAGCAGGGCTTCACATAACAGGTGCTGGAAAGGCAGTATCAGGAACCAAGACTCCAACAGCGCCAAGCAATCAGGTATTAGGAACTGGCTGGCCATCATACACATTGTCATATGCATTGATGTCTTCCTACCTCTTTTCTGCCTCCTTTGCCCCTGTCCTTTGCTCCACAATGGGGGCTTCTTTGCATCTGCTTCTGCACCTGTCTTCACCTGCATGTCCTTGCCTGACATGGGTCCAGTGAAAGGTGACACATGACCACACCTTCTGACATTAGATGCAGGGATTCACATACCATGACTCCATGGTTATTTGCACTGGGGAGGTCTGAAGGGGATCCACACAGTGTTTATGCATGAGTGTAATCTTTTTACTTCTGAAAAGCCTGGGATAGAAGACCAATGGATGAAATAAGGGATCTTTTATGACAAATTTATATGTTTTTTAACAAACTCTTTGCTTTGGCAACTCTGTGATCACTTAATTTGGCAGCATGGTTAAGGGAAAATATGATTGAGAAAGCTATTTATGTTCCTGAGAGTCATGTTGCGTATGGTAGCCGAGTGAATAATTCTTTCGTTCCGATTATAAAATCACTTGGCTGTTAGAATTTATAGCTTCCCTTTTATTTTCATCACTACCACTATAATCTAGAACTTCATGATAATGCTTTTATTAATGCAACAACCTTCTAGCTTGTTTCTCTGCTTCTGGGCACTTTCATTTAATACACCATGCATATTGCTACCAGATGATATGCTATTTAGATAATGCCATTCCCTCATTAAGGAACCTGCAATAGCTCCCATCTGCTTATACAATCAAATCTAGACCCCTTCATCTAACCTTCAAGCTCTCTATGGTCTGGTCCCCTATCTACACATACATTGAAACTTACATGCCACCACCTTGCGTCATACCCCTGATTGAGCAGAGGAATCCTAGTCCTACCACCCTGCCTCGGTGCCTTGCTATTTGCCTTTTTTTAAGATCCCTACTTTGCCTCTCTGCCCATTCAGATAAATACATTTTTCACATCTCACCTTAGACCCTTTTGTGTCTATAAAGCCTTTCCGATAGTTACCATCCACATCAGCTTCTTTCTTGAGTTCCTATCACTCTAGTAGGCAAATGCTTGGCACTGTTTTTAGTCTAGTTTCTTGCAGTGATATTAGTGTCTTATCTACAAAGCTTCATCTCCAGGATGAACTTTTTGCTTTCTTGATTCTTAGTCTCCAGAATGCCTAGTATGCTCCTCTTGTGTACAGAATATTGAACTTGGAATTGAAAGGCCAAGTTTAAGGCCTGGCTCTTTAACTGACAAGTCATGTAGCCTTGAATGGGCCCTTGACCTCTTTAAGCCTCTGTTCCCTTAGCTGTAAAATGGAACTCAAGATATTTTCACAGCCCATTTCACCGAGTCATTTTAATGCTCAAATAAAATTGCATGTGAGAGTACTTTATGAGCCTTCAAGTGCTGCGAGAACAGAAGGCCCCATTATTATTGTAGTTTGTCTGTAATATTTAACTTAAGTTGAACCAGGAAAATATATCTGTGAGCCATTGTGTAATCTTGAGGGCCAAATTGCTAAATAGCAGTGGCCGCACCATATAACATTTATTGTACATTTCATTGTTCAGAGTGCTTTTTATTAGGATTACCATTCTGTTCTCTCCAGTGCCTCATGAGGTTGTGAGGATCAGGTATTTTTATTCCCACTTTGCACCTAGAAAAAGGAAATCAAAGGGAACAAATACAGTAAGTGAATTTCTGTAAGTCACGTAGTTAGTTGATGGCCACAATTGAACTGAAGCTTCCATTCTGCCTCTTATTCCTTGCCTGAAAATTGTGGTCATTTTCAGTCTCCACTTTATCACCACCAGACCCCTGCCTCTAGGACGCTTTCCTCTGTGGTTTTCACTTTTCCTACTTTGTCTCATTGGTTCTTGTACAGCAAGGGTGGCTTTATATTGGCTAGCAAGGATCTCACTCCTGTTCATTTCATTATAATTACATTCACATTCATAAGGTGGAGGGACATTTTTTTTCTCTTTACAAATACTGTTGGTTGACTGAAGTAGTCTTAGGTTGGGGGACCCTAGATCAGAGAAGAGACCTGAGTTCAATGTTAGGTCCTCACTTTCTTTGCAGATGGTTTAATTCTCTTGACAGGTCAGGCTTTCCCTAGAGCCTTGTCCACGCGGGCGAGACTGAGACCTGTCTCTTTTTGGCCTAAGGATAAATAACAGGCTATCTGGTATGCTTCCAGACTGGATGTGGCAGTGCACACCACTCATCCAGTTGTCCCTCCTTTGTGCTTAAGCTCTTTCCCACTCCTTCCGTCTGTTGCACCTGCTGGCCCCAAGCCTGGAGCTATTCTAGCCTCCACCAAATGGGGCAGTCCTGCCTCTACTGCTGACTCCACTACAGCATGTTCTGAGGTGAGAATTCTTCTACTCTATGTTTCATGCATTAACATGGAAGCCATGCCCCCATCTCCCTTCCAGAAATCCGTTGAAAAATCTCATCCATTAGGACTTACATTGCCCTTCACTTCACCGTTATGGGTAAGAGGCCAACTGATGCCCTCACCTCACCAATCTAAAGGGATTTCTTCAATACCTTTCTAAGGAGGTGCTGCTGGAAGCATTAGAATCTTTCAGCCATCCCCACAGGGACAGTGTCATCAGCAGATTACTTCCTCAACTTCAGCATAAATTCCAGTATAATTTAACATTGGCTTATTCTTGAGTGAATTTTTCCAATATAATCTACTCGGAATATTTGATGCCATTTTAATACTTTAGACCATGCCAATCCCAGATGTAAATGGTTCATACTAACATATAAGAACAGAATTTTTTATCACCCAGAGTAAGTAGTTCCCTGCATAATAGCATCACTGAAGCTCTCCCAGGAGAAGGGACTTCATGACAAAATGTGGGAGCCATAACAGCAGCCAGATTAGTCTGACCCTCTGCAGTATCTTCACCAGGACCCCAAAGGACCCCAAAGCCCAATGGGTGGAGTAATTCTCTTTTTTCTGAAGCAGTATGATTAGGTAAATGTGACTTTGTTGTACAGTTCTTATTACTATCCTCAAAAGCTGAGTTTGTAGCATGGACTGCAAAGTGTGGCAGTCTTCCAGCTGACAGAAGCATACAAAACAAGTCCTTATCTCAAGACAGAGGAGAGGAACCCAAGCACTGTGACTCTCACTTTATAAATCTGCCCTCAGCTCATAAACTACTTTTAACACCAGTGATTCTTGACATGAGTTCACACCAGAGATTTTGCAACTCATTGATATGGAGGGTGTAAAGAGGCAGGGGACAAAAAAAATACATCTGGTGGCTGCAGAGAAAGGGTTATTTGACTTCTGGGGACAGGCTATAGTAATATTCCACTGATTTTATACAGCCTTTGTCTTTCCTGCCTGCACTGTTCTTATATTCTTATAAGAGCTATTCAGGAAAGTAGTGTCAGGATATGGCTGGAATAAAGATATAAGGATGAAAGATAGTTAATAGAAGAATGAAAAATAATGCAACTCCCAATTCTTGGGAGGAGATAAGAGATAGTGCAAGCTAAATCCTCCTCTATGTAGTGGGGAATTAATAAGTGAGAAAACCTGAGCAGAAGTTATAAGCATATTCATTAGAGTTATGGACATAATACCCAGAAAACCAAAAATCAAATGTGTTCAAATTGGCTGCCCAAGAGAATGGGACCAATGACAGAAAGGATTGTGGAAAGGAACAATTTCTTTCCATCTTAAACTCTTTGGTACTACTTAGCTTGTTATGTGCATGTATTGCTTTTTAAATATTTTTCTTAAAATTAAAAAAATCTATGGATTTTTTTCCCTAAAATTCAGGGGTTGTGTGTGTGAAGATATGACTTAGTGATAAATTAGGTTGAGCTATATGAAATAGCAAATATTGGTTCGTTTTTGACCTGTATGAATGGAAATTTCATTTGATTCAACCGAAATAGTTTTCAGATTTTGTTCTTTCATGCGGACACGTCTTCACTGAAAGCCCAGCATATGACTGGGTCGGTGGCATCCTGCCATCCTGGAAATGTCACAATTCATTGTGTCCAACAACGTTCTCTTTCCAACCAACACTTCAAGTTCTGCTCAGCTTACTAGAGAGAGTTCAAAGGGCACATCTTCCAACCGCAAACCCTATGCTCAAAGGATTTGCTTCTTCTAATACCCTTAACCCAGTATTTTTTACGTGTGTTATGGCAGTTTTTACATTCTGCCTTTTACAACTTTATTTGTATACTTATCTCATCTCTCTGTTAGACTCTCCATCTTTTGAGCAAAAGAATCATTTTCTATAGGGAGAGACTGTGTGGGCTTTGAAGCAATTCTGGCATGCCTTGCCCACTTTCCAGCTGCATAACTTTGGGCACCTTCCTTAACGTCTTCAAGACCCAGTTACTACATCCCCAAAATGGGGACAGTGATGTCTCTCCCGAGGCCCATCAGGATGTTTCAATCAGAAAATGCATGCACAATGCCTAAAACATGCCCAGCACACAGCTAATGTGCAATTAACAACCATTGACTTCCCCTTCCTCTTACTCATCCTTGAGTCTTCCACAGCACCAAACACAGTTCTTTTTCCTTTAGATGATTAAATGGTAAATGAAGGAGTGGGGGAAAGTAGGTTGGTTTGAAAGGTTTTGAAAGTATTGCAAAATCCTTTCAGGAAAACAGATATTAACACTACCTTTTAAAATAAGAGCTCTCAAATAAGCATATTAAAGAGGAAATAGCACAGGACTGTGCTTTGCATATTAACTGATCTGAAAACCATCCAGAGATGGAAGCCATTTGGGATGCCTCCAAAAATATTGCCTGTGACCCTCCACCTTTCAGACATTGGCCATGTATCAGTGGTTGTGAACTCTGCTGAGCCTCTGCCTTCTATGGAATTGGGGTAGAGTCTACAGCTGAGGAGAGCAGCCTGGGAAGCTTGCATGGAGTTCTGGACCTCAAAAAATGCCCACCAGCCTCTTAATAGGTTGAGCACTTGCTCCTTCCTCTGTTCAGAGCGTTCCCCATTAAAAACTCCAGCCTGTTTTTGTAAAGTTGGCCCCAATGACTCCATGGAGCCTTTCTGAGTTGCCCAGCTGCAGAACACTTTGCTTGTCACTGTTATCGCTGTTTACCACATTCTGATTGTGTTATTGTCATTGATATATTTCTCTTACCTATTCCTGTGCCATCATTAGAGTATGTGCACAGAGAAGATACTCCATATGTTTATGTAAAAATAAAATGTTCATTCATTAAGATACAGGTCAGGGAAGCCCCTGAATAACCACTGGTGTGATTTTTTAATTTATCCCCACCAAAAACAAAAGATTTCTTCCACCATGGGAACATTCTTTCAGAGGTTCATTGGTAAAAGCCAACTTACTTAAAGAAGTCAATTAGAAAACTGTAGTAGCAGCGTGGTGTGGTGGCTCATGCCTGTAATTCCAGCATTTTGGAAGGACGAGGCGGGCAGATCACTTGAGGTCAGAGTTGGAGACCAGCCTGGCCAATATGGCAAAACCCCATCACTACTAAAAATACAAAAATTAGCTGGGTATGGTGGCACACACCTAAAAAATCCCAATTACTCGGGAGGTTGAGCCCGGGAGGCGGAGGTCGCAGTGAACTGAGATCGCGCCACTGCACTCCAGCCTGGGCGACAGAGTGAGTGAGACTCCATCTCAAAAAAAAAAACAACAAAAACAAACAAACAAACAAACAAAAAACTGTAGTGGCTACTAGTTTAAATTGTTGAAGGAAGAAAAGTTTTTGTGGGGAGGGCACATGAGTGGAGGATACCAGGGATAAAACAGACACCAGCAAAGAGACCTCAATGGAGGTTTATGGCTGGCGTGGTGGCACGCATCTGTAGTCCCAGCTACTTGGGAGACTGAGGTGGGAGGACTGTTTGAATCCAGGAGGTTGAGGCTGCAGTGAGCTGTGATCATGCCACTGCACTGCACTCCAGCCTGTATGACAGAGTGAGACCCTGTCTCAAAGAAAGAAAGTAGAAAGAAAGAAAGAAAGAAAGAAAGAAAGAAAGAAAGAAAGAAAGAAAGAAAGAAAGAAAGAAAGAGGAAAAAAAGGAGGTTTATGCACACAGTGTGGGAGGTACAAGGGTTGAAAGCATGAGGCTTTCCAGTGTTGAGAGCAGGAAGAACTTTAGGGCACAGGGACACAGAGTCAGAGATAAGACTGTCTGGCCCACCTGCCAGGATTTTGTACAATCACGCTGCATAATGATTCTTGAAAATACAAACATTGCCGGGACTGACTGACAAGTATTGTTCCAGCGGGGAGAGCTGTCAGGGCAAATCAATCCAATTCTACCACATGCCAGTGTGTAGAACAGATATAATTTTGGCTGTTCGGGGATGTCAAAGCGAAGGATGTACCGTATGTGTATTTTGAAATGTGGTGTTCTTTTTAGTCTAACAGCTTGAAAGATTTCTGGGGCTTTCCCCCCTTGGCTTTTTTCTAGAAGTTTTGGGAATTTAACTTCAAATAATTCCATTGCTTTTATCTGCTGTAACATGCAGGTTAAATTAAGCCTTTCTCCCTCCACTCCTATGGACACTTGCTCTCATTTGGGGTATTAAACATTAGTCTAGTGAGGAAAGGGCCATTTGCTGGCATTGGATGTTGTATGAGGCATCTATAGGTCCCTGGTGCCCTCCCAGAAATGTAAAGTTGATTTGCAGCAGGCTATCTAGTCGATCACTGCAACAAATAAATGCAAGGCTAAATAGAGAGGCTTAGGATGGCTCGCGTGTCTAGGCCCCTTGGGAATCTCTGAAGGTCCACTTGCTCCTTCGGTGCCCCAGTGCTATGAGGGCTTGAGGCCCTCAGAAGTTAGCTCACTGAAAATCTCTCTTCTCTGTTCAGAATTTTTCTGTGCCCCCACCCCACTGCCCTCTCTGCACCTTCCCTAGGAATCTCTTCCAGCAGTTATCTCCTCTGCCTTCTTCTCTTCTCTTCTTCTTTTTTTTTTTTTTGGAGCTATTTTATTTCTGACCCTCAACTATTCCTCTTAACTTACAAATACTCTCAAACCTCACAACAGCCCCTAACCCCCATGTGCTGGAGCCATGGTGCTGTCTCTAGATGGACCTGTCTGCCCCTGCATCCTCCGCCCCCTCCCGTTTCCCACAGGCTCGGCCTCCATTCTTCAGTCCTGGCTTCCATTTCCTCACTTCCCATTCAGGACACCACCCAGGGTAGGCTGCCTTCTATTGTCTTCGTGATCATGATCCATGGCCCTCTCCTGCCTCTGATTAGTTCATTTTCATCTTGTTTTCTGTCTTTCCCTGATTTTCCTCATAGTCATTCTTTGAGGATTCATTTTTGGTGACATCCTCTGTACCATTAGGGGTCACAGATCTGACTGCAGCTTCTGTGGCTGGGGACAGCACCTCCCACAAGAGTCTTGCTGAGCTGCGGACTTTTGACAGGCAAAAGGCCGGAGAGGAAAGATGGATGAGGGATGGGAAGGAGCCCGCCCTCAGCTCTGTACCAGCCTCTGTGAGGACAAGTTCTAGTGCTATGCCCTCACTGGCTTCCTTGCTTCCAGTTTTAGTCCAGCCAGATGAATCTCTCTAAAGACTTGCCCTGATCACTTCTTACCATGCTCAAAGGTCTTCAATAGCTCCCCAGGACTCACATATATAATGTAAAATCATGGACTCAATGCCTGTGGAGTGTGTGAGCTGGGGCAGACCTAAGATGCCATGTAGTCCAAACTCCCTTATTTAACAATGAGGAAGGGGAGGCACAGAGAAGGAAGTCATATTTACTAGTGCCAGAACTTGTCTGAACTACTTAGTGAGATATTCAAAGCCCTCCATAATCCAGTCTCTTTCTTTCCCTTCCTTCCTTCCTTCCTTCCTTTCCTTCCTTCCTTCCTTCCTTCCTTCCTTCCTTCCTTCCTTCCTTCCTTCCTTCCTTCCTTCCTTTCTTTCTTTCTTTCTTTCTTTCTTTCTTTCTTTCTTTCTTTCTTTCTTTCTTTCTTTCTTTTTCTTTCCTTCTTTTTGAGATGGAGTTTCACTCTTGTTGCCCAGGATGGAGTGCAATGGCGTGATCTCAGCTCAATGCAACCTCTCCCTCCCGGGTTCAAGCGATTCTCCTGCCTCAGACTCCCAAGTAGCTGGGATTACAGGCATGTGCCACCATGCCCTGCTAATTTTGAATTTTTAATAGAGACTGGGTTTCTCCATGTTGGTCAGGCTGGTCTTGAACTCCTGACCTCAGGTGATCTGCCCTCCTCGGCCTCCCAAAGTGCTGGGATTACAGGCATGAGCCACCGCACCCGGCCCAGTTTCTTTCTTTTTTTATGGCATGTTGCCTGCTGTTCCTCTTTTGGAAAAACCAAGATAAATCACTCTTTCCTAAATCCACTCTGGACTTTTCTTTCACCTCATCCTGGTTCTTTCTCTTCTCCCCTCTTAAGTGTTCTCTTTCTCACCATTTTTTTCTCTTATTCAATTACTCATCTATTTTTACATGTTCGTGTTATTATTTGTTAATAAAATAGTTTTGGTTGTCTCATGTATTCCAGGCTCAGCAGTGGATTGGGGAAATTACACCTATTTGTCAACTCCATGCCCAAAGCATTCTTGAGTATGCCCATAGGTGTTTATTTTAATGTCCTTATGATAAGAACTGTGGACTCCTTATGCAATGCCTTGGGTGAAGATAGCTTTTGTGTCATGTGTTCATTTCTTATTGATCTCTGTTATGAGTACTATTTTTAGGAAACTCACTTCTTACTCTGGAGACATTTTTGAGGACATTGATCATTGTGCCTATCGGCATCCCTTTTGTAAAATCGATTTGAAACATTCCTTTGAAAACAAACTGTCATGAAGAATCTTACTTCATGAAGAAGGGATCGCTGTGTTTTTATTTATGAGTAGCCAAAATTTTGTAAATTATTGTGTTTTCTTTTTGGCTTCTCCTGCCAGCAAGCTTAGGATCAAATTATGACTTAAGTTTAATAACCACTGAGGACCCAAGAATCTTCATGCTTGCATTTCTACTTAACACCTTGTCTTAACTTCCTATTTTATTTCTCTTGACTTCAGTTATTATTACAGTTTTTGTTTTTCTTTGTGTCATTTATAGTACCTAAAATCTTTTGTGAATGGAGCAAAGATGTAAGTAAATGGCATGAAAGATATAAGTACATGGGTTTTTCTGCCCTTTAGGTTATAAGGTCCTTGAAGACAGGGATTATTGTACTCTTCTCTTTTTCTAGGCCCTAGAAAATGCTGAGGCACTTTTAGTAGGTGCATAGTAAAAGTTTATTGAACTAAATTGTTAGAAATAGACCTCTGATTTCCTAGATAGGCACAGCTGAACTCATATGCTTTCTCTTTTGCTTGTTTTTTGTAAGAAGGCCAAGGCAAGGTATGTTGTAGTGGAAAGAATTCAAACCCTGCCTCTTACTAATTATACAATCTCACATGAGTTATTTAGCTAATCCACTCCTCCTCTTTGTTTCCTTAGTTTGAAAATGGAGGTAAGAATACCCTTCCAGATTGCTATGACAATTGGTAAGTCCTGTAAATCTCAGCACATTCTCTGGCCCATAATAACAATCAGCACAGGTTAGGCACCCTGTTGCCTCCCTATTTCCTGATTTCACTGGAAACAGTACTTGGAAAAGGATAAGTAAGTGGATTGCTCTATGGCCACAAGTAAGTCAATTAACTGAGGTGTCATCTGTAAAATAAGTGTGGCTATTGACCTCATTCAGAGGGATATGAAATTAATTGATGATAATGCACATTGGGAATTTTTGCTGAGAAGTGCTTCAGAATGGCTCAGTCTTGTTACGTGCTCTATTTCATCCTTAATATTATTTATGAATATTTAGCCTTTTCTTGTTCTGGTGTGTTTTATGTCTGTGGTCTTAATTGCATTTATTTTTTAATTTAGTACCAACTTGTATCTTAATAAAAATGTAGGTGAAACTTTAAAACATAGTTTCTATCTTTCACACAAATTTGTTTTTATAAGGTGGATGATTTTACCTGATTCAATATGCTGCTAATACATGAAGATATTTGGAAAATCATTTTTGTTAATTTTATTTTATATCAAGTTCAAGCATTTTTTGAAGTATTTAACATTTACATTCTGCTTTTAACATTCATATTTTATATTTATCAGTAGTTTTCTAATGAAATTGTTTATTAGGAGATGTGCGGCTCATTTCAGATGATAAACATGAGTGTTTCAAGTATTTCTAGTAGAAAAGATATCAACTAAATGAAATACCTGTTTTCACTTTAATGTCAGGAAACCCTCTCTGTCTTCAGTATGAATCAGTGTCCTCTATTTCAGAGTCCAAGGGTTGCTTTTCTGAGAGGGAGGGAACCTGAATCCTAGCTGGGTCACCTTCTAGCTGTGTGGCCCCGGGAAAGTCATGTCACTGTGCCAAGCCTCTCACTGATCTGTCAAACCCGAGGGAGCCAGTCTCGATGATCTTTAAGTTCTTTTCCTATCACAGTATTCAGTCCTGGGAGATGGAACTGCTAAAGGCAGGCTCTGCATTTAGGACCACAGGGAAACCGAGAGAGAGAATTTCGGGAACTCCCAGTACAGGCCATTATCTTTTAGAGTATATTAGTTTTAATCTTTCTCCTGAAAACTTTAAGATCTCTCTCTTTTTAACTGCAGGTTGCTTTATCCTTGTCATATATTAGATACTGAATAAATGTCTCTGTTGAAAGTCCATATGTTTAGTGGAATAAGTCCACTGGGCCAAGAGTATCTATGAAACCCCATTATTGAGGAAATGGGAAAGGCACATTTCCTGAGACCTTAAATGAATAAAGTTATATTTATTTTTTATTAGTTTTAGATTTCATAGCAATGGGTATAGACATAGAGTAATACTTTATCTATTGCCTGTGTGTATATATGGAATATGTACTTCTGGGAGGAATCTATACCAGAATTTGATTTAAGCAATCTGAAACTACAAGCATCTATGTCAGCTGCTGAAGACACATTGCGACACAATGCATTTTTCAGGACTCTAATGTGATACGAACACAGAGCTGGAAGTCAGTTCACTTCTGGCACTCATGGGACAAATGACCAAGGGCACCACATTTCCATTCTGAAAAATTCCATCAGTGACAGGGTTGCCCAGACAGGGTGCAGATCACACGAGTTTGGTGGTGTATTTCCTATAGCTCTTATTTGATTCCTCCTTTTCCTTTGGCAGGGTGAATTTTACACAGAAATTTTTCTATAAAACTCTTTTTTTTAAATTAAGTGATTGTTTTGAGTTTTCCTTCAAATCTAGGAAGTCATTCATGGTAGAGTTTGGTTCCTTTTTTTTTTTTTAAATTTGAGAGAGTCTCATTCTGTTGCCCAGGCTGGAGTGCAGTGGCACGATCCCTGCTCACTGCAACCTCTGCCTCCCGGATTCAAACAATTCTCCTGCCTCAGTCTCCCGGGTAGCTGGGATTACAGGTGCATGCCACCATGTCCGTTTAATTTTTGTAGTTTTAATAGAGACAGGGTTTCACCACGTTGGCCAGGCTGGTCTCAAACTCCTGACCTCAAGTGATCAGCCCACCTCGGCCTCCCAAAGTGCTGGGATTACAGGTGTGAGCCACCACACCCAGCCTCTTATTTATTTCTTATTACAGTTGCTTATGTTGGGTTTAAGGTGATTTGCTCAAGTCTCCAAAGTTAAGAGCAGCAGATTGGCTGATCACAGAGAAAGGAAGCATGTGAGAATTTTGCATGCTTATGTGATAGCTTATTTATCATGGAATCCTTAGGCATGCTTCACTCAGGATATTTTGTGTAAAGTGAATCAAAAATGTCCACAGAGCCCTTCAAGATACTGATATTCAAAGTCTTAGACCACAATGAGATAGGAGTTTGTCCAGAATGTGAATCAGGGCATTGCTTCCTTCATTACAAAAGTCTTACTCTCAGGAAAAGTTAGCCTAATGTCACACAATCAGCCAAACTAAACCTTTGGATGTCTGGCCTCTTAGCTCCACTGCTGAAAGCTGGAGGAGAAATGGCAGCCCAGTGTTGTTACAGCTTAGGCAGGTTACTGAGCCTTTCTGAGCTCGGCCCCTGAGAAGGAAGGCACTGGTAGGGTGGAGAGGGAAAATGTGGGCCCAGAGCTCAGTGGGTGAGAGGAGCAACCGAGATGTCAGCAGAGGTGGTGCAGGGTAATGGCTCCCTAAGATAGAAGCTTCAAGACAGCTGGGGCTCTAGCACGAGGGAGAGGGAGTAAAGGATCAGAAATCAGGTGTGTAAGCCCTGAAGTACCAGGGGATGAGGGATAGAGATGGCGTCCAATTGAGAGGCTTGGGCATCCTTGGTGCATTGCCGAGGTTTTATTTAAATCAGGGAGGTAAAGGGATGTTTAAGGAGAGTTGAGGAAATAAGGAGCTTGTGGAGTCACAGGCAGTGAGCTCAGAGTACACCGTGGAGGGGTGTCCAGGGGAGCTGAAGGGGCATAAGCGATCCACATTGGGAGGATAGTGTCTGGATAACTAGAGACTTCCTGTGGTGTTGTAGGGAAATGGAAAATGGGCAAGTTGGGATGAGTTTTGATGCCTTCTTAAAGGAGAATGGGAAGACGTTCTTAGCTCAATGACAGGAAAGCTTCAGATTAGATGTTCTTCCCACTGCTGCCATCCCAGAGAATAGAGCTATTTTATCACCTACAGGCTTAGAAGAGTTGACCTCAATTAACTCAAATAACATAGTCAAGTAGTACTTGTCTGTGGTTATCATTATTAAACATATTTTTTCACAGATATTTATAAATCACCAATTGTATGCACAGCACTGTGAGGCCCTGTCAGGAATACAAATACAAAATTCCTGTGCCCCTAAGTAGCTCAGTCTTAAAAAAGAGAAATTTGGCCAGGCACGGTGGCTCACACCTGTAATCCCAGCACTTTGGGAGGCCAAGGTGGGTGGATCACGAGGTCAGGAGTTTAAGATCAGCCTGGCCAATATGGTGAAACCCCATCTCTACTAAAAATACAAAAACATTAGCCAGGTGTGGTGGCACACACCTGTAGTCTCAGCTACTCAGGAGGCTGAGGCAGAAGAATTGCTTGAACCTGGGAGGCGGAGGTTGCAGTGAGCCGAGATTGTTCCACTGCACTCCAGCCTGGGCGACAGAGCGAGACTCTGTCTCAAAAAAAAAAAGAGAGAGAGAGAGAGAGAGAGAAATTTATTCCATTTAGAGAGAATACATTGGCAAAAGGACACTGCTCAGATTATCGGTGCCCCAAAACATAACAAAGCAGATAAATGCAAATATAGTAGCCCATTTCCTAAAGAAAAGATGCAGCTCTCCTGCTTTCAAGGTCAACGTGGAAAAACTGCTTTAATCAATTTTAGTTTTGGAAATAATGAAATTGTGGCTTTGGCCTTAAAAACTTATTTTCCACCAAATTTTTCTCCTGCTTGGACTGCGAAAAGAAAGAAGGTATGTAATAAAATGCAAAAAAAAAAAAAACAAAAAAAACCAACGTTAAATACTTGCCTTGCTCTGGTTAGAGTGAGAAGTAAATCAAGTGGGAATTTAATTCCCAATGAACATGTGACAACCAGGGAGTTAAATATTAGATTTAAATAGGGCAGCTAATTATCTGCAAGAATTACATTTGTGTCTTTATATGGGCACTCTCCCTAATGAACACATTTCTCTCCTCTTAAATTCAGTCGTTGTCACTGGAGCATGAGAAATTAATATACGTTCTTATATTCATCAATATTGTTGCTCATAAAAAGACCTTTTGATTTTTATCACCCTGAGTTCCCAGAGGCTCACAAAAGCATTCATAGCTCTGAACCACATGAATTATCGGGGGGAAAGAAAAATCCCATTAAATCAAAATCTTAATTACCACTTGCATTTTCTATAAAGTTGTGTCCAAAAAGAAACCAAGCAGGCTGTCCATCAACATAGAATGGATAAATACATGGTGGTACAGTCCTTCCACAGAATATTATACAGTGGTATAAGGGAAATAATTCATACTACACACACAATACAGCCCAATCTCAAGGACACCGTTGAGAGAGAGATTCAAGATCTGCAAGAATTCGTACTGTATAACTCCATTTAATGTAGGTTCAGAAACAGGTGAAGCTGAACAAGCTCTGGGAGATAAGTAGGAATGTAGGTACAATCAGGAAAGAACACACTGGTGCTTCAAAGTTACTGGTGATATTCTATTTCTTAAATGGGATGGTGGGTTCATAGGTATCCATTTTATTATTATTATTTACTGCAGTTTAAATTAAACTGCAGATATATGGTTTATATTTTCGTATAATGCAGTTCACAATCAATTAAAAAAACATTTTAAAAAATGTTATCAAGTTACACCGCAGTACTAAATCTCTACTTTGAGTTGCACGAGGCATCAGGAGATATTTAGGGCTCGGTCTTAACCTTGGGAGCTTACAGATGTGATATAATTGTGGGATACATCAGAATACGAACAAGCTATGACAGAATGTGAGTTCACAGGAAGAGGTCTTTGGTGGTCAAAGTGGTCCTGGAAAGCTCTATGAGAGAGTAAGAATTTGAACGGGGCTTTGAAGGATGAACTAAGCAGAGAGGAAGCCTGGCAATTGTTTTTACTTTTTTCTCTATTTCTCTTATAAATTAAGTCTCTGCTCATGTTTAGTACAGTTTACAATTGAAAAGAGACTTTGTGAAGTAGAAGAAAACACATGAACTCTGGAATCAGACAGACTCGGGTTCAAATCCCAATTCCATTCCCAGACTGTAAATCTTGGAAATTCCTGCAGACTGTTTTCCTACTTGTAAAATGCAGAGAGGATTATGTCATGGGATTGTGAGACTGAAATGAGAGAATATAGTTGGCCACACATTCCAAGCTCTAGAGGGCATCACAATCTCTTTTTAATGCACTACCATTCAGCAACAAGGAGTTCAGAAAATAATACCAGCCAAGACCCAGCGGAACTCCCGTGCTAAGGGACTCAACATTTAACGTGCTGAGTGAGGAGGCACAGCTCACATGTACTTCTGTCCTCTGCAGGGTCTCCTTGTGGGCCTGTCCTCCATGACCTCTGTCCTTTGGTGTGCTCCCTCTCTGGTTTCCACCTTGCAGCCAATGAGCTTCTGAGGACCCTTAACTGCCTCCTGCCTTGTGCACCAAGAGGGTGTATGGATGAATGACTTGAGCCGTCGCTGCTCCAGACTGTAGGGAGGAACATTCTCTTGTCCTGGGATTCATCTGCTTTTGTCTCTTCTTGGCCTTGGAGAGCCAAGACTGAGCCATGATTTTAAAACACGGCTAAGGAAGCTAGTCCTTAATGCAGACGTCTAGATGTTTCTGATCCAAACAAAGGAAGTCAGTGAGGCCCAACCATGTTTTAGCCCACCCCACTAGAAGGCTAAAACTGAGGTGAGGCCAAAACCTTAATTAACAATGCAAAGATCTTGCATTTTCCTTTTGTATCCTCTGACTCTGTCTCCCTTAGGAATCTGAGATGGCTTAACCAATAATTCAGGATTGCTAGCTATCTCTCTGCTTTGCCCTGCTGGACACACTGCTAACAAATATATGCAAAGCATCTGGCTTATAAGAAGCCTGCCATTAATGTGAATTTCTCATTTCTCCCCTTTTTTACTCTATAAAGTTTATCAAGGATATTTTGCAGTCAGCAACTAGGTATCTACTTTAGTTTTATCAGAAACAATAACTGAGTTCTGGAGAAAAAGGTGATGAAACCTCCGCCCAGCCATTTGGGGTGGACTGTGAAGATGGACACCCAGCTTCTTCGGTTCACTGTGCACAGAGGAGAGACTCTTGGGCCTGGAAGCTCAGGTACAGGCCACCAACTCTTCACCCGCTGCCTTCACCTCCACATGCTTCAATTCCAATTTCCATTCTGTCTTTGTTTTGCAGTTGTTCAGCACATCAAGCGACATAACATTGTTCTGAAAAGGGAGCTAGGCGAAGGAGCCTTTGGAAAAGTGTTCCTAGCTGAATGCTATAACCTCTGTCCTGAGCAGGACAAGATCTTGGTGGCAGTGAAGGTAAGAGAACATTCCAGAATGTCTCATTAACCATGATCACACTTACGTGTGGAAATTTAACTCTATTTTATTATATTTTGGTGGCCAATGCAGGAGTAAATTGTTCCTGCTATGATGGATGTATTCAAATTCCTTTAAACTAAATGGACAGTGGAAAGGACATTTGGGGCACATCCAACTGTCAGAGGTTCTTCTCAGTGGCCACTGACAAGTCTGCAGGCTGTGAAGAGCTCTGAGCTACTCTTCCAAGTCCATGCTAACTGAATTTTGGATGGAAGTCAGTGGGGCCAAACAGAATTCGACCAGCTGAGTCCTTCCTGAAGACTCACATGTGTCTCCTCAAATTGTTAGGTGCTTGTTCCAAGCTCAGCTGAAGCTTGTGTCAGGTTTATGGTTCTGGAAGGAAGGATTGTGGACTTCACTTCCCCTCTCAGCCTCTGTGCCACTCAATTCTCTACCCTGACCCTCCCAGATGCGTACAAATCTCCAGGGTTTTATATAGCACAGGCATGATTTCATCCAGGGCTGGATGGCATCTCCTGTGGAATTCACCACCCAAGGAGACATAGTGGTTTTACTAAAATGAAGACTGAAAGTCCTCCATCATAGTCACGTCCTCATAAACTCAAAAAGGAGTCCTGGTCTTCAATTAGATAATCATTATGATTGAAGGGGATACAATTTCCACTGAGCTCTCTAAAACACAAGAATTAACAAAAATAGCACAAAAGGCTTCAGGTATTTTACATATATTTTTCAAAAAATTTTTAACTCACCAAAATAATGGGTAATATATATTTAAAACACTTAAAAGGGGCATATATTTATAAAATGAATTAAGCTCCAAATGAATATGGACATGGCTAATGTAATAAAATGTAAGTTCTTGACATAATATAAGATTATTGAGTTTTTTGCTGTTTTATTTCTGCCAAACAGGAAACATTTTTACAAATGGCATTTATTTACTAGTCATAACCAGGACAACTTTTCATTTTAGAAAATCAGGAGTCTATTCCATTACTGTTATACTTAACATTAAAATGTTTCAGTACATACATAATGGGCACAACTGAGAAATAAAATTATTCTTGGAGTCATCCAGCAGACTAAATGGTTTTTATTAAAGTTTATCCAAATAGAAAATCTGTACATTTGCTTTGTCACCAAAAGAAACTAACCAAGGTGGCATGATACTCCTAAACTCTCAGAGAAGACTCCTAAACTCTGCACTTTGGGGTGAATAAAGAACAGGCCTTCCTAGGAATGATAAATGTAAACATTTTTCAAATAAACATCATCTCCCCAAGATGGACAAATGGAGGGGGAGAGAGAGAGAGGAGAGAGGAGAGGAAGGAGATCCTAGAGAGATGTGAGGGTGAATGGGGTAGAAGGTGGCAAAGTGAGAATCTTGTAGTCATTATGGAGATGTTTAATTCTTGCTTTTGCTATTACTTCCTCTTTTACTTACTCAAAAAGTTTTGTTTGTCATTGTTTAGCACAAAATGTTCAGAACATTTGGCAGTGTTAAATCTGCAGTCTCTGTTTTCTTCTTACTGTATCTTTTTTTTCCCCCTTTTGGTTAAATGAGACCAAAAGGTAGCTCTATTTTTGTAAATTCATAGTTTGATCACATGTTAGAGCTGGAAGAATCTTTGGGAACATCTAATCCTAGGCTAGCCATGTATTATAGACAAGGAATCTTAAGACTCTGGATTTGTGTTCTGGGTGCATATTTTGTACTGCCACCCAGGAAGCTAAGTCAGACCTTCAGACTCTGCAGGTGTCACAAGATGGACTCTTTGAATGTAAAGAAATCCTGGGAGACTAGGGAATCCTAGATGAGAGTGTAGAAATAGCTAAGAAACCTCAGGCAGATATAGAGATAGAGCCAACAGATTTCTCAGTGGGTATGGCCTTTCATCTTAGTACCACTTCTTGCCCTGTGCCTACTTCTCTGTACTTCTTGCAATACCTTTAAGGAGAGTGTGTTGCGTAGCTGAATCCAGGGCACCCTCAGCTTATGTGTTATATTTCCTTCCAAACATATGCTCAAATAGGACTTCAGGGCTTGGACAACTAACAGTGAAGAGTCAGCTGGTGACAGTGATGTTTAGCCTAGTAGCTGGGTTGGCATTAAAAGACATCTTATGCCATTCCAGTTTCCTGCCCACGGCATGCTTCTGTTTGGGCATATGTCCCATTATCACTGTCAGTGAGGCCCCTCTCTAGTTTATATCCCAATCACATTCCTAGTTCCACCTCTGAACCAGACCTAGGGCCTAGTCTTCACATACATCCTGGCTTTGCCAAGTAAGTATTTGCAAAGTAATGACCTATGATGAGTGCTTCTTTAATCAACACTGCTTAAAAAAAAGGAAAAACAAGATTTAATTCTTTGTTAAATCCCAACTCTTCTCTTTGCTAGTTTCATTCTTGTTGAAATTCAAATGAAACTATCATCTGTCATCTCAAATAAGGAGGACAAAGTGCCTGCAGACTAAAAATTCATTCTAACTTCATGGTCACAAACTTAAGAAGTCTCATGTCAGTGACCTTACATGTGAATTTTTTTTTTTTAAATGAGAGGTTTTGCTTATGTTTGCTAGAGTAATTTCAAGCTTCAGAGAGGATGTTTATTTCAACTCTCTGGGATTCAGAGGCTGCAGCCACGTAAGGGACTAGCTGGACCTTCCACAGGCTCCAGGCTGAATTGGATCAGAATAACCCATGGACCTTTCACAGAGCTGTCACTCGCCAGCCTGACCTGCTCATTTTTAGGGCTTTAGGCCTATTGAAAGTGTATTCAAAGACTATCCAAAGGAGCCTGGGAAGAAAATGTCTATAGTTCAGCCCTGACCACAATGAAGGGATTTTTTAAAGGAATGAAACCAACTGAATGCAGCTGCCAGGGATTGCACAGCTTCTCACCTCTATGGAGTGACTGCCGGGCTTGCTCCTCTTCCATTGGAGACACCCAGGGATGTTTGACAGCCTTTCTGCTGTTGCTTAGCAACCCCTGCTGCATTGATTATGCATGCTAAGAAATAGCAGCTATTGTCCTTTTTCCTTCTCTAGAAGGAGCTGACTCTGGTGTGAAATCTAAGGCTTTACGTTCAGATTGACAGATGTCAGATTCCTGTAAATTCTGGTGTTGATGATTTAAGAGCTTGAGGGATCCATAGGAAGAGATTTAGGGTGGAAGTGATCCTAAGGCATGTGCACAACACTTGAGGGCACACAGAGCTGAGCATGCCTCTCCCATCAGAGTATTTGCTTGTTTGGATCCAACCAGATTGTCCCTTTCCTGATATCTTTGGATGACCTTTGTTTTTTTAGTGAAATTGATCTATCAACCATTTTTTTTTCCCTTTGCACTGAGTTATAATCAAAGAACCCATAGAGAGGAGGAGAAGCAGAGAAACCAGTCTTTGATCAAACTGAGTTACTTTACCTTTAAGTAAGTCAATTGCCAAGGAAACGCTTCATCGCAGTTTCCCTGCATTAACTGTGGATGCATTAGCTATTTTTGGCTCCATCCAACCTGTATTTCCAAAGCTGCAATTCCTATAACATTTCCTTGTACTATGAATCCACATTGATTTTTGCTTTTTAAATATATCCACAAGTGTGCATCGTGGGATTCATGGTCTCTCCTCCCCTCCCCACTAACTCAGGTGTATTTCTAGAAACATAAAATGCTGAATAGGAGAGAGACCTTAGAAATCATATATATAACCCAAGCCTCATGTTTTATGGATGAGAAAACTGAGACTCAAGGAAGTTGAGTGACTTCCCCAAGGTGTAAGTTAAAGTGAATCAGAGGTGTTGTACAGGAAGAAGACTTGGCAAGATAAAAAATGGTAAAATTTGACTTCAGCAAGCACTTTCGTTGGAATCTGACTTAGGATTTTTGCTTTTCATGTTTCCAAATTCTTTCTTGTCAACAGAGAAAATGATGATGTTTTTCTCCACCAAGAGTTTGGAAAAGTTTTCTGATAAACCCTCTAGCACATAATGAGGCAGGCCCCAAGTGGCATCCAACATGTTTCTTCCATTTCCATGTCGGGATGGCCCCTACCCAGCCTCTTGGCCCAGGTAACTCCCATCCACGCATCAGCTCTCAGTTCAAGTTGTCCCTCTTGGGAAGGATGTGCCTTGTTTGCTCCTCCATCTAGGTCACATCTCCATGACATATGCTATTAAAACATCTGTACTTGTCCTTTATAGCATTTGTCAATATTTTAAAATTATATATATATATTTCTGGGCTTATTTAATGAATGGCATTGAATGTCTGTCTCCTCTAGTAGAGTGGCATATTCCCCAGGATGGCAATAGTGCCTTTTAGCACACTGCCTCATATGTAGTAGTATGCAGTAAATGCTTGTTGAATGAATGAAGGGATGGATGGGTGGGTGCATGGAAGAACAAAAAGATCATGAAAATAATAGCCTTTTGATAAATAGAGAGTTGCACCAGGTGTGGTGGCTCATGCCTGTAATCCCTGCATTTTGGGAGGCCAAGGCAGATGAATTGCTTGAGCTCAGGAGTTCAAGACCAGCCTGGGCAACATGATGAAACCCCATGTCTACAAAAAATACAAAAAGTTAGCTGAGTGTGGTGGCATGCACCTGTGGTCCCAGCTACTTGGTAGGCTGAAGTGGAAGGATTGCTTGAGCCTGGGAGGCAGAGGTTGTAGTGAGCCGAGATTGCACCACTGCACTCCACTCTGGGTGACAGAGTGAGACCCCAACTCAAAAAAAAAAAAAAAAAAAAGAAAAGAAAAGAAAAAAAAAGAGTTGACAGTTGGCATTTCTAGGTAGGGAAATAATTTGATGATCTATTGATAGTCATAGACTTTTATAGCTGAAAGAAACTGTAAAGATGATATATATATAGAATAACGTAATCTAACAAGAAATTATTTTAGAAATGATTGAATCACTATATAGATATATAGAGCTAATATTGATATTCTTTAGCTTAACTCCACCATTTTGCCAATGAAGAAACAGGAATCCAAAGAAGACAAATGACCTATCTAAGGTCACCTAGCCTAAAAGAGATCATTTAATGTCAATGTCAGACCTAGGACTTAAACACAGTCCAGTGCTCATTGGGTACCATATTTTCATTTATTGAATTTTACATGTGCCCTGGTGAACCAGATTGAGGAAATCCAACACAATGACACTTATCAAATAATATAAAGGAGTGTGTTAGTTATGTCGTTTATATGGAAGGATGGGAGACATGTTCATATTTTCCCAAGTAGAAATTTAATTCAAGGGAATAAGTGGAAATAAGATATACTGGATTCCTGAGGGAGTGTTTAGGCCTCAGGGGAATACAAGCAAAATATTATAATCAGCTTTTATAAAAAGAACAATATCATGTTCACTGGAAACCCAACTCAAGCTGGCTTAAGCAGAAAAAAAGAATTTATTGGCTTCTAGAAATCCATGCTACTAGAAAACCTACCTATGGGTATCCCAGCTTTCAGGCACCACTAGATCCAGGGAATGAACGATTCTCTTTCTCGTCTTCTCCATCCCTTGGCTCTGCTTCCCTCTGTATTGGCTTAATTCTCAGGCAGGTTATTTCCACATTTTGCTAAAGACTTGACAGCAATGACTCAGGGCTTAGATCTTGCCCTCCCAGCAACTCAAAAGAAAGAGAGCTCCTCCTTCCAAACAGCTATGCAAAAATCCAAGGGATGACTCCTATTGGCTTATCTTGGGCTGTGTCACCAGACCCTCTGGCCAGAGGAATGGAATATTCTGATTATCCAGGCCTGGGTCACATACTGACCCTTGGAAATGAAAGTTGGGGTCCACTCTACCCAACCCAAATGGACTGAACGTGGGGAAGTATTGTTTCCCTGGAAGAATATTAGAGATGCTATAACTAAAAGAAGGGAGAAAGAAATCTGACAGAAGAAAGTGAAAGATGACCAACTCAAATAGGAATTGCAGGAGAGCTTGGCCTCCCTGTGATGAGAAGAGCTGGTATCTGAAAGCTCACTCAAGATCTGAGGCAGCCCTGGTGACTGTCCCTTCTTTATCATCTCGGCAGGAGACATCAGGGAATCTCCTTGGGACTCCCCTGCTTAGTGCAGCTGTCTCTTGCCTCTGCTACTCCCTAATATTTGCCTGCAGCTTTCATACCAGCTACTGCCCACACTGCCTCCATGACTCACTTGCTGATTCCCCAAGAGGGAAAATACTATGGTCCAGTTCTTCCAATTAGTCATCTGCAATGCCATTTAGTCTTCATGCCAGGACACCTACCTTCCATCCAGTCATCTGAGGTGGTCACGTGGTACAGAAGAGGCCACCTCTGGGAACAGAAGCAACCAGAGCCACTTGTCTCAGAATCTATACAAGAGCAGTATAAGGGCTCACAAGAAAAGCACATTCTCTCCAATTCTGGAACAGTTTAAAAAAAAAAAACATAGATGAGAAAAAGCATCAAGAGTTAGTTGACTCAAGTGCTCTACCCAGGTAAGGTTATTTCTAAGACAGATGGCTCTTTTCATTATTTCTTTTTATTTTTTATGACAGTCATCATATCACTTTTCACGTCTTCATTAATTGTGAAGTCCTTCTCCCATTCCTCCCTCTTCCGGTGCCTCCTTCCCATGTTTCCACTTACATTGGCATGTGAAATACTTGTTCCCAAAAAATGGAAATTGATGATGAAAAGATTAGTTACTTAAGAAGACAATTGTTAGTGTTACTCTAAAAAAATAGTTTGTGTCAACATGACGTAATGTTGCACAAAGCACTGCAACATTATAAGGATCTAGGAACAGAAACTGTAAAACTTTTAATAGTGTCTGTGATTGTCTTTATTATCCAGATGTTGCTTAATAGACTAGATTTCTATTGTTCTTTGGGTATGTACATTCTTTCCTGGTGTGCACACTCAAGAGTGTGTGTGTGTATGCATGCATGCATGCAGGAGTGCACTGTAAGATAGAGAGTTAGGCATTTGAATTAGATAGGCCCCAATTATTAAGTTCCTATATCAATATACCTTTCCCAGTAATTTCAACTTTAGACCTTGGGTCAGGGATCTGTTTTTTGAATTGTTAATCACTTTGGTGACCCTCATTTCTGGCTTATCTTCTATTTATCCACATATTTTCAGAAAAGCTAAAACAAAACAGTGCATTTCACTCTAATGAGGACTCATCTGGCATCAAACATAGCTGGAGGATTCATTTCACACTTTTGTATCTCTGGAATGTATGCATTGAAATAGTTGTGCTGCTTTTTAATTTACTTTAACATGATGAACGAATTCCCAGTCAAACAATGGTCTACCATGATCCACCAGCTCCTTTATGTCTAGCAAAATTTTATTGGAAAATTTTATGCTGGTGTATTTAAAGCCTGTAAATATATTGCAGTTGTCCACATTGGAGGTCAACTTCTGATTCACTCTCTTTTGATTCAATATTTCTCTAATTGACAGTTGCTACGAATTAGTTTCCTGTACAAAGACATAACATTTCTAATATGCAACTTGATATCATATGCAAGTATAAACCATCTATTTTATCCACCATATTATTGCAAATAGTTTAAAGTATGTGAATCAGAACTTAACCTCCTGTTTCCCTTTGGATAGTTGCCTTGTTAGATCTGAGCTGGAAGAGCCAGTATGGCTGAGAAAATAGAGATAGCAGTGAACACCCTGGCTATAAATCTTGTATATGAGGTTGTCACTTGGTACATAATTAAAGTCCTGTCAAAGGAGTTATATACAACTAACTGAGTTGATATACATAGAGTATTGTTTTCTAGCACATAGCAAGCACAATCTGAGTGTTTGTGATCATTATCCTCTTCATACAATCATTTAATGAGTTTTTACATTTGTAGGGATGTTGGGAAGCTACCTATTGCACTCTCTCTAGTTTCTAAGATTTTATTTCTCCCAAGTTCTTTCTATCCACGAATTCATTAAAATACACTCCTCCAAAGCTGAATTTTGTAAGAATTTGATAGACACTTCCTCTACCTATTTTTAGAAAAGATTCTGTCGTTAGAAGTTCATGCAGCATGCAGCATTATGATCAAGGCTTGTTCTAAATGCGTGGTTAATCATTGCCTGTAACAAACTTATAAGTGTGTCTACCTTAATTCTATCTCAATTTTATAGTTTAGAAATGTTTTCCAACATTCCCAAGAAAGAGGTTGGCTCACTAATAGCCTATGGAGGTGGCTTTTATAGAACAATGAAGTCCAACAGAAGCATAATGTGAGCCACTATTGAGAGTCACATTTGTAATTTTGAACTTCTTAGTATGCATATTTAAAATGTAAAAAGAAACATATGAAACTTATTTTATCGATATAGTTTATTTAACTCAACATATCTATATTATCATTTCAATGTATTATTAATATAAAATATTAATGAGAGAGTTTATATTATTTTATTTATAGCAAGGTCTCAAAATCTGTTAGGTTTTTTTTTTACCTAAAATACATCTCAATTTGGACTTGCCAAATTTCAAATCATCACTAGCCACCTGTGACTGTTGGCTACCATATTGGACAGTGCACATCCAGAAGCCATCAGGAGACTAAAGATTCTCCATTTGCAACAGATCTTGCCACAGTGATCCTAACCCAGAGGAACTCAGGCATATTAACCAAACATTCTCATGCATCTTGGTTGACTGGTTTGGGAGTTTTTAAATTTCCCTCTGTGTTTTAAACACTATGGTGGGAATTGGGCATAGTGAGGTCTTACCATAATAATCTCTTCTATATTTTGTCTTTCACCTTAACAAAGACACTGTTTCTATGATCTCTAAAATATATGAGAAGAAGAATATAAGATCAGTACTTTTAAAAAGAACACAACCTCTATTTTACCTCATCTCTCCTAAACCACCTACACTTTGAAATGGATGATCATTTGTCACATCCTACAATATTCTATCACACCAATGATTTCAAATAAGCCCTCTTGCCTCTCTTACTAGCTTTCCATTAACCTTAACATTTTGCTGAAGCATTTCATATGAATTTTGATTTTTCTTTTGTTTTTGCTCTTCTATTTCACCAGCACTAGTTTCTCAGTTCTGTGCTAAAATTTGTTTCATGCTAGTGCATTATTTCCAATTCTGAATCAATATGTACTCCAGGCAGTATCTCGCTACAGTTCTGGAGGAGCCCTCTCCCTTAAGAGTATCTTCAGAAAAGATGGCAGCTTTGGGGTGTCAGGAAATTCACCAGGAATAAGAAGAAATGAAACTACAAAGCAGACAGTAGGAGTAAGAAAATAGCAATGCTCAGTGATCGGGCAAATATGCTTGTCAAAATGAACCTGAAGAAGAGGGATTGTCAGTGAGGGAAGCTGCCACCCGATATTCATGGCCTCAGTGCATTGCCAAGGGACTCAGGGAACCAGCCAAGCCTTGCATAATTGAGTAAAATGACAATCAGCCATGGTACTAAAACAGAGATGATTTTTATAAATAGGGTTGATAGCAGGATTTTCCAGCTTCTGATTGCTATCTGGCTATGGTTCCACCCTTAGAAAAATTCTGCCCTTACAGTGCCAAATTCAGAAGATGATTTTGCCCAAGTTGTTACCACCATATTTTCTGAATCTCTTAAAATAGAATTGAATCATAATTTAGAAAAAAAGACCCAACATGCAAAAATGGATGGGCATGTTGGATGAGGCCAGGTTTGTGAGATGCATTTGCCCCATGAATAGTGGAATCTCTTCTCTCAATTTCAAAAATGTTACTGAAGCACAGTTTTTGACATTGCACTGAGAATGGGCTCTTTTCCATATTTTGCTTTGGGGACATGGAAATGTTAGATGCTTCTTAACTCTTTCAGGTTGGCGTTTCAAAAAAGAAAAGCTTGTTCTCTCTCTCTCTCTCTCTCTCTCACACACACACACACACACACACACACACACACACACAGTCTAGCATTCTTTTTTTTTTTTTTTTGAGACGGAGTCTCGCTCTGTTGCCCAGGCTGGAGTGCAGTGGCGTGCTGTCTGCTCACTGCAGGCTCTGCCTCCTGGGTTCACGCCATTCTCCTGCCTCAGCCTCCCGAGTAGCTGGGATTACAGGTGTGAGCCACCATGCCTGGCCCAATCTAGCATTCTTGAATCAATACTACATAGCTAAAATTTGAGCAGAAAGATTATACACAGAATTTGTTCATGCCTTGTGATAATGACCTTCAAGGGCCAGTACCTTTTCCAACTCACTGAAAAAGATAGGCATGTGCCTTAGAAATAAGCTATCTCAGTGACTCAGACCATCCTCTGTAGAGACTGGATCTGTGAAAAAACATTGCAGGCCAAGGGCTGGATCTGTGTGTGCAGTATGACACTTTGGGGAGGTTGGACAGTCCTCTGGGAAGAAGTGGTAGCTCCAGCAGCACCTCTGCTCTCATATCTTGGGTTGGCCCCTGGGCCTTATTCATGCATACTTTGACCTTCTTGGATTCTTACGTGAGCAAACTGAATACAAGACTGGTTGTGGTTTCAAATTCAAATCATCAAATGTCCCTCTCTACCAAGGAAAACATCCCAACTTACACTACCTTGCATCATTATCCTTGTGTCCCTGTGGAGTAGATGATGATATTGTTATCCTCACTCTCAAAGAAGAAAACCAGGGTCAGAGAGCTCGAGGGCAGAGCCAGGATTTGAACCTGCTTCTTCTGATGCTAAGCTAGAACCCCTTCCGTTTGAGCACCACCATTGTGAGGATTTGTCATTTTACTGGAAGGGGAACACAAGTTTGGGGCCAACTCTCCAGGAGAGAGTGCATTTGGGCAGCTCCCCTCAGCCTTGGAAACAAGTCCTTTCACTTGGTTTCTTTTCCTGGTCCGTCTTTCATTTCCACTCCTCACTTTGGCCCATGTTCAACTTTTCCAGATGATCATTCACTGGTCATTCTTCCTCACATTCTTTTATCTCTACTTTCACAAACTTCGTGTATCAGGGGTTCTTTTAGTTGCCTGATACTGGATCAGGCAGCAGGTGATAAAAGGGTGAACAGGACACACTTCGACTGTCAAAGGCAGGAGTGGAGACAGGCATGTACCCAACACCATTACGCAAGTGCAAGTGTGAGAAAGGCACTGGTGTGTGTGGTTTGCTCCATGGGCCCAGGAGAAGGACCCAGCAGATAGACTTCCATCTCTTCTATCTCCTCCATCTCCTCCATACCCTCCATACCTCATCTGCTATTTTTCTACTGTGAAGTTCAGCGAGATAAGCACATCACTTCTCCCTGTGCAAGAGGGATGCAAAGGAGTTGAGTTTGGATCTAGCTAAACACTAAACTAATTAAATCTGGGTGGCACAGGGGCCATGTCAGGCCCAGTTTCTGTAGCTTCAAGGGAGCAGAGACCCAGACCCCAGGTTCCGGCCACTGTTCATTTTGTTATTTAATGAAGGAATGTGCGGTTTCTATGGCAACAGCCCCATCGAAGCTTTATGGCCCCTGAGCACTTGCTGACCCAAATTCACTCACTTTTCCAAACAGAGCTGGTGGTGCTTATAAAGACACTTCTCAGAAAACCACAGAGTAAAGTGAAAATAGTATTGATCCCGAGAGCGTGCCCTAATAAATGCCTCACCTGCTAATCTCCAGCTCAGATCTGCTCCCTGGGGAACTTCACCTGTGGCACATTCAAGGTCTCCAGGTCACGTAGGTCAGGCATGTCCCCACAGGGAGAGAAGCACCGAGGCCGTGATCTAGAAAATGACCACCAGGGACCTGGCCGTGTTCTGGACACTGGATATCATCTTTTAGTTTTGCAGTCAGTACATATCTGACAGATGACAGTGCTTTCATTCCATTCCAATACTAAATTTAAGTGAACACAGATGTTCCCATTTGCCATCTAACCTTAATGACTGACTGTAGTCTCCCTGGAGATGGGATTCACAACTCACGTGCCACTTCTGCCAGGAGAAGTATGCCTTTTCCTCAATTAGAAGCAACCACTCCCTCTCTGACCTCTCTTGCTGTCAGTGTTTAGTTCTCGTGGCCTTCATCATTCATTACACAAATAGATGTTGAATACTAGCCCTGTGCTCTGCCCAGGGCTGGCAATGCAGAAATGCATAGTTCCTGGGTCAAGAAGCTCACAGCCTGTACCAGAGATAAGCAAGTAAACATGCAATTGGAATGTACTGTGGTCTGTGATGTGATAGAGGTAAGCATGAGGTGCACCTAGCAGAGTCAACCACTCTGGCCTGCAGTGCAGAGGGGATGTGACAGCAATGAGGGGTGGTCAGGGAACACTTTTCAGAGAGGTGGCAGCTGAACTGAGTCTTGGAGGACTGCTAGATACTAGCCAGGTATATTGGTTTTCTACAGCTGCTATAACAGGTTACTGCAAATTCACCAGCTTAAACAACACAAGTGATTTATTTCAGTTCTGGTGGTCAGACACCTGAAATCAGTTTTGCTAAGCTAAAGACAAGATGTTACAGGGCTGGTTCCTTCTGGAGGTTCTAGGTTAGCATGTTTTCTTGTCATTTTCAGCTTCTAGAGGCCACCCACATTTCTTGGCTCATGGCCCCTTTCTTCATCCTCAAAGCCAGAAATGTGACATCTTTTCTCCTCTCTGATCTTCTGTCCTTATGGCTCTCTCTTTGCTTTTATTTATTTATTTGGAGACAGAGTCTCGCTCTGTCGCTCAGGCTGGATTGCAGTGGCATGATCTTGGCTCCCTGCAACCTCTGCCTCCTGGGTTCAAGTGATTCTTCTACCTCAGCCTCCCGAGTATCTGGAATTACAGGCACACACCATCAAACCTGGCTAATTTTTGTATTTTTAGTAGAGACAGTGTTTCACTATGTTTGCCAGGCTGATCTCGAACTCCTGACCTTGGGTGATCTGCCCGCCTCAGCCTCCCAAAGTACTGGGATTACAGGCATGAGCTACTGTACCCGGTCTCTCTTTGCTCTTATAAGGACCCTTGTAATGACATTGGGCCCTCCTGGATAATCCAGGATAATCTCTCCACCTCAAGATCCTTAACTTAGTTACATCTGCAAAGCTGCATTTGCCACATCAGGCAACATATTCACAGGCTCCCAGGATTAGGAAGTGAACAGCCTTGGCAAAGGTGAGGAGTTCAACCTTCCATGCCAGTGACCACACCCAATATAGCATTCCAGGCAGAGGAATGTGCACATGTGCAAAGGGAGGGAGGCATGGCCTGTTGTCATCGGGGCAGCTGCAGACAGTTCCTAACGTGGATGCATGGGTTTCGAGAGGAGTGTCAAGGGATTGAGCTGGAGAGAGATGCAGGTGCTGATTCATTCAGGACAGTGGGTTTTGAGCTTGAATTGCAGTTATTTATATACATGTCATATCTCCCTATTTGCCCATAAGTGCCTGAGGCCAGGATCTGGGTCATTGCCTTCTTGATGTCATCACAGCTCTGGCTCAGTGATGGGCACATGCCAAGAGCTCAGCACATTATTTGCATCACTAAATGCCAGCTTTGCCCTGTTATGACACCACAGTGGCAGAGTTATCTAAGCAGAGAACTAAAGGCACCAAAACCCAGCTGTCATGCTCCTGGGCATCTTCACCTTGGCAGCATGACCACTCTTCTTGCGGCTTGCTGGGCAGGGATGTTTTGTGAGCCGGCAGTGTTTGTGGGCACAGGCTGGAGAAGGCTCTGTGCAGTGCTACATAAAGACAGGCAAACTGATCGTTGCTGAAGCTGGAGATGGGTCCACAAAGGTTCACTGTACTCTTCTTTCTACTGAATCATAACATAAAGTTTTTAAATCTTATCTGAGCAGAGGTAAGCTGCACATAGCATCACAGAAAGAAAGCACAACAGGCACCAACAAGGGAAAGAAGCCCGTGGGAATTATTGGGTGCAGACCAGGGTTAGAAAGGATGTGGACCCTAAAAAGACCTCCTGTCTGTAACCTAATGAGAGAACCTCTGTGAAAGTGTGTCATAAGCTGGAAAGCTTTGCATATGCCTAAGGAGTTATTCCTCAGTTATTAGCACAAATGTTATTTCCTTAGGAACTAGGCTGTTTTCTCATCTTTTGCCTAACAAATGAGATGGATGTCTTTCCTATCTCAGTATCATAGGGCCCACTGAAGTAATCCTTCTCTTTTAACACCCATCCCCAGACCCTGAAGGATGCCAGTGACAATGCACGCAAGGACTTCCACCGTGAGGCCGAGCTCCTGACCAACCTCCAGCATGAGCACATCGTCAAGTTCTATGGCGTCTGCGTGGAGGGCGACCCCCTCATCATGGTCTTTGAGTACATGAAGCATGGGGACCTCAACAAGTTCCTCAGGTACAGTGAGGCGGGGAGGTGGGCTCCAGGAGGGAGCAGGCCTTCAGGGTTCAGGAGTGGAGGGTTCATGGGAGGGAACAAGGGACCCCTGGACCTTTCTCGAAGCATCTTATTTGATAATGACACCAGCATATGCCAGAGAAAGGAGGAGAGAAAAAAGAAGGTGACAGTCTTGTTCTTTTTCCTTAATGAATTCTATGTAATGTGATGCAAATGATCCAACTCAATTCAGTCCGCATTCACTGAACATTTGCTACATGGAGTGGTATGTGACATGGGCATTTGGGATGGGTTTTAGATGATCTGTAGGAGTTTGCTATGTGGTGTTATTAAAGGCAAAGGAAACAGGAAGAGCTAAGGTACCCAGGTGTCACAATGGAAATTGCAGTCCAGTGAGAGTGAAGTTTTCAAGTTCCCAGACTGTGGAATGAACAGTAAGGAAGGGAAGCAGAAAAACAGCTGGAGGAGTCAAGGCTGAAAGGGTGGGGCAGGTGCTTGGACTTTATCCTAAGGACAAAAAGAATAACCAGGAGGCCAGTAGTTCAGAGGATCTACAGTGGAAAGATCCAAATCCAAAGAAGAAAAGCTTCAGAAGGAAGGAGGTAAAAACATTGATTGAAGACTCCAGATTATGCGGAGACCCTGAGGTCATGAAAAGATGGACAGCTTCAACTGAGAAGTTTTGTGGGATGTGGGGTCTTCAGAAAAAGGCAAGGCAAGGAAGAGAAAATGTTGACTATAAAGGGAGTCACTGGGCTATTGATTAGGGTTAGTGTCATTTGAATTTCTAGCATTGGCCTGATTGGTTGGGATTTATTTATTTATTTATTTATTTATTTATTTATTTATTTGAGACAGAGTCTCGCTCTGTCACCCAGGCTGGAGTGCAGTTATGTGGTCTTGGCTCACTGCAACCTCCGCCTCCCAGGTTCAAGTGATTCTCCCACCTCAACCTCCCACGTAGCTGGGATAACAGGCATGTGCCACCATGTCTGGTAATTTTCATATTTTTGTAAAGACAGGGTTTTGCCATGTTGGCCAGGCTGGTCTCGAACTCCTGACCTCGAGTGATCTGCCTCCCTTAGCCTCCCAAAGTGCTGGGAAAACAGGCATGAGCCACCACACCTGGCCCTGATTGGGTTTTAGTTCAGCTGTGCCTTCTCAAGAACTCCCCTCCCTCAGATGATGGGTACAGGGAACTGGGAGGAACCACAAGATAGAGCAGGTGAGAAATGGCTGAAAGTGACTGTGATCTGGGAAGAAAGGTCAAGTTGCTTTGAAACAGTAAAGCTAACTCACACAATATAAGTGGTGACTTTTGAGGAGACCATGCTGCGTGATGATACCAGTAGGGATTTTGGCCTCCAGACACAGCTGAAGTTGAGTCTCAGTCCAGGCATTATTAGCTGAGTGACCTCAGGCAAGTCTCTTTAGCTGTTCTGATGAGAATCTTGAGCTGGCAGAGTAGGCATGAGGACTGAACTAGAATAAGTATAGAAAGCTCTTAGCGTAGGAGCGAATGGGGAACGTTCAATAAGCAGACGCTTGAATTCTGCCAGGAATGATGTCAGCTGGTAAACCAGCTGCCTCGGTAAGAGAAATCACAAGGAGAGCTGAGTTTGATAAGATGCAGGAAGTTGGTGATCACCCTGGTAGGGTCCACAGTGAGTGATCTCCTGCATCTAGCAAGGGAGGGAAGAAATGTGCTGAGCAAGATACTCCTTGGGGAAGGAAGGCAAGTGATGCTTTGGCTTCTGTGGAAGTGGCAAATACATTATCATGAACCTAAAGAGTAAGAAGTCCCAGTAGTGAGGACGGGAGATTCAGGTTCTCCTTCCTATTCTGCATCAGCTGCTGGTGTCCCTTAAAAGAGCCTCCACCCCAGTTCGCTCAATCACCTTTGTTCTCAGGTAGGCCTGCCTTGTATCCTCTCTAAGTTTTATCTGGGTCTAATATGTTTTTTTTTTTTTTAATTTAGCTAGTCCTCATTTTGGAAAGATTAGCAAATGGGCTGCTTGTGATATCTTGGTAGACAGTAATAGGAAAGTTGTTAAAGGCTGTTCACCTGCCCTTGCTGGGCACAGTTTCCTTACCTGTGAAAGGGGTATCATTTAATCCATCTCAAGGTCTAGTGTGTGCATTGTTGGACTGAGAGGTAATCAAGAAATGTTGTCCTCACAATCTTTCACAATACTTCATCTCTGCCACAATTTCCTCTTCATTTTGGTTGAGAGATCTGAAATCCTGGGGAAGTGGCACCTTTCTTGTGATGGCAACACCTAGGAGTCTCTGTCTGCCTCTCATTTCCATGGGTGCTGAAGAGGGCTTTGCACAGAAATCAGCCCCAGTAAGCTTCATGTATCTGCTGGAAGACTCAGACACTGCAGTTTAAGTAATCAGTCAATCACTGCGAGAACATACTGCTGTTTTTAGAAATGGTATCACATGGCTGGTGCCGTCTGGATCATTTTTACCCTCTTTAGCCTCATGGATCCACGTGCAATTTAATTCTTCTTTGCTGGGCTGGATCCCTGTTCTCTGCTTTTCCTATGATTGTGTGGGCGAGGAAATGCCAGGTGGAATTAGGAATATATAGCCGATTTGCAGTATTCTGAGACAATCTTGATGCATTATCCTACGTCAGCAAAATTTTTCTTGTAAGTGATAGGACAGGGGATGACTTTTGAACATTGTCTTGTCAGCTCTAACATGAAAGGAAGAAAAAAGCTGAATGTGGTTGAGGTCTGGCTGCTTCTAAGAGAAATATTTTCCCATTGTTCCCATGCCCCAGTCTACTTCCCTAATTCAAGATGGTGCTTTCGAAAATCTGTAGCATAAGAAATACAAATGTGCTCACCTGGATGCAATTAAATGCTTCCGTGAGCTCACAGTGTGTCTGTACATACATGAATGTGTGTGTGTGTGTGTTGCAACTTGACTCTTTCACTTTCTCACTCAGCCTCTCCTTCTCCCTAGCTCTCCTTCCTGCCTTGCAGAAGGAACAGGCACCTGGTTCTCCCTTGGCACCTTGCACAGGGTGTGGAGCAATTGGAAACCTAGCCTGCTTGGTTTCAGAACCTGCTAAACTCTGGGAACAAGAGGTTTGCCATGCCAAAAGTCTAGTTCTCAGGTGCACTAACATGCTGCAAATATAGGCTGTCCTCTTTCCGCAAGGGAGCTGGGCACTTAGCTGCCATGAAAAGTCCCCAGCTGTATCAGCTCTGCCCTATAAAGACAGATGTCTTCTCTTGTCTCCCTACCCTCTTTATTCATCCAGAAGCCATATATTAAGCACCAGCATGGCCAGGCTCTAAGCTAGTTAGGGTGGGAAATGAGGAATAAAACACATGTCTTTGCTTGCAAGGGTTTCATGATTTTTCCTCTTAGAATCTGTCCAGAGTTGCCGTCTAATGAGGGGAAAAATAGACTACTATTTTTCAAACTATCACAGCTAACATTTATTGAACTTTCTAAGCATTTTAATATGTTTCAGGGTATAAACCATCCTTGCCGTCATTCCTACGTTACAGTTGGGGAAACTGAATCACACAGGTAGCAGATGACAGAGCTGAGATTCAAACCTGCAGCCCCTGGCTGCAAGAACTCATGGTCTTAACCACTCTGCCATCCTCTCTGCTGAGGTGCTTGTTGAAAAGACCAGAAGGAAAGTGGTGTGCTATAGAATCCTGGAGCCAGAGCAGTTGGTGCAGTGCCGGCTGTAACCCACGCTGGAGAGAACTGGACAGCTAAGTCAGGCCCATGAACCTGCTACTTGCTTCCCAAGCCAGGGAGCTGATGGTGCTTTTTTTAATTTTGTTATTTTTTTACCTCTTAAGGAATGTCTTCCTGGAAGAGATGAAATGTGTTTTGATTTCTAAGACTTCACGAGGACCTGGGAAAGTGAAAGCAGAGGATTGCAGCGTTAACCGTTATTTCTGTTCCTCTTAAGGACTTGTGTAGCAGACCCACCTACCCACTTTTTACAGCAGTATGTTCTGCTCAGAGAAAGCATCCAGAGGCTTATTTTATTTAAAGAGCCGTGTTCAGAAAGTTGAACAGCAAATACCCAGATATAAACAGGGGAAATTACTTTAAAAATCCAGGAGTCTCCCCCAACCCACACATACTAATATAAAGTGCATTAGGCATTTGAGGGCCACCAGCTTCCTGACGTCTGCAGAGTGTGGGGTTGGAGGACAGAATTTTGTGCAGAGGTGGCCTTTTGCACTGACATCTAACTTTTCCTCTATCCTGGAGTCTTGCCTCTGAGAGATATTTAAAGTAGATCAGTTTTCTGGAACTGATATAAGGCTGTGGCCAATCAACAAATTATTTTATTATTTAAATGGTACCTATGAAGATTAAATTCTGACCGAGTCTCTGGGTCTTTATTTCAGATTTTCTTTAGTTTATGTGCACCCCAGCCCCTTCTCCTGGTGCTGAGGTCATAGTAGATTTAAGGAAGACAAGTGAAAACATTGGCAATTTCCCCTGACCCCTCAGTGCTGAAAAGGATTAGGCTTGATTCACCTTTAGTGAAGTGGAAAGGGCCCACCCTCTAGTATCCTGAAGAGCCCTGTTACAGGCCAGTTACAAAAAGTAATGCACAGAGGATAACTTGTGTTTTCACATCACCTGTCAATTTCATTTTTAAAGAGAATCTTTGTTTGCAAAGCCTTTCTCCCTGGTTTTCCTGTGAAAGGCCACGAAGCACTATGCAAGCACAGTGTCAGTCCTCCTCACATCAATGCCCTTAGCAAGGGGCAGTTAGTATCTACAATTTACAGAGTGAGGAAACAGGCCCAGAGAGGTTATGTAACTCACCCAAAATCACACAGCAAGTGTAGGACAGGATCCAAATTCATTTCACATATCCCGGAGCTTTGGCCACTGTGCCGCTTCTTACCTTGAGTAGGTGCTTTTGAGCTGAAGAAAGCCCTGGAGCATTTTCCCAGCATTGTTCCTCAATGTGACAAGAGGCAGCTGGGGGTTGTGGTTTGAGTAGAGGTGAAATATGTTAGGACTGGCTTGTACAAAAACAGGAAACTCCTCCCCAGGGAATGGTTAAATCCAGGTATTTAGAGACAGGAAGAACCTAAGAAATTACCCAGTATAATATTCCTCTGTATTTTTGACTAATGAAGAAATTGTACATGAGAGAAATTAAAGGGCTTCCCAGGATCATGGCATTGGACGCTGGTAGGCCTGGGAGACCCCCCAACTCCTGTCCAGTGTTCATTCCCTGAGATTACAGGAATGAAAGATCTGGTGACAGAATGATTCCCGAAATCAAAGGCAAAGACAGTCACTGTAGGCTGGAGCCGGGATGGAAGTGGGGATACGCCTGTGGCTTGAATAGTTGGGGGAAGGAGGGCGGAGAGGCAGGGCAAACCCTGACATGTGTTCTCAGACAATTCTGGCTTTCTCAGTTTCAAATACTCACACGGCTCTGAAACCCTGCAGGTGAGGTTACCTACTTTAACATTTATGCAGAATCCTCTATATTTATTCTAAGTGTTTCAAAACGTCTTGAGAGAGATCTTTCCTTTCCCAGAGAGAAGCCCTTGGCCACGCCAGGGCAGAGCCCGACAGCAAACCCCGCCTTTATTCCTTGCACTGCAGCGCCCCCTCAGGCCACCAGGGGCAATGACGCTCATCTTGGCTCACAGCGCAGGATGTCACAGCAGAGCCTGCCGCGCTGAGGGCGGCATCCTAAGACGCGGATCCTCCCACCCTTGCAGGACTTGCGTGTTAGGGTGCCCTAAGTCATCACATAGCTGAGGAGAGGCCAGGTGTGTAAGACAGAAGAAAAATAAGATTTAAAAAATCATAGTCCCCCTCCCCATAGTGTAAACAATAAAATTTTCCCCAGCAAAAGAATAAACAGGCTGTGGTTCAAAAGAGTTCTCCTATGTGTTGGCCATAGCCTGTGTTGAGCGGAGGTTGGAGGAGGGGTGGACAGAAGGAAATGGTATTTTGTATTGAGAATGAACATCCAGATTGAGAATGCCCTGGGACTCTGTTGTTGAACTGGGCTTGAGAGAGCCAGGCGTAGCTTCAAAACCATGCCTGGCCACAGATCAGGTGGACTATGGAAGGCCGCAGGCTGCCCAGCTCTGGTGCTGGTGGGGACACTCTGGAGGAATCAGCTTGGTTGGGGGATACTCTGGCATAGCCTGGCTAGGTGGGAAGGGGTGGGGACCCACTGGGCTGCCATGTCCATCCCACTAGGAGAGTCCATCTTTCCCCATATGTTTTGTTTTTGGTTTTGTCTTCCTTCACCTACCTGCTGCTTCTCAGGGTCAGGGGGCCCTGGTAAGTGCCTGAACCCAGCACAGTGCCAGAGCCCCTAAAATGTCAACCTGTCTGTACACTGGAGGGAAGGGGGACATTCAGGCCCACGGGGTCCTGGGAATTCCAGACTCTTTGGGAAACAGAGCAGCCTGGGTGCTCTCAGGACTGCAGAAGTACAACTGTGTGAGCACCTTTGTCTCCTCTTCATGCTAAGTCAGGCAGCATCTTTTAGCACCAGCAGCTACAGGGTGGGGGTGAGGAGCTTAGCAAGAGGGACGGGGAGGGGCAGGGGCAAAGGGCCCCTGGAGTGAAAATGCTGAGGCCCCCAGCTTCATTCTCCATGTCCTTCCCCAGGGCACACGGCCCTGATGCCGTGCTGATGGCTGAGGGCAACCCGCCCACGGAACTGACGCAGTCGCAGATGCTGCATATAGCCCAGCAGATCGCCGCGGGCATGGTCTACCTGGCGTCCCAGCACTTCGTGCACCGCGATTTGGCCACCAGGAACTGCCTGGTCGGGGAGAACTTGCTGGTGAAAATCGGGGACTTTGGGATGTCCCGGGACGTGTACAGCACTGACTACTACAGGGTGAGTAGCTGTGCAGATCAGAGACCCCAGGGACCTCTTTCCCTGCGGGACCCCTGCTGTATTTGTTTGCTGAGGCTGTCATAACAAAATATCATGACTGGGTGGCTTAAACGACAGACATGTGTTTCTCATGGCTCTGGAGGCTGGAAGTCCAAGCTCAAGGTGTGAGTGGGATTGGTTCCTCCTGAGGCCTCGCTCCTTGGCTTGCAGGTGGCTGCCTTCTCACTATGCCCTCACATTGGGATGGTGACAACCCAATCCTTCCCTTTAGGCCTAAATTTCTTCTTTTAAGGACACCAGTCAGATTGGATTGCATCCCACCCTAATGGTCTTTTTAACTTAATCACCTACTTAAAGTCTTGTCTCCAAATACAGTCACATTTTGAGGCCCTGGAGGTGAGGTTATCAACGTATAAATTTTGGGGGGACGCAGGTCAGCCCATAGCACCCACCCTGCTCTTGGCACTCCAGCGTGGTGGGTGAGATCTCCAAGAGTGAAGTCCTCAGTGTGAGAATCCTTCCAGAGAAAACTGAGGGCCTGGGGGAATTCCTGGTGAGGTTAAAGGATGCTGAGGTTTGGCTTTGATTCTGTGAAAGTATGCCTGGAGCCTTTGTTTGAGATTTGAACAAAAGTGAACTTGTTCACATAAATAATAGTACACCGGACTTTGGAAGTTCCCTCCAAGCGCCATCTTGGTTGAAAGCGGTTTAGCTTGGTGAGATGGAAGAAGTTTTATCCTGCCTGTTCCTAGACACTTCCACACAGCTTGTCTGGTGTTTCCACCACTGAAATCACTGAGAGGCAGAGTTACAGACAGTGACTCAGATCCACTGATGACCTAGAACTGGCCCCCGGGATATGTTAACTTTGTTAACTGAGATTTTGGAACTCGGACATGAGAGAAAAGGGAATTTCTGGAAATGTTGAAGTTGTGATATTTAGAGTGAAGATTCGGGGTGGTGTTCTACCACTTTGATTTTCTACCAACCCTCAATTTGATTTTCTTGTGTGTTTTGCTGTTTTTCAAGGAGAGAGGAAGGGAAAAGGAAGGAAGGGAATAAATGTGCTGGTGTCTATAGCTTAACAGCATAAAGCACAGAACTGGCTACCTTTCATAATAGGGTAGGGCTGGTGAAGATGCTGGCTTTGCTCTTCTCATTGTTATTTATTTTTGAGGAGGCACCTTCTCAGTTTATTTCCTGTTCCCCTTCCTGCAGTCTTGCTCACCTCTATGGCCTCTGCGTTTTAGTGGGGTGAACTTTGCTATAATTAGTGTAAGAAAATTAATCTATTGTCGTGCTCCATTATTCTTCATTTGACTGTTTTGTGGTGTTTTTTTTTTTTCTTGGTCACCTTGATAAGCATCATTTACATTTTGTGTGGCAAAAAGGAATAGAGACCACATGGAAAAAGATTCTCTTGGGTGTATTTGCAGGAGATGGGGGCACACTCTTAACTTCAGGTGTTCAAAATGTAGCTTAAAAGCAGTGACTAGTTTGTTCAAGATATTTAAAACGTGGGGAGACTTTACCTACCAGAGATGGTCTCCTCTGCTAGTTCTACACCTTAATGAAAGTTCTCCCTTCCTTGATGGGGGCAGGGAAACACATGGATGATTCTCCGAAGAAAAGCTTTGCTGATCTTGGTGAGCACCCAAGGGAGGGACATGTGGCCCAGGCAAAGGCTTTCTCTCTGCAGTATTAGTAAAGGGTTCAACGTGCCTGGCACAAAAAGTGAGTGCTTGTTAAGTTTTTCCACCTAATTATTACCCAAATCAATAGACATACACTTCATCTCCAAAGCTAGGACTTAACTGGATGGAACCTGGCATCCTCCTCTCTAGGAATCTCCAAAAATAATTTAAAGAAAAATACCTAAAATCTCAACAATAAAAAGATAAATCACTCAATTCGAAAGTAGGAGAAGGTTCTGAATAGACATTTCTCCAAAGACAACATCCACATGGTCAATAAGCACATGAAAAGATGGGTGACATCATTAGTCTTTAGGGAAAATGCAAAGAAAACTCACAATAAGACACCATTTCACACCCCCTGAGATGACTACAATAGCAAGTGTTAGCCAGGCTGCAGAAAAATTGAAACTCTGGTACTCTCCTGGTGGGAATGTGAAATGGTGCAGCTGCTTTGGAAAACCGTTTGGTAGTTCCTCAAAATGTTCAACATAGAGTTACCATGTAATTCAGTAATTCTACTGCTAGGCATGTACCCAAGAGAACTGAAATAATATGTTCCCACAAAAACTTGAACACAAATGTGCATGGTAGTATTACTATTAATAGCTAAAAAGTGGAAACAAGTTTATTGTCCATCAACTGATTAATGAATAAACAAAATGCGGTAATCCATACAATGGAATATTATTCAGCAGTACAAAAGAATAAAGTACTGATTCATGCTGCAACACAGATAAACCTCTAAAACAGTGTGCTAAGTGAAAGAAGTCAGACACAAAAGGCCACATACCATATGATTCCATTTATATGAAATGTCCAGAATAGGCAAATCCATAGAGACAGGAAGTAGATTAATGGTTACCGGGAGATGGGGGCAGGGAAGAATGGGAATTGACTGCTACTGCGTACAGGGTTTCTTTTGGGGGTGATGAAAATGTGCTAGAACTATATACAGTGGTGGCAATTGTACAACATTAATCATATACAAAAAAAAAACACTGAATCATTCACTTTAAAGGCTAAATATTTTGGTACCTGAATTATATCTCAAAAAAGAAAAAAAGAGCATGAAAAGGAAAATAATAGCAAAACAGTGACCATCATTATGAACATAAGAAATTAATCTCGGTCATTTATTTACACATTGTAAAAACACTGGACTTTGCCATCTACCATATTTTAACATTTGTTAAAAAGAAAATCCTCCACTTAGGTGGCAATATTCTGAAGTACTTTCTTCTGAAATGATCGGAAGAATAACGATTCCCAGTTCCTTTATTTGTTACATGATCTTGGAACTGGCTGAGTCACTAAGAAATGTGCTCCAGATGCCATGTTAATTTCACCCCCGTGGCCACTACTCGGTTGCAGTTGTAGGGTTAGTTTTTGTTTGATTTTCCCATTCAGGATGAGGGAAAAGAACCAGCCTTGCAATGGCCTCTGTTGCAGATGGGAATGGGCAAGACTGGGTAGGGAAGTGAAGGATGGATGCAAAACCTGACAATTTGCTAGCAGCCTAGGGAAACAAGGAAATGACACTTTATTTTGCCTTTCTAAAATGTCAGAATGATGGTTCACCTTTTCGTTTCATGAAAGTGAATATTTGCCATCATAGAACTGGTTCTTGGGAGATGTTTGCTTATTGACATATCGATGGGGCCCATTCTGTTGAGTTTGTCAAATGGACAAGCAGAAGCTGTTGATCTGTTTTACAGGAGAACTCCAGTGCCTCCTGCGGTGGCTAAGTCCCAGAGCACTCTTGCTTTTACATCAGTCATCCACCTATTGGGTCACTTGAAAGCTTAACCTTGAACCCATCCCCTTCACGGTGTCTCTTCAACTTCTCTATCACCATAGCTGGGGTAATGTGTTCTCCTTATGATTCAGGTTTCTCATTTGCTGGCACCTTAGTAATTTTTAAAAATTTTTTTCATTATTTTATCCCTATCCTCTTCAACACTCTGCATTGAACTCCAAGGTGAGAAGCTGCTTTAGCTGATGTGAGCTGTCGTCACCAATGTTAAAAATTCTTTCCATCGCAGTAATGGGACACAGTTGTGTGTGGGTTTTTTTTGTTTGTTTTTGGTTTTGGTTTTGTTTTCTGACCAGGGCTATCTTATGTGGAAGAATGGTGATTGGGCATGGAGTCAACTGAATTGCATAAAATGTTCCTTATCTTTAAGCAAGAACCATTCCCACTAGAAGTCCAAGCCTTCCACTCATGGTGGCTTATAAGCAGCCTTGAGGGATAGCCATGTCTCTGTGCAATTCATGGCAGGAGGGGCGGGTGGCAGCTGTTCTTTCGTTACAGGGGAGCTGGTAGCACCAGGAAATGGCTGCCTCCAGGCGTCCACCCTGTTGCAGCTGAGCTAATTATACCTTCCCAATGAAGGGAGAAATCGGAACACTACATTTGCATTGAAACCAGCCCAACATGGCGGGTCCAAAATTACTCTAGCATTTATGTTCTCTGAATTGTTTTAATTAGCAGATCTGCAGTACCAGTCTTTTGTTTTTTTGTTTCTTTCCTCCACTGGCAAAACCTGACATTTAGGAAACATCTGAACCAGATTTCAGTCACATTCTGCCTGTTGGAGACCTAGGGTCTCACTCTACTTGGTCATGCCTGTGCCGCATTGAGACCATTTAAATTTTTGTAATGTGCCCCTTGGGTGGTTTGCACTGTTTGGTTTTAACATATGCTTAAAATGTATGTGATCTGTTGATGAGTGGAGGGCCCCAAACATCTGCAATCCTAGCTGTTAAATCTTGTTCTCTCTTGGGCTTCAGCTTTATGTTGGAGTGGTAAGAAACCCTGTCCTTTAATTTATCTTCCACTTAAGAAAAGAAAAGGAAGAAGAATAAGCAAAGTGATTTATAGTAGACATTTACAGAAACAAATGAATATAACTTGGCTGAGCAAGGCCAGGGCAGAACTCTAAAGTGTTAAAGAGATGTCAGCAACAGATTCCAGGAAATCATCATTAGATGCCCACTCCCAGTTTATCAACTGGGAAGAGAAAGGAAGATGTGTGGTACCAAGACCAGCTAATATAGCAAGTGGCCAGATGAACAGATATGAATTTTAGCACCTTTCACCTTACCCTACTCACCTTAGAGGTTTCCAAGGGTTGATGAACTGGAAAATATAGTCCTGAGCCACAGAAGGGAGAAGGTTTAGTAATTTAAGAACTGGCCAAGCATGTAAGAAATAATCAAGAGTTAACCATCATTCCTTGGTCTTTAAAAAGACTGTGTTTATTTTTAAGAAATATTTTTATGTAATGTGAATATTTTGAGATAGGTAGGTGGATGGATGGATGGATAGATTGATTGACTGACTGATTGATTAATAGAAAGATAGACTCATCCCACAGATGTTTTTACCATCTTGTTTTGTCATGTACTAACACCATTCCCTCTATGAGGAGCAGCATAAGAGGAGGTTTCAGTTCCACCTCCTCCCTGACTTCCTCTTAGCAGAATAATTGCTCACAAATATGTGATTTTTCTATACTCCATACAAAGAGGCATCACAGCATACAGTACCTTGCATCAAGGAAACTGGCTCATATCTATGTCTCTCATTAATATGAGAGCTGATAGAAGATAAGTCTTACACATCTTTGTTTCTGCAGAAACTGGCACAGGGCATGGCGCATATGAGGTGGTCAGTACATGATTGTTGAACAGGACTCCCACCAGGACTCCCACTTTTTGTGTGTGCCTTTGTAGCCCTGCAGGTGAATAAATAAGGTACTCAGATTTGTATTTGGGTCTGGCTTTGAAGTTAGGAGTGTTGACTTCAAGAAGTAAAGCTAGGAATATAGGACCATCCCTATCTCAGACAACATTTTCGTTGCAGTGAAGAGCCCAGGGCTAAAACTTACTTCTATTGATTACCATAATAAGAAAATTTCCTCCTGTAAACTATGTCTAGAACCTTTGAAACCAGGCACAATATTCAATTTACAGGGCAAATCAGTTCCTTCCTAAAAGAGGGATGTCCTCTGTGTCATTAACTCTCATTTGCATGGATCATTTTCTTATTTTTCTCATCACTATATAATACTTAGACAATAATTCTTAGCTTTCACATGAACAATTATAGATCTTTCTGTTTCGGCTCTTTTGATTAAAGTGTACTTAAAACCATAAGAGTTTGTTTATTTTATGAAATCATCTTCAATTAATGCTTCTTACAACACTTAGAGCACAGTTCAGAGGAACCCGTCTGCCAGGGAGAAGTCTATTAAGTTCAGACTATTTCTGTATTAAACGGGACTTGCATAAACTGTTTCAAGGTTCTAAATTGGTTTAATTTGTATTCAGCCTCCCTAAGAACCTTTTACATATGCTTTGGAGTTGCCACAGGGTGAGCGTGAGAGTCCTCTCATTCATTCATTTTATCAGTACATGTTTATGAAACAACTACTATGTGCTAGATGCAATGGTAGATGCAAAAAGCATCTAGACTTTTTAAAGAAAGGCACCTAGGCTCTACTTTGAGGAGTTCCCAGACATTTTAATACAATGTGATAAATGCTGTAATGTAGATACAAAATGGGAACCCAAAAGAGGAAGCCTCCAGCCTGCTTTGGAAACTCAGAGTAGGGTTCTCAGGGACACAACGTTTGAGCTGGTATTTAAGATATAGACCCTAAATTGTTCCATTTGCAAGGAGGCCCTAGGCCAGGATAGAGAGGAAGACAGAAAGTAGGATATAAGGAGAGATGTCAATGTAAACATCACAGTATGTGATCCAGGAGTGGGGTCTTCTTTGCTATTCTTCTGAGGCTATCAAAATACGCTCTTGAGGCTATTATCACATTTCACAGGGGTTTTTGCCATGCCAAAGACTTTGGACTTGATCCTTTGGCAGTGTGGAGCCACTGAGAGATTCTACACTGGAAAATGACATATTAGATTGCATTCTGATATGTCATATGGTCTATGAAATAGATCCGCCAAACAGATCCCAACATCTTCACCTCTGTACTTATTTGATTTGCCTAGAGCAGGGTCTCTCACCCATCAGCTGTCAGTGGATGTGCTTCAAAAATGTGATCTTGTAATCATAAGGTAAGCAATCTCTTTCCTTGATGCAGAAATCCTCAGAGCCTTTAATCTATTGCTATGCCTTGTGATCTTTTAACAAAGGCTATAGAAACTTTTGGAAACCAGCATGGAGACACGTTATTCCAGTTCTTGGTCCCATCCTTCACCCAACTGGTGAAGAATGCTAGCAGTAGATGGGTAAATCCTTGTGTCCCCTTTTTTTTTGGTCTTCTGAGTCTCTTTTTCTTGAAATCACTAGCCCCTATACTTTATACGTAGAAGTGCTACATTCAGAAATTAGTTATGCTTCCAGGTGCACTGGGAATGACAGTAGGGAAAAGTGGACATTGCCCATTGGCTTGGATGGGGCAGAAGGACTCTGATGCCTCAAGGTCCTAAGAGGTCTCTCCTCCTCCAGTTTTGAAACAGTTGGGCCTCCGCTTTCTCGTGCCTGTGATATTCTATGCTTTTGCCTCACTCAGACCAGAGCCTCTTCTAAAAGTAAGCTGGCAACAAAGAGTTAGCTGGGGTACAGAGGGAAGAGCATCCAATTTGGAGCCTGAAGACAGATATTCAAGTCTCTGATTTCCTTTTCTACCCTTATGATCATATCAGTTAGGAATGTGTTTAGCCTAAGGAACCAATATGCTACTAAAGGTGGCTAAGCAGATAAGGGGTTGTTTTACTCAAGTGAAAGGAAGTTCAGAAGCGGGCAATTTCTGATTGGTTCAGAGGCTTTCCAGTGTCAGAGCTGTGGATTGGCACTGGAGATGTACTTGGTCTTTCCCTCCTGGCTGCAAGATGGCTGCAGCAACTCCAAACATTAAAACTGCAATCCGAGGAGGAAGGCCAGGTTGCTGCACAGAGCAGATTGTTTTTTCCTGCACACCTTTTTCCATCAGGGCATAAATCTTTCCTAGAACATCCCCTCTGCAAATACTTCTTTTTGTACCTCATTGGCCAGAGGTGGGTCAAGACTAAGGGCTGAGCTCACTCGCCAGAGATCAATGACTTGTTACCAAAGACCTAGACAAAACTGCAATTCTGTTACAGAGAAAAAGGAAGCAAATGGCTTTGGGGTCATCAAAGAAAATTATCTGTCACATTGACCTTATGCATCATGATAACATCTGTTTCTTTATTTGCAATGAGCCCCTGCCTTTAAAAGTTGAGAACTATAAATCGAAGTGATACAAAATAATTGCTTATTCTTCTGTGTTAATGCTTCTTTTTGCTCTGGCTGCTTTTAAGATTTTCTCTTTATTACTGGTCTTGGGCAATTTGATTATGATATGCCTTAGTATTGTTGTATTTATATTTATTGTGCTTGGACTCACTGGATTTCTTGGATTTGTGGGTTTATAGTTTTCATCAGTTCAGAATTTTTTGGCTATTCTTTGCTCAAATATTAATTCTGCTTTTCCCACCAACCCCCTATGGACTCCAATTTCACTTATAATAAGCCACTTGACACTGTCTCATGACTCACTGAGCTGTTTCCATGTTTTTGAATTCTGTTTTTTCTGTGTGTTTCATTTTGGATAGTTTTTGTTATTATGTCACCAAGTTCAGTAATTTTTTTTCTCCTGCAATGTCTAATTTGCCATTATTCTCATCCAGTATAGTCTCCATTTCACACTTTGCAGTTTTCATTTCTGGAAGTTCAATATGGGCCTTTTCTTATATCTACCATGTCTCTAGTTAACTTTTTAAGCATATGGAATATTGTCATAATAAATATTTCAATGTATTTGTAATTCTAACATCTGTATCTATCCTTAACCAGGTTCCGTTGATTGAGTTTTCTCCTTATTGTGGGTCATATTTTCTGCTCCTTTGCATGCTTGGTAGTTTTAAGTTGGAAGCCAGACATTGTGAATTTCACCTTGTTGGATGCTGGATGTTTTTGTATTCCTGTAAATATTTCTGAGCTTTGTTATGGAATGCATTTATATTGCATGGGAACAGTTTGATCCTTTTGTGTGTTACTGTTAAGATTTATTGGTCAAGACCACAGCAATGCTTACTTTAGGGCTTATTTCCCACTATTGAGGCAAGATCCTCCTGTGTACTCTGCCCAATGCCCCATGAATCCGGAGGTCCTCACCCTGCTTCATAGGAACCAGCTTTATTTCTCACCCTGTGTGAGCACTGGGCACTGTTTTCTCAGATCTTTTGGGAAGTTTTTCCTTCGGCCATGAATAGTATCCTCACATGCACGCACTGATCAGAACTCAGCTCGGTATTCAACGGGCATCCTCTGCAGATCTTCAGAGTTCTTTCTACGTGCAGCTCTCTCTTCTCTGGTATTCTGTCCTTTCAACGCTAGCCACTTTGATCTCCCCAGACTCTCAGCTCCATCTCCCCAACTTAGGGAGCTTGTTGGACTCTTGGGCTCCCCACTCTGTCTTTCTCAATGAATTAAGCTCACAATGTTTGTTTCTCATCTCTCAGATCACTCACTGTCCTTCATTGCCTGTTGTCTAGTATGAAAACAATTTTTTCACATATGAAGCCATTTTTTGGTTGTTACTCCATCTTGCCTAAAAGCAGAAGATGGTTATCATTTCTCTTGATAATGAATATATCATTTTGAAAATCTACCAGTGAACTGCCTACAAGCTGCAGCATGGCAAACAAGTTCTCTCATCGCTTTAAGACAGTTACTTCCTGTGAAGGTTTTTTTCCTTTTTAATTAAATAACTTACATTTACATAATACTTTTTCTACAATTAAAGTTTCCCTGCCTACACAGAATTATTACTTAAGTAGGAGAGTATTCTCCATCTCCAGTGAGTATTGAGCAAGAGGAAATTATCTTAGCCTACTTGTTACCTTTGAGAGATTCCCTGGGCTAAAAAAATGAATTGGTTCAAGAAGGCTTTGAAAAAAAATGTGTAGGCAGAATATTAGTAATGCTACCCACTTTTCACATTCTCCCACAGTCTTTGCCTATGGTTGGGGTCAAACACCTTGGATGGATGAAATGGCTGAATTAATCCAAGATAGTTTTGCAGACATAGTTCTTAACCATGCCTCTTTAATGTATAAATACCAAGTAAGATGTATTCTGTTCCCCAAGGAAAACCACACGTGTCCTGGGGAGAAGAGACGTAAATGAATCACTCTGATACTAGGCAGTGTGATACATGTTATGGAGAGCAGAGATAAACTGATTTGGGGGGAGATGTGGGATGACATCTGGAAAATTCTCTGAAAGCAACAGAATTTGAGGTGGGCCTTAAAGGATAAATAGCAGGTAGAAATGTTGTTAACCGCAAAGACTATTGCCTGTGATGGATGTTATAAATACAATTAGATGACCTGTTAACAAGTACTTTTTGGGAGGATGTAGAAGTTCTAATTTTGAACTCCACATGCCTCACAGAATGGTAGGCACTTCCTAAGTTCTTACAGATCATGACAATTGCCTAAAAGGAGCTTCCAAGAAAGATTCTATAATATTCTTCTTGTAAGTCTTTCAAAATGAAGATGCTCTTCAAAGTAGTGGGTCTTCAGGATGAAAATTACTCCTGAGTCCAAGCATGATTTGACTTCATCTTTCAACTCTCCATATCAATCTCTTAAAATTCTGTCCTCCGGTCATTTCTACCTAGTCTATATGTCTATGTATGAGAGACTAGAAAACTCCAAGATATTGTTACATCAACGTAGCATAATACTGGATACCTACAGAGACGTGAAAAACACCAGGGTTTCTCTTTCTGCAGAGCTGCAGTGGCTTTCCCTGTTGATCATCCTATTGGTGACCATAAGAACTTAGCACAGTCATGTTGCCTGAGGGATTCTGCTTACCAGGTACAACTAGTTTAAATTTGACTCCATGAAGAGAATTATCAAACATAAAATAGCTTGTGATATCCAACTAAGAGAAAACGTCTGAAATTCTTTTTATGCTGATGGAGGCATGGAAGTATGATCTTACCTAGTACTATAGAACTTCCTACTGCATGGGCTCCTAAGCTTGGTCACACATCTGAATACCCCAGAGTGTCTTTTGCGTAATGTTGATTTTTGGGCTTCACTTTACATATACTGATTCAGCATCTTGAAAGCGATGAGATTTGGGAATTTATATTCTTCACAAGCTTCTTAGCTGAGTCTGATGTCCAGCCAAGTGTAGAGCTATGTTTTTGTTTGTTTGTTTGTTTGTTTTGAAGTGGAGTCTTACTCTGCCACCCAAGCTGGAGTGTAATGGCACAATATCAGTTCACTGCAACCTCCACCTCCCGGGTTCAAGTGAGTCTCCTGCCTCAGCCTCCCGAGCAGCTGGGATTACAGGCACCTGCCACCACACTGGGCTAAATTTTTGTATTTTTAGTAGAGACGGGGTTTCACTGTGCTGGCCAGGCTGGTCTCGAACTCCTGGCCTTATGATCTGCCCCACTCAGCCTCCCAAAGTGCTGGGATTACAGGTGTAAGCCACTGCGCCCAGCCAGTGTAGAGCTATTATATAGGCACTGCTCAGGTAGACTTACAGAAAGTAGACAAGGATATAACACGGTCTCCTCTATGCTGAGATTCAAATGGTAACTTTACAAAAGGTCTTAGTTATCAAGCTTCTAAAGGAGAATAGTTGCTGTGAAAAATTCTCTCAACCATGACCCTTGACTTTCCTGAGAGAGATGGTATTACCATAATTAATGGATTTTTAGGACTTCTGATGGGAAAGACCCTCTGAATTTTAATCACTAGTGCACAGTCATATCCTACTCTCTTGAACACCAGAGCTTAGGTTCATTGAACCATGACATTTCCGAATGAACCCAAGAACTATTTCTTACGGTATCAGTTAGTAAACGAAGTGCTATTTGAGGCTCTCTTCTCTCATCCTGGGAGGTGAGCTTGACTCATTCTCTAGGTAATGTTGTCAAAGACATCATGAGGATCACAAGAGAGACAGAGCAAGCAGCAGGTGGAAAGTGATGCACCATGTTCCTGGACATGCCAACACAGAGCACACCACCGCCCCTGCCCCGCAACCCCTCTCCACAAGGAGCTGGGGCTCCCAGGCTGGTGGTCTAGGCAGACCCCTGCTGGCCTTCTCTGTCACTGCATGGTTGTGTATCTGTGTGGGTGATGACTGGTGGAGGCCCTACGCAGGAAATGCAAGAAAAGGCTTGTGGAGAGTCAAACAGCTTGTCAAGGTATCCTTGTGGGTGTCTGTATTGAAGTGTCACAGTATGAAGGCATTTTATTAGCAGCTATTTTAGAATCCGAACACTGAAATGGAACAGTTTCTTCCCTACATGGCATTTCCAGGCTGGCTTCCTCCCTCACAGCCTTACGACAGCACCAGCCTTCTCATAAGGGGGTGGAGAACATGACGCTGGGCTCCTTTGACGGCGGAGCCCAGCTATGTGGCCCACGCCCTCAGCCCTGGAGATAATTTGGTTCATTCACATGTTGGTGATGACAGAGATACTGCAGCGGAAGCTGGGGAGGATTTGAGGCTCATGCCTCGCCTTTGTGTGCAGCACAGAAATCTTCCTGGGTTTTGGAAAGGTATGGAGAGATTGATGCCCGGGGTTAAGGGCGTGGAGGGAACATCCACTCAAAGGAGAAATTGCAGGGTGAGTGATGTCCAACCTCAGTATGGCTTTTTTCTGCAGCTACCATGGGGGCTTAAGTTCTTCCCAGCTGTCTTAGGGCAAGTAGTGAATTTCTTTCTGGAAAACTCATTAGACTTCATTGTAGGAACAACGACCTTAGAAGACTCCTGTTAATGTCTTAGAGGGCTGATGTGGGGTCTTGTAAGGAAGACTGACATACCTGGCCTCCTTTTATGTCTCAGCTTGGCATGTAACCCTCTCAGCCATCTTCCAATTTACTGATGAGAAAAATAATATTCAGGGATGTGAAGTCACTTTCCTGAAGTGCCCTCCCTTATGCCTCTGGCAGACTGGCATCTGAGCTCCTGTTCTCAAACAAAAACTCCATGCTCTTCCCACTCTGAAAGCTTCTCTGTGCCCTCAGCACACCCCTGGCTCCTCTAGTCTTCTCCCTGAGAGGTGGGCAAGGGTCGCCTGGTGTATTCTCAGAGCTCTGCCCTTTGTAATCATAAAAGATCCATCTAGGACAGTGGCCCACTGTGCAGAGCAAAGTTCTAAAGCTGTGTTGGTTGCAAGAAGAAAAGGGATACTCCAAATTTCAGAACCATGGCTTTTTAGATTGGGAAGGGGCTTCAGAAGTAGTCAGTCTGTCCCTTTATTTTAAGGAGGGAATCTGGGTTTTTTGTCCAGCCTACCAGCTCTCCAGCTTTGGGTCATTCCTGAACCTGACTAATATGCCAAGGAACATAGGCAGGCAGACAGCAGACTTGGATTTATTCTCACTTTCAATATGTGTACAGTGTGTGGCTTTGAATAACTCATTTAACTTCTCAGAACCTTACTTCTCATCTTAGTAAAATGGTAAAGAAGTCGGCTCTGTCTGCTATGAGTGCTGTCATGATGCCACCATGAAAATTGTGAAGTATACATATTATTAAGTATTATTTATTCTGTTTTTGCCATTGGGGAATGGGGACAGAGCAGAGTCCTGTGGCATATACTGTGCTACACCTAGCATATTTGCAAGGATGCTCTATTGAGTAACCACATCCTTGAATCCAAAGATGGGTTCCAAAGATTGTGAATGCTGTCTTGGGTCTTTTTGGCATGGGCCCAAGATGTTGCTGTGGGGGCATATATGATACATTGACGTCACATTTTCGTTTTCTTCATGTCTCCTGAATTAATAAAACACTTCCTACAAGTGCAGCCACACTTCATGCATTGTTGGTCCACCCTCCCAGGCTAGAATGGTGTTTATGAGGTCTTTAGGAAGGTCAAAAGACTTCCCCAGATTCCTAACTGGCTGCTGTCCTGTACTCTGTTTTTTCCGTGCTATCCCTAAAGGCAACTGTAGCCACCACCACTAAAAGCATATTTTAATACTCCATGTCATGTGCTTCCTTTGTGTCTTTGGAGTTGGTCCAGAACGATCACTCGCTTACCTTTTGTCAGCCATTCTGAGTCATATGTATTTGCCTGAGCATGAAACACTTGTGTTAAAGGAAAAGTTTTGTGGCGTAAGCCACACACATTGCAGGAAAAGCTCAATTTGCATAGCTCAGGATAGGGCTCTGACCTTTAGCAGTCTGGGGAAGCCTGCCCACTCCTGCACCAAATAATGTTCTGCATGCAAAAAAATAAAATATACAGCATTACAAAAGAACAGCGTTGCATTCAGCATAGTTATAAAATGTTAAAAGGGTGACATAATAACACGTGTTTTTGTTAAAACATTAAATAATGAGATCTTTTGGCGGTCTAATAGCTATTAAAATTTCAAAGTGATGATCATAAATGATGTTTTGAGATAATCTATAACAATAATAATGTGGCATGAAAATATCTGATTTCTATGGGTGACAACTTCACAGATTCTGCCAATCCTAAGAGATGCTAAATTTTTGTTAAAAGTTCATGAAAATGAGATGCAATTCAAGTTGACAGAACCCTGTGAATTCTATCCATGGATCCCTTTAGGATCTGTGCATTACAGGTAAAGAACACTTCCTTTACAGCATTGTAAACCAGTGCACGAATGCTCATTAGACATGTATAATACAATAAAGTTCTGCTGGCTAAGAGCACTCTAGAACATTGGAAGCAGGGAGATGAGGGTAGGAGAATTGCATAAACAGCATAGTCTCTGGAGCCAGATTTTCTGGGTTCAAATTCCAGCTCCACCTCTTACTATTTTTGTGATCTTGAACAAGTGACTTAACCTCTCAACACTATTTCTTCAACTTTTAAATGGCAATAATAGGGCCGGGCATGGTGGTTCATGCCTGTAATTCCAAGGAGGGGAATTTGGAAGGCCAAGGTGGGTGGATCACCTGAGGTCAGGAGTTCGAGACCAGCCTGGTCAACATGGCAAAACCCCTTCTCTGCTAAAAATACAAAAACTAGCCAGGTGTGGTGGTGGGCGCCTGTAATCCCAGCTACTTGGGAGGCTGAGGCATGAGGAGGTTGCAGTGAACTGAGATCACACCACTGCACTCCAGCCTGGGGGACAGAGTGCAAAAAATAAAAAAATAAAAAATAAATAAAAATAATAAAAAATAAAAAATGGCAATAATAATAATAATACCTTCTTAAAGAGATGTGGTAAGGATTAAGTGCACCTTAAATAGTGCCTACCTCATAGCAGGCACTTTATATGTCAGCTGTCATTATTGTAACTATCTGTGCATACAGAAAGAGAATATCTCAGAAATAAAGAGCATCAGGGTGAGTCAGCGCTGGGCAGGGCAGTGTTAAGAGGGCATGCACGCACTGGTGTTTGGTTAGCTGTGAATTCAGCCCACATTACTCCACCTCTCAAGGATATTGCAAGGAACTTTACCCAAGAGCCTTGCTGAAATCAATATACTTCATGTCCAAGGCAATCCCCCATCCTATCCAGCAACTTCACTTACTTCTGGATGATCATTTGGTATGATTTCATCTTAAAGAACCCATACTTGCTTCTGGTCATCACTGCATTTTCTAAGTGCTTTCAAACAATGCTTAAATAGTTTATGTTAAAATCTAGCCTGGAACAAAGGTCAAGTTTAGTGATCAGTTGTTTCTGGAATCCTACTTTTTCCCTCTTGGAAATTATGTCAGTCTTTGCTCATCCCCTTCAGCATCTCCACTTTTACTTTTTTCTTGTTCCTTCTGTCTGAGTGAGTGCCACACTTACATTGTCAAAAGGAGCAGGCTGGGACAGTGTTTAGCTATGCTTGAAGACATAGATTCATTTAAAACAGTTTCCATTTAAAGAACAATTTAACCATATTTGTTACATCACTTCTAGAATTCAGGTCATTCTTCTTGATGGAACAGAAAGAATCAAAATAGGAATTATGTAGCTAATTCATTTAACAAATATTGCTGAGCATGAGCACCTTACCTGCTAGGCACTGGGCACTAGAGGGAAAAAGTGAGCAAAAATAGACACATCTTAGCCTCCTGGACCTAATGATCCCCCTAGAGAGCCAGACATTTATCAAATAATTCCACAAACACATATTGAACAAGACCTGTGATAAATGGCATGGAACAAACATTCTGAGGGCTATGAGAATCTGTAATAAGGGAATCTAACCAGGTTAGATTCCTGTACTCTGGGAAGACTGAGGAGGGCATCTTTGAGCCCTGGGCTCCTTCCCCACTGGGCAGAGGAAACAATGAGCAGGAAGGCCCCGTGGCAAGAGAAGCAGAACATGGTAAAGGAGATGGCAGATGGCCAGTGTGCTGGACATAGAGCCCAAGGTGCAAAACCCAGCTGTAGAAGCAGAAGGACCTTGCCAGCCATGCTGAGGATTTTTTGTGATCATAAAAGCAATGAGATGCCACTAAGAGCTCTCAGAAAGAGGTAGGGCTTTGCAACTCTGTGAGCCAGAGTAAGCAGATGGGCTGAGGGGCTCTTACAGAAGCTCAGTGGGGAGATGATGGTTTGGTGGGCATAGATTCAGAGCAAAGTGAAAAGACTTATAAGCTATTTAGGAGGCAAAATTGCAGGACCTGGAGGTGGATTGGGTATGGAAAGGGAAAAGAAGAGGAAGATATCAAGGATGTGAGATAGATTTCTGGCCAGAATAACTGGACAGTTGGTGTCATTCTATGACCTTGTTTTGGAATGGTCTGGAAGGAGACCAAGGATTCAGCTGGGTGCATTAAATTAAGTTTAAAGTGATTTTAAGTCATCTGTATTTCAAGATCACCTCTAACCGGCATGAAAACATTCATAGGGGGGTATCCAAATAGTTGAACAACGCCAAGGTGGGAGAGTTGGGAGAGCTGGGGACATTTGGGTGAGAAAAAGGAAGACCTAAATGTGGACATACTAGCTACCTTCTGCTACATAGATGAGGATAGAGGTTCTAGAGGCCAGAACTGTGTCTGTTGCATAGAAGTTTCATGAAGCAGATTTGGCACGATGTAAAGAGGAACTAAGAACGAGAGCTGTGATGTATCAGGGCTGCCTTCCCAAAAGATGAGTTCCTTGTCACTGGAGGGAAGTGTCCAAGTGTAGGTTTTCCATCTTCTATTATGCTGCAGAAAGGGCTCCAGTGTTTTAAAAATTGTGTTCTATGGAACCCAGTGAGTTTATGAAGGGGCTTCAGTGACTGGTTTTGTAAACAGTTGATTTCAATTTCATCTCTTTATGTGTACTATAACCGTTAATATAACTACTAATATGAAATATGCTGTAACCAATAAAAACTAATGAAAACTAACATGCTCAAATGTGTTATATACACAATTTTAACACATTAGACAGTGGAAAAACTTTGATGTGTTTTTGGGGTTTAGCTTTATAATGTATAAATACTACCAACTTGAAGTTTTAGAAATGAATTCCTAGTAATACATGCATTTTTATTTTCATTAGTTTTGAAGATGGTGTCTTAAGATTATATGAAATTTAGATAAGGCCTAAAGATCCTTATAACTCAAAGATTCCATTGGTTTTATTCAGACAATTAAAATAAGCAATCATATTCTCATTTCTATACATTTATTTTAGCCCCCAAAAACCCATATGAGCAGATCTAGGTCCTCTGTGCACAGGGAAACATTTATGAAGCACTCTGCTTCCAGAATTAACTATGATTTCAGCTCTCCCTACGCTCTCCATTGAGCCCTCTTTCCATGCTTTCCTTCCTTCTTTCAAACTTGCCAAACTTCATCTGAGCTTTCAAAGACATTGATTATATGTGCATGGACTACTCTAAAAAAGTCTTGGTATCTCATTATATTTATGACATAAGTATTTAAATAGCTTAAGGACCATGGCCAACAGCTTCTCCATGTCACAGAGAAGAGAATGTTCAAATGTTCACAGCTTTGAAGCACAGCTCACTGTGAATAATTAAGTGGCAGTAGTTAAGAGAAAAAGGGGAAAATGGTAAGCAGATCAGAGAAACCCAGAGAACATTTGATTCAACTTTTTACCAGATGACTGCTTCACTATTCTCCAGGCCCTCAGCAGAACTCACCAACTTTGCCACAGAGAGAACATTCACCCAAGGACACACTTGGCCATAACAGTCTTCCCTAGTTTTTCATTCAGTACCAGAACACCTAATGTGTCCTCAAATACTCCTACTGTAATGAGTGTGAAATGAACAGGAATATGGCAGCCTGTTTCAGCCCCTTGAACAGGTTCCTCATTCTCAAAAACAGACCCCAAAACCCTTTCAAATAAAACACAAGGTTGACCTGCTGACAAACATAGTACTCCTGTTATTCATAAGATCAACCACCTGTGGTTACATAAATCCAAAGTGTGCTAAATAACGATTTCTGTGCACTAAGTGCCACCCATGTGATCTGTACATGATCTGAGCACACTAACCCTCCCTGGGCCTTTGTGTCTGGGCCTCAGTTGTGAAATGAGGACAGCGTTCATCAGATCAGATGATTTCTAAAGTCCTTTCAGCTCTAAAAGTCTAATCTCAAGACTCAGGTTCACTGAATTAAACCAAAATATTGTCTTCACAGAGAAGACTTAAGATCAATTCTTAGAGAATTTACAAAACTAGGGGAAAAAATTTAAAAAAAACAAAGATACAGTTTCTCCTACAGAATGTACAGTTTTGCTCAATGGTATTTTTTAAAGTTTATTTCTTTGTCGACTGTTTATGTTTAACCCCCATGAATCATCAGAAGATGCATTTTATCTGCTGGCCTTACAGGTAAGAGGATTAGATGATACTATCTTTTTCTGTTCTTTTCTCTTAAAGCAATATCCCCATATTAGAGAAGAAGTTTATTTATTAGCCACATGCAGACTTTCATGGTTTGCTTTTTGTTCTGGATGTTTGTGTGTGTGGAAATACATAAAATGACAAGAAATGAGAAAGTACATAAAACCTGATAACAGTGTCTGAACCCCACGCATATCTGCTATCATACTATAGACTAATATTACCTGTGTAGAGCCAGGGCCTCTCCTCATAACAAATACCCTAACTTGATAAGGTGGCAAATGAATCAATCGTTATGTGGTTTTTATTAAATAATACACCCAAGGATGCATGCCTTGTGCTACTTGGTGGTGTGCAAAGTAAGTCAAACATTGTCAACCATTGTCAATGTAATTTTTATAGATCTCAGTTTTATAGATGGTAATTTAGAGCTGCAGAAGGTTAAAGCTCTTGTGTAACTTGGAGCCAGATAGCCCAAGAGTTTTCTTTACCTTTTTAAGGCATAAAAGAAGTAGGACTCAGATTGAATTCCTCTCCACATCTCACTTATAAGAGAAACATCCTTTATTTGTCCAACATGGAGACTGAGCAGCATGGAGAATGGGCTGTTCTCCAGTTTGAAATAGTGATTTTCCCAAGTACCAACCTAGTTCATATCCTCAAATGATGTGGAGAACCTCTTGGTTTCCACCCTTGGTTTCCACCTTTGTAGGTCCCCTTAGAACTTCCAAGTGGAGGTGCATGTCTCCTCCCCTTGCCTTATCCCTGCTGGCTTCAGCTTTCCCTAAGCAGCCTCAAGGAAGTCGCCGGCTGTTTGGGAGTTAAGGGGAGCAGGCCTGGATATCCCCTGGGTGTGGCATATTTCCAGGACAGAAAGCTGCAAAAGGAAAGAACAGTGTGGGAAAGAAATGCCCACTTGAATGAGATCAGGATGTTCTGAGCCCTGTCCTGGTGCCGCCTGGGGCTGCAGTTTGGCAGTGCCAGGAGACACTCATTGCCCTCGGCGGCTCTGGGAGCACCTTGGAAGGCGGCACCCTCCCCCGGGGGAGCACACACAAGCTGCTGCAGGCAAAGAATGGCCACCCAGGGGCAGTTCTCAGAGGAAGGAAGGTTCCTTTGAGGAGTGGACAGCAAGACATTCTCACCCTGGGACTCAAGAGAAGTGGAGCTTTTTTCCCCCCTCTTTCCCAAAATGCAAATAGCCTCTGTCCTTGGAATAAGGAAGATGGGTTGCTAGGCAATCACTTCTAAACAAGCACTCCCCCTGCCCCTTTTTCCTGACCCCTAGAACAATGGAGACTTTTCAGCAAATGGAACCAAGATGGAGGAAAAGATGTGGCAAAAACAGAAATGGAATCAGAGATTACAGAAGTTCTGATTCATAGAGTATTGGAAGAAAAATGTAATATTAATAGGTTTTGCTCTAGGCAGACTAAAGGGGGTCTCACTTTTGCCATCACATTGGCGTTATTTGTCATCACAAGTCAAGTTGCACAGGCAGTGCAGCAGCCGCTGTCCTGTGCTGATCCCACTTGCAATGACTTGGGTGACCTTAAGGATGTGACGTTATTACCAGTGAACTAAGAGTTCTTAGGTCTCAGTCTGTTTATCAGTGCAACAATATTAATAGTTGGAATTATCATATTTTCAAAATAATCTTTTTAGCAATTCCCACATTTCGTTAGATTCTGCCTGTCAGGGTCTTGGTAGGAAATATGTGTGATATTCACACAAATTGTGTGAATTGTATTCACACAATACAATACAATACAATATGTATTGTAAGTGTGAATACAATAGAAACAGATTTGAATTAAAGGGCTATTGACAAAGGTGTAGATACGTTTTAGGGAAACACAAAGGATAGCATAGGTCCCTATGCCCCCTTGGTCTGAAGGGACAAGGGGAAGGAGTGGTTATCTAGCCCAGGAAGGGTAGATACCTGAGAGGGCTGCCTGACAAGAGCTCTGCCTTTTGGTAGAAGGACATAGCTAGCCTATGATGACTCCACACCTAAATTCTGTCCTCAAAACAGTGGGAAGCCAGGGGTCAAGGGGACAGTCCAAATGTATGAGTCAGCTTAGCTGCCGTTAACAATATGCCATAAGCTGGGAGGCTTAAACCACAGAAATTTATTTTCTCACACCCCTGGAGGCTAGAAGTCTGAGACCAGAGTGCCAGCATGGTTGGGTTCTGGTGAGGGCTCTCTTCTTGGCTTGCAGACGGCCACCTTCTTGCTGTGTCCCTGTGTGGCAGAGAGAGCTCTGTTGTCTCTTCCTCTTTTATAAGGACACAAAGTTCTATGGGATTAGGGCTCTACTTACGGGTGCCTTTAACTTTTATTACCTCCTTAAAAGCCCTGCTTGCAATGCAGTTGCATGAGGAGTGAGGGCTTCAACATAGGAATTTGGCGGGGACATAATTTAGTTCACAGCACCAAGTAACAATTTAGAGTCGACACTGAATTACCGTAGTGCTAGAGGCCTAAGAGAATCAGAATATCTCCCTGGGAAACTTACCACAAGATTTTAAAGTATCCATTAATGCAAGACCTAATATTATTCTTACTTCTTGGTAGAGCCAACTAAAACACTGTGAGATCAGGTAACTTTTCCAGAGAATGAGCATGAAGGGCAGGTGCTGGCCAGCTTGCTCTGTTTGACAGAGGTAGCAAGGCCCTGATCCCACAAAAAAAAAACTATAAACACAACTAGAGAACTCTGTTAGCAATCAGCAGGGTTTCTTTGACTTTTGTCCATTGTAAATGTTTTCATGGTGGAAGCAGTGTTATTAAAAATATTCTTGAAATTTGAAGAGGAAAATTAGATCATCTATAAATCCATATGATTGAATATTTACTGATTTATTTGTTTTTACACACTATTCTCTTGCTTCCTGTGTGTATATGTAGATATAGACATAGATATACACATACACATACACTTGATTCTTATTATTCACAGTGGTTATTTTCTATAAAGTCACTACATTGAATTAGCTGAATTAGCTGCATTAGCAAATACTGAATCACTGCTCCAAGGGGAAATATAGGAATAGGCTCCTGTAAACCCTGGTCACAACATCTTCATTAGCTGATCAATACATAACCTTGTTTTATGTACGTTTCTGTTTAAATACATCTTATTTAGTATGTATTGTTGATTCATTTACATTGAACTCAGGGCCAACAGCCTGAACATAACTCACATCTGAATAAAGTGTATCTAATACACATATTTTCTCCATAAGGCACAGCACAGACTTCTTGCTCTTAGGAACACGAGACAGAACTTTAGTGCTAAGTTTGGGGACCATTTTAAATAGCAAAATCACCAATAACAAGCACAAAAATGCAAAAAAACATGGTTCTAAATAGCATAAAGGATGCATCCTTGCAGTATGGGAGCTGAAACAAGAAGGTAGAATGTCTCCTTGTTCAACCTTCACTGGAAATGTGCATATCAGACAACTCAAATATTTTTGCTGCTCTGTGCATGGTTGTGAATGACTGTGGAAGAACCTTGAGTGTTGGTTTTGATATTACAAGTACATTTTACAGTGTAGGACAATTTGCAAATACAGAATTCGTGGATAATGAGAATCAACTGCACATATACCATATATACACCCATGCACACACACATTAGTTGTACAGGCATACCTCATTGTATTGTGCTTCACTTTATTGCACTATGCAAATATTGTGTATTTTTACAAATTGAAGGTTTGTGGCAACCAGGTATCAAGAAAGCCTATCAGTGCCATTTTTCCAACTGCATGGGCTCACTTCATGTCTCTGTGTCACATTTTGGTAACTCATGCAAAATCTCAAACTTTTGCTTATTATAAGATCTGTTCCAGTGATTTATATTCAGTGGTTTTTAATGTTACTATTGTACTTGTTTTGTGGTGCCACAAACTATATCCATGTAAGACAGTGAACTTAATAATTGTGTGTGTATTCTGACTGCTCTACCAACTGGATATTTGCCATCTCTCTCCCTTTCCCTGGGCCTCTCTATTCCCTGATACATACCAATATTGAAATTTGGACAATTAATAACCCTACACAAACCTCCAAGTTTTCAAGTGAAAGGAGGAGTCACACATATCTCACTTTAAATCAAAAGCTAAAAAAGATTAAACTTAGTAAGGAAGGCATGTCGAAAGCCATGGTAGGTGAAAAGCGAGGCCTCTTGTGACAGGTTGCCAAGTTGTGAATGCAAAGAATAAGTCCTTGAAGGAAATTAAAGTGCTGCTCCAGTGAACACATGAATGACAAGAAAGCAAAACAGCCTTCTTGCTGATAGGGAGAAAGCTTCAGTGGTCTAGATAGAAGATCGAAACAGTCACAACATTCCCTTAAACCAAAGCCAAATTTAGAAAAAGGCTCTAACTCTATTCAATTCTGTGAAGGCTGAGAGAGGAGAGAAAGCTGCAGAAGAAAAGTTGGAAGCTAGCAGTGATTGGTTTCTAAGGCTTAAGGAAAGAAGCCATCTCCATAATATAAAAGTGCAAGGTGAAGCAATAAGTGCTGATGGAGAAGCTACGGCAAGTTACCCAGAAGCTCTAGCTAAGATCATTCATGAAGGTGGCTGCACTAAACAACAGATTTTCAATGTAGACAAAACAGCCTTCTATTGAAAGAGGATGCCATCTGGGCTATGAAAATAGCTAGAGAGGAGAAGTCAGTGCCTGGCTTCAAAGCTTCACAGTGTCCCGTCAGCTGACTCTCTTGTTAGGGGCTAATGCAGCTGGTGACTTTAAGTTGAAGTCAATGTTTATTTACCATTCCAAAAATACTAGGGCCTTTAAGCATTATGCTAAATCTACTCTGCCCATGCTCTATAAATGGAACAACAAAGCCTGGATGACAGCACATCTGTTTACACCATGGTTAACTGAATATTTTAAGCCTGCTATTGCAACATGCTGCCTGGAAAAAAAGATTCCTTTCAAAATGTTACTGCTTATTGACAAAGCACCTGGTTACCCAACAGCAATGATGGGATGTACAAGGAGATTCATGTTATTTTCATGCCTGCTAACACAACATCCATTCTGTAGCCCATGGATCAAGGAGGCATTTTGACTTTCAAGTCTTATGATTTAAGAATTGTAAGGTAATAGCTGCCATAGAGAGTGATTCTTCTGATGGCTCTGGGCAAAGTCAATGGAGAACCTTCTGGAACATATTCCCCATTCTAGAAGCCATTAAGAACATTCATGATTTGTAGGAAGAGGTCAGACTATCAGTATTAACAGGCATTTGGAAGAAGTTGATTTCAACCCTTGTAGATGACTTTGAGGGAGGGATTCAAGACTTCAGTGGAAGAACTCACTGCAGAAGTGGTGGAAATAGCAAGGGAACTAGAATTAGAAGTGGAGCCTGGAGATGTGACTGAATTGTTTCAATCTCATGACAAAACTTGAACATATGAGGAGCTGCTTCTCATGAATGAACAAATAAAGTGGTTTTTTGAGCTGGAATCTATTCCTGGTGAAGGTGTTGTAAACATTGTTGAAATTACAACCACGAATTTGGAATATGATATAAATTGGGTTGATAAAGCAGCAGCAGAGTTTGAGAGAATGACTCCAATTTTGAAAGAAGTTCTGTGGATAAAATACCATCAAACAGCATTACATATTACAGAGAAATCTTTTGTGAAAGGAAGAGTCAATCCATGCAATAAATTTCACTGTTGTATTATTTTAAGAAATTTTAAGAAATTGCCACAGCCACCCCAACCTTTAACAACCACCTGACCAATCAGGAGCTGTCACCACGAAGGCAAGAACTTCCATCAGCAAAGCAATGATGACTTGCTACGGGTTCAGATGATTGTTAGCATTTTTTAGCAATAAAGTGTTTTAAAATTAAGGTATCTACATTGTTTTTATTTAGCTATAACGCTATTGCATACATAATAAACCACAGTATGTTGTAAACAGAACTTGTGTAAGCACGGGAAAACAAAAAAAATTGTGTGACCCCATTTATTGCCACATTTGCTTTATTGCAGTGGTATGGAACGGACCCTGCAATATCTCTGAGGCATGTCTGTACTCATCTGGATCTCACAATTTGTGTTCATTTTGTGTGTGTGTGTGCCTAGTCTTTTCTTCTATACATTTTTCTTGTTACAATGAGTGATGTTTATATTTTTGATGGCTAAACAGTATTCCATCCAATTGCATTACTATAATTAGCCTAATTGTTTCCTATTGTTGGACTTTTAGATTTTTTCTGTTTCTTACTATTTTAAATAGCTGTGCAGAGAGCATGATTGTATGTGGGACTGTTTTCTTCTTTTGACTTACTTACTTAGGATAAGTTCCCAATAGAGGACTTGTAGGCTTGAAAAATATGAACATTATTATGACTTTTGAGCAATATTATATTGTCATCCCACTCTTAAAATAGTTGCACAGCATTCACCAATACATGAACATTACTAACTACTAATCCCCAGTGTCTCTGTTACATCCAGCCTTGAGAAGATAATGATTAAATGAGAAATTGTGCAAATTCCTAAATAAAACACTGTCCCTAGGTGTGAGTCTGTATTCCTTTGGTTATTGGTGCATGACTTCTGACCCTCTGACTTTCTATTAGTTCCTCTGGAGCCAAGGCAGGAAGTCAACAGCCAAAGAGGTCCCTACCCATCATCCCATACAAAGGGCAGAGGATGAGTGTGAGAATCACAGCTGAAGCAGGCATGCCAGGTTGGGCTTGGGTAGCATGTCCAAAATGGAGCGCGTAAGCTCGTGATGCCAAATGTGAGCCTCAAAATAGGAGTAAATGCATAAACTGGGGAAACGAAAGTCAGGGTAGGTGCAGACTTCAAGAGAGCAGGTAGTGTGAAAGAAATCCTTTGCCAAGTTTTTATATAAATGTAGGCAATGACCTCATGGCAGGACAGGTCTGTCTGAAGGGGCTGGAATAAACAGATGGCAAAATCAACCAGATTTCCCAATTTTGGTAACTCATTCTTGCTTTGTCTTATTTAGATTTTCTGCTTTTTGCTTTCAACATTTAACTTTTGTTTTTGTTTTTTGAGTCAGTCTCTCTCTATTGCCCAGGCTAGAGTACAGTGGTGCAATCTCAGCTAATTGAAACTTCCGCCTCCTGGGTTCAAGCGATTCTCCTGCCTCAGGCTCCCAAGTAGCTGGGATTACAGGCACACACCACCATGCCCAGCCGGTTTTGTTTTGTTTTGTTGTTTTTTTTTTATGTTTAGTAGAGAGTGGTTTTTGCCATGTTGGCCAGGCTGGCCTTGAACTCCTGACCTCAAGTGGTCCACCCACCTCGGCTTCCCAAAGTGCTGGGATTACAGGTGTGAGCCACCACACCTGGCCTCAACATTTAACTTTTGAAGTCTTGATTTTTTTTTCTCATAAGTGAATAATTCCTTAAAGTACATGTATACATATTTGTGTATGTAGTTACTTGTGTATATATGATTAAGCAAGTAATTATTCTAATCTTTTTTTAATTTTGTTTTTGGAAACAAAATATAATTTATTTGCCCTGTATTCAAACTTTATAATAACTGAAAGCTGATGTGTTTTTTCATTGTCTTCTTAAATCAGTTGAAAAGGTATGATACTTACATGTTCTTGTTCCCCATTAAGTGGAAGAATTGTATTTTTAAAAAATAGCATTTTACTTTGGCTATTATGTCCACAGGATAAAAAGGAAGGGGATTTTAGAGGGAGAAATTGTTTCAAAATGTTTTGAATCACTTAGCAGTTTAACCCTTAAAATGATAGTTTCTGGGGTTTTATTGATTATTTGGAAGGTAAGTCTATGCAGACAAATAGTTAATTGGCTTAGCCAAGAAATTAGAGAATTCAGTAATTCAGTGGGGAAGTGGGGTGTCAAGCCAGCTGATCGATTAGTATCACGTGGAAGAACTAACCAAGGGATTTAATTTCTGGGTTTTATCCATTGCCTTTGTTACTGCATAAGCATTCTGATTAATGAAAATGTAAACTATTTTAGAATATTCTGCAAGTTTTAGTACTTACATGCAATAGTATCTTTCCTTTTTATTGGGTAGAATTATATTTTGCACACCCCCATGGAACGATGTTTCAGTATTGAATGTCAGTGTTAGAGATTTAGGAAGAGGAACAGTTTGGTGGCCTTTAGCTAGGGTTGCTTTTAGGAAACCCACCTATGCCACACCCACAAGGGTACATGTCAGGCTATCTGGGCAGCTATTAATGACTGAGAATGAGCCGAGGAGGATTAAGCAGGAATTTTTCTCAGCAGGAGGATCTTGACTCTAGATTATTAGTGGTCCTAATGAAGAAACAGATCTATCTGCTGGCCTGTGTCACTCAGGAGTCTGTGGCAGCACCAGGGTCACCTGAATCCTGGTCCAGAAATCTCCCCTAGGAATCTATGGTCAAAAGACTCCATTGTCAAAAGAACCCATTAGGTCTGAATCCATGTGGTAGCTAAGTGCCTCTCTCTTCTATATGCCAACTACATCATCACAAAGATCCTCATGCTGATCTAAGGTCCATCTTATCCTCTTTGTCCCAACATCTTCATTTAGCTTTATTTTAGCCCCCTCTCACTTCTTACTTACAAACCCAATGCGCAATGACAAAATCACACTTTTGTACACATTCCATATAATATAAAAATGTAGGGGAACTAACACTTATCCAGTATGTGGGATGACAACTGTTTGACGTTCACCTGACCGTATCTTTTAAACAGATAAATGTGTATGCTTTGATTTAAAAATAATTTCAAAGATATGATATATCCCAAGATAATCTACATTCCACAAAGACGAGTAGACAAAATGTAATGATGTTTATCAAAGGGGATGGAAAATATGTATGTATTCAGCAGATTATATAGATTTTTCTTTCTTAGAGCAGTGGTGGATTTTTTTTTTCTCCTGCCTAATTTATACCCCATGTGACTTTTGTTGGGCAAATCAAATATAGGGAAGTGGGAAAGGATACTTAATATTCTGACCCTTCTGAAATAGGTCTTGGTAATGAGATCGTTTTGCTGATGCATGAGCTGAGGAAAAACGGCCCCTTCAGCATCCTCGGTTCTAGTCTTAAAAATTACTACTACTTGCTCTTTAACAGCGTCTGATACCAAATTGCTGTTCTTTAAGTTCATAATCAGTTCTGTCCCCATGGTTCCCTGAAAACTAAATGACCCCAAGGTGAAATTGACAGAGGAAGCATAAGGTGAGGCATACAACCACTTAGGCACAGGCTCTGTCCTGTGGTCAGCACCAACAGATTCTAAGACAAAACCACAGAGCACCTCTTGTTCTTGGAAATCATCTTGAAGGACAGCAGTCAAGGCTTCCACTGGGGCCTTCCTCTTTGGGAATTCAGGCCTTCACAATTATTTTAATTCCTTGTCTGACTATAAACAACTGTCTTTGAACCCTTGGGCTGCTTCTACTAATGGAAACTAAGGTTGATTAAATTTTTATTTCCCTAGGACCACTTAGAAAATAAGTACAAATCATTTGAAGATCTCAGTGATCAAAAGTGCTCTTCAATTCTAAATCTGGGATAGTGTAAAAAGAGACCTGAGCTGTGGGAGCCTTGATCCCACTGGGTATTTGTAGGATCATTCCCCATAAAAATTCAGATTTCCACTGTCAGGTACAAAAAACTAGTTATTTTAACATCCCTACTGCCCCTCCGCCCCCACACACAAATTACATGATTTGAATGGAGGGACGCGATAGCTTTCATTTTAAATGTGAAGGTCCATTGTGAAGGAAAGAAATAGTCTTACTTAAGTAGAAACTGTAGGTGAGCAGATTTGAACTCTAGGGTCACACCCTGTCTGACAATTATGGTGGAAGACATGGGACAGTGGGTCTTGGAGCTGGGGCTCTAGAGTTAGCCAAACACATACATTTCAGTTTCAGTTTCCTCCTACTGACTTGAAGAGCTTAGAAATGTTGACTCTTCTTTCGAGCCTCAGTTTCATCATATCCAAAATAGTAATGACAAAATTACCTATCTTGGGGTTGCTGTGAGGATTAAATGAGATACTTCAGTGATGATTAGCCTTTATATTCCAGGGCAGTGGTTTTCAAACTCTGGCCTGAGTAAGAGTCGCCTGGAGGCCCCCTTAAAACAGATTTCAGGGCCGGGCATGTTGGCTCATACCTGTAATCCCAGCAGTTTGGGAGACTCAGATGGGCAGATTACCTGAGGTCAGGAGTTCGAGGGCAGCCTGGCCAACATGATAAAACTCCATCTCTACTGAAAATACAAAAATTAGCCTGGCATAGTGGTGCACGCCTGTAGTCCCAGCTACTTGGTGGCTGAGGCATGAGAATCGCTTGAACCCGGGAGGCGGAGGTTGTAGTTAGCTGAGATCACACCATTGCACTCCAGCCTGGGCGACAGAGCGAGACTATATCTCAAACAAACAAACAAACAAACAAACAAAAAACAAAAAAAAGATTTCTAGGTTCTGCCACAGTTTCTGATTCAGTAGGCTTAGGGTGGAGGTGGAACCCTAGAATTCACAAGTCTCTCGAATCCTCAGATCAAGCCAATATGGCTGGCCTGGGGACCACAGGCTAAGAAGCTGAGAACCACCACTATATGATACAGCAAAAATAGTTTAGAGCAAGTTCTCAGATTTTAAAAAATTAACCACAGTTCGTTAAGAAGTAGTTTGTGTATAAACTAGAAAGACTTGCTATTGGGAGTACAGAGCCGTAGGTTCGTGTCTTATCTTTGCCGCTAATGTACTGTGTTGCCAAAGAAAAACCTCTCCACATCTCTATTTCATATTTTTGTTGTCTTCATCCTGTATCTTCAGCAGGTTGTTGTGGAGATCAAATGAAAGAAATGTGTTACAAAACTTTAAGCAGTATTAACATATAAAACAGTGAAACTGTGGAGTTGTTGCTATTATTATAGACTATGAGTGTGACTTTACCTTCCTGTCATAGAAATGCCTTTGATTAAGCTACAGATACAAGACTGTGTCTTCTTAGGAAAAGGAGATTTTAAAAATCACATATCTGTCCCAGCAAGGGTGTTTGCAGAAACAGCCAAATCTTTTGTAATAAATCATTTTTATTTAGATAAATCAGGCAGATAGGAAATAGCTAGTCAGATATTAACCAAGCTCTTGACATGATTTTTGCGTCCTTTTCTATGAGTGATTCAAAATGAAGTTGCTCTTTCTGAAAACCCTATAATTTGTATCTCAATTTGAAGGAGGTATGATCAGCTGGCCTATGTGGTTGATGTGACTAACATTTATTGAGCCTTACTAAGGGCAAACTCCTCTGGGCACGTTATAGGGGCTACTGATAATATCTACCCAAAAGTTCCACTGTCAAGGAAAAAAGCTCTGTTTATACTTTCACACCATCAATACATGCTGAAAGCCAGGATTTGAACTTGCTTAATATTCACAGTACAGCCTAAAGGTCTGTTAATCGCTGGTAGCCTGATCTTTCAGCTATGCAACTGACCTATTAAGAGTGATATCTACCCACTGATTAATCTTTGTGCTCATTGTTGGTATAAATACGGAAAATGTTATTGTGATAGCTTTCTGAAGATTGAAATCTACTCTCTTTGAATTGGTTAGGCATAATTTGAGATAAAGTTCAAGATTTTAAGATGCAAGATTCATTGCATGGAAGTAATGTTCTTGTCAGCCTCTGAATGGGTAAAGGGAACTTACATTAATACAGCCAACATTGATTAAGGCTCCGTGTTAAGACAAGTAAGACACACCTTCAAGGATCACACAGTTTAATTAAGAAGTAGGACTGTTAGGTGTTCCTCTGTTCACAGGTGAATCGTAAAACCAGAAAGGATGGGAAAGAGGAGGAAATGAGGAGAGGGTGTGGGAAGGGGCAAGGAACACTAAGAAGAGCTGCTCCAGGACTCTTTGAATTTCTAATGAGCATATTCCTGCAGCTGGAGCTTTAATTACACATAGATGCCCTCTGTGTTCTTTGTAGAACAACCTCTCAGAGTTTGAACAGTGGTTGCTGTCTGAAGGCATGGGCAGGTTAAATTACAATTATTATCTGACTACTACTTGAAGCCCAGAGATGACTACCCTTTCACAAACAGCCCCCAAACCGTGTGATGTTGTGACATTTTCAACACTCCCGCTGCCCCCCGACCCCTGCTCCATATTCAGACTGTCTGATAGTAATTCTCTAGAGCAGCATTCCCCAACTTTTTTGGCACAAAGGACCAGTTTTGTGGAAAACAATTTTTCCATGGACAGGGGTTGTGAGGATGTTTTTGGGATGAAACTGTTCCACTTCAGGTCATCATCATTAGCTAGATTCTCATAAGGAGTACACAACCTAGATCCCTCACATGCACAGTTCACAGTAGGGTTTGTGCTTTTATGAGAATCTAATGCCACCACTGATCTGATAGGAGGCGGACCCCAGGCAGTAATGCTCTCTTGCCTGTCACTCACCTCCTGCTGTGTGGCCCAGTTCCTAACAGGACAGGGACCAGTACCAGTCCATGGCCTGGGAGTTGGGGATCCCTGCTCTAGAGGGATTGCTCCAGTCACAACTGAAACTTTTTTTGCCACCTTACAATATTGAAAAGTGTCATGGTTGTTTATGCATCTCATTTGTTGACAGACTTGTTTCCTTTAGATATAGTGAACCTGATGAATTACTGGAGAGAATGGACAAGAAAGGTCTAGAGAGAATGTAAGGGAGACAGAGCAGGAGACAGAAGGTGGCCTTTGCCCATAATTGGGGAACCCACCATTACATTCACTGTGTTTAAGTCCAGAAAGGTAATTATAATTTAACTGTTCCACTCAAGACGTTCTAACATACATCTAGAAAACATGCAAAAGTATCCTTTAGATTAGAACAGATGGTCTTGTAATTGGGTTTTGAAACACAGGTGATTTCACGAGGAAATGTGAAGTCCATTAGCCGGGGCTGTTTCTGATGAAGCTGAGGGAGGGTAGAAAATCACACCTGCTCCTATAAATGGGATCATATATTTGATACCTTTTGATTTGAAAAAACAAGCATTTAAGACCCAGGTTGACCCAATTTCACATGTCAGGGTGAAAAGAATTTGTTAAGAAGTTCAGCCCTGTAGCCTAATACCACTCTGAAAGAACATTCTTGAAGTTTTATGTTAATTGAGCACCATTAGCTGTGCACTCATTAATTTCTGGTCAAGAATTGGTTTGCTGAATGAAGAAGTGATCTAGTGAGTACATTTGAATGACTCATGTTCATAGATTTTGATATAGTTTTATAAAAATAAAAGGATAGGGAACACATCCCCATTTTTTTAAGTTAGGAAAATGCAAACAGTATTCTTTAGTCCATGCACAAAGGGGATCACTGGTCCTTGAGAAAATCAGAGAATAAATATTTTCTTCCCTCTATTACTTAAAACTTCATCCCTTACTTTTCCTTTTCTTTATATTTCCCTCCTAGCTTTACGAAAAATTTAAAGTTTGATGATTCATTTTTGAGGAATCAAATGGTAGTGAAGCATTAAGAATGAAAAATCAGTGACACCAAGTTGAACAGTTTAAAAATTATTTTTCTTAGCAGAAGCATTAACTAAGCAATGGTAAACATGAGGAGAATTAACTGCTTTCAATTTTCTCTTTAAATAGTATTTTCTTGATTGTTTTATTTACTACCACTAAATTATACTTAGGATGCAGAAAATACCCTTCTAACTTATTTTCACAAAAAGAATTTTAATGGTAGAACTTCTGAACTTTTATTGTATTTTCCTTATAATGTTGCCCTACATGTAACTAATGATGTTAACTAATATTATTAATTAGTGATATATATATTTGCCTGTTCTTCAATGTTGTAAATTTCTTATTCAACTCCTTAAATACTGCAGTTACTTCCTTAAAATCTTTACTGTTGTATTTATTACCCATCAATCAACAAGTGCTTACTTAGCCCCCATGGGGCTCTGCAGGGGACACAGATTTGCACCAATAGATATAGTTCCACCCTAGGAGCACTTTTAATCTGGTTTAAATGCTAGACACCCTTGTGGGTTGGTAGTTTCAGTAGAGTGCCACAAAGAAGCTTGAGCTACATCTTGAAGGATATTTGGAGCTTGTGAGATCTAGAAGACATGTGAGTACAGTTCACCAGAAAATGCAGCCACGCCAACCAGAGGCAGAGGAGGGCCATAGATAGGCTGCCATGGCTGGAGGGAGAGAGAGAGCAAGGAATTACTTGGTGAGAGAGGACCCTGGAAGGTGTGAAGTCCTTGAATGTTTTTCTAGGGAATTAAGGTGATCTCATGTAAACCCAAGGTTCTTAAGGGGTGGATCAGAGAGTGTGAATCAGGATCACCCTGGGAACTTAATCTATAAATTTCATCTCTTTCACACAAACACACACACACTCACACTCACTTACACACTCATTCATACACTCATTCACATCTTCCCAAAGAGTGAGACAATTCTCCCATCATGTTTGAGAACCACTGCATTAGAGAATCATAGAAAACTTTGTGATGGGACCCTGATGCGGCGAGGGAAATCAGCTCTACAGCTGTGTGCACACTTACAGGGCCAACATGAAGTCCTAATGAGCCTGAGCCCTTTGAATGGGGAACCTAGGTTATCATGAGGGTGAAACCAATTTATTTAGATCAAGTGATGGCAGGCGATGCCAGGCCACTTGCCTGTGCTACAGGAAGGACCTTGGAAGGCAGGCAGCCCACAAAGTCAGCCAGCGCTGCTGGGCAACTGCACAACAGGCAGGTTGGCCTTAGAGGCACTATCACTGTGCCAACCCACAGGCCAAAACACCAAGGAGCTGAGGCTACCAGGAGTGGCTTATCTGACTACATCAAATGGCATAAGGTGACAGATATTTTTGATACAAGCTGGGACTCTGGCTTTAAATCTGATAGTTGGATCTGCACAAAATTATGCTATCCTTGGAGCTGGAAGAGAAACAACCTCATCTTCCAAATGCAAATATCCCGAATCAGAGAACACAGGTTACTCAGCCAAAGCTCCTCAGCTACTGAGCAGCAAATCACCAAACCTCAAGAAAAGGCTTGTAGGACTAAAGTAGTACAATTCAAACTTTTACCACTGGACCTGCACAGCTCACACCACCCCACCCCACAAACTACTATTTTGTTTCTTGGTTACATGCCTTTTGTTTGAGGCACTAAATACTTCTCTGAAAATTATCTCTTTATATTCTCAGTTGTCACCACTTCAAAATTATGTTCTTTGCTTCTTAAAATCATCCGTTCTTCATTTATTCTTCCATATATTTATATATTTATTAACTAGATATTTATGGAATGTCTATTTTGTTCCAGGTATTATACTTCCATCCTTATCTGGTCCCGTAATATATGTGAGAGGATACCTCAAAATAATAAGCCATTGAAAATGCCATTCATTTCTTGACATTGCCCCAGTATTGGCAATTAAATGACTACATATATAAGTCATAACCAATTGCATAATTTCTAAAACTGCAATTGATCCCACTTTTTTCAAGAACTGCTGAACAGCATATATAATTTCAGACCCACCCTGAAAGTCATGCAGAGTTTTTGACCTGCAGTTTAGAAGTAATCTGGCTCAATTTTCTCATTTTCCAAAAGCCGCAGAGCAGAACCAGGCTATAAGCCTTCCGACTCCTTGTCCAGTGTTTTTTCTACCTCATCAAGCCATTGCTTTGAAAATGTCTTTTTTTTGTAGTCTTCTTTAAAAGTAAAACCACTTTTCTTTCTGAATAATGTGTCCTCACTTTCAAAAAACGTCTTTGAAGGCAAATTTATTTAATCTCCTGAGAGTTTTTTCAAACCCAGGCAGTCTAGTACCTTGTACCTAAAGAACATACAATTTTAGCACATAAAGTTCCTAGGTGTAAAGTGAGTTGGTAATAACAAGTACAATATCCCAACATTGGTGGCATCTTTTGCTGGGGGTTTTTTGCCTTTCACTCCTTGCTCAGGCAGCACAGACGTTATCTATGCACTGCCAGGCTGGTCCTGAGGATTAAATTAGATGAAATGCTTTGGAAACTGGAAGGAGCCTAGAAATGTAGGAGCTTGCTATTATCTCCAATAGTCTCTCAAAGGCCAGGCGGATATTCATCTTTGTATCCCAGGCATCTAGCAGAGTTTGTTCAATAAATATTTGTTGAAATGAAATGAATGAAAGATTTGTCAAATGTCATGTTGAGAGCCAGCGCTTGGGAGTCAAGCATGTCACAGAGTCTTTGTGTCAAAAATGACATCAGAGGAAAAAAGGTGAATGTGACATTGTTGTGTATCTTACTTAATACGGACAAATAAGGCTTTTCTCTGCACTGATTGCTCCATCTGAAAACCAATTGCCTCCCATTTTGTGTGGTTTTGTATTCATTCTCGAAGCCCAGGCACTCTTTTGCTCTAAGGGTTTCCTGACTTGGATGTTAAGCGAGCTTCTAGCCCTGGCTTGTTTCTGTGTTGTCAGGCACAGATAAAGGCATGGTGGAATTTGCCCATTCCTTTGAGTGAAGGAAACTGTCAGAAACATTGTGGTCAGCCTTTAGAAACTCTCCCACGTTGGTTCCAAAGAGAACATTTGTGTGTGTGTTTGCTTTGGTTTTGAGAACTAAACACCCCTTTGACATTACGTGCGCCAGCTCCTGAACACTGGGGTGTTTCAGAAATGATGCCATGGGCACATGACGCAAGAAGCACTGCCCTGCTTTAGCAACAGGAAGAAAAGAGACCTGAAGGAGAGGCTTAAAGAACAGAGGGGAATGAATGGAAGTGTTTCAGAGAGGACAATGCTGAGGGGCACCCCACAATTAGAGAGGATCACCCCCACCCCTCACTGTCAATTGCATTTTTGTCCTTTTAAAATTATTGAAGAGGATATAAAGGCTCCGAATGCTGTTGGCCCGGCATCTTTCCCTGTAGCAACATCAAAAGTCTTGGGTCACACTGGGTAGGAGCAGGCTGCCTCCAAGCAACTTGGCCAGCAAGCATACCTGGATGGATTCGTCCCTTCCCTGAAGCGATTTATTAGGAAAGCTCACACCTTATATTGACACATTTCCTCTCTTTTTCAAAGGAGGGATAATTGTGTTTCAAATATGATTTTCTAGCAGAGCAAAAACAGTAATTTGTTTTTGCCCTCAGTGGCAAGATTCACATTTTGATCAGAGCACATTCAATCTCTAATACATTTTACTGAGTACATAGGTAGCATCTTGTTAACGAGACAAGGACATAGCGGACACGTTGCTTCCCTCCGTATTTCTGTGCTGGGCACCCCGTGGATGTGGCGATATGAACATTAGTTATGCAGATGAAGTCTCTCAGTGCCAGGCCCTGAATCCTCTCAGCCAGGTATTATCTATGCGAGTTTATCTGTCCAGTGGCACATTAGCAGGGTGCATCCCCTGGTCGGTTCTCAACCGTGGAAGCTCTCCATCTCCAACCACATCATCCCCCAAACCATTTTTCTCCCTCTCCCTTCCCTTTGAGCCCTTCTTCTTTGGAAATTCACCAGTGGAATTTTTCTCCCCACATCTCTATGGTGAGTTTTCCCAGCTTTGGAAGGCTCAGTTGCCATGGTAGCGAGCCTCCTCCGCCTGGAGCTGAGCTGGTGATTTCGGAAGAAGGGATTGTGGTGGTAGGAGGGAGGGGAAGAAAAGTCATTAAAGTCGGCCAATTAGTATGCAGGGCCAGTGCCCCCTTGCAGTTCCTCTCACACGAGGAACAGCCAGGGCTCTTTAGATCCCTGCTGGTCGAGATGCAATGAAGCAAAGGGAGGGGAGACCTCCCAGCCGTGCACCTGTCTGAAGGTACCTGTCTGGAGGAGGCCTTCCATGGCCTCAGTCCAGGGAGGAGCCAAGTCCTGCTGCCACCCCACAACCAGTGCCTCCTCCTCCTCTGACCTCCTGTCTTTTGCCTCCCTCCATTTTGAAAACAGAGCTTCATGGAGAGACCCCAGTGAGGGAGGTGCTGGAATGTGGACCAGTGGTAAAATCTACCCTTCAAGGTCTCATATATTTCATTATTTTTCTAGTTGGTGGATGGTTGTTCAACCACAGTTGAAATGAAGGACAAATATAAAATGTGTCCCAGGATATTGGTGGCTGCTTGATACCTGGGGGTATCAAGTTGGCTGGGGGTAGCCAACTTGGATGATATTGAACAGAAGAAAGTGACCACACTTTCATAGGCAGATGTGACTACTTACATGGCCCAATGGAATCTGTTCTCCCCAGAAAATCTGTCTGGAAGGGAGAGTATTGATGAGTCTGCCTCTATCTGAGCATATTTTCTCCTGCCACTGCCAGAGGTTGGATGTTCTCGGGGGCTACTCCACTAGAGTGTTCCTGGTCCCCAGCCCCCTTGTAGCCTCTGATACCAGTGCTCACTGCTGAAGGTAAATTATTATAATCTGTTTCTTTTTCCCTGAATTATTTGTCCAGATCCTGTGGATTTGAAGGTTTCCTCCCGGGTTCCACACTGTGCCCATTGTCTGGCACCGTGCCTGGCAAAGAACAGAACCTAATAAATATTTACCATCTACACTGCCTCTCTCTTTCCACTCCCTGCCCAGCCCACTCTGATTTGACTTCTGCCTCATTGCTGCATCAAAGTTATGCTTAGTCTAATCTGATTTAAGTCTGTAGTCAAGTTAATTGCAAGGGTCCAATGTCAATTTCCTGTGCTCCATTTATGCAGATGTGATGTGCTATCACTATGCTTATATATGTTACCATTGAGGGAAGCTGGGTGATGAGAACAGGGGACCTCTGTGGACTCTCCTGGCAACTACTGTGAGTCTGTTATTAGTTCAAAGTAAAGAGTTAAGAAAAAAAAAATATATAAATATATTTAATGTATTATATATATATATAACGGTTCTCACTAAACCCTTAGTGAAACCTCTCTGGAAATCAAGCCAATAGGCATTTCCAGTCCTCATCTTATTTGACAATTGGTATCCACTCCCTGTTTCTTTAAATGTTCTTTTCTTGGCTCCCTTGATACCACACCACCTTGTTGGCCCTTGTGTATTATAGGCACTGTTTCTTAGTCTCCTTCACAGGGAAAGGCTCAATCACTAACTGTTGGAATTTCTCAAGGCCCCTTCCCAGTCTCACTCCTCTTCCCAAAGCCATTTCCTCTATTCTCCAGGCGTCAGTGACCACTGCAAAGATGACTCACAAATGCACACCTCTGGTCCAGTCATTCTCACTTGCTCAGGTTTCACTTTGGAGACTGCAGAGCTCCCTTTATCTCAACACAGGCAGCTCCTCTCCCAATAGCCTCTTTCCTAGCTCCCATCACCAGCATGCCCTAGCCTACTCAAGTGCTTCCTATCTCAGTGAATGACCATCATCTGCCAAGTTCTGTAAGAAACTATATTCTCTCTGTACTCTTGCTACCAGCATCCTACTCTGAGCCATCAAACTTTCTGGGCAGCAGTATCAGCCTGGCCACTGCTCCCACTGCAATCCCTACTCTGCACAGCAGCCAGAGTGTCCTTTGTAGAGTGCAAATCTGGCCATGCCATTCTCAGCATAAAATCTTCTATGTTTTCTCATTGCTTTTAGGGAAAAAAGTGAAATCCTTTCTCTGGCCTGCGACATCCTGCATGTCCTGGTTCACATATGACCCCTCAGCTTCATCCCTTGTGAATCTCCCATTGTTTACAGCACTCTAGCTATACTGGACTTCTTCAAGCTCCTCAAACACACTTTGCACCTCTCCTGTCGCAGGACCTTTGCACATGCTGCACTCTCTACATCTAGATGATTTTTCCTCCTCCCTTCACCTGGTGAATTCTTGCTTATTCTTCAGGTCTTGCTTGAATGTTACCCCCACAAGAAACCTTATATCAGGCTTCCAGCCCAAAGCAAATTCTTTCATTTTAAGCCTTTGTGCAAACCAATATTTAGCCAGAACACTGGTTACAAAAACTGAAGTATTTTTATACAAGTTTTAAAGTAGCCACCACCCTGAATCCACATCCTTTAGCCACTAAAGGGTTACTTCCAAGCGCAACATGGAGACTTTCACCCACCAAGAACTATGTAGGTTCAGATTAGTCAGTGCCTGTTAAGTATTTTGAATATTTCTTCTAATTCTAAACACAATCTTTTCTACCACATTTATTACATGTGTAATTTTAGAGCTATGTTGAGATTATTTGATTAATAACTCCCCTACTGTAAGTTATATGAGGTTGAGGGCCATGCTCACTATCATATTCCCCATATCTAATGCAAAGCAGACACCCAACAAAAATGTTCAATAAATGAATGATTTAAGTGAATGAACAGACTTTTCCCAGATAACATCTAATTTGATCCCTGAATCCCATAAAAACGAAAGTGCAAGCTACACGGAGCACAGGTAACAGTAGTGGCTGATCCCAGAGGATGGTTTGGAGGCAGGTTCCCCAGGCAGTGCCTTTTCTGCTCTCCCACCTTGTCCCCTTCCTGAAGACTTGCAGAAGACACTCTTTATTGTTACCACTCCCAGATCACTGCAGCGCTTCCAGACTCTTTAGCATCTCATATCCTCCATCCTGTCACCATGACCCAGTTTTAGACTTTGGAATTCAAGCATTGCTGACAGAATCCGTGTGTGGCTTTTTTCCCCCTGTTCTCTAAATAAAAGATGAAATCAGAATGGTCATGTATTTGCTGTCTCAAAATAGTGCTTTATTTAGAGAGAGAAGGTGTTAGTTATTACTGGCATTTAACATTTGTTGAGTGAACAAAATCTGCTGAACATTGAAGAGAACATGGAATTAAAGAGTTCCTGCCCAATGTGTGTTGTGGCCTAAATTAGACCCAGACAAGTCACTAATGTGCAGAAAGGATGGATCTGCAGAGTGCCCCATTGCAATGCATAAAACATGCTCCAACTGAGGAGGGAACATTTTTTTCCTAAGAAGAGGGAATATTGTGGTCAGGACTTAGAGGTAAACCTTAGACCATTTTAAAAAGAGCAAAGAGAACTAAAAATTCCATGTGAGTCCTTAGAAACAGAAAACCCTTGGGAAAAGTAAATGTTCTCCCCTTCTGCAAGGGCCTTCCCTAAGAGAAATGCAGTCCCTAGGTTCCTACTGAGACATATCCAGTCCTGGGTCTACTGCCAGCATGTGCTGTAGAAAGCCCTGTTGGCTTCAGAAGGTGTCACACTGTAGAGGACCGCACTTCCAAGAGTGACTACATACTGTTTTGCTTTTTTTTTTCCCCCAGAACAGTTACAGTGTTGGTAGAATTTAAGGGAAAAAACACTTTTTATCCCTTGGTGGGGTTTTTTTGGTTTGTTTTTTGTTTGTTTGTTTGTTTTTTGGCATGGAGTGGAATGCAAGTCTCACTTTGCCCAATGAGACCCTACAAAATCCCAGTTGCCCAAATGAATAACACATATGACTTCTGTCAGTTTTGAACTGAATCCAAAACAGGGTGATAATGTCTGCACATTGGAGTTGATTCTGGCCTGGGGGATGAGAGGCTGTGCCGCTGGGTCTGCCACACACTTGGGCAAGTCTTTTATCCTTTCTGGGCCCTAGTTACTGTACCTGAGAATTGGACATCAGAATGCCTAGCTTGCTGGGTTGTTGCAAGCACTAAATATACTACATATATAAAGAACTAGCAAATGGCATGGAATATGTGTTGGTTGTGTTTCTAGCACTAAGGACATACCACCTTTATCTAGACAACTAAACAGAAACTCGAGGTCAGGTCCAAATTTAGGCTAACAATTCCAGATGCTTAAAGTTTTTAATTCAATAGATGACATTCACTTGTCTAAAGGTAATTAACCATTAATAGAGGACAAGAAACATATGGATTCTTGAGAACCTCAGCTAAGTCAACAGTCTCTAGCCTTTCCAAGTATTGCAATCCTGGGAAAATAAAGGAAACAGATCTCTAAAAGGAAAATATCTGATTGGCTACAAGTCTTAAGTGTGACAAGATGCTTAAAATTGACTTAACAAAGAGCACTTTTTATATTGTGAAGTGATCATCATACTCTTTCAATTTGAACATTATTGTGAACATATGAGGCTGCTGTACACAGGTCATAAAAATGTCAGAAGAGTGAATAGATTTAGCATGAAATATTAACCTCGGGAAAAAGCCTCTCTAAAGATGTAACCCCCTTCCCATTAATGTGTGTGATTAAGCACTCTGAAATTTATTAGTGCAGCATGAAAGACGTTGCTATGATAAGACTTGGCAGTGACCTCCATTATTGGTTCTTACTCAGCCAAGTTTACAAAAGGAAACTTTAAGGCATTTCATCAGAGGGAAGCACTAGAGTGAGATAGCAATTCTGCCCCAGGTGACTGTACGCCGTGGGCAGAGCACAGATGCCAGTGGCAAGTCACTTAAAGCTCAGCTTTGTGGACTTAAAGTGGAACTTCTTCCTTCTATCGCTATCTCCTGACATCACACACGTGGAGGAGAAAGACCCTTTGTCAGGGCCTTGGAGTCTGCCCACACTGTGTGAATCTTGGGAGAAGACATGAGCTGGTTCCAGGAGATACCAGTGATGCAGTTGCTGGGGTAGCGAGCCCTGCATTCAGAGTCAGAGTGAGTACTCTATTCTAGGTCTGCAACCAAGAAGCTGCTGGCCTTGGGAAGGTCTTTAAGTGCCAAGTCTGCCATCTATATCATAATATTGTATACAGAGGAGATGAAAAGAAAGAATAGAGAAGAGATATAGAAAGAGGTAGAGAGAGACACAGGCTACAGCTTGTCCCCTACTTCAGGTATGTGCCAAACATCATGGCAGGTGCCCTGCAAGCAGGCTTAGCTAGATTTTCTAGTGCCTCCAATAACTAACTTACTTCCTTTCTGTGGCTGTTTCATGGCTGTTTCAGTGCAGTATGTGCACTGTGGCTGTTTCAATGCAGTACGGCCCGTATGCAGAGTCACCTGGGGCTTTGTTCACATTCAACTGGGTGATAAGCAGCATGTGTCTGCACCCCTGTTTCCACCTCGCTGTGGAGGCAAAGCATGCATACCTTTTACAGTCCTTGTAAAGCCAGTGTCTATCAGCTCCTGAGTTGCTGTTGATTTCATAGTGTAGGATTTATAGGGAAGAGCTGGTAGCCAGACAGGTAGGTATAGGGTTGGGCAGGAGCTGGGATTTAGACCTGGGCAGGTGCAGCTAGCGGTAGGGGACTGGCCCGGGGCAAAGCTGGTCTCTGAGACTGAAAACCATCTCCATTCCAGGATGGGGGTCAAGAAGAAGTTAAGTGCCCCTTGAAGTGGATGGGCCCAGAAATGAGGAGTCTTATGCACAGATGAATTGGCTTTAAGGAATCTGTCCCTAAGGACAGGCACCCAGGCTCTGAGCTTATGTTTAGACACTCAGACCCAGGTATCTTAGGAAGTCTAGAGGACTAGTAAGGTTACTGACACAGTAACAGAATGGAGATCTAGTCAAATCCCTGTACCAGAAAAGGGACTATTTGGAGGAATTCCAGAGCTACGAGTGTTGAGCTGTGAGATAGGGGTACTTGTGGGTCAGCTCCCCTGGGGCAAGTGAACAAAAAGAGTGATTTCAGGCATAAAGTGGGAGCTGAGTGGTCAGCAGAGGGCACCAAGTCAGCCTGCCATGGAGGCTGATGATGTGCACAGCAGAGCAAATTTGGAAAGGAAGTGGGCTAAGCTGCAGCTGCTTAAGTAATGCTGGGTCTGGGAAAACCTGGGTGGGGCTGGGGGGTGTTCAGCCATGGTGGAATGGCAGAAGGAAGAGATATGGAGTCTTGTGGCTTAACCCCCTCGCTGTGGCAGATGCCACCTCTCCCTCCACTGCCTCAGAGCCTCTTGGCTCTGCCTGACTTTGAGACCATTGGTCATTTTGCTATGCTCCAGCCCCTGCTGTGATAACCGGCTCTCTGTGGGGTCCCATCTGACTGCACAGCATCTTGCCTGCCTTACATACCTCTCACCTCTTGGCCTGGTGCCTCCTTGTTGATGCTGAGATACGAAGCTCAGACAGACTCCTCTGAAGCCTGTACATGCTCAGCTTGGAAGTGTTGGGATCTTTAAGCAGTGGGAGGCAGAAGCCTGAAAATAAATGATCCCCTATTCTTCCCATCAAACAGGCTTTCCTGAGAACCCAGTGTTTTCCAGGCACAAGCAAGCAGTCAATCACATGGATACCAAAGAGTGGCTAGTGTAGTAGCTCCTGCTTTTGCTCTTGCCCCACTTCAAGGGGCACTTAGCTTCTTCTTGACCCCCAACCTGGACTGGAGATGGTTTTCAGTCTCAGAGACCAGCTTTGCCCCTGGGCCAGTCCCCTACCACTAGCTGCACCGGCCCAGGTCTAAATCCCAAGTCCTGCCCAACCCTACACCCACCTGTCTGGCTACCAGCTCTTCTCTATAAATCCAGCACTATGAAATCAACAGCAACTCAGGAGCTGATAGACACCTTGTCCTTAGGCGGCTTTACAACGACTGTAAAAGGCATACATGCTTTGCCTCCACGGCCAAGGGGAAAGAGGGGTGCAGACACGTGCTGCTTATCACCCAGTTGAATCCTCCCCTGTCTCACTCTCCTTATCCCTCATGCTTGCATCTCTGGCATTGCACTCTTTGGGAAACTAGTAGGAGATACACCTTGGCCTCTGGCTCTGCTTCACGGAGAAACTCGCCCACCCACCTGCCAACATTATTATGTCTTATAATTTGATTCCATTAAGGAAAGAGAAGAAATTTGATACTGGAAGGACCTCATTTACACATGATACAGTGTCACCCATGACACAGTTCTGCAGTCCAGGCTCAGATGATGTCATTCTAGTGAAGTACCAATGTGTGAAAGGTTGTCCCAAATGGACTCTTCTCTGCAGTTGAGGTTGTCAGCCTCTTCTTTGGAATCCCCCATGCAGCCTTCTTTTCTCTCAGCTAAAGAGGCTCTTCTCTGTTGACTTCTGACTTTGAGGTTCTTGGTGCATCTTCTGCACACTCTTTAGTGCCTCCTGGAGCCCCTGTCTTTGGCCTGCATAAGAGAACCCAGGCACTTATGTCACTTATGTATATGCATAGGAGGATGAGGTTAAACACCAAGCCCGCTCATTAAGTCCATTTGAGCGTCTGTTTTATCCCTCTCCCACTGAACGTACTTTTGGTGGCCCCAAATTAGAGTTTTCTCTTTTACAATTGCCTGGGCTCCTTGAAGCTTGTGATAACATGCATAAGATGCTCAGAGTCCTCAATTGTGACTCCTTCCCATCAGTAAGTTATAAAGCCTCTCTCTTTTTGTATTGTCTGTTAAGTCTTTAAAAGAGAACTCTTGTGATGAAAATTGTATTCTAATGTCTTTAGCTATGGTACTACCAGCATATTGGGCCATTAGGGCACAAATTATTATAATTAAAGATATTTCACACTAATATTTAATTCTTGCTCATTTGAATGTATTTTAGCTGAGTACTATTGCTATACTGATACACTGGACAGCCTTGTAATCCTCTTTGGCAAGTTTAGCTCTTGAGTTCTCAAAATCAAAACTAGAAAAAGTCTGAGTTTTTAAAATAAGATTTAAAAAATCCTATGTGGAAGAGAATAGTGTGTATATTTCATGGTAAAACTGAATTTCATCTTGGTGAGAATGATCCTGCCCTAAATTCGCTTTCCTAAGCCCTCCTTGTGTGTCCATTGCCAAGACTCCTGCACAGCACAGCTTCCTGTTGAGAGTGGACTTCCAGCCACACTGACTCCCACCCTGGGGAAGGGTAGGTGGACCTCCCCATGCCAGCTTCCACCCCACTGTTTCCTGTAGGTTTCCTCCAAGCCACACTTTCATGTCCTCTGCTCAGGTTCGCAGTTTCTACAGAACAGCCTCCCCAGCCCAGCAAATGATGGCGAAAGCACAGCGAGGAGAGGACAGGGCTGGCTACCTCCCTTCCTGAATTTTTAAATGGCACGAATGGAAGCTGTCTTGCATTCTAAGAGAGGAACCCGAGACACAGCCTCGGGTCACATCCCACGTCCTCATTGCAGCACATCTTAAAAACAGTTTCAGAGCAATTTTAGGTTTATAGCAAAGTGGAACAGAAAGTGGAGTTCACATATACCCCCTGCCCCTCACATGTACAGCCTCCCCCACTGTTAACATCCTGCACCAGAGCGGTGCATTTGTTACAGTCAGTGAACCTGCACTGACACATCATTATCACCCAGAGTCCATAGCTTACATTAAGGTTCACTCTTGATGTGCTTTCTATGGGTTTTGACAAACGTATAATGACATGTATCCAGCATTGTAGTATTACACAGAATAGTTTCACTGCCCTAAAAATCCTCCGTGTGTCTCCTATTCATCCTTCCCTATCCCCTAGCCACTGGAAACCACTGATCTTTTTTTACTGTCTCCGTCGTTCTGGCTTTTCCAGAATGTCATGCAATTGGAATCATACTTGATTCCAACTATATGACATTATGTAGCCTTTTCAGGTTGGCTTCTTTTTACTTAATAATAGGCATTTAAAGTACCTCCATGTCTTTTCATGGCTTAATAACTCATATCTTTTTAGTTCTAAATAATATTATATTGTATAGATGTACTGCAGTTTATCCATTCGCCTACTGAAGGACATCTTAGCTGCTTCCGAATTTTGGCAATTATGAATAAAGCGGGTGTAGACATTCATGTGCAGGTTTCTGTGGACATAAGTTTTCAATTCCTTTTGGGTAAATACCATGGAGCATGACTACTGGGTCATATGGTAAGAGAATGTTTAGCTTTGTAAGACACTGCCAAATTGTCTTCCAAAATGGCTGTATCATTTTGCATTCCAACCAGTAATAAATGAGAGTTCCTGTTGCTCCACATCCTCATCAACATTTGATGTTGTCAGTGTTCTGGATTTTAGCCATTCTAATAGGCGTGATAGGTGTGTAGTGGTACACATTACAGCATTTTGGGGGCCAGTATGGTCACCACTTAATCGCATCTCAGGTAGATTCCAAGACTTTCAGTTCACTTTTAGTTATGAAACAATTGAGTCTAGTTTAAAACTTTATTCTTACATCAGATTCAAAGCTTCCCCATCTGGTGTCACAGCCTGGAATTCTCCCCTCTCCCTCTTCTGGTGCTAGTTCTTCCTGTTTGGTTAGGGCCTGGAGGAGGGACTGAGGATGGAGAATATACATCTGGTTACTTCTCAGTTGTCATTCTCTTTTCTGTTGTCACTATTTCTCCATGGGTCACCCTTGGGCAGCCAGAGTACAGACAAAAAGGCTAAAAGTAGACATTTTCCACAGTGCCCACTTATTCTTGAAAGACTCACATGTCTTTGCCTTTTCAGATGATGGGCAAGCGATCTCTGCCACTGGTCCTCTCAGCTCCACCATCTTTGTCCGTCCCTTTGTGCTTCCTTTGCAGTACACACAAGCCTGTTGTCTAAACAGAAGCTCAAATGCACAATGAGGTCCCAGCACCCCTTCTTACAGCATCCCCAATCTTTATGAGGAATTCTCTTGAAGCCCTTATTTGGTTTCAGGTTGGGGATGGGGTAGCAGAGAGAGGGAGAAAGGATGAGAGTTAATTACCTGTCTTCTGGAACATTCTATCAAAAGACCAATGGCTCCATATCTCTTGCTCACTCCTGCTCCCAGTTCTTTCCCCACACAGACTGAGAGAGGAGAAGGATCTAAGGTAGTGGGCCATTATAGGGCCCGTGCCATAATTGGGGCAGAAGTTGGATCCAGCTGTGAGATGCTGCGCTGGCCCCTGACTGACACAGAGCCTTCTCTAGAACAGGTAGTAAACACAACTCCTTTTTCCTCACCTGAAGGCCAGAATTTCTGAATAGGGCAGGGAGGGGACAATTGAAAACGCCCCCCTAGTATCCTATTATGGAGCATCAGAGGTATGCGGGGAAGGGGACTTCACAGCTGTCCTCATCTGAATATTCAAACAGTTAATGACCTAATGGCCATTCATGACAGAAAATCTGATTGCAGCAAACAGGAAATCTCCCTGCTAATACTCACCCCTGCCTGTTCTTGACCTTACCTTGGTTACTGGTAGTCAGGCACTATTCCCCTTGCAGTACTGCCTCATTACTTGGAAGGTGGTTTTTAGCCACACCTTTGCCTGCTTCCCTCCAGTTAAGCACAAGCTTACCCCCTACTGCCCTGGGTGATAGAAATGCAAAGCAAGCCTGTTGACAATTTCTGAAGACCCCAAGAGGATGACTATCAGAATGAGGCCAGTTCTAACTGACTGAGTTTTCATTAGTGAAGATCATGAAATGCCTGGCCCATGAAGGCTCGAGGTTTGCATCTGGTGTGAGCTCACATGCGTGGATGCAGAAGCTTCCCAGGTGCTGTGGGTGTCTCTTGGCGGCATTTTACTTTATAATGCTCAGTTTGGGTTCCTCTTCTGCTGAACCTAATTTTTTCACTCCAGGGGTAACCACTTTTTCCACTTTCAAATAATGGTGCAACTTCAGTGATTTAATTTAGAGAGGTGATGAAGTGACCGTTCAAGTGTTCAGCAAATGGATAAAAGCCTTTCACAAATTCCTCAAAAATAAACACTCTCATCTTCTGAAAGGTTTACTAAATACACACTGTAAAGAACTAGCCATCAGCATATATACTTCTTGTTATTCGATGGTTGCAGTATTATGTTTTATTCAAGTTTGGTTACATGGATATGGAAAGGTAAAGTCTGACCCCTGAAGCAAAGAGGATGGTCATTCTGCAAGTAGGGCAGGGACAGCAGGAACAGAGAAGAATCTCACCATGTCTTGACCATGAAGGTCTCAAGATGTCTAGGAATGCATTTCTGGGGGTGGATAGGGTTGTCTACAAATGGTGCCCCCAACATCAGGCCAGGTCAGGCCAGGCTAGGAGGTGAGGGGCTCCAGTAGGTGGCCTGCTGAGTTGGAGAAACAGTTGGGGGACGGAGCTGAGTGAGCTTGGTGAATCAGCCCCGAGAGAGCCTACTAGAAGGCTGGACTCTGTGCAACACAATATTTCTCTTTATTGTGTCCTTAGTGTTTATTGTCCTATGGTTTTCCTTTAGAGTTTAGCAAAGCCATTCAGCTCACCTTGAGCTGTGCTAAGGTGAAACATGAAAAGCTTCATTTGTGAGATCATTAAAAAGGGATGCAGTGCATTCCTGGAGGCCAGCATGGAGGAAGCAGTCATAATTAAAGTGAGACAAAAACAAATGGGAGGAGAAAAAGTGTGGAGGGTGAAAATTTCACTCCTTCATCTATTTCAACAACTGTTTATACCGCTGCTCAGCACTATACTGAGTACTAGAGCTACAGCAGCAAACAAGACCATGAAAGCTTGTTCTAGTGGAGGGACACAGAAAAGACAAGCAACATAATACAAATAATAATTGTAGCTAGTTCTAAGTGCAATAAAGAAGGAAGGGAAAGAGAGCCAACGTGGCTTTCAGTGTGCCCCGTGTGGTAGGCAAGGGGGAGAGATGTCGGTGGGGAGGAGAGGGAGCTGAGCTGCACCTGTGTCAGGTAGGAACTGAGGGGTCCTGCTAAAATGTTTGGATTTTGTTCCGAGTACAGTGGAAGATGCTGATGAATTGTAAGCAGGGGAGTGATGAGATCCAATTTACATTTTGAAAAGAATCCTCCAGTTGCTGTATGGGGAATGGATTACAGGAAGCAAGAGTGAAAGCAGACATACCTGTTAGGAGGCTACTGTGAGGATCCGGGCAAAAGAATGTGGCAGCTTGGCCTAGGTGTCAACAGTGAAGATGGGGGGAATGGGGTGCAATCAGAATATGTTCTGCAGGTAGGGCTGAAAGAACCTGATGGTGGCTTGGATATGGGGATAAGAGAAAACAAGGAATCAATGATGACTTCTCGGGATTTATCTTGAACAAAAACAGGAGTGATTGGTGGTGATGGTTGTGCTATTTAAGGAGAAAGAAGAAGGAAAGAAAGAAAGAAAGAAAAGAAAGAGAGAAAGAAAGAAAGAGAGAAAGAAAGGGAGAAAGAGAAAGAAAGGAGAGAGAGAGAGGAAGAGGGAGAGAGAAAGGAAGGGAGGAAGGGAGGAAGGGAGTGAGGAAGGAAGGAAGGAAGGGAGGGAGGAACAGGGACTTTTCAAAAGGGGGATGAAATCTGAGGACATTTAGTCCTTGGGCCAGCAGAGGACAGACCATCATTGGAAAGGGGGAAGATTGTTCCAAAGTCTGATGTTCTTAAGTTGAAAATAAATCATCTCTGCTTTTCTCTATAGTTTCCAGTTAATTTGCAACCACTTGTTCATTCTGTATAAGCCTTGCCATTCTTGGGAGTATTCTTGTCTTCATCTCCAAAGACAAATTCAGGGATAAAGAGAATTACAATCCCCAAGTCTGTGTTCAGAGAGTAGATACTAGTGCTGGAAGACTTTTATATATTTTATTTAAGCTATTTCAAGAAATGGATTAAAGTAGATATTAACCAGTTAATAGAGTATCCTAAATGCCAATGATCTGCACATAAATACGTGTTTTGTTATAAACGAAGTGCGATTGTAGAGGATAGAGACCTTGGGAGGGAATTCGCAGAAACATAATCATAGGAGTTGACTAAGGGATTTAGAGGCAGAAAGGAAGATGCACAAAAAAAAGAATGCCAGTTGATCATCATTAAGGACTTCAGGGCTATGAGATCTTCTCTCTTCTTCCCAGGATACCATAAGGGCAGCTTTCTTCCTCAAAGACAGCTCAAATTGTTTCAGGAGTCAAAGGGTGACCGCCTTAGCAGTGATGTGATCACATAACAGGTAGAATATTGGGGAAATAATTAGGAAAAACAAGGTAATTTGGAGGGATTCTCCTACCCAGGTACTGACTGAGAGAAGCATGCAGAGACCATTTGCATAAATCCTAAAGCTGAAGTCCCAAGGGGGCTATGACTAAGCATCCTAGAGATTTGAGCTCTGAGAAACACTGAAGGAGCTAGTAATAATAGGATCCCTCTGCTGCTGTTTTCTCTTTTCTAGTGAGGAACTGGGACCTTGAGGGACTGTGAGGGACACCCACACAGTCAGACCTGCTTTGTTTCCTAGAACCTGTTACTTCATGCAAAAGAAAGCGTTGGTTATTGATACAGTGCAATTATGTCATTGTCAAATTATCTGCATCAAAGAGGAAGAGACTCCCTCCTGAACAAGACTCAGAAAACATGGCTGATGACTGCCTTAGCTGACTTGCATAGCTGGTCATGCCACCAGGTGGACTTGGGGAAGTGATGCAAAATGAAAGGCAGATGCAAACAGAAAGAGACAAGGTTAGAGGATTGGAAACATCCGTCTTCCATCACCATCTTGGACCCTGATTCTGACTGTGGTCTTGGATTTCTATGTCTTCGTTTCCCTACTTAGTAAACGGTAATGAAACTAGGCCACAGACTGTGTGTATTTGTTGTAAAACCCCATAATATTATGTAATGTGCCTTAAAATATTGCCTGGAAGTAGCAAATTATTTCAATATAGAGGTATTGAGATATAAATATAGATGTAGATACAGATACAGATATAGACACACACCCCAGTGCAGCTGTGCTTATTATACAGAACCCTACCAATGATAACCCTGAGTAACACTGGACTGCTTGCTTTTGAAACACATAGAAGCTGTTCCTGGCTCTGGGCTTTTTTGTACCTGCTGACCCCAATACCTGGAATGTAACCTCTTCCCAATGTTTGCATGTCTTGTTCTTTTACTTCATTCAAATCTCTGCTTAGCTATCACCTACTCAGAAAAGCCTTGACTGACCTACCTTTCTATCTAAAATAGAACCACCCCTCTGTTCTTTCCAGTCCCTTACTCTATTATTTTGGCACAGTATTTATCACCACCTGAAATTATTGTGCCTAGTATTTGTTTATTTACATATGACCTTTGTATCCCACTAAAATGAGAGCTCCATGAGGATATGGAGCTTATTCACATCCGTGACCCCTGTGCCTACGACAATGCCTCACACCCAGGAGGTAGCTCAATATATTTTTGCTGAATAAGTGAATGTTATCAAAATAAGCAAATGAATTATCAACTCCATGGTTAAGGAAAAAGAAACCTATACTTTTTGCAATAAGTGTTTAAGAAGTCTAAAAATACTATAATAGCTTTTCTTCTTATCTGTTGTAATGCAAATAGTCCATTGAGAGAGAGGGAGTTTGGCAAGAGGGAAGTTTAGCTTCTCCTGACATGAGTTACTGCACAGTACTCTGGCCCTTACTATAGTGGTAGGGGTGGGAGTGAGCTCCTACAGGAGGCAGTGGCAATGCTGGGGGCTGGTTTGGGGAAGTTAGACCTCTTTTTATTAAGCTCTGCTGGCCCTCTTGGGCTCCCCTGCCATCATGCTAAGCATACATGTGGCCATGCCAAGGCAGCTTCAAGGTGAGCCGCTCCTGCCTCCAAGCCAGACTGCCATCCTGAGGCTCCTCACCCTGGGGAAATTCTGTTGGGGTGACAAGGAGGCTGCTGTGGTTGGATGGCTTCATGCAGTGAAGGTGGGATGGCCAACAGGCTATACTACAGGAGGAGCAAAAGAAAGACACCCCTGGGGACAGGGCACCCAGTACTTCCCTTCTCACTGACTTCTCCCAGCTCCCTCTCACACTGTCCTCTGCTGAGGGGTCACTTTGGCTCATTCATCTGTGCTTTCAGTGGCTTTTCCTGGTAACGTATTCTATATGTTCATTACCCTATGCACAACATATGTCTGTTTTTGTTCCTAATTTACAGTTTCAACAGGACATAGGTGTCCTTCTCTAAAGCAGATCAGCTACTGTCCATTTTGCCTTTCCCTTCTGGATACCCCTCTGGGCTCCAAGGGGTATGTGCCCGCAGCCCCACCAGCACTTACAGGAAGCTGCCTTTTTGGTTTTAGCTGCTGGTTCTCCTCCCATATTTATTTCATACAGTATTGCCCACCTCTGAGACCATTCCCTAGGGCAACCACATACAATCCATTCATTTGACAAGTATTTGTTGAGCATCCCAGCACTGGACTGTGCTGTCTCCCATGAAGTTGTAATCTAGAGGCTGGAGGAAATAGCAAACATGTAACCTCAGCTTACAGCTGACTGGGGCTGTGAGGGAAAGGGATTTACCATTATGATCTAACAAGGGAACCTGCTTTTGGTGCCTAAGAACATGGTATTTAAGTTAAGTCCTGTTGGACAAGTAGAAGTTAGCCAGGTAAAAATTGAAGAGCAGCACGTTTGAGGGACCTATGCCATCAGAAAGAGCTAAAGGAGTTTGGGAAAGAGAGGGAAGATCAAAATGTAGGGGACCCTGCAAGGAAAGGACAGAGAAGCACAAGACCAGCAAAGTTGCTAAGATCAAACGGGGCACAAGCAGCCATTCTGATGACTTTTAATTTTATCCTAAGGGCAATGGGAAGTCACTGAAGAGTTTGCTATTGTATTAACTGTGAATTGGAAAAAGGTCAGAAGGAAAATGGGGAGTGATTGTTGCAGTAGCCCAGGGGACAGGGGGAGGAGGGAATGATGGAACTTGAAGATTTCTCAAAATGGAGGTGGAAAGAAGTAGACAGACTCGAGATGTCTTTGGAAGCATAACCTTGGAAAGACATCTTAGAGTATTCCATAAGCCCTTGACTGCATACTTCAGGACTTCTACTAAGTGAGAAAAATGAAGACCCTCTTATGATTAAGCCACTGTCTCTGTGACATGTAGCAGATGGGGATCCCTAACTGATATGGCCTCTTTATCCCTACATTGGCTAAGCTTGTGATTCACTGTGGCTCATTAATTAATAAGCATAAAGTTCTTGGTTATGCCTAGCATGTGGCAGGCCTGCAGTAAATGGTAGCTAGATGTTAAACATTAGCCACACAGCTACACATAAGCTCAGCCATTGCAGCCTCTGTTGGGGCATTGTGGCTAACACCTTCTTCACAGAAAACTTCAGTGAGGAACTGGGACCTTGAGGCAGGGAACGGGAATGTCTTTGAAGAACCTTCTCTCCTGCTACCTTCTATGAGCTAGTTTTTGCAGTCTTCTTCCATGTGATCCTCTGGACACACTGGCAAATGTTTGGGTGTCTTGTTTTCAACCTGTTAGCAGAAGGGAACTGACAGCATCACTAGATTAAGGAGTGAACCAAACTGTATTAGTGCTGGGACTATCACAAGCCACAGCCATTTGTTCACATTTCCACTATGGCATTGATTCTGTCTTGCATTATGGCCATAGAACAAACTCTGGAGGGCAGGAACTCTATCTAACTCAACTTTGTTTCCCCACAGCTCACACAGCACTAACTATAGGTTGGTGCAAAAGTAGTTGCAGTTTTGCCATTATTTTTCATGGCAAAAACCGCAATTACTTTTGCACCAACCAACAGTCCCTGCCACAATGGGGCATGACTGTATAAACACGAATGTGTTGAAATGGACTGAAATAAAGATATGTGCAAAGAAGCAAGAGTGGTGATTTATCACATGTGGATTGGTTGCTACCACTGAAGTCACACTTTATGTCAACTATCTCACTTGAACCTCAGAGGTAAGACGTAATAAGTATCATTGTCCCAGATTCTATGAATAAAAAACCTGGGCTTAAAGGGAGGTGATGTCTTGCCCAAAATCACATGGAAAGTCGTTGTAATCACAAGAAGCCTGGGTCTTCACTGTAGTTCAGTGTATCATACAACTCCAGGAGGAGGGGGAGAATGTACCTGGACCACAGCGTGAATGGTGCCCTTCAGGATCGTGCAGTGGAGCAGGACTGTGTCAAATCCTGCGGCAAGGGTTTCACTGTTACTCTAACGCTATCGCCTGAATGTTTCCTTTTCCTTAGGTCCCAGCCATAGGGCTGTTCTCCAAGGGAAACATCACCTCTTCAGAACTTTTAGTCTACTGGGGAAGTTTATAGGCTTGATTTAGGCTTATAGGTTTTATCCCTTTTTGGATACAATGAACAGACTCTAAGGCAAGTGATTTATTTACGTTCAGCTAGTTGGCAAGTGGCTGATCTAGAACAGGAAACCACGTCTGTAGACTTCAAAGCTCATTCACTTCTGCTTCCAGGCTTCTCCAACAGGAGTCTGACTGGGTAGCCTTTGGACCCAAGATGGTGTGTCTGGACCATAGACTCATGAAACCACAAAATAAACTTACTTTTCATAATGCATTAGGAAGTCTAATGCAATCATTGTATCCAATGTTAAAGATGAAATATAAGACTTTAAATAAATTCCAGACTTGCTATAAACACCTGGGCTAGTGCTCCAGGCACAGTCCCAGTTAATCCCCAGTCCCTCAACTGTTTACTTCTTTCTGCAGTATTGGGATGCTTTGGTGGAAAGGTTTGAGAAGCACAGGGCTACACTACAGTGACTTCCCTAACACTGAGCTTCCACTTTTCACCACTGTGCAGAGAAAAGCAGTTGGTCAGAAACTGAGTTCCAGTTTCAACATCGCAAAGCAGCTGCTGCTTGTAGCATGTGCACTTTTTATGGGTATATTTTATCTGTAAGTATATCTAAAGAGGAATAAGGAAAATGAGCTTTAAAAGTAGGTCATGTCTTCAGCTCAGAGCATGGCACACAAAGTACATGCTCAGTAAGGGAAAGCTAATTTGTTATATTATTTCTTAACTCTTACAATCATCATAGTAATCATTATGTCCTTCAAAACGAAGATCACAATTGCTATGTGTTACATATATCAGAGATAGCAGAAAAGAACCATAATGATGCCAGGTTGGCATTTAGAACCATAATGATGCCAGGTTAGCATTTAGAATTCTCTAGAGAAAGTGGTTTTCTGTTGATGTTACACTCACATGAAGGCAGACATCAGTAACCATAGCAGAATGAACTTCCCCAGCTGAGAGGAAAGAAGAACTTACTCATTTTTAACTGATTTTGGTGTATTAAGTCCTCATCTCAGGCTAATGGTGGAATGTAGATTCCAGAAGTCTTCAGTATTAATGAAGAAGCTGGGATTGATGGTGGGACAGCTACTCTCTCTACTTGCTGGACAGGATGCACGCAGGACAGCAGTCATCACCACAATCACAGATGATATGGAGAGTACTATTTGGAATGCAGAGAAGCCTTTGCTTTTCTGGCTCTGTTTACAAATTGCTGCATTTGTCCCTTTCTAAAAGCTACCTGGAATATTAGCCTGTCTGAGTAACTTACATAGGAAGAGTCTTACATTGGAGTTTTGGTCCTAAACCAGCATAATGCCATCATCATAACACAGACAATGACACACATATTGATCCTATTTTCCTGGTTGCTTTTTCTCAGCACCTTGGTAGTCTCCGTGATTTTCACCATCAAAGGGTGCAATGCCTTTGTCTCAAATGCTAAATGTTAGATGGTCTCTTGGGTTCAACACATAATGCTCAGGAGGCCATGAAAAGCTCGGTAACATTGAACATTTTAAAAAGGCAGCTTAAAGAAATGTATAGCTTTGGAATGCACAACTTCCCATTGCTGAGTGATGTGTAAACACAATAACCTCACACCAGGCAGCGTGGTGTATTAGTACTTTCTGAGGGTTTCATTCTTCCATTGATCCACTTGGGAAATTCCCTATAAAGATTAAGAGTTACTGGGGAGCGGGGCTGTCAGCAGGAGGGGAAGAACATGTTGTTACTATCTAATTTTACTTTATTCTTACAATGAAGAATCATTGTTTCTAGATCCAAATGTAATTCTAAAACTTCTGTGTGATTAAAGCTTAATGCTGTACTGAGAGAAGATTTACTTGCTCCCCATTAGAGCCAAATGTAAAATAAGATGAAATTATAATCGCTTCTAAAACTAGGGGTCTTTGGCTGTTTAAATTGTGTACAGTATACAAGCAGGGTGCCTTCCCTATGTCATGGGGAAAATGAAACCCATGTGGGAGGTAACCTGAAGCAACATGGAGTCCAGGAAGCCATTCTGCCCCTGTATACACCTTATTAGGGAGTGTCAGGGTCTCCTCATTCTCCCTTAGCCAACTCCCAGGGAACCTGCAAAGGGGTGTGTAGGAGAGTGAGGGAAGAGATTGCTCTAAGGTTTGCATTGGAAATGGACCAGGGCTGCTGTAGAACAACAGCAGGTTTGCTAAGCTCTAGAATGAGATAATAATAGGGAAGCCACCAAGAGTTACCCAGGAAGGGAAGGGAGCGGTAGGGTTGGGTCTTCACTTGGGAATATGAAGATCTGATAAAGGGCCACAGATTTGGATTCTGGACCAGAATTGCCCACCTCCTAGTATTCAGAGCTGTTCTTGCTCCCCTGAACTGTGCCAGAATCAGAAGGGAGGGATGAGCGAGGAGAGTGTTATAAACTGAATATTTGTGCCCCTCAAAATATATACATCAAAGCCCTAGCCCTTAGTATGACTCTATTTGGAGATGGAGACTCTGAGGAAATATTAAGGTTGAATGAGGTCATAAGAGTGGGTCCCGGATCCGATAAGATTAGTGTTCTCATGGGAAGAGGCATCTGAGAGCTCTCTCTCGCTCTCGCTCGCTGTGACTTCCCTCCATGTGAGGGCAAAGCAAGAAAGCAACCACCTACTAGTCAGGAAGAGAACCCTCTCCAGAAAACAAATTGGCTGGAACCTTGACCTTCAACTTCTAGCCTCTAAAACTGTAAGAAAATAAATTTCTGTTGGTCTGTGGAACTTTCCTGTGGCAGCCCAAGCTGACTAAGATAGAGAGCCCTTTCCATCCCTGCAGCTGAGTCCATATCAGACTGAAGCTAAAATGCAGAGTGCTAAGCCTTTGGAGAGATGGTCCTGACCTATACTCTCTACCTCCTAGCTGTGTGCGCTTGGGTCGGTCCCTTGAGATCCCTCATCTTTTTAAGTTGGGATAAAAGAACATGCCTGACCTACCCCACAGGACTAGTGGAGAATCAAATATGTAGAGCATTATTTTATTTTATTTTATTTTATTTTATTTTATTTTATTTTACTTTTGAGATGGAGTCTCACTCTGTCACCCAGGCTGGAGTGCAGGGGCGCGATCTCGGCTCACTGCAACCTCCGCCTCCCAGGTTCAAGCGATTCTCCTGCCTCAGCCTCCCGAGTAGCTGGGACTACAGGTGTGTGCCACTGCGCCCAGCTAATTTTTGTATTTTTAGTAGAGACGGGGTTTCACCATGTTGGCCAGGATGGTCTCGATCTCTTGACCTTATGACCCTCCTGCCTTTGCCTCCCATAGTGCTGGAATTACAGATGTGAGCCACTGTGCCCAGCTTGTTTATTTATTTTTAAGGAAGGCTCATTGAAGTATAATATGCCCATAGTATAATTCACCCTTTTCAGTACACAGTTCTGTGAGTCTTAGCAAACACGGTCACTTAACTTCCACCACAACCACGACATAGAACATTTCCATCACCTTTAGGCTTCCTGTGTGCCTGACTAAAGCAAGTCCTCCCCTCCTCTCAGTTCTATAGTTTTCTTTTTAAAATATCATGTAAAAGGAATCACCTAAGGGTTTTGAGTCTGGCTTCTTCCAAAGAAAGACATTTTTCTAATATCTACTCTTTGCAACAATATTTTGAAGTTGGCACAATTATTAGAGTGAAGAGCTGTGGAAATGTTATGTAAAAGCAAAAAGTGTAGGCAAACCTGAGGTATAATTATTATAATCATTTCTATCATTATTATTATTATTATTTCACAGTAGAAAAAATACAATCAAATTTGAATGGAAATTTTGTGTTGAATTTGCCTTATCTAGAATCCAGGTGTCAGGAGATAGTCATAATAGCTCTGTGACCCGTCCCTTCAAAACAGATGATAATTTGCCTTATTTTGGGAGAGTAGTTATTGAATGATGTAAAAAGTATTTGACAAAATATTGTTAGCATTAAGGTCCAGCACATCTTCTCTTTGACTAATCCAAAAATACTTGGCCTTGAAGTTACTAAGTCATTACCTTATGTTTGTGACCAGATTGAAAGATGTTCTAGGCTGCAAATAACAGCAGTTCCAGGAGTGGCAATAATCCATTTCCAGGGCTCAAAAGAGGGAGATGAAGCTGGTTCCAGCACTCCTCCTTACCTGCCCTGAGCTGTGTTCATTCCGGAGTGAGAGATGAGGCAGAAAAGCCTGTTTCTACCCACAAAGTATCCCCTGATTGAATAGCTACGTGCCTAGAAGCCCCTTATCACTCTTTGTAGTAGGAGAATTCTCATTTTCCTGGACGTGGTCATTGTCTGGCCACAATGGCTCCAGGTTCTTCTCCAAGGGGAAGATTTTTGTGGACATTGTTTCTTTTTTTCTGAGATGGAGTCTCACTCTGTCACCCAGGCTGGAATGCAGTGGCGTGATGTTGGCTCACTGCAACCTCTGCCTCCCGGGTTCAAACGGTTCTCCTGCCTCAGCCTCCTGAGTAGCTGGGATTACAGGTGCGTGACACCACCCATGGCTAATTTTTGTATTTTTAGTAGAGACGGGGTTTCACCATGTTGGTCAGGCTGGTCTAACTCCTGACCTCGTCATCTGCCCACCCTGGCCTCCCAAAGTGCTGGGATTACAGACCCTGTTTTTAACCTCCTTTTACAGATATAACATGTAATAAATAAATAAATAAGGTCTAGCTATTCCTTAAAGTTTAAAGGTTCATGAATTTTTAAGGAACACATCAGGAAAAACTGCTGAGACAAAGCAATGGAGCGTAGGGTGTGATGAGGAGGTCTAGGAGCCCCTTCAATATTTAATGCAACCAAAAGCCTCTGACAGCTAATCATCTCTTAATGGGGCTTGCCCTTTGGCCTACAAGTTTCTAAGGGACTAGGATGTTTGGCTTCCAAATAAGTTATCACTCACTCACTGAGTAAATACCACAAGCTGAAAGTGGCCTCCCAGGCATCATTGGTCTTTGCTAGGTGAGTTTAGAAGGTCCCAGATTGGCATTACTCACCTCTAAATCACTAGCAGCTTCAAAGCCAGAGAGGCATTTGCTTTGGGTCTGTGGAAAGGCTCCTGTCTACCAATGTGCCTCTCAGAAGCACAGAAGGGAGATGACAGAGGGAGAGTGAGTTTTGGTGGGGTATGATCCTTTGGGGAAGTAAGAGACAAATGAGAAAAGACTAAATGCAACATTTGGGTCTGGACAAGTGAGATTTGAGAGGAGATTCATAGGGAAGTAGGAATGGACAGGGAGGGGCAGTATGGAGACGAATGGATACAGTAGAAGAGAAGGGAAGAAGATGGGGACACAAGGAGGATGATAAATGCATTTTCTAAGAAGCCCAACATAGTGGGGAGAGCTAACCTGTCACCTCCTCTCTCGTCTCCACGTATACCTGGAAAACGAGTGGTGCATTCCTCGTTAACGTGTGCCAAGGATAGCAAACAACAACAACTCATGGGGAAGAACCTAGCCTGTCAGCATGAAGAGTGGTGGAATAGAGAGCTGTCTTCAATACCATTTGGTCGCCAATTCATATTTACACTTGCTCAGCAAATTCCTTCATTTCCCTAAATTCCAGTCTTCCAATTTCAAAAAATAAATTGTTCGTTAGCCACAAACAACTGAAATTTTTCACAATTTACAACCTAATGACCAGAGTGTGTACTTTGAATTTATTGAGTAAGAAATAAACTTTGTAGTCAAACCAATTAGATGTGTCCATTCTGATTTAAATATAAAATCATTGATTTCTAATGCAAGATATTTACACCAAGGGCCTTTTAGTATTTTCTTCAGGATTTATTGTCTAGAAATACCTTTCAAACAGGTAGATTTAAAGAATGTTCAGGCCTGGGTATTTTAACTAGAACGCAGTTGTTATTTTTCTCTACATATCACTATCAAAATTACGAGGTGTCATAGAAATAAATATTAAGGGCTAAAAGAACAGTTCTTTTCTTGATATATTTTAAAAACCGGATCCATTTTTTTTCAGCTTGATTTATTTTAGGCACTATGGAATTTCTTTTTGGCCTTGTGCCTCAGACATTGTTCTGATTAGCTTTGCTGGTTTAACCAAGTTGCAGTGATTAGCCCTGATGGTCATCTGGTTTTTAAAATTATGTTTTCATAGTTTAACTTCCCTCTTTAGTCTCTCTTAATTTTCTCCAGCCTCAGAAGAGATGTGATACTAGTAACTATCTTTAGAAAAATACTCCCTTATGTTATACATAATGAAGTCTTCCTAGACTTAATTCCCAGACATAATAGTTCCAAGTCTGCAACATGGACACTCCCCCTGTCTACTGTACAGGTGGCAAACCGAGACATGGGGTTTCTTATACAACTTAGAGAGACTTTATACTCCTTGTGAACCACAGTAGATTTGGCTGCATTTTGAGAAGTTATGAATTTCTTATTTGTAGCATCAAACAGATGAGACTGTTTCCATCTGTCTCATCTAAGGCTTGGTTCTATCGAGAGTTTACAGAAATGACTGGAGAATGGACAGGAAGGTAGTGAAGACTGATCTGTTTCAAGGAACACATTGAGAATTCCTCCCCCAAAGAGCAGCATTCATGGGGAACCCATTAAAGACATGGTATGCTTACCAACCCCTGCCTCATCCCCCACCAGAAAGAACTGATTCCGTGTCCATCCCTCTTGAGGCATGTGATACGTTAGGCAAAGAAAGGAGTTCCTTCTGTGTTCCCAGAGCTACACGAAGAGCACTAGAACCATCCCTGAGCTGCAGCAGGAAGGGAGAGTTTTTTCTTGAAGTGGTGGGACTTGAGCTTGCCTTCATAAAGGAGACCTTTGGGAAGTAGGGAGAAAGGGAAGAAGATCAAACTTTCTAAGAGGCATGAGTAACTTGGCCCTGGGTAGGAAGCCACCTAAGCTTGCTGGCTGAACACAGAGTGTGTGTGGAGACTGGAGAAAGCAGAAAAGCAGAGTGGTCCATCCTAATGAATACAGGATGTCCAATGGGGAAAGGTTTGGTATGTGGCTTTAGGTAAACTACTTAAACTGACTGACTTTTAGGGGCATTACTTGCACTATCCAGGCAAGTCCATGTCTGCTGTAGAGCATAACTGTTGGGTTCAAGTGAGATAATTGAATAGAAATTCTTCGTAAATGTTGAAGACTGAGTGTTGATGGATGATTACGGTGGCACTGAGGTGGTGGGTGATTCCGGAACCACGGCGTTTTTGTGCTGGAAGTAACCAAGGGCTGCCCTAACTCTTCACATTTTACCAATAAAGACAGAAGCCAGACCTGAGGGTACCTGCTCAAGCTGGTTAATAGCAGCAGCACAAGAACTAGAACTCCAGTCTCTTGGGTTGAGGAAAATAAAAATTGCAAGTCCAAGTCAACTCTCCAGATAACTGGGTTTCTCATCTTGCACCAGGTCAACCTGGTGAGTTTAGTGAAGACCATGAGACCCCATTCAACTTAATTACTGGAGAGCCCCTGAGGCCCCACAGCATATCAGGCTGAGAGCAGGAATTCTGACTCTCAGTGTCATTCCTGGGATCACATTCCATCTCACAAATATTTAAGCAAGGGCATGAGGGCAAGTTGCCAAGTAGTACGATACAAAACAAATGTCTCATTGTGTTTGTTGCTGCACAGTGTGTTGTTTGTGTGGTCCAAAAACCATCAAGTGACTATAACTAGAATGTGACAGTAATTTGTAACAACAGTGACTTTTTTGGGGGGAGGGTCTACTTTTGTGACATGCTTCAAAATTCTGAGAAAGGGTTGCAAAAGAAATGTTCAGAAATGTACTAAATGGGCTTAGAAAACTTGTGAACCCTGTCTGAACTTTTATTAGATTGTCCCACCACTCACCCATTTGACATCTGAACAAGGAAAGCATTATTTATAACAGCATGCGTGAAATCCCAGAAGGGATTCTTGAAAGAATTAGAGTGAAAAATCTGCCCCAAAGAGACAGCAAGCAGAAAATAAATGATCAGATGAGAAAACATGTAAATCAAAACGTGAATCTTTTGTTCTCTCTCTCTTCTTTAAAGGAAACAGAAGCTTTTTCTTGGCTATTAGCAATTCAGGATAGAGAACCAGTATCAGGTTTTCTATCTTGCATTGCTAATGACCAAAAAAAGTGGGTGCTGCTATCAAAGGAGCCACTTGGTTAAGGCCAAATGAAGAGTTCAGGAGAGTGACATATGATGATTCTTCTTAATGTCTCCAGAATGGCTGCTTCTGGAGTAAGTAAGAGAGTGAAGGTTCCAGAGAAGAAAGCCACACCTCAAAAGCATTAATACTTTAAGACTTAGAAAACACTTTCACAAATGCCTGCTTGAGTAAATACCTCCCAACAACATTAGGAGGTATACATTATTACTTACATATAATTATTAAACCTTGGCCACAGAGAGATTTGGCAACTAGTCCAGGTTACCCCAGTAGGAAACAGGTAAGTGAGCGATTGGAAACCAGCTATTGTCATCCACTGCATTGCAGCTGTGAATATCCAGGTAGATATGGAAATCCTGAGATCTTGCTAGATTAACACACCTCAAAGTGTATTTTTAGCTGTCTTACCTGAGACATATATAAATGGTTATCTCTCCCACAAACATACATTCAAATAGTTTAATTTACCAAAGTTAAGTTTGTTCTTTCCTGCCAAACTCCTCACATACTTTAATAAGCCTCAGTCCCTGATGGATCTCCTTGAATTGAAGAGGGTTGCAATTTACAGTACATTTGACATATTTGATCTAGGAACTTCTGGGGTTGTTAAAATAACACAACTCAGACAGCATAACAAGAAGACCAGGTCCCAGTCTTTATTTTAAGATTCCTACTTCTCTAAGCCCACTTTGACCACTGGGGTTCTATTTTATCTAACGAGAAAGAACAGCAACACCAAAATGCACAGTGGAGCTGGTTGCACCATAGCACTATGCTGACATGAACAATGATGAAATGAGCTCTTCTTTATAGGGTAGGAAGAAGGTTAAAATGAGAGAGGTAAGGTTAAAAATAAGATGTATAGCAGAAGGGATTATTTTTCCCTTTGATTTCATCTTACCCATTTTTTTTTGCATGTTAGGTAAGCAAAACAATGCCATGTTTGTATCTTAAGAGGTTCCCATAAAATGCTTGCTGTGTGGATGAAAATGGTCTGTTAAAATGTGTAGACCTCTGTCCTATCTGCACCACCCAGGCAAGGTCACATAATTGCCAGGAGCAATTTCATCATCTGTAGGCTAGAGGTGCCACCAAGAGTCCTGAGTTCTTTATGGTTTGCTCACACAATTAAATGACACCAGACGTGTATAGATGTTTTCTAAACCATATGGTACATTCCAATTATGGCTTCAGAGAATGGCAAGGAGACTAGAGATGCTTTATTCTAGGGGTTAACAATCTTTGAAAATGTGTGTGCCAAAGTGCCCAGCCTTTTCTGGCACATAAACAGAAGGGTCATTTGCCCACCTCTGCAAGGTGGCAGCAGCATCCCTGCATGGCCCAAAGCAGTCCTCTCCTTGGCATTGCCATGTGGGCTGCCCAGACCTGGTGAGATCATTCTACCCTCATACCGCAAGTCCTCCAAAGCATCTGGAAACAACAGGTCCTCTGTGTATGTCAGCAGATTCCCTCTCCCAAAGTCCTGGGCACCTGGGGGTCACAGAGTTATAAACAGGGCAGATATTTGCCAAACCAGAAATGTGCTGAAATAGCTGCACCCATATTTACTACCCACATCCTTTCTGGTTGGTCAGTGTCTGTGCCACACTGATTGCAGTTTGAGTATCGACCCTGAGGGTGACTGTTGCCACCACCTTCAGACATCAAGTAAGACCATAAGAGAAGTCTCTGTCCATTGAACACTGATGACCTGTCACTGCTGAAGGAAGAGTGAGGAAATCTAAGGCCAATGGAAGCCAACTTAGCCTTTATGAGCTTTTTGTTTATTAAAAACTGAATAGTAGAGATGGGTCACCTGAGCCAGAAGTTTTTGTCCCTATTTGTCAAATTTGGATGCATCATACAGAGAAGAATGAAATAAAATATCCTCCCCCTTTTGTACTCTTGTGCTTTCTTTGGTGCTAAGAACATCACTGGGAATCACCAAGCATGTTAGACATCTCTGACATTTCAGCCTCTTGGGTTCTGGGGTAGGGGAACATTTTCCAGACACTATTAGTTTATTTTCTTCCTTTAATAAATACTAACTGGATATTGAGATTAGAATTGGGCAGAAACTCTATGCACCATTACTCTATAAACTCAGGACCCAGAGTTGTTAGAGAGGTCCAATTTTCTGCTGTAGGATAAGCCCACCTGCTCTCAGCTGTCAGGCATACTGTGTAGCATGGTGGTGCTGGGGGGTTACCAGGATGAAAAGCAGAACCTACCGCCACAGGACTACTGTGCAGAAATCTGTTCATGGGTTTGAAATCGGGCATCCCTGACAAACCTGGAAATGAGCTTCCTAACTTTCCTCCATGAAGTAGGAAGTCATATACAATTTTACTTTGTCAAAGAAAGTTTTCTTTGCCTGTACTAATGCGATTGCTATCTGATGCCCCAGTCTCAGTGTTTTCATTAAAATGGGCATTTAAAAAATGTATTTATCTATTGTGGTAAATAATCTAAGGAGCAGTGCCCTGTAATAGAGGAAAGTCCTGAGCTTAGAATCCAAAGACCTGAGTTTTGTTTCTGTAAGCAATCTGAATCTTATTGCCTTATTTGTAGAATGAGAATAATGATGCCTGACCTGCCCATCGCTGAGTGATGGTGGAGGGGTTTGAATCAGCATCATGCACACATAAGACCTGAAAGCAGAAGGAGACTCTGGCCTTGCCAAGGAAGTAGAGTCACTGGTTGGTCATTTTGGATGCAGAGTACCTCTTTGTTCTCCTGGTCAAAGTGATCTTGTTAATTAGAAGATTGAGTCATCCTCTTAGCAGAAAGTGTGTGTATGTGTGTGTAGTTTTATTTATCCAAGGTGATCATCTACCTAATCATCATCCCTGCTCCTATCTGGTTTTGAGAGAAAGAATTGCAGATAATATTTTTTTAAATGATTTTGATCACTCTTTGCCTTCTGTCTCTGTTGCTTGAGACTGTGAAGAAGTCATATATCCTTTATGTGTTTATAAACAATTAAAACTATAAAGTGCAAATAAGGAAAGCAAACAGTGTCCCCCAGCAGCTCCCTTCCACACCTGGTTTCGGGGTGACTGATGCCTCCCTGTTGATCCCTTTCTCCCCAGGTCGGTGGCCACACAATGCTGCCCATTCGCTGGATGCCTCCAGAGAGCATCATGTACAGGAAATTCACGACGGAAAGCGACGTCTGGAGCCTGGGGGTCGTGTTGTGGGAGATTTTCACCTATGGCAAACAGCCCTGGTACCAGCTGTCAAACAATGAGGTGTGCAATGGGTCTGGCCAAGACCCTCCAGAGGGCTGAGATCCCAGAGGCATCCATTGGCTGGGGCCTTGTTTTGGGTTGGAAGACCATGTCAGGACACGATCTTATGGGCTTTGTTGGTGGCAGCACTTCCCAAGTAGCCTGCTATGTTTCTAAATTTCATGGTCAAAGTATAATCACTCTGAGAAAGCAAAGCACAGTGCTCGCTGCTATGTCCTTGCTCCTCTGGTGATGGGACTGAGGAGTCACTTTATGCAGCTCATCTGATAAATTAATAGCAGACGTAGCATTCCAGAATCCATACAGTCCAGCAAGTTCTTTAGTATTGTTCCAATGAAGTTTCAAGATTCTTTCCTTTTTGAATATTTCACCAGAACATTAACTTCTAGTGAAAAACTCAAGCATTTTGTTTTTTCTATTCTTACGCTTGCAAATATTGTTTATATTTGAGGCACAGCATCTTGATCAGGCACCGTACATCTTTTTCAGATCCATTTCTATCTTTTTAATCCAGTTCCTTTATCCAATAGCCTGAGAGGTTTCCTGTCAGTCAGTGCCTTAACACCCAGGTGACTCAGGTTCCATCTCAGACCAATAAAAACCACAACATGTGGGAGCTCCAGTGTGAGGTTTGGGACCATTCCATATAAATTATTTTTCCACCAGTTTTGTGAAATCAGAGTGGCTTGGACAAATGGATATAAGCCAATCAAAATAAACACGATATAAACTAACCTATAATAATTGCTCTCTTCCTTCTGAGAAAACAAAACCAAGAGTGGGCTTCTTTTGTAAAAGCCCTCTCTTCTGCTGTTTTTTTGCACTGACATTTCTTCGATGTGCATTGCTTTTCCTCCTGTCTCATCCTATCTTTGATCTCCATCCAGGTGATAGAGTGTATCACTCAGGGCCGAGTCCTGCAGCGACCCCGCACGTGCCCCCAGGAGGTGTATGAGCTGATGCTGGGGTGCTGGCAGCGAGAGCCCCACATGAGGAAGAACATCAAGGGCATCCATACCCTCCTTCAGAACTTGGCCAAGGCATCTCCGGTCTACCTGGACATTCTAGGCTAGGGCCCTTTTCCCCAGACCGATCCTTCCCAACGTACTCCTCAGACGGGCTGAGAGGATGAACATCTTTTAACTGCCGCTGGAGGCCACCAAGCTGCTCTCCTTCACTCTGACAGTATTAACATCAAAGACTCCGAGAAGCTCTCGAGGGAAGCAGTGTGTACTTCTTCATCCATAGACACAGTATTGACTTCTTTTTGGCATTATCTCTTTCTCTCTTTCCATCTCCCTTGGTTGTTCCTTTTTCTTTTTTTAAATTTTCTTTTTCTTTTTTTTTTCGTCTTCCCTGCTTCACGATTCTTACCCTTTCTTTTGAATCAATCTGGCTTCTGCATTACTATTAACTCTGCATAGACAAAGGCCTTAACAAACGTAATTTGTTATATCAGCAGACACTCCAGTTTGCCCACCACAACTAACAATGCCTTGTTGTATTCCTGCCTTTGATGTGGATGAAAAAAAGGGAAAACAAATATTTCACTTAAACTTTGTCACTTCTGCTGTACAGATATCGAGAGTTTCTATGGATTCACTTCTATTTATTTATTATTATTACTGTTCTTATTGTTTTTGGATGGCTTAAGCCTGTGTATAAAAAAGAAAACTTGTGTTCAATCTGTGAAGCCTTTATCTATGGGAGATTAAAACCAGAGAGAAAGAAGATTTATTATGAACCGCAATATGGGAGGAACAAAGACAACCACTGGGATCAGCTGGTGTCAGTCCCTACTTAGGAAATACTCAGCAACTGTTAGCTGGGAAGAATGTATTCGGCACCTTCCCCTGAGGACCTTTCTGAGGAGTAAAAAGACTACTGGCCTCTGTGCCATGGATGATTCTTTTCCCATCACCAGAAATGATAGCGTGCAGTAGAGAGCAAAGATGGCTTCCGTGAGACACAAGATGGCGCATAGTGTGCTCGGACACAGTTTTGTCTTCGTAGGTTGTGATGATAGCACTGGTTTGTTTCTCAAGCGCTATCCACAGAACCTTTGTCAACTTCAGTTGAAAAGAGGTGGATTCATGTCCAGAGCTCATTTCGGGGTCAGGTGGGAAAGCCAAGAACTTGGAAAAGATAAGACAAGCTATAAATTCGGAGGCAAGTTTCTTTTACAATGAACTTTTCAGATCTCACTTCCCTCCGACCCCTAACTTCCATGCCCACCCGTCCTTTTAACTGTGCAAGCAAAATTGTGCATGGTCTTCGTCGATTAATACCTTGTGTGCAGACACTACTGCTCCAGACGTCGTTTCCCTGATAGGTAGAGCAGATCCATAAAAAGGTATGACTTATACAATTAGGGGAAGCTAATGGAGTTTATTAGCTGAGTATCAATGTCTCTGCGTTGTACGGTGGTGATGGGTTTTAATGAATATGGACCCTGAAGCCTGGAAATCCTCATCCACGTCGAACCCACAGGACTGTGGGAAGGGCAGAATCAATCCCTAAGGGAAAGGAAACCTCACCCTGAGGGCATCACATGCACTCATGTTCAGTGTACACAGGTCAAGTCCCTTGCTCTGGGCTCTAGTTGGGAGAGTGGTTTCATTCCAAGTGTACTCCATTGTCAGTATGCTGTTTTTGTTTCCTTCACTCCATTCAAAAAGTCAAAATACAAAATTTGGCACAGCATGCCAACGGGAGGCTGTGCCCAGACCAAGCACTGGAAGTGTGCTTCTAGGCATAGTCATTGGTTTTGCAAAAAGAGGGCTCAAATTTAAATAGAAATTTACAGCTATTTGAATGGTCAGATATACCAAGAAAGAAAAATATTTCTGTTCCTCAAGAAAACTTGCTACCCTCTGTGAGGGGAATTTTGCTAAACTTGACATCTTTATAACATGAGCCAGATTGAAAGGGAGTGATTTTCATTCATCTTAGGTCATGTTATTTCATATTTGTTTCTGAAGGTGCGATAGCTCTGTTTTAGGTTTTGCTTGCGCCTGTTAATTACTGGAACACCTTATTTTTCATTAAAGGCTTTGAAAGCCAATTCTCAAAAATTCAAAAGTGCAAATTAACAGAACAAAAGGAAATCCAGTAGCAACTGCAGTCAAGCGAGGGAGTTGACAAGATAAACCTTACGTCCATTCAAGTTATATGCTGGCCTATGAGAGATGAGAGTTGGGTCGTTTGTTCTCTTTGTTGATGATTTTAAAAAAACCCTCTAGAATACACATAATAACATAATGAAAGCCATATCTCCATGATATATATGTGCACATATATATACATACATGTGCATGTATGTATCATATTAAGGACCCATGGTACTCTTAAAACACTGTAGAACTCTGTGACGCAGTAAGGAAGGGGCAGATTTGTACAAAAACTTTTCTAGATTCCATCAGCAAAAACCAACACAGGTTTGTCACGCTGCATGTCTGGCCAGCTAATCTCGGGGGAAAAGCTACAAGTTATTTATTTTATTTTAAGAGAATAAAGTAGGTAATAATTTAAGGGATCAAATTCAAGGAGGAATGTGCAATTTTAGAGCAAAGATTTGTTTAAGGCAAATGAGACTTTGGGAGCATCCCATTCCAGTTTTGTCTTTTTTTTCTCTGAAAGAAAAAAGCAAAAAATAAAATAAAATTCCACTTATACCTTCTGACAAGTCCCTAAAGGTCTTGAAATAAAAGGTTCTATGCAAGTGCAAAGTTTTATAGTTATTTTTATTGCTGATTATTACTATTACTATCTCTGTTGTCTTAAGAGTATGTGCTGATTTCAGAGACATCTCAAATTGAAAGAATATCAGATTGCTTTTAAAGTAGCTGAACGAGCCACAGAATATCTGAAATTATTCATTGTTGTTCCTCCACCACCCCCTTTCTCATGGTCTGATTTTTAGAAGAGTGGCATCCTCGTTCTAAAATGTAATGATCACCAAATACGGCCTTCCATCAAATTTGTGAAAACTACAACAGTATAACAGTGACAAACCTAATTCTCTAGCCCAAACCTGGTCTGACAATCATTTCCATTTAGAAGTCATTGAATAGTTTTCCAAACACTTTCCATGTGTGTTAGCAAATTATTCCTATTTTGTGTAGATGAGGACGTTGAGACTCAGAGACATTCAGAGGCACGCTAGAGGTCTCCAGCCTAGCTTCCAGCACCATTGGGACTGAATCCAAGTACTCTCACTCTGAACTTCGTGGTTCTGTCCACTAGAGACTCTAATATGCAAACAAGCAGTTCAGGAAAGAAAGCATGCTAACACATTCATGAAGCAGTATATGAAGTTAGAAGAACAAAAGGAAATACAGGAGATGACAAGCAACTGAGATATTGTGATATATAATCATGCTCTTAGCTTCAGCTAAATTCAGCTAAATTCTTGTACACTGAACCAATGTCATAATCAGGCTTATTTAGAAAACACTTTGAACTATGCTATAAAAGATTATATCAGAATTCATATTATACATGTGTTCACATCAGCGCTACCTGTGATGTTTTCATGTATTTATGTATGTGTTATAAATACTTGATTTATACATATACAAATGCACATACGTAGTGTGTTTGTGTGTTTATGTATAAATTTATAGGCACACAATAATAGAGGTAATTATAAGTAGGATGCGGTATGAATAATTTGCTTAAAATATGCTAAATAACCAAAACTGTTTAACGTCATGTTGCTGTTAGTGCTTCCATACTCCACGTGGGTAGGACTACATCACACTTTTCAACTCTGTGCAGTACTGCATGGGTGGAAGACATATTTAAGATAATGTGCTTCCCAAAACAACTGAATAAAAGCCATCCCACTACATTGAGTGCTTTCTCTGGCTCCTTGCAAAGAAAGATACTTTTTGTAATGGTCCAGGAAAGGAACATTGCTTTCTTTTTGTCTTTCAGCACATTTGTATTATGCTCACCTTGTCTCTGTCTCACTGTGACCCCTTTACACTTGAGTTCAGAGTTCAAGCATTCCAAATATAAATTGGAATGTTGGCAGCCCAGTGGCTTGAAGGCCAATGATGAGCAGTCCAAGACCCCACAGCGAGATGAGCAACTCTTAGGAATTCCCACATCCTAGAGTGAATGCACCAACTAACAGTATAGAATGCTGTCCTTTTCAAAGCGTCCTAACAGCAGGATTACCTGGTCAAGTATGGACTTTCTTTGAATCTTTCTTTTCACAAATTGGACTGCCTGTAATACCAATAACATTGTTGTATCTAACTAAATAAATGACTGCATATACACACATACCCTCAATTCTCTTGCTTCCCCATTTTCTTTTTCATCCCCTGTCTCAGGACTTTTATTTTCAATGTTGACCTTTGGTTTGGCCATATATCACTGTTATAGGAAATCTCATGAGAGGAATGGCTAGTGACCCAACTCTCCAAATGTCTAAGTTAGTAGTTACAGCTGATTTTTTATGATGCATAATTGGAATGTGGAGCCTCTGAGGTTGTGATAGCTTGTACATGAATTTCAAATGTCATTCTAAAGAATGAGGGGTGGGAGGGATTTATAGTTAGAAACGACAGTGCAGGAAGGGGTATTTTCTTGTTGTCAGGGCTGGAATGAATCACTGCTGCTCAAGTCAAAGGTTCTTGAATATCCTTAGTTTTTGCATTTCCCCTCCTTTTCCTTTGACCTTTATTTATTTAATTATGTATTTATTTATTTATTTATATACTTTTGCTCCATTCAGCACAAACACAAAGCAAAGCAAAAAAAAAAATATATATATATATATCTGTATATGTGTTGTAGGCAAAACACTGTGAATTTCACAACAACCACCACCAAGCAACTATTTTGCCATCTTAACATACATCTCAGGAGACGAAATGAGAAAAGATGGGGATGTCATTTTTTAGTCTATGCGTTTGAGGCCAGGTCCATGTTTATTTATTTCTTTAGTCTATGCATTAATGAAAATGATCCTGAGTGGAGGTTAGCTGAACGTTCAATGTACTGGAGCAAGCATCATAAAAGCTGCTAGTAGCCATGTGTTTGAACAGGAAAAATATTACAGAAAATGAAATGTAAAGGCCTATATCTTGCAGCTTGTATATCTTACTATTGCTTAAAAAATGTATAAAGCAGCTGGAAATGTTTTAAATACAAGGTCTTTGAATTAAATGTGGATTTTAAATATGTAATCCCTTGACAAATGACCAAATTATGGTGAACTATTGCTCCCTGCGTTCTTTGATCATTACCTATGACTTACAAATCTGCCTGGAGATGTGGACATTCTGCATTTGCTTCTGTATCTGGAGAGATGTTTGTATATATCCAGGCCGTATACACACACATTTCCATATCTCTCTACAGATATATTTCCCCTTCAATCGTGACCTGGTATTTGGAACTCTCCTTTTCATTTGGCTTATCTTCCTTTTAATGTGATGTCTCTGTGCTAATACTTACCAGTTCTTGTTTTGCAATCTGTTTTGAGGTCCATTGCTTTACTAAGACCCACTGCATCTTGGCTGATTTCAAAGTGACACCTGAATACAGTGTTTAAAAAAAAAAAAGTTTTGTTTGTAAATCATGTGACCAGCTTCTCTCAACCTGACATGGAAAGTCTCTTGTACTACAGTGTATTTAATAAAAATGATGTCTTACAATAAATAACATACTCCAAAAGAGAGACTAAAAATGACATGATGATTAATTTTTAAAAATGTATAGAATTTCCACAAGCATGGTGTTCTCTTTATTCTATATGTATATATGTCTGTGTTTGGTTTTGGTTTTGTTTAAAGACAGGTTCTTGTAATGTTGCCCAGGCTGGAGTGCACTGGCTATTCACAAGCATGATCATAGCTCACTGCAGACTCAAACCCCTGGGCTCAAGCCATCCTCCTGCCTTAGCCTTCTGACTCCCTGGGCTCAAGCCATCCTCCTGCCTTAGCCTTCTGACTCCCTGGGACTATAGGTGCACACCACTGCACCCAGCTATATGTATGTATTTTTAGATAGGATCACTGTAGATGCCTGTAGTGCTCATTAGTTGAAGGTAGTGAGAGTAAGTGGTTAGTCATAGAAATAAGTTTCCTGTCTGATCTATCCATAATTCTGATATTTTCAACTTACACCTTAGATAACTAGAACATCACTGTCAATTGCTTTACTTTCTGAAACAATATAAATGCCCTATCTGTACTGTCCAATATGGTAGCCTCTACCCACATGTGGCTAGTGGACACTTGAAACATGGCCAGTGTGACTAAAGAACTGAATTTGAATTTTGATTTAATTTCAATTAGCTTGTATTTAAATAGCCACATATGGCTAGTGGCTACCATGTTGGACGGCACAGAGCAAGAAGACAGAATCACCAGGGTTTTGAAAAGATTAAACCTTAGAAACATCCCAAGAGATGTGTGTATTGTGGCATCCTAGGGTTGAGGCCGCTTTGAGGATCTGAATGACTCAGGAGTATAAGTAACTGAATTAAAAATGCCTCACTCTCTTGGCCTTTCTATGCACCAGTGTTTCTGAAATCATAATGGTGGGGGAGGACAAAATTAGGGTGGCTTTTCAGGGGTCCTACGGGCTGTCTCTTTCTTACCATCAGAATGGTCTGCCCACATTCTTGTTCTCAGTATTTCACAGTTGGATTTCCCAGGGTCTGGCCTCTTCTCAACCCTCTGAGAGGCACACCAGCATCTGGGCAACATTCCTGCCATAGGCTTGGCAATAGACGCTCCAAAACTCAGAATCCTCAGAAACATTGCCTCCTGAATACCTCCTCTCAGTGGTGCAGGTATGTTTTTCTTGAGTTAAAAAAAATACAATCAGGTGAAAACTCAGCAGAGACTTGGAAAATGCAATGCCATAAAAGGGGCAAAACGACTTGTGTACATCCCCCTCAAAGAAACTGTGGATTGAAGGAGGAAAGTTTAATGACTAATGCCTTGGCAAGCCACAATCCAGTTTGGACTACTAAAGATCCTGACTTTTACCAGACTACATTTGTATATTCCTGTTATTGGTACAATTATAATGGTATCAATTTAAATTCCAAACCTGAAGCCGTGTCCCAGAGCCCTCTCTTGCTTCCCTGTGTATCCCATCTGGCCTTCCCTCTTCAAATACTCCTTCCATGCATGCATAAGGGTGCCTATTTTCTTGGATGAGAAAAATGCTCCTGAAGTATTACTATTAATAACATCATTAGAACAGACATACTTACTTTTAGAATAAACCAACAAAATGAATCCTTCTTCTGTGCCAGGGTGTTATACATGTGTATTAGTATCTTGTGGCTGCTGTAATAAATTACCACAGACTAGGTGGCTTAAGACAACAGAAGTTTAATTTCTTACAGTTCTGGAGGCCAGAAATCTGAAAGTAAGAGGTTGGCAGAGCTGCACTCCCTTGGAAGGCTCTGCGGGAGAATCGTTTCCTTACTTGCCCCAGCCATTGGTGGCTCCAGACGTTCCTTGCTGGTGGTTACATCACTCCAGTCTCTGCCTTCTTGATCAAATTACCTTCTCCTCTTCATATGTCTTCTTCCCTGGGTGTCTGCTTTTTTCTTTTCTTTTCTTTTCTTTCCTTTCCTTTCTTTTCTCTTCTTTTCTTTCTTCTTTTCTTTTCTTTCTTTCTTTTCTTTTCCTTTCTTTTTTTTTTTTTGATGGAGTCTTGCTGTATTGCCAGGCTGGAGTGCAGTGGCGTGATCTCGGCTCACTGCAACCTCTGCCTCCCAGGTTCAGGCAATTATCCTGCCTCAGCCTCCTGAGTAGCTGGGACTACAGGTGCACACCACCACGCCCAGCTAATTTTTGTATTTTTAGTAGAGACGGGGTTTCACCATGTTGGCCAGGATGGTCTCGATCTCCTGACCTCATGACCCACCTGCCCAAGCCTCCCAAAGTGCTGGGATTACAGGTGTGATGGGTATCTGTTTTATAAGGATACATGGGATTGCCTTTAGGGCTCACCCAGAAAATCCAGATAAGTGCCTTCTCTCAAGATCTTTAACTTCATCACAACTTTTGCCATATAAGTTAATATTCACAGGTTCTGGAGATTAGGAGGTGGGTATATCTTTTTTTGGAGGGGACATTACTCATCTCACTACAGATTCTTAACTCATCCAACCCTTACACCTATCCCAGGAGGCAGGTACTATTATTATTCCCAGTTTACAGATGAGAAAACTGAGTCACTAAGAGTTAAGGAAGCTGTCAAAAACTGTCAAAAGAAATTAACCAGTAAAGATAATGCTTAGTATTTGCCAAGGAGTTTCATACATTAACTCATTTAATCCTTAGTCAACTCTATGAAATTGAAGAACGCAGGGGGCTCAGCTCCAGGCAATAGGCAGAAAGGCAGGTACCTGACTGGCATAAGGAAGCCTTGAAGTTAGGGTCTGGGCTGGCCATATGACTTAGGTTCAGGGTCTGGGCTCCAGGCCACCGAGAGACTGGTATAAAGCAGTTCCGTGGCCCAGTCCTGTAGGAATGAGGTTATCAGCAGGAGCTAAAGCCAAGATTCAAAGTTCAAGGAGACTAGACAGTCTCTAGCAAATTGAACCTGGGATGTGAGGAAGGACTTTCGTCATTAGGGACAGGATGAGAATTTAGCCACTAAGCTTAAGCAAAAAGTCACGCCAGAGCCACCAGCTAGGTATTTTTGGTGCCTTCCTATGGCCCAGTGCTTAGGTTGGTGCAAAAGCAATTCCAGTCTTTGACACAACTTTGGCAAAAACCACAATTGCTTTTTGCACAACTTAATACTAATCCCACCCACTTTCACTCATTAGTCTAGGGGAGGATGAGTCTCCAGGTGAAGGGAGCTGCCTAGCAATGGGGCTCTGGAGCTAGAAAAGGGGTGATGTTAGAACTCAGATTTAGGAACGCCTCTCTTGCAATAAGATCTCTGCAAATTTGGCCATTTGCCAAACGTCAGAGTCTTTGGTAGCCTCCCATGTTTAGAGCTGGATAAGGCCTAAAGGTCCCATGCCCCATCTGCCATCTACAGGTAGTGTTTTACAATAAAAGTAAGGCTCAGACCAAATTCTTCCAAACAAGCAATGATTTATTATCAAGACCACATGTTGGCTATGTAGACCAGAAACTTCCCCTTTCTGTCTTTGGGTGAAGTCACAGCCAAAGGCAGATTCAAAAATGTGCTAATGCCAGGACCAGCCCAGCCTCTGTTGAATCAGTTGACAGGGGAGGGATACACAGAGGACCCAGGGAGCTCTGGTCACTGAAAGTGCCACTCCTGGCATTAGAGAGCTGAGCTTGCTACATTCTTCTGCCTCCTTCATGTAGGAATGACAGCATCTGTACAATATTCCTAATTCTCAATCTTCAAAATCAGTCATTTCTGCCAAAAAATAAGAAAAACTCTAATATATTTTATGCTAATTAAGACACTTTCTGATATTGATATAAAAATTTTAAATGCCAGTTAACTACTCAAGTCACTTTTCATGTGGGCTCTGTTTATGTTGATCACCTCTGGGATATGAGGTGTATTTAACGTGTACATGCACATCACACTATATACAACTGATTTTAGAGTCAGTTGCCACACAGACAATAAAACAATTTCCATAAAGACCCTTTTCTCCTATAGTAGATATGGATTTGTAGCTACCAAACCCAAATGTGCAAAATGTCACTTGCTTCATTTCCTTTAAATCAGGCTATGTCTGGTTCTAGCCCATATCCTGCAGGAGCAAAATCAGCCTTAAGCATCACTTGGCGTGCCTCCCTTTCATAAGGTACCCCATGAATCCCAAGGCCCGTTGATACCTAGGAAATATGAGAAGGGTCTCTAATGTCCTCTCCATCATGATCTAGTGGCTCTGGTGCCACAACTGAGAGCTCTGTGTCTAGGACAGAATGTTCCCAGACACATCACAGCCATTTCCCCAAAGTCTACCTCTTCCCTGTGCAATTTGAGGACTCCACACCGACCAATATCTCTAGGCTTGGGAAAATCTCTGTTACAAATCCTACCTCTACTCTCCACCCTTTCCTTTTCCCTAGCTGAATCATCTCCTAAATACATGATTAGATCATTGTTCAGCCTTTTTTTTTTTTTTTTTTTGAGATAGAGTCTTGCTCTGTCACCCAGGCTGAAGTGTAGTGGCACGATCTCAGCTCACTGCAATCTCCGCCTCCCAGGTTCAAGTGATTCTCCTGCCTCAGCCTCCAGAGTATCTGGGACTACAGGTGCAGGCCACCATTCTCTGGCTGATTTTTCTATTTTTAGTAGAGACAGCATTTCACCATGCTGGCCAGGCTGGTCTTGAACTCCTGACCTCATGATCTGCCCGCCTCGGTCTCTCAAAGTGCTAGGATTACAGGCATGAGACACTGTGTCTGACCCATTGTTAACTTTTTATATTATTATGACAATGAAAGTGCTATTTGGAGCTGAGGCATACAGTAAACCATGACTATTTTCCTTTTCTGTATTTTGTTTTCTTAGGAGTTAGTAATTGACTTTTGTTTGTTTGCTGTCTTAGTTTTCTAATTATCGTTATTCAAACCCAGGCTCTTAGCTATTTGTCTAAATTTCCTCTCAAAACATTCCAGTGCATCATGTATTTTACCCATTCAATCCACCTGGACAATGTCTCCTGTAGCCTTCTCATCTGATGCAATCTAGACATATGACCTCCCAACCTGTTGCAGAGCCATCATCTGGGATCTTTCTCTTCCAGAACTTGGACTTTTCCCGTTTTTGTTCTGCATGTATCTCCTTCCTTCCTGCCTCCACTATTCTATGTCTTCCTTTTCTTGGTTTACCTCTTGATTTGGTGGAACTCATCCTCCAATAGCTTTCTAAGAAAAGGCAAACAAGAAATTTTTGGAGACTCATTGTGTCTGAAAATGCTTTTATTGTACCCTGAAACTTAACTAACAGTTTGCCTGAATATAGAATATTAGTTTGAATTTTTTCTTAAAATTTTTGAAGGCATATATTGATTGTCTTCTAACTTTAAGTGAGGCTGTTGAGAGGTCCAAAGTGTCCTGATTATTGATTTCAAAAATGTAATCCTTTTTTTAAATCTGGAAATTTTAAAAATCTTTTCATATTTAGTATTCTGAAATTTTACGAAGATGTGTCTTAGGTTTACGTTAATGCACTGTGCTGGATACTTCAATGAGCTGTTTCCATCTAGAAACTCATTTTTTTCAGTTCTGGGAAATTTTCTTGAATTATATTGTTGATTAATTCTTCTCTGTGTTTTCTCTCAGGAAATTCTATCATTTAAATACTAAACCACCCTCTTGGACTGGACTTCAAATTCTTACTTATGTCTTCAATTTTCTAGGAGAACTTTTAAAAATTTATTTTGAGTTCTGTCATTCTCATTTTTTTCTTTAAAAATGACTTTTCATTTCACTTAGAATAAAACTTGAATTCCCTGTCATGGTCTACAAGGTCACAAAAGATAGTGCTGTTGAAAATGTCTGAAACTTCTCCTCACACCATATTTGCCTTCTCTCACCTATATTCCAATACCTTTCATCACTCAAGAATTTTGCATATTTTATTTCCTCTTCTGGAAAATCTTTTGCTCCAACTTTTTAATGGACCTTTTTCATATTGCAGATTTTGCAATATCCTTTTTTAAGAAGACTTCCATAACCTCATAAACAAAATATTCTTTCCTGTTATTCTCTTCCTAGTACTCAGTTTTCTTTCTTTAAAGTCTTTATTAATTCTTTCAGTAAGGGTGTGTAAGTAGAAAACTCTTAGTTTTTCTCTGCATGGAAAGGTGCTAGTATAGCTGAAAATGGAATCCTGGCTCAGCAGTCACTTTCCTCCAGCCTTTGGAAATATTACTTTCATTGTTTGGCATTGTTTGTTATGAAAAGGTTTCTGTCAATATTCTCATTCCTCTTTAGATCATCTGCCATTTCTTTCTAGTAGCATTTTAGATTTTCTCTTTGTCTTTCATATTATTTAGTTTCATTAAAATGTGTGTAGATATACATTTTTTTTACTTCTTATGTGGGACTTAGTTTCAATCTCAGGACTTGTGTCATTTTTCAGTGCTGTTTCATCCCACCATTCTCTTTTGGATATATTGCTCAAGGGCATACTATGTTTTTTCTTCTAGAACTTGAGGTAGACATGTGTTGGAGCTCCTCATTCTCTCCTTCATTTCTCCTCTCTTGTTATTTGCCTTTGCAGCATTTAGGGATTTTTCTTCAGAGAAGCCTTTCAGACCTCTTGTTTTCTCATAAGTTTTGTCTATTCTGATGCTTAATTTACTGAGTTTACCTCTTCTTTCATTTACTGTATTTTTCATTCTTAGAATTTCTATTTGGATCTTTTTCAAAATTGCCCAGTCCTTTTTCAAAATCTTAGTCATTTCATAATGTCTCATGGAGTCATTTCCTAGCTACACTTCTTTGCACATTTTAAATACGTTGAGTTGAAAGTCTCCATCAGGTTGTTCTAGTCTCACTAGGTAGGGGTTGTAGTAGGCTTAATGATAGCCCCCAAAAAAGGCATTCCACATTCTAATCCCTGGGACCTGGGGATACTATACAGCAAAAGAGAAAATATCACCATACGTGGGGAAAGATGTGACTAAAGGGAGGACCTTAAGAAGAGGATTTTATCCTGAATTATTCAGGTGGATCCTAAATGTAATCACATGTATCCCTATAAGAAAAATGCAGCAGGCATTTTGAGAAACATTGAGGAGAGTGTGATGTAAAGACCAAGGCAGGGATTAGAGTGATGTTACTATATACCAATAAATACCTGGAGCCACTGGAAGCTGGAAGAGGCAAGGAATGGACTCTCCCCTAGAGCCTTCAGAGGGAGTGTGCTCCTGTTAACACCTCGATTTCAGAGTTCTGTTATTTTAAGCTACCCAGTTTGTGGCCATTTGTTATAGCAGTCACAGAAAACTAGTACGGCCATTAATTATCTAATTTTTAAATCTGACTAGTCTAACCTTCAGGTTTTGTCATTTCTGTTCTGTTGGTGTGCCTTCAGCGAGAGTTGTGTTTTCCCAGAAATCTTGTCTATACCTAAACATTATGGAGTTATCCCAGGTGACAGCTTAACATTTTTTCCCTCCCTGGGAGCTGCAGGTTTGTATTGTTCCTGGTCTGTTTTGGTGTTGTATCAGCACAGAACCACACAACACAGAGTAGTGTGAATTTGGCCTACATCCATGCATAGTGTAGTATGGGTTTCTGATCTGTTGAGAGTGACTGTATTTCCACCCTGTAGTGAATTCTTACCATTTTATGTTGTCTTGATATCCATTTTGAATACAAGTTTTAACTTTCTTAGACCAGAAACAGGGCTCAGTCAACCTTGACACAATTTCCAGTTCTACACCGCACCCAAATGGCTCAAGCTGGTGGACAGAAATAAGAATTTAGGAGCATCTCTCTTACCTAGAAGACTGGGCTCCCTGCTTTCTTACAGCTTCCTTTAAATGGACCATCAGGCATTTGCCCATGAATTTAAAGTACTCCATTCCCTATTCCCTTATATGTGCTGCTAATCGCTAGATGTGCTCTCTCTCTTCCTGACTCATCATTCTCATCATTCCTGGGTTGATTGCAAGACCCGGGGATGGAGGACTGCTCCCCTGAATTATTATTCCTTCCTTGTCCACAATCTGTAAATAAAACTCTCCGAACTTGTTTTCTGTTGTGCTGGGTATTGAAAGTGCACCTTCCATCTGAAGAACTAGGGGCTGCCCCAGGCTGGCCTTTCCCCAGGATGCCAGGTAGAACACAAGGTCAGTCTCCCAGTGCTAGAGCCATGGTCAGGCAGGTATAAAGTGAACATGGGTCAGATAAGAGCCACAAGGGCATCTGTGAGTAGAAACAAGTTTTCTTTGTGAACCCCTGGTGACAGTTTGGGCAACTAGGTATGAGGTTGTTCACCAGGTTAAAGAAATATCCCTTAAAGGCACTGTAAATGCCATATCCAGCTCCCCTTCATTTTTCATTTAGGCAAAGTTGCTAACTTCTCTGGTACTGGGACCCCAATTTAGCCAAGAGCTCTCTAAACACAATCATAGATCAAGGAGGCCATCATGCTTCTTACTAACTTCCTGAGCAGGTAAACAAAGTTCTCATAGTCTCTCTTCATTGATGTGGCACCTTGACTTTATACAAAAATCCTAGTCCTGACACCTAATCCATGAGCTACTTATGACTCCCGCCACAAAACTGTCTGTCTACTCTTAATACCCCTTTGGGTCACAAGGATTTATCTCTAAGACTTTAATTTGGGTTTTAGTTTCATTTGGCGTGTGGAGGTTTTTCTTCTTTTAAATTTTTTTTGTTATGTTTTATCAAGCATATGTATGTGTTCATAGCAAGATACAAGAGTTTACACACCTGTTCTGTCTTCCATCTTCCCTGGAAATCTCAAAGCTTCCTTCTCCAATTTGAAGGAGGGTTCACTTCACATAGTCTTACTTTTCCGGCAAGGTGAATATTAGAACAGTTTTCAGTTTTCACTGTGGATCAGAATCACTCGGGACAATTTGAAAGATACGGAAGCCAATGCTTTACCCTGAAAAAGTTAGTTTCTGTTATATGGTGGGCCAAGGCATAGATATTTTCTGCACTGTCTTTAGGTGTTTCCACGGTGCAGCCACAGTAGAGAAATATTGTCCTAAGGGATAATAAGGCTCAGCTCCAGAATTCCAACCATTCAAATAAAAACACACTGGGCTGGACCTAGGACTTGACTCAGCAGAGAATGGGCCAACCAGAGAAGAGCCTAGAACTTTAGTTCAAGAATGCTACATACAGCACTAGATAAATCGGAGGAGCAGGTCATCAAGTATCCAAGGAGTTGAGCAGTGAACCACATGTTCTCTCAGGAAATAAATTTCCTGCGAAGCTCCATGGAAACCAGTTATGGTCCAGTGCTTAAGGCATTCAATCAATCAATCCTCATCGTGGAAAAAGCTGGAACTTCAGCTCTCCATTATGCCAGAAGAACAGTTGGTAGTTCTCCAGCCATCAATTCTGATGAGGCTCATCCTGCTGCTGCTTGCTATAACATGCAAGCCTTGGACCCAGCCTATGATCATGAAAACTGAGCTGGCAGGATCCAGCTGGAGTTGAAGTTTTGTCATATTGCTATTAAACCCTAGCCTCTGATCACTGCAGGGCAGGGGCCAGTACTTCCTTGATCATGCAACAGAAAAGCCAGGGTCCCACTTCAAGAGTCTAAATTCAGTCCTACCAGATTGCTGTGTGCAATCTCAGAGAGTCCTGGACAACAGTGTACACATGTACCAGCTACTAATCCTGTGCCCATGAACTTTCCCTCGAATTATGCTAGTCAATGATCAGCCCAGCATGTCTGTCATATATGCTATCTAGGCTTCTCTCCTTGCTTACATGAAGATATTGTATCTTTTACTTATTAATTTTTATTGCTGTTTCTTACATGTAGAATGTAAACTTCATTCAGGCAGATATTGCCTTTGGTTCACTGTCTAGGATGGCTCCGGACACATAGGTGGTACTCAATATTTTTGAATGAGTGAATGAATGAACGGGTGGATGAATGAATAGATGAAAATTAAGGAGCTTGAAATAGAAGGTCAAGAACCTAGGCAGGTAGTTATGGTAGACTGATGTCTCTAATATGCCTAGAAATGGAGGTGTAGCCTTAGGGAAGTCATCCTAACCCTCTTAAGACTTAGATTCCTCATGTGTAAGCTACATAATAGAGGCTTTTATTTCTAGATTAAAATTAGCTAATTCCTGACTTGAAACCATAACAAAATTTATTATAAATGACTTCAAATGCTTCCACATGTAAACAGAGCCACTTTCTTTCTGACTCACTTTGGAGACAGATCCAAGACAAGGCTCCAGGAAAAGCAAGGTTACCGTGAGTCAAAATAGTAAAAGCTGGGTGTTAATTTTCAAGTGGACAATTGAGGTATCATGGTTGTTTCCCCTTAAAAAAGAATCATTGTATTCAGAAGTAAGAGATTAAGGGTTCCTTAGGGAACACCTTCCCCCATACTTGCTGGAAATGAGGCAATGGCCAAATAAAAATGGCATAAAAATAATTATCTGGCCGGGCATGGTGGCTCACACCTGTAATCCCAGCACTTTGGGAGGCTGAGGTGGGTGGATAGCCTGGAGGTCGGGAGTTCCAGACCAGCCTGACCAACATGGTGAAATCCCATCTCTACTAAAAATACAAAATTAGCCGGGCTTGTTGGCACATGCCTCCAATCCCAGCTACTCAGGAGGCTGAGGCAGGAGAATTGGTTGAACCTGGGAGGTAGAGGTTGCGGTGAGCTGAGATCACACCATTGCACTTCAGCCTGAGCAACAAGAACGAAACTCTGTCTCAAAAAATAATATTATTATTATTATTATTATTATTTGACATCTTTAAGATGATTGCTACTTTGCTTAATTCAACTTAACCAGGGAACTTTTCTATATTGACTTTCAAAAAGCACTTTGCAAAATTATTTAATGCTTCCTTAGTTTGTGGACAGAATGGTTTTGGAAACAAATGTGGCCTTCCTGTTTTAGGGTTTAATAAAGGTTGAGATGTTGGGGTGTGGGTGGAGGAGGTAAATATGGGTCAGCATGGCTTCCTTGGGTCTCCCATAGCATCACAGAATATTAGGGTTGGAAGAGTGGTGAGAGTTAATCTGTGACCACCCTTGCCTGGGTCAAGCCCTAGTGAGAGGAAATTTATTTGAATATCTCCCCTGCAACCCCAGTCCATCTGCATTTTGCAAAGCTTTCTTAGCAAGGACTTCCTGGTGCTGAACCAACATCTGTGTCCTCGGAACTACTGCCCATGGGCTCAGATCTCCTGGGAGTACACAAAATAACTCATTCATTATGACTTGGCATCCCTTTATGACTCCCTTGTGCTCTTCCTCCCTCATCCATCCCCCTACTGAAAACTCTGTATGGCTTGCCAAATACCCAAAAGAAAGGGCAAGGAACCAAGCTCTGCCTGGTAACACTAACATCCAGCCCACGATTCTTGGTTACTCTTGAATGGCATCAGCTCATTTTCCCTCACCTGTTCTCCAGGCTTCATCTCATTCTTGGCACAAGGGGAAATAACTTTTTTTCTCTCTCTTTTTTTTTTTTTTTTTTTTGAGATGAAGTCTCGCTCTGTCACCCAGGCTGGAGTGCAATGGTGTAATCTTGGCTCACTGCAACCTCCACCTGCAGGGCTCAAGTGATTCAAGTGATTCTCCTGCCTCAGCCTTCCAAGTAGCTGGGATTATGGGCATGCACCACCATGCCCAGCTAATTTTTGTATTTTCAGTAGAGACGGGGTTTCACCATGCTGACCAGGCTGGTCTTGAACTCCCGACCTCAGGTGATCCACCCACCTCGGCCTCCCAAAGTGCTGGGATTACAGGCAGGAGCTACTGCACCCAGCTGGGAAAATAACTTTTTAAGGGATCAAAGAGGTTAAAAGTCAGGTGTGTCTCCTTTTTCTTCTCTGGGAAAAAAATAATCTCTCAGTGGTGTCAACACAACGAATAGGGCTCCTCACAGCCTTTGTATTTGAGGTCCATCTAAAATCTTCCTGGGTGCTGTGAAGAACCAGTAAAATGAGGGAGTCTGGGTGATCCACGTGATAGCGAGCTTTGCCATCCCTAATGAGGGAGAAAAAAAAATCGGTGAAAGGCATTGCTTATTTGCTTGCTCAGCCAAGGGTTGGGTGGGAGGGTGGTGTTTGTTAACTTAAAGATAGCCTTAATTTTATTTGTTTTTTCCTAAGGAACATCTGCTTATACAATGATTAGGCATTGACATTCATTAACACAGGAAGTAAAATGTCTGAGGTTTGTGTCACCAGGAGTGTTCAACAACAAAATAAGACAGACACTCGTGGGAGTGATTTGAGTGCATTTTTCACACTGTGCAAAGGTTCACTCTAGAAGAATGTGTAGTATTCAGAGGATGCAGCCATTGAGAATGCGGTTTTCTGCAGCAATAGGTCATTTTCCCTAGAACTGTGGGCACGGGATGGATGATGTGGATGATGAGGGACATTGACCATGTGCATGCGCCATGTGAATGAATGCCTAATGAGGACTGGCGGCAGCAACATCTCAAAAAATACTTTCTGAATAAATGAATAAATTTCTCAGGCACACAGTGAAAAGAATGCAGTACATTCTGTGCACTCTTTCTACATTCCAGGGTGCATTTACATATATTATGGTATTTTCTTTCCTAACCTTCCTATGAGGACTAGAGCAACCACCACTCCCCGCCCCACCCCACCCCCAACCCCCAGCTTCCGCTTTTTACAAATAAGTATCTGGTCCTTGTCCTGTGAGTTAGTGTTGGAACTAAGGTGAATTTCTTAATCCTTGATAGAATTCCAGGACACTCAGCCATTTGGCCAGAGACTTTAAGGAAAACACTCTCAATTCTTAGTTCTCATTTGTGATATCAGAATACAGCATCAATATATCCTGAACGCCCTGCCCCCTTCCACCCTCCTCCCTTGGTTAAAAAGAAAAAAAGTGATGCTATCAAAAATCAGATTTTTGAGCATGTTAAGTATTGTAGGACAAGTGCGACAAAAAGGAAAATAATATAATTTAAAAGTCAGTTATTCCATTTCCCAATCTCCTTTTCTAGACTTCCAGCAATAGGCATTTGAGTAGATATTTGAAAAAGTGTAAAACGCGGCAGTCAATTGAATTTTTCCTGTTAATGAAATGAGAGAATCGAACGCCTCCACAAAGAAGTGATATGTCATTGTCCCTTGGCTCTGAGGAGAAGGTGGAACTAGACTTCAGACTCCTAGAACGCAGGAGATGTGGAGCGCACCGTGGAGATGTACTAGCTCAAACATGTCAGGTTACACATGAGGAAGCTGAGGCAGAGAAGGCTCATGAAAAGTGATGTAATCGTCTGAGGCAGGGCTGAGTCTCACCCCCAGGTTTCCTAACTTCCAGAGCCCTTACAGCTGTGGGCTCCAATTGTCGATTTCACTGGCTCCCTGCAGCTGAAGCAGCCTTTTTCATCACTGGGGCCTTTGTGTGTGTGCGTGTCCACAGGCATGCCCTATTTTCTCATCTACCCCTCTCCCACAAGACAGAGTTCGACACCTATAACCAAGCACCATAAAGCTGTGCATTAACATTTCAGTACCTACAAAATAAAATTAAAGGCTTTCTCTTAGCCTTGTTGTGTCTCAACAGTAAGGATGAAAAACCAAACTACATTGCTCCCCAAATTGTAGTTGTCCCCAGCAATTTCTAGATTTCACTTAAGAGATCAGTCCCAAAGAACAAGCAGAGGATGAAAAGGAATCTGGGAAAGCTGTCAGCAGCTCCCCACTCTATCCCCCATGTGGGTCCCCACCCCCTCCTCAGCCTCAGCCTTGGCTTTTGGAGCCCGCTGCCCTCTTGGGACACAGTCCGCCCTCCATCATCCTACCTACTGGCTCCGCATCCCTCTCACGTCTTTTTAAAGAGGTATTTTGGGAAGCAGCACACGCACATCCAGACACCAATTACTCAATCTCCCAGCAAGTATGGAGATGATGGAAGTATAGCCCTGTGATCTCCTAGCAACAGCGTGGGGGAGGCTGCAGCGCGAGCTGGTTGCCCAGCACCACCCTGCGTAGAAGGCATTTGCGCATTTCACTTTTGTTGTCTTTGACGGCCATTTCTAAAACGGGCTGGCTGTGTATTCTTGGGGGGATTTTAGGCACTTAAGTTACTCTTTTAAAAGATCTCTGCTGACATCCACAGGTCCTATAATTAACATCTCAAGCCTTCACAGGCCGGAAGTGTTCAGGAAGTGGTCCGTCACCCCTAAAAATACAGAGCCCCCTCTAGGTCCTCCTCCGGCAGTTTATTAGGGATTTGTCCGGACTGTCCCCTCCTTCCTCCACCCTGCCTTCTCTCGCCTTTACACGTATTCAGCCCAGATGTAGACACTCAAGCACTCTTTGTTGGTTTTTTTTTTCTCCTATTTGTGAACTCTGCCCTCTAAAAAAAATCAAGAAGATTACAGTCACTGGACATCTTAGTTTGCTTTTTAGCCTAAAAAGACTCCCTGGCTGTAGCATAACTCCACACCTGTTGTCCCACTGCCTCCCTAATCTCCAGCTCTACTCCCCATGCCCACCTCCCACAGCAAATGTGTCACTGACAAGAGGAATGTTTGACAAACTAGAGTAAGAATTGATTAAATGAGGGAGGGAGGTGAGAGCTAGCATGATAGCTAACTCCCCTCACTGGAAGTACTCAGAATCCCAGGGGAGATGGCTGTTGAGTGCAAAGGCAGTCCTTTCTGTAGTTTATAGCGGAGGGATGGATATTTGGGGAAAGAGAAATAGAGGATCAGAGAGAAATGTGGGATTTCCATTATCAATAAAAGAAAACTAAAGGGCAAGAGACTTGAGGACAGCTGCATCTGCTCTAAATCCAAGACTCACATCTGTTATTGCTGACCCAGGGGCCCCTCAACTTTGGGAACCCTTGAGAGGCTCAAGCCTTCTGGCTCAGGCTGGAGGGTAAGGGAGAGCAAATGGAAACAAAAGGACTGAAATGCTGCTCTTGAGAAAGGGCGGAGTGCCAAGGATCAGGAGGGAGGACTGAGTGCTTTGTTGCAGGAGCACTGATTGGAACAAACAGGAGAGGGCACTAAACCTACCCTAAGTTAACAACCATCTCTCAGATGTTGGGTGTAAGAAATGATGTCTGAGATAAGAAGATCTGACTCTAAAATAATCTTCCAAATTTTATTTCAGCCAAGTAATAGGCTGTTTCTTCAATAAACAAGGAAATCTTCTGTTTTCTCTTCTGCCTGTCTGTGCCCTGGTTTGCTCTTCCTTGGGCCAAAAAGTTTACAAGATGATGTTATTTCCAACAGCCTCCTCTGTGGGACTCATGGCCCATAAAGCCTTGCCAGCCTTTTCCCTTCTAGTCCTTCTGAGGAGACTCCTGGTAGGTGCTGACCATCTTGCTTCTCAATGGAATTCAAGCATGAACAGTTTGGGTGATGAAGACATAAGCTAGGACTAAAACTCTACTGGAAAAGGAGAACAGCAATTCTCACCCTGGCTCCAAATTGCAGGACAAGGTCTGTGGTGGACCCTACAGCCACCCGTGAGCACATGAACTCCTGTTTGCTCCTGGGACTGATTCAGGGACTAAAATAAGCCTGGGCTAAGAGGCTTAAGGATTTCAAAAAGGAGGATGAATGTTGGGGGAGAGATGAAAAAGGCAGAGTAGTGCCTGGTCACTGCTTGTGCTTAATAGTACTCTTTAGAAGTGAGAAATTGGGTAGAGGTGATAAATCTGTTTCTAAGCAAAACTCTAAAGAAATTGCCATGGGGAAAGGAATTTTGGTCTTACAGGCTTCCTTCTATTATTCTCAGTCACTATACACATGGACTATAGAAAGCCCACATAGCTTAGATGTCTACTCCCATTGGGGACACAGGGATCTGCTAATTCTACAGAGAAGGGTGGATTGGTCAGAACCCCTCTCTAGCTCCCCTGGGCACCAACTTTAATAGGAGCACAAGGTTAGAGCTCAAGGACCCTCCTTGTTTATATCAAGTTTATAAACATGGATCCAAGTTTATAGTTGGGAAAGAGACAGTTTTGGGAAGCCTCTCAGCTAGGTTAAAGAGAAAGCCAGGGTTATTTCTCAAGTCTATGGACTAAAGATCAGACATCTAAAGTTACTCTGGCTCCCTGAAGGCTGAAAACCAGCTCATGCTCTCTGCCTAAAGCTGTGAGCTTGACCTAAAGGCCAAAATGGAACAAAAGACTGAGCCACAGATGTTGATGAGGGTATCTAAGAGACTGTGAAAATAGAATTTCTTCCACCCTTTTCCTCAGGACTAGTTCCATGTCCAATAAATCTTGTGAATGACCACTTATTCTTCCCAACTTCGTGGAGAAATATACCCAGGAGTAAAGCATGATCTCCAAATTGTTACTTCTGAGCCTACTGAGGTTGATGATTTTATCGCTTATCTGAAGTTCTGCATGTTCAAGTTCTGCTCTGACACAGGCCTTTGTCAGGAGCCCAGTTACCATGGCAGTGCCTCCAAAATAGAACAAGCCCAACACACATCCATAGAGGGTACAATAAATAGAATAAGTACTACTTACAATGCATTATTTGGCTTCTACTGGGTAGTAATTTGTGCAGAGTTGAAAATAACTACAGCTCCCCTCCTTCATTTAATTAAAGGAAAACAATTCCACAAATCGGAAATGTGCAGTGTTTATATCAGAGTGGAACTCGAGTTGCTGCATGATCAAGAGGCCAGGATCATGGGTAAATTTACTATGGAAACGTTAATGTATTAAAGCTATTGACGTTCAGAGACTAACTCCAAAGCACTCTTTCTTACAACCCACCTTATACTGTGATTTGGTTTGAGGCACCAGCTAAGTATTAATGAAGATTAGCACCTAAGAAATGTAACAACATTTTTTCCCACTAGTAGAATGAGCATTTCTCTCTTTTTGCCCATGGCCATCCTGGTTTACCTCTATTGTCCCATGATACCCTCAAGTGGCATGCTTTGGATCAAAAATTACATAGGCATCCTAAATCTAAGTAACCCCAGGGTTTAGAAGGCTGGTGGGGGACTGCAGTAAAAAAAAATGTCTAAAATTCCCTCTGAGAGAGAAGATACTCATGTTTATGGTAGATATTTCAATGAATATTATATAGTTTGGGCTGTTTCTAGGTAAATCCATATCTCAGGGCCTCCGGTCTCTCATGTTCTCCCTGAGAGGACCTCCACCTTACACAGAGCAAACAGCCTGACTCAGAGGAGAATACACTGCCTTTGGAATCAGACAGGTCTGGGGTCCAGAAACAACTTTGCCTCTTACTCTGTGAAAGTCTGTTAGCCTTGATCTTATACCTTACATGCATAAAAATGAGGCTAACATTCTACTTTAATTGGCTTGCTGTGAAAACTGAATGATGTTGTGTGTAGGTACAAGTGCCTAACACAATGTCTGGTCTATAGTGAGAAGTGGTTATTCGTGTCTGTTTTTTGTTTTGTTTTGTTTATTTTCCTACAACAGCTGTGGCTAGCATGGTAGACTGGACACACATGACCTCTGGGATCAGTCAGAACTATAAATGATCAATCCCTGGACAAGTTAATTAACCTCTGATGCTCCCCACCTCAAATCTTAAAAAGTAGACATCATCCAAAACATCTCACAAGGTGTAGTGGGGAATGACAGCAATGACAAATGTAAGTCACCAAGCATGGATCCTGCCACTTAGTAGACAGTTGTCACATTTAGGCTCCCTGGGAAGCAGACACCGGGATGGAGAACAGAATGTAGGATGTTTATTAAGGAGTGCCACTGAGATCAATACTTGTATAAGGAAAGAAAGGGAAGCAGGATTGGTCAAAAAATGAATTAAACTGTGATATAGGTCTAAGGACAGTCTCAACCTTCCCCCAAAGGGAGCTCTGGCACAACTATGGCTTTCCAGAGTTCTCCAAGTTTCGCCAAGACAGCTAGACCTTTAGATTCGCACATTTATTAGTGACTGGATGGAAGCTGCCCCAGGAAGATGCATGAACTTGAACAAAGTGGCTTTCTGTAGCTGAAGCAGCCTGTGAAGGTGCTGACAGCTGTAGGCTGTCTGCTACACTTCCAGGAGCCAAATTGACAATTCCTACAATGAAGAAGTATTTGGAGGGCACAGCTCTGTGTCCACCACAATCCACTCCTCTCACTACTTAGAGCTACTGCCTTGTATATATACAGAGAATAGCTTGACGTAATTCCAGTAGGCTTCTCTTCCTGAGAAAAACCTGGAAGAGAAAGATTTGTTGGTCAGATTACAGTCCCTGCCACTGCAGGTGGTCTTAGTGACAAATGTACGATTGTCTTCCTTCTCCACTATCTTTTCTAGACTTCCTTCCCTCCAGTTTACCACCTCTGCTGTTTTTTTTTCTTTTTCTTCTTCTTTTTTTTTTTGTTTTCGTTTTTTTTGTTTGTTTGTTTGATTCACTCTGTCACCCAGAGTGAATCACCCAGTGAATCAGAGTCTGATTCACTCTGTCACCCAGGCTGGAGTGCAGTGGCACAATCTCGGCTCACTGCAGCCTCCGCCACCCGGTTCAAGTGATTCTCCTGTCTCAGCCTCCTGAGTAGCTGGAATTACAGGCACTCACCACCACACCCCACTAATCTTTGTATTTTTAGTAGAGACAAGGTTCACTAGGTCGGCCAGGCTGGTCTTGAAGTCCTGGCCTCAAGTGATCCTCCTGCATCGGCCTCCCAATGTGCTGTTAATTTACAGGCATGAACCACTGTGCCTGGCCATTAGCTGGTTTTAATAGTTTACCTGGTGCAGTGACCTAGACCCACATCCCAGAGCTCCTGGTCACCATGCCCATCTCAGGATGCACTTGTTTATTTACCATCAAAATTGGTCAAGGAAGTATCAGAAAGCAACCAATAGATCAACTGGGTGCTAAACAAATTCTTCTCTGCCCCATTGTATAAGAGCAACACATCTCCTCCTGAGGATCATGACGCTAACTCCTCTCAAAGGAGATTATTCTCTAGCTCTAAGACTTACTGTTGTTTTTCCTGTTGAGTTTTGGACTAATATGGGGCCCATTAATCCTTTTTTCTTGCCTATTTCCCCCTTTTTGGAATGTGAATATCTATCCTATGCATGTTCCATCATTGTATTTTGGAAGTAGATAACTTGTTTAATTTCACAGGCTCACAGCTGGAGAGGAATTTGCCTTAGGATGAACTGTGCCTTGAGTCCCACCTGTATCTGTTTATTATAAATTAACCAGTCTATGGTATTCTGTTGTAGCAGCACAAAACTGACTAAGACAATAAGTTTAGTGTCTCTTCAGGGATGGGTATGCTCTGAAGGGCATTAGCATGTATCAGTTATCAAGTTATTGCCTTTTGGTTTCAAATCCATTCTTTTTAAAATAAACTTTTATTTTAGAGAAGCTTTAGATGTACAGAATGATTGTGAAAGAAGTACAGAGAATTCCCATATACCCCTCACTCACTTTTCCCTATTATTAACATCTTACATTAGTATAGTACATTTGTCACAATCAATGAATCAATACTAATACATTATTATTAACTAAAGTCCATACTTTCTTCAGACTTCACTGGTTTTTTGCTAATGTCCTTTTCTGTTCTAGGATCCTCTCCAGAATATCACATTGCATTTCATAGTCATGTCTCCTTAGGCTGTTTTTGTTGTGACAGTTACTCAGACTTTCCTTGTTTTTGCTGACTTTGACCGTTTTGAGGAGTCCTTGTGCATTATTGTGTATAATGTTCCTCAACTGGGGTTTGTCTGAAGTTTGTATCATGCTTAAACTAAGATAATGTGCCTTGAGGAGGAAGACCACAGGGATAAAGAGTCACTCTCGTCACGTATTTTAAAGGGTACATTCTAGTAACATGAACTTAACACTGTTGACGTTAGCTTTGATGACCTGGCTTGAAGTGGATATTTGCCAGGTTTCTCTACTGTTAATTACTCTTTTTTATTCTTCTCTTTTCATGTTCTGCCTCCTTGAGGGTGCAGTTTTAACATAAATTATTTAGAATTCTTCTGCATGGGAGATTTGACTCTTCTATATATTAATGTATTTAATCATTTATTTATATCAGTAGGAACTCATGGATATTTATTTTATACTTTGGGTAATAATCCAATAGTATTTGATTTATTTTGCCATTCATAGCATTCTAGCTCTGGCCATTTGGAGCTCTTTCAGTTGGCATCTGGATCCCTTTGACATACCCCCATCATTGTGGAGTTCCTTTGTTTGAGCACTTTCTGCCTTTCAGGTACTATGCATGCTCTAGGCCTAGAATTAACCATCTTTTCAAAAAGGCTTGCTTCCTTTTGTTGGAGAATGGTGTTAGAAACCATGATCTGAGTGCTAGGTGTACTTGCAGCAATCTGAGTCATTGTTTCTCGGTCCTCTTAGCTAACAGAACAAGGAAATATATGTGTGTATATTAACTAGTATATATACATGTATCTATAAATATCTCTCTATCTATAACCATCTGCTTCTACATTAAGCCAAACATGAGTTCATACTGATGTCTCCAACTCTAATATGTTGCCACAAGGAACATTCCAGCTTTCTCCCTTTGCTTATCTGTAACCTCTCTAACTACAACAGGGAAAAATCGGGCTCCCATCATCCATTCACTTGATTGTTCTACTCCAGCATTCATATATAATGGTTTCAGAACAGTTAACCCATATACTAATGGAAAAAAATTTCATCTAGAGTACAAATCTTTTCTTTAATTTTTATTTTTTAAATATATTTTTAATTTCAATAGCTTTGGGGATACAAGTGGATTTTGGTTACATAGATGAATATGCACATTGTACATTGTGCCCAATATGTAATTTTTTATCACTTAGCTTGCTCCCATCCTCCCCCTTTCTGAGTATCCAAAGTTTATTATACCACCAACTACAGTAAAATTCCTATGGATAGTACATTTTGCCTTTAGTCTTATAGATACCACTCATTTCCAAAGTGACTTAGATTCCATTCTTCTTTATCCTGTTTGTGATAGTAGAGTTGGACCCTATACCTTTTTTTTTTTCAGCTGACATGATATTAAGCTTTTTCAGTAGAGAGTACTAGAAGGACACTGGAGGGATGCTGAAAGATAAGGGCTTCTCTTCCTGGTTCTGGTATGCTCTTCCCTACTTGCTCCTATCACATCATGGCAGCCAGCAGCATGTGGAATGTCCAGTGATGCTCACCCTTCCATCAAGTTCAGCCAACAGGGCCAGGCTCATGGGCACTCCAGTGCGATAACACAGGACCCCACTCTCAGAAAGGGCCTCGGGCTTGGTTCAATGCTCTGTGGAATTCAATGCTGTCTTGAAATCCTTAATCATTTTATAATTTTGTACCTAGGCCTTATAAGTAAAGTTTAATGGGGCAATAGAGCATGCATTGAGCAGAGGACATAACCAGATGATAGTAAACATGTGGTCTCAGGTCTGCAGGTACAGCAGACAGTGGTAGCTTGAGTGCTAAGCAGTTGGCCTGGCCATCAGGTACACACAGGCATACATGGGCAGTCTGGAACTCTGCAGACCCCAAGAGCATGGCCTTTGCTGGGACAGCAGCAACAGCAGCAGAAACAGCAGAGGTAACAGCTGCAGCCCTGAAAGAGAAGGAATACTCCTCATAGATGCAATGCTGGGACCTGTGTTGAGAGGCCAGTTTGCCCACCAACCCCAGAGCCTATCACTGTGGCATCAGCATAAATATTAACTCTCTGGCCTGAGCACCAAGACAGGAATTTTATATGGTCAGCCAATAAACTTTTTCTTCAATTCATTTTATAGTTAATAAAAGCATTAACATGGACATTTCCATAAAGCAATTGAGCAGTTACTCGAATTCTTTAAAGAGTTTGGAATGTCTGGTTTTGAAACCTACTGCAAGATTGAAAAGCAAATACCAACAGCCTTGAAAATAGAAATTAAATTTAAAGATTAGTGCGTTCAATGGGAGCCCAGTATTTCCATGTGAACTTTCCAATGAACCAATTGTCAACAATAAAGGCAATTTTTAAATTGATGTCTTCTCGTCATCGGAGATACAGCAATAGAATACATAACAGGCATTTTGAATTATATGCAAATCATGAAGTTATTTTTGGTTTCTTATACAAACTCCAGAAATTACAGGAAATGTCAGAGGAAGCATTAAAATCCCATTACATAAATTTACATTTAACACTAAGAGAAACAAATATTATTTATGTAAGGAGTTAAATCTTTTTAGGAAAAGATTTAGAATTATGCTTGAGATGTACTAAAGTTTATATTATAAAATAATGCCAGGAATTTATCTTGATTTTATCACAATCTATAACATACTCTTAACAGCTCCATTAACAGTTGCAACAGAAGAAAGATCTTTCTGAAAATTAAAAAATTATTTATTAATTTACTTTGCTAAATGCAATTGACATTACACTCAATTATAACATTAAAAATAAATTTGATAAGTTTGTATAGATTTGCAGAAAAAGGAGTCAGAAAAATCTCATGATCAATCAAGATATAACATTAATAAAGTATTATTTATTGTATTACATAAAATTATGACACCAAGAATATTAATTTTTAAAATTTGTAAGTTTGCTCTTTGGGTAGATTCTTCATGTTTACTGGAGCTCAGTAGCAAGCCAGGAGTGGATGCTCTTGGTCTAGAATTTGAGTGTTTGTGTTGTGATTCTTCCACTGGGATTTGCCATAAATTCCACATGGAATTTTTTTTTTTTTTTTTTTTTTGTCACCCAGGCTGGAGTGTAATGGCACAATCTTGGCTCACTGCAACCTCCGCCTCCCAGGTTCAAGAGATTCTCCTGCCTCAGCCTCCTGAGTAGCTGGGATTATAGGTGCCTGCCACTGTGCCCAGCTAAATTTTGTATTTTTAGTAGAGATGGGGTTTCACTGTGTTGGCTAGGCTGGTATCAAACTCCTGACCTCAAGTGATCCACCTGTCTTGGCCTCCCAAAGTGCTGGGATTAGAGGCAGGAGGCACTGCACTGGCCTCCACATGGCCTTTCTTCCCAGAACTTTACCTGTAATACCACAGGGTCTCTCAGGATTTATGACCCAAATATCAGGGCTGTTTGCACTGCACCATAGAGCTTCCGCAAAGTCCTTTCCTGATATGGGTATTTGAAGTTGACAGGCCTTCAGGTTACCCAGAGCAGCAGTAGACCCTAGGGTAGCCCCAATATTTGCACTCTGTTTAATCTTTTCCGCTTCAGTGTGATCAGGACCTATGACTTGCCTCTAAAACCAATAGATTACAGAAAATGTGGTGAGATGTAATTTCTTATCATTCATCTTTGATTTTTTTTATTTTTTATTTTTTTGAGACAGAATTTCACTCTTGTTGCCCAGGCTAGAGTGCAATGGCACGATCTCAGCTCATCGCAACCTCCGCCTCCCAGATTCAAGCAATTCTCCTGCCTCAGCCTCCCCAGTAGCTGGGATTACAGGTGACTGCCACCATGCAAATTTTTTGTATTTTTAGTAGAGACAGGGTTTCACTATCTTGGCCAGGCTGGTCTTGAACTCCTGACCTCATGATCCACCTGCCTTAGTCTCCCAAAGTGCTGGGATTATAGGCGTGAGCCACTGTGCCTGGCCCATCTTTGATATTTTTAATGATGCAGACTGAGTTGTATCCTTACTGATGTTTCATCTGTTTTACCCGATGAGTATGCTGTGTTTTGTTAATCATCTCCCGAACTTTCTACAGGTAAGGGCTTACTGGCTTCTGATGGCTAACATGCCCACTTTTCCTTTATTATTTTGGGGTCCTATCATCTCCAAGGCTATTCATGAGCCTAATTCTGTTATGGTGTTCACTACTGTCATCTCTGGCTCACAGAGGACAACCACTACTAAGACTAGTGCATCCCTCTCTCCAGTGTATGGTTTGGGAGTTTGCCGATCTTTGGAATTGGGCTATTGTGGAGAATAAGCCCTAAGCCTGGTTCTTACTGTTCTCTGCCTTTCCTCCACTCACAGGACATTAGAATTTCTTAGTAAAATAGCAAGGAGGTTCTATGGTTTTCATATGAAGTATTCAGTTGGAAATTAGTACTCTCAGCCTCTCCTTATCTTTTTCCAGAGTTTTAGTTTAGCAATAGCCACCAAGGTACATTGTCTTATATTTGATACTTTCCCCCAAATTTCTATCTGTCTCTCTCTTTTTTTTTTTCTTTGAGATGGAGTTTCGTTCTTGTTGCCCAGGTTGGAGTGCAGTGGTACAATCTCGGCTCACTGCAACCTCCACCTCCCAGGTTCAAGCAATTCTCCAGCCTCAGCCTCCCGAGTAGTTGGGATTACAGGTACACACCACCACACCGGGCTAATTTTTGTATTTTTAGTAGAGATGGGATTTCTCCATGTTGGCCAGGCTCATCTCAAACTCCTGACCTCAAGTGATCCACCTGCCTTGGCCTCCCAAAGTGCTGGGATTACAGGCATGAACCACAGCACCTGACCCCCACATTTCTCAAAGTCCTCATAGAGCTTATCAGATAACATCATCCACAACCACATTCATCATCAATAAACTTTTTAACAATTTTCTGGCCATGTTGCGCCAGGAGTTGTGTGGACTCCTACTGTGACTAGTTGTGGTCTTCATTGTTAGTAAGAAGAGAATGACCCAGCTCTAAACCCCCTAGCACCTGCTTTCCCACACCATGCTTGTCACCAGCTATTATAGAGATCAGCATGCAGGCTATTTACAAGGACGTGTTTGGGGCCAACGGCTGGGGAAGGGAAGATAAAGAAGCAATTTGGTCAGAGGGTGAGGTCAAGCTACCTACAGGCCCCGAAACAGTCTCAGCCAATCCCAACAGAAACTTGAAGCTGTGGTGGCTTTTCATGGTTGCCTTGAGTTGGCCTGAGGTTGTCAGGCTTTTATATTGCCACCAATTTTATATTAGTCAGACATGAATGTGGACCACCACAGGCAGAGATATGACTTTGGGTGACCTCAGATGAGGACCACCTACATGAAGGTGCTGCCAGCTATCTGTCCTCAGTGTTCCCAGCAAGTAGGGCAAGAATTCTTTCATTGAAAGGATACTTGTGTTACATAACACAATATCCATCACAGTAATTAGTGAATTTCATTTCTCTCCTTCTGTCATCTGAAAAAACAGATATAGTAAGAGAAATATACACAGCTCCTACTTGACATACTGGAAATTCTGGGCAGTGGAGGAAGATAGACTATTATAATGAAAACGTGCAGAATCCAGGATCAGCCTCATGTATAGGTAAATTAGGTAATGTCTTCTATGTTTTGAGTGATTCAGAAAAGCTTTATGCCTTAAAATCTCTATTCTACTTAGTTTTAATCTATTTCCATTGTCCTCTCTTCCCATATATATATATATTTTTTCTTTCTTTTTTTTTTTTTTTTTTGAGACAGAGTCTCGCTCAGTCACCCAGGCTAGAGTGCAGTCTCGTGATCTCAGCTCACTGCAAGCTCCGCCTCCCGGGTTCACGCCATTCTCCTGCCTCAGCCTCCCGGGTAGCTGGGACTACAGGCGCCTGCCACCACGCCCGGCTAATTTTTTTGTATTTTTAGTAGAGATGTGGTTTCACTGTGTTAGCCAGGATGGTCTCGATCTCCTGACCTCATGATCCGCCAGTCTCGGCTTCCCATAGTGCTGGGATTACAGGCGTGAGCCACCGCACCCGGCCCTCTCTTCCCATATTCTAAGAAAAAAAAGTAGTTATAAAACTTAGTACATGTAGTAATCAAAGGCAAAGTGTCCCAGCAAAGTTCTTGATGCTGAAGACCATTTTCCCCAGGAAAGGAAGCCTAAAAGCTAAAATAATAGCCAGATTAGGATGCTTACAATCTGTTTTAGAAATATCCTCAAAGAAAACCTAAAGGGATAAGACAATTAAAGTGCCCCCCTGCACACAAGTTGAAGTTGGGTGGTGGGTGGGGGTCAGGATTTTGTCTCCTAAACCAAGAAATGTGAGTATGCACAGAATGTAGACTCTGAGGTATCCCTCCTGTATGCGTGTTCACATCCAGAGGGACTGTGGCACCAGCTAGTGAAGATATGGACACTGCCCACCTTCAAAGGAGATGGGAAGACATTGGGAAGGAGTGAATTTGTTCCAGCTCACTGCTGCTGCAAAAATATGCCCAGCTCTTATGAGTTACTGTGTTTATTTTGTGTGTCCTGCTCCAATTTCATTATGATTTTTGTTTTTCTCATTATCTGTCTAAAATTCTGTGATTTGAGGCAGACACTCAGCCTCTGAGAGACAGAGGTTTGCTCTTAAGATAGGGAGGCCCCCAAGACTTTGATTCCCTGTTTGTTTATTTTCCTCGGGTGAGCAGATATGAAAAATACCTGCCACCATGAGTCAGAAGTTAGAGCCAGGACAGCAGGTCAGATGGCAGAAACACAGGCAGAGGGAGGAGAGTGTGAGGTATGTAAAGTTATAGTCCCTTTTTCTGTTTACTCTTTTTATACATTTCAACCTTTTAACACTTAAACTTTCCCCAGCATTCTTATTTCTGTGACTAACTCTTTACTTGCCCTTAGTTTACTCATACATATGGTAAATGACTGCTGAAGGTCGACCAGATGTTTGACTTCACTTACTCTCTCTTTGGGAAAACAATTGAATGAAATCCCAGCTACTCATTCTCCTGCAGGCAGGGGTATGCAGTGATCTCTTCTGAAAATGAAAAGATGAACATGCTTATTGTGTGGCTGGAGGCTCTGGAAGCATAAAGACACTTTCTGCTCCACCATGTTGAGAACATAAGGAATTAATTGTACACCTTGCTGAGGGGTAAAAAGGCACATTGTATATTCCAAGTATCAAGATCCTTCTTTTAGGATTAGAATATGTAGCTGACATGGAGAAAATACTTTCAAGATGTTGTGGAAAAAAATAATCCTCAAGACTCCAGCTCTTTACAACCTGATATTATTCATCACCTGCATAGTTTCATATCTCTGTGGGGTAGGAGTGTTTATTGTTTCTCAGAGACCATAACCCAGATATCCCTTCCAATCCATAATCAAACATGAGTTCTCCTGAAAGATACAGAAATAACGCAGGGGAGAAGACATGCGAACTCTTCCCAAGAGTTTCAAAACACTTCCAGATATGAGAGCATTCAAGAACAATTTCCTCCTTGGAGATTTCCAGGCTTCTATCAGAAGGACAGGCACATGGCTTTGCATTTCATATTCACACTGGATCCCAGTGTGAGTCAAGCACATAGTCTGGCCTTCTCTGCCCGTGTGTGCAGAGGCATTCAGACAAACCATGGGGAAGGACCATGTAGAGGAACGGACAGGACATCTGCAGTCACAGTGGGTTCCTACCCCTGCCTGACTCTTACCTAGTTGTGTGCTCTCTCTGAGCCTCAGTTTCCTCCTTTGTAAAATGGGGTTGGCAATTCCAAATGGCTATTCTGATCATTAAATGAGAATAATGGTGACAAATTCCCTGCACAACAGAGACACTTAATAAATACATGAGTAGTTAGATCCATAAGGGCAGCACTCTTGTTGATCCTCAGCACTTTCCTCAGTGCCTGGTATAGAGTAGATGCTCAAAAATATATGTGGGATAAATGATTCATATTCTTTCCAATTTCCCATCACAGTCACTCTATGAACTAGGTAAGTGCCCCATTTCCTGTCAAAGAAGGACTGCATTGACCTATCAGGAGAAGCTATAGTGGAGCCTCAGTTTCTAGATTTATGTATTCTTATTCCATTTGTGGAAATATAAATGGACACAATCACTTTGTAGAACAATTTGGAAAACAAGTCTAGCAAAGTTGAACATGTGCGTACACCTTGAGCCTCAGCACTTCCATTTCTAGGGAAATATACAAAGAATGTACAAAGTATATACAAACTATACAAAGTATGTACAAAGAATACACCTTTGTATATAAAGCTACGTTTACAAAAATATTCGTGTTAGTAGTAGCAAACACTGAAAAAACAACCTACATATGAAGTAACTGGAGAATATACATACTCTGAATATTCTCAATGTGATATTTTACAAAAGAAAATTAATAAAAAAGAACTTTAGATGCCAGCATGTATTATTCTCATGTGAATAATTTTGGGCAAAAAATTCATTTATAAAAGAATATACATATGGTTGTATACATATAGTTTAAAACATGCATAACAGTCATATATATTGCTTAGGGATACAAACATAAATAATTGAAGTCTGAAAAATGCAAGGAAGAATGAGCACTATATTCAGAATCATGGTTACCTCTGAGATGAGGAAGGGGGGTAATTAGGCAAGAAGATGCAGGGAAGTCTAACAGAGGGAAGTCTTGGTAACATGTGGTGTGTTAGGAAGGTGGTGGGAAACACAAAGGTATTTATGTGGATTTTATTTAATATATATTAAAAATAAAAAATACATGTATGAAAAGAATCTTCTCATCCTTTCTCCTCTGCTAAGAGTTAGAGGAATCCTACAGAGTTTGCCCACCTCTCCATTCTAAAGATAGATAACCCAAGGCCCAAAGGACTGAATAATTCACTTAAAGCTACACTGTCAGATAGTGAAAGAACTGAGATTAGAATCCAGATTTTCCAGGTCCTGGGCCAGAGGTTTTCACACTGCTCTTTTAAACTGCATTTGGTCCAGTTCCCTTTTCCTCCTTATAGGAAGGAAACTGAACATAGGTGTGAGCAGAGGCATCAGAAGGGTTCAGGCATCACAGGTGAACCACACAGGAGGCACAGAGAAAGGATGCCCTGAAGCCAGGCAGACAGAATGTTTTTGAGTCATTGTTTAAGCAGTTTCTCTAAAGCCTCCACTTTTCTTGCCTTAGAAAGATTGTGAGGTATTCCTAGAAAAGATCATGTGGACTTGCTTAAATTTTTACCCCTGATCTCTGGAAAACTAGGACCAAAAATGCTAAATCTGGGTTTCACCATCAAAACATTCAGACTTCTGGGGACTTTTAAGTTTATGTCCTCAAAACTCTCAAAGTAGGAGAATTCACAGTTAAAGGTTTCAGTTTCAGGAGTTCATGAAAATAGCAACATGTGGCAAAAAGTTTGTGAATAAAGAAATGAAGCCCCCACGTGTAACTCTCATGTACAAAATGTAAGAAAAAAATGGCACTCAAAGTAAAAGAAATGTCAATACCACTTTACCTATCTTATTAAATACTCATATATACTCGACAATGAATTTCCACCCTACACTTTTAAATTCTTCCTCCCACTAAGTTTCAAGCAGATCAGGTCAATTCAGTTGCTTTGTTACTGATGACAAGTTCACAGGGCTATTTGTGGCTATTCCTCCTTTTGTATGTGACAAGGTCTTGCTGGTTTTTTAACCCAACATTTTGAATGCACACTTTTCTGTCCTATGTTTACTCTAGAGAGACAGTTACTTGGCTGCTTGAGATACAAAAAGTTGGGAGATCCCCTATTGCGTCAATCCTCCCTCTATCTAGGGGACTTTCTGAACCTACTTCCCGAATCCATGAGGTATATAGATGTGGCTCTGTCATGGCCACACTGTTCCACAGCTCAGGGCACCTTCTTGACCCGGCTCCATACTCCTAATCCTCCCTTAACCACAAAGAGGATTCAGCCCAAGGCCGGGTCACCTGACTCCATTTTCCCTTATTTCGCCTCATACTCTTGCTAAAAATTTCTACATCATTTCGACGTGGTCTTTCTGAAAGCCTTTATGTCACTTTGCTATTTCCTCCTTTAACAAGTATTCCCAGGTGGATCAATGCCCACTTGGAGTTTCTTCAGAAAACTTTTCTAGAAAAGATTCATTTCTGTTAGGATTTTGCTCAAGAAAATTTTACAGGTGGGGCCTATTTACTGGGTCTACTTCTCAGTCCACAGCATGTCTACCAAGCCACATAAATGTGACCACACCTTCAAGGGCCACCATATGCCTGTGGATGGAACAATGGATGAGGGAGCTCTGGCATTATTTTTCAACCTCAAGTGGAATTCATACCTTTCCCCCTTCTTGTTCTTTTTAAGCTGGGGGTCATGCTAGTTGCACCTTGTTTCTTTGCTACAATACGTTGATGTGTCTTGCTTCCTTTCAACATTTGTATAGATCTTTGAGGAGAAGAGCATGTCATGTTGTAAGAGAGGATGAGGCAGAACTTGTGAATCTGAGTGAAGCCCACCAGGTTGCACAGGGAGGTGGGCAGCATGGGAGGGCAGGACCTCTGGTGCCATGGGCAGTACTTATGGTTGAGATACATCAATGCCTTTCCAAGAAGGGAAAGCAAGATGAGGGAAAGGCATTCAGATCTGCTCTCTTTGCATTTCCACATGCACAACTCTGACCCCAGTGGTGGAGCAAGGCCAGGCTTACCTGGAGCAAGGCCTAGATGATGGCCATTGGATGGAACTTCACGTCCACCAGAGGCCTCAACCATCATTTCGATGTCATCCCTGGACAAAGTTATACAGAGTCCCAAAGAAGCACAAGGGAGATTGAAAGGAGACACTCATCATACAACTCTGATCTTAAATTTTGTTCTCAGACTTCATATTTCTTTCTGTGATAAATCAATACTTTCGATAAATTATTAAAAGTTTTTCTGAATAGCATAATTGCCTGATCACATTATAACTTCTATTTATGAATTAAATATGTAAAATACACTTCCATTTTTATAATCCCGTTTTTTCCTATTTCTTCATTATTAAATATACCTTAGATATATACAGTTTACATGTTTCAAACATACTTAAATTTTATTGAAATATACCTGTATTCTAAACATGGGTCCTGACAGATGTGCCCTGGTTTCTTTCTCGCTGTCAGAATGGCTGAACATGCTGAAGGACAGGCGAGAGGCAACTGGGTATTCTGGGTTCTACCTTTTAGTTTTGAATTTTTCTTCCAAGAGGTTAAAATATAAGATTGCAGAACTCACAAAAATGAGTCAGTGGTGGTGATTCTTTGGTTTTCTGAACATAATCACATTTACTTCATTTGCTTTTTAACAGCAATAAAGAAGACACAACATAAATCATAAAAGTTGGCCTGGGCCTTGCTGGCAGAAAACACAGAACCTAAGAAAAATGGTCCATCACAAATAAGAAAAACACCAAAGACCAAACAGCAGCACTGGAAAAAAAGAAAGGGGCAGGGGAAGGAAGGAGGGGGAGAGGAAAGAAGGAAGGAAGGAGGGAACGAAGGGAGGGAGGAGTTCTTGCATTGCCTTGAACATGACTAGTCTCCTGTTTGCTAGAGGCATAAACTTGCCTTGATTCTAGGTGAGAGCCTTGCCAGACATCACCTTAGGAAGAGGATGAGGAGGAGGAAAGTTAAATTTTAAATTCACAGTTTGGCGACCCCAAAGAGACTGTGCTAAACTTGGGAGGGCAAGTGCCTCATTCACAGGAAGCAACTGAGGTATCGAAAAATCCATTAATTGGCAAGTTTAAGTTCCTTGCTCTCTGGAGGTTTGAGGATTCAGAAGTATTGAATTGTTCAATTGCTTACAGGAATTATGCATACCTCAGTAACAATACTTAAAAGTTCACCCTTGGCCAGATATGGTGGCTCATGCCTGTAATCTCAGCACTTTGGGAAGCCAAAAGCAGAGGGATCAAGTAAGACCAGGAGTTCAAGACCAGCCTGGGCAACATTAGTGAGACCGTTGTCTCTTTAAAAAAAAAAAAATCAAAAAATGAATTGAGCACAGTGGTGCATGCCTGTAGTTCTAGCTACTTGGGAGGCTGAGGCAAGAGGATCACTTGAGTCCAGAAGTTCGAGGTTGCAGTAAGGAGCTATGATTGTACTACTGCACTCTAGCCTGGGCAACAGAGCAAAACCCTGTCCTTCTCTATTATTATTATTAAAATAATAATAATAATAATAATAATAAAACATTTACCCTATTTCATGCTTACATGCAGACCCGTTTTAGCTTTTACCTTGTAAAAATGGGATTCTACCCATACACCTTGCTCTCCATGTTGCCCTAAAGAATCTGCCCAGTAACCAGTTCTTGTCACTTTCATCACTTGCCTTATGTTGGTGTGAAGGAAATCAGATGTCACTAATAGGAGGGAGGGGTCCCAGGCACCTCTAAAATGAATAACAAGGTCCTTCCAGAAGGAGAATATTCCTGTAGAAATTCTAGTTATTGTTGCAATTAACCCAGTGAATGAGGATTTGTTTATTGAATGCAGCACAGGGCAACTGCATGATGAATTGTCAGGAAAGACGTCCAAACTTCTTTAACTTTCATTGTTTGCACTGAAACATGGAATTAATATGGCTGATTTGAAGGGGAAGAGACATCTCGGAGGGTCACTGCAAAGTATTAAGGATCTGAATTATGGAGTATTTTAAAGGAATGAAATCTTGTGACATTTAAGTTCTGAAATTTACCAGAAATAAAATATCTACAAGGAGATCTGATGGTCCTGCCTATAGAGAAAATGTGAGTGAATAAATGAGTGAGCCAATGAATGAAATTCACTGGATTCTGGGGGTGAGGAAAACAAAGAGCTAGTGACATGAAAGATTATTTGGGGTTTTAAGGGCATGATGTATTAAATACTATTAAATTGCATAGCAAAAAAATCACATTTTTAATTCCCTTCATACATTTTGATTCCCTAAGGAGGAAGGCTCAATGCACAGCTATTGATTCACACTTTGCTAACCTTTGCCAATCACCCTTAAAAATATGTAAAGAAAGAGAAGATAATTCTTCAGCCTGGAGCCATCAATAGACAACATCTAGCCAGAAATTAATAACTTGTACTGTTTCATTTGAATTAATGTTTACTGATAGCTTTTATTTATGAACTGACTCTTATTTTCATTTACCTATGTGACATAAAGTTTCCTCTGGAAATATATTTATTTATGGAAAAATGAGAGTAGATATAAAGCAAAGTATTCCTGAAGCAGTACATGTGATTCAAGATATGTGAAACTCCAAGCATGTTATATGAATGACAGATGTTTGGGAAGCACTGCGTTAACACATAAATTGTTCATATACCACAGTTCTTTAAATATTTGTTGCTTAAAGTAGGTCAAACATGTCCCTTGTTTACACTATTACTTGCTTAGCATGTTAGTTTCTTCATAGATGCTGTAAAAAATCATTTCTTCCAATGCAGAGACATTTTTGCACTTTCCCAATTATTTGAGCCAAATTTAATGAGATTTCATAGTAAAAGAATCCTAATGTGGAATATTAGCTTCACAAAAAGTAATGGTCCCTCAGGAAATCAGGAAATTGTTTTATGACTAACAATTTAGGCTAGGGTAGTTGTTTGGAAAGCTCATGGGATCTTCTAATATCCAGGGCAATTGATGGAGAATAAAGACAATTATGTTTACATTCCAATCCTCTCTTTAATCAATTTTTCTTTTTCTATAGCTTTGTCTGCCTTTTCAAAATAGGAACAGAAGGAAAAAAAAGGTGGCTTAATGTGAAGGTGGTGTGGGGAGGGGGTTGGAAAGTAGGTAAATGGGCTGAATTAAAAGTAATGAAAAAAAATGAAAACAGAACCTTGACAGGGGAAGCATTTTATAGATGATTCATTCCAAAAGATAGCAAAAAACACATCCTTTGGAAATTGGCAGATGTGACTTCAATTGCTGGCTTTGCCACCTACCAGCCATGAGCCTCAATTTCCTCATTAGTGTATAGTATAATGGCGTGATTAAATCTTGCTCATTGGAAAAAAGCACAAGTGGGAAAGACAGGGTAGGGGAATAAGTCAGGAAACAGCTTTGGGGGGTTGATTGAAAAAGTATTCCTCTTCCTAAAAGAATTTGGAAGTCGTAGTTTTCAATCAGAACAATTAGGATCTGTAAAAGTTGTTCTTATGAAGATAAATCAAAGTACATCTATTGTCAGACAGAAATATTTTCAGAGTGCAGCTATAGAGCAACATAATTGTTTTTCAATAAAAAAGCACATATTTACAGGGCTCTACAAATATTTGATCAAGACCTAAAAGCATAACCACAGTGATCTTTACCTATGAAGACGCAGAGGCAGGTTTCTCTTACAGTCTGGAGAATTTTGGCCTCTTTCTAAGCATTCATGAATTTTAGAAGCACAGAATCCAGGTTTTGCTCTATATCAGCTATATTAGGGTGAGATGCTGGCCATGGGTCATATTTTCAATATAAAACTTACTCTCCTGCAACAAGTGATTAGCTCTAATCCCCTTTAATTTCTTACAGATCATGGGCTTAGTTAATATGCATGTCTGTCATAAGGGGCTGGCATTATGCTAAAAATCTGGTCCCAGCATGTTGGGAAATGTATTATGAACAATGTCATCTTTACTTAGCTGAGACTCTCCCTTTAGTCTGAAGACGAGTGATTAAGAGTAAGTAAAAGAGGAGGAGAGCAGAGTAGTGACAGGTCTTGGTGAAGTGCAAGATTTGACTGGGGTCCGTACACTTATGGCAGATAGTGGGTTTGATGAATGCAGTGGGAGGAGGATGCATATGGAGCCCAGACTCTGCAGAAAGGAGTTCCCACATTCATTCTCGAGAGGGCAGGAAATTTAAGATGAGGCCAGGATGTCTAATACCATAGCTAATCCAAAAAGCCAGGCAGGCCTCTCTGTCCAAAGTAGGAACTGGCTAAGTTGAACTTTTCTGACCACCTTGAGAGTGTGAGACAGCCCATAGCCAGGGGTTACCTTTCTCTATTTTGTTGGAATACCAGAATTAGTGCATCACAGTGTGCTAACGAATCTGTGTTTGGGGCCAAGAATTCCTGCCTCAGACATCATCCTTAAGACTATTATGGCTTGCCATTGTCTTAGCTCACTTTCCTGGCACACTAACTTCAGAGAGTCTTCAAACAGGATGGTCACCACTGTAGTAAGAATAGGACACTGGAAAGCATGTTGTAACTGGGAGGTAGGAGGCAGGACTCAACTCCAGAGGCAGGGCTTGGACACTGGACCAGATTGAGGACTAGCTAAAACAGGGAAGAGGTAACCTCTCCACAAGACATGCCCACTAGTGTGCATGTCAGTTTCCCATTGCCATGGCAACACCTAGAAGTTACTGTCCCTTTCCAAGCCAATGACTTGACAATCTGAAAGTTACCATCCTTTTTCTAGAAATGTCCACATAATCTGCCCCTTAATTTGCATAAATATGACTAAACAACTGCCTCTGAGCTGCTGCTCTGGGTGCACTACCTGTAGGTAGCCCTGCTTCACTAGGAGCAGTACCTCTGCTGCTGCTGTACACTGCCACTTTAATAAAAGTTGCCCAGCACCACCAGCTTGCCCTTGAATTCTTTCCTGGGAAAAGCCAAGAACTCTCCTGGGCTAAGCTCCGGTTTTGGGGCTCACCTGTCCTGTATCAACTAGAAAGCTTTATGTGACTTAAAACAGGCTCATTAAGAGATGATTCAGTCCCAGGGTTGTTGGGTGATGTTCCAAGGGGCCCAGGAGGGGATGCCTTGAGGAAGGAAGAGATAGTGTTACTGACAAAGCCAGTCCTCCAAAAGATGGGTTCTTTCTTTGTTTGGTGTCATGAAGCCAATATGTGAAACCAAAAGTGATTGTCAGGCAATGCAGGCTTCATTTGATGGCCGTGGAACTGAGAAGCAGGAGCGTGGCTCACAAATCAACTTCTCAGTTCATGAGAGCTAGGAAGCCACAGATATGGGGCACCTTAAATGTAGGTGTTGGGTATTAAAAGCAAGGATAGGAATATTCATGTCTTTTCCAGAAATAGGCAGACAATTTCTCAGGACCAGAGTGCTGCCTTCCTTTTTGTCCTTTTATGGTTTCTTCCAGTCATTGTCATGGTGATTGTCAATAGTCATGGGCTGGAGGGAAGGTCATTTAGCATGGAAATTAGATTATAATGAAGTTAGAGGTTCTGCAGAGGTCAAGTGAGCTGCCGTCTTGGATCCTTCCAGTTTCAGCCAATTTGGTCGCCAGGGGAAACTTCTAATTGCAAGCATCCTGTTTCTTAAAGATAAGCAGAATTAAGGTGGAGTAAAATTTCAGCTAGGTCACATAACAGTAGGTTTAGGGTCGACTGAGGTGTTGAGGGATGAATCCCCGTTGCTGACTCAGTCAGAGCAAACTCATTTTTAATTGATATTCATATTGGGACGCTAAGTCAGATTCTTTTTAAATTAGATGCACTTCTGAGGCTCAAATCATCACAAGAACCAGTAACAGGACCCAATCTCCCCATTTTCTAGGTGCTGAATTGAGGCCCATGGAGATATTCAACGAGAGTTGTGAGCCAACTGCTGCATCAGGTGTGTTGTACAGTGGTGATCAGGACAGATACCTTCCCACTCTCTTGGAAGTTACATTCTGCTGAGTGAAGTGGAAGACGCCCAGATAGCAAACAAATCATTAATAAATTATACAACAGTTTCTGCTCCGGGTCAGCCTGGAGTGCTCTTGAGCACCCAGTCAGGCTCTAAAGAAGTCTCATTCCTCCTTAGTCTTTCATAGGGTTCTAGAGATCCCCTGGGGTTTAGAAATGCCCTGAAGCTCTCCTTACATGGGGGTTGGAGAGAGTAGCCTGGGTGCAGGTGACCTGGAAATGCCACCTGCAGGAAGGCAGCCTACTGGGCTTGCCACTCTCTCTATGGCTCTTTTCTCAGTCCACATGTCAGACACATCCTGGCAGCAGATATTCTCACAGTCAACTAATTGGGCTTAGCCCAGTGCCTCTCAGAAGCTTCTCCTTATTAGCAACTTGATCCTGCCTCCAGGTGTCCCAAGTTCCTACCCTTGGGCTATTAATGTTTTACCTCAACATTAATGAATGCTCCAATGGAACCTCTTCCATCAGGAAAAATTTGATCCCCTATCAGAACTTCTCCTAAATCATTTCCAACAGAAAATGTTTCTCTTCTCTCAAGAGTAGGATGCCCTTGGTCATTAGAATTGCCTGGCCTGCATGAGGTGGAAAGAGTGGAGGGAGGGAGGAACAATTTCACTGTGATCCGAGAAGAGTCATTTTTGCACGCCAAATGGAAAAAATGACTCTTTTTGTAGCAAACGCAGAAAAAAAGAAGAAAAGCAATATATTTCCACATATCAATGATACACTGAATATTCAAACACTGAGATCCTGCTACCATGCCAATTGTGGTAAATGGTTTGATAGACAAATGTGGAGTGAGATGAGAACTTGTAACGAGGGGTTCTGACCCAGCCGAGGGGTTCAGAGAAGTCATCCCTAAGGGGGCAAGGAGAAAAGAGTGTTCTTAGCAGAGGGAAGAGCAGGCTAAAAGCCCTGCGGGCTGGATGCGGTGGCTCACGCCTGTAATCCCAGCACTTTGGGAGGCCAAGGTGGGCGGATCATCTCAGGTAGGGAGCTTGAGACCAGCCTAAAGAACATGGAGAAACCCCATCTATGCTAAAAATACAAAAAATTAGCAAAGCATGGTGATGCATGCCTGTAATCCCAGCTACTCAGGAGGCTGAGGCAGGAGAATCACTTGAACCCGGGAGGTGGAGGTTGCGGTGAGTCGAGATCTCACCATTGCACTCCAGCCTCGGGGGGCAACAAGAGCGAAATTCTGCCTCAACAAAAAAAAAAAAAAAAAAAAAAAAGGCCCTGGGGTAGCAAAAGACCTGGCATAGTCAAGGAACTTAAGGTATCTTAATGGAGCTGGAGAGAAGAATGGGGGGATGAGCTTGGAGAGATACACGGGCATAAGTCATCTGAGGCCTTACAGGCCGTGTCACACAGGGCTTCACTATGAGGGATCAGTGAGCACATGAAAGGTTATCAATTTACGTTTACCAAAATTGGAGGAAGGTAAAAGGTAGGTCAGTTAGAAAACTATGGCAGTCTTTCAGGAGAGAAATAATGTTGTCTTACATTTGCTGGTGGCAGTGGATGTGGGGAGGCATGAATGAATTCAAGAGATATTTAGGTTGTAGAATTCCTGGGGCTTGACCAGGCTGAGTCAGAAGAAAACAGTATTTTAAAATTGACTCTGAGGTTTATCATGAGAAAATAGGTGCCACTGAGTGAGGTGAAAGACAATAAAGAAAGCATCATGAGTTCAGCTTTGGATGGCTGAACGTGTCATTGTTCAAGGCTGCTGTAGTGGTTCTTCCCAGCAGAAGTACCCTGCACAAATCTCAGTGAGGTGATCAGCAGCCCTAGAAGGCAGAGCTCCAGACTCTAATCTCCACCTTTAGATTCCCCAAATTCCATGGCCATAACTGGCCACTTTTGAAAGGTGATTTTCTTCAGAATTCCTTTGAGGAAGGTCATGCTTTTGGCCTGTGACTTTGATGTCAGGTGTTAATAGTACTCAGCCTCTAAGAGAGACATAAAAAACAAAATCAAAGGGAAAGGTTTCTTTCCCCTTGGGACATTCCTAAGATCTTATTTCAGGAAAGAAAAGGGGGCTGAATGTTAATGTTTCTCAATGCCCAATAAGGCTTTAAAATCCCATTGATAGTTTAGCAACCAGAAGAGACTTTCTCAAGTCTACTGGCACATGACAGAAGGTGATGATGAACCAGGGTCTCTCAGAAGGTAAGAGAAACCAGTGCCTCTTTCATTTTTTGAGTCATTCCTGATATGTTAAAAATAAAGAAATGCTAAAACAGAGATATAAAAATTGTGCCATATTTTAAATATTTTCAATGAAGAACTTAATGCTGTTAACAAACACAATGCCATATGAGCCATTCACGATGGTATTAAGAGATTTATGAATATTTTTAGGTATAGTTCAATATAGGCAGTGTGGTCTGGAAACAGGTAGACAAATATAATTTTAAAGCATATTAACACCAACTCCACACGACATATAGGAAACGTGTGCCAAAGTTTCATTTGATTAATGCAGGAAAAATGACACCAGTTAAAAAGGAGGCTATGAAAAATTGAGATTCTTACAGCAAATGGGCAATTCAGGAATGCTAAAGTATGATTACTAAATTAGATATTAAATGATGAATATGCCACAGAGTAATGAAACATAATCTGTGGCTTATCTTATCTTAGAGCCAGAAAAGAAATTTATCACACCTTATTGGTTTCTCAGAATTGTAAATATCTGGACCCCAATCAATTGTGCGAACTCAGTTACCTTTCCCTAGAGAGTCTGATGACCCTTCATCAGACCTGTTGAGCAATGCATGGTATTAAAGAACATACAATCATGCTTTGCCTTGTTTCTAAATTTTTCTTAGCAAGACACAAGTTTAAAATTGTATGACAGACATCTGCTGCTTTTAGTCTTACCTCTGTGACTGGTTGCATAAATATCTATTCCCAGGAGACCAGGGCAAATAGTCCTTCTACATCTTCACCTTCAATACACGAACACCAGTCAGTTGTATCAAGCTGCAAGCCAAAAATAAAATTCTAAGGCCCCCAGTTGACTGAACGGATGCCTCTTCTTGGCCAAGGGCATTCCAAAGTAAACCGAAAAACTAGTTCAGGTGGCAATGGAAAGGGGAATCAGACCTGCCTCATTATACCCTCCTCCCTTTGGGATTCAGGCATAACTTACCAACATTAACATTAAAATAGAGATCTTAAGATTGACAAAACAGACTCTCTAGCAAATAAGATACCAGATTCGAACCTGACTCTGGTATAGCATCACATGACAGACAGTAGGCTCTGAAAAAAATTGAAGTATTTTTCCCCAAACTATATTTTTTGGACATATTTTGAAATGGCCCTGTAAAGTTGTCTGACGGAGAAAATCTACATTCTGTACAGAAGGCTCTTTCCTTCCCAGGTCCTTTCCTGATCCAGGAGAGAGTTAATTCTTAAAGATTAAAATTAGATTAAAGATTAAGATTAGAGAAAGATTGAGATTAGACTCTTATATCTAGCACATTTTAGAGTCCGATAAGAGACATTTACCATCTATTCTCTCTGAAGCCTGCTACCTGGAGGCTTCACCTACCTAACAAGAACCTTGGCTTCCACAGTCTCCCCTTATCTTAACTACAAACGTTTCTTTCTGCTGACTTCAACACTTCAGGCAGAAGTTTCAACCAATTATCAATCGTGAAATATTTAAACCACCCAAGATCTGGAAGACTTCACTTCTCCATATTCTGCTTTTCTAACAGGAATCAATGTACACCTTACACGTATTGGCTTATGTCTCTGCCTGTAACTTCTGTCTCCCTAAAATGTATAAAATCAAGCTGTAAGCCAACCACCTGGGGTATATGTTCTCAGGACTTATTGAGGCTGTGCTTCAGGACTTGATCATTCACATTTGGCTGAGAATAAGCCTCTAAATATTTTACAATGTGACTGTTTTTTGTTGGCAAAGCTCCAAATTGAAAAAATATTCTTAATCCATTGATAGTTGTTTAATAGTGAACTGAAGATTTATATAAGGCAGGCTTCTCATGTTGAAAAGTGCTACTGTATTCTCATCCATCAGAGAAAGCTGTTGAAGAGGTGAGAAGAGGCAATGTAATGTGAAATATCACTTTTTTAAGGCAGTAGTACTTGAGTGAAATTCTGTGAAGAGATGCAGGGATGGATTGTTGAAAATTTTATGTAATAGAAGAAAATGTCTCATAATAAGTTATGTTCAGAAACTAAAATTCTGTGAGTATGACCAAAATACACTTATCTAATACAAAAATCTCTTCCACAGTGAATACCATTAGGGGCTTATTTAGGAGTATGCACTTATATTTGCAATTTAATAGTCATTATTTTTGGAAGTTTTATTAAATCTGTAGAACCTATGCTGTTATGGTTTTAGTATGCATCAATAACTTTTAAAACTAATTCTAAGTTCACTTTGAAAATAGATAATAGAAAAATTGCATGGAAAGTTACAAATAAGGTGTTGAAAAGATATAAATATTCACCCCAAATCAATTACTACTCTTTTCTCTAACTCAGCATCTATCTAAAAATATCCTGGCAATCCAGAAATTGACATGTCTCCACAGTCCTGTGCAAACACTATTTTGAAATCTAGTTTAGCAAAAACAAAACTTCCAAGAGGAACTAAGATCGGTCACCTGCATTTTCTGCTGAGGGTTGCTGAAGGCAACTTTAGCTGCGTTGTCAACAGTGCTTGCATGCCTCACCTGGAAGGAATGGGACATTTTGGTGGTATTTGTAATGGGACCAGGATCTGTATTTCAATTCAATTCCTACTCGGTTAGACTTCAAAGTTATCCTGGGATTTTAATTAAGCACTTGTTGAATAGTAACTGTATGTGTGTCTCTGTGTTTTCTCTTCCACTTTTTCTCAAGATGGCACCCTGCTTCATTCATCCTTGATATGGTTTGGCTGTGTCCCCACCCAAATCTCATCTTGAATTCCCATGTATTGTGGGAGGGACCTGGTGGGAGGTAATTGAATCACAGGGGCAGGTCTTTCCCATGCTATTCTTGTGATGGTAAGTCTCATGAGATCTGATGTTTATTTTAAGGGGGAGTTTTCCTGCACAAGCCCTCTTCTCTTGTCTGCTGAGATGTGGGACATGCCTTTCACCTTCTGCCATGACTGTGAGCTCTCTCCAGCCACGTGGAACAGTTAAGTCCAATAAATCTCTTTCTTTTGTAAATTGCCCCGTCTCAGTTATGTCTGTATCAGTAGTGTGAAAACAGACTAATACTGTAAATTGGTACCAGTAGAGTGGGACGCTACTGAAAAAGATACATGAAAATGTGGAAGCAACTTTGGAACTGGGTAATAGGCAGAGGCTGGAACAGTTTGGAGGGCTCAGTAGAAGACAGAAAAATGTGGGAAACTTTGGAACTTCCTAGAGACTTGTTGAATGGCATTGACCAAAAGCCAGATAGCAATATGGACAATAAGGTCCAGGTTGAGGTGGTCTCAGATGGAGATGAGGAACTTGTTGGGAACTGAAAGCAAAGGTGACTCTTGTTACCTTTGGAGCAAAGAGAGTGGTGGTATTTTGTCCCTGCCCTAGAGATTTGTAGAACTTTGAACTTGAGAGAGATGATTTAGAGTATCTGCTGGAAGAAATTTCTAAACAGCAAAGCATTCAAGAAGTGACTTGGGTTAAAAGGCATTCAGTTTTATAAGAGAAGCAGAGCATAAAAGTTTGGAAAATTTGCAGCCTGACAATGTGATAGAAAAGAAAAACCCATTTTCTGAGGAGAAATTCAAGCCAGCTGCAGAAATTTTCATAAGTAACGAGGAGCCAAACGTTAATTCCCAAGACAATGAGGAAAATGTCTCCAGGGCATGGCAGAGGTCTTAACGGCAGCCCCTCCCATCATAGGCTTGGAAGCCTAAGAGAAAATGGTTTCCTGGGCCAGACCCAGGGCCCCTGTGTTGTGTGTACTCTAGGGATTTGGTGGCCTGTGTCCCAGCCACTCCAGCCGTGATTAAAAGGGGCCAAGGTACAGCTCGAGCTGTTGCTTCAGAGGGTGGAAGCCCCAGGTCTTGGCAGCTTCCACATGGTGTTGACCCTGTGGGTGCACAGAAGTCAAGAATTGAGGTTTGTGAACCTCTGCCTAGATTTCCGAAGATGTATGTAAAAGCCTGGATACCCAGGCAAAAGTTTGCTGCAGGGGTGGGGCCCTTATAGAGAACCTCTGCTAGGTCAGTACAGAAGGGAAATGTTGGGTTGGAGCCTCCACATAGAGTCCCTACTGGGGCACCACCTAGTGGAGCTGTGAGAAGAGGGCCATTGTCCTCCAGACCTCAGAATGGTAGATCCACTGACAGCTTGCACCATGCGCCTGGAAAAGCTGCTGCAGATACTCAACACCAGCCTGTGAAAGCAGCCGGGAGGGGGGCCTACCCTGCAAAGCCACAGGGGCAGAGTTGCCCAAGACCATAGGAACCCACCTCTTGCATCAGCGTGACCTGGATGTGAGACATGGAGTCAAAGGAGATCATCTTGGAGCTTTAAGATTTGACCACTCTGCTGGATTTCAGATTTGCGTGGGGCCTGTAGCCCCTTTGTTTTGGCCAATGTCTCCCATTTGAAATGACTGTATTTATCCAATACCTGTACCCCCATTGTATATAGGAAGTAACTAACTTGCTTTTGATTTTACAGGCTCATAGGCAGAAGGGATTTGCCTTGTCTTGGATGAGACTTTGGACTGTGGACTTTTGAATTAATGCTGAAATTAGTTAAGACTCTGGGGGACTATTGGGAAGGCATGATTGGTTTTGAAATGTGAGGACATGAGATTTGGGAGGGGCCGGGGGCAGAATGATAATGGTTTGGCTGTGTCTCCGCCCAAATCTCATTTTGAATTCCCACGTGTTTTGGGAGGGACCTGGTAGGAGGTAATTGAATCACGGGGGTAGGTGTTTCCCATGCTGTTCTTATGATAGTAAGTCTCATGAAATCTGATGGTTATGATAACAGGGAGTTTTCCTGCACAAGCCCTCTTCTTCTCTTGTCTGCTGCGATGTGAGATGTGCCTTTCACCTTCCGCCATGATTGTGAGGTCTCCCCAGCCACACAGAACTGTAAGTCCAATAAATCTCTTTCTTTTGTAAACTGCACCCTGGTCTCAGGTATGTCTTAATCAGCAGCATGAAAATGGACTAATACAATCCTTATATCTCTAGCACACATCCAACTGAATGTCACTGTTAGTCCATTTGCATTGCTATAAAGGAATACCTGAGGCTGGTAGTTTATACAGAAAACAGGTTTATTTGGCTTACATTTCTGCAAGTTGTACAAGTTTGGCACATACATCTGTTTGGTTTCTGGTGAGACCTCAAGAAGCTGACAATCATGGCAGAAAGCAAAGAGGAGCCAGTGCATCACATGGTGAGAGAGGGAGCAAGAGAAATAGGGAGGAGATGCCAGACTCCTTTAAGCAACTGGATCTCATGTGAACTCACTGAGTGAGAACTCACTCATTACTGTGAGTACCAGCAGCAACAAGCCATTCATGAGGTATCTGCCCCCATGACCCAAACACCTCCCACTAGCCCCATCTCCAACATTAGAGGTCACACTTCAACATAGGATTTGGAAGGGATGAAACATCTAAACCATATCAGTCATAGACGTGGAAGACACACAAGATGCTTGTTGTTTGACTGATTGGAATTAAATTGTTCCACTTCTCAGGGAGAAATGCCACAATCACAAGCTTCCCACCTGGGGCCCAGGATGCCATAATACCAGGACATTTCCTAGGAATTGAGCCATTACCTCTTCCTCCTATATTGAACATTTGGGGAAGGGGATAGGAGGGAAGTACATGCAATTTTACACAAAATGTGCATTGCTACCTGTAGTAGGCAGAATAACGGCCCCCAAAAATATCCAGGCTCTAACCCCTGAATTATGTAAATGTTACCTTTTTAGAGAAAACTGTATTTGCAGATGTGATTCAGTTAAAGATCTTGAAATGAGGAGACTAACCTGGATTATCTGGGTGGGTTCTAAATGCAATCAGAACTATGCTTATAAGAGAGAAGCAGGGAAATTTTGATAGAGAGAAGGCCACACGAAGAAAGAACAACAAGAGATATGAAAATGCTGGCCTGGAAAATTAGAGTGATGATGTGATCACAAGCCAAGACAGTCCCTAGAAGTTGCAAAGGCAAGGAAGGGATTCTTCCCTAGAGTCTCCAGGGGGAGCCCAGCCTTAACACCTTGATTTGACCCAATGATATTGATTTTGGACCTTTGGCATCCAGGACTTTGGTAAGAATAAATTCATGTTTTTTTTTTCTTTTATTATTATACTTTAAGTTTTAGGGTACATGTGTACACTGTGCAGGTTAGTTACATATGTATACATGTGCCATGCTGGCGCACTGCACCCACTAACTTGTCATCTAGCATTAGGTATATCTCCCAATGCTATCCCTCTCCCCTCCCCCCACCCCACAACAGTCCCCAGAGTGTGATGTTCCCCTTCCTGTGTCCATGTGATCTCATTTTTCAGTTCCCACCTATGAGTGAGAATATGCGGTGTTTGGTTTTTTGTTCTTGCAATAGTTTACTGAGACTGATGATTTCCAATTTCATCCATGTCCCTACAAAGGACATGAACTCATCATTTTTTATGGCTGCATAGTATTCCATGGTGTATATGTGCCACATTTTCTTAGTCCAGTCTATCATTGTTGGACATTTGGGTTGGTTCCATGTCTTTGCTATTGTGAATAATGCCGCAATAAACATACGTGTGCATGTGTCTTTATAGCAGCATGATTTATAGTCCTTTGGGTATACACCCAGTAATGGGATGGCTGGGTCAAATGGTATTTCTAGTTCTAGATCCCTGAGGAATCGCCACACTGACTTCCACAATGGTTGAACTAGTTTACAGTCCCACCAACAGTGTAAAAGTGTTCCTATTTCTCCACATCCTCTCCAGCACCTGTTGTTTCCTGACTTTTTAATGATGGCCATTCTAACTGGTGTGAGATGGTATCTCATTGTGGTTTTGATTTGCATTTCTCTGATGGCCAGTGATGATGAGCATTTTTTCATGTGTCTTTTGGCTGCATAAATGTCTTCTTTTGAGAACTGTCTGTTCATGTCCTTCGCCCCCTTTTTGATGGGGTTGTTTGTTTTTTTCTTGTAAATTTGTTTGAGTTCATTGTAGATTCTGGATATTAGCCCTTTGTCAGATGAGTAGGTTGCGCAAATTTTCTCCCATTTTGTAGGTTGCCTGTTCACTCTAATGGTAGTTTCTTTTGCTGTGCAGAAGCTCTTTAGTTTAATTAGATCCCATTTGTCAATTTTGGCTTTTGTTGCCATTGCTTTTGGTGTTTTAGCCATGAAGTCCTTGCCCATGCCTATGTCCTGAATGGTAATGCCTAGGTTTTCTTCTAGGGTTTTTATCGTTTTAGGTCTAACATTTAAGTCTTTAATCCATCTTGAATTGATTTTTGTATAAGGTGTAAGGAAGGGATCCAGTTTCAGCTTTCTACATATGGCTGGCCAATTTTCCCAGCACCATTTATTAAATAGGGAATCCTTTCCCCATTGCTTGTTTTTCTCAGGTTTATCAAAGATCAGATAGTTGTAGATATGTGGCGTTATTTCTGAGGGCTCTGTTCTGTTCCATTGTTCTATATCTCTGTTTTGGTACCAGTACCATGCTGTTTTGGTTACTGTAGCCTTGTAGTATAGTTTGAAGTCAGGTAGTGTGATGCCTCCAGCTTTGTTCTTTTGGCTTAGGATTGACTTGGCGATGTGGGCTCTTTTTTGGTTCTATATGAACTTTAAAGTAGTTTTTTCCAATTCTGTGAAGAAAGCCATTGGTAGCTTGATGGGGATGGCACTGAATCTGTAAATTACCTTGGGCAGTATGGCCATTTTCACAATATTGATTCTTCCTACCCATGAGCATGGAATGTTCTTCCATTTGTTTGTATCCTCTTTTATTTCCTTGAGCAGTGGTTTGTAGTTCTCCTTGAAGAGGTCCTTCACATCCCTTGTAAGTTGGATTCCTAGGTATTTTACTCTCTTTGAAGCAATTGTGAATGGGAGTTCACTCATGATTTGGCTCTGTTTGTCTGTTGTTGGTGTATAAGAATGCTTGGGATTTTTGTACATTGATTTTGTATCCTGAAACTTTGCTGAAGTTGCTTATCAGCTTAAAGAGATTTTGGGCTGAGACAATGGGGTTTTCTAGATACACAATCATGTCATCTGCAAACAGGGACAATTTGACTTCCTCTTTTCCTAATTGAATACCCTTTATTTCCTTCTCCTGCCTAATGGCCCTGGCCAGAACTTCCAACACTATGTTGAATAGGAGTGGTGAGAGAGGGCATCCCTGTCTTGTGCCAGTTTTCAAAGGGAATGCTTCCAGTTTTTGCCCATTCAGTATGATATTGGCTGTGGGTTTGTCATAGATAGCTCTTATTATTTTGAAATATGTCCCATCAATACCTAATTTATTGAGAGTTTTTAGCACGAAGGTTGTTGAATTTTGTCAAAGGCCTTTTCTGCATCTATTGAGATAATCATGTGGTTTTTGTCTTTGGCTCTGTTTATATGCTGGATTACATTTATTGATTTGCGTATATTGAACCAGCCTTGCATCCCAGGGATGAAGCCCACTTGATCATGATGGATAAGCCTTTTAATGTGCTGCTGGATTCGTTTTGCCAGTATTTTATTGAGGATTTTTGCATCAATGTTCATCAAGGATATTGGTCTAAAATTCTCTTTTTTGGTTGTGTCTCTGCCTGGCTTTGGTATCAGAATGATGCTGGCCTCATAAAATGAGTTAGGGAGGATTCCCTCTTTTTCTAATGATTGGAATAGTTTCAGAAGGAATGGTACCAGTTCCTCCTTGTACCTCTGGTAGAATTCGGCTGTGAATCCGTCTGGTCCTGGACTCTTTTTGGTTGGTAAGCTATTGATTATTGCCACAATTTCAGCTCCTGTTATTGGTCTATTCAGAGATTCAACTTCTTCCTGGTTTAGTCTTGGGAGAGTGTATGTGTCGAGGAATTTATCCATTTCTTCTAGATTTTCTAGTTTATTTGCGTAGAGGTGTTTGTAGTATCCTCTGATGGTAGTTTGTATTTCTGTGGGATCGGTGGTGATATCCCCTTTATCATTTTTTATTGTGTCTATTTGATTCTTCTCTCTTTTTTTCTTTATTAGTCTTGCTAGCAGTCTATCTATTTTGTTGATCCTTTCAAAAAACCAGCTCCTGGATTCATTAATTTTTTGAAGGGTTTTTTGTGTCTCTATTTCCTTCAGTTCTGCTCTGATTTTAGTTATTTCTTGCCTTCTGCTAGCTTTTGAATGTGTTTGCTCTTGCTTTTCTAGTTCTTTTAATTGTGATGTTAGGGTGTCAATTTTGGATCTTTCCTGCTTTCTCTTGTGGGCATTTAGTGCTATAAATTTCCCTCTACACACTGCTTTGAATGCGTCCCAGAGATTCTGGTATGTTGTGTCTTTGTTCTCATTGGTTTCAAAGAACATCTTTATTTCTGCCTTCATTTCGTTATGTACCCAGTAGTCATGCAGGAGCAGGTTGTTCAGTTTCCATGTAGTTGAGCGGTTTTGAATGAGATTCTTAATCCTGAGTTCTAGTTTGATTGCACTGTGGTCTGAGAGATAGTTTGTTATAATTTCTGTTCTTTTACATTTGCTGAGGAGAGCTTTACTTCCAAGTATGTGGTCAATTTTGGAATAGGTGTGGCGTGGTGCTGAAAAAAATGTATATTCTGTTGATTTGGGGTGGAGAGTTCTGTAGATGTCTATTAGGTCTGCTTGGTGCAGAGCTGAGTTCAATTCGTGGGTATCCTTGTTGACTTTCTGTCTCGTTGATCTGTCTAATGTTGACAGTGGGGTGTTAAAGTCTCCCATTATTAATGTGTGGGAGTCTAAGTCTCTTTGTAGGTCACTCAGGACTTGCTTTATGATCTGGGTGCTCCTGTGTTGGGTGCATATATATTTAGGATAGTTAGCTCTTCTTGTTGAATTGATCCCTTTACCATTATGTAATGGCCTTCTTTGTCTCTTTTGATCTTTGTTGGTTTAAAGTCTGTTTTATCAGAGACTAGGATTGCAACCCCTGCCTTTTTTTGTTTTCCATTTGCTTGGTAGATTTTCCTCCATCCTTTTATTTTGAGCCTATGTGTGTCTCTGCATGTGAGATGGGTTTCCTGAATACAGCACACTGATGGATCTTGACTCTTTATCCAATTTGCCAGTCTGTGTCTTTTAATTGGAGCATTTAGTCCATTTACATTTAAAGTTAATATTGTTATGTGTGAATTTGATCCTGTCATGATGATGTTAGCTGGTTATTTTGCTCGTTAGTTGATGCAGTTTCTTCCTAGTCTCGATGGTCTTTACATTTTGGCATGATTTTGCAGCGGCTGGTACCAGTTGTTCCTTTCCATGTTTAGCGCTTCCTTCAGGAGCTCTTTTAGGGCAGGCCTGGTGGTGACAAAATCTCTCAGCATTTGCTTGTCTGTAAAATATTTTATTTCTCCTTCACTTATGAAGCTTAGTTTGGCTGGATATGAAATTCTGGGTTGAAAATTGTTTTCTTTAAGAATGTGGAATATTGGCCCCCACTCTCTTCTGGCTTATAGGGTTTCTGCCGAGAGATCCGCTGTTAGTCTGACGGGCTTCCCTTTGAGGGTAACCCGACCTTTCTCTCTGGCTGCCCTTAACATTTTTTCCTTCATTTCTACTTTGGTGAATCTGACAATTATATGTCTTGGAGTTGCTCTTCTTGAGGAGTATCTTTGTGGCACTCTCTGTATTTCCTGAATCTGAACGTTGGCCTGCCTTGCTAGATTGGGGAAGTTCTCCTGGATAATATCCTGCAGAGTGTTTTCCAACTTGGTTCCATTCTCCCCATCACTTTCAGGTACACCAATCAGACGTAGATTTGGTCTTTTCACATAGTCCCATATTTCTTGGAGGCTTTGCTCATTTCTTTTTATTCTTTTTTCTCTAAACTTCCCTTCTCGCTTCATTTCATTCATTTCATCTTCCATCACTGTACCCTTTCTTCCAGTTGATCGCATCAGCTCCTGAGGCTTCTGCATTCTTCACGTAGTTCTCGCCTTGGTTTTCCGCTCCATCAGCTCCTTTAAACACTTCTCTGTATTGGTTACTCTAGTTATACATTCTTCTAAATTTTTTTCAAAGTTTTCAACTTCTTTGCCTTTGGTTTGAATGTCCTCCCGTAGCTCAGAGTAATTTGATCGTCTGAAGCCTTCTTCTCTCAGCTCGTCCAAGTCATTCTCCATCCAGCTTTGTTCCGTTGCTGGTGAGGAACTGCGTTCCTTTGGAGGAGGAGAGGTGCTCTGCTTTTTAGAGTTTCCAGTTTTTCTGTTCTGTTTTTTCCCCATCTTTGTGGTTTTATCTACTTTTGGTCTTTGATGATGGTGATGTACAGATGGGTTTTTGGTGTGGATGTCCTTTCTGTTTGTTAGTTTTCCTTCTAACAGACAGGACCCTCAGCTGCAGGTCTGTTGGAGTACCCTGCCGTGTGAAGTGTCAGTGTGCCCCTGCTGGGGGGTGCCTCCCAGTTAGGCTCCTCGGGGGTCAGGGGTCAGGCACCCACTTGAGGAGGCAGTCTGCCCATTCTCAGATCTCCAGCTGCGTACTGGGAGAACCACTGCTCTCTTCAAAGCTGTCAGACAGGGACATTTAAGTCTGCAGAGGTTACTGCTGTCTTTTTGTTTGTCTGTGCCCTGCCCCCAGAGGTGGAGCCTACAGAGGCAGGCAGGCCTCCTTGAGCTGTGGTGGGCTCCACCCAGTTCGAGCTTCCCGGCTGCTTTGTTTACCTAAGCAAGCCTGGGCAATGGTGGTCGCCCCTCCCCCAGCCTCGCTGCCGCCTTGCAGTTAGATCTCAGACTGCTGTGCTAGCAATCAGCGAGACTCCGTGGTCGTATGACCCTCCGAGTCAGGTGCGGGATATAATCTGGTGGTGCACCGTTTTTTAAGCCCGTTGGACAAGCGCAGTATTCGGGTGGGAGTGGCCTGATTTTCCAGGTGCCGTCCATCACCCCTTTCTTTGACTAGGAAAGGGAACTCCCTGACCCCTTGCGCTTCCCGAGTGAGGCAATGCCTCGCCCTGCTTCGGCTCGTGCACGGTGCGCGCACCCACTGACCTGCGCCCACTGTCTGGCACTCCCTAGTGAGATGAACCCGGTACCTCAGATGGAAATGCAGAAATCACCCGTCTTCTGCGTCGCTCACGCTGGGAGCTGTAGACCGGAGCTGTTCCTATTCGGCCATCTTGCGAAGTTGATCAATTCGTGTTGTTTTAAAGACACCAAGTTGGTGGTAATTTGTCATAGAAGCAATAGGAAATGATATACCACCTGGCCTTCTCTCAGATGGCTGTCCTATCTCCGCACCCACTTCTCTGCAATTCTCCAAACTGAGAAATCTATGATAAGGAGGTCACTGGATCTGAAGTCAGAAGTCCTGGCCTCATATGCCCACTCTTTATGTAACAGCTGTCTTCACTTTGCCAGGTTCCCAAGTTCCCTTAATTGTACTTGGCCTGAGGATAGATAAATCAGAGCCATAATTTTTGCCTTCAAGGAGCTCACAGCTGAGTGCATTAGACAAATAGGCAATCACAGAAGATCACTGGACAATGTGTACTGAGAGAGGCAAAGGCAGAGCTCTAGGGGAACTCACACGTGCTTGCAAGCCCTTCACCCAGGCTGGAGGGAGGGAGTGAAGCATGGCAGGGAGGACTTTCCAGAGGAGCTAATGAGATTACTCAAGCCCAGTAATAAGACTTCCACTAATTGCTAACATTGTTAATGCTATCTGCCAGCTCTGCACTGGACTGCTGGCGCTGGGGGAGCAGAGCTCATATGGAGCGCGATGTAAGTGTGCCATCCGGAGTTAGGTGATGCAGCAGCCTTCCCTGGCAGTGCCAAATGCTTTACACAGGTGAGTTCATTGAATTTTTGCAGTCACAAGCAAGTGACTATTTTTAATCTGATTTTCCCCACAAATAAACTGAGGCACAAAATGAATAAGTAACTTGCCAGAGCTCCTACAGTTAGTGAGGGGTGAGAAGTTCTGAGAAAGTAAAACCCAGTCTTTATCCATAGCTCCTGCTTTTAACCATTCTTGAAATGGATATTATTTTTCTCAGACACGGACTGTGTAACTCAGTGGTGCCGAAACAAAATATGGTGTATTTCTCTATGATGAAATGTAAAGTAGCTCCAAATCTCAATTTCTACTTATGAAAAGAAGAAGAAGGCAGCAGTTTAACCTTAACACTCAACCACACGTGGGTTCAACTTAGTAACTGCTAGTTTCCATTAGTTGCTTTTGGATGAAAGCAAAATTCAGAATGTACCCCTCCCTCCTATCTTTCCTAGGGGACGTCTGAGTTTAGAGATACCTTATTTGGCATAGTAGTGTCAGAGTTGACTGAGGCTGTCAGTTCCACGGGCTCTCTGTCCTTCTTAGTCCACCTGCTAAGGTGCTGTGGCCCTCAGGCTGCCGCTCAGTAACTTCCACACCTGTCAGATGTCTTGGGCTATTTCAAAGTCAAGGGGGAGCCTCTCTCTGCACCAGTATTGATTCTCCAGAGTTCAATTCCAACTGCATGGTGAGCTAATGCTGTGACCTTGGACATGTTGCTTAACCTAAAATGCCTCAATTTTCTCCCCGTTAAATAAAGAAGATAATCGGAAACCTTTGTGAGGTCTTTGTAGTGTGTTAACTTGGCTAGGTTAAACCACAGTCCCAACGTTTTTTCCTCTTCTATTTCTGGTTACAGTGGGAACCAAGAGAGACTCTTGTTGGAGGTTTGGAGGGCAAAGCAAAGCAGCTGCCATGCTGCAGCTCACATGTGTCCTGGCTCACCTGCCAGCTCACCTCAATGGTGTGAGGCCACAGCTGGGCCTGCAACTGCTCCCCATTCCCTTAGACTCTCTCCTTCAGCTTCTCTGGCTCCTGGGCCAGCTGTGTGTGTTTAGTTCCATGATGAAGGGCCCTGGCTTTTGGAAGGCAGCCACACCAGCAAGGTTACAGGCAACAGGAAGTGATACTGTTTCCAATCTGTCCTATGGATTCCACAAGGCTCCAGGTCATTTTACTGGTTCCAGCTTGTCCTTGCTCTCCCTCAATTTACATCCATCCTCCCTCCCCTACTGCCTGCTCTGTGGATTGCAAGCTCCAACATCAATTGTAGAAACAGCAAATGCAAGAGCCATACAGAGGCTGCTGAACCAGCTCCCACGATTGCATCAGGTCAGATCTCTGTAGGAAGTATGTCCCTTGAGTGGTTCTGCCTCTCTGATTGAGCCCTGACAGATGCTTCTCTCCAGATGCTGCTGTGAGATCCACTGAGGCAATGATGGAAAGCCATTAGAGGAGATCCTGGCACACAGGAAGCCCTCAGTACTTGGCGAACATTGTCATCTAGGAAAACAACAAGGGTTTGGAGATAAGACAACCCTTGATTCAATCCTAGATTTGTAGCCATGTGTGTTTGACCAAGTTATTTCTACCTATAGCGTTGTTATGAGGATCAGGGACGAGGTACGTGCAGGTCTGAAGCATAGTCAGTGCTTATCCAGGATAGCCAGTACAGTTGTCCAAGCTGTGCACTGCACATTCCTGGGGTGCCACTGAGTTGAAGTCCATGTGAGTGACTATCTAGGGAGTTGCTCAGGGAGCAGTCGGGGTGGCGGTGTACAGCAGTCATCCATAAAATGATCCCTAACTGAACATAGGTTGTGTTATTATGGTAAGATGTTTAGAAAAACACAACCTAAGTTCAGTTAGCTACTTTCTATCCCTCATCACCAAATACCATTAATCAAAATCAGGTTTCCAGCAGATTGTTGATAAATCATATTTTCCATCTGTGTTAACCTAAGACCCACCCATTGCCATTATCATTCCTGAATTGATAAACACTATCAGCACTTAAATTTTTTTTCAGGGGGGTGCATATTAGGAAGGGAGTCATAAAATATTGTATAATTCATCAGTGATTTATTTGTGCCTAGCTATGATGATTTTGGAGTACATAAAGTCTGGGAAAATGGAGGAAGATTTTCCTAGGGGAGGGTGAATGGGAAAAGTCCAGAAATAACTGGTAAAAAGATGTTCAGAGAGTGGATGGCATATACATAGAGGTCTGAAGGACTGAAGATAAACAAAAGAATGAGAGTTTTTTTGTGAGTGTTTTTTTGGTTTTTTTTTGTTTGTTTGTTTTTTTAACCAAGTAGTAGAGTTGTATCCAAGTTAAAAGCTAACTTCTGCAAGAATCTTCATAAGGAAATATGTCTTCTCAATTCCCCACGATGGGGCATTCCCTTTCGAATGCCTTTCAATGAGAAAGCAGTGCTTTTAGATAGACGTACATAGTGACTTTGTCCCATATGAGATGTTCAATGGTTGTAAACATTTGGGAGCAAAGTGGAGATTTAAATTTAGGCATCAAATACCTGCCTTTGCAGGAGCCTCTTATAGAGATGCATGTAATAACGCTACCACAGTGAAGAGAGGAGCACTGTAATGTAACCAGGACATCTGGAGCCTTCCAACTAAAAATCAGAGTGAATTTATATGCTGACAAGCCACCAACACACAGGCCTCGGCCAAGGTATTCACAGTGATAGGAGATTATGGGCTGACTGCTCTTTTCTTAAGCTATAAGCATGCAGAATGCTCCTGTCTTCTCTCTTTGTCTCTTCAATGTTTCTCTCTTTTCCTTTCTCCTTTCTCTCCTCTTCCTGTGACTCAATCTGTGTCTCCTTTTCCTTCCCTTCTCTCTTCTCTTCCCTTATTTTTTCTTTCTTTCTTTAGTGTTTGAGCTTTGGAAGCAGACCACCTGGGTTTGAGTCCCAGCTCAGCCACTTAACAGCTGTGTGGCCTTTGGTCAGTTTCTTAACCTCTTTGTTTCCTTGCTAGGATGGCAACCATCATGTCTACCTCACTGGTAGTGTAAGGATGATGTGAGAAGATCCTTATAAAGTTTTTATCAGAGTACTGCACACTTAGTAAGGGCTCTGTCATGTAATCAATTCTAATTATTTTCTCTCTCTTTTTCTTCTTTTTCTTTTTCCTTTCCTCTTTTTCTGTCCTTCTTCCATTCTCCCCTCTTCTTGCTCACCACCAAAAGTAACTAAGGAGAGATGAAGAGTTGAATTCCGGAAGGAATCTCAAGTCTTCATCTGTTTCACATGCGACCTTACATCTTCTGGCCAGGGATCTTTCCCACACATCACATAAAATCCCTCTGCTTGCAACCAAAGTCCTTTCCATTTCATCCTGCCCCTTGCAGGAAAGGTGAAATTCAGGAAACACAGTTCCTGCTATTTGTTCAAAGAAAAACTTGACATTGTTGTATAGTCCACATCAGGAAATGATTTTATACCTATGTTCAAAATTGTATATTTTAAATCTCAGATGAAAATACTATATCATAGATAAGGAAATCTATGGTGCTATAGACTGAACATTTGTGTCCTCTTAAAATTCATAAGTTGAGATGTGATGGTATTTGGATGTGCATCCTCTGGGAGAGATGCTAAGGTCAAGAGAGTGTTCTCATGAATGGGATTAGTGCCCCTATAAGAAGAGACACGAGAGACATGATCCCACCACATGAGGATACAATGAGAAGATGCTATCCATAAATTAGGAAGACGGCCCTCACCATATACCTAGTATGCCAGCACCCTTATCTAAGAGTTCCACCCTACAGAACTGAGAAAGAAACTTCTGTTGTTTAAGCCACTGAGCCTATGGTATTCTCTTATACCAGCCTGAACTGACTAAGACAAGAGGTAACCACAGTTACAGGGTTTCAAGATTTCTCATTGCATAATTTCACTTCTTCCTTAAGAAAGAAATCCTTGAGGAAAATGGCCAACAAAGGAATCCCAGATTCTTTAACACATGATCCCCCCAGGAGGCTTCAGAGAGCCGGGTGCTTCTGCTAAGCAGTTTGGGTACCATAGGCGGGCTTGTGATACCCTTGTCAAGTTCTTCTTAGAGGCCTTGTACACTAAAATCCTAAGAATGAGGTCTTTATCTTTATTCTTTAGACACTTTCGTTGGTGTTGTGGGAGGCCACTTAATACCAACCTTCACTCAGGTTCTGAAAAGTCAGCAGTAGGCATTTAAAAACTGAAACCCAAACATGTCCAGCAGTCTCCATGCTTATATTTTTTTCCTATCAGCTGTTAGTTATCAGTGAAAACGAGGAAGATCAATAAAAACAAGAAAAGATACCTGCAGCAAACTCAAAGCTGTTTTTTTTTTTTTTTTTTTTTTTTTTAGGAATACAATCAGTAGGTATCGTTTTGTGCCCTCTGAGCAGAACCAGCGTGGAAGGCCCTGATGGAGGAAGAAAACCATTAAGAGACTAAGCATAATTAACCATTAGAATTCATTAGTGAAAACTATCAGAGTACTTTGCTAATTCTGCAGATTTAAAATTGGGCTTAATTTCTAGAAATAGACATGCAGAGGAAGTTTCTACTGGTAAAGTTGTTACGGACATTTGCAAACCTCTTTTCATCTGCAAAATGATCTTCAGGTTCTCGTATGTTCTCTGAGAACCTTGCCCTCTCCACAACTGTGAGAGACCCCTGGTCCCCAGGACCAATCAGAAAGAACTTGGAAAGTGAGAGATTTCTAATATTTGTGGGTTTATTTGTTCATTTGCTCATTTATTCATTCACTTAACAAATGTTGATTGAGTACCTACTATGTGCTAGAGACCACTGTAGGGGCTGGGAACAGACATGGAAACAATGGGCAGAACACTCTGCTCCCAGGAACTCACACTCTAGAGCAGGGGTCAGCAAACCTTTTCTGCAAACAGCCAGATAATAAATGCTTTAGGCTCTGTAGGCCACATGGCCTCTGTTGCAATTTACTTGATTTTGCTGTGAGAGCACAGAAGCAATCAGAGACAAAATGCAAGTTAGCAGGAGTAGCTGTGCTCCAATATAACTTTATTTACAAAAATAGGTGGTGGGCCAGAGATTCATGATCAAGTTTACCTTGTATTAGTCTAATTTCATGCTGTTGATAAAGACATACCCGAGACTGGGTAATCTACAAAAACAAAGTGGTTTAATGGACTCACAGTTCCACATGGCTGGGGAGGCCTCACAATCACGGCAGAAGGAGAAAGGCACATCTTACGTGGTGGCAGGCAAGAGAGGATGAGAGTCAAGTGGAAGGGAAAACCCCTTATCAAACCATCAGCTCTCATGAGACTTATTCACTACCTCGAGAACAGTATGGGGGAAACTGCTCCCATGATTCAATTATCTCCCATTGAGTATCTCCCACAACATGTGGGAATTATGGGAAATACAATTCAAGATAAAATTTGGGTGGGGACACAGCCAAACGATATCACCTTCCATTTAAGTCTTCCCCATTTTCTTGTTTTAGTAGCCTGCTGCATACCATACTCATTTTATCAGCCTCCTTCACCCTGTTTTCAGGGGAGCAGTTCTGCCCATTGGCCAGGCCCACGCCCTGCCATCAGATTTCAGTGACACTCCACCATTAGCAGTTTAGATAACTAAACACCTATTAGCTGAGAACCCCAGATGAATTCCGTCATGTGTGATTAGCTTCTGGATTCTCTGTCATCAGCCTCTGCTCACCTTCTGGAACATTGTGTGAGTGAGTCTCTGTAGACTCCCCCATGCTAGAGGAAGGATTAGACTATGCCCTTCCATCTGTTGCCTTTTGTCTGCTAGTCTGGACTTTCTCCTAAGACTTCAAAATGTTAAGGGACCACTAAGGCCTGCTCTACCCAGTAAGCAATTCTAATTTCTGAATCTAGTTTAGAACCCATCTGTCTAATCTATTGCACTGCAACGAAACAGTAAAAATTCAGCCACATATCATAAAGATTATCAATTATTTTAATACATTTGGCTTTAATATTGCTTGTTAAGGTGTTTTGTAATATGTAAAGGGGAACAAAGGAGAGAAGTGTGTGCATGTGGATGTCCATGTGTGGTTGTAGTTGGAATATGATGAGAGAAAGCAGTTGTGGACTTGTTTAAATGGAATGCACAGTTGACCCTTGAACAACGTGGGGGATAGAGGGACACCAGCTCCCCTACCCAGTCAAATCCACACGTAACTTTTGACTTCACAAAAACTTAACTATTAATAGCCTGCTGTTGGCCAAAAACCTTACCAATAATACAAACAGTTGGTTAATACATATTTTTTATGTTATATGTATTATATACTATATTCTTTATAATAAAATAAGCTAGAGAAAAGGTTATTTAAAAGTCATAAAAAGAGAAAATATACGTACTACTCATCAAGTGTAAGTGCAACATTATAAAGGTCTTCATCCTCATTATCTTCATGTTAATAGGCTGAGGAAGAGGAGGAATAAGAGAAGTTGATCTTACTGTCTCAAAGGTGGCAGAGGTAAAGAAAATCCACATATAAATGGACCCACACACTTTAAACCCATGTTGTTCAAGGATGAACTGTAAATGCAACAAGGTAGAGAACATTCTGTGACCTTGACAGCTGGAACCAGATTTCCACCCAGGTACAAAATTGTCTTTGTTGGAAAAATGCTGTGTAGGGTTACAAGTGACTCACTCTCTCCCCTTCCTGCTGGGTGAAGTTTCAGGTGGGGGGTGCTACTTGTCTTAACAGAGGAAGAAAAATTGCAAAGTCTTAGACCAATCCAGTGGAGAGGGGGTAAGGAGCAGAGACATAGGGTTTAGAACAAAAAGAAAAATGGCACCAATGTGGTGGCAGAAAGGCTAACCCAGAAAACTATTCAGTAAATGCCACTAACCCCAAAAATATTTGGAGTAAGAAGTATTTGTTGATTCTTGGTTAGTGACAATGAAGAAGGATCTGTGTTTCCACATGTGAGGCATCCCACAGACAATGATGAACAAGCTGGAGTTGAAGAGGCCAAAGAAGCAGGAGAACTTAAGACTTCCAGGAATTCTCAGAAATATTTGGACGAGCTTTGGACTGTCTCGTCTCCTCAAATCTCAAGGACTGACATGCGGTTCAGAATTGACATGCCTGAATTATGTAAGAAAACCCCAAAACAAAATTGCACCTACCTTAAAAGCAAGATATTCTAATTAAATCAGTACTAGAATTAATGTGAAAAAAGCAAAATTCATCAGTGGAATTTCCAACATCCTCTCCCTAAACATTTGACTCTCTGATGCAATATTCCCTCTAGACACCAACCAGTGTTCTGTGTGGTCACAATTGTCCCATCTTTTAATCATAGTAAAACTTACTTCAGGAATAGCCTATGAATTTGTCTATATAAAAGTCTGAGAGCTGACAATGTTAAGACCACTTCAAAGGAATATGGACCAGAGCCTCAGAATTAAAGCCTAAAATGCATGCAGTGGGATTTCATGGACAATTGGCATGCAGGAAACATTCTGGGCAGAGGCACATCCAAGTGTTCTTAAAATCACATCAAGGCAGAAAACTTTAAGTTGGAGCACTACCTCACACCATATAGCAAAATATATTTTAAATGAATCAAAGAATGATACCCTTAACTATGAAAAAAATTATGAGCCTTTTACATTGCAAAAAATAAAAATAGCAAAGCCAAAGAAATATGGCACAGTGGGAAACAAGTTATTTGCAACCCACATTAACAGTCATAGGGCCTAATTTCCTTAATATATCATGATTTAACAACGTCTCCATTCATGTAACAAATACTGATTGTTTGCCCACTATGTATCAGCAAAATTCCAGGCATTGATTTGTGGATACAGTGAGTAAACAAAATAGATAAAGTCCCTCTTCTCATGCAGCCTATATTCTGGAAGGTGTGTACACAAGTTGTGAGAGATTTTAAAAAAAGAAACCCAAACACATCAATGAACAAAAGCATAAACCGGCAGATCTCTTAAAAACAAATATAAAAAATGACAACTCTTAGTTATTCAGCACTTTCTGTTCTAAGGGATTTATGTTGCATCAAATCACTTAATCTTTACAACTCTATATGATGAATACTGTTATCTTCATCTTCATTTTAAAGACATGAAGAAATAAGTATTAATAACTTGCACTAAATAACAGAACTAGTAAGTAATATATCTAGGGTTTGAACCTAGGTAGCCTGCCTCCAGAACTCACACTTCTTAATCATTAGGTTTAACTAGCTATTTATTTATTTATGTAACTTTAAAAAGTTTTTTATCTTTTCAGAGACAGGGTCTCACTCTGTTGCCTGCAAGGCTGGAGTACAGTGGTGCAATCACAGTTCTCTACAGCCTCAAACTCCTGGGCTTCAAGCATCCTCCTGCCTCTGCCTCCTGTGTAGCTAGGACTAAAGATGCATGACACCATGCCTGGCTAATTTTTTAATTTTTATTTTGTAAGATGGGGGCTCTCACTATGTTGCCCAGGCTGGTCTTAAGCTCCTGGCCTCAAGAGGTCCTCAAGCCTTGGCCTCCCAAAGTGCTGGGATTACAAGCTAATTTAGGATTGCAGCCTAAATTAGATAGTAATAACTGAAAATATACACTTGATTTCATTCACAATTTTAACTGCAAGTTAAAATATACAGTTGATTTCATTCATAATTTTAATTGCAAGTTAAAACAACTAGGTGAAATGGTATGACATTTTCACCTAGCAAACTGGTAATAACAATAAGCCTTAGTGCTAAGAAATACACAGGGGAAAGGATCTCTTACTGACTGTTGGTGAGAGTGTGAATTGGTGCAACTTTCTTGGAGGGCTGCTTGTCAGTGTGTATCCAATCTAAAATCTATGCACCACTTAGCCATTCTACATCTAGGAATTTATTTTCTAGTTATATTCACTAATTTGCGCAAAGCTGTATGTATAAGGATTTGAAATTTGGTACTTTTGTAATAGACAAACCCTGAAGATGATTTAACTTTTATTAATAAGAAAATAGTTAATTCAAACGTGCTTCATTCAGTCAAAGGAATACTATGCTGCTATGAAAAAGAAGCCAGATTTGTACTTTCTGACATGAAAAGATCTTTTCATTATATTACTAAGTTTTAAAAAATCAAGAAAGCAAGAGCCAGGACAGTGGTATAACTTGCTCCTATTTGTATAAAGTAAAAGGAGACCCACATGGACACACTCACAAAGAATACACAAGAAACTTCTAATGTTAGTTCTTTTGAATTGGGAGCCCAGGGTGGAAGGATGACTCTTTTCATTGTTTAACTTCTCCTTTTTTAAAAAAAATGCACATATTTGTCTTTCAGTTGAAAAATATTGTTTAATTGAAAAAATACCCTGTAAGCCTGTATTTACAAGCCAATCTTGAACACTAGAATAACCCTGAAATTCCCATGAGGGCAATACTGGGCAGTAGATTCCCAGGGCATGAGGCTGCCCCTCCCCTGCACCTTTAGAGATCAGGGTCTATCCTTGCCCAGCCTTGAGGGAATCAGTACCCGAAACCATCAAGGCAATTCCATAAATGGGAATTTGCCCAGTGCAAAAACCAACATAATACCCTTCAGAGTCATCCAGACAGGCTGGTTCCCTACATGATAGTCTGCAAACTTTTTCTGTGAAACGAGAGAAAGTAAATAGTTTAGGCTTGGGCAGAGGGTTGGGGGGGCACAAAGATGTGGTTCTTGCCACGTGTCTTTTTGGTTGTTATTTTCAAACTCCATTTAAATATATAAAACCCATTCTTAGTTCTCTGGTCAAATAAAAACAGGCTGCAGGCCAGCTTTGGCCTTCAAACGGTTCTGTAGTTTTGCTGACCTCTGCTCTACATGAATCACAGTGGGCAGCGGACAGAGATTCCATGGCAAGGTAGAGGGTTTGCCCCTTCTCTCCCCAGACAGTGCCACCACACAGCTGGTGTCGGCAGATGGATATTTTTCCTGTGCCCTAATAGGCTGGTGCCCAAGGGCATATGCCTCTCTCTGCTCCACCCACCTGTTACCTCCCTGGTACGGGAAATGAAATCTTTTCTTTTTTTTTAACTTTTAAGTTCAGGGGTACATGTGCAAGTTTGTTACATAGGTAAATTTGTGTCATTGGGGTTTGTTGTACCTATTATTTTATCACCCAGGTATTAAGCCTAGTACCCATTAGTTATTTTTCCTGATCCTCTCCCTCCTCCCACCCTCCACGCTCCGATAGGCCCCAGTGGGTGTTGTTCCCCTCTATGTGTCCATGTGTTCTCATCAGGGAAATGGAATCTTAACTCAGTGTCTGACTTCTCACTCTTCTCTTAAAAGTGCCTCCCCTGCTGTGAACCTAAAACTGCTCTAAAAAAATGGTTTCTGTGATTTTTGTTTTTTGTTTTTGAGACAGAGTTTTACTCTTGTTGCCCAGGCTGGAGTGCAGTGGCGCGATCTCGGCTCACTGCAACCTCTACCTCCCAGGTTGAAGCGATTCTCCTGCCTCGGCCTCCCAAGTAGCTGGGATTACAGGCATGTGCCACCAAGCCCAGCTAGTTTTTTGTATTTTTAGTAGAGACGGGGTTTCATCATGTTGGTCAGGCTGGTCTCAAACTCCTGACCTCAGGTGATCCACCTGCCTCGGCCTCCCAAAGTGCTGGGATTACAGGCGTGAGCCACCGTGCCTGGCTTTTTTTTTTTAAAGGGGCCTCCCCAATTCCTCTCTGTGCCACCTCTTCCCTCCCTGGAGCCACCCAACCCCCACTCATTCTGTATTTGTCTTCTGGGGTAATCTCACCTCTTTGTCACTCATGTAAGGCAGAGAGAAGTAGTTGACCTTAGGGGTAAACGCAGGAGCTCTCTTCCCTTCTTTATCTCCTCCCCAGAAGTAAGTGCCTGCTTGTAAGATCAACAAAAACCTCTCAGTACTGGCCCAGGTCTGAGCAGCCCTACCGTAAGTGCCTCTAGCCTATAGACAGCTTGTTTGTGTGTGAGTTCTAAAATTTCTGTCACTGGAGCAGCATTGACTAATTTTCCTGTGTGCTTTGAATAGTGCCTAGGAGAGCAATGTGAGCACATGGACATTTTATGAAAGAACTATCTGATAATGATAAACAGGCATCTGGAAAGAACATCATTTTACCAAAAAAAAAAAAAAATTCTGGCAGCAGCATGAGATTATGGAGAAAGGATTTTAGTGTTAGCCTTTGGCACAAAAAGATGGGAGATTCCCAAGTCTGATAGATGAGCATGCTGTCTTTATGGGGAGCGATGACAGAAAATTGTGGTGGTTTAATTTCTTTCACCTGGGCTGCATGTGGGCTGTTTCAGAGAAAAGCAGACTCCCAGGTACTCTGAGTTCAGGGTAGGTCCAGGGAGGAAAATAAGATGTGGTCAGTGGCAGCAGCTGTTTGTACTTCCTCCCTGGAACTGGAGCATGGTGCTAACCCCAGCTGTGGAAAGAGCCATGAGACTGAGAAACTGTGTGGTTTCAGTGTGTGTAGCCATGAAACCCCAAAGACTTTGGTTCTAGCTTAGGTTGATTACAGATTTGGACAACTTACATGTTGATTTCCTCATGTGTAAAATCAGGAGGTTGGGCAATGGTGATATCTGATGGCCCTTTCAGCTCTAATATTCTATATGTCTATAACACTAGATTGAAAATTTTAAATTCTGAGCCAGAACTCCAAGCCCAGGTGTTTCCTCATATGAGGGTTTTTCTCTTTGTGGAAGATATAAGAAGTTATATCTTCTTCAACTGTCAATTTACCATCTTCAGATCCCTTTCTCCATCAATGAACCTAGAAAGAAAAGGAATGTGTCAAAGTCATTGCATACAATTTTTTTTTTCATTATTTAACAGAAATTTGAATGCCAGTTGTGTGCCAAGCACAATGCTAGATCCAGGGGACTCAGCAATTGAAACGTTAGCCATGGTCTTAAACCTCATGGAGCTCACAGTCTTGAGTCAAATCAAGCATGGTATGCAAGGGAAGCAGAAGATGCCATACAGAAGACAGGAAGGGCACCTCTCCCAGTCTCAAAATATCAAGGAAAGCATTTGGGAGGCAGAATGTTGCAGACAAGGGGGACCAGCATCTGCAAAGACTGAAAGGCAATAGAGAAAATGACACACTCTAGAAACGAAAGACATCCTGGAAGAACAGGGCTAAGAATGTGAAGGGAATATGGTCACGGATGAGACAGGAGAGGCAAGCCAGGTCACCGGGGGACGAGTGATAGCCTAAGGGCCATTGAAGGATTTTTAAGGACGGGAGCGACAGGACCACATTTGAATTTTTGAAAGTGCATTCTGGCTACAGTGCAGAGAAACAGCTGTGAGGGAGGAAGAATGGAAGTAAGGAGCTCGGTTAGGAGGTTGCCTCCATTATCCTGATGAGAGAGAGATAATGATGGTCTCACCAGGATGGTGGCAGGAGGGATTGAGAGAACAGTGGGGAGATGTGTGCTTGACATTTAGAGTCCATGAGAGGTGGTCACCAATTGCCTGTGGGCAGTGACAGGAAGATTGAGGGCTAGGCCCAGGTTTCTGGCTTGAGGAGGGTAGTAGAGCTGTTTGTAGAAGTAGAGGAGCAGGCATGGAGCTAGGGGAAAGAGATGGTCAACTTGTTTACAGACATGTTGAGTTTGACAGCCTTGGGGGACAACATCCTGGTGAGGAGGTGATATGGTTTTGGTGTGTCCCCACCCAAATCTCATCTTGAATTGTAGCTCCCATAATTCCCACATGTCATGGGAGGGACCTGGTGGGAGATAATTGAGTCATGAGGGCTGTTTCCCCCATACTGTTCTCATGGTAGTGAATAAGTCTCACGAGATCTGCTGGTTCTATAAGGGGCAACCCCTTTCACTTGGTTCTCATTCTCTCTTGCTTGCTGCTGTGTAAGATGTGCCTTTTTCCTTCTGCCATGATTGTGAGGCCTCCCCAGCCACGTAGAACTGTGAGTTCATTAAACCTCTTTTTCTTTATAAATTACCCAGTCTCGGGTATGTCTCTATCAGCAGCATGAAAATGGACTAATACAGATGTCCATTAGTATTGGAAGCTCAGGAGAAATCTCTGGCCCAAAGACACAAATCTGAGACTCACGGGAATTGAAGTCAATGCAGGGGTTGGTGATCCCTGGTACAGCGTGCACAGTGATGAAAGGTCCAGGTCTGCATCATGAAGCGAACTGGCATTTAAGGAGGGGCAGAGGAGGAGGATCTTCCAAAGGACACCAGAATGAGAATGAGTGGCAAACCAGGAATGGGCGAGATTCGAGGAATCAGGAATGGGTGAGATTCGAGGAACCAGAAAAGGGTTCCCTGTGAGAGAAGAGCCAGCACCAAATGCTGCACAAACAACGGCAGAAATGACTGGACAATGAAAGCCTTTGACAACCTCGGTGAAAATTTCAAAGGGCATGACGAGGATGAAATTCAGGCTGTGGTGGGTGGAAGGTAGAAGTAAGGAGTGGAATTCAGTGCATTGACTGCTCTGTGAAGAAGTTGGGCTGTGAAGGGAAGAGAAAGATGGAAACAGGTGTGCAAGAGCATTTTTTTTTAAGATAGGAGTGACTTAAGGATGTTTACATGCATCTAAAGGGAAGGAGTCAATAGACAGCAAGAGATTGTGATTGCAGAGAAAATGGGAGGCAGGGGGGTCAAAGAGAATTCTCAAGAAAAAGAAAGGGTAGTTGCAGTATTAGCTCATTCATACCTCTTTCCTTATAGGAAAGGACAGGTAGGAGTGTGAAGAGAAGAGAGCAGGGGAGTGCCAATCACTTGGGGGATTTCTTGTTTAATATCTACTAATTTCCCCATAAATTCCTGGTTCCCTGCCCTTGCTCATGGTGCAACTTTCACTTTGAATGCTTCTTCACTCACTCTCTGAAAGTCCTACCCAGCTGCAAGGTCTAGGTGGTCTGCAGCCCACCCCAGCTTCTCCTCTGCTCTGCACAATTACAGACTGAACCCATTTTATGGACCTCCAGAGATTGCCTAAGCTTCAATGCCTTGTCTCTCACACCAGACTGGATGTTCCTTGAGGGCAAGAACCAGACCATGGAATTTTAAACCTTTCCCATATGCCGGGATACAGCAAATACTCCACATACAATTTTTGATTCACTGTCTCAAAATTGAAAAAGTGTCAGTCTTGACTTTTAGCAAGAGCTCCCTCACTCTGACCTCTTAGAATAAGAAATGGGGAAGGCAAAGAAAATTTCGAACCAGGCAGCTCAAGGTAGGTATGGAGTAAGGTGGGTGTGGAGCAAGTTAGATATGGAGTCTCCATATTAAGGACTTTGGGGACCTAGAAGATGGAGTTAAAAGTGATGGCTTGGACACTTATCAGCATTTTTTTTTGTGCTGGGCAAGTCAGTTAACACCTCTGAGTCCCAGTTTCCTCTTCTCTAAATTGAGGTTAAAGTTACTTACCTAACTAGTTATGGAAAATACCAAGTATCCTTGTTGTTTAAGACATTTTGATTCTGGGATTGTGTCTTGCAACCAAACATCCTCACTTAGATGGAATTACCTGGTAGAAAATCCACACTTAATATACTAATAGTAGGATGGGATGCACCCTTTATGGTGGTTGAGAGATTACAGTTTTGGCATGTCGTATGATTGTGGGGTAGTGTGTGCTGTGTGCCATGTGATATATGATAGTATGTGGCATGTTGTAGTGTGCACTCTGTGATATGTGATGATAGCATGTGATATGACCAGGCAATACATGGACCATGTAAAGTGTGATACAGTGTGTGATTTGATTGTATGGTAGGGTTGTATTAAAGTTATATCTGGGATTTTATTCATAGGGGGATGACTGAATGGCAACATGAACAGGTCAATGCCATTGAAAGAAAAATTCAATGTTACTCACAGTTCCCATTGAAACAAGAAGCACAGTCCACTACACAGGGCCACAGAGGAGCACCAGGTTTGGCCAGGAGGCAGAAAGGCATGAGGGGAAGGCAGAAGCCAGAGCTTTTATTGAGACTTCCCTGGGAAACAGTTCAGGATTGGCCAGTTTGAATAATTCCAGAGGACTTTGGGGCAAGGTTGTGGTCTCTAGTTGCTGGATACCTAGTCCTGAGATGATTTAGGGCATGGGAAATATGGGCTTGGCGTGTGAGCTTTACATAGAGAGGCAGTTGGGGAAATAGATAATGGGTTGGTTAGTTTGCCTATGAAAGGTGCACTCCAGGCTGAGCCCTTTGCTATCTCTAAGAATTGGCCTTCCTTCAGAAGGGCAGTCTCTCCCTGGGTCTGTAGGGCCCCCAAGTGCCAGAGCATCAAGAATACAGAAGATAAAAAAATATAGTTAAATAATTGGCCCTGTTGTGAATGGATGCCTAATAGACAAATACAGAATCTAAGAAAACAGAAGAACAATTTACTGTGTGACATGTGATATATGATGATGGTATATGATATGACTGTGTGGCAGTGTGTACTGCGTGCCACGTAGCACATGACAACATGTAATATGACTGCGTGGTAGCGTGTACTGCATGCTGTGTAACACATGATAGCATGTGATCTGATTGTGGCTGTGTTCTGGGAAGATGATCCCAGCAGCACAAGGTGGCGTGGAATGGAGAGCAGAAAGGCTGGTGAGCAATGGACAGTGCTATAATGATGTCCATGAAGAGAAGAGCTAGAAGGGGGGAAAATAATACATGTCCCTGGTTAAAGCTGCTGCTTACGGCCGGGTGCGGTGGCTCATGCTTGTAATCCCAGAACTTTGGGAGGCTGAGGTGGGTGGATCATCTGAGGTCAGGAGTTCAAGACCAGCCTGACCAACATGGTGAAACCCTGTCTCTACTAAAAAAATACACAATTAGCCGGGCGTGGTGGCACAGGCTTGTAATCCCAGCTACTCGGGAGGCTGAGGCAGAAGAATCGCTTGAACCCGGGAGGCAGAGGTTGCAGTGAGCTGAGACAGTGCCATTGCACTCCAGCCTGGGCGACAGAGTGAAACTCTGTCTCTAAATAAATAAAGCTGCTGCTTACTTCTTAGCCCATGAAAAGGAAAGGAATGCCTGCATTTCTATCACGTGGAGGCACAGGATATAAAGTGACATGACAGATTCATGCTAGTCATCCTTCTAGGCATTCTGCAGATGAGAAAATAATAAGGGGCAAGTTACTAAAACCAAACTTCAGAAGGTAGACAGCAGAATCCATGATTCAAACTACTATAGCAGGTATGCATTTCTTCAGTTGACAAACACAGATGTGGAAAATAAACGTAATTTTCTTTGTTTTTCTTCAACTGAATTCAGCTTCTATCTTAAATTTCCTTTTCACTTAAAAGCTTACTCTAAATTATTCCATGTAAAATGGTGCAGCCTCTGTGAAAGACAATATGGCAGTTTCTCAAAAATTAAAGATAGAATTACAGTATGATCCAAGAATTCCACTTCTGGGTGGAGCCATGAGGCACCTAGAGTAGTTCAAATTCATAGAGACAGAAAGCAGAATGGTGGTTTCCAGGGGCTGGGGGAAGGTTAAAATGGAGAGTTATTGTTTAATGGGTCCAAGACTCATTTTCGGGTCAGCCAGCTTTGATGGACACTCAGCTTATTTTTAACATTGAGCTACTGCAAATAGTACTTCTTTCTTCCTTTTTTTTTTTTTTTTTTTTTAGATGGAGTATCACTCTGTCTGCCAGGCTGGAATGGAATGCAGTGGCATGATCTCAGCTCACTGCGACCTCCATCTCCCGGATTCAAGAGATTCTCCTGCCTCAGCCTCCCGAGAAGCTGGGATTACAGGTGCCTGCCGCCACACCCGGCTAATATTTTGTATTTTTAGTAAAGACGGGGTTTCACAATATTGGCCAGGCTGGTCTTGAACTCCTGGCCTCAAGTGATTCGCCCGCCTCGACCTCCCAAAGTACTGGGATTACAGGCCTGAGCCACCGCACCTGGCCTGCAAATAGTACTCCTATGAACATCCTCATACATGCTCGTGGTGAAGATGTGTTTGCATTTCTGTTAGACATATACCTAACAGTGGAACTCTTCTCTCACAGGATCTGCATATTTGAATTTAGCAGATACTTGTAGTTTTCCAACGTCTTTGCCAACTTAGGAGACCCACCAGCAATGCAAGGAGAAATACGATTAATCCAACCAACATGATTTTTTTCTTGTCTTTTTCATTTTAATCATTCTGGTGGGTATGTAGAAGTATTGTATTGTGGTTTTACTTTCGTATTTCCCTGATGCCTGATGAAGTTGAGCACCTTTTCATATGTTTATTCACCATTTGGATATCTTCTTCTGTAAGGGGCTGTTCAAGTCTTTTGCTCTTTTCTTCTATTGTTTTTTCTTGCCTTTTTATTGATTACTAGGATTAATGTATACATATATGTATATGAAGATATATAAAATACATAAAATCTATTTATCTATTCTGCACATGAATTCCTTGTTTTGCAAATTTGTAACTCCACTCTGTGGCTTGTCTTTTCCCTCCCATAATAGTATCTTTTCCTAGAACAAACGTTTGTATTATTAATGTGGTCCAGTATATCAAAATTTTTTGATTTATGACTAGTACTTTTTGTGTTACACTTAAGATATCGTGAAGACATCCTTCTAAATCATGAAGACATTTTTCTAAAAGCTTTATTGTTATACCATTCATATTTTCATCTGCAATCCATCTGGAATTGATTTTTGTGTATGGGGTGAAATAAAAGTCAAGATTTATTTTTTCTCCATGTGGATATTCAGTTGACACAATACCATTTATTAAAAAGACCATTCTTTCTTCGATGTATTGCAATGTCACTGTCATTAACCAGCACATCATATATGTGTAGGTCTGTTTACGGATTCTCTCTTCTATTACGCTGGCCAGTATGTCTATCGTTGTGTCAGTATCACACTATATTAATCACCATAGATTGATAACAATCCTTGGTGTCTGTTAGTATGGGTCCTCCAGCTTTTTTGCTCTTCAGGAATGCCTTAATAATTCTTGCCCATTTACGTTTCCATATCCATTTTAGAATCAGCTTTTCAGTTTACACAGGTAGACACACATGCACACACCCCTGCTGGGATTTTGATTAAGACTGAATTGAATCTGTTGATAAGATTTAGAGAAATTGGCATGTTTATAATATTGAGGCTTCCAGTCCACAAATATGGCATATTGTTCAATTTATTTAGATCTTTAATTTCCTTCAATAATGTTTTGTAGTTTATAGCGTAGAGATTTTCACAAATGTTGTTATGTCTACTTCTAAGCACATTGATGCTTCCTTAATTTTCTATTTATAATTTTCCTTTTTATCTTGCTAAATACAAACATTAATTTGAATAGTATACAGATTCTACCATTTTAATTGTTTATTTGTTTCTTGTATGGAAACAAACTATTTTTATTTTGACCTTGTATCTAGTCACTTTGCTAAGTTAAATCATTAATTCTAATTGTTTGCAGATTCTTTTGAATTTTCTATGTACACACATAATATTTTTAAATAATAAGAGTATTTTTTCTTTTCCAGTCTTTAGCATGCCGCCTAATTTTCTTGCCTGATTATACTTGCTAGAATCTCCAGTATAAGTTGAATAAGAGAAGATGTAAACTGAGCATCTTTGTTTTATTCCATCTCAAGGGCGAGGATTTTTCATATTTTACTATTAAGTATGTTTACTGTAAGATTCTGTGGAAGTCTTTTTCAACTTAAAGAAGAACTGTTCTATTTCTAGTTTGTTAAAAGGATTTTTTGAAAATCATGGGTATTGAATTTTCTTCATTGTTTTCTTTTTTCCAATAAGAATTGTGAAATAATTCTCTATTTTCTGTTAATGTGGTGAATTATACTGGTTAATGTTTTAAATGTTAAACCACCCTTATGCAGTAATTTCATTGATGTATAATTTTCCATTTAAGATTTTCATGTCTATGTTCATGAGTGACATTGGTCTGCAATATTCCTTCTTCTAGGATCCTTGCCAGGGTTTCGTATCAAAATTGAACTGTCCTCTGAAAACAAGTTTGGAGGTGCTCCATCTTTTCTTTGGTCGGGAAGAGCTTATATGAGATTGGTACTATTTCTTCCTTGAATATTTGGAAAATTCCACTGATGAAGCCATATGGGCCTGGAGTTTTCCTTCTGGCAAGAATATTATTCAATTTATTTAAACATTTTTAAAAATTATTTAGATTTTCTGTTTCTCCATGGGTCAGGTTTGACAACTCTTGTTTGTTGAGGAATTTGTCCATGGCATGTAAATTTTTAAATTTAATGAAGTGAAATTGTTTGGGCTATCCTCTTATAATCTTTCTAATAGTTGTAGGATATACACAGATGTTCTTACTTTATTCCTGTTACTAGTACTTTTTTTCTTCATCAGTATCATTAGAAGTTTATCATCTTCATTAATTTTTTTCAAATAATTAGTGTTGGCTCTGTATATTTTCTTTATTTTATATCTATTTCACTAATTTGTGTTTTTATTATGTTCTTCCATCTACTTCCTTTGAATTTCTTTTGCTATTCTTTTCCTGGCTGCCTGAAATGGAAACTTACATTGTATATTTTAAACCCTTACATATTTACTATTTTCTTAGAAATTTTGGTAAATATTTCATGTAACTTGAAAACAAACTGTATTTCATTGTTTCAGTTCCAGTATTCTGTATTTATTGGTCATGTTGTTAAGATCTTCTATAACATTATTGATTTTTTTGGTCTGTTTTACTAACTACTGAGAGAAGTTTTATAAGTCTCCCACCATGATTGTAGATTTGTCTCTCTTTTTAATTGAGTCAGTTTTTCCTTTATATATCTTGAAGTCATGCTATGTTCAGTAATTAGAACATTCTACAGATTTAGAACTGTTATATTTTCCTGGTAGATTGACATGTTTATCATAATGAAATAACTTGCTTTATCTCTAGAAATCCTTCTTGCCTTAATTCTGATTTGTCTGATACTAGCATGGGCTACCTACCTCAGCTTTCTTTTGGTTTGTGTTTGATGTGTTTTGAAATATCATTTTACTAATATTTAAGATGTGTGTTTTATAAGTGGCGTATATGTAGTTTTATATTTTTCTTCAGTCTGACACTCTGGGGTTTTTTTTTTCTTTTTCTTTTTTTTTTTTCTTTTTTTTTTTTAGGCAGAGTCTCCCTCTGTCACCCAGGATGGAGTGCCGTAGCAGCACAATCTCGGCTCACTGCAACCTCTGCCTCCCATGTAAAAGTGATTCTCGTGCCTCAGACCCCTGAGTAGCTGGGATTACAGGCGCCTGCCACCACACTCAGCTAATTTTTGTATTTTTAGTAGAGGGGGATTTCACTGTGTTGGCCAGGCTGCTCTTGAACTGCCGAGCTCAGGTGATCCGCCCACCTCAGCTTCCCAAAGTGCTGGGATTACAGGCGTGAGTCACAGCCCCCAGCCTGGGATTTTTAATTAGAGTATTTAGTCCACTTTGTTTCTCTCTTTTTTTTAAGATAAAATTAGTTTATTGAAATGAAACAAACAAAAAAAAAAGGATGAACTCTTATGTATCCTCCAAATTTACATATACTAATCTAAACAAATCATTCTCTTTTAAATACTAACCAGAAGAGTATTTTATTTTCACTTAATTACCAATATATTTGCATTTACAACCACCATCTTAATCTTGGTTTTCTGTTCCTTTGTTTTCATGTCTTGATGTCTTTTGGATTAATAAAACATTATTTTTATTATTCCATTTTTTTCCTCCATTGTTCTATTAGTTATACATTTTCTTTTCTACTTTAAGTAGCTATTCTGTAGACAAGCGTGTGTAGACTAGCTTATTGGTACTTATTACTAAGTTGATAATGCAAATTATTACTTTTACTACCTCTCTGATAATGCTTTAAGTACATTTGCTTTGTCATTTTTTTAATGTATGGTTATAATGCATCTCATTCTAAATATATTTTAAACAGAGGAAAACATTACCATTATTGTGTTATTTAGTTAATATTCATTTACACTTGCCTTTTCTATTGTTGTTTTTTTTCCTCTGAATTTCTATGTTTCTCTCTGAACTCATTTTGGTTTTTTCTTAAAATATTTCTTTAATATATTAATCTAGTAGAAGATGTCATTCTTCTTCTGGCTTCCATTGTTTCTATTGAAAAAGTAGTTGTTAATCTAATTGTTGCTTCTTTGAAGATAATATTTTACTCCCACTTGAGCTGCTTTTTGGGACTTGAATTTCATATAAATATATTTATTTATTTTATTTATTTATTTATTTATTTATTTATTTATTTATTTATTTATTTATTTATTTTAAGACAGTCTCGCTCTGTTGCCCAGGCTGTAGTGCAGCACCGCAATCTCGGCACATTGCAAGCTCTGCCTCCCAGGTTCACACCATTCTCCTGCCTCAGCCTCCCAAGTAGCTGGGACTACAGGCACCCGCCACCACGCCCGGCTAATTTTTTCTGTTTTTAGTAGAGACGGGGTTTCGCCGTGTTAGCCAGGATGGGCTTGATCTCCTGACCTCATGATCCACCTGCCTTGGCCTCCCAAAGCGCTGGGATTACAGGCGTGAGTCACTGCGTCCGGCCGAATTTCCTATATTTTACACTATGCCTACTGTTTTCCAAGTAGCTCTCACAGGTTTTTTTTCTACAGTTCTTACCTTTTCTCGCTCTCTCTCTGAACTTTAGTTTGAATTTTTTTTCACTGACTTCATTTACTAGTCTTGTCTGGCTGTATCTGTTTTGCTTTTAAACATGTCATTGAGTTCTTAATATTAAATGTGTATTTTTCAGTTCTAAATTTCTTATTTGATCTTTTTAAAAACATACTAAATCTCTGATGAAACTCAATTGTTTTCCTCTAATTTCCTGAGCAGACTAGTCAACTATTTTAAATTCTTTTTATGCTAATTTCAATATCAAGATGATTGAGATATCTATTTCTAAGTCATTTATGTTTACATTTATTTATTTTTCTGTTACTTTGCAAATTGATTTTTTTTGTTTTTTTTTATTTTGATCTCTATTCAGTGACTCTTTTGGAAAAGTAAGACATTTTTGTATGACTAATTCAAACATCACAGAAAATTACAAAGTAAAAGTTCATCCTAAATCTGACTCTCTCTAAATTTCTATTATTAAGAGGAATTAAACATCATTCATTACCCAAATTAGGATAAATGGGCAGATACAGAAATAATCAACATGGGATCAAACTACACATGTTGCATTTTATTTTATTTTATTTTATTTTATTATTTTATTTTATTTTTATTTTTATTTTTTCAGATAGAGTCTCACTCTGTCACCCAGGCTGGAGTACAGTGGTGCAGTCTCAGCTCACTGCAACCTCCACCTCCCAGGTTCAAGCGATTCTCATGCCTTAGCCTCCCAAGTAGCTGGGATTACAGGTGTGTACCACCACACCTGCCTAATTTGTGTGTGTGTGTGTGTGTGTGTGTATGTGTGTTTAGTACAGATGGGATTTCACCATGTTGGCTAGGCTGATCTCGAACTCCTGGCCTCAAGTGATCCACCTGCCTTGGCCTCCCAAAGTGTGGGGATTACAGATGTGAGCCACCACACCCAGCCACACGTTGCATTTTAAATAGAAATTGTCTTAATTTACTTAAATTTAACAACAAAAATAAATTAAAATTGTTGATCCATACATAAATGTTTATCACCTTATTATGTTTTATTTCTTTGAAGAAGGTTCTAAAATTAATTGACTGTATTCTATGAAAAATGCTAAAATTAGTGCTCTTAAACTCTCTTCCTCATCCTCACTAAAGACTTATCATTTCCAGATTACATTATTTTTACTTCATGACTATTTTGCAATTTATGTTCTATTCTATAATCATGATCCCAGAGTGTTTTTTTTCCATCAAATTTTTTAAGTTAAACTTTCTACTTTGATATAATTAGAGATTTACATACATTTGTTAAAAAAAATACAGAGAGATTCCCTGTACTCTTTAACAACTTTCCGGCAATGGCAATATCTTATTAAGCTATGGAACAATATCACAACCTGGATATTGACATTTACACAGAACAGTTCCACCACCATGATAATTCTTCATGTTGCTCTTTTATAGCCACATCCTCCTTCCTCCTACCCATGACCCTAACCAACCAGTAATCTGTTCTCCACTTTTGTAATTTTGTTATTTCAAGAATTCTACATAGGTGGAATCATACAGTATGTGACATTTTGGGATTGACTATATTAATTCAGCATAATTCTCTGGAGATCAGTTCAGGTTACTGTATATGCATTAATCATTTGTGCCTTTTTGCCATTGAATAGTGTTCCATGACATGGATAAACCACTGTATGTTTAATCATTTACCTATTGAAAGACATCTGGGTTATTTTCTGTTTTTGACTATTACAAATAAAATTTCTATTAATATTTACACACAGGTTTTTGCATTAACGTAGATTTCCTTTTCTCTCAAAAAAGTTTCCAAAGTCTAACTAGTTATATAAGAAATTGCTGTGTACTAATCCACAGTGGTTGTATCTGTATATTAGTATTAGTGGTTAAATCATTTCATATTCTCATCAGCAATATATGAGCAATGTAGTGTCTCCATATTTGTCATTTGATTTTGTAATTTTTAAAATATTACCTTTCTAACATGTGCATAGTGATATTTCATTGGTATTTTAACTTGCATTTCCCTAATGGTTAATGATGTCGATCAATTTTATCATCTTAGGTTAAATGTCTATTTATGACCTTTACTCATATTCTAATTGAATATTTTGGTATTTTTTACAACTGAATTTTGAGAGCTCTTTATAGATTCTAGACACTAGTTCTTTTTTGGATACATGATTTGCAAATATGTTACCCTTCTGTGTAGCTTGTCTTTTCATCCTTCTAACAGGGTTTTTCATAGAATAAAAGTTTTTAATTTTAATGAGGTCTAATTTATCAATTTTTTCCTTCTATAAATTATGCTTTTGGTGTCAAGTCTAAGAAGTTTTGCCTAGCTCAGAACCCAGATTTTACATTTAAGTTTGTGATCAATTCTGAATTAACTTTTGCATAAAGTGTGAGGTTTAGGTTGAGGTTCATTTTCTTTTAGTCCAGGATATGAAATTGCTCCAGCAACATTTCTTAAAGTCTATCTTTTCCTCTATTGATTTGTTTTTGCACCTTTGTCAAAAAATCAGTTGGCTTTGGGAGGCCGAGGCGGGCGGATCACGAGCTCAGGAGATCGAGACCATCCCGGCTAAAACGGTGAAACCCCGTCTTTACTAAAAATACAAAAAATTAGCCGGGCGTAGTGGCGGGTGCCTGTAGCCCAGCTACTTGGGAGGCTGAGGCAGGAGAATGGCGTGAACCCGGGAGGCGGAGCTTGCAGTGAGCCGAGATCCCGCCACTGCACTCCAGCCTGGGCGACAGAGCGAGACTCCGTCTCAAAAAAAAAAAAAAAAAAAAAAAAAAAATCAGTTGGGCATATTTTTGCAGGTCTATTTCTGGGTTCACTATGCAGTTCCATTAATTTACATGTCTATCTCCCTGCTAACGCAACACTAATACAACACTCTTTATTACTGCAGCAAGAGTTACTTCTCCCATATTATTCTTCTTTTTCAAGATTGTCTTCAGTCTTTTAGGATCTTTACCTATCTAGGTACGTTTTAGAATAAGCTTGCCTATGCCTCCAAAAAGACCCTTATAGGAATTGCATTAAACCTGTAGGTCAGTTTGTGGAGAAATAACATCTTTAGCATTTTGAGTCTTCCAATTCATGAACATGGTATGTCACTATAATTATTTAGGTCTTTTAAAAACTTTATTTTAACAGTATTTTGTAATTTTTAGTATACACATTCTGTATATGTTTTGTTAGATGTGTACCTAAGTATTTCATTTTTTTTTGAGCAATTGAAAATTATATTATGCATTTTACATTAGTCTCCACTTGCTTGTTCACAGTACATAGAAATGCAGTTGTCTTTCACATATTGACCTTGTATCCTACAAACTTGCTGCACTCACTTATTAGTTCTAGGAGTTTGAGTCTTGTTATTTTTTTGTAGGTTTCTTGGAATTTTCTATGTAAGCAATCATATTATCTACAAACAGAAACAGTTTTATTTCTTTATTTCCTTTCCTGCCTTTTAATTCTTTTCTTGTCTTAAATGCTGGCTAGAACTTCCAGTACTATAGCAAGTAGGAGTGGAGAGAGGAAACATAACTGCCTTGTTGCTGATCTGAGAGGTTAAGCATGCGATCTATTATCATTTAGTATGATGTTAGCTGTAGGTTTTTTTTTTAATAGATGCTCTTCATTTTGTTAAGAAAGTTCATCCTCTATTTCATTTGTGGAGTCATTTTACCATAAATTGGTGGTTTTTGTCAAATACTTTTCCTTCGCCAACTAGTATGACCATATAATTTCCCTTTTTAGATTGTTGGTATGATAGATTATATTGATTGGTATTTTTCGAAGATTGTACCAGACTTACATGCTTAGAATAAATCTCACTTGGCCATGACATATACTTATTTTTATACATTGCTTGATTTAATTTGCTAAAACTTGTAGAAGATTTTTATTTCTATGTTCATGAAGGATACTGGACTTTAGTATTCTCTCACTTTTTTTGTACTCTCTGGTTTTGTTATCTGGGTAATACTAGCCTAGCAAAATGAGTGGAAAGTGTTTTCTACTATTCTATTTTCTGAAAGAGATTGTGGAAAATTAATGTTAATTCATCTTTAAATGTTAGGCAGAATTCTCTAGTAAAAACAACGTAAGCCTAATGACTTCTTTGGTGGGAGATTTTAAATTACAAATTCAATTTCTTTAATGTTTATAGGAATATTCAAATTATCTGTTTTACCTAAAATATCTACTGAGTTTTAGTTATTTCTGGCTTTTGGGGAATTGGTCCAATTGGTGCAATTTGTTTTCAGTTGTCAAATTTATGAGCTAAAAGTTGATTATGGTATTTCCTTATTATACTTTTAATTGCTGCAGGATCTGTAGAAATATCTCCTGTTTTATTCCTGATGCCGATTATTTGTTTCATCTTTCTTTTTATGTTTGTCAGCCTTCCTAGAAGTTAATTTTTTTTTCAAAAAGTCAGCTTTCTGTTTCTTTTTTTTTCTATTTTCTATTATTTTCTTGTTCTTAGTTTTATTGATTCCACTCTTTACTATTTCTTTCCTTCTTCTCACATTGGGTTTATTTTTCTCATCTTTTTCTATTTTTTTTGAGGTAGGAACTTTGTTAGTTTGAGAGGTTTTCTATTTTCTAGTGTAAGCATTTAGCTATACATTTCAATTTTAACACTGCTTTAGCTGCATCCTACACATTTTCATATGGTGTGTTTCATTTTTATTCTGTTCAATGTTTTTAAGTTTGTTTCTTTTGAGTTCCGCCTTGACCCATTAATTATTTTAAAGTGTGTTGTTTAATTTCCAAGTGTTTGAAGATTTTTCTGTTAATTTCCTGTTATTATTTTTGGTTTGATTTTATGATGTTCAGAGAACGTGCTCACTATGATTTTAATTCTTATACTGAGGCCCAGGGCATTATTTATCTTGGTGAGGATCCCATGAGCACTTGAAAAAAAATGAGTATTTTGCTGTTGGAGTGATACGTTCTATATATGCCAATTAAGTCCTGTTGGCTGATAGTATGCATTTTTAAAAAAATCTCTTCTAATATTCTGTCTAGTAGTTCTATCAATGGCTGAATGACTGTTGAAGTCCCCAACTATATTTGCAGATTTGCCTATTTTTCCATACAGTTCTATCAGTTTTTGTTTCGTGTATTTTGAAGTTCCGCTTTTTGGTACATTTGAGATCTTTATTTTTTCCTGATGGATTCATCCTTTCATCATTATGTAATATTCCTCCGTCTGTGGTAATTTTCTCTGCTCCAAAACCTACTTAATGTGTTAGTAAGGTAGTCATTCCTGTTTTTTGAAAAAATGAAATGTTTGCATGGTATTTTTCCATCCTTTTATTTATAATTAACATTTCATTATATTTGAAATATGCTTCATATAGACAGCATATTGTTCATCCACATTGTATCAAGGTATGTTTTTAACCAGTGTATATTTAAACTGTTTAAGGTAATTGTTAAAAGTTAGGATTTAACTTCTCATTTCATGATTTAATTCCTGTTTGTTCCTTCTAATTCTCACTCCTTTGTTTTCTTACCTTCTTGTGAGTTATTTATATTTTTAGGATTCCATTTTGATTTATGTATACTCGTTTTGAATATATAGTTTTTTACAGTTTTCTAGTGAGTGCTCTAGATGTTATAATATGCATATGTACCTTATTATAGTCTACTGGTATTGAAGTTTCACCACTTCAAGCCTTACTTTCACTTAGTTTCCTTTACTTTCCTCCACTGCAAAATCTAATTATATTGAGTTTTTCCTCATCAAATACCACATTAAATAAATACCTCATTAAATACCACATCAGATGGTTTTATTATTTTTGCTTCAGTAGCCACATATGAGTTAAGTGACGCATGTGAAGTGGAATAGTCTATAAATTTTTCCCCAATTTTTACTCATTCCAATGTTCTTCTTTCCTTTCTGAAGTTCCACGTTTTCTATTATTGTTTCCTTTCTGTTTGGAAAACTTCCTTTAGACCTTTTTAAGGGGATAAACCAATCCCCTTAAACAATAAATTATTTAGGTTTTCCTTTGCCTTAAGATGCCTTTATGTCTGCTTTATTCCTGGAAGATATTTTCACCAGACGCATTTTCTTTTCTTTTCTTTTCTTTTTTTCTTTCTTTTTTTTTTTTTTTTTTTTTTTTTGAGACAAAGTCTTCCTTTGTCGCCCAGATTGGAGTGCAGTGGCGCAATCTCTGCTCACTGCAACCTCCGCCTCCCGGGTTCAAGCAAGTCTCCTGCCTCAGCCTACCGAGTAGCTGTGACTACAGGTGCGTGCCACCACAACCGACAAATTTTTTGTATTTTTTTAAGTAGAGATGTGGTTTCACCATTTTAGCTAAGATGGGCTCGATCTCCTGAACTTGTGATCTGCCTGCCTCAGCCTCCCAAAGTGCTGGGATTACAGGTGTGAGCCACCATGCCCGGCCTACCAGACACATTTTCAGGATTCACAATTGTTTTCCTTTCCAAATTTGAAAAATGTGCAACTTCCTCTGGTCTCCATGGTTTCAGATGAGAAACTTGCTATCACGTAAATCAATGTTTTATTAGCTGGGTGCAGTGATGTGCACCTGTAGTCCCAGATATTCGGGAGGCTGATGTGGGAGGATTACTTGAGCCCAGGTATTTGAGTTCAGCCTGGGCAATACTAAGACCCTGTTTCTTTAAAAAAAAAAAAAAAATTATTTCCCTATAAGTAATGTGTTATGTCTTTCACAAAATTTGGGATATGTTTTAGCCATATTACTCTGAATAACTTTTTAGTGCCTTTCTATATATACTTTGCTTTTGAGACTTCAATAACATGTATATTAGATCTTTTGTTATTGTCCTGCAGGTTCCTGAGATTTTGTTCTTCTTCTATTAGTGAATTTTAGTTTTGTTGTTCAGATTGAGTAAATTCTATCGATCTGCTCTCAAGTTCACTGATGGCATTCTATGTAATCTCCATTCTATAATGAACCTATCTGGTAAGGTCTTTCTTCAGTTACTATATTTTTCTGTCTGATAACTTCACTGGGTTCTTTTTTTATAGCTTCTCTTTCTTTGCTGAGATATTCTAATCTTTCATCAGCTCCAGAAAATTTTTAATTGCTTTTTGAAGCATTTTTATGATGACTTCTTTAAAATTCTTTTTAGATTATTTGGCGTTGGATTCATCTTATTGTTAGCATCTGCTGATTATCTTTTCTCATTCATGTTGTCATTTTCCTGATTCTTGGCATGACTAGTGATTTTTTAAAAAAGTATATCTTGGATATTTTAGATATTATATTTAGAGACACAGGATCCTATTTAATCTTTTTTTTTTTTTATTTTAATAGCAGGTAGTGCCCTTGTTGGAGTGTAGCAGGAGGGCTGGGTGGGTAAGTGTGTTTAGCTTCCCATAGAGCAATGTTACCCCACCCTTGCAAAAGTGGGGCACTGACTCACACTGCCTCAATGAAGATGTGCTGTGTGGGAGTTCAGTGCCCCCGATACCTTCCTAGGGAAAGTGGGGCACTGCCTCACATACCACATTACCTTTGAGCAGGGAGATCAGATCAACTCCCTGGTGGGCTTCACTGCCACCAGGGAGGGGGAAGCAGAGAGCTTACTCACGCTGCTTTGGTGCTGAAAGGCAAGTCCAGAACCTCAGTTCCCCACTAGCACCACAGGGAGAGGGCAAACAGAGTGGCCAACTAGCCCTGCTTTCCCTAAGCTCATTCAGCCCTACAGATTTTAGGGAGAAGTGGAGTTTCTGCTCCCTACAAGACATGGTGATGGGTTGGGGGTAGAAACAGAGTGCTGCATTACACCACTTTCTCTTGTCTTGATCCTGCATTGGGTAAAGTATCAGCTCCCCACTGGGCCACACTCATATGGGCAGGGTGGAGGGGGAGAATAGGTGTGCTGACCAGCTCTGCTTTGCACCATCTTGTTTAGTCTTATTTAGCCAAGTTGGAGTAAAGACTCTTCTCTGGGCCCTGGTGACACAGGAGGGAGGATGGAGAAACCAAATGGTAACCTTTGCCTAGTGAGCCTCTTATCAAATCCCATTGCTGCCAAGTGGAGGTGAAGCCTCAGCTCCCCACTGGATTCCATTAACAATACCCTGACTAGGGATGTGTAGCATGGCCTGCTTCCACCATGCAGGAAGTGTAAGATCAGCTGCTCACACAACAGTCATGTTGCCATGACCTCCTTCTCCCAGGTGGGAGAAGGGAAGATTATCTCCATGGTCAGTCCTGCAGATACCACCTGGTAGGGGAATCGGAGCATGCCACCCTGCTTTGGTGGAAGGTGAGGTTTTTGCAACATAAAGTTCCTGCACAATGCACTGAACCCCCAGAAAGGGAGGTGCGGTTGTTCCATTTGTGTTTTACCAGAAGCGGGGCAGGTATTATCAAACAGATTTTTTGTCAGTAGGGGTCACCACTTCCCCAATATTTTGGCCAGGGGAATATGCACCTGTGTCTACTGATGATGTTGGGTTGGAGGCCTCTGCCGTGTCCTGTCAGGAGAACATGGGAGGCATCAAGGAAACCCAGGGACTTCACCTTCATGTTATTCCTCAAATCCCATGTTGTTCCTCAAATCCCGAGTCGTGGGCATGCCTTATTTTCATCTTTGAGAAATTTTGTATCTTTGTATTATGTCCAAAGACCTAGGAGAAATGGGCTACTGCATCTTGGAAGAACCAGAAGTCTCAAGTCATTTAATTTTCATTCTATATTTAGATGGACTCAACACACAGCTTTTCATATTTGATTTCTATTCTATTTTTATCTAGACTTTTTCCTCAGACTTCTCAATCTGCTTCACTCCAAGTTGGGGAGTAAAAGTGAGGCTTTTATAATTTTTGCTACCATCTCTTCTAGCAAGAACTGGATGCAGTGGTATGTTGGTAAATCAATTCTAGGGGGAAAAAAAGAAGTCTTGATTTGCAGTGCTATGATTCCTGTAGTGTAAACACTGTCACCATGGTTGATGTCAAGCTCCAACATGATATCACTGAATGTGAAGTTGGAAAGAGCTGTATACAAAGGGCTCTCATGAGCCAGTATGAGCTGGCTCCAGGAAACCACTAGCTCTGTGTCATTTTATGGACTCTTCTATTTCTATTTCTGGAAGAAACTTTCCAATGTGTTTGATGATCTATAATTATGATATAAAGTTGCAAACTTCCTTTTATAACAATATATAGAAAATGTTATACTTTTTTAGCAGCAGTATCCCCAATCCAAGAAAAAACCTGCATTTGGTGGGTTAATGCTTTAATAAACTGCTTGGAATAAAGAATTAGAACTTGGAGTCATATTTGAATAACAGTAGCAGTTGATAGTTGCTGCAGTTAAGGAACAAGGGGACAACCAACTAGCGTAGTGTGTAGTTTTTTGGTTTTTATTTTTATTTTTATTTTTTTGAGAGGATTCTAAGCTAAGAGTCAGACCTTAACTCTTTAGAACAGTAAAAGGACCCTGGTGAGGATCAGGGGAGGTCAGAGAATGAGGATGAAGAATCTTGTAATCAATGGGCAAAAATAAAATTAAATCTCTCTTAGAATTTGTGCCTGAGATATAAATACTCTTTCCTGTTTTCCCAGGGAATTTTCAGTAACATTTACTAATGCATGTGGCACTGTTTCCTTTATTTAGTTGGGGAAGGCTGAGAAATAGTGTCACTGAGAGCATCGTGGTAGAGATCCTGTGAATAATGAGGTCACTGCATAGGAGCTACGCATAGTTTCAGTGCTATTATTATATTTTCTCATTTTTAAACATGTTTTGCTCATTTTATTATATTTGCAGGATGGTGTAGCATTTTATTGTTGTTCTGTGCCATGGTCCTTCTCCTGAAGCTTTATTATATTAACTTGGGATAAAATGAAAATAAATGTTCTTGGTTCTAATTAGTATATGATCTTTGTGGGGATATTCTTCTGACTTACCTTCAAAACTGCATCTGCCTCCACTCCTACCACTAAGGTGGCCACTGCCCTCTCTTGTGAGGCTCTTTGCACCAGCCTCCTATCTGATCTTCCTGTTACCACTCTGAAGGAACCATCATCCAATCCCTAAATAGCAACTAGAGCGAGCCTGTTAAACACAAATCAGATCATAATACTTCTCCACTCAAAATCCCCCATATTATCCCATCTCATTAGCGTCAGAATCAAAATCTCCTCACAGCTCGTAAGGCCCCTGCTTTCACTTTATTTCTTATTATACTTTCTCTGTTCCTCCAGGCACACTGGCCTCCTGGCTGCTCCTGGAACACACTAGGGTGCTCCCCATCCCAGGGCCTTTGTCCTCTGTAGGACACACTCTTCCTTCTTTCTGCAGACATCCATATGGCTCACTTGCTCTGCTGCTCTAAGTCTTCACACAGATATCACTTTCTCAATGAGGTCTATCTTGTTACCCCACTTAAAGCTGCAACTCATCCCCCAGCACCATAACTCCTATCACTCTCCCCCATGGCACCTATCTTCTGATGTACAAGATTATTCTCTTACTTACTTGGCTTATTGTTCATTATCTGTTATTCCTGCTAGAATATAATCTCCACATTTCACGGAATATTTTTAGAGGTTTTCCCAATTATTTTTATTATGGTAAAATGCACATAGCATAAAATGTGTCATCTTAACTGTTTTTAAGTATAGAGTTTTGTGGTATTAAATGCATGTATACTGTTGTGCAACCATCACCATCCATCTCCAGAGCTCTTTTTCACCTTTTAAAACTAAAACTCTTCCATGCGAAGAAATGAAATCTCCCCATTGCCCCTCCCCCAGCCCCTGGGAACCACCATTCTAATTCTCTTCACTGCAGTATCTCTACCACCATATCCAGTGCCAGGCAGGCATAGATAATCATGAAATATCTGTTGACTTAATGAATAAAAAAATTAAAAGATAGTAACTGAAAGTGTGATGGAGGTGAAAGGAAAGACAAAACCATGTGTTTTCGTGCTCAAGGCTTTGGCAAACTGTATCTTTGATCTCTTATTTTTTCCCAGAGAAGAACCTGTAAACTTGACTCTTAACACCCACACTATAATTCTCAAGAGAAAACAGTTAATTAAATCATAGCCATGACCTTTCGCTGTTGAGTTCTCTTGTCCAGGATTCTGAGTTGAAGGGGTGCTTACTTTGTCTCCTCAGAGCTTTGATTATTCAAACCCAAATAATTATAGTTTAATTAAAAACATCAAGTATTTTTCCTCCCTTATTTTCCCCTTCCCTCAGTTCATGGGCTACATTTGTTTCAGGCATGAGAACAGAAAAAGCATAGCAGGAAGGAGGGTAAGGAAGAAACAAGGGAGTTGTATAACTCCCCCTCGTCTCAAAGACACCAGTTCACCTGGGAGAATAAACTACATATCTTTGCTCCCTTTTCTTCCCTTTGATTCAGTGAAGAAGCTACAAAAATGTCAACCTAACCTTAGCTAAACTCACTTGTTAGTGATTGACAACACATTTTTTGAAAAGCATATTACCTCTTTGAAATGAAATGTATTTAGTCCTCCACAGATTTTCAATAAGGCATAATTTATAATTTCAAAAAATAATAGAGTGTGACATTATTATGATATGAAACCTCCTCAAACAGCATTTTAGGAACCACAAGAAAAGCAATCAAAATTATGTATTTCTTTTACATCCTCATTGAGAATTATTATTTCTTGCATTATCATTTGTGTCTGCAAGTTGCTGTTGGAACAAATGTCCTGTGCCTTCCAAAAGCATGGAGAATGGGCCAGCTGCCGATTCGGTTGATTCTGGTCCAGGGTTAATGAAGTGAAGATTCCAGTGCCCTGAGGTGGCTTAGCAGCTAACACGTTCCAACCTCCATGCTGTGCTCACCTAATTAGAAGGCCCTCACCTCTACCCCACCCCAATCTCTGCCTGATTAACCCATGAGAACCAGTCAAACATATCTTTCCTTTGTGGGTTTTCTTGATGCTTTGTATTATAAATGCGTGTGAATGTTGCAACATTGCCTGGCTTCAAAGTCAAGGGTACAAGCTGATACCCATTCGGAGGTCAAATAAGTCTCCAAATGGACAGGACAACGGAGTGGAAGTCACGGGTAAGCCGTGAACAGAAGCAGATGCTGCCAACATCCAGCTATGTTCCTACTCAGGACTGGGACCGGGTGTGTCCAGATCTTCCCACTATTCAAGAAAAGTCAGAAACCTATATTTCATAGAACATTTGAGTTATCTGCTGGCAAGTGTTAGGTTTTACCATATGAAAGTTATTTTTATAGGTTAAAAACAGTCAAATAATAATTTCATATGGTATGGTAGGCTAAACAATGGTCCCCAAAGATATCTCTGGGACCTGAGCATATGCCTCATATGAAAAAAATAAAAGGGTCTTTGCAGATGTGATTAAATTAAGCTTCTTGAAATGGGGAAGTTATCCTGATTATCTGGATGGGCCCTAAGTGCAGTGATGAGTGTCTCTATAACCGGGAAGAGAGGGAGATTTCACACAGAAGAGGAGGAGGATGTGGGCCACAGAGGCAGAGGTTGGAGACATGTGACCATAAGTCAAGGAGGGCCAGAGCCACGTGAAGCTGGAAGACTCAAAGAATAGATTCTCCCCTAGAGTGTCTGGAGAGAGTGCAGCCCTGGAGACATCTGGATTTCAGCCCAGTGAAACTGATTTCAGACTTTTGGCCTCCAGCATTGTGAGAAAATAAATGTATGTTGTTTCAGGACACCAAGTTTGTTAGTTTGTTACAGTAGCCACAGGAAATGAATCCATACAGTTCAACTCAATAGAACATGGGCAAATTCAAATATATATATATGTATTTTATATATATATAATATATATATTTGATTATATATTTTATATATTTGATTTATATATATTTGATCATATATACACGTATATATGGTTCTATATATATTTATATAGAGAGAGAAAACCAAAAAGCATCTGAGACAGTACTCAATCAATTTAGATGTGTATTTTGCCAAGGTTAAGGACGCACGCCCAGGAGACAGGTCTGTGCCTTTCTCCAAAGATAATTTGAGGGCTTCAGTATTTAAAGGGGGAAAGCAGGCTGGAGGAGAAAGAGGGAGGGTGTGGTCACATTACTGAATCCACATGTTGCAAGGGAAAAGCAACAGGTAGGGGAATAGTTAATGATATATTTCTCTGACGCTCAGTAAATCTGCACTTTACGTAAGATAAGGTGAACATACGTGGCTACCTGTGCAGATATTTAACCTTTGATCTGTAAGCTCTCTGCTTAGGAATAAAAGGAAAGGCAGCTTCTTGCGTGACTCAGCTTTCAGCTTAATTTTTTCCTTTTGGCAGAGTGAACTGGGGTCCCAAGTTTTTATTTCCCTTTCACTACACACACACACACAAATAGTATGTTTAGATAAACCCACATGTGTATATGTGTGTGGAAAGATGTGTGTGTGTGTGTGTAAAGGCAACATGCAGGCCAGACAAAGCACATCTGCAATGTAGAGCTGTCCTTCAGGTAATTAATTTGGTCTATTTCAATCTGTTTCTTTTTCATCCTTCTCTTATCTATAGTGACTGGCACTGTTCTCTGTACCTTCATCAAATGTTATTTGAAATCACTGCTAATGGAAAGTAAAGGATTCTGCCAGTACATCACCTAAGCCCTTGTATTTCCCAAAATACCTCTGCAGAGGTTTAATGACTCCAAATTCCCTTTACCTTCTGATGCAAGTCATTAAGAAAAAAGATGACCTCAAATATTGTCTTCAGATTCAATTCATTAAGTGCTGGGCACTATAAGATCCAGAGTCAGGGGAGAGCAGAAACTGTCAGAAAAAGTAAAAAAGTGAAATGCCTCAAAATCATGTTAATTGAACCATATTAAGTATGTGTAGTGAATTCTTATAATTTTATGTTGCCTCAGGATTCATTCTAAGTTGGACTTTCTCATACTAGAAGCATGGCTCAGTCACCCTTGACACAGTCTCCAATTCTCCACCTCCTCCCAGTTCCTCAAGGTGGTCAGACACCTGCTTTATGTAACCACCTTCTGGTGACCACCCTTGTATGGGACAACTAGATACAACCTACTTGACACCCCACTGACCCCCATATTTCCCATGGACTGCATAGATATTTCACAGTGACCCCCTCTCAGTCACAGCATGTCTCCCTGGAGCTTCTGCCTGCTTCCTTCAATCCCACCGACAAGAACTCCTTAGAACTCCCCATGGGAAACCTGCTTGAGTCATGCCTGGGACCCCAGTAAAGGCGTTCGCTCTCAGGTCCCTCAGTCTCTCTCTCTCTCTCACTCCCCACCTGCCTGATTGAGTGTGCCTATCCTGCCCAGCTCTTCCCTGCCCTTGGCCCTGTAAGGTGTGCAGCCCTCTTATGTCTGGAATCCATAAGTAATTAAAAAAAAAAAAAACAACCCTGCTTCTGTTTCTCCATGTGTTTCGCTGTGCTGCCTCCTCTGTCTCACCTGACCAACACACCTGAACCCAACTTCTGTCCTGGTCAGGGTTCTCCTAGAGAGTGGCTATCTTGGATGATGGCCACTCTCAAAAGGAGACCTGAAGACCAAATTAGGGGAAAACTTCACATCATGCAAGTCCACACATTTTTGCTGCTGCCTTTGCTAGGGTCCTTTGGATCTTGACCTGGCCTCTGGATCTAGCTTCTGAGGCTTAAATCTATGATGGCTCCTCCTCTTGGGTTTCCGTGAGGTCCCATGTTGGTATGCCTGAAATAAACTCCTCTTGACCTACGCTAATTGTGTCGCTATTGCTGGCAACTAAAACTAGCCAGTGGCTTCTTCAGGAGTCAACTCAGCAGCTTTCCTTCTACTATGGACTACACTAGTGTTATCCAAACTGTCAGTTCAACTGGGGTAAGAAGCTTGCACCAGAATGTGAATCAACACGCTACTTACTTCATCAAGAAAGTTTTGTTGTGAATTTCAGCTGAGTCAAAATGTGTATTTAGTGATGTAATAATAGATTTACATTCCCTTGCAAGTTCTTTGTCTCGTTAACAGTAACCACCACTGTGAGGACTGACAGCTGATTCACAGATCTCACTTAAAGTAGCACTGGCTGTTAGCCAACTTCCAGCTATCCTCTCTCCCACCTTCACCTTTCCCAGCCTCTCGTAATCACTACCCTGCACTCTACTTCTATGAGATCAACTTTTTTAGCTTCCACATGTAGGTGAGATTATGAGTATTTGTCTTTGTGCACCTGGCCTATTTCACTTAACGTAGTCCTCCAAACTTATCCATGTTCCTGCACATAAGAGGATTCCTTTTTTTTAATGGCTGAATAGTATTCCATAGTGTATATATTCCATGGTGTGTGTATATATGTGTATGTATATGTGCACCACATTTTATCCATTCATCTGTTGTTGGACATTTATGTTGATTCCATATCTTGGCTATTGTGAATAGTGCTGCAAATAAACTCAGAAGTGCAGATATCCCTATAATATATCAATTTCCTTTCTTTTAGATATATGCCCAGGGAGAGGATTGTTGGATCACATAGTAGTTCTATTTTTAGTTCTTTGAGAAACCTCCATACTGTTTTCCATAATGGCTGTACTAGTTTACACTCCAACAACAGTATATAGGAGTTCCCCTTACTCCACGTCCTGTCCTGTACTTGCTATGTTTTGTCTTTTTGGTAATAGCCATTCGAGCTGGGGTGAGTTGACATTGCAATGTGGTTTTGATTTGCATCAGCCTGATGATTAATAATACTGAGCATTTTTTTTCACATACCTGTTGGACATTTCTATGTCTTCTTTTGAGAGATGCTTTTCAGATTCTTTGCCCACATTTTAGTTGGATTATTATTTGTTTTGTTTGAATTTCTTGTATATTCTGGACATGAATTCCTTGTCAGATGAACAATTTACAAATATTTTATCTCATTTTGCTGGTTGCCTCTTCACTCTGTTGATTGTTTTGTTTGCTGTGCAGAAGATTTTTGGCTTTTTATAGCCCCATTTGTCTATTTTTGCATAAGTTGCCTGTGTTTTTGAGGTCTTCTCCATGAAATCTTTGCCCAGATCAATGTCTTGAAGCATTTCTCCAGTGTCTTCTTCTGATAGTTTCATAGTTTGAGTCTTACATTTAAGTCTTTAATCCATTTTGAGTTGATTTTTGTACACGGTGAGAGATAGCAATCTAGTTTCATTCTTCTGCATATGAATACCCAGTTTTTCCAGCACCATTTATTGCAAAGACTTTCCTTTCCCCAATGAATGTTCTTGGCGTCTTTGTTAAAAATCAGTTGGCTTTAAATACGTGGATTTATTTCTGGGTTCTCTATTCTGTTCCAGAGTTCTAGTGTTCTATAGCACTGTAGGATGACTATAATTAACAACAATTTATTGTATATTTTCAGATAGCTAGAAGAACAGCTTGTGCATGTTCACATCACAAAGAAATGAGAAATGTTTGAGATATGAATATGAAAATTACTCTGATTTGATCATTACACATTGTATACATGTATCGAAATATCATACTGTACCCCATAAACATGCATAATTATTATGTATCAATTAAAAATAATAAAAGCAAAAAATGTAGTATTGGCCTAAAGTTTTCCTAGGCTAAGAGAACTCTAAGGATGTGATTAGTTCTGCTCTCTTCCACCTTTTCTTCACAGAATGAAGAAACAGAGCAGGAGAGAGGAACAATTTTTGCATTAGAATGATGGTGCTAGTCTATATACAATATACCACTTTCTTTTTAATAATAAGGAAATAGTTTTTTCCCACTTTACCATTAATTTTGCCCTTTCAAGTCAAATCCTGTGCTAAGTCCAATTTGCCAGAATGGTCTTCTAAAAAACTTCTCTTGGCCTGTTTCTAATGCAAAACTGCCTCGGTCGCTGAAATGAATCAATCACATGCACTTATTTGCTACATTTACCACAGGGAAACGTTAAAAAAAATAATGAAAAATCAGATTCATAAGACTTAAAGCAGAAACATAACACAGCTTTGCTGTGCTCCCTCTTCCTGAGGACAGGGAAGGGATAGATCTGGGAGTAGTTTTAAAATTGGGACATTTCTTTTAGGTAAAATGAAGAAGTCTTCACCTTACTTTGTGTGTCTGTTAAAATTTTTCACAACAGTGTGCTGTCAAGTACCTCGAGGCATCTGCTAAAGACAGGAGGACACTTCTTACTCCAAATGAAACCAGGAATGGAAATGGCAGTGAGTTGATTGAAAAGCATTTAGTTGAGACCTTCCAGGGTTCATAACACTGAACTGGGCACATACATATGAAAGGAGAGATTCAGTTCATTACAGGCATTAGAAATAAGCAGACAAAAATATATTCCAGAAACTCACCAAAATGAGACAGAAACTATATAAATGCCAAAAATATATTTTCTTCAAATCCTGAAAATAGATGTGTTGACTTTTCTTGGAAACAGTTATTTTAAACTGTTGGAAGACATACAAGTAAACCTAAAACTAATAAAGGGGCCTGTGTTAGAAATGAGCCCTCATAGCAAGCATTTTGGGGGGTTATTAAATTGTTCTGTGCTCCCAAATACTTTATTAAAGTATGTTATTAATTAAAACCAAAAGTGTACCACGAATTGGGCCAAAGAAAAACATCCAAATTCTCAACATGCACTTGAAAAGATTCGATCCCTCTGTGATCTGTGCCAGTTCTGATTCATGCCACGCCAGGATTCTCCTCACTTCCAGCTTACCTATGAACAGTTTGTTTACATGGTACCTGCCTTCCTTATAGGACAATGAGTGATGAGCCTTTAAGATAAAATGCTCATTCACATATTCATTTAATAAGTTACTACAAAAGACTAATTGTTGCCATGTAATCATTGCTACATATGCCTTAATGAACACATAGAACAGGTCCCAGCTCCTGTGAGCTTATACTGTGTATAATTGTGAAAGAAACCACGTGGACAAAGGGAGAGTCCTGTTCACACAGCATTCTAAGGATAGGACTCACCTCCCACCTGATCTGAGTATTTCAGAATCTCAATTGCAATTTTAGTTGGAGACTATCTGGTTCAGATTTATCCCTGTAACCTTATCCACAAGTGTCATTTAACTTTATTGTATTTTTATTGTCAGACATAATTCATTCATTCACAATGAGTCACAGCACGTATCCAGCATGGGGCAGAGTATCTTGGAGGGCAAACAAGCGATGCCCTGGCTGTTCCTAACGTGTCCTTTCAATAACCTGAGGACATTCTGATGCTCATTCCTTTGTTTGTAATGTGTTTTGCCTTTTCCCCCTTGATATATTTTTATTGTTGGTGCTTTGAAGTTTCACAATGATATCACTAAGTTTGAATCTTTTATTATTTATTAAGATAGATATTTGTTGGGCCTTTCTAGGAGGGGAATGCGTCTTTGAGGTCTTATAAATTTTTTGATATAACTTATTTAATAAATACTTCTGCTTCATTGGGTATTTCATTTTGTTCTTCTGGAATTTCTAATAGTCTGATATTAGATTTCCTAATGTATTTTCCTAATTTTTTAAAAAATATTTTCTCTCATATTTTTATATCATTGCCTTTGTTATATTTTCTTGAAGATTGGACTTTATTTTTCAAGACTTTCACTAAATTTTTAATTCAGTTTAATTTCATTTCAGAAATCATCTTATCTTGTTCTTTGTTTCTTCCTTCTGGTATCCTATTTTGTTTTATTAGCATATATAAGGGCAAGCTAGTTTGCAGGGACAAATAGACAAGGGACCAGGATTAAGACAAGGCAAATGAGACGGTCTCCTCTCATGCCAAATTTAAGGTGGCACCAAAAAGCTCAGCTATCAAGATAAATACTGTTCTTAATATCATATTTTTTAAAATCAAAATTAATGTAAAAATGCATGATGAACAAAATTTCAAAATTTTCAGTAAATGTAGCCCCAATAAAAGTGATGTGCCAAGCATTCTAGAAACAAAGTCAAAAGGAAACATCAGTATATTGATCCTGTCTTTATTTAAAATTGTGATATTTTGTTCAGCAGATGTCTTTTGAATGAATTCTTTAATGTTATATTAAGGTATTATTTATCATGGTTACTGAGTTTTTTGGCACCCTTTTACATTTAGGGCTGGAAATAAATGCCTCACTTGACTCATTGACTTCATCATAGTCCCATCCCTAAATGGACACAAATATATAATGACTCAGCAGCTGAAGCTTCTCTTTCACAAAGCAGTTGAACTAGAATATGATTCAGCCATAAAAAAGAAGGGAGTGCTGAGGCGACTCATGAATAAACCTTGAAAATATTACACTATAATAGACATAAAATTATGTGATTCCATTTATAGAGATATCTAGCATAGGCAAATCCATAGAGACAGAAAGTAGATTAGTGATTTCTGGGGACTAGGAAGAGGAAGAATGAAGAGTGACTGCTTAATGGGTACAGAGTTTCCTTTGGGGGTGATGAAAGTGTGCTAGAACTAGGTTGTGGTAATGGTTGCACAATACTGTGAATGCACTAATTGATAACAATGGTAAATTTTATGTTATTTGTATTTTGCCACAACAAAAAAATTGGAGAGATCAAAGGGAGCTAAGCAGAAGCAAGGTTTCTATCCTTCACTTTTAAGTGGTTAAACATTGATACTAGCAGATAAGGTACATATTCCTTTGTACATATTACTAAGGTACAAAACTACCTTGTCTTCTTTCTGTTTATACTAATTCCTTTATCAAAGGGTTGCTTGGCCACACTCTTTTTTTGTTCTTTGTATGGCTAGGCTGCAAACTTTACGTTCTGGTTTCCTTTAAATTATAAATTCCATCTTTAAGCATTACTCTCCTTTCTCATTTTATCATAAGCAGTTAAAAGAAGCCACACAGCTCCTTCAATATTTTGTTTAGAAATTTCTTTCAGCAGATATTCTACTTCATTGCTCTTAAGTTCTGCCTGACACAAAGCCCTCAAACCTGAACACAATTAAGCTAAGTTCTTTTCTACTTTATAACGTGGATGGCTTTGTTCCAATTTCCAATATCTTGTCCCTCATTTCCATTTAAGAATTCACGCAAATGGCCTTTACTGTCCATTTTTCCACAAACATTCTGGTCATGAACACTTAGTAATGCCTAAGAAGATTCCGGCCCTCCTTACACCTCTTGTTCTCCTTCTGAGTCATCACCAGAATCACCCTTAATGCTCCATGTATGGCAATCTAGGCATTTTATAGCTTGCTCCTCAAAATTCTTCCAGCTTCTACCAATTACTCAGTTTCAAAGCCACTTTCACATTTTCAGGTATTTGTTATAGCAACAGCCCCACTTATCTATGCCAATTTTTTGTCTTAGTTTATTTTATGCTGCTGTAACAGAGTATCACAGACGGGGTAATTTCTAATAAACAGAAATTTATTTCTCATGATTCTGGAGGCTGGGAAATCTAACACTGAGGAGCTGGCATCTGGGAGGGTCTTCTTGCAGCATCATCCCATGGTGGAAGGTGGAAAGGCAAGAGAGTGTTCACTCATGTGCATGAAGAGCGAGAGGAAGAGAAAGAGAAAGGAAGAAAAAGAGAGAGCAAGATGGAACTGAACTCGTTTTTATAAGAAACTCACTCTCAAGATAACATACCCACACTCATGATAATGACATTAATGAGGGCAGAGCCCTCAATACCTAATAACCTCTTTTTTTTTTTTCTTTTGAGACGGAGTCTTGCTCTGTTGCCAGGCTGGAGTGCAGTGGCATAATCTTGGCTCACTGCAACCTCTGCCTCCTGGATTCAAGTGATTCCCCTGCCTCAGCCTCCCGAGTAGCCGGGACTACAGGTGTGCACAACCACACCTGGCTAATTTTTTGTATTTTAGTAGAGACGGGGTTTCACCATGTTGGCCAGGATGGTCTCGGTCTTCTGATCTCGTGATCCACCTGCCTCAGCATCCCAAAGTGCTGGGATTACAGGCATGAGCCACTGCGCCCAGCCATCTAATCACCTCTTAAAGTTCCCACTCTCAATACTGTTGCATTGGAGATGAAGTTACCAACACACGAACTTTGAAGGGCACATTCAAACCATAGCAGCAACTTTATTCATAACAGCCGAAATCTGGAAACTACTCAAATGTTCTTCAGTTTGTGAATGGTTAAACAAAATGGCACATTCACATCATGAGGTACAAGTCAGCAATAAAAGGGAACAAACTCCTTTTATATTCAACAACTTGTATAAACCTCGTTTATAACAACTGAATAAACCTCAAGTTAGTGAAAGTAGCTGAATAAACCTCAAGTGAGTGAAAGTAGCTGATCTCAAATTTACATACTGTATGATTTTAATGATAACATTCTCAAAACAAAATTATAGAGGTGGAGAACAGATAAGTTAGCTACTAGAGGTTAAAGATAGTGTGAAGATGGGGGGAATAAAAAAGTAGTACAAAGAAGCTCTATGGTGCTTGTGCATTTTTTATCTTGATTGTGATGGTCCATACACGAATCTATACACATGATAAAATTAGGTAAACCTGCGTGCATGCTCACAGTAATGAATGCATATATAATTGACAAAACCTGAGTAAGCTCTGTGGATTTTTCCTGGTTTTATATTATGCTACACTTATGTGAGATGTTACCATTGGAGAAGGCTGAGTGAAAGGTTCAGTGAATCACTTGCACATTTCTGTGTATATATGAATCTATAACTATTTCAACATTTAAAAATATATTAAGACATAAGTAAATGGACAGGAAATGTATACCAGATACATGTGCCAAAAAGGTTGCCATAATATTAATATTGGAGAAGGTAGAATTTATGTCACAAAATTAAGACAAGGAAGAGAACTTCATTATGCTAAAGTGAGCATTTACAATATGCAATTATGATTGTGAACGTATATCCTCCAAATAACATAGATTCAGCATTTATTAATTTAAAAGACTTCAAAAGACACAAAGAGAAAAAGAAACGCATACTTAGTTTGAACTTTAATTCACTTTCCCAGTCGATGATGATCAATGACAAAAAAAAGCAAACCTTCAAAGGAACTAAATAATATAATTAATTTGTTATATTTAAAATTACATACTCTGAAAATAGAGAAAAAGCTGTTTTTCTAGTGCCCACAGTCCAGTCTTAAAAATTGACCTTAAAAATTGAGACAATAAAGAAAACATTGACATATTCTAAAATGTCAAATAGTACAGATCATAGTGCAATAAAACTAAAAATTAGTTTTATCTTCATTATTAGTTTAATTATGATCTCTGATCATAGTGCAATAAAACTAAAAATTAACAGCAAGATCGTGAAACAACTCACAGATCAAAAAGGAAATGCCAACCAAAATGTTTTCTAATTCAAACATCACTTGTTAGAATAATTAGATATGCTAAATAAACCTGCTCGAAGTTCACGGCCTTAAATAATGTCAGTACACAATAATGAAATGATTCAACTAGAAAATTTTGAAAAAAAACAGAACATTTAAACCAAATGAGAACAGAAGGAAAAATGAATAAAGATAAAAAATAGCAAAATTTGAAAACAGAATAATACTAAAATTAATAAATATATTCAAAACCTAAAACTGTTTAAAAACTTATAAAACTGATAAATCAAAAGAAAATCTAAAAAAGAAAAAAGTACAATTGTACAAAATAAGAGAAGAAAAAATTAGCCACATAAATTAGGATATTAAAGAAAAATCCTGGCCGGGCGTGGTGGCTCACTCCTGTAATCCCAGCACTTTGGGAGGCCAAGGCAGGTGGATCATCTGGGGTCAGGAGTTCGAGACCAGCCTGGACAACGTGTTGAAACCCTGTCTCTACAAAAACACAAAAAAATTAGCTGGGCATGATGGTGGGTGCCTGTAATCCCAGCTACTCGGGAGGCTGGGGCAGAAGAATCGCTTGAACCTGGGAGGCGGAGGTTGCAGTAAGTCAAGATCGCGCCATTGCACTCCAGTCTGGGCAACAGAGTGAGACTCTGTCTCAAAAAAAAAAAGAAAGAAAAATCCTAAGATACAACTTTGTTCAACTCTATGCCATATGTTAAAACCTGGGTGAACAGACTAGCTCTGGAAAAAAAAGTTTAGCAAAACTGACCTCAGAAGAGACAGAAAATCTCAACAGACTGATTTTCGTAGAAAATGATAAATTTGAAAAAAGTGTTACATCCAGATGGTACTACAGGAAATCAGCCAAGTCTATAAAAAGCCGACAATTTATTTAATATTCCAGAACATAGAAAAAGAAGTGAAAGTTTAAAATTCGTGTTATGAGGCAAGCATAATTGTGATATCAAAATTGATGAGCAAAAACAATGAGTTTCAAAAAAATCTAAAATAAAATAATAGCAGGCAGAAGTAGCATCATAAAAGAATATAGTATGTCCACATGGGATTTATTTCAAGATTTTAAGGAAGTTTTCATATGAAGAGAACAATTAATTAAATTCAGGACATTTATTGATCTGAGGGAAAACATACATACACACACATAGTTTTCTACAACAACTAAAAAGCATTTAACAAAATATAACATTCATTTATGGAAGAAATAATCAATGAATACTTTTGAAAAATGATTCTAAAATTGCTCATTCATTCCGTTTACATCATTTTTTAATGGGACAACATTAGAAGCATTCCTACTGAAGTCAGGAATAAGACAAGAATACTCTCTAGTGGTTGTGATTTTTGTTTGTTGTGTTTTCAAACTAGACAGGTCAATCCTAAAGTTCATATGCCAAAATTAGTACAAATAGGGAAATTCTAAAAATAAAAGGTAATGATAGTGTATTTCAGGCATTAAAACTTGCACTAAAGTTTTAGTAATTAAAAACAGTATTATTGATGCATGAATAGACCAATGGAACAGAATTTTAAAAATTTGGAAATACATTCTAATATAGGAGACTTTAATATATAACAAAGGTTTCACCCAAATCAGTGTGGGAAAAAAAAAGATCCACTTAGTAAATAGAATTAATGGGAATGATGTACGTGGGAAAAAAATTAATTTGATTCCACACCTCATATGATACCCAGAATGAATTTTAAATGCATCAAAAATGAAATGTAATAAGCTAACTCATAAAAACTATATGAACACATAGCACTGTATCTTATAAACTTATATTGGGAATGGTCCTTCTAATTATTACACTAATCCAGAAACTCTTAAGGAAAAGACTGTTAAATTGAGGATATAAAATTCCAAAACTTTATTATGGCAAAGAACACTAAAAGTAAAGTTAGAACACAAATGAAAATATTTAGAAAAATATGCAAAAGACATATTATGGACAAAGAGCTAATCTCCTTAATATAAAAAAAGATTCTAGAAATAGGAGGAAAAAAGACCACAAAAATGTAAATAAGTGTAAATAGGTACTAAAACTTCAAATACTTTTTTAAAAGATAACAAAACAATAGAAAAGCGGGCCTAAGATACAACAGAGAATTTATGAAAAATGAAATAAAAATTGCATGTAAAGGTATGAAATGACATTTCATCTCACTCACTGGCATTTCATGGTGAGATGGAAATGAGAGTGGTTATCAATATGAAGCTAGCCAATAAGAGAGAAACTAAGCAATGTTTAGAATTAGAATGCCCTGTGGATTTGTCAGAAGAAAAGAAGTTCGCCAGAAATCCATAGAAGTGTTAGGAAGACACAAATCACAAGGAATGAAATGGGATATTGAGATAGAAAGCAACCACTGAAAGTGAGAGGTGACTTTTGAATAGTAGACTCAGGGATTCCTTTGAATGGAGAATCTGTTTTCTTAAGCACATTTTGTGAAAACAATCATATGCAAATGCTTCTACAGCATCCTTTTGGTGCATGTGGGAAGGGAAGTCTTCTACTGCTTATTTATGAATAGTAATTAGAGGGGAGGTCTTAAAAACAGCAATTGCTCAGTCCATTAGTAGAGTTTGCAGACTCGCAAGGCTTAAAGTACACCAGCCACCAAATTCTATTTCTGGATGTGCCTACAACTCCATGTAAATTCTGAAAGCTAGTTATCCCTTTTCCTGCTCCTGTCTCCTATGTCAGAGTGCAAGAAAGTGTTTCAGACGTGACAAGTTCTTACCAGGGGAATGGCATTGACAGGTAAAGAGGACACAGTTATCAGAAACTCTAGCACAAGTGAAACAGGCATTTCAAAGGACTTTCGGAACATAACATTGAAGTGAAACATTAGTTTCTCCATCTATAGATTCTAAGCTCAGCAGCTGGAAAGCTGAATGGTAGGTGCTTTATCTTTAAGGACTATTTCCAACAATATAATTGAATCTCATGAAGCTATTGTTCAGCATAAGATGCCAGATCCACAAGAGCACATACAATGTGGTTTCATTTGTATGAAGCTTAAGAACAGTCAAATTAATCTATGGTATTATCACACAGGAGAGATTTACTTGTGTACAGCAAAATAAAATTCTAAGGCTCCCCAACCTTCTGAATGGACCTCTCCTCTCAGCCAAGGACATTCCAAAGTTAACCTGAAAAGCTTGTTCTGCTCAGGCTATTGATATTGTTTGGCTGTGTCCCCACCCAAATCTCATCTTGAATTCCCACATGTTGTGGGAGGGACCTGGTAAGAGGTAATTGAATAATGAGGGCAGTCCTTTCCCATGCTGTTCTCATAATAGCGAACAGGTCTCACAAGATCTGATGGTTTTAAAAAGAGGAGCTTCCCTGCAGAAACTTTTTTTTTTTTTTGCCTGCTGCCATCCATGTAAGATGAGACCTGCTCCTCCTTGCCTTCCATCATGATTGTGAGGCCTCTCCAGCCATGTGAAACTGTAAGCCCAAAAAACCTCTTTCTTTTGTAAACTGCCCAGTCTCAGGTATGTCTTTATCAGCAGTGTGAAAATGGACTAATACAGCCGTAATGGAAGCAGGAGTTGGACGTGCCTCATTATGCCCTCCTCCCTTTTTGAATTCAGGAAGAGCCAACCAGCATTTACAATCTATTGTCTCTGAAGCTTGCTACTTGGAGGCTTCATCTGCATGATAAAACCTTGGTCTCCACAACCCCTTATTGTAACCTAGACATTCCTCTCTATTGATAATAACTCTTTCAACCAATTGCCAATCAGAAAATTTTTAAATCTACCCATGACCTAGAAGCCCATTCTTCAAGTTGTCCCACTGTTCCAGATCAAATCAATGTAAATCTTACATGTGTTTGATTGATGTCTCATGTCGCCCTAAAATGTATAAAACTAGGCTGTGGCAGGACCACCTTGGGCATATGCTCTCAGGATCTCCTGAGGGCTGTGCCGTGGACCATGGTCACTCATATTTGGCACAGAATAAATCTCTTCAAATATTTTACAGAGTTTGACTCCTTTTATTGACACTTGGGAGAGGAATATGACTGAACAGGTCATGCAGGATCTTCTGGGTACTGTGTTTTTAAATATATGTGTGCTAGTCACATGTGTGTTCACTTTGAAAATTCATGTCCTACACACTTGTGATTTGTGCACTTTTCTACATGTGTGTTAGACTTGAAGAAAAAGGTTTTAAAATGAGATAACCTTTTTCACTTATCCAGCTGGCAATTATTCAAAATATTGGATAGCATGCATTGTCAGGCTACAAGGAAGGTGTGACTCTTAGACATTACTGGTCAGAGAATAAATTGGTATTAAGTCTGCGAAAGGAAAACAAATCTCGGAACCCCAAACATACTAAGCCAACGGGAAAGGCCAAGCTAAGAACTGGGTTGCGCAAACCTGCTTCCATTTTGTTCTTAAATAAGATACTTACAAAGATTTTTTTTTAAAGTTACATACCTTTCTCACAATTTGCCCAAGATCTTGTGGTCTCCATGATCTTTACCATAAAACAGTTCTGTTGAATTCCACCCAGGCAATGTGATTTGATAGCTTATCTTCACAGGTACAGGACAAAGGACGGAACTCAAAGTCTTACCTCTGCTCACCTGAGACAAATGCGTATCTGATTGCTTCCTTTGTCCTATACTTACTTTATATTATGTAAAAATGCAGATTCACTGAGCCAGAGGAAGGCATAAGTGAGTATTCCTCTACCCACCTAGCACATGTAAATTGTGTCTTCAGTGAAAGGCTGACCAAAAACTCAAAAGTATACAATGGCTTGCCTCTTACCTACCCATATCGTTTTAAAAATTTATTCCGGCTGGGTGCGGTAGCGCATGCCTGTAATCCCAGCACTTTGGGAAGCCAAGGCGGGCGGATCACAGGGTCAGGAGATCAAGACCGTCCTGGCTAACACGGTGAAACCCCGTCTCCACTAAAAATACAAAAAATTAGCCCAGGCTCTGTAGTCCCAGCTACTCGGGAGGCTGAGGCAGGAGAATGGCGTGAACCCGGGAGGCGGAGCTTGCAGCGAGCCGAGATGGCGCCACTGCCCTCCAGCCTGGGCGAGGGTACGAGACTCCGTCTCAAAAAAAAAAAAAAAAATTTATTCCTCTTCCCCCAATATCTGTGTTTTCCCTTTAAATATTGAGGTACCCAGGGCCTCTTCAGAAAAAGCATGGGCCACAATTTTTCCTGTGGATGTATGATCTTTCCTGGGTGTGTCCTTAACCTTGGCAAATAAACCTCCTAAAATGATTGAGATTCACCTTGATCATTTTATTTGATTTATAAGCCCAACAAAGGTGATTTGGGAAAGTATCCAGTATCCAGCAATTTTACTTCCAGAAATTTATCCTAAGGCTATTCTTGCACACATGTGAAATGCTGTATCTATATATACTAGCAAAAGATCAAAAACAATCTGAGTTTTCTTCAAGGCAAAAAAAAGATGAATCAACTGTGGCTCATCTATATATTGAACCGCTATGCAGCTGTTAAGAAAGAATAAGGAGGCCAGGCCTGGTGGCTCACGTCTATAATCCCAGCACTCTGGGAGGCCGAAGCAGGTGGATCACCTGAGGTCAGGAGTTTGAGACTAGACTGGCTAACATGGTGAAAACCCGTCTCTACCAAAAATACAAAAATTAGCTAGGCATGGTGGAGCATGCCGGTAGCCCCAGCTACTCGGGAGGCTGAGGCAGGAGAATCGCTTGAACCTGGGAGTCAGAGGTTGCAATGAGCCGAGATTGCACCACAGCACTCTAGCCTAGGCGACAGAGTGAGACTCCTACTCCAGAAAAAAAGAAAAAAAAAAAAAACAAGAAAGAAGGAAAGAATAAGGAAGATACTATGCATTAATAACAAAAGTCCTTCAAGATATATTTTAACTGGAAAGAGCAACCTACTAAAATACATACAGTATGTTCCCATTTGCATGAGAAAGTGGCATTAATAAATAATATATACCTGTATTAAGTTGTATAAACATGAAATTCTTGGGAAGGGTAAACAAGAAACACAATAATTGTCACCTGGCTGGGAGTGGAGGATGGGAACTAGGAAGATGAAGGTCTTTCTCTATTTATTGTACCATTTTATAGTTTTGATGCTCAAAACATGTAAATGATTTATCTGTTCCAATGACTACATTTTAAAAAATTATTTGAGGAGGAAAAGATTTTTTAAAAATGTGTGACATATATCCAAGTTCCCAGAGAGCTGGGACTCACACTTGTGTCTTTCTGATGTCATTTCAGATAGCCATCAGACAGCTGGTAGGGGTGTCTACTGTCCTAACCTGTCCCTAACCTATTTTACTGCTGAAATAGGCTAAACAGGCTGAAGAGTGAAAAAGGCTAGGGACAGGCTAAAGGGTAAGGCTGAAGTAGGCTAGGAACAGGCTAAAGACCTCTCTTCTCCCTGTACTGGGAGCAGGATAGAGAGGCGAGTAGGATAATGAAATCCTTTTTTATCTTCAGAAACATATATTATTACCTTTCGAAATCCTCGATGTCAGGATTGTCTTAGCTTTCCAGCTGGGTACCAAAGGACAAGGACACCGATGCTAGTTAAGATGCAGCAGTTCACCTTGGCCCCCGCACCACTGTTTAGAGTCATGCCACTGCCTCTCTCAGCTGCCCACAACCCACCTACCTGCCTCCCCACTTCAGAGCTGGGCTTTTAACCTAGAAGCCGTTTTACATGCACAGCTTCTCTGCCTTCCCTTCCCACCTCCCCCTGCAATTCACAGTTCACTGCACTGACTACTCTCTCTCAGGCCACAGAAAAGCATGGCCTGCTCAGCACATGGCTTAATTTTTCATAATTATTAAAGTTTATTTTTATTTTTGTAGATTCAGGGGTATATATGCAGGTTTATTACATGTATATATTACATAGTGGTGGGGTTTGGGCTTCTAGTGTACCTACCACGCAAGTAGTGAACATTGTACCCAATAGGTAATTTTTCAACCCTTACTTCCTCCCACCATTTCCACCTTTTGGAGTCCCCAGTATCTGTTAAGTTCCTAGATACACGCTTCTGGGCTGCTCTTCCAGCCCTGTGATTCTGGGATCCACAATTTCACAGCCAGGTCTTTCTATATAATTGTGAACCACTTGATTTCTTCTTAAGAACATAAATGTGAACGAAATCTATATCCATACATTCAAAAATATCTTTAATTCTCATTCACTATTGCACAGAGAGTTTCCTTTTTGCAAATAAGCCTGTCTTATCTCACCCTTACAAGGTTTTGCTGGGACTAATTCCATGTTCCTTAGAACCACGCCACTCAAAGTGTGGCCTGTGAAGGGATCAGCAGAATTAGCATTGCCTGTGAGCATGTTAGAAATGCAAATTCTTGGACCCCATTCTAGACCTTCTGAATTAGAATCTGCATTTTAACAAGATGCCCAGGTGATTTGCATGCACTTAGCAGCTTGAGAAGCCTGCTCTAAAAAAAACATGTTGTATGCTTATAAGATCCAATTAGGGGAAAAGGCTGGGGAGCAGAGGAGAAGGGAAGACTGTTGATGTATTCGTTTCTGCAAAATACTCTTCTCTCTTGAAAACAGGTACTGCACATGGATGCCTTGACTTGCTTATAATGAAAGATAAGCAGGCCATGGGAAATCATTCACAGGTATTCCATATGGCGTGTTATGAAGAAAGTATGACTGAGCTGATCTAAGGATCCAAGGGAGACTGTCAGGAATTCCGCTTGTCAAAACTCTGGATCAACTGGAGATGGGGATTGCCCATGAGAGCACAGCTGGGAGGAAAACATATTTCCTTTAAAAAAGATATTTCCAAGTATTTAGGTAAATCCACAGGAGATGGAGACTTTGGGATGCATAATGATGTTACCATTGGAAAGACAAATTGCAAAATCACTCAGCGTCTTCCCCAACAGCCTCCTGGAGGAAGGCGGAGTTGACTGAGCATCTCTAAGAATAAGACGTTAACTGTGCTGAAACTTATTCCAAGTGCTGGGCTAGTCAAAGAGAGCCTGACCCAGGAACCTTGTGTCAGAAGTATTAAAAGAAGTAATGAAACAGAAGAGGAGATGCCCTCTAATGATGTTTGTGGTTGAAAGAGTGAGAAAGGAAGTCAGAGTGATTGAAATACATTATGTCATCTTGCTTTCTTACATCTTCAGAAAGGAAGGAGTGAAACTATATTAATCTGAACAAATGTTTTGTCTGATTACAAAACAAAATAGGTATCCATTGTAAAAAATTTGGAAAACAATGGGTCAAACAAAACACAAAGTATTCATAATCTTATTACCCAGATTATATTTTGATATGGAACTATTTAGTTCTTTTATCTTCATTTTTCTTACTATTTTAAAGGTTTGCTTTGTTGTAACTGCACAATGTAGGGATGCAAATATTCAAAAGTTCAAACAGTTTAGACTATACAGGATAAAAAAAGAAAATCTTTCTTCACCCGCATTCTCCCTAGCCCTCTATTCTACCCAGGCAATGCTATAAAAAGCCTTTATCTATTTGCATTCTTATATATACATACACAAACATATTGCCTGGGATAGTTTATTCGATACATATGTGGATTCATACTCTTCTCATATTGTTCTGCATCTTGCTTTCATCCTTTTAACCATATGTTTTGAAGAGTTTTCCAGGCTGGCACATAGGAACCATCATGCTCATTAAACTGCTGCATAGTATTCCATCATATATATATATACACACACACACACACATCACAATTTATTTAATCCTTTTCCTACTGTCGCTTAGTTTAATTATTCCCCTTCTTCAATATTATGGTTCAAAAGGCAATGACATCTATATACGTGCCTCCATGCACATATGTGAATATTTGTGTAGGATAAACCCCTAAAAGAATAATTCCCAGCACAGTCTCTGTTTACATTTCTGATAATGCCTTCCAACTTTCCCTCCAGTCAATGACAATTTATAATCACACTGATTGAGTATTCATGGAGAGTATTCCCAATTCCCACACTCTGTCTCAAATAAGTGATTAAAAGTATTCACTTCCCACACTCTGTCCTGTGACGCAGTGAAGGACGTGCCATCCCGAAATATGCCAAATTTATATATTGATTATTTCAAGTTGACAACATTAGAGAAATTGTAGTTTCATAAAAGGCTAGTGGACCTGTCTCTTTCTACACGCAGCAAGCTGTAAAGATTCTTCTAAGAGGGATACTCTTCCTGTTCCAGAATGAGAAAATAACCCTAATCACCAGCAACTGGGAATTGAGGGCTGCAGTGGACCTGAATAAAAATACTTACTGAAGTAACCCTTATCTTCCACTAGTTTTATGCCTCCTCTCATATCTCCTAGTGACTCTTCTGGAAATATACTTCCCTAGCCAGATCGCCTTTATCCTGTCATTTTTTTCTCCAATTAATTGTTCTAGGTCTAAAAAGTATAAAAACATCTGTTAAACTAAAGCGCTTCTGCACAGCAAAAGAAACTACCATCAGAGTGAACAGGAAACCTACAGAATGGGAGAAAATTTTTGCAATCTACCCATCTGACAAAGGGCTAATATCCAGAATCTACAAAGAATTTAAACAAATTTACAAGAATAAAACAACCCCATCAAAAAGTGTGCAATGCCTATGAAAAGACATTTCTCAAAAAAAGACATTTATGCAGCCAACAGACACATGAAAAAAATCTCATCATCACTGGTCATCAGATAAATGCAAATCAAAGCCACAGTGAGATACCATCTCACACCAGTTAGAATGGCGATCATTAAAAAGTCAGATAACAACAGAAGCTGGAGAGGATGTGGAGAAATAGGAGTGCTTTTACACTGTTGGTGGGAGTATAAACTAGTTCAAACACTGGGGAAGACAGTGTGGCGGCGATTCCTCAGGGATCTAGAACTAGGAATACCATTTGACCCAGCGATCCCATTACTAGGTATATACCCAAAGGATTATAAATCATGCTATTATAAAGACACATGCACACGTATGTTTATTGTGGCACTATTCACAATAGCAAAAACTTGGAACCAACCCAAATGTCCATCAATAATAGACTGGATTAAGAAAATGTGGCACATATATACCATGGAATACTATGCAGCCATAAAAAAGGATGAGTTCACGTCCTTTGCAGGGACATGGACGAAGCTGGAAACCATCATTCTGAGCAAACTATCACAAGGACAGAAAACCAAACACCGCATGTTCTCACGCATAGGTGGGAAGTGAACAATGAGAACACTTGGACACAGGGCAGGCAACATCACACACCGGGGCCCGTCAGGGCGTGGGGGTCTGGGGGAGGGATAGCATTAGGAGAAATACCTAATGTAAATGACAAGTTACTGGGTACAGCAAACTAACATGGCACATGTATACCTATGTAACAAACCTGCACGTTGTGCACATGTACCCTAGAAATTAAAGCATTAAAAAAAAAAGCAATCTTGCTTTGGACGCCTTCTCAGACTCACTCTATTGTGAAGAGACAATTTAAATAAAAACAATTTCTTTGTTTTTCACTTGTTAATCTGCCTGGTGTCAATTTGGTTTCTAGATCCAGTCGAAGAGTCCACATAACAACTAAGGGGAATTGGAGGTAACCTCTGGCTCCCCTGTTACTTTTCCTAAAACATTGCCAATCTAGCCGGTCAAATTTTATCATCAGTCATCTGATTTGCTTGTCCTCTATTTTGAATGAGGTTGACCAGAATTTTCTTGTACATTTGTGGTCATTTTTAGTTCTGTGAATTGCTTGTTCAATCCAATGCCATTTTTCTAATGGGTTGTCTTTTGTATGGATTTGTAGGAGCTCTTTATATATTACAAACAATCATGTCCAGTTTTTTAACCTTAATAATAGTTCTACCACCAAAAAATAGTCAAACTTGAGAGAATCACAGCCTATTGAAAGTTAGAACAGATCATACTTGAAAGGCCATTTCATTCAAGAGAGCTCAGTCAAGTAAATGAGCTCCAAAAAAGGATAATAGGCTGGTCGCGGTGGCTCACGCCTGTAATCCCAGCACTTTGGGAGGCCAAGGCAGGCGAATCACGAGGTCAGGAGTTTGAGACCAGCCTGGCCAACATAGTAAAACCCTGTCTCTACTAAAAATACAAAAATTAGCCAGGTGTGGTGGCATGCACCTGTAGTTCCAGCTAGTCAGGAGGCTGGGGCAGAAGAATCGCTTGAACCTGGGAGGTGGAGGTTGCAGTGAGCCAAGATGGCATCATTGCACTCCAGCCTGGGTGAAAGAGCAAGACTCTGTCTCAAAAAAAAAAAAAAAAAAAAAGGGATAATGGACACTTTCAAACACACCAATGTGAAAGGCATCAAGACTTGGCCATAAGAATTCATTCTCATCATGGCCATTGATGTTCATGGGATCAGCTTATCAGGTTGCTTCCGAACACAACTTTTCTTTTGGTGAAATCCAACACTTTTTCTGTACAGCATGCAGATTTCATTCTATAGTTTATATTAAGGACAGGAAGATAGTGCCTTTCTATAAAAAAAATCATTTGTGTATTTTTATACCACCTCCTTTTTCAAAGAATAAAATTAGAGTTTAGGCCAGGTAGTGGCTCACACCTGTAATCCCAGCATTTTGGGAGACCAAGGCAGGAGCATTGCTTGACTCCAGGAGTTGAGGCCAGCCTGGGTGATATAGAGAAACCTCGTCTCTATAAAAAGTTGAAAAAAAAAAAAAAAAGCCAGATGGCCAGGCACTGTGGCTCATGCCTGTAATCCCAGCACTTTGGGAGGCCGAGGCGAGTGGATCACCTGAGGTCAAGAGTTCAAGACCAGCCTGGCCAATAGCAAAACCCCGTCTCCACTAAAAATACAAAAAGTTAGCCAGGTGTGGTTGTGGGTGCCTATAATCCCAGCTACTCGGGAGGCTGAGGCAGGAGAATCACTTGAACCCAGGAGGCAGAAGTTCCAGTGAGCCGAGATCGCGCCATTGCACTCCAGCCTGGGCAACAAGAGCAAAACTCTGCCTCAAAAAAAAAAAATAGCCAGGCATGGTGGCATGCGCCCATAGTCCCAGCTATTCAGGAGGTTGAGGTGGGAGGATCACCTGAGGCCAGGAATTCAAGACCAGCCTGACCAATATGGCAAAATCCTGTCTCTACTAACAATACAAAAATTAGCGGGGCATGGTGGTGCACATCTGTAGTTCCAGCTACTTGGGAGGCTGAGGCACAAGAACCACTTGAGCCCAGGAGGCAGAGGTTGCAGTGAGCCAAGATTGAGCCACTGCACTACAATGTTTAAAATAAAATAGAATTTAAAAGGAGACAGGAAAAAGAAATTAAGGACAACTATAACACTCTGAAATGAGTGCCCAAAGGTTTAGCACAACAGCTAGAAGTTGATTGCAAATTTAGTCTAAGTGTCCTCAAGCTAAGGTAAAGAGGCAAACACAATCAGAGCAAGATTCACATTATTTGCACAATTAAAAGAGACCAGTTACTCAAGCCAAGCAAGTTTCCCCAGCACCGAAGCCTCATAGAGGAAATACTGTGGGATAGGAAAAATATCATTTTGAGAGTAAATTTTATGGAGAAATTTGTACAGTTTTGTCTCCCTCAGTACCAACGTTGAAACAATAGAAAAGTCGAGTAAAACAGTTTTTTAAAGTGAAGAACATTTTATAAATTGAACAATAAAGGACATTTGAAAATTCCCACAATAAAATGTTAGCAACAATAATAAACAACAGGCAGATAGGTGCAAATTTAATTGCCTCACTTGAAGCAGACCTTATAAATGAGAGTATTACTATATAGAATGTATTTATTAAAGGGAAAGGGTGTATCTTAGTCTGTTTTGTGCTGCTGTAACAGAATACCAGAGACTGGGTAATTAAAAAATAAAAGATATATTTAGCTAACTGTTCTGAAGGCTGCTAGGAAATCCAAAATCAATTGGTGAGGGCCACTGTGCTGTCATCCCATAGTGGAAGATGGAAGCAAAAGAAAGCACTTGATATGGTTTGGCCATGTCCCCACCCAAATCTCATCTTCAGCTGTAGCTCCCATAATCCCCACATGTCACATGTCATGGGAGGAACCCAGTGGGAGGTAACTTAATCAGCAGGGTGGGTTTTTCCTGTGTTCATCTCATGATAGTGAATAAATCTCATGAAATCCGATGGTTTTGTAAAGGACCGATACCCTGAATACACTATCTTGCCTGCCACCATGTAAAACATGCCTTTGCTCCTCCTTCACCTTCCACCATGATTGTGAGGCCTCCCCAGCCATGTGAAACTGTGAGTCCATTAAACCTCTTTTTCTTTATAAATTAGTCAGTCTCAGATATTTCTTCATAGCAGTGTGAAATAGACTAATACAGCACATGTTCTAGACAGAGGGGGAACAGGGCCAAATTAATCCTTTTTATCAGAAACCCACTCCCATGATAACTAACCCACTCCTATGATAATGGCATTAATACATTTGTAAAGGCAAAGCCTTTAGGGCTTAATCACCTTTTAAAGATTCCATTTCTCAACACATGCATTGGGAATAAGTTTCCAACACATAAACTTTTGGGGATACAGTAAAACTATAGCAGGGTGTATTTGGCAAAAATACTCATCATAGGAATTTTTTAAATGATATTTTCTGCAAACGCATGTGGAATTTGAGTCTGTTTTCAGAGATAAGTGTGCAACTTTCTGGCATACCTCTGCTATTTATATAGAAGCGCAGGTGCAGAGAGGATTCATTGGCACAGGTGGGCCATGAAATATACAGGAGTTATCTCAGGCTAAGGTTTATCAAAGGAAGCTAGCTAATGAAGAAAGACATGGGGATACATTTTTCTCTTCTAAAAGGAGGAAGTTTGGAGCCCTCCTCTGCTCTTGTCCCTTGAGGCTTGTCATGCAGAAAGAGGACTGAGCTCTCAGCCAGGTACCATCACCTGGATTGTGGGCCACATTCTGAAGAACAGAGCTTCTGAAAGACAGTCAAGGATGGTGGATGAGGAAACAGCCTTGTCTTATTTCTCCTCTTCTACTCTTGAAGTCCAGTAGTGAACTTTTCTCATCTATCAGGCAGGCTTGCAACTACGTAAATGCTATGAGATGGCCAGGATGCTGGGCTGGGACCAGCTCAAAGCTAGGCACTGAGAGGGGACCTCGTAGTTCCATAAGGATAAGCTAAAATAAAAAAACTTGGGTACAGGTTTTGAGATGGTATAGGCAAATCAACCTTATGTTTTTTGTTTGTTTGTTTATCTTGAGCTAATGAAGATCTAACTCAGTGCATTTCAAAGTGGGGTGTCCAGAGCAGCTGCAGCAATCCACCCTGGAAATGTGAGAAATGCAAATTTGAAGGCCCTGCCCTACATCTGCTACTCTGATGATGTGTCCAGAAATCTGTATTTTAATCAGGTTTCCAGATGATTCTGATGCATGCTCAAGTTTGAGAACCATGGATATAACTTGCAGAAGAAAAAGGTGCTTTCTCATGACCCACTCCACCTTATTCAAGTTTTTCATCAGAATGGGGCCAGCTAAAAATAGTGTTACTTTGTCTTCTATTTGCAGATTGTCACGCTGTGGTTACATCTGCTTCTTAGGCGTAGTCCATGGAAGGGTGAGTGCTCTAGAAGTTTGATTTGGGGAATTGTGGCCCCTTGACCATAATATAATCTAATAGGACCCTGATCTTACCCTGGTTTTCACAAAATTTATAAATTATGTCTCTAAAACAGCCAGGCTGGAGTATTTATAGCCTGAGGAAGCTAGCCACAGCATAGTTCTAAAAAAAAAAAATCCGCAGTTTGCATCAGTAAATGCTGAAAAAATGTAAAGGCTCATCTGTTGCTAGAGGGGGAAAAAAAGGAAGAGAAAGAAAAGGGCAGAGAACTTCTCAGAATGAGATGTTCGATTTATTCAAGCTTGTAAATATAGAAATCCAGACTGCTGGTGAAACTCGAAATAGTAATTTTGCTCCCATCTCGCAAGGATGGAAGAAAGCATTTAGATCCACACTCTACCTATGCGGAAAAATCGTGAGACCGTGTGCTTCTAGCAGGTACCTGGAATTGGTGCTTGCATTTGGAGATGCTGTGGCCAACTTCTCATTATACCGTGGTCAATCAAACACTCTTTGTCCCCGATGTTCAAGAGTTTGGCTCTATGGGTAAATCTGCACCATTAAAGCCAAAGTTCATAAAGCAACTATGGAAAGCTTCTATCTTAGTGCTCCCAACTGAAAAAGAGTGACTGATGGCTTAAGTATTTTTATAACTAAAGGAAAAGTGATTAGTGGATTGAGTCAGAGTCACATAAAAGAAAATTTGAGCTCTGTACCGCTTGCTTGTGATTTATTTATTTCTATCATGCAGTTGCCAGTGCTATTAAAATAATGTCAAAGACATAAAGATGAATTTAATAAGCTATTGATGGTGGATCTGACAGTGGGTTAGTGCCTAAAGTAGTGAAATGTCAGGGTAAAGTGCATTATGTGCTGACTTGCATCGTTAAAGTGACTCCAGGCAAACCGAGAAGCAGCCGTTAGACTTCCTTCAGATGCACTAAACGGCTGCTCTTCCGCTAAAAGCTCCCCAGCTCTTATCCTGGGATAATGGATCAGAACTGAAACATCTATGTCTAAGAGAGAACAAGGGAGTGCCCCAACAGGTCTAAACTAGATCAAACACATTACCATCAATGTGCACACATCCTTAACAAAGCCAAGCTAATTATTAAAATGTGAAATATGGCTCAAAATGCAAACCAAGCAGAAATTCTATAAAGGACAAAACCAAGCCCCACATTTACTTAATTCCTAAGTCTTCAAGTGAAATGGTCTTTTCATTTCATTATCAGGCTTTGTTCAATGCAGTCAATATCTAATTATGTTTTTAAAAGTTAAGTTTGGGATCTAAATTACCTATAAATACAGGGATATTCTTAGGGATTTCTTTGAGATATAGTCCCATTATTTCTCATTCACTTGCCTTGAGCTATGAGAAAAACAAATTGAAGCTTTAAGAGTTGTCTCAAAACACAACTTCTTCTAAACTGTCTTTGGTCCATGAGTTTTGAGAGTTCTCACAGTGGGTTTGATGTGCTAGCTGTCTGTATTCATAAAACTAAATGAGTAATTGGCAAGTCTCTGTTTTGCTTTGTGCTGTGGGTACAGGAGAAGAGAAATGAAAGGGGCAATGGGGGAGAGGGTAGAAGGGAAAGAAGAAAATAGAAAGGGAGTAAGAGAGAAAAAGGTGGTGATAATTGAGTAGAAAAGTGAAAGAAGAAAGAAAAGCAAAAAAAAAAAAACAGAAAAAAAGGCAAAAAGATCAATTTCAACAGGTCTTGAAACATAACCATTTCAAGAGGAGATAAGGAATCTGAGTGTTCCATAATTTCTTGTCCCATTAACCAAACCCACCAATTACTCAATTTCTACCTCATTTTGACTATGAGGCCGAAACAAATGAAATGCATTCAGTTCTGAATTTAAAACCTAAATCCTGAATTTTGGATTTATGGAACCAAAAATGACCTGTAGCTAGACTACATATTTCCAAAGTTGGCTGTTGTTCCGTGGCATGTCAAGGGTGCCCATGAAGATACAAAACTTTTCACTGTTTGTTTCACTATACTTGAAGGGAGCTTGAAACGAAAGCAATGTTGTTAAAACTTTTGAATTAGGTAAATGTTCTGCACTTAGCAATGTACAGTTGATTCTCATTATTCGTGGTAATTATGTTCTGTAAAGTTGCCTCAAACACAAAATTAGCTAATACTGAACTATTGTTTCTAGGAGGAAGAGTTAAGTTCTTGCAAGCCTGTAGTCACAACATTTTCATCAACTGAAGTACACATAAGCTTGTTTTATGTTTCTATTTAAACACCTTATTGTGTGTGTGTGTGTGTGTGTGTGTGATTCATTAACATTTAACTCACAGCCAACAGTAATATAACTCATGTCTGAATGAAGCTCATATCGTACACATACTTTCTCTATAAGGCATATCATATTCTACTTGCACTTAGGAACACTGGAAAACACTGCAATACTATGTTTGAGGACCAGTTTAAACTATGAAAGCACCAATAAAAAGCATAAAATATGTGACAAACTACAAAAAGAACACTTGTTTACAGCATGAGAACTGAAACAAGAAGGCAGTGTGTCATTTTGTTTGACCTCAGCTAGGAACATGTGCATTGGGGTGACTCAAATTTTTTGCCACTCTGCATGTCTTCAAATAACTATAAAATCACCCGCCAGGCATGGTGGCTCATGCCTGTAATCCCAGCACTTTGGGAGGCTGAGGCAGGCAGATGACCTGAGGTCAGGAAATCGAGACCAGCCTGGCCAATGTGGTGAAAGCCCGTCTCTACTAAAAACACAAAAATTAGCTGGGCATGGTGGCGGGTGCCTGTAACCCCAGCCAATAGAGAGGCTGAGGCAGGAGAATCGCTTGAATCCAGGAGACGGAGGTTGCAGTGAGCTGAGATCGTGTGCCATTGCACTCCAGCATGGGCAACAAGAGCGAAACTCCATCTCAAAAAAAAAAGAAAAAAAAAAAAAACAGCACCAGGAATATCCATTTTGGAGCTATAAGTTAATTTTTGGTGAGTAGGTGAATTAGCAAAAATGGAATCCACAAATAAGCAGGAAACACTGTATTTGGTTTTCCATTCAATTTTGCCATAATCTTTCAACTTTTAATCTGCCTTGGCACTTTGACTTTCTGTAAGTCTACTTGTTCTTGAGTTTCTTTGACTGTATAGGAGGAAGATTATTCCTGTTCCTTCTACATGTCTAGAACTCTATTTGAGTTCTTGGCTTCTTTTTCTCTTTTTTTTGCAGGAGTTGGGGCAGGGATGGAGTTTCCCTCTTGCACTCGTGTCGCCCAGGCTGGAGTGCAGTGGCGTGATCACAGTTCACTGCAACCTCCACCTTCCATGTTCAAGAGATTCTCCTGCGTCAGCCTCCCAAGTAACAGGGATTACAGGTGTGCACCATCAAGCCCAGCTAATTTTTGTATTTTTAGTAGAGACAGGGTTTCACCATGTTGGCCAGGCTGGTCTCGAACCCCTGACCTCAGGTGATCTACTCGCCTCAGCCTCCCAAAGTGCTGAGATTACAGGCGTGAGCCACCGCAACCAGCTGACTTCTTTTTCTTAAGTAAAACAAAATAAAGTAAAATAAAAATAGAGGATACTGAATCATTAAAAATTTAGAAAAAATGTAAAGCAACAAAACTTGAAAGACAGCCAAACTGGAAACTGAATTAGTGTTGAATCCCTTCATAAACTTTATCTCACTTACTCATGTCAACCTTTGTACTGAGTATTTTATAAGTGCAACAAGAGGTTAAGAGATGTATCCATGGTCAGATAGTTAAGTCATAGGACCAAGACTTCAAATGAAACTTTTAGATTATAAATTCCATCCACCTTCTATAAATAGAATTAAAAGAGAAGACACAATCATTCATGAAGCTTTGATTAAAATGTGCAAAATGAAAATGTTTTTTATATTTCTTTATAAAGCCCACACCAGATAGCCCCCACAATAGTTGAGTATAAAATATTAACCTTACAGGGATATGTTAAGGCCATTCTCACAAGGGGGAAATATAAACAGTCATTGAGAGAAATGGAAGGCAATGCTTTTAGGGAAAAGTGCACTAGTTGTAACTTTGGTTGTAAAAGGGAATACCCTGGCTTGTCAAGAACGACTTAGGAAAAGGCTCCTGAAATCACTGTAAACTATATTCTCAAGTTGTCAGGCCCCAAAAGTGGGGTGTTAAAAGGTAAGTGAGGCACACTGGAAACTGAGTCCTCTGACTACAGTGGACAGCTGAGAAGCTCCAGTGTATCTTGCCCAGTAGAAAGTTGGGCTAAGTTTGCTACATTTGATTTTCCAAGAGAATTTGGAAATTCTCTTTTGTACGTGAAATTTCCATGGCAGAGACAGTAGATGCTCACTTCAAGTCCATGAGCTCCCTGTATTTCCCAGCCTCCTTCCACTGCAGTCAGGTGTGGGGCCCTGTGACCATTCTATCCAATAGTTAATGGCCTGTGAGCAGAAGTGAATGAGATATAAATCACCAAGGCCTTTACAAGTCTTCTTCCTCCCTCCTTTCTCTCCCCCAATCTGTCTCTCTCTCTCTCTCTAGGAGTATGAGTTGGTATACCTCAGGCTCCTATTATCCTTCATCAGTTCTCTCCAGGATGTCCCAGCTGCCTTTGGACTTGAAGTATAACACTTCTTTACATTCTGAAAGTCAAATTGGCCATCAAGGCATGTGGCAAAGACCAAGAGTTGTGTCCCAATATCCATTCTTGCCTTCTATGCTTCTTTGGTACTAGACTTCAGACATTCACATGAATGTTCAGAGTAAAGGCTAATTTTCAAGCTACCCTTATTGCTATGCGTGGCCCTATGACTAAGTGTTGGTCAATTGGATGTGAGTGGAAGTTGTGTCTGCCATTTTAGGGGTGTGCCCTGTCTTGCCCTGTTTTTCTTTGTCTCTCCCACTGGAAACAGATGTCATAAAGAGCAACATTGGACCACATGGATGAGAAGAGAACTGTAGTGCCTACTTAACAATGTGGAGCTGCTACGTTAGTCTTGAACTGTTTTGGCTCAGATTCAGAAAAAATAAACTTTTAATTTGTGTAAGCTACTCTTGGATCCTAATGCAGTCACACTGTATCCTAGATAATCCAGGCACTTAGATGCTATGGCTACTGCTTTAACTCCTATCAAAACCCTTGGAAAATAGAGCTAAACAGGTTTGGGAAGTGGCATGACATATCCATGAAGTCTGTGCACTTTGAAGTAAGATAGAACTGACCCTGAATTTTACTTGGCCACTTCCTAGCTGTGTCTCCATGGCCAAGGTAATTAAAATATCTGAGCTAGGTTTCCTTTGCTTAAAAATTGAGTAAGTAATACATCATAGGATTGTTGTAAAGGTTAAATGAGCTGGTGTATACACAGTTCCTGGCATCTAATAAATATTAAACAAATGCTTGTTGCTATTGCTCAGGAGTCAGACACACTAAGGAAGTTGGAAGACAGGAGGAGAGGGTAGGAATGGCTTCATCTGCTCACCTTGCTTCTGCAACCAGAGGGACTTGCAAACACTCTTCTCTCAGTTTCTGTAGCTCGTGGATAGAAGATGTCATCCCATGGCTGACAGACATCTGGATTTTCTGTGCTGTGCTTATTCATTGAACTTAATCATGACCTCACTTTCTATGCCTGAGTGAGTAGAGGCTCCTTCTCCCTCCTTGGGTACAGTTGTTGATGGATTGAAAAGCACTCACTGAGAAAAGATATACTGTGACCCCTCCCAAGCCCGAGTCAATGTGAAAAGGGCTAAAACTGTGCCAAGTGCCAGAGTCCACTGGAAATTTCTGAATCCAGCTGCACACCCAGATGTGCATGTTGACAGGATGCCAAGCCATTCCAAAGTCTTGAGCAATGCGCAGTTCCAGGGCCCAGTGAGCTGGTGCCAAGGCTTTGACTGCCACTCCAGGAAGCCAGCAGCGGGGCAAGTGGGGGAAAGAATGCTCATTGAAAGAAGAAATTATTTTATGTATGGTTTCCCTGCTGACCAATGACATCTCTACCTTGCTAGTGTCCCACCTGTCCTCCAAAGTGGCTGACCCCACTGGAGATTGTTGCAGGCTGCAGCCATCTTGATGATGAGAATTGGCATCATCTGGGAGGAACACTCACTTCGTAACACTTCCCTTGAAAGCCATACTGTGTAAAACTAACTGCAGAGATGCAAACTTTCTTGTTGGAAGCATTGGCCTATGAAGGTAATAGAGAGCCATAGGGAGAAAAACAAATTGGTGGAGGAAAAAGTGACCTATACTGCCATCTGTCTGTCTGGAAGAGCATAGGTGACTCAATCCATTTCACATTTACCTCTCTTCAGCATTCAGCTAAGGTAAAGAAAAAATGGAGGGAAATAACTTGGATCAAATGTCTGTCAGCCCCACCCCTCAGCTTCCCAATTATTTCATCCCTCCTCCAGCCCAAACACATCTTTCTCTCACATCCTGATAGAGGCATTTCCATCTGTTTGCAAAACCTCACATTCCTGCCATAGCAAGTTGGAACTCAGAATATTGATACCCATTCTCTCTCCACTACTGTGTTCAAAACTGTCACCATCACAGGGGACATCAGGCCTTGGTGAACTTGTCTTGTAATCCAGCTTCCAAGCACAACATTGTTTCAATGGGAAGGGAACTCATTCTGGGTCCAAACAAAAAGCTGGTTGGTGACCTTAACGAATACAACCACGACATGTTTAAGACTGTCTGCACACGAAAATCAGCAAACATCAAAGATAGCATTGCACAATACGGAGTGTGGCACATCCAGAAAATTCAGGGGGAATGAAATTGCAAATGTAAGGGATAGAGTCAAAGACTGCATTTTAAGTTTATTTCCACCCAAACTGGTTCTTCCTCTGCCATGGAATAAGGAACAACTCAGCAAAGGGAGAGAAAGAAAGCAAAGCAATGAGGAGTTTCAGCCGCCTATTCTTTCAGGGGAAAGCTGGCGTGTGCTTTTCCCAAACTCAGCTATAGGCAGAAAACCAGAAGTGAGGCCGCTTCATCAGGAAAAAGAGATGCAGACAGCCCAAGTTACACAAATCCCTGAGCCTTGTCTGCACAAGGGTGTTTCATTTCATGTGGCTGCTCAGTATGTAAAGGATGAAAGTCTCATTTTAAGTAAATAGTGACATGGACTGTGGTGTTGATTAACAATCAACCATGTCTCAAGTCCAGCTCTCTCCAACGAAAAGCACCAAGAAAATACAATCTTCGGAAGAAAGGACTTGACAGAAACCACAGGCATGAAGTTGCATGGCCAGTTCCTGTTTGGGAAAAGCAACAGCACATTTGGTCTCTGAATTCCCTGCATTTGGCCGGCCATGTGGTCTCCAAAGTGGCTGTTTTTCTGAAGTCTCCATTGCGCATGGACCGACACACTCAGGCTTGCCTTCTTTCTGATGCCTTTTTGAGTGATGGCAAGAGCTATGTGAGTTCTCAGGGTGAGCTCTTTGTGTACAGGTTTGGTGTAAATAAGCATTCAGTTGAGCAAAGGTAGTTCTTACCAAGCCCTTGGCCATCACAAGACCACCTGTGCTGGAGCAGGCTGGGGCTGAGGAAAGGTTGGGAGTGAGTCTCCAGCTTCCCAAGAAGGAGTGACGTGGTCCCTGCCGAGAAGGAGTCATTTTGTTCATTCCCAGTCTCTTTCCTCCAAATTTTCAACCTAATTCCCACCTACGAGAGCAGTATTTTGGATACATGGAGCTCTCAGAGTGCCTCATTCCTGCAGTTTCCAAAGGCCCTTCTCAGTCCTCCTGTTTTCCATAAATGTAAGATGTGTTTCCAGGATCACCAGCTGCCTACTAGCAGGAAAGACCAAGGTGATCAATAAAGCACAGCAAGACCTTCCTTTTAAGCCACCCCAGCATGTTGCATTTCTAGAGCAAAGGAAGGAATGGGACTGAAGGCATAGCTTTGTTTGTAGGCTTTCATGTGCACCAGAATATACATTAAGGGACATGCCACACAATGTGTCTGTTTTTAAAGTGTTCATTCTATGCCGGACACAGTGGCTCACACCTGTAATCCGAGCACTTTGGGAGGCCGAGGCTGGTGGATCACTCCGAGGCCAGGAGTTTGAGACCAGTTTGGCCAACGTGGTGAAACCCCATCTCTACTAAAAATACAAAAAAATTAGCCTGGTGGCAGGTGCCTGTAATCCCAGCTACTCGGGAGGCTAAGGCATGAGCCTCTCATTTGAACCTGGGAGGCAGAGGTTGCAGTGAGCTGAGATCATGCCACTGCACTTCAGCCTGGGCAACAGAGCAAGACTGTCTCAAAAATAAAATAAAATAAAATGTTCACTCTAAAACGATTTGATTAACACACTGTTGACAACTGAGTTATCTGCTATGAACAATAGAAAAAAATGAGTTAAAGAAAGACCATTGTCTTGAACTACTGCTCTCAGAATGGTGGTCTCAAATTGTACAGAGCTCAACCTGCAAACACTGGAGCTCTCATCCCCTGGGGGGCTCTTAAATGGCCTGGAGGGTTTCCATAAGTGGGCCTACAGTTCAATAAGCAGGCCTAAAGTTCAAAGCCAATTTTCAGAATAAAGAAACATTCTCCCCAGGCTCCGGACACCTTGCAAATAGGAAAGTGGACCTCTGATGGTGATTCATAAGCATTTCAATCTCATTCTCTAAGTCTTGTGACTGGCCATTCCATAACTCCAAATGCCTTTGGCTTTGAAATTTCCTCCCAGGGTGCCTGCCTGGCATGTAGAAACTTCATTTAGCATAGCGCAGGTGGTCTTGTGCTGGCCCAGGGCTTGGTAAAAACTCCCTTTGCTCACCGGAATGTTTACCTACACCAAACCTGTACACAAAGAGCTCACCCTGAGAATTCACACAGCTCTTTCCATCACTCAAAAAGAGCATCAGAAGAGCAAGAGAAGATGGCAATCACCTGAGGTCGTGAGTTCGAGACCAGCCTGACCAACATGGTGAAACCCCATCCCTAATAAAAATACAAAAAAACAGCTGGGCATGGTGGCACATGCCTGTAATCTCAGCTACATGGGAGGCTGAGGTAGGAGAATCGCTTGAACCCAGGAGGCAGAGGTTGGGGTGAGCTGAGATTGCACCATTGTACTCTAGCCTGGACAACAAGAGTGAAACTCCATCTCAAAAAAAAAAAAAAAAAAAATTTGAGGTAGGCTATGTTCAGAATCTCAAAAATATTTTCTTAGAAAATAAAAATAGTTGCTCTAAATTATTTCTCTTATGTTTTATGTTTTTTCTTTTTTTATCTGTCTTAAATTTTTTAATGAAGGAAATAATGTTAATAAGCAAAATACATTTATTTGAGAATATTGGAAAAATACCTAAATGAACAAACAGGTGAGAAAAACTGTAAGCTACCTATGCAAAGGAAGCCACAATTTACCTTTTGCATCTTTTTTTCCAGTCTTTTTGTTATACATGTTTTGTGTAATTGAAACCATACTGTTTTATTTTATTTATTTATTTTAGATTCTGCTTTTTACACTTAGTAATGTGTAAAAAGGTCAGTGTGGCTGGAGCAGAGATAACATAAGCATTTCTCTGTGATATTAAAAAATTGTTGCATGTTAGAGAGCACAGATGACTCCCAGACAGAATGAAGGGATAGATTTAAAAGGAATTTAATGACCTTCATATTTGGAACTACAGGGATTGCCGTAGAAACCTTAAGGTGAACCCACGGACAGGTCTAGCTACAATCACAGGGACTGAAGAAAGGGATAGAGTCAAGATACCACTTCTCAGAAAGAGAGGCATTCAGTATGAGTTGAGAGAAACACATTGGAGGTCATAAAGCTGGAACTTTACAACAGCTTCCAGAAAGCAGAAGACTTAAAACTACCCAATACAAGTTCAACCTTGTTATTTTATAGACAAGAAGAAACTGGATCCATAATGATAAAGTGACTCATGGTAAGCCCCATCGAGTGGAAGTTTGTGAGAGACTCAAAATGTTCTGACATTGGATCCAACATTATTTGGTCTGCATCTTCCTGCCTTTTCTTCCACTTGCCTTCTCCCACACTCCACGTTGGTGTACAAGTGGGAATCAACATGTGTTATAACCATCTCACAGGGAGATGAGCTCAGATGGTTAATGGATGTGAAAACTCTTTGACAATGGGAAAACGACAAAAAACTAAAGCTTTATTGCTGCTGCTGCTGCTGCTAGTTTCCTACCTACTGAGGATAAAGATGAATGCAGCCACCTTTGACTCATTTAATGTATTCATTCAATAAACATTACTGAGTGTGCCAGGCACTGGGTGTAGGCATTAGGTATACAACAGGGAACAAACAGATAAAACACTTATGGAGTTTATAGTCTAGGTAAGACACCAAAGATGAACAATAAATTAAGTTACAGCCTATGATAGTTGAAGATAAGTGATAAGGAGGAATAAGTAGGCAGAGATAAGTTATGCAATGTTCTGGAAGGATGTTAGATAAGGCCGCTAGGGAAGGAAGCCGTGTGTATATATGGGAAAGAGCATCTAGGGACAGAGAATAGCAGGGGCCAATGCCTTGAAACGGGAGTGTGTCTGTGCTTTTGAGGACCAGGGAAGAGGTCAGTGTGGCTGGAGCAGAGATGACATAAACAAAGGCATGATAGGGGCCCAGATCATGTAGAGTTGTGGAGATGAATTTACTGAGGGAAGATAGTAGATGGTTCTGAACAGAGGAGTGATGTGGTCTGACTTCAACTTTAAAGAGGGTCTCTCTGGCCATATAAAGAATAGACTCAAGGGAAGTGAGAGGGTGGGCAGGAGAAGGTTAATTCAGCAGGCCTGGTTTGCTCAAACCCTGCACACTCAAAAAAAAAAAAAAAAAGAAAAGAAAGAAAAGAAAAAAAATGCCTGAGGGTGGTCTTAACTCCCTAAGCTGCTCACACCCCTCTTCCCCTACCCACCCACCCACACACAGTGAGGGCCAGGAGAGAAGCTAGGAAGCAGATGCACTCATCCAGGTGGCAGAGCAGGGTGGCATCTGCCATGATTTTGTCCCATCAGTGTCCTGGGATTTCTGTTGACTCTTTTGAAACTCCTTGGCAAGGGAAAGATACCTTTCATGAATGTCAATTGATGAAATCCAGAATCTCTTTATTAAACGGCTAATTCTGGTCTGATCTGTCAGAGAATCATTTCTGCTTTTTCCCCAGTGAAGAAGTTCTTGAGAAACTTGGTATCTCTAAGATGCTAAGCAAAAAGACCAAGGTTTCTTGTTTCTCTGTTGGTGTGAGCCAGCAGGTCTGCATCAGGCAATGGATGCAAGTGTCATTGGAAGTGCCTGGGAACAAGGAGAAACCCATAGCATTCAGATTTGTCTGTGATCTCCACCTCCACAACATGGCCACTAGTAACCTCATCATTATTTCAAATGGGCGGACAACCCACTGGCCTTGTAACCCTCCCAAGGATGGATTTTGACTTGACTTTCCTACAAGTCTCCCAAGTGTAGGAAACTTGGGAGAGCAGGAGAAAAATAGATCAACTTCTACTTGAGTGGGGAAATTATTCCATTTATATATTCTAGATCATTTTATTTTTATTTTTATTTATTTATTTATTTATTTTTTGAGACAAAGTCTTGTTCTGTCACCCTTGACTGGAGTGCAGTGGAGCGATCTCGGCTCACTGCAACATCTGCCTCCCAGGTTCAAGAGATTCTCCTCCCTTAGCCTCCTGAGTAGCTGGGATTACAGGCACCCACCACCATGCCCGGCTAATTATTGTATTTTTAGTAGGGACAGGGTTTCACCATGTTGGTCAGGCTGGTCTCGAACTCCTGACCTCATGATCTGCCCTCCTCGGCCTCCCAAAGTGCTGGGATTATAGGCGTGAGCCACCGTGCCCTGCCCCATTTTCTTTATTATAATTTTCACCTGGAATAGTCACAACAATGGGGGTATATTAATGAATTGTACTGATGGGTGCTTGGGATAAAATGCAATGAGTGTTTGTAGATGAAGTGCAAGCCTATATGAAGTGCCTGTTCCATAGCAAGATTTGGGGAGGAGAGCATAATGTGCTTCACACAGCTGCGAAGCTTTGGAGAACCTAAGGGCTTTTATAAACAGGAGAGTAAACTTTTTCTGTAAGGAGTTCAGTGTGTGTTTGGAAAAAGGAAGGCAGGGGCAGACCCTATCAGGAGCCATTAGCTTCTTAAGTTCTTCAGCTGCTGGGATTACGATCTCTGCCTATCCAAAAAGCAAGAGAAAAGCACAGACTGAGAACTCAGCCAGACATTGGATCAAATCCCAACCCCATCTCTTATCAGGAGAGTTACCCTGGGCAAGTTACTTAGCATCTTGGGGTATTTCAGCCTTCCATTCTCCTTTCATTAAATGTGGATTATGTTACCCGTCTCCAGGCATTGGTGTATGAGATTTAAATAATAACGTTTGGCACTCAGCCTACAGTAGGCACCTAATGAATGCTCACTTTCCACTTCTAGGTATTCCACGGACTAATCAACCATAACAATATTATCAGTATAATTGGGAGGAGAAAAGAAAACAGGAGACTTTCCTTGGTCAGTGAGAAGGTACAGCTTTCAACTCTTCTTTTGCTTGCAGAGCCTGCTGAAGTATCATAGAATCTCCTGCCTAGGGAAACCACAATTTCATAATCTTTGCTCATGCTTTTTGCCCCATAGTTGATTTTCAATGGTCTGCCACGTGGAGGTTTATGGCCAGCACTCTGATTGGTCAGGGCCATGCTGTATTGGTGGTTTATTATTATTTTAACATGCCCCCTGTTTTGTGCCAACAAAATATGGATAGCTGGAAGGTGTAGAATATTCTTTGCTTTTCTGAACAACTCAATGAGTTTTCGGCTAGCAGAGGTATCTGTAAACTAATGTGAACTAGGAAGTTAAGAGCTTGACTGACATATGAAGAATTTATGTTTTAAAGACAGAAAGCAGAGAGGAAAAGAAGCTATCCAGAGAGGATGAGGCCCCAAAAGATTGTGACAAGATGGGGACAATATGGCCACTGATAAGTTACCTCTGGTGAGTGATGGCTCATGGAATCTCCAGAAAGTGATGTCTAATATCCATGGTGAAATTTGTATCTGTACAGAGCTATGCAATAGCTCCTTTTATTTCAAACTTTCTGCAAAAGTGTTAGTAGCCCTCTGAGGGAAGAAAGGTTTTGGAGTGGTTGCAATGTAGGCTGAAGGAAGCCTACATGATAAAACCTAAAGCCATGTTATCAAGCTAGATGCTATGCAGACTTACCAGGAGACCAAGAAATCTCCTGGAATATTGAAAGGAGTAGCACATAGAAGGTGGGGTGGGGGCTTGAGTACTAAGATAAATGGCCACCCTAGACGTTTGAGACATTTGGATGGAGAACTCTGGAGTCTATTTGAATTGAGTATTTTGTTTTCTTAAGTGCACTTGGTCAAAACAATAAAATCACTCACAAATGCACTTTTCCATGCATCTGCCTGTGTGAATGTATGAGATATACCTGCTCCCAACTCCAGAGATAACATTGGGATAACCCAACAGCTTCAGAGGCCAGAAGGCAGCCATCCTAGTGCCTCGGGGGCCCTTGAGGGGATCTGAAAGCTGAAGTACGGAGAGCTGCACAAAGGGCAGGTCTTCCCTGCTCTTTTATGAGTAGCTGGATGAGAGGTCTTAAAAGTGATGACTGCAGAGTCCATTAACAGAGGCTGCAGGCTCTTGAAGTACTTCCATGCCTGAGCCAGTGAATTCTAGCTCTGAATTTGCCTTCAACTCCAAATAAAAATTTTTAATTCAGGGGATCATATCCTGCCCCTCAGGTTCCCCCTTCAAATTTCAGAAAAGCATTTTGGATAGAAATGTCAATTAACCAGGGAAGAAGCATTCACAGGAAAAGGGTACGGTGTCATTTGTGATTTTAGAACAAGTAAAAGAGGCATTTCAAAAAAGTTCCAGGGTTGACATCGAGGCAGGAGTATGTTTAGCCATTCTCAGACTCCAATTCTGGCAGCTGGAACCCAAATTGTAGGTGCTTTGTCTTTGAGGGCTCAATGAAATATGAACTACTTAAGATGTTGCTCAGATGAAGAAATATATGCGTTTATTAAGTATAAATGATCAGAGGATTCTTTACTTCATGAATTCTTGTCTAAAACTTCACTGGCACATACATGAGACATAGGTGTCAAGGATATTTTTGAATTTTTCCTTGGCTCATGCTCATCAATAACATAAATTTCTGTGAAGGAAGTACCATATTTTGCTCAAACGCCATATCCTTCTGTTCCAAGAAAAAATAAAAAAGGATATAAACCAAGAAGCAGCTTCTATTTGGGCCTCTTTGGCAGGGAAATAAAGGGGAAAGAAACTGGGAAATATATTCCCTTGCTCAGAGTAGGGAATGGGAAGGATTCCTTGATAAACATATGTGCTACTAAATCCTGCCTGGAAACAAAGAATGATATAAACAAGCCGTGGCTTACGGTTTCAAAATCCAGTAAATTATACTTATGGTTGTGCATTTGTCAAGATAAGTAGCTAATGGTAATCCAATAAGCAGATAAGAGTAATAAAATGCACTGAGGTAGGGCAGAAGTCAGACCTAGTGATGGGGACAACCTTTCACATTTGTGGTCCTAAAAGACCTCATCAAATATCTTAGGACAGGAGTGATGGCCAGGCCAGGGGCAAAAGGCTGGGGAGAGAGTGGGGAAGAAAGGTCATTTTTGTTAGTAGCCCTTCAATAGTGACAGAGCATTTACTATTCCCTAGTTTTATAATAGCTGAAGTGATACATTTCATATGAAGAAATATATAGCAATATAGAGAAGAGACATATTTCTGCCTCAAAGAGATTTTAGGAAAGAAAAACTAGGGCAAGAACCAGCATTCTATGGGGGATTACTGTACCTAGGCAGCAGAATAAGCACTAAACACATTTTCAGACTTTAGACTAAAATAGAAACCCTAGCAATTGTCGAATTCCTAAAATTTGCTGGGGACTGATTCTAACAGACTCCTTTAGATCTACATCTGTTGTGTTGTGACTGAGTATGCGGGAATAGATACAGCTCCAACCCGCCTTTCCAAGCTATCCTGTTCTCCAGGTGGCCTCTGAAATCTTTCTCTGCTGGAGTTCTATGGACGTAGCAAGATCGGGGGAAGTGTCACTGTGAAAGCAACTCTCCATAGTCATCTTCTAGTCACTGGAAACAGAAACTAACAGTCTGGTTGTCCTTAATAGAGAAAATCCCATCAAGTTAAGGCTAATCTCTGACTTGTGTGGGCCTGGGAGTAAGGAACAAATGTATTCCTGCCTTCATATCTGGGCCTCTAGCTGACACATGCAACCCCACTGGGCAAAGCATCACTGTTCATATTCGACATGAAGAGCTGGCCTCATAGCAAGGCCAAGGCAGGGCTACAATCCCTGCGTGAGCCCCTGTGCCCATCTATGCAGAGGGCATGGGTAGAGATGCTTTCACAAAGACTGCCCAGAGCAGCCAGTAACATGTTCTGCCTTCCCAATTATCTCTTGCTCAGATAGAATTATTTTAGAAAAATTTAAAAATGTGCATACTAGAGGTTGTTATTTTGGCAAATTTAGTTTAGCTGTCAGAGGTCATGCAGGGCAAGTAGAAAGCACTTCTTGTTTGCTCTCAAACCTACCCTGATTCAAATTCTTGCTCAGTCACTGTAATCTTGTTTGAGCTTTAAATTCTTTATCTCTGAAAGAGAAGACATAACACTTACGGTGGATGGTGGTTGTAATCACGTGTGGCAAACACTTGACATACAAAACACATTCATTTAACAGTAGCTACAATTAAGTGCTAATGTCATCAACTGTAAATATTGAAGCAGGTAACAATTATCCTGTGCTGAAAGTTTTCCTGAAACGCTTATTTAGGGTCCAATTTGCCAGACTTTATCATGAGTAATACCTTCTAAATATCTACAACTACAGTTCACAAACTGTTTTCACATTTATTGTCTCATGTAATTCTCACAACTGCCAGAAAGTTTGATAATATTATTATACTCACTTTATTTTTTTATTTTTATATTTATTTATTTTCTGAGACGGAGTTTCACTCTTATTGCCCAGGCTGGAGTGCAGTGGCGTGATCTTGGCTCACTGCAACCTCCGCCTCCAGGGTTCAAGCGATTCTCCTGCCTCAGCCTCCCAAGTACCTGAGATTACAGGCATGTGCCACCAAGCCCTGCTAATCCTTTTATTTTTAGTAGAGATGGGGTTTCACCATTTTGGCCAGGCTGGTCTTGAACTCCTGACCTCAGGTGACCCACCTGCCTCAGCCTCCCAAAGTGCTGGAATTACAGGCATGAGCCATTGTGCCTGGACTTACTATATTCACTTTAGAGATGAGGACACTGAGACTTGAAGAGGCTAAGTAAGTCACCCATGGCCGCAAAGTTAGCAAATTAGCCAATATCGGTATCAACAATCCTAGGCTGACTGCCTCACAGAGCAGTGTTCAAGTTTATGCACATACATGTTCTTTCATTAAACAAACTCTTGTTGTACCCTTGTGGCCCGGAGCTAAGTGCAGAGAGCACAGCAGTAATACAAAAGGCATCACCTTTGCATTCAAGGGATTTATATTTCTTCAGGGAACACAGACATTGGAAAATGAGCAACTGATTAAAAATTGGGCAGAAAGTCTAAACAGACACCTCATCAAAAAAGATATACAGATGGCAAGTAAGCCATCTTAATTGAAAAGTAAAGTAAGATGTAAAGTAAGAAAAGTAAAGTAAAATAAAAAGATGCTCCACATCATATAGTATTAGGGAATTTTAAATTAAAGTAAGATAGCAGATACACTTATTAGAATGGCTAGAATCCAGATCACTGACACCAAATGCTGGCCAGAGTGCGGACCAACAGAAACTCTCATTCAGTGCTGGTGAGAATGTAAAATGATACAGCTACTTTGGAAGACAGTTGGTGGTTTCTTACAAAACTAAACATAATCGTACCACATGATCCAGCAAATACGATCCTTGGTATTTACCCAAAGGTGCTGAAAACCTAGGTCCACACAGAAATCTGCGCTTGGATACTTATAGCAGCTTTATACATAACTGCCATAACTTTGATGCAACCAAGAAGCCCTTCAGAAGGTGCCTTAGTCCATTCTCTGTTACTAGAACAGAGTACCTGAGACTGGGTAATTTCTACAGAAAAGAGGTTCACTTAGGCTCATGGTTCTGTAGGCTGAGAAGTCCGAGATTGGGAGCCCGCATCTGGCCAGCCTCTGGTGAAGGCCTCATGCTGCCTTGTAATATGGTGGGGAAGAAGAAGAGGAAGTGGACACTTGTGAAAAGGGCAAATCAAAAGGGGTGGCCTCACTTGATAACAACCCACTCTCATGGTAACTAATTGAGCACCTCAAGAGCCAGAACTCACTCACTCCCGTGACAATAAATGCCACCCCAAGAGAGTAGCATTCATTCCTGTTAACGATCTAATCCCCTTTTAAAGATCTCCCAACACGACTCCATTGGGGACCAAATTTCCAAACATGCGTTCTGGGGGCACACTCAACCCATAGCAATAGGTGAAAAGATAAATAAACTATGGTACGTACACACAATTGAATATTATTTAGCACAAAAAAATTAAGTGAGCTATTAAGCCATGGGAAGACATGGAGGAATCTCAAATGCATATTACTAACTAAAAGAAGCCAATATGAAAATGCCACATACTGTGTGATTCCAACTCTATGACACTCTTGGGAAAGCGAAACTATGAAGACAGTAAAAAGATCAGTGGTTTTCAGAGGTTGGTGGAAGGGAGGGATGAAAGGCAGAGCACAGATGACTTTCAGGGCAGTGAAACTACTCTGTGTGATACTACGATGACGGACACAGATCATTATACATACGTCAAAACCCATAGAAAGTACAGCAGGAGTGAACCCTACTGTGTATGCTATGGACTTTCAGTGATGGTGTCTCGGTGTCGGTTAATCAATTGTAAGAAATATACCCTTGTGGTGGGTGATGTCAATAGTGGGAGAGATTGTGCCTGCATAGGGGCAGAGCATATATGGGAATTCTCTGTGCCTTCTGCTCAATTTTGGTGTGAACCTAAAACTGCTCTAAAAAATAAAGCTATTTAAAAAGCAACAAAATAAAACTACTCTGATTGTAGAAAATGCAATGAAAGATTATGCAGGGAACTCAGCAGTCTAGTGTAGTCTTGGAGAATCAGAAAAGCGGTTTGAAGTAAGTGATCTTTGAGCTGAAATCTGCACCATGAATAGTTGAAATATCAACTGTACTAAGTGCCATACTTGGTGAACTGAAGTAAACATATGGGCAACAGGACCGTAATAATGAACAATAAATTAAATCCACTTAAAACAGTTATCGTACATGGTGAATACTACTTGTTGTAATGATCAGTCTACTTGTGTGAAGTGTGCCTCAGATCTGGAAAAACTAAACTGGGGAAGGGGCCAAATATTGTCATGGTAACAGAAAGAACCCATGCTAAAGGGTTTTCAATAAGCAAGAACAGCCAGTATTACGTAAGTAGCCATCCATGGGAGCTGACATCTGTTATTCATTTGTTGATTTTAGGTTGAAGAAAAACAGGATAATTGGAAATACTTCTATGTTCTGGGAAAATACGGAATGGAAGAGCTCTTAGTGTTTCTTAAATGGTGATCCATTACTTTTAACATTTAGTACAAACCTGCCCTCTCCAATTAATGAATGAACAAGAGAGCTGGACAACATCTAGATTCAATCATTTCAAAGCTATGGAAGATCAAAGACAGGTTCTTGCTTAAGCCAGGAGAAAAGAGGGCTTCCATCATGAAAAGGACTTCCACCATGAAAAGCATCTTTTGGGTGCTTGGGAAGAAATGAGAAGAAGTGTATTAAGAAGGAGGTGGAAAATATTTAGCAGATGGTTGCAACTCTGCTACCTATCTCAGAGGAAAACAGCAAGGAAAAGAACAAATTCAGCTACCTACATAGCATAATAGTTCAAAGCAAAGATATTTATATCAAACAGACTTAGACTTAAGCCCCAGTTCTACCATTGATTAGCTATAAGATGTTAGGCAAGTTTCTGAATTTCTCTATAATCCAGTCTTCTCATCTGTGAAATGGGAACATTACCAGAAGATTGTACACTCAGTTATTATTTGACGTCATCTAGCATATAATAGCCACAAGCTAAATATCAGCTGTATTTTTTTAACGCTGTGAGTAGCTCTCCCAGCACAATAGTTTTGCAATCCTGTTCATCTTTAATTCCTGTTGGACTGAAAACATTTTAGGAAAATGCTAGGGGAAAATCAGAACCCTTTGGTGAGTTGCCAGAGAGCTGACAGTACAAGGGCAAATGCCAGCCTACTGCAGTGGTGGTTTCCAAAGCAAAAACCAGACTTGGGCCCATATCTCTGAGGGGCTCCAGTTTGGCCTCAGGTGTCTAGTGGAGCCCATAGTGCTGAGGTGTGCTGATGCCTCATCCCTCTGCTTATTATCCCTTTAAAGCAGGGTGGGTGACTGGACATGGGAAGCAGCAGAGATCTGACCAGTACACCTGCCTTCCTCACTTGGATTCCTAAGCCCACCTGAGTTGTCATCCAGTCCCCTGTTAGAACCCTTGTAGCCGCAGCTGTGTTCTATAACTACAGCAATGTCTGAGGATACTTCGCTTTATGTGCATAAAGGAGAGAGCACAATTTCAACAATTATTCTCTGCATGCGCTCAACCCAGTTACTTAGTTAATCTGAATTTCCAATTCCTCGTGTTTACAAATGGGGCCAAGGATACTGTCTCCATCAGGGCCTAAGCAGGTATCAGATGACACACTCAAGCTGGGTGGTGGGGAGATTTCAATAAAGGGATTACTTACCAGGTGTGAGCAAGGTTTGGGGAAGCCAGCAAGGGCTGATACCATCCTTGGATCTGCAGGGGAGAATCATTAGCAGTCAGGCTCACCTAAAGGGCTGAGGGAGGAAATGGTTTCCAGGAACCAGAGAGCATCACTCTGCAGATACTCCACAGGAACAGACCAGAGAGTCAACTAACTACTTTTCCCTGCTCTCTGATTTTCTACTGATGCTAAACTACTGGCTGTGTCCAAATGGAAGTGCTAGAACAAGGAGCTGGTTGATGCAGTTCATACAGGTCAGCCTCCTGGGGGGACAGAACAAGGTAGTAGTGGGTCTGGGGTGGGGGAGTGGGAGAGTTTATAGAAGATACCCGGCATAGATACCACCAAGGAAGGTATAAGCACGAATTAAGTTAGTTTGTAAAAACCTGCCCGTGCCTGACACACAATAGGAGTTCAGTAAACATTAATTCCCCTAAACCCTCCCCACTCCCCACCTCTCACTGAGAAACCCACAATCTTGCAGCCACAGTCCCTGCCCCACATTCAGTAGAGATCTCCAGATACAAACTTGCACACACGCATAATGCTCGCTTTCTATGTCAGGCTTTCTATTTATGTGTGGTTGATTTTTAGGTTTTGGCTTAAGTGTTTATTCACTCTACATGCCTTAGTGGAGCTTTTAGCAATCAAACTTCAGCCTGTTCTTCCCAAACTTTACCTGGCCCATCGGATACTGGCACTAAATTAGTGGTTAATTTCTAATTAATTTGCCTGCTTTGAGGGATAGATGTATTAGCATCAAGTTTTGACAATTCCCAAAAATAATTAAATATCCCTAGAGAAAAAGGAAGGGAAGATTCAGGACCCGTAGTTCCTAAAAGGATTTGAACACCACTTACAATAGAGCAAATTTCCAGATAGCTCCAGGAGCTTAATCTTTGGAAGCAGGAGTTTCTTTGTTTACAAACAAGCAGGCGTTTGTTAGCCAGTGCAACAATAAACCTCTGCTCTCTGGTCAGCCATTTTCATTAAATTATTCTTAAAGACCACCAATAAAAGGTGCCAATCATTCTACTTAACTATGTGGCTAACCATCTATTATTAACCAGAGCACATACTTCTGGAATAACAAATGGGGTCGCAAAGATCTGAGCTCGATAAGCCCTATAATGAGATAACTCCCGGGCCTGGTATCATGTGATAAATGGGATGATTGATCAGAACTGCACAGGAGAGACTGACGTCCTCTCTGCGCTCTCCCTCCTCTTTCCCTCCCTCCCTGTGGTTTAGCTCTACTAAAAAATGCTAAATAGAGATATATATATTTCATATAAGAAATATGCAAATAAGCCTTTTTTATTAAATGCATATTTGCTAGAGGTTAAACCCTGGTATCCTGCAAAAATCAAGAGAAGAAAACTTGCTGAGTGTTTCTGCCATGTCATTTTCCAGCCATATTTAACAGAGAGAGATTTCTGGCAGGACTAAGTGCAGCAATTAGATTGGAAATTTAGGTCATCTTTATAATTATGTTCAGATGTGATTGGAAAAATATCTCGGGAGCCATAGATGTTTTGGTTAAAAGCTTATTTCAGAATGCAGGTGAAAAGGCAAAATCTGGTCTCCTATGTAATTAAATCCCTGTACAACCTGGATGAGACATTTTATGGGCTAAAGTAGCAGCAGCAAAAATGCTTGATTTGAACACACCCCAACAGAAGAAACTACCTTATCTTTTTTGCCCTGCTTAATAGCAAACTACATATAGCACAGCTTTCTTGGCATAATCTCTTGGTCATTTGGTGTGGAGACCTCAGTGTGCTTTATCAACATTAGCCTGCTAATCCCAGCAGGAACCTGAGGGGGTTGGCAGGCTGCCCATTAATGTCATTTCAGGTGAATTCATAGATAACTGCAAATTTTAGTCTCTGCTTTAGAGCCAAAGAAAGGAAGTTCTCACCCCTCTCCAAACAGTGGGTATCAATGTATTATCACTAGGGCATCAGTGATGTTCCTGCCTGGTATCTGGGCCTAGAAAAAATGGAAGGCTGAGTGTCCAGGTGTCTCTGACCCCATGAGGAAGAGGAGTGAGCTGGAGTAGGGATGGGCTGATTCTTCCAAGGGGAGTTTTTTTGAGGAGTGCATCTATCTAGAAAACAACTATCTCCCAGTAGACCAGTGGTTCACAGCTTTGCCTGCACATTGAAATCCCTTGAGACACCCTAGCAATCACTGGGTCTCACCTTCAGGAATTTTGATTTAATTGGCCTGGGTTGTTGGCTTCAGGCCAGCGAGTTTCTAAAACACAAGAGGTGATTCTAATACAGAGCCAAGGTTGAAAACCACTACTAAAGTCAGGAGTTTCACTAGGAACCACTACTTTCAGGTGCTTTTTCTGCTTTGGAAAGATCCAGTTTTGCTAGTGAACAGAAAGTTATTTGATCCAATCTTTATGGTGGTATCATTTACTCCTGACTACCTTGTGCCTTGCACACTGGTGTTTTTCAGACTGTGGGTGGTGGCTTACTGGGAAGTGATGAAATAGATTTAGATCATTGCAACTGGCACATTTTGTTTTAAAAATAAATACAATAGAATTGGAAACATCTGAGTCCATTATAGATAATTATTTTGTAATAATTGCTTTGTAATATTACAGAAATTGTTTTGTAAAATATTTCTTTGTGTGTGTGCACACGTTGTGAACTTGTACTGGATCTTGATGTAAACTGTTTATCTTAATGAAGATCATGGTTTAAAAAAGTATAAAACTGCCTTTACTAATGCTAATACTTTAGAATGTATCTCTTCCGTTTTATATAAGAAATCTGGGGCTCTGGACGCTACTTTGGGCTCAGACAACTTATGAAAACAGAACACACAGTCTTAAAATAGAATGTAGACCTAAAACACCTAAAAACACTTAACTTTGTAAGATTGTAACAAAAATTAATACAAATGGAGTTGATAGCTCTAATGTAGTGGTGGACCCAAAAGCCATATTAGTACTAGCAAAAGGGCAGAATTCACACAGTATCATAGTTGTTCTGCAAGAGCTTTGGCACCTAGTCATGTCCAAAGCAGATATAAAACTCCCTCAGCCACCTGAAGGACAGTGTTGCAGCAATTCATCAAAAAGAAAAACCACAGGCCCTTCTTTCCTTCCATTCGATTTAACTGGTCTTCATTTTCCACAGTAGTAAACGTTCTAGATGCCTCTTGTAGACCTCAAAGTATGGGAAAGGAAGCTTCTAGTCAAAGGTTTTTTATCTTAAGATACTATAAATGATGCTAATTTTTAGTCCACTTGAAATATGTAAGTTGTGCTATAACAAATCATTCTGTCACGTGACCACTTTCCATGTAGTTGAACTGATCGAGAAAGTATATTTGAATTGATTCCCATCATAACCAGGGAGGCACATCTAACTCAGTGGTGAAAAGGTGCATCACACATTTGCCTTGCTGCTGGTTATGTGGTCTGGGATCTCTGCCTTCTCTCGTTTTCCTCCCCTGCCTCCCACCCTCCCTGCAGCAGCCCTCAAGCCTGGGGGCTTTTTAGAATAGATGTGAAGTTTTCAACCTGTGGACCTGCTGCGTGTGGAGGTGCTTTGCCTGCATCCCTTGTTTCTTGAGTCTTTAATGATGCCTTTGTCCAAGCCATAGCCCTGTCTCTACACTCCTCCACTCCCGCGCTGGGCTGAGGCACCGATGATAAACCCTGAGGCTGGCCTTTGGTGAGGAATTTGGGGCTTTCCCCATATCTTCTCTCTGCACCTTTTTCAAGGGGTGCTGCTTTTTCCTCTCTCCTGCTCAAGTTCCCTTTTGCATCGTCACCACCCAACACTTTCCATGACACTTCCTTGCTGTGGCCAGAAGCCCACCAGGCAAGGTTGGAAAGAACCTCTGACTTCTCTTGTTTAGTTTTGGAACCACATTTATTCACTCTTGCTCAGCCTGGGATGCGAATATTGGGCCCTGCCACCCTCTGCCGGCATCATCAGCCAATTTTTTTTTTAGTATAACAGGCACTATTTTTGAATAAACAAATCACTTTGCAAATGCTGTTTTCTATTTTTATTATTATTATTATTATACTTTAAGTTCTGGGGTACATGTAGAGGTTTGTTACATAGGTATACACACACCATGGTGGTTTGCTGCACCCATCAATCTGTCATCTACATTAGGTATTTCTCCTAATGCTATCCCTCCCCTAGCTCCCTATACCCGGACAGGCCCTGGTGTGTGATGTTCCCCTCCCTGTGTCCATGTGTTCTCATTGTTCAACTCCCACTTGAGAGTTGTCATTCTGTCACGTGACCACTTTCCATGTAGTTGAACTGATCGAGAAAGTATATTTGAATTGATTCCCATCATAACCAGGGAGGCACATCTAACTCAGTGGTGAAAAGGTGCATCACACATTTGCCTTGCTGCTGGTTATGTGGTCTGGGATCTCTGCCTTCTCTCGTTTTCCTCCCCTGCCTCCCACCCTCCCTGCAGCAGCCCTCAAGCCTGGGGGCTATCATTGTTTTTGCTTTTAGAAATTGAAGAAGTTTTAAACAGGACTCTCAGTTGGAGTTGAGAGTATTCCATGGTATATATGTGATATACATACCACATTTTCTCTATCCAATCTATCATTGATAGGCATTTGGGTTGGTTCCAAGTCTTTGCTATTGTGAACAGTACTGCAGTCAACATACGTGTGCATGTGTCTTTATAGTAGAATGATTTATAATCCTTTGGGTACACACCCAGTAATGGGATTGCTGGGTCAAATGATATTTCTGGTTCCAGATCCTTGAGAAATTGCCACACTGTCTTCCTCAATGGTTGAACCAATTTACACTCCCACCAACAATGTAAAAGCATTCCTATTTCTCCATATCCTTTCCAGCATCTGTTGTTTCCTGACTTTTTAATGATCACCATTCTAACTGGTGTGAGATGGTATCTCATTGTGGTTTTGATTTGCATTTCTCTAATGACCAGTGATGATGAGCTTTTTTTCATATGTTTGTTGGCCACATAAATATCTTCTTTTGAGAAGTGTCTCTTTATATCTTTCTCCCACTTTTTGATGGGGTTGTTTTTTTTTTTTCTTGTAAATTTATTTAAGTTCCTTGTAGATTCTGGATATTAGCTCTTTGTCAGATGAAGAGATTGCAAAAATTTTCTCCCATTCTGCAGTTTGTCTGCTCACTCTGATGTTAGTTTCTTTTGCTGTGCAGAGGTTCTTTAGTTTAATTCAATCCCATTTGTCAATTTTGGCTTTTGTTGCAATTGCTTTTGGTGTTTTAGTCATGAAATCTTTGCCCATGGCTATGTCCTGAATTGTATTGCCTAGGTTTCCTTCCAGGGTTTTTATGGTTTTAGGTCTTACATTTCAGTCTTTAATCCATCTTGAGTTAATTTTTGTATAAGGTGTAAGGAAGGGGTCCAGTTTCAGTTTTCCACATATGGCTAGCCAGTTTCCCAACACCATTTGTTAACTAGTGAATCCTTTCCTCATTGCTTTTTTTTGTCAGGTTTGTCAAAGATCACATGGTTGTAGATGTGTGGTATTATTTCTGAGGCCTCTGTTCTGTTCCATTGGTCTATATATCTGTTTTGGTACCAGTACCATGCTGTTTTGGTTACTGTAGCCTTATAGTATAGTTTGAAGTCAGGTAGCATACCTCCAGCTTTGTTCTTTTTGCTTAGGATTGTCTTAGCTATACGGGCTCTTTTTGTTTGCCGGTTTCTCTGTGTGGCCTTTTTCAGGTTTAGCCACCAGAGACTCAGAGCCAGCAAATCTGAGTAACCTGGTGACTCTGCTTTCCTTTAATCACAACATGAGCTAAAATACACATTGGTTCCATATTTAAATCAATATGTTTAAATTGTAGATGTATGGCATTATTTCTGAGGCCTGTGTTCTGTTTCATTGGTATATATATCTGTTTTGGTACCAGTACCATGCTGTTTTGGTTACTGTAGCCTTGTAGTATAGTTTGAAGTCAGGTAGCATGATACCTCCAGCTTTGTTCTTTTTGCTTAGGATTGTCTTGGCTATACCGGCTCTTTTTGTTTGCAAGTGCCTTTCTGTGGCCTTTTCCAGGTTTAGCCACCAGAGACTCTGAGAGCCAGCAAGTCTGAGTAACCCAGTGACTCTGCTTTCCTTTCATCACAACACAAGCTAAAAAACACATTGGTTCCATATTTAAACCATATTTAAACCAATGTGTTTTTTAGCTCGTGTTGTGATGAAGGGAAAACATAGTCACCGGGTTACTCAGACTTGCCAGCTTCAGAGTCTCTGGTGGCTAAACCTGGAAAAGGCCACACAAAGACACTTGTAAACATGCACCACCTTTCTGAATTGCTTTCATTCCCTATCATTGTTTTTGCTTTTAGAAATTGAAGAAGTTTTAAACAGGACTCTCAGTTGGTTGTTCTTGCCATCCATTTGGGTCCATTCAGAATCTGACAACTGGCACAAAAAGAACCTTGAATTGAGCACATACTCTACTTTGGTTTTGGTGCTGCTGCTTCTCACAGTTTCAGCAGGGATTAAGAAAGAACTTAGTGTGCCCAGCAGATCCCCAAAATTGGCCAGCTTGACTTCCTAGCAAATTGCTGAATTTTTCCACTTTCTGTTCAGGACCACTAAATGCTGAAATATGAATGTGTATCAAAATGACAGCAATTCATTGTATTCTAAAAAAAAAAAGTAAAGAAATCTGGGACTCTGAAAGATTTCACAACTTTCTCCGCATTCACCCAGATATACCAAGTGATGACTCACAGTCAAATCAGGCCCCTGTGTCTCCAAGGCCCAAGCTCCCTTTGTTACCCATGATGTATTTCTATCATCCAAGACCCAGGCTTACACCAATGTCATTGGCATAGCCTCAAGTCTTTGCTCTCCTTAATGCACCAACTAGAAAGACAGCCAGCTAAGAGAACAAAGTAAAGTTCAAAAAAGAAAAAGAAAGAAAAGAAAAAAGAAAAGAAAAGAAAAGAAACCTAAAGGCCTCTTCCCTTCACATATCTACCAAAGCAAAGAAGGCTCACTTGCTCCCCTTCCAGAGTTTCTCAGCCTTCAACCTGCAATGCTTTCTCTGCTGCAACTTAGCCCCTCCTCTGCCTATCAACAAGATGTTGAAGAGAAGTTATATTGTCCTGCTTGTAATGACCATGTATGTTCTTGCAGAGGCTTCTTGGGTCACACCCAAAGTGAACAGATTCATTGCATATCAAAGTGGTAACAGCACACTCCCTCTTGCAGAAGCACGAGCCTCCTGCAACACATTCAAACCCAAATGAAGAACCCTGAGTGTACTAAGGAGTGCTTAGATTTAAGTAAATGTTATTGAAGTATCACCTACATGCAGGAAACAGCATAAGCCGAAAGGGTACCATGCAATGAATTTTCACAAACTGAATGTATTCTATTAACATTACCCACATCAAGAGAGAAATACAGTAGCGGCAGCCCCAGAAACCTCTCGCTTACATTCTCTTTCCGTGTCACTACCTCCCACCAAAAGTAAACACCACCCTGACTTCTAACCATACTTCTGCCTACATAAAATTGAATGTTTTTATGTATGTACGTTATATGTATTTAAGTTAAATTATGCTATTTTTACTCTTTTGTGTTGAGCTCCTTACATTCAATATTGTATTTGAGAGGTTCATTCACACTATTGTGTGTACATATAATTTATTCAATTCCATTAATGTTTGGTATTCTATTGTATTAATGTATAGCAACTGATTGACCTATTTTCCTATTATGGCCACTTGGATATTTTCCAATTTGAGGCTACAAACATTCCATTTCTACTATGAATATTCTACTATACATCTTTTAGTGAATGTATGTTCACATTTCTGTCAGTTATTTACTAGGAACAGAACTATTGGGTCAAAGGCATGCATATGTTTTTCGGCTTTAACAGGGCCTGCAAAAGAAGTTTTCAATGTTGTACATTTTACCTTCCTACCAGCAGTATAAAAAGAATTCAGTTGTTCCACATCTTCACCAAAGTTGATATTTATTATCTTCTTCATTTTAGCTATCCTGTGTGTGTGTGTTTGAGAGAGAGAGAAGCCTGTTTAGTCTTTGTCATAGCTTTAAAATCAATTTTATTGACATAGGCATGGGCAAGGACTTCATGTCCAAAACACCAAAAGCAATGGCAACAAAAGACAAAATTGACAAATGGGATCTAATTAAACTAAAGAGCTTCTGCACAGCAAAAGAAACTACCATCAGAGTGAACAGGCAACCTACAAAATGGGAGAAAATTTTCGCAACCTACTCATCTGACAAAGGGCTAATATCCAGAATCTACAATGAACACCAACAAATTTACAAGAAAAAAACAAACAACCCCATCAAAAAGGGGGCAAAGGACATGAACAGACACTTCTCAAAAGAAGACATTTATGCAGCCAAAAAACACATGAAAAAAATGCTCATCATCACTGGCCATCAGAGAAATGCAAATCAAAACCACTATGAGATACCATCTCACACCAGTTAGAATGGCAATCATTAAAAAGTCAGGAAACAACAGGTGCTGGAGAGGATGTGGAGAAATAGGAACACTTTTACACTGTTGGTGGGACTGTAAACTAGTTCAACCATTGTGGAAGTCAGTGTGGCAATTCCTCAGGGATCTAGAACTAGAAATACCATTTGACCCAGCCATCCCATTACTGGGTATATACCCAAAGGACTATAAATCATGCTGCTATAAAGACACATGCACACGTATGTTTATTGCGGCATTATTCACAATAGCAAAGACTTGGAACCAACCCAAATGTCCAACAATGATAGACTGGATTAAGAAAATGTGGCACATATACACCATGGAATACTATGCAGCCATAAAAAATGATGAGTTCATGTCCTTTGTAGGGACATGGATGAAATTGGAAATCATCATTCTCAGTAAACTATCGCAAGAACAAAAAACCAAACACCGCATATTCTCACTCATAGGTGGGAATTGAACAATGAGATCACATGGACACAGGAAGGGGAATATCACACTCTGGGGACTGTGGTGGGGTGGGGGGAGGGGGGAGGGATAGCATTGGGAGATATACCTAATGCTAGATGACGAGTTAGTGGGTGCAGCGCACCAGCATGGCACATGTATACATATGTAACTAACCTGCACAATGTGCACATGTACCCTAAAACTTAAAGTATAATAAAAAAAAAAAGAAAAAAATAAAATAAAATAAAATAAAATATTTAAAAAAATCAATTTTATTGAGGTACAATGTACATATAAGAAATGGAAACCATCTAAAATACATGATTTGATGAGCTTTGAGAGATGTATACACCCATAAAGTCACTGCCACAATCAACCAGATAGTTCCGTATCTCAAAAGTTTTCTCATGTTCCTTCTGTATTTTCTGAGAGAGGCTCTGGAAGAAGAAAGGGCTTCTTTCCCTGGTCCCAGGGTACCTCACTTACCAGTCTCCAGTGAAGCATGTTTCTGAAATTCTTCACTGCTAGACAATGCAGATTCTTCAGTGCAGCCTACAATGACAGGCTCCTGTAGGGCATAATTTTCCCCAGCTCTCGATGAAGGCAGCATTGGCAAGAGACCCAGATAGCATAGCATTAATTGTATTTAATTTTAATTGATTAAAACTTAAAAGTATTCACATACAGCTAGTGGCTACCTTATTGCACAATGCAGGCTTAGATTTTACTAGAAATTTCTTTCAGAACTGGGGCAGGCTAGAGTCATGTTGATGTTTCCCCCCGTGACACAAATGACTTTCATGGACCCCACGTTTCTCAGGGGCAGGTTCTTGACTTATTCAGGACTTTTCACTCTACTTTTTTAATCCAGAAAACAAACGCTGCACCCAAATAATCTGTGGACCATCCCTCTCCCTGCCAAATCTTATTAGTAATACACTTGTGGCAAGTCCTTGATTCTGTCTGTGCTTTTGGTTTAAGCGTCGAGGTTTGGGAATCAGACAGACTAGATGAATTTCCTCGGCAGCTCTCCTCATCTGTGTTACTGTGAGCAGAGCCCTCATCCTGCTCAGATCTAACTTCCTTGTCTGCAAGAACAGGGTCATAATATCTATTTCATGAGTGTCTGACACATCCTAAACCCTCAATAAATGTGTCGTTGCCCACACTTCTTGACCTGTTGAATGGTGCTAAGAAACACCTGCATCCTACAGGGTTTTATTGTCATGCAAACCCTTTGGGAAGAGCAGAGCATTATAAAAAATGTCAAGTGTTGTTCCCTGAGTTAAAACAAGTAGGAAAAGCAAGAGCAACTTCCACCAGTCAAGGCCACTGAAATAAAATACATGTCAGCCTTAGGTAAGCTTTATCTTTCCAAAGCCACTGATAACTACTTTTGCTAAGAGCCATCAGCAGAGTGTCTGCTTTCTTGCCAGGAGGAGAAACAAAGACTTTGATCTGATCTATGATAGAACACATTCCTTTCTGTTTTGACTCTTCATTTGCAGGAGGCCCAGGACAGGGATGCTGTTTGCTCAGATCTCATGGTAAGTTCCCTCCCACTGGGGCAGATGGGGTTTACGCTGGGGAGAAGAGGTCTGAGAGCTATGTCTACCTTAAAGCTTTCTCCCTGTACAGCAGGTCCTAATCAGGTGCTGGGGGAGGAGGAAGGAGGAATCCCAAGGCATGGGAGATGGCAGATGGATGCCCTGAGTATCAGCTATTGGCCAGTCATTCGTCAGGAGCTTTATTAATGATACTGCTCACTGTTCAATGGAACACAGGCCAGAAACTGTTACACCATTTAACTTCCACACAAGAAATGACATTATCGTGCCTATTTACAGACAAAGGATCTAAGATTTGAAAAGGAAAAAAACTTACCCGAGGTCTCATCGCTAGCTGAGATTTGTACCTATGTCATTATGGCTCCATAATGTATGCCCTTTACCATGAAGTAACATTACCCCTGCAGCCACATGCTTTTCTACTGAATGCTCATGGACTCATGAGGTAGATGTTCTTGCCTTTCATAGATGGAAAACAGACTTAAGAGTTGAAATAAATTTTCACAAGAGTTGAAATAAATTTTCACAAATTTACAGATCTGGAATCCTGGTAGTAGAACTAAAACTCGTACTCAGGTACATTGATTTTTTTAAAAATTCCATATACAGAACTCTTTCCATCATTTTACATAGTAATAACCAAGATAATAATACTAACATTATCATGTGTCAGGCACAGTTCTATGCATTTTATATGTCGTAATGCATTTTATCCTCACACAAAACCATAGAATATTTTTGCAATATCATCTTCATTTACAGACCATAAAACTGAAGCACAGAATGATTAAGTACTTTCCAAAGTTGCAAAGTAAATAAGTAGAGAAGTTGTGATTTGAACCGGAGCAATGTGTCTCCAGAGCTACTTTTTAATCGTTTTGTTAGAGGCAACCCCAATGTCAAGATATCTCTGCCCCTGGTGGGTGGCCTTTGGGACTACCCTAATGCATCTGGGCAGGATGAAAAGCCACAGGGTGAAATGAACACCAGAAGAAAGGCATAGAAAAAAAAGACAATTTCAAGTGACAGAGCTTTGAGAAGAGCAGCAAGTTAGCTAAGAAGGATTGTCATGGTTGTTTATGGTCCTCAAAATCGCTTTGATTCTAACACACAAGAAGACCAGCCTTGCTCTATCCACAGTGGAAATCACCCGAGTCTAGAATTGACATGAGAAGTTGATTTATTTTCATTGTTTGTTACAGCAATTCAGTGCAATTTATTTAGGACCACTGTCTCTCACTCAGAGGGAAACTCATAATGCAAACACATTAATCTTGGGAGACAGTATCTTGGATACCAGCAGTTAGGATAATTAGATTGTTACTCTCAGCATGCAGTGCCTGTTCATAAGCAACAAAGAAGCTTATCAGATTCTAATAATCCTTAATGTATATTATACAAATTACTGAATACAATGACATTCACATTTGCAAAGAAAATTCCATAACCTAGGCTCTCCTTTGCTATGTGAAAGTCCAATCTGTATTTTCCTTTCATAACTGAAAGCGATTTATCTCAGCAGTAACCCGACTAGAACATTTTCTATTGATTCTCTAAAGGCTCTTCATTAAGGAAAATCTGAAAATAAAAACCAGGGGCACTGTGACCCTGAGATCATCCAGGCTTGGACCCAAAGTCATGACCCATCAAATACAGTGGGTATCTTTCTACTGGTTAATATTAGTTGAACCCTTCAGACACCTAGTAACTTTTAACCGATAGTATCCTTTCTCAAGATTCTGAGTTAAGAGACCTCAAGCTCCTCAGAAAAGGATGATAAGGAGGCCATGGTGCAAACCCTGAAGCTTAAACCACCCTCCTAGTTCAATGCGATGAATTCCCTGGGATTGGTGGCTCTCCTGCTACATCCCCTTGTGAATTCCAAGATGTAACTCTGTCTCTGACATGGACGGTAGACTACATGTTCAGATAGAGATGCTCAGACAAAGTTACTAAGCCAGACGGTCAAGCTGTCATGGGTATAAAAATCATCAGATGCCCACAAACATCTATGGCGACTCAAAGATTCTGGGAGTGATGCCCCATTCATTGGTACTTCTGCCCCTGACCTGGATTCTACATTGTTGAACTCCAGGCTACCACCTTGATTGAACGGTTCTGACCCACACTTTTTGTGCTGTGAGTTACGTCACTCTCTCCCCTGTGGCCTGAAATCATTGCCTTTACCACCATTAATATCACCCATCTTCGACCTCAGACAGGCATCACAAGGGTATAGAATTCCAGGCTGTTTTTGATCAATTATTATTTTTACCTAACTCAGTGGCTTTTTGTACAATGTTTCATTGAGTCCTCCATGAACCAGAAAGCTCTGGAAAATCCTGTGGCCCCAAAGACTTGCCTCAGCTGCTGTCTTTGGACAAGTACAGGCAAGGAAGGCAAAGTGGGTAAGACTCCAGGCCCCCACCCAGTCTCCATCAGGGGTCCATTTTCAACTGAATTGTCTCAGGTTGTGTTTGAACAAAAGGCCTTGCTGTTATAATGAAATGCTTGATGACACCAATCTAAGGGAAAGGCAAGGCTTGAGGGAGTTAAAGCTGTTTTACACGCTCATTCTGAGAGCACTACTCTCAGGCTTCAGCTTCTCCTTGTGCGTTTGCATCCAAATGTGAAGTTATTAATAGTCTTTCCTCTCTCTTGTCATTGTTACATGTGTTAATTGGTCTTCTTCTCTGTACTGTCTCAAAACAAGATACATTTATCTCTGCTGTGAGCACAGAACCCATTATTCTCAGTCCCAGATTGGTCAATTCTGTGGGCCTCCTTTTCCTAAACTTTAAGAAGATTATAATAATATTTAACTCATACATTTGTCATAAGAATTGGGGCAGATAATGTGTATAAAACCGTCAGGTTGAACGTTCACTTTATAGGCATTTTAACTCACTAGTGCCTTGTCCCTGTGTAACAGGTATCTCCCCTCTTGACCGAGCTGTTTTAGGGCAAGAAATGGACCTCAGTAACAGTTTAATGGACATAAGTAACATTTATTGAGTACTATGTGCAGGGTATGGGCTGCAGCATTTTACATTTCCTATCTCATTTAATCCTCATGAGAAATCTATGAGATAAGTTACATTTATTAACCCTGTTTTGAAAATGAGCAAATCGAGGTTCAGAAAGGAGATGCAACATGCCCATGGTAACATGGGTTAAATAAAATTGGGATTCAACCCAGGTTGGGTGGCTCCTGAACCTAAGCCCTTGCCTTACTACTGTATTGCCTGCAACAACAATCAATTTAATTGATCCCTAAATATTTGTTGTGTGTTGGAGGTCCAGCTCACAGTGCCCTTCTTGTCTAAGATTTTTCCATCCCACAATGGTTTTTCCTCCCTCTGGACTCCCACATGCACTGCCAGTGTTTCTCATTAAGTAGCTAATCACTTTCATATTCCCATGCTTTGTGTGCCTCCCACCCACCCCACCACTGACTAACTTGTAAAGCTCCTGGCCTGGCACATAGTAGCAACTAAATAAATATCTATCAACCAGACAATGATTGACATGATGTCATTTGTTATGAAATCTATAAGTCTGAATACTGATGATGAAAACAGTAGCATTCATTCATTATTTTATTTAACCTTATGAAGTACTTACAATAACTCAGACAACCCAGGAAAATGTTTGAATTTTGAAATGGGAAAAAAGTTTTGATTTCTAGATGTCTTCTCTAGCACACCCTTTGGGGTCTTCTCTGCATTTTATAGACTGAGCTGTTTTACAATGCTGTAAATTGAAGAATTTACAATAATTGATAATGCAAATGATTCTTGCCCATAGAAATGCAAAAAAATTATGTCTGTGAATTGTGCTTGATTATTGTCCTGAGGACAGACTAGTTTTACATTTATTTGGAAGTTCATTTTATCATTCCTTTTTGCCCATGTATTTCTTTCTTTGACTTTCCCTTTGAACTTATATCATCTTACTAGTTCCCTCATTAATCAAGGAATTAAATAATGCCTCTGTATATGTTCATTTTATATTTGTATAAGGTTTACAAGTTTGCCCTTTTTAAAAAGTACCCTTTTATATACATCATAGAGTGCTCAAAATTAAACATGTCTATCCAAGGTGCAAACTAAGTATGTAAATTTCTAAACACAAATCTAAATTCTATCCCTTAGCTATAAATTTCTAGAATGTTTTCTCACATTTCCACCCTCCATTTCTTGGCAAACAATTTCTACTTTTTGTCTCTATGTGTCTGTCTCTTCTGAACATTTCATTTAAATGGAATCATACACTATGGGGCCTTTTGTATTTGGCTTCTATCACTTCACATAATGTTTTCACATTTCATCCATGTTTTAACCTGTAGCGTACTTCATTCCTTTTGATGGCTGAGTGATATTTCATTGTGTGGGTAAACATTGTGTTTATCTGTTCATCTGTTAGACCTTTGGGCTGTCCTTATTTTTTTTTTTTTTTTGGCTATTGCGAATAACGTTGTTACAAGTTTTCATGTACTTTTTTTTTTTTTTTTTTTTTTTTGTGGACACATGTTTTCAATTCCCTTGTGTATGCACCTAGGAGTAAAGTTCTGGGTAATATGGTAACTCTATATTTAACTTTTTAAGGAACTGCCAGGCTGTTTTCAAAGCTTCTTCACCAGCCATGTAGAAGGGTTTCAATTTCCCCTCATCCTCATAAAGGAGGTTTTTTTGTTTGCAAAACATAAAAAGAAAACATCTGTGAAAACAAAGCATAGTTACCATGTCATACATCTCATAGGTCACTGGGAAAACACTGTCCTACATCGATGACACTGGGCTCTGCTGGTTCTTTCTCAAGCAGCACTGTTTTGCCTGCACTCTGCAGCCCCACATGTGACAATAATTTCCAACCGAGTATCAGAACTTGCTTTTTCTCGTTGATCTTTTAGCCTGGTTTGTGGGAGGAGGCTGGGATGATTTCATACCTGCAATAAGTCCAACTTTCATATCCAGGCCTGGCTCACTGGGACCTGAGAAATTTGGCAGCCTTCCTGTCCTTCACACCGCCATGTCCTGGGGCTGAACTGATTGGCTACTGTTATTCTCCTTTCACTTAAATAATATACCTCTTGAAGCTAGCACATAGCTCAAGCCCAGACCAGGTACTGAGAAAAATTTGAGTCTTGAGAGAGTAAGAAACCTTCTAACCTGCACCCAGATCTTTCTCTAGGCAACTTGCCAATGGCTGTGTCACCTCTGACAATGGGTAAGTGTGGGAAGTGAAGGGAGAGAAACATGTTGTGGGCTGGTCAGAATATTTGTGAGCCCAGAGATTGTATTTTTTGGGTGCTTCTTCCAGGCCTTAAGCAGTGAGTGACATGAGTAACGGGCATGTCAGGCCTCTCACACCCACCTAGTGGATCTTTTCAGTTCTGAACGTGTTTCAGCCAGCCTGTGGGGGATAGTAATCGGGTTTGCTGTTTGAAGGCTGGGCTTTGGTGTGGTTTCACACCAGGCCTCTCCACTGTGTCTTTTTAAAGTTTCATCACTCCCAATCAGCTGTTATTTCACTGCCTGTGGTTTTTCTGTCTCACAGTCTATAAGAAGATTAATAGTGCTACGACTAATGGGATCATGATTTTAACAGGCGATTGCAACCAGCTTCAGGTAGGCACCGACAGAATTCTCTTGCAGCCTGAGGGGTGCATAGGACTTTGGAAAACAGATACTGGACTTCTCAGAATGGGAGTTCAGTTTCTTCCTGAGATGAAGATAACAAGGGTAGCTGGTTCCCCTGCGTAGGTCCTCTTAGCACAACAATAACCAGTTCTGGCAGATCTGGTCCCCTCCTGCCTTTAGAGTTGGTGTCTTTTGAGCTGAAGAAATGAAAGAATTTGTTGAGCAGGTGCTTTTTGTGTATAAAAAGCAAAGGACAGCCGTTTGCACATTGGTCTTTTTAGTCACTGCTATGGCCTGAACATATCCCCCAAAACTCATCTGTTGCAACTTGATTGGCAATGTGATAGTATTAAGAGGTGGGACTTCTAGCAGGTGATTAGGTCATGCAGGTGGCACCCCCATGGGTGGAAGTAGAGCCCTCAAGAGAGTGAGCTCTCCCCTTCCATCTCCCTTTACTCTGTCGCCTTTGGGCATGTGAGGACACAATGTTTATCCCTTCTACCACATGTGGGCAAGAAAGTCCTCACCAGACACTGAAAGCCAGTGCCTTGATCTTGGACTTCCCAGCCTTCATATCTGGGAGAAATAAATTTCTATTATTTATAAATTACCCAGTCTGTGATATTTTTCTATAGCAGGACAGACTAAGGCAGCCACACACATTCTTAATTATTTTATGATTCTCATACACACCAGCCCCTTTGCAGATGAGTCTGATGGACACATATAGTGACCCCTGTATATGTCCCCATCTCTAGGTGGCATAATCCTTCAAACCCAGAGACTGTTCCCTCTCCCTCTGGAGTCCTGTCCTGACATCCCCTCTGTTGGACTCTGCTGCTATTATCTGTGGAGCCCCTTTAGGCACTTGGAGCTGCTGTTTGGGGCCATAAGTTCTCTCATGGTGCATGTTCAGCCTCCTCAGCTAACTTATAAAGGAAGGAAAGAATGTGATATGTGTTGGATATAAGCCTGTGTATCAGATCTCATTTGATCTTGAGGAATGGATACCATAATCCCCATTTTAGAGATGAGGAGCCTGAGGATTCAGATGGCTTAGGTCATTTGCCAAAGCCACACAGCTTACGGCCAAGCTTGGCTTCAAACCCTAGATTGAGTAATTCCAAATCTCATGCTTGCTCTACTAAACTGCACTTGGGGATAAACACTTCAGAACTGATCTCTTATATGTCTTAGTTTGCTCACATCATAGCACAGTATTTTGCTCTGTTAAACACTTGAGGTTTGAGCTGCTGATGAAGGTTCTCTGACAGATATATGGATATATCCTTGGCTACTAGAAGCCATGCATAATATATCAGGTCATGTCAGGTCAACATGAGATCAGTACAACAAGATCATAAACAAAGACATAATTTTAAAGCCTAAACTAGCTTGTCATGAACACATCTTTCCATTTCCAACTAGATTCTAACCAAACCATATTAGGTTACATTAAGCCCTGTATATACGGGGAAACCCATTTTCCCCTAAGCCAATTAACTGGGTCTTCTTTCCCAATTATTGCTGTAATCAAGCTAATGTGTTATTAAGAAGACTGAAATAATTGTTTATGATCTGGTTTCTTTGCCCAATGAATAATTGAATTGAATGGCCATTAAAGAAAATCTAATCGATGGCTATGCACTGAGTCAGTCCACAAATCGCCAGTGTAGTGGAACATGAAGTTATATGCACTGAATTTTAGGGCTAAGCGGAGAGTTGTGATGTCATCTACTTCGGTCTTGCACATAAGATCAATCCAAATGCTAACTCTCTCTGCTTTTCTTTATACTTTCCAAAATGCTCTATCCTTGGTGACTCTTTTCCTTCCCTAGAATGCCCCACGCTCCCTCCCAACTTCGTACGTGCTGGTCCCAATTATCTCTTACTTAGCCTTTGGATCTACACTCAATTTTAATTTCTAGAGAGAAAGCTTACCTGAAGCCCCTAATAAGTATAGCATCTTTAATAAAACGCCCTACGTACCCACTGTCACAGTTATAATTATTTTGTGTCTAACTAACATCTGCCTCCTCTAATTTAAATACCATAAGGGCAAGAATCTTGGAGTTGGGGGGTTTGCTTCTGTTTTGTTTTTCATTGTATCTTTAGCACCTACCAGAATACAGATGCCTACTGGATGCTCAGTAAATATGCGTGTATTGAATAATTATAGAGCGGTATGAATAAATGAAGGGGGGAAAGAAATAACATTTATTGGCAGCCTGCTGTGTGTTAAATATTTTATAACAATATTATGAGAAAGGCATTCCCCCAGCCACCTCTTTTTTCAGAAGAGGAAACCAATTTTAAAAGACTGATTTCTTTATGGTGAAAACTTGAACTCAGACCTATCATAACATAAATCTGTAAGAGTATAAATCCACTGCTTTTTCCACTAAAGCCTTCCATTGTGTTGTTGTTGTTTTAGTAGAAGTGCATCATGAATTTTACTTCATGGAGCTGAACTCAGGTTGGTGAGTTGCCTCTAGGGCATCTTCTAGACTCCACTTAGTGCAACTTCAGATTCCTCTTCAGTAACCATCGCATTGTTGAAGCACTGTTGCTACCTGGAGTGCTGGCCTAGTTCTGCCAGCAATCCCACCTGCTGCTGCTATTCCTCATCATCTGTCCTAAAGGTAACCTGGAAGCAAAAGAACGGTCTTCGGATTTAGCTAATTACATTCATGCGCTGCCATGGATGGATGTAGAGCCCTTGTAAAAGGGCTGGATACAGCAACATGCTTCTTGGTGTAAAATGAAAACAAGGGGCCAGGCGCCGTGGCTCATGCCTGTAATCGCAGCACTTTGGGAGGTCAAGGAGGGTGGATCACCTCAGGTCAGAAGTTCAAGACCAGCCTGGCCAATATGGTGAAATGCCATCTCTACTATAAATACAAAAATTAGCAGGGCGCAGTGATGTGCGCCTGTAATCCCAGCTACTCGGGAGGCTGGGGCAGGGAATTGCTTGAACCCGGGAGGCGGAGGTTGCAGTGAGCCGAAATCACGCCACTGCCCTGCAGTCCGGGCAACACAGCGAGACACCATCTCAAAAATAATAATAATAATAATAATAATAATAATTAATAAATAGAAGAAAAAGAAAACAAGGACAGAAAATGTAAAAATTTTTTGAGAGGCCATTACAAGAAGTACTTTAGAAAGAAAGAAAAACCCCAGAGAATATATGTATGAATGAAGTTTACCTTCTAAGTAGGGAATATGTTAATGGAAGTGCTACTGCTACTTAAGAAACACTAAGAATGGAACCCAGAGTCTTCTAGCCACCCCCAGGGATCGGGGGGCCTTGGGCAGATCGATTACACATTCTGTGGGTGCTCAAAGCAAACCAAACTCCTCTGAGGGAAGCATCTTCAAGGGGTCAGTGCTAGTTTTGTCTGTAGTTGGCAAGAACCACAAGTGACTTTTATGTAAACTGTCATTTTTAATAACAACTTGCAAAGTATTGAGAAATTTGTACAACAAATGGATTGACTGTCTTTCTGTGCATCTTTCCAGCTGTTAGACTATTGACACAGGGCTGAATTAATGATGGGATTTCTTCTCTTGGCTGTAGGCAATCTCTAGGATTCTAGGATTTACCTGAGGAACCTATATTTACCATGGATATTTTCCTCTTTAGTTCATGGTCTGCTTGTGTGAAAGATTGGCTCCTAAGTAAATTAGTTAGCTTTGGAAGGTCCTGGATCATCTTTCACTTGACCCCTAGCTAGGTTTGTCTGATTACACAAATAAAAATATGAGACACTCAGGTAGATTTGAATTATTTTGAATTGCTTATGCATTGCAGATTGAAATTTTAAAAAGTATTAGAAATGGTATATTGTACTAAAAATTACCTGATGTTTATCTGAAATAGCTGATAAAAATCTAAATGACATGCCTCTTAAAAATTGCATTTCCTTGATGATTTGGCTGTCCCCAGCAGCTGCTTGTTTTGCAGAATTTGCTAACAAAATTTCTTGCAATTATAGTCTGTGTTCCCATTACATTGTAATGTAGCTTCAACAGTGGTCACATCCAACTTATATTGTTCTTTTGTTCATTGAATATTCATTAATGAGAAGCCACTCTCAGTACTAACATTATGAGCTGATATACTGAACACATACTGGCATAAAGTTAACAAATCTAAAAATTGCTCTTTAAATTTTATTTGTTGCCACACAAAATGCCATCTTTCATGGCATAACTTGCTTTTCCATTCTTCAGCATTAAAATAAATCTCTTGATCAACAATTTTTAAATTCTGAAACATAAAAAAAGAAAGCATGGTCATCAATTTTAAATCCTTTCTTCTTCAACCCTACACATGCTGAAAGAGTATTTAGTAGCATCCCTATAAAACAATTAAATTCTTCAAGGGATAAAATCCATTTATAAAAAATAGTCAAGTGATGTAATAATTATCCTCTTCAGTTTGGTATTTATTTTCCCATTCATAGTAAATTTGTCCTTTGAAGAACAGCCATGACACTTAAAGGGATAAATTTTCTATCATTTCTTTCTCTAACACATGCCACAGCTTTCTTCAAGGGATAGTCTTCAATAATACTGTTGGGTTTTGTTTCAATTTACATAATCATATTGCTGAAGAGATTGAAAACTGTGAGTGATAAAAAATAAAAAATGAAGTAGGTTTTCATTCATTAGATTACTTAAAATTTGGAGGCCTTTCTGTTAGAATTAAAATTTAACTTCAGTGTTTCAAACGAACTAAGGAGTCTCTCAACTGCATTTGTTAAAGAGATCCAATGGGCTTTGGAATGCAAGAGAACTGAAGAATACCAAATACCAATTACAAAAATCCTTTAATTGCACAAACAATATAAATGCCAAAGTACAAGAATTTCATGACAATTACTTCGGTGTCAATAGAAAGGACATCAGATGCTGTGTGAGCAGCTTTATGCAGAATATGAACAGGACAGCCAACACTTTCCATAGAATCATTCATGCTTTGCTTCAACATTTAATAAGTACTGTCTATATCCATAAAGGTACATAAGCAAATTCACAAAATTTGTATTTGTATTGCTTTCCCCAAAAGCAGTAAAATTTTTCTCATTAAGTCCTAACTCAACCAGAGTCTCTGCAAAAATATGCTGTTATTTTTGAGTTCTCATCTGGAAGGGCTTTTATTCACAGTAGCCTTATAAGCAAGCTTTTTTAAAGTAACAAAAAAATTGCACAATCAAAGTGATATTTTTTTCTGTATCATGATTACTTGGATCAGTGGCTACACCTTAAAAAAGATCTTTGATAATCTGGGTAATAATAAATGGAGCTAGTATATTTTTGTTACTGCGGTTGATTTCATCTCAGCACTTGAAAATTTGCTTGCAATTTTGGAATCTGGAAATACTCTGGTAGCAGTACATTCAAACACTTTTGTGAGCAGAAGACTAACGATAATATAGAGTGTGGAAGGAGCTACTTACTACAAGGCCATCTCTAACTTGCCTCCGTATCTTCTTAAAAGGCTGTCAGGAGACAGTTCGTTATTGCCTCCTGGAGCCTGACAAGGCAGGAGGCTCTCTGTCACACTCCCACTTAGGGTGCAGCTGCAGGCTATAAAACTGCTTGCTTCAGCATGGCAAGGGCTCTTCAGCAACAGGATGTTCCACCACTCACGTTGCAGTCATCCTGCCCCTTTTGTTCTGGTGCTATCCTGTGGAACAAAGGACCCAAAGGGCTGGTACTCTTGCTTTTGCTGTCTATGTGAGTAATAAACTGTTTAAATCAAATAAGAGCCCATTGTTTCTTTCCCAGCCAAATCTGTCAGTCATGCTTGATAACCCCCATGCTAAGTCTCTTTCTAGCACAGAGCACACATCTGATCCACAGGAAACATTCAGGTGTATCTTTGCCTGGACAAACTCAGAGGGCTGATTCCAATACAGCAAGTAACAACTCTCCTTTTCTCTGCCATCAAAGCAGTTAGCCAACAATATCCATCAGCTATGACCACAATTATGCTGCATAATAAGACCCCCAAGTCTCTGTGGACTAAAATAATAATAGATTATTCTCATACCTGTGGGCTGGTTGGAACGGCAGATCTACTCTGAGAGTCTGTTATTCTCTTTGGACAGTGTGTCCAGCTAGGCATGTTCTTCCGTGAAAATGGCAGAGGCACAAACTCAGATGTCATACTCACCGCATAAGCACATTCCAAGCCCCTGCTTGAATCACATCTACTACCATCCCACTGGCAAATCAAGTCACATGGTAGGGTAATAAGTCAAGGGCATCTCTACTCCCATAGAGATGGAGAGGGAAGGACTGATTATTTTTTAATAATCTAATTTTTTACATCCAAGAACCACTGTGTCCCCTCAATTCAGAGGACATAAGCTCTCCAAGGAACATTTCTGCCCCTCCTTTTGGGAAAGGGATGGTGAGTGGGACTCACGGCACAGCTCTCTTCAAAGAATTCCTTGTCATAAGTGCTCCTTTCATTTCTACCTATCTAGACTCTTTTATATTCCTGATAAAGGTTAGGGGAGTAATTGACTTTTAATTCTCTTCTCTAAAAGAAAGGCGATCTGCTTTGCAACTCAATTAAATATCTAATATCTCTTGCATAAGGGTCTCTGCCAAATCCTTCATTTTGACATCTTTTTACATAACCAAAACCTGGAAATGCACACAGCAATGACCAACTTTGGGGCTTTAAAAAGAAATTTTAATTTTAGTGAAACAAGGAATTTACCATCCTTCCTCATAATCTCTTGTTAGTTAGGTTTTGAAAAAACAAGAAATTGCATATGTAGGAATCCTAGAAAAAGTCTTAGAGAGAATGAATTTCCAGTGACAAAGCCCTCCCAGTTTTTTTGTTTGTTTGTTTCTGTTTTGTTTTTTGTATTTTTCTTTACCAGTGAGAGCTCATGACTCCTCTCTGTTCAGGCACCCAGAGCCCAGAACTGCTGCTGCAAGGCAATTATGAAAAACAGATTAACTTTTACTTGGTTTTCTTATTGATGTTAAATTCTCTACAGACAATACATTGCTTTATTGCCAGCATCCAGGGCAGATTGCTCTCACTGTCCTGCCTTTGATAAGTCATTGTCTGACCTGCCCGTATAGATCTCAGCCCACAGTGGTCTTGTTGTGCTGCAGGTATACAGTACAACTGAAAGATATTCCACCATACTTTCTACTCAAAAGTTAACTTCTAATGCTTCTTGTACATGTTTGAACAAAACTTTTCCTCCTCCTCCCTCTAGTTCTTTCTCAAACTGAAAAAAAAAATGTGTAGCAGTGAGTAGAGGAGGCTTTAACAAGGGCACAAATGAAAAGGGAAGAAGAGGTAGAAATAATTGCCACACAAGAAATATCAGTGTCTCTATCAACCAGACTTTGGAACACTGAGAATTATAGTGGAAATAAGCCACATACTGTAAAAATTGGAATGCAGCTTGAGCCATAACCTTCTACTGCTGATTGGTGCATTTTGATGGGTGATAAAGATGTTAACTCATTAATGACAGACCCACATAGATGGTAAATTTGATTAAAATAATATTTCAAGGAACTGGACTTTATAGACATTTAAGGAAGAAAGAATAAGAATACTAGGTTAATGGCTTAAGGGGTTATCTTTTATAGTGCACAAAACTATTTGCATCTCTGGACAAAAACCTACAAGTTAACCTACAACTTCACGGAGTTGGAGTCTTTAATTAATAATAAATAGCTGAGCCATAGACAATACACTCCCATAGACAGTTAAGTAATCCTTGGGTGGGCTTGTTAAATCGCACCCCAGCTTGTCTTTGAGAGGCTGTGTTGCATTCTCTTGGCCTTTATGCAAGTTTTGAATAATTTTTTCTTAACAAGCATATCTGGGCATGTTTGCTCATTTGTGGATGAGCTTGGTGAAATTCTATTTGCATAGGGATTGAGGAGCCTTCTGGGAAATAATGTATGCTGTTCCCACTGCAGGCTGAGATCTATAGGGGTAGGTCAGACAATGGCTTATCAAGGTCAGGGCAGTGAGAGCAATCTGCCCTCGATGCTGGCAATAAAGCAATGTATTTTCTGTAGAGAATTTAACACCAATAATAAAACCAAGTAAAAGTTAGTCTGCTTTTCATAATTGCCTTGCACCAGCAGTTCTGAACAACATGAGTGATACAAATCTTCATCCCTTCTAGGGCAGACCACTCCCATCTAATTCCACATTGGAGGAGATGTCTGAGAACCAAAGGGAAGGTGACACAGAGGCCTACTGGCAGTGGGCTAGAAGAAATATAATACCCTCAGGAAAGATGAGTTAGGTTAACCCAGAAACAATGCTTTGCCTCTCTGTAATCAGATCAGGCAAGGGATTCTGGGTACATCGGTGTTAGGGGTCAAATCGTGTCCCCCACAAAATTAATAAGTTGAAGTTCTAACTCCAGAACCTCAGAGCATCACCTTATTTGGAATTGAGTTGTTTCAGATGTAATTTATCAAGATGAGGTCATTAGAGTGGTCCCATCCCCATTGTGACAGGCGTTCTTATAAAAAAGGGGAAATTTGAGCATAGAGACACATACAGGAAGAATAGCATGTGAAGATGAAGGCAGAGATCAGGGAGATGCTTCAAGAAGTCAAGCAACACCAAAGATTGCCAGCAAACCATCGGGAGACAGGGGAGAGGCGTGGAGCAGGTTCCCTTTGCAGCTCTCAGAAGGAGTCAAGGCTGCAAACACCTTGATCTTGGACTTCTCCCCTCCAGAACTTTGAAACAATAAATTTCTGTTGTTTAAGTCACTCAGTTTTGGCACTTTGTTATGAGAGCACTATTAAATGAATCCATCAGCTTTAAGGTCTGTTGTAGCAATAGCCACACTGACAGTCATTGTCTAAGCACAGGGAACCACAGCTGGTAAGACTACAGCAGCTGGGCACAAGAGCTAGGGCATATTTCACTTAATTTTTTTTTTTTTTTTTTTTTTTGAGAGAGTCTCGCTCTGTCGCCCAGGCTGGAGTGCAGTGGCGCAATCTTGGCTCACTGCAAGCTCCGCCTCCCGAGTTCACGCCATTCTCCTGCTTCAACCTCCCGGGTAGCTGGGACTATAGGTGCCCGCCACCACGCCCAGCTAATTTTTTTGTATTTTTAGTAGAGACGGGGTTTCACCATGTTAGCCAGGATGGTCTCGATCTCCTGACCTCGTGATCCGCCCACCTCGGCCTCCCAAAGTGCTGGGATTACAGACGTAAGCCACTGCGCCCGGCCATTTCACTTAATTTTAAAAGCTCTTTATAGCCTGATAAGCCATTTCACATAGAGTAAGTCATTTGATCCTTAGAACACCCTTGTATGGTAAGTTGGCCAACTATTGTTCCCATTTTCAAAGGAAAAAATCTGAGTTTCAGAAAGATTAAACAATTTTCTCAAGAACAAAGAGTCTGTAAGAAACAAAGGCAGGATTTGAACCCAGACGATTTGATTCTAGGGCCAATTTTCTGTCTATTACATGGTTCTTGGAAATGCATCCTGTTGTCTTCACCTCTCATTGCATGATGACTGAGTCATTTCCTAGGCCTTCAGGGTCTAAAATAGAATTGTGACGACTTAAATATTCTTTTCCTATCTCATTAGAAAGCAAGTGTATTTATCTTCAAAGCCTGGGCAGATTTATGTTAACTGAACAGACAAGGCATTTGGAATGACCTCCACACGATTCAGGTACCAGTTAAAACTGATTTGGCCAGTTCGTGTACCCCACACCTGATGTGCCAGCACAGAAGACTCTTAAGAGGAAAACATAGCAGCAAACACCAGGTGAGTTTATGGGTACTTATTATTAGTCACGAGGCTACTAGGTTGAAGAAGCTTAATAGATATTGCCTCCACTGCACAAATAGTCCTCCTTGCCATCAGAAATCAGTCATGTGGTTTTCTTGTTCTATCATTTCTCATTAATTAGGATCTGTCCTAAGTGATGTCAGAGAAGGAATATATTTGTGTAAACTGCACTGATGGAACAAATCTTTCTGGAAAATTTGGGGCATGAACTTGGAGTTGAAGATTAATATAATTAAGAAATATCATCAGTATATTCCAGGTGGGAAGAATTAAAAAAACAAGTGCAGGTAAGTAGATTGTAATATATAGTTAGGGTATGACATCATACACTGTTATCCTTGTAACTCTTAGAATTTCATCTATCCATTCGTTTATTCATTCTTCAAGAATTTATTGAGTACCCATTAGGTGTCAGGCACTGTTCTCTGCACTGGGACTCAATGGTGAACAATGCCTTCAAAAAACAAACATAAAAGCTTTCATTTATTGAGCTCTGTCCCAGTGTCTGACCCTACTCTAAGGCCATTACAGATATGAGCTCATTAACTTTTTTTTAACTTTTACTTTAGGTTTGGGGGTACATGTGAAAGTTTGTTGCATAGGTAAACACATGTCATAGGGGTTTGTTGTACTTTTTTTTCTTTTTTGAGACAGAGTCTCATTCTGTCACCCAAGCTGGAGTGCAGTGGCGCAATCTCGGTTCACTGCAACCTCTTCCTCCCAAGTTCAAGCAATTCTCCTGCCTCAACCTCCGAAGTAGCTGGGACTACAGTGGCGCGCCACCATGCCTGGCTAATTTTTGTATTTTTAGTAGAGACAGGGTTTCTCTATGTTGGCCAGGCTGGTCTGAAACTGCTGACCTCAAGTGATCCACCTGCCTCAGCCTCCCAAAGTGCTGGATTACCGGTTGTTGTACATATTATTTCATCACCCTGTTCTTAAGCCGAGTACCCAATAGTTATCTTTTCTGCTCCTCTTCTTCCCCCCAACCTTTCCTCTCAAGTAGACTTCAGTGTCTGATGTTTCCTTCTTTGTGTTCATAAGTTCTTATTTAGCTCCCACTTATAAGGAGCACATGTGGTATTTGGTTTTCTGCTCCTGCATTAGTTTGCCAAGGATAATAGCCTCCAGTTCCACCCATGTTCCCATAAAAGACATGATCTCTTCTTTTTCAGATATCATTTAATTTCTTATAACAACACTTAGAGGTAAGAATTATTATCTTCACTTTATAGATAAAGAAAGTGAAGCTACAAGTTTAAATGACTTGCTTAAGTTTCTGAAACTAGGAAGGAAGAATAAGGATTCAGCAAGGTCTGCCTGATTTCAAAGCCTTGGTCCCTAAACACAAAACTTGCCCTCTCTCCAGATGTCTTACAGGTCAAGTTTCATCTCAAAAGAACCTAAAGCTTGTAGTCCCAGCTACTCAGGAGGCTGAGGTGAAAGGATCACATAAGCCTAGAAGTTCAAGTCCAGCAACATAGCAAAACCCTATGTCTTAAAAAAAAAAAAACAAAAAAACAAAACTAAAGCTGTGCAACTTTCCCTCCTATTCCCCAGTTGCAAAATACATTAATATAATGAAGGGGCTTTCTCACCCCTCCTTTATCCTTATTTGGATTTGTTTGTTCACATACTTATTAAACTGTATTGACCACCTACTGTGGGTCTAGGCACTCTGCTGGGAGCAAAAATGAAAATGATGTGACCCTGCCCCTCACAAGCAAAGGCCCAACATTGTGGGGGTCTCAGGAAGACCTCTAAGGATGCTGCCAGCAAAAAGAGAGAGAGGTGATACTCTCAAATTAAGCAGGTGAAGGAGAGATTAATAGAGCACCTATTTACAAAAGTATAGGCAAAGTAAAGAGATATCTCAAGGGATAGTGCAGAACCCTAGGCGCTAAGGAAGAATAATCTTCTTACAATACGTATAGGCATTCCTTATTCTTGCTAGGATAATCAAACTTGGTTCGAATTAAGCTTTTCTATTTTGAAAATGTTTACTGCCAAGTCCACATATGTGAATGCCCCAAGATTTTGTTTTTAGTAAGCGCTAGGGAAGGGCATTTTCACAGTGTCTTGTTTTTCCCTTGGTTCCTTTTCCATCAACATCAAACACTTCTTGTTAACAGTAGCCTTCTTTATTGATTTCAGTTACCTTCACTGGAAAATTCTCAAATGCTTTTTACTCCTGTTAGCAGCTTCCCCAAGGACTTCATTTTTATGCCAACCACTTCTCTTCTTAAAGTGATGAAACCATCTATTGCTTGCAATGAACACCTTTTCCTCCATATCATCAAGAGGTTCTCATTTTCAATGTCTCAGAGACATGCAGAAAGCATCCCTTGGCTCAGAGGTGTGTTAATTATCTATTGCTGCATAACAACTTACCCTCAGAACTTAAGAGACTTCTTAACAATTATTATCTCATGGTTTCTGTGGGGCAGGAAATCAAGAAAAGTTTAGCTGGAGAGTTCTGGCTCTGAGTCTCTCATGACATTGTAGCCAAAATGCTGGATGGGGCTGCAATAATCTGAATTATGCTTGAATGGGGCTGCTTCCAAGATGGCTCACTTACATGGCTTTTGACAGAAAGACCAAGTCCCTCACCCTGCAGGCCCTTCCACAGCTGCTTGATGCCATTATGTTGTCTTCCTCCGGGGGAATGACGTGAGAAAGAAAGGCTGAAGTTGCAGTGCCTTTTATGAAGTTACCCACCATGTGTCCAATATGTGCTTTCATTGGAAGTGAGTCACTAATTCCCCATACTGAAAGAGAACAGAATTAAACTCTACTTCTTGAAAGAAGGAGTATCATAGAATGTGTGGACATTCTTTAAAGCCATCATTAGTAGTATGTGGATTCACCGCTCAGGCATTCATTGCATCAAAAGACTTACTGTCTCATAAGTCAGTTCATTATGTTTTCTCATCTCTTAATTTCAACTGATTGCATTGACCTGGTGCCCATCACCTCACCACCAGCCTTGGAGGTCTTTTGATTACTAGAGGAATATCTTTCATAATGAGAAAGCACATAAAAGCAAGGGATAAAAATAGAGCCATATTAAGGGTAAGAATCTATATTTATCTATTATAAAGCCAATATTAGTATCAACAAAGGACTTTACCAAGTGCCCTGCTGAATAAGAATTTCAAATGCCAGTTTCTTCAGAACTAAGCCCAACCTCTTGGAGGGTTCACTGAATTAGTCAGTCCCTCTAGGCTATGTTTAATAAAAGATTTATCAACAGATACATGAGAAAACACAAAGGAGTTGTGATAAACTTTAGGAAATCAACAGTCTTGCCACATATGTGCAGAATTCTAGAAAATGGTCCTTTACAAAGGTAAAAGATGAGATGGGGCAGAATGAAAGAGAAGCACTCATGTTGACCAATGACCTACTAGGAAGGAGTGTGGCACTTTCGCTCCTACATTCTATTTTGCATTCATGACAGGTTGTGGTGATTGTCTCACTCTCACCATCACCACCACCCAGAGCATTGCAGCTGTTAAGTAGAATAGTAATATGCCTATGTTGACATGGAGTGTAATGAGGTGTAGGCTTGTAAAACAAACCACTGGTGGAATGAGACTGTGGGTTGGTTTTAGTACTTTTTTCATTGTCTTGCACAGTGGAAAGAGCATCCCTGCTTCACTCTCCGTCTGCAGGATCACAACTAAAATAGTTCTTACTATTTGGTTTTCCAGGGAGAAAGAAAGAATAAGACTTACAGAAACATGACATGATTATAAAGACTTGACAGACTGTCCTGTGGGCCTTTGATAAGGAAGGAAAGTTTAAATTAGCAGTAAATACAAGGCTTTATGATCTCTAACAGATGTCCAATCAATAACTGCCTTTCTCAATCCATGTATCTATTGTTTGGGCAGAAAGTACCACTTCTGTATTCTGTGTTTGCAGCTACAGGATAGAGAATCTCTAACATTTCTGATCAGTGGGGCCCTACCAAGCCTCAACTTTCAAATTGAAACCAGTAAGGGCAATATCAGTTTATTGATATAAGGGGATTTAGAGTGCATCTATTCATCTCTTAATTTCAACTGAAGGATCTCTAGAATACATACAATTTATCATAGTGGATGTGAGACAAATACTTAAATGCATAATTTACAAAGTATGATGGAGACCTAGTTCCATGACGCCTGACCCCTCCAACAATATCAAAGTCATAAACAAGGACATCATGTAAACAGAATAAGGATGTTTCTTTGGAAAGAGGTGTTGTCATTCTTAGTCTCTAATTCCTTATGGGAGTGGGAAAGGAGCGTTGCCTTCTTTACCTAAATCCCAGTGAAGAACACTTTTGTGGGACCACTTGGAGCCCCTCAGGGAACTTCCTCTTCCTTAGAGTTGCAAATGCAGAAATAATTTTTTTTTTAAATCAGCTCCATAGTTTACATTAATGTCTTCTCCTAGACATTCTGGTTACTGGACTGAGATCATTTTCATGACTCAAAGTTACTAGAGGGATGTCTATTATCTAAGAATGACTGAAAAAGTCCAGGAACTTGCAAAGTTTTCATCCAGGAACATTATAAAAGATTCCTCCAAAATATATACTTTAAAGGTGAAGTGGGAGACAAAAAAAATGCACTTGTGTTTGATTACATCACAATTTGTGCTTGTTTAGTATGTCAGTTATGTATATAATGAGACCAATGCCTTTCCCACATAAAATTAGACCAGCTCCATCCTACTGGAGATGCAAATTCTCACAATATCAAGCCAGAGTGAAGAACACTCAAAACGCCAAACTCCTAAGATTAGAGATGTCCATCTTGATGTCTGTTGTTGGGGCCTTCAGAGTTGGGCAAGATTAACCATGAATTGGTGGTCATGGAGACGGAATGACTAGGATTTAAAAAGGTTCCTGACCACCTCACTGATGTCTTCAGTTCTGCAATTAGATATATACTTCTTCCATTTATGGGTTTATTTCCTTTTAAATGTAAACTACTCTGGATATTTCCCCCTCTCATGTTTTCTTATCTTTTTCCCTTAACTGATTATGATAATGGACACATTAAGCCTCATCTGCCCTACATAACTCAATGTAAATGACTTTATTAAATCCACTATTGAAAGGAGATTTTTAAAGGAAGAACAGAAATGAGGATACCAGTCTAAGAGAGAAGGAAAGGAGATAAGAGGTCCTCTAAGGGATAAAAGGAAAAGAAGACTAGTAGGCAGACAATAAACTTTACTCTCAGAACAATTTTACCCAGGTCTGGACCTGAAAGTGGGACCCAATGCTTAGCACCATGGTGTCTCTTTCTGTTTGAGGGGTACCATGACCCACCTCACAGACCACCAGACAGTTACTCATTTAAACAAGAGCGGATGCCATAAATGCGTTTCACGGTATTTGATGTCAATAAATTATAAGTCATTTCCTGATAGAATGGTTGGAAATGAAATGAATTGTAAGATGAGGATGAAAATGAAAGGAAGCAAGATCTCTCTCCAAAATGAGAGCGGACATGATCACATAAGGCATTGCCCTGGTCATGACTCTAAAGCTGGAAAAGTTATCTTAGTGTTTGGCATCCACACTCAAGTACCTTCTCCTTTTGATGCTCTCTCCAGTCCTCGGTAGCCTGGCAAAGGAGTCAAGTGGCTCTTGAAGAACCCTCTGAGAGGCTAACAATGGGGTTGTGCTCAGCCCAGAAGATGAGGAAGCAGAGGGTCCTCACTGGGTGTGTGTGGTTCCTCATCTGTCACCTCAGGACAATGAATGGAGCACACCAAAAACATTGTTTGAGAGATCTCAATTGGACCACAAAAAAGCACATTCTTCCACTGTTATTTCCTGGAAATAAGAGTTATTCATCAACGGAAAAGGGTGATTACATGATGCTTAAAAATAGAAAATATCACCAGCATTATCCAAGGTTGCATTCTGTTTTTCTCTTCTTTCTCATCTTCTCAACAATAATTTTATTCTCTAGCTTAGTAGTGGGTGTGGCTTCAGTGGAAGGCCCATGTGATCTCATTAAAGGATACAGCTCATTGAAGAGCACCCCAAACCCAACTGCTTCAGCCTTTCTGGCCCAAGATCCTGCCATTGCTTCCAAAATGTAAGAATTGGACCAATTTGTCACAGAGATGAACTAACTTCTAGCAGGAATATGTGCTTGAAACTGTTATGTGTGGCAAGGGCTGGAGAAACTAACAGAGTGTACCATTAGTTTCTCTAACACTAAGGCCCCATATTTCTTTCATGTTGATACCTGAGGTTGGCTGAGGATGTGTTCCGCATTTTCATATAAGTTATGTCTCAGATACCAGCTGGATGTTTGTGAGGTAAGTGATGACAGTTTCATATCCACAATTATTCACCTCAAGTTGCTCTTGGGCATCTGTTACAGATTTAGTCTATTCTTTTTTATTACTGTTATTATCGCTCCATGTCAGGAAGAGTGTGTAGACAGAATATTGACTTGACAGCATTAATAGCTAAAATATGCAGCATTGTATTAAGAGAGAAAGTGGTTTAGCACAAAACTCACAGGGTTGGAGGAGAGTTTAGGAGTTCATTGTGCCAGAACATGAGGCAAGGCCATTCTTAAGCTGCCTTAGAGAGAAAGAGTAATGTTGTTTGGGATGGTTAAATTCTCCCTGGGAAAACCACTCTAGCGAAGAAATGACTTAACTGGAATTAGGCTACAGGGAGGCTGCCCTGGGAAATAAAAGCAATGTCTGTAAAAGAGAACAAATTTTCCATGTGATTAAAATATATAAAGAGATCTACTAAAGAGGGAATTTAGAGATCTAGAAGACTATTCACAAGAAATTTGGGATGAAACTGAAATGATTAAACCACAGCATCATAGAATGTTAAGGTGTAAGGAACTCTAGAGGTGATAGGATTCAACTTCATTTTGTAAATGAAGACCCACAGAGTTGTGTAAAAAAATGGATACCCTCAGAGGTTAAGTGGTTGGCCTAAGGTCAAATTGTGAAATATTGGCTGAGCTGCAACAAGAATCCATTTCTGCCCCAAAATATCTTTACATAACAGCTGTTAAACACAGAGAGATCAAGTTCATTTGAGATCGAAACACATTTATATTGACTTTTTTTGTATCAGTCAGGGTCCAATTAGAGAAGCTGAAACCATGCTAGACATTTCAGAGAGTAGATTTAATACAAAAAATGGATTGTACGACTGGAATACTGAAAGAGCAAAATGAGGCTGCTGGAGTAGCCAGATATTAGAAACTTCAGCATGCAGTTACCACCCCTGGAATTGAGGGAACAAAAGAGATGGAATGGGATGTTCAAAACTCAGGAGCTTGCCGGAAGGACCCCTCTGTCTCCCCACATCAGGATTACAGGGCAAAGTACAGAACTCTGGGCTTAGGTCTCTGTCTACTAAATATATTATTCTGGAAATGCAAAGAATAATAAGCTAGAGGAAAAGCTAGCAGGGAAGATTTCACACTTACTCTGGGAACCTGAAGAAGGGGCTTCTCAGAATAACATTGTTAAGACCTGCTTCAGACGGTGAGCCTCAAGTCCTCCAAGCCCACCATGAGATCTTGCACCCTGGGCACGACCTTAACCACAAGCAACAGGCAGTGCAACACTTGAAATTACCCTGCTGCAGGGCAAACAAAGGAAAGAAATGTCTGCCTCCTGTTCATAGGGCTGATGCTGTAGTCACGGGGAAGGCTGCCTTTTCACACCTGTGCCCTCAACACCGTTACTCAGATTGGTTTAGCCACGCAAGGCAGGCTAGAGGAAATGAGAAAGTGTGTGGCTAGAGGAAGCCAGCTTCCTGCAGAAACTGACCTGACTGCCTAGAGATCTCATGCGCAGTGTTTAAGATGAACTGAGCTGGGCCGGGCGAGGTGGCTCACACCTGTAATCCCAGCACTTTGGGAGGCCGAGGCGGGTGGATCACGAGGTCAGGAGATCGAGACCATCCTGGCTAACACGGTGAAACCCTGTCTCTACCAAAAATACAAAAAATTAGCCAGGCATGGTGGTGGGTGCCTGTAGTCCCAGCTACTCGGGAGGCTGAGGCAGGAGAATGGCATGAACCCAGGAGGCAGAGCTTGCAGTGAGCCAAGATCGCGCCACTGCACTCCAGCCTGGGTGACAGAGTGAGACTCCGTCTCAAAAGAAAAAAAAAAAAAGATGAACTGGGCTGGCAAGGGGAGTGGGGTCTGGCCTTCCTGGTGCGCATCCAGGGAGGCTAGCGATCACAGGCCATGATGCTAAGTGCTAGGGACTCTGCCATAAACCTGGCTGGATGAATAGGGCCCTAAAGTACTATTAGAACTATAATTAATCAATGATAAGTATTTTCTTGCACATTTTCTTCAATACCCTCTAACATTTCTAGGTCAGGTACTGTGATCTTTCCAGTTTACAGCCATATTCATGGTGCTTAACACAGTGTCTGGCATATGGCAGACAACTCAGTAAATGCAAACAATTCTCCTACAGCATGGTATTTCCTAACCTGATCTGGATTTAATGCAATCTATGAATTAAGAAGTATGATTTGCTTTACATGGATCCCAGGCAGCTAGGCAAGGTTGCTGAGTGGGAGTAGAGCACAATGGTATTCAGCAGAATGGGGTGAGAAGAGCTGAAGTTTAGTTCATGCTCCACATGCCCGGCTGAGTGGTCTGGAAAAGGGCAGTGTTGCCCAGAGGAAGGGACACTTTTTTCTTGGCATAAATGTGTGGTCAGCTTGCCATATTATGGCTGTGTCCGGAAGTGGCACTTTTTCTTATCCACATGGGGACGCTGTATAGTGTCCACATTATACAGCTATTTTGATTGCAAACCAAGACCATGGCTTAGCTGTAGTTCAGACATCACAGGGCATATAGCTTCTTAGTTTGAGGAGCTGCTGCTCAGCTGTCACCATATGCTTCTGCTTAACTCTGGTGGCTTTGAATTGAGCTACCAGCAGAAGAAGCCAACGAAGTCAAGCTCAAAGGAGGTAGCAGAGAGAGGGGCACTTCAGTGTGTAAAATAAAGGACAGGTAAGGAAGCATTTAGGCTTGTTTTTGTTCATTTTGATCAAACTTTGCATTATTTTTATAATCCCTTTCTTTTTTCAGCAAATGTTTACTGCAAGCTGTCTGAGGACCAGCTGCCGTTCTAGCACTGGGAATACAGTGTGAACAAGGCTGGGTTTATGGAGCTGATGTTCTTGTACGTGGAGCATGGGTAAAGGGGAGATGTGTAGAAAAATATAATTTCAAATGCAATAAGTGCTAAGAAAAAATATGAAAATTGATCTAATAAGTGACGGGGTGAGGGAGGTTAGTTGGGGAAGATCTCTTTGGATGGGTAGCACTTGAAGCAAGCCCCAGATAAAAGAAAGAAGCAATTTGGAAAAGGCAGAGGAAAGTGTAAGTGCAAAGGCCCCAAGGCAGGAATGAATTTTGTGGATTCAAAGAGCAGAAAGAGATCCAGAGTGGGTGTAGTCATAAGACAGGAGAGCAGTAGATTAGATTACTATCTCCCAGCACTTTGGGAGAACGAGGCAGGTGGGTCACCTGAAGTCAGGAGTTCAAGGACAGCCTGACCAACATGGTGAAACCTCGTATCTACTAAAAATACAAAGTTAGCCGGGCATGGTGGCGCATGCTTGTAATCCCAGCTACTTGGGAAGCTGAGGCAAGAGAATCGCTTGAACCTGGGAGGCAGAGGTTGCAGTGAGTCGAGATCGTGCCACTGCATTCCAAAGCCTAGGCAACAAGAACAAAACTCGGTCTCAAGAAAAAAAACGATTAGATTACTGTCTAGAACATATTTATTCTCCCTACCCCATCTTCATGGATAGAATGTATTTTTCCTGATACTTGATTTAGATCTTTGTCACTGACTTGCTTTGGTCAATTGTATTTAGCCAACATGACATGACCAAAGGTTTAACATTTCCTTATGAAGATGGACTTGTCCTCTTTTACTCCTGCATTTTACCATAAGAATGGCATGCCATGAAGAGCCGCTGGTTTAAGGAGGATAAGAATCATGTGGACTGAACCAGGACATAGTCTAGAGTTGCAGCCAAGCCCAACCTGGATGAGCAAGCCCCAGCCAGCCTACAGGCATGGAGTGAATGCTTATTAGTGTATATTGCTGAAATGTGATGGTATAGTGTGCAGCAATAACGGATTAACACGCTGAGGGATGGGAGAGATATGAAAGAGGGGCCTTGAAAGTCACAATAAGCGGTTCATAATTTTCAGAAGTTGTTTTCCTCACAGCACAATTATGGAACTCTAAAGCAAAACTGGTTGTGTTTATTGAATGAATGAGTTCTGTTTGTAGCAGAGTAATGTTGGCATTGGCTCCCAGATGTGTACCAGAACCCTGGCATGAGGCACTAGGAATAACGTCAGAGGGGTAGAAAGCCACATGAGGGCAATGTGGGGAGAACAAAACTTGATAAATTACATTTTGGTCCAAACAAAGGTGCAGGAAAACTAATCCAATTGCAGAAAGATGTCAAAATACAGGGAAAATGAATCAAACAGGCCTGGTGAAACTGTTTCAGAAGTGCAGTGTGGAACAGGCAGGGTGTTAAACAGCATAAGCATCACGTCCAAGAAACACCAAAGAAAGGCCTAAGACATGGAAGATGGGGCCAGAAAGAATTAGGCAGGAAATAGGTCCCAGGCAGACGGCAATGTCCTATAGTTGAGAACAGGGGGACTTCAGGTTTTCAACTAACTCAGCAAGAAGCTAACTCAGAGGTTTAGTATTTGGAAGGGGCAATCCTGAGTTCCACGTAAGTCCTTGGTACTTCAGCCGACTCATCCATCAGGGACCACAGCAAGACAGTAACAAACTGCACTGGGGGGTGTTGGTGCCATCTTGTTCTGGTTGTAATCCAATACCAGCAACTGGCCTGCAGGATGTTGGGCTTTTTTTTTTTTTTCTTTTCCTTACTGCCAAATATCCTTTGAACCCTTTGTGTGGTAATAACATGTAGGCTTCCTTGGGAACCCACCACTCTCTCCCCAGTGCACACACTTTCAGTCCATCCCAGTTCCAGGGAATAAAGCAAGAATTAGTCACAGCCAGTGACAGTCATAGAGATTGCATCAGGGATGGCCATGTGGCCTACTCTGGGCTCTCAGACTTTACCTGGAACTACGAAGGGGGAACCACACTCTTTCTGCTGAGATTGTAACCTGGAGCTGTTTCTGACCCACTTTGCCAGCAGTTAGGAAGAAGCTGCCCAGAAAATAGGGGCAACGGAGAACAGAAAGATGAAACAAACTATCCTGGTAATAATATCATGTGAATACCTAGATCGAGCTATTCTTGAAGAGGAGACATGCTCAGGCTTTTTAGTTACAAAAGCCAACACATTCCCCTTTCTGACTCAAACCAGTTCAAATTCTTCGTCACAAGAGTCAGGTAAGTCATTTTACCTCTCTTGAGTCCTCTCTATGATCACCTTTAAAATGATGGCTCCCAAGGCTTTGTTCAACTTTGACCACATGAAGACTGAAGGTCTTTGACTATGAAACAAGGGCAAAAATGACTACTGTGGGATTGTTCCCAGCCTTCCTCATTACCCAGCCCTCCAAAGGGAGCACTGCAACTGCCAGCACAGATTTCATCTCTCCTCTTTCCACCCCACTTCGAAAGAGGAAGAATTCCTCCCTGCTGGAGAAAGTCTGTCAACCTACATAGTAAAGATTAAAATCAACATTTTTGATTCCACATGTGGTATTTGTTCTGCTGTGCCTGGCTTATACCTCCTATCATAATGTCCTCTAGGTTCATACGTGTTGTCACAAATGACAATATTTCCTTCTTTTTTTTACAGCTGAATAGTATTCCATTGTGTATCTATACCACATTTTATCTGTTGATCTGTTGATAGACACTTAGGTTGATTCCATATCTTGGCTATTGTGAACAGTGCTGCAATAATGTAGGTGTGCAAATATCTCTTTGACATACTGATTTCATTTTCTTTGGATATGTAATGGTTACCAGAGGCTGGGGAAAGTAGTGGGGAGGTGGATTGGGAGAGTTTGTCAACAGGTACAAAGTTACAGTTAGGAGGAATAATTTCTGGTGTTGCATTGCACATTAGGGTCACTGCAGTCAACAGTAATGTACTATATACTTCCAAATAGCTAGAAGAGAGAAATTTGAATGTTGTTACCACAAAGAAATCACGAGTGCACAAGGTAATGGATATGCTAATTACCCTGATTTGATCATTACACAATGAATATATGGATCAAAACATTACATCGTACCCCATAAATAGGTACTATTATTATGTGTCAGTGAGAAACAAACAAAAAACAAAGAAATGGAGAGAATGGAAGAAGGCGATAGAAGCAGAACAGGCCTAAAAGTTGAGAGAGGTTTGGTAGGTGATGGTGAAGACAATGTAAAAGAACCGCTCCATGTGTCTTTATAGCAGCATGATTTATAGTCATTTGGGTATATACCCAGTAATGGGATGGCTGGGTCAAATGGTATTTCTAGTTCTAGATCCCTGAGGAATCGCCACACTGACTTCCACAATGGTTGAACTAGTTTACAGTCCCACCAACAGTGTAAAAGTGTTCCTATTTCTCCACATCCTCTCCAGCACCTGTTGTTTCCTGACTTTTTAATGATTGCCATTCTAACTGGTGTGAGATGATATCTCATAGTGGTTTTGATTTGCATTTCTCTGATGGCCAGTGATGATGAGCATTTTTTCATGTGTTTTTTGGCTGCATAAATGTCTTCTTTTGAGAATTGTCTGTTCATGTCCTTTGCCCACTTTTTGATGGGGTTGTTTGTTTTATTCTTGTAAATTTGTTTGAGTTCATTGTAGATTCTGGATATTAGCCCTTTGTCAGATGAGTAGGTTGCGAAAATTGCACACGTATGTTTATTGCGGCATTATTCACAATAGCAAAGACTTGGAACCAACCCAAATGTCCAACAATGATAGACTGGATTAAGAAAATGTGGCACATATACACCATGGAATACTATGCAGCCATAAAAAATGATGAGTTCATGTCCTTTGTAGGGACATGGATGAAACTGGAAACCATCATTCTCAGTAAACTATCGCAAGAACAAAAAACCAAACACCGCATATTCTCACTCATAGGTGGGAATTGAACAATGAGATCACATGGACACAGGAAGGGGAATATCACACTCTGGGGACTGTGGTGGGGTGGGGGGAGGGGGGAGGGATAGCATTGGGAGATATACCTAATGCTAGATGACGAGTTAGTGGGTGCAGCGCACCAGCATGGCACATGTATACATATGTAACTAACCTGCACAATGTGCACATGTACCCTAAAACTTAAAGTATAATAAAAAAAAAAAGAAAAGTTAAAAAAAAAAAAAAAAACCGCTCCAGGGCGTGCCGGAAGTCGACAGAAGCCAGGGCTGCCTGCATGAGCTCCTGTGAATCCCCATGTGGCTTTTTCAGACTGCAAGTCAAGGATTTGGCTGACTTGTATAGGACTGTTGCCTTGACCATGAGTGCTGTGGACGGCTGAGCCGTCGGGGGCTGAGTTTTGAGTTATGGCTGCTGCATCGAGATATCTTACGGACCATCGCATCCCTCAGAGACTGTGAGGGGCTCCCTCCAGGAGGGTCGCTCTGAGTCCTAAGAACCACTGCAGTTGGCACCAGGCAGAAAAGGAAGGGCCCCTGCTCCTCGGAGCAGCCAAGTCTGAGGAATGGCAATGAATGAACTCTTGGGAGATTATTCTTAAGTTTCCCAGCTGTCATAAGGGCTAAAAAAAATCAATTGATGGATGAGTGGTTACACCAGCTCTGTGGTTAAGCATTTGTAGTGGCACTTGCCTAGTTGTTCGGCCATTTCAACAAATAAATTGGATTGAATGCTTGGCAGTTGATCAATGGCTCTGTGCTCAGCCCTTGCCATGCACACAATACCTGAAATACGGTGGTCTCCAATGCCTTTGCTGCAGGCCCTGCCAGAGCTTCTTTGACTATTGATTCCCCTCACAAAGTTTGTAAGCAATAACATTGCATTACTAAGAAATCACATGCAAAATGCATTATTCAGATTTTACAGGTATTTAGAAGATTCATACATTTGTAAAAACTAAATTAAGGAACCATTAAAAACAGAGTATTTCACTTTTAAAGAAATCATTTATTATAAGTCTTCTGAGATCACATCCTCAATTGCATTCTTTTCTTCTGAAAACCCTCCATGGACTTACATGGGCTTTCTTTTTTCTTGTATAGGTGAGAGGCAGGAAAATCTACAACTAACATCAGATTCCAGAAAGAGTAAAGAAACCCAAAGAGATGAAAAACTATTGCTTTGTGCCAGGGGTCTGTGAATTTAGATGGAAAAAGTAAATCTTTATTTCTACTAACCTCTAACTGAACTTTAGCATTTCTTTTCTTTGTGAATGTAGGCTGCAAAGCACATAATTAATTGTAGTGCCTATGATTTTGCTATCGGTAGAAATTAAAGATGTTTTCCAATTGCACTGCAGGTATGGCAGACATCTCAAAAGATCAAATGTGTTAAGTACTACTTCAAAATTATGAGAGTTCTTAGACCTGCCACTAGATTTAGGATTCTAATACATTAATAAAGAAGCACATGTATTATTTATTACATACCCTAATTTTTTAATATTTATTTTGACGACTGCTATTAAACAATTTTTTGTATTTTTTATGTAATTAAAAACATTAATCTACATAAGCATTCACGGAATTCATCCTATTGCTAAAAAGTTACATGCCACATACGCAAAAAAGTTTGAGACCCCCAGATCTAGACACCTGCATGTACTCAACACTATCCAGGCCAGGTCAGCTCCTGGTGTGATGAGTTTGCCTCAAGCTTTCCAACCACAGCACTCTTGTTTCTTCCGTTTGTGGCCTGTGAAATGCCTTTTCCCAGCTGTTAAAATCTGTCCAAATTCTTCTCACTTGCAAGGACCATATCAAGGCAAGGCTTCTTCACATAGGAGCCTTTTTCTTCCCCCAAACAAAAGAGGCAATTGCTGCATCTTTTGCATCTCATTGCCACATGCTTGCATCTCTCCTGTGTTGCTCTTAAGTTAAAGGAGGCAACAGAGCCAAGCACAGGATGGTAAAGAACTCTCACACCAGCCAGTCTGTGTCTGAATCCTGTCTGTGTGAGTTTGCTGAGGCTGACATAACACAGATGGGTGGCTTCAACAACAGAAACTTATTTCCTTGTTTTTATTTTTATTTTTTAGACGGAGTTTCCCTCTTGTCGCCCAGGCTGGAGTTCAATGGTGTGATCTCGGCTCACTGCAACCTCCGCCTCCAGGGTTCAAGCGATTCTCCTGCTTCAGCCCCCGCACCCCCGCCTCAGTAGCTGGGACTACAGGTGTTCATCGCCATGCCCGGCTAATTTTTGTATTTTTAGTAGAGACGAGGTTTCACTAACTCGTGAACTCCTGACCAGGCTGGTCTCGATCTCCTGACCTCAGGTGATCCATGAGCCTCAGCCTCCCAAAGTTCTGCAATTACAGGTGTGAGCCACCACGTCCGGCCACTCATAATTCTGGAGTCTAGAAGGCCAATATCAAGGTGTCAGCAGGGTTGGTTTTTTTCTGAGGCCTCCCTGCTTGGCTTGTAGAAGGTCATCCTCTTTCTGTGTCTTCACATGTTCTTCTCTCTGTACCTATCTGTGTCCTAATTTCCTCTTGTTATAAGGAGACCAGTCATTGGATTGGGGCCCATGTTAATGACCTCATTTTAATTTAATTACCTCTTTAAAGATTCAATATCCAAATAGAGTCATTTTCCAAGGTCCTGGGATTAGGACTTCGGCATATGGATACAGAGAGAGGAGGAAGGACACAACTGAGCCCATAACACTGTCCATACCACCATCCGGGTATTTCATCTTGGGAAGAGTTCTTAACATCTCTGTTAGCCTTGGTTACCTTATCCCTAAAATGAGGATGGTAATGAAACTTGCTTCACATGGCTGTTATAGAAATTAAATGAGTTATTTCACATAAAGCACCAGAAACAGACCCTGGAACATAGATGATGATACCAAGAAAGACAACAATCACCACAGCCTGGTGCATTTGCCTGATCCCCACTATCACGTGGAAGGCTTCCTCGAGGGCAGAGATGGCATCATATCCATCTCTTTCTTCTTTTTTTTTGTGAGATGGAGTCTTGCACTGTCACCCGGGCTGGAGTGCAGTGGCACAGTCTTGGCTCACTGCAAGGTCTGCCTCCTGGGTTCAAGCAATTCTCCTGCTTCAGCCTCCCCAGTAGCTGGAACTACAGGTGCTCAGCACCACACCTGGCTAATTTTTGTATTTTTAGTAGAGACGGGGCTTCCCCATGTTGGCCAGGCTGGTCTTGAACTCCTGATCTCATGTCTGCCCACCTCAGCCTCCCAAAGTGCTGGGATTATAGGCATGAGCCACCACGCCCAGCCTCTTTCTTCTGTTTTTCCTAAGACAGTGCTTCAACATGATAAATATATTTAAACTCAATGCTTAATCTTTTTTTATAAATGCTAAATTGGTTGGAAGCTATCCTGAGAGGAAAACATAAGTTGTATATAACTCTATTAAAAAAACAAAACCCACATTTTTTTCCTTGCCCCTTTTGAAAATGCCAAGGCCAGTGTACTCAGCCTAACCAAGTATGCAATAGCACTTAAACTCCACAAGGAATTTCTTTTTTTTTTTCTGACAGGAATCACTAGGAGTTAGAAGAGAAGTCCTCAATAAGCATTGTTTCTGTAATACATTTAAACAAGGGATGTTATCCAAATTTTGTAATATAAATAAAAGGAAAATTCTCTGGTCACTGAGGATATCACCACAGTGAACCCGTTTCCAATTTCATCCTATGAAACTTAAATAAGTAGCCTACTTTTGGGATACAGATGATATTATACAATGTACAAAATGCTGGGAGAATTCAATGTAAAAACCACTTAGTTCAATTTCTACTCTATTGTTTTAAATCAAATACATATATGCTTACAAGGCCAGCCCATGCTTAATGGAAACTTTGGAAAGACATTTTGTTTCACAAAAATTTAAATTGATAGGCTGCCATGGAATTAGCTTTATTTTGTGAGATTGCCTTATAATTATTAGGAGTTGGCTCTACATAGCTGCTTCAAATGAAGCTGAGTTCTGTGCAAATAATTTTCTTAATGTTTGCATAGCATAGTTATTTAAAAAAAAGAAAAAGAAAACAGAAAGCACACACAACAGAAACAAAAAGACCTTAAGATGGTTAAATGTAGTTTATTTCATGCTCTTATTTTAATGGTGCTTTTGGCTCAAAGCCTTTTATTACTACATTTTATTTCTCCCTTTATATTTGATCCCACTTTCTCCTATCATAAAATGCTCTAAGCATGATTGGATTCAGAATTAGGCTGGCTTATGGCACAGCAACATCTGTGACCCCTCTCTTTATGAGCAGAGAGAGAAAAACAAGGCACGTAGAAGGAAAACAGTCCCTGTTCTCTCTGTGGGAAAGAGCTCTGGAAAGCTAGTTTAAAAGAAGGATTCTTCTGGATGGTTTTTTCTAGAATACATCTTCTGCCCCAATCCTACTCTGTTTCCTCCACTGTCTAAAGACATCTTGTTTTCAAAGTGTGAAATAAAATACTCTTGGGACATTTCCCTTTCAACGCTAGCATGTAAGTTTGACAGAATTGAGAAGACCAGGGGGTCTATCACAGCCTCCCAGTGAAACTCAGCAGAAGTCTTGGTGGTTGAGTCAGGACATGAGTGGCGGTGCAGCAGGTCCCTAGGCAGGGAACCAACAGGACTTAGAGGGCCTCCCACTAGCTTAATTTCTGAATCCACGTTTTTCAGAGTTCTTTGTCTTGTCTTCATTGGAATGACTGTCATCTTTTGAGCAACGTTCAAACTTCTCTGCTACCTTCTTGCAAGTTTTATAAGCTGCTCAAATATACATAACAAATGAGAGTGCCTGTGTCCCTTCCAACCCATAATTCCATGCTGTTGGGAAGAAGTAAGGATATGGTAGGCAGTCTCTAATACAGCCTCCAATAATTCCTACTTCCTGATTTTCACATCTTTGGGTAATCTCCTCCCTTTGTGTGAAAGCTGGACACACTGACTTGTGATTAGAATGTGGCAGAAGTATTGGGGTGCGGGATATCACTTCCAAGTTTAGGTTGTAAGAAGACTGGTTTCCATGCTGGGTGTGTGCCCTCTCTTATCTTTTCATGGATGGCCCTTCCAGAATAGGCTAACTGCCATGTCAGGAAATATTCCTGGGAAGAGACACACATGGCAAGTGCCCAAAGCCAACAACCATGTGCCAGATTCTATGAGTCAGGGTTCTCCAGAGAAACTGAATCAATAGAGTATATACACAGATTTATGATAAGCAATTGGCTTATGCAGCTATGGAAGCTGAGAAGTCCGAAGATCTGCAGTAGGCCAGCTAGAGATCCAGGAACCAGGAGAGCCAGAAGTATAGTTCCAGTCCAAGTCTTAAGGCTTAAGACCCAGGACAGCCAATTGTGTAGTTCCAGCCCAAGTCCTAAGGCCTGAGACCCAGGAGAGCCAATGGTGTAGTTCTAGTCTGAAAGCCAGCAGGTTCAAAACCCAAGAATAGTCAGTATTTCAATTCAAATCTGAAGGCAGGAAAAAATATGATGTCCCAGCTCAAGGTAGTCAGGCAGGAGGAGTTCTGCCTTAATTGCAAGAGGGACAGCCGTTTTGTTCTCTTCAGCCTTCCCGCTTGTTTTTGTCAGTTCTCACACTGCTATCAAGAACTGCCTGAGACTGAGTAATTTAAAAGGAAAGAATTGGAGTGTGGGATATCACTTCCAAGTTTAGGTTGTAAGAAGACTGGTTTCCATACTGGGTGTGTGCTCTCTCTTATCTTTTCATGGATGGGCCTTCCAGAATAGGCTGAGACTGAGTAATTTAAAAGGAAAGAGGTTTAATTGACTCACAGTTCCACAGGGCTGAGGAGGCCTCAGGAAACTTACAATCATGATGGAAGGGGAAGCAAACACGCCCTCTTCACATGGTGGCAAGAAGAAGTGCTGAGTAAAAGGGGAAAAAGCCCCTTATAAAACCATCAGATCCCGTGAGAACTCATTATCACAAGAGCAACATGAAGGTAACCGCCCCCATGATTCAATTATCTCCCACTGTTTCCCTCCCATGACACATGGGGATTCTGGGAACTATTATACAATTCATGATGAGAGTTAGGTGAGGATACAGCCAAACCATGTCACCACTGATGGGATGAGAGCCATCTGTGATAGACAGTGCAATCTGCTTTCCTCAGTCTACTGATTCCAATGTTAATCTCAGCCCAAAATACCCTCACAGAAACATCCAGAATAATGTTTGACCACATGTCTGCGTACTCCATGCTCTGGCCAAGTTGACCCATAAAATTAACTATCACATAGACCTTTGAGATGACTAGAGTCCTGGTTGACGGCTTAACTGTAACCTCATGAGAGACCTTGACAGGGCTGCAACAAATAATTTTTTGTTAGAAATGTCTCAAATATTAAATAGGACTTAAACATTATCCATTATTTATCCTAAACTCACAGTGGAATGATCATGGCTCACTGCAGTTTACACCCCCTGAACCCAAAGGATACTCCTGCCTCAGCCTCCAGAGTAACTGGGACTACGGGCATGAGCCACCATGCCCAGCTAATTATTATTTTTTTTTGTAGAGACAGGAGTCTCACCCTGTTGCCCAGGCTTGTCTCCAACTCCTGAGCTCCAGCAATTCTCCTGTTTCAGCCTCACAAAGTGCTGGGGTTACAAACATGAGCCACCATGCCCAGCCTGAAATTCAAATTTAACTGGACATCCTGTATTTTAATTTGCTAAATCTGACAACCCTAGACCTTGAGTCAGAGGCACCCAGTCAGCTAAGCTGTATTGGGCTTTCCCGACCCACAGAAGCTGCAAGATAACAAATGCTTGTTGTTGTGCTCAATGACTACGTTGTGGAGTAATTTGGAATGCAGCAACTGATAACTAGTACAAAGAAGTACTTGTAACAGAAGCAACAGAGCAATGCAACGCTAAAAAGGAACAAGTGCTGGTTGCAGGACCAGAGAACCAAAGACTGGCCCAAACCATTTTTTCAATGTTCTGGACTTCGTTGAAAACATACCCATTCACAGGGCATTCTATGTATCTGATGAGGTACGAGCTGTAGTCAAGAATTCCTGGGTACCCAGTTAGTGGGAAATAAAAAACATCCTTGAGCCCAGAGGTGGTATAGAAAGCAGTGTTTCTCAACTTTTAATATTCCCTTGAGTCTCCTTTCAATCTTGCCAAATGCGAGGTCTGATTTAGCAGGTCTGGGTGGGGCCTGAGTTTCTGCTTTGTTAATAAGCTCCCAGGTGATGCTGATGCTGCTGGTTCTCAGAGGACACTTTCAGGAGCAAGATTTCAAGACATTTTTCCTTGCTAAGGGCCCAACTGGGCAATAAGCCAGATTGGTGGAAGGTGGGGCCCTTTAGAGGATGTGGATGTGGATTCACTGTTCATCCTCTCATGGACTTAGAGCATCTTAGGCTCTTGGCTGGAAGGAAAGATAACAATCTATGGAAGAGAATCTATTTCTACCATCTCCTTTGTTTTTCCCTTTTCATATATTCAAAAGTGATTCTGTAGAGGTTACAGATCAGAATTTCTGGGGATGCAAGTGCAGTGTGAAAAGAAAGCAGAATTTTAACTCACTCCTTTGTTAATTTTTTTTGCCACAAACTTTAACTGGTTTGAAATTTTAATAGCATTAAAAACGGACACTGACATTTTCTTTTTTAATATTTATAATTACAAAGCAGTAGTAGATGTTCCTTGTAAAAAAAAAAAATGAAGCAAAAATGTGAAAACAAATACACCATATCCTCATAAACAGAGATTAATACTACTAACATTTTAGTGTATATGCTACCAGATCTTAATGATCACCACTTTAGTGTCAATTAATTTTCACTACATCAAATACCCAATTCACATTCAAATTTCCCATGGTTGCCCCAAAGATAAAATTAACATAGCTTAAGAAAATTATTTTGAGAAATCCTTCAAAGATAACTCAATTCAGTCACTGACATTTGAAGTCCTATATGTGACTGATATTTCAGAGTTTGTCTTGGAGAAGGTGGTAGGGAAGACTTTGGGAGAGGTCAGTGAGAAGAGACGGAAAACAGCCCACAACAGAAGACACATATATGTTGTCCTCTGCTGCTGGCCTGGCAATCAAACATTTGAAAAATTGCTTCCTGATTGGTGAGTTAAATGTGAAACTAGGTAGCAAGTGTGAGTGGCAAGTATCCAAAAAGAGAAAGCGATTCACCCAAATGCTTTTAACTGTGAGGGGGGAAGACAGTTAGCCAGTTACAATACTGTAACAGTCACATGGCATAACTTTTGGTCAAAGATGAAGCAAGGCCTAAATATCCTCTATATCCTAAATTCTGCTGCAGTTGCCATGGTGACAGTGTCCTGCATTGGGCCTATGAAAGATGACAGTGAGATGAAGAGTCCGTGTTTTTATTTCTTGGAAAATAATGAAGGGTGCTGCACAAGGGGAGCCTGCCTCCAGTCCTGCCATAGGCAGAAATCACGTCAAGATGTCTGGGATTTTGAAAAGGGAAAGTTACTCTCTTCCTGAAAAATAAACCAGGTACAGATTCAAGTTTTCATTCAGGGAGAACGAAGAGAGATTTCATAACGATTAGAAAGCTAGATATTTCTGGAAGTGTTACATATAAGCCTCAGCTACATGATCTAACCAGCCCCCGTTACATGCCTCATCTTGAGAAGGCACTCAATACACATGTGCCTTCCCTGTCTCCCTCTGTGCACTTTTTTTTACCCCTGGATCTCAGCAAGAATGTGGGAAGTAGCACAAGAAGGTGAGCCCATAGCTCTGGAGACACTGAGGACCCCTTTCTATACCAGATCCCTCATCTCAGGCCTTAATTGCAGCAGTGAATGTAGCACAGATTACCAACTTCATTTGCCTCAGTCACGTACTAATGATGTGACCTTGGGGAGGTGACTCGCTTCTTTTTGCGTCAGTTTCCTCATTTATTAAATGGGAATATCAATGACTACCATACAGTGTAGTTTCGGTGAAGATGAAATCAGATGCTCCACAAAAACATCTACCATAGTTCCTGGAATATAGTAGGTATTCAAAAATAATAGTTTCCTCTGGCCAGGTGCAGTGGCTCACCCCTGTAATCCCAACACTTTGGGAGGCCGAGGCAGGCAGTTCATGAGGTCAGGAGATGGAGACCATCCTGGCCAACACGGTGAAACCCTGTCTTTACTAAAAATACAAAAATTAGCTGGGCGTGGTGGCATGCACCTGTAGTCCCAGCTATTCAGGAGGCTGAGGCAGGAGAATCACTTGAACCGAGGAGGTGGAGGTTGCAGTGAGCCAAGATCACACCACGGCACTCCAGCCTGGTGACAGAGCAAGACTCTGTCTCAACAATAATAATTATTATTATTATTATAATTTCCCCTTTTGCTTTCCTTCAGTGGACTCAACCAGCTGTTCTTGGCCCTTACTGGCTGACATGATCCCTTCAGTTTTCCAAGGTTATTCTCCTCAGAAGAGTTAGTAGAGGATGGGATGCAGTTTCCTCAGCTCCCTGCTAAGAACATTCCCCCAAGATAACTCCCACCCCATGGGCAGTTCACCAAGTCTCCTCCCTCCCTCAATGCTTTTGAGACCTACTACGCCCAAGGCAGATCTGCAATAAAGGGACAGGCAACACAGAAATAAGAGGTGTTCGCTTGTCTCCAGCACGCAATGCTGAGTCCCTGGTCTTCATCGTTTCCCAGAGCTCTGTTGATGGTGATTGTATTTTGGGTCCCCCGTTCTTTATCACTTGCTGCATCTCTACATTTGCTCCCATCGTAGATGAAGCATCTATCCCTGCCCCTTGACTTTGGACTTGGACATGTGACTAGCTCTGGTCAAGGGCATGGGACCAGAAGTGGCAATGTACCAGTTTTGAGCCCAGGTCATAAGAGACCTCGCACATTTTTCCATGTGTCATCTGGTGCCTTTGCTATTGCCATGAGAACATGCCTGTGATAGCCCACTGGTCCCAGGAGGAAGATGGAACAATGGAGCAGAACTGCCCCTATCATGGCAGCCTGAGGCAGAACTGCGCCATCTCTCCCCTAGACCTACCCTGAGAAGGAGAGCTGGCCAGCTGAGCCCTGCCAAGATGAGCTGACCCCTCACCAAGCCACAGGCATGAGAGCCAGCCCAGCATAGAGCCACCCAGCCACCCAGTCAAGGCCAGGCTAGGTCCACTCACCCTGGCCGAAAATAAAAGCTTGTTGCTTTAGGTCATTGAGTTTGTCATACAACAGTAATTAGCCAATCAATACACTGCCTCACACAAGAATAATTGCTTTGGGTCATTTCCTTATAATAGAAGAAAAGAACATTTGGTATTAAATATTTGATAATAAGCGGTAGGCCTATCCAGTAGCTTTGTCATTCAGGGATGGTTGGACTCTAATTTTATATTGGAGGAGTTTCCCAATAATAAAAACAAGTATGTTCTTATGTGTATACAGTGTTGTGATTGATAGATTTTTGTCAAGATTTCTTTTTTTTTTTTTTTTTTGAGATGGAGTCTCGCTCTGTTTCCCAGGCTGGAGTGCAGTGGTGTGATCTCGGTTCACTGCAAGCTCTGCCTCTCGGGTTCATGCCATTCTCCTGCCTCAGCCTCCCAAGTAGCTGGGACTACAGGCGCCTGCCACCACGCCTGGCTAATTTTTTTTGCATTTTTAGTAGAAACGGGGTTTCACTGTGTTAGGATGGTCTCGATCTCCTGACCTCGTGATCCGCCCGCCTTGGCCTCCCAAAGTGCTGGGATTACAGGCGTGAGCCACAGCGCCCAGCCTGTCAAGATTTCTTATATTTATTATAACCTGAGTAATTCTTGGACTCTGTAGCAGGGAAGGTACAAAAGTTATGGCCCTTTCATAATGAAAAATAAGCATGTTAGTGTCTATTTAAGGCTACAATTTTTTTCAGACAAATAAAGTTAACTTGGATGTTGAAAGAGTAAGACGCATATTATCAAATCATAAGGCAGCTTTATTTTTCCCACTGCCTGATCAAACCTGCTCTATGGCTACTTCTTTCTCTGCCCTAGAAATAATCTCCAGCAGGTATCAGGGCTTATCTGCTCCCCTTGGGTAATAAAACAATCTCTGTCACTTTAATCTCCCAATCTATCTCATTTCAGTATTTAGATATCCAGTCCAACGTAATAATCAAATGCTAAACTTCACTTGTAAATTAAGCTTCTTCCTTTTCCAATCTAGGCCTGCTTCAGGCAGAAAGCTTATGGGGCAGGAGCTCACGGTCAGCTTCTTGATTTCCCTCACTTACATTCTGTGCAAACCCTCCACCTACCAAGCTGCTTCTAACCCTTTGGGGGTGGGAAGGGTGAAGGTGGGAAGAGGATGGGGAGAAGTAAAGAGAGGAAAATTCTGATGTCACTGACTGATCTTGTGGCAGCATTTTCTGGCTGTGGGAATTACCCTCACATAGGGTGCTTTGTTGGTTTGGGGATAATCATTCACTGGACTCCCCTACCCATAGGTCTCTGTCAGGATGACATCATGTTTTCACTGCCAGTCACCTCCACACTACCTCTCACTCTGGGGTTCCCACTGCTTAATGGGAGCTTCCACTCTACTAACACAGTGATATGGTTTGGCTCTGTGTCCCTACCCAAATCTCATTTGTAACTCCCATAATTCCCACATGTTGTGGGAGGGACCTGGTGGGGGATCATTGAATCATGGAGGTGGGTCTTTCCTATGCTGTTCTTGTGATAGTGAATGGGTCTCATGAGATCTGACAGTTTTAAAAATGGGAGTTTCCCACACAAGCTCTCTTTTTGCCTGCTGCCATCCATGTAAGACGTGACTTGCTCCTCCTTGCCTTCTGCCATGATTGTGAGGTCTTCCCAGTCACAAGGAACTGAGTCCAATTACACCTCTTCCCTTTGTAAATTGCCCAGTCTTGGGTATGTTTTTATCAGCAGCATGAAAACAGACTAATTCACACAGACTGTATGAGCTATCATGAATCAACACTATCCCCCACCAGACCAAGGTCTCCAATGGTCTCTTGAAACCCAGGCCACTAGGAAAGAGAGGAACACCCCCAGTGCTCCTCCATGAGGGGTGGGAATGGGATCCAACACAAAGTTCTCTCTCCAAAGAAATTCTTGACCTCATCTTCAACCTCTTTTGTGGCATCTCCAACTTCTTGTAGATGGGAGTCAGTGGTCTCTATATCAGTACCTAAATGTCAGCTTAGGAGGCTGAGAGAGCACCTGGCTTTGGAATGTGAATGTGTTGACACCAATTGTTGTGTGCCTTCAGCCAACTCTAAGACAGAATCCCTTTTGTAATAATCCTGTCTCAGACACACACACACACACACACACACACACATGCACAACCTTTCTTCACCTTCCAAGGAGGGTCAGCAGAAAGGAAAAGCAGGGAAGACCACCAACCTGCAGTTTAATGAAATATGTATGAGGAAGCTAGTAATCACGCGTGATGGTTTCCCCACCACCTCACCCCTACTCTTCTCTCAGTTCTAATCTTTCACAACTGCATGAATTTGACATTGCTGGTCCTATACATGATGTCAGAGCAATGCCTTCTGAAAGGAGGAGGGCCTTGTGCACACAACAAGCCAACCGTGCAGAACAGAAGAGGAGAAAAGAAGGTGACAGGACAGTTTTGCTGTCACACCTGACATCAGGACACCCAGACAGAGCAGAACTCTCATCTGCTGTCCTCTCCAATCAACCATGTTCTCAGCTGTTACGTTGTTAATTCAAATTCAGAGAAATGAGCATTTCAAGACAAGCATGGTTTCTGGAGATGTTACAAAGAGTTGTGAAAGTTGCATGGCTAGAGATCCCAAATAACCATTCCAGATGGCAGGCACTATCAAGATGTCTTGGACAATCACACACATGGAAAACATTTCACTCCCAGGAATATCTTTAAAATAATAGTTTTCAATGATTCATTAACAGTTAAAAGCATATGGTTCTTTCTTAGGGAATTTTGGATTGTTTAGTCTTTTTTCTTCTTGAAGAAGCACAGATAACATCAATTGAGATGAAATATCTTGATGGTGGCCACCAGTGGCATGTGGCCTGTCTGCTGGCCATGGCTATCATGTTGCTTTGCTAGTCCTCCAGGTTTCTGACCATTCAGAAGGGTAGCCCTGAATTAAATTGAAGAAAAGGGAAGGAGGCGAAGAGAATGTGAAAAATAGGTAAGAAAGAACAGAGGAACCATGGTGAACCAGAGACTTCATCTCTCCTTATTCATTTTGATGTTACTTCTTTTCAAATAAAGAGAACCAGCAAATGGGACCAGGGAAGCAAAGAGAGGCATATTACTTCTCTTAACTCCATCTGGGCCAAGGCATTCAGAGAAAGAAAAATGTGAGACACTAAGGTAGAGAGAACTGAAGCAAGAAATAAGGAAACTAAATTTTGTAAACAGAAAACAAATACCCAGTGGCTCATGCCTGTAATCCCAGCACTTTGGGAGGCTGAAACAGGAGGACCACTTGAGCCCAGGAGTTGGAGACCAGCCTGGTCAACATAGTGAGACCCCATCTCTTCCAAAAAGTTTAAAAAACTTAGTCTGGCACAGTGGCATGTGCCTGTAGTTCCAGCTGCTCAGCAGGCTGAGGTGGGAGGATCCCTTGAGCCCAGGAGGCCTAGGCAGAAGTGAGCCATGATTGTGCCACTGCACTCCAGCCTGGGTGGCAGAACGAGACCCTGTCTCAAAAAAATAAAAACCACACAAATAATAATAATAATAAAATACCCATACAAGAAATATTATTTTAAATGTTGTATGCCAAGATTTAGCCTCAATGATATTTATCTTGAGATTGTTTATAATTATCATAAATTAGAAACAGCCAATATGGCCAACAATATTTTTTAAATGGCTAAATAAATAATGGTCAACTAGACCATGACATGATATGCAGCGATTACAAATTATATATACAACTCTACTTTCCAACAGGGCAGTAAGCTCATATATATAGTTAAGTTATAAAATGCAAATTATAAAAACTACAGACTGTGTGATAACAATCTGGTTAAATAATTCATACAGATAGATAGATACAGATGTATAGAACAATATGTTAAGAATTTACACCAAAGTGTTACAAGTAGTTAGCTTTTAACTATGAAATTTTAGGTGATTTAATGCTCTGCTCTTCTCTAATAGTTTTGAGATTTTCTCCAATAAGAATTATCTACATGTTCATCAGATAATTTTACAGTCTTCCCTTGGTATCCATGGGGGATTGTTCCAGGACCCCAGTGGATACCAAAATCCTCAGATGCTTATGTCCCTAGATATCAAATGGCATTGTATTTGCATATAACCTAGGTACATCCTCCTGTATACTTTCAATTATCTCTAGATTATTTATAATACTTAATGCAACATAAATGCTTTGTAATATAGTTGTTATATTGTATTTTAAAATTTTTATTATTTATTGTTGTATTGTTATTTCTACTGTGTGTTCTTAAATATTTTTGACCTGCAGTTGGTTGAATCCACAGATGAGGAATCTGCAGGATATAGAGGGCTGAATGAAATATATAAAATTGTTATGAAAATTGGGATTCTAGAAAAGATAAAAAGCTGCCTTTCACTGAGAAGCTATGCCTAGACACCAGATACCACGTATATTCCCTGAAGGCCATTAGCCCTGAAGCCAGAGCTGCGTGCTCATGTACGCTAGCAAGGCCATGAGACTTGCAAGGCAGGAGGGCCTCCCACTCTAAGGCACTGAGAAGTGGGGAAGGGTCTTTCCTGTTCTTTCTGTGCTGCTTGCCTGAGTACCAAAGCAAATGGAAAGCTTAAAGAAAGAAAGATTTCATCTGCTCAAAATTCCTCTTTGTATCATTTATTACACAGTCCATGAGACTAGGCTTTCATTTATGATAACACAGTGCTGCAGTGTTTAGGGATACCGAGATGTCATAGAAGGAGTGATGGTCTGAGATACAGAAGAGGTGGGTCCTCTCACAACTCTGCCACTAAACTTGTTGAATCTCAGACAATTTCAATTCAAATCAATAAACTCTTATTGAGCATTTATTATATGTCAGGCACAGAACTCAACACTAACATACAAAAATGAATATGATACTCTCCCTACACTGAAATACTCCAAGCCTAGCCAGGGAGATAAGCAAACAAACAAATGGGTATAAAGCAATATGGCGCACATGATGGTAGAGATACAAATACAATTCTATGGGATCACAGAGGTGGGAATGCCCTATTTTCTGTTAAGGTGGGTAGGGTTTGGGCATTAGATGTCAGAGACGATTTAAAAAGAAAGAGAATTCTTGAGTTGGACCTTAAAAAACAAGGCAGGAAAAGATATGCCAGACAATCACTTCCCTCTATGGCCTCAGTTTCCTCAGCTTTAAAATGAAGGCTCAACCTGATACCCTCTAGTATCTGCATTGCTCAGGGCAGAATGACTGCCAGCCACACCACCAAAGGCTTCAACATCAGCCGTGTTGCTCATGCAGTCCTGAACTCCTGCTCAGAGCCAGCATACGAGAGGATTATCAGGTTGCTGGATGTGTTCCCCTACATTGGAAAAATCAGAAAATTAGATTTAAGCAACCATTTGTGTTAAGAAAATGTATCCAAACTTGGAAACAGAGCTAAGAGGATGGCTACAAACTCTTTAATGCCATTCTGAAACACTGAAGCATTGTTCAACTGGCCCAGGAGGGGTTAAATCTCTACGAGAATGTGCCTCTGTTGACATTTCTGTTTACTATTGATTAGAGCCCAGACACTGTGATGTTATATGCTAAATTGTAGATTTTAGTCTGGTGAAAATGCAAATTACTTGTATTCAGTAGAAAAAAAAATGCCCTCAAAGGTTATAGTTGCATGGCCCTGTAGGATAGTATCCAGATTTCAGTGTGCCCTCCCTAAAGATCTGTGAAAACCCCAGTTTCTTAAACGTTCCTTGCAGTTTTATCAACTTACTTGTTCCCTTAGTAATGAATTAATACATTTTGATATTTGTTCATTCTATATTTGAATGAGTCCTGATTTTAGATTTTTGAAAATTATCTTTTCACATTTAGGGAAAGAAGAGAATGTCTTCATTTTCTAACTGGGAATCAATTGCAGAAGTCTTGCTCATTCCAACACTTAACTGCAATATTACTGCTTTTTTGTGGACTCATTTTAGCTGCCTGCCTTTATTTCTTCCTGAACTAGGAGAGCATTTGGGTTCATTTTTATGACACCTACTTTGTGACAGTGATTGAAGTGAAGGAATCAGCAGTCTTCACACATAGATTCACACACAGACTCACACACACACCTACATGCACACACATGCACTCAGACACACAGGCTGGTTTGCTGATTTGGTTCTTTCCTGGATGTGTCTGAATGAATGAGTCATGCACCCACTTTGCCACTCCTCATGATTATTACTGGATCTTACTAAAGGAAAGGCAAATTCCTGAGACCGCTTTATTCCCGAGATCATCCTCACACTTGGAGGCTATAACATTTTGACAAACGACCTTCAGACTGCTTTTTAGCAATAACACCATTAACAATACGGTGTTCTGTGTTTTATAAAAACATTCCTGTGTGAGAGGCATTGTGCTTCTAATTTTATTGAAGAGGAAAATGAGGTCCAGGTAGATCCCTCGCCTAAGATCAACTGCATAGAAAACAAGGAACCAAAAATTAAGCCCAGATCTAACTCAGGGACTAGTGCTCATGGTGCTACCAAACTGCCTCAAAGATTCAGCTGAACAAACAAATGTTACTTTATTTTTCATCCTGCTAACTTAAATGTAAAGTTTCATTAGAGAACATTGTTTATAAGCCATTGCATATTTTCAACTTATTATGTGAAATTCCATATGAATCTACTGAAATGATCATTGACTTCATGGATTAGTTTATTTTGTCCATATGCATACATTTACCCCTGGGGACTTGGAGGAGCAATGTGTTAATTAAGTCATTGATCATTTTTCAGATATGAGAAGCTGAATGACTCTCCCTATGAGTCATTACCACAATCAAGCTACTCTGGTAACGCCCACACACACACACACACACACACACTATGGCATATGAAGGAAGCTATTGGGTGGGAATGGTTGGAGTCTGATCTCATGATAGAGAAATTATACGTCCACTGATACTGTCTCAGTATCCAGGAGGAGGTAAAGTTATTGAGAGTGGAACACATTGGTGGAACAATGCTTTTGTCATTCCCATCATAAATTTTTTTTTAATCACTTAACAGCACCTTTCTGCTCAGGCTGCAGTGATACACACTACAAAAAGAGAGCAATAAGACCAAAGGCACACCTTTTATGAGATTTTAACATAATTTAGAAGGCATGAATGAGAAAAAAAGGAGAGAATACAAAGAAAGACCGCAGAGAAAATATAGACAAAAGAAAGTTGAAGTAAAACCAACTAATGGTCTTAGGTTTTACACTAAAAATTCTTAGAAAATAGCAGATGGGAGAGAAGCAGTTTGCTTCCTGCTTTGACACAGTGGAGTTGTTCATTCTGGGAAAACTTTGTAAACCAGGTAGAAAATTAAAAATTATCAATTTCCCAAATATGTATCAAGCTACTACTTGTGCTAGGATCTCTGTTAAAAAAAAACTGATGTATAATTTTGAATATATATTTTTGAATGTGTATTTCTGAATTTGAATACATATATTTTAAAGATAGAAGATGGATAGATAGATGATTGATAGATGATGGATAGACAGATGGCCCTTGACTCATGGCAATTATAGCCTAGTGGTAGAGATGAATATGAATTAAGTCATCACAGAAATACTTATAAAATCACAATTAAGTGAAGTGCTGTGAAGGAGGGGCAGGTGAGTAAGACCATGTAATGGGCAGGGAGGAATGACCTGGTCTAGGGGTCAAAAAGCTGCAGTGAGGACATGGTGATCGACCTGGAACCTAAAGGGTACACAGGATTGGAGCAAAGATGAGGAAAGAGGTTACAGGCAGAGACAAGAGCATGTGCACAGGACAAGAGGGAACAGGGTTGGTGCAAGGGCCTGAAAGAAAGCAGCCTGGCTGCGGATCAGGGAGAAAGGAGCAGTGGGGGTGAGAGGAAGCCAGAGCAGGGGGAGGTATACTGTTGTTAAAAGGACTTGTTGCTGAATTTTAAAGTGATAGGGAGCCACTGAAGTGTTTTACCAGGGGAAAGGGGGACATGTCCTAAGATTGGCATTTTGATGCATATGCTAATAGAAGCTTACAGGCTTTCTAAAAAAGATTGGCATTTTGATGCATATGCTAATTCCAGCTGTAGCACAAGAATCAGACTGAAGGTAAAAATGTAAGAGAGACCATTAGTAGGCTGCCGCAGAGGTCCACACAAGAGAGGAGGGTGGCTTGGACTAGGACAGTGGCAATGAAACAAAGAAATGTCTGTGAACAGTATCTAGAGGAGGAGAAGTAAGTCTTTCCATTAGGCACTGGAGAGTAACTCAAAGGATTTGGTCTTGTTCTACCGAGTGGATGTTGGTTCCATTCACCAAGGGGAAAAACACTGAAAAGAGGGATAAGGAAAATGGGAGATGACGGTAGTAATTATGAGTTCAATCGTAGTTATCTTGAGTTAGGTGCTTAAAGAGAGAATTATTGGTAAATTCAAAAGCAAGTCCATTGGGCTACTTTGAGAAATCTACTGTTAGATAAGTCAGTTTTTGGTACTCCCAGTGGCCAGGAGGTTTGATCACTTCCAAATATATATTCATGTACCAACTTCCCTTGAAGACAGTTTCCAGTTTCTATTATGATACCTCTTGACATCTTCTGCCTCCAATTTTTCACTTTTCCTTCTTGAGATTGCATTAGAAATTATGTAATCGGAATGATATTGATTCATTAAACTAGGTCATGGCGTGACAATTCAATTGTCTGTACATTCCTTCCCAACTTCTCAAGTGTGGAGATGTTTTTAAGAGCTGTAGCACACATCGCCATTCCAGTGTGGAAATTAGAAGTGTTTCAAAACTGTAGAAGACATAAAGGTAGGCACACCAAGCACTGCAGGCAAAACAGGAAAAGTAATATTGTGTTAGATAAAATGGGGAAATACAAGCAATGCTTTTTGAAATCACATTCTAATTAAAATAAGAGAAAGAAAAACAAAACGAAGATGTTCAATCTATTATCTCTGATTTTGCACTGGTAGGATAGGAGATAAGCCTATATATTAAAAGGCATGATTGTCAGACATTTCTCAACGTGAGAAACACGAAGCAAGATTGGGGTAAAAAGCAATGGGAAAAAAACAGGTGGAAACAACTACCTTTGAGACTAAGCCTAAAATGAAAGCTGATGGTTGTTGGTGCAAATGTAATCATTAATTGCCCAAATCTGTTCTTCCATCATCCCATTTCTTCCATTCCATTCAGCACTTTTAGTCACAACTGAACCTATGTTACATAACGTAATGAAGTCATACGTCTCAGCAAGTAATTTTTTTTAAAATTAGCACATCATCTGGGAAGAAAGAATTGAGCAAAGTCTTGTGGGATCCCTCATTGAGTTTGTGGGTGGGAATGTTTAGGAGGATGTCAATAATAGAATCTAAGTACAGCTCCCCTCTGTGCGTACTCCACATATTAATATCAAAAGGACGAGGCAATTACAACCCACCTGTGATGCATTCTATGCAGTTCAACTCCTTCAAAACTTACAAGTTTTCTAAAATCTCTCAGGCTAGCACCATTCTCTGATCAAACTAAACTGGGCTGCCATAAACTCTACCACCCTTATCCTCTAATTAATTCATTCTGGGTGCTAATTAAAGCTATGAATGCAGGGGTAATTAGGCTAAGTAAAGTGTGCTTATTAATCAATAATTGACAACTTACTCTTAACAAATGTATTTCCCAAGAAGTGAATACAATTTAATTAAATACAATGCTTGCAAAACAGATAGCTGCTTTTTATGGTATCCTTGAGGTGTAGGTCAATATTTCTGTCTTAATTTTCCAGTTGAGAAAGAAACAGAAATATAACTTACTCTGGCTCATCCACTGAATCAGAACTTATTATTGTTGGGGCTGTATTTGGACCTCATCCATAAGGCATGAGTCTGTTGTTCTGAGGTTTAACAAATATGGATAAAAGCCTCTCCTTGCCTTTCCAAGTAGAAATATATTACATTTGTCTTCAATAAAACTTAGTGAACATCTCACTTGAGACCCTTGTCACATCACAACATAATTAGTTATTTGCATTATCAATTGTGCCAGTTCAGGATTTCCAAATTTGTTATCTTCAGAGGGTAATACACATGCCTACAAAAGGGAATTAAAAACGCAATGAAAAATAAATTTGGGGAAATCTGGGTTAAACGCATTTAAACAGATTTCTTTAGTGCAGAACTTCTCAAAGCCTTTAAAATGTTCATATGCATTATGAATCCAAAGAGTGACACATAACATTTCTGCAATTTATTTGACTATAGAGCTTTTTTCCCCCCTCAGAATACTCATTAACCTATGCAGAACCATGGTTGGAAAGCATAGTTTGGAAAACTTTGCACAAGACCTCGCGTTAATCTTATTCACCGTGTATTCCTAGCACCTAGCATGATATCTGGCACATAGGACATGCTCTCTATGCCAACAATTTCCAAATTTTTATTTCCAGCTTCATTCTTTCTTTGGAACTTTAGACTGATATATTCAACAGCCTATTCAACAACGTTGCTTGGTTACCTGGTGGGCTCCTCAAACTGAGCATGTCCAAACCTGAACTTTGGCTCTTCCCCACAAAACCCATTCCAACTGCAACCTTTCCATCTCAAATGATGCAAACTCCATCTTTCCAGTGACTCGGGCCAAAAACCTTGGAGTTATTCCTAACTCATTTTTCTCATCTAATTCATCAAAGAACAGCATTCTCTACCTTCGATATATATCCAAAATCTCACCCCTTCTCACAACACATGGCTCCCACCTAGGTCTGAGCCACCATCATCTCTCACCTGGATTCCTGTTATGGGCTCCTACCTAGTCTTCCTGTGAACTCTTCTGTCCTTTCTTGAGTCTCAACGTGGGAACCAGACTGATCCTGTTAAAGCATAAGTCAGATCATATGCCTCCTCCCCTCAAAAGCCTGCAATAGCTCCCCATTTTCCTCCAAGTAAAAGCCAAAGTCTTACAATGACATGGAAGGCCACAGGCTAGGTCCCTGCTACTTTTCTGACTCTCTCTGTGTCTCTCTCCCCACCCTCCATATACTCTGGCCCCCAAGTTAATGGTCACATACACCATGTACACTCCTTCCTTAGGCCTTTGCAAGAGTTGCTCCCTCTGATCAGAACAATCTAGCCCTATAACCAAATGTCTCATCTTTCAAATATTTGCTCAAAGCTCACCTTCACAATGAGACCTACCCTGACTACTGTAATTAAAATTGCAACTCAGCCCCACTCCCACCCCACCCCCACTCCTCCTTAGCCTGCTTTTACTCTTTCATAGCACTTACCTTTTCTAATATTCCACATAATTTACAGATCTATGCATTTTTCTACCTCCCTCCACTAGAATATGTGTTCTATGTGTAATTCATTGATATTACCCAAGCATCAAGAACAGTGCAGGGCACACAGCACATGCTCAATAAGTGAATGAATAAGAGTTGAATGAACATTGCAGTTCATGCAAGATGTTACATATGCTCAGACAGATGTAATGCAGACCTTTTATATGGCTCAGTTCTACGGGCAGAAGACCAAACACTATGGTCATTTTATTTCAAGTGAAACAAAGGTTATATATTTTTCATAAATTAGACAAAGCCAATATGCTTTAATTCTGTGTTTACCTGACCAAGACAGATACTATCCAAAAGACCTGGCAGCCAACAAGAGGTTGGTCTTCACAAATTTATTGAAATGTGGTTACTTAAAAGAATGGTATATGAGAGTTACAGAAAGGAAATACTAAAACTTCTGGTGGTCTATATTTTTCTCTTAAAAAAATAAGAACGAAAGACTATCTTAATATTTCACTGACTCAGTGACACAGATGGCCTCATGCAGATCGTGTATCTCAGAGCATGTCTAGGATTACAGGCATCTGAGGGAAAACTGGGGAGTTTGCTGTGGTGGTTCCTTCCCTCATTTGCTCATTTTCAACATGTTGTAACTTATTGTCGTTAAGTGTGCCAGCAAAGAGAATGTATAATTTCTCTGACACTCATTTCTCTAGTGTTACATAAACTAACTCTCAAAAATTATACCAGTGCTATGGACTGAATCTATATGAATTCTGAGTCACCCCAAAATTCATATGTTGAAGCCCTAATCTCCAATGTGATGATGGTATTTAGAGATGGGACCCTGGCAAGGTAATTAGGGTTAGACAAAGTCATAAGGGTGAGGCCTAGTCTGATGAAATTAGGGCTTCTGTGAGAAGAGACACCAGAGGGCTCACAGTCTCCCTATCTCCATGCATGAACTAAACAAGAACCAGGCAAGCACACAGTGAGAAGGAAGCCATCTACAAGCCAGGAAGAGGGCCCTCTCCAGAGTCTATCCACGCTGGCACCCTGATCTTAGTCTTCTAGCCTCCAGAACCATGGGAAATAAATTTCTGTTATTTAAACCCTGCCACTCTATGGTATTTTATTATGGCATCCCGAACTGACTAATACAAAGAGTATCTTAAAAGATGTCTTCTTGGCTGGGTGCGGTGGCTCATGCCTATAATCCCAGCACTTTGGGAGGCAGACAGATCACTTGAGGTCAGGAGTTTGAGATCAGCCTGGCCAACATGGCGAAACCCTGTCTCTACTGAAAATACAAAAATTAGCTAGGCATGGTGGTGCATGTCTATAATCCCAGCTACTCAGAAGGCTGAGGCAGGAGAATCACTTGAAATTGGGCAGCGGAGGTTGCAGTGAGCCGAGACTGTGCCACTGCACTCCAGCCTGGGCAACTGGGCGACAGAGCAAGATTCTGTCTCAAAAAAAAAAAAAAGAAAAGAAAAGAACAGAAAAAGGATGCCTTCCACGAAATCTTGGAGCAAAAAGAAAATGGCAGAGCTGAGACCTCACTTCTACTAGGAACTCTTTATTAGACACATTACCAGATAAAAATAATAATGATCTAATTACGATGATTAAAAGTATAGATAATGTTGAAGGTGAATGATAAAACATGGGGTTTCATTATACTAGTTTTTCTTCTTTTGTGTGTATTTAAAGTTTTTCAAAATGAAAGGTTTAAAAAATTTTAGGTTGGCTAAAAAACAATGATGAAATTATCAAGAACATTATTTTATTTACCTCCAGTATCATTCACAGTAAATTTTTCTCTAGGTATTTACTGTGGCTTGAGAGATTAGTTAATGAAGATGAGAAGCCATCAGAAATATTGCAAAATGTTTTGTATTTCAACTTTGCATAATCAATGTTATACATTTCTAGGTATGTTTTACAACACACACAATATATTAGTACCACGGTATGGAAGAATAATTTTTATGTAACATACACAGACACACACAAACACACATAGTAAAGGTACAGTTTTCACCCCTTTTTGTTGATGGAAGTGCACAGACAAAAGAGTTTGGTGGCCCCGGTGCTTAAATGGTAAGAGGAGAAGACAGGCAACAGATAAACATGGAGAATACCCATAAAGACATTAAGGCCCAAATTGGGGGTTGGGGGAGAACAAATAATATTAGGAACTACCTAGAAGGTTAATGCATACATGCATTACTTGTATACACAAACATTATTTGTAAAGTTGATACAGCTCTTTGAAACCCTTTGGAATAAAAGGTGCATAAAACAATATATTATTAATATTATTATTATAGTGCATATTTGTGTTTCTGTATTAAGCTGCCAGAGGAGTCTTTTAATGGTCTCATTTTTTATGCAATATATACATAGGTCCATTGAAGAGACCCACATTTATCTAAATTATTGAGATGAATTTTAATTTGTTTGGACAATACTAAAGCTTGGAATGACTAAAGAGGAAAAAAAAAAAAAAAGCTCAGCATGCTAACAAATAAATGTTAAATGACCTGGGACAATGGAGTACATATTTTCATACTTCCACATATTCATTTCACAAATTGGTGGTGTCCAGATGTCCTACGGCAAGGTTTTTTTGTTTTGTTTTGTTTTGTTTTGCTTTTTGAGATGGAGTCTCGCTCTGTTGCCCAGGCTGGAATGCAGTGGCACCTCTCAGCTCACTGCAAGCCCCGCTCCCAGATTCACGCCATTCTCCTGCCTCAGCCTCCCGAGTAGCTGGGGCTACAGGTGCCCACCACCATGCCCGGCTAATTTTTTTTTTTTTTTGTATTTTTAGTGGAGACGGGGGTTTCACCATGTTAGCCAGGATGGTCTCGATCTCCTGACCTCATGATCCGCCCACCTCAGCCTCCCAAAGTGCTGGGATTACAGGCGTGAGCCACCGTGCCCGGCCGCAAGATTCTTAAAGTGTGGTGGAAGGCCAAATGCGGGGCTGAAAAAAATCCCCATTTTTAAAATCTTTTTAGATGATACTTTTAAAATGTCTTTTAAATAACAGACACCTTAACTATTTAAGATATTTTTTCTTCTTTTTGTGACAATGATTCTGCATTTTTTTCCAGGCATGATTGAAGGCTTTCACTTTGTAGTTTTAAATTAAAGCTAAGGAGAACCTCACTGGTTTCTCATCAACAGCAGCACAATTTGTTTGCTGATTTCAGTGCAGTGGTTGGGTTTTTCTTTGTTAAATTAGAAAGCTGAGTGGAAACAGGTGGATGAAGGGGTTCCCATGCCTGTGAAGGGTCTGTAGCCCAGAAGAGTAAGGGAACCATGGTTGTGGGAACTAAGCTTCAGGGCTGTCTTTCTGCTTTTATCCCATGTTCATGACAGTTTTTGGCAAACTGTACACGCTCCCCCCATATTGAGCCATACTTTTGGCTTCAGGAGATAAAATACATTGCTCTTATTAAAATAGGTCATAGAAGCCAGGCACAGTGGCTCACGCCCGAAATCCCAGCACTTTGGGAGGCCAAGGCAGGCAGATCACTTGAGCCTAGGAGTTCGAGACCAGGGGGCAACATAGTGAAACCCTGTCTTTACAAAAAAATAGAAAAATTAGCTGGGCATGGTAGTGCATGCCTTTAGTCCCAGCTATTTGGGGGACCAAGGCTGGAGGATCACTTAAGCCTGGGAGGTCAAGGCTGCAGTGGGTTGTGTTTGCCCCACTGCACTCCAGCCTGGGCAATAGAGAAAGACCCTGTCTCAAAAAAGTAGGTCATAGACACAGAAAAGGGAAAAGATACGGGCGCCTACTTGAGGGTGGAGGGTGGGAGGAAGATGAGGATTGAAAAACTACCTATCAGCTGGGTGCAGCTCACACCTGCAATCCCAGCACTTTGAGAGGCTGAGGCAGGCAGATCACCTGAGGTCAGTAGTTTAAGACCAGCCTGCCCAACATGGCGAAACCCCATCTCTACTAAAAACACAAAAAATTAGCCAGGCGTGGTGGCGAGTGCCTGTAATTCCATCTGCTTGGGAGGCTGAGGCAGGAGAATCACTTGAACCCAGGAGGCAGAGGTTGCAGTGAGCAGACATGGTGCCACTGCACTCCAGCCTGGGCGACAACAGCGAAACTCTATCTCAAAAAAAAAAAAAAAAGAAAAAGAAAAGAAAGAAAGAAAAATTACCTATCAGGCATTACACTGATTACCTGGTGACAATATTATCTGTACACCAAACCCCCGCAACACACAATTTACCCACATCACAAACCTGCACATGTGCCCCTTGAACCTAAAATAAAAGTTGGAGTAAATAAATAAATAATAAATAAATAAATAAATAAAATAGGTCATAGAGCAAGAGACAGCAAGTCCATTCACCACCGGCTGCCTAGGACTTCCATCCTGCCATTGCATGCCCTTCTTCCTCCAATCTCACTCTGCTTCCCAATCCCAACCTTTCTATCACATGCAGCTAGAAAGCTGTGTCCCTCCAGACTGGAAGCATTTGTGTTTCTCAACCAGCAGATAACTCACTGAAAAACCCCGACCCTGGGAACCAAACGCTCTGGCTTTACCACTACCTCATCAGGGCTCTAACTTTCTCATCTGCAAAATGGGCATCCTTTCTACTTGGTAAAGCAAGGAACAGTCTATCACAGAAGTCAGGAGGACCTGATGGGCTTTTGAAATCAGCTTGTGTGGAATCGTAATTCCACCACCATCAAGCTGTGTGTGACTTCACTCTCTGAGTCTTGGTTTTCTCATGTAAAACAGGGATGTTGATGGTACTGATAGCCTTGATGTACCGGTTCAAGAAATTGCTCTTTGTGGGGCACCTGGAGCAGTGACTATACCCATGGTAAAAGTTCAATAAATGATAGTCATTATCAAATAACAACAAGGACAAAATTATAGTACAGATTGCCCAAAGCCAAGGAATCCCAAGTACAGTTTGAAATAAAACAATTGTATCCGTGTTCTCTGGCTACTATAACAAATTGCCACACACTTAACAGCTGGCAACATGGTAAATTTACGATCTTACAGTTGAGTAGGTTAGCAGTCCAACATGGATCTCGCCAGCTGAAATCCAGGTGGTGGCTGTGTTCCTTCCCTAAGGCCCAGGAAAGAATCCATTTCTTGCCATTTCTCTAGAAGCTGGAAAAGCTTCTAGAGACCGTCAGCATCCCTGAGCTGGTAGCTCACTTCCTCCATCTCTATCCGCTTTTGGAACCCTTGTGATTACATGGGGCTCACTCAGTAACCCAGAATAATCTTCCTATTGTAAGGTCAGCTGATTAGCAACCTTGATTCCATCTGCAACCCTAACTCCGCTTGATAATTTAAAGTAACATAGTCACAGGTTCTAGTGATTAGGATGTGGACAGCTTTGAGGGGGCATTATTCTGCCTAATAGAATAATTAAACAGAACCACCTTACCCACAGGGTGACACACATAGGTTTCTTTTTAATTAATTTATTTATTTTTGGGACAGAGTCTCACTCTGTTGCCTAGGCTGGAGTGCAGGGGCGCGATCCAGCTCACTGCAACCTCTGCCTCCCGGGTTCAAGCAATTCTCCTGCTTCAGCCTCCTGAGTAGCTGGGACTACAGGCATGTGCCACCATACCCAGCTAATTTTTGTATTTTTAGCAGAGACAGTGTTTCATCATGTTGGCCAGGCTCATCTCAAACTCCTGCCCTCAATTGATCTGCCCACCTCAGCCTCCCAAAGTACTGGGTTTACAGGCGTGAGCCACTGCGCCCAGCCGATATGCATAGGTTTATTTCAATTGCCACTGGGCAACCAGAAAGAATGACAGAACCAATAAGAAACTACCAGAAAGTAGAAGGGTTGGAAGTTCTCAGTTCTCAGGTATCAATCACTTGGCACAAAAGTTACCGTCTTCCCACCAAAAATCAGGTAGCCTTGTAAGACTTCATCACAATAGCATTCACAGGAGATATTTACAGAGAATATTTGAATCTGAGAAGTGTCCTCCTTCAAGCACTTTGTGGATGTATGGTTAGAGAAATTAGGAATCAAAATAGAATTCAAGAACTATGAAAACTGAAGGCTGTGTTTTAGGGCTGAATATTGAGTCATTGCAGACTCATGACTAAGATACCTTAGCATTTACTAAAGCAGAAGGAAGCAACCAGTGTCACAATTTTACTATGGGATGTAGGTTGCTTCAACCAATACAGAATCATCCAGAAAAACAAAGAGGAAGAGGAATCAGATTAGAGCAGGACCAGCGAGGGCTTTGTCAAAGGCCCCGTGAGGAGAGATGGGTGGTTAACACCAGAGCCTTGCATTTTGCCTGGTAAAATGGAGAGAAACACATTCCCTGAGGTTTGTGAGGCTGAGCTGCAGGTGTAACTAGATACAATAAGAATGTTGGTAGCTGGCATGTATATGTTTATACTTAAACCCTTGTTGCTATAAACAGTTTTCCTCACAATGTGCATTTATAGAGGGTTGATTCTAAAAATTAACTGTGGCCTAAATTATCCTTGAAAATCTATTCAACAGATTTTTGAATTCACCAAGACACAGATCCTTGGAGTTCAAAAACCAAGAAGTAACTTACATTGTTTCTCTTTGCATTTCGACTATGGCCTTCCTTCCTCTGGGACTATCAAGGCCAAAATGTAATTTGATTAGGGTATCTTTTTTTTAGCAAATAATAAAAATATCTTCCATTTTGCTTAATGGGAAAGGTTGATTTCATATTAGTTAAATGCATGCATCATATGGCTTGAGTGTATTCAGCCATTATCAACTATTTATTTTGCTGTATTTATATGCTATGTACTTTTATCAGATGGAGCTGACCAAACTTTATGATCAAGAATCTGGTATCTGGTTGGGCAGATCATCTAGGAGCATTCCTTATAGAACGGAGCCCAACCATGGATAGCTCCTGTTCTAGGGGTGCACCCCAACTCTGAATCAGCCAGTGAGAGCAAAGTCCAATGCTCTGCATGGTCTCTGCCAGCACCACCACTCCTGTGACATGTTCTGGGCCTCGGGTGATTCCAAATCCATCATCAAGGCCAGCTATGCCTAGCAAATACTTCCCATGTCTGTCTCCAGTAATAATAATGGTGCTTCTCATTTGTAGAGTAAATTTCAGTTTTACAAGTATCTCGCTTACATGACATCCAAAATAAACATTTTCTTGATATGTTGGTACATTTGGAAAATAAACCTCTCTTCAGATCGCTCCCTTTATGCCAATAGTAACAAACACAGAAGTAGCTAAGTTTGCGCTTTAGGCATTACCAAGGGTTGTGCCATTAGTCAGTCATGAAAGATTCCTGAGCACTAAGTCAACTTTGCAGGCTGCCAATAGTTAACTTAGGCATGTTTTATAACCACTTCATTTTTTTGTTTCTAATTGCAGGAAAGGATGACTCAAAGCCCAATCTGAAGAAATTCAATCACCTTTCTCCTTGAAGCTCATAACCCCTCTCATAACGATTATAAATCAACTTCTAGATTTTTCTTTTTGCAATAAGGCTTGCTTTTTTTAATTCTCCTGGAAATTAGCAGAAGTCACGATTACCTTTAGAAACACAGGCAAGATTTCCAACATTAATGCTACCATTCAAGAGAATTTTCTTCAGAATACAAAAATGCCTCTTGGAGGAGAATCCGGGCAAGGTTTCTTTGAGAGGCAGGGAATCAGGGGTTTGTTGTCCTTTTTTGCAATGTCATAAATTAAGAAGGAGATCAATTCTGCCATTTCAATTTGTATCAGCCTGAAGGTCAAACAGACACACGTAATAAATTCTGACTCAGGCAATTACAAATTCAGCTGACTCCTTCCATTCTGAAAACCTTAGTGCTGATCTCTACCATCCCAGAATAACTTCCCCAGCCATTAGTAGATTATTCTGCTGGGTAGAAGGTGTACCTTTTTTACCTTCTGCTTATTACAATTCCAAAAGGAGGACATAAACACTAGTGATTTCATATTCCATCCAGAATACTGGATGTACATCCTCAACTGCTGAATGCTGAAAAGGTTACTCAAATTCTCCAAGTGATATCCTATGTAAAGCAGCAACCACCTGCTTGGGAACATATTATGAGGCCCTCTGAAGATGAGGCAAAGACCTTTTTATTTAATTACAACACATTAGGGCAGAGGAAATGCCGCATGACACATCAACATATAAGTCTCTGCAGTCAGGGACACAGCTACCCCAATTTTCCTGTCTCCCTAGCTTGTATATCTGGCTTATTCAAAATCAGTCTAGGAAAAGGGAAAGGACGAAAAACAACAATGATAATATTTGTTGTCAGATACTACCTACATGACATTAAATGTGTCTTGAGTGTGTAAAACCACCACCAAAGAAACATTTTAACTAGCTATTAAGCACTGGAACTGTGATAGGAAAGAGGGGTGTCATAAATGCTGTCATTTCCCACCCGCGCCCTTCCACCTGCCAGCGGACCTGTCTCCCAGCCACCATAAGCCTCTTGAGGCCCCTTCTCAGGAAGTCACCAATGGTATGTGCTGCCCTCACCCTACTCCCTGAGGCTTTAGTCCATGACCTGACACCAAGGAATACAAAAGGTTGACCCACGTCTCAAGACAAACCAATGCTCTGGTGTTTGTTACTGTATCTGTCCTCATCTCCATTTTTACCAACTCCTACCCTTCAGGCAGTAAGTAGGCTTCTCTGGGAAGAATTCAGATTTTTTGGTAAGAAAAATTGCTAGCCACTGCACAGAGGAGATGGAGACATGGCCTATTCCTGGAGACGCTGGGAGTAGTCTTCCTGGCAAGGTGTAGTTGACACTCTCGGTGTCTCACCCATCACCTCAGCCCTTCCAGAATCCACTGCAAACGTTTCCCTACCAAACCAAGGGCTTCCCGAGTCTCTCTGCATGAGGGCATCCTCTGTCTTTTTTCTTTTTTTGAGACAGAGTCTCCCTCTGTCACCTAGGCTGAAGGGCAGTGACATGATCTCAGTTCACCGCAACCTCTGCCTCCTGGGTTCAAGTAATTCTTCTGCCTTAGCCTCCCAAGTAGCTGGGATTACAGGTGCCCACCACCATGCCCAGATAACTTTTTTTGTATTTTTAGTAGAGCCAGGGTTTCATCATGTTGGCCAGGCTGGTTTTGAACTCATGACCTCAAGTGATCCACCCTCCTCAGGCTTCCAAAGTGCTGGGATTATAGGCGTGAGCCACCATGCATGACCCATCCTCTGTCTTTAAGGGGTTGCATTGCCACAGAAAGGGCCAGCCAGAAAGGTTAGGGAGTTACCACGATCCTTAACAGATAAGGGTTGTTAGTGGATGGATAAATACCCAGCTTCCCTGTGTCTCAGTATAACAGCCCTGAGGTGGATTCATAGTCTCCCACAGGGTCCTTAGCAGGTTGAGTCCCAGTTGCCCTCATGGATTACCTGCTCATGAACATACCTTTTAGTATCTTTCTTCTCTTCTGTAATCACTTCCCAGCCTTGCTTCCTGGAACCCCTCTCAAATAAATGACACCCATCGTCTTACCTTCTGGTCTTTCTTGGAGGGAGCCCAGATTGAGGCATAAGGGTCAGGTGCAGAGCCTGTGGCCTAATGGTCTTGGAGAAGGGGTGGCCTCTCCAAAGAGGTAGCATTGGCTGTGGGCGGCTGGGACATGATGCCAGCCCCCATGGCTGGATGCTGGAACTGCCCTTAATCCAGCACTCCCCATGCCCGCTTGCTCCCTGAGAAGCATCTGTACATGAGAACTGAAAGAGGTGATGGCTAAGTGATGCTAGGTTTCAGATGCAGGCGTGTATCAAATGTACAGTTACCCCAGCACTGCTTCCTTACCTGAGGAACATGGCATCCACCTCTGGAGAGACTTCACTGCTCTCATGCTATTGAGAAGCTTCTGGACTCCCTCTGGGCCGGGGCTCTCCACTGTCACACTGCTCAGCATCTTATCTCATAAGGTCTTAGGCTCCTTGGCAGCCCCGGCCCTGTAGCCTGGAGCTCCACGGCCTCACACCAGGAAGAAATAAAGATTTGGAAGATCTGTAAGCTAAATATTTCTGGAAATTCAGCCAAAAATCCTTCCACAGGAGGGAGGCGGGGCAGAGGAGCTGATCAATGAAGATGAGCTACCATGAGGGAGCAGCCACCTGAGCACTGGGACTGTTCTGGAAGGCAAGGACTCCACACTTGGGCCCAGCTCACTGAGGCCTCTGTCATCCGAGCAGCTGTGGCCTCACTTTGTAGTTAGCATAGCCATGTAGGACCAAAGAAGACCAGGCATCTCCCCTCCAGACATTCACAGATCTCCAACCAAACAAGATTGCATTAGGAACCTGAAGGGGACCAGTGTCTCTGTATTTCCTTCTAGATGTGGGTACCCAGGTGATGTACGGAGGTGGGAAGGACTGGGCTTGAAGCCATTTGCACCCTAACCTGGGAAGGGCATGCCTGTTACAGTAATTTTTCCTTATCCCCTTGCTATTTGGAGTCAAACAAAACCTGCTAAACTGAGTTTGAAATTTCTGACTAAGAACCAAAATAAATACATAGAAGCAAATTTGTAATGATTTACTCAACTGAGAAAATATTAATATTTTGAAAGAAACTACAATCTAAATTTTAAATATTAGAACATGTAGTTCTTCTCATGACATATTTCCAAAATATTTGTCTGAAACTCAAACCACAGAGCAAATCAGATATGAGCAAAGCTTCAAGAAAGAGAAAGGGGAGGCACTGAGAATGGACCGCGGTCATCTGTTGAATCAATTAAGAATGCTTTAACTACACACGCAGCAAAGGGCTCTCAGCAAAACTCACTAAGCCTTCAGCATTAGGACCAAAAGACAATAAACAAGGCTAGAAGCAATGCCACACAGCTATCTTCAGAAGCCTGGAAGGATCTTTTCTGTTTTCCAGATATCAGCCAGTCTTTAAAGCTACTGCATTCTATGGAACAAGAAAGGGACTGACGGACATATCCGCGTTCTAAAATTACCATCCCAGGCATGTTCCAAATGCATAATTTCCTTTGAATTATACCACAAAGCCACTTAACCACAGAGAGAGTACTGTTTTTAGTTCTGAGCCTTTATCTCTAAAATAAATTCAAGTCCTAATCCCAGCATTTACCCATGAGCAGTTCTACGACTGAACGAAGAAGCCCTGAAATTCTTGACCCAAGTTGTAAGCAGGAATGAGATGAGCGTAGAGAGCAGAGCCAGGGTTTTGGAGAAGAAAGGGCCTAAGTGAGTGTGGTGATTGCAGCTTAGGAGCTCCTTATTCTGTTGCTCCTCCTATGACTTCATCCTCAATTACCACCAAGTGCTGGGCTTGCGTCCTCTCGCTCATGCTTCTCTCCACCCCATCTAACACTCTAACAACATCGATGACCTGCAATATGTGACCTGGGATTTAGAGCTCAGCAGGTTTTGTGTGGAGGTACACTAAGGTGAAAGTGGTCAAGACCAACAGTCCAATATAATCATTTCATCCACATAACTGGAGTCTCCTGTGTTGTAATTGGGAATGCAAACCACACCGCCAGCTGGACACCTTCTGCCTGAACTGGGAAGGAGACTAATCCTCCACAAGGTTGCCTCTCCTCATCCTTCTTACATCAGAGCTGGAGGCAGTGTCCAAAGGGCCAGCCGTGGAGCACTTAGATGTGCTCCCATGTGAGGAGCTCTGCAGCAGGGTCTGGAGGCTAGCTCCCCAAGTTCTTTGGTTATATGAATACTTCAGTACAGACACCCACACTGGCCTTTTCTCCTCGGGATGGCTGAGTGGCAAAGGGTTCCCAAACTCAGCCAAATGTTGGATCCAAGGCCTCCTTTCCCTGAGCCTAGATGTATCTGTTACCCATTGCTATGTAACAAATCTTCCACCAACTAGTGGGGTAAAGTATGTGAGTCAGCTGTGTGGTCTGCTAATTTGAGCCAAGCTCTGCCCATCTCACTAGGCTCATGCATGTGCCTGTAGTCACCTGGCAGGTTGGCTGGAGGCTGGCTGGTCTAGGATGGGTGACAATAGCAACTGAGGCACACGTCTCATGTTATTCAACAGGTCAGCCCGCACTTGTGCATATGGCAGTGGCAGGCTGTAAACAAAAGTATTGAGGTTGTTGGTTGTGCAGCAAGAAAACACTGAGACTCATGCTCATGTGTTCAACCATGCTAAAGAAAACAAACAACTTTTTCTCTCGTGTCAATACACTTCTTCTTTGCTGCCAGAGAATCTTTTGATTTCAGCAGGCTTAATGGTCAGATAAAGAAAAGAGGCTCTTCTTTGCATATCTGCCCTTCTCCTCCACTTCTCAGTCCATACAGCCATGCAACACTGCTTTCTTTTGAAAGCCGCTGAGCCTAGGCTTGAGCTGATACACTGCCCTTTCTGCTGCACTCAGAGGTAGGGAAACAAAATGCACCCATTGGCCAGCAGAATGCAAAATCATATTGTAAAGGGCGTGCATACAGGGGGTGGGTGGAGCGTCTGCCCATTTTTGTGAACAATCTATCTGTATTAAGAGCACAAAGCTAAGTTGGGTTTCCAATACTAGGGCGACTACAATCTTGCCCTCGTAGGAAACAAAAGAGACTTGGACACAGGTATTGACGATGTGCCTTTCATGAGATGCCTTTATTATTTGACAGATGGTATAATGCCTAGTTGTCCAATCTGTGCCCAGGAGTCCCTCACATGGGAAGCTTGTTTATACTGGCAGATGCCCTTGTGACTCTCATCTGACCCGTGTCCAATTTATGGTTGTCTGACCATTGCTCTGGTGCTGGGAGCCTGACCTTGTTTTCTCCCCAGCAGCCTGGAGCAAACCCAGTCTGTGGTAGCCCCTAGTTCTTCAGATAGAAGGTACACATTCATTACATCACCACAGCAGGAAACAAGTTCAAATATTTTCTTTACAGACCGGGGCAAGGAGGGTATACTGAGTCAGCAGAGCAGTCCTATATCCCTGGGTCTTGCAGACATGAAGAGGCAGGAATGAAGAGTTCAGGCAGAGAGCACACCTGGTGACTGGCAGCACGAACAAGGGAATAGGGTGTGGGGCACTAAGTTCACAAGCAAATGCCTGATGATCCTTGTACAGGAAGCCATGGGAAAGCCGGGAGCCCAGTCTTCCAAGTAGGAGAGATGCCTCTAGGTTCTTATCTCTGGCCACCAGCTTGAGCCTTTTGGGTGTGGTGCAGAAGTGGAAACTGAGTCAAGGGTGACTGAGCCCTGCTTCTGGTCTGAGAAAGTTAAACTTGTATTTAAAATTGATGTCAAGCAACACAAAATTACAAAAATTCACTACACTATCCCAAGAGGCATCCAGGCTTTCTCAAGTACAAAGGAAACTATCTCTCCCAAGATCTGATCCCATTTCTTGTCCTAGGAATAAGTGAAATTTACTTCAGTGAGTCCCCATCTTCTGATACCTAAGCGTGTTGAAAGCAGATACCAGTAAGCTTCAGAAGAATTGGTGACCCATAATTCAGACCATGTTACTTCTTTCATTTTGGTGCAAGTAGTTCAGGGTGGAAGAAAGGCTACCACCTTAGCAGTGAGGAGGGAGAAAAAGCCGTAGCCCATCATTTACACTTTAAATGCTGGCTCTATGACGTTCAGTTTTCCATTCCTGAGTTATTTCATTTAGAATAATATGTCCAATCTCATCCAAGTCATTGCAAATGCTGTTAATTCATTCCTTTTTATAGCTGAGTAGTATCCCATTGTACATATATATTACAGTGCCTTTATCCACTCATTGATTGATGGGCATTTGGATTGGTCCACGATTTTGCAATTGTGAATGTTCTCACTGATATGTGGATGCTAAGCTGTGAGGACATAAAGGCATAAGAATGACACAATGGACTTTGGGGACTTGGGGTGAACAGTAGGAGGGGGGTGAGGGATAAAAGACAACAAATACAGTGCAGTGTACACCACTCAGGTGATGAGTGCACCACGATCTCATAAATCTCCACTAAAGAACTTACTCATGTAACCAAATACTACCTGTATCCCAATAACTTATGAAAAAATAAAAAATAATAATTAAGAAAAAGAGGCCAGGTGCGGTGGCTCACCCCTGTAATCTCAACACTTTGGGAGGCCGAGGTGGGCGGATTCCGAGGTCAGGAGATTGAGACCATCCTGGCTAACATGGTGAAACCCCGTCTCCATTAAAAAAAAAATTACAAAAAATTAGCCGGGCATGGTGGCACACACCTGTAGTCCCAGCTACTCGGGAGGCTGGGGCAGGAGAACCACTTGAACCCGGGAGGTGGAAGTTGCAGTGAGCCAAGATGGTGCCACTGCACTCCAGCTTGGGTGACAGAGTGAGACTCTGTCTCAAAATATAAATAAATAAATAAATAATAATTGTCTCTGCAATGTACTCACCTAGGCCTGAGGCACTGCACTTCCCCATGTTCCCATGGTGGCTGAGACCACTGTGACTAGTGGGGAAGGGGAGGAGGTCACTGTCACAGTCACCTTTCCCCTTTCAGCTCAGATAATTTCTGGGGAAGGAGAGGGCTGCCATGAGAATGGTATGGCTGTGTGTTGGAAGGACAGAGGGAGAAGGAACAGGAAAAACCCACTTCCCATACTCTCTAACTCCAATCTTGGTCAACACATGTCTGGTGGTTTACTTGCATCCTGACTTTTCAACACCACCATCCTCCTCATGACCCACTCCCAGGAACTAGAGCTTCTGCATGTGCGGCCATGCTCCCCCGTGCACCTTCCCTTAACCCGGCACATGAGGGTAACAGGCTACTACACTTCATATACGCTGGCTGGGTCTGCGTTTGAATTCCTAGAATTGGAGATGACATGGTCCTGTAAGCCATCTTCATTTCGTATTCCATCTCTATTGTGATCAATGCATTTCTTCTAGATGTCTAAGTTGTGTTCCAAGTGTGGTCTCTTTAATTTTTTTTTAAGTCAGAAGATCCAATACCTTTGTCTCATTCATTTCTTTATTCATTCCACAAATATTTTTTGAGTACTTACCATGTGTCAGGCACTGTTTTAGCAATTGGGGTTACAATGGCAAGTGAGACCCAAAGTCCCTGCCCTCTCTGAGCTTTCGTTTCAGTGAGGGAGAGAGACAAGAAAAAAAAATTGGTAAATGACAGTAGTATCAGGTAACTGCTCTAAGAAAAAGTAGATAAGGGAATAGAGTGTGAGGGAGAAGAAACTTTTAGCTTGGGTGGATGGAAAAGGCTTCTCTGAGGAAGTGATATTTCAATAAAGACCTAAAAGATGTTAGAGGACAAGTGAGGAGGAGGAGAGGAAATGAGATGCCGGGGGAGGGGGGAAGAGAATTCCTGGGACAGGAAACAGGTCTTCCTTGCCCGAGACCTGCAAAATCACTCAGGAAGAAAAAACAATCTATTTCTTGTAGCCATATTTCTTCTGCTTTTCAAACATTCCATGATGGTTAAAATCATGTTAAAACATTTTGAGGTTTATGCTTTTGCTTCTAAAGTATGGACAAAAATATGATTAGACTAGAAAAATTGTCAAATATTAGGGGAAGGCCACCCTAGCATACTCTGTTTCTAAATTTTTCTCAGCCAGTGTAGACAATGAGGTCCTACTTGCAGTCCTGAACAAAAAAAAGTCTTTGAAACTTTATTCAAAAAAAAAAAAACATATTTGTGCACTCTGTCTCTACGGCTGTGATTCATGGGGATGGAAGATAAAGAGAGGGCAAACTCAGAGACTGATCTCAACAGTCAAGGTCTCTCCTAAACACCTCCCCAAAGAGAGGCCAAAGAGAGGGCATGAGAGCAGGAAGGAGGCGCTGGGATCTACAGCCAGCCCTCCTCAGAATGTCCACTTCCATGCCCAGATGGCTCATGAGGGCAGCCATTAGCCCATCTGCAGAGAGAGGCTATGAAGAGAATCAGAGGTCTTGTGGAAAGGGTCTTTAAGAGAAATACAGAAACTTAGGTGGTTGCCAGAGCTGAGGAGATGGAATGGGAATTTTCAAACCAAAGCCTCCCAGAACTCTCAGACCCTAGGGAGAGATTAGGCTGACGGCATCTAGAAACCAAAGGGTTCCGACGGGAGCCTTCACTCTTTCAGCATAATTGTATCGTTCCGACACGTTCTCCCTTTTCCCCTCTCTCCATCACAGCTGTCCATTGCTTTCTCCTCCCTTCCTTCTCCCATCTCCTTTCCCTCACCCCCTTACCTATCAATTGCTTTTCTTCCTGATCCATTTCAGCTTCCTCTCTCCTCGTTATTTTAAAAGAAAATGTAAACAAAACAAAATGTGTAGTTGCACAGAAATTCCAATGAATAAAATGGGATTTTACCATCAACAGTGCTTTTTTTCTGCCCAAATTGGAGGTGACAATGCCACCCTCATTTCCTGTTGGTGCCATCTTCAATCAGTATGGGCCTTTGCAGGGCAGTCTGATATTACACAGAAAGGGTTGTAATGTGTTCCTGTTCTGTGAACCAGTAAACACACTCTCAGGAATGTGCTCAGCAATTCAATGGAAGACAAAAAAATGTCACACACATGCCGATATCCTTTGTAGCATCATCTATAACAACAAAAAGTAAGAAACCATGTAAGTATCCAATAATACTCTCATGCATTAGCAAACAAATTAACACAATGGGTTACTATGTGTCCATTAAAAATAATTAGCATAAAAACTATGTGGAAGCATGAAAAGTTCTGTACTTTTTTATATAAAGAGAGCAGAACACAAAATCCTATTACCTGCTCATACAATTATGTGAATCTAGATTGGGAGAGAATACACAAAAATAGGACTCGTTCCTCTCTCTTACATTAGAGTGGTGAAAATACAGACTTATCTTCAAAAAATCTTTTAACACTATTATATTGCTTTTAATAGTATGTGTGTAAATAATATCAATAAAAGATATTGTTGGGAAGTCCAACATGAGTTGATTATAATTCTTCACTTAACAGCCTCACAAGGCATTTCTTTTTCTGTATTTGTTGTTGTGATGTTTCTCCATCCTTCCCATTCTATCTGTCCCAAGATCAATGGAAGGGCAGGAAGCATTCTTTATTTAATTCTAGCCAATTTGTGTTATATTGGGCAGACCTGCTACAGAGCTTCCATATCATGGTACCATATTACCCAGATGCGTGTATCCCCCATCATGCCCTAAACGGCATCTGCATCAGCAGGGCCAACCTCCTACTGTTCCAATGGCCACTGTGCTCATCCCCAGGCCCCTGTCTCCATCTTTTCCTGTGAGCACCTAAAATACCTACTCTCTTCTCCTCCATCTCCAAATCCTGCTCACCCTCTGTGTCCATAAGACCTTTCCTGACCTTCTTAGCCCTTGGTGATCTCTTCAAACTTCAAATTCCTACAACACATCATCTTCTCTATATGATCCATGTGAGGTACTTATTCTAGGACTTCACCTTATCTGTCCAACTCTACTGTAAAGCCCTTGAGGGTAGGAACTGTGTCTGTGCTTGACCTTCAAGTAAAGCTCTTCACAGCGCTAGGCCCAGAGTTACTGAGTGATACTACTTATTAAGTGATTAATAATGGAACTGGAACAAGGGAGAACATGGAAACTGAGACATAGATTTCCATACCTGTTCTGCATCCCATATACCTGTCAGGCACATATTCAAGCATCCAAAATTGATCCTCATTAACTACTAGAAAATGTGCATGGATATTCATAAACACGAAACCATCTGTAGCTAATTTTTCAAATCTATTAGCCAGCGCAGATGAATATGTATTACTGATGGTATCAGTACTGGTTTTTATGATGTTCTAAAGTAGACTAAAAGCTATAGGCAATATTATTAATAACCGAATTTATCACTGGGGTAAATTTGTAAATTTAATGTTGTGACTATAAAAAATAGCACAAAAAGTTTTTCGAAAATACATGTTTCAAATAATTTCATCTGCCATATTAAACCATGAAAAGATCTGAGTTAGAATTGCTTAATAGAACACTTATGCATATATATTAAATGAATCATATTTGTGACTTTTCAAAAACTAGAGTGCTATATATTTCTAAATGGGAAATTTATGCTGTACAGTTAATGTTACATGTTGCAGAGGCATCAATCACTGGCTCTATTAAAGGCAGAATAATCTGGTTGAGAGAAATTAAGCTATAGAGTAAGGAAGATTGGGGTTCAAAATACAGTCTTTTTTTTTTTTTTTTGAGATGGAGTCTCACTCTGTCGCCAGGCTGGAGTGCAGTGGCGTGATCTCAGCTCACTGCAACCTCTGATTCCCTGGTTCAAGTTATTCTCCTGCCTCAGCCTCCCGAGTAGCTGGGATTACAGGCACGTGCCACCATGCCCAGCTAAATTTTGCAAAATACAGTCTTCTATGTGACCTTGAAGGAGTTACCATACCTCCTTGTGCTTCGATTTCCTCATTTGAAAATGATCCGAGACTGCCACCTTCACAATGTTACTCTGAAGATTACATTGTATCATATAGGCAAAGCACTCAGCCTAGGTTCTAGTACCTAGAAAGCAGTCCATAAAACATATGTAGTTATTGTTATTATTGTTGTCATTATCATTTATCATAAAAGACTGCCTTCACAAAATTGTTCTTAGCATGTCATTCCTGCACGAAAGTTAATATGAAGTTTATTTTCAGCTGGACAGACAATCTTTACAGCCCTCTTGATATAATGAACCCTGGCTAATGTCCCCACTGCAACCAACAGAACTCTATTAATAGGAAAAAGCCTGTACTTAATGGAGTAATGCTGCAGCAAGGAAATGTCTTTTCAAGAAATCATAAATATTATTGATTTTTTTTTCTCTTCCTCAAGAAAGCTAACTGGAAGCATGTTCGATGGATGGATGGCGAAGGAGACAGAGTTACTGTCTCTGAATCGGTTGGAGAATATTTATCTCAATACGTCAACCGCAAGTAGAAACTTTACCTCCCTACCAGGGGAACCTCTTAAATGGCTAGATGCTGTCCCTAAATGCAGGCTGTTACATTGGTCCTTAATATGCCACCTGGAAAACTGTTCAGCTTTAATTGAGCTTGACAGTCTCTGAAGACAACACCATTTAGGCAACAAGGATTGAGTTTGTTTTCAATATGAGAGAGAATGGCAGTTCAAAAGAAAAGAAAACAGTTCAAGAATACAGTCTGCCATGTGCAATGTTTTTGGAGGCAACAAATGAGAAAAAGAGACAGAGAAGAAAGCAGAGAAATGTTTATTCAAAATCCTCTTGGAAGCAGTCTCAGTGCTGAACCAAAGAAATGCAGGTAGAAGAAAACTATGTAGAACATTCTATGTATAACTATAATAATAATGATGATGACTCTATAACTGCACATAGCAGAGCAACTTTTCATCTTTTAATATCCAAAGTATTGACTTTTATTTTACTTTTATCATAAATTTACAAGGGATATCTTGAGAGCTTGAGTAACCCCACAATGGCCAAACCTAACAGCCACTTCTCTGGTTCTCTGGACCTCTGAGAACTTTCTGATGCTGTGGGTCCCTCTGGGCCCGTTCCCCATTGGCTTTGGAGACTTTCCTAGTCTCTTCATATCTCCCTCAGCCTGCTTTGGCTACTAAATGTGCAAATCCCCTTTAAGTACACACTTTTTTCTCTTTCTGTCTCTTCACCTCTTTCCTTTAGGGATGAATCCACCTCTTCCTGCATCAGCTGTCAACCCCATAAGAAATATTCCCAGAGCCACCTGCTGAGCCCTTTTCTCTCCCTGAGCACCAATTCTGTGCCTGAGATGGCTCCATGGAGAAAGTGTGGTTTGAATTGGGTTTGAAAGCTGGCCAAATTCAAATATTTAAAGAAGTGGAATTGGGAAAGGAGCATTGGAGGTGGAAATACTGGCAGATCAGGGGCAGAGATATAGAACAAAGAATATGTGGATGACAGCAAAGATTGCCAAAGGATTCTTATTCTTTTTTAAAAGTGGAAGGAGGATTTTTCCATCTTCTAGGACCTTCTGTTTTTCTAAATGCCTGAGGCACTTTCTAGTGCTTACTATCCAAAGTTTAGAAATGAGTCAAAGGACATATAAATCCTTCCTTCATCCTTACCTCTAATGACATCAAAAAGAACGTCACAGCTCCCCAGAGGCCCCATTTACAGAAGCCTCACTTCCCCAGACACCATCCCTATTGCCTAACCTCACTGGAGATGCTCCAGGCTCTCTGGGCACTGGTGGTCTGATGTTATTTGTTCCCCACTTTCAGTTCTGAAGCAGTGGTTTAACTCCTGCTGAGTTTGACTGCTGGTCTTTAACTTTTTCTTGCAGAGAAAGATCACTTCACCACTGTCAGAATTTTATTTCAGTTAATAGGAATTTCAGTGAGCATCCAAGATACCCATTGTTATCGTCTAATGTCTTGCCATGGCTTATTACACAACCTTCAATGCCAAGTCTGCAGAAGAGACAATACTTTTTAATATTTTAGGGAAAAAAAAAAAGGAAAATGGCACTGTGCCTCTCATTAGCTCTTTATTTCATTACACAGTGCAAAGCATGGTCAGTAATTTCCAGAAACAGAAAATAACAACAGGACAAATTTTTTCAGTGGGTTGTCTTGAGTCCCAAACTGGAAATAATCTAACCTTCTTAACCATGTACTTCGTGAAAATAACTTATTTTCAAGGAGAGACATCATTTAATGCAGATTACATGGCACTCAAGTAGAGACACAGCACCATGAAATATTCTCATATGCAAAATTAGAAAAATCACTTTCAGCAACTTATGACTATTGAGTATATTTCAAGGTCCATGGCTTAGATCAGAATGTTCTTTATCTCCTATTATCTCTGAATGTGAATGTATGAGCACGTGATAAACATATTTTTAATCTATTCTTTGCTCCGCACCCACCTATTTAACTCTAAACTATATATATTTTTAAAGGGAATTATAGATTTCATGGTCAAAGCATAGAATAAGACCATTGTTTGCCTGCTCAACACTCTGTGTTCTCTAATTTGCGTTAGGATTAGATATAAGCACAGTGTAACTCTACTTCAGAAGTCCATTTTTCCACCTTACTTTATAACTCCCTAGCATCTTCTTTTTACCAAAAATATTTTAATATCCACAGTTGAACTATAATCCACATGTTAGTTACCAGACTTTTAAAAAATAAATCTACTGAAATCTGCTTTAGATTATGATAGCATAGTTCCAAAACTAACGAGGAAATCAGATAAAATACTAAAACATTTACTTGAAGGTATTGAAGGGCTGCCAAGGTAACAAGGACTCGAGGGTGCAAGAGCCTAGAGAAAAAGGAACTGTAGGGAGGTGAGCTGACCTTCTGGGTATTGCCTTTCCCATCAAGACATCTGCTGACTCTTACTTTTATCATGTGCTAGAATCTGAAAAACTGGGCAGAGAGCTGTGGCTAAGAGATAAAGAAGCCACTAGAACATTTGCAAATCTCACAGAAATAGGGAGAAAAAAATAGGATTTGGAGTTTGTCTTAGTCCATTTGTGCAGTTATAACAAAATACCTGAGACTGGGTAATTTATAAACAACAGAAATTTATTTCTCACAGCCCTGGAGGCTGGAAAGTCCAAGATCAAGGCATGGGCAGGTTCAGTGTCTGGTGAAGGCACATTCCTCCCAGATGGTGCCATCTAAGTATCCTCACATGGTAGAAGAATAGAAGAGAGTGGACCTATTCCCTCAAGTCTTTTAATAAGGGATTAATCCCATCCATGAAGGCAGAGTCCTATGGACCCAACTCCTCCTAATGGCACCACCTCTTAGTACTGTTGCATTAGGGATTAAGTTCAATGTAAATTTTGGAGGAGACAGGAACATTCAGACCATAGCACAGCAGCCTGGCAGGCCATACTGGAGTGGCCAAGAACCTATAGCAAAGGGAGCACAGGAACAAATCATCAATCTGCTCAGAGCAAGAGCCTAAAAAGTTCAGCAGGAAACAGAATACATCAGAATTGTTAACAATCTAATGTGTTGATGAGAAGACAAAAATTTCAGTTTAGCAACAGCCAAAATAAAATGGCCCTCGTGAGCACCGCAGGCCTTCAATAAAGCCAGTAAGCTCTACCCTAAGAGCAGGGATAAACAAGGGGTAGATGGAGCCTTACCAAACCTGCAATCCAGCCCTGAGTCAGCTCTGTACCTGATTAGATAAAGACGCAACCTGCCTACCAGAGGATGTGGTGAACCCTTTGTAGAAGAAGTTGAGATTGTCCTGAGTCTCCATAGTTTTCATACACCATGTCTGGCATTCAATAAAAAACCATCAGACATGCCAGATAAGAGAAACAAGAGAATGAACAGACCAAAGAAACGAATCTACAGATGACCCAGTTATTTGACTTACTAGACACAGATTTTTAAGCAACTTTGACTAATGCTTTATTTAAAAATGTGAGCATTTCACCAGAGACCTGTAATATCAAATAGAAAAAGCATCAAATAGAAATTCTGGAATTAAAAATTACAAAAATTGAAATTACAAACTCAAAATGTTGGTTTCATAGCAGATTGAATACAGTGAAAGAAGAATTGGTGAACTGGAATGCAAGTGAGTATAAAATATCCAGGCTCAATCACAGAGAGCAAAATGAGTGGAAAATACAGAAAAGAGCATTAGTGAAATACAGTACCCTGTGAAAAGCTCTGACACATCATAAATGAGTCCCAGAAGGGGATGAGAGTTAGATTGGAACAGAAAAAAACATTTGAATGAATAATAGCTGAGAATGTTCCCGTATTTCTGAAATATAGCAAACATAGTTTCAAGAAGTTTATGATTAATATGATAAAATCAAAATTTAAAACATCATAGTAAAATCAATGAAAAACAAAGGCAAAGAAGAATCTTGAGAAGAGCAAGAAGAAAAAAGACAAATTACCTTCAAATGAACAACAATAAGACTAATAATTGAGTTTTCAGTTGAAAACTGTAGAAACCAGAAAATAGTGGAATACCATCATTAAAGCTCTAACAGGAAATAACTGACAATCTAGACTCCCACATGAAGGAAAACTATCCTTCAAAAATAAAGATGAAGTAAAAGATTTTTCAGACAAACAAAAATTGAGACTATTAATCACCAGTAGGCTGACATTGAAAGATAAACTAAATGAAATTCTTCAAGCAGAAGAAAAAATATTCCTAGATGGAAACAAGGCAATAATGCAGGAAGGAATAAAGAAAATCAGAAAGGTAAAAATTCAGTAAAATAAAATAATTATTAACAGTAAAATCAATACTATATATTAGAGTTAAAATATATGTAATACAATATGACAATAATAATGCAAAAGATGGGAGAGGTGAAGTTAAAGCCTTTGAAGTTTCAGTATTATTAGGGAGAAGACAGCATGATAATAAGCCAAGTGAGCATGTTGTAATGTCTAGGGTAACCACTAAATAATGGTAAAAGGATATATCACTAACAAATTAATAAAGAGGGGAAAATAGAATAAAACTGAAGCAAAAGACACCATCAAGTTGATACCAAAACCAGATAAAAATATTACATGAAAGGAAAATTATGACCAACATTCCTGTGAACACAGATGCAAAAATTCTTAACAAAATAATAGCATGCTCAGCTATGCATAAAAAGGGTAACGTAGCATGCCTAAATGGGTTTTATTCCAGGAATTCAAGGGTGGTTAACATTTCAAAATCACTCAATGCAATTCCCATATTAACAGAAAGGGGGAAAAGGGAGAAAATTTGTAGTCATACAAAGCACATTTGATAGCATTTAATACCTATTTGGGATTTAAAACAAATTATTGGAAACTAGGGAATACAATAAAACTATCTTAATCTCAACAAAATTGTCTGCTTAAAGTCCACAGTATACATTACATTTTACGGTGAAATATTGAAAGCTTTCCTTCTGCAATAGGGAATGAAACAAGGATGTTAGCTATCACCACTTCCATTTAAGACGGTACTGAGGGTCCTAGAAAGAAAACTAAATATAGACATACAGTATTAAACGGAAGAAATAAAACTATCATTATTTTCAGATGATATGATTGTATACGTAGAAAAAAAACACAAAAGAATCCACATATAAACTATGAGAATTAATAAGTGAATTTAGTAAGTTTACTGAAATATACTGTACAATATAGTATACTACACAAAATATACTATGCAAAATATACTGGTCAGTATACAAAAATCAATTGTAGAATGCAAGTTAAAATAACAATAAAATACCACTAAATATCCACCAGAATTGCTAAAATGGAACAAAAATGAGCATGTAAAATGTTGGCAATGATATGAAGCAGCAGGAATTCTCACACACTGCTGTGGGAATCTAAATTAATACAACTACTTTGACAAACCACTTAGTAGCATCTAATAAAGCTCAACATATTCATACCCAATGAACCAGCAATTTCACTCCTAAATGTATACACAGTAGAAATACACACATACTTGTATCCCTGAAAAAAAAATGCTCATAACAGAATCACTTGAAATAGTCAAAAGCTGGAACAAACCATTTGCCTATCAATAATATAATGGATAAAAATTATGGTGCTTTGATACAATGGGTTATTGTTATACAGCCATGAGAATAAACCAGCCAGATCTATAAGGATGAATATGACAAATATAATGCTGAATGGACAGAAGCCACACACTAAAAGCACATACTCTATGATTCCATTTGTATAAAGTTCAAAAAAAGGCAAAACAAATCTATGGTGATGAAGTCGGAATAGTGATTACCTTTGGGCATGGCGATTTTGGGGGGACATCACGAAGGAGGCCTCTTGGGTGCTGTCAACATTGTATATCTCTATTTGGGTGGTGATTAAATGGGTATGTTGCCCTTTCAAAAATGTATTGAGCTGTGCACTCAAGATCTGTGTGTCTTTATATATGAATGCTGCCCTTCAATAAAAAATTGTAGAGTCCATCAACAAAAATAACCATTGCTCCAGTGAACGTCTTTTATATACAAGAGATTCTGCTAAGATTTATGAAAAATGAAAGATGTTTGGAATGGGAGGAGTAAATAGCCTGATTGGGGAGAGTGCACACATGTGAAAATACAGGTTAGAACACAGGCACAGGTATGCGAAGTGAGCAGATCTCTGCCCTTAGGGGTCTAAGCATGGAGGTCACAGGGCCTGCATGAATTTAGAAACTGTGGAGGGAGAATTGCCATACAGCTTACCGTTAAGTTCCTGAAAGAGGAGTTAGCCTCTCAGTCAGTTTGGGGTCTTTGTTTCCATATGTCAGTCAAGACAGATTTTAAACACACCTATTGAAAAGCAATGGTGACGAGGAGACTGGAGTCAGAAACCACACCCACTGGCTTCAAATCATGCCTCCACTTCTCACAAGGAATACAACTTTGGGCAAGTTAATTCTCAGCACTGGAAAGTAAGAATAACAATAGTCCCTAACTTGAAGCCTAGCTATGAGCATTAAACAATTAATGCAGGCAAGCTCCATACCAAAGTGCTCCGTACGCCCGGTGGCGTGCGCCTATAATCCCAGCTACTCGGGAGGCTGAGGCAGGAGAATCGCTTGAATCCGGGAGGCGGAGGTTGCTGTGAGCTGAGATTGCGCCATTGCACTCCAGCCTAGGTGACAAGAGGGAGACTCCCTCTCAAAAACAAAAACAAAACAAAACAAAAGTGCGTGGCACATAGAAAGTTGTTAAGAAGTTCTTAGCTATCATTGATGGGCTCCTGTGTAGTAATTTGGGACAAGGTGGGTAACACATGAGGCCTCCCTCAAGAAGCTCACACAGCAGCGGGGGATAGAGAAGTAAACTGGCTATACCCAGCCTGATAAAAGCTTTGCTATGAGCAGAGAGTAAGGAGTAATTTGTTCTAGCTACAAAAACCAGAGCAGGAGACATTTGAATTTCAAAGACACATAGCAATGGGCCATGCCTAGAAAAAGCTGCAGCAAGGGAGAGCCTATTAGTTGGAGAGGGAAAAAGTAAAAAAGAAGGCGCATCCAACTAGAGGAACCAGCTTGAGCTAAAATAAACCTTAAAGACTGAGCTATATTTAGAAAACAACAATGTGGTTCAGTGTGAAATAGAAACTAATTTAACACCAAAATGGATACAAATCAACTAGCATATTAACAAAAATTCTGTAGTGTATTTCAAAGCGAAGTAATAAATAAATATCTCTTGGTTTACCTATTTTAGGTAAATGATCTCTATACATTCACTTATTCATTCATCCAGCTGCCAAAAAGGACAACGGGTTCTCTTTCGGTCAATTCTCAACCCCAGTGGAATTGTCTGTAGCCTCATGTTGGCAATACACACTCCAAGATAGAAAAGAACCATGGTAGTCAATTCTAAGGGGCCAGTCCTTGTCTCTAATTATTTGGACCCACAGGACAGGGGTAGATTTAGAAGCAATTTGTGAATTACCATAAAATGTGGCCAACGGGAACTGCCTCCACACTGCAATGATTGGGGAGATGCTCAGAGACCATGAAAGAAAACAAACATGATCTGTTGATCATTAAAAGCAGGGGGTTTCTCTGAAGCTATATGTGGAAGCAGCATACTCTGTGGCATTTAGTCACTGCTAAATCCCAGGACCACTAAATGTTAACATCTGGGTTAATGAATTTTATTCATGAAGATCCTGGCTCCACCCAGGACTTTGACCTGGAGCCATGGAGAGCAACCTGACACATGATGGTGTGATTTAGTTAGCATCGATGGTGCTTTCCAAATGGGAAACCCAATCTCCTGCGTTGCCTCTCAGAGAGTATCACAGTACCACTGACTTCTGACTTGGGGAACCTGGGGGCCGAGCACAGAGTCAGAGTGGGGTGAGGGGTGATAGGAAAACAGGACTAGAAGGCAGGAGGATGGGCGGGGAGCACAGAGACTTGAGGATGGGGGTTCTTTGTCCACCATTCAAAGACTTTTTATGTGGATTTTGTAACTTGTCCAGCTCTTGTTCAGGTGCTGGGAATAAATCAGTGAATATAATTTGATTCTGTCCTTTTGGAATTCAAATTCTAGATGGAGGGAAAGCAGCACAAACAACTGTGAGACAATGTAGCATGTGCTGCAATAGAGATTGTACAATGCGCAACGGGTAAAGGGCAAGAGATGATCAAACCTTCCTAATCTGTGGACTGGAGCAGGAGAAATGCCAGTCAGTGCCGAAAGGACAGACAGGAATTTAACAGTCAGAGAGGAGCAATACACACACAAAGAAATATGCACAAAGATCCTGAGGTATGCAAGTGTGCAAACCTGTAACTCTATATCAGTCCTGCCACAAATTAGTTGGATGACTACAGAAGCATAGTCTGTATCAGTTTCTTCTAAGATGGAAAATGTTACCATATCCCTGTCAGAAAATAATTCCATGATCCCAGGGCCGGGACCAATGGCTAACTTGGGATAATAAGGATGTAGGGCTCAGTGGGCAGAGCTACAGTTTAGGAATCCGAAGAAGCCGTTTGTTCTTTTATTGGTTGCTAACTCCTTCCAGCCTCCTCCTCACGAGCCTGATCCCTCTCCTTTGACGCAACACAGTAGGATTTGTGTGACTGGTAGAATGTGTTCCATCCCAACAGTGTGATTGGCAGGATTTGTTCCATTCCTAGGATCTTAGATTTGAAGATCAAAAGTCATCTCCTCTCATCAATTTTGCACTGGAAACAGATTTATAAATATTCACCACTTGGAAATTCAATGTAAACATCTGATTTGTAAACTTAATTGTTTCACTTAATTGAAAATTAAATTGAGTATTTTTACTTTGAAGTGCATAATTCTAAATTTCTACCAATGAAGAGAAAAGCAAAGAGTAAGAAAAACCTATCACCCATTTTGTTGCTAAGGAGACCCAGTGTCCTTAAAGGGGATGTAAGAGGTGAATGCAGGCTGGGTGTGGTGGTTCATGCCTGTAATCCCAGCACTTTGGGAGGCCAAGGTGGGTAGATCACCTGAGGTCAGGAGTTCGAGACCAGCCTGACCAACGTGAAGAAACCTGGTCTCTACTAAAAATACAAAATTAGCCAGGTGTGATGGTACATGCCTGTAATCCCAGCTACTCAGGAGGCTGAGGCAAGAATCACTTTAAACCCGAGAGGCAGAGGTTGCAGTGAGCCGAGATTGAGCCATTGCACTCCAGCCTGGGTGGCAAGAGCAAAACTCCATGTCAAAAAAAAAAAAAAGAGGTGAATGCAGTGAAGATAGTAGGTACTCAGGTTTTCTGAAGCTCTCTAACCATCAGAAGTCATTGACTTGAGCTGATGTTTTTTCTTTGATGGAATTTTGAGTTGTATAAATTTTTATTGCAATCAAATTGTTTCAGTCTTGCAAATGAGTCCCAAAAATGTGCCACGTCCAGAAAAATAACTTTTTAGTAGTCTACTAACTTTAAAATATTAGGCATCAATTCAAAACTGCTCTGAGCTAGGAGATCCTGATGCAGCTGAAAAACAAAAAACAAAAAGAAAGAAAGAATTTGTCTCCAGAATATAAAGGGAGGAATTCTAAAAAAAAATACCTTCATCAGCTTTTAAGGCATAATATTAAGACCTATCACATTCTATCATTAGTAACGCCAGTGACCTTGCAAAATGGAAAAAGGTATCAGATAAGCCACAACAGGAAGATCCTCCTGGAGGATCAGCTACAAGTAATTTGGACTCCGGGAAGGCTTCAAATCTTGGTTTACACTGCACCAAGCAAATTCTGGAGGATGTGAGAAGGACAAATGCCTAACTCTTATTCAAAGGAGAAAAAGCGTGTGATCATTTTGCCTCTTCCACCCTATTATTATAGGAATTTCTCTTGTGAAAGTGTGGCTGTAGCTCTCTTGATTTTCTCAGAATTGAAGATGACAAAAATAGCCTTTAATTAACCAGCTACAAAGTCAGATAATGGCTTTTCTTAACCTCCAGGTAATTGCCTTGTGCTGGTCTGACACGTGTACCTTCAAGGTCATTCTGCAGTCTTTCAGAAAAGTAATTTATTTACTGTCATTTAAAAAGATTTTCCATGTTCAAGTAGTAATATGGAGTCCTGGGTGTGAGAGGGAAGGGGCCTGGCTCCCGAGAGCCAGCAGATTCATCCGAAGGTCCTGACCTGTGTGAAGCTTTTCCTGGCCTGTAAACACGTCAGAATGATATTAGCCGTGTGTTTACAAAGTATGCCCTGAGTGCGTCCATTATGTCTGGTCTAATGGAACTGCATTCCTCTAAGTGCTTTTTAAGTTGTGTAGACAGCATAGCCAATATCCCTTCAGGGTACTCGGATGCTTGACTGCCATAAACAGCAAGCTAGCCCCCACCAACCCAGGGCGATGCTAAACTGCTTTGAGATCTACTGAGACAGGAGGCACTGCCCCAGTTTGTCTTCTGTCACCATCTTTCCCGTTTGTCTGAGCCTCTGATATCCTTGTTTATTCAACTTTCCTAAGCAGAGAACAAACTAGTGTCATCATTCTTCCAGGTGATTTCCATGAGTTGACTATCTCCCATCCACACACAATGTGCCAAACACCTCACCTGCGCTTTCTCATTTAATCTGTCCTCCACTCCAACCCAGTGAGTTAAGTACTATTACTAGCAACATCATACCATGAGAAAACTGAGAATTACGAGGTTTAAATAATTAGGCCCAAGGTTACAGAGCTAGGAAGTGGTGGAACTTGAACAAGGTCCCTCTGAAGTTTAAGCTATACTCTCCTTCCTCTTGTATTTCATAGACCCCTGGAACTCCGAAGGATCATTAGAACCACGTCGTCTTCACTTTTCAAGAGGGGTTTTAACTAGTTAAAGTTAAACAGCTCATGGTTGGCAAAGTATGACTCCATTCAGATCTCTTGCCTCAGGACTGTTCTAGGCCCCTGAACAAACTCTCACCTGATTTCATTAAATGAAAAGATCTAAAGACTTCAGAGGGTCAATTGGGGTGTGTATAAGTGTAAGCCAGCAGCAATCAAAATACAATTATTGTATAATCCTAATTCATTAAAAATAAAAATTCTCTTCATCATCTACTTGTTTTTCCTTAGCTATTAATATTTCACAAAGTCATTCATTTTGAACATTTTCCCTTTCTTGTGACGTTAATTATCTAACCAAGATCCTCTACCTTCATTAAAATCAGCAGGGTTTCCAGTAAGTGATAATGGACTTGATATTTTTCTAAGTATAAGTTTATGTGTATGCATATGTATATTTATATATCCATATGCATATATGGATATAGAAATAGTATTTTCACATCTAGAACAGAAAAGTGGCCAATATTTGAAATACAAATGCCTTTACATTTAGGCACAAAAATATCTTATACTAATAATAATAGTAATATTTAAGCAGAGTGTTTGACCTGCAAATATTCTCATTGAGTATTTGCGGAACAAATAAACTTGGCAAGCATCCCTTCTGATTAAAAATAGGATTCTAATTTGTAAAATTTTAACTTGCATTTAGTCACTGGGCTTTTAGTTGTGACTGATAATACATCAATTATATGTAAAATATCCTAAAGCTTCTGATGTGCGAGCAGAAATAGGTCTAAAACACTGGAAAGAGACAAAACTTTCTGGAAAAAAAGATGTTCAGATATTCTTGAGAACTACTTTGAGGCTTAAAAAAAATGACAACATATTCAGAAAGATAAAGCAGGAACTACATCATTTTACCAAGATAAAGTGAAATAGACCAATGGATTTGATCCCACTATATTAGTAGTGCAATGTGAGGACAAGAGAAATTCACTGTCATCTACCTGTCCCAGAAGACACCAGCAAATGCATACTTAGAATCTTACACTATTTCAGGGAGTCCAGTTAATCAACCCTTCCAGTTAATCAACCCTTCCAGCCCATAGGAGTATGTGTGTGTGTATGTGTGTGTGTGTGTGTATATATATATGTGTGTGTGTGTGTGTGTGTGTGTGTGTGTGTGTGTGTCTTGTGTTTTTAGATTATCTTTCTTTTAAACTTTGTGCATTGGAAAGTTCTGTGAGAGCCCAAATTTCATAGCCTCCAGATAAACCTAACACTGAGCCCTAGATCCTAGGTCAATATTGACATATGCTGTTGCTGAGCTCCAACAGAAAAGATAAAGATGGTTTATATCCAAGTCTGACACCACAACAAACCACATCTTTTCCTAGTGGCATTCCAACAAACTAGAATCATCATGATGCAATCAGAGAAGCACTGTTTATTAATAAATGCTTTTATCACTGTTTTCTCATGTGGCAGGTCAATATAAAAAGCAGCATAAAAATAAATTAGCTAAGGATATGAGATCTTCCTTTCAGAAATAATATTCCACAAAAGGTTTAATGTCTGCCACTCAACTCAGGGCTGAATCCCTCAGGTCTCTCCCACACTGAGGGAGCCATGTCTGCCCTGCAGGGGAGCTTGCTCTTCTGGTGAAAGAATGCTTCCCAGGCCTTGCAGTTTCAAAACTGACTTAGGGAATGTGTTTGATAAGATAGCAGATCATCTGCTCAGGCAAGGTGTAAAGCAAGTAGCAGCAGACCAAAAACTGAAATGAAACTTGCCCCATCACCATGAAGCAAAACATGTGTCAGCTAAGCACCTTGGGACTCAGTAAATGGCCCCGCACCTAGAGCATTTACAAATGCAGCAACTTTCTCACTGCACTTTCAAATGGGAGAGTTTCCTGATCCCTCTCACTGGATGTGCAACAGGGTTATGGCTTGCCTGTTCAGTCGCTCAAGCCCCTTGTGGGAGGGGGAGCATGCAGATGGGCAGGTGCAGAGGCCAGGGTGAGCGCTTTGGGCTCCGGCCCCATGGTAGTGTCTAGGGGTGGGTGCCTGCAACCTCAGTGTTACAATGCTGTCTTAGCCTTGCTGTCCGTAGGTGACTTTTTTGCAAGGGCAGAGGGCCAGTGTGACAGTTTCTGTATCCCCAGCTCTTGCCCAAGGTCCCAGAAGAATTGGGTCACGCACGGACTTGAGGGATGAATGCAAGGTTTTATTGAGTGTTGGAGGTGGCTCTCAGCAGGATGGATGAGGAGCCAGAAGGGAGAGATGGAGTGGGAAGGTGATCTTCCCCTGGTGTTGGGTCATCCAGTGGCTGAATTCCTCTCCAGCCACCCCTGGCCAAACTCCTCTCAGCATTCAGGCATTCCTTCTCTTCTCTCTGTCTCTGCTGTGTTGTTCGACTGTTTGTCTGCTTGTCTCATCTCCTTGTCTGCTGGTCTCCTCTGGAGCCTGGGGTTTGGGGTTGATATAGGTACAGGATAGGGGGCATGGTGGGCCAAAAGGCAATGATTTGGGCCTGAAAACAGGAATGCCTGTTCTCATTTAGGGCCATGGGTATCCAGGCTTGAGGGGGGGGCCTTTGCCAGGGAACCACCCTCTTCTACCCAGTATTTCCCTGTCTTCTGTTTGTATCACTTTGAAGGGGACAAACCATGTGTTGGATACTGGCTGTGACACTGGCGTGCTGTCCCTGAAGCTCTTTCATTCCTTCATATATACTAAGCTCTCCAGAAAATGTCGAGTCACAGAAGATGCCAAAAAATTGTCCTGCAAGGTCCTTACCAAGCTTTTCTTTATCCTATCTTCGTGACTCCAATCACATCAACCTCTCTCTCCCGAAACCCTCAAATGACTTTGGACCTGAGATATTTGCATTTACCTTTTCTGCTTCACCCTATTTATTGTCCTTGTGCATGTGTGGTCTTTTGTCATCTCCTGGTCACCCCCCTCTACTCACAGGGCTTCAGGTATCAGCCTCCAGTTCTCATTTGGGCAAGCCCTGCTAATCAGCCCTCTCAGGGTTCATTGTAGGGCTTTGGTCTGAGAGATAGGACGAGCTGTTGGTTTATCCCACTAGGCTTGAGCCCTGGAGGAATTGTCCCCAAAGAGCCTGAGAATGAAGGCAATGCAGGGAGGATGACAGTGCCCAACTGAGAGACAGAGAAATATTGAGATCTGGTGGCTTATTGTCAGGCCTGAAGTTAGCTTGAAACTTTAACAGAAGTTAAGAGACAGTCAATTCCTATGTTTTGCCTAAGCCAATTCTAGCTGAGTTTTCTTTTGTTGGAATTGAAGCATCTCACTGATATATGTGTGCCATATTTTCTCAGCATATTTTAACCTCCTCAAAGAGAGAACCCTGTTAAGTGCTCTCCCATAGCCTTAGTCTGATACAAAGTACATGGTAGTTATTCAAAAATGTGTTGCTTCATCTGTCTTCTGGATTGTTCTATTCCATTTAGTACTGAAACTAGAAAGCAGGCATAAATTTATAATGCCCATGGCCAACCCACTTTGTGGCTACAGTGAGTCTGGTGCTCCCCAAGTCAGGCACCGATTCTGAATTCTCAACATCCTACCTAATGCTGGCCACTCCTACCTCTTTACCATGTTATTCAAAACTCACAATCCAAATTGGGATTGACATAAACAAATGATCTTATTTATATTTTGAAGTCACTTTATATTTTATTTATATGTATATATGTATATTAATATTTTCTTTATATGTATATTTTCTTTATATGTATAATATTTTCTTTATATGTATATGTGAACCCCAAAATAAAGACACATAGGGATTTCCTATAAAATTCTGGCCCTATAATCACTTCTTTTCACAGATGGGACAGTTGTAAACCCAAATTCCCACGAATTTCACCAGATAATGTGTTTCATTAAATTTTGCCCCATAGAATAATGCATTTACTCCAAATTCCAGGACAATTCAATATGCAGAAAGCACTCTTTCTACAATATAAATTAAGGAGTTAATAAATAAATATATATTTATTTATAATTATAAGATTATATTTTTATATATAAATATATATAACTATATATACATATATGTGTATATATACATATATAATGTGTGTTTGTGTGGGTGTGTAGATGGTAGATGGCCACTGAGATGACCACAGGGTCTCCTTAATCAGAAAAGCAAACCATTCACTTTGACCATATTCAAAACCCACTGGAGCCTACTGCATTATGAGTTGTTTTTCAGTTTGTCTGAAGCCACAGCCCTTCACTGAACATCCTCGCTTTGGCCATCTTTGTAAAATGTCACTTTGGCTCTCTTTGTAAAATGTTGACTCTTTCAGGCATTATTCTCCACCATTCAATGTTTGTTGGTGACTGCTGTATCAGGCAGTGTTTCCAGGAGCAGAGGCTATAGTGGTGAAAAAGGTAGCCAAGGTCCCAGCCCTCACAGAGTTTATATTGCAACAAAAATAATAGGCAATAAATAAGCAACTAAATGATTATGATCACTTCAGATAGTGGTAAATATTAGGAGAAAAATAAAACAGAATGATATGAAGGAGGGTGACTGAGAAGTGTGGGGAGTTTCACTAGGTAATCCATTTTGAACTATGGTATTATGCTGTTGACTCCCGCTTGAAAATCTATATATGTGGAGGCCTTGGCTGTCTTTTCTTTGACTCCATGTCAAAAGACCTTTCTTGACTTACGGTGAAAGGTACAATTTCCATTTAACTGGAAATTGTCTGCTGTCCTTTTTGTTTTTCTTTCTACACCTTCCTTCCACAGAGAGAATCCCTTTTCTGTTTTTTTTTTGTTGTTGTTGTTGTTGCTGTTCGTTTTTTTATTATACTTTAAGTTCTGGAATACATGTGCAGAATGTGCAGGTTGTGACATAGGTATACATATGCCATGGTGGTTTGTTGAACCCATCAACCTCTCACCTACATTAGGTATTTCTCCTAATGCTATCCCTCCCCTAGTCCCTCAAACCATGACAGGCCCCAGTGTGTGATGTTCCCCTCCCTGTGTCCATGCGCTCTCATTGTTCAACTCCCACTTATGAGTGAGAACATGCAGTGTTTGGTTTCCTGTTCTTGTGTTAGTTTGCTGAGCATAATGGTTTCCAACTTCATCTATGTCCCTGCAAAGGACGTGAACTCATCCTTTTTTTATGGCTGCATAGTATTCCACGGTGTATGTATGCCACATTTTCTTTATCCAGTCTATCATTGATGGGCATTTGGGTTGGTTCCAAGTCTTTGCTATTGTGAACAGTGCTGCAATAAACATACATGTGCATGTGTCTTTATAGTAGAGTGATTTATAATCTTTTGGGTATAATCCAATGGGATTGCTGGGTCAAATGGTATTTCTGGTTCTGGATGCTTGGAGAATCGCCATACTTGTCTTCCACAATGGTTGAACTAATTTACACTCCCACCAACAGTGTAAAAGTGTTTCTATTTCTCCGCATCCTCTCCAGCACCTGTTGTTTCCTGACTTTTTAATAATTGCCATTCTAACTGGCATGAGATGGTATCTCATTGTGGTTTTGATTTGCATTTCTCTAATGACCAGTGATGATAAGCATTTTTTCATAGGTTTAATGGCCACGTAAATGTCTTCTTTTGAAAAGTGTCTGTTCATATCCTTTGCCCACTTTTTGATGGGGTTGTTTTTGTTTTCTTGTAAATTTGTTTAAGTTCCTTGTAGATTCTGGATATTAGCCCTTTGTCAGATGAATGGATTGCAAATATTTTCTCCCATTCTGTAGGTTGCCTGTTCACTCTAATGGTGGTTTCTTTTGCTGTGCAGAAGCTCTTTAGTTTAATTAGGTCCCACTTGTCAATTTTGGCTTTTGCTGCCATTGCTTTTGGTGTTTTAGTCATGAAGTCTTTGCCCATGCCTATGTCCTGAATGGTATTGCCTAGGTTTTCTTCTAGGGTTTTTATGGTTTTAGGTCTTACATTTAAGTCTTTAATCCATCTTAATTTTTGTATAAGGTATAAGGAAAAGATCCAGTTTCAGTTTTCTGCATATGGCTAGCCAGTTTTCCTAACACCATTTATTAAATAGGGAATCCTTTCCCCATTGCTTGTTTTTATCAGGTTTGCCAAAGATCAGATGGTTGTAGATGTGTGGCATTATTTCTGAGGCCTCTGTTCTGTTCCATTGGTCTATATATCTGTTTTGACACCAGTACAATGCTGTTTTGGTTACTGTAGCCTTATAGTATAGTTTGAAGTCAGGTAGCGTGATGAATCCAGCTTTGTTCTTTTTGCTTAGGATTGTCTTGGCTATATGGACTCGTTTTTGTTTTCATATGAAATTTAAAGTAGTTTTTTCTAATTCTGTGAGGAAAGTCATTGGCAGCTTGATGGGGATAGTACTGAATCTATAAATTACTTTGGGCAATATGGCCATTTTCACGATATTGATTCTTCCTATCCATGAACGCGGAATGTTTTCCCATTTGTTTGTGTCATCTATTTCCTTGAGCAGTGGTTTGTAGATCTCCTTGAAGAGGTCCTTCACATCCCTTGTAAGTTGGATTCCTAGGTATTTTATTCTATTTGTAGCAATTGTGAATGGGAGTTCACCCATGATTTGGCTCTCTATTATTGGTATATAGGAATGCTTGTGATTTTTGCACATTGGTTTTGTATCCTGAGACTTTGCTGAAGTTGCTTATCAGCTTAAGGAGATTTTCAGCTGAGACAATGGAGTTTTCCAAATATACAATCATGTCATCTGCAAACAGAGACAATTTGAATTCCTCCCTTCCTATTTGTATAGCCTTTATTTCTTAGTCTTGACTGATTGCCCTGGCCAGAACTTCCAATACTATGTTGAATAGAAGTGGTGAGACAGGGCATCCTTGTCTTGTGCTGGTTTTCAAAGGGAATGCTTCCAGCTTTTGCCCATTCAGTATGATATTGGCTGTGGGTTTGTCATAAATAGCTCTTATTATTTTGAGATACATTCCATCATTATCTAGTTTATTGAGAGTTTTTAGCATGAAGGGCTGTTGAATTTGATCGAAGGCCTTTTCTGCATCTATTGAGAGAACCATGTGGTTTTTGTCATTGGTTCTGTTTATGTGATGGATTATGTTTATTGATTTGTGTATGTTGAACCAGCCTTGCATCCCAGGGATGAAGCCGACTTGATCGTGGTGGATAAGCTTTTGATGTGCTGCTGGATTCAGTTTGCCAGTATTTTATTGAGGATTTTCACATTGATGTTCATCAGGCATACTGGCCTAAAATTTTCTTTTTTTGTTGTGTCTCTGCCAGGTTTTAGTGTAAGGATGATGCTGGCCTCATATATTGAGTTAGGAATGAGTCCCTCTTTTTCTATTGCTTGGAATAGTTTCAGAAGGAGTGGCATCAGCCCCTCTTTGTACCTCTGGTAGAATTCAGTTGTGAATCCATCTGGTCCTGGGCTTTGCTTGGTTGGTAGGCTATTAATTACTGCCTCAATTTCAAAACTTGTAATTGGTCTATGCAGGGATTCAACTTCTTTCTGGTTTAGTCTTGGGAGGGTGTATGTATCCAGGAATTTATCCATTTCTTTTTGATTGTCTAGTTTATTTGCATAGAAGTGTTTATAGTATTCTCCAATGGTAGTTTGTATTTCTCTGGGATCAGTGGTGACATCCCCTTTATCATTTTTTATTGTGTCTATTTGATTCATCTCTCTTTTCTTCATTATTAGTCTGGCTAGCAGTCTATATATTTTGTTAATCTTTTCAAAAAAACCAGCTCCTGGATTCACTGATTTTTTGAAGGGTTTTTCATGTCTCTATCTCCTTCAGTTCTGCTCTGATCTTAGTTATTTCTTTTCTTCTGCTAGCTTTTGAATTTGTTTGCTCTTGTTTCTCTAGTTCTTTTAATTGTGATATTAGGGTGTCGATTTTAGATCTTTCCTGCTTTCTCCTGTGGGCATTTAGTGCTATAAATTTCCCTCTAAACACTGCTTTAGCTGTGTCACAAAGATTCTGTTACTTTGTGTATTTGTTCTCATTGGTTCCAAAGAATTTATTTATTTCTGCCTTAATTTTCTTGTTTACCCAGTAGTCACTCAGGAGCAGGTTGTTCAGTTTCCATGTAGTTGAGTGATTTTGAGTGAGTTTCTTAATCCTGAGTTCTAATTTGTTTGCACTATGGTCTGAGAGACTGTTTATTATGATTTCCCTTATTCTGCATTTGCTGAGGAGTGCTTTACTTCCAAGTATGTGGTCAATTTTAGAATAAGTGTGATGTGGTGCTGAGAAGAATGTATATTCTGTTGATTTGCGGTGGAGAGTTCTGTAGATGTCTATTAGGTCCACTTGGTCCAGAGCTGAGTTCAAGTCCTGAGTATCCTTGTTAATTTTCTGTCTTGTTGATCTGTCTAATATGGACAGTGGGGTGTTAAAATCTCCCACTATTATTTTGTGAGAGTCTAAGTCTCTTTGTAGGTCTCTAAGAACTTGCTTTATGAATCTGGGTGCTCCTGTATTGAGTGCATATATATTTAGGATAGTTAGCTCTTCTTGTTGCATTGATCCCTTTACCATTATGTAATGCCCTTCTTTGTCTTTATTGATCTTTGTTGGTTTAAAATCTGTTTTATCAGAGACTAGGATTGCAACCTCTGCCTTTTTTTGCTTTCCATTTGCTTGGTAAATATTCCTCCATCTCTTTATTTTGGGCCTATGTGTGTCTTTGCACATGAAATTGGTCTCCTGAATATAGCACAGCGATGGAACTTGACTCTTTATCCAATTTGCCAGTCTGTGTCTTTTAATTGGGGCATTTAGCTCATTTACATTTAAGGTTAATATTGTTATGTATGAATTTGATCCTGTCATTACGATGCTAGCTGATAATTTTGCCCATTAGTTGATGCAGTTTCTTCATAGTGTCGATGGTCTTTACAATTTGTTATGTTTTTGCAGTGGCTAATACCGCTTTTTCCTTTCCATATTTAGTGCTTCTTTCAGGAGCTCTTGTAAAGCAGGCCTGGTGGTGACAAAACCTCTCAGCATTTGTTTGTCCATAAAAGATTTTATTTCTCCTTCCCTTGTGAAGGTTCATTTGGCTGGATATGAAATTCTGAGTTGAAAATTCTTTTCTTTAAGAATGTTGAATATTGGCCCCCACTCTCTTCTGGCTTGTAGGGTTTCTGCCGAGAGATCCACTGTTAGTCTGATGGGCTTCCCTTTGTGGGTAACCCAACCTGTCTCTCTGGCTGCCCTTAACATTTTTTCCTTCATTTTAACCTTGGTGAATCTGATGAATATGTGTCTTGGGGTTGCTCTTCTCAAGAAGTATCTGTGGTGTTCTCTGTATTTCTTGAATTGGAATGTTGACCTGCCTTGCTAGGTTGGGGAAGTTCTCCTGGATAATATCCTGAAGAGTGTTTTCCAACTTGGTTCCATTCTCCCCATCACTTTCAGGTACACCAATCAAACAACGGTTTGGTCTTTTCACATAGTCCCATATTTCTTGAAGGCTTTGTTCATTCCTTTTCATTCTTTTTTCTCCAATCTTGTCTTCACACTTTATTTCATTAAGTTGATCTTTAATCTCTGATATCCTTTCTTCTGCTTGACCAATTTGGCTATTGATACTTGGGTATGCTTCAGTAAGTTCTCTTGCTGTGTTTTTCAGCTCCATCAGGTCATTTGTGTTCTTGTCTAAACTGATTATTCTAGTTAGCAATTCCTCTAACCTTTTTTCAAGGTTCTTAGCTATCTTGCATTGGGTTAGAACATGCTCCTTTAGCTCAGAGGAGTTTGTTATTACCCACCTTCTGAAGCCTACTTCTGTCAATTCGTCAAACTCATTATCTGTCCAGTTTTGTTCCCTTGCTGGCGAGAAGTTGTGATCCTTTGGAGAAGAGACGTTCTGGTTTTTGGAATTTTCAGCCTTGTTGTGCTGGTTTTTCCTCATCTTCGTGGTTTATCTACCTTCGGTCTTTGGTGTTGGTGACCTTTGGGTGGGATTTTTGTGTGGACGTCCTTTTTGTTGATGTTGACGCTATTCCTTTCTGTTTGTTAGTTTTCCTCCTAACAGTCAGGTCCTTCTGCTGCAGGTCTGCTGGAGTTTGCTGGAGGTCCACTCCAGACCCTGTTTGCCTGAATATCAACAGCAGAGGCTGCAGAATAGCAAAGATTGCTGCCCGTTCACCCCTCTGGAAGCTTCGTCCAGAGGGGGACCCGCCAGATGTCAGCTAGAGCTCTCCTGTACGAGGTATCTGTCGACCCCTGTTGGGAGATGTCTCCCAGTCAGGAGGCACAGGGGTCAGGGACCCACTTGAAGAGGCAGCCTGTCCCTTAGCAGAGCTTGAGTGCTGTGCTGGGAGATCCACTGCTGTCTTCAGAACTGACACACAGGAATGTTTAAGTCTGCTGAAGCTGCACCCACAGCTGCCCCTTCCCCCAGGTGCTCTGTCCCAGGGAGACAGGAGTTTTATCCATAAGCCCCTAATTGGGGCTGCTGCCTTTCTTTCAGAGATGCTCTGCCTAGAGAGGAGGAATCTAGAGAGGCAGTCTGGCTACAGTGGCTTTGCCGAGCTGCACTGGGCTCTGCCCAGTTCGAACTTCCTGGCAGCTTTGTTCACACTGTGAGGGGAAATCGGCCTACTCAAGCCTCAGTAATGGTGAATGCCCCTCCCCCCACCAAGCTCCAGTGCCTCAGGTCAACTTCAGACTGCTGTGTTGGCAGCAAGAATTTCAAGCCAGTGGATCTTAGCTTTCTGGACTCCATGGGGTTGGAATCCACCGAGCTAGACCACTTGGCTCCCTGGCTTCAGCCCCCATTCCATGGGAGTGAATGGTTCTGTCTCACTGGTTTTCCAGGCACCACTGGGGTATGAAAAAGAAAACTCCTGCAGCTAGCTCAGAGTCTGCCCAAATAGCCACCCAGTTTTGTGCTTGAAACCCAGGGCCCTGGTGGTGTAGGCACCTGAGGAATCTGCTGGCCTGTGGTTTGCGAAGACCTTGGGAAAAGCATAGTATCTGTGCCAGAATGCACCGTTCCTCATGCCACAGTCCGCTATGGCTTCCCTTGAGTATTGGAGGGAGTTCCCTGACCCTTTGCACTTCCTGGGCGAGGCAATGCCCCACCCTGCTTCTGTTTGCCATGTGTGGGCTGCACCCACTGTCTAAGCAGTCCCAATGAGATGAGCTGGGTACCTCAGTTGAAAATGCAGAAATCACTCACGTTCTGTGATGATCTTGCTGGGAACTGCAGACCAGAGCTGTTATTCTGCCATCTTGCCAGCCGCCGAGAGTCCCTTTTCCTTCCTTTGGAGGGCTTCTGCAGGAGCGGGGGGTGGGGCAGTGGGGTCCTGGTGCCTCTTTCAAGTATAATACTGAATTACAGACTTGTTGCACTAATTGTATAAATACCCATTACACCTGGCACTTGCTCTTCCACATATGGGCAGTAGGTTTATCAGTTGGCAGCCAGAGTCTGAAGACCACAGATATACTAAGCTGGGCAAAAGGACAGAGCCCCTGAGTTTCCCTCTATATAATTTCCAATGCACATAGCCACAGCTGTGGTACAAGTGGCCAAGCACTCCTGATCTATCTTCAGACAGACTCTGGCAAGGGCAAGCTAGAGCACCAGTGCCCTCTCATGGACAAGCCATGAAGCATCTTCAAGGGAACGTGCGTACCCCAGCTGGCTCTATGACGAAGCTGGAAACGCACAACACCTCTCAGCCACTGCCATCCTCCAGGGATGGGGAAGATCGTGGTGTGCTGTCGGAAGAAGCTGACTCTGCCCACCCTCTCCATTGCCACCCATGCCCCAAAAGAATCTGCCCCTGCCGGTGTCTCACTTCTGGAACCATCATCTTTAAGGATCGATTCTTAAACTTCCATCTCAACCAAACATACATCTTAGGACAATTCACTTTCAGAAGTTATGAGTCATCTACCAGTTACTAAGCATGATTACGTAGTTCTTCCTTAATAGAAAACTTTGACCCCAGGACTTCAGGGACATTGATCTACTCAGAATACCGAGATGTTTCAAGAAGTGAGAACCTGCCTCAAAGACAATCTTGCCTTACTAGACTCATCTATATTTTTCTCATCAACGCTCCCAATGACTGAAAAATGCATGCATTATTATTATCCTGATACATTTTACAGATGAGGAAATCAAGTCTGACACCACAGAACTTGGCATACGGCTGAAGTTCAACGCATTAGTCCCTTCTTTACTCTGCTAGTTCACACGGTGCAGCCGCTGTTCTAAGAGGAAATCTGCAAAAATGTGGTCACTGTCTTTTAATGCCTACTGATATGGAAATGCATGATGGGAAAAGTAGAAAGGAAAATATAACCAAATACTACCATTTCCTGAGTTTAATACGATTCTTATGCCATTTCTTTTTAATTTGACAATTTAAGAAAATAATCACAGATTTCTAAACAAAAGACATCTACACCAAGAATCGTCATATTTTTCTGTAAGTGAAAGTTTACAAAGTTTTTTCTTTCTTTCTTTCTTTCTTTCTTTCTTTCTTTCTTTCCTTTCTTTTTTTTTTTTTTTTTTGAGACAGGGTTTTTCTCTGTCACTCCCAGCTGGTGTGCAGTGATACAATCATGGCTCACTGCAGCCTAGATTTCCTGGGCTCAATGCAATCCTCCCACCTCAGCCACCAGACTAGCTAGGACCACAGGCATACACCACCGTGCCTGGCTAATTTTTACATATATATATATATATTTTTTAAAGATAGGGTTTCACCATGTTGCCCAGGCTAGCCTCGAACTCCAGAGCTCAAGTGATCCACCCACCTCAGCTTCTTAAAGTGCTGGGGTTAACAGGTGTGAGCCACTATGCCTGTCTGAGACTTTTCTTATAAGCACGTTTGCTAACAACATTGCTCACTTTTATCAAAATTTAGGTTACTTCCTAACCTCATTGTGAAACAGACATCCATCTCATTAATCCAGCAGCTCATGCCTTGCATACAATCTTTAAAAATGGGGCTAAGGGAATCCAGCAACTCCATATAAAATCAAGAATCTGAGGTTGCTGGAATGTCAAAGGCCATGTCACACTTACCACTTGTTATTATTATCCTCAATATTGCTGCAGGCTGTGATGATATATGTTGGCAGGAGGAGACCTTTAATGGATTTATGTAGGACCAGGAATGTTTAACATCAGGATAAGATAAGAGAGGCCACTGGAGATTTTCTCCGCATATGGCTTGGAAGGTGTGCTTTTTCTCCTTGAAGAGTGAGAGCATGAGAATTCAGCTATTTATTCCCATAAACATACTGGCTGTTTGGCAGGGGGAGTTTGCTTGGAAATGTCCCAATAGCAGCAGAAGCCAATTTAGGATTGAAAAGCATAGTAGGAAATCTACCTTATGGATAATTTATAGGATGAAATCTGAGAGACGCATCTTTTCTTTAAGGGTCTTATTTTGAAGGGCAACATTTTCCTTCAGAAAAATCCTGCAGGACCCCTGACAATGTTGTTAAGGAGGTAAATAACCAGGAACCAGACAGGTCAAGTAAGTTCCTCAAGGTAAACCCAGTTAATAAGTGCCAGAGTTCGCACTTCAATTCAGGTTTCTCATCCCAGTCCTACTGCTTTTTTCACTACTGCATGCTACATACCCAGGTAAACCAGCTAGACTACGGCCAAGTCTCATGGACATAGCCAATTACTATCTGCTGATTACAATTATTTTGTGTGATTTTCTATGGGTTATTTTAATCTGTAGGCAGCAGCAAAACTCTTTTCTCCTACCAGCCATGTAGCTGAGCTATAATGTCCGTTTAACTATATTCCATAATTGTCATTGTTTTGTGGCCAGTATAGAGAAGTGGCCATCACCACATGATCTTTGCCCATATATCCCAGTTAAAAGTCAAGTCAATCTCAATGGGCACAAAAACAAGTTGCCAGTCAGCCATGATTGGCACCAACATTTGACAAATGAGTAAGGTACTTGTTGATTCTTCCATTAAAAAAAAAGGGGGTTTCATAGGCCCTAACTCTCACTCCCAAAAAAATCAGAGCTTCTTTAAAAGATTTAACACGAGAACTCAAACCTCCAGCGCAGTTTATCTCCCTTATCACAGTAAACTTACCATCACTATGTTCATCACATTACAGTGAACTGGTTTGCTTCACTTTTTGAGAGAAAATGTACCTGGAGACTTTAAGCTGGTGACAGAGATGACCTACTTCTCCACTTCTCTGGGCATTAGCAATACATTCTGGAAAAACAGATAAAGTTTACGTCCTCAGGAATTTACACCACCTCAATTTTCATTTAGGCCCCTAAATTGTAGACTGTAAAGAGTACCCTTGTCAGTTCTACTAAGGTTTTGGGTTTAAAAAAATAAAAATCCAAGTCCAGATTTCTATTACAAGTAGAAATTCAATTTCTAATCTACAGTGCAAAAAGCTTTCAGTTTATAGACTTTGTTAAGAGATTAACAGGTTAATGGGAGGCCGAGGCAGGCAGATCACAAGGTCAGGAGATCAAGACCATCCTGGTTAACACGGTGAAACCCCGTCTCTATTAAAAATACAAAACCAAAATGAGCTGGGTGTGGTGGCGGGCGCCTGTAGTCCCAGCTACTAGGGAGGCTGAGGTAGGAGAATGGCATGAACCCGGGAGGCAGAGCTTGCAGTGAGCCGAGATCGCACCACTGCACTCCAGCCTGGGTGACAGGGCAAAACTTCGTCTCAAAAAAAAAAAAAAAAAGAGAGATTAACAGGTTAACGATGGTATAGCAAAACTGTATGAAATATAAAGCTTTTCAGTGCAAAATTGGACCTGTATCCCTCTATTGAGTAGCCATGCCTCTCTCCCCTTTTCTTTTTCGGAATGCCCACCTCTTTCCCATTTCTCTTCAGGGTTAATAAGTAAAAGAAAGAACAGGTAAATAATATCTGTCAAGAGCTCTGAATTATAATTCCAGAGAAGATGGTTGTGGGAAAGCAGGACCTCAAGGATCTGTTTATCACCATCCAGTAGGACCGTGGTTAATGGAGACTTGGCTTTGGCATTTCCTCTTATTTCAAAAGAGAGAAATAAGGAAGTATGTATCCAAACATGCATTTGCTATCTCAACAAAAAGCTATTTATCTCCCCCACAGCTTCCTGCCAAGCCCCAGAAGGTTTCAGGGTCAATGATTACCATCTCTTCATTCAGACATTTTGACATTTGTGAATATGTTGACCTTGAAGACTGGACTGAGTCAGTCCTAACAGATGTTAATTTGATTACTCAGTTCTGACCTCTCCTGAGGTCTGGCTTTTGTCTTCATCACTATATTAAGATGGTGATAACCTCCCTGAAGTCATAAAAATGTTCTGATAAGACTTATCGATTTCAGGTTTGAAATTGTACAGATAACCAAAATGTATTTGGGTAAACTTTTAACCTACTCACTAAGACATATGTCCACCGAGACAGAAACAAGCGTTCATGCTTTTTGTCTCATAAAATACCTCTCTCTCATTTGTTTTTACATTAATAATTATTGCTTGAAAAGTAATACAGCCTACTCTGTCCGCTTTGCATTTATTTTTGCCAGCTTCTGGCAAGAATCAGGACCATTATAATCAGGAAATTAATGAAACTTCTCTCAGAAAATTTTGGACCAAAAAATTTGGAAGACAGCAATCAGATATTAAAAATAGTGATACTCATTGGCTACCTTTAAATAAGTCCTGCATATTTCAGCCCAGTGTTAGAAATGATGACTATCTCTTTCTTGGTATAGCTAAAGATACAGAAGCCCTGGGGAATAAAACCATTTTTTACTCTTATGCCATAGTGGGAAGAGCATGACTTGGAAGCGAGGCATAACTGAGCTCAAATCTTCACTCCACAACTTAACCAGCTAGGTGTTCTTAGGCAAATGACTAGACAGCCAAGTATGAATTTCCTCATAGGTGAGACAGGGATAACACTTACTTTGGATATTAGGACTCAAAGGAAACACTTCTTTCAAACATATATATCCCAAAGGGACACTGAAAACCCAGATTCTTAATTCCCAAGCTTTCTTGGTAACTATGCCTTTAAATTCTAATTAATGAGCTACGTATTCATGACATATTTTCTGTTTTTTACTTCACCTGAGGTAGAGATAATGGCCAAATGTGCTTTCAGTATGACAGAAACAGGAGCTTAAGATAGGAAAAAAGTATTAAGTAATCACTAAACTACCAGAATACCCTCAGAATGGGTAAAGTACATGTCATGAAAACTTGAAACGAAAGAGTTCAAGTCAGGGATTTCATTGAAGTAGTGAGGAACAAGATTTGACTATGATCAAGCAGGGAAGGTGGGAGCAAGATCTAGAAGGTTCTAGAAGTCACTGCCTGTTCTTATCTAAACAATCCTTGGTCTGGCTTTATCTCTGCCAGCCCCTGCATTATTCTCCACAATGGAGCTAGGGATTTATTGTAGGAAAAAATACCCCCCCCGAAAAAAGTCAGGATCACATTCAGAGGTGGCTGAGTGGACCTTCACCTCTACCTTCCCATCTGCTGATGCCTGAAATTCTTTTAACTAGAATGGAACACCTTTCATCCCATAATTATAGCTAAAAGGCTTAAACTTCACAAGGCTGTTTCAGACAGGGTGCTGATGAATTTGAGTTCCAGTCAAAATATAATCAGTCAACATCAGTCAACAAATGTCAATGGTTGGTTATCAGATCTCTCTCTCTGTTTTGATAGAAGAAAGAGGTGAAGAGGGCAAGGTCCCAGACACCTGAAAGGAGAGAAAGGGTCACTACCAGAGGGAAAATTTGTAGAAAAAAAGTTAGTTTATATCACAGGTTCACCTCAGGTAGGTCCTGTTTGCAGCTGAGAGGGTGCAACAGAAGCTGCCTAAACTCAGAGATTTGCTTGGGAAAGTTTTGAGGTTTTTTTAATCTTTTGTTTTCTTTTAGTTTTTGTTTAATCAGCCCTCTGTAAATACCATAAATCTGTTAGCAATAATTTATAAGCTGCTTTTCCTTTGGTGTTGTTTATTTTTCATGGGGACGGTTGGCTTCTTACTGAAAAAAAAAAGAGCTTCTGATAAATTGATAACTTGGGTGCTGAAAGGAAGAGTCCAACCTGCAACAGATGCCACAACTCCCACTTTAATATATTTCTTCCAGGGTGACCCAGGCCCATCAGCCAGTCCATCAGACAGACAGTCAGTCAGCCAGTGAGACATTTGGTCAGCCAGTCAGTCAGTCAGACAGTCAATAAGATAGTCAGTCAGTCAGTCAGCCAGCCAGATAGTCACTGGTCAGTCAGTCAGTCACCCAGTTAGCCAGTCAGTCAGCCGGTCCATCAGTCAGTCAGTTTGTCAGTCAGATAGTCAGAAAGTCAGTCAGTCAGTCACTCAGTCAGTCAGTCAGCCAGCCAGTCAGATAGTCAGTCAGTCATACAGATAGTCAGCCAGTCAGATAGTCAGTCAGTCAGTCAGTCAGTCAGCCAGCCAGTCAGTCACTCAAATAGTTAGTCAGTCAGCTGGATAGTCAGTTAGTCAGTCAGTCAGCCAGTCAGTCAGTCACTCAGATAGTAAGCCAGTCAGATAGTCAGCCAGTCAGTCAATCATTCAAATAGTCAGTTAGTCAGTCAGCCAGCCAGTCAGCTAGTCAGTCAGATCATCAGTCAGTCAGTCAGCCAGTCACTAAGAAAGTCAGCCAGTCAGTCAGCCAGTCAGTAAGACAGTCAGTCAGTCAGTCAGTCAGCCAGTCAGAGAGTCAATCAGCCAGTCAGTAAGATAGTCAGTCAGTCAGAGAGTCAGTCAGTCAGCCAGTCAGCCAGTCAGCCAGTCAGTCAGAGAGTCAGTCAGTCAGCCAGTCAGTCAGCCAGCCAGCCAGTCAGTCATATATAGTCAGTCAGTAAGATAGTCAGTCAGCCAGTCAGCCAGTCAGTCAGATAGTCAGTCAGTCAGTCAGTTGAACATTTAAGATTATGCTTATATTGTATATCAAGATGTACTATAGTTTAAATGTTTTCCCCTTCCCAGCCTCCAGAACTGTGAGAAATTAACTTCTGTGTTCATAAGCCAGCCAGTTTATGGTGTTTTGTTATAGCAGCCAGAGCAGACTAAGACAGGGTATTTTGTTTGTTTTGTTTTGTTTTTCAGAGGAGTTAATTGGTCTGAAAAAGTAAAAGGACTTATAAAGTGAGGTCATCCAACATAGCCTTTTCTCAGCTGAATTTTCACCTAGAATGGCTGCAAAACAAGTTTGAGGACTGTGTACAGTAAGCACAAATAATACAATTGGGATTAGTTAAAATGATAAAACCGTTCTCTTTTCTTTCTTCAAATTATATGGCATACATATGACAGCATATGTGATGACTCAATTTGAGACTCCGTGTCCAACAAAAGGCTTCACAAATTAATATCATCAATTTAAATTATTCACACATGCACAGTGATCTATGTACATGGTTATTCATTACAGCATTACTTATAATAGTATAAGATTAGAAACAATCTAAATGTCCCTGTTTCAAATTATCCTAAGGCAATTTGGCTCTTCAGGAAATATTAGTTTCTTTTGATAACTGTTGATAGTCTCTGGCTATTAGGGGGCTTACATGTCCTCTACCTTAGAATTTCGCTTTCAAGTGCTATGTTGCAACTCCAGACCAAATTCCAGGTGCTGTGAAAGCAACTATCAGACCAAATTTTGCCAAGTATACAAACATTTACTAGTAAGCAAGTCAAAATGCAGGCATATGATATGTTCTATAGCTGGTGATGTTCATTTTCTGCTCTAGGTACTTCGAACAACAGAAGCCAAGATATTCACAGAGAAGTCCTGGCCAGCATACTGATTAGGTTAGGCAACAAGGTGCTCTGTGAGATGAAGGACACAGAATTAGTGAGCCACCTCTATATTTTGAGTTACACCATTGGCAATGGATGGCTTGCTCAAGGGATTTCTTTACTCTGCTCATTCAAAGACTATGAGGTATATATAATCTTCTTAACCAACCACCTATTTTGACCTCCACTCATTTCATCCTTACGCTAATTAACAAAGCTTCTGATGTAGATTTCAATGAGGATACTTGAAGTCTAAGTAATCATCCTTAAAGTGTTGATTGTTGATCAGACTACTTCAAATGCTGTTTAATCACTCCCAAGGCCCAGATCAAATTTCACTCAGGCACATATCACAGAATGTACTCGAAATTATTTCAAAAGAAAATTACTATGGAGGCAATAAACTTGTCCATCAATTGGAGACTAAATAAATTATGATGTACCAATAAAACAAAATACTACATAGCTTTAGGAAAGAATGAGGGCTCACACATGAATAGCTATGGAAATGTGGAACACTCTTTAGGTTATATAGTCACATGAAAATGGATAAGCACAGGGCATTCTGTATAGCATGCCTCCACTTGAGTAAGAAAACAAGAATTCATCTGTTTTGTACATGCATACATACCTCTAGAAAATGGACAAGAACTGGATTATATTGGTGACATGCGGGAATAAGGTAGTGTGAGGGTACTGGGTTAGGAAGAGACATTTCATCATTTTCCCTTTGTATCATTTCAAAAATAATTTCAATATAAAAGATGAAAACATTAACAATCTTTAAACACACTTTACAAAAAACTTTTTTGAGGAATACCTCAGTAATATTCACATATTTATTCATTCTGTTTATGTAGCAAAAAGACTGTGTTCACAGACACTCCTAATGCCTGGCTTGTGGTCAAGGACACTTCTGTCACTCTTTACAAAGTTGTCCCCTTCTCCCTCTATGACTGCATATACTTTAACTTTGCAACAGTCACCAGTCCCCTCCTTCTTTTGCTACTTGTGGCAAATCCGTATGGGTTTGGAGCAACCTCAATTCTTGCCTCCTCAGAAAAAAGAATTTGACTGGGGAGGCATAAGGCAGAGTGAGAGGCAAGTTCTAGAGCAGGAGTGAAAGCTTATTAAAAAGCTTTAGAGCAGGTACTTGGAAGATGCCCAAGCAAATGACTTGAAAGACAAGTGCCCTGTTTGACCTTTGACTTAGGGTTTTATATGTTGGCATACTTCCACTGTCTTGCATCCCTTCTCCTCTGAGTCTTCTCTTAGCGTGGCCTGTCTGCATGCTCAGTGTCCTGCTAGCACTTGGGAGGTGAGCATGCACAGTGTGTTTACTGGAGTTGTGCGCGTGCTCACTTGAGGCATTCTTCCCTTACCACTCAAATGTCCCTGAAAGGCCATATACCAGTAGAACTCTGCCATTTTGCCCCCTAATGCTCATGCTTGAGCCCATTGGCCCCACTCCTGAGATCTTATCGGGAAGCTGCTGATCACCAATTTCAGGTGTTTCTATCTTCTGGGAGACTGCCTATCCTTGGCGTGGGCTGCGATCAATTATTATTTTAGAGAGACAGTGTGACAACTGCCTGACCATCACCTGATGGCTGCCTGACATCCCTGGTGGGGTTGGGGGAGCCCTGTCCTGCCCTGCTCATGCCTGACTAGCTACCCACTGTAACACTTTGTCCTTCTGCATCCCACGCTCAGAGGCTGCAATGGCTCTTTGGTCCTCAGTGGTGGGATCAGCAGCTCTGTTTTCTGCCTCATTCATGCCCTGAAGAAAGTACACAGGAAAATGACACAGAATGATATGCAACTTTTTCCTCTACAGTTTTAAAGGTGAATTCGTTAAGGCCCCAGAGCAAAACATTCTCAACAAAAGCTGAAAATAATGAGGAGCTGTTTAAAAAAATTTTTTTTCAATTCACTGAAATATGTGTTGATGTCATTCTGTTGTTCTTAAACTGACTTCAAGGGAAAACTGGTGAACTTTTGTCCTCCAAGAAGTTCCCCTTTATCACCCCTCCTCCCACCCTGACCCCTTCTACTCCTTTCATTTCCTCCCAATCAAAACACCAGGAACAACATCCCCCTAATCACTATTTTGCTGTCAGGCTTAAATGGGTCAAAGCTCCAGCCACTAGTAAAACAAGAAGCAGTTTGCTTGGCTTGGATGTGGAATTGTATAAATGCTTGCTTAAATGCTGGTTTTCAGATGGTAATACGTTATACAGGAAGGGAGGCCAGTTAGGGGTGATAGCCCCAGTTTGCAGGAAGCATTGGATAGGTTGGATAGGGTAGGGGTAAGCAGGCACTCCCTCACTTCTATGGACAACAGATGTGGCAAATTGGCAGCTCACAGATCTTATTGGCAGCTTTGCTGTGATGCATACTGGTTTCCAAAAGCTTTTAATTAGTAACCGATATCTAAAAAATTTGGAGATTTCACAAAATTCTGGAACTGGCAAGTTTTAGTTGTACATCTGGCCAACCAAGACCTGAATACCTCCAAAGCAACACTTGTATGAGGAGGGGCTGCCCACGTTAGGTAAAGCACACTCTCCAATTCCACAAGGTCCCAGGGACCTGGCTGTTCTGGGGGCATCTATTGCTATATAACAAATCACTCCAAAAATCAACAGTTTAAAACAACTCTCTTACTTTGCTCATGATTTTGTAGTTACAATCAGATATTGGCTGGCCTGTGATCATCTGACCTTTCATCTGGGCTGGGGAGCCCACACCAGCACAGCTATGGCTGATGTTGGCTGGGGGATTAGCTGGGGCTATATATTGGAGCATGTATTTGTGGCCTCTGTAGCATGACAGCTGAGAGGGTCTTCATCTCAGACTTCTTACATGGTGGCTGGCTTCCTCCTTAAGGGCATCCTTAGAAAACCAGGAAGAACTGAGTGGTCTTTTATAATCTAGTGTCAAAATTTAAACTCTGTTGGCTGAAGCATTTATGAGCCACCCAGTTTCAAGTGGAAGGGATATAGACACCACGTCTCCATGTGAGATGTGTCAAATAATTTGAGTCTCACATACCTGACCTGCTTAATTCCTATAAATTTTTGTGTGTGGGTCTCCAGGGCCTCAATGAATATTGCAGAAATGGATTTTCCCCTTTCCCTCTCCTGCCTGTTCTCTGTTTTCTGAACATGCAAGTTGGGGGACAGTATTTACAGAGTATCACCCACATGTCATTTCATCATCTTACAGATGTTTTGCAGAGCACCAACCTTGTGCCAGGTACTTTCCATACTTTCCAGGTACTGCACATACTTTAACTTTGCAATAGTCACTTGTCGCCACATTCTTTTGTTACTGGTGGCAAACTTCCATACATTTTTTCATTTAACACTCACAATAGTGCTGTGAGGTAGGTATTATCTCCATTCTGCAGATAAGGAAATCAAGCTTGAAAAATCAAATACTAAGAGTGGGGTTGTACAGATTCAAAAGGGAAGATCCAGAACTCTAACGCAGCTTTTGCAGTGTCTAACATGACAAGGGGGATTATAATTTTTGCCTGGGTTCCTGAGCAATATCTATGAATGTATGGTTATATACCTCATTTCTGATAAGAATAAGAGACTGCCCACTTGTGCATGACTCCCCTGGGCAATGTCTCACTGGAGATACTGCAGAAGGTTCCTCACGTTGAAAGGCAAGTATTTGGGAATTCACAGGCCTTTGTCGTCAGCTATTCAACAGATCTTATACTAGGATCTCCCCAACAAAGCTAAATGATGCAGAAGCCATCATTCACAAACAGGATTATGTCTTCTGGCAGCAGTTTGGGCGTTTCGGCCTGCAGCCCCGGACTCTGGAAGGCAGACACCTACGCTTATCCATGAAGTGGGCTGGCTTCTCACACATCCACATCCGGGGTGGCTGGGAATAGACAAGAAACAAATCCAAGAAGGAGAGATGTAGGAAGGGGTGGTGAGGAGAATATGAAGTATTTGCAGCCTAAGAAAAATATGATCCTGGGCAGAAGTGTTAGGGAAGATGCACAAAATCTAAGTGGGGTCTAGGAGTGCCCCAGACCAACATTTCCAGGTTCTATACATAGATATGTCTTCACTTTGTTCTCTGGTGTGAGATTTTCAGAAACAGACCTCTGGGTCTCCTCTCTTTCCAGCTAATTCTCCTTCCTTCTATTCATACTGTTTCCTGGCATGATAGGAAGGCTACTCTGTTCCTATTAACACAAGGCATGGGTAAGGGAGTAGTAAGAATTAATATTTACTAAGACCCTACTATGTGCTAAGCATTGCCTACATGCATTCAACCTCTGCCAGTCTCCTGTGAATTGGATATTATTGTCCCAGTTTCATGGAGGCTTAGAAAAGAAGATTGCCTAAGACCACACAGCCAGGAGGCGTCTGACTGAGAATTCTAATTCAACCCGCAATGGTTTCTTTTTCCTTTCCTTTTTCTTTTTCTTTCTTTTTTTTTTTTTTTAGACCGAGTCTCACTCTGTCACCCAAGCTGGAGTGCAGTGGCGCCATCTCGGCTTACTGCAACCTCCGCCTCCAGGGTTCAAGTGATTCTCCTGCCTCAGCCTCCCGAGTCACTGGGATTACAGGCGCCTGCCACCACGGCTAATTTTTTTTTTTTTTTTTTAAGACGGAGTCTCGCTTTGTCACCCGGACTGGAGTGCAGTGGCACGATCTCGGCTCACTGCAAGCTCCACCTCCCGGATTCACACCATTCTCCTACCTCAGCCTCCCGAGTAGCTGGGACTACAGGCACCCACCACCACGCCCGGCTAATTTTTTGTATTTTTAGTAGAGATGGGGTTTCACCATGTTAGCCAGGATGGTCTCGATCTCCTGACCTCAAACCCCCGTGTTTTGAGATTTCAGGTGCTAACTTGGTGAAACCCCATCTCTACTATAAGTACAAAAAATTAGCCAGGCGTGGTGGTGGGCGCCTGTAGTCCCAGCTACTCGGGAGGCTGAGGCAGGAGAATGGCATGAATCCGGGAGGTGGACCTTGCAGTGAGCCGAGATCGCACCACTGCACTTCAGCCTGGGCAACACTGCAAGACTTCGTCTCAAAAATAAATAAATAAATAAATAAGTAAAATTCCTGCCCAATCCCACCTCCCATTTCTGGGCCCTTCTTCAGCTTCTTTTTGCCCATTTCATTTTTATATCACATCAATACATGTATACTGTATTTTTCCAAATATAATATGTATATGTAATTTTTAAAATACAGGTTTTTCAAAGTCAGCCCCACTTACCTCCATCAATCCTTGCGCTAAGCAAATATGATCACTTTTTAAAGTTTTTGGTTGCTTCTTGAGAACTATTATTAACCTTTACATCCCTCAGATTACTTGTCATGGTTCTTGGCTAATAGTAAGTGCTGAGTTGATTTTGGCTAAATGAGACTGACTTCCCGCAGACTTTCACAAGAATACATTATCTTGCCTTTGAAATTTTCTTCTTCCTTTTCTGAAACTCTCCATACCACTTTATTCTATATTTTAATTCCCTTTGGCCTTCCAAACCCCTTTTTTCCTTTGGAAATACAACAAATATCATTAAACATGAAAAGCAATAGGGGGAGGACAATATATAAAATAGTTCCACATTACAGAATAATTACTAAGAACTGAAGAATTTTTTTTTAACCAACTGCACAAACTAATAACCAAAGTTTGGAAACGTCAAGATCTATGATCAATTCCTTTCATAAAAGGTGAAGGTCATTTTTAATTAGTGAGTCGATTACTTCCATTTAATGGATGCATGAAATTCTTAAAAATTCAACTCAACAACCATTTACTGAGCACTCAGTATGTGTTCATTGTTGCCTGAAATCTAAAGATAGCTAAAATGTAGCTATGTCCTTAGAGGAGCCCGCTAACCAAAGCAGGAGATAGAGACATAAGTGAAGATACAAGGTAGTGATTATGGGGCTGGTGGAGAGAGAGGAGGACTCAGAGGACACATATAGACATCCTCAATTTCAAGGTGGAAAATGATGATTATGGTGCCACTTTCAGATTCCACCTGGCGGCAGAATTAATAGTGGCTTGTGCACCCTGAAATATAGTTACACACTTCCCCCACTTTTTTAGAAGATGTAAGGAAGGTAAACTTAAGCCTAATGTAATCACACATCCAAAAATCAGTGAATTTCAAAAGGATACCATTTTTAATTATGCATATAAATATATTCCATTAGTGCCACAACCTCCAGCAATCATTAGGAATCATTTTTTATTTTCTCTGGGGTCTCAACAGGTATTGACCATTAACTGCCATGGGAAGCCCCTTCACTATTTGTTTTCTGACTACTTGCTATCTTCAGTGCCCTAGAAGAATCTTCGACAGATTATCAGAACATTAAATATAAATACAGAACACTAAAGAAAATCTTTAAGAATTCATCTCTTGTCAAGGTTATCTTGAAGACAACCCAGGTCAAAGGCATATTGTCTGAAACCTGAGGTATAGTTGCCCGGATTTACGAAGTGAGGGGTTTTGGGGGTGGGTAGAATGTTAAGGAAGAAATCGATCAGAAATAGATTTTTGTTCTCAGAGTACCATACAAAGCATGAACTTCCCCCTAAGTCTTTGTCTTTTTAAATGTGGTATCCCATCCATTAGATGCTCATCATACAGTTATTTTGTCTTTTTATTTTAACTAGCTTAGATAGAACAATGCTGTTCTTGCAAAGCCTTACCACAGGAAAAGAATATAGGAGAAGGGGAAGATCTGAACCAAGTCACAACGAAGTAGGGAAAGTTTGTTTCTGATGTTCTTACTCCCCTTTCAAATGCCTTCCATAGCCACCTGTCTCAGGATGGCTGCCTCCAGAAGAAGATCGTAAGATAAGAATATCAGTGCAAGTAGTTTTCAATTTTAAAAAAAAAGTGATCTCAGAAAGCTCTGATAAGGGAATAGGACAATAAAAAGGGGAAAGGAAGGAAACCAATAAAGGATGTATTATCAAGTAACTTACTACTAGGACAACTGGGGTTCAACTCCAATGAGGACTCCGATAAAGAATACAAAACCTTTCTAGTTATCCCCAGCAATTATCCCCAGCAAGAAATGAGAAAGCTGGGGTATTCATCCACCAATCCCTGTCCATCATTGATTTCGAGCTGTTTCCAGAGGCATGAACTACCAATGCTTCTGACCCTCCCCATACAAAGCCAAGAGAAAGCCCTCATGTGGAGAGTTGGAGGTACCTGCAGTAGGAGGAGGTGAGTACGCACTAGAATGGCGCAGGCCAATGTTATATGGGCAGGACATCAACAGTGACTACTGCACCACCTTATCTTTTATTTACTCAGCGTTTCTTTCTTTTTTTTTCTTTTTCCTTTTTTTTTTTTTTTTTTGAGACAGAGTCTCAGTCTTGTTGCTAAGGCTGGAGTGCAATGGTGCGGTCTCGGCTAACCGCAACCTTCACCTCCTGGGTTCAACCAATTATCCTGCCTCAGCCTCCCTAGTAGCTGGGATCACAAGCATGTGCCACCATGCCTGACTAATTTTGTATTTTTAGTAGAGACGGGGTTCCTCATGCTGGTCAGGCTGGTCTCGAACTCCCAACCTCAGGTGATCCACCCACCTCAGCCTCCCAAAGTGCAGGGATTACAGACGTGAGCCACCACGCCCGGTCTTACTCAACATTTTCAAAGCCTGTTCTTTCCACGTATTTCTCTCCTTCCGTCAGCACTTTAAAGTTAGAGGTCTTTTCCTCTATAGGGGGGAAAATGGGGAAAAAGTTGAGTAAAAGGGGAGCCCTGGAGCATGTGGTGATTTTAAAAAAACTGAATAAGAATTATTTTTATGAAGTTTGGGCCACAGGGGAGAGTTATTGCAGAACTAATGGAATTTTAGGGGGAAATTCTTGTCTTGTATTTGTACGAAATAGCTCTGCTTCGATTAATAATAATGACTTGTGGGAATAATTCAGTAAGACTTGTCTCTCCTTGTCTCCTTGTATCACAAACCTATATCTGCCTACCGTCCCAGGTTAAAAAAAAAATCGGTAAGTTCATAAAACAAAACAGTTGAAGTCTTCTATTTGCAGGGCAAATTTTTATGAATAACCTTAATGTAACTGGGGAGCCTTTTGGTCCAGCTTCAGGATGGTGTCATATTAAGAGAAACATAGTTGGTTCCAATGGACAAAAAGTAATTCAAATCTTTACTCAGTCTGTTAAGCCTTTATGCCCAGAAAACCATTTTTGTAATTTTCTCTCCCAATTTCTGCCTTCTCAATCTTATTCACAGGAATGATAGCTGTTCTCCTAAACTTTCCCACTGTTTACTTCTATACATCAAAACCCTCCCAAGTCTAATTCTCATAGCTTTTCTCTGTCTCCTTGTCTCTCTCCCTTAAAAATAAAAACAAATCAACTAAGATACTTTATTATCTTCATTTTTCCATTGCACATCATCTCTTCAAGGGCTACACAGAAGCATATACTACTCTCTGGGAGCTATAATGAGATGTGTGCGTGCTGGGAGGAGGGAAGAGAGGGGGTTATATGAAGAGGAAGCTTGTGAATACTGATGCCTATATTAATTTTGTTTTTGTTTTACTTTTTATATCTATCCATCAGTCTGTATCTATCTATATCTATTGGAAAAAAAACTAAACCAAACATTTTACAGAGACCCCCGTTTCCTGTTGCTTTCTACCTTTGACCCCTTTTCTTTCTGTCTGCCAACTAACTACCTTTTCCACCTCGTGAACATTGACTAGCCAATAAACTATAAGACTTGCATAAAAAAAGTTCTTGGAAAATACTGTTCTAATGGTTACTGAGCAAGGAGCACAAAACAGGGATGACTCCCAACTGTGAGTTTCAGTTAAAGTGGCAAACTGCTGTCTAAGCCCAAACTGCAAAGATGGATACTCAACTGTCCCTCTCCTCCAAAAACTCCAACCCTGATTCAACTGGGGAGTCACCAGATCCTCAGATGCTCCCTGAATAAAGGAATCAGCTAAGTAGAGACTTTATTAATCTCTATTTGAGTCCCTTAAAATCATTTTCTTTTCAGTCTGTCTGTATGCAGACACACTGTAGATATATGAAGTATAATAAGATGTATATATACACATATAGATATGATGTGTGTGTTATGACAAATTAAGTTATAAAGCACTTTCACACTCTCTATACTTTTAAAAGAGCCAGCAATCCTATGAGGTAAGCACCAGTTTGAATTATTTTCCTCATTGTGCAAGTGAGAAAAATTAAAGCTCAGAGGAGTTAGGTGAACCGGCCCAAGTTTACACAGCTGGTTACTACATATCCAAACCTGGACCCCCAAATCCCCTGGTATTTGTTGTATTACATCATGGTATTCCATGTTCATTTTGAGACTTCCCTAGTGATTTTGCTTGCCATTCTTTATCTCTCATACCAGAGAGCACCCTAAAATCCAGAACAAGAGCAAATGATCCTGTGTCTTGGAATCAACAGTCAGACCCCTATGTTAGGCTATATGCATGTATTCATGATATGTCTATGCTTGAGTGAATGATTTATGATTGTGTATAATACTATCTCATTGTGGAGAAAACAGAAAATGCAGAAAACTGGCGAGGCGTGATGGCTCACGCCTGTAATCTTAGCACTTTGGGAGGCCGAGGCAGGTGTATCACATGAGGTCAGGAGTTCAAAACCAGCCTGGCTAACATGGTGAAACCCCATCTCTACTCAAAATACAAAAAAATTAGCTGGGTATGATGACAGATGTCTGTAATCCCAGCTACTTGGGAGACTGAGACAGGAGAATCACTTGAACCCGGAGGCGGAGGTTGAAGCGAGCCGAGATTGCACCACTGCACTCCAGCCTGGGTGACAGAGCGAGACTCTGTCTCAAAAAAAAAAAAAAAGAAAGAAAGAAAAAAGAAAATGCAGAAAATTGTACAGAAAACAAAATCACCTTTAATTTAGCCAATCAGTCATAATCACTGTTAGTAGTCAGTGTATATCTTGTGTAAACAGAGACACATGTTATAGTCTACATCAAAACAAAACATGGATAATGTAAGAAAGGGCAATAGAAGTCAATCCCACTTAAGAACAAAGATACGAAATTCTAAACAAAAGTATTAACAAGCTAAATCCCACAATTTATAAAACAATACATCATACACATCATTATTGTAATGCTCCACACTAACATTTTTTAAAGTATGATCTCACTAGATGCCAAAAAAAGCATTCAAAAATTAACATTCACTCATGAAAGAAACGGTAACATGGGAAGAGAGGGAAACATCCTTAATCTGATAAAGTGTATCTACCAAATCTTTCTGTTTTCTGTCAGAAACAAGACAAAGATAGCTGCTTTTTCCTCTTCAATATTGGCTTGGAGGCCCTAGCCAGCACAGCAGGAAAAGAGAAAAATATAAACATATACTAATTGGAAAGGAACAAACAAAACTGTCATTATTTACATTAAATTGTCTACATACAAAACTCAAAAAAAAAGCCTACAGAGAAATATATTAGAATTAGCTAGAGAATTGAGCAAAGTTTCTGGAGGTAAGTTCAATTATGAAAGAAAATTGCATTTTTATATATCAACAACAAACTATTAGAATGTCTAATTTTAAAAATTAGAATAGCAACAAACACGAGGCTCTCTTAAAGACTTGTCTTGAAGAATTTCCTAGAGAAAGTTTTCTCTAAAAACGCAAATATCCCGGGGGAAATAATAGGTCATGTGATAGAAAATAAAAGTGGTCCTTTTCCTGCTGACACCACAGGAATGAGCTTGTATATCTAACTTACGTTTAGAAGAAAAGCTGTTTTTGTTTTATTTTATTTTACTTGGCAAGACTATTGAGAAATGGAAAGCATGAGCTCTGGCTTAAAAGAGGCTGAAAATTTTGAAACTTTAGTATGGTAGAAGCTGGGGAAATGGCCATGTCAAAGCTGCAGGCTTCTTAACTGCAAGAGGTAGAGCTTTGAATGTATTTCCATTGCAGGATATTCCTTTTTCTGAAAGTAAAAGCAAATGGACCATGTTTCCATGCACATGTCAAGCAGAGGCTCCACAGAGTTGAGTGTAGTGTGTGATTGTGTGTGTTATAAGCAGCTACATCTCTACAGGCCATCTGATGTCTCTTAGGTGGTGCCATGCCTGACCCTCACTTGGTCCTGAGCATGACGCGTGCTCCATTGAAATAGATGCTCACCAGAAAATCACAAGCTTGAAAATCAGAAGCCTGCAGGAAGGACATGGAGGATGATCTGGAGGGAAGACCACAAAAAGAAACTTGGGTGGGTTTAGTAGAACTCAACCTGGAGTGAAGGGCTAATGACCCACATGTGGTTTTACTTAAGTCCAAATATCCCAGATCCAAGAGAATATTTAAAATGAAAGGAGTACACTTCTTTGCAGCACAGAGGGACAGATGCAAAGGAAATAGCATCCCACCCATTCCTGCCTTTCTTTTTGTTTCTTTTTTAAGGATGTGGCATTAGTACTTTCTGCTGTAATTGTGCTGCAGGACCACACATTTGTGGGTTTGGGTCAGCGTGTCCAAGTAAGGAAATGGATATTATTTAATTTTCAATGATCTAGGAAGAAGAGGATTCCAAGGGAGGAAATGAGGACTTAGAAAACTGACCTTAGAAGGAAGAAGAACAAATTATTTCTGGGCCTTACTATCTTTATCATGAAATCTACAAACATGTTTCAAGAATCTTCCAGCCAGTAAAAGGAAGGTGGCCTCCGACATAATGAAGCAACCAAAAGGTGAAGAAAAGAGGCCCTGAAGTTACAAGGTGAGGCTGGTCCTGACCCTGTGAGTTCTGAAAGCAACCATCCCCCTGGCTGGAGTGTGTAGTCCTTCCATCCATTCCCCAGAACAAGTCATGCTCTGGCATTTACTATGATTTTAGTGAACGCTTAGATGGACAAAGACAGGAAACTTCCTTTGGATTTTCCAAGACAAGTGGTTTTCAGAGTGCAGTTCCCAGATAAGCAATCCCCTGGGAACTTGTTAAGAGTCTCCCACCTCCCACTTACTGGACCCAGAACTCTGGAGGTGGGGCACAGGGATCTATGGTTTAAGAAGCCCTTCAGGTGATTCTAATGCACACTCAATTTGAGGGCAACTAGGCTGACAGTAAAATCTCACACAGGTGAGAGGTATCAAGTTGAATTTAAATTTAATGTGACCACATTTGAGCAGCCACTTTAGCGAGGTCTGAGTTAGAGTCATTAGTAGCGTTCACATAATATTTTCAGCTGTCTGCTCTCTAGGCATAGAGTAGGATGATATTTGTAACTCCTTTGAGGTTAAATGGGACCACAAGACTGGTTTTTGCCAATGATTCATAAAAGGAAGCATTTGATTGTCAGCACGTGACTTTATAGAGTTTTATACTAAGGTTTGAGATACAGGCTGAGCATTCCTAAACTGAAAAGTCTAAAATCCAAAATGCTCCAAAATCCAAAATTTCTTGAGCCCCAAGTGAAAAATGTCATAGTTGACCTCATGTGACAGGTCTCAGTCAAAACACAGGCACACAACAGGCAGTTTATTCAGTGTTCCCAACGGAAAAATAAAACTACCTTCAAGCTGTGTGTATAAGGTGTACACGAAACAAAAATAAATTTCATGTTTAGACTTGAGTCCCATCCTCAAGACATCTCATTATGTATATGCAAATATTCCAAAATCCATAAACACTTCTGGTTCCAAGCACTTAGGATTAGAGAGTCCTAACCTGTAGTGACTGCTCCATCAGTCTGGGTCCCAGAGCAAGAAGACCTAGAAAAGGACTTGTTCGTATAAACTACTACGATTTGGGGGTTATTTGTCACTGCAGCATAACTCAGCCCATCCTAACTCATATTACTTAAAACTATGACCACGTCTTAAATTTCTGTCAATGTTCTTATTTCAAATATTCCATACCATTTTAAACTGCAGGTTCCAGTTTTTGTTTCTGTCACATATAATTTGCTAGTTGTATCCTGTGGACACAATTTTGGCTAGGTTAGACATATGGTCTAACACGGAGCTGGGGACACTATAGGAGCTTCATAGATACTAAGTTATCCATCTACCATAATCCACATCCATTTTAAAAGATCACTCTTTCCTATTCGGGAGGCTGAGGCAGGAGAATTGCTTGAACCTGGAAGGCGGAGGTTGCAGTGAGCCGAGATCGCGCCACTGCACTCCAGTCTGGGTGACAGAGTGAGAATCTGTCTCAAAAAAAAAAAAAAAAATCATTCTCTCTTTAGAGCCCATGTTTCTGTCCATAAAATCTACCTACCACAAAAGACTCCTCATATTTTCCCCCTCAAATGGTTTCTTTCCCTCTTGATAATACTTAAATCCAACATTTGAATCTTCTTGCTTTGTTTTAATTATTAACTGTGATTAGGCACTCCAAGGGTTCTGGAGCAACCGGGCAATTGAACATGGGTAATTTTCCTGATTATTTCCCTGAGTCAACCCGGAACAAATATAAACAAACAACAGAAGTCAAATAAGGAGTATTTGTTTTCTCAGCTAGATCACTGTGGATTTACACCTCTTTCCCATTTGCACTAATGAGAATTAGATGAGTAATTCCCCCACAGAGAACACAAACCCTGAAGTCCTTTCAGTGCTATTCTAAAGTGGTAGCAAGAATGTAAAGCTATTTTAGTGCATGCAGCTAAAAATTACCAACTACCATGTAGCATACTTGAGCCTAAACATCTTTCCAGAATTAGGCTGTGAGCTCCTGGAAATGTGAGATGCATTTTATCTTATCTTTGAATCCTTAAGGTCTAGCACAGAATCTGGCATATTGACAGCCATCAGTGCATGTATTTTGTTGAATAAGTGAAGGAATGAATGAACGAAATCAAAATTTTCTTTTCAGTTATTTCACTAGAAGAAATTAAAGACCAAATTTTGGTTAATGACTCCTATAAGAGAAACATAATTATTAAATTTGTTCTACTCGAGACTAACACTTTAAGGGTTTCTGCCTTGACTCGAATCGTTAAACTCTGAAAATGTGTTTGTCTCATTCCAGGAATCCCATTCTGCCAGCCCGGTAAAGGCAAAAACCCCTATGAAACAGATAATGCACCTGTGATCAGAAGACTAACTAGGAACATATGACAATGATTGTTATATTATTTTTCAGTAAATGCTGACAATTTTAATTAAACAAATAAACCAGTGAAAAATTAGCACCTTCATCTGAAAAAGAATGGTGGTCACACGATTTCCTTAGCTCCCCAATTCACACTCAGTGGTCAAGGTGTCAACAGAATAACCATAACAAAGGTCAAAGTTCCTAGTGTTCCCTTATGGCCAGGGAGATCTCAGGGTTTTGCTCCAGGATATTTAAATATTTAATTACCTGACTCTGATTCCATAGTCCAAAGTAGACCAAAGGACTCTATTCTTGGGAGGACGCTCTAGTGAAGGAAACTCTGGAAATGAAATGAACCCTCCCTACGTCACCATCTCTTTCTTCATGTCTGTTCCTATGTGGAATACTTTTCTGGGTAGCTAAAGATATTTGGAATGGAATGAGACAACGTGCCCAATTAACTTGTCCTAAGAATCTTTCCGTCTGCCTTAATTAAAGATTTGGTTAAAATACAAGTTTCTATTTTCAAATGCAAATTAGTCATAGGTTAATTTATACATTAGTGTGAATTAGTTTCCATACCATGCAATTTTTTTTCCAGAATCCTTTGCCCACTTAGAAACAAAACAGTAAGCAACTCAGTTATACTCAGGTCTCTTTATCCTGTTTCCCATATATTATGTGAGCAATTATTTTATTAGAGAGAGTTTAACAGAGAACAAAGAGCGCGTTTATCAATGAAACCTTTTCATGTTTACCATTCTAGAATCAGGTCATAAGAGTGCAGTATTTCTTTGCATTGTCCTCTTTTGATAAGGATTATTAGTTGCAAGCAATAGATATAAACTCCGGTTAATTTGAAGCACAATATGAATATTTTATAAGAATACTGGGTAGTTCACATAATCACCAAAAGAGGGTAACAACAAGACTCACAAACTATGCAGACAGAACAACACCTTGGATCAGGTCAAAGAACCGGTGAGGTCTCCATTGCTAATGTTTTTGAGCTAGTTCCCACAGCTTGTACTACCAGCCTGCTCACAGGAGTGTCAACCGTGACCTCACTGCCACCACTTCCCTGGAAATTCAGTCTTCCTGCCTTGCCATTGCCACCAAAGTACGGTGTTTCTTGGTCTCTACTAGTTCCCATGTCAGAGTTTGTGGCACCTTCCATTGGTGAACTTGACCCTGTGCCTGCATGGTAGCAGCAAAGGAGACTAAGAAAAGCATGTAGTGTCTGGCAAGGAAGGCAAACTCTTCTTCCTAGGAAGATGCATAAAGTAAAGATAGTGACTGTTTCCTAAAAATTGTTAGAGATTGTAATATTCCCCTAAGTTTAGATTTCTGCCATGGAATATTCCCATTTTATTGAGATTGTTGATATATCAAAAATGTGTGTGCATTTATGCCCTAATTAAAATAAATGTCATAGAAACCTTCAAATAGCTTGAACTGGGGAGGCTAACTGTTATAAATTAGGACGAGGGAAAGTGGAAAAATATGATCCAATTTTTCTAATATGGAAGAAACCCCAATATGAGTTGATGAGTTGGAGACTTGAGAATCTCATTGCCTAAAGTGACATATCTATACCGTGGTTTGAGTGTCACAGAATTTCCTTTGGTATTTCATCTGGCTTATGTTATGTTGTTTCAGCAACATCTGGAGGAAACCAGAGTTAAGAAACTTCATGTGTTATATGCTGTTAATACCTGCTTCACCTAGATCTTATCATTTGAAGACAATAAACCACTGTGAGCACAGCACACTAAATCAGTAGCTGAGAAACTTGGGTGCAGTGCCTGACCTCATCACTGCATGCTAGAGTCACCATGGTGGGAAGACATAGAACATAAACTTGATATGATTTGGGTAGAGAAAAGCACATTTTAATGCCTTAATTTCCTCTCTGTTTCCTTAAATACCTCCATTTCAGAACAAGAAGTGCAGATCCGACAAGCCAAGAGTTTCAGGTAAATACCAGTACATTATTGCTGGCCTGGAGACAGTTTTTGGGTGAAGCCACGTGGAGTCATGTCAACCATAACAGAATCTCAGGATTTAAGCAGACATTTAAAGTCACCAGGACCATATGCCATGCAGGCATATCCTCTACAGCACCCATGACAGGAACCTGTCCCGACTTCTACTTGAAATTACCAGAACCCATGGCCTCCCATCTCATTGTTAAACCATGTTCATTGTTTGGAAGCTCTGCCAGCTTATAATACTTGATTCCCCTCAATGGTCCCACTTCTTCCTTGGCCCCTAAGAACCTCCAAATGACAGTCTTTCAAATATTCAAAAATATTTATGTGCCATCCAACCTTAAGTGTGTCAAACCTACATCTAGTAACTTTCTTAATACATCTTTAATACATCTAGTAACTTCCCAATCTTCTGCATTCTCACGCCCATTCAATCCTCTCCCTTGAATGTTTCCTGGTGCCCTGTGAGACCCTCCTACCTCGAGTCTTGCCTCTTCTAATCTTCAATCCACTGGTAATACATTAGCCTCAAAAATATTTCCAACATCAACATCTTTAAAAAAAAATAACACCAGATAGCTTCTTACTGCCTTCAAAAGAAAGCTCAATTTTTAATCCCCGGTAGCCCTTCGTTATGTGTTTCTTGGCTTCTTTCTCCAGGCCCATCACTCATCTTTCACACAAAATCTATCAAACTCTCAACTACTTTGAGTTCCCAAGCCATTTTTCTCTCCCACATGCACCTTAATATACAGCCTCTGCCTATAATGCCCTCTTTTCCCATCAAATGGATCCCTCCCACTCATCCTTTCAACGCCCCCCCCCAACACCATCCCCCTCACAAAGCAGAATCAGACACCCCTCTCATGGCATTCTGCTCTTAATCTATTTTATAAATATTAATGCACTACATTAAAATCATTTATTCACTTGTCTGTCTCTACCACTAAAAGGCAGTTCTGTGAAGGAGGGGATTCTACTGCATTACTCACCACCATCTCCCCAGAGCATGGTTCAGTCCCTGGCATATTGGAGGAGTACCATCACTCTATTGAGTGTTGAATCCAGCTTCTTCAACCTTCCCTCCTAGGACTTAGTCACTAGATTAGCCATAATCCTTGTTGCTTCCCCCACTGCCTCATATATCTGCAAGTTTTTCAATGTTCCATCTAAAACTGGATGCACAAACTCAGTCTTGATTCTGAAGCCAAATGAGGGCGGAAAAAACCCTAGGAAAAAATTTTAAAATTTTGTATGACTTGTGCTGCAAGTCCAGCTATTCCTCTTCCTGCTCTTCTTACTCGGAGGCTACCACTGGCTGGGTCAGGATCCCAGAATGTGGGATCCTAGAAGGTTAGTGGCTCTGCCAAACACGTATTAGAGTTTTCATGTCTTTATATGGGAATTAGTAATAACTTTGCCCATATGCTACATAACATATGCATTAAGCAAGGCTTAATAGCTATTAATAAAATATTGATGCATTTGTTTTTCTGGCCAAATATTTGAAAGTAGCTTGAACCATTTCCAGATGGTGACTTTATCTTTGTATCCTGTGATGTGAAAGTCATTGCTAAGCTATGTTCTTTAGTATGCACTCTGCAGGTTATTTTCTTCACATGTATACACAATGATTTTGTTATTCAGTGGCTGTTACAGACAGTGATCCCAGAGGAACATTTCCATCTTGACAACATTGAGGGAATTTATTTAATATATTTGAAGATTGTCCCCAAATCTTCCATTCTCAAGTTTTTACAAATTTCTAACATCACGCTCCCAAACTTGTATACTGCTGGATCATCCATTGCATTTTACGGTCCTTAGTGTTTCCAGTTATTTTTCTCATTATTCCATTTTTTATCTATCTTTATCATCATCAATAGTGAGTCTTATTTCAGTGTAATAGTCCACTTGATTTTCCTCATCTACATTTCTTCTTTGGATTTTTAGAGTTCTTGTAGATGGTTCAACCATTTTCACATATCTTAAAACTTCTAATCCTTCAAAAGGTAAATAAATGCAAAAAGTGAAGAAAAGTCTGTGAGTGAATAACAAAATACACAAAAGCATGTGCAATTCTTGTAGTTACTGTATTTTCATCATTTATAACATTTATAAGTAAACAGACATGGTAGTCACATGATCACTGGATATCTCCATATAAATTGGCAATATGACTGGTATGATCCAAGGAAATTTATGCCCAGGTGCACTTCGAGAAAATTTACCTAAGCAATTTAGATGATGGAAGGATGAATGAATGGAGAGAAAAGGAGAGAGAGACATACACACACAGACTGACTTTCCTTTTACCCACTTCATGATTTAAAATGAGCTTTAAGATGAAAGCCTTCTTCTCTTTTATGGAGCATGGAGTGATAAGTGGGGACTTGGAAGAAGCCTCTCTGAAGTCTACTACCAGCTATACAGGCCAACTTTGCAATCTTAGGGAAGTAACTTATCTCGCTGGGTCAGTGTTCATATCTTCAAAAAGCAAAAAGTTTTATGAGGTTCCACTTCTTCTACTTCCAAAAGCATATAAGTCTATGATACTAAAAATCATTCTGCAAATATCAAATCTTGTGTGTGGTATATACTTTTATTACAACTGAAGGAAAAGATATGTGGAAGAGTAGTGTTGTGGGAGAGAATGTGGAAGAGACTGCAGACAAGGAATAAAAACAACTACAACTGATTATCAAAACCTGGTTTAGTCAGAGGTCAGATGAGCAAGGCCTATGAGCCGAGAAACCAGAAAATGGGATGCATCCACCAGGACAGAAGAATCACAATGACAGGTAAGTAGAATCTCATTCTACTTATTTACATCTGAATAAGAAGAGTGGATGAAAATAGTCAACATTTGTTGGCAAAGAGTTAATACTCGTAAAGATTAGAAGAATATTTAGCACACTGTAACTGCTCAAAAAATATCAGCTATTACTATTACCATTGTACATTTTTACAATAGGTAGATTTCTAGAAATATCATGAGATGCAAACATTACCACAAATGCTTTGGATTGTTGCTAAATTTTGGGAAAGTTGGAATGTCTACCAACCCACGGGAATTTGGAAATCTCTTTTACGTCGTCAGCCTTTCCTAAGATAGGCATGTCCACAAGTGGAAAGAAGAGGTGGGATGGTTCTAAGACACGTTTCTTGCTTATCTCCAAAGCTAAGGGGTTATGCCCTGTTTGTGGGGCAAGCCTACAGGAATGCTAACTGGCTGTGTCCTGGGTGACTCTTGAAGGGAACTGAAGTGAGGACATTCTGTGATGTTCTGGAAGGTCTAGGAGATCGAGAAGTAACATGCACCAGGGGCTTCCAACAACAATCCAAAGTGGGGATGGAGAGCTGAAAGTCCGCATGAGGTGAACGGGGGTTCTGAGCTCCAGGGGGCTGGGAAAGCTCACTATTCCTGCCCAGTTTACACTCATGCGAGGTGTATTCAGGAGTACTAACTGCCAATGAAATGAGTGCTCAAAAGGAATGTGCAAGAGAGCAAGAAGGGCCATGCCTGAGCCCCTGGAATGACTTTTCCCAGGTGCACCACATTTCAAGTGAACTGGATGGTCTATGAAAAGCAGGAGCTGAGGGGCCTCTGCATGAAAGTAATGTCCATCTTATTAGGTTAAGTCATATTTCCTAAGGAAGCCTGATACTTTTTTTTTTCATGCTAAGATGGATGATTCAGTGAAGTGAATAATCCTCTTGTGCTGTGAGGATAGTTATCTGTTTTATCTGTTGATGTGAGTCTGCACCTTCATACATTGTGGGTTTTTGTTTTTAACAATGGGATATAGCTCTACCATAGTTACTGTGTAAAATGCATCCCCAAAATGTAATGTGCACCTAAATATAAGAATATTTGTAATGTTGTCACTAGCAGAAAGCTCAGTAACACAAAGGGCATTCTTAGTAGCTTCAGCTACTCAAGTAAGCCGACAAAATGTGTCTGTGTGTGTTCATAAGGGCAGACCATTACACAAAAGAACCTCACATCTCAATGGCTTAGTACAATTTCAGAAGTTTGTCTTTTGCTCATGTCTCAGTTCAAGATGAGGTTTTCCTCCAAATAATGACTCAGAAATCCAGATGGCTTCTTTCCTGTGGCTCCCCACGCTAAGATTCCGTGGCGGAGGAAATGAATACACAGAGGATCACGCACCCCATACCAACAACCTCAGGTGAGAAATGGCATGTGTTGCTGCTGTTTACATGTCTTTTTTTTTTTTTTTTTTGAGACGGAGTCTCGCTCTGTCGCCCAGGCTGGAGTGCAGTGGCGCGATCTCGGCTCACTGCAAGCTCCGCCTCCCGGGTTCACGCCATTCTCCTGCCTCAGCCTCCCGAGTAGCTGGGACTACAGGCGCCCGCTACCACGCCCGGCTAATTTTTTGTATTTTTAGTAGAGACGGGGTTTCACCGTGTTAGCCAGGATGGTCTCGATCTCCTGACCTCGTGATCCGCCCGCCTCGGCCTCCCAAAGTGCTGGGATTACAGGCGTGAGCCACCGCGCCCGGCCTACATGTCTTTAAGGGGAATTAATCACATAACCCTACCCAGATGAAATATGCATTCTCTGGCGGAGCTGCCACTTGTGGGGAAAACAGGAACATTTGGTGGTCAGATACTTACCTTTGTCACAGTTTTTCAGGAGTTAGGAATCTCTCATAGCACCTCTGCTCCATGATTGGTATATGGAGATTTGACTATCACTCAAGCACCTGTAAAAATAGACAGATAATATGAAAAAACAGGTGTAACTAGAGGATCACTCTTCATATATATATAAACTTGAGGCTGATAATTGTTTTCATGATTGCCCCTATTTTCTTGGCTTTGAACTCCTACCCCATCTAGAGAAGATATTTTGCTCTATTCTAGTTCAGTGAACTTAATCAAGACTAGTAATTTTTTAATCTAGTTATTAAAATTTTAGTCACCAATCACATTTCCAAGCCTCTTAGTTTTTAGCCTCCCATCACAATCCCCCAATTCAGCTTTCTTTTCTATGCATAATACTGTGTTGCCTCATGCTTTATCCCTCCACAGGGAGGGAGGGCAGAGACATAGCGGCACTGGCCACTTGCAGGCAACAGTATATGGTGGAGACAGGAAGCTGATAAGCTGATTTGGGGTCACTCTGTGGCTGGCTTGGCCTATGGGTGATTGTTCCTGTTAGGTTTCTGACCCTGGGATTTCATAGCTGTCCTCATGTGGCAGCACATTAACAGGTCTTTTAATCCCCAGTCTTTAAAGAATGAAAGAGAAAGAAACTTGGATGTATGCACACATCATGAGATAAATTAATATATTTCTTCTATGAAGCAAGAACAGAATGCTATAAAAAAGAAACATTCAGGCATTTTTTAAAAAGCTTCTGAAATTAAACACCAGAGCAGCGGAGAAAAATATCGCTGGAAAACTTTGAAGGTAAAATTGAGAAAACCTCGCAGAACTTAAGTAAAAAGTCAAAGATACAAAATAAGAGCAATGAATTAACAAAATTGGAGGACCAGTATTAAAGTTGCAAATATAAATGATTGGAAGTCTAGAAAGACAGAATAGAAGAAGTAGAGGGAGGAAATAGTCAATGAAATAATTCGAGAAAATTACCAGGACCTGAACAACAAATTTTTTTAAGTTAAGAGGGTGCCCTTAGTGCCCAGCACGACGTATAAAAATAAATCAACAATAAGGTACATCATTGGGAAATTATAAAAAATCAACATCAACAGGATCTTTAGAGTCCCAGAGAAGAAAGAGGAGGTCCCTTACAAAGGATTTGTAATCAGAATTGTTCAGCTTATTCAAGAGCAACACTGGGAGCTCACAGATAATTGAAGAATATCTTCAAAATGCTGAAGAAATTTATTTTCTATCTTAAAATTCTATACCCAGTCAGGCAGTCTATTACGTGAGAAGATGGAACAAAAACATTTTCAGACATTCAAGGTCTCAGAAAATTTACCTCCCATAAACCTTTTTTTCAGGGCATTATTGAAGGATGTACCTCACCTAATGTTAAGAGTAAGCCACTTGCTAAAGGAATTCGAGGACCCAGGCAATAAAAGATCCACTGCACACACCCATGCACACGCACACAGACAGACACACAGAATCTCTAGCATGATGGTTAAGGAAGATCTCAGAATGACTGACAAGCACCAAGGACGAAAGGAAGCAAGGACCTATGGAACAGGTTCAAAAAATTGTGGCCAAGGACGGTACAGGACTTCATACCCATAGCGGCCCTTCCCTATGTGAAAGGCATGGTGAAGCCAACAGAACCAGCACTTTTATTAATGACATCCAGAGCAATGATGTTATATGGCAGAAATACAATGATGAGACAATAAAGTCTATGCATCCATATTATGTGTGTGTGTGTGTGCACGTGTGTGTGTGTGTGTGTGTGTGTGTAGTGAGAGACAGAGAGTCTGGAATGATATACAAGAAAAAAAGCAAAAAGTGACATTTGTTTCGTTTGGAGAAAGGAATTTGATTCTGACAGAAAAGAGATGTGAGGAGGACCTAATTTTCATTATATGCAATTTTGTTTATGTCTAAGATTTGCTATGTGTACATATTGAGAGGTGACAGCATGCTGGCAGCCCTTGCAGCCCTCGCTTGCTCTCGGTGCCTCCTCAGCCTAGGCGCCCACTCTCGCCAAGCTTGAGGAGCCCTTCAGCCCGCTGCTGCACCGTGGGAGCCCTTCTCTGGGCTGGCCGAGGCCAGAGCCGGCTCCCTCAGCCTGCGGGGAGGTGTGCAGGGAGAGGCACGAGCGGGAACTGGGGCTGCGCAGGGCGCTTGCCGGCCAGCTAGAGTTCCGGGTGGGCATGGGCTTGGCGCCCCACACTCGGAGCGGCTGGCCAGCCCCACCAGCCCGGGGCAGTGAGGGGCTTAGCACCCGGGCCAGCAGCTGCGGAGGGTGCGCCAGGTCCCCCAGCAGTGCCGGCCCGCCAGCACTGCACTCGATTTCTTCCTGGGCCTTAGCTGCCTCCCCACGGGGCAGGGCTCGGGACCTGCAGCCCGCCATGCCTGAGCCTCTCCTCCACCCACCCGTGGGCTCCTGCATGGCCTTAGCCTCCGTGACAAGCACCACCCCTGCTCCATGGCACCTGGTCCCAACGACCTCCCAAGGGCTGAGGAGTGCTGGCGCATGCCGCGCCACTGGCAGAGTTCTACTTGCAGCCGGCGGGGGATCCACTGGGTGAAGCCAGCTGGGGTCCTGAGTCTAGTGGGGACTTGGAGAACCTTTATGTCTAGCTAAGGGATTGAAAATACACCAATCAGCACTCTGTATCTAGCGCAAGGTTTGTAAACACACCAATCAGCACCCTGTGTCTAGCTCAGGGTTTGTGGATGCACCAATCGGGGCTCTGTATCTAGCTAATCTGGTGGGGACTTGGAGAATCTTTATGTCTAGCTAAGAGATTGTGAATACACCAATTGGTACTCTGTATCTAGCTCACGGTTTGTAAATGCACCAAGCAGCACTCTGTGTCCAGCTCAGGGTTTGTAAATACACCAATCAGCACTCTGTATCCAGCTAATCTAGTGAAGACGTGCAGAACTTTTGTGTCTAGCTCAGGGATTGTAAATGCACCAATCAGCACCCTGTCAAAACAGACCAATCAGCTCTCTGTAAAACAGACCAATCGGCTCTCTGTAAAATGGACCAATCAGCAGGATGTGGGGGATGTGGGGGTGGGGGGGGTGGGGGGGGTGGGGGGGTGGGGGCGGCCAGATAAGACAATAAAAGCAGGCTGCAGGAGCCAGCAGCGGCAAACCGCTCGGCTTCCCGGCTGTGTTCTTTGGCTGTTTGCTGTAAATCTTGCTACTGCTCACTCTTGGGGTCGACACTTCCTTTATGAGCTGTAACACTCACCGTGAATGTCTGCAGCTTCACTCTTGAAGCCATGGAGACCACGAACCCACCGGAAGGAAGGAACAACTCCAGACGCGCCGCCTTAAGAGCTGTAACACTCACCGCGAAAGTCTGCAGCTTCACTCCTGAGCCAAGGAGACCACGAACCCACCAGAGGAAAGAAACTCTGAACACATCCGACCATCAGAAGGAACAAATTCCGGAGTGCTGCCTTTAAGAACTGTAACACTCAGCGCGAGCGTCCGCAGCTTCATTCTTCAAGTCAGTGAGACCAAGAACCCACCAATTCCGGACACAATATTACCTATTCATAAAAGTTATAGCATAAAATGCATTCACTTAAAATTACAAATATACACACTTTTGATCTAACAATTTAACCTCTGACAGTTACACCTTAGCTATCTGACAGGTACACCTTTGCATGTGCAAAATGATGTATGCAAAATGATATTCATTACAGCATTGACTGAGAGAGCAAAAGACTAGAAATGATCTAAATATCTATCAAATAAGTCTGGTGAAATAAGCTATGTACCCCTGCACAATGGAATATGTTGTAGCCATATAAGAAATAATGAAGAATTTCATTAAGTAGTGATAAGGAATGATCTCTGAGATATATGGCTAAGCAGAAAAGAGATGGTAGTAAAAACGGATGTATGGTACAGTATGCCAAAATGTTTGCATAAGAAAGGGGAATACTGGATATATTTGGACTTTATATACGTGCATACAATGGCTCTGGGGAGAAAAAACAAACACACAAAAAAACATTGGTTGCTTATGGTTTCTGCTTTTTCTTCATAGCATTGTCATTATGTTAAATTATTTCACACACTTGATTTGTTTGCATGCTTGTTTTCTGTTTCCTCCATTAGAATGTAGGCACCAAGGGGGCAAAGTCTAATCTGATACGTTTACATAGGTATCCCCCTACACCTTGGACAAGTGTGTGGCACATAATAGATGCTCAATAAATGGTTGTTGAATATTGTTTGACAGAAATAAATAAGCCTTTTCTCTGACCATGATGTGGCCTTTTAGGGGATGACAGCATTGTGATCACAAACCTTCAAAGGATCTTCTGTCTTCAAGGCAAAATGTTTTTAAAAAGCCAAAAAGTAGTCATAAGAAACTGCTAACAGAATAACGAGGAATGTAAAATGTCAGCCTTCACCTATTAATAATTGTTACAGCATATTACGTCTCTGACTGAATCTTCTACAAACAAGCAATTAAGGTAATCTTCATCACAGGAGGTAGTTTGAAGAAGTCAAAGCCACAACGTATTTCAAACAGCTGGGGAACAGCAGAAATACTGGAGGAAAAAGCCAACATCCTGTGAGCTGGTGTTATTGTAGAATTTAAAAATAACTGTCGAGATGGAACACAATCATTTATGAGGCACCAAATTAGATTCTTGGGTCGCTACAGTTGTTCAGAGGACAGAACGGAGATTTCTAGATGTTACCTTGGCAATGAAGTAAAGCAATTGCTTGTGGACGTTGTTAGCTTGTGAAGGTGGTCAAGATTCAAATTCGCAGGTCATCATAGAGGGGAAAATAAAACTTCCAAAGTGTTTCTAATTTGTCCTATTCTTGAATATATATTTAAAATTAGGAGATGTGTATTTTCACTAAGTTCTTCAATACGGGACTTCAAACCTGTCCTACTCTTCAAGCTCTTTTGAGTGTAAGGCTAATGCACACATATCCATACCCACTCAGGCACTAAGAAGACTACTCCTTGCCTCTGGCTTAGCCCTGATTCTGGCTGTGCCACTTTTATTCCCTTATTTGGTGTTGTGTGATGTTTCACTGGGCAGGTTTAATGGCCTTCACAAAGTATCCATCTGATCTATCCACTCAGTGATTTTTATCATTGTAAGTAAACTTTGCCCATTCTACCTACCTCGAGAAAAGATACATTGACTTGAAACTAACATGGTTTTGTGATTTCTAGCAGGCACCAGGCCCCATTTCACCAATTTTTTATTAGCCCAAGTGTAGCAGATCCTGTCAGTGTCTGGCCCATTTCCCCTGGCCATACCCTCCACAATTTTAAAGTTTAAAGCAAACACCTGCAAAAGACTCAAGCGTCTTTTGCTCTGACTGAGAGCCCACTCAGCCTGGAACATCACAGGACAGAACTGCACAGAGTTAGTGCCCCAGGAAGCAGCCCCTAACATGACTGATGGATGGATACCCTGCTTCCTCACCCCTGGTTGAGATAACCCTGAGGTGCGTTCCACTGATTTCCTAAGCTCCCCAGTGGCTCACAGGAGTAACTGGCTCCGTAACTCAGCCTTACTTGGTTACCGTCCTTTATAGGTGCTCTGACTCCCCTTCTGGAGTTTCCTGGGATTAACTTTCAAATAATCTCCTTCAACTGAGTCCTTGTCTTGGTATCTGCTTTTGAGAGAACCTGTGCTAAGACAAAACACTAGAAAATTAACAAAATATACCAATATTTCCAAATAAATAAAGCAATTTGTTCAGATCATGTTTTCTGATATTATACTTGTGTAAGAATGGTCTTTGAATAGCACCCTTCTGAAATTCAGTAATACTGTTTTCTTAAAGAAGAATGTTCCCCCTTCTTAATGGGGCTTCAAACAATACTAAATATTGTAGTTTGTCTAGAAGGGAATATTGAAATGTTTGAAAGACAACAGGAACACAAGCACAAGTGACTTGCTGGGTAAGCCAGAATAAGACTGGAAGCTGAGGGTCTCCATTTAAACACAGAACACCTGTTCACATCTTCAGAGAATGCCCAGAACACTTGGCCCATGTAATTAAATAAAAGCTGTGATCCTTGCCGCAGTAGATGTTATTGCCTAGGAGATAGAAATATAATACTCAAATACTCATACTGCAATTGATTTAAAATGGCTATGTACTCCCCATAGCAATAGCTAAAATAATAGTCAAGATTGTATATTTTAGTCACTTTATTATATTACTTTACAATAAGATATGGAGAGTTTGTAAAACTATGTCCTGATTTGTAATCATTATATACTTAATTTCAAACTATATTCAGATGGTGGCAATGATGACAAGAAAAGTAACATTAGTACTAACATTCGTTATAGCATCTCATAATTCAACAAGTACCTTCTCTAGCAAGCAACCTCTGTGTGTAATCAATATGTTACACAAATTTAACATCTGTCCCCTGAAATTTATTCATTGTCACCTGGCAGCCTGTGCTCACAACCCAATCAGAATACAATGCCATGGCAATGCCAATGGTTAGCCTCATGGGATAACTTATTGCAACTTTACTAGAAATGATTTATCAAATCTATGAGTGATAAATTGGATGAGAGAGCAAATACATGGAAAGAGGGAAAGAGCTTTCTTAGCTATTACAATTGTCTTATTTTGGTCATTACTAACTGAACAATTGGCATTGATAATGTGTAACAAAGCAAACTTAATTTAAATGTTTTTTTCACCACTTCTAAACTTACTCCATTTACCCACTCTTTTTCTTTTTTTTTTTTTTTAAGAGACAGAGTTTCACTGTATAGCCCAGGCTAGAATGCCGTGGCACCATCATAGCTCACTGCAGCCTTGAACTCCTGGGCTCAAACAATCCTCCTGCCTCAGCCTCCTGAATAGCTAAGAATACAGGCTCATGCCACAATGCCCAGCTTTTTTATATATTCTAGAGAGAAGGTCTCACTATGTTGCCCAGGCTAGTCTTGAACTTCTGGCCTTAAGCAATCCTCCTGCCTCAACCTCTCAAGGTGCTGGGATTATAGGCATGAGCCACCATGCTCAGGGTAGCCATTGACCCATTCTTTACTGACACTGTATGACATGTTGGACCTGTCCTATAGCATTTCAGGGGTCACTCTTAGAAAAGAATCAAGTAATTCCTTCACTACAGCATTAAAATGTCCAAGGCACTCTAATGATCTCACAACTCCCAGTTCACTCCAGGTTGATCATCAAAACTTTGAACTTACCCAGTCAAAGCTTCTGCCTTCCCTGACCTGGTGCAGCTATATCCAGACTCAAAGGTCAATAATGAGAGCAGTGGAGTAGGTTGGCTTCATGACCATTTCCTATCTCCACTCCCACTCACTAGCTGTGGTGCTGGAGTTTCTCTGCTCTCCGGGAATGGAGCAGGTAGAATGAGAAGGGAGATGAGATGCGAAGAGTTCTGTCCTGACTGGCACTTGGTCACTTGCCACTGGTACTCTCTGAGAATGATGGATGTCCACAATGAATTCTCTTTTGTGGGGTGCCTTTGTGGGTTCCTCAGGGATCCTCTGCTGGGAGATTCTACCTACAGGTCCCTCAACCGGAAAATGCCTTTTCCACAGCTGATCACTTACGACTCCTCCCCTACTGTTGGGGCATTCTGGCATCAGTCCCTCAGCCCACTCTCCAGAATTTTTCTTGCACAAAGTACTTTTTAAGACAACCCAGGCCAGTTTCATTTTGCAGGGTCCACACCTGGGCAGTGGAAAACATGGACCTTTGCCCTGGCTCAGTGAATCTGTGGCTCTCTCTAGACCTGGCTTTGCTACCTCTGATTCATCTGCACATGCCCTCCTGCCTTAGACTTTTCCTGACAAAACTCCAACACCAGTCCCTATGCTTCCCAAACTCCATGGAACACAAGACAACTCTCTAAATTGTCACCTTAACGCTCTTCTCACATAGTTGGAAATGAGAGAGAGAAATGCTCCTCTCCCCTTGGGGACAGTAGGTAAATGCGAGAGAACTTCAACACCGTGCCCCTCCTTGGCTCTTCCAGAACCTCATGCTGGGTGAAAGGCTAGTTCTGGCCACACTTTTATAACCTTCTGATATAGTCAGCAATCTGCATGTGCACTCTAATCCTTCTGTCTAGGATGTTTGGGCCTTTGATGCCTCCTCTATTGTACATAGCTTTTGTAGACTCAGCCAAAACTGAGGGAGGAAAGGTCTCCATTTAAATATTATACAATAGGCCAGGCGCAGCGTCTCACACCTGTAATCCCAGCACTTTGGGAGGCCGAGGCAGGCGGATCACCTGAGGCCAGGAGTTCGAGATCAGTCTGGCCAACATGGTGAAACCCTGTCTCTACTAAAAATACAAAAATTACCCAGCCGTGGTGGCGCATGCCTGTAGTCCCAGCTACTTGGGAGACTGTGGCAGGAGAATGGCTTGAACCCGGGAGGAAGTTGCAGTGAGCTGAGACCACACCATTGCACTCCAGCCTGGGCAACAAAGCGAGACTCTGTCTCAAAAATAAATAAATAAATAAATAAATAAATAAATAAATAAATAAATAAATAAACGTTGTACAATAGTATGAAATGTAATAATAGTATAATGGGAGGGAGTAAATTGTATTTACTAGAAACCTTTGAAAGAAGGATGCTGTAGAGTTGTCCCTCAGTATCCATGGGGGAATGGTTCCTGGACTTCCACCCACCCCTGGAGGATACCAGTATTTTCAGATTCAGGCATAAGGAACAGATGCTAGGGTCCCTGATATAAAATGGAGTAGTATTTGCATATAACCTATGCACATCCTCCCACCTACTTTAAATCATGTCTGGATTACTTATGATACCTACTATAATGTAAATGCTATCTAGATAGTTGTTATACTGTATTGTTTAGGGACTAATTATAAGAACAAATGTCTGTACATGTTCAGTACAGATGCAACCATCTCCTTTGTTGAAAAATATTTTCAATTTTCAGTTGGTCGAGTCCACAGATGGGGAACTCACAAATATAGAAGGCTCACTGTATTTGCTTGAAAAAAATTCCATGAGAGAGAAATTGAGCTTCCCACTGCCACCAATGGACTGATTGTGGGTAGAATCTCTCTGTGTGGAAAAGAGGAATAATTGATTTTAATTGTGCTAGAAACAGAGAAAGATGAAATAAAGTCGATGAAATGGGGAAGACCATGTATACCCTCCTCATTGTTAACCAAAAATATTCATTAATGTTCCCACAGTGGTAAAATGCACCATGTGAGTGGATTCCTTGTAGAAACCAAGGAAGAATTTGATTTATTTTTCTGTAAGGCCCAGGAAAAGTGTGGTAAGAACACGGGAGTGGAAGAAAAGCAGTCCTAAGAAAGCAGAGCACTCACAGGGAGTTATCAGGACCGTCAGCGGCCATGGAATTAGAGCTCTACCAAAGTTAACCAGAATGCAGGTGGTGGAGTGTCCACCCATCCACCTTTGTATAGTGAGAAAATTAAGGTAGCATGTTTGTTCCTGTACACCAACCTTCTACATTCTCAGTGGTAGGAATTCATGGTCAATACCTTCTCAATCTCTGGTTCTGCCATTTAAGTTGATCTTGTAAAGTTTCTTGACATTCCTGAACTCCAGTTTATCATCTATACAATGATGTTACTAAATAGTTCACAAAATTATGTTGAGACAGTTAACACTTGTGAAAGTACCTGGGCTATGGTTGGGTCCTTCACACGTGCTAGGTACTTTTCCTCCTTCCTTGTGGTCCTGACTTCCTTCCTTCCTTCCTTCCTTCCTCCCCACCACAAGTAAAAAAATTAGGTGCTTGAATTGAAAAGAAAGTCAATTAGACTCAATAATATATGGCTTCCCAAAATGGTAATGCAAACTTAGATTATTTTTATAGAGGCAGAAAGTCAGGAATAATGGAGATGATGACCCCACTAATACATTGAACAAAAATGAGCTCTGAGTACAACATTTATAAATGTGTACAAACAATTTCAAGTGTGTAGAGACAAGGGTAAATGAGGATGCTTAAGGGCTTTGAAAGCATTTTATTTGAGGCGCTATTTTAAAAACTAGGAATGTTACTCATGAAGAAGAGAAAACTCTGTGGAGATACAAGAGTACTATTTGCTGTCTGAATATGGGAGAAGAATTAGGCTTCTTCAGCAAAGCTGATGTTGTACCTCAAAGAGCACTAAATGTAGGTCAAGAAAATTCCAGCTGGACTCTTCCTTTGGCCAGCTGGGGGATCTTAAGCAAGTCATTTTACTTTTATGCATCTAATTTATCTCATCTGCAAAATGAGGAGGTAAACAACATCAGTGTTTTTTAAGCTTCTAAAATTACTCATAGCAAAAAATAAAGTTGGCCTTGAAACCCAACACACACACACACACACACACACACACACACACACACAATTTTGTTTTCTATATATATAAACAAAATTTTACAAAGCAAAATGCTTCCTTGCTACAAGTTATGCATTCTAATACTCTTTTTTAACTCGTTTTGGTAAAATGTGGGTTGTACCCTACTAAATGGATTTTTATGTTCCACTAATGGTTCTGCAATTTGGAAAACATCAGAAGATGACATCTAGAAAGTCCTTTTCAGTTCTGACTTTTGACAATCCTTGGGACAATAACTGATGGTCAACAGTTTCTAGGAAACCTATTTCACCTCAATGTAGAGAAGATTAGGGATGGTCAGAAATGGCCAAAGAAATAATGAGCTTCATATCAGGGGGTGTGCTACCACTTTTACAGGCATGCAAGTTGTGGGATGAGGCTTGGCTTTTGAGATGGCTCAGAGATAGGAAATAGGCTCCATCTAGGCCAGGCTGCAGCTCCACGCTCCTTTCCTCTTTCTGGTCTCACTTACCCTCTGCATTAGTTTCCTGTGGCTGTTGTCACAAATTCCCACAAACTTGGTGGCTTTAAACAACGGAAATTTATTTTCTTACATTTATAGAGATCACAAGTCTGAAAGCAGTACTATTTGGCTGAAATGCAGGTATTGATAGGGCTGCACTCCCTCCAGAGGCTCCAGGGAGGAATCCATCCCTGTCTCTTCCCACTTCTGGGAGCTGCCTGCATTCTTTGGCTTGTGGCCCCACCACCAACTCTCTGCCTCCATAGACATGTTGCCTTCTTCTCTGCTTTCCTCTGATAAAGATCTAGGTGATTGCATTTAGAGTCCACTTGAATAATCCAAGATAATCTCCTCATCTCAAAACCCTTAAATTAATCACATCTATAAAGTCCCTCTGTCCCATATACCAGTGGTCCCCAACACTTTTGGCACCAGAGACTGGTTTCATGGAAGACAATGCAAAAAATTGTCTTTCACTAAAGTCTCCCCAGAGGATGGGGACTGTTCCACCTCAGATCATCAGACGTTAGTTAGATTCTCATAAGGAGCATGCAACCTAGATCCCTGGCATATGCGGTTCACAATAGGGCTCTGGCTCCTATGAGAAGCTAATGCTGTCACTGATCTGACAGAAGGCGGAGCTCAGATGGAAATGCATGCTCACTCACCTGCCACTCATCTCCTGCTGTGCAGCTCGGTTCCTAACAGGTCATGGACTGGCACTGGTCTGTGGCCCAGGGGTTGGGGACCCCACCATATAAGGTAACTTCCACAAGTTCTAGGGATTGAAGCATGGAAATCTTTTGTGGGACCATTATTCAGCTTACACATTTTCTTTCCCAGCTCACTGCCTGGGAACTCTGATGGGCCGCTCACAGGCCTCAGAGCTCTGAGTTGTCCATTAACCCTTCCTCTTGTGTAAAAGAACAACAGGCAAACGTTAATATAAAGAGCCTTCACGCTCTTTCAAAAAATAATAGCAGCCAGGACCTTTTGCTCACTTCACAGTCTGGTTGTCATGGGATTATTTTCTTTCCAGAAATTAATGTCTTTGGGGAAACTCAGAACCCTGACTTGGTAGTCACGGAGGCAAGGATTTGACTGGGATTTATTTGTGAGGTGATCTCAGGAAACACCAGCAGGGGAGTGGGGAAATGAGAGAGAGGAAGGAGGCCAAGAAAAGGTGTGTGATCAAAGTAGCCACTGTGGTGCGCAACCCAGCTCAGATCCCCTGGAGAACTCAGGAGGAGAATAAAGAAAATGTCCCAGGGTGAGAAAGCTGGAACAATCACTCGCCAAGCCCCACGTCTCAGCTGTGGGCATGAGCTCTTTGTCTAGCATCCAGTGTTCCTCACTCACCAGTTGAGTCCAGCAGCCAGAATAAAGACTCGGGCAAGGAGGTTTTCTGTTGTAACTAGACTTTGTTGTTTAGAAGTGAATTCCTCAGGGTCTCCCCAGCCTTTGCTGTAGCACCTAACACCCTATCTCCAATTTCCTTTGTGATAATTATAATAGTCTGCATTCAAATTCATATTTGAGCTTACCGACTTGTATTTTTATGTTATCTAATTTATTCTTCCCAAGATAGACACAAAAAAGATTTTATGGGAAATGAAAACTCCAAAATCAAATCACTTGTCCAGGATGAAACCATATGTAATTAACAGCAGGGATGCACCCCCAATTCTGACTGGGATACCTTTGTCTGGGACTGGAATGCCCGTTCCTTTGTGGACTTGACAAACTCCTACCCATCTGTCTTTGATGTAGCTGAAAAGTTGCAACTTTTGAAAATCAAGCACATAAATACAGGTAATTACAATAAATCTAAACAAGGAAAAAAGACAAGAAAAGGAAAGATGGCCAGTGAGAGATGGGAGACTTCTTCCTGCATATCCAAGAGAGGGCAAGGGACTTCAATTGTGTAACAGATAAGGGAAAATATCAAAACATGCAGTATATAGGGTAAGGTACCGCAAGATTTTATCTTAAAGTCCAGAGACAGAAGCCAAAGTAAAAAGAAGTTTTACCAGATTTTAATAGGGAATCTAAGGAAGAAGACTGCAAAATTGCTATATCCTATAATGTGGGAGGTGACAACTGGCAGCTGATGACAGCTGTTAGGAACAGGGAGAGCCGAGGGTGAGCCCAAGCCTACAGGGACCTCCAGCACGGAGGGGAGGCCGCAACAAGGGAGACCTGTTCCAGTCAGTACCGTCCAGTGAAAACTGTGCAGTGTTGTTCTCAGCTGCCCATATGATGCTCTACAGTGGGGAACATCAGATTTTCCAGTACTATCAACTCTGCCTGATATATACATGTCAACCAAAGAGAGAAATCAAAAGAGAGAGAGAAAGCTTTAAGGGGTGAGATGACGCTGAAGAGGCAGTGGGGATGGTGTGAACATCAGGAGAAGGAGTGTGGGCTGAGGGTAGGAGGGAAGTTACACGGGAGATCACCAGATGCACAGGCAGGTGCAGGGAAAAGACTCACAGGTCAGAGACACAGCCAGGCAGGGAAGGAAGTGTGGCCTGGAGCCCTGAAGGCTGAAGAGGGCTTCCTGAGAGCACAACCCTCCCTCCATGTATCCCAGGAAGAAATAAAGTGATCCACCATACGTAGGCAGATGGTCAGTTCGCCAGGATGGAAATTCGGGTGACCAGCCCAAGGACAGGCACTAAAGGAAGCATTTACAGAGACCAGACTTAGGGAGGCACTGCCTCTGAGGTAGTTGGATTTTCTCCATTTGAAAAGTGGTGCAACTGGGGAATCACAGAGTCGAAGTACCTGACCAAGGTGACAAAGGTAGGAAGTTGAAGATCTGGAACTGGATCCAGACTGACCCCTGCACTCCAAAACCAGCACCATGGACATGCTCACACCACCTCTCCAGGCATGAGGAAGCCATTAGGGTTCTAATGACCAAAGGAATAAAGTTAGGCAGCTAGCCATCCCCTCCCAGGATCTTCCCTCTTCCTCTCACTATATATATATATGTGTGTGTGTGTGTGTGTGTGTGTGTGTGTGTGTGTGTGTATGTATGTATACACACATATATATAGTTTTTTTTTTGTTTGTTTTTGAGACAGAGTTTCACTCTTGTCGCCAAGGCTGGAGTGCAATGGCGCGACCTTGACTCACTGCAACCTCTGCCTCCTGGGTTCAAGCGATTCTCCTGCCTCAGCTTCCTGAGTAGCTGCAAGTACAGGTGCTCGCCACCACGCCTAGCTAATTTTTGTATTTTTAGTAGAAGCGAGGTTTTACCACATTGGCCAGGACTGTCTTGAACTCCTGACCTCAGGTGATCCACCCGCCTCAGCCTCCCAAAGTGCTGGGATTACAGGCATGAGCCACCGCGCCGGGCCCCAGCACGATATATTTTTATCGAAAGTGTAAGGATGCAAGAAATAAGTAACTTTAGAATTTTAGGCCAGGCCAAGCAAGGTGGCTCACACCTGTGATCCCAAAGCTTTGAGAGGGTGAGATGGAAGGATGGCTTGAAGCTAGGAGTTTGAGACCAGCCTGGGTGACATAGCGAGACCCCATCTCTGAAAAAAATTTTTAAAATTAACTTGGCATGGTGGCATGTGCCTGTAGCCCCAGCTACTTGGGAGGCTGAGGTCGGAGATAGCTTTAGCCCAGGAGTTTGAGATTTCAGAGAGCTATGATCATGCCACTGCACTCCAGCAAGACCCTGTCTCAAAATTTTTTTAAAAAAGAATTTTAGGCAAGAAAAATTGGAAATACCTAGGAGCCAAAACCTTTATGAAACTTCATAATGTTTCCAAAAATAGACGGAATTACTCCTGAGTTCCACTAAAACTTGTTAGTCAGGGTTTTGACAAAGTAATAAACGTGATGTATCAATTATTTTGTTAACAAAGAGAAGAGGAAAGAATTAGGAATTGGAAGCCTTTGATCCCATGGAAAGTAAAGTACAAAAAATGTTATTGTGAGCCTAGCGGCAGCCTTCATAAACATAAAAAATGACATATAATCCCTATGGAGTGTAATTTTTAAAAACTCGATGTCCAACTCCTTGCTTATTCGTCCTCAAAGAAACAGTGATGCCTGTTAAAGAGGGAAGATAGACGCCACTTCGTCTCATGCAAATAGGTCAGAAGGAGGCCCTGGACAGTATGAAAGTTGGCAAGGTTCTTTTCATTTTGTTTTGTTTTAAGTAAGGCAAGCAAGGGAGATGGCATGGAAGTTTGAGGGAGGTATGTTCTAACACCGTTCCTAATTGTGACGACTGTGTTGGCTCAACAATGACTAAATCAGAAACTCAAAGCTGGAAATGGGCATCACAGGCTTCTGGAAAGATAAAAAGCCACAAGATGTGTAGAATCCACATTGCTGCCTGTGTCAGCGACAGATTGCCCTCATAAAAGGTCTTGTCTGTTCCAGGGTACACTATGGTGTTTCAACCGTGGAGAACGGAGAGCTGTGTACTGAACCCGATTCTTAAATTTTGTGGTTGTAAAATGTCTGGGTCACTGATGTAGAAGCTTTCAAGAGCACCCGTGGTAGGAATTCCTAATCCCTTGCCCCCCAAATAACCCCATTCTCCCAAGTGAAATTCCATTGTTAGAGTTCCATCGTTTCAGCAGGGAGGCAATTCTAGGAGGAGATCGCATCAATTATACCTCAGAAGTTCCAGATCATTTCTCTGAGGACAGACTTTGAAAGAAGGAGAGACAGGATCTCTGAGGAGGGAAACTGGCACAAAGAGAAAAACCCTGCACACAGGGAGAAGACGATTTACGCGCCTCCAGTCAGCCCCATGGACAGCATGGCCCCATGACATTGCTCTGCTCCCCCACATTTATTTTCAATAAAATCATCCATCAGGATGTGACTAGGTCGTGCTCCAAGCCTTAAGAAAGAAAAGCCAGACACGAATTCCAGACTCTAGCATGACTTCTATAGTAGCAAGCATGTATGGTTCGAATACTGACAGTTTACCTGTCCAAGAGCTTGGCTGGAAGCCTTGTATTTTTATGACAAATAATGCCTTTGGTTGGTGCATGAAACGAATAGTGAGTGTGTTTGTTGTATCGTTTGTGTGGGAAGCCACATCTCAGTTTAGCACATGCCTATTCATATTCAATAAAATATCCGAGGGGAACCCCATTCTGAAGAAAGATCCACATCCATTCTGTAGGCATCTTTTATCTGTGTCTGAAAACTGAGCTCTCTGAGAAGAATTTTTCACATGTTCTTAATAATACCATTTTTTCTTTACAGAATACACTGTGTAGCAGGAAAACGGAAATGAATTGTCATAGAGTGAATTGGGGATGTTTGTATTCAGTCATCACTTGGGGAATTTTTTCTCCATTGTCAAACACCAAATACTAAATGCCTATGGAAATAATAGGCAAGTTTTATTTCCATGCTTTTCAACTTTCTGCCCCTGGGAGGTACCATGTGTCATCTGGCCGCCAGTCACTCAATGACCGGAGACTTCCATGTGCTGTGTGAGACAGGGGAGTGTCAAACGCTGAATGTTCCTTGGACAAGCTGAGGGGTAAAACGGGGTCTGACATCTGACCACCCCCCAGGGGTTTTCTTTCTGTGGACTTTCCCTGCTTTTGTAGCATGCTCATGCTCATTTTATGTCAGAAATTTTTCTCAAGAAGTGACTTGAACTTTATTACTCACAGGAAGGGTTAGATGAGGGGAAGGAGGTTAGAGGGCCAGGGAGTTCCACTGTGCAAGTATCTGAGGGAGGCTAGGCCTGCCTGTCTCCCAAAACCAGTCCTCGAAAAGGCCTGGGTTGAATTGGTGTGGAGAATGCCTTAGGGTTCTAATTTTGTCCAAGTGTCACAGTGTCAAAAAATAGATCAGACTATAGCGTCAGGAGCAGTGCCAGACCCAAGTGTAGGGGTTTTTTTTCTTTTTTTTTTTTTTTCTCTGATTTCTCTCAAGAAGAAAGCAGTGTCATGCTGTTGTCTGGATCCTTCTTGTTGACCTGGGTCACTAGGAGTTAGGAGGGCCGGCTTTTTGCTTTTATTTTCTCTGTTTTTGTTGTTTTAAAAGGCAATTTGTATAAAGTCTTAAATGTAATGAGTTAAAAGCACAGGACGAGGCAGGGCACAGCAGGAACTGGGGCCCACCCAAACAGGGTAACTGAGAACAGCATAATGATTATACATTTATTATACAAAAGAGTGGGCAGGGTGAAGGGGGCATGAGAAGGGCGGTGCAGCCTCCCTAGAGAGGAGCCCTTTCCACTCCTAGACCTGCTGGGGCCCAGCTTCTCAGAGAGTGGTCCTGAACCAGCAGCATCAGCATCCCTGGGAACCTGTCAAAGATTTAGGCACAAACGCAGTCACTAGTGGGTTACACACATTTTAGCATTTGTCATGTTAAACAATTTTTAAGCAAACTTAATTTTCAAGAGCGAACGAATGGCTAAATTACACTTAATAGAATATTGGCAGCCTGTTTAAGAGAGCAGCGTTTTCAAAGAAAAATTTAAGTAAAATCTCTTCTCCATTTAAAAAATTCTCTCTCTCTCTACACACACACACACACACACACACACACACAGACATAGATTAGATAGAGGATGGATAGATAGATAGATAGATAGATAGATAGATAGATAGATAGATAGATCTGAGGATAAGAAACATTTAAAAACATCATAAGAAGTCAAATATCCATTCTCTTGAAAGATTAGTTTCAAAGTGTCTAGAAAAAGAAAATGCCATTTTACTTTTTGGCTAAAGATTTCTGAGGAAGAAAAACGTTCATATTCTTTAAAATTTGAAAAATCATTTATACTTCAAAGCCCAGGTCCAAGTTTGTGGGCTGCGCCCATGAATACTCTCCCCAGGTGGCAGCACCCGACGTGACATGGCAAAAGCATGCTGTGGACAAGCAGAAAATTGATGTGGAGCTATGGACTGTTTGCCCGCCAATGTCTACAACAGGGAAGAAAATACGAGAGAAAATGGGTTTGTCTCCCTATTACTGGAAGGGATAAAATCTTCTTGGGTTACAAAAGATCTTATTGATTGCAGATCCCAGATATTTGCATATTTTCTGTTGGTTTGTCAGAGGTTCTAAAAAATTATTTTCAGGATTGTTTATATAATTTGAGTAAAGATGTTTAGTCTTTTCCCCGTCTATATCTTGCTTTTGGTGGACAGAAATTATTCATTTTAATGGAACTTGAATTTATTTATTTTTTTCTGTATATTCAAAGTCAGGAGAACAGGTAGCCCAAAAAACAAGGGAAAAAGAACTACCACCACATGGTTCAATAGAGAGAACTAACTATGGAGAACTTGTCACGGAAGTGTTGGAATTGCTGAGAAGCCACACAAGGGATGCTGAGGCAATCAGAGAGGAGCTACAGCAGAAAGTGACTGCCACTTTCAAGGGCTGCAGGGACAGAGGGAGGAAGTTGATTGACCAGAATGGAGGTGGTACTACCTGTGGGAGCTGAACCCATGAGGTGGGCTGCCTGGTGGGAGCTGGGACCTGGGAGGGACCTGGAGTTGTCTGGGAGGAGATGAAGTCACTGCCAGAGGAGCCACCTCGCAAGCTTCTTTCTTCCTCCTACCACCAAGCTCCAGCCAATGAGTCCTGTTAAACCAACTCAGCCAGATGCCGGCTGCAAGGGAGCATGGACTCCACAGATGCCAGGGGTCGGCCTCTTCTGTACAGAGCAGAGCAGAGGACAGGAAATGGGCCAGAGAGCGAACTGCAAGATAGCACATCCTTGATGGTCAGTGCTTGTTGGGTCTTCCTTCTTTAAAACTCGTTTCTACTATGAGGACATGAATATATTCTTCTATGTTATCTCCTACCAGCTGGACATAAGGTTTCACATTTAAGTGAACAATCCATCTGGAATTGGTATTCATATATAGCGTGAGGTAGGGATGAAATTGCAATTTTCTGTTTATGAAATGTTGATTTACCTCAGCACTGTGTACCAAAAATACCATTGTTTCCCCCGTTCTGTTATGCTAACTTTGTCACAAGTTAACTGTATATGAATGGTCTGTTTCTGGATTCTCTACTCTGTTCCAATTGTCTGTTTTTTATTCCTATGCTAATGTTATAATTTTTTTGTATTATTGCTTTATAATAAATTGTGTCCTTTTTCTGGTAGAGCAGGTCCTCCCACTTTTTTGCATGAGGATTTTTCAGTTATTGGCTTTCTATATTTCTATATAAATTTTAGAATCAGTTTTTCAAGTTCCATAAAAAATATCCTCAACTGAGGTTTTGACTGGGATGACCTTGAACCTATAAATCAAGTTGGAGAAAATTAACATCTTTAAAATGAATTTTCCAATTGATAAATATGGTATGCCTTTAATGTTTCTTAATACAGTTTTGTAATTTTCCCTGTGTCTTTTATGAAGTTACTAGACACTTTTATGGTCCTGACACATAGAAATACAATTTATTTTTACACTTTTTATGCAACGAACTTGCTGAATTTTACTTAACATTCTAATAGTTGATCTGGGCATTCTTTTGGATTTTCCATATACTCAAATATGTCATCTGCACATAATAATGACTTGTTTCTCCCTTTTCAATAATTAAAAATTATAATCCTATACTGGCTGGGGATTCCACTACAATGTGAAATATAAGAGGTGATCTCAGACATCTTTGTTTCATTCCCAATTTCAAAGGAAATTTTCAGGATGACTCAATTAAATAGAATATTAGCTGTATGGTTTTATTGATAATGTTTACCCAGCTCAGGAAGTTTCCTTCCATTTCTCATTTTCTTAGAGTCTGTGTATATTAATAAAATATAAATGGATGTGATAATTACAAATAATAAATAAATAATTACAAATCAATGTTGAATTTTGTCAGGTGCTGTTTTGCACCTCCTAAGGACATCACATGATACATTCCCTGAAATCTCTCAACATGGTGAATTATATTGATTAATTCTCTGGCAATCTCACATTCCTGATATGAACACATTTGGTTATAATGTATTTTCCTTTTTATATATTGTTGGATTTAGTTCTCTTATATGTTGTATAGGATAACATTTATGTTTATGAATAAACTTGGCCTGCTATTTTTCTTTCATTTACCGTCCTCGCCAGGGTTTGGTATGGTTATACCAGCATGCTAGTTTTCTATTGCTGCTGTAACAAATTACCACAAACTCAGTGACTTAAACAACACAAATTTATTACCTCACAGTTCTAGAGGTCAGAAATCTGACACGGGTCTCACTGGGCTAAAATCAAATCAAGGTGGCCGCAGGGCTGCATTCTGATCTCAAGGCTCTAGGGGAGAGTCTGTTTCCTACTCATTTAGGTTGTTGGCAGAATTCAGCTCCTTGGGATTTTAGTACCATGATTCCTAATTCCTTACTGGTTGTAAGCTGAGGATCATCACCAGCTTCAAGAGGCTTCCATATCTTTTGCTTGAAAACCCCATCCTCCGTTTTCAAAGCCAGCAACAGCCTATCTGAGTCCCTCTCCTGTCGCGTCTCTCTCATCCTCCTTCCGCAGTCATACCTTGCTCTGATTGCAGCCAGAAAAGTTTACTTGCTTTTCTGAAGTCATGTGATTAGATTGGGCTCGCTTGGATAATAGGGTAATCTCCCCATATCAAGGACAACTTTAACACATCTACAAAGTCCCTTTTTCCTTGGAAGGTAACGCATTCACAGGTTCCAGGAACTAGGTCATGGACATCCTTGGGGAGCCATCATCTGCCTACTACAATCAGTAAACCAGGGAGTTTACGAAGGTTTTCTAGACCCTGACATAGTTTGCGTTAAATTGGAATTTTTTTACTTTTTAGTATATTTGGTCAAACTTACCAGTGAAGCTACAAGAGCCTTGAAATTTTTTAGAGGAATTTTTATTGCTATTTATACTACTCAAGATAATAGGTTATTCTGTAGTAAATGGTTTATTTCCTGCTCATGTCACACTTGGCTGGAGGTTGGATGATCTTCTTGTGGCTATCCTTGAAGCTGCCACTCAGTGATGCAGATTTCCTCCAAAAAGGGGAAAAAATATGCATGAATAGTAGAATGGAGTAATAAATTATTCTATATTTATGCTTTGGAATGATAGCAAAGAAAATGAGCAAACGAGAACTACATGCAACAGCATAGGTGATTCTTACAATGCCATGCAATAAGCAAAAAATGAAGAAATTATACAGGATTATTTCACTCATATGAAGCTCAAAATCAGGCAAAACTATATTTTTCAGGGTTCCATAAACAAGAGGTAAAAGTAAAACATGATAGTAAGTACAAAAATTAAGGACATTGGTTACTCTAGCTTTAAAGAATATTTAGATCCCTTGAAGTTCAAAAACCCTGTCTTTAAAGTTATCTTTTACCAAGTCTCTCTTAAATTTTGATTATTACTATCAGAAGTTTCTCCTTGCCTTGAGAATGGAGTGGACCTTACAGGCATATTTCCCAAAAGAAGAGAAAACATCTATTAAATTATTTTAAGCAGCACTACATACTAGAAGACAGTTATTAATATGGAAAATGGCTTTGAAATAGGTGGAGGCAGAAACAAATTGCTTTTTCTAAGCCCTCACCTGTTAGGTTAAGATGAAGTTGTCCTTCTATTTCAATGGTCAAAAGTGCTCAGTGAGCTTGGCCAACATGGCAAAACTCCGTCTCTACTAAAAATACAAAAAAATTAGCCAGGCATAGTGGCGGGCACCTGTAATCCCAGCTACTCGGGAGGCTGAGGCAGGAGAATCGCTTGAACCCAGGAGGCAGAGGTTGTGGTGAGCCAAGATCGCGCCATTGCACTCCAGCCTGGGGAACAAAATGAGACTCCGTCTCAAAAAAAAAAAAAAACAAACAAACAAACAAAAAAAAAAACAAAAAAACTCAGTGAATTCACTTTGATTTCCTAATTCTGTGTGTCCGTGAATACACTTGTGCAAATATGCACATATGGCTTATTCCAGGGAGTGCCTTTCACACACAATATGATGTGAATTGTTCCCCTGTGAAATCACGTGTTTGTATTTGTGTGGGTGTGCATGTATAAATTGTCATATGCATCTTAGTCATTTGTAGATCTTTCATCAGTAATTCTGAAGTTTCAATCCACACTCTTTTTTAACTTTTATTTTAGATTCAGGGATACGTGTGCAAGTTTGTTATATAGATAAACTCATGTCATGGGGGTTTGGTATACAGATTATTTTATCACTCGGGTACTGAACTTAATACCCAATAGTTATTTTTTCTGTTTATCTCCCTCCTCCAACCCTTCACCCTCAAGTAGGGCCCAGTGTGTGTTGTTTCCCTTTTAGTGTCCACGTGTTCTCATCATTTAGCTCCCACTTATAAATGAGAACATGCAGTATTTGGTTTTCTGTTCCTGTGTTAGTTTGCATAGGATAATGGCCTCCAGTCACATCCATGTTCCTGCAAAAGACATGATCTCTTTCTTTTTTATGGCTGCATAGTATTCCATGGTGTATACCACATTTTCTTTATCCAGTCTACCATCAATGGGCATTTAAGTTGTTTCTGTGTCTTTGCCATAGTCAATAGGGCTGCAGTGAACATATGTGTGCATGTGTCTTTTTGGTCTAACAATTTATATTCCTTTGGGTACATACCCAGCAATGGGACTGCTGGGTCAAATGGTAGTTCTGTTTTTAGCTCTTTGAGGAATTGCCACACTGATTTCCACAATGATTGAACTAATTTACATTCCCACCAACGGTGTATAAGCATTCCCTTTTCTCCACAATGTTGCCAGCACCTATTTTTTTTTTTTTTTTGACTTTTTGTTAATAGCCATTCTGACTGGGGTGAGATGGTATCTTATTGCAGTTTTGTCAATCCTCATTCTTTAATAATCACAGTCAAAATAACCATAGTTTAAAATAGCCAAAGAACAAATTGAAAAGGGTGCATTGACACTTTACAATTAATGCAGCCAAGTTTGTGGTTCTGTGGTTGGTTGGCTACAATTATACAGAGATATAGATGGTGTTTTCTTCATTGCCCCAAAGCCACCAGTTTTCAAAATGTTTTCTTTGGAATTCTGATAATCTCCAAGTTATTATTATATATTTCATGAGCAGAAATAAAAGTGGCTTTGATTCAAAGTAATTAGGGGAAAGGGTTAAACAATATAAACAGTTGCCTCAACCACTTGTAGTCTTCATTATGCTCAGTGCATTTTACCTCTCCAAGTAAGGATACAAGATTCAGCCTTTCTAAACTTATATGTGCTTTTGGCTTGGAATTGCCACCCAGACTAGTGATCCTTAGACAATTTTGATGGTAACACCTGTCAACAGAGCCAAAATAGTAAAGCAACTACAAAGACCTCATTGGCTTACTTTACCTAACCCTTCCCAATTTTTACTGAAAAGAAGAAATATCAATGGAATTGCATGAGAAACATAATACTTTGATTCATTTTATGGTTCATCAGCAGACTTTCATGGCCTACCATAGACATACCTGAGGAACACTACCCTGGATCATATCATTTTCTTTTAAATATTTAAATGGCTACAATTTCATGGAATCCATTGTAAAGATGTAAACTTAGTCTGAATAGTTGTTTAGGTCATCCTAAGTGCAATAAATTATAACCAGCTACACAGAATAAAAACACCTTTTCTCTCTTTAATAACTGTAATCTGTTATCTACAGAACTAACTCTTGACTTTAAGAATAGTATTTCCATAATCATCTATAATTAAGTCAAAAAATTTAGGATTATTTTGCAAGTATGCATGCTGCCAAAAAAGCCACACCATTTAAGAATTAAGTATCTCACAAGCCATTTATGGATGAGGGTTTATTTTTACCCCATGGTTGGAGTTATTTGCCTTCAAAATAACTGAACTCAATAACCCCATAGAGCATCAAAGGGGGGAAGTGTTTCCATATGTTAAATAACAACCTTCTAAGGAACATGACATAAATGACTGGGTTGTGGGGGCTACTTAAACCACATGTTAGTCATCTCCAGCAACAGCCAGGAAACCATGCCTGTGTTGCAAGACAAGTGAGTAGAGCATTGAAATATAGCATGTGTGGCCTTCAGGCTTCAGAACTATTTTCATGATTATGTGCCATCCTTGCTCTTAATCTCTTCCTTGGATTCACATGGGCTGTGCTCTCAGGGGAACTAAAGCAGAAGTGTCACTCAAGGCCAAATGCAGCCACAGCTTACTTACAAACCACCAAGGGCAGACGTGACTTAGCCAGATGAAATGTTTTCTCTGCAATTAGCTTCAGCCAGTTCCTCTTGTCCTCCATCACCCCCTCCCTATTCACACTCTGGATATTTATCCTTTGAGAGTCACCTGTTAGCAACCGCATGGCCATTCGGTCTCCGGTCAGGAACAAGCTGCTGCTATGATCACAATGTGCTTAAACCAGAAATAAATGTGAGTTACCAAGAAATTCCTTAGCCTAAGAACAAATGGGTCTGTAATAATTAACTGGAAATGGTCTTTTTTTTATTTTTTAAGTTTATTCTTGGAATGGCTGGAACTCTTTCTCACTATTAACTATTGAAAATAATGCTTAGATCCCATTGGCATCCTCACATTCTCTATCTTTAGCTTCAGCCACTGATGTGGTGATCACTTCTACACAGGCTTCTATCATCTTCATACAAACGTAGTCTGAAATTGTCTGTCTTACCTGCAAGCTCTCTCTTTCCTTCTCTGCTAGAACGTCTCTGACATTTTTCTTTTTTCTACTTTGAAATCATTTCTAGTTGAAGTTTTGTTCTCAGAAATATCCCTAATGTATGTGTGTATGTGTAGTTGTGTATCAAATACCCATTGGTATATGATTACTTGCAAAAAAATTCAAATCATTCAGAAAAGTTCTAAGAAGTAAATAACTTCTAATCCCGTGGCTTTAATCCTTTGATCAATTCCTCTTAAAACCACCACTCTCAAAACAATCTATTTTGACTTCTAAACCTATGTTATCAGCCTGAATCTTGCTCCTGTAGTCCATGTGTTTTCTATTGCTAATGAGCATCTCTAGGTGATTAATGCAGGAACTCACACTCAACACAGGTACGGTTAAGCTGGTTATTTTCCTCACATTTGTGTCCCTGTCTCAGTTGACAGTTTATATACTCTACACCTGTCATTCCTAGGTTACTTCTCCTCCCTCACTTCCCACCGCCATGCACTTATCAAGTCCTGTGAATTCTATCTCATCCCATCTCCACCATCCATTTGTTTCTCCCAGCATTACTACTACAAAGTGTGGCCCTGGCTATCTATTTTGTAAGACCCACAAAACAGTCTCCTCAGTTCCTCAGTTGTGTCCTTGCATGCAGCCTCAGCCTGTAGTCCATGTGTAGATCCTTGTCCAGAAGGTTGATTTTAAAACAAAAGTCTGTGGCTGGTGGTGTTCTGCTAAAGCCTTCAGTGGTCTTTTATCCCAGCAAGCAAAAGCTCCAGTCCTGTCCACTTTCTGAGATAGGCCCCTTGTTGATTGCACGGTTCCAGGCACATCTCATATTGCACTGTGTCCGCTTAACATATCCTGGGCTTCGGTCATGTCAAAACCTTACAACTTCCCCAGATAAACAATTCTGCTTTAAGCACAATTCAATAGAAATATAATACAGTCCACAAATACTACTAGTCACTTATATAATTTTAATTTTTTTAATAACCACATCAAAAAACTAAGAAGAAATAGGTAAAATTAATTTTAATAATATATTTAACCCAATACACCCAAAATGTTATGATTTTAACATGTAATTTAAGAAGGATCGAGCCTTTGATACTTTGATCACGTTATCAAGCATGAAGAAAAAAATGAAAATCAGGACAGAATCTTGCTAGAGGGAGAAGGAAGGGGAACAGAAAAGGGAAGGAGCATCTATTTTTTAGAGACTTCTGGAGACAGTGGAAAAGAAGACAGTGATGGTGCTGGAGAAGCAATACTCAGGGGGCATCCAGAGAACTGGAAAGGGTGCTCCTGTGGAATCCAGCAAGTACATTGGTTTGAAAAAACAAAGTAGTGAGTAGATTCAAGTGCCTGATAGGTCATCTTGGGCTCTGAGAAGTGGCCACTGGCTGTGGCCATCAGTAACCACAAAATGAACGGTTTGGGAGCGTGGGGGTTGGAAGTCAAACTGCAACGGGCTGAGAGCAAATAGGAAGAGGCGGTTAAAAAGGCAAAAAGAAGACACGGCACAGCTGGAGAAGAGAGGATGGAGGAAGGGTGTGTCACTATTTTTCATACAAGAGACAATATTTCCTGCAGGAAAGGATGCAGTAGAGAGAAGATATTGAGAGGAAAGGCACTCCCTCTATATGGGATGAGGGCAACATGAATTCAGATGAAGGCAAATGTATAGGCAGGGTTCTCACACCTGGCAGCCTCAAACTCCCAGGCATCGCCTCTGTTGGAGGGAGGGCTCGGGAGTGGGCTGGAGGACTGGAAGCATTAACCAACAGATTTTGAAATCTTTATAGGGAAGCAAGAAACCCTTGAGAATTGTTAACATTCTGAAGTCTCAACACATTTATTTTGCCCTGTTCATCATTAGTCTACAAATATTTCTTGTACTCCAGCTTCTACCTAACATTTTTCTGGAAAACCTCTCATTCTAGCCTCTATTTAGCTAATACTAATAAGCCTTGCGCACCTCAATATCTGAGTTATGCACACATTGTTCCCAAGACTTCAAAGGGAGCTTGAAACACAGAAGAGACTCATTAAAGTCCATACTAAAGTATATGATGGATATGTCCATACTAAAGACTCATTAAAGTCCATACTAAAGTATATGATGGATATGTCCATACTAAAGACTCATTAAAGTCCATACTAAAGTATATGATGGATGTGGGGAAGGAAGGGCAGCAATGGAAAATTGACTCGCCTTTTGAAGAAGAGCTGCCTCCCTACCTTATTCCTCCTGCAAAATAGACTCCAAATGAATTTAAAAATTTTCAACATTAAAAAGACTCCATAAAATTAGTAGAAGAAAACATTAATAAATATGTTCTGTATAGCCTTGGGTCTTTCTAACTTCTTATTAAAAATTACATAAATTATAAAGTCTGTACAGACTTTAAACTTCTGTATAGTATAAACAAAACAAAACAAAAATCAGTAACAACTCAGAAACAAGGATGAAGAAAAAACAGAAAAATTTCAACTATTTTACTGAAAAAAATAAAAATGAAGAAAAATATCTAATAACTACATGATATTAACAAGAAGCTCGCCTCAAAAAATAATAAATGGCCAATGGAAATGAAAACAATGTAACTCCAGTGTCACTAGCAATCAGAGAAATGCAAATTAAAAACTAATAAGGATTTTCCCACCAACTACATTGGCAAAGTTTTAAAAAGAGTTATAAAATCCAGTGCTTATAAAGATATGATATTGAAGGTACATTGACAAGTGGAAAGGGATAATGCTACAATTCTTCAGAAGGGTTGGCCAATTATATCAAATTATACAATTGTTAAATCTGTACATTCTTTGACCCAGAAAGTTCAAATTCACTGCTAGGAATTTGCTCTGAAGAAAATAATGCGCAAGTCTGTTTGTTGAAGCATTGTTTATAATAACTTAAAAAATGGAAATACCTTACATAGCCACTGATTGGAAACAACTGATAAAAATTGTTGCATATACATACAATGAAATAAGTAATCAATAAAATGATGTTGGATATAGACCAATTTATTGACTTGAAAAGATAGTCATTATTTCATGTTTAAAACAATCAGTTGAGAAAGCAGCATGAATTATGACCTCATTTACATAAAATTACACACACACACACACACACACACACACACACACACATCCAGATACAGAAAGAAAGATGATATCTGGAAGAATGTTCAACAAAATGTAAACCATATCTATCTCTGAGCCATGGGATTAGACGTTATTTACTTCATAGAACTTTTCTGAATGATTTTAATTTTTTGCAAATAATAATATACAAAAGTGTATTTGATACACAACTACACATACACACATACATTGGGGATTTTCTGAAAACAAAACTTCAATTGGAAATGATTTCAAAGTAGAGAAAAGAAAAATGTCAGAGAAGTCCTAGCAAAGAAGGAAAGAGAGTTTGTGGGCAAGGCAGACAATTTCAGGCTACGTTTGTATGTAGATGATAGGAGCCTATGTAGAAGAAATCACCACATCAGTGGCTGAAACTAGAGACAGAGGATGCCAAGAGGACTTAAATGGTGCAGACAACAAGCCTGACACATTCTATCTCTTGCACTGCAAATCCATGCATATCCTCCAAGATTACAATATGGTTTTCCATTTTTATGGAACAAGAGGACCTCGCTTCTTTTATGAGAGGAAGGGAAAAGCTTAAAACAGTCAAAGTAGCCATCAAGGTACTACTGGCAAATGCAATATCAGAAAAGACATGATGCAAGAAGCCTCTAAATGTAGTAAGACTAGAACTGTTGATTACAGTGCTGCAGCTTGTCCCAAGGCTAGAGCTGATATTCATTGTCACCTTCGTCTGCTATGCATATTAGATTTCCCTCTGTAGCCCTTCACGTGGTCTGGATTGCATGCCTAATAGATGAGCCAGACCTTCGGGCCTGAAGCATATGAGCCATGAGTTGACTTTCTCTTGTTGGGCTGTTTGGTGCAACTGCCCATTCACCATTTTCACTAAGCATGAAAGATTCTGTGACTCCTCTGGGTTCTGGGTATACTCTTTCCTGCCACCCTCGTGTAGCACAAACCTACCTCTTCACAGAAATCAGGGTCAATTACCCTATTTACAAATGTATACACCATTATAATAATATGGTTTGGCTGTGTCCCCACCCAAATCTCATCTTGAATTTAGTGCTCATAATCCCTATGTGTTGTGGGAGGGAGCAGGTGGAAGTAATTTAATCATGTGGGAGGTTACCCTCATGCTGTTCTCATGATAGTGAATGAGTTCTCACGATAGTGAGTGAGTTCTCACGAGAGCTGATGGCTTTATAAAGGGTTTTTCCCCCTTTTGCTCTGCACTTCTACTTGCTGCCACCATGTGAAGAAGGACATGCTTGCTTCCTCTTCTGCCATGATTGTAAGTTTCCTGAGGCCTCCCCAGCCATGCTGAACTGTGAGTCAATTAAACCTCTTTCCTTTATAAATTACCCAGTCTCTGGTATGTCTTTATTAGCAGTGTAAGAATGGACTAGTACAATAATCTACTGCCTAAGGAGGACATAGAAAGTTTTTTTTAAATAATTTTCCATAATCCCAGAAAATTATCCTGTGCCCTTTTCTATTCAATCCCCATTTCCAGAAGAAATCACTATTCTGTTGTCTATCAATATAGGTTTTTTTGCTCATTCATTAACTCAATATAAATGGATTCATAGATAACATAATCTGTGCTTATATCATTTTGCTAAGTATGTATCTTTGTGATTCATTCATATGGTTGCATGTATCAGTAGTTCCTTTCATTTTAATAACTGTAGTATCCCATTGTATAGATACACAAATGGTTTATCTATTCTACTAAAGAAGGATACTTGAGTTGTTCACAGTTTCTAGCCATTATGAATAAAGCTACTATGGACATTTGTGAATCTATATTTTCATGTCTCACATAAAAATCTAGAATTGTTATGTAATAAGGTAAATGTTTAATTGTCTAAGTAAATGCCAGCTTTCCAACATGAATGTACATTTTAGTGCTCTGATCAGCAATGTATGAGAATTCTAATTTCTCTACACTCTCACTGAAAGCTGCTGTTATTAGTTGTTGTTGTTTTTTTGTTTTCTTTGCTTTGTTTTGTTTTGTTAGCCACTCTAGATGTGAAGCGGTATTTCACAACAGTTTTCCTGGTGACTAAGTATGTTGAGCACATTTTTATTCATTTATTGGTCATTTATATATGTATATTTTTTGAAGAATCTTTTCAAGTCTTTTGCCCATTTGTTAAACTGGGGGTATTTATCTTTTTAGTCTTAAGTACGAAAGTTCTGTATGTATTTTATCTTTGTTTGTTTGTTTTTGAGACAGGGTCTTGCTCTGTCACCCAGGCTGTGCAGTGGTGCCATCACAGCTCACTGCAGCCTCAACGTCCTGGGCTCAAGCTACCCTCCCACCTCAGCCTCCAGAGTACCTGAGAACACAGGAATGTGCCACCACACTGGGCTAATTTTTTTATTGTTGGTAGGGATGGGGTCTTGCTATGTTGCCCAGGCTGGTCTCGAACTCCTGGACTCAAGCAATCCACCTGCCTCCCAAAGTATAGGCATAAGCCACCATACCTGGCCTCTTTATGTATTTTAGATAAAATCCTTTGAAAGATCTATTATAAACAATTTTATAATCTCTGGCTAATCTAGTAATGTTCTTGTTGGCATCATCTGTTGAACACAGATTTTCATTTTGACATTGTTCAATTGATCAATTTTTGGCTTTTAAGATTACCGTTTTCTGGCTGAGCATGGCTGCTCACTCCTGTAATCCCAGCACTTTGGGAGGCTGAGGTGGATGGATCACTTGAGGCCAGGAGTTTGAGACCAGCCTGGCCAACATGCTGAAACTCCATCTCTACTAGAAATACAAAAAGTTAGCCAGGCATGGTGGCTTACCTCTATAATCCCAACTACTCAGGAGGCTGAGACACAAGAATCACTTGAACCCAGGAGGTGGAGATTGCAGTGAGCTGCGATTGTGCCACTGCACTCCATCCTGAGCAACAGAGTGAGACTCTGTCTCAAAAAAAAAAAAAAAAGCTGTTTTCTACTTGTAATTCTTGCCAAGATAGAGGAAAAAAGACTGCATTTACTTGCCTTCCTGAGTTAACTTTAAAAATGGAAAACATATATGACACACAGTTCTCAAGACCCTGAATATCAGGCGACAAAACCCAGTAATCACTGAGAGACAGGAAACAGAGGAGTTGAGCCTGAGGACTGTCCCAGGTTACTGCCTTGACAGAGTTCCTTGGGAATACAGATGCAAAACTTTAAAACAATAATTTAGAAAATCCCAGCCAACAATATTTAAAAAGGATAGTAAATCATGACCAAATGAAGTTTATCCAGGAATTCAAGGTTAGTTTATTCTACAAAAAGTAATCAATATAATTCACCATATTTACAAACTTAAAAAGAAAAACCACATGATTATCTCAACAGATGCAGAAAAATCATTTAGCAAAATCCAAAATCTATTCTTTGTTAATACTTTCACTAAACTAGAAATAGAAGGGACTTCCTCAAACTTATAAAAAGACATCTATTAAAAGTTTAAAACTAATATCTTTCTTAATGGCAAAAGACTGTTCTCAATCTCTATATTAAACATTGTACCAAGGGTTGTAACCAGCAATCAGTAATTTAAAATTAAAATTAACAAGAAATACCACTTACATTGGTATCAGAAAATGTAAAATGCATTAGGATAAATCTGAATCTGACAAAATACATAAAAGACCTGTATACAGACCTATAAAACATTGCTGAGAGAAATTAAGAGACATAAATAAATGCAGAATGTTCATTTGTCAGAAGTCTAACACTTTTTTGAGACTTTGTTATTGACACAACAGCTTCTGAAATGTTTTTCACAGAGAGTATAGGGGCTTTTATCGATTTTTGGCTTTTAAGATTACTGACAAGACTATTATTGTCAATGATCCCCAAATTGATCTATAGATTAAATACAATACAATCAAAATCTCAGCTCACATTTTTGTAGAAATTGACAACCTATTCTAAAACTCATATGGAAATGTAAAGGACCTGGAATAACCAAAACAACTTTGAAAGAGAAGACCAAATATAGTGTACTCACACTATCTGATTTTAAAACTTATTATAAAGCTACAGCAATTGGGATATTGCGGTATTGATGTAAAAATCAATAAATACATCAATGGAACAGAATAGAGAATCCAGAGACTCACACATATATTGACTAATGGTTCTCAGCAATTTGTTCAGGTAATTCAGCAGAGAACAAATGATGCTTAAAAAATTACATATCTATAGGCCAAAAAGCCCCAAAACCTTCTATCCATACCATTCATCATCTTCAAAAATTAACTCAAATAGCTCACAGTCTTAAATGTAAAATCCAAAAGCTTCTATGAGAAAAACACAGAAAAAAAAATCTGTGTGACCCTGAGTTAGGAAAAATCTTATTGGGTATGACACCAAATATATGATCCATAAAAGAAAAAGAAAGATGACTTTAACTCCATCAATACTAAAACTTCTGTTCTTCAAAAGATACCATTAGGCCCAGAGCTGGGACACGGCAAACCCATCAGCCGCCCCTCTCCAACATGTGCCCAGTCCCCCTCAGGGCCCGAAAGGCCACTGTCACCCCCATGGGAGTCCAGCGCCTCCTGCTGAAGAACTCGACAAGATGGCAGCTCCAAGGGCAGATGGAGGCCAAGTCACTCTGCTCATTTCCAGAGGCTAGGAGGCTGCCTTTCTAATGTGACCATCCACTCGCTCTGGCCCTCACTGTCACAGTGGCTGGCACCACTCTGGGCCTGCTGCCCACACAGACTGTGGGGATGAGGGAGCAGGACCCAGGCTGTCCTCACGCCTGTCTTGGAAAGAGCAGGGCTGAGTGCAGGAGTGTGATTCCCCAGGAGGTGCTCATCCCAGCAGCTTCAGGCTCTCGTCCTCATCAGTTCTGCACCTGCTGCAACAAATGGCATGGCCAGGCACACGATAATGTTGGAAGAAACCTCTATAGAGGAGAAAGACACCACAGGCAGGCCGTGGTCCAGACAGCCACTGCAGAGCAGATGGGGCCTGCGCCCCTTCAATTTGGCCAAAGAAGCCCCCATAGTCTACACAAAAAAAATTTCCAGAAGCTGTTGTTGTTGCCAAACCAAGCGGAGGATAGGGCTGCTATTTCTTTCGGCCCAATAACGAGATGCAGATGAGCTGGGGAAGAAGAGAGTTTTTAATTCTGTAACTGCTTACAGGGAGAAGGCCTGGAAATTATAGCCAGACTAACTCAAAATTACAAAGTTTTCCAGAGCTTATATACCTTCTAAGTTCTATGTCTACGTATAAGTGTGCATTCATCTAAAGACATAAGTGATTAACTTCTTAAAATCTATAACTAAGGTCTGAGGGTCTGAGTCTTGAAGACCTTCCTTTGGAGCCTCAGTAAATTTGCTTAATCTAAATGGATCCAGGGCTGGGGTGATTACCCTTATCTTGTCTCCTGCTATATTATGACGGTTTGGGGAGTTCGTTCACACCTCAATAAACTTGTTTGTGGAGGCCTGGGGAGTTTATTCAGACCACAATAAAACTTGTTTAATCCTAAATGGGTCCTGTTAATAATTCCCTTGTGATTTTGTTATGCTTTAAGGCCAAGGAAAGCCCTAGGCAAAACTCTTGGTGGGCTTTTGTTACATTCCAGCTTTTGTATAAGGGCACTGACTTTTAATATTTAACCTAGCCATTCAGTCAGTACTGAAACAGTTGTTATGGAGGCCTGCATTAGTAAGACTTGGCCTGCACATTTTGTCAATAACAAAATCTCAAAAACAAACAAACAAAAATCCATAAACACACACACACACAAAATCATCAACACTAAAAATCATTCTTGAGTGTGATTTGCAAACTAGAGTCTGAGTCTGCAGAGGCATTCCAGGAACAAGATACCACCCTCATATCCAGATCCATATGTCCTATCCATCATGCCAGGGAAAATGTTCCATTCACCATGGCACAAGAGTTGTAGCAGGAGTTTTCCTATTCATCTGCTTCTACCCTTTAATAGAAAATAACTTATCAGTCCTCAGCTTCTGCTTCTGGTTTCAGAGTTCTCTCTGTGTTGGAGGGGTTTTAATGCTAGAGGGGCTTTGACCCACTTACTTCTATTCACAGTTCTGAATATGGAGGTCAAGAGGGGAAAGTGACATGTTCCAAGTCAGAGTCAAAAAGAAAACAAACAACAACGGACCCCCTAGTGTATAGTGGGCATTGGTGAGCTACGGGGGCTATGGAGGTGATGAAAACACTGTCCCTTCTTTAAGGAGCTCAATCTAGCAGGGGGGACAGACTCTTTGTAGGCAGGAACAGTCTTCCCTGCCACAGAAGGAAACTTGCAATCAGGGTAATGAGCCCCACCAGGGACAGGCCACCATGCTGCCCTGAGAGGATCATGTGTGGACACAGGGCTGTGGCAAGGCCTTGCCTTGACTCTCTAGCTGTGCTATAGGGCCAAGTGGGGCCAGGAGTGGCCTGAGGAAGTGGTAGCCAGGAGCTCTATCTACCTCTCCAGGGCCCTGCATAAGTAATGTCATTTCTATTTGCACAGCAAAATCAGACACATAGGTTTCTAGAACACGAGATGCCTCCTCTCCCCCTGGCCCAGGAGACGGTCTATGCTGGTTGGTGAGCCTTTGTTTGTGTTACAGTCAGAACACTCCACAGAGTTCCAAGTGGTCAATTGTGACCCACAGGCCACTGGCAAGTGGAGGAAGAGCTGTGGAGCCCTCGGGAGCCACAAAGGGCCTGCTGCCCACCACACAATGCCTGTGCAGCTGCTGCTGGCCCCCCTGTGGGCAGCAGTGCTAGTGATATACAGAATCCTGGGACTAGTGCCAGCGACCCTATGGATACCCTGGGTGGTCTGGGCATGCATTGCTGTGGTGGCCTTTATGGTCAGGAGATGACATGCAGTAAGAAGAAGGGAGGAGCCAGCACAAAGGGATTCAGCCCAGGGTGAGGTCCATGAAAAGGCCAGAGCCAAAATGCAGCCAGCACCCCAGGCCAGTGCTGGCCTCATGTCACCCAGGCTGGGGGCCAGTTCTTGATCACCCCAAACCCTCTGCTTGAGGGTTCTCAAGGAAATGAGCAGTTCTTCCCATCGGGACCTAGGTGAACTGAAAAGAGCAGGAAAAAGCAGGCCTCCTGAACTTCCTCGAGTGACTGATCCAAGGCACTTCCTGCATCCTTCACTGCATCATGGAGAAGATATTCGGAGGTGAAGCATGAATGATCTGAATGACCACACTGACTGTCAGCAACCTGCAGAGCTGCCTGACTAAGAAATCTGAGACTGAAGCAACGCTTGCAGACAAAGAAGGAGAAGAGACAGAAAGGCCAGAGCAGGTCAAGGCAGGAATCAAACACACCACAAATGTTGGAGTGAGGTGACTGACCTCCCTGACCCACACCCCACCGAGTGCCCTGCATCTACTCCAGGGCAGTAGAGACCACATGGAGGATGAGGACTTAGCAGTGGAGGGAAACATGAAATCAGGACATGGTGGTTCCCCAGCGTCCCAGCCACAAGTCCCTCTGAAGAGTGTGGATGACGATGGTGACTTAAGTTCATCTTTCAAATGTCCTGAGGGGGAGACTGGAGTAGCAGACATGCAATTGTGGGAAGAATTCCAAAGGAGTACAGAACGCACAGCACAAGTTCAAAATGTTGATCAGCGAGCGAGCCTCTCTGCAGTGTGCTAGGGCACCGCAGGGGAGGGAGCTCACAAAGCTGCAGCTGGGGCTTCCTGCTGTGCCTGAACTACACCGAGAATGCATGATGGGACCTCATCAGGAGTCCATGGAGGAGAACACCTACTACCGGGACCTTGACCAGAGACTTTACAAGGTGCACTAATAGTTTAACTGTGTGTTACACTCGTGACCACTGCAAGAAGATGGCCCAAGACCTGGCCCAGGAATAGAGGAAAAACACTTCCAATTTTCAGAGGGAGATCTTCTTCCTTGAGAAAATGGCCCAGAAAGGCTGGATGGCTGCCATGTCTATGGAGAGAGCACTCCAGGTGCTCTTGTTACTGGTAGTTAGACAGGTATAAGCTGGGCAAGAGAGGGCTCTCCCACCCACTAGGAATGTAAGATAATGGTTCAGCAATTATGACATTGCCTCTCTAAAAGTGATAAATTGGCAGCTGGCACCAGGGAGAGGCCATTTCCTGATGGTCCACAGCCATTGCACTAAAATGTTAATTGAACACAGGGCGCCAGGGAGAAGCACCTTCGTGGGCATGCGCATTGAGAGACAAAATGGCAGAGTATGACCTCCTAGGGGCACTCCACTGGAAAAGGGAAGAAGCCTCAGATGGGCATGTGTATGACTTCATAAACACACTGTGCATGCTCACTTCCCAAGGGTAAGAGGGGCACTGCGCATGTGGTCAGCCCACCCTAAGGGAAGTATCCTGGGAAAGGAGCCAGCCTATAAAGTCCTAGGATCACTGTTAAATGTTGCACTTGTTCAAGTTACCCACTTGGGTCTCTTCTAAGCGTACTTTCCTTTCCTTTCTTTCCTGTTCTAAAGCCTTTTTCTATAAACTTTCACTCCTGCTCTGAAACTTGCCTCAATCTCTGTTTCTGCGTTGTGCCCCTCAGTTGAATTCTTTCTTCTGAGGAGGCAAGAATTGAGGTTGCTGCGGACCCATACAGATTCACCACCAGTAGCTCAGATACCTTCCACCAGTAACACTCTGGAAAGAAAACAGGCAGAAGCCCACTGACTGTGGGGTCAGGTTCTGGCCTTTCCCAACAGGCTTTTTGGCTCCTGGGGCTCTGCCCACAGCCCATAGGGGCTCAGAAGTACCAGGGGGACCATGGGCCACCAGGGCCCCCAAGAGGAAGGCAGGTCATGATGGGAGGGCTTGGGTCCAGAGCACCTGCTGGTTTGATTCTGTTTTCCCTGTAGCTGGGTCCTGAATGCCCACAGACTCATAAAACGTTAATGTAGCTACTATTCATTAGTTGATGCTGAAGTTGCTGTCATTGAAGTTTGACAGATAGCATTAGGATTGTAAGGTATTGTTTTTCAGATAAAGATTGTTTAACATAATTCTTACAAATACATTATTTCCACATCTCTGGGCCATTCAGAACTATGTAAGTACTGTATTATATTTTCGTTTAGAGAAAGGGCCCCTCTTACCTCAATATCATTGTGTCTGATATAGATGGGAAGGTTTAAAACAAAGCCAATTTCTAATCTGTGAGCTGTTATTATAAAACAATACAGTAGGCTGGGCACGATGGTGGCTCATGCCGGTAATCCCAGCACTTTGAGAGGCAGAGGCAGGTAGATCACCTGAGATCAGGAGTTCGAGACTGGCCTGACCAATAAGGTGAAACCCCATCTCTACTAAAAATACAAAAATTAGCCAGGCGTGGTGGCATAAGCCTTTAGTCCCAGCTACTAGGGAGGGTGAGACAGGAGAATTGCTTGAACCCGGGAGGTGGAGGTTGCAATGAGCTGAGATCGTGTCACTGCACTCCAGCCTGGGTGACAGAGCAAGACTCCATCTCCAAAAAAAAAAAAAAAGAAAGAAAGAAAAGAAAAGAAACTGATACAGTAAATTGACCAGAATAAACTTTGGTTTAAAAACAAAACAAAACAAAATACCATGAAGAGAATAAAAAGACTAGCCACAGACTGGGAAGAAATATTTGCTAATTATCTACCTGGTAAAGGACTTGTATCTAACATATATAAAGATTGTTCAAAACTCAAAATAAGAAAGCAGCCCAAATGAAAGTGGGCAAATATTTAAACAGACACTCCACCAGAAAGAACATATGAAAGGTAAATCATCACCTGTACATATGCTCAACATCATTAGTCACTAGAAAATTGCAAATTAATACCACAATGGGATACCACTACACACCTATTAGAATGGCTAAGACTGAAAAGACTGGGCATGCCAGGTGTTAGCTAGAAGGTAGAGAAACTGGAACTCTCAAAAACTGCTAATGAGAATATAAAATGGTACAACCATTTCACATAAAAAGTTTGAGATTACAGCAACTCATAACAGAACAACGCTGTTACAAAGAAGGAGAAAACAACAGCTAATTTCTCTGCCTGCAACACCCTGGCTAACCAGAGGTCCTGAGTCTGTCCATGTGACAACTTCACTGCTAGCATAACCAGTATTTGAGAAAACCTGTGTGCTAAACAAAACTACAACCAAGGACTTCCACAGAGTCCACTTCACTCCCCTGCCACCTCCACCAGAACAGGTGCTGGTATCCATGACTGAAAGACTTGAAGATGAATCACATCACAGGACTCTGCTGACATTCCCCAGCACCAGCCTGGAGCCCAGTAGCCCTGGTAGGTGGCTAGACCCAGAAGGGCAATAACAGTCACTGCAATCTGGCTCTCATGAAGCCCTATCCCTAGAGAAGTGGGGAGGGCACCACATCAAGGGATCACCCCATGGGACAAAATAATCTGAACAGCAATGCTTGGGTTTCAGATCTTTCCACTGAAACAATCTACCCAAACGAGAAGGAACTGGAAAAGTAATTCTAGTAATATAACAAAACAAGGTTCTATAACACCCCCAAAAGAGCACACTAGCTCTCCAGCAATAACTCCAAACCAAGAAGAAATCTCCAAATTGCCAAATAAACAATTCAGAAGGTTGATTATTAAGCTACTCAAGGCACCAGAGAAAGGTGAAAATCAACTTAAATAAATTTTAAAAAAACAGGATATAAATGAAAAAGTCTCCAGAGAAATACACATTATAAAGAAAAGACAATCACTTCTGAAAAAGAAAGACACACTTAGAGAAATGCAAAATACACTGGAAACTTTCAACAATATAACTGAACAAGTAGAAGAAAGAATTTCAGAGCTTGAAAGCAAGGCTTTTGAATTAACCCAATCTGACAAAGACAAGGAAAAAAGAATTTTAAAAAATGAACAAAGCCTCCAAGAAAGTTGAGATTATATTAAGCAACCAAACATAAGAATAATTTGTGTTCCTGAGCAAGAAGAGAAATCTGAAAGTTTGGCAAACTTCTTTGAAGGAATAATTGAAGAAAACTTCCCTGGTCTCGCTAGAGATTTAGACATCCAAATACAAGAAGCTGAAAGAGCACCCAGGAAACTCATCACAAAAAGATCATTACATAGGCACATAGTCATCAGGTTACTTAAAGTCAAGATGAAGGAAAGAATCTTAAGAGCTGTGAGGCAAAAGCATCAGGTAACCTATAAAGGAAAACATATCATATTAATAGCAAATGTCTCAGCAGAAACCCTGCAAGCCAGAAGAGACTGGGGTCTTATCTTTAGCCTCCTTAAGTAAAATAATTATCAGCCAAGAATTTTGTATCCAGCAAAACTAAGCTTCATAAATGAAGGAGAGATAAAGTCTTTTTCAGACAAACAAATCCTGAGAGAATTCACCACTACAAAGCCAACACTACAAGAAATGCTAAAAGGAGTCCTAAATATTGAAACAAAACCTTAAAATACACCTAAGCAGAAACCCCTTAAAGCATAAATGTCACAGGACTTATAAAACAATTACACAGTGAAAGAAAAAAAAAAACAACAAGATATTCAGGCAGCAACTAACAGGATGAATGTAACAATACCTCGCATCTCAATATTAATGTTGAATGTAAAATGGCCTAAATATTCCACTTAAAAGATACAGAATGGCAGAATGGATTAAAAAAAAAAACACTAACCAAATATTCGCTGTCTTCAAAAGACTCACCCTAACACATAAGAACTCACATAAACTTAAGGTAAAGGGGTGGAAAAAATATCCCATGCAAATGAAAACCAAAAGTGGGCAGGAATAGCTATTATTATATCAGACAAAACAAACTTTAAAGCAATAACAGTTAAAAAAGACAAAGAGGGACATTATATAATGATAAAAATATATGTACAACAGGAAAATATCACAATCCAAATATATATGCACCCAACACTGGAGCTTCCAAATCCGTAAACCAATTACTATTAGACCTAAGAAATGAGATAGATGGCAACACAATAATAGTGGGGGACTTCAATACTCCACTGACAGCACTATACAGGCCAAGACAGAAAGTCAACAGAGAAACAATGACCTTAAACTATACCTTACAATAAATGCACTTAACAGATATTTACAGAACATTCTACTTAACAATTGCAGAATATACATTCTTCTCCTCAGCACATGGAACATTCTACAACATAGACTATATGATAGGCCACAAAACAAGTCTCAATAAATTTAAGAAAATTAAAATTATATCAAGTACTCTCACAGACCACAGTGGAATAAAATTGAAAATTAACTCCAAAAGGGCCCCTCAAAACCATACAAATACATGGAAATTAAATAATCTTCTCCTGAGTGATCCTTAAGTCCACAATAAAATCAAGATGGAAATTAAAAAATTCTTTGAAATAAATAATTCTGAAAAAACCTTTCAAAACCTCTATGATACAGCAAAAGCAGTGCTGAGAGGAAAGTTCACAGCATTAAATGCCTACATCAAAAAGTCTGAAAGAACACAAATAAACAAGATCACACCTCAAGGAACTAGAGAAACAAGAACAAACCAAACTCAAACCTAGTAGAATAAAAGAAATAACAAAGATCAGAGTAGAATTAAATGAAATTGAAACAAACAAACAAACAAAACACAGAAGATTAATGAAACAAAAAGCTGGCTCTTTGAAAAGATAAACAAAATTCATAGACCATTAGGAAGAGTAACCAAGCAAAGAAGAGAGAAGATTCAAATGTGCCCAATTACGAATGAAACTGGATATGTTACAACCAATACGACAGAAATACGGAAGATCATTCAAGGCTAGTATGAACACCTTTATGCACACAAACTAGAAAACCTAGAGAAGAAGGATAAATTCCTGGAAATATACAACCCTCCCAGATTAAATCAGGAAGAAAGAGAAACAATAACAAGTAGTGAGATTAAAAGAGTAATTTTAAAATTGCCAACAAAAAAGAGTCCTGGACAAGATGAATTCAGAGCTAAATTCTATCAGATATTCAAAGAAGAATTGGTACCAATCCTACTGAAACTATTCCAAATGATAAAGAGGGAATCCTCCCTAAATCATTCTGTGAAGCCAATATTACACTAATACAAAACCAGGAAAGGACATAACAACAACAACAAGAAAATACAGACCAATATCCCTGATGAACGTAGATGCAATGGTCCTCAACAAAATACTAGCTAACCAAATCCAACAGCATATCAAAAAAATAATACGCCATGATCAAGTGGGTTTTATACCAGGGATGCAGGGTTAGATTAACATACACAAGTCAATAAATGTGATATGCCACATAAACAGGTTTTTTTTAAAAATCAAGTGATCATCTCAATAGATGCAGAAAACATTTGACAAAATCCAGTATCACTTTTTGCTTAAAACCCTCAGCAAAACTGGCATAGAAGTGACATACCTTAAAGTAATAAAAACCATCTATGTCAAACCCACAGCCAACATTAATATACTGAACAGGGAAAAGTTGAAAGCACTTCCGCTGAGAACTGGAACAAAAGAAGGATATGCACTTTCACCACTTCTATTCTACATAGTATTGGAAGTTCTAGCCAGAGCAGACAACAGAAAGAAATAAAGGGCATACAAAACAGTAAGGAGGAAGTCAAACTGTCGCTGTTTGCTGATATGATCATATACCTAGAAAACCCTAAAGACTCATCCAAAAAACCCCTAGATCTGATAAAAGAATTCAGTAAAGTCTCTGGATACAAAATCAATGTACATAAATCAGTAGCACTGTTATACACCAACAGCGACCAAGCTGAGAATCAAATCAAGAACTGAACCCCCTTTACAATAGCTGCAAAAAAATAAAAACAAAATACCTAGGAATATACCTAACCAAAGAGGTGAAAGATCTCTACAAGGAAAACTACAAAACACTGCTGAAAGAATCATAGATGACATAAGCAAATGGAAACACATGCCATGCTCATAGATGGGTAGAATCAATATTGTGAAATTGACCATACTGCCAAAAGCAATCTATAAATTCAGTGCAATTCCCAATGAAAATACCATCATCATTCTTCACAAAACTAGAGAAAACAATCCTAAAATTCATATAGAACCAAAAAAGAGCCCACATAGCCAAAGCAATACAAAGCAAAAAGAGCAAATCTGGAGGCCTCACATTACCTGACTTCAAATTACACTACAAGTCTGTAGTCACCAAAACAGCATGGTATTGGTATAAAAATAGGTGCACAGACCAGTGGAATAAAATAGAGAGCCCAGAAATAAAGTTATATACTTATAGCCAACTGATCTTCGACAAAGCAAACAAAAATATAAAGTAGGGAAAGGACTTCCTGTTCAACAAATTGTGCTGGAATAATTGGCAAGCCACATGTAGAAGAATTAAATTGGATCCTCATCTCTCACCTTATACAAAAATCAACTCAAGGTGGATCCAAGACCTAAAACCACAAAAACTTTAGAAGATAACATTGGAAAAACTCTTCTAATTAGCTTCCACTTATAAGTGAGAACATACAGCCTTAGGCAAAGAGTTTAGGACCAAGAACCCAAAAGCAAATGCAAGAAAAAGAAGTATAAATGGGTGGGTTTTAATCAAACTACAAAACTTCTAAACAGCAAAAGAAATAATCAGCAAACAGACAACACACAGAGGGGGAGAATATCTTCACAAACTATGCATCTCACAAGGACTAATATCCAGAATCTACAAGGAACTCAAACAAATCAGCAAGGAAAAAACAAATAATCCCATCAAAAAGTGGGCTAAGGACATGAATAGACAATTCTCAAAAGAAGATATACAAATGGCCAACAGATATATGAAAAAAACACTCAACATCACTAATTATCAGGGAAATGCAAATCAAAACCAACATGCACTACCACCTTCCTCCTGCAAGAATGGCCATAATCTAAAAATCAAAAAATAATATGCTTGGCATGGATGTGGTTAAAAGGGAACACTTTTACACTGCTAGTGGGAATGTAAACTAGTACAATCACTATGGAAATCAGTATGGAGATTCCTTAAAGAACTAAAAGTAGAACTACCATTTGATCCAGCAATCTTACTACTGGGTATCTGCGCAGAGGAAAAGAAGTCATTATATGAAAAAGACACTTTCACATGCATGTTTATAGCAGCACAATTCACAATTGCAAAAATATGAAACCAACCTAAATGCCCATCAATCAATGAGTGGATAAAAAAATGCAGCATATATGTACCATGGAATACTACTTGACCATAAAAAGGAACGAAATAATGGCATTCACAGGAACCTGGATGGAATTGGAGACCATTATTCTAAGCAAAATAACTCAGGAATGGAAAACCAAACATCGTATGTTCTCACTTATAGGTGGAAGCTAAGCTATGAGGACACGAAGGGGTAAGAATGATACAATGGACTCTGGGGACTTGGGGGGAAGAGTGGGAGGGGGATGAGGGATAAAAGACTACACATTGGGTATGGTGTATACTGATCAGGAGATGGGTGCCCCAAAATCTCAGAAATCACACCTAAAGAACTTATCCATGTAACCAGGCATCACCTGCTCCCCAAAAACTATTGAAATAAAAATAAAATAAAATAGTTTAATAGTTTCTTTAAAAAGTTAAACAAACACCTATCATGTGATCTAGCTATTCCACTACAGGTATTTACCCAAGAGACAGGAAAACACATGTCCATACAAAAACTAGAACAGAAATGACCATAGCACCTTTATCTGTAATAGCCAAAAAAGGGAAACAACCTAAATGTCCATCAACAGGCAAATGGATAAACAAACTGCGATATACCTGCACAATGAAAAACAACTCAATAATAAGAAGCAATAAACTACTGATACAGCTTACAATGTGAATGAATCTCAAATAAATACATCGAGGCAAAAAAGCCAGACATAAAAACAGTGCATTTGTTCTTTATGTCCATTTATATAAAACTTCAGAAAATGCAAACTAATCTCTAGTGACAGAAAGCAGATGATTGATTGCCTTGGTGGGAGAAGAGGAGCAGGAGGTGGAATTTTGAAGCAGTGTGAGGAAATTTGGGGCTGATAAATATGCTTGCTCTCTTGATCATAGTGATGGTTTCATAGTTATATATATATATGCCAAATCTTGTCAAATCATACACTTTAAGTATGTGCAGTTATTATACTAAGTATACCTCAATAAGTCTTTAAAAATGCAATGGCTTGAAACAGCAATTATTTTATTACCTCTCATGATTTTTTGGTTCAGGAATTCAGGCAAAGCTCAGCTGCATGATGTTTCTATTCCAGCAGCATTGACAGAGGTCAGGCACCCTATTCATTAGCATCTGAGTTTGCCGGAAGCTCCGAGACAGCTCCACTCACATGTTTGGTGACTTTTCAGGGCGACTAGGAAGCTGGGATCAGTTGGGACTGTTGACCAGAATGACCACATGCAGCCTTTCCAACATGGTGGTATCAGGGTTGTCCAGGTTCTTGCATGGTAACTCAGAGCTCCAGAGGCAGTGTTCCAAGGTGCCCATACAGAAGACGCAAGCCTTCTCATGGTCCAGCTTCAGGAATCTCTGGACATCACTTCCACCATATACTATTAGTCAAGCAAGTCACTAAAGCAAGGCCAGATTCATAGAGGAGGAGAATTAGACTCCACTTCTCAGGGTCTAATTTTATCCACTTCAACAGCATGGTAGAGTGGAAAGAACAGGAGTTAGACAAACAGATCAACTAATCCTACATCTGCCACTGCTAGCATTATGGCTTCAGATATATCATCCAATCTTATTCAGACTCAGTTTCCTGACATATAAAAAGCGAATAACCAAAAAATACTCATACAACAGTTGTGAGCAGTAAACCCTCAGACACAATCCATTCGTTGCCAAAAATAAAACAAGCAATACACTGAGATTTCCTTGGCTAGAGTAGAATAAGTAAAATGAGCATTGACTGACAGTGCTGAACTCAAATTCCAGCTCCTATCATTCTTGCTGGATGACTTAAGCAAGTCACTTCACTTCACTGAGCCCTGAATTGCTCACCTGTAAAATGGAATAGAAAATGTCTATTGTTTAGGGTCCATGAGAATTAGAGATAATACCACAGTAGAGTGCCATGATGCAAGAAGCAGTTTTTAAAGTCATGTGATCAAAGCACTTACTGAGCTCAGGAAAGTTAATTCCCTCTCCCTGTTCCTTCTCTTCATCAGCCTTCCGTCTTGGACTCATGGGTGATTCCAGTGCTCTGTAGAGATAAGCAAGAGTACTGATAAGTTTTGGGGAAGCAAAACTTATCTCTCTTATCAGAGAGAGAAGTTTAGAGGCCCAGGCATGAGAGCAAAGCATCAAGGGTGAATGCTATTGAGCTCATTATTTGGCATTAGGAGTCAAAGTATAAATGCAGATCTTTTTCTTTTTCTGCAAGTGATTCTGTGTTGTTTGCACACGGGGCAATTAAAGTTCAATACCTGTGCATCCTTTCTGTCCTTGCTAGTATATTTTGTACTTTACCATTGTCAGTGTTTGATTGTGTTATGATTTTTGTCAAGCATAAAGCTAGTAGAACAATGTTGGAACCCATAGTTGCTCAATATTAGGTTCCCCTAGCACCGCACAGGGAACTAGGTGCACGGCGGGACTTGAGGGTAAGAGATGTAACAGGGAGGGAAATTGATGTTTATTTATTGCCTATGATGTGTTAGACACTGTAGCAAGTATTATCCATTGATTTACTCTTCCAAATCTTCAAAGTAGAGCTGACAAAATTACTAACAAACAGGTAATTTTACTATGTGCCACACACTGCTGTTAAGTGCCTTAACTTGTTTAGAGTAAATATCTTAATTTGAATTCTCCTCAAATCAGCCCCTGAGACAAGGATTTTGCATGCAGGGAGTTGATGTAGGGAAGTGAGTATGGACTAATGAATGAGGGTGCAATATCAGTAAGATACGAAGGGAGAAAGCACGATAATGGTAACGTCACAGCTGTGGGCAAATGGGCCCAATCCTACTGGGGACCCTCAGGGGAACCTGGTAAGATGCTTTTCAGAACTGTTCCACTAGAGGGTGGGGAAGCTAGAATATTTACCCAGGACTCCCATCCCCATTGCTTCAGGGTTGCCACCAGGGGCACCAACTCCAGCATCCAGGCCGTGCCTGTGCAGTGAAGCAAGTTTCTTGGTGCCAGGAAAAAGCCATCAGGCTTCTAGAGAAGACAATTTAGCTGTGTGGGATAGGAAGCTGTCAACACTAGCAGCTCACCTGCAAGTAAATTCAGGTGGGCCAGACCCATCTAGGTCTGAATATCAATTCTGCTACACATTATCCCCTTCATTTGACCAGAGAACAGAGGCATAGAGAGTTGAGGGAACTTGCTGAAGATCTCATAGCTTAAAAACTGGCAGAGCTGGGATTTCTACTCAACATCCTTACTCCACATTTTAACTATTTTACCTCTTAGATAAGGATGATCGAACATGTTAAGTAACAGATCCAAGGTCACACAGCCATTAATGCAATTCATACATGACAAACTTGTGTTTGAAACCATGATTACGGAGCCAAACGCCTGAACTCTGCCACATAACCTGCTATCTCCCAAGCACATAGCTCTAAAGATTAACTTTATCACATCCAGTAGCTCCCTTTACTCGGAAGCAGCTTTCTCTTAAAGCCCATTGGCTCTAGCAAAATTCCCATTTGCAATGGACAATGCCCCATATTTACTTGTATAGCCTAGGCACTTTCTCTGTGCTTCTTTATGGTCTGAGAGCTCTAATAGCTGAAACACAATACCATCTACTTACAGTAAACACATAACCCCTCTTTACTATTGACAATCTCTGCTGTTGGCTTTCTCTTTGAGTGGCTACCTTAATAAACAAGCAATTACTGGGAAATGAGAAGATAAACAATGTATTTCTTTGGAAGACTAATAAATCTTTGGCTCCAGTTTCTCAACTTTTTATTCTACTTTATTACTCCCATTGGCTAAGTCCATATCTTACCATGCAAGGGAACCAATTGATCAATTAGAGAATCGGTGGCCCTGTTTGAACATTCTGCATTAAACAGAAACTAATTGCCTGATTCCAGATGCTTTTTAAAACACATCTCAGCAATCAATAGGTCTGTGACTATGTTTGGAATAGAAGAGCATCTTCGGGTGGGTCAGATGAAGCCCTCCATGTCCCAGGCATGGTAGCCCAGGTTCCTCCTGCCTTGTCCAGGGGAAGTTCTGCTTCTTCATTAGTGCTTTCTTTCCAAGGTTTCCTTGCTGACCATGCACCCAATTAATGCTTCTCACCTGACACCCTAATGCCTAGATGGATCACAGGAGTCTAAGGAGCCTCCCAGGCTTGCGGAGTCAGTAAGAAGGAGATGGAAGAGCAATGAGACATCTGGGGCACTTTGCACTTGAGCAAAGGCTGAAAACAGAATAATGTAAGCAGAGCCGGGGGGTTTCTCCATCCAAGAGAAAGCAGCAATCAATAACTGATGATGCTTTCACGAAGCATGATGAAGCGTTGTCCAGAAATGCTTTGAGCAGGCCTCCAGAGCACACACAGAAGGCCTATTGCCTTCTGCAGCTCTCACCCTGGAGTCACCCTGCTTTAATGGAATTCTCATTTTCTAAGGATGCTAATGTCTGGAATATCCTAGTGGCTTTTTCCCTGACTGAAACTCCATAGGGGATATCCACCAGAGACAGGGAGTCTGCATAAATGCAAAGGTTCTGTTTTTCTTTCTTTCCAGTGTCCTGCATAAATCCATGGAAAGTGCCTGGGTTTGCTGGGGTTTATTCTGCCTGCCATCCAGACCATCTCTCTGCCTAAGCACAGAGAAAGTGCCTAGGCTGTACAAGTAAATATGGGGCGTTGTCCATTGCAAACAGGAATTTTGCTAGAGCCAATGGGCTTTAAGAGAAAGCTGCTTCTGAGTAAAGGGAGCTACTGGATGTGATAAAGTTAACCTTTAGAGCTATGTGCTTGGGAGATAGCAGGTTACCTGGCAGAGTTCAGGCATTTGGCTCCGTAATCATAGTTTCAAACACAAGTTTGTCATGTATGAATTGCATTAACAGCTGTGTGACCTTGGATCTGTTACTTAACATGTTCGATCATCCTTATCTAAGAGGCAAAATAGTTAAAATGTGGAGTAAGGATGTTGAGTAGAAATCCCAGCTCTGCCAGTTTTTAAGCTATGAGATCTTCAGCAAGTTCCCTCAACTCTCTATGCCTCTGTTCTCTGGTCAAATGAAGGGAATAATGTGTAGCAGAATTGTAGCTATCTCCCCAGAAAAGTGTGTCCTGCACCCTGTGTGCCCATGTGCTCAGGAATCAGCTTGAAGGGTGAATAAATGAGTTTTTTCTTTGAAACTCAAAGCAAAGGATGGGACCATCTTGCCTTGCTTAAACTACCTTAAAAAGAAGAAGAGACAAGATTTCCCTCCAAGGAGTCATAGCTGTGGTTCCACAGAGTCTGAGTGGGATTGGCCAAATGTTTCAATGACTAGACACTCCCATCTTTTAAAACCCAAATGCTTATTTCCATGCACGTGCTCTGAGTAATAAAGTCTGAAAGACAAATTGAAATAAAAACATATCTGTAAGCAGTTTATCATGGTAAATTGAAGGCTTTTCAACTCTTTCCATAAAAGAGCCATCCCCTATGGAAAAGCAGGCAGGACAGTCACTTAATGACATCTTGCAGTCTGACGCCTCTTTGTACCATGGTTTATTTTGGGAGGTCCATAGAAGCCACATTTTATTACAAAGAATGAAAATCTCTCTGTTCTCCAGAGAAACAACTTGTTTTCTTTGGTCTCAGCAGGTCTTCCTTCTCAGGCTCCTCTAAGCAGACATAAGAATTCCATTAGCTACCATTTATTGTCAAGAAGCACCAGGGAGGTTTTCTAAACATGACTGCATTTAATCATCCCAACAATTCTCTGAAGCAGGTATTATCAACTGCAATCAAAAGATGAACAGAATTTCTAACCCAAGTTGATATGACTCCAAACACCATGGTGTGACCACCTGCTGTATTGCAGCCACCACTAGGATTTCCAAGACAAGAGCCCATGCTAAGATGCAAAATAAAGACACTGCACCATTTGCTACCCTGTGCCCAAGACCATTCCTCCTGAGACAGTGCCTGCCACCAGACAGCAAGCGTGAGTTCCATCTCTTGAAACCAATTATTGGAGCATGTGCTCACATTGACCACAGATGAATTCCTCAGAGGTCTTGCCATCTCGAGACAGGTCTGGCTGCGTGGTTCACATGTTTCCTTCCTAACTCCCTGATCCAGAGCAGATGCTCAGTGCTTCTTGGCAGGCTGGTGACTCTAGGTCCTCCCTTCAGGGATCATAGGTCCTGTTAATAATGAGAAAAATTAGCTCCCAGTCCTCCCCAGCTTTCTTCAAAACTTGGGGACATGTTCACTTAATAAACACCCTCTAAAATAAAAATTCCATTTGTTTTGTGAAGCATAACAATAGTTCCACTGGAAAATGTCCTCTCTTTAATATGTATCTAAGAGACATGAGGCAAGGCACACCCTAGCCCAGGCTTATCAGAATGAAGAAGGTCAGAATTAATCATTCTTTTGTTAATTCAAGAATGTCTTTTGATTTCAAGCCTATAGATTTGAAAACAAAAAAATAGAACAAAGCAGCAAGTATTTATTGGGGCCTAACATTGATTCGCCACAGTTGTAGCCATTCTGAGTTCTAAACAAGGCTAACAAAATTAAAATGAAAACAAACAATACAAAATAGTATTTAATTTAGTGTACAAATTTAGTGTACAAAATTTAATTTAGTATACAAAATTGTATTTAATTGTGTTATGCTGCTGTAAATGCATAGAATAAGGCCAATGAGGACAGCAAAGTTCAGGGACCTCAAAAGACAAACATGATTTGTCTGGCACACTGACCAGAGAACACCAAGAAATTCTGTACACAAATATCAGCACCCTTCATCCCCATTCTTGATACATAGAATATACCCAAAATATCAATAATGTAAATATTATCCTGTAAATGCTATTAATACAGAAGGCAGTTCCTGTAGAGATTATCTTAAAAACTTTTACTTAATTAACTTTAAAAGGGAAAATAAAGAGTCAGTAATAGGAATTCAAACTGAACTCCTATTCTTGACAATATCAGAAGTGATGAATGTCATGTTGTAAAAAGTTTGTACAGAATTACCTAGAAAGCTCTAGACAACCTGGCTGACAATTATGCCATAGTACACATATTTACTTTTGTTTCCAGAGCTAGAATTAACACTTGGAAGGGACCTGATTTGTATGCAGTGTTATGACCAACACTGACTTACTAGTTATGTAGGAAAATTAGAGAGAGAAAAATCAAATATTTTATTTAAACTTCACACAAGTAAGAACTAGAACACTTCAGGAGCCTGGGGTATTTTTTTTAATTAAGCTTGATAATAAATATAGAGACCTAGAGTAATGTCTAAAGGGAAATGTGATCTCTCAGTTGAAAGGAACTTTGAAAGAAATCGACTTTACAGAGGCAGGAATAGAAATAGAAACCTGAGGTCGGGCGCGGTGGCTCACGCCTGTAATCCCAGCACTTAGGGAGGCTGAGGCAGGCAGATCACGAGGTCAGGAGATCGAGACTATCCTGGCTAACACGGTGAAAACCCGTCTCTATAAAAATACAAAAAAAAAAAAAAAAATTAGCCAGGCATGGTGGTGGGCGCCTGCAGTCCCAGCTATGGTGGTGGGCGCCTGTAGTCCCAGCTACTCGGGAGGCTGAGGCAGGAGAACGGCGTGAACCCAGGAGGCAGAGCTTGCAGTGAGCCGAGATTGTGCCACTGCACTCCAGCCTGGGCGACAGAGCGAGACTCCATCTCAAAAAAAACAAAAAAAGGAAATAGAAACCTGAAGGTTACCTATGCATCACTCAACTGAGGAACCAATCCTAGAGGCTGAATTCACTTTTCCCTTTCAGATAAAGACTGAAGTTCTTCTAGGTTGAAAACACAAAGATAAAAAGTTTTTCATGCTAAAGCAATGGCAAGAAAAATAAAATAGCATTTGTTAACTTTCCTGCCTCACTTGTAAATCTTAAATTTAATGTAAATCCCTTATTCCATTGTTTCTGCCCTCTTTCTCGACCTTAGTTTATGCATGCAATTAATATTTACTGAACAGTTACTATGTGCTAAGCAACAGGCCAGGAGTTAGGGATGCAGCAGTGGACACGGCAATGGTGGCCAGGGCTCATGTTGTGGCCTGGGTCAGTGATCCAAAGGAAACTCAGGTTCTGGTGGCATCACAAGCCGGACTAACGGTGCCTGTTAGCTCATTCGCAACCATCTGTGGGAAGAGCAGCTGAGGTTCTAGCTTGAGTCTCAGCGTTGACCACAAATTTCAGGCATGTCTGCTATTTCTGATGAGGCTCTGGGTGGACCTCTCAGGAACCTATTCACAGAAAGGATTGAAGAGCTGCTAGGAAAGAACTCATGGTAAAGGAAAAGACAGTCAGGTAGATAAGTATGGCAAGAATTAATTCTCCTTCATAAGCTCACGTTTGCAGGAAAAGTCATATTATTAGATCAAAAGTAAAATCCTATCAATCTGACTCAGGACCTCTATCTTGCAGGGCTGGTGAGAAAATCTACTAAATTATAATGTGGCTCTCTCCATCCCAGGGTCGTGTGGAAGTCCTAGGGTTTTTGAAGAGAACAGAAAATTCAGAGAGGTTATTCCATCTATTATTTCTGTGTAACAAATTATCCCAAAACCATAACGGCTTAAAACAACCCTTTTCTTTTGCTCATGGTTTTGTGATTCAGGAATTTGGCGATGGCTGGATTGGATGATTCTTGCTTCAGTCTCTCACGTGGCTGCAGTCAGATGTTGACTTGGGCTTCAGGCAGCCAAAGACTCTACTGGGTGGGATGCCCAAGATGCATCAGCACATGGTGGGCTGGTGAGGCTAGATGTTTGCTGGGAGCTCAGCTGGGGCTCTCGACCTTCAACAACTACATGTGCCTTTTCCAGGATGGCAGTCTCAGGATGACTGGACTTCCAACAAGTGGCTTCCCACCGATTGTGTGTCTCAAGAGAACCGGGCAGAAGTTGCATGGCCCTAACCCTGAATGTCATGCAGCATCTTACGCCACATTTTGTTGGTTTCAAGAGTTATATAGCCAGCCAGGATTCAAGGGCAGGGAAAATAGATCTCATATTTTGATGGGAGAGGCAAGGTTGTATTGTAAAACAGCTTTCAAGACAGGAGATACCATGGCCATCTTTGGAACCTGCCCTTGAGGATCACACGGTCTTGCAACACAGTAGTTATTTTTTAGGGTTCACCCTGGAAGATGAAGAGGCAGGTAACTCTATGCTTCTGAGTTAAGCACAGGTGTGGGAATTGCTGTCCAGGCACAAGTTCTGGTGGGAAGAACATAAAAACTCTTAGGTACACCGGGTATGTCTCCTTTCTGAGATTCTCCAACACCCCTGAGGGCATTGCCAAGGAAAAGAATCTCCCTGGAACCCACTGGTATCTCCTGCCCTTCTGACTTAAGAAATAGTTCTCCTTTCCCTCACTACACAGCATAGTCTCTTCCATGAGTTGAAATTTTTGAAAATGAAAACCAGGCAGAGAATTTTTCTGGGAAAATTTATCTTTCAAGTTTTCCCAGAAACTTGAAAGATCAGGGAATATATAGCAGACTTATTTTCCCACACGTGCTTTCTTGTTATGTTTTTGGCTTCCTTTGTGTTTTATGTGCATTTTCAGTTCTATCATGGTAATGCCATCACCTTCTCTTAGAGATGGCCATTGGGAATTGTATATGGTGCCCACTTATAAAGAAATGATGTAACAGCCTTATCCTTGATGTCTCTATGTCAGTGTGGTGAGGTCATACTTCTAAATGTGAATTTGTTTTTCTACCTCATTTTATACGCCTCAAGTTGTTTTCAATTGTACAATGAGAAGTTCACTCATCCCTGTAACTAAATGGAGGTGAGTCACCCATTGGGAAGATATAAATAATGGTCAGGGATTATATGAGAGACAGCGAGAGTCCAGAGCTGGTGTTTCACTCACAGAGTCTATAAAGACATCAAAGGCTAATAAAAAAGAGAAGAAGTGGGCAGAGCCCCAGTAACAGGGAAAATGGAAATGATGAAACTTGGATTCTTGAGGAAAATACTTTTCTGGAGCAGAGTAGGGAGCCATGTGGAAATATATTCAGCCCTAGCTGTCCATCCAGGGCCAGCCTCCTGTCCCCACTGAGGGTCCAGTGGGCATGAAGTATGTCTGGGCTTTAAGAAACCTTGCCCAGGGAGCTCCCTCCTCTATCTGTTGAGGGCAACTACGGGAATGAAGATCATGGCAGTGATGATGACATGCAGGGAAGACCAGCTACTGCACCTAGTCTGCATGATCAGGAAGCAATATGAAGATCCCACTGAGCTGAGAACAAGAGAAAACACACTTTCTTTCAACATTAGCAAACCATGAACAAGGAGACTCACCTAATTCCAGCTCTTGGGGAAAAGCCATTGCTCATTATTACCTCCTCCTCTCTTCTCCCCTCCCTTTTCCCTTTTCCCCTCTCCTTTCTTCTCTCCATCCCACACTCCGGACACACGTTCAAACTCACACAAATTTCTGATAACAAATAACCTTCAATTATTCTTAAGCTAGTTTTCTTCAGTCCCATTTAACATCTCAAATCCACCTATCTTTAAGAGGATCAGGATTAAATATCAATATGTGTACTTAATATATATTCATTAAATTGTCACTAAAAGATTACGAGTTTCCTTTATAAAAGATTCGTTTCTCTAGCATGTAATTTTATAAAGCTCATCAACAGATAAAGTGAGCATGGAAGACATGGATTGTATTCCGATTTCCTTTGCCAGTTGTTGGTGCCATGTAACACTTCCAAAGGGAATTTATACCCCAGTCACACTTAACATATCACAGGATGATAAGGAATAATTGCTTAAAAGGATTAAAAGCTATCTGTGATACATCAGAGGAGCAGAGAAGCAGATTTAAAGTTCATAAGGTTGTTTAAATGTTTATGGCCCAGCAGTCTTAGCTCTGTCGCCATATGATTTTATGATAGCATGGCCATTTACCAAATTTCTCCAGTTCTCACTGTCCTCATCTTTAAAATGAAGAGGTTAAACAACACCAGACAGTGCATCTTTCTGTCAGTTTTTCATTATCTGCAAGGATATGATTATGTTCTCCATTGTCTTTTATTCCTTAGTAATTATGCATGGAATTTTCCCTAATTATTGTTCTGCTGCTCATTCTGGTGTGAATTTCATTTTCCTAAACCTTGAGAAGAAGTCTGGGTTTTGGCAGCTTGTCTAACTTCACAGAGTTCCCTCTTCTGCTATTCCCATGAGGAGTCAAGACATATGGTGTTCAGTGTCTCACATGCTCTCCCTTTGTCCCCTCCTCACTTGTGTCTGGGCCCTTTCTTTTCTTCATCTGTCTTATCCCTGTCCTGCTAACCTCACTCCCATCCAGCAGGCCCTCCCCAGTGTGAGCCCTGGGGTGGAGGGACGCCATGCTGTTCTGCTTTAAGAGTTCATAGGAGTTGGGCCTTCAGACCTTGCTGCCATCCCTCTCACATAACTGCGATAGTAGTGGGAAAAGCGCTCTCAGCTTCAGACACTGCTGTCACTTGCTTTGCTCCCCAGTGCATCCCTGTTTGGCCATGTGGGGGTTCTCCTGTTCTCAGATCTATCATATACATCAATGGCCCCTCTCACTTCTCCCATGCGGAAGCCAATAGCTCAGAGCTCTTGTGGCTCTTGGTGGTTTGCCCTCACCCACTTCTATTTTGAAATTCCTGGGGATATTTTGTTTCCTAATTTTGTTAATGTTCTGCATGGGTTTGGGGTTTGCTGTCTAGTTGCCCTACCTCTTTTTGCGGGCAATTTGAGAAGTTCCAAAAGCTATACTATTACCACCACCACCATTTTTCCAGAGCTGTATGTATTTTCCTAGAGTGTGTATTTTAATTTACAGTTTTTGGTCACAGATGTTTTCACACATTTGCACGTTCTGATGTTCGCATGTGTTCACATCAGTTGTTCCTTGATACCCTAAAAACACAAACAAGTCAAATGAAAAAGTGAGGCAGCTAGTGACATTTTCAAGACAAATGAGCTCTGATTTTCACAGCCCAGACAGTCTTTGTTGTAGAATTATGCTATTCCTCAAATAAGCTAATGTAACCTAAGTTACATTCACCTCCTACTTTCACCATTCACCTTCCTTTAACACAGTGTAAGAAAGGAGAGGCAAGAGATTCATGTGACTCTCTCCCGATCTGTTCACTTGGCAATTGGTCCTCATTGTCTCTCTCTCTCTCTCTCTTTTTTTTTTCCCAGACGGAATCTTGCTCTGGAGTGCAGTGGTGCGATCTCAGCTCACTGCAACCTCTGCCTCCCAGGTTCAAGCAATTCTCCTGAGTAGGTGGGATTACAGGCACGCGCCACCACGCCTGGCTAATTTTTGTATTTTTAGTAGAGATGAGGTTTCACCATGTTGGTCAGTCTGGTCTCGAACTCCTGACCTCATGATCCACCCACCTTGGCCTCCCAAAGGGTTGGGATTACAGGCGTGAGTCACTGCACCCAGCCGGTCCTCATTGTCTCTTATCATGCTTCCTCCAGCCTCATGGCTGATCAGTTCCCAGGACACCTTCCTTTGCACAGATTCCACCAAAGGGGTTGATGAGGGGTAAGACACACCCACCTTCACTGTTTGGTCCTCTTGTCCTCACCACATCACACACAAAATCTTACTGAAGATTTAAACTAATGAGGGAACTATAGAACAAAAGGGAGAAACATCTATATTTTTCTATATCCTAATTAAGGCTTTTCTATTGATGCAAAAGAAAACAGCAACTAAGAAGTTAAAACTTCAGAAAGAGAGCTTTCATGGATGCTCCTAGCTCCTAACTTTGCTGTTATGTACCTTTTTTGCGAAAGTGCTTTTGTCTAATTCTCATCCCTATGTGAATTTCTGCCACCTTTCTAGAAAATCCCATGCTCTACTCAGAGATTAGTCTCTCCAGTGTCTTTATGGTGCTGCATTTCCCCAATGTGCAAACAGTTATGCTAACATAGCTCTTTGGGTTCCAGCAGAACAGAGATCAAATCTGCATTTGGTCTTTGGGGGAGTTGAGGGTCCCAAGCCCCATTCTTTTGAGGTCTCTCCACCAGAATAAGCTGCGGCTTTGCTGCTCTATTCTTTTCATTGCCCAAGAAGTAACTCTTAAGTCAATCAGACCAAAACACAAACACAAACACACACACACACACACACACACACACACACACATGCCACTTCCAAGGACAAATATTAATTCTAAGAGACAGTCGAATTTAAAAACAACAGAAAGAACAGGAGCATTGTCGTCCCACACAGTGATTTGCATGGCCACCTGTGTCACAGTGGAGTTTCCCCTTTGCTTTGCTGCACCGAGGAATTTATCTAAATTCTTTGGCCCTCCACCATCACCACTCCACACACACTTCCAGACCTGCTAGTGCAGGAGACAGCCATCACAGAGCAAGATACCTCATAACGGCCATTTCCCTAGCTGATTAAAGATGCTGCCAAAATCTTTTAGTAACTCCTTTTAAGAATCTAATCTTGTTCTTAGGCAAGAACCATCTTCCTCCCCAGTCCGTGACAGAAGAGTAGAAGTCATTTTCACTCTTCCTGTTACATTCAGCCATACCTTAGCAGATCATACTACATTCTCATGAATGGAGACACCTTGCCTACCCAAGGTAAAGACAACATGAGAAAAATTCTCAGTCCTATATTGGAGAAACACCTCCATAGCCCAAGTTTCCCCCTGCCATCTGTATGCCTGAGCTCAAAGGATCTTTGTGAGGGCATCAACCTCAGGAACAAACATTTCAGTCCTGCTGCCTGCTGGACTCAGCTTTGTCCTCGTACTCTCACAAAATTAACTTGGAAGGCTGGCCTTCTTTCTCCCACCACCAGATGCCAGGTGTCCCTTTTATTCCACTCACCTCTTCATGTAATAAGTTACAGAGATGACACTATATTTCACCGCAAGACCCACAGAACTATTTTCAAAGGTTTTCCTTCATGCAAGAAGAAGGTAGCAGCAGCTGTAACATCTAGTTATGGCCAAAAAGTACAAAGTTTTCTTTGTATGAAAATTTATTATACAGGCTGTATGAAAAATTGGGGAAAAAAATTGGTCTTTGGTGTCAAAGGGATCTGACTTTAAATCCTGGCTGCACCAATTACACATTCTATAACCTTGGACTTAAGATCATTGAACCTCATCATAGAACACTGTAAAACAAAGATGATAATAATACACATCTCAAAGGTTGTGTCTTAAGTGACTTTGCATCAGACCTGTGCACACGTAGTGAAACAGGTATGAACTTTCCTTACAACACCTCATTGCAAGAAATGTCGTGTTGTTTTCATTTTCAAAATCCATAAATCTCATCCCAAGTTCCCACTTACCGGGAATTGAGAAATTTAATCTCAGGTTCTACTGTAAGTAACATTCAGACTGAGTTAAGTTGTCAACTAGCAAAATAAAAAGTTAATAACTAATGTCTCAAATTACTGAGAATTAGCCTATATTACTATTTCTATAAAATAGCATATTATATAGAAATATGGGTGTAAATGCCAGAAAAAAAGAGAAGAAAAGTGGTTCCTTTAGGAAGAAAAATAACATGATGATAATCAAGTAAGACAGAGTACAGTTTTTACTATGTGTTTTAAACTATGTGCATATATCATATTAACAAAATTAACTACAAGCAAAATACCCGTATACTAGTTTCCACTTACATGCAAGTTTCTTCAGTATCTGACTAAGAGTCACAAAAAATCCTAATAGTTCAGGAGTCTCTAAATGTTTCTTTGTACAAAACACTTTGCAGTTAGGCAAACATGCAGAAACATAGGCCATGACATATAAAGATTGCCTGTGATTTTCCTGCCCTAATATAATTTTCTAAGTGTTAACCAAATATTACTCACATCCTTCTCCAAATTCTACCTTTCATTCTTTCTGAGCCGTTAGACCAGTTGCTGAGCTTCTATGAGCCTTAGTTTCTTTATCTATAAAATTAGACCATTTAAAAAGGTTTCTTTTAAAGTCTGACATTATTTCCATCTTAGTAATTGACTGTGAAAATGGTGACTGAATGATTCCTGAAGCCCCTTTCAAGTGAAAAATGCTGGGAGCTGAGTACAAGACTCAGCTCAGAATCAAGTTTTGTGTTCGCATTTCTTTGCAACACGTATTCTGCACACAGCTATCACACGTGTGCAATTCCTTGAACTTCCCTTGCCATCTCCGAGATCTTTGTGACCCAAAAATAGTCTCTGTGTCAAGACCTGGTGCAATCCACTCCCAGATCTCAAGAAAAGACTCCAAGGAGAGACACAACACAGCACTGTGGGATCTGCAGGTGACTCAGACAACATAAACTGAGTCACTAACCCAGAACAAGCAGTGGACAGAAAGGAGTAGCTTGAGGTTGGATGTTTTAGAATTTTTTAAGAAAAAAACAAGAACCACATCTAAGACTCATTTGATACTGGTGTTTCTTTATTGATATCATATTGGGAAGTTTGAAAACCTTCAGTTTTTACATCTTCAGAAAACACTGAAATTCACTATTTTAAATAGTTCAAAGGAAAGGGAGCTTAGTTTTATTTTACATTGAATCACGCAATTTCAAATGTTAGTTATTCTGAATTCAAAAATTACTCCACAGACAAGATTTATGAAGGGTAAGGTTTATTTTAGGGTAGGCTCAAGTAGTTTAAAACAATCATGATACAATTTTATTTTCTAAATAAAGTATGTTTCTGTTTAAAATCTTGTAAACTGTGTTTTTCAACCAGGTTTCCTTAGAAGACAAATATTTTGTTGCTATAGTAAATCTCATCCTCAAGTAATTCTTCCTTTTTCAGGTTTGCTCAGAGCTCCCAGTTATGCAGCAATAAAACCATCCACATAGAGATGGAATAAACCTATTTGGTCATCGAAGACTTCTCTTTCTGTCACCCGGGGTTGTTCCAGGATTCTTCCCTAAGGCCCCTTCTCCAGTGATTTGTACAACTTTGCAATAGCAAGAAATGGTGCACCCTGGCTTCTTTCAATAGAAGATACTGCAACTTTTCATCATTGCAATGAAGCTGAATTCCCACCCCACCCCCGCCCTGCCCCCCAAAATTCCCTGTTTTCTCATCAGGCTCAACTGTACCCTAGGGAGTCTCTCACACAGTCTGGCTTTGCTTGGCAATGACATCTTTAGTTCTTTTAAATGGCTTTCATTGGCATGTTTTTAAGGCATTTAGCTTCAGCATTTTCACTGTGGTAGAGGTTAACCCCAAATTCCTGTGCATTTCCATAGCATCTTGGCATTTCTTCTTTATTGTACCGAATTAACACAGAAGAAAAAAAAATGTTTCCCTCCCAGTTCCTCAGTCAGTGCTGCCAAATATAGGCACACAGCTCTTTCCTTGGGACATCATCAGATTTTCCTCTTGGGATCCTCAAGGTCTTTAATATTTCTAGTCTTTCTTTTCCAAGTTGGGAAACACTAGTCATTCACTCAACAAATATTCCTTGACTGGCAAATATGTTTGGGGGGCTGGAGATATAAAGACAAAGTGCCTGCCCTCAGGAAGCCAACAGTCTAGGGAGAGACAATGGCACATAAAGAGTTATATGACCACATGGCCGGGTGCGGTGGCTCACGCCTGTAATCCCAGCACTTTGGGAGGCAGAGGTGGGTGGATCACTTGAGGTCAGGAGTTCAAGACGAGCCTGGCCAACATGGCAAAACCCTGTCTTTACTAAAAATACAAACAAAATTAGCTGGGCGTGGTGGCACACACCTGTAGTCCCAGCTACTTGGGAGGCTGAGGCAGGAGAATCACTTGAACCTGGGAGGCAAAGGTTGCAGTGAGCCGAGATCGCACCATTGCACTCCAGCCTGGAGACAGAGTGAGACTCTGTCTCAAAAAAAAAAAAAAAAAGAGTTATGTGACATCAGGTGGAGAGCAGGATAAAGCACAGGAAGGGACCTGGAGTGGCAGAGGGGCCAATCTAGAGAGGGGCCCAGGAGAGGTCCCTGTGAGGAGGTGAAGTCTGAACAAAGACCTGAGTGGAACAAAAACATCAAGGCAAGAACTATGAGGAAAATATAATAGGGTACTTAGCAGACATGGGTTCCTTTACAGCTGGGCTGCAATCTTCCTTTTGGGTCAAGAGAAACTTCTAAAATCCCTCATTTTGTTGTCCAGGTGCTCACTTCAGCAGAGTAGCATTTCCATCCCTCTCAAATGCAACAAAGGCTCCCTTTCTCAAATAAGCATTGTGTGCCTGTCATTACAGAACAGTGCTGATTTCATAGGGGTGAGGCATGCACAACCTTGTCCATCAGACTGAGAATCAAGGCATAGTCATTCTGGAAGGGAATCCTAGAAGCGGTTGCTGGGAGCAGCATCTCGGTTATCCATCATAACCCAAAACTTAGTGGAATACAACAGTTTAATCTTTCTCACAATTCTGTGGGCTGAGGGGCTTGGCAGGGTGGTCCTGCTGCACTCACCTGGGGGCTCTTGTTGGCTCTTATCACACGATGGATGGGTCTGGTGTCCTTGGAGCCTCGACGGGTCTGGAACGTCCAAGGTGGCACCTTCATTCACATGTCCAGAACCTCCGCACTCCTCTCTGAGGCCTCACTCTCCATGTGGCCCCTCATCTTCCAGGTCCCCTGCTTGTGGCCTCCCTCTCCAGCAGGACAGTCACAGTTATGTGCCTAACTGCTTCCAAAAACAAAACACAGGGGCTGTAACCCTTCCTTGGGGCATAGGTAGCATCAATTCCCAACATTCCACTGGAAAATTCGAGTCACGGGGGCAGCCTGCATCACGATGGGGGATCTGCAAGATGGTGTTAAAATTAGAGGCAGAGTTATTTGTGGGGAGCCCTCTTTGGAGACAAGCCACCACCTACAGAGATCTTCTGTGAGCTGCCCAGGTCACCCATTCAGTCAGTGGCTGAACCAGAAATCAAACGACCTGTTCTCTTTGCTCCATTTTCTTTTTTTACCTAAGCTGAGCCAAAATCCCTATTTGAGTCCAAACTAATAATCACATGAGGCTCAATGACACAAAATGCCATTAGCTCCCTGTGTCTCCCAGCCGGTCCCTTCCTCCAGCCAGAGCTCTTCTGCAATGGTCTGTGTGTTTTCCTCAATTATGGTGCATATATATTCAGGCCCCAAAGAACCGATTTAACAGAGTTTATAGCTCTTTGATAAGCTCTAGACACTGTCAGCAGTTTTTCAAAGAGTTACTATTAAGATATATTTTCCAAGACTTGAAGATAAGGCAAAGGGGAAGAATGAGGTTCTTTCAACAGGCATGGCTTAATAGGCCTGCCTAGAGAGTATTAAATTGGGAGAAGATACCTGTGTTTGACTTTGCTGACTAGTAATTAGATTCTGTGATGTTTCATAACACAGACTTCTGTCCAGGAGAAACACAAATGATTTCTCTCTAGCATATAAAATAACTCCAAGGTTTTTGGTTTTATGTGCCATGTAGGCATTAATAAGTTTTGCATCTAACTTGGCAAATAATTTCAATATGAATTTTTAAATGCTTATCAATACTCAGTTCCTCAAATCCTCCTTAAACCAGCCTTACCATCTTACTGACTCCCTCATTAATGAGTTGAATACATCTCCAACACAAGTTCATTCTATATGTCTATGAGAATGAGGGTTTCAACTTTCTCAGAAGTATCCTTTACACTATAGGGGCTCCGATGGAGCTTCCTCTGGGCTAGAAGCTGAGCACAGCTGTGGCTGACACAGGCCCTGGGCCATCCTCCTCATTTATGCAGAGTTGGTTACCTTAGCCCATGGAACTGAATGTTTTATTTGGCAATAAAATCTCACCATAATTATTCATGGGAGCTTCATTTCACAGTGCTCAGGGCTCTTTTCTTGGGCTTCAAGCAGCTCAGGAAGAAAAGTGCTCAGCACTTCAATTCAGACATGATTTTACCACCTGGAAAGATGTCATAGCCCAGTGGGCAAAAGGGAAGAGCTGGAAGCCAAATTTTCTGGAGAAAGACCATCATCTCTTCTAATTAATCCAATCCTGGACGTTTGACCTTTCATTGACAAAGTTAACAATCCCTATGCCCCCATATCCCAGCACTTGTAAAGATTCCTGCAGGAAAAGCTCACCAAGGCCCAGGGCAGGCCCTTCAGTGGCTCTGCTCAGTGTCTATTCCAGATTCTCAAGAAGGATTCAGGAATCCAGCATTCTAGTCACTGCATTACTAGGTGCTCCTCACCTCCTTTTCCTTCCAAACATGGAAGGAAGCAAAATTCCGTGCCACACATGTGGGGGGCGCATAAGAAATACGATGTGCTGTATTTTTCTTTGCATGAGCTTAGTTTCCATTTTGAGTCCCCATTGTGGTGGCTATTGGAAAGGTAATCTGATTCAATTCAGGGCCAGCTTTCTCCCTACCCCGGTAGGAGCAGGTACAGTCCATAAGGATGCGAGGGTGCCAGGGAACGGTGTGTGGCTGCTGCCTGATGCCATCCATCTGCTGTTGCATCTTCTGAGCAATTCTTCCAACTCTGGTCCATGCCAGGTCTATTCTCACTCAGCTGAATCTTGAGGGCTTTGAATCCCAAGCAGATATTTTTCTGTTCTCATGCCTTTGGGGGTAACTCTCTGAAGCTGGAGAGTTCTTTGGCACACTCTGCCTAGATGCCCCATACAACAATTTGTACTCTATGTCTCCCTTAGTTTAAGGAGAATTATCCACAATTTAGAAATAAGACAAAACATGTCTGGGTGTTCTTTAAAATTAATTGTGGAGCATCATGTAACAAGGTCTCTTAGGGGTCACTGGGGCTCTAGAGCAGTGTTCCCCAACTGTCGTTTTCATTATCAACCTGCCCAGGAGAAAAATTTAATTGCATTCCAGTTTAATGTTAATTGATTTCAGCCACTTCATGTAATTAACAGTCAATTGGTTGATTGCACACCCATGTTCGTAGTAGTATCATTCACAATAGCCAAACATGGAAGCAACCCAAGTGGCCATCAGTGGATGAATTGATAAGCAACATGAGGTGCATATATACAATGGAATATCTTGCAGCCTTAGAAAGGAAGGGAATTTTGACACATGCTACAACATGCATAAACCTTGAGAACATTGTGCTAAGTGAAATAAGGCACCAAAATACAAAGACTGTATTATTCCATTTATATGAGATACTTAGAGTATCAAAATCATAGGGACAAATGATAGGATGGTGGTTGCCACAGGCTGCAGAAAGGGGGAAATGGGGAGTTATCATTTAATGGGTACAGGGCTTCAGTGTTATGTGATGAAAAGAGTTATGGAGACAGATAATGGTAATGATTGCACAACGTTATGAATGTATTTAATACCACGGAACTGTACACCTAAAAATGGTTAAGTTGGTAATTTTTTTGTTATGTATATTTTACCACAATAAAAATTTGGGAGAAAATGCCATTTAAAGTTAAAAATATCAATTGGCTGATTAATTGGTTTATTTTACCCATAGTAAGATAAAGTAGATAGTCAGGAATAAGATTTTTCTTGTAGTGTTGAACTTTGGAGGGCCACAGACATTGTAATATCTAAGATTTTTTTCTTACCCACCAAAAACCAATTTTTTTAATACCGGGGCAATATCATTCCTTAATTGAGCCATCATAGTCTAAGGGAAGCAACTTTGTTCAACTCGTTACTTACTGTTAATTAAGAATCAAACTCTTCTTATAAAAAAATCAATAAGTTGCAAATTATTTTTGATCAGTAAACTTGCAATTTATTTATAACCAGTAGGACAGATAATCCCGTAATGCATGGTTTTATTGCCTATAAGAATACATCTATCCGTTAGGTATCACATTCTTATATTTCCCTTCATATTAGCTTTACCATTCAGCTGGTTCCCTCATTAATGATTTAAATCCACTGTTGTTGTATGCTCACTGTCTTGTTATATGCTCACTGTCTAGTTCTATGGAAGTCATTTTTTTTGTTTGTTTTGTTTTTTGTTTGATTGTTTGTTTGTTTGTTTTTTGAGACAGAGTCTCGCTCTGTCTCCTAGGCTGGAGTGCAGTGAAGCAATCTTCGCTCACTGCAAGCTCTGCCTCCCGGGTTCACGCCATTCTCCTGCCTCAGCCTCTCAAGTAGCTGGGACTACAGGCGCCAGCCACCAAGCTCGGCTAATTTTTTTTGTATTTTTTAGGAGAGACGGGGTTTCACCGTGTTAGCCAGGATGGTCTCGATCTCCTGACCTCGTGATCTGCCTGCCTCAGCCTCCCAAAGTGCTGGGATTACAGGCGTGAGCCACCGCGCCCAGCAGAAGTCATGTTTTTTAATTAAGAAAACTTATACTTTGACATTTGCCGTTCTGAGGAACTAGAAACTATTGACAGAGAAGCTAGCATTAAGTCCTTTCTGCTCTCAAATCCCCTGCCCCCTCATCAGGACTCAACCAGGACGTGGAAGGGCACATGGCCCCTTCTGGCAGAATCTCATGAGCATCTAGCTCTCATCTTTTCTGACATTCTTCTCCACCACACATCCTTGGGAATCTTTATCTTTTCTTGGGGAGTTGGAGATCTAAAAAATAATTGACTTTTATTGGAAAAAAAATTCTTCCAAGAGTCCATCTGGGCTCAGACTTTATAGCTCAAAAGTCCATGTTCTTAAAAAATCAAAACAAGCTTTTGAACTTGAAAAGCCAAGAAATTGGCTACTTCGTTTCCTCCTTCTGCTTATAATAACCTGTATCCAAGGTAAGATGCTCCAAGGTCTAGTTTGAAGAGGAAAAGGCCAGAAAGTAAAAAGGAAGTGCCAAGGAGAAAACAACTCAATTAATATATAAAGATAAAATCATGCTGCACATAGTTTAACTCTAAAGGTTATTGCCTCATGACTTGTTGTAGGTCATTCAGAAATTTTTAAAGTCCGGGCAGGAGACTTAACAGAGGGGTGGATCTTGGGAGACCCAGAACTGTCATCCTCTGATGCAATAAATCAGAGAAATCAGTTCATGTTAGGCCATTCTTGCTTTGCTGTAAAGAAATGGATGAGACTGAGTAATTAATAAAGAAAAGAGGTCTAACTGGGCGTGGTGGCTCAGGCCTGTAATCCCAGCACTTTGGGAGGCCAAGGCAGGCAGATCACGAGGTCAAGAAATCAAGACCATCCTGGCCAATATGGTGAAACCCGGTCTCTACTGAAAATGCAAAAATTAGCTGGGCATGGTGGCACACACCTGTAGTCCCAGCTACTCCGGAGGCTGAGGCAGGAGAATCACTTGAACCCAGGAGGCGGAGGTTGCAGTGAGCCAAGATCGCACCACTGCACTCCAGCCTGGCGACAGAGTGACACCCCATCTAAAAAAAGAAAAAAAGAAAAAAAGAGAGAGGTCTAATTGGCTTACAGTTCTTCAGGCTGTACAAGTAAGTATGGCACTGGTATCTGCTCAGCTTCTGGGGAGACCTCAGAGAGCTTTTACTCATGATGAAGCAGGAGTAGGCACATCGCATGGTAAAAGCAGGGAAGCGAGGAGGTGCCACACACTTTTAAACAACCACATCTTGTGAGTACCCACTCACCATCGCGAGGACAGCAGCAAGTTGCTAGGGATCTGCCCCCATGACTCAAACACCTCCCCTCAGGCCCCATCTCCAACACTGGGAATTACACTTCAACAGGAGATTTGGTGGTAGCATATATCCAAACTATATCATCCCACCTCTGGCCACCCAAATATCTTGTCCTTCTCACATTGCAAAATACAGTCATGCCTTCCCAATAGTCCCCCAAAGTCTTAGGTTATTTCAGCTTTACTCAAAGTCCCAAGTCCAAGTCCAAGTTCAAAGTCTCATCTGGAGGTGAGTTCCTTCCACCTATGAGCCTGTGAGATCAAAACAATTTATATATTTCCAAGATACAATGAGGGTACAGGCATTGAGTAAACATTTCTGTTCCCAAAGGGGAGAAAATGGCCAAAAGAAAGGGGTTACAGGCCCCACACAAGTCTGAAACCCAGCAGGACAGACTAAACCTTAAAGCTCCAAAATAATTTCATTTAACTCCATGTCCCACATCAAGGGCTCACTGGTGCAAGGGTGAACCCTCAAGACCGTGGGCAGCTCCAAGCTGTAGCTTTGCATGGTACAGCTCCAGTGGCTGCTCTCACAGGTTGGAGTTGAGTGTATGCAGCTTTCCAGGCACAGGATGCAAGCTGCCTATGGCTCTACCATTCTAGAGTCTGGGGAACAGCAGCCCTTTCCTGCAGCTCCACCAGGCAGTACCCCAGTGTAGAATCTGTGTGGGGGCTGTAACCCCACATTCTCCCTCTGCACTGCCTTAGTAGAGGTTATCTGTGAAAGATCTGCCCCTGTGGAAGGCTTCTGCCTGGGTGCTCAGGCTTTCTCATACAACCTCTGAAATCTAGGCAGAGACTGCCAAGCCTCCTTCATTCTTGCAGTCTGCACACCTACTGGCTTAACACCACATGAAAGCTCCAAGAGTCGAGGACCAAGCAATATCTCAGACCCTTTGAGCTGAGCCCAGAGCTAGAGTGGCCAGAATACAAGGAGCAGCTTCCTGAGTGGCCAGAATATAAGGAGCAGCTTCCTGGGGTGGTGGAAGACAGTGGCATTCTGGGGTTGGCCCCCAAAACATTCAGTCCTTCTGGGCCTCTGGGCCTTTGATAAGAGGGGCTGCCATGAAGGTCTTTGAAATGCCTTCAAGGACTTTTTTTTAGATTTTTATTTTATTTTATTATTTCAATAGTTTTTGGGGTACAGGTGGTTTTGGTTACATAGATAAGTTCTTTAGTGGTGATTTCTGAGATTTTGGTGGACCCATCACCCAAGCAGTGTACACTGTACCCAATATGTAGTCTTATTCCTCCCCACAACACTCTTCCCTCTGAGTTCCCAAAGTCCTATTATATCATTCTTATGCCTTTGCATCCTCATAGCTTAGCTCTCACTTGTAAGTGAGAACACGCAATATTTGGTTTTCCATTCCTGAGTTACTTCACTTAGAATAATGGCCTCCAGCTCCATCCAAGTTGATGTAAAAAGGCCATTATTTCATTCCGTTTTATGGCTGAATAGTATTCCATGGTGTATATATGTAACATTTTTTATCCATTTGTATGTTGATGGGCATTTATGTTGGTTCAATGTTTTTGCTGATTTGAATTGTGCTGCTATAAACATGTGTGTGCATGTATCTCTTCCATATAATGACTTATTTTCCTTTGGGTAGATACCCAGTAGTGGGATTGCTGGATCAAATGGCAGTTCTGCTTTTAGTTCTTTAAGGAATCTTCATACTGTTTGTCATAGTAGTGATTGTACTAGTTTACATTCCCACCAGCAGTATAAAAGTGTTCCCTTTCACTATATCCATGCCAAAATCTATTATTTTTTATTTTTATTTATTTATTTATTTATTTGAGACGGAGTCTTGTTCTGTTGCTCAGGCTGGAGTGCAGTGGCGTGATCTAGGCTCACTGCAAGCTCCGCCTCCCGGGTTCACGCCATTCTCTCGCCTCAGCCTTCTGAGTAGCTGAGACTACAGGCGCCTGCCACCATGCCCGATTAATTTTGTTTTTGTATTTTTTTTTTTTTTTTAGTAGAGACGGGGTTTCACCATGTTAGCCAGGATGGTCTTAATCTCCTGACCTCGTGATCTGCCCACCTTGGCCGGCCTCCCAAAGTGCTGGGTATTACAGGCGTGAGCCACTGTGCCTGGCTGTTTTTTTTTTTGTTTTGTTTTTGGGTTTTTTTTTGATTTTTTAATTATGGCCATTATTGCAGGAGTAAGGTGGTATTGCATGGTGGTTTTAATTTGCATTTCCCTGATAATTAGTCATGTTGGGCATTTTTTTTCATATGTTTTTTGGTCATTTGTATATCTTCTTTTGAGAATTGTCTATTCACGTCCTTAGCCCACTCTTTGATGGGATTTTTTCTTGCTGATTTGTTTGAGTTCCTTATAGATTCTGGATATTAGTCCTTTGTTGGATGCATAGTTTGCTAAGATTTTCTCCCACTCTGTGGGTTGCCTGTTTCTTTTGCTGATTATTTCTTTTGATATTCAGACACTCTTTAATTAGGTCCCACTTATTTCTTTTTGTTCTTGTTGCATTTGCTTTTGGGGTCTTAGTCATGAATTCCTTGCCTAAGCCGATATCCAGAAGAGTTTTTCCAATGTTATCTTCTAGAGTTTTTATGGTTTCAGGTCTTAGATTTAAGTCTTTGATCTATCTTGAGTTGATTTTTGTATAAGGTGAGAGATGAGGATCCATTTTCATTCTTCTACATGAGGATAGCCAGTTTTCCCTGTACCATTTATTGAATAGGGCATCTTTTCCCCCACTTTATGTTTTTGTATACTTTCTTGAAGATCAGTTGGACGTATTTGGATTTATTTCTGGGCTATTTTATTCCACATATCTGTGTGCCTATTTTTATACCAGTGCCATACTGTTTGGGTAACTATAGCCTTATGTTCTAATCTGAAGTCAGGTAATGTGATGCCTCCAGATTTGTTCTTTTTGTTTTGTATTGCTTTGGCCATCTGGGCTCCTTTTCGGTTCCATATGAACTTTAGGATTGTTTTTCTAGTTCTGTGAAGAATGATGTTATTTTGATGGGAATTGTATTGAATATATAGATTGTTTTAAGCAGTATGATCATTTTCATAATATTGATTCTACCCACCCATGAGCATGAGATGGGTTTCCATTTGTTTATGCCATGTGTGACTTAAGTTTTCCTTGTAGAGGTCTTTCATCTCCTTGGTTAAGTATATTCCTAAATATTTAAAATTTTTTGCAGCTGTTGTAAAAGAGATTCATGTCTTGATTTGATTCTCAGCTTGGTTGTTGTTGGTGTATAGCAGTGCTACTGATTTATGTACACTGATTTTGTATCCTGAGACTTTACTGAATTCACTTATCAGAACTAGGAGCTTTCTGGATGAGTCCTTAGGGTTTTCTAGGTATAGAATCATATCATCAGTGAACAGTGACAGTTTGACTTCCTCTTTACGGATTTGGATGTTCTTTATTTCTTTCTGTCGTCTGATTGCTCTGGCTAGGACTTCCAGTACTAGGTAGAATAGAAGTGGTGAAAGTGGGCATCTTTGTCTTCCAATTTGCAGTTTCAGTTAGCACAGGGAATGCTTTCAGATTTTCCCCATTCAGTATGTTATTGGCTGTGGGTTTGTCATATATGGCTTTTATTACTTTGAGGTATGTCTCTTTTATGCCAATTTTGTTGAGGGTTTTTAATCATAAAGAGATGCTGGATTTTATCAGATGCTTTTTCTGTGTCTATTGAGATGATTATATGATATGTGTTTTTAATTTTGTTTATGTGATATATCATATATATTGATATGCATATGTTAAACCATCCCTGCATCTCTGGTATGAAAACCACTTGATCATGGTATATTATCTTTTTGATATGCTGTTGAATTCAGTTAGCTAGTATTTCGTTGAGGATTTTTGCATCTGTGTTCATCAGGGATATTGATCTGTAGTTTTATTTCTTTGTTCCCTCTTCTTGGTATTAGGGTGATACTGGCTTCATAGAATGATTCAGGGAGGAGTCCCTCTTTCTCTATCTGTCAGAATACTTTCAGTAGGATTGCTACCAATTCTTCTTTGAACGTCTGATAGATTCAGCTCTGAATCCCTTCAGTCCTGGACTTTTTTGTTGTTGTTGCCAATTTCTTTATTACTGATTCAATCTTGCTGCTTGTTATTGGTCGGTTCAGAGTTTCTATTTCTTCCTGATTTAATCTAGGAGGGCTGTATATTCCCAGGAATTTATCCATCTACTCTGGATTTTCTAGTCTGTGTGCATAAAGGTGTTCATAGTAGCCTTGTATGATCTTCTGTATTTCCATGGTATTGGTTGTAATATCTCCAGTTTTGTTTCTAATTTAGCTTATTTGGATCATCTCTCTTCTTTTCTTGGTTAACCTCACTAATGTTCTATCAATTTTGTTTATCTTTTCAAAGAAGTAGATTTTTGTTTAATTTATCTTTTGTAATTTTTTGTTTCAATTTTGTTTAATTCTGCTCTGATCTTTGTTATTTCTTTCCTTCTGCTGAGTTTAGGTTTAGTTTGTTCTTGTTTCTCTAGTTCCTTGAGGTTTCACATTAGGCTGTTTCTATTTGACAGACTCTTTGATGTAGGCATTTAATGCTATGAACTTTCCTCTTAGCACCACTTTTGCTGTATCCCAGAGGTTTTGATAAATTGTGTCAATATTATCATTCAGTTCAAAGAATTTTTAAATTTCCATCTTGATTTCATTGTTTATTCAAATATTATTCAAGAACAGGTTATTTAATTTCCATGTATTTGTAAAGTTTGAGGGTTCTTTTTGGAGTTGATTTTCAGTTTTATTCTACTGTGGTCTGAAAAGATACTTGATATGATTTTGATTTTCTTAAATTTATTGAGATTTGCTTTGTGTCCTATCATATGGTCTATGTTATAGGATGTTCTATGTGCTGATGAGAAGAATGTATATTCTGCAGTTGTTTGGAAGAATGTTCTGTAAATATCTGTTAAGTCCATTAGTTCTAGGGTATAGTTTAAGTCCATTGTTTCTTTGTGGACTTTCTGTCTTGATGACCTGTCTAGTGCTGTCAGTGGAGTATTGAAGTCTTCAATTATTATTGTGTTGCTGCCTATCTCATTTCTTAGATCTATTGGTAATTGTTTTATAAATTTGGGAGTTCCAGTGTTAGGTGCATATATATTTAGGATTGTAATATCTTCCTGTTGGACTAATCCTTTTATCGTTATATTATGTCCTTTGTCTATTTTTACTGTTGTTGCTTTAAAGTCTGTTTTGTCTGATGTAAGAATAGCTATTCCTGCTCACTTTTGGTTTCCATTTGTGTGGAATATCTTTTGTCAGTCCTTTACCTTAAGTTTATGTGAGTCCTTGTGTGTTAGGTGAGTCTCTTGAAGACAGCAGATACTTGGTTTGTGGGGTTTTTTTTAATCCATTCTGCCATTCTGTATCTTTTAAGTGGAGCATTTGGGCCATTTACAGTTAATGTTAGTATTGAGATGTAAGATACCATTATATTCATCATGTTAGTTGTTGCCTAAATACCTTGTTTTTTTTCATTGTGTCATTGTTTTATAGGACCTGTAAGATTTATGCTTTAAGGAAGTTCTATTTTGGTGTATATATTGAGGTATTGTTTCAAAATCTAGAACTCCTTTTAGCATTTCTTGTAGTGCAGGTTTGCTAGTAGCAAATTCTTTCAGCATTTGTTTGCCTGAAACATATTTTATCTCTCTTTCATTTATGAAGCTTAGTTTTGCTAGATACAAAATTTTTGGCTGACAATTATTTTGTTTAAGGAGGCTAAAGATAGGCCCCAATCCCTTCTAACTTATAAGGTTTCTGCTGAGAAATCTGCTGTTAATCTGATAGGTTTTCCTTTACAAATTATATGAACCCCAGATATCTGAGACTGTCTGAGTTAATTTAGAAAGACTGAGCAGCTGTAGTAGTAGCAGTGGAATTTGAGTTTGCCCTAAGTTGGCCAGGGGAAATATTCTGGTGTTTCTCAAGTGATGGATGGGGCCATAAAGCTCCCAAGAGTTTATGACCTTTGTATTAAGCTACCATGGTGGGTAGAGAAATACCATCAGGTGGAAGAGGCTTAGGCAGGTTTGAGCTCAGACTTTCCTTGGGAGGGGCCTGCCATGGCCACTGTGGGGGTTGGGTGGTGGTTCTCAGGCCAGTAGTGCTATGTTTCAGAGGGGAGTATAACTGCCTCTACTGTGCAGTAGAGTTCACAAGGGGAGTTGGGAATAACTGGCAGTGGTAGGCCTCACCCAGCTCCCATGCAGTTGATGAGGCCAGTTTCACTCCCACAGTGCCCTGATAACAGCACTGGGTTTAGATCCAGGTAGCCTGTGCACACAGGTCAGTCCTGCCCAAGGCGATAATCCTTCCCACTGAGGAAGCATGCACAGCTTTCAAGCCACACACCTCTCCACCTGCCTGCAAGGCCAGGTGCCTAGCTCCTGCACTCATGTCTGCACACAGTTTACACTTGCCCCCTGAATTCTGTTCAAGGGAGGTCATGCCCACTTGAAATTATATCATAAAACTCAGTTGGGTGCTTCTTTCTCCTTGCAACCCCTCCCTGAGTTCACTGTCTGGATTCCCCAAGGGACCCTGTGAGATATAATCAGGGATGGCTTCCCTGGGCTCATTCTGGAGACTGGGAATGCCTACAAGGCTCTTCCACTGTCACCTCTACTTTTTTATTTCACGCCACTCCCTAAATCCATTCCAGCTCTAGGTAAGGTTAAAGCCTTCTCCTGTGATCTGGATTTTCAGATTCCCCAGTGGAGATGTGTGTTTGGAGGCAGGCTCTTCCCCTCCTATACTCCAAAAACTCACAGCTTTTCACCTGTCTTGCAGAGTATGCTGTGGCCTCTTTCAAACGATCCGTGAATTCTTTCAGTTTTCCTGGTAAAGTTTCCTGCGGTGGTTCTTTGAAAAAGTTCACAGTGTGAATCTCCCTACACGACTCTGTTCTTCCAACTGGGAGAGGCAGGCTAACCCTGCCCCCGTCCACCATCTTGGAAAAAAAATCCTTCAAGGACTTTTCCCCATTGTCTTGGCTACTACCACTTGGCTCCATTATAGTTATGCAAATATCTCTAGCAAGTGGTTGCACCTCAGCCTGCTTGGATTCTTCTTGTGAAAATGGGCATTATTTTCTACCACATGGCTAGGCTTCAAATTTTCCAAACTTTTATGCTTCGTTTTTCTTTTAAATATAACTTCCAATGTTAAGTCATTTCTTTTCTCCAACATCTGAGCACAGGCTGTTGGAATCATCCAGGCTACTCTTGAATGTTTTACTGCTTAGAAGTTTCTTCTGCCAGATACCCTAAGTCATCACTGTTAAGTTCAAACTTCCAAACATCCCTATGACATGAATAAAGATAATGATATTTCATAATGATGCAATAAATAATTCATTAAGAAGACATAACAATCCCAAATGTGTATGCACCTAAGACACAGGTTCAAAATATATGATACAAAAACTATCAGAGCTAAGGGAGAGATTAATCTCTAGTTTAAGTTGGAGAATGTAACATTTCTTTTTCAGAAACTGGTAGAACAAATATATAGAAAATCAATAAATATATAGAAGATTTGAACAACATTATCAATAAACTTAGCATTATTAACATTATAGAATACTGCACTCAACAACCACAGAATACACATATTTTCAAGTGTACATGAAACATTCACCAAAATAAATCATATGCTGGACCATGAAAAGGTCTGAATACATTTCAAAGAACTGAATGTATACAAAGTATATTATCCAATAATAACAAAGCAACTAAAAGTATGATCTCCAACACAACAAATGAATAACAAAAAGATATGAAATTTTCTAAGTATTTGGAAACTAAGCAACAGTATTCTAAATAACTCATGGGGCGAAAAATAAATCACAAAGGAAATTAGAAAATATTTCTAATTGAATGATAAGGGAAACAAACATATCAAAATTTTGTGAAATGCAGCTAAAGCAATATTGAGAGGGAAGTCCCTAAATGGGACAAAAGAAATTTTTAAAAGGAAAGATCTAAACTTTCACCTTAAGAAGATAATAAAAGAAGAGGAAATTAAACAAAAGGAATAAAACAATGAAAATCAAAGTGAAGTAGAAATCAATGAAATAGAAAGTGGACAAATAATAGAGAAAATCAATGAAATTGAGAATAGGTCTCTTGGAAGTATTCATAAAATAATAAACCTCTATCTACAGTTATTTAAAAAGAGATAAAATGGCAATTGCCAGTTTCACCCTTGAAGGAGATTACATTATTCTAATCTCACAGACATTTTAAAAAATAAGAAAAATTATGAACAATTTTATGCCAATAAGTTTGACAAATTAGCTCAAATGAACAAATTCCTTGGAAGACACAATTTGCTAAAATGAAATAAGAAAATGTAAAATTTGGATAGCCCTACATCTGTTAAAGAAATTAAACTTACAATTTAAAAGAACATTTTTCAATCAGAAAGCCTCAGGATCAGATAACTTCATTGGCAAATCCCATCAAGCATTTAAGGAAGAAATAACACCAACTAATATTGTACAAGGTTTTCAGAAGATAAAAAAAGGCACTTTTCAACATTTAATGTGGCCAACATAACTTTCATATCAAAACCTTTTTAGCATAATTAGCCATTACCATCTAGCAATACATTTCAAAAAGTACTATATCATGACCAGACAGTGTTTATTACAGGAATGCAAGAGTGGTCCAACTTTTGAAAGTCAATTAATATCATCCTCTATATAAAGAAAATAAAAAAGGAAGAAGTATATGACGATTTAAAGAGATGCAAAAACTGTGAACACATTTATGATTGTTAAAAAATGAAATGAAAAACACACAAAAACCTCTGCACATAAAAAGGGAAGAAGACTTTTCTTCATCTGATAAGACCATCTACCAAAACCTTTCCGCGAATATCATAATTTATGATAAAAGACTGGAAACTTTCTCCTGAATGCAAGAACAAGGAAAGGACATCCGTCTTCACCATTTCTATTCGATTTTGTACTAAAAGTCTTAGCCTATAAAATAAAGCAATTAAAAGACAATACAGGCCATAAAGATTGGAAATGAGGTAAAGATGTGTTTATTTTCAGAGTATATGACTGTTACACTTACAAAGTCATTTAAAAACTACAAACTGCTCTTAAATATAATTAATCAGTGAATGTATTGAGATTGTAAGATACAAGGCTAATGCAATTTCCACAAGCAATTGGAAAGACAATATTTTAAAATAACATTTGGAATAGTATCCAAAAGGCACTGGACATGGTGGCTCATGCCTGTAATCCCAGCACTTTGGGAGGCCGAGGCGGGCAGGTAACCTGAGGTCAGGAGTTCAACACCAGCCTGGCCAACATGGTGAAACCCCATCTCTACTAAAAATACAAAAATTCTCTGGGCACAGTGGGGCAAGCCTGGATCCCAGCTACTCCAGAGACTGAGGCAGGAGAATTGTTTGAACCCAGAAGGCAGAGGTTGCAGTGACCTGAGATTGCACCACTGCACTCCGGCCTGGGCAACAGAGTGAGACTCCCTTGCAAAAACAAACAAACAAACAAACAAACAAACAAAAAACAGCAATAGTATCCCAAAGAAAAATAATTCGAAATAAATTTAGCAAAATAGGTATAACACTTGTGAGATGAAAACCACAAAACATTGTGGACATAAATTAAAGAAGACCTAAATAAAGTGAGAGATATGCCATGTTCATAGATTAGAAGATTCAATATTGTTAAGAAATCAGTTCTCTACAAGTTGATTCATAGATTAATCACTATCCCAATCAAACTTCCAGAAGACTGTTTTTATAGAAACTGATAACCTGACTTTAAATTTTATATCAAAAAAAGCACCTAGATGGCCAAAACAATTTTAGAAAAGAACAAGTTGGAACACGTATACTAACTGATTTCAAAACTTACTATGAAACCTACAGTAGTTAAGACATTCTGACACTGAAGTAAGTTTAGATTTATAGAGCAATGGAACAGGATAGAGAATCAAGAAATAAATACATGCTTATATAGCCAATTAGTTTTCCATAAAGATACCAACACAAGCAATTTAATGGGATAGGAAAAGGAGTGTCTTTTCAACAAACAGTACTGAATAACTAAATAACCACATGGGAAAAAAAGACCTTCAATTTCCCTATGTCTTTCTGTGCACAAAAGTTTATTTCAGAGGGATTATTGGCTTAAATGTGAAAGTTTACACCAAATGATTCTAGAAAGACTCTAGAAAGATGGATAATATTTTCTCAATCTTAGGACAGGCAAGGAATTCTTAGGCAGAACACATGATGTATTAATTATTCAAAAAAGTTATACATTAAAATTCACCAAAATGAAAATATTTTGCTCTTCAAAACACACCATCAAGAAAATCATCAGACGTGGCTGGGTGTGATGGCTCACATCTGTAGTCCCAGAACATTGGGAGGCCGAGGTGGGAGGATAACTTAAGGCCAGGAGTTCGAGACTAGCCTGGCCAAAACTCCATATGTACTAAAAATACAAAAAATTAACCAGGTGTGGTGGCCGCAACTATAATCCCAGCTATTCGGAAGGCTAAGGCAGGAGAATTGCTTGAACCCAGGAGGCAGAGGTTGCAGTGAGCAAAGATTGCACCACTGTACTCCAGCCTGGGTGACAGAACAAGACTCCGTCTAAAAAAAAAAAGAAAGAAAGAAAGAAGGAAAGAAAGTCATCAGACAAAACATAGAGTGGAAGGAAACAAGCTATCTTTACACACACACACACACACACACACACACACACACACACACACACGAACATGTATCCATACAAGTATACATATTGTATAAAGAACTGCTGTAACTCAAAAACAGAGATAACGCAATTTTTTTATTGCAAAAGACTCAGACATTTCAAAAGGAATATTCACAAATGGTCAATAGACACATGAAAACATGTTCAACATCATTAGTTATCAGGTAAATACAAATGAAATCCATAAGATACCTCTACATACTTATTAGGCCGATAAAATTAGAAGCATTACTCTGTCAAAAAACAGAGCTTTCAGACATTTTTGTTGCGAATTTACACATATTTCTTTTAAGAGTCTAAAATTGTACAATCATTTTAAAAATATTTGTGATTTCTAAAAGTTACATATACATCTACTTTATAATTATGCAGTTTCACTCCCAGGTTATTATTGAAGAGGAACGTGTACATATGTCCACTAAAGATATGTACAAGAATTTTCATAGCAGCTTTGTTAAACTGAAAACAACCCAAGTCTCCAGCAACAGGAGTGTAAACAAAGAAATTATAGCCTCTTCTTACAAAGGAATTCTATTCAGCAATAAAGAAGGAACTATTTATTTTACATTTCAAAATAGCTAGAAGAATTGTAATGTTTCTAACACAAAGGAAAAATAAATATTTGAAGTGATGGGTATTCCAATTACCCTAATTTAATCATTACAGCTTTTATACATGTATAAAAATATCACATGTACCCCAAAATATGTGCAACTATTACATATCAATAAAAAAATAAAAATTTTTTAAAGAATGAGCTGTTTATACAAGCTAAAACATGGTTGAATTTCAAAAGCATTAGGCTAAGCCAGAGATCCCAGACACAAAAGATTACATATTGTATGCTTCCAATTATTTTTAGGTTGCTGCAAAAGTAATGGCAAAACCACAATTACTTTTGCATCAACCTAATAGAAATTCTAAAAGAGGCAAAACTAATATAGGGTCACAAAAATCAGAACAATGGGCCAGACGCAGTGGCTGACATCTGTAATCTCAGCACTTTGGGAGGCCAAGGCGGGCAGATCATCTGAGGTCAGGAGTTCAAGACCAGCCTGGCCAACATGGTGAAACCCCATCTCTAGTAAAAATACAAAAATTAGCCAGGCGTGGTGGCAGGCACCTGTAATCCCAGCTACTTGGGAGGCTGAGGCACGAGAATCGCTTGAACCTGGGAGGCAGAGGTTGCAGTGGGCGATAGAGCTAAACTCAGTCTCAAAAACAAACAACAAAAAAATCAGAACAAAGGTTGCCTGATCCAGGATGTGGGGGTTGACTGGGAAGGGACAAAAAGAAAGGTCAAGATAATGAAAATATGCTATAACTTGACATGCTGTGGGTTATAAAGGTGTTTACACTTGTCAGACACATGACAACTCATCAACCAGAGCACTCAAGATCTGTACATTTCACTGTATGTAAATTAAACCTCAATTTTACAAAAAGAAAGGAGAAAAACACAGAGACAATAAACAAAGCAATTCAGAATATTGGTATGGGTGTTGAGAAAGTGAATTGACTTAAATAATTGGACTAATACTTTATTTTACAAATCAGAAGTTTTTTTCCTTTTTTTGTGTTCAGCAACACTGATTGAAGATCAATCAGTTGTCAGCTGACCATAACAAATATTTTTGATAATAAATCATTGTGTATTTTTTGTTACATAACCCAGAAGGAGTTCAGATTTGAGTGACATAGCAAACTACTTCCAATCCATATTTACATACCTATGTTAAAATATTTTTTGACATTTCTACAAAAATTTAAAAATAGAAAAATATGAAGGGGAAAAGAGAAATCCAGAGTAAATGATTTGATAGTTCCCAGCTACAAGTTAACTTCTTTCTCTGTAAACCAAGAGAGTACAAGTTTTCTTTTTTTTCTAACTTTTCTTTTTTTGTTGTTTTTAATTTTACTTTAACTTCCAGGATACGTGTGCAGAACGTGCAGGTTTGTTACATTGGTATACGTGTGCCATGGTGGTTTGCTGCACCTATTGACCCATCCTTTAAGTTCCCTCCCCTTGCTCCCCCACCACCCACCAAACGGGCGCTGCGCTGGTGTGTGTTGTTCCCCTCCCTGTGACCATGTGTTCTCACTGTGCAACTCCCACTTATGAGTGAACTACCACTTATAAGCAGTGTTTGGTTTTCTGTTCCTGTGTTAGTTTGCGAGGATGATGGCTTACAGCTTCATCCATGTCCCTCAAAAGGATATGATCTCATTCCTTTTTATGGTTGCATAGTATTTCATGGTGTATATGGAGAGTACAAGTTTTCATCCCAAAAGTGCATCTGGTCTTGAGTTTTTTGATGCAAGAAGTGCAGAAACCAAGTCCCCAAAAATGTTGTTGTCTCCAGCTACCATTTCTTTGGCATAGCCAAAGCAGAATCTCAGAATAGAGTGCTGAGATGAAGATGGGAGTTCAGAGACTTGCCCTTGACCTTGATAGCTACAAGCATTTCTTTGGAAGGAGCAGTTTTTGTGGTTTCAGATGAGCCAGAGGACTGCCCCTCCAAAGACACCTGGACTTTATACTTATTAATCTGTATGGCCCTATGATAAATGGTTCCTCCAATTGTTAGCCAGGAGAATAGAAATTGGAAAGTTAACTTTCATTAACCCAAAGCACAGAAGAGTCCAAAAGAATAATATTTCTCTGCTCTCACTCTTTTGCCTGAACACCTCCTTTACATCTCTGGGATGACAATAACAGCCATTTTCCTGCTTACAGAGGTTGGCGAACTAACATCCTTGGCTATTACAATGACAGGTGTGAAATGTGTGCGTATGTGTACCAAGTATCTAAACCACCCTCAGAGACAAACACAAACATAGATGGGACCCAATATAAATATCTGTTCAACAAATGACCAGATAAATGTATTAATCTTATTGACCAATAGTTTAACAGGGAGGAGGCTGGCCAGACAGGAGGGAAAGATGCATTTTAGGGTAGAATGACAAATAACATTGCAAAGAAAACTTATATTGATTGATTTAGGAGCAGCTTAACATCCATTCAGTAGATGCAGTGAATTTTGACAGGAAAATTGTATACAGAGACTGTGAAACTAAACTAACAGAGCATTAAGCTGCAGTATTTCTTTCAAAAGAGTTGTAGGACTTTGGAGTATGAAGGTAGCCTGGAAATACAAAATGAATTAACAATGAGGGAAAGAATATGAACAAAACAAACTTTGGAACAGTGAAAGGGAATTTTCATAGAATATGACATATGAGGAAGCAAATAGTTCTGAAAAGAATAAGTCTCTTCAGCCGGGCACAGTGGCTCACACCTGTAATCCCAGCACTTTGGGAGGCCGAGGCGGGCGGATCACGAGGTCAGGAGATCGAGACCACGGTGAAACTCCGTCTCTACTAAAAATACAAAAAAAAAAAAAAAAAATTAGCCCGGCGTGGTGGCGGGTGCCTGTAGTCCTAGCTACTCAGGAGGCTGAGGCAGGAGAATGGCGTGAACCCGGGAGGCGAAGCTCGCAGTGAGCAAAGATCGCGCCGCTGCACTCCAGCCTGGGCGACAGAGCGAGACTCCATCTCAAAAAAAAAAAAAAAAAAAAAAAAGAATATGTCTCTTCCTTTATGCATCTATCCCCTCTCTCACCCCTAGGAGTATTTGCCTAGGACTCCAAGTAAGTGAAGAAGTCAAGAACCAGATAGAATAAAAGATAATAAATCTATTTTCTTCCAAAGAGAGAGAAGAGAAAGATTTTCTTCTCAACTGTAATATATCAAGAAGGGCTTAGAGGTTAACAAGAAGGGAGAATAATGGGACATGGGAGAATGGCAACCCTTTTATTTCAAATAAAACCATGTCTTCTAAAAACCAGATTTGTGTTTTATTTATTCTCAATCTTAAAGTTGTAACTTTAGGGCAATGGTGAAAATAAAGCAATGCTCTGAACACTAGAATCTAGAAGTAACTAATAAGCCCTAATGATCCTTCTGCCTTTAAGGGCCTTCAGGTCCCACATGTTTGAAGAAGGAAATTTATGTATGGAAATCATTCTAGAGAAGGCAAGGAAAGTGTGGGAAATCCTATCGAGTTACTCTGGAGAAAGACGGCTGCCTCCAAATATTCACATACTTCCCTCTTGATGGAATTGATGGAATGTTTCTTGATATTCTCAGTGCCTCATCTATTACCTGGTCCATATTGAATGAATTGAGCCCTTAATGAGATGCCACTCAGGTGCCAGACTTCAAGAATATCAAAATGAATCAGAAACTTTCGACTCTCAAGAGCTCACCATTTTATTTTTCAGGCAAAGGCCATATAATCCAATAAAAATAGAATGATTTAGAATTTAGGAAAAGCATATGAAAAAAGAAAGCTTTTGAACTCTGAAATGAATTTTTATTTTAGAATCAGACGTATTAAGAGCCAAAGGGTTCTAAGAGAATAAGTCCAATCTTTTACAGATCAAAAGTTGTCTCCCGGCCAGGCACGGTGGTTCACGCCTGTAATCCCAGCATTTTGGGAGGCCGAGGCAGGCAGATCACTTGAGGTCTGGAGTTAAAGACCAGCCTGGCCAACATAGTGAAACCCTGCCTCCACAAAAGAATACAAAAAGTAGATAGGCGTGGTGGTGCGCACCTGTAATCCCAGCTACTCAGGAGGCTGAGGCAGGAGAATTGCTTGAATCTGGGAGGCAGAGATTGCAGTGAGCAGAGCTTGTGCCACTGCATTCCAGCCTGGGCAGCAAAGTGAGACTCCATCTCAAAAAAAAAAATGTTTTTTTAAAGTTACCTAAATCTTTTGTTTAAATGCCTTACACCAACCCCATCACCCACAATATTTATATTTAATTGTTCTAGATTGGAGCCCAGGCAACAGTATTTTGCATAAGTACCTTAAGGTAATTCTTACTTGCAATCAGGGTGGAGAAGCTCTAATATACGAACTTCAGGAATGAGGGGTGATCTGTCTTTCCCAGGAGCACAGCACCAGTGAGCAACAGACCAAGACAAATCTTCTCCTGGTCCTATTTTACTTTAAATTTGAGCATAGAACATGTTTTCCTTAATAGTTTGTAGCTTGGTGTTTATATTGTAAGCATTCAGACGTTTGGTTGTTGTGCCACCATATACTTTTGCCTTGAACCTCACAAATATTAGGGCGTGCCCCAAGCCAAAGGTATATTCTATAGGAAACTGCACACATCCTTGCACCTCAGAAGATCCATTTGCAGTCAAAGTCGCTTTCAGAAGCTTGGAGGGAGAGATCTGGGGTTGGATCTGGAGGTAAAATGCTAGCCAGTTTGAACCCTGGTCTGGGCTGACCCAATCCTTACACAAGGCTTTGTCTAAGATGATTTCCTTTGGGCCTCTTGGAATGACAAGCTCTTGGAAAGCCCCCAGGCCCATCAACCAGCAGAGAAGGAAACTGAGGTTCATGGAAGGAAAGGATCTAAACCAATACAGGGGCGACAGACAGCCTAGGCCACCCCATGTGCCCCTGCACCCTGGCCATCCACCTCTGGTTAGGAACTAGCCTCCCCAAATAATCTTCTCCATGGCACCCCATAATCCAAGCCAAGTTGCATGCATTTTGCTGAATCTTAAATTCTATGAATGAGGACAATCCTGCTTCTTTCCAAATGTACTTAAGGACAAAGACGTGTTCCTGGGCCCATTTTTAAAGCCCTAACAAAAAATCTCTCCATGAAGAGGCAGGCAGATGGACTCCAGAGCAGTCCTGGCCCTGTATTCAGAGTGGCCACAGATCTCATGGCCACAGCTGACTCTCAGTTCTGACATCCATGAATCCTGAATGTGTGATGTGATCCTCCAGTGCTAATTGGAGCACTAAGGCTATGCTTCTCATGTGTGAGGGCCTTGGTCCCTGGAAGGACTGAATTTGGGAGCAGAGACTTCCCTTGTTTACCTAACTCCAGTACTCCTTCATTTTGCAATTCTCTTCCTCCCACACAACACCTGTCTCACCCTCAAGAATCCTAACCACCCTTACCCACACTTTTAGGTGGTGTTTAGTGCAGAGGTGCCAACCATATGCTCTTCCTCATCCGCTGATGGTTCTACTCCTGAGACAATGGGAAGCATGTGAGGAAAAGATTGGCAAAGTTTGGGAAAGTGAGGTGCATCCGCATTCACTGGGACCCCCTCTCATGTCCAGTCTCCCAATGTCCCCACCCAAAAGAGCTTGAATATTTATCTAATTGTATATTAGATTGTCATCTAATGAAATTGTGTTTTCAAACCCTGTATAATTTAAACACATCTATTTCATTTGGGGCTTTTCAAAATATTATTTCCCATTTCTGAAAATATTCATGAATTTAATTTGAAAAAAATACAAAACCTTGGAAAGATTCCTTGAGAAACTTTGATTATTTTAAAGTTCCAATTCCACAAAGTGAAAAAGCAAACAATCTGACAGCAACTAAATGCACTGAGGGGGGGCGGGGAACAAGACAATTATTGCATTCGAAAAGGCAATTTGAAACATTTTCACAGATAATAGATACCATAAATCTTTGTCTGATCCACTAACAAATATTTTTTCAGATAATGAACAGCTGATTTTTATATCTAAAACCCCCAAATTCCTATTTTATTCTTACAGTTCACATAGATTGATCAAAGTTGACTGCTTGATAAAGCCAATGGAATTTCCCATGATTTTTGTGCACTTTAGTTTCTAGTGCTGACATTGAGAGAAACCAGGGAAAGTTCTTTGGTCCTGGAGCAAATTTTTTTTGACTTTTATTTTAGGTACATGTGCAGGTTTGCTGTGTTGGTAAACCATGTGTCATGGAGCTTTGGTATACAGATTATTTCATCACCCAGGTAATAAGCAAAGTGCCTGATAGGTATTCTGTCTGCTCCTCTCTGTCCTCCCACTCTCAACCCTCAAGTATGCCCCAGTGTCCATTGTTCCCCTTTATGTGTCCATGTGTTCTCATTGTTTATCTCTGTGTTAGTCGTGGTTCTCTAGAGGGACAGAATTAATAGGATAGATATATATTTAAAAGGGAGTTTATTAAGTAGTATTAACTCATACAATCACAAGATCCTACAATAGGCCATCTGCAAGCTGAGGAGCAAGGAAGCCAGTCCAAGTGCCAACGCTGAAGAACTTGGAGTTCGATGTTTAAGGACAGGAAGCATCCAGCACGGGAGAAAGATGTAGGCTGGGAGGCTAGGCCAGTGTAGCCTTTTCACGTTTTTCTGCCTGCTTTATATTTGCTAGCAGCTGATTAGATGGTGCCCACCCAGAATAAGGGTAGGTCTGCCTTCCTCAGCCCACTGACTCAAATGTTAATCTCCTTTGGCAACACCCTCACAGACACACCCAAGATCAATGCTTTGCATCCCTCAATCCAATCAAGTTGCCACTCAGTATTAACCATCACAAGTCTGCCCCTTGTCAACTTGAACCCATACACGTCTCCTGAGATCACACATAATCTTCAAATAAAGACAATAATAAGGTCATAATTACACCTAACATAATACAACTATCCTTCGTACAACCGGAAATGCACCAATCCTCAACCCAAATACTATTACAGAAAGTTAACAGTACTTAAATGCTGATGTGAAGTCAATAAATCTTATGTCACATGATAAAGGAAAAAGGAAATAAAATGAAGATGTTTTCTTAGTACAAGTGTATACATGCACAAACATGTTTTTAACAAAAGAAGGAGGAAATACTCATGACAATTACAGTCCTCATTTCTGCAGCTGGTCCCCTGGTTATAGCTGGTATTAATGACTACCTTCTTCTACTACTCATTCTGTATTCCCTTTGCTGTCAGCAAGCACCTCAGCAGGTCATAGCTTTTTTCCTGGTGGAGTGAACTAAACCTTCATTCCTGAAGGGCCTGGGTCATTTGTAGTCCTGACCAGATTGGGCTGTTGTAGTTTCCCATTAACCTTAATCACAGGTCATGGTAATACTAAGAGACACCGTAATGGATCTCCTGTATTCCATACATACTCTTCCTTCCCTCCATTGTGGAATAGTAGACTGATTTCATCTTCACAGTCCAGGTCAATCACCACAGCCAATGCTGTAACTCCCTTCTTAGCTTGTTGACTTAAATGTAGGAGGAGCCCACAGTGTCCAGGTGGCAATCTTAACTTCCAGTTTAATGGCATTGTCATGTCTCCTGGTGGCAGCATTCCTCCCTCTAGAACTAAGACCTTTAGGCCAGCAGAACGTAATGTAGAGGGAACAGGAAGCAAAAATTTTGCTAACGAATCACTAGGGGTGTTGGTGAGTGGTGCCACTTCCACTTCCACCCCTTGATTCCTGGATCTGTGAATCCTGCCTATGGCAGATTCAGTACCATATATTGGACGCTGATTCAGAGTATACACAACCTTTGGGAGAACTTTGCCGCAGCCATGCAAAGTATTATCATCTAGTTGGCATTGTAATTGATCGTAATTGTAACTTCAAATGGCCATTCCACCATTCTATCAATCCAGCTGCTTCAGGATGATGGGGAACATGGTAAGACAAGTGACTTCCATGAGCATGAACTCACTGCCACACTTCTTTAGCTGTAAAGTGAGTTTCTTGTTCAGAGGCAGTGCTGCGTGGAATACCATGACAGTGGATAAGGCGTTCTGTGAGTCCATGGATGGTAGTCTTGGCAGAAGCACTGCATGCAGGATAGGCAAACCCATATCTGGAGTAAGTGTTTATTGCAGTGAGGACAAACCTCTGCCCTTTCCATGATGGAAGAGGTCCAATATAATCAACCTGCTACCAGGTAGCTGGCTGATGACCCCGAGGAATGGTGCCATATCAAAGTCTCAGTGTTGGTCTCTGCTGCTGGCAAATTGGGCACTCAGCAGTGGCCGTAGCCAGGTCAGCCTTGGTGAGTGGAAGTCCATGTTGCTAAGCCCATGCATAACCTCCACCCCTGCCACCATGGCCACTTTATTCATGGGCCCAGTGGGCGATGACAGGAGTAGCTGGGGAAAGAGGCTGAGTGGTGTCCACAAAATGGGTCATCCTATCCACTTGATTATTGAAATCCTCCTCTGCAGAGGTCATCTGTCAGTGAGCACTCACATAGGATACAAATATCTTCACAGCTTTTAACAACTCAGAGAGGTCCATCCACATACCTCTTCCCCAACATTCTTTGTCACCAATTCTCCAATCATGCTACTTCCAAGTCCCTGACCATCCAGCCAAACCATTGGCTACAGCCCATAAGTCAGTATGTAATTGCACATCTGGCCATTTCTCCTTCCATGCAAAGTGCACAACAAGGTGTACTGCTCGAAGTTCTGCCCACTGGGAAGATTTCCTTTCACGCTGTCCTCCAGGGATATCCTAGAAAGGGACTGTAGTGCCACAGCTGTCCACTTTCAGGTGGTGCCTGCATATCGTGCAGAACCATCTGTGAACCAGGCCCTAGTCTTCTCTTCCTCTGTCAACTGATCATAGGGAACTCCCTATGAGGCCATTGGTGCAGGCTGGAGGAGAGAAGGTAGGGTGGCAGGAGTGGAGATCATGGGCATTTGAGCCACTTCCTTATGTAACTTACTTGGCCTTCAGGATCTGCTTAAGCCCAATCACGTATATACCACTTCCATTTGATGATGGAATGCTGCTGTGCATGACCCACTTTATGGCTAGATGGGTCAGAAAGCACCCAGTTCATGATAGGCAGTTCAGGTTGCATGGTGACTTGATGATCCATAGTCAAACTTTCAGTTTCCACCAAAGCCCAGTAACAGGCCAAGAGCTGTCTCTGAAAAGAAGAGTAATTATCTGCTGAAGATGGCAGGGCCTTACTCCAAAATCCTAGAGGCTTCTGCTGTTATTCACCAATGGGGGCCTACCAGAGGCTCCAAACAGTATCCCTATCTGCCACTGACACCTCAAGCACCACTGGATCTGCTGGGTCATATGGCCCAAGTGGTAGAGCAGCTTGCACAGCAGCCTGGACCTGTTGCAGAGCCTTCTCCTGTTGTGGACCCCATTCAAAACTGGCAGCCTTTCAGGTCACTCAATAAATGGGCCAGAGTAACACACCCAAATGAGGAATGTGCTGCCTTCAAAATCCAAATAGGCCCACTAGGCTTTGTGCCTCTTTCTTGGTTTGGGAGGGACCTAATGCAGCAAGTTATCCTTCACCTTAGAAAGAATATCTCAACAGGCCCCACACCACTAGACCCCTAGAAATTTTACTGAGGTAGAAGATCCCTGAATTTTAGTCAGATTTATTTCCCATCCTCTGGCACACAGATGGCTCACCAATAAGTCCAGTGTGTTTGCTACTTCTTGCTCACTGGATCCAATTAGCATAATGTCATCAATGTAATGAACCAGTGTGATATCTTGTGGAAGCGAAAAGTGATCAAGTTCTCTCCAAATGAGATTATAACACAAAGTCGGAGAGTTGATATGCCCCCAAGGTAGAATGGTAAAGGTATATGGTTGACCTTGCCAGCTGAAGGCAAATTGTTTCTTGAGGGCCTTATGGACAGGAATGGAGAAAAAGACATTTACCAAGTAAATGGCTGCATACCAGGTACCAGAAGATGTGTTAATTTGCTCAAGCAATGAAATCACATTTGGTACAGCAGCTGCAATTGGAGTCACCCCTTGGGTAAGCTTATGATAATCCACTGCCATTCTCCAAGATCCATCATTCTTCTGCACAGGCCAAATAGGAGAGTTGAACAGGGATATGGTGGGAATCACCACCTTTGCATCTTTCAAGTCCTTGGTGGTGGCACTAATCTCCACAATCCCTCCAGGGACACAATATTGTTTTTGGTTTACTATTTTTCTAGGTAGAGACAGCTCTAATGGCTTCCATTTGGCCTTTCTCACCATAACAGCCCTCACCCTACCAGTCAGGGTGCCAATGTGGGGGTTCTGCCAGCTTCGAAGTATGTCTATGCTAATTATGCATTCTGGCACTGGGGAAATGACCACAGGATGAGTCCGGGGACCCACTGGACGCACTGTAAGTTAGACCTGAGCTAAAACTCCATTAATTACCTGACCTCCATAAGCCCCTACTTTAACTGAAGAACCACAATAATGTTTTGGGTCCCCTGGAATCAATGTTAGCTCAGAGTCAGTGTCCAGTAGTCCCTGAAATGTCTGATCATTTCCCTTTCCCTAATGCACAGTTACCCTGGTAAAAGGCCAGCAGTCTCCTTGGGGAAGAATGGGAGAAAGATTAACAGCATAAATTGTCAGTAGTGTAATGGAGTCCTTCCTCAAGGGGACCCAGCCGCTCCTTCATTCAAGGGGTTCTGTTGTAAACTGGCTCAAGTCTGGAAAATGAATGAGGGGTCATGATTCTCTGTTTTTATAATTCAAATTAGTCTTTTGTCCATTTGACCTGGAAGTTTTCTGCTTATATAAATTAAGTCGGAATTCAGCAGACTTCCTATCAATTTCACTTCTAGGAATACCATGATTAATTAGCCAATGCCAGAGCTCTACACGAGTCAGACTATTCTGATTGCTGCTTTGCCTCTGCTGTCCATTACAGTAGCTATGCCCACCTTGCCTTTGATGGTTGAGTGCCACCACTTGGCCCCTGCCAACTCAGGATCCAATTATCCCCATTGTATTTATATGTTGTAGTTGAGCAACTATGATTTCCATTGTTAGATCTGACATACAGAGAAGAGCAATTACAGGGCTCTTCAAAAATGCAGGTGCTGCCCTCACAAATCTATTTCATGAGGCATTGGTCAAGAGTATATCTTCTGGACCCCCCAAGCTGGGATGAGTAGGTCTAAAGTGACTAATCCACTCCACCATCCCAATCTCCCTAAGCCTTTGGATCCCTTCCTCTATATTAAACCGAGGGAGATCAGGCATTTCCCGCTTGCTCACAATGGGCCATCTTTTAATCCATATTTCAGCTAACCAAGTAAATAAACTATTAGAACCATTTTTGACCACCTGAGCTGCAACATTAGAAGCAAAATCCCTACTTAGTCGGCCCAAATCAATAAATTCAGCTGATCCAACTCTGTTCCTTCCACTGTTATCCCACACACTTAATATCCATTCCCATGCCTATTCTCCAGATTTCTGTTCATATAAATTAGAAAATTCAAGCAGTTCTTTTCGAGTGTAGTGCACCTCCTCACGAGTCACACTCTGAACCTCACCTCTAGGGGCTCGCCAGGACTTTAGTCTAGTTACAGGTCTAGAAGCAAACAGGGGTGTTGGGGGTGGCTCCTGAGGAGAATCAATATTATCTTGCCTGGTAACTACCTCAGAGGAGGCCATCACAATTGCCTCAGGCAGCTCAGGGTTTATCTCCTCAGATAAAGCTGGAAAGGCTGATGGCAGCATGGATCAGGAAAGGGATTTTGCCACCACTGGCGATGGGGAAGCTGTTTCTTCTGGCAAGAAAGTTTCATCAGAGTTTAGAGGTTCCGTGTCCCCAGCTTCGTCAGGGTCCTCCCACACTTCCCTATTCCCAGTTGCAGGGTCCCATTCTTTTCCAGTCAATGCCCTCACTTTAACAGTAGACACCTAGGCTGGGTGTGGTGGCTCATGCCTGTAATCCCAGCACTTTGGGAGGCCAAGGCAGGTGGATCATGAGATCAGAAGTTCGAGACCAGCCTGGCCAAAATGGTGAAACCCCATCTCTACTAAAAATACAAAAATTTGCTGGATGAGGTGGCGGGCGCCGGTAATCCCAGTTACTCAGGAGGCTGAGGTAGGAGAATTACTTGAACCTGGGAGGCGGAGCGTGCAGTGAGCCCGGATCACACCACTGCACTCCAGCCTGGGCAACAGAGCGAGACTCCATCTCAAAAAAAAAAAAAAAAAAATACCTGGTGAGGCTGTGCATGCACCTTTCATTGCAGGTCAGCTACTCGCATGATAAGAGCTTGTGTCTGATTTTCCACAGCTTCAGCTTTTTCTCTAAAGGAGATAAGACTGACTCAGGGCAATCTTAGATGAGTTGAGGCTAAGTATCTGCTTCACAAACCAGGAGTTAGAATCACTGAGTTCATCATTTTCTTTCATCACTTTTTCCAGTGAACTTAGGAGCAACCAACCAGCTTCATTATGTTTCTTGGTTCTCCACATATGGTCAAAGGTGTTATGTATAGAGTTATTAAACTCCTTGCCTCTCGCGAGCTGTGAACCGGGAGTGTCAAATGCATTTATTTTGCATAACTCTCTAAACAGTTCATGCCAAGGACTATCAGTGTTCTCCACACTATTAGAAGTAGAGTTGTTAGCATTTTTGGGTCTAATCATATTCAACAGCCAACTCCAGAAACCCCAAAACCAACGAAAGAACTCCATCCTTAATATTCTGTTCCTCTAGAACCCCTCCTGGTACCAAAGCCTGTATTAGTCAAGGTTTTTTAGAGGGACAGCACTAATAGGATATATATATCCTATATATGAATGAGAGTTTATTAAGTAGTATTAACTCACACAGTCACAAGGTCTCACAATAGGCCTTCTGCAAGCTGAGGAGCAAGGAAATCAGTCCGGGTGCCAAAGCTGAAGAACTTGGAGTCTGATGTTCAAGGGCAGGAAGCATCCAGCACAGGAGAAAGATGTAGGCTGAGAGGCTAAACCAGTGTAGCCTTTTCATATTTTTCTGCCTGCTTTATATTCACTGGCAACTGATTAGATGTTGCCCACCCAGATTGAGGGTGGGTCTGCCTTCCTCAGCCCTGTGACTCAAATGTTAATCTCCTTTGGCAACACCCTTACAGACACACCTAAGATCAATACTTGGCATCTTTCAATCCAATCAAGTTGACGCTCAGTATTAACCATCACAAGCTCCCACTTGTAAGTGGTATTTGGTTGCCTGTTCCTGCATTAGTTTGCTTAGGATAATGGCCTCCAGCTCCGTCTGTGTCATTGCAAAGGACATATCTCATTCCTTTTTATGACTGCATAGCATTCTATGGAGTATATGTACCACATGTTCTTCATCCAGTCTACTGTTGATGGATATTAGAAAAGCTTTTCTTTCTATTGTTCTTCCACTACATTTTCCCTTTGCCCTATCTTTGTCAATGAATGGGAGGTTATCTTTAGACTATCTTACTTGAGGGGCCATAGCCCAGTTGTGGTTCACATTGCTAGCAGATTTGCTTTTCAAAGCAATTCATATCTGAGGACTGGTTTACATCCACAAGATGCTGGACTATGGCACAGCCATTTAAATAAGCAAAATGGATCTCACCAAACCCTATTCAACCCTGTTGATTTACAGCACTCATGACAATGACAGAGATGCTCACATTTTCTAGGACAACTTGTGTATAAACAGAGCCTACATCACTCTCTTCATCTTCAGCTCTTACTCCATCTCTCTTTCACTTTGTCTTTACCTCTCCCTCTCTCTGTTATAATTTACCTGGTGCATTTTGCCACAAACTGGTTTAAGAGAAAAATTTACTGGATTGAAACAGCACTTCTTATGCAAGCTTCAAACATTCAGCAAAGTTAATTAGGCTGTAGAAACCAAGACTGAAAGCCAAGGCAGTTAAGCCATAGCCATTGAGTTCTGGAATCAGGGAAATCTCTCTTAGGTATTTAAGCACTTTAGTTTCATGAGGAGGGCTTAAAGACAAAGTGGGCTGTGTATTTCCACTTAGTCACTTTGCGGTGAGCTTGATCACTTTAATGTGGCAGGATATGGGGTCAATCAAAGTGAGTAATGAGATGTATTCAAACAACATAAGCTTAAATATATATCTGGCCACAAAGGTTCCCCAGACCCCAAGGGTCAGTTTTCTCTCCTTTGTGGCCAAGTTGGCTTTGAGTTATTGTTATAAAATGCCTATTTTAAACAGTAAATAAGTGATCATACTAAACAGCTGCAGGGCACGGCCTAGAAAAAAAGATTGACAGAGCAGCTGTCAGCTCTGCCTTCTATCACTGTGCTGGTCTCAAATCCAATGTGCCTGTTTAAATGGGACACATTAGCAGCTTTCTAGTGACTGATAAGATTGCCACACAGTAATTTAGAACATATGGTGCCTCTCTACTGGAGACAGATCAGATTTCAGAAGATGAAATTTATTAGGAATGGGGTGATAGCCTGGGCATTCCCTTAGTAGCAAATAGTTTACACTATTGAAAACACAGAAAAGGAATTGAGGACATGCTAGAGTACTAGACAGTGCAGAATGTTATCATTCTACTTTTAGGGGGAGACGTTGCTGGACATTTGTTTCTAATGGTAAATTTACTAAGTCACCTTATATCAGATTATTTTTCATTTGGAAAGTCACCAAAATGAAACCTTTTAATTATATGGATGTGATGCAACTTCCACCCAATATTCTGAAAGAAGAGTGTAACTAGACTTTTATAGTTTGTTGTGGAAGCTTGAGACTCTGACTTAGTAGGCAAATGGGGTGTCATAGCGTCTCTTTTTGTACCCTTGGAATATGATGAAAAAGAAATGAAAATATGTACATGACAGCCATGGAAACTTGGGGCCAAAATTATCTTGGGAGAAACTTGTTCTGGTCCTGGCATGTATCTATTGCCAGAATGCTTCTTGTCCTAGCCTCACTGGTAAAAATGTGTGATTGTCCTATGCCGGTTAAAGCAAATTATTTTGTGTGCTTTCTGGTTATCGAGATAAAGCAGAGGTTGGTAAACTGTACCCAGGGGCTGGCCACCTGTTTTGTGTCTGTGTGTGTTCCAATAAAACTTTATTTATGGGCATGAAAATTTGAATTTTAACTAATTTTTGCATGTCATGAAACATTATTCTTCTTTTGATTTTTTCCAATCATTAAAAACACATAAAATCAATCTTAGCTCATGAGACAGTAGAAAAACAAGTTGTATGTAGGCTGGATTTGGCTAGAAAGTTTGCTCACCAAGAGAGACAGAAAAAGCAAACTTGCTCTGACCCACCTCTCCTTCCAGTCCCATGTATTCACCCCTCTTTTTTTATTACCAAAATTATCCTCATTTATTTTTATTGCTTTTGACGTGGTTTCCCATTACATAAATAACTCTATGTCCTCTTTTAAGGGAGGAAACTTTCCATTCAACCTCCACTATTATTATTATGTACTAAAATCCCAAATATATTTGGGTCCATTTATGGATTCACTTCTATTCCATGGATCTTATTGGTTCTTCGTATCCTAGGGCTAAACTTCAAAAAAGTGTAACAGTTAGTAGCACACTTAGGCTTATCTTTGTTAATACATCTCTGTGCTAGAATTTTCAGGAGGATTTCCATAGACTGGAAGGCTGATTTAAAAGGCATCTTTACCTGTTTATAAATTCTCCCAAAATTGCCCTCTAGAAGGTGGCCACCCCTCTTTGTAAATAAACTTTTATTGGAACACAGCTCTACTCATTCAATCACATGCTAACTACAATTACTTTGGCACTACAGTGTCAAAGTTGAGCAGTTGCAGTTGAGGTCATGTGGCTCCACAAGCCTGAAATATTTACAATCTAGTTCCTTAAAGAAAAGTTTGCTGACTCCTGAGATAAAAGGGATTTCATTGTGTTAATAGTTGTATACCTTTTGCTAGAGAATGCATTGATTTTCTTCAGTAAGGAGAGCATATCTGAAACAGTAGCTGCAAGTAGATATTCTTCCCGATCAAGCAAACCATCTCCAGCATCAGCCAAACTGGTGAGTTAGGTGGGTATGTAGTGAGATCAGCATCCCTGCACGTTTCAGAGTTTTTGATGGTGACCTTTAACTCTGCATTTCTCCTAGTGGTGGAGTATTTACCATTTTGGCAGAAAGAAAGAGTCCTAAGGATTTCCATTTAGTCCTTCCTATCATAAACAGCCACTACTCCAGGACAGAAAGTCTTTGCAGGGATTCTACCAACTGATACGTGTATCTATCAAAAGTATGCCCTTACAAACTGCGGAAATAACCACAGAATGTATTTAAGGTCTTAATGAGCCTGCAATTAAAACTCTACTTACTTTTCAACCACCATAAGCTGCAATCTGACAATGGCATTCTTAGTTCCAAGAATTTGTATTGCCTTTATCCAGAAAATACTCAATGTTTGGGTATTTTCTTTTCCACCATCTATTTACCCTGATACATATCTTTCAGTCTGTTTGGAGAATTCTAGGGGGAAGAATCATGGCACTCTCTTATAGCAATCCTTCCTCAAGGGCTAACCTCCCTTTACTCAGCAGGCTCTGTGTCTGCACATGGATGGAGGATATGTATTAATCATGTTTTTATTTCCTGTATCTTATAATACTTTGATGTCTTAAAAATTTTGCTGGCTAGGAAAGACTGCCCTTCCCAGAGCTCGCCAGCCCTTAGAAATTGCCAAGGGTTCATCCCTTTGATATGCCTTTCTTACACAAATCAATAAACTGGGGAGTCTCCACCCCCCAATCATCCAGTATATCCACCTTGAAATCCACACACAAAACCAATATCTCCACTGCCCTAAATCAGGACCAAGTGCCAGACAACTAGGCCCACCCCTGCAGCCCAGAGCCTGCTGTTATTATTCAAACTGTTTCTCCTACCTCACGTTTCCCAAGGAAACTCCAGTAAAGGCCTTGGGCTGGGCTCTCCCCTTTCTCCTACTTTTGCCTCTTGACTAATCCCATTGCTTCCCCTGTGTCCTAAGAGGAATAGCATGCTCCCCTCTCTCAGGAAGTATTAATATAAGTAATAAAAATCTACTTTCAACGCCATTGGCCTCTCTGATGTCATCTTTATAAATTAAGACCTGGGCACAAAACAGGGCTGTGCTTCTATTCTAGTAACTCAGATCAGGCCTCTGTTAGCCAAGTTTACTGTTTTGACGGTAACACAAATTAAATAATATCTTAAGGGATTGTCCATCTGTTTCCACCCTATAGCCCCATGACCAATTAACCATCAACAAAGATTCCTGTGGATCAGAAAATTCTGTTTCTGATGCCAGATTTGTTGTCTAGTGTAGTAACTGCATAACCACATTCTGCTTTCCACATTAAAAATAGAGAACCCATTTACACTTCAACATGTTGCACTAAATCCTCAGCCTATGGAGAGCAGACACATGAGACTTTACAAAAGTGTTGCTGCTTCTCATACCAATCTATTTATTAATAGTATATAGTTAGTATATGCAGATTACACATGATAAATCCACTCCAACATTCTCCTCTTCAAAGACTTTGGATTTCTTCCTCTGTAGAATACTAAGGGAATCCTAACGTCTTAACTTCACTTAATATGGGCATCGTTTAATTCAAATTTCAGACACTAAAGCAAGCAACCAATTGGAACCACTTCTTCATCACTTGAGCTAGTACATTCAATCCAGAATACTCGCTAAAAGCACCCATATTAATAAGTTAGCACCAGCTACTCAGGAGGCTGAGGCAGGAGAATGGCGTGAACCCGACAGGTGGAGTTTGCAGTGAGCCGAGAGCGAGATTCCGTCTCAAAAATAAATAAATAAATAAATAATTTAACTTTACTTAATGTTGTATTGTTTCTTCCTTAATCTAGCTACCTTAAAATCCACTCCTACACAAATTTTCAGACTTCGAAGACCTAAAATTTGGCAAAGTCTTTCAGTGCCTTCCATAGATATTTCGTGATTTGCAGCTGTTTTGCAACTATGCATCATTAACTGCAAGAACTTTAGCCCCAACCAGGGCATATAAAAATTCTGGATTCCCTTATGTCTTTGAAAGCCAGTTGCTTGCAACCATTCCTGTTATCAGTTTAGGCATCATTCAGCATTCTGATAAGAAAGCGACAGTGTTAACTCTGACTGATACGGGTAGAAAAGAAAACTATTAAAAGATACTGCATGTCTCACAGAATTTTTTAAAAGGCTGGAGAACAAAGTTTAGGGATATATAATTAGAAACAATGCCTAAAATCATGTTGCAGAACTGCTGGTGAGGATGCCCCTGGCCACAGTTCCCAAGATTCGATGCTACATCATCTCCCACAGAGATCTCCAGCCTGGATCCTCGATGCCACCCTGAGCACCGCAACTGTTGCTGTTCCTGGAACTCTTCTCAAAACCATCACTCCCTTTGAGGAGCAGCCTCACAGCCTTAGCGAGTCTCCAGTGGATGGCTCTCACTTGTAGATTCCAGATTATATTCCCATGAATTTGTTGCTGGTAAGCTTTAACTACTTAAAAACAGTTTCTATTAAAGAAAGTGGTACCTACCCCTCTTCAAGGCTTGTAATGTGAGGGAACTTCTAAAAACAGAGGAAGAGATCTCAGATGTTGGGTAGCCCAAAAAGCCTAATACTTGTTAACTGCAGAGTGTTTTGTGCACATAGCCTAGCATCACTATGCATGTAATAGGTGCCTAATAAATGCTCGTGAAGGAAGTCTACCCCATCCCATTGAAGACTGGGAGAATATAGTCCATTTATTTCTCTCTATTCTACTTTTGGACAATCACATTCATTTTTTTCCTTATGGAACTTGTGCTACAATTCATTTGTTCCTGACATAGAATGCTGATTTTTTAAATATGATTTTTAAAGTCTATTCAGAATGTTACAGTTGCAAGGAACTTGAGAGATTAGCAAGACCCACCTTCCATCCAGTGTGATCTTCTAAAGAATCCCTGATAGATGATTAAATGGTGTCTGTCAGAAGAGCTAATTTGACAAAAACATTAACTATATCCTAAAACAACCCAATCTATTTCCTAGATGCTTCCAATCATTACTTGGTTCTTCCTTATACTGAGTTGAAATGTAAATTGCTGTAACTTTCACTTATACAATAATTATGCCCTCCCAGGTAACAAAACAAGTTCCTCTTTTACAAATCATCACTTCAAATATAGGGAGAGAGTTTTGACATCCCCCTCCTCCAAATGTCTCCACTTCCTGCCACCCTTTCTCAGGTGATGAGATCCCAAACCTCAGTCTTGACTTGTCATCCTCTGCAGAATCCCACTAAACTGTCAATACTTCATAAATCGATTTGGACATATGCTTGACAGTAATACTAAACTTTACAGTTTAGTATTACAGTTTAGCATAAAGTATACAGTAATACTTTAGTACTGTAATACTAAACTGTAAAGTTTAGTATTACTAAACTATCTAAAATATATTCATTTCTTGTTTTCATAGGTCTTTCATCAATCCTGAGTTCCTGTTGCACTAAGAGCACTGGATTTTGTGTGCTATGTTATAAGAAGAAACAAAGAACTCTTTCCTGGACACTGTCTTGCCTCTCCAGGGGTTTTGTGTTTGCTTGTTTTGTGTCTTACCATATGCTCCAGAAATGGTGGCTTCTTGAGGAAATCAAATTCCATATTTCTTTGCCTAAGGTGATCTCATAGCTTGAGAGCTAAATTAGAAGCCTCACAAGGAACATTTGTAATGGCTTCTTGGTCAACATTGCAATAATAGGTGTTCAACACAACAAAGGAAGTGAACAGAGAAAGAAAAAAAAATAGTTTTGTGAATGGAAAGCACTAGGAAAAAAGACCTTTTCTTTGTTTTTGTTTTATGGTTTTATTTTTTAGTGATTATTGGTTTGCAAAGTTAGAGTGACAAGATGAAATTTTAACATCTGCTAATTTGCTGAAGTGGGGGAAAATATGAGCAGCAATTGGAAGAGAAGAGGATAAATTTGCTTATTATAGCAAAGTTTGTACAATTTTATAGTGTATTTCAATGAATCCACAGTTAGAAAAGATCTAACTCCTCTTAAAGATAAATGTGTCTTGAATAAACAAATCTCTTAAGGGATCAGAAGTGAATTGCTGACTTAAATAAGACATGGAAAGTCTATCTCCAGTGATTGTTTAGCTTCTGGGTAAGGAGTCTTTTGTGTTTAATTTATAATCATTGATATTTCTCAAAAATTTATCTACAGTGATTGAAAGCTAGTCTCTAAAATTCCTGAGCAAATATGCGAAATTTTACTTCTGCTTCTAAAATAAATAGCAAACATCTAGTTTTACCATGCACTAAATTTTGTTTTAAGTGTGTCTCTATATTAACTCATTTAACCTGAGACACAGAGAAGTAAACTAACTTGCCCAAAGTCACAGAGCTAGAAACTGGTGGAGTTGGAATTTGAACCCCAGCTGGCTGATTCCAGAATCCATCCTTAACCATTAGCTATCGTGTCACTTGTGGAAGATCAAATCTTGGTATATTTTACTCGGTTATAAAGAAGAATTGCGCTAGTGATCAACTTTTTTAATACCTGAGAAAACTGACTTGAGGTATGTCTTCTTAACAATAAGGTGGAGTTTTTGACAGTGCGGCATGAATTATGTGCGTCATTTTCCTTTGCCACACCGAATGCCGAGGAGAGCAAAGTAATGTTACAGCTTACGCTGGGTTCAGGCTCTCTTGGGGCCAAGAACTCGTGTTTACAATTTTCAGTTTGACAACTAATGACTTCCAGTTTTTCAGACTTGAGACATACGTCACTCCAGAGCTTCTCATTTAGCCATAAAAATTGATAGTAGTTGGTTCGTGTTGTAAGTTAAATAACGATTTATCAATTCATATAACTAATTAGAGGTGTCTTTCAGAGATAAAGCCACATATATGTGTCCTGATTTGTCCCAAAAGCCAGACCAAAAGGGCACCATATTGCCACCATAAAATGTATTTTATCTTCCTGCCTGTACTGCAATATACATCCCAGCTCTAGTGAGAAAGCCTAGAAGGCGATGTGCACTGTTCCCCATCATAAACACCAAAAAGACCCATGGAAAAAGAGCAGTAGGAGTCAAATTCAGTCTGAAAAGAGAATGGATGACATAAATTCTGAGCTTTTGAAGAGTTACTTATAGACTTTTCTTTGTCCATAAGAACTATTTTTACCCACCTAGGACAAGAAGACACAAAGGAAGACTACAGCTTCAAGTTTAAACCAACAAAATCACTTGCCTTAGCATCTTTGTTGGGACTCAGAGACTGGACCAAAGAAACAGAGATTCCCAGTGTGTGCTACAAGCATGTCAGTGCATAACATTAGCTTGTTCCAGTGCTAGCTGACTAACTTAGGAAAATTCATGCCATGTCTCTGCTCCTGGTCTCTTACCTCAGTGATTTACTAAGGTCACATTGTTCATCTTTGCTGTGTCCCCAATTTCTTCTTTTTATCGTGCAAGAAACTAAAAGTATCTCCTTTTACTGGCTCAGAATGTTATAAGGAATTGGATGATACTTGAACTCAACCTTCTCTTTCTCTATTGTATTTTGATTTAGATTAGTGGCAAAAGACTGATTTTAAGTAATTTTGAGAGCTCCTTCCTGAGGCCTCTCCTCCAATCTCTGACATATGCATAATAGCTCCATGTCTTAGTCCATTCAGGCTGCCACACAAAATATCTTAGCCTAGGTAATTTATAAACAACAGAAATTTATTGCTCACAGTTCTGGAGGCTAGGCAGTCCAAGGTCACGGTTCCAGCAGATTCCATGTCTGGTGAGAGCCCATTCCTGATAGACGGTGACCTCTATGTGTTCTCACATGGCAGAAGGGACAAACAAGTTCTCTCAAGCCTCTTCTTCTTATTTTTTTTTTTTTTTTTTTAGAGAAGAGTCTCACTCTGTCACCCAGGCTGGAGTGCAGTGATGTGATCTTGGCTCACTGCAACCTCCACCTCATGGGTTCAAGCGATTCTCTGCCTCAGCCTCCCAAGTAGCTGGGATTACAGGCATGTGCCACCATGCCCAGCTAACTTTTGTAATTTTTGTGGAGATGGGGTTTCACCATGTTGGCCAGGCTGGTGCCAAACTCCTGACCTCAGGTGATCCACCTGCCTCGGCCTCCCAAAGTGCTGGGATTACAGGTATGCACCACCACACCCAGGTTCAAGCTTCTTTTATATGGCACTAATCCCATAGTGACTTAAGGGGTATAAGGGTGAACTAATCACTTCCCGAAGGCCCCACCTCTTAATACCACCACCTAGATGGTTAGGTTTCAACAAATAAATTTTGGAGGGACACAAACATTCAAACCATACAACTTCATTAGATTTTTACAAATTACTGTTTCTTACTTCTGATTAATGCTGTTGACTTACACATTTATTCTGCCAATGCACCCTTCAGTAAATGCCAGGATAGCTGACAATCTTATATTAATTTACCAAGTTTTCCTATTAAAGTATTAGAAGTGAAGGCTGACATGTGATAATCTAATTAAAAACAAGGTATGTTCATATAGACACTGTAGGTAGATAGGTAAACCGAAAAGAAAGCTGTAAGTCACAGTCTAAAATCCTCCAATATATTTTTGGCATTAGAGGAGAAACTTAATTAACTTTGCCTTCAAGAAGTTTAATTTCTGTCAGCCCCTGGTGAGTTCAGAATTGCTTAGGGAAAGAGACTGATAACAGTGTTTTCAGAATAAATAAAGGAAAAAATCTTTATTGAAAATTCTCAACAGAATTGACTGACTACAAAACAAGGGATCAAAAAGCTTCAAGGATGTGCTTGCTTTGGCAGCACATATACTAAAAAGCTTGAAGGAGAAGAAATGTCGGCTTGGAAACTGATGATTCACCTTACCAATCTGAAGACACTTTGACTATTTGCCTGTTAAGCCACAACACTATGCTAAACCATTTACCTGTGGGTGATGAAAAAGAAGACAATCAGCCACTCTTTACTATGAAACTTAGTATAACCTCATTGAGGCCAAGATTGGAGAAAGGTCAGTTTATAGAGTGTTTTTCCAGACCTTCCTCACTACCCATCATGCTTTAGAAGGCACAATCAAACCAGTTTAGCATCCAGGCATGACCACTGACCCTTGTAGAGAGCATGCTCTGCTCCGAGGGGAAGTTTACTCATCAGTAACAAAAGCACACGAATATCTTCATTGCAGGGTTGCTCTGGCTACTAAATAGAATCTGTAAAATGCTTATCACAGTAGCTGTAGGTGTGAAAGGAATGATTGTTACTGGTATTGTCATCATTAATATTTTTAGTAAAGGATGTGAAAATAAAACACCTAAGCCAATCGTTCTGAGTGGAACTACATTCTGGAATATTGGAAGACAAGTAAATCGAGATTGAAACAAGTACAATCTATCTGCCACCATCTGTGCACCAATGGGTAGCTCACACATGACTGTTAAAGGAGGGAATGCTATCCATGTGAGGAGCCAGTTCTGTTGGCTCGTAGGTGAGTTTTTCCCAGGCAAGGGGAACAGAACAGAAAGAACCTCCAGCAGCAAAGAAAAGAGCCCTTAGCTTGGCTGCTGTGTAGGCAGGAGCCCTTTTAGTTCAATTTTAAGAAAATTTATTAATAAAATCAGTGGCTACAGCCAGCCAACCCCACTTCCCACTGCTACCACCACCACCACCACTACCAGCCTTGCAGCACTCTCTGCTGTGACAGTCTGCACCTGCTCTTCCATCTGCATGGCCTCAGTGTCCACAGACCAGCATCTCTACTCTACTGATTTTGTGCATTTTGGTATCCCCTGAGGCCATCTGCGGTCACCTCTCTGCCTCAGTTCTCTCCCCAGGTACCAATTATTTTTTCATAAGGGCTGTAGTTACAAGAGTTTCAGAGGTTTTGAGTGGCCTGCACCTAATCCTAATTTTTCCATAAGCCCTGTTATGTTTGATGCACAGTTTAGCAAAATGCTCTTTTTTCAGAAATGCATGTAGCGTTTTAATAGCAGAAGTGCCTACAGCTGTTTTCCAGCTAAGGGATTTTCATTACATGAATAGCACATCATCTGCAAGAGAAGGCTGAGTGCTAAACATTTATTTCTAAACAAAGCATTTGTCTATAAATACCATATATCAGGTTCCTACTGAGACCAAAGCTCGTGCTACTGCTAGAGAGAATCGGAGTGTGAGTTTCATCTCCCCTTTCTAAGACTTTACAAACTGCCAACGCAGGCATGTGGAATATTTGTCCTAAAAAACTGGGCACTATCACGCATTTTATGTTCAGTGACAGCTGAGAGATGGGAGTGATCAGTGCTTCTGGCATTTAAAGGAGGAAAGCGGGTGTTCTTATGGTTCCATGGCTAGGAATATCTTTAGAATAAAAATGCAACTTTAACTGGATCATCATTCATTCAATCAAACTATTTATTGAGCATCTACTATGCACTAGGCTCTGTACTGGGTTCTGGGGATACAGGGATGAAAAACTCAAATATTGGTCCTTATAGAGATAGCAGGGAAGGCAAACCTTAAATAAATAATTGCAATAATTTTGAAATTACTATTTTGCTACAGGCTACACATTAAAAAAAAATCTCCAAGACCAGGAGAATTTTGTTAGAGGGATGGAGAGGAGGTTTCCTAGCATAGGAATTTAGTTAAGCAGTTTTTCTTGTACTTCAATTATCATAACCACATGGACTTTCTGAAGCTTTCTTCAGAATTTTCAGTAACGCAATAGCCAGGGGAGCCATTAGTTACTTCCAAGATGGCCACCATGGCACCACAATATTCTACATCAATTCATACTGTGTGTTATTTCCAAATTCTTTCATGAAGATTCCTCCTTGCCAATGAGAGCCTAAACTATAGCCTTCTTTCTTCTCATCATATTTTACACATTAATACCTAACTGTGCTGAAACCCAATCAATACTTCTGTTCTGAGTTGTTACACAGACCTGCCTCCTCACTCCAGAAAGCAAAAACATTGCCTGGCACCTGGGCTTGCCTACTCAGATCCTGAGAAGTCGGGGGGAAATATCATCCACTCAGCCAGCTTTGTGTGTGGGAATTACTTAGGATAAGGCCCCAGATATATCAGCTACAGGAACCCAAAGATTCACTCAGGGGAGAATGGGAGAATGGGATGGAATGATGAGTTGAAGTGTTAGTTGGAGTTTGTCCTTGCAGTGACCATTCATTCCCTCTCCAACTCCCACCTCCATTTCCATGCAGGTAGCTGAGGTTTTGTGCTTCCTGTGTGGAGAGAAATTTGTATTGCCAGGTAGGAAAAAAAAGAAGCTTCCTGAAGATAGCCTCTCCTCCTCTCTTTTATGAAATCTTGAGTCCTTGAGGAGAGTGACATAGGCAGTTCAGAGGGGATAGTGGCAGGCATTCCAAAGGGAGTGGTGAAGAAGTTAATGCCTTTGCTGGAAAAGAGGGACAGCAGAGGGGAAATGCTATGGCCTGAGTTTGCTAAAGCAGTGGAGGGTTGCTGGGGCTCCACCCACAGCTGGCTCCTTCACATGCCTGGAGAGGCATGGGATACATCCAAGAAGTCCAATCCTTAAATACAATTTGTCCTGCCCCCAAACATACCTCAGAATTTCAGAGACCCTAGAACCTCAACCTGCACTAAAGTATCAGAGAAAGACATCCCAAGCAAGAGTTTATGAAGGATCTACCCCTTCTCGATAAGGACTTTTGCATGATTCTGGAGAACGGTGAAAAAAGAATGCTAAAAAGCATGAGATTAAATTTCACACCAGCCCCGTAGAATAGGCCTTGAAGCTAGATGCGATCTGATATCAGGTAAACAAAGCTTTACGACAGGCTTTCCACGCATACCTGTCTTTGTGGCCTGAGATTCACACCCACTGCACTTAATCTTTGTTTTTCCACTCTTTACTTTGTACAGCTAAATAATTAATTGCCTAGATAGCCTATCAATATTCCTTTCTTTAATTGTTAAACATGTGTTAATAATTCAAAAATCTACTGGTGACCTCCCAACACTCATGTGATTTTTGCAGGCCTCAGAGCTCTTTGAAGAAAGTCTGTCACTCTTGAGTCTAGCATTGACTAAAAGCTTTTTGGTTTTGTCCTCTCTCTAGAAGGCATCCTGCTTGCCGGCAAGGTCTTGGGGTTAAATGGGAGACAGAGTTCAAGGATTTTGAAGCTCTGATTCAATTATAGTAAATGAGTACAAGAGAATCAGATATGTCACTGTTCAGTGCATCCGCCCAGACCTTAGGGACATCTTTTTTCTTTATTTTTTTTAAACTAGAGAACCCCGTCATTGGAAAAACCTCACCCTCGGGATTTTGAGTTGTGCTAAATTTTTTTACACAATTTAGCCCCCATTTCAAGCAGAAACGAGAATAAATGAATAATGTGGTCAAATATAGGCTACGGTGGATTAACTATCTGTTTTCTTCTTCCATCTTTTCCCTAAGCTTTTCCCTCTGTTCTTGAGGCAGTTATGGTGTCATGGTAGTTGAGGGTGGAAGTAGAGGAGCACTTCTTCCTGCTATGAGTTCTTATTACATTTACCAACACTGGGGATTCTGGGGTGCAACTCTACCAACTTCAGTAGAGATTCTTCTCATAGAAGTCATTCTGGCTACTAGGCCTTTGCCATCATATGCATAGAATATACCATTTTTAAAATGTAAAGTACCTTAAAAGATAACAAAGTAAAACCCCTCCTTATAAATAAAGAAATTAAGAACAAGAATTGTGTCCAATTAGGATGGTTAAGGAGAAAACTGGGGCATGAGCCCAAGTATCAATCTAGGGCTCTCTCCATATCATCATGTCTTCAAATCTTCACAAATAATTACACTTTATTTCTACCCCATGTCCTGAATCTCAGAGCTTTGCTTTTTTTTTTTTTTTTTGCTTGCATCTAATTTTCTCTGTGGCATTTTGGGAGCCCTCCAGTAACTGTGCATCAGCAGGAAGATTATTTTAAGCTGAAAAACTTCAGTATTCTACAAGCTCTGAATATCATTAATTTCCATATGTTCTTAGGGTTATTAAATGTTTCTCATGTGTTTTTATCCCTGATATCATTTCCTTCTTGTGTTGTCTGTTTACTGGGACAGTATCGCCTATCCAGGTAAAATTTTCCATTGCTTTAGTGCTCTTCTAGTCTTAAATGATATTTGACATTTGACATCTGGGTTCTATGCCTGCTGCATGGATGGCTCTGAGCCAGACTTGATTTGCTGCTTTCATCAAACTATTTGTCAGCCTTTGAAGTTGGGATATGCAGTATTATTCATGTATGATGTCATTGCACTAGGCAGAATTTTAGAAATAAAATGCCCTAAATATTAATGATGAGGAGCACTTTTGTCAAACACTGAAGATTACCGAAATTAATTGTGGCACTGAGTGCTGAAATGAGATGGTGCCTAGTTCTGAGGGGCTCTCCAAAAGCTTGAGTCTCATCGCCTGAGCAACTACAGCACCAGAGCTCAGCCTTAGCTTACATCACAAAAGACCTCTCAAACCAGAGGCCCATGCATTTAACTGAATGCAAAAGGTGTTCAGTAGGCCTGGAATCTTCCCTGAAAATAATCCAAGATTTCTGCAGATGGAACTAAGCACTAAAGGGTCTACCATTTTCTATTCGAAGCACCTCTGAGGGTGTGCCAAGAGAAAAATTTTAAGAATTCCTAATGCAGACTGAACCCTGAAACCACAGAGCTATGGAAGCTTGGCAACATATCCTTGAGGGAAAAGCACATGGTGAACCCTTTAAGAGCCTGGGGTATAAACCCCTTTGGCCAAAGACAGAGTGGCCAGTGATCACACTTCCTGCCAAAAAGCTCATGTCTGTGTTTCTGACACAGATAAGATGGTGTTCAGATAAAGAAAAACTCAAAAGCTAAAAAGTACTTTATTTCTTTTATACAAAGCAGCCAACTTCTTTTCACACTGTGAGAAACAGACACAGGAAGAATATTTTTACAAATATCATTAAATGTGTTCATTAGTTACCCTTTGCCTGTATACAGGATTTATGTAATAAGTTTCAATTAACAGTGAGCTAAGAAGAAATCTCACCTATGCACAAACAAGTACATTTCCTTTTGTCAGGTAACCAAAATTAAGTCCCTCATTATGTTTTTAAATTTTGATTGCGTAGGAACCCACTACTAAAATTAGTGTGAAACTATATTAGCTATTATTAGCCTAGGCTTATCACTTCATACATTACATGAGCTTTAACTTTTTATTCCATAAGTAGTCTAATTGCTTATGTTTCTTTTATTTTAAGCCATTTCAAAGATGCCTTAGAAATAGGTAGGAACTAAGTCATAAATACATTTTTAAAAAACAAATAATGACAAACACATTGACCCTGCATTATTTCCCAACTCTGTTGTTTATGCAGATCATAATCAGCTGCCATATACCTGAGCCCATGTAATAAGTCAACCTAATGGTCTAGCTGGTTGGTTGCTGTGGGAATCCTGCCCAGACACAAGAGAAATGAGTGAGAAGGAAACGAGAGAAATACACAGACTCCCACCCGAGCCCACGTCATTGTTTAAGCAGAAAGGCAACAGCCAGGGTTGGACAAGAGCCACCTCATCTGCATAGAAGGACTTCAGATTCACCAATTTTAGAAACATTTAAAGAGCTGAGGTTGACGGAGTCTGAGTGTATCACACTGCCCACAACGTGGAATGTGTCCAACAGAGTGATGTTCACAGATGCAAAAAGGAAAGATATTTTCCTCTTCAATTGCATTCTTTTCACAGACATATTTTCTTCTTGAAATGATCTAAAAAGTTTAGAGCCCTGCTTCCTTCCTTCTTTTCTTTTTTTTTTTTTTTATTTCCTTCCTTCCCTTCACCCTCTCTCCCTTTCTTAAGATAGAGCCAGATATCAGTGAGATGCAGCAGTGGGTGGTCTTCAGGAGAGCCCAGCAGTTGTTCAGGATTTCAAACAGGCTGGAAAGTTCCTTATCCCAGAGTCAGGCCAGCACTGGTGCTCAATAAGGGTGTGTGGAAATCAGTTGAGTGGGTCTTTTCCAGTAATAGAGATTATTGAACCCAAGTAGCAATAACATCCACAAAACAATCTACAATGTACCCATTCATTTGAAAACATCAGCCAAATGAGGAGAAAAGTCAATAGCAAACCTTCCACAGCTAGACCATTCAGATGTGAGTGTTCTGTAAATGTTCACTTACAAACATAGCCTTTGATTAGAAGGGTGAAGATCAAATAGAGCATTAAACTCAGTCAATAGAGATCTCTTTTTCTGGTGTGGATCAAGTGCATTGCCTCATTTGAATTCAGATTTGAGTATATTGCTATATTGTGTGAACAATATAAGGTAGCCTGGGGAGATGGAAAGAGCAATTGCATCCCTCATGCTGAAAGTGCGAAATGCAGTGACAGTCTTTATTAACCTGGGGAAGGTGTTTACGTCCCTTGAAAGACACCCTTTAAGTGGTTCTATCATGCTTTAAATAAGTAGGCTCTGATCTCCCCGGCTTGTGCTCTGTACAGTCTGGGACACAGATGACATTACTTTTTAGGAAGAGGACTGCCTCCAGTGTTATTCTCCCAAGCTACAAATGTGATTTAAAACCTCTCAACCAGCACTTTATCTGTGGCAAGATGCATCGCCTATCCCCTGAGAAGTCATGAGTGCTGTCTCCCTTTAAGGGCACTTAAAGTGGACTGAAATTGAGTAATCTCTGCAATTTACTATGGCTATTTCCCTCTGGTATAGAATAAAGTTGGAGATGCAGAGAGCTCAGAGAATCACAGCAAGCCAAAGGATTTGGGGTTTGGAGAAGAGCCCACCATCATTTCCACTCCTTATAACCACCCACCTTACAGCCACAAATGAAAGAAAAGTATCTGTGCCCACAGATAATTTGAATGATTTCTCTGAATGTGACTCATTTAGATGAAACATATGGAAACTCACTTTGACAAAAATGAATGGGGTGGGGGGGGAGGCGGAGGAGCAGGAAGAAAGAAAATAATCCATTTGACTACATTACATCAAAAGCAGGGTTTTCTCAGGATGCTTCCTCAACATTACTTATATACTCAATGAATTATTCCACATTTATAAAAACAGCTTATGCTCCATTATAAAGACTAAAAATTGTTATGCTTCTTTTCACTTAGATTCAAAGGAGACAGAAGAAAATATCTAGACCTAACATATGATTAGGTTCTAGAATTTGAAGTACTGAATGTTTTCACTGGGTTGGCTATTCAAATCAAATTAATAAGGATCTGCCAAATCTCCACTCCCCTTGGTGTAGTGTAGGTTGCCCCTGTGTTACAAGAGCTATGCTCCATACAGACTTTACCACTTAACCCACTGGCTTGACTAGGAAAGTTGTATCGAAGTTATAAATTCGTCATGATGATAACTACTGGCCCAAATGTGGTGGCATGGAAGAAGTTATTCTTATCCTCAATATGACACCATCAAATGTATGTGAGAAAGTGGTTATTTATACACAGTACTGTGCAGGATTCTGTGCCAATTAAATTACACAAGTCTAATCCACCCTTATTTTGAGAAGCATACGGTTGATGGCGAACACTGATAAAGTTACACATTTGAGTTAGAAGCATTCCGTCAAAGAAGGGCTCATGCGTGTTACAGGCAGAATGTGTAGCAAATGTGATCAGTGCCCCTCTCATCATCTCTTTCTACTTTGGATGACTTCCACTAGGATTACCTGCATCTCTGGGCTTGAGAGCTTTTCCAAAGCCATAGAAGGCCATTCTGTCCACACGTGCAGCCCAGGAGTGCTGGGAATCCACACACCTGGGGAGCAGCCCTCACCCAGTGGCCTGTAGGAGTTAGGATATAAACACTCCAGCTCCTTCATCTCTTGAGTAGAATAGTTCTGAGGAATGTGCTTTCCACTACTTCCCAGTTTCCCCCTGGGCTTAAGCTCCAGCCACTCACTGCAGTACCTGGTTTACTAATTCACCTGTATTGACTGCCTTCCCATCCCTGCCAATGTTCCCCAAACCTCCCAAAGAAACTCCTTGCACATGAATCTTTGCGTCAGGGTCAGCTTCTGAAGACACCCAAATTAGGACAGGGAAAATCATCCTCTAGATGTGATTAGGAGAAGCACCACTGGGGACCCATGTCCAGACAAAATAAAGAGAAGAAGACAGTCATCTCTTCTAGGACCAGTCTTGGGAGGACTCATAGATAGGCTCATGGGGCTGGCACTGTTGCTCATCAATCTCAGAGCAATTGTTCCTTCTTCTATAATCAATGGAAACCCATTTGGTTTGGCTGCAACATATTCAAGGTAGCTAAGCCCCTCCTGCAGGCCCTGGGATGAATCGAGTACATGCAAGTCAAGCATAACCACCCCATTCCCATTTGCTGATAATCATTAGGAGTGGGCATGTGACTGGGTACCAGCCCATGAGACATAAGTGGAGGAGCTGAGGAGCTCTTTTTTTCATGGATAAACAAAGACAGCTGGAAAAGTAAAGGGCATCTTTTCTGGCCTCCCCCTTCCTGCCTGCTTGGGGCACCACTGAGTGATGTTTGGGGCTGCTGTAGTCATTACCATGAAGGAAAGGTCATTGAGTTTCTCAAGCAACCCTGACCCCTCCTTCTCCAGACCTCACTTCATATGAGATAAACATTAGTCAAGGTTTCTTACCTGCACTCAATTTATTCTCATTGATACAGATGGGATTCTGGAAGCCAGCTGAATGAGGAGGGATGGTGTGCAGGGGACAGGGCTCAAATGTGGCCGTGGAAAGAGAAAGTTCCATAATATATTTTCTTCTATACTTTTCCTTCAGAATGTCCATCACTGTGATGACCATAAATTTACTTGTGTTCTTCTAGTTAAATTTATATCCCTGCCAATGTGTAAGCTCCATGAGGACAGCGATGAAAGCTTTTGGCTGGACTTGACATCTTTTTCTCACTACCTCTCATGATGCCAGATGCATGCTTGTTAAATAAATGAACAAATGCACTAGAGAATAGCTGAGAGGGTGTTCCTCAAGACATGGCCTCAGATGGAAGGTGGGTGATTTGAGCCCTGCTGAAGAAGTGCTGAGAAGAATTAAGGAATGCTCTTAGCTCTAGATTACAGAGTGATGGGGAAATGGGGAGAGGTTAATGAGACCTCCAGAAATGGCTGAGAAGGAGACTGCAGGTGGGCTCTATTCAGACTGCAGGATTCCTTGGAGATAAGACCCAAAGGAAGAAAATGGCAGTGGGTGTGGGGGTAGAAAAGTGAGGGAAGGAGGAAGAAGTGGACACCTGGCCAACTGCGCCCTTTGAAGACAATGGTCATGCCGAGCCTTCTGACTTGGATAATGGAGAGGATACTGATATCTTTGAAACAGAAATGGTGGACAAAATAAGAGATGGAGAGAAAAAACAAATCAATAAGTACATGAAAATAGAAGAGTGGTAGCCTGAAAAAGTCAACAACTCTTAGCTATACTTTATCAAACTTATCATGAGCATTTAGCCTGTTCTTTAAAAAAACAAAGCCCTGGCCCACCACCTGAAATGCCTTCATGGCCTATTTGACCTGCCTTTCCTTCAAAACCCCAACATCCTCCTGTTCCAGTTTCCAACAGTTTCTGACTTCTGACACCTGGAAATTTCCTTACAAGAACAATAATGGCTAACACAGATAGCATATTTTATGTGAACCATTCTGAATGCCTTACACATATTAACTCATCTACTGATCATTCAGGCTCTGCAACAATTCGAGAAAGCAGGTTACTATACTATCCCCATTTGAAGCCCAGAGAGATTGAGTAACTTACCCAAGCTCACACAGGTGCTAAGTGGTGGAACTGGGAAACTAGGATTTCAAATGTTCCAGAGTATGTGCCCTTAATCACTATGCTGCCTATCATTATCTGCATAACATAAGTTACCACTGTGTTGAGATTTTCTTGTAGTCTTTTTCTGGAGTCACTACTTGTTTCCCAGAGGATAAGGTTTTGAAGATTAGATGGGATTATATTTCAAGTGGGTATCATTTTACAATTCACCTAAAACTTTAAAAGTGAAAAACTCTGGAGTTAATATTCCATTTTCTCCTGAACGTATAGGTTCTCTTCCCTATAAACCCACTCTGTGCAGTGCCTAACTGCTCAGCACAGTTTCGGCCTTTAGGGCTGCCCTCGCCCCTGCCTGAACTGCTCCACCACCGGGTTTTCTGGGCACAGGCTCTTTTGGCACTCCCTCACCTCCTTTGAGTCTCAGCTCAGCTGTCACCGCATCAGTAACAATCTCCTTTGAAATGGCAGCTCCCTTGTTCTTACCGCCTTCTCTCAAGGAGAAAATGGACGGGGAGGAATGGGATTCAGCCCATGAAGCAAAAAAGTTATTACCATCATTATAATTGGTGCATTAAAGTTTATGATGTGCTCCAGAGTGGTCACATTATTAAGAGCTGATGCTACAGGTTCACGTACCATCAGAGAGGCTGGCTGGGTCATTGCAAGGTCAGGAAGCCCATTCCCTGCCACTTTCAAGCACAACCTACACAGAGTTTTTGTGTCCTTATTTTAAAGTCCCTTTGGTCACCCGCCTTCAATAACCCAGCAGTTAAGGAGTCATTATTTTGGCTAGAGTGTTTCTGCTTTCCTCTTGTTTGAGGAAATAGAGAAGACTTGAGATGTATGTCTTAGTTGTCATGCTTTAAAATTACTGCCAAATTACCCCTTTCCCCTCAAGAAAAAGAGTAGCCCTGAGCCAATATATCTGTCTCCTGACATCTCTACTTGGATGACAGAGAGCATCTCAAATTCCACATGACTGTGGTAGACATATTCTAGTCCTAAAAGCTATTCACATGTCCCTTCTCCTTTGCTGTCCTCCACCTGTAGAGGGAAGAAAGCTAAAAAACTATGTTTCCAAGCCTCCATTTAGCCAGAGGTGGCCATAAAACTTAGCTCAGGCATATATAACACAGGCAAAGTTCCTGAGGAAAGGTCTCTTCTTAAATAAAAAGGAAAAATTTAACAAAGATAAAGTCTTCACCCCTTGGCCCTCCCTCCAATTTTGGAGTGCAGGTACTAGGCACACAGCAACCATCTTGAACCAAAAGGAGATGAGCAAAAAGGTGAAGGTCCACACATGAAGGTAGGTAGACCAGTAGGCTGAAAAGAGCCTGCAGCATCCCTGAATTGTTAAGCTACCCTGCAAGGTCTAGATTGCATAGCCCTGGACTTCCTGTGTTGTGAATCACAGACACCCATAACTGTTTCAGCCACTCCAGTAGGTCTTTCTGTTCTTTGAAGCTGACCACCAATATACAGACAAAGAATGAACTCATGAAACCTCCTCTCACCTGCCCTCTTTCAGTGCTCCTATCTTAGTAAATGACATCTCCATTCTGCCAAGCATACAGGCCAGAATCTGGGAATTATCCTTGACACTGTCCCCTCCTTCACTTCCACATCCAACTCATCACTGCCTAAATGTCTCTCTACTAGTTGTCATCTTAACTCCTCACTGCAGACACATCACTGTTCCTCATCAGGGGGATTAAGACAGCCTCCTTGTTTGTCTTGCTAACCAGGCGAGGTCCTCACTGTAGCTGGCTTCCTTTTCAAATCTAACCATTATAACTCCCCCTCAAACACACACACACACACACCACACACACACACACACACGCACACACATTCCTGCTTAAAAGCCTTCTGTGGCTGTCCATATGCTCTGTGATCATGATCTAAATATTTAACATGGCCTAAAAGGCCCATGGGGCCCATCCCCAGCCCCTCTCCAGCCTTAGTTTGCCCTAGCTTTCCTTTGAGTTTCAGCTGCCCCCACCTTCACTTCTGAGAAAGCACCTTACTTCTTCCCTCCATGAGGTCTTTGCACAGACTCCTCCCTCTGGCTGGAAAGCTCTTACTCATCGCTACCATTTGCTGGCTGACTCCTGGTCAGTTCTTCATTCAGAAGACAGCCCTGGCACCTCGGCCTCAGAGAACTTTTCCAAGACTCAGCTCAGGAGTACAGGATCCTTTGTTTAACATGCCCCAGAAATGCCTTCGCTCTTTTGGAATTTCTGGTTGTAATTACGCATCCTTAATGGGATTATTTGTTTAATGGTAAATTGTTGAGAGCAGAATTTCTGTCTGATTTTTTTTGTTTTGTTTTCGCATGGCATCCACCATGCTTAATGTGATGCCAGCACTTAGTAGGTGCTCAATAAATATTTGTTAAACAAAGATTGAATGGAAGAATGGCAACTGGCCCATTCAACCAATGTTTAACTAATTGATGATTAACATTATATTCTCTAAACAAAAATGAAACTAAATAACAATATAATCAAGATAATACAGACAAGATACTAAGCTTTACTGAGCCATGAATTTGTCTTTTTTTTTTTTTTTTTTTTAAGACAGAGTCTCACTCTGTTGCCAGACTGGAGGGCAGTGGTGCCATCTCAGCTCATTGCAACCTCCAACTCCCTGGTTCAAGCGACTCTCTGGCATCAGCCTCCTGAGTAGCTGGGATTACAGGCATGCGCAACCTTGCCCAGTTAATTTCTGTATTTTTAGTAAAGACAGGATTTCACGACTTTGGCCAGGATGGTCTCGATCTCCTGACCTCGTGATCCACCCTCCTCAGCCTCCCAAAGTTCTGGGATTACAGGCGTGAGCCACCACGCCTGGCCACTGAGCCATGAACATTTGATGAATCACTGAATTTTGCTCTCTCACCAACAATATCTGTTTCAGGCCCCACTTCTTCCTAAGGCATGAATGGACTGAGTCAGGCAATGGTGTGGAGCAAACACATGCTCTGGACAGCTAAAGCCAAGCTATGATGATGGGAGTCCTCACTAGGGCTTAATTCAGATTTTCAGCTTGTGTTGGAAACGTGATTAACTTAGAGAAAGAAGCTGCAGAAGAGGCCCTTCTCCTTTATCCCAAACAAGCTTCTACCTGAAAATTTCCAACAATCACTCCCTAAACATGCGGTGGCCACTGACTGAGAAAAGCTGTGCGGGAACTTGTTTTTGCAGTTCAGATCCCTCATTGGATGACTCAGAAAAATAGCCAGTGGGAGAACTGAAAAGAAAGAAGGTTGGCAGGAAAGATGAAAAACTGTCTTGAGTCAAGAGGGTCTTGGTTTTGAAAAGACCAAATTTTTCCTCAAGAAGAATATGCTTTTCCTTTCTCAATGGTTCTTTCAGTCATTGGGTCACCAGGATTCCCCTGCTCCCACCTTCACAGCCAAGCCATGTCTCACAAACAAAGGCAGCAGGGAGTGAGAGAGTAAACAGATGCTCATGAGGAAGTCTTGGCCTAGTGACTTGATGAGGGGGATCAGAATGAAGTACAGAGAAATCAAGTAAATAATATGTAACATGCTTCTAAACCCCCATCCAAACCCACTGAACTTCTTATCCTAGTCCTTATAAGAGGAGGGAATTTTAATTGGCCAGCTGTGGTGGCTCACACCTGTAATCCCAGCACACTGGGAGGCCAAGGTGGGTGGATCACCTGAGGTCAGGAATTCAAGACCAACCTGACCAACATGGTGAAACGCTGCCTCTACTAAAAACACACAAAAAATTAGCCTGGCGTGGTGGTGGGTGCCTGTAATCCCAGCTACTCAGGAGGCCACGACAGGAAAATTGCTTGAACCCGGGAGGCAGAGGTTGCAGTGAGTTGAGATCTGCCACTGCACTCCAGCCTGGGCAATAAGAGCAAAACTCCATCTCAAAAAAATATATAATAATAAAGAAGGAAATTGTACAAATTTTAGGGGTCAGAAGCCCTGGGTTCAAGTCTCCACTCTGCCACTTATGAGCTTAGTGACCAAGGCAGGTCATTTAACTCCTCTGATTCACTTTTTTAAGTTGCCAAATAGTAGATGGAAACTAGGTGGTAAATAATGGTGGAACCCAAGCCTAACTGTACTGAGAGCCAGTGAGATCACACATGCAAACACCTTGTATGCATTACAAAGCATATATCCACATTAGTTAATTCACTGCATTCCTCATTCCACAGACCCTCCTTTACTATATTTATAGACCATACAGGTATGTGTGGATGTCACTGCTGATGAAGAAAGGCAGTTCTCCCAAGGGCCACACTGTGAGCACTGGCCAGCATTTCTGAAATTCCATCCTCTCCTCCATTGGCTCCCTTCCTTCATATGACACTGTACCGTGTGTGGAGACAGTCCCACGTTCCCAGACCCAGCCTCACATCCTCACCACCACCAACCTTATAACTCATGGATAGTGTACAAAAGCGTCCACATTTGCCCACGAGGTGATTTTAAAAACCTATATGGGTCCCTGACCCTGTAGCAATGAGAGAGAGGGAGAGGGACTCGAATAAAGGCAGTTTGTGACAAAAAATTATTGACGTTTGCTACCTTTTGGAGAAAGGATGATAACAGTTGTCATCATTGGACAGCTCCACTGAATAAATTGCAAAGTGATAGTGGAAATGCAGATAAACGTGTTTTGATACCCAACTGTCACAGGTCACACAAGTTGATGCCTATAAATCTCAATATTTAATCATGTATACTAATTAACAAGACTCCTAATTCACAGGGGTGAAGGTGGAAGGATTTTCCCCAATCTTACCATTTTCCATCCCCGAAATAACTTTTGAGTTTGAGGTTGAACCATGAGATTCCTGTTGGCTAGTAATCACTCATTCAGAAAAGAATCCCAGAATCCACCGAACGGAAAACTTCAAAGCATCTGATGTTCATTGTATTATTCCAAGAATTACAATACCACACCCCCTTGGACTTTACAAAGTGCTAGAATGGCCTCAAAAATAAATAAATAAAACCAGCTATCCCAATCACCTTGTTTCAGGTGAAGAAGCTGAAAGGCAGATTCTTGATGCAGCAAGCCAGTGGTGATGCGGAGAGGCAAACCCCGTCTCTGGTTTTTAGGCAGGTCCTCTCTCCACGGTCCATGCTGGGTTCACCAAGCCGTGGGTGCAAAGGGCCATTCACAAGGAGTGTTCACCACTGCGGCCTCTGGCTTCTGCTGATCCCCTTCAAAGCCATATTTGACCTTCCTTCTCCATCCTTTTCCATCCCACTCCTCAAGCGCCCAGTTTTATATCCCTTGAACTCCAACTAGGCATTGGAAGAATACCAAATTGTACTAACAACATTCATTCTTTTCAAATACAATCAGAGCAAGACAATTGCTACAACATCTATCCTTCCAGAACAAAGTACTCACTTCCCTCAACACAGCTGACCCTCATTTACTGTGTGTAAGTAAAATGAGTCCTGAGCATCTGTTTCATGTGAATAAGGAAAACAAACAAGTCAGTGTACCATATCTGAATTTTAATAATGTCTGGCTATTATACAGCAAGGTTGCTGTACTATAAAAACTTGTTAAAGTGTGACTCATCCCACACTGTTTTCACTGGCCACCAGGCTCCCAATTAAATACCAGCCAGTGAGCTGAGTGTCTGATGAGAGACCAGGAAACCTCACTACTGATAAGGTTAATATAATTAGTTACTTTTGCTGAGTGCCTGTGAGTCGCTCCCCAAATTTAAAACACAAATAGAAAACACAAGTGGGAGCATTTCCTTCATGTGTGGAATTCCTTGTGGCTGTCTCTGCCCACCCATTTCCCCTCCTGAGTCACACCTATCTGTAAAACACCCCTGTCCACCAGCAACCAGCATTTTACAAGACATACTATTAAAAAAACTCAAAACCGGGAACAATAGGATGTGCTCTCTTTTGTAGATTTGCAAATCCGATAGAGCTGCAGGCACTTATGGGCTGTAGGAAAAGTCCTCTGATCCTGCAGCTGGAATGTGTTCTCACATTTGAAGCTCTGCGAAAGAAAGAAAAAGAAAAGTTGAAGTTTAACTCTAATGTAGGAGGCAACCTGTTGTGCAGCTGATGGCATTCAGAGACAGTCAATGTGCAGGAAGTGCAGTTTGTGCTCTGAGGTGTATCGGACTCAGCAATCCACCCAGCTGCGAGCATCTTGGGATAGAGGCTGAAAGGTACTGTCTGGAGAGAGAGTCACTCACTCACTGGTTCTCACCATTCCCCCAGGACAGCTTTTCTCACAAGCTACAGACTTTGGCCAGTGACTGGAACACATACACTTACTCTCATAGGACTCCAGCAAAACAAAACATGAATGTACTTTCAAGTGTTTGAGAATCCAAACCAAAAAAGAAAAATTTGAACGTGCCAGCCAGTATTACAGTGATGGTCCTCATTCTTAATATATGTGAACCCCAAGTCCTACTCTGATTTTTAAGCAATTAAATAGTGATGATCACAGAGGGTCCCAGGCCCAGGTGTGGGTAACAGTGTTTAGCCAGTATAGACAGGTTGACTGCAAATGTACTCACTATAGAAACACAGCAGAATTGGTCATTAACCATCCTAATAGTTGTTTTACAAATATAAATTAGAACATAATATTTTGCAATTGTATCCTGAAATAAAACCTATCACCAAAGTAAATTGCAGATTTGAGATAAAATGATAAAAGAACTAGAAGAATATGTGGACAAGTAGTTCTGTAATCTAAGAATGGGTTCGTCCTTCTAAGTATGAGACCAATGACAGAAATCACAACAGTGATGGATCTGACTGCCTAAAAACGAAAAGCAGTCAGGCAAATAACAGGAAAAAAAAATCCAAAAAACAGTAACAGCAATAAAAATTACTAACATAGGAAAGTACATAAAATTGAAAGCCTACAATCAACAGGAAAAAAATCCTTGACAACATAGAAAACAAAGAGTGAGTAAATTTAATATATACAAAGGAATTAAAAAATCATTAAGAAGAAGATCAGCACCTCATCGAAAAAAAACAAAGGACATAGTCTGGCCATTTACAAATACAGAAACTCAAATAACCAATAAACTTATTTTTTTAAGTATAATGTCCTCAATAATCAAAAAATAAAAATGTTAAATATAGATTTTTTTATTTATCCAGTTGGCGATTTTTAAAAAGATATACTGAAGGCCACTGTTGGGAAGGACGTGGGAAACCCTACCGACTGCAGGAGTGGCAATCAAGACAAACTTCCCCAGGTTGATCCTATAGCACTAGGAGGTAGCAGAAGCCCTACAATTTACATTTCATTTGACATTGGAATTTCACATTTAATCTAATGAAACAATAATGTATAAGCACAACAATGAAACCATAACATTTATCACAGCGCATTTATAAAAGGGAAGTTGTATGGGGTAAATCAACTAAAGAACATCTATAAAATAGAACACTAGACAGGTTAAAATTATATTGGAAAGGCGTTCATGGACTGTTAAATTTTAAGGTTGATTACAAAACAATACGATCCTATATTTATAGACATTATATACATATGAGCACACACCACATATATATATCTATATGAAAGACATGTATACTCATGCACCACGTAATGATGTTTCAGTAAACAATGGACCACACATTTGACTGTGGTCCATAAGATTATGATGGAGCTGAAAAATTCCCATCACCTAGCGATGACGTAGCCTTCCTAATGTCATTGCATTTCACAGTTCTCATGTGTTTGTGGTGATGCTGGCGTAAGCAAACCTACTGCACTGCCAGTTGTATAAAATTCTAGAACATCCAACTTATGGAGCTTATATAATACTTGATAATGATAATAAACAACTATGTTACTGGTTTATGTATTTACTATGCTAGATTTTTTATTATTGTTTTAGAGCCTACTCTTACTCAGAAAAACAAAATGTTAACTATAAAACTGCCTGAGACAGGTTCTCCAGGAGGTATTCCAGAAGAAGGCATTGAAATCATAGGAGATGATGGTTCCATGTGTTACTGCCCTTGGAGACCTTCCAGTGGGATAAGATGTCGAAGTGGAAGACAGTGATATTGATGATCTTCACCTAGGCTACTTATATGTTTGCATTTTAGTTTTTAACAAAAAAAGTTCTAAAAACAAAAAATTTTAAAAATAGGAAAAAGCTTTATAGAATAAGGATATAAAGAAAAAAACATGAACAGCTGTACAATGTGTTCATGTTTTAAGCTGTTATTACAAAACAGCCAGAAGTTTTCTAAAAAAAAAAATTAAAACATTTATAAAGCTAAAAATTTGCAGTAAGCTAAGGTTTATTTATTATTGAAAAGAATATTTTAATAAATTTAGTGTAGTCTAAGTGTCCAGTGTTTATGAAGTCTACAGTAGTGTACACTCATGCCCTAGGCCTTCACATTCACTCACCACTCACTCACTGACTCACCCAGAGCAACCTCCAGTCCACAAACTCCATTCAGCGTCAGTGACCTATGCAGGTGTACCATATCATATTTTTACTGTACCTTTTCTATGTGTAGATATGTTTAAATACACAAAGACCATTGTGTTACACTTGCCTACAGTATTCAGTATGTAACATGCTGTACAGTTTGCAGCCTGGGCACTAGGCTGTCCCACACAACCTAGGTGTGTAGTAGGCTCTTCCATCTAGGTTGGTGCAAGTCCACCTTACAATGTTCACACAATGATGATGTGGTCTAACAATGCATTTCTCAGAATGGATTCCTATCCTTAAGCGATGCATGACTATTCTCAGAAAAAAACAAAAAGGAAGTAAGCTAAAATGTCAGCGGTATCTATAATGAGATCATGAATGATATTTATTTTATTTTTATTGCTTATCAATAGTTTCTAAATTTTTTATATAACATGTAACTTCTGTAACAATTTTTTCAAATGCTGGATATTTTAAATAGAATTTTACAAGGTTACAGGAAAAACAAACAAACCGACAGGCTTATGTTTTTCCCACCAAACTAAATGGCTTTCATTTACTGCTTCCAAGGATTATGCAGCCTCTCTCTCCCCTGATCTGCGTCCAACTCTGAAATAATTTCCTTCACATCATGAAAAAATTATTCGAAACCCCAAGCTCACTCATTCAATTAACTCCCTACCTCTTCCTTACTCAATATTCAATTAACATTGAATCACTTTAAGTCTTGCTATTTTAAAACTCGCCCTGGTTAATCTGTTTTTTTAAACGGCTAGCTCTTCTTTTTACCTCTGAGTCTTTGTACGTGTCTGGACATAAGAGGACATTTGGAAACAAGGAACCTGGTGGGTCTTCACAGAGATGCTTCACTCACCTTCCAGTGTCCACTGTAAAGATGCATAGGTGTGGACAGCAAAGTGGAACAATGTAGAAGCTTCCAGCTTGGAACCAGATGACATGTCCAGGAAAGCAAGGCATGGTGTGACATGAGAATGCCTGGCACAGGTCAAGCTGAAAATCTTTTTTTTAATGTCCAGACTGTGCAATGCATGGGGCTCTGGCCCCTGTCTGCAGCTGGACCCCAGAGTGGCTTTGGACAAGCAATTTAATTGATCCGGGCATCAATTATCTCATTTCTAAAACTACAAATGACATCTAAACCGATGGTAGCTTACATCCTTTTCAACCCAAATTATGTTCTCTAACACATCCCTTGAATCAGACCATAGCCCAGTGTCATTACAAATGCATTTCCTTTTGTTACTATGTATTCTGGGGGTATTTCATCTATTTCACAAATTGTTCCAATGTTCATCACATCTTATGAATAATGGACTTCTTTTATCATTTTCCTCAGGTTTTCTCCATCCTTCATTTTCTCCCCTCTTCCATCTTCCTGCATTGATTCAGACTACATGTGAGTCATTTATTTCTCTACAGACTGGGGACTGGCCCTTTGTTTTTTAACCTGAGGGAAGTTCATCATGGGAAATGTTTTCATCTATTAAAACTTACCACATATATTGTTATTTCAAGTTTAAAAAAGAAACAGTCAGAAAACAGAAGAGTAAAGATTATAAAAGATATCCTTTATGTGGCCCAGAATGGGGCTAACTTTCTGTAAAGTTTGCAAACAAAAGAACTATTCTCAATCCAAAGCAAAGACAATCTTCCTGACCCCCTCATCCAAGACAAAAGAGGTCATTACTATCTCAAAATGCTGATGAGGGTACAGAGAAACCTGATCGCTGGTACGTTAGTTTACTAGTGGGAAAATACAATTGCATAGCCACTGTGAAAAAGAGTGTAACAACTTCTCGTAAAACGAAATATGCACTTACCATATGACCTAACAATTATACTCTTGGACATTTATGCCAGAGAAACAGAAACTTACATCCACACAAAAACCTGTAGACAGGTGTTCATCACAGCTTTATTCATAATAACCCCAAACAGAAACCAGCTGGACGCAGTGGTTCATGCCTGTAATCCAAGCACTTTGGAAGGCCGAGGTGGGAAGACTGCTTAAGCCCAGGATTTCAAGACCAAACTAGGCAACATAGTGAAACCCCTCTCTACAAAAAATATGAAAATTAGCTGGGCATGGTGGCATGTACCTGTGATCCCAGGTACTTGAGGGGGGCTGAGGCAGAAGGAGCACTTGACCCGGAGGTCAAGGCGCAGTGAGCCCTGATTGCACCACTGCACTCCAGCCCGGGTGACAGATTGAGACCTTGTCTCAAAAATAAAATAAAGAAAAAAAAAGAACCAACTAAAATGTCCTTCAGTGAGTGAATGGTTAAACAAACTGTAATACATTCAAACCATGAAATATTACTCAACAGTAAAAAGGAACAAACTATTGATTATACACAGTAACTTGAATGGATCTCAAAAGGTTATGCTGAGTAGAAAAAAACATCTCAAAAGGTTGCAGCTGTATGATTGCATTTACACAACATTCTTGAAATGCAAAATTATAATAGACAATAGATTAATGGTTGCTGAGGGCGGGCATGAGGGGAAGGGAGTATCTGTGGCTATAAAGGGATAACAGAAGGGATCGTTGTGAAAATGTCCCATATCTTCACTGTGGTGGTGGTCACAGAAGTCTACACAGGTGATAAAATTATTAGAACTAAATATACACATACACACAAATGAGCATGTGTAAAACCAGTAAAATCAAAATAAGGTCACTGGATTGTATCAATCTGAATTTTCTGGTTTGATATTATGCTATAATTACGTAAGATGTTGAGAAAGAGAGGAAGATGGAAGAGAGAGAGATACTAACAGCAAATATATGGACAATGAAGAGCTAGAGAATGAAACTTAGTATTGAATTTTTCCTGTAAAATGTTCTTATCAAATGGAAATACAAATCTTCGTAGTCCACATTTCCTGAAATTTTACATTATTCCTAACTTTAGGTGTTCTATTTTGTCGTGGTTGTCATGGTGATATTTAAAGAGGGAGAACTGTACAGTGCTATACAAAGGATCCTATTTTCTTCAGAGAACTGGAATAGCATTTCCTTAGCGTAGCATCTGCCACTGGTTTCCCACCCACATGGCTTGGCCCACCTCAGCGGTCACCTGCAGACAAAAATGCCAGGGAGTTGACACTTCAGGAGCAACCCACAAGCAATGATGGACAAGGGTTGGTGAGCGATGCTGCATGTTCCTCCCCCACCAGGGTGCATCAAGGTACGCTCTCCACCGTCTCTCAAAGGTCCCCGACAGGTTGAACCCCAGCTGCCCTCCCCAGGTTACTGTCACACCACTTCCTTCTTTCCTGTCACCCTCTCCCTCATTCCATCTCTCAAACAAACCACTTAAACCCAATTCCTTGTCTCAGGGTCTGCTCTTGGAAGGACCCATAAAGAGTCTTACACTGAAGATTCCTAGGTACCGATTCCAAGGTCCTGATCTTTAACAATTGAGCTTCTCCTTTTCCTCATCATTACCAAACTCAGAGAAACTGCAACAAACCTCATGGAGATGTAACAAAATCTGATTTGTTTATTTAGCACTGACGACAATGCCCTTGGGTAAATACAGGCTTAGGCATGTCTGAATGGTCTCTATTTACCTGGTAACAAACATGGACGAGGGCCATTAGGCTGTTTGTTTAATAACTAACTATAGGCCAGGCAGGGTGGCTCATGCCTGTAGTCCCAGCACTTTGGGAGGCCAAGGCGGGCAGATCACCTGAGGTTGGGAGTTCAAGACCAGCCTGACCAACATGGAGAAACCCCGTCTCTACTAAAAATACAAAATTAGCCAGGCGTGGTGGTGCATGCCTGTAGTCCCAGCTACTCAGGAGGCTGAGGCAGGAGAATTGCTTGAACCCAGAAGGTGGAGGTTGTGGTGAGCTGAGATTGCACCACTGCACTCCAGCCTTGGTGACAAGAGCGAAACTCTGTCTCAAAAAAACAAAACAAAACAAAAAAACTAACTATAAAGACTTTTTCTAGCCGGTTCCATTCACTGAAGCAAATCTGCATTCAGCGTACACTTTTTCAGAAAACTGACACACTTGTGTTCCAGTTCTAGTTTCTAGAAGAAGTCCAACCTGGATCTACAAACCCAGTAGTCCTGTCCAGAGAGCTGAGGTGTTGGCTGGTTTCCAAGGTACCAGCTAAGTGACTTGAGAAAGACAACTTAAAGCAAACTCTGGTCAGAAAAATGAAGAAAGTAAAAGAATGTTTTAAGATCCGAAAAAATTCTAAATACAGTCAGTCATCTTTAGGTATACTTGGGAAATTGGTCCCAGGACCCCCTCGTACACCAAAATCCACACATACTCAAGTACTGCAGTCAGCCCTGTGGAGCCCTCACGTAGGAAAAGCCAGACCTCCTCATATGTACATCAGCCACAGCCCTATTAATTAATACCTTGAATCACTCTTCCCTCAATTTTGGCTGGTGGCAAGGCAGCCCTCTACTGTCATCATTTTCAATGGTTCTGCTATAAATATGTCTCTGTGTGTCTACTTAAACAGGGTAATATCTAAATGTACTTTATAAGCATATGAATGGAGCACCTGAAAGAAAGTGAACTGGAGGTCTGAATATTTAGACCTGTGCCTGGGGAGTGGCAAGAGGCAGGGAGGCAACTTTGGTCAAGTTCCTCAGACTTCCTGGGTCTCTGTTTACTTATCAGCAAAATAAAGGGTTTGAATTAGATAAGAAAGGAAGGCAAGCTCTGTTCCAACTTGACAAGTCTGTGATTCTAGATAATGTTTTTCTTTAGCAGAAAGGAGATCTGTTGATAGTATTATCATCCATGCACTGATTCACTGAACATTCCCTAAGCATCCTCTATGTAGCAAGTACTGAGCAAGGGATACCAAAATGTCACCTTGCATGAACAGATAGGCCTGGTCCAGGCTCTGCCACTGCCCTGCTTCTCACCTCCACTATTCCCTTCATCTTGGCTTCCTTTACTTCAGGTCCAATGTGCCAGGAGCCAGTGTCCACCAGGCCAAGCTTAGGACATGTGCCTACATGTCCAACAAGATAGATGGACAAAGGATCTGACTTCCATCAGCTTTCATGGTGGCGGGCAGCCGGGAGTGGCTATCACCAGGAACTGCCCACCCACCATGATGATACACAATAGCAAATTGCTCCAACAGGAGACAAGGCCACACAAGGAAGAGGGGGATTTGGATGTGAGACAGCAAAAAGAGGACACGTGTCATCCACATCTGCCTCCTTGAGCTCCTTGACATTCAGTGCCAATGTGTGACTACATCTGTGCACTTGAGGGAAAGAGAGGAGCTTTAAACTTCATCCAGCTCTCTAAGGATGCTGATAGAGGCAGAGAGAAGGTGGGCCTGAGGGGTCTCTCCTGCTTTGGGGACAGATTGCTTTCCAGTTCACTTTTCATAATGTTCTCACATGAGACATGGCCAGGAGGAAGGCCCTCAAGAATCTGGAGGTGGATATTGGGATCCCCTTTCTGGCTCTATCTGACTCTCAGTGTTTTGTCACCACCCCACTCTCAAAGGGCCAGCAGAGAAAATATTTAGGGCAGTATTCAGGACAAGGTGCCATGCAGTGCCTGGGTTACCGGACACATGGGGAACTTCCCAGCATTTCACAGGTGAACACCACTGGCTGTGCTGGCCTAGGTTGGCAGTGGGTTTGGCCCTCCCCCAATGTATCAAAAGTTGACAGCATCAGGCTGTCCCAGATGCTGGTGCCAATGTACCTCATACCTACTTGGTGCTAGAAATCTTTCTGTCTCTACCACTCCCTTCGCTCCATCTCCTCACTCACTCACTAACCAGTATCCTTAGAAGACCATTGTAAAAGAAACTTTGACATTTTGTACTCAACCCTAAAGAAATTACACCTAAAATTCATATGGGAACACAAAGGATCTAGAATAGCTAAAACAAGCTTGAAAAAGAACAACAAAGTTGGAGGAATAACACTGCCTGATTTCAAGATTTATTACAGCCATAGATAACAACATAATGTAGTATTGACATGACAGACAAAGAAATCAATGGAATAGAATAGAGTCCAGAAGTAAACGCACACACATACAGACAATTGATTTGCAGCAGAGTTGCAAAAGTGGAAAATGAACAGTCTTTTCAACAAATGGTCCTAGATTAATTGGATGTATATGAGCAAAAACAAACAAACAAAACAAAACAAAATATAAATAAATTTTTAAAACCCTCATATTTAGATTTTACATAGGCCTGTGATGCATTTTCAGTTAATTTTTCTTAGGTAAGTGTCCAAAAACATGCTCTATAAAAGAACAAATTGATAAATTGGTCATCATAATTTAAAACTCCCATTCTTCATAAAACACTGTGAAGATAAAATATTTGCAAATCGCAGTATGTAAAAATTTAGAGTATTTAAGAACTCTCAAAACTCAATAAAATAACAAATATTAAAAATTGAGTGAAGATTTGAATATATGCTTCATCAAGGAAGACAATTTGGGAGGCCGAGGCATGTGGATCACCTGAGGTCAGGGATTTGAGACCAGCCTGGCCAACATGGTGAAACCCCATCTCTACTAAAAATACAAAAATTAGCGGGGTATAGTGGCACACCCCTGTAATCTCAGCTACTTGGGAGGCTGAGCCACAAGAATCACTTGAACCTGGGAGGCAGGGATTGCTGTGAGCCGAGATCACGCCATTGCACTCTAGCCTGGGTGACAGAGTGACAGAGTGAGACTTTGTCAAAAAAAAAAAAAAAAAAAAGACAGACAAAAAAGATGCTCAAGATCAATACTCATTCAGGAAATGCAAATCAAAACTATAATGAAATACCACTACACACCTATTATAATAGCTAAAAATTGACACGTCTGACCATACCAACTATTAGGGAGGATGTAGAAAGAACCAGAATTCTCATACACCATTTGTAGGAATATAAAAATGGTACAATCATTTTGGAAAAATTAGGCAGCAGCTTAAAAATTTCAACATAGGATCAGCCATTCCATCGCTATGTATTTACCCAGGAGAAATGAAAGCATATGTCAGTGCAAAGCCTTGTATGTGAAATTCACAGCAGCTTTATTGTAATAGCCACAAACTAGAAACAACCCATATGTCCATCAGCAAGTGAACAGGTAAACAAATTGTGTTATAACATATAATAGAACACTACTCAAACATAAAACAAATGAACTATTGATACATGCTGCAACATGAGTAATTCTCACAATAACTATGCTGAATGAAAAGAAACAGATAAAAGGAAATATTGTATGTTGCCTTTTATATACAATTCCTGAAAACGCAAACTTACAGATAGAGACAGAAGTTAGATCAATGTACTGGGCACCTTCCGGAAGGGTGCAGTTGACAAGGAGGGGATGAGAGAAGAGATTACAAAAGGCAGGAAGAAATTTTTGTGAGTGACCTGTACAGTATCTTGATTATGTGCATATGTCAAAACTTACCAAAGTGTGCTCTAAGTATATGAGCTTATTTTATTTTGATTATATATCAATTTTTTTAATGAAGGGGAAAACATCTGAACAGCATGAGCCTTCCATAAGTAGGAATCAGCAGGTTCAAGGCTAAGCCATAGATACTTTCTGACTGTGCTCCTCCTGAAGCCCCGCTACCCCTAGAAGTAATAAGCACTATCCTGTGTTTTGTGGCTGACATTCTATTGCTGTTTTTAAAAATATGTTTACTGGCTGGGTGCAGTGGCTCATGCCTGTAATCCCAGCACTTTGGGAGGCTGAGATGGGAGGATCACTTCAGGCCAGGAGTTTAAAACCTGCCTGGCCAACATGGTGAAATCCCACCTCTACTAAAAACACAAAAATTAGCCAGGCATGGTGGTGTGTGCCTGTAATCCCAGCTACTTAGGAGGCTGAGGCAGGAGAATCGTTTGAACCTGGTAGGTAGAAGTTACAATGAGCCAAGATCATCCCACCGCACTTCAGCCTGGGTGACAGAGCGAGACTCCATCTTACACACACACAGACACACACACACACACACACACACACACACACACAGGCAGAAAGTTTACTATTTTGCTTATTTAGCTTAATTTTTACTATTTAGCTTAATTTTGTTAGTTCTGACCTTTATATAACAAAATCATGTTCAACATATTCTTCTGTGGCTTGCTTCTCTTGTTCTATAATTTGTTAGTGATATTCATGCATGCCAACGTGTGTAGTAGTAATAGCAGTGCATTCATTTTCACTGCTGTATAGTATTCTGAAATGTTCATTCCATTCTTAGTGAACATTTGTATTGTTTCCAGTGTTTTACTGTTTAAACATTGCTGCTGTGAGTGTATGTGAAAGAAGGACTCCTAGGTGTAAACCTAATGATAGAATTGCCCTGCCATAGCATATATGCATATTCCTCTTTATTAAATAATGCAGAATGATTTTCCAAGTACTTGTATCAATTTTCCCTCTCACCAGCAGTATATAAGAGATCTGGTTACTTTGTATCCTCAACAACACTTAATATGTTCAGTCTTTTTAAGACCAATCTTGGGTGTGCAAAATGGCATCACAAGATGGTCTTTAATTTCCCTTTCCAAAGATCACCTCTTTGCCTATTAGTCTTTCTTATCACGTTCTAGTCCTGAAGGGCTTATGATTTAGGATTGCTCAGCGACATAAAACCAGGGGATAAATGTTTTGCTGAATCCCTGCTGCTTCCCCATCTTCCAGCTACCCCAAGCCCACACACGGGAACACACACACACACACACACTTAGCACATATCTAGCATGCAGCACCAACTAATGTCAGTGGAATGAAAAAACGATGCTTGTTCACAGGCCTCCCAATCCACAGGGCTCAGAAGGGAACAAAATAGGAACCTTGCCTGTGCAATCAGAGAAGGGCAGGTAGGGTGTTGGATGAACCCATCTCTTGCAAGTTAGATCTCACGTGCCACTGTGGGGAGAGGCACAGGGGCACCGAAACATGGAGCCTGGGGGAAGGATCCGTGCCTTGTTTTTGTATTTTATTTCTCTTGGCAATAATTCTCTGTTGTTTGCACTGGAACCTCACATGAGAACATCAAATGGGGTTAAGGGTGGAGGGGAAAATGATGCAAAAGAATGTCCATCTTATTCTGATTCATAGAGCGATTTCCACCCAGGACTAAGAACAGTGATGGTAGGATCCTTTACCAACTTGATCAACTTCCTCATCTCACTACAATTTATTTGATCTCTGCCTCCCTTTTTCAGACAGAGACCAAAGAGTGGCCTCCTCCAGAGGGAGAGGAATGAGCTGGGCAGATGCTGAGTAAGTCCACTGACAGCCTGAGCTCAGTGACAATAATGCTGGGTGAAGCACTCATCATGACAGCCACGTTGGGCTGTTGTCATGATTGGCTGCATCATTAGGTCCCTTCCTCTTGCCTGTTTCCCCTTCACCCTCCCACAGCCACCAGTGGCGTACTCCTGGCAGCTGCCTCTTTGCAGAGTCTCCTTGCCCTGAAATTAAACCCATCAAACTGTCAGCCCCATTGCTGGGGCTGCTCTCATGTCAGCCCATGTCATGATGACAGATGATAGAAATGCTGCTATTCAGGCTTCATGGGGAGCGTCTGTTTCCTTTTTTAAATCGCTTTAAAAAGAAGATTGAGAGAAGATACCTGCTTGGCGGACAGAGCAGGATGACTAAGACAGCAAGTTCTTTTGCTGGCTCTTCTTGCCCGCTCAGTAGTTCTGGGTGACACTGCCTCTAGAATGTTAGGACCAGAGACAGCAGGAAGCCATCAGGGTAAGGGTGGGGAGCAAACTTCCAAAGAGAACAGCCTTGAGAGAGAGGAAGGAGAAGGGAAGGGACAAAGGCAGGTAAAGTCTTCCCCTTCCTGGAGTCGGCCTCTTCATAAACATCACCCAGCACATTCTTTATAAGCCCAGAGTCCTGGCCCTTGGTTAAAACTCAGTCTTGCATTCTCAGAAGAGTAGACTGGTAGAGATCAACTTTAAGATTTTTGTCCCAAGGCAATTCCAAAGCTTCCAGAATATCAGAGGTTTTCTCCTTCAGCCCTTCCAAGTGCATTGGCATTTACAGCATGGTGAGAGGGGGCAGCACGGAAGCTGAAGGTTTTTTACCCCAAACACAAACAGCCTCCTCTTTGACACGCTTATGATTCAGGATTGCTCAGCAACATAAAAGCTGTGGGAAAAATGCATTAACTGAATTCCTGCTGCTTTCCCATCTTCCAGCTACCCCAAGCCCACACACAGGAACACACACACACACACACACACACACACACACACACACACACGATGGATGTATAATTGCAACAACTAAATGGCCTGAGACACAAATTAAACATCCACATTCAGCATCCAAGCATAGAGATGGGAAGAATCTCACAGCAACTGTCTCTCCTTTTCCTCTCAATTTAGAGATGAGGACATTGAAGCCCAGAGAAATTAAGTGACTTTTCTAAAACTGCACAGCTTGATAGTTACAAATAAGGGAAAAGGATCCTGGAATCCTTCAATCCTGCCTTTTAGGGCTGAATTTGACCAAACAAGGAACAAAAACTAATTGGGAACTCTTTCTCTGGAGGAGCACAGAGAACTTTGAAGCATTGCAGAGAACCACTCCAGAGGAAAGGCTTATCTGAGATTATTCTGGAAATGAGAAAAGATCAGAGAGCACCTACTTTAAAAACAGATGAAAAGAAATTTATACAGGGCAGCTTTACCTTACAGAAAACCAGCTTAGAGTAAATGGTTGAGGGAACTTTGCATATGGGCAATGCCAAGTATAGATCAGACTTCAGTGTTCAGTGATGCAGATGGTCCTAGAATTTCCTTAGCAGCTCGCTGCTGGGAGCTGACCTTCCCCAGGAGCCATAAGAAGAGGCTTTGAGGAACAGCAACATCATGCGAAGCATAACGCTAATTATAGTTTTCACTTATTGAGCACATATAATATACCTGGCACTGTTCTAACAGTCTTATGTTTATAACTTATATAGCCCTCACAGCAATGCTGTGAGTAGATAACACTATCTTCGTCATAGTTACAGATGAGTGACCTGAGACGTTGAGAGGTTATGAAGCCTTTTTAAGTGGGACAGCCAGTCCTAGGTGTTAGAGACCATTTGAATGCAGGAGTGTGTCTGAAATCATGCTCTTAATCCCGTTGCTGTACTGGATGAGGGTCAGGAGATGAGCTTACTTTGCCATGGTGAGGTGACTCATTCCAGTTGTCCTCGATGGCTTCTAGGGAGATGGACATTCTGGACCTGCTCTGCCACAGAGGTGTGGCTTTGGGCAAGTGTGCAGTAAAGGGTTGCCTCAACAGACCTGAGTTGCCCAAACCCCACACATTCTAAAGATCTTCAGGAATGGCCCTTGACCAGCTCCAGGGAGATCACCTCTGAGCCCTTGGAATATCCTGCTTGATAAGAGTGTCTCTGTATACCTGGGGCCCTGGGCTGCGTTAGACAGTTTATGCTAACAATGTGATTTATGGATGGACTCTTGGGCCACACTATATCAGTTTGACCTCTGAGGGGCAAGTGAGAGACACTAGACACTTCATGCTTATGTGACTGCCCCCTGACCTCCAAGAAAGCCCTGGACACCAAGGTTCAGCTGAAGCTCCCTAGTTAGTGTGTGTTGTCACACATTGTAGCTGAGTGAATTCAACACTGTCAGCCAACTACATAAGGAGAGGAAAACTAAAAGCTCAGACTTGGTTTTTTTCTGCACTTTGCCCTATGAGCACTTTTCTTGTGCTGACTTTAATCTGCATCCCTTCACTCCAGTAAACTGTAACCAAGATTATAACATTTTTTCTGAGTTCTGTGAATCATCCTATTGAATCATCAAACCTAAGTGTGGATTTGACTACCTTGACACAGCAAGGTAGTCAGTATCCCCCAGTAGCTTCTTATATAAAATGAGAGAGTTGACCTACAGCCCTAGATGATTTCCAAGGTTTCTTCAACTCTGTCTTTAGGCGTGCTTCATAATCCTGTGGGTTTTTTTCCTAGTCTCTTGTGTCTTATTGTGCAGTCCCATCTACAGTAGGGACTTCCCGGCTGCTGATCCCTGACATGACCTCCAAACAAATCAACTTTCCCTGGCAGAGAAGGGGATGTAGTTGGATCTCCAAAAAATGTGTTGCAAAGCCTGCAACACAAAATAATGTTCCAGTATCCATTCTCGCCTCCTTCCCTGCTAATAGAACCCTATTTAAACTGGGTACCTAGGAACCTGGAATAAAGAATAAATTTCCCAGCCTGCCTTGCAGCTAAATGTGGCCATGTGACTAAGTGCTGGCCAATAGTATGAAAGCACACGTGTGATGTGGGACTCCTGGGAAATGCCTTGAAAGAAGAATGCTCTCATCACCCCCTCCTTCTTGCAGTTGTGGTGCAGGTATATGGTGACATTTGGGTAGCTTATTGGCCCATAAGGAAGAAACCATGTTCTAAGGATGGCAGAACAAGGACAGGAAAGGAGACTGGCTCCTCGGGATTCTGCAAAGCCACCTGTCAGCTACGAACTCTCTCCTCCACACTTCTTTCCCCTGAAAAACAAACAGAATCCATCTTGCTTAAGCCACTGTTATTTTGGATTTTCTGCCACACAGCTGAGCCTTTCCTAACCAGCACAGACTGCATCTCCCACCTAATGAAAGATTAACAGGGCTCCCAATCTCAGCCCATCCATTGCCTGTACGAGAAAGCAATGATGATTCATTTAAAAGCACTCTATTCGGAATACTATCTTCTCCTATTTCCTACAAATCAAATTACCAAGAGACCAATTGGATTTTTCAAGTCCCTCAAAATGTTCTTTTTAGATGTTCTTGGTATTAAATAGTAACAGAATTTAAATGGCATCAACAAAACACACAGACGTGACTGTGGTGATAAGTTACATAAATCTGTGAGGGAAAGAACCTCACAAGAACATAATAGATGTGACAGAGATGGAAAACAGCAAGTCGGATCTGAGGGATTTGCCTCTGGCTTCTACCACCTGGCCATAGGCAGCCACCTACTCAGGTTCAGGGGCACCTTCCCTGCTCTTAGGGAGAGTAAAATCCAAGTGGATGGGGGAGAAGGGTGGCTGGTTAAAGAACTACAAATCTACCTCAATATTCTTATTTCCCGAACACCCATTGCAGACCCTGAGCTTCTTGCAATCATTAGCAGAAGCTGCGTTTCACTCTTGCTTCGTATTCCTAGTGCCAAGAATGGTGCCGAGCATAGAAACAGTTCCATGCCTGGAGGCCTGGCTTCGAGCCCCAGCTCTGCCAACCACGGGTGCTACTCACCAGGGGACAAAACCTGAGTCCTAATTATGTGCCAGGTACTATGCAAACCACTCTACCTTCACCTTCTGTAACCTTCACAACAACCCTCTGAAGCATTCCTGTTACCATGCCCATCTACAAACGAAGCCAATGAGCCATGAAGAAGGTCAAGCAATTGCCCAAAGTCACTCAGCTCCCGAAGTGCAGAACAAGGATTCGAACCCGGTGGTCTGACTTCAGAGTCTACGCACTTAACCCCCACTGCACTGTAAGCAGAAAGGCATGACACAGATGTTGTTATTGCTGTTGTTACAGGCTCAAAAGAAGGAAGGAAACTAACAATGCGGGGAGGCTGTAGCTAGGCCTGGGTCAGGATGAGGTTTGACATCATATCTATATTATCTCATGTATTCTGCACAGAGACTTATTCCCAATATACAAATAAGGGAACTGAGGCTCAGGAAGGTAAACAAATCCCCCAAGACCTCAAAGCCTAGTGGTAGCATCTGGATTTCACTTCAGGTTTCCCTGGTTTCAAAGCCCATGCTCTTTTCATTCCTCAGAGCTACCTCTCAGCCCACTGCAGAGAGGGTGACCATCAACTCCTCCTGGAGACTAGCATTTGAGGTTCTAAGAGGCAGCCATTGCCACTGATGAGAAAAGCTTTTTAGTTGTATTTATAGAAATTATTTACATCTGAACCCATAATGTATATGTATATAAAATATATACGTATTTGAGGCAACACAAAGAGACCATATACACGGGTAAGAAAATAATTATTGCAGATGGGAGAATAAAATGTTGCTAAGTAGTGTGGATAAAATCTTTTGGGTCTGGCACAGAAGTTGTTAAGGGTCTGAGTTGGCAAGCAGGCTCACAAGATGCAAATAAGCTTTCATCTTCTCCCATGTTGACTTAGCCTTATGGAAGGCCACAGAACTGGAGATACAGCAGATGTAGCATTCCCAGCTCATGAGAAGCCCAGCAGCTACCCAAGGATGCAGCTTCTTTTACCTCCTCACCCACATGGGACATGAACAGCTGGTGTGGATGAGAGCCAAAGGGTGGGGGTCATCCGACACAGAGCAGCACAGCCACCCCAATTTCCCACCAATCTTTCATACCATGCTGATCAGCAGGCCCCAGGCCCACATGCCAACTCAGAGCTCATCCAGCCCGGATGAAGTCTCCCAGGTCAGAGACTTCACAGACACAACATCCCTCATTTGTTTTAACTGCCATTTCCACAGAACAGCACTGGGGAAAAAAGTCTGCCTCTCAAGTCACCCAGGCCTGATGTTAACACTTTAGTCTCAGGTATCAAGCTAAGAGGCAAGAGCATTCAAGAAGCAACATTGGGTCAGATTCAGTGGCTCACGTCTGTAATCCCAGCACTTTGGGAGGCAAGTTGGGAGAATCACTTGAGCCCAGGAATTTGAGACCAGCCTGGGCAACATACAAAGATGCTGTCTCTACAAGTGCAACAACAAAAAATAGCTGGATGTGGTGGCACTTGTCTCTAGTCCCAGCTACATAGGAGGCTGAGTGGGGAGGATCAGCCTTGGAGTTTGAGGCTGCAGTGATCTATGATTGCACCACTGCACTCCAGCCTGGGCAACAAAGTAAGACCCTATCTCAGAAAGAAAAAAAAAACAGAAGCCATGTTGCATAGTGTGTGCTCTACATTAGTGTTATGGGTTGAATATTTGACCCCTCCAAAACTCATGCTGAAATTTAATTGCAATGTAAGAGTAAGGGGAGGTGGGCTCTTTAAGAAGTGATTAGGGCCGGGTGCGGTGGCTCACGCCTGTAATCCTAGCACTTTGGGAGGCCAAGGTGGGCAGATTGTCTGAGCTCAGGAGTTCACGACTAGCCTGGACAACACGGTGAAACCCCATCTCTACTAAAACACAACAAATTAGCCAGGCGTGGCAGTGTGCACCTGTAGTCCCAGCTACTTGGGAGGCTGAGGCAGGAGAACTGCTTGAACCTGGGAGGCGGAGGTTGCAGTGAGCAGAGATCACAGAGCAAGATTCCATCTCAAAAAAAAAAAAAAAAAAGAAGTGATTAGGCCATGAGGGTTCCACCCTCAGTGTGCGTTTAATGATTTAACGCCTTAATTAAAAGGCATTTTAGAGCAGCTCTCTCTCTTTGCTCTCCCGCCTTCTGCCATGAGACAAGAAGGCCCTTGCCAGATACCAGCACCTTGATATCAAATTTCTCAGCCTCCAGAATAGTTAGCAAATAAATTCCTACTTATTAAAAATTATCCAGTCTCAGATAGTCTGTTATAGCAGCACAAAACAGACCACAACAATCAGTAAGAACTATGCTGGGCCAAAAGTAACAGAAAAACTCAACCCATGTTTCTTAAACACTGGGGGTTTATTTTTCACACAGCAGAAGCCCAGGAATGCAGTCCCGAGCTGGTGCAGCTTCCCAGGGGGTAAATCCCAAGGGTATGGACTTCCATCCATGCTTGTTGCTTTGCAGTTGCCATAGAGACGGAGACGCTGCATCCCCTGGCCTCACATTCACATGACAGGCAGAAAGAAGTAAGAGGAAAGGAAAAGGGGGCAGAACCTGTAAGAAGAAAGCTTTTGCTTTCATTTTGCAGATGTCCTCTCACATTTCATCAGCCTGAGCTGTATTACATGGCCACCATCAGCTGTGAGGGAGTCTGAGACAGCGATCATGCTTAGCTAGGCCCAGAGCTTCCCCCAACAAAATGGGGTTCTGTTCTTAAAGAAGAAGGGGAGATTGGACATTGGCAGGTTGGATTGGTAATATGCAATTTGTTACATATAACAACCCTGAAAAAAATTTTTCACACCCACCAGGCCCCACACAATTTTGGATAGCCCGCTCCATGTGCACAGGCCTCTCAATGAACAAAGCTTTCTCCTTCCCCCAGCCCCAGCTTCTCCCTCCTGCCCCCTACAACAGAATACAGGAGGCTAAACAAACCCAGGTGTCTGTCCTCTGCATACCCACTTCCTTCCACTAGCCACCAGCCCTTTAAGAAAACCACCAAGGAATTTATATTCCAGGCCTTGTTCTTAGAGCTTTGAAAAGGGCTTGATTTTTACAACTGGAATTTGGAAAGAAGGCCCAAGGGCAGAGCATTTTTCCAACAGAGTGAGAGCCAGCCACCAATCCCTCAGCAGGCCCTCAATTTGCTTGGTTTTCTTATTTTGACAACTAGATGCTGGCCCCTAAGTCATGCTGTAAAAATCTGTGGCTACCATGGCATGGATATTTCTTAGGGTATCTTGGAGCTATACGCAGAGTCTACATTGGTCAAAACTGTCTTCTTTCATATGTAGTGAGCTCTTTGACATCGGAGACAGCCAGGAAGAAGTTGGCCGGTCACTTCTTAAAGACAATAGAGTGCAACGTATCAGAGAAACGCTGGACATTCCTTCAGTCTCCAAGAGTCAATGATTTGGATCTTTGTGGTTTGTCTTCATTTCCCTCTCTTAAAACAGCATCAAGCAAAAGTCATGGGGCTCCCAACAAAGGGAAAGATGAATCACAGGGTTTGGAGACTGGGTGAAGGGAAGTTTGGTGGCAAACTCATCTTGAAGTTGGCTGGGATAAAATTTGAGATGGTTCTCCTGGGCACCAATGTGGAAGTTAAAAAAACAAATTTCCTGAGAAGAGATGCTAACAGCAACTTCATGGGGGAGGTGGTAGGTGGGTATTGGGGGTCACCTCTCAAGGACTCCCTAAACCACCTCAGATTTCAGAAGTTATGAACTGAAGGGACAGGAAAATACAGTAGCTATTGTTAATTTAAAAACTGACAAAATAAAACTAACATGTCTTCAGGTGGGGAAATCTGGAAATGGGAAGAGAAAATGTTACAGAAAGAAAAAGAAAACAGCCCTAGTGTAAAATTTTTAAAATCTTAACCCTAGGGTTTTAGAACCTAAGAGTTCTATTAATAAGGCACAAAAGTTCCTAATGTGCTCTAAATCACATCAAAATTGCTTCTACACATGTGGATTTTAAGATCATAAGGAATATTTGGAGGAAATATTAATAAATAAAATTCTCTTTTTTGCTACTGGGGTAATGTTTAGAAAATTACCCATATGAGGCAGACTGATACTAAAAATGACCTCAATTCTTCACCACTCCCCACACCCACATTCTTTATCATGTGACTTTGCTGCTCCTCCTATCAAGAGATGGAGTCTATTTCCCCACCCTGAGATCTGGGCTGGGATCTCTGGCCAATACAATGTGGCAGAATGAAGGTGTGTCAAATCCAAGTCTGACCTCAGAGATCTTGCTCATTTCTGCTCTTTTTTGGAATGCTACCTCCACTGTGTTAACAAGGCTGGGCTAGCCTGGGGAAAGAGGAGAGAGCTCAGAGACAAGAGCTCATTTGCCTCAGCCAAGGCCATCCTAGATCAACCTACAGCCAACAACCTCTAAACATGTGAGAAAAGTCAGCCAAGATCAGCCAAGCTGCCTGCCTGACCCACAGCTAGCCTCAGATGCATGAAGGAGACCATCCAGGAGCTGAAGAACCCAGAGACTTGGGCGCAATAAGAAACGCTTTTTGTTTTAAGCCAGGGTAATCAAACTTTTTCTATCAAGGGCCAAATAGTAAATATTTTAGACTTACTAAATATTTGGTATGGTCTCTGTTGCATATCTTATTTTGTTTTCCAAACGCTTTAAACATGTAAAACCATTCTCAGCTTGTGGGTCCTACAGAAACATACTGCAGGCCACAGTTTGCCACTCTCTGCTTAAGCCATTGAGCTCTGAGATACTTTGTTACACAGCAGAAGCTAACTCATAGACCACATGGTTTTTATTTGCCCTTGTATCTTGTTTTCATGCAAAGAGAAAACTATACAATGAGGGTCATTTCCTCCAGGAGGGAAGGTTGACTGCTACCAGAAACAAAGAGGTCATTGACCAATGTTGCACCTCAAAGCCGTTTTCCTGGTTCCTTTAATAAAATAATCACCTGAACGCCAGTCTTTGGGATGAAAAAATGATTTCTAAATTTCAGGGACTGATGGCCAAGATCCCGGGGGACTCCAGAGGAAGACACTAGCATATAATCCCAAAATGTTAAATGGGACCAGTCTTTCTTCAGTGGAAATGATTTCCAGAACAAACTGGGGCTGTCATCCTGCAGCAGAGACCAGCCAGGATCCAAGGACAGAGTGAGTCAGCCCCTTCCTCTACAATCATGAAGTCATAGAAACCCAGCCCTCTAAACCTCTAGCTCTCATTTTGTGGAGATATAAAGAAAAGGGGGAGGAAATAAGAAAGACTGAGCATGTATCTTAGTCATGCCTGTAGAGAATGAATAGACTATTTAAATTATTGGATTGGGCTGAGTTTATTGGACTGGACTAAATTTATTTTTTCCTTGCTACTCAGTGGGTTTGGAGACTTAAAAGGATGATAGATCACTTGTAGGAAATGATAGGACTGTTATGGCTTCAATGTTGTCCCCCAAGAATATATGCCACCCACCTTATTTGGAAATAAGGTCTTTGCAGATGTAATGGCGCTAAGATGAGTCATTAGGGTGAGCCATTAGGGTCATTATGGCTGTGTTACAAAAAGAGAAGAAGAAAATGACACCCAGGAGAAGAACGCCATGTGTCAACGGAGGCAGAGATTAGAGAAATGCGGCCATGAACCAAGGAAGGCCAAGATTGCGGGCAACCCCAGAAGCTAAGAGAAAAGCATGAGGCAGACTCTTTCCCAGTGCCTTCAAGAGAGCATGGTCCCACCGACACCTTGATTTCCAACTTTCGGCCTCCACAACTGCAACAGAACGAATATCTGTTGTTCTAGGCCACCCAGTTTGCCGGCATTTATTACAGCAGTGCTAGGAAACCAGCACAAAGTTTTTTGTTTGTTTGTTTGCTTGCTTTTTTGACACAGTGTCTCGCTCTGTCACCCAGGCTGGAGTGCAGTGGCGCGATCTCGGCTCACTGCAAGCTCCGCCTTCTGGGTTCACGCCATTCTCCTGCCTCAGCCTCCCGAGTAGCTGGGACTACAGGCACTTACCACCACGCCCAGCTAATTTTTTTGTATTTTTAGTAGAGACGGGGTTTCACCGTGTTAGCCAGGATGGTCTCCATCTCCTGACCTCGTGATCCACCCGCCTCGGCCTCCCAAAGTGTTGGGATTACAGGCGTGAGCCACCGCGCCCAGCCAAGTCTATTTCTTTAAAAGAGATTATTTACATCTTTTAATTAACACCAATGATTCTTTCAACACTGCTTTTCTGAAGTTCCACTTCTGAAATTCAAAGTAGTCCTTGAGGGTCCCGGAACGCTGGCTGGCAGAGATGGAGGCATTACTCTCCCCACAGATTGGTTCACGGTGAACTTAGAGACCTCCGGGGAGGGTATATTCCAGTGGCTCCGAAGACCTCTGGTTGGTTTTGGATTTGGTTTAGAAGAGTTTAGAAGGGTTTAGAAGGGAGCAGCTGATAAAAGGAGCATTTTTAGAAACGGCCTGCCTTTTCGGGGTCCTAACTTTGGTGTGCACTGAGGTCATCTGGAACAAGTGTTGGGAATGGAGATTTCTGAACCTCATCATCAGAGATTCTGGTTCACTTTGTCTAGAGAATGAAATTCAAGAATCTATATCTTTAGCAAGCACCGTTTAGTGACTCTGGCACAGCCGATTAAAACGCCTTTCCCCAGAAAAAGCCATGGAGGGATCCCACAATTCAAAGTGGCAGAGAGCTCCCATTCATTCCCTGGCCGCTTGGAAGCTGCCCTAGCGTGGGGATTGGCTAAGGTGGAAGAGCTTGGGCCTATGGTGCTCCTCACCTGCGGGGTCCCTCGGGAGGAAGATGGAGGGCGCTGGAGCAGCCCTTCCCGGTGCTCTCTCTCCCTTCCCAAATGGGGACCCGGGTCAGGACTCTGGGAGAGCGGCACCCCCTAGTGGCCACGTTTAGTTTTCCAGGTACTTAGCAACAGGCACCCGGCCAGCAGCTGAACTCCCCCACGTAAACGGGTGGCACTACATCAATAACACAGGGCAATGGAGCAACTTATTGTGATCTTGACTCATGTGGCAATAAATATCAAATCGGAACACAGAAGCGGAACATCCACAGGAAATGGCAACTGCATTTTATGGGTCTTAAATTTCATACCAGAAGAGAAAATCACTACCGGGCTCTGAAAAGCTGCAGTCAGGGTCTTGTTTTTTCAAATCTATTTCAGAAGAAAGCAAGAAAAAAACTGTAGAAGACAGGGTTGAGGTTGGGGGAGGTCAGGGGAGTCAAGCCATTTGGAAAAGCTCTTTGGAAAGAAAATCTCTGTGTAGTTTTAAGAGGGGAAAATTGAGCAGTGTAAATCAAAAGGAATTGTTTTTTAAATGCATTTGATTTTTTAAAGCAGCCAATATCTATTACAAATAAATTGTATTTTCTCCTTCTTCCTACCCCATTCCACTGATTAAATTACAAAATAGTAAAATAATAGACCTCAAAATTCAGTCTCTGCATCCAATCAATTCCTATTGTTTACAAGCATCTGTGTATTTGTAATGAAATAATTTCATAATTTCACTGAACTATGTGGCAGGCTCTTCACATACCTTATCTCTAATCATCTGAACAACCCTGCAGGGTAGATATTATTGATTACATTTTTCAAGTGAACAACTGAAGTCCAGAGTGATTGAATAAACTCACTAATACTAAGCAGAGCTGGGATTAGGACTCATAGCCTCCCAGTGCCAGAACTCAAGGACAATCTTCTCCAATACTCACCTCTCTGAAGAAACTGGAACATGTCTTGTAATCCCACTTTCCACAACAGAGGTACTGCCAGGAATGACGATGAACATTAAAAGGGTATGAGGGGCTGGACGCGGTGGCTCACACCTGTAATCCCAGCACTTTGGGAGGCCAAGGCGGGCAGATCACGAGGGCAGGAGTTTGAGCCCAGCCTGGCCAATATGGTGAAACCCTGTGTCTACTAAAAATATAAAAATTAGCTGGGCGTGGTCGCGCGTGCTTGTAGTCCCAGCTACTAGGGAGTTTGAGGCAGATGAATCGCTTGAACCCGGGAGGCAGAGGTTGCAGTGAGCTGAGATTGCACCACTGCACTCCAGCATGGGTGACAGAGCAAGGCTTTGTCTTAAACAAAAAAAAAGTTTGTGGCGGGGTGGTATGAGGGATCTTACTGAGGTAATAAAAATGTTCTAAAACTGGTAATGCCTGTACAATTCAATAAAGTTACCAAAAATCATTGAGTTGTACACTTAAAATGGGTAAGGTTTATGATAAGTAAAGCATACCTCAATAAAAAAAATAAAAATACAATGTAAGAAATCACATATTTAAACAAAAGGAATAATAAGAACTCTAGTGATATATAAGAGTTTAAGGGAGATAGATGTGGGTAGATTTGTTTCCTCATCAGCTTGGGAATGAAATTAGGGATAGATCTGATGGAGAGAAGACACCACAGGGCAGGCCCAGGCTGTATCATGCGGCCGACTGTGGACCCCTCAGGCTCTTGCTGTGGCTGAGTTTCTTCCCCTGCGATAATCACTTTCCCATCAGCATTGACAATGGCTCCTTATTTTTCCCTTTCTATCAAAACTTACTTGCAGACTTTTTATTTATACTAATGTGTAAAGGGCTGATTAGTGTTTAAACAGCTCCCCTTTCAAAGGAATTATGTCATTTTTAAACTCCAAATATTCAACCATCCCCTTCCTGATGAAGAACACGAAGAACATGTCACTTAGATGTTCAAGTGACTTCAAAATCAACAAGCAAAATGAAACTCAGTATTACCACATCCCGTGCTGCCCCACTAGCCAAGTTGTCTCCCCATTCTAAGATCCCTAACTCTGCCACCCATATTTCTCTGGCTCCTGCCCCATCTGCTAACATGGGCCTCAGCCAACTCATAACGTACCCCAACTCCAAGTCCTTCCAGCGAACCCCAGAGACGATGTCCTATCAGCTCTCTGATTGTCTGAGGCTGACCCACACCATTCGCCATTTTTACCTCTTCCTCTGCTCCAACCCTCTCCAGTGGAAACACTAGAGTTTTGAGATATAAGCACCATTTTGGCTAAGAACACCAGCCCACTGTGCACCATCCTTTGCTGGCCCATGTTCTGCTCCTGATGGCTCCTTCCATGGCTGCTGGATATGGCTGCCCGCCCAAGGACCTCTGTTGGCACAGGGGAGACTCTGGAGGCCAGAACCGAGTGCTGGTCTGCTCTGAAGTGGGAGAGTTGCTGCACCCTATCAGGAAGGTCCCAAATCAGTTCTGCCTTCCTCTCCGCTACCACATGGAAGTAAATCCAGAAAAATCATCGGAACAACATCTTCTCCTCTGAAAGCCCACCTAACAAATTGCCTTCCTGTAATAAATGAAAATATCAGCAAGAGATCATTTTTAATCTCGATAAAAAAAAATCCAAGCACTTTGCAGTGTGTTACCCCGAGCAAAGTTACACTGGAGGCAGCTTTTATAGCTCAACCTGCGGTGACCTGTCCCACTCCAGTGAAGCCTTAAATTACCCCAGCTGCCAGAGGCCAGAATTAATCCCACTTCGCTTTCGATATCCTAAGCACAGAACAGGTATCAGAAGAGGATCAAGTGTTGCAAAGCTGCTTAGTAGTGGGATGTTGTTTAAGAAATACCGTAATCAACTGGCAAAGGTACAATTAACAGACAATTGTGACGATTAATTTTTAAAAATCGGTCTGGATTTGCATGTTGGGAAGCTATGCTCCTTGTTGATCTGGTTGAATTTTGGGGTTTTTGCCTTTTGTTTTTCCTCCCCTGATTTTAATCTCCTGGGCAACACTACGATTCTTGCTTTTTCAATACATTATTCTCTAGCAGCACTTTAAAAAAATCAACCATGTTTTTTTCTCAGTTGAAAGAAGCAACAAATCTGCTTATTTGATTTATGTCTCCTGGGATTCTAAAGAGTTTAAAAATCTAGGATGTCGGCCCTTCCTGTGATCCCACTGCTGGTTGCTAGGATCTCTTGGGGAAGCATTTATTCGCTTTCACGCCCCTGTTGCACTTAGTATCTAGTTCCTAAACAAACTTTCATTATGGGGATTTCCAGGTCGCCCATTCTCCTCTTTATTAATTGCTCCTTTCTGTGTGGACAGGATCTGCCGTGTATTTTCCTAAACAGCTTTTATGCTTTTGTTACCATTACTATTCTGAGGAAAGTGAACAAGGTCTTTGGAATTACCTACCATGACTTAGAAAATAGGAAAAAATATATGATCCCCGTGTAGTGCTATTTTGCCAAGATCCCACCCATCAGAACACCTAGATGAAACAGCTAAATGTGTTCCCCTGTCCTGATATTCACAGCCTGGCAACCCATGCAGTTTGAGACTGGGCCCAGACAGCAGTAGACACACGGCCAACAAGGGAGACGTTCTCCAGCAGGTAAGGTGCCCCCAGTGCTTCTTGAGTCACAGACAGAAGAGCACCTTGTTGTGGTCCCCGTCCTTGCAGAAGGTTAAAGTCTAGCTGGGGAAATTAAATCAACAGACAGGAACCTATAGGATAACAGGGAAGTGACTGCTAAGCTATAGGGGGCTGATTCTTAGGAAAGCAGGAGTGTGGAGACAGGAAGTGGGTGAGAGGACATGAGACTGAAGCTGGACATTGAATGAGTAGGATTAAATGAGGCAGAGGGAAGAAAGGAAAGCAAAGAGGGTGCACAGTGAGAGAAAAGACACAGAGAAAGCTGGTGTCGGTGGGGGAGGGAAACGGACTCAGTCAGGGCCTGGGAAGGAAGAGGAGAGCACACTCGACCTGGGATGAGCGCAGGGTTTAATAAAGGCACTGTCTGCAAGAGTGATAGCAGGTGGAACGAAACCACACCCACATGGGATGGCAAAGGCATCCTTGGGCTAGCAACAGTCAGAAGCTGTTGTCCCCCCTAAGCCTAAAGGGACAAGGGGAGAGAGCGAGTACCAGGACTCAGAGAGGGTAGGTCTCTAGAGAGGGCCACCTGGTAGCCCCCATGGCCTTTGTAGAGGGCAGCAGCCACTCCACAGAGAGCCCGCAGGAAGTAAGCCAAGTCAAGGCATAAGCTGACTGCTTGCCACTCTCCACCATTCTCCAGTCTCCTGCTAGTGCCTTGCACCAGCTAAGACCAAGCAGTTAGCAGAGACCCGCTGGTGCTTCTAAAGATCTGAGGTAGAGACCCAGAAGAAGAATGGCCCAGAGTGGACCTGGAGGAGCCAAAGGAAGGGAGCCAGCACAGATGAAATTAACCAGAGCCAGGGCACCATTAAAATCCCACTGCAAACCTGGTTGTGCATGAGGGGCATTTCAGTGAAATGAAGCAAATGGGACCCCTGAACAGGTAAGCTATAATCAGCCTTTTTGTCTTCCAGGTCTCTGCTCAGATATTAGAGGAAGCAAGCCCCTCACACGCCAAACACATTCTAAGCATCACCCCTATTTGGGTTTCCCTCCAGCGCTTATCTGAAATTATCCTGTTCCCTTTTTCACAGATCGTCTGTTTCCAGGAGGATGGATTTCCTAAGGACCCCTGCACTGAATGCAAGCCTGCTGGGGACTCCACCTGCTGAAAACAGGACAATGATCCCTGGCGGATGAAAACTACACAAGCCAGACAAAACATGTGCTAAAACGCACCTCCAGTCTACAGAGGAGGAGCAGGAGGCAGAGCAAGAAATGGGAGGAAGAGGACTGGTGCGGTGGCTCACGCCTGTAATCCCAGCGCTTTGGGAGGCCGAGGTGGGCGAATCACGAGGTCAGGAGTTCAAGACCAGCCTGGCCAACATGGTGAAACCCCGTTTCTACTAAAAATGCAAAAAATTAGCCAGGCGTGGTAGTGGGTGCCTGTAATCCCAGCTACTCGGGAGGCTGAGGCAGGAGAATCGCTTGGGCCCTAGAAGGGGAAATTGCAGTGAGCCGAGATTGTGCCACTGCACTCCAGCCTGGGCAACAGAGTGAGACTCTGTCTCAAAAAAATAAATAAATAAGTAAAAAAGAAATGAGAAGAAGGGAGGTGACAAATGCCTTTCCTCCCAGTGTCACATCTGCTGCCCTGATGCTGCTCCCAGCAGGTAACCATAAAGCGTGAGAGGGAGAGCTCTATGCGACTCCAGGGAGATTTCTCTGCCCATCCTTAATGGAGAGCTGGAGAGAGCCACAGATCTCGTGGTCAGTCGCTACCTAAGCAGCCCCTCTCGTTTGCTGAAGCACCCTGGGCAGGTCCCGTAAGTCAGGCCTTTTCCGGTGAAAGGGTCCTGAGCCATACATGGATAGATGCTGCACCCAGTTCCTGGAGGAGGAAGGTCTATTCTGACATCAAACAGTCCGTCAGCATCGCTGTTCTAGAAACTGCTAGCATGATGAGTGGGCCGCACAAAGGTAGCGGGGTAACGATTAGCTCATCTCTAATTATATGGGATTTACGATTAGGCAGCAAGTTTATTTTGGAACACTGCAATAACAAGACGCACAGCAGTGGCGAGGACGAGGGGGTGGAGTTCTAGCTTGGCCTTTAGAATATAATAGCTTGTCATTGCCATGGAAACCAGCTCCCTGGGAGTTCGCAGGCACCTTATTCTATAATTATAAGAGATCTGATAAGGGGTGGGGGGATGGTGGTGTGTATTTTTTTTCTTTATAAATTGTATTCGGTAGCTGAAAATAGAAGAACCTAGAGAACAAAGCCTATTATTAACCACCATCCGCTAAGAGGCGGCTGCACTTCAGCTGCTTGAAGGGGCTGTTCCTGCAAGTTCTACAGATGTGCCAGGATGTCAGAGGTGGGTCAGGACTGCGACCCTGACAGGGGAGGGTGTGTCCAGGCAAGCAAGGCACAAGCACAGCTTCAGACTGAAATGGGCTCCTTCTCGTTCCCCAGCACCCGATGGACTGAATCCATCGTCCAAGGTGGGTTGCACAAGTGCCCAACCCCAGGGAAATTCGCAAGGTCTCCTCCATCCCTCTCCTTCCTTCCCTGACATTCCCAGATTCAAAGTCTGGATGGAATCCTGGCCATCTCAGCCACAGGACTTGGAACAGGTTTCTTAAGCTTTCTGAACCTCTGTTCTTTTGTGATTAAAGATTGCTGTGAGGATTAAACAAAAGTAACAAAGACGAAGGGAATGTGTCTTTGGCAAACTGTAAAGTTTGTTGCACACAGCTGGACTATCTGAGGAACTCAGCCAAACCAGCTTTGGAAGAAAATCACCCTTTATTTAAAAATCAAACCACCCATTTTCAGGTTGAGTGATTTTATCAGTAACCCCATAGTAGACATTAAAAAGAACAGGAATGTCCTGTCATTATTATAATAATAACTACAATAATATCTTTCATTTGTGGAATTTTACAGTGTTTGTTTTCACTGCATTTTATTGAGGTTGTACATTATTTTGATGGACTGAGCACTTCTGTGTTGATTCACTTATAAGGAAGCCTGGGCAGTTTGGGAAGCCTCTTTTCTGAAGAGCTTTCCCTTTTTAAAATGAGTCATGGTCATTAAAACTGAAGCCAAGCAGCATAGAGTATGGCCGTGTATGTTAAGGGCACTGAGTCAACAAAATCACCAAAGCTATTCAAATATCTGAAAAGTTCATCCAGTTGCCCTCTAAAAAGCAGGAAGTGAGTGAGAAGAATAGAGAATGTTTTGTTTAATCCATGACCATAATCAACCTACTGTCCAGAGTTAATAATCTTTAAAAGCCAAAGACACATCCGCAGAAGAATATTACCTTTACACTCTTCCCCTACTACAGCTCCCATGGAATGCCCATAGCCTCTGGAAGCAGGAGAGTGTTCTCTGCCCAGTGTCTGCTATCAGTTAAAATTAGGTATGGCTGCAATAGAAACCTGAAAAACCAATGGCTAAAGTGAAATTAAAAAGTGTTTCTCTATCAAGTAACATTCCAGAGGTAGACAGCACCACTCTGACACATTCATGGCCTGGGCTCAACCTCATGGTCCACCAACAGCAGCTAGAGTACTGGCTCTTCCAACTGCATTCCAGCAAGTACAATGGAGAAGGGACAAAGGCAAGGAGGTGGGGACGGTGGAGAGTGCAAGCTTCCTGCCTTTCAAAGAATGCTTTTAGGAGCTTCCATACAACAATTCTGTTCATATCCCATGGACCTGAACATAGGAACATGACCAACTTAGCAATAAGGGAGACTGGAAAACGAAGTCTTCATAATGGGCAACCATGTTCCCAGCTTAAAGTCAGGGGTTCTAGAAGAAGGTGAAGTGCAAACTAGGGAGCGACCAGCAGTCTCCACCCATATCTTTCATACTTTGACTCTGCTTTCACAATCCTTTTTGCCAGGTGACACAAATGAGGTCATCTCCAAGTCTTGGTTCAACTACATGAAACCAGGAAGTTTCTCTGTGGCCTGAGCTATTCTGAGGACCTTGGACTGTGCCACCCAAAAAAACACCACCTCACTTTCGTGGAACACACAGCTGTGTTATGGGAATGACAGAGTAGTTAGAACCCTACCCTTACCTTCAAAGAGCTGACCTCCTACTGTAGTCCTTCTCAATTTCTCATGAGAAGACATCACCAGCTCAAAGCTCAGGGCTGACAACAGCCAGAAACCCAATCCAAACAAAATAAGGAACTAGGCCAAAAAGAGACTTACTAGAGTGTTAAAGGAAATGTAAGACAAGAGGAGTGGCTGGCAAGATGGCCGAATAGGAAAAGCTCCGGTCTGCAGCTCCCAGTGAGATCAATGCAGAAGGTGGGTGATTTCTGCATCTCCAACTGAGGTACCGGCTCATCTCATTGGAACTGGTTAGACAGTGGGTGCAGCTCGCAGAGGGCAAGCCAAAGCAGGGTGGGGCATCGTCTCACCTGGGAAGCACAAAGAGACGGGGAACTCCCTCCTCTAGCCAAGGGAAGCCATGAGGAACTGTGCCATGCGGAATGGTGCATTCTGGCCCAGATACTATGCTTTTCCCACAGTCTTCATAGCCCGCAGACCAGGAGATTCCCTCTGGTGCCTACACCACCAAGGCCCTGGGTTTCAAGCACAAGACTGGGCGGCCATTTGGGCAGACACCAAGCTACCTACAGGAGTTTTTTTCATATCCCAGTGGCGCCTGGAACGCCAGCAAGACAGAACCATTCACTCCCCTGGAAAGGTGGCTGAAGCCAGGGAGCCAAAGGGGGCTGAAGCCAGGGAGCCAAGTATTCTAGCTCAGTGGATCCCACCCCCATGGAGCCCAGCAAGCAAAGATCCACTGGTTTGAAATTCTCAATGCAGGCGCAGCAGTCTGAAGTCAACCTGGGACACTTGAGCTTGATGGGGGCAGGGGCGTCTGCCATTACTAAGGCTTGAGTAGGCAGTTTTCCCCTTACAGTGTAAACAAAGCCACCAGGAAGTCCAAACTGGGCAGAGCCAACCGGAACACCACAAAACCACTGTAACCAGACTGCCTCTCTAAATTCCTCCTCTCTGGGCAGGACATCTCTGAAAGAAAGGCAGCAGCCCCAGTCAGGGGCTTATAGATAAAACTCCTGTCTCCCTGGGACAGAGCACCTGGAGGAAGGGTGGCTATGGGCACAGCTTCAGCAAACTTAAACATTCCTGTCTGTCAGCTCTGAAAAGAGCAGTGGATCTCCCAGCACAGTGCTTGAGCTCTGCTAAGAGACAGACTGCCTCCTCAAATGGGTCCCTGATCCCTGTGCCTCCTGACAGGGAGACACCTCCCAGCAGGGATTGACAGACACCTCATACAGGAGAGCTCCAGCTGGCATCTGGCGGGTGCCCCTCTGGGATGACGCTTCCAGAGGAATGAACAGGCAGCAATCTTTGCTGTTCTGCAGCCTCTGCTGGTGACACCCAGACAAACAGGGACTGGAGTGGGCCTCCAGCAAACTCCAGCAGACCTGCAGCAGAAGGACCTGACTGTTAGAAGGAAAACTAACAAACAGAAAGGAATAGCGTCAACATCAACAAAAAGGACGTCCACACAAAAATCCCACCCAAAGGTCACCAACACCAAAGACCGAAGGTAGATAAACCACAAAGATGAGGAAAAACCAGCACAAAAAGGCTGAAAATTCCAAAAACCAGAACGTCTCTTCTCCAAAGGATCACAACTTCTCGCCAGCAAGGGAACAAAACTGGACAGAAAATGAGTTTGACGAATTGACAGAAGTAGGATTCAGAAGGTGGGTAATAACAAACTCCTCTGAGCTAAAGGAGCATGTTCTAACCCAATGCAAGATAGCTAAGAACCTTGAAAAAAGGTTAGAGGAATTGCTAACTAGAATAACCAGTTTAACGAAGAATATAAATGACCTGGAGGAGCTGAAAAACACAACGCAAGAACTTCGTGAAGCATACCCAAGTATCAATAGCTGAATTGATCAAGTGGAAGAAAGGATATCAGAGATTAAAGATCAACTTAATGAAATAAAGCATGAAGCAAGATTAGAGAAAAAAGAATGAAAATGAACGAACAAAGCCTCCAAGAAATATGAGGCTGTGAGAAAAGACCAAACCAACATTTGATTGGTGTACTGAAAGTGACAGGGAGAATGGAACCAAGTTGGAAAACACTTTTCAGGATATCATCCAGGAGAACTTCCCCAACCTAGCAAGAACGTTCAAATTCAGGAAATACAGAGAACACCACAAAGATACTCCTCGAGAAGAGCAACCTCAAGACACATAATTGTCAGATTCACCAAGGTTGAAATAAAGGAAAAATTGTTAAGGGAAGCCAGAGAGAGAAAGGTCAGGTTACCCACAAAGGGAAGCCCATCAGACTAACAGCAGGTCTCTCTGCAGAAACTCTATAAGCCAGAAGAGAGTGGGGGCCAATATTCAACATTCTTAAAGAAAAGAATTTTCAACCCAGAATTTCATATCCAGCTGAATTAAGCTTCATAAGCAAGGGAGAAATAAAATCCTCTACAGACAAGAAAATGTTGAGAGATTTTGTCACCAGCAGGCCTGCCTTACAAGAGCTCCTGCAGGAAGCACTAAACGTGGAAAGGAACAACCGGCACCAGCCACTGCAAAAACATACCAAATTGTAAAGACCATCAACACTATGAAGAAACTGCATCAACTAACAGCCAAAATAACCAGCTAGCATAATATTGACAGAATCAAATTCACACATAACAATATTAACCTTAAATGTAAAAGGGCTACATCCCCCAATTAAAAGACACAGACTGGCAAATTGGATAAAGAGTCAAAGCCCATCACTGTGTTGTATCCAAGAGAACCATCTCATGTGCAAAGACACACATAGGCTCAAAATAAAGGGATGGAAGAATATTTACCAAGCAAATGGAAAGCAAAAAAAAAGCAGGGTGGCAATCCTAGTCTCTGATAAAACAGGCTTTAAACCAACACAGATCAAAAGAGACAAAGAAGGGCATTACATAATGGAAAATGAATCAATGCAACCAGAAGAGCTAACTATCCTAAATATGTATGCACCCAACACAGGAGCACCCAGATTCATAGAGCAAGTTCTTAGAGACCTACAAAGAGAATTAGACTCCCATACAATAGTAGTGGGTGTCTTTAACACCCCACTGTCAATATTAGACAGATCAGCAAGACAGAAAATTAACAAAGATATTAAGGACTTGAACTCAGCTCTGGACCAAGCATACCTAACAGATACAGAACTCTGCACCCCAGATCAACAGAATATACATTTTTCTCAGCACCACATCACACTTATTCTAAAATTGACCACACAGTTGGAAGTAAAACACTCTCCAGCAAATGCAAAAGAACAGAAATCATAACAAACAGTCTCTCAGACCACAGTGCAATAAAATTAGAACTCAGGATTAAGAAACTTACTCAAAACCACACAACAATATAGAAACTGAACAACCTGCACCTGAATGGCTACTGGTAAATAACGAAATTAAAGCAGAAATAAATAAGCTCTTTGAAACCGATGAGAATGCAACATACCAGAATCTCTGGGACACAGCTAAAGCAGTGTTTAGAGGGAAGTTTATAGCACTAAATGCCCACAGGAGAAAGCAGGGAAGATCTAAAATTGACACCCTAACATCACAATTAAAAGAACTAGAGAAGCAAGAGCAAACAAATTCAAAAGCTAGCAGCAGACAAGAAATATCTACAATCAGAGCAGAACAAAAGGAGATAGAGACATGAAAAAGCCTTGAAATAAATCAATGAATCCAGGAGCTGATTTTTTGAAAAGATTAACAAAATAGACCGCTAGCCAGACTAAAGAAGAAAAGTGAGAAGCATCAAATAGACACAGTAAAAAATGATAAAAGGGATACCACCACTGATCCCACAGAAATACAAACTACCATCAGAGGATACTATAAACAGCTCTACGCAAATAAACTAGAAAATCTAGAAAAAATTGATAAATTCCTGGACACATACACCCTCCCAAGACTAAACCAGAAAGAAATCAATCCCTGAATAGATCAATAAGTTCTGAAGTTGAGGCAGTAATTAATAGCCTACCAACTAAAAAAGCCCGGGACCAGAAGGATTCACAGCCAAATTCTACCAGAGGTACAAAGAGGAGCTGGTACCATTCCTTCTGAATCTATTCCAAACAATAGAAAAAGAGGGACTCCTCCCTAACTCATTTTATGGGGCCAGCATCATCCTGATAACAAAACCCAGAAGAGACACAACAAAAAAAGAAAATTTCAGGCCAATATCCCTGATGAACATTGATGTGAAAATCCTCAATAAAATACTGGCAAACCAAATCCAGCAGCACATCAACAAGCTTATCCAACATGATCAGGTCGGCTTCATCCCTGGGATGCAAGGCTGGTTCCACATACGCAAATCAATAAATGTAATCCATCACATAAACAGAACCAATGACAAAAACCACATGATTATCTCAATAGATGCAGAAAAGACCTTCAATAAAATTCCACACCCCTTCATGCTAAAAACTCTCAATAAACTAGGTATTGATGGAATGTATCTCAAAATCATAAGAGCTATTCATGACAAACCCACAGCCAATATTATACTGAATGGGCAAAAGCTGGAAGCATTCCCTTTGAAAACTGGCATCACACGAGGATGCCCTCTGTCACCACTCCTATTCAACATAGTATTGGAAGTTTCTGCCAGGGCAATCAGGCAAGAGAAAGAAATAAAGCGTACTCGAATAGGAAGAGAGGAAGTCTAATTGCCTCTGTTTCAGATGACATGATTGTATATTTAGAGAACCCCATTGTCTCAGCCCAAAATCTCCTTAAGCTGATAAGCAAAGTCTCAGGATACAAAATCAATGTCCAAAATCACAAGCATTTCTATACACCAATAATAGACAAACACAGAAGAAAATCATGAGTGAACTCCCATTCACAATTGCTACAAAGAGAATAAAATACCTAGGAATACAACTTACAAGGGATGTGAAGGACCTCTTCAAGGAGAACTATAAACCACTGCTAAAGGAAATAAGAGAGGACACAAACAAATGGAAAGACATTCCATGCTCATGGATAGGAAGAATCAATATCATGAAAATGGCCATACTGCCCAAAGTAATTTATAGATTCAGTGCTATCCCCATCAAGCTATCATTGACTTTCTTCACAGAATTAGAAAAAACTACCTTAAATTTCATATGGAACCAAAAAAGAGCTTGTATAGCCAAGCAAAGCCTAAGCAAAAAGAACAAAGCTGGAGTCATCATGTTACCTGACTTCAAACTATACCACAAGGCTATAGTGACCAAAACAGCATGGTAGTGGTACCAAAACAGATATATAGACCAATGGAGCAGAACAGAGGCCTCAGAAATAACACCACACATCCACAACCATCTGATTTTTGACAAACCTGGCAAAAACTAGCAATGGGGAAAGGAGCCTCTATTTAATAAATGGTGCTGGGAAACTGGCTAGCCATGTGCAGAAAACTGAAACTGGACCCCTTCCTTACACCTTATACAAAAGTTAACTCAAGATGGATTAAAGACTTAAACGTAAGATTTAAAACCATAAAAACCCTAGAAGAAAACCTAGGCAATACCATTCAGGATATAGGCATGGGCAAATACTTCATGAATGAAACACCAAAAGCAATGGCAACAAAAGCCAAAACTGACAAATGGGATTTAACTAAACTAAAGAACTTCTGCACAGCAAAACAAACTATCATCAGAGTGATCCCCTCCCAAGGATATCATCAGGCATACTAAAGAACGGGAGAAAAATTTTGCAAGCTATCCATCTGACAAAGGGCTAATATCCAGAATCTATAAGGAACTTAAACAAATTTACAAAAACAAACAAACAACTTCAACAAAAAGTGGGCAAAGGATATAAACAGACACTTTTCAAAAGAAGACATTTATGCGGCCAAGAAACATATAGAAAAAAGCTCATCATCACTGGTCATTAGAGAAATGCAAATCAAATCACAGTGAGATGCCATCTCACTCTAGTTAGAATGGCAATCATTAAAAAGTCAGGAAACAACAGGTGCTGGAGAGGATGTGGAGAAATAGGAATGCTTTTACACTGTTGGTGGGAGTGTAAATTAGTTCAACCACTGTGGAAGACAGTGTGGTGATTCCTCAAGGATCTAGAACCAGAAATACCATGTGACCCAGCAATCCATCAATGGGTATATACCCAAAGGATTATAAATCATTCTACTATAAAGACACATGCACACATACGTTTATTGCAGCACTATTCACAATAGCAAAGACTTGGAACCAACTCAAATGCCCATCAATGATAGACTGGATAAAGAAAATGTGGCACATATACACCATGGAATACTATGCAGCCATAAAAAAGGATGAGTTTGTGTCCTTTGCAGGGACATGGATGAAGCTGGAAACCATCATTCTCAGCAAACTAACACAGGAACAGAAAACCAAACACCACATGTTCTCACTCATAAGTGGGAGTTTAACAATGAGAACACACGGACACAGGGAGGGGAACATCATACACCGTGGCCTGTCAGGGGGTTGGGGGTTAATGGAGGGATAGCATTAGGAAAAATACCTAATGTAGATAATGGGTTGACGGCTGCAGCGAACCACCATGGCACGTGTGTACCTATGTAACAAACCTGCACGTTCTGCACATGTATCCCAGAACTTAAAGTATAATAAAACAAAAGAAAAAAAAAAGTAAGACAAGAAAATGTGCCTGGGTCCTAGGAGGACTAGGATCTGGCCCCACAAAGCCAGGTAAGCTCTCCCTCTGTGTGTGCATCCTTCTTGCTGTGGCAGGCTTTTTCCATAGAAGGTGACTGCCATCAGCTTCTGGGCTTTCTCTCTGACCGTTTCAGCACTGAAGAGAGACACTGGCCAAACGTTGTCACTGGTGCAAAGTCAGGAGACACACAGGAACAGATGCATTGGTCCAGTTTCATCAGCTGCTTATGCTCTGATAATCAGGTGTGCCCAGGTGGGCAGGGCAGCAGAGCCACATGGCTGGGGCAGGAGAAGACCTGTTCCTACAAACAGTTAGCTCGTGGGACCGATTAGAATAACCAGGTATCCATGGCAACAGTCATTCTCCAAGCACCAATGACTGGTTTTCACAACACGTAGAAATATTCTGGGAAACAGCCAAAGATCAACTGTTACTACTGAGCACTCACTCATGTGGCTCTGCTCGCTCAATTTCCAGAGCCCCAGCAAACATCTGTAACTGCTTACGTTACCTGAAGAGATAGGCTCTTTGCCCACAGCTCCAAAGAACAGACATGTGAGCCCCTTCCGAGAAATGCTGGCCTTGCCCCGAGAAGGATGCATCTTCAAATCAGCAAAGCATCAAACACCCAAGAAAGTATCTCATTGGATTTTACGTAGAAAGTAAAGGGGACTCCGTGGACCAGAGTGAGATTACACCCTAACTGGCCTGGTTATTGGCTCCTTTGCTTAATAGATAACAAGAGCTGACCTTGGGGACAGGCTGGCTCCACGTTGTGCTGTGCACAGGCCGGCTCCCGAGAGCTCGGGGCTCGTGACAGGTGACTATAACATCTAAGCACTTTCAAAGGCAGCGCATCTGCCTGCTCGAGGGTGAAGAAGATTTACAGATACACGTGCCAATGATTTTCAGAACGAACCCCAGTAGAATCTGTGGCCAGCAGAATAATCTTCCCCCTCCCAAGGATGTCACACCCTGATCTCTGGAAGCTGTGGCAAGAGGGACTTTGCAGATATAATTGAAGGCATAAATCTTGGAGTGGGAGATCATCCTAGATGATCCAGGTGGGCCCAGTCTAATCACAGGAGTCCTTAAAATTGGACAATCTTTCCTAGCTTTGGTCAGAGACAAGAGGAAAATAATCAAGACAGATTCAATGCATGAGAGGGAGTCAGCCCACCAATGCCGGCTTTGAAAACGGAGGAAAAGGCTACAAGCCATGGAATTCAAGTAGCTTCTAGAAGCTGGGAGTAGACCTCAACTGATAGCCAGCAGGGGAACAGAGATCCAGGATCTCCTGAAGCCTACAGAAAGGAGCGCAGCCCTGTGACACCTGATTGTAGCCTGCTGAGATCTGTGTCAGACTTCCAGCCTACAGAATTGTAAAATAATTTGTGTTTAAGCTGCTAAATTATTGGTGATTTGTTACAGCTGCAATGAAAAATGAATGCAGAGTCTTCACCTTTCCTGTACACACTCGAGGACAAGAATAAAAAGGTAAACATCATCAGGAAGAGTTTAATATTCACAGAGCACCAATTATTGGAGCCCTAGCTAGCTTCACCCCTTCATTATCAGACTGAGAGAAGCCAAAGGCATCAAGCAGAAATGAATTTATCCCACATTTTCTGGAGAACGTAGATTCCCAGCATGTATAAATCATGCCTAAAAAATTAATCACTCAATAAACCAATGACAGAAGGAAAGGTCTTGCAAAAAAATAACACAAGGCCGGGCACAGTGCTTATGCCTAAAATCCCAGCACTTTGGGAGGTTGAGGTGTGTGGATCGCTTGAGCTCAAGAGTTCCTGACCAGCCTGGCCAACGTGGCTAAACCCCATCTCTACAAAAAATACAAAAATGCAAAAATTAGCGGGGCATGGTGGTGTGCACCTGTAGTCCCAGCTACTCAGGAGGCTGAGGTGGGAAGATCACTTGAGCCTGGGAGGTCAAGGCTACAGTGAGCCATGATCACTCCACTGCACTCCAGCCTAGGCGACAGAGTGAGGCCCTGTCTCAAAAAGAATAAAATAAGATAAAATAAAATAAAACAAAACAAAATAAAACAGGTTGTACCTCTCTGAAGCTTTTGCTTTCTTTCCCTTTGACTTGCTGTCTAAATTTTTTCAGGTCAGGCTCATGGACCCACTCTAATTAAGACAATTCTGTGATCTGCCCAATATTCCTCTGCTTACATCAGCCAGAGATGGCTTCTAGGGCTTTCAACTAAGATCTCTGACCCACATGTTATCCTAGAGAAACAGAGGGTGATCTTCATTTGTGAATACTCCACATGTAATTCCAATGAACAGAAAGCAATGAACAAAAGTTAATCATTCATTACAAAGAAAATTCCCTACATCTTAGGACACATGCAAAGCATAGTGGATATCGGAAGCGATAATATGGGTTGATTAGGAAGAGACGATGTTGTCATCAGAAATATCCAGACAAAATTCAGGTAACGCACATAGAAGTGTGGGTGGGGAAGGGAACATAGGAAAATAAGACATAAAGTGAGTTAGCTATTACCTTCACGTATGGGAAAGAAAGTCTTCAATGGCAGCATATATGTATGTAATTGCTTTTTCTACTATATGTGCGATTTTTACATCATATCCTAATTGAAATAAAAGGTCTCTGTTTTCCTGAGCAGAATCCACTCCACCTGAGTAAGTTTCATGGCATGCACTCTGCAGGCCCATAAAATATGGAAGAACTTACATTTAATTTTTTTTTTTTGAGACAGTCTCCCTCTGCCACCCATGCTGGTGTGCAGTGGCATGATCTCAGCTCACTGCAACCTCTGCCTCCCGGGTTGAAGCGATTTCTGTGCCTCAGCATCCTGAGTAGTTGGGACTACAGGCACACACCACCATGCCTGGCTAATTTTTGTATTTTTAGTATTTTAAACCCCATCTGGTCTCGAACTTCTGACCTCAAGTGATCCGCCTGCCTCAGCCTTCCAAAGTGCTGGAATTACAGGTGTGAACCACTGCACCTGGCCTAAATTTGTATTTTAAAAAGTTTATCTGACCCTGTGTAATTGTCAGTGTTTTACAGGTAGTGTATCAGGGTGCCAGAAGCACACCTACAGGCTTACCTAGTATTGGTCCTTATTTTCTAGGACCTCTTGACCAAGGGACTCACACTTTAGAAGAAGCCTGCCTCTCCCTAATCTTCAAGTAGGACATTCCCCTCCTGAGGGGGCGGAGCTCCAACCAGAGCCCACACGGCTGCAACACCTCCTTGCTTGTCCTACACTCATCACTGCGCAAAAATGGCAAAATGACAAAAGTGAATAAAAATGACCAGAGGATACAAGCAAAATTCTGAAAAAAGCACCAGCTGCCATCCTTTTGTGCCCTCATCCCCTCCAACATGCCCAGGGCCTTTCCCTGTCCATCCTGTCAGATAAAGCTGGCTTCATGAGGCTCGAAAGTCTTGCCTTCTGGATGATTAAGAGGGCAGGGAGATTGAAAGAGGGATATAAAGAAAAGCCTCTATACCAAAAATGGGGTGTTTCTTTCCCTGTTTTATCTCCCTCCATAAATTTTAAAACAGACATAAGAAAGAGGCCTCTTAATAATTGAGCCCAAATTCAGTCACATCTATCCAGGAGGAAACGGTACTTGAGTGCTCACTCATTTCAGAACGAGTAAGTCCCTGAAGGTTTGCTGAAAATCTTCGTCTCCACCTCACTGTTCAACAACTAAGCACCAGCAAAGGCAGGTCAAATCAGTCACCCACGACAATTTTAAAATGCATCCCTTGCCAGGAAACACCAGCCCTGTAGCTACTGTCTCGATTATACTGCACTCAAATTGCCACCGAGATCATACTGGCCAGGATGGCTTTTAGATCAGTTCTCAACATCCCCTGTACACTTAGGACCTCACCTCCCACCATCTCTCTTCACCTCTTCTCAACAGTGAGAAAAACAAAAATACTAAACATATTCATTCCATCCCCGAAGTATTAATTATGAAACCATATTTCACAGCTGTTGCTAAACCATCTCTGCTTTCCCATAAGTGGCTCCCTTTAGAAAAACCAGAAAATCCTTGCTGTTATTCCTCAGATCACAGAACAGCAGTCCCCAAACTGCTCCTTTATCGACGGAGCACCAGGAGAAAAACAGAGCTCACTAACAAGGAACTCACTTCGGCACACTTCACTGGAGACTTACCCAGGCGAGCTGTGTGGGTTTTAGGAGACAGAACAGCAGTCCGTCCTTCACTGGAGCAAGGCATGGCATTGTGGATTTGAAGTAAAAGAATTCAAGCTACAGCTCCATCACTTTCTTTATGAGTCGTGAAATCATGTCATCTTTCCCATCCTTGCCGACCGCCAAAAGAGGCTCATACCCACCTCAAGGATTAGATGGATACATATAAAAGGATTTTGAAGCTGTAGGTGGTGTACAAATGAAGGCATGACATTAAAAAAATCCTTTTTCACTTTACATCAGTGCTGCCTACTCTCAGTGTATAAATTCTCAAAATAAAATCTGTTTCTTTTCACTTCAATTTTTAAAAATCTGTTTTATCTGCCTTGCCTCTGGCCTTTGAAGCCTGCCTGACACTCTTTGAGTCCAAGACACACAGGCTAGCTGCAGACACCTCCTCTCTGGACTTCTTTTCTTTTCAATACTCTGTATTGACAGTAAACACTCTGGAGTCCTTCTTCCCTCCATACCTCTTTTCCTAGATTTCCTTGCTCTTCCATTCCAACTTCACTCCTGCCTTGCACTTTGATGCTTGTCTATTCAGAAGGTATTTTTTGAGTGTCTGTTATGTGCCAGGCACAACCGTCAAAAATTTCTGCCCCCGCCAACGCCCTGCAGCTCACCGTGTGATTTATTCCTGATTTCCTGATGTTAGAATCTTGGCTTTTCTCAGATGGGTTCTGACTAGCCTGGTGCTGACATGATTTTGTGTTTGAGCTTCAACTGTCAATTCCATCATCAAGAAGGAGTTCAAGACGATCCTGGCCAACATGGTAAATAAAACCCTGTTCTCTACTAAAAATACAAAAAATTAGCTGGGTGTGGTGGTGTGCGCCTGTAATCCCAGCTACTCACGAGGCTGAGGCACGAGAATCGCTTAAACCTGGGAGGCAGAAGTTGCAGTGAGAGGAGAGCAGCCACTGCACTCCAGCCTGGGCAACAGAGACTCTGCCTCGGAAAGGGGAAAAAAAAAGGAAGAAAAGAGAAGGAGATTTGCGTATAAATGCCTATGGAACTTTCTAGAAATCAATCAGAACTTTCTAGAAATCAATCAGGTTCAAAAGAAAAAAGTAGTAAATGACAAGTAGGCACAGAAACACAAAAAATATAGGAATTTCAGTTGTCACAGCCTCTTTCATGGACTCTCACTGGCTTCCACCATCAAAAATGGTCAAGGTAACCTCAGCAACTTTCCATTCTCTCCTCTAGGCTGAAACCTCACCTGTGTCCCCTTCCCTCTGTGGTGATGTTGGATGCACCCATTATGTCCACCATGGCTGTGCTCCCTCCAGAACCATTTAGAAGATTAGAGAGAAAAACAAAACAAAACAAAATGCTTTTAAAGCAGAGGTTTCAAGTAATTGAAACAGCAGATTGACTCGTGTTCAGTTTCCATTTCCAGCAGTTTTGATGCACTGTCTCTATCCACGAATGATAGTTTGGGATTAAAAAAAATAAGTAAAAAGCTTCATTTGTGGTACCAGCTTGAAAATTTGCACCTAGATGGTAGATTTTGTTGGTTTGCTTTTTCTACGCACTTTAAAATATTTTTAGTTTGGCATAATGTTCACTTAAAAAAAAAAGTGCAGAATTTCCAAGTTAGGTTGGAAACCAGCTGGTGATTAGATCTAACGGTCCCAACCAATAAATCAAATACCTATGAAAGCAAAAATATCCAAAGTTACAGTAACACTGTAAACAGAAAATTAATAATCTAACATTCTCCAGGAGGAATTTATACCAACCAGAGCATCTGTTCCAGATGAAGCCCTGGAGCAGAAGAGCAGAGAAAGGAAGTTAAAAGGGATTTCTGTACCACTTCCCATCACTGCAAATCTCCATTTCAGAGACATTACAGGCTTTGCTGCCTGTAAAGCTGTGGCCACTCTCCTGCTGTAATGAAGCCACTTTCTGAAATGGCTATTGTTTGTTTCTTACTTTAGTAGTAATTAGTGCTATCTACCAAATATTTCTCTCTCTCTCTCTCTCTCTCCCCTAAGCATATGACAGAATTAAACTTCTCACCACCTTAAGATTATGTATAACCATATACCTTGCTTTGGCCAGATAAAAGTGGTATGTGTCACTTCTGGAAAGAAGTTTTAACACCAGTGCATGAGTACCTTTATTCTTTTCCCTCTGCTAAAGTGGTCAGATGCTCTCCAGATTGCAGCTGCTCCAACCACCTGGGTCTTGGAGTGACCTTGCTCACCTATGATGGACACTCAGCAGGAGTGAGAAATAAATCTATCATGTTAAGGCACTGAGAGCTGGGTTTGTTTGTTACTGCAGCATAACCTAGCCCATGCTGACTTGCATTCATATCTCCTAAGCTAGGGTTGCCAGATCTTCCTCAATCAAAATATAATCCCCCAGTGGATGTGAGGATAGAAAATATGCATTTCACTTTTTAAGAAATTAGAAGTATTTACATTTGAAAACATTTGCATTTTTGAAACAATTCTTTTGTTAAATAATAACTACATAGAGCAAGAGATGGTAAATTTTTCTTCTATTTTATTTTATTTTTCCATAAGTTATTGGGGTACAGATGGTATTTATTTACATGACTAAGTTCTTTAGAGGTGATTTGTGAGATTTTGGTGCACCCATCACCTGAGCAGTATACACTGCACCATATATGTTGTCTTTTATCCTTGGCCCACCTCCCACTCTTCCCCTCAGGTCCCCAAAGTATATTGTATCATTCTTCTGCCTTTGTATCCTCATAGCTCAGCTCCCACATATCAGTGAGAACATACTATGTTTGGTTTTCCATTCCTGAGTTATGTCACTTAGAATAATAGTCTCCAATCTCATCCAGATCACTGCAAATTCTGTTAGTTCATTCCTTTTTATGGCTGCATAGTATTCCATCATATATAACATAGTTTGTCCACTCGTTGATTGATGGGCATGTGGGTTGGTTCCATGATTTTGCAATTGTGAATTGTGCTGCTATAAACATGTGTGTGCAAGTATCTTTTTTGAATAATGACTTCTTTTCCTCTGGGTAGATGGTCAGTAGTGGGATTGCTGGATCAAATGGTAGATCTACTTTTAGTTCTTTAAGGAATCTCCACACTGTTTTCCATAGTGGCTGTACTAGTTTACATTCCCACCAGCAGTGTAGAAGTGTTCCCTGTTCACCACATTCACGCCAACATCTACTGTTTTTTTATATTTTATTATGGCCATTCTTGCAGGAGTAAGGTGGTATCACATTGTGGTTTTCATTGGCATTTCCCTGATCATTAGTGATGTTGAGCATTTTTTCATATGTTTTTTGGCCATTTACATATCTTCTTTTGATAATTGTCTGTTCACATCCTTAGCCCACTTTTTGATGGGCTTGTTTTTTTCCTATTGATTGGTTTGAGTTCATTGTAGATTCTGGATTTTAGTCTTTTGTCAGATGTATCGATTGTGAAGATTTTTCTCCCACTCTGTGGGTTTTCTGTTTACTCTGCTGACTGTTCTTTTTGCCATGCAAAAGATCTTTAGTTTAATTAGGCCCCAGCTATTTATCTTTGTTTTTATTGCATTTGCTTTTGGGTTCTTGGTCATGAAATCCTTGCCTAAGCCAATGTCTAGAAGGGTTTTTCCAAGGTTAACTTCTAGAATTTTTATAGTTTCGGGTCTTGGGTTTAACTCTTTAATCCATCTTGAGTTGATTTTTGCATAAACTGAGAGATGAGGATCCAGTTTCATTCTCCTACATGTGGCTAGCCAATTATCCCAGCACCATTTGTTGAAAAGGGTGTCCTTTCCCCACTTTATGTTTTTCTTTGCTTTGTCAAAGATCAGTTGGCTGTAAGTATTTGAGTCTATTTCTGGGTTCTCTATTCTCTTCCATTGGTCTATGTGCCTATTTTATATCAGTACCATGCTGTGTTGATGACTATGGCCTTATAGTATAGTTTGAAATCAGGTAGTGTGATGCCTCCAGATTTGTTCTTTTTGCTTAGTCTTGCTTTGGCTATGTGGGCTCTTTTTTTGTTCCATATACATTTTAGAATTTTTTTTCTAATCCTGTGAAGAATGATGGTGGTGTTCTGATGGGGATTGCATTGAATGTATAGATTGCATTTGGCAGTATGGTCATTTTCACAATATTGATTCTACCCATCCATGAGCATGTTCCATTTGTTTGTGTCATCTATGATTTCTTTCAGCATTGTTTTGTAGTTTTCCTTGTAGAGGTCTTTCAATTCCTTTGTTAGGTATATTCCAAAGTATTGTATTGTATTGTATTGTATTGTATTGTATTGTATTGTATTGTATTGTATTGTATTGTATTGTATTGTATTGTATTTATTTTATTGGCAGCTATTGTAAAAGGGGTTGAGTTCTTGATTTGATTCTCCACTTGGTCACTGCTGATGTATAGAAGAGCTAGTGATTTGTGTACATTAATCTTGTATCCAGAAAGTTTGTTGAATTATTTTATCAGTTCTAGGAGCTTTCTAGAGGAGTCCTTAGGGTTTTCAAGGTAAACAATCATATCGTCAGTAAACAGGGACAGTTTGACTTCCTCTTTACCAATTTGGATGCACTTTCTTTCTCTTGTCTGATTGCTCTGGCTAGGATTTCCAGTACTGTGTTGAAGAGGAGCGGTGAAAGTGGACATCCTTGTCTTGTTCCAGTTCTCGGGGGGAATGTTTTCAACTTTTCCCCATTCAGTATTATGTTGGCTGTGGGTTTGTCATAGATGGCTTTTATTACATTAAGGTATCTATCCCTTGTATGCCAATTTTGCTGAGAGTTTAATCATAAAGCGATGCTGGATTTTGTCAAATGCTTTTTCTGCATCTATTGAAATTATCATGTGATTGTTGTTTTTAATTCTGTTTATGTGGTGTATTACATTTATTGACTTGCATATGTCAAACCATCCCTGCATCCGTGGTATGAAACTCACTTGATCATGGTGAATTATCTTTTTGATATGTTGTTGGATTTGGTTAGCTAGTATTTTGTTAAGGATTTTAGCATCTATGGTCATAAAAGATACCAGTCTGTAGCTTTCTTTTTCGGTTATGTCCTTTCCTGGTTTTGGTATTAGGGTGATGCTGGCTTCACAGAATGAATTAGGGAGGGTTCCTTCTCTATCTTGTGGAATAGTGTCAAAAGGATTGGTACCAATTCTTCGTTGAATGTCTGGTAGAATTCTGTTGTGAATCCGTCTGCTCCCGGACTTTTTTGTTGGTACTGTTTTAATTACCATTTCAATCTCTCTGCTTGTTATTGGTCTGTTCAGGGTATCTAATTCTTACTGATTCAAGCTAGGAGGGTTGTATTTTTCCAGGAATTTATCCATCTCTTCTAGGTTTTCTAGTGTATGTGCATAAAGGTGTTCCTAGTAGCTTTGAGTGATCTTTTGTATTTCAGTGGTGTCAGTTGTAATATCTCCTGTTTAGTTTCTTGGTGAGGTTATATGGATTTTCTCTCTCCTTTTCTTGGTTAATCTTGCTAATGGTCTATCAATTTTATTTATCTCTTCAAAGAACCAGATTTTGTTTCATTTATCTTTTGTATTTGTTTGTTTGTTTTGATTTCATTTAGTTCTGCTCTGATCCTGGTTATCTCCTTTCTTCTGCTAGGTTTGGATTTGGTTTGTTCTTGTTTCTCTAGGTCCTTGAGGTGTGACCTCAGATTGTCTGTTTGTGCTCTTTCAGACTTTTTGATGTAGGTATTTAGGGCTATGAGCTTTCCTCTTAGCACCACCTTAGCTGTATCCCAGATGTTTTGATAGGCTGTGTCATTATTGTCATTCAGTTCAAAGAATTTTTTAATTTCCATCTTGATTTCATTTTTGACCCAATGTTCATTCAGGAGCAGGTTATTTAATTTCCATGTATTTGCATGATTTTGAAGGTTCCTTTTGGAGTTAACTTGCAGTTTTATTCCACTGTGGTCTGAGAGAGTGCTTGATATAATTTTAATTTTCTTAAATTCATTGAGGCTCATTTTATGGCCTGTCACATGGTCTATCTTGGAGAAAGTTCTATGTGCTGTTGAATAGAATGTGTATTCTGCAGTTGCTGGATGAAATGTTCTGTATATATCTGTTAAGTCCATTTGTTCCAAGTTATGGTTTAAATCCATTGTTTCTTTGTTGACTTTCTGTCTTGATGACCTATCTAGTGCTGTCATGGAATATTGAAGCCCTCCATTCTTATTGTGTTGCTGTCTATCTCATTTCTTAGCTCTATTAATAATTGTTTTATAAATTTGGGAGCTCCAGTATTAGGTGAATATATGTTTAGGATTGTGATATTTTCCATTGGACAAGGCCTTTTACCTTTATATAATGTCCCTCTTTATCTCTTGTAACAGCTGTTGCTTTAAAGTTTGTTTTGTCTGATGTAAGAATAGCTACCCCTGCTCACTTTTGGTGTCCATTTGCATGAAATGCCCTTTTCACCTCTCTACTTTAAGTTTATGTGAGTCCTTATGTGTTAGTTGAATCTCTTGAAGGCAGTAGATAGTTGGCTGGTGAGTTCTTATCCATTCTGCGGTTCTGTATCTTTTAAGTGGAGCATTTAGGCCATTTACATTCAATATTAGTATTGAAATTTGAGGTACTGTTGCTTTTGTCATGCTCTTTGTTGCCTGTGTACTTTGATTTTTGCTTTTTGTTTTTGCTTTTTAACTTGTATTTTTGTTGTACAGGTCCTGTGAGATTCGTGCTTTGAAGAGGTTCTGTTTTGATGTGTTTCCAGGACTTGTTTCAAGATTTGGAGCTCCTTTCAGCAGTTCTTGTAGTGGTTGTTTAGTTAATGGCGAACTCTCTCTACATTTGTTTGTCTGAAAATGACTGTACCTTTCCTTCATATATGATGCTTAGTTTCACTGGACACAAAATTCTTGGCTGATAATTGTTTTGCTTGAGGAGGCTAAAGATAGGTCCCCAATCCCTTCTAGCTTGTACAGTTTCTGCTGAGAAATCTGCTGTTAATCTGATAGGTTTTCCTTTATAGGTTACCTAACGCTTCTGTCTCACAGCTCTTCTTTCCTTTGTCTTAACTTTGGATAACCTAATGACAATGTGCCTAGGCAAAGATCTTTTTATGATGAATTTCCCAAGTGTTCTTTGTGCTTCTTGCGTTTGAATGTCTAGGTCTCTTGCAAGGCTGGGGAAGTTTTCCTCCATTATTCCCCTAAATATATTTTCCAGGCTTTTAGAATTCTCTTCTTTCTCAGGTACACTGATTATTCTTAGGTTTGGTCATTTAACATAATCCCAGACTTCTTGGAGGCTTTGTTAATATTTTCTTATTCTTTTTTCTTTTGTTGGATTGGGTTAATTCAAAGACCTTGTCTTCAAGCTCTGAATTTCTTTCTTCTGCTTGTTCAATTCTATTGCTGAGACTTTCCAGAGTATTTCGCATTTCTAAAAGTGTGTCCAAAGTTTCCTGAACTTTTTATTGTTTTTTTCTTTAAGCTATCTATTTCATTGAATATTTCTCCCTTCACTTCTTGTATCATTTTTTGGATTTCCTTGCATTGGTCTTTGCCTTTCTCTGGTCCCTCCCTGATTAGTTTAATAACTAACCTCCTGAATTCTTTTTCAGGCAAATCAGGGAGTCCTTTTTGGTTTAGATCTGTTGCTGGTGAACTAGTGTGATTTTTGGGGGGAGGTTGAAGAGCCTTGTTTTATTATATTACCAGAGTTGGTTTTCTGGTTACTTCTCATTTGGGTAGGCTCTGGCAGAGGGAAGGTCTAGGGCTGAAGGCTGTTGTTAAGATTCTGTTGTCCCATGGGGTGTTCCCTTGATTTATTACTCTCCCCCTTTTCTTATGGATGTGGCTTCCTGTGAGCTGAACTGCAGTGATTATTGTCTCTCTTCTGGGTCTAGCTACCCAACGAGTCTACCTGGCTCTGGGCTAGTGCAGGTCTGCACAGAGCCCTGTGATGTGAACTGTCTATGGGTCTCTCAGCCATGGATACCCATGCCTGATCTGGTGGAGGTGGTGGAGGGTGCAATGGACTCCATGAAGGTCCCTAGCTTTGGTGGTTTAATGCTCTGTTTTTGTGCTGGTTGGCCTCCTGCCAAAAGGTGGCACTCTCCAGAAAGCATCAGCTGCAGTAGTGTGGAGAGGGACTGGCGGTGGGTGGGGCCCTAGAACTCCCAAGATTATATGTCCTTTGTCTTCCACTACCAGGGTGGATAGGGAAGGACCATCAGGTGGGAGTGGGGCTAGGCGTGTCTGAGCTTAGATTCTCCTTGGGCAGGTCTTTCTGTGGCTGCTGTGGGGGATGGGGATGAGATTCCCAGGTCACTGGAGTTGTGTACCTAGGAGGATTATGGCTGCCTTTGCTGAGTCATGCAGATTGTCAGGAAAGTGGGAAAGCCGGCAGTCACAGGCCTCACCCAGCTCCCACGCAAACCAAAGGACCTGTCTCACTTCCACCGTGCCTCCACACCAAGTGCCTCCCCACCAACCACCCCAACAGCCCCGAGTCTATTTCCACGTGGAGGGTGAGATGGGCTTGAGAACTTGCCTGAGGCTATTCACCTCCCAGCTGTGAAAGAAAGGGGCTTTAGTTCTTTCCCTGCCTATGAAGTCTGCACTACCAACTGGCTCCCTCCCCCAAGTTCAGCTAAAGAATTCCTTCTCCCTGTGGAGTTTTACCCCCTGCTCCTCTGGCCACCCTCCCAATGGATCCCTGTGGTGCCAGGGAGGAATGGGCTGCATGGGAACCCAGCGAGCTCCCAGGGCCTTTCTGCTGCTTCCTCCACCCCTGTATTTCAGTCGGCTCTCTAACTTGACAGAGCTCCAGGTAAAGTCAGAAACTTCTCCCCCAAACAGACCTTCAGCTTCCCCAGTTGGGGTGTGTGTTCAGAAGAGGAGGGTCTCCCTTTCCCACTATTTGGGGTGTCTCCCCGGTCCTGCAGAAGCAGTCCACTTCCTTCAGAGGGTCTGTGGGTCCTTTCTGGATTGCTGGTTTGTTCTTGCAGAGATCTGGAGCTAAAATTCACAATGTGAGCCCCCGCATGCTGCTCTGTCCAGAGCTTCAATCTAGTCCTGCCTCCCATCTGCCATGTTCCTCTGAATCCGAGACAACAAATTTTTCTATAAAGGACCACATAGTAAATATTTTAGCCTTTCTGGACCATATGATCTTTGTTAAAAGCACTCAATCCTGCTGTTATAGCACAAAAGCAATCATAGATAATAAATAAACTTTATTTACAAAACTAAGTGTTGGGCCATGGGCCATGGTTTTCCAACCCCTGGTATAGAGCACAGAAGAGGAAACAAAATTGACTCTGTACTAATTTCCCTCACCAGGCAGCTTCATTTATTCATGTACACATTGTTCATTACTCTGAAAAATTTTTCTACAGCTGCATTCAGAACAGGAATCAAAACATGAGAATAAAATAATTTCAGCAATTTTGGAACTTCTATGAATTAAACAACTGTGCTGACTCCAAGGGGAAAGAAATGATACAGTCAAAGCAAGAACTTCATCATAAAGGAATTAAGAAAGAGGTGCTTTTTTCCTAAGTGAGTGCTGTCATATTTTTCTGAGTTCATCCACAGCTGGTTATTTACTACAAGATGTGAAGCACACACTGATGCCACAATATGCAATGTACAAAATTATCAAAAGGTACATTTCCCTAACTATTTTGTGTCTCTTTTTGTACAATTTTCAACTGAATATACTGCACAGTGCAAATGCAACCTCTTAAAAAAAGAATTATTTTTATCAAGGAACAATGTTTTGTAATGAAAGAAAAAGCCAATTTCTTTTTTTTTTTTTTTTTTGAGATGGAGTCTCGCTCTGCCGCCCAGGCTGGAGTGCAGTGGCGCTATCTTGGCTCACTGCAAGCTCCGCCTCCCAGGTTCACACCATTCTCCTGCCTCAGCCTCCCTAGTAGCTGGGACTACAGGCGCCCACCACCAAGCCCAGATAATTTTTTTGTATTTTTAGTAGAGACGGGGTTTCACCGTGTTAGCCAGGATGGTCTCGATCTCCTGACCTCGTGATCCGCCTGCCTCGGCCTCCCAAAGTGCTGGGATTACAGGCGTGAGCCACTGCACCCGGCCCAGTTTCCTATTTTGAGCAGTGACTGTCATGACTCAGAAATAAGTGAATGCAATAGAGACAGGGTTCTGGAACTATTGGCTAGTGTAATAGAATGTATTATTGGCTCAGGATTCTTCCTTCCTCACCCTTCCTATTGTTCTCAGCAGAAGTTTAGTTCCCCACCCATTGATGTTGTGCTCAGCCACACGACTTGCCCTGGCCAACGGATGCAGATGAAGTAAGAGTGTGCTACTACAGAGCAGAGGCCTTTAATGACCTCCCCAGAAAACCTAAGCCATAGCCTAAAGCCAAACCATTCCAGCCACCCTGCAGATCTACCGAGGAGGAAAACTAATGTTTGTTGTTGTAAGTCACTAAGATTCCAGAGTTGTCACACAGTATTATCACAGCAACAGATGACTAATATAACTATTATTTATCACTTTTTCTTAATTTTCAGAAAATATTTTTCACATTGCCATGTGAGAAAGTATGGTTTGTAAACAATCATCAGTTCAGGAAAAATGTCTCACCTCTCTTAATAAACTGAGCCATTGAGTGTGATTAAGCCACATAATTTTACAGAAATCATTTTCAAAAATTTCTCATCTTTTTCCAAATGTTAAATGGTGTAGTAGGATAGTATTCTGAAGAACTAATGAATGTGCCCTCAACAATTCTCTACATTTTATTGAATTGTTAACCTGTAGGGCCTTTTCCCACTCCAAAGGCTGGAAAAGAGGAAAGACTGTTTCAAACTATGGATTGCAATCCTTTAATGAATCACAAAATTAATGATATCATATATATGATATGATATGATATGATATGATATCATATATGTATATATGATATGATATGATATCATATATGTATATATGATATGATATGATATCATATATGTATATATGATATATATGATATATAGATATATATAGAGAGAGATTTACTTATATATATAAGATTTACTTAATATATATATGTTGAGATTTACTTAATTTTGTGATTCAAATATATGTATATTTGGAGACAGAGTCATACTTTGTCACTGTCACAAAGGCTGGAGTGCAGTGGTGTGATCTCTCACTGCAACCTCCGGCTCCTGGGTTCAAGCGATTCTCCTGCCTCAGCCTCTCAAGTAGCTGAGATTATAGGAGTGCAACTCCACACCCAGCTAATTTTTTTGTATTTTTATTAGGGATGGGGTTTCGCCATGTTGGCCAGGCTGGTCTCAAATTCCTGACCTCTGGTGATCTGCCTGCCTTGGCCTCCCAAAGTGCTGGGATTACAGGCGTGAGCCACCACACCTGGCCACAACCAATATATGTTAAATAAAAAATAGAAAGTATTAGCATATATCACACATAAAAAGGTAAATATTATTTTGCAAATACATATGAGAAAAAAAAGACTGAATTGTGATGAAAAAAAGAACTTAAATTATTTTTTAATTGATAAATTTCTCTTACCCAAAGCTAGATTAGGTGACCCTGCTAGCTGATCCTGTAGCACCTGTTATCACTTTGATAGCCCATTTCAGGACATGACTCCTGAGGCTCACAGCCTTAATTCTGTCCTCAACCAGACTCTATCTGTTCCTTAGGGCTTTGTTTATTGTTGCCACTGTGATATCCTCATGAGTACTTAGTGTGGAGGCTGACACATAGTATACACCCAAGTACTTTTGGAATGAATGGTTTGGTCTTACCTTGGAGAACACATTTGCCCTTGTCACTGTTTCTACCATCATTCCAAACCCAAAAGAACACAACTGAGGTGAAGAGGCTGAGATTAGGAATGGGTTGGCCAGTGTCACAGAAGGTTGGGGAAGAAAGGCCATAGTGAGGTTCTTTTAAAATCTTCCTGATTCTAGGTGACCCAACATCTTTGTTTCTATCAGGGGATCAGGAGAGACATTTCACTTTCTGTTGAAATCCTTCAATTCCTCCTTCCTTAGATTCCATGGGAAGATGAAAGGGAGTGGGTTTTCACTAGCATGTTAGCATGAAGGAGTTGAATCTGATTGCCTTTTTAATACTTGTGACATAGGAGTCTGTGGTGTTGTGGGAAAACTGACTCTAGGTGCTTCAAGGGACTGGGACTCTCTGGATAGTAGGAAGATGTCGTTATTCTAGAAGGTTGGGTGAAAAAATGACAGTAGATGGATGAGAAGCACAAAAATAGAATGGTACCAATCAATGGACCCTTTTTTTTTTTAGACGGAGTTTCGCTCTTGGCTCACTGCAACCTCCACCTCTGGGGTTCAAGTGATTGAGCCCCTCAGATTGAATTCCTAGCTCAGCCTCCCGAGTAGCTGGGATTACAAGTGCCCACCATCACACCCGGCTAATTTTTGTATTTTTAGTAGCGACGGGGTTTCTCCATATTGGCCAGGCTTGTCTGGAACTCTTGACCTCAGGTGATCCGCCTGCCTCAGCCTCCCAAAGTGCTCGGATTACAGGCATGAGCCACTGCACCCAGCCTGGACACTTCCTTCTACTTTGTAATTCTACCTCATAGTCTGACCTTTATCCTAGAAACTAGATGAAAAATCATGTTAAGTCTGGAAACTATGCACCCCTGTGGCAGGTTGAGTTTCTGGGGACAAGTCTCTGAGATGGAGAGTTGTGTTCAGTGAATTTCATGTTGGTGCTCTTGGGAATAACATCTCAGAGGGGGCAAAAGGAATGTGATTGAGCCGCGAGAGAAGTGGGCTCTGAGGCAGTCACAACAAAGGCCTCTGCCAATCCCACTGAGGGCTTCCGAGCTATGATAACTCTGCTGAATTGTCCCTTTTGGGGGAAAGAGGCCACAGTTTATACCTCTGCGTTGGCCAGTCATGGAGATGTGGGCCCTGAATAGGGAGTGTGAGCTTGGTGGGGAGGCATCCCTCTTCAGGCATGGGCAATCCCTGGAAACGGGAAGCCCATGAAAACCGTAAGCTGTTGGGAGTGTAAGTACTGCATACTAAATGGGAGTGGGTGGGGTTAGATAAGGGTAGGGCAACATGGCATCCACTGTGATTTCAAAATCGTGTTCCAACTGGACCATTTATGTATTCATTCAATAAATTTGTATGGAACACCAAAAAAAATAGTTCCAAGGCATGAACTTTGGGGACACATTCAAACCATAGTACATAAAATTGAGTAATATACATAATATACTGCAATGAAAATGAGAAACTACTGCTATATGACATAGATTGAAAATTTTTTTAATTCAATAGCTAGAAAAGAATATGTGTGTGCTTGAATATATATATCCAAAGTAAATAAAGACAAAAAATAAATGCAAAGGACACTTTCACATCCTTAGACCTAAAGAAAACCTCTTTAGAGCAGTTTTAGAATTGCCATTATGTTCCAACTTTAACCATGAAGCCTTCTGAAAACTGAGGCCAAGAAATTTTGAAATGATGAAGACAAATATTTACATAACTCTTATTTGAATATTTTAAAATTTTTTAATAGGTAAGAAGTAAAAATTTAGACTACCTCATTTCCATCCTGGGCCCTCGCGTTCCTTCCCCTGGCTGCCGTTGTCAGCTCACCTCATGCACCATTCTGAGATGATCGATCACCAGCTGGAGTGTAAATTATCACTTCCTAGAGGAGAGATTTGGAAATGAGACTGAGCCAGGAATGACCATTGGAGAAGGGTGTTGCGAAGACTGCAATTATATATTTACTATTGCTGACACAAGAATTATGACAGATTCATTGGTATGACCCAACGCTATAACTGTATGTAGTTATTCAGCCATCCTTGTAGTGAGAGAAGATTCCAGTACAGTTCACATGGGGCCACCATTTCGGCCAAGTGAGGTGCACGGTACTCATTCTCTGTCCTTAAGATCTGAGGGGAGGATGTTGACAGCATTCAGGTAGACAGTGAGGGGAACCATGGCCAGTCCACACCTGTGCCCAGGTAAGCCAGGCCTGACCAGCTTTCCAATGATTCCATGCCAAAAGAACAGAAAAAAAGCAGCATGGAGCCTGGGGAAACAATGTAGGAGCAGAGAGAAAGGAAAGAGTACACTCAGGCTACAGAGGAAAAATCTGCTTTTTTGAAAAAACCAAAATCATATATATATATATATATGTATATATATACACACACACACATACATGTATACATATATTTTTTTAAGAATGAGAAACATTCCAAAAATTTCAGAAAATTTGTTCCCAAAACTTATATCCCTAAACTACAAAATCTTTATATCTATATATCTCTTTAAATCTTTAAACTCTATAAACTCTATACATCTTTAAACTACACATCTCTTTAAAAAATTATTTATGTAAAAAATGAAATACTTAGTGTGGTGGGTTGAATAATGTCCTTATAAATGTATATTTACCAGGAACCTCAGAATGTGACCTTACTTGGAAATAGGGTCTTTGCAGATATAATTAGTTAAATTAAGATGGTGTCATACCGGGTTAGTGTCAGGCCTCTAAGCACAAGCCAAGCCAAGCCATCACATCCCCTGTGACTTGCATGTATATGCCCAGATGGCCTGAAGTAACTGAAGAATCACAAAAGAAGTGAATATGACCTGCCCCACCTTAACTGATGACATTCCACCACAAAAAAAGTGTAAATGGCCGGTCCTTGCCTTAACTGATGACATTACCTTGTGAAAGTCCTTTTCCTGGCTCATCCTGGCTCAAAAAGCACCCCCACTGAGCAACTTGCAACCCCCACTCCTGCCCGCCAGAGAACAAACCGCCTTTGACTGTAATTTTCTTTTACCTACCCAAATCCTATCCAACGGCCCCACCCTTATCTCCCTTTGCTGGCTCTCTTTTTGGACTCAGCCCACCTGCACCCAGGTGATTAAAAGCTTTATTGCTCACACAAGGCCTATTTGGAGGTCTCTTCACACAGATGCACATGAAATTTGGTGCCATGACTCAGATCAGGGGACCTCCCTTGGGAGATCAATCCCCTGGCCTCCTGCTCTTTGCTCCATGAGAAAGATCCACCTACTACCTCAGGTCCTCAGACCAACCAGCCCAAGAAACATCTCACCAATTTCAAATCCGGTAAGTGGCCTCTTTTTACTCTCTTCTCCAACCTCCCTCACTATCCCTCAACCTCTTTCTCCTTTCAATCTTGGCGCCACACTTCAATCTCTCCCTTCTCTTAATTTCAATTCCTTTCATTTTCTGGTAGAGACAAAGGAGACACGTTTTATCTGTGGACCTAAAACTCCGGCGCCAGTCACAGACTGGGAAGGCAGACTTCCCTTGGTGTTTAATCATTGCAGGGAGGCCTCTCTGATTATACACCCACGTTTCAAGAGTGTCAGACCACACAGGGACGCCTGCCTTGGTCCTTCACCCTTAGCGGCAAGTCCCGCTTTTCTGGGGAAGGGGCAAGTACCCCAACCCCTTCTCTCCTTGTCTCTACCCCTTCTCTGCTTTTCTGGGGACAGGGCAAGTACCCCAGCCCCTTCTCTCCTTGTCTCTACCCCTTCTCTGCTTTTCTGGGAGAGGGGCAAGTACCCCTCAACCCCTTCTCCTTCACCCTTAGTGGCAAGTCCCACTTTTCTAGGGGGCAAGAACCCCCAATCCCTTATTTCTGCACCCCAACCTCTTATCTCTGCACCCCAACCCCTTATTTCCATGCCCCAACCTCTTATCTCTGCACCCCAATCCCTTATTTCCATGCCCCAACCTGTTATCTCTGTGCCCCAATCCCTTATTTCCATGCCCCAGCCTCTTATCTCTGTGCCCCAATCCCTTATTTCTGCACCCCAACCTCTTATCTCTGCACCCCAATCCCTTATTTCCATGCCCCAACCTCTTATCTCTGTGCCCCAATCCCTTATTTCTGCACCCCAACCTCTTATCTGCACCCCAATCCCTTATTTCTACACCCCTACCTCTTATCTCTGTGCCCCAATCCCTTATTTCCATGCCCCAAACCCTTTTTCCCACTTTTCTGGAAGGTAAGATCCCCCGAACCTCTTCCCTCCATTTCTCTACTCTCTTTTCTCTAGGCTTGCTTCCTTCACTATGGGTAACCTTCCACCCTCCATTCCTCCTTCTACGCCCTTGGCCTGTGTTCTCAAAAACTTAAAACCTCTTCAACTCACACCTGACCTAAAACCTAAATGTCTTATTTTCTTCTGCAATGCCACTTGACCCCAATACAAACTCGACAGTAGTTCCAAATAGCCAGAAAATGACACTTTGAATTTTTCCATCCAGCAAGATCTAAATAATTCTTGTCGTAAAATAGGCAAATGGTCTGAGGTGCCTGACTTCCAGGCATTCTTTTACACATCGGTCCCTTCCTAGTCTCTGTGCCCAGTGCAACTCGTCCAAAATCTTCCTTCTTTCCCTCCCGCCTGTCCCCTCAGTACCAACCCCAAGCATCGCTGAGTCTTTCTAATCTTCCTTTTCTACAGACCCATCTGACCTCTCCCTTCCTCCCCAGGCTGCTCCTCGCCAGGCCGAGCTAGGTCCCAATTCTTCCTCAGCCTCTGCTCCTCCACCCTATAATCTTTTTATCACCTCCCCTCCTCACACCTGGTCTGGCTTACAGTTTCATTCCATGACTAGCCCTCCCCCTCCTGCCCAGCAATTTACTCTTAAAAAGGTGGCTGGAGCTAAAGGCATAGTCAAGGTTAATGCTCCTTTTTCTTTATCCCAAACCAGATAGCGTTTAGGCTCTTTTTCATCAAATATAAAAATCCAGCCCAGTTCATGACTTGTTTGGCAGCAACCCTGAGACACTTTACAGCCCTAGACCCTAAAAGGTCAAAAGGCCGTCTTATTCTCAAAATACATTTTATTACCCAATCTGCTCCCAACATTAAATAAAACTCCAAAAATTAAATTCCGGCCCTCAAACCCCACAACAGGATTTAATTAACCTCACCTTCAAGGTGTACAATAATAGAAAAAAGTTGCAATTCCTTGCCTCCACTGTGAGACAAACCCCAGCCACATCTCCAGCACACAAGAACTTCCAAACGCCTGAACCGCAGCAGCCAGGCGTTCCTCCAGAACCTCCTCCCCCAGGAGCTTGCGACACGTGCCGGAAATCTGGCCACTGGGCCAAGGAATGCCGGCAGCCCGGGATTCCTCCTAAGCCGTGTCCCATCTGTGTGGGACCCCACTGAAAATCGGACTGTTCAACTCACCTGGCAGCCACTCCCAGAGCCCCTGGAACTCTGGCCCAAGGCTCTCTGACTCCTTCCCAGATCTTCTTGGCTTAGCTGCTGAAGACTGACACTGCCCGATCGCCCCAGAAGCCCCCTAGACCATCACGGACGCCGAGCTTCGGGTAACTCTCACAGAGGAAGGTAAGCCCATTCCCTTCTTAATCAATACGGAGGCTACTCAATCCACATTACCTTCTTTTCAAGGGCCTGTTTCCCTTGCCTCCATAACTGTTGTGGGTATTGACGGCCAGGCTTCTAAACCTCTTAAAACTCCCCAACTCTGGTGCCAACTTAGACAATACTCTTTTAAGCACTCCTTTTTAGTTATCCCCACCTGCCCAGTTCCCTTATTAGGCTGAGACACTTTAACTAAATTATCTGCTTCCCTGACTATTCCTGGACTACAGCTATATCTCATTGCCTCCCTTCTTCCCAATCCAAAGCCTCCTTTGCGTCCTCCTCTTGTATCCCCCCACCTTAACCCACAAGTATAAGACACCTCTACTCCCTCCTTGGCGACCGATCATGCACCCCTTACCATCTCATTAAAACCTAATCACCCTTACCCCACTCAACACCAATATCCCATCCCGCAGCACGCTTTAAAAAGATTAAAGCCTGTTATCACTCACCTGCTACAGCATGGCCTTTTAAAGCCTGTAAACTCTCCTTACAATTCCCCCATTTTACCTGTCCTAAAACCAGACAAGCCTTACAAGTTAGTTCAGGATCTGCGCCTTATCAACCAAATTGTTTTGCCTATCCACCCCGTGGTGCCAAACCCATATACTCTCCTATCCTCAATACCTCCCTCCACAACCCATTATTCTGTTCTGGATCTCAAACATGCTTTCTTTACTATTCCTTTGCACCCTTAATCCCAGCCTCTCTTCGCTTTCACTTGGACTGACCCTGACACCCATCAAGCTCAGCAAATTACCTAGGCTGTACTGCCGCAAAGCTTCACAGACAGCCCCCATTACTTCAATCAAGCCCAAATTTCTTCCTCATCTGTTACCTATCACAGCATAATTCTCATAAAAACACACGTGCTCTCCCTGCCAATCATGTCCGACTGATCTTTCAAACCCAAGCACCTTCTACAAAACAACAACTCCTTTCTTTCCTAGGCATGGTTAGCGCGGTCAGAATTCTTACACAAGAGCCAGAACCACACCCTGTAGCCTTTCTGTCCAAACAACTTGACCTTACTGTTTTAGCCTAGCCCTCATGTCTGTGTGCAGCAGCTGCCGCTGCTTTAATGCTTTTAGAGGCCCTCAAAATCACAAACTGTGCTCAACTCACTCTCTACAGTTCTCATAACTTCCAAAATCTATTTTCTTCCTCATACCTGACGCATATACTTTCTGCTTCCCAGCTCCTTCAGCTATACTCACTCTTTGTTGAGTCTCCCACAATTACCGTTGTTCCTGGCCGAGACTTCAATCCGGCCTCCCACATTATTCCTGATACCACACCTGATCCCCATGACTGTATCTCTCTGATCCACCTGACATTCACCCCATTTCCCCAAATTTCCTTCTTTCCTGTTCCTCACCCTGATCACGCTTGATTTATTGATGGCAGTTCCACCAGGCCTAATCGCCACTCACCAGCAAAGGCAGGCTATGCTTATAGTATCTTCCACATCTATCATTGAGGCTACCACTCTGCCCCCCTCCACTACCTCTCAGCAAGCCGAACTCATTGCCTTAACTCGGGCCCTCACTCTTGCAAAGGGACTACGCGTCAATATCTCTACTGATTCTAAATATGCCTTTCATATTCTGCACCACCATGTGGTCATATGGGCTGAAAGAGGTTTCCTCACTACACAAGGGTCCTCCATCATTAATGCCTCTTTAATAAAAACTCTGCTCACGGCCGCTTTACTTCCAAAAGAAGCTGGAGTCATTCACTGCAAGGGGCATCAAAAGGCGTCAGATCCCATTGCTTTAGGCAATGCTTATGCTGATAAGGTGGCTAGACAAGCAGCTAGCTCTCCAACTTCTGTCCCTCACGGCCAGTTTTTCTCCTTCACTTCGGTCACTCCCACCTACTCCCCCACTGAAACTTCCACCTATCAATCTCTTCCCACACAAGGCAAATGGTTCTTAGACCAAGGAAAATATCTTCTTCCAGCCTCACAGGCCCATTCTATTCTGTCGTTATTTCATAAGCTCTTCCATGTAGGTTACAAGCCGCTAGCCCGTCTCTTAGAACCTCTCATTTCCTTTCCATCATGGAAATCTATCCTCAAGGAGATCACTTCTCAGTGTTCCATCTGCTATTCTACTACCCCTCAGGGATTGTTCAGGCCTCCTCCCTTCCCTACACATCAAGCTTGGGGATTTGCCCCTGCCCAGGACTGGCAAATTGACTTTACTCAAATGCCTCAAGTCAGAAAACTAAAATATCTCTTAGTCTGGGTAGACACTTTCACTGGATGGGTAGAGGCCTTCCCCACAGAGTCTGAGAAGGCCACCGCGGTCATTTCTTCCCTTCTGTCAGACATAATTCCTCAGTTTGGCCTTCCCACCTCTATGCAGTCTGATAACGGACCAGTCTTTACTAGCCAAATCACCCAAGCAGTTTCTCAGGCCTTTGGTATTCAGTGGAACCTTCATATCCCTTACCGTCCTCAATCTTCAGGAAAGCTAGAACGGACTAATGGTCTTTTAAAGGCACACCTCACCAAGCTCAGCCTCCAACTAAAAAAGGATTGGACAGTACTTTTACCTCTTGCTCTTCTCAGAATCAGAGCCTGTCCTCGAGATGTTACAGGGTACAGTCCATTTGAACTTTTATATGGACGCACTTTCTTGCTTGGCCCCAACCTCATCCCAGACACCAGCCCTCTAGGCGACTATCTTCCAGTCCTCCAGCAGGCTAGACAGGAAATTTGCCAGGCTGCTAATCTTCTCTTGCCTACTCCAGATCCCCAGCCATATGAAGACACCCTAGCTGGACGATCAGTTCTTGTTAAGAATCTGACCCCTCAAACTCTACAACCTTGATGGACCGGACCCTACTTATCTATAGTACCCCAACTGCTGTCTGCCTGCAGGATCCTCCCCACTGGGTTCACCTTTCCAGAATAAAGCTGTGGCCATCGGACAGCCAGCCTAATCCCTCCTCTTCCTCCTGGAAGTCGCAAGTACTCTCCCCCACTTCCCTTAAACTCACTCTTATTTCTGAAGAACAGTAATAACCCTTATGAGCCTACTACATCCCTTCATTCTATTAGGTCTGTTCGTCCTTACCCTACTTTTTGCAACAGGGCTTTACGAAGTCACCCCCACCACTTAGGCCGAGCCCCAAAAACTAGTCATCCCTACTATCTTCTGTCCGGTCATACTCCTATTCTCCATTCTCAACTACTTATAAATGCCCTACTCTTGTTTACACCGCCGGTTTACACTGTTTCTTCAATCCATCACAGCTGATAGCTCTTGGTGCTATCCCCAAACTGCCACTCTTAACTCCCTCTTAGAGTGGATAGATGATCTTTGCTGGCAAGGCACCCTCCAATACTTCCACCCTGATGAAGTTCTATTCTTTACTTTTATACTCACTCTTATTCTCATTCCCATTCTTATGTCACCCTCTACCTCTCCCCAGCTATCTCCACCACACTATCAACCTTACCCAATCTCTCCTAGCCGCTTCTAATCCCTCCTTGGCAAACAACTGCTGGCTTTGCATTTCCCTTTCTTCCAGTGCCTACACAGCTGTCCCCGCCTTACAGACAGACTGGGCAACATCTCCCGTCTCCCTACACCTCCGAACTTCCTTTAACAGCCCTCACCTTTACCCTCCTGAAGAACTCATTTACTTTCTAGACAGGTCCAGCAAGACTTCCCCAAACATTTTACATCAGCAAGCTGCCGCCCTCCTTCGCACTTATTTAAAAAACCTTTCTCCTTATATTAACTCTACTCCCCCCATATTTGGACCTCTCACAACACAAACTACTATTCCAGTGGCCGCTCCTTTATGTATCTCTCGGCAAAGACCCACTGGAATTCCCCTAGGTAATCTTTCACCTTCTCGATGTTCCTTTACTCTTCATCTCCAAAGCCCAACTACACACATCACTGAAACAATTGGAGCCTTCCAGCTCCATATTACAGACAAGCCCTCTATCAATACTGACAAACTTAAAAACATTAGCAGTAAAAAAAAAAAAAAAAAAATTAGCACTAATTATTGCTTAGGAAGACACTTGCCCTGTATCTCACTCCATCCCTGGCTACCTTCCCCTTGCTCATTAGACTCTCCTCCCAGGCCCTCTTCTTGTTTACTTATACCCAGCCCCAAAAATAACAGTGAAAGGTTGCTCGTAGATACTCAACATTTTCTCATACACCATGAAAATTGAACCTCCCCCTCTATGCAGTTACCCATCAGTCCCCATTACAACCTCTGACAGCTGCCGCCCTAGCTGGATCCCTAGGAGTCTGGGTACAAGACACCCCTTTCAGCACTCCTTCTCATCTTTTTACTTTACATCTCCAGTTTTGCCTCGCACAAGGTCTCTTCTTCCTCTGTGGATCCTCTACCTACATGTGTCTACCTGCTAATTGGACAGGCACATGTACACTAGTCTTCCTTACCCCCAAAATTCAATTTGCAAATGGGACCGAAAAGCTCCCTGTTCCCCTCATGACACCAACATGACAAAAAAGAGTTATTCCACTAATTCCCTTGATGGTCGGTTTAGGACTTTCTGCCTCCACTATTGCTCTCAGTACTGGAATAGCAGGCATTTCAACCTCTGTCACGACATTTTGTAGCCTGTCTAATGACTTCTCTGCTAGCATCACAGACATATCACAAACTTTATCAGTCCTCCAGGCCCAAGTTGACTCTTTAGCTGCAGTTGTCCTCCAAAACCACCGAGGCCTTGACTTACTCACTTCTGAAAAAGGAGGACTCTGCATATTCTTAAATGAGGAGTGTTGTTTTTACCTAAATCAATCTGGCCTGGTGTATGACAACATTAAAAAACTCAAGGATAGAGTCCAAAAACTTGCCAACCAAGCAAGTAATTATGCTGAACCCCCTTGGGCACTCTCTAATCGGATGTCCTGGGTCCTCCCAATTCTTAGTCCTTTAATACCCATTTTTCTCCTTCTTTTATTCGGACCTTGTATCTTCTGTTTAGTTTCTCAATTCATCCAAAACCGTATCCAGGCCATCACCAATCATTCTATACAACAAATGTTTCTTCTAACATCCCCACAATATCACCCCTTACCACAAGACCTCCCTTCAGCTTAATCTCTCCCACTCTAGGTTCCCACGCCGCCCCTAATCCCACTTGAAGCAGCCCTGAGAAACGTCGCCCATTCTCTCTCCATACCACCCCCCAAAAATTTTCACTGCCCCAACACTTCAACACTATTTTGTTTTATTTTTCTTATTAATATAAGAGGGCAGGAATGTCAGGCCTCTGAGCCCAAGCCAAGCCATCGCATCCCCTGTGACTTGCATGTATATGCCCAGATGGCCTGAAGTAACTGAAGAATCACAAAAGAAGTGAATATGCCCTGCCCCACCTTAACTGATGACATTCCACCACAAAAGAAGTGTAAGTGGCCGGTCCTTGCCTTAACTGATGACATTACCTTGTGAAAGTCCTTTTCCTGGCTCATCCTGGCTCAAAAAGCACCCCCACTGAGCACCTTGCGACCCCCACTCCTGCCCGCCAGAGAACAAACCGCCTTTGACTGTAATTTTCCTTTACCTACCCAAATCCTATCAAATGGCCCCACCCTTATCTCCCTTCGCTGGCTCTCTTTTTGGACTCAGCCCACCTGCACCCAGGTGATTAAAAGCTTTATTGCTCACACAAAGCCTGTTTGGTGGTCTCTTCACACGGACGCGCATGAAAGTTAGGATGGGCCGTAAACCCAATGGCTGGTGTCTTCCTCAGAGGAGACACATAGAGACTGACACGGGGGAGAGGCCATGAGGGAGGCTGAGACTGGAGGGGTGCAGACACAGGGAAGGATTGCTCGGAGCCACCAGAAGCTGGAAGAGGCCGGGAAACGTTTTTCTAGAGCCTTCGGAGGGAGCCAGGTCCTGCCAGCACTTTGATTTAGCCTCCAGGATTTGAGAATAAATTTCTGTGGGTTTAAACCACCCAGTTTGTGACAATTTATTATGGTAGCCCTGGGAAACAAACATGATAAGACATGAAAGAGTATATATAACAGAAATGAACAGTTCAGAATAACGATGAGCTAAACACCAGTTTATCCATGACCTAACTTAAGGAAGAAAAGTTACTGATAACTTCGAAGCTCCCCACTGTGCCCCTCCCTAGTCACACCACCTCCCTTCATCTCTACTGTCTAGAATTTTGCATGAAGCATTCCTTTCTTTTTCCAAGATCAGAAGAGATAGAGTGTTTTCAGGGTGGTATGGCCATAGACAAGCATTCCTTTCTTTTTCTTTGTAATTTCCTTACACACGCATATGAATACATTTCCAAACAACATGGTGTTTAGTTTTGCTTGCTTTGAGCTTTTATATAAATTGGGTGATACTTTATATATTGTTCTTTATGTGTTTTTTTACATACTATTTTGTTTTTGAGATTAATTTGTGATGATGTATAGTACTGCATATACAATATATTGATTCCTTTTATGACTAATAACATTAAAGTAGTTCCCAATATTTTGCTATTATCAGTCATGAACATTCTTGTATATGTCTTCTAATACACATGTGCCTCATTATGAGGATATAACAATCTGAATTGCAATTGGTTAAGAACTGAAATTGAGTTTCTACCTAATAGTAGAATTGCTGAGTTACAGGGTATGTTTATGTTTATGTTTATACTTTATAACTTTATAAAGAGCATACTTTTGAAAATATAACAAAATTAAGAGGAGATTTTTAGATGTTGAAAACACAGACTCTGTGAAATAAGACAGAAAAGATCAGACAAAACACAACCAGTTAATAACCCAAAATCTGGCAAGGACAGAAAAAGAAACAGACTAACCTCACTTAAGAATATAAATGTGAAAATCATACATAACATAAAAGTAATTCAAATGTAAAGTATATATTAAAAACACATTATTACCAAGTTGATTTTAGTCCAGGAATGCAAGCATGATTAAATATTAAGAAAAATGGGTCAAATCACAGAAATATGCCATTATCTCAATCAGTACTGAGAAGATATTTGATAATATTCAGAATCTTTCTTTAAAAAACCTCTTTATGAATCAACACTAGAAAAACAGATTTTTAGCATGATGAAAAATATCCACATTAAATTAAGAACAAGAAGAGACAGCCTGCTTCAACCTCTATTATTCAGACTAGTTCTGCAATTTCTAGTCTGTGCACTAAGAAAAAGAAAATGAGGTACAGACACTAGTGTGCCCACATGTCAATCCTGCTTTTGCTTCATGCCAAACTCCATGCTAGATTCAGCCCTGCCACAAATCTGACCTCCCAACAACTATCCTTTTTACACCAAAAATATTATTGAAAAAGTAAGAAAGTAGAATGGTAAATGACAAGCTAAAATATATTTACAATACACAAAGCAGAACAAAAACGTTGATACATTGGAAGAAGTGTTTTTAATTAATAAAATAATTAACTAATATTAAAGAAATGAATAAGAAACATGCACAGGTCACAAATGGCTAATAAAAACATGAAGTATTGTCCAACTTCAACAGTAATAGAGAATGCAGGCATTTTTAAAATAAGATATAATTGTCCCTGATCATTTGGCCAAGATTTCTTTTTTAGGTATTCTCAAGGATTCAGGATTTGCACATGCTCATACACCATCAGTAGCTGTAAACCTGTATAACTTTTTTAAAGTGATTTGGCAATACACATAAAATCTATAAAATACTCATAATATTTGACTTAACAGTCCTTCCAGAAATTTATTCGAAGGAAATTGTTCTACGAAAAGTATAATTATATGAACAAAAATAGTTTTGGCTTTACTTTTATGAACAGTGAAAATCTAGAAAAGGCTTAAATGTCCATCATCTCTACAGAATTGGTAAAATACTGTCACATCCAGCACAATTACGCCATGGGCTATTGCACAGCCATGAAAAATGATGCCACAGGCCCCAGCAGCTCATCGGCGGGAGCGGCAGCAGCAGGCAGCCCGTGCAAAAGCACTTGCTGGGTGACGGCCCAGAGGTAGCCAGGGGCCCCTTCCCCAACGCAGGCACCGCCAAGATCCACAAGAGCAAGGCGGATTCAGCCTAAGGGTCAGTAAAGAAACCCTCAAGGAACCAGCAAAATGGTCCAGCAGACCTGTTCCTACAAAAGTAACAAAGTCAAAAAATGAAAAATAGAGAAGGATAAATCTTCACAATGCGAATAAACACAAGTGAAACAAAAGCAAAAGGAAGAGGTCAGTGGGTAGCAAAGAAACTGAAGATTTCTCTGCAGAATGATGAAGTAGGAAAGAAAGAAACCGGGTCTGATCATGAGTGTCATACACTGTACCAAGTCTTCTCCGGGGTCCTTGTATCTCCCTATTGGTCAGCTATTTTGTAAAAGCAAGTTTCTTACAAGCTCTAGAAATAATTAAGAAGAAAGAAAACCTAATTCATTCCATTTTGTTTTGTTTTTAACATATTTAGATAAGTTTAAATGCCTTTTCTTAAAAGGTGAAATCCAGTTATGTTGTTTATTTTTCTGCACAACTGGGAATTAGAGGCATATTGAATTACAGAAGGCTTTGATGTCTTGTGTGCCAATGTAACATTCCATAGGTTGGGGGGAATATCCTATAATATGCAGCATAACTAAATGCAATTTACAGTCATAATCATGCACTTAGAGTGTCTCAAACATTTTAAATTGCTTATCCTCTATACCCATATTATTCTTTGGCAGGATAGTTAAAAAAAAATAATTAATTAATTTACAAAAAAAAAAAAAAAAACACCTGCTCCCTCATCTTAGCTCTCCCAGTCAGATTTGAGAGCTTTTCTTTGACATTTTTGGTAACGGTAGCCTATTCTACAGCTTTGCTAATATGCTATGAAAGATTGGAATTTTTTAGAATGTTGTAAGATATTAAATCATGAATCAATGGCATTTTGGCTCTAACAGCTTCCCAATATTTTATCATTCATATTGCTACTTGATATCCTTGTTTTAAGGACAATTTGCCTCCTTTTTTTTTTCTTTTTTTTTTTTTTTTTTTTTTTTTTTTTTGAGACAGGGTCTCAGTCTCACTCTGTCACCCAGGCTGGAGTGCAATGGTGCGATCTCGGCTCACTGTAGCCCCAAACTCCCAGGCTCAGGAGATTCTTCCACCATGGCTTCCCGAGTAGCTGAGACCATAGGTACACACCACCACACCTGGATAATTTTTGTATGTTTGTAGAGATAGGGTTTTACCATGTTGCCCAAGCGGGTCTCGAACTCAAGTGATCTGCCTGCCTCAGCCTCCCAAATTGCTGGGATTACAGGCCTGAGCCACTGTGCCCGGCCATGCCTCCAAATTTTAACTAAAGAGACTGGGTAATTTTTCAGAAAATGACTGCAACTACTTTTTTTTTTTCCAATTAATACTTGCATAAGAATTGTATATATTCTCACTTAATACTTGCATAAGATTGTATACATTTTCATTTAATACTTGCATAAGATTGCTTATAGTACTTGTGATCAGATCCAACAAAAACCAAGACATTTTTTCACGTGGGCTCTGTTGTCCTTCTAACTGCTGGCATGAACTCCTTCAATGTTGAAATGTCGTCATTTCAAATAGAGTTATGCACTTCGTTGGTACTATGCACACTGAGTTTGTTACTTAAAATTTCTTCCAAAAGATTTCACTACAACCAGCATTAAAATAAAATAATATAATGTATGTAGAAAGACATGGAAACAGAACAGCAGAGCACAAATTTAATATTACTGAAGCAAATAATCTTCATTGAAAGAATGACTACAATTCCAGATTTTCTTAAAAGGAAACAATCAAGTTTTTTATGGGACCCAAGAAAGAAGATACCTGGAAGTGAGTGAAAATAAGAAAATGCAAAAAGATTGCCTTCACACACCATGCAATGCAACTGGAGGGTGGAGAAACTGGCACATCTCAGAATAGATGAAGGAAACTTCATAGCATCAAGAAGCTGATTGGCCGGGCGCGGCGGCTCACGCCTATAATCCCAGCACTTTGGGAGGCCGAGGCGGGCGGAACCCAAGGTCAGGAGAACGAGACCATCCTGGCTAACAGGGTGAAACCCCGTCTCTACTAAAAATGCAAAAAAAATTAGCAGGGCGTGGTGGCGGGCGCCTGTAGTCCCAGCTACTCGGGAGGCTGAGGCAGGAGAATGGCATAAACCCGGGAGGCGGAGCTTGCAGTGAACCAAGATCGCGCCACTGTACTCCAGCCTGGGAGACAGAGCGAGACTCCATCTCAAAAAAAAAAAAAAAAAAAAAAAAAGAAGCTGATTATGATGATTCATGTATCACACAAGACTATCAATGAGGTATTATTGTGCTATTATTTAATTGATAGTTGTTCTTTCTTTTTCTTTCTGTCTTTCTCTTCTTATAATGGGACACAAACAATCCGTGATGTCTTATATTCAATGCAATATATCTTCTTTGTTAGTTTGGAAAGTTATCCTTGAAAGATTTTGTGTTCCTTTCAGTGGCACGTATACTAAAATTGGAATGGTCCCTGGTTGAAGATAACATGCAACCTTGTCAAGTGTTCTACATTGTTTCTATTTCTTTCTGGGTGTTCATCTTGGGGAAATTCATGCACACATTTCTCTAAATATATCATGCTTTAACAAAGGGGTCCCCAACCCCCAGGCCATGGACCAGTACTGATCTGTGACCTGTTAGGAACCTGGCCATAAGGCAGGAGGGGAGCAGCAGGCAAGCGTTACTGCCTGAGCTCTGCCTCCTGTCAGATCAGAGGCAGCATTAGATTTTCACAGAAGCATGAACCCTGTTGTGAACTGAATATGGGAGGCATCTAGGTTGCAAGCTCCTTATGAAAAACTACTGCCTGATGGTCTGTCAGTGTCTCCCATCATCCCCAGATGAGAGTGTCTAGTTGCAGGAAAACAAGCTCAGGGCTCCCACTGATTTTACATTATGGCAAGTTGTATAACTGTTATTATATATTATAATGTAATAATAATAGGAATAAAGTGCACAATAAATGAAATGCACTTGAATCATCCTAAAACCACACCCCTGCCCTGGTCTGTGGAAAAATTGTCTTCTATGAAACCCGTCCCTGGTGCCAAAAAGGTTGAGGAGTTTTGCTTTAACGAAAGTTTTTATAAAATATCAGTATTCAATACAGTTTGTATAGTATAGACCCAATTTGGGTAACTGTGTGTAGGTATGCATGTCTGTCACCTTTGTGCCCATATTTGTGTACGTAGGCAAAGAATCCACAATGTCAACACTAATTATGGAAAGATGGGTGACTTTTATTTTCTTCTTCATGCTTTTCTATGTCTGAATATTTTTTATGGTGAGTATGTGATTTCTTTTATGGTCAGAAGAAAAAGACAGGAAGACTTACTCCCACTTTAAAAACACACAGTGAACCCTAATGCAGACTGTGTTGTAGACAGATATTTATTTATAAGGTTTTCCATCATAACATTTTGTAAACTATCAAACCCTTCCAATAACATGGGGAGAGGTAGATAAATTTTCACACATTCATGGGATGAACATAGCCACTAAAATCAGTGTGGATTGTTAAGAAAATGTAATGACAGGGACATGTATATTAACACTGTTAAATGAAAAAACATAATACAAACTCTAAATGCAATATAAATCAAATTTTGTAAAGTACGAATAAAATAAATATATGAAATGTGCATGCAAAGAAAAAAGATATTTATAGTGTTTACTTCTAAATGTAAAATTGTAATTTTTAAAAACTGTCTCCTTATACGTTTCTGTATGTTCTAAATTATCTAAAATGAGCACATTTTACTTCCATAATTTTTAAGAATAATTACTTTTTTAAATACTGCAGTTACTTATCCAAAGGTCAAACATTCTCACCAAAACAAAATACTAATTCTAAAATGAAACATAGAAAGTCAGAGACCCTAAGTAGGTACCTGGGTGCTCACCACAATTGAAGGAGGGCCAGTTACCTAGAGCCTATTGAGTCCACTTAGTGCCACTATTAGCCCCCTGTTCATCTAGTTTCCTTGCCATAAATAAATTATAAGTACTGATGGAGACAGGCAGAGGAAAGCAGTTCAAGAGAAACAACAGGTAATGTAAAAGTGAGAAAGAAGACAGAGAAAAACAGTAATACCAGGCATTGGAATAATCTGGGGGCCTTTAGTAGCAGGACATGGAAACCTATAGACCTGAGGGCAACATGGATTTCCAACAATCCATATCCAGAATGTGATTCGAGTCATTAAAAACTTTTCTACACAGCACTCCTGTGTAGAAAACTTTCAAGATCTAAAATTTCAGAAAAATGAGCAAAGTTACAAAAGTTAGACCAAAGAGTTTCCACATTACTCTCATGTGCCACATAACAACATTTTGGTCAATGGCAGACCACATGTATGACTGTAGTCCCATAAGATGATTATACCATGTTTTTACTATACCTTTTCTATGTTTAGATATGTTTAGATGCACAAATACTTACCATTGTGTTACAACTGCCTACAGTATTCAGTACAGTCACAGGCTGTACAGTTTTGTAGCCTAGGAGCAATAAGCCATATCACATAGTAGTGCCATGTGGTTAGCTACACCGTATAGGTTTGTGTAAGTATACTCTAGAATGTTCACACAATAATGCATTTCTCAGAATGTATCCCCATTGTTAAGTGAGAAATGACTACAGAAAAATATTCATTTTTATTGATTAATGTTATACTACCATATTCAAATATAGTAACATATATAAAAATATAATTTTTTAAAGAATCAAAGTTTAAAATAGCATTTTGTACCCCAAATGGATTGATACGGTTTGGCTGTGTCCCCGCCAAAATCTCATCTTGAAATGTAGTTCCCATAATCCCCATGTGTCATGGGAGGTACCCAGTGGGGGGTGATTAGATCATAGTGGTGGTTACCCCCATGCTGCTATTCTCATGATAGTGAGTGAGTTCTCACCAGATCTGATGGTTTTATAAGAAGCTTTTCCCCCTTTTGCTTGGCACTTCTCCTTCCTGCCATCATATGAAGGATGTGTTTGCTTCCCCTTCCACCATGATTGTAAATTTCCTGAGGCCTCCCCAGCCATGTGGAACTGCGAGTTGATTAAACCTCTTTCCTTTATAAATTACCCAGTCTCGGGCAGTTCCTTATAGCAGTGTGAGAATGGACTAATACAGTAAATTCGTACCATGAGTGGGATGCTGCTGTAAAAATACCCAAAAATGTGGAAGTGATTTTGGAACTGGGTAACAGGCAGAGGTTGGAATCATTTGGAGGGCTCAGAAGAAGACAGGAAAATGTGGGAAACTTTACAACTTCCTAAAGACTTGGAGGGCTCAGAAGACAGGAAGATGTGGGAAAGTTTGGAACTTCCTAGAAACTTGTTAAATGGCTTTAACCAAAATGCTGATAGTGATATGGACAATAAAGTCCAGGCTGAGGTGGTCTCACATGGAGATGGGAATGTGTTGGGAACTGGAGTAAAGGTCATTCTTGCTATACAAAGAGACTGGTGGCATTTTGCCCCTGCCCCAGAAATCTGTGGAACTTTAAACTTGAGAGAGATTATGTAGGGTATCTGGCAGAAGGAATTTCTAAGTGGCAAAGCATTCAAGAGGAAACAAAGCATAAAAGCTTGAAAATTTTGCAGCCTAACCATGCTGTAGAAAAGAAAAACCTATTTTCTGGGGAGAAATTCAAGCCCAATGCAGAAATTTGCATAAGTAACAAGGAACCAAATGTTAATCACCAAGACAATGGGGAAAATGTCTCTCCAGGGCATGGCAGAGACCTGCATGGCAGCCCCTCCCATCACAGGCCCAGAGGCCTAAGAGGGAAAAATGGTTTCATGGGCTGGGCCCAGGGCCCCCTGACCTATGCAGCCTTGGGACATGGTATCCTGTGTCCCAGCTGCTTCAGCTCCAGCCATGGCTAAAATGAGCCAACATACAGCTTGGGCCATTACTTCAGAGGGTGCAAGCCCCACCCTTGGCAGCTTCCACATGGTGTTGAGCCTATGGGAGCACAGAAGTCAAGAAGTGAGGTTTGGGAGCCTCCATCTAGATTTCAGAGGATGTATGGAAATGCCTGGATGTCCAGACAGAAGTCTGCCCAAGGGTGGAGACCTCATGGAAAACTTCTGCTAGGGCAGTGTGGAAAGAAAACATGGGGTTGGAGGCCACACACAGAGTCCCCACTGGGGCACTGCCTAGTGAAGCTGTAGAAGAGGGCCAACATCCACCACACCCCAGAATGGTAAATCCATTGACAACTTACACCATGCACCTAGAAAAGCCACAGACAGTCAACACCAGCTGTAAAAGCAGCCAGGAGGGGGTAACCTGCAAAGCCACAGTGGGGGAGCTGCCCAAGACCGTGGGAGCCCACCTCTTCCATTGTAGTGACCTGGATGTGAGACATGGAGTCAAAGGAGATCATCTCAGAGCTTTAAAATTTGACTGACCTGCTGGATTTTGGACTTGCAAGGAGTCTGCAAACTCTTCAGTTTGGCCAATTTCTCCCATTTGGAACAAGTGTATTTACCTAATGCCTGTACCCCCATTGTATCTAGGAAATAGCTAACTTGCTTTTAATTTTACAGGCTTAGGAGCAGAAGAAACTTGCCTTGTCTCAAATGAGGCTTTAGACTTAGACTTTTGGGTTAATGCTGGAATGAGTTTAAACTTTGGGGGACTGTTGGGAAGACATGACTGTGTTTTGAAATGTAAGGACATGAGCTTTGGGAGGGGTAGGGACAGAATGATATGGTTTGGCTGTGTCCCCACCCAAATCTCATCTTGAACTGTAGTTCCCATTATCCCCATGTGTCATAGGAGGGATCCAGTGGGAGGTGATTAGATCATGGGGGCAGTTACTCCTATGCAACTATTCTCATGACTGTGATTGAGTTCTCACAAGATCTGATAGTTTTATTAGGGGCCTTTCCCCCTTTTGCTTGGCACTTCTCTTTCCTGCCATCATGTAAGAAGGACATGTTTGCTTCCCCTTCTGTCATGATCGTAAGTTTCCTGAGGCCTCCCCAGCCATCCAGAACTGTGAGTCAATTAAACCTCTTTCCTTTATAAATTACCCAGTCTCAAACAGCTCTTTATAGCAGCATGAGAATGGGCTAATACATGGATCATCTTGTGAATTTCTTTGGTTCAGCAAGTTACCATTTATATTTGTATTTAATATTCATATTTTAATGCATCACTTCCCTACTTAAAAGGGAGAGGTGATGGAAAGCAGTGATGGAAAGTGGTCCTGGCCAGCTGTTCATCAATACGTGCCACCTTATCATTCTCCTGACAGTCTTAGAAGAGAGCAGGACACACCATATCCCTATTAGATGATTAAATCAAGTAACATTTTGATACATGATAAATCATTTCTTTACATTATGGGCTCCCCATTGCTTTCAAAAAAAAGCATAAGAGGTTATCTTCATAATTCCTAGCCTGACACACTTTTTTGAGCCTTTACTTGTGTCTGCTCATGTCTTCTATAGTTACAAATTTTTCAATTTTTCTCACAGTAAGTATCTAGGATTTGAGACAAATGAAAGCAATTGTGCAATTATATAAATATATAAATAGATACAATGTGTGTATATATACAGTGTGTGTGGGTATATATTATATGTAGTGTATAGATAGATAGATACATAGATAGATAGATAGATAGATAGATAGATAGATAGATAGATAGATAGATATGCTAATATGTGAGTCCTATGTTCTATAGTAAGAACATTTGAACCGAGAAGTGATTATGGGCAAAGATAAATGATCAATAAGAACTGCACCAGTAACTTACAATAGTGTCTTTCCCAGAAGCAGCTAATATGTAGAAACTCTGGGGGAACGTCTTCTAGTTAGGAGATATTTTACTTTAAATCTTACATGAATGACTAAATAATTAATAAATATTATTTACTAAATATTTGTAAAATGGTTTCTATTTTATGTATATTAACCCAGTGTTTCTATAAATGTGAGAGATACTCTGACCAAGCAGTGATGAGGTAAGTTTAAGAAATGCTATATCCCCTCCTTGGAGGCAGATGGCCTCTTTAACGAATAAAAGGCTCTGAGAAGTCCTATAGTAAATATGCTTTGCCTACCCTAGAATTTGTTGGAATTTCCCAAATATAGTTGATCGTGAAACCCTTTTTCCTTTGCCATCTACTAATATCTTATGGAACCAGTGTTCCTGGGACTATACTTAAGGAAGCTTTATGTCCAGCTTCAAATAAGGAAATTGACCATTAGAGAAGCTGGGTAACATCCCCAATATTTCACAGCTGGCAGGAGGCATAGCTGGGATAAGTACCCAGCCTTCTGACCCACAACCCATGCCTTCCTGTGACAGCTTGTCCCTCTCACCTGCTTTACTATTAATAAGAAAATACCCCAGTGAAAAGAAACCTAGAATTGCTATTTAAAATACATTTTCCTTGCTTTGTGAGCTTTCATTTTTCAACTGAAAATGGGTCTGGTCTTGTCAATACTCTAGATTATTAAAGAAAAAACAAGCTATTTATAAAAATAATAGTAACAATAAAGTGCCTGCATGAAAACTGAAAAAAAAATGAGTGGGTACTTGTTCTGAATATCATTAATTCATTAATTTTTTCTTTCCTTTAAAAACTTGAATTTTGAGCTTTCATTGAAATAATAAAATGTGCAAGATAAATTGAAATTTTTCTTTATTCCCCAAAACCAATCTTGAAACTATATAATGGCAAAAACGATAAGAAAAATCACTATGCAAATCAGTGGGCTTTTTTCATATATTTCTTACCAAATGGCTAAAATAATATTAACATCTTTGTAGTTCTTGTTAAAAAGAAAAGCAAAACAACTTTAAATACTAGCAAAACCCTTACGGTGTTCCTGTGACATACCAAGTGCTTTATATACACTATCTCATTTAATCCTCAGCATACCCTGGAAGATACACTCATATTCCCATTTGAAAGATACGAAAATAAAGGTTCTGGGAGTTAGTACAGGGCTTAGGAGCTTGGGCTCTGGAGCCAGCGTGCCTCACATGAAATCCTTCCCTTCCCTTCTAACAAGGTAAGGGGCCTTGGCAAGTCACTAGGTTTCTCTGTGCCTCAGTGTCTTTATTTGTAAAATGGGGATAATAATCCAAGAAGATAAGTCATCAGGATTAAATCAGCCTCAATAAATGTAGATTCTTCTCATTTCCCCACCTTCTGAATTTGCTATCTTGTAAATGCTTTCTATCTAAAGTCAAAGGCAGTGATATGAGTGACACATTCAGTCCACTTCAACCAAATCATAGAATAAGCACACTTACTTGGCACCCAATGCCTGAAGCATATCACTTGTATATGCTGCAGGAAGCTGCGGTGCCCAGAGGCCTGGTTCTAAAACGGAGCTGGGATGCTGTGGACACATCCCTGAAACAGCTGGATTAGCAAGGTTCTAAAACCACTAGCTTCCTAATTGCTTCAAATCCCCCCAGCCCCATATTTTGCGAAGGTGTGGACCAACAGAGCACATGCCTGAAAACATGGTCAATCCAAAAGCAAACATTTCTAACAAGAAAGGAGGGAGAAGCTTGTCTTTGACATGAAAAGGTTTAATGTCCTCATTTGTGAAGGTGGTAAGAAAGAAACAACAGAACAGCATCAGAAAAACTGAATGCGACCACAAAGAAAATCCACTTCTGCTGAGCACATATTGATTGAGCATATACTTGTTCAGGGCCTGGCGGATGCAAAGGAGAGTGGGGCTGGGGTTTTAAGTAGTTCGTCATTGAACTTCCCCAAAAACATGGAAGGCTGAACAACTGTGTTTCCTTCCTGAATCCCTCTAAAGTGACTATAAAGCAATTTTTCAAACAGGAGGAATAAAGTAAGCTTAAATTCACCCTTCTCAGCTCACTGTCCTCCCCTCTCAGCAAACAACCTCACATCCCACTCCATGAGAACCCTGAAGCCATCAGAGAAAAAAATCCCCCAGTCACCCCATCTACAATTCTCCCACCCAACATCTGCCTGTGCCCATCCTCCCCTCCCTCCCTCTCTCCCTCCTTCCCTCCTTCCCTTCCTTCCTCTCTTCCTATTTCAAAACTGAACTGAGCTTCATTACCTAAGGTCATCCCCTAATTGTATCTCCCCATGCTGGGAGCTACTCCAGGGAACTCAGACAATTCTCCCAGCTCCTGCTTCCTCATCTCCCCCTCCACTGGGTCATCCCATCAGCATACAAACAAGCTGTTTGTCTCCTTCCTCCTTCAGCCACTGTCCCATTTCTCTACATGAAAGCACTGCAAAACTATCTTATACCTTATATTATTCCAATTCCTCTCCCTCCCCTTCTCTTTTAAACCCACTGCATTCAAGGTTTCCAGCCCACAGTCTTAGCACGGTGAGCAGTGCCATCCCTGTGCTAAATCCAGCAACCAATGCCCTCCTTACCTGACACAGCATATGACTCCTCCAGCTGGATGCATTTGCCTTCCTCTACTTCTGTAACACCACACTGGGAGTTCCCCGCCTCATTGACCACTTCTTTATCCGTCTCCTTTGCAGGTTTCTCCTCCCCACCCGCTAGACAGCAGTCTTGTGCCTCTTCACTCCTCTATCCGCATCCACCCTTTGGGGCTCTCATCTAGTCCTGTGGCTTCAAATGCCTTTCCTATGTTTAAAACTTCCACATTTATGTCTCTACCGTAGACCTCTCCCCTAAGCTCCAAACTCATAGCCAACTGCTTCTTTTGACAGCTTCACTCAGATGTCAGACAGACATCACACACTTAATGTGTCCAAACCTGAACCCCTGATCTTCCCCCACAAAACTTGTTCTTCCACAGCCTTTCCATCAAACTGACGACAACGCCATCCTTCCAGGTGCCAAGGTCAACAATGTTGATGTCATCTTCAAATTCTCCCTGTTTCTCATACTCACATCCAGTTGTTCAGGAAACCCCAGTGTCTCTACCTTTAACATAGACACAGAATCCACCACTTCCCAGCACTCCACTGTCCCACCTCGGTTCAGCCATGCCCTCTCTTGCCTGGATTATTGTGATCACTTCCTAACCACTCTCCCTGCTTCCACTCCTGCTCCACTGAGCAGCCAGCAGGACTGTGCTAAAGCCCAAGTCCCATCCTGTCCCCCCTCTGCTCAGGAACCTGCCAAAGCCTCCCCCATTGCTCCCATAGTCAAAGACAAAGTCCCTACAACGCCCTGCAAGGCCCTATCCCACCTGGGCTGCCTGGCTCGCCTCATCTCCTACTTCTCTCGCCTCACTTCTCTGTGCCCCTCGTGGGCCTCCTCACTGTGCCTTGATGGGCACCGCCCTCACATCAGGGCCTCTGCACTGGCTGCCCTTTCTGTCCCAACTGCGCTTCCTCCCAATGTTCCCAAGGCTTGCTCTGTCTCCTCTGAATGTTGCTCAGATTCACCTTCATAACGAGGCTCTCTCAGACCCCCACATTAGAACTCCACCTTCACAGCCCTCCTAGTCCATATTGACTGCTTGCTCTATTTTCCTATCGCATCAATCTATATTCTAACATAACAATTGTCTTTTTTTCTTTTTCCTCCTTTCTCCCTTCCTTCCACAAATAACTGAGATCAGAAGGAAGGAAAGAATGGAATGAGGGAGAAAGGGGAAAATGGGGCAGGACAGAGATGTCAACACATTTTGGAGTAGAAAGTAGACAAAAGAATGAAGAATGAGGAGCTATGCAGTCGAAGTGCCTGCAGAATGCTGTAGTGAAAAGGACTGAGCCAGTTCACTTCATCAGCCCCCAGAAAGGCTCAGAAGTTGGTGCTTCAAGTACTTCTGAGGCATTCACTGTTTACAGAATAGTTCAATCACTCGATCACCTCCTGTTCCCAACAGTCCAGTGACAACACCACCCTGCAGCCCTTCCATGCTGCATAATACAGGAGGCTTCTCTCTGGAAATAAAATGAATGAGAGTGACCACAAGCTGAGGGACATAGGCAGAGAAAGGGGCAGGAGTGAGTGGGCTTGCTCCCTCCACCATCATCCCTTTCCCCACAGCAGCCACGGGCATGTGGACTCCTCCACCTTCCAGGGATTGGAGGCTTCTTCCTTGGAAAAACTTCCACATGGAAGGGATTCACCAAATAATCAGAAAAACAATGGATGTTTACATGATCCATGCTGAGGGAAACAATCTTAGAATAATTTCAAATTCTCAAGGATGAGAGGATTTTAAATGCTATTAAAGCTTGGGGGAGTGTGTAGTGAGTGTCACATATCTCAGACGTCTTAATAGAAAAACAGTAAACTAGACAAGGGAGCAATGCCTAAAGAATCCTGAGGGAAAATTATCTTCAACCTATATTTGAAACAAGCCAATATTTATCAAGTATGAAAGTAGAATAAGAAAATCCAAGCATACAATAACTCAAAACTTACCTCCCATGTGTCCTTTCTCAGGAAACTCTTGAAGGATAACGGGAAGTTCCTGGATTATTAATACAAATTGAGTGGCTAGGGCAACAGCGGGGCACTATGGATAGATCAAGCTAGAAAACAAATGGGAGGCTCCTTAGGAAGGGGGAGTTGGAACCGATGGGTTACCTGCTGCCCTGCGTTGTGTGGAAGTGCTACTGATAGGCACTCTACAGCAATGGTTGAGTGTTTGGGGAAGAATTTTAAACTGTTGTGTAAAAGCAAAAGTTTACACAAAACTTTTGTTTCTGTGTAAACTTTTCAAAAAATAGATGTACAAGAAAGGGGACATAACCTCAGTACACTAGTTGGCTCAGCAGTGAAAAACAGTTCAATAATCACTTAGATGCAAACGTAGAATACAAGTTCAACCTAAAACTGTTACGATTTTAGGATAGGGGAAGGATACAGGAAGGAGCAGGAACTCACCATGGCAGAGACAATGGTATGTGTTCACCAAACCCAGTTTTCTTCCTCACTGGACACACAGCTAAATGTCCAGATCCTCAGCAAATAGCTTGGCATCTTGTGGTTGAGTTCTGAACAAGGGAAAGTGGACAGAAGTGATGATGTGCCACCCCTTGGCCATAAAATCTCTCACATTTAATCTTCTGTTCGCTCTTCCTGTTCCAGAGAAAACTTGGAGGTCACGTGTTGAAGATGGTGGCATCAAAGGATGGCAAGAGGCTGAGTCTCTGAATGTGTGGAGAACAACTTTGTACCCTCCCTCAATGACCTACACTGAGAGAGAAAGAAAACTTTATTGTGATAAGCTGCCATTATGGGAAGGTTGTTCACTATAGCAGCTAGCATGACTTATCCTAATATACTCAACCACTTATAATAGGGAGACAATGAAAAATCTGAAATTGACAAATCAAGAAATAGATGTTGAAGCAAATCATTTAGAAATATGTATCCATGTGTGTGTGTATATATGTATGTATAGACACACACACACATACACACATATGAAACACGTAAAAGAGTTCAAAGTGGCGCATTGGAGAAGTGGAACCGGGAGAATAGAGTGGGATGAGGTAGTTGACTGCTTAAATGTATGAATGAATAAACTTTGGAAGGTCATCCTTACTCACACTAACGAATGTTTTTCTTTATAAGCCTAATGGCAACACTTAACTTTCAATTATATGTTGCATAATTTAAATAAAAATATAAATTATTGATTTAAAAGAGACTTATAGGCTTCTAGGAAATGCAAATATGAGCATAGATAATTACAGAACACATAATATAAATACCCAAAGTGAAGCATGATGTTGTATTATGAGTGCACCACAAAAGAAGTTCTTCAAACAGATCAAACACATTTGAGTACAATAAAAGTTGCATTGAATTTGCTTCCATTGTTCCAAGGTAGATTTTGGGTATGACGGCTCATAAAGAATAGACATCACAGGAACGTTGTCTTTCCTTCCTTTCTTCCTTGCTTTGACTTTTTTTCATTTCTTTTCTTTCTGTTTTTTTTTTCTTTTTTTTTTTTTTGAGGGATATAAGAGGAAGATGTTTTAAATAGTAAATGGAAGAAGGCCAAAAATCAGAGCTCTGCTAGCACATCCTCTGCCTTTGTGCAAATTTTTTTAAAGCACCCTTCCTCGAGATACTTTCATCCATTGGAAAATGTCTTTAATATATTTATCTTGTTAGACTAAGACCCTTTGCTGACATCTGGTGGATATTCAAGTGCAAATATTCATACCTGCAAGGTGACTTGCCCTCTTTAGATGTGTGATTTGTTTCACGCACAACTCACGTTTTAAGCATCATCATTCCTAAAATGTCTGTTGACAGCCGTGGCCTTGTAGATCTTAGCCTGTCAATTTATTCTGTCTTGCTAGCTCTTTTCTTGCACCTTCTCCTTCTTCTCCTTTTCTTTCTCTTTAGCCTTCCTGTTTAAGACTGCCTCTCCTCTCAAAACAATTATCCCCTTCATTTGCAGAGCAAAAGCCGCAGTTTCAGCAGACACCTAAATCCTAAGAGCTTCACCTTCTACCCAGGGCTCTATCCAAAAATTAAGACATAATTGCAGAGCCTGTTGTTAATAAAAGAAACTACTTTCCATCTCAATCTAAATGTAGGCCACAATTCGGCGTGTCTTTTAGTGTAAGGCCTACACCACGCAACAGGTGAGTGGTACCCTGAGGGGTGCTCAAAAGAGAATCTCGCCCTGAGACTTGTGGCTCCACCACGAGCACCCTACCTGGAATGAACTCTGCCTGCTTGGAGCTGATATTTGCCATGCCCATTAGATCATGTTCAAGCCCTTGACTCAACCAGGTGCCAGAAAATCATGGGGTGTGCTTTCATTGTCCCTTCTCTTGGGAATCTGGGCTTCTTTTGCTGATGGTCGTTCAGAGCTCCTGATTCAGCTGAGTTGATTAAAAGGGAAGCCTTACCTACTTTTCCTCTGCCCTTTCCTGTTCTCATTTACTCAAAGGATTGCCTGATACACATCTGGAAAAGGAAAAAAAAAAAAAACACTTCAATACTTTATTCTGTCTGCGCCTCTTTCCTCTTTTGCCCTTTGTGGGAAATTGAACAAACCAGCCTATGATTTCAGAATATGATCCCCTTTGCCTACATGCGTGGTTCAATACACCAATTCTCTGGATTACTTTCTAAAACCCATAAGCCTGGGCTGGATTAAAAGATTTATCTTCAATGAATCACTTTCTTTCTATCCACCTCCCCTAACACTACTAGAGGGAAATGAGGTGCTTTCAAGCAGGCAACCCACTGTCAATGACAAGCCTCTGAATCATTTTGATTCTTACACATGCTAAACTATAAGACAAAATCACACTAGGAAACATTGTTTTTAAACCAAATGCAGTATAAATTCAAATGCCTTTAGCCAGTTTCATCATATTCTATTGGGTTTGAGTCCTGAGAAAATTTTAAGAAATTGTGATAAGTTAATCCAGAAAGAAGCTAAAGAAGGTAAGAATATGTTAAAATACAAAAGGATTATTAAAAGGGTCATGCCATAATTTATATCCAATAAAATTAGCTTAACCTACAATTATATAACATTTAGTTAGTGAAAGATTTTAAATGTATGGATGAATAAACTTTGGAAGGTCATCCTCACTCACACTAAGGAATGTTTTTACTTTGTTGCAAGCCTACGAGAGGCAGGAGAATGGAGATATAGCCTGCTGATCTCCCTAGAGCCAAAAGATTCTACACTATTCATTCAACAAGCACTAACTGGGCTTCCCTGTTTGTCATACACCTGTGAGATATTAAGAGTACTAATGTCAACTAGAATCCTTGCCCTTAAGGAGCTCACCATCTGCCAGTGAAATCCAGTTGTCCAATGCATTTCTGCTGTAGCTCAGTTTATCCAACAGGTAAGGGAAAGTCAGTCCCTTAAGACAACTTCCTGCTGATCTGAGATTCTCTCAGAATCACCTGACATTTTGAGTGGCATTAGATTTAGCCCAAATCATTGAACACCAGAAATCTATCCCCCTCCCTGAGAAGACCCATTGGCTCTCTGTTAACCAGCCAGAGTGAAAGGAAAGAGGATTTTTTTAAGTGTCCTAGAAGTACCTGAATTACACGATACACTAGGGATGATTTAGGAATAATGTAGAGAAGGAATTCCAACTTCACACTGGAAAATGCAATGCTGATCTCTCACTTCTGCAGCTTCAGTCGAGACTGTGTGTGACTGTTCAGGAACACAAGATTTGTGAGAAATCAGACCTTCTGATTCTGAGAATCCAGACTGTACACATTAAAATGTGGAAATCCATCCTATATTATCTGTTCTCCTTTGTCCTCTTAGAATTAAAAGTATATTATTAATATCATAATTAATTAATGATAATTTTTTAGAATCTGTACCGGTCAGGGTTTCAGCAGGAAAGAGACAACACACTCAGGATAATTCAAGAAATATAAGTAAAAGAACCCTCTGAAATTGCATGGGGAAACCACAAGAAATTGTGTGATCCCTGGGGCTAGTGTCATTGACACTAGACACTGGGGACTCACAGGTGGACAGAAAGGAGTGCTTATGACCAGAGGGAGAAAGTTATGTGAGAGGTATTGTGATCTGTCAGAGGGCACAGTGGTCCAGCACAAGCCTGCAGGGAGACCAGGAGAAAACACACCCCAGCCTCATTCCCCTCCCTCCTTCCCATTGGCTAAGGCCAAGTGAAAGTGAGAGGACATGAAAGCCCATGTCCCCTCACTTGGTTCAGCCATCGCCCCTTGATAAAGAGAAGGGTAGAGTAGAGGTGGGAGTGCAAAGAAAACATTCAGCCCAGAGCCCGAGGCTCAAGACCGACATCCACTTCCCTAGGGTCCCCCAAAACGACTTCAAAATGAACTCAGTAGACCCAGGATAATTAGAAAACAGATGTAGCCAATTCTTACTCCAAATTGGACCATCCTCCTGACCTACCCAGCTGCTGTGCTCTTTTTCCCTAGCCGTGTATCATCAGATGCCAATTGGCATCCTTAATAAATCATCTAATAACATAAAGATATGGGTGACAATTTAGTAAATGCAATTAAGATGTAGCATCAGAAGTATGATTCATGAATGGGAACTGGAGCATCAATAAACATTCAAAATGATCCACTACTCTTTAAATATTGCTTGCTTGCTTTTCTTCTCATTGTTATATATTTTAGGTATAAAATTCCTATGTATTATACACATAGATACAGAAGATACTCTATAACAATAGGACAAGACTTGCCATTAGAGATCACCAACTGAATACAAATAATTACTTTTTCTTTCTACCAAATCCCAATGAAATAAAACAAATACATATTATGAAAATAAATTTACAGCGATTTCCATCAGCCAGGGAGTGCCATCAGAAGACCAGATAATGATCCATGTGGAGATAAAGCAGAGGGGAGCAATTGATGCCAAACTCAACAGACTCAAGGAACCCATCAACCCTAAGTCAACAGGGATATCCAAAACTTGTGAGGCTCGTCCTTCAGAACCTCTGAGTAATCCCACATCAGCAACAAGGGCCTGGAGAAGGAGCCTTTAGGGTGCTACATGCTGACAATTGGCTTTGATTTCTAAAATTGCCTTTCTGATGTGGCAGCAACCTGGGGTGGTTGCTGGGGGCCACCAAAGCTGACTTTCATAATAGACAGGTGGGGCCCTTGTAACCCAGAAGACTACCAGCACACCTGCCTCACCATGTCCCTAGCCAAGAAAAGAAGCTCACCGTGACAGCTGAGGTCTCTGGGACCCCACTGGGGACACTGGAGGGGGACATGGGCTCCAGGTTTGCAAATTGCTGACATGAGAAAGTGTCCCAAACCAGGGAGTGTAGCAGCAGGAGCTGGGGGTGGAATTAAACAACCATAACATTCAACTTTCTAGCTTTCTAGAAAGGAAGTTCCTGGTAGCAGGAACATGGTTTTTGTTACATTATTTCTACTCCTTGAATGCTTAAAATACTTTATAATAATTTTTTAAGAATTGTAACAATCCCTTGTAACAGAGAAACATTTATCTGAAGTCTAGTATTTCCTTCAGTTTCACTTCAGCTTCCTTTTCCAATGATTTCAAATAATATTAAATTCCATAAATTTTGTTTTTTAAAAGCTCTGTGTATGGTATAATCTTCTTCTTCTGAAATTATTTCTGTATGGACGTGTGTGCTGAAATGTGTCTATTTTAATGTTCAGAAAATATTAACACAGGTGTTTTTCAGGATAATTAGGTTTAGCGTGGTTTGTTGCCTTCTTTTCGTACCTTAAAAAAACCATGTTGGCTAGGCACAGTGGCTCACTCCTGTAATCCCAGCACTGTGGCACTGTGGGAGGCCAAGGTGGGCAGATCACCTGAAGTCAGGCACTCGAGACCAGCCTGGCCAACATGGCGAAACTCCTCCTCTACTAAAAATACAAAAGTTAGCTGGGTGTGGTGGCACACGCTTGTAATCCTAGCGACTTGGGAGGCTGAGGCAGGAGAATCACTTGAACCCAGGAGGAGGAGGTTGCAGTGAGCGAAGATCATTCCATTGCATTCCAGCCTGGGCAACAGAGCAAGACGCCATCTCAAAAAAATAAGTTAGTTTTTTGTAATTAGCATGTAGCATATGTAGGAAACAATATTAAATCCATGGGGCTGAAATCCTGGGGCCCTGGACCACTTTCCCTTGAGCATAACATAGAAGGAAGGAGTGTTCTCCCATTGCTCTGTGGAATAACCAAGGCTGGTTAGACATCTGCAAGTGTGACAGAGCAGTGTCTTCTAAGAGAGGCTGAGGAACCAGCAGCACTGCCAGGGCATCGGCAACTCCCGCCCTGAGCCCAGCCTCTCATTCTCCTGACCACAGTCACAAAGACAAGCATGTCATCAGCAAGACTGAGCCTGCAGAGAATCCAGCTCTCAGGAACCCAAGGCAGCCAGTTAAGCACAAAGCCATGGTGGCGAAGGCATGCGCTGTAGCCCTGAATGTCAGAATGGTGGGGCCCTGGGTCACTCTGCCTTGGAGCACATTACAATACCTTTTAAAGACTGAATGGACTGCCGAAGGAACCATATCCTTCTTACTGTGTGAGAGCAGATCTGGGGCGCAGCCACAGCTGTTTAATCCCATGCTTCTGGGCCTGCGGATCCTCTGTTACACCAGCCGGTCAGGGCTGCCACATCAAACATAACAACTAGCATCAAGCCTCAGGCCACCAGAGGAACACTGGGGTATCTGACCCACTAGCAAATGTGACTCTTAGAAAATTAGGGGACAGGGGATACGGTGGGGGATTATGAGAAAATCAGGGTAGAAGTGGCCTCAGGAAAAGATTGGTCTCCCTGCCACACTAGGTTAGGACTCAGACTCATTATAATACAGGTATCAAGGCACAAGTGACCTAATCTATTCTTCCAAACTGTTTTCATCTTTCATCTCTCCTGTATGCTACTTTTTTCTACTCCATCCCCTCATTAGAAGGAAGAAAGGAAGTATTATATGTTTGTGTGTGTGTGCATGTGTGTGTGTGTTTGTGTAAAGGAAGAATTGCACATGTATTTATAGCTATGTATCTTTGTATACATTCCTACACGTCTTCATCTATTCACGTGTCTCTGATTTGCTAACTCAGCCCTTATTCAATTTCTTCATAATGCACATCCCATCAGAAATTATTTCCTTTTTCTAACAATTGCTTTCTTCTCCCTTCATCCCATAGTGGATTATAATCTCCATGAAGGCAGGAAGCTGGGCTACACTGGAGTGGGAGCAAACACACGCCAGGGAGCTCTGGAGATGAACAGCCATGTCCCAGGCAACAAGATACTGGGCCTTGAGTCACTGAAAATGAGGGAGGGGGCTGTAAGACCCTAAAGAAAGCCAGGACACCCAAAGTGGCTACATATTCATTGAAAGGGTGGATGGGTACGAAATCAGCCAGAATCGAAAAGGACCCACAAGGAAATCTACCTGTCTCTCCCTGAGACTCCGTAATCTTAGGCCTGTTCACAAAAGAATCTGAGAAACAAATTCACGCCAGCTGTGGTGGCTTTGCAATATGTCCACTTGGCTCGGCTGGACCACACATCCCAGGATGCCCTTCCTTCCATATTTCCGGTTAGGGTGGGCAACAAGTGACACACTTATGGAGCTTTGGAGGGCCAAAAGAAGCAGCCACCATGTTGCAGCTCCCATACCTCTCACTCACCTGCTGGGTAACCTCTATGGCCTGCAACTGCTCCATCCGTCTCTGGACCCTCCTTCAGCTTCTCTGACTCCTGGGCCGGGGGTGTGTGTTTAGCTTCAAGACGAAGGGCCCATGCCACTAAGATCAAAGGCAAAAGGAACTAACACAGGCTCCTAACTGTCCTCATGGGCTCCCACTTCTACTGGAGGGGTCCAGCTTGTCACTGGTCTCCCCCACTACACAGTCATCTCTCCTTCCCAACCACCTGCTGGACTTGAAGCCCTAGCATCAGAAGCAAAGACAGCAACTGTACAGAGCCTGATTAAACAGCAGCCACCACTGCATAAGGGCAAATCCAGTAACAAATCATGTGCATGTATATGTCCTAGTTTTCCTGCTTCTCTGGTTGAACCTTTCTTTTCTGCATTTGTCTCAGACTTAAGCAAATGCCTGATAGTGGCTGGGTTAGAAGATTCACAAAATGCCCCAAGTGTCACTAAAGCTTATGAAAATGGGCTTTGTTTATGTTCTTATAAAACAAGAGGTTTTTTGGTTTTTTTGTTTTTTGAGACAGAGTCTTGCTCTGTTGCCCCGGCTGGAGTGCAATGATGTGATTTCAGCTCACTGTAGCCTCCGCCTCCCACGTTCAAACGATTCTCCTGCCTCAGCCTCCTGAGTAGCTGGGATTACAGACATGTACCAGCACATCCGGCTAATTTTTGTATTGTTAGTAGAGACGGGGTTTCACCCTGTTGGCCAGGCTGGTCTCAAACTCCTGACTTCAGGTAATCTGCCCGCCTTGACCTGCCAAAGTGCTGGGATTACAGGCCTGAGCCACCCTGCCTGGCCAAAACAAGAGTTTCTGATAAACCACAGTACATCCAGACAATGGATTATTATTCAGTGCTAAAAAGAAATGAGCTATCAAGTCATTAAAAGATATGAAAGAAACTTAAATGCATATTACTAAATGAAAGAAGCCAATATGAGAAAGCTACATACTCTATAATTCCAACCATATGACATTATGCAAACAGCAAAATTATGCACTCAGTAAAAATGTTCAGTAGTTCCCAGGGGTGAGGGGAAAGAGGGATGAATAGGCAGAGGACAGGATTTTCAGAGCAGTGAAAGCACTCTATGTGATACTAATAATATAGGAGTCCGGCAGGGAAATACTGGGTAGAGAAGGGTGGGTTCCTGGCGAGGGTTCCACCCTTGGGCCTGTGCCCACGGACCTAGGTAAGGGCAGGCATTTCTGTTTTCGCACCCGAATGTTATGTTTTCTAAGACCACCCTAGCCCACCACGCCTTCATCCTGTGCCTGTAAAAACCCCGAGATCTTAGCGGGCACGCGCACAAGTGGCTGGACATCGAGAGGCACACACCGGCAGAAGAACACACCCACAGGCATGGGAAGACGCTGCTGGCGGAATGACGTGGGCATCAAGGGGAATTTGGCTGGGGCGGTCGGAGGAGAGTCCAGCCGCTGAGCGCCTGACTCCAGGGAAAAACCACCTTCCCACTCCATCCTCCTTCTGGCTCCCCATCCATCTGCTGAGAGCTACCTCCACCATTCAGTAAAACCTTGCACTCATTCTCCAAGCCCACCTGGGGTATGATTTTTTCCGGTACACCAAGGCAAGAACCCTGGGATACAGAAAGCCTTCTGTCCTTGCAATAAGGCAGAGGGTCTAATTGGGCTGATTAACACAAGCCGCCTACAGATGGCAAAACTAAAAGAGCACACGATAACACACGCCCACTGGGGCTTCAGCTGTAAACATTCACCCCTAGACACTGCCATGGGGTCGGAGCCCCACAATCTCCCCATCTGCATGCTCCCCTTAGAGGTCTGAGCAGCGGGGCACCGAAGAAGTGAGCCACACCCCATCACATGCCCTGCGAGGGGGACAAGGGAACTTTTACCGTTTCACTGTAATGGTGGCTACACGTCATTACACATTCATTCAAACCCCTAGAATGCACCGCACCAAGAGTGAAGTCTAATGTTATCTATGGACTCTGGGTGATAATGATGAATCAATGTAGGTTCATCAGTTGTAACAAATGTACACTCTGGTGGGGGGGCATTAATAAAGGGGGAAGCTGTGCATATGTGGGGTCAGGAAGCATGTGGGAAGTCTAAGTCTTAAAAAAAAAAAAAAAAACAAGCCTTTCTTCCATTTCAGGATTGGAAAGTTCAGATAACCAAGCATTGCTGCCTCGGAAGTTATAATTTTACCAGAGAGACAAAAAAAAGAAAGAAAAAAATTACTAGTAGAGATATTGTCTCTGGGAAATATTAGGTAAATATCAAAGATTCTAGTCTTGGCACAAGTTGACATCCCATCCCTAACTTCACACACATCCTATGGGACCTTGTCAGCTAATGTGCTGCCCTCCCAACAACAAAAGGAAACACTTCTTCCTCACAGAAGGGCCCTCAGAAACCTCAAATACAAAGAAAAACATGTCAACAACAATGATTTTAGAGGAAGTTTACAGAGGAAAAATTTATGTGAGAAACAAATCCACTTTCATTAGGATCTTTGTAATATTTTTAACTAGATAAAACGCAAACTTCAGGCATATGCTATACTATGGGAAAATATACTCTAAAGATATAGAGAAGCCCCATTGGAATTATAGTTGTGTTTGTCAGATACTTCTGAATTCTAAGCTATTTAAGGTTAAGATAATTTGAAAATATTACATTCACTTTTCATTGATATTACTTTTTTTAGCCATAAAAAATAAAGTACAGCCATTTCAAAAATTGAGAACAGGCCAGGCGTGGTGGCTCATGCCTGTAATCCCAGCACTTTGGGAGGCCAAGATGGGTGGATCACTTGAGGTCAGGAGTTCAAGGCCAGCCTGGCCAGCATGGTAAAACCCCATCTCTACTAAAAATACAAAACTTAGCCAGGCCTACTGGTGGGCACCTGTGATCCCAGCTACTCCAGAGGCTGAGGCAGGAGAATAGTTGAACTCGGGAGGTGGAGGTTGCAGTGAGCCGAGATCATGCTACTGCACTCCAGCTTGGGCAACAGAGTGAGATCCTGTCTCAAAAAAAAAAAAAAAAAGAGAGAGAACAATGCATACTATATTTCAAAATGGTATATTTGTATATTCTTCCAAATATAAAAGCAAAAAAATGTATTTGCATTTACTTATAAAAAATAAGATGGTCAACGGAGCTGCTCTTCAGAAATCTGTACCTTTGGAAGAACACTGGGACAAAGAACATTCGAATGCTACCTGAGGCTGCAGAGAAGGAAACAGAAACCAGTGGTCAAATAAAGATAAGGCTGGGGCTGGGCATGGTGGCTCACGCCTATAATCCTAGCACTTTGGGAGGCCGGGCGGGAGGATTGCCTGAGCTCAGGAGTTCGAAACCAGCCTGGGCAACACAGGGAAACCCTGTCTCTACTAAAAATACAAAATAATTAGCCGGGCATTGTGGCATGAATCTGTAGTCCCAGCTACTCAGGAGGCTGAGGCAGGAGAATTGCTTGAACCTGGGAGGCGGAGATTGCAGTGAGCCGAGATTGTGCCACTGTACTCTAGCCTGGCTGACAGAGCGAGACTCCATCTACCAAAAAAAAATAAAAAATAAAAAAAATAAAAAATAAGGCTGGAAGCTCCACTATGAAGTTACTTGGACAGGAGTTGGACTTGCTAAAAAATGGAAAATGTGAACACATCACACATCTGGAGCAAGTGTTTGAGACCCCTAAGTGAATGTACCTTGTGATGGGGCTCTGTGAACAGGGAGAATTTGAAGAAATTCTGAATAGGAGAGGGCACATCCAGAGAATGAGTCAAGGTAGGTCATCCTAAGCCTCACATCTGCTGTAGCGTGTCTTCACAATAAAGTACATAGAAATCTGAAACTGGAGAGCATAATGGTTCAAAGCAGCTTTATTGATGCTAACAACAAACTGAACTTCAACATAAAGGTAATTTTGGCTTAGCAGGGAGGAAGCCATGCTGCGCACCACATGTGGGGCTCCCGTCTGCATGACCCCTGAAGTTATCAATGCCCATAGCTATAGCCAGCAATGTGACACTGGGGCCATCAGGTCACAAGGACATATCGTTATGTGGGAACCCCCTTTATGGCAAGTTCAGAAGAGACATTTTTGAATTAACAGAAAGAGAGAGCTACATTTTGAAGATCCACTTTGGGATTCTATAAGTGATTGCACTAAAAGCATTTTGAAACGACTTATCAAAGTGGATCCTGCTCCCAGAATCACAGCTAAGGAACTGCTCGATGCCCAACGGCCAGCAGGCCATACACTTCCTTTGGCGAGATCAACCAATGTGATAGAAATGATTTAAGAATGGAAAGACAACCCAGGAACCGATGAGGAAAACACAGCAGGTCGAAAAAAGAGCAACTGCTTCATTCAAAGATAGTTGAGAAGCTACCAACCCGAGGAAATGCCACTGATGTCCTAACACTTCAATTGAAGAAGAGGAAAACCAGCCCTTTTGTGAAAAGATATCATCTGTGTCCAGTAAGAAGGCAAATATGGACAGAAGGCAAATATGGACAAGCAAATAAGGGCCACATGTAGCAACCACTTTCTGTTGGGCTCAGTGGAGACATAGAGAAACCCCCTGTGACTTCAAGACAGAGAATAACAACCAAATGCACTACTAAATCAACTGCAATGCCCTGTGTAGAACCAAATAAGGCAAGTTCAAGGTTTCCTCCAAGGCTGAACAGTACAAGGACAAGCTATTCTTCCTTGTGCTAAAATGAGAGGATGAAAGGAAGAAAGGACAGGACTATTCTGAGCCTGTCAGCTCCACTGAGCCCTGTAGCTGCTTGCATCAATTTAAAATGGAAGCTATGGCTACGTACCGCGGCTCACGCCTGTAATCCCAACACAGAACTTTGGGAGGCCGAGGTGAGCAAATCACGAGATCAGGAGCTCGAGATCATCCTGGCTAACATGGTGAAACCCTGTCTCTACTAAAAATACAAAAAATTAGCAAGGCGCCTGTAGTCCCAGCTATTCAGGAGGCTGAGGCAGGAGAATTGCTTGAATCCGGGAGGAGGAGGTTGCAGTGAGCCGGGATCACGCCACTACACTCCAGCCTAGGTGACAGAGCAAGACTCTATCTCAAAATAAATAAATAAATAAATAAAATTAAATTTAAAAAATAAAATAAAATGGAAGCTATTTATCTCCAAAGCAGCATGAACTGTATGTGGTGTTACAGCACAGCCACCAATGGGCTTGACAGCAGGCTGCAGCCAGAATCAACTCAAGACCTATCATAGGCTAAGGCTGTCTAATGGACAGATGCCCTCAAAGCAGTGGGACCAGTTGAGAAGGCTTTGAGTTATACTTGCTCAGTTTTCCTCACTGTGATGGCTAAGTTCATGCATCAATTTGAATGGTCATTGACCATGGAGTGTTCAGATTAAACATTATTTCTGGATGTGTCTGTGAGGGTACTAAATTACTTACATATAGCCAATTAAAAACAGATATTAACCCTGTCCTTCATTCCCTGACCTCCCCCCAACTCGCCACACACACACACACACACACACACACACACACACACACACACACACAATGAATTCTACAAGAGTGTGGTGAGATTCACTGCTCATGGTAATGTCAATCAGAACGAATTTTCTTAAAAGTAATGCAGCTTATACCAAAAGCCTTTAAGACATATATATCCTTGGTGCAGTCATCCTTAGCCTCAGTCTTCTCATCTGTAAAATGAGGACAATGATGCCTCCCTATGACAGCTGAAATTCTGTATTCAGGCCATCTGAAAGCTATAGTTGCTTAATAAATGCCACTTCCATTTGTCTCTTTCCTCTGGTAAAACCCCATCTTGTTCACTATCCAAACAACAGCATGGTTACTACCTTGGTTACCTATGTTATTATTTACAGCTGTTATCTTACAAATGCACTTCCACATGGCTTTTAAACAAAGATGATAACCAGGGTAAGTCAGAGACCAAGAACCCAATTGCAATCACCTTATCGGACATTAAATTCATGATGTTTTTATGTGGTTTGATTTGTGTTCTGATCAAAGAAGCTAAGCAGGATACAGAAGATGTACCATGGCCATTTGGTACGTGGACCCAGGACTGTCCCATGTGTGACTTTCCTTAATCTACACAACAACTGGCTAAAATAAAGCATTATTAACTCCATTGGATCGATTAAGAAACTGCAGCTCAGAGAAAATAAGTGGCTTGTGCAAGAGATCAGAGGTAGAGCCAGCATTTAAACCAAGATCTTCTGGCTCTAAGATGCATCTATGGTCTTTCTTCCAACATGCTACCCCAGGGGAACTCCTGGCTCCACCTCTGACCTAAGTACTCTCTGACCAAAATCAAGTAGAGCCTACAGATGTCTTCTGTATGGCATCACAGAAAAGGCAGTGGGCTCTTTACATTCATCTTTCAACAGGTATTCATTGAGCATCTTCAACGTGCAGGCTCCATGATAGGGTCTAGGAATGCAGAGATCACCAAGCAAAACCCCTGCTCATGACACTGACTTATGTTTTAGTTAAGAAGCCCGCTTGAGGTGAATAAGTGAATGTAATGAGGTAAGCACAGGAATTGGATGGACAGAAGATCCAAAGACATCATATTGGAAATAAGACCTGGTAGTGCCAACCCTGCAAAGAAATCAGGATTGGGGGTGGGAGGGTTTAGGCAGAAAAGCAGAAAGAGAAAAGAGCATTGGATGACATCAAGATTGTGAAGTAGGAAGTCCTGGAGCCTCCTTCCCCCTACTAACACACTGATTCAACAAAATTCACAGACAAGTTCCCTTCGTGAGAATCCCAGAAACTAATTGAAAGACAAAAGAACTACAAGACTGACAGAAAACAAATCAAAAAATGGCAATAGTAAATTCATCCTTATCAATAATTACTTTAAATCTAAATGGATTAAACTCTCCAGTCAAAAGACACAGTGGCTGAAGGAATTTTTTTAAAGACCCAACTATTTGTTGTCTACAAGAAATTCACTTTGGACGTAAGGACACAAAGGCTGAATGTGAAGGGATAAAAAAAGATATTATATGCTGCAAATAAGCAAAAAAGAGCAGGGTAGCTATATTTACGTCAAACAAAACAGACTTTAAGTCAAACATTGGCACAACAGATAAAGAAGAACATTATACAATGATAAAAGAATCAATCCACCAGGAAGATAAAACAATTATAAATACATATGCACCCAAAATCAGAACACATAAATATATAAAGCAAACACTGACAGAACTAAAGGGAGAAATAGATACAATAATAGTAGGAGATTTAAATATCCTACTTTCAATGATATTTTTGGTAGAACAGCAAGTCAGAATATCAATAAGAAAAGAGCAGACCTGAACACTACAGACCAAATGGACCTAACAAACATCCAGAATATTCCACCCAAAAATAGCAGAATATACCTTTTTCCAGCACATGCAGAAGTTTCTCCAGGATAGATGACATGGTAGATCACAAAACAAATCTTCATAAATTAAATAAAATTGAGATGAGGCATGGTGGCTTATGCCTGTAATCTCAGCAATCCCAGCACTTTGGGAGGCCAAGGCAGGAGAATCACTTGAGGCCAGGAGTTGGAGACCAGCATGGACAACATAGTGAGAACCCATCTCTACAAAAAGAAAGAAGAAGAAGTAGAGGGAGAAGAGGAAGAAGAAGAGGAAGAAGGGGAAGAGGAGGAAGAAGAAGAAGAAGAAGAAGAAGAAGAAGAAGAAGAAGAAGAAGAAGAAGAAAGGAGCGGGGGAGGGGGAGGGGGGAAGAGGAAGAAGAAGAAGAGGAGGAGGAGGAAGAAGAAAAAGAAGAGGAAGGAGAAGGAGGAAGGAGAAGAAGGAGAAGGAGAAGGAGAGACTGAAATCATACCAAGTATCTTTACTAAGCATAATGGAGGAAACCAGAAATCAATAGCAGAAAGAAAACTGAAAAATTCATAAATACATAGAAATTAAACAAATCATTATTTAGTAACCATTGAGTCACTGAAGAAATCAAAAAGGAAATTAGAAAATATCTTGAGAAAAATGAAGACAAAGATGCAAAATACCTAGGATACAGCAAAAGTAGTACTAAGTGGGAAGTTTATTGCAATAAATGCCTATGTTAAAAGAGAAGATCTCAAATAAGCAACCTAATTTTATATCCTAAAGAATTATAAAAAGAAAAACCCAAGCTCAAAGCAAGTAGAAGGCAAGAAATTACAAAATATTAGATCAGAATAAACAAAATAGAAAACAAAAAAATAGAAAAGATAAACAAAACTGAGTTTTGAAAAATAAAATTGACAAACCCTTAGCTAAACTAATTCAGAAAAAAAGGGAAGTAAATAAAATTAGAAATGAAAGAGGAGACATTACAACTAATACAACAGAAATAAGAAGAATAATGAGACTACTATGAACAAACATACACCAACAAACTGGATAACCTAGAAGAAATGAATAAATTCCTAAAAACATACTGCCTACCAAGACTACACCATGAAGAAATAGTGAAGGGAAAGTGTGAATAGAACTATATCTAGTATGAAGATTGAATCAATAATCAAAAACCTCTCAACAAAGTAAAACCCAAACCAGATGCTTTCACTGGTTAATTCTACCAAACATTTAAATAAGAACTGATGTCAATTTTTTCTCAAACTCTTTCAAATAATTGAAAAGGAAGGAACACTTCCAATTTCATTTTTTGAAGTCAGCATTACCCTGAAATCAAAGCCAGCAAAGATACCACAAGAAAACTACAAACCAATATCTCTGAAGAACATACATGCAAAAATCCTCAACAAAATTCTAGCAAACCAAATCCAGCAACACATTAAAAGGTTCATACCTCAAGTGGAAATTTCCCCTGGGATGCAAGGATGGTTTAACATATGAAAATCGATTATGTGATACACCACATTAACAGAATAATGACAAAATTTGCATAATCATCTCAATAGATGCAGAAAAAGCATCTGACATTATTCAACACTCTTTCATAATAAAATCTCTCAACAAATTAAGAATAGAAGGAAGGTATGTCAACATAATAAAAGCCATATTTGAAAACTCCACAGCTAATATCACATTCAATGGTAAAAAACTGAAAGTTTTTCCTTTAAGATAAGGAAAAAAGCAAGGATGCCCAGTCTCCACTACTTCTATTCAACGTAATATTGGAAGTCCTAGCCAGACCAATTGGGCAAGAAAAAGAAATAAAAGGCTTCCAAATCAGAAAGGAAGAAGTAAAATTATCCCTGTTTGCAGATTACAGGATCTTATGTATAGAAAACCCTCAAGACTTCATAAAAAACTGTTAGAACTCATATATAAATTCAGTAAAGTTGCAGGATATAAAATCAACATACAAACATCAGTTCTATTTCTATACGCTAACAAACTACCTGAAAAAGAAATTAGGAAAACAATCCAATTTACAATATCAACAAAAAGAACAAAATACTTAGAAATAAACTTAATTAAAGAGAGGAAAGACTTACACTAGAAACTATAAAACATTGATTAAAGAAATTAAAGAAAACACAAACAAATGGAAATATATCTTGTGTTCATAGATTGGAAGACTTACTATTGTCAAAATGTCCATACTACCCAAAGCAACTTACAGATTCAATGAAATCCCTATCAAAATCTCAATGGCATTTTTTTTACAAAAATAGAGAAAACAATTTTACAATTTATATGGAGCCAGGAAAGACCACAAAGAGCCAAATTAATCTTGAGAAAGAAAAACAAAATTGGAAGCACCACACTTCCTGATCCCAAACTGTGTTACAAAGCTATAGTAATCAAAACAGCATGGTACTACCATAAGACAGACATAAACCAGTAAAACAGAATAAAGCCCAGAAATAAGTCCTTGCATATATGGTCAACTAACCTTTGGGTAAGTACCCTTTGACAAGGGCACCAAGATTAGAAAATGGGAAAAGAATAGTCTCTTCAACAAAACCGAATGTCCAGTGCAAAAAAAAAAAGAAAGAAATTGTACCATACACAAAGACCTTACATTCAAAGATCAGGGTAGGCATGATGGCTCATGCCTGTAATTTCAGAACTTTTGGAGGGCAAGGCAGGAGGATCATTTGAGCCCAAGAATTTCGAGGCCAGCCTAGACAACATAACAAGACCCCATCTCTACAAAATTTTTAAAATTTAGCCAGGCATGATGATGCACACCTGTAGCCCTAGCTAATTGGGAGGCTGAGTTGGGAGGATTGCTTGAGCTCAGTTGAGATTACAGTGAGCTATGACTGCACCACTGCACATCAGCCTGGGTGGCAGAGAGAAACACTGTTTATTCAAGAAAAAAGATCAATTCAAAATGGATTAAAGACATAAGAACTGAAACCATAGAATTCCTATGAAAAAACATAGTGGGGAAGCTTTATGACCTTGGTCTTAGCAATGATTTTATGAATATGAAACCAACAGCACAGGCAACAAAAACAAGTGCAACGTTGTACCTGTAGTCAACAATAATGTATTGTACACTTAAAAATGTGTTAAGAGGACGGATCTCATGTTAAATATTCTTACCATGATAATGTTTTAATTTATAAAGAAAAGAGGTTTATTTGGCTTATGATTCTGCAGGCTGTACAAGCATGGCACCAGCATCTCCTCAGCTTCTGGGGAGAAGGAAGTCTTTACTCACGGAAGATAGTGGAGGGGAAGCAGGCACTTCACAGGGTGAGAGGGAGCAAGGGAGCAGTTAAATAAATAAATAAGAGCAAAGGGTATTGGGGTGGGCAAGGAGTGAAGGAGGGGATTAAGGAGTAAAACAATTGCTGGAGTGATGTGAGGGGGCACAGGAGGTAAGCAACGCGTCCTCATCCATCAGGGCTGAGTGGGCCCAGGTGGGACTGTATTCTAAAGGATAGTGGGGGAAGCCATAAGGGGAAGTGACACCACCTGATTTACATTTTTTTTAAGACCCCCGTGACTTTAGTGTGGAGAACAGAGTGAAAGCATTAAGTCCAGCTTAGGACTCCAGCTGTACTCCTGCAGCAAGAGAATGGTGGCCCAGTAATGGGCAGAAGTGGTGAGCATTCAGGAAAGTGGGGTTCTGAGTCACCTTGCTGATGAATTGGGTATGTGAATATAAGCACGAGGCTAGGGATAAAGGAAAGAAAGAAATCATGAGTGAGCTCTTGTATGTTTACTTGAACAACAAGGTGCCATTAACTGAAGTGAGGAGGCCAAAGGAGAAACAGATAGAAGGATTTGATGTTGGCTGAGGTAAGTTTCAACTGCTGGTGAGATATCCAAATGAATATAGGAAGTTGGTAGTTGAACTTAGAAGCCTTTGGTTCCTTGCAGTATTCAGGATTGGATTGGATTAACTAGGAAATGAGTCTAGAGAAGGGAAGAGTGTCTAGAGACAGTCTGGCTCCTCATTTAGAAAGTTAGAGCAATGATTCCCACCTAGTCTACCTTGTAGGGTCTCCACTAGGATTCATTGAGGAGAGGGCAGAGCTCTGTTCCAATTTCAAGGATCCTAAGTTGCAAACACCACCCCACTATTCCCTCTTCTCAGCGGTAAGGAGGCTGATGAGGAATTTCCGATGTGGGGAAGCTCTCCAGTGAGACTGGAAATGTTGCTGGAGCCTCCACCCCTACCTCCAGGACAGGCTGGTTCTCCCAAGCCTTAGCCTCATTTCAACGACCCTGAGACAATCAGAAATGACCTGGTCTTCTTCCCCATCCTGCCCATTGTTATTGTGAAGCCCATCACCATTTTATCAAAATATGTAGCACAGAAGAGCCCACTCTGTTGTTGAGATGCTCATGAAACCTTTGGGTAGTTGGCCTGAGAAGTTTGAGAAACACCAGTGCCTCCTTTTCTCAAACTGTACAGGCACATTTTTCTTCATGCAGAATTTCACATATGGAAGATTTCACTTTGTAATTCCCAGATGTTCTTCTGTTATCTATGAGCAAGATAAATTCTTTTTTTCTTTTCTGTAGGTTACACACAAACACACACACACACACACACACACACACACACACCCATCCTCCCATCTAGCTGCAAAACAGAAAACATTTTTTCATTGAATTGTATCTTTCCCGTCCTTTTGAATGCAGAACAAACATGGAAAATGTTCAAAGGAATAATCCCTCCCAAGACTATGATGTAAATAAAGAGGGGGTGATGACGATGTCCCCTGGACTCAATGCTGATCGCTCTTCACTATTACCCAGGGGGCAAATGCTGCCGGCGCAAGGCCAACCACCTGCACTTCATCCACACCTCCACAACTTGTCCAGCCTTTCAGCTGCCTTGGCCTTCATCTCCCGTCTTTCCAGTGAAGAAGATAAAAGCATTCATTCCCTCCCTAAGGATGTTGTGGAAAGAGTATGTAAGAATCCACTGTGTGTGGCTGTGTGGTCTGAGTCACTCTAAAATGGAAAATATAAGAATGGAAGTATAGAAAATATGAAATCCTTGCTTTAGGAAAGAGGCTCCTGTGATCTCACTTGATGATTAAATAAATCAGTATCACTAACACAATAACAAGTGTTTCCTACTCCCTCAAAAACATTATCATAAATATATTGCATGAATATATGTACATCTATTTACATAGACACACACACATACTTCATCTACACAATTACACATAAGGAGGCTGTAGGTTGCATGTATAGTAAACATGTACAAATCTTCTCAGAACTCCTCCTGTGTGCCAAGGTCTATGCTAAGTGCGATGGATGTGAAAATGAATAATACACAAAATACCTTTCCTTGTGGAGCTTATTGGCTAGTAGTGGACACAGACTTCTAGACAATCTCAGCCTGCCTATCAAGTAAAACAACAGGCATTTTCTCAGATTTGCAGAATGTTCAGAGGAGAGACAGAGCATCACTTTCTGGCAGAAAGTATAGGAGGCTGGATACTGGTCCCCAAAGATGCCCATGTCACAATCCCAAAGCCTGTGGCTATGTCATCTTGCATGGCAAAGAGACTGTGCAGATGGGATTAAATTAAGAACCTTGACAAAGGGAGGTTATCCTGGATTATCCAGGTGGGCCCAAGGCAATCACAGGGGTCCTAGAAGAAGGAGGCAAGAGGATACAAGCCAGAAAATCAAAATGGGATGATGGAAGCACAGGCTGGAGTGATGTGTTTTGAGGATGGAGGAAGGGGCCACAAGTCAAGAACGCAGGAGGACTGTAGAAGCTGGAAAAGGCAAGGAAAAGATTCTCCTCTAGAGCCTAGAAAATGGCCCCACCAACACCTTCAGGTTATGCTCCTACCTCCAGAACTGGGAGAGAATACAATTGTGTTGTTTAAGCCACTAAACTTGTGGGAAGCTGCTACGGCAGCTAGAGGAAACTCACACGGGTTAGGAAGAGATTACCGGAAGAGATCAGATTTAGGCTTTGAAAACTAAGTAGGAAGTTTCAGGAGGCCAACACAGGGGTGACAGGTGGGAGCACCCAGGCATGGGGACCATGCAAGCAGTGGACGGAGGGTACACATGCTGCAGCATCCCAGAGGCTCTGCTTTCCTTTATCTTTTGTTCGGTCACTAGAGGGTAGTGGAGAGGAGGAGGATGTGATACTGAGTGGACTGTGGAAGGCCTTGAATGGGGAATATCAGTTACAGCCACAATAATGCTGTGTAACAAACCATCCCCAAACCTGTGGCTTCACACATCAACCACTACTACTTCTCACAAACCAGTGGTCAGCTGGGTGGTTCTGCTGATCTAAGCAGACACACGGGTGTGGCTGGGCCTGCACACACATCTGTGGTTAGGAGCATGTGGGCTGGTTGGTCTGGGTTGGCCTCAGCTGGGAGGTCTGTGGCTCTCTTCCCTGTCTCTCTCACATTCTTTTAATGGGCTACCTGGGTTTGATCTCTTGGTGGTAGCAGTGGTGGAAAGAGAAGAGCAGAAATTCACAAGCACTTTTTCAATCTTCTTGCATAAAGTTTGCCACACTCTCACTGGCAAAAGTAAGTCACATAGTGTATTGGTTTGCTAGAGCTGTCAGAACAAAGTACCACAGATGGTGGCTAAAACAACAGACATTTATTTTCTCACCCTTCTGGAGGCTGGAAGTCTGAGATCAAGGTGTCGACAGAATTGGTTTCTTCTGAGGCCTCTCTCCTTGGCTTGTAGATAGCTGTCTTTTCCCTATGTCTTCAGATGGCCTTTCCTCCATCTGTCTGTGTCCTAACTTCTCTTTCTTTTTTTCTTTTCTTTTTCTTTCTTTTTTTTTTTTTTTTTTGAGAAGGAGTTTCGCTTTTGTTGCCCAGGCTGGGGTGCAATGGTGCGATCTCCGCTCACTGCAATCTCTGCCTCCCGGGTTCAGGCAATTCTCCTACCTCAGCCTCCCGAGTAGCTGGGATTACAGGCATGCACCACCAAGCCTAGCTAAATTTTTTGTATTTTTTAGTAGAGACAAGGTTTCTTCTTGTTGGTCAGGCTGGTCTTGAACTCCCGACCTCAGGTGATCTGCCCGCCTCGGCTTCCCAAAGTGCTGGGATTACAGGCGTGAGCCAGCACGCCCGGCCTCCTAACTTCTCTTTCTAAGGACACCAGTCATATTAGACTAGGACCCACCCTAATAACCTCATTTTAACTTGGCTACCTTTTTAAAGACCCTATCTCCAAATTCAGTCACACTCTGGGGTACCTGTGGTTAGAACTTCAACACGAATTTGCGGGAGGGAAGACAGAGTTCAGCCCACAGCCTATGGCCTAGTTCAGAGTCATTAAGGGAGAGGAACGCCAAGGGGCATGGAGCCTGAGAGAAATGAAAATTTGGCACCAGTAAGGTCATCAATGTGCTAATGAAGAATTAAGAATTTTGATTTAGATTCATTAAATGATGGGAAGCCTGCAGATTTTTAGCTGAGGAATATAACGATGAAAATTGCATTTAAGGAAATTATAGTTCCAGATAGGTGTCTTGTGACACAGAACATGAATTTAAAGAAGATTATTAGAACTGGATTCTAAATGTCATGGCTCTGATCCAACATACTGATTTCAGTTATCTATCGCAAAGTGGCTCAAAACTTCATGGTTTAAGCAGCCATTTTATTACATCTCACAATTTTGTGGGTCAGGAATTTGGGCTGGACTAAGCTAGGCACTAGACCGTTCTCTAACGGTGAGAATGTGGGAACTTGCAGTCTTTTTTTTTTCTGAGATGGAGTCTCGCTCTGTTGCCCAGGCTGGAGTGTGGTGGCGTAATCTCAGCTCACTGCAACCTCCGCCTCTAGGGTTCAAGTGATTCTCCTGCTTCAGCCTCCCGAGTAGCTGGGACTACAGGTGCCCACCACCACGCCTGGCTAATTTTTGTATTTTTAGTAGAGATGGGGTTTCACCATGTTGGCCAGGCTTTTCTCGAACTCCTGACCTCAGGTGATCCACCTGCCTCAGCCTCCCAAAGCGCTAGGATTACAGGCATGGGCCACCGTGCCTGGCCTTCTTTTTTTTTTTTTTTTTTTTTTTAAGAGAGACAGGATCTCTGCATGTTGCCCAGACCAGAGTTCAGTGGTTATTCATAGGTACAATCATCGCACACGACAGCCTCAAACTCCTGGGCTGAAGCCATCCTCCTGCCTCAGCCTCCTGAGTAGCTGGGACTAAAGGCATGTGCCACCATACCTGGATCAACTTGCAGTCTCTTAATGACTGGACTCAGAAACTGGCACAGAGTTAATTCAACTGCATTGTGTTGGTCAAAATAGTAACAAGCAAGGTCAGGCTATTCATGTCTAAAAGCCATGCTTCCTTGGGAAGGCAGGGTGTGAGTAGCTGAATTTACATGTTATCTTTTCTTCACATATTTAAAAAGGGCTTTGAAAGAACATGGGCAACATTTCAAAGCTAGGTGGTAACTTTCCACCAAGAACAGCATCTGATGTAGAAGGCAGGTTTGGTCGCCCATTCTCAGTCTTGCTGTAGATTCATATTCTAGAGGACAAGCCAAAATGCCCATACACTGCACCCTGACCCAGGGTCTCCCAGCATGCGCTTCTGTGCTTTTGGGTGCTACCAGCAGTAGCAGATTCTAAACCCTCCCAGGAGTGGAAAGAATGAAAAGGGACTGACTTCTGGCCCTTTTCTCTCATGTTGTCATTCTACTGGCCCCCTCCAACAAAGAAGTGAGGGAAACAGAAGTGCACTGTGCCAGCCCCTCCAGGCAGTGAGTGAGAAAGAATTGCAACCTGTTCCAAGTGAGTCTGTGTGAGTATGAAACACCGTTAGTGGAATAGCGAAGTGAGACTGGGAAGGGAAGGATGCCAAGAGGATGTGCTAGTGAGGAGATTGCCTCTGTGATCACTGGGGCTCACTCTGGCTGGGGGCTTCTGGGGGCTGCTGTAGAGCACCGTGCTGAGTTGGCCCATCCGTGGAGTGGAAGTGGGATCTTGGCCGTGCAGCTCCTCTCCATCATGGCTGAGGGTTGTTCCCAGGGCACGGACTGCCTTGCACATCGGCCTGCTCCATGCATGGTTCTAGCAGCCAGAGAAAGCTCAGGCAGAGAGTTACAGATGCTCATAGTAGAAGGGCAGGAATGGCAGGTATTCAGGGGATACAGATGGGGCCCCAACAGTGTGTGCTGGAAACTCGTATCAGGGCACCCACTTTGGACCTCACATCATGGCCATTTTCACCAGTTACACCGTTGAGACATTTTTATCAAATAATCAAAATATGAATGTAGTGTGGATGCTCACCAAAATAAAATACAATGAAATAAATTCAAACAATACAGAAATGTGTGTAATCAGGGCGCAGTGGCTCATGCCTATAATCCCAGCACTTTGAGAGGCCAAGGTGGAAGGATCACTTGAGCCCAGGAGTCTGAGACCAGCCCGAGCAACAAAGTGAGCCCCATCTGTACAAAAAAACACAAAAATTAGCCAGGTGTGGTGGCGCAAGTCTGCAGTCCCAGCTAGTCGAGAGGCTGAGGTGTGATCACTTGAGCCTGGAGGTGGAGGTTGCAGTGAGCAGAAATCATACCACTGCACTCCAGCCTGGGCAACAGAACAAGACTTTGTCTCAATCAATCAATCAATCAATAAAAGTACTATCATGTCTTCCTCCATCTACCCATTCCACAGAGGTGTCCACTCTTGCAACTGTTTCTGTTTTAAACTGTTGGTTATAATCATCCTTCTAAATAATATGCTTCAGAGAGTAGGTCTTCATTATCCAAGAACAATTGGCACTGGAAAAAAAGCCACTTAAAGTGAATCCATTTAAAACAGAGATCAAAATTTCACAGTAAATGGTGATTAGGAGATTATCTTGAAAACTGAAACTAAAATTATAAAAATAAATGTATTTTTATTCAATAAAACTTAGATTATAATGGCAACTGTGCCTTAATTCTTAGAGTAAAGAATAAATCAACCATTTAAAGAGTGTGGGGAGTAATTTTTATACAAAATTGTACAATAGCAGGATGCATCAAGAGGGAAGGAGAACAGAAGGAACGGATATTTCACATGCACCTTTCACACACTCACTGATTGCTGCACCAGGCTCTACATATATTATCCCCTAGCATCATTACAACGCCATCAAGCATGAGTATTCCCATTTTACAACTACTAAAACTGAAGCTCAAAGAGGTAAAGCAAATTATCCAGGTCATTCAGCTTAGAAGTGGTAAAACCAAGATTTGAACGCATGCAACTTGAGTCAACAAGACCATTTCTGGGCACAGGCTTGCAGAAGAGAGTATTATGGCTAAACCGTGTCCACTTCCCAAAATGTGTATATTATCGCCCCCCACCACCACCCCATGTACCTAGAATGTAACTGTGTTTATAGAGAGACCTTTAAAGAGGTAATTTAAGTGAAATGAGATCATATGGGTGGGCCCTAATACAATTTGACTGTTGTCCTCATAGGAAGAGGATATTTGGACAGAGAGACACCAGAGCTGTACAGGCATAGTGGAAAGGCCATGTGAGGACACAGCGAGATGGCCGCCATGTGCAAGGCAGAAAGAGAGCCCTCACCAGCAATTGAATTTGCAGCACCTTGATTATGGTCTTCCAGCCTCCAGAACCGTGAGAAAATTCATTTCTGTTGTTCAAGTCATCCAGTCTGCAGTACTTTGTCATGGCAGCCATCAGGAACTAACACACAGGGAAATGGAAAAGGAAAGGAGGCAGGGGAGGGAAAGAAAAATAAGAGGAGAAGGAGGAGGTAAGAAGAGAAGTATTCAATCTCAATTTACCTTGGGATTTGGGGAGGAGCTTGCCTATATGAATGAGTGAAAGGAATACAACGGTGAGCAAAACTTTGAGAAAACTTCTTAGAACCATTGTCAGGGATGCCTCTCGAATGAGCTGCGCATAGACACAAGCTCTACCCACACACCAACCGTCATCCCTCCAGGGCAGCCAGTGACTCCCAACAAGGAACAACCTTTGTGTTACCAGCGCCTACATTCTTAATGTGACATGGTACCCCCTCAAGGGAAGCATCCAAAGGAAGTCCTATTAGATTCCTACTAAATGGTTGGATTCAGTTTTTAAAAAGGCTTCCAGATGAACAGTGAGGAAATGGTTCTAATCTGCATGTTTTTCTAGACTTTGGAGTTTTTCCACCCTCACTGCTTCTAGTTCTGCCTTCAAAGGGCCAGGGAGGTGAACTGAAGGGAAGATAAGCTCCTTTGTCTCCATCAAAAGCAGATGCCACAAAGCAGGGAGCAGCACTCCCCACAGGGCCTGTCGATTGCTCAGTGTTTTACCATTTTCCTCGCAGTTAAAGGCATGTCAGCTGGGGAGGGGTCCACACTGGGGGGCAGCAGTACCTGCCAAGGTGTGTTTACAGCAGATGCTTAGATCTTGTTTTAATGTCATCTGAACTTTAGAGGGAGCAGAGCTTGAAAGTGTTTCTGTCCAAGGATGCAAAGAACCGAGAAGCTCACACTAGCAGCTGAGAAAGCAATGTTTTGAAAAATGGGATAAATTAGTGACCACAGAGGAAAGTTGTTAGAGCTGAGGAAGGGCAGATTTTTTTTAACCTTTCATTAGTGATTCTGAAATAACAGATGGAACAGGGCCATCGACTACATTATTAGTTTGCTTTGTTTTCGTTGTATTTTCCCCCTCTGAGAACCAGGAAAACAGCCAAGCTTTTTCTTGGTCCCTGACTTTAGAGAAAGGTTGTGTTATAGGGCAGACAGCAGGGGCTGCCTGTATGCCATTTGCTTCTTGTGTTCCTGAAACATGGCATCCTTGAAGAGGTGTCTCTGAGTTTGGGAACCTCCAAAACAGCCCCCGGACAAGGATGTCAGTGCATAGAGTTTATCTGGGAGGTGAAGTCAGGACCATCACTGGGGCAGGTAGGGAAGTGAAGGAAGACGAGGAAAGATCCCACTAGAGGGAGACAGCAGGTTATCAATGTGGGCAACTGGGGCTCAAGCCTGTTAGGAACTCCGGAAGACAGTGTGGATGATGCCCCTGAGTGATCCCAATCAAGAAGCAAAGAACCTGGGGTATTTATCCATCAAATCCCACATAGCATTTGTTGAGATTGCTCCTGGCAGGACATCAACTGCCCCGTCCTTCAGCCTGGCTGAGCAGGCCAGAGGGTTACAGTGGCCAGAGGAAGGCAAAGAGCCTACATGGCCTTGCAGGTGGACGTGGACTTCCAGTGGGCTTTGAGTCAATGGGCTTTGAGTCAATGGGCTTGGGAAGGATGAGGGCTTGAGAAGGCATAGGTGGGGCACCATAGTCTCTGCCACAGTGGTTATGCTAAGAAAAGGGAGGGAAAAATGCCTTCTAGGACCATGAGAAAGAGGAGGAGAATTCCAAAAATGAAAGGGTGATGACAAGCTCACAGGTTTTGCCAGTAGGATTGTTGAGACCTAAGACTCATGCCTTCTGTGGACTTCGTGAAAGTGACAGGACTAGATTGGCCACCCAGTGTTTGCTTCCACACTTGGGGCCCACAGGGCCCACAAATTACTCCTGGAGCTGGAGTCTAGCCTCCTTACATGCACTTCACAACTGCCAATCAGAACAAATGCCCAGCCAATTATAGTGGACATTCAACCAATCAGAATAGATTCCCGACAAGTTAGAACTGATCCTCAGCCAATCAGAACCAACACTGGCCATTAACAATGGGTTCTACTTGTTGTACCGGCCAAATAGCTCTAGCTGGGGGTGAACTCAGGCCTAAGCACAGACTTGCAGTCGGTGAGCTTGGACTTCAGCTTCCAGCCTCCACCTCTGCATCCTTTCCTCTCCCTCCTGTTATATTTATTTCAACAACCCAAAGCCTTCATGTGGCCCAGTTCTCGGTGGCTTCAGAATTCTCACAAAGGAAAGGCTCATGTATCAGTCGTTTACACCATAGTATAAAGTCAAGACCCTAAAGCATCTAAAGAGTAAACTTCATATCTGACTGTTGAAACAAAGGCAGAAGCCCCATGAAAAGACATATCCACAACAGGGATGGGTCTCTGCCCCTGAAATAACTCCACAGTAGCCACCCACATGGGTAGGCTATAAAGCAGCCCATCTTACTTCAGTGCTTTTAGGGAGACTGCTGCCTGCCTGTCCTCCCAGATCCATCACAGCAGTTGGTCCTTGTGTCCTTCACATGTCAAAATCTGATGACCACCTTTGTTACCCACTCAGCTGCTCCTGAGGGCTCTATCCACTATCACACACATAACCTCATGGTCCATGAGGAACTGTAGGCCTAAATGAAGCCGAAAGCCCTGCTTTTTACAGCCTGTGCCAGCCAGGTTTCAAAGAACGTCATGTGATACGGGTTATGTGGGATTTGGGCGGGGAGCTGCAGAGGTGAGGAGGGAACCCTGTCTGTTCTTGCACAGCAGCATCTCTTGCAATGGCCCTTCCTTTCCATGCCTGCAGCCACAGCTCACCTGAGATCGCTTCTCATGGAAAGCAGCCCAAAATGCACTTCATCAGTCTCCCCGTCCCACCCTCCAGCCACAAGCCACCACTCTGTCCTGGATTTTGCTGCCGATTCCTCTTCTGAAAGCACAGCCTGAAGTAAGCCATTTCCTCCAGCAGACCTTCTAGTGGGTTCCCGCTGCTGGAGTCTCCTGGGCTAGGGGGATGACTAGGACTAGGACTGCCCTCCAGAGCCCCTCAGTGTGGCTGCTCCTCAGTGTGGCTTCCCCAGGGCATGGCTGGCGCAGGGTGGTGGGATTCTCAAGTGGGGGCTCGGGGCTCTGTGCGAGTATTCCCACTCTCAAGGCAGAAGCTGCAACTCCTTTATTGCCCCAGCATTGCAAGTCCCGCAGTGTCACTTCCACTGGACTCCAGTGGCAACATACAAGTCACCAGCTGCACGATTCAGAGGGAGGGGAATTCAACTCCACCTCTTGATGAGGAGAAAAGTGTGTGGCATGGGAGATATTGTTGGGATCATCTTTGGAAAATAGAATCTGCCCCATAGCTCAAAGCCAAATAAACCACTGGCTCTAGCCAGGCATGCCCACACTCTCCCAGGCCATGTTCATTACTCCCACATATGACCCATCCTTCAGAGCCCACCACAATTGCCACCTCCTCTGGAAGGCCAGCATCCCAGCCAAAAGCAAGCTCTTCCTCCTCCGCCCACTCACCATACTGCAGCTGTTCTTCCTGGCACCTACCCTCTTCCATCTTGCATCCTAGGGCATCTGGCCTGCCCTGGGTCCTTCCAGTCATGAGGACACATGCCTCAAACCTCACTGTGGCCCCTCTGTGTCTTCAGACTGCCCTGCCACATAATATATTCAAACCCCACATGTCTTCCCACAGTGCACCATAAGAGGCCAGCAGAATTGGAACAGCATGTGCTGGGGATGTTTCTGTCAGTGAAACGTGTCTCTGGAAAGCTTATCAGCCTTTGAACATGGCCCCAGGCCCTGGCCCAGCCCCAGCTGGCAAGCTCTGAAGGATGAGCTGGATGAGCTGACATCGTCACTAATATTGTCCAAGCCCATATTTCCACCGTGGCTTCTTAAATATGATGCCCTAAAACAAGATTCCCAAGCCTTCTAGTCCAGACATCGCCTGTGGGGCTGTGTGGGGCTGACGGACAGGCTGGCACACACAGTTCTTGGCTGTACAAATTCTGCCTTGGGGTCCTGTGGGGTCCCGGGTCTGTGTGAGACATCTTTTCCCTGTGGGCAATGAATGGCATTCATCTGCCAAAAGTGGCTGCTCCACCTTCTTGACCCAGTTCAACAAACTACAGCTCAGGGAACCCAATCCAGCCCCCTGCCTGTCTTGATAAAGTTTGATTGCAACACAACCTCGCCCATTCATTACGTATTGTCTATGGCTGCTTTCACTCTACCATGGCAGAGTGCAGTAGTGTGACAGAGAAATCATACCACCTGCAAAGCCTAAAGCATTTGCTATCTGGCCCTTCCCATAAAAGATTGCCCACCCCTGCCCTACACACTTGTAAATGACCTCACTGTTCCCCAGTCTAGAGATGGGTGTTAGGGAAGAAAGACATTCCACAAGACATTCCCCCTTGGAATGTCCCACCTCCTGCCCATTCAGTCTGAGACAGCCCAGGAAGACAAGCAAGGGAGGAAAGATCTCCAGGAAAACCACAAGAAAGAGAATCATGTTACAATGGGTCAAAGGCACATGCAGAAGGAAGCAAGACTCCTCCTGGGACCACCAGGCCACCCCAGCCTCTGCTTCTCCAGCCTCCTCCTGGGAAAGGTCCTTTCTTCTGCATCCGCTAAGAGCTGGGATTGGTATTGTAGTCAAGGAAGACCCAGAGAAACGAAAGGGAGAGGACATCAAGAAGCTCAGGAATGGCCTCATTTCCACATGGAGAGCCACACTGCTGCTGTAAGGAAAGTCCAGCCCAGTCAGCCCACAGGAACTGCCCCAGGCTCATAGCCCTGCAAACTCCCCTTAGCTAGACTGGGGCACAGTCACTGGCTGGCCCAAAACCTTGGTCCCAGCATGAGATTCGGGGCCACCATACAAGGTTTTTGCTCTCTGTGGTCTTTTCTCACCTCAGATCACTGCTGACACCCTTGACAGGGGTGGGAACCTGTAAACTCTTTCCCCCCAGTGAACCACCTTCTAGGTGACTCTGCAAAGTGATACTTCTATTCTCACCCATCTGCAGGAAAGAAATGTGGATCCTACCCCAAGCATAGAAATGGACAGATGCTTTTCCTTCTCAGTTGACCAATGTGTAGCCCTGTCCTTAAGGAAAGAAGCTTGCAGAGTTCTAATTCATAAGACTTTCAACATGATAAGTTCCAAGAATGAATCTATTACTTGCCAGCTTTGTGGCCTCGAGCAAATTACTGAAATCCTCTGAGCCTTAGTTTTCTTTTTTATTTTATTTTATTTTATTTTTATTTTTTTGGTTATTTTTTGAGACAGAGTCTCCCTCTGTTGCCCAGGCTGGAGTGCAGTGGCGTGATCATGGCTCACTGCAGCATACACCTCCTGGGCTCAAGCAGTCCTCCTGCCTCAGCCTCCCAAGTAGCTGGGAGGCACGCACCACCACGCCTGGCTAATTTTTGTATTTTTTGTAGAGATGGGGTTTTGCCATGTTGCCCAGGTTGGGCTCAAGCGATCCACCTGCCTCAGCCTCTCAAAGGGCTGGGATTACAGGTGTGAACCACCACACCCGGCCCAGTTGTCTTTTTTTAAAATAGGATAATAACCCCAACCTCACATGGTTAAAAGATACATATGAGGCCCTTACTATGGTGACTGGAGCATAGGATGAATGAGGGCTTTGAACAAATGAACAATGATCACACACGCAGCAAAGGAAGTCTCATTCGCTCACAGAACCCCTTGGGAATAGACCTATTTTCTCCCTTTTATCCTATCTCACTCAATTTACCCCCATGTATCTTCATATAAATTTCTTCCCCTTTCTATTCCATTGTCAAGGTAATAAAGAATAAGAAGGCATACTTGTAAATTGAACTTAGATTTACTTATTTTGAAATACAAAAATTGGCAGGACAATCCTATATTCCTGCTTTCTTTCTTACCTCAAACCAAAATCAGCCTTCATCTACAGAGCCAAATTTATATATGCCCCATAAACATATCTGTGTGCACCTGGTTTGCATAAGGAGGCAATGAAATAAAAATGTTTAAATACTGGGACTCAGTAGCTAACCACCAGGTTCAAGCCTTTGCTTTGCCATAAACACTGTGTAAGCTTCAGAGGCATGTGACCTGCATAGGTCTCAGTTTTCCCATCTGCAACAATAAGGGATTTGGACTCGATTCTCTTATGTCTGGCTGTATTATGGGATATATGATATGAGAAAAGGGTTGAGACAGAAGGATCTAAAGGATCTTTTTAGTTGGAGTCAATTCGCCATTGGGGAGTCAAAGCTGGCAGGCTCCCAGACATCAGAAACCAATTTTTAATCTGATTTATTTGTATGTCAGTTCTCCTCCTTACTGCTCTACCCACTAACCATGTATAATTCCCTACAAATTCACTCTCAGTCATCCTTCCAAAGAAAAGAAAGTTTTAAATAATCTGAAAAAAAGTCGCTGATTATCTGAACTAATTCATCCGTGGGCATCAGGTTTCTTTGCAACATACTCCAAGAATTGGGACTCTAAGGGGTAGTCATCTGTCTGCCATGGAGCCAATCTTACATGTGGCTAATGAATACATGTATGTGCATTTGGTTTCCATAAGGAAGTAGCAAAATAAATATTATTCCCACGGCATCCTAAAAGTCATTTATGGAAACTTCCAGAAACCACTGGAGTAGGCAGGGTTAGGCCCCAGTCACCAATCAGTAGGTCCAGGCCAAGAGTACCACTTACTCTTCAGAGCAGTATCAGTCCACAGACTGCCGCCCTGCCCAGTCATCCTTCCAGCAGGTCATGGCGGCAGGAGAGCCTTGCCAGAGTGGTGAGCAGCCTCATGGCCTTCCAGGGCTTCTGCTGCCCTCCCCGCTGTATGGCTCATCCTTCCTGCTGTATGGGACAGGCTGGAACCTGAACGCCAGCCTTAGGACTCAAGGCCCCACCCCCTCTAGTCACTGTTTCCAAGACTGCAGCTGCCTCCCTGCTGAGAGGCCAAGGCTAAAACTCCATGACCCTCTCTCCTCTCGGGCCTCCCTGCAGCCCCTGCCTGCTCCCATCAGCCTCCCACACTGCTCAGCGGTGAGCTCTGAATTACGTAAATGACCTGGTCACCCTGTTTAAAAATTCCTACGGGTCACTTGAAATTCAGTCTACAGCACCATGGCATTCAAAGACTCAGCCAGAGCTTCCCAGCATCATTTCTATGCCATAGATGCCTTCCCTGCCACACACACACACACAAACACACACACATATGCATACAACACACACAGTTATAAACATACACTCATACCGCATAAACACACGCAACACACAAACACAAAACCCACACATTAACATACTAAGTCACAAACTCATACACAATCACACACCCACTCATAAATACATATGACACAAACACGCAGTCACAAACTCATACACAAACATATATTCTTACACATATGCACAAAACACACAATCACAACACACACATAAACACAGATGTGAAAGAGACATTTGGCAAATGAACTTGAACCTGAACTTGAACCCAAGAAGAGGGGTTCCAGCCATCTCACCAGCATATAGAGCCTTTGAATTAACACACAAGTTGGGAAGAAACCAAGAACTAACAATATCCCTTGAGCCTCTGGATCAAGCCACACCTGAAGCTAGACTTACCCCATGGGCATTTCATTATGTAAGCCAATAAACTCCCTTCTTTATTGTGGTTCTTTTATTGAGGTTTAGCCAAGCTGGGTTTTCATCACTTGCCAACTAAAGATCCAGACTGAATAGACACCCAGGAATCAAGCACCTGACATTCGGAAACAACCTCAATTAGTCATACTCTGCCTCCAGGGCTCAGTTGAGTTTCTTTAAAAACTAAGGCTCGGGCCAGGCGCCGTGGCTCATGCCTGTAATCCCAGTACTTTGGGAGCCTGAGGCAGGCAGATCAAGAGGTCAGGAGTTCAATACCAGCCTGGCCAACATGGTGAAACCCTGTCTGTACTAAAAATACAAAAAATTAGCCAGGCATGGTGGCATGTGCCTGTAGTCCCAGCTACTTAGGAGGCTGAGGCAAGAGAACGGCTTGAACCCAGCAGGCGGAGGTTGCAGTGAGCTGATACAGTGCCACTGCACTCCAGCCTGACGACAGAGCGAGACTCTGTCTCAAAAAAACAAAACAAAACAAAAAAACCAGAACTGGATTTCACTTTTTAAGAAAAGGCATTTAGGCCAGGTAAGATGGCTCACACCTGTAATCCCAACACTTTGGGAGGCAGAGGCGAGTGGATCACCTGAGGTCAGGAGTTCGAGACCAGCCTGGCCAACATGGTGAAACCCTGTCTCTGCTAAAAATACAAAATTAGCTGGGTGTGGTGGCAGGCACCTGTAATCCCAGCTACTTCGGAGGCTGAGGCAGGAGAATCGCTTGAACCCAGGAGGCAAAGGTTGCAGTGAGCCGAGATCACACCATTGCACTCCAGCCTGGGCAACAAGAGTGAAACTCCATCTCAAAAAAAAAAAAAGAAAAAAAAGAAAAAAAATCATTGAACTATACACTTGAAATGGATGAAGTATATGATATGTAGAATATACCTGAATAAAGCCTCTTTCAGTTCTACAATTCACAAGCCTGTATTTTAAGACCGTTTTCTTTTGGCTTGACTGTCTCCTGCTTTAGTAAGCCAATCAGGTGAACCACATACATCTTCATCTGATGATTGCTGAAGGTTTTACAATAGAGATGCAGAAGCTTCAAACGCAGAGCTGAAACTGTAAATCCCACGAGACCTACCTAGAAAGCTTATTTTAAAAATTGGCAGTCTCCAGTTTTGACCCACCTGCAAGATGTTCATATTTCTGTATATCGGATTCTGATTTGATCAGAATTTTATCCTACTGTCTTCTGTCTTCTTCCAGAATCTCCTGGGGGCTGGGAGTGGGGCAGGGTGGAAAGAGAGTGAGACTCAGAACCATTCAAGGCAACCTCAGACAGAGACTCTATTAGTTTCTGCACTCCCCATCACCAAGCGCATAGTAGGAGCTCAATATGTGCAGGGCCGAACGGAAGCCAGGGCATTTGTGTCTCATTTGGGAAATAGGCATGGCCCAATGCCGAGCACCTCCAAGAGGAGCAGCTGGCTAAACACAGCACCAGTGAGTCAAATTTGCGTTTGCAGGGGGAAACAAACAATTAAAGCAGATCAAAGGCTTGATGTGATAATTAGAAACACGCTCATCGCTGTTCAGAAGCTGCCGAGGCTCTCCACGCTCCAAGATGGAGAAAAAGCAGCAGGCACCGTTTTAAATCCATCCTCACCCTCTACCAGCATCCCTTGGATTTGCTTTTATTTTTCTGCTGAGGGGGGTTGACGTTTCTGCTTGCCATATTTGCAACCAAAGGATCGGTCCTCTTTTTTTCTCAGTCTGTTGGCCTCCCTACATCCATTAAGACAACTCAAAGTCCATGTCCTCTGGGAAACTTCTCCTGGTCCCCCACAGCGATGCTCACAGTTAGTTGTTGGAGCACATTCTGCATTCTGCTTTGTTCTCATAGCTGGGGGTGAGCCTGCCTGCCTCCCAGCCAGACTGTCAGCTCCATGAGGGCAAAATGCAACTCGGCACATGCTCCTTTGCCTGTGTGCTGTGTGTTCCCCTCTTCATGGGGCCCTCAGCATGTCCTGCATTGCTGTCTTACACCTCCAGCCCCCACTAGCCCCTTGATTCACAGAGGAAAGAGAAACATTTGGTTCTAATATTCCCTCCACCTCTAAATTGTTTACCTGTGCCAGCTCTCGCCTCCTGTTTTGAGTGTGAAAACCCAATAAGGGAGGTAGATGGAGGTGTGGATTCCAGATTGGCCAGTTTGTGTTTTAAAAGCACACTCCCTGGAGGAGGCAACAAGGGAGGCAGGAGGCCCAGGCAGGGTGACTCAGGCATATTAGTGGGTTGTCCAGAACAAGGTGTGTACCACATAGGAATGCAGGGCAGATGTGAAAGCATCTAGTTTACAGAAAGGGGAAGTATGGTTAATACAGTAGATGCTGGCCAGGTGCAGTGGCTCACGCCTGTAATCCTAGCACTTTGGGAGGCCAAGGCGGGCAGATCACCTGAAGTCAGGAGTTCGAGACCAGCCTGGCCAACATGGTAAAACCATGTCTGTGCTAAAAATACAAAAATTAGCCGGGTGTGGTGGTGCACGCCTGTAGTACCGGCTACTCAGGAAGCTGAGGCAGAAGAATCACTCGAACCTGGGAGGCGGAGGTTGCAGTGAGCCGAGGTCATGCCGCTGCACTCCAGCCTGGGGGACAGAGCGAGACTCCGTCTCAAAAAAAAGAAAAAAGAAAAAATATACAATAGGTGCTTACAGTAGCATGTGAGCTGTCTGTCCGTCCATCCATCCATCTGTCTATCCATCCATTCAAATGAAGTAGAAAGAATGACCAAATGGATGGATGGATGGATGGATGGATGGACAGACAGCTCATATGCTAGTAGTTTCAGGTCATCTAGGGAAGTGACTGAAGCACTTCAATTTTCCATGCTTTAGTTTTTCACATATTCCAAATATGAGAGAATTGGGATTTGTCCATAAGACAATTCTCAGGCAAACTTGAGAAATAACAAGAGTTTTCTCCCATAGTCTGGCTGTGGTAGAGGTATTTTACAGGTGCCATTTATTCACAAAGTTTTCTTCTAATTGGTGTTAAACACAAAACTCATATTATAGTTCTAAGGGGGAGGATGGAATTTGCATTGACCATCCCAGCAAATGCAATAAAAAAGGCAATATTCTGGTTTTGAAGAGTTCATTTGTGCTGATGGAGTCCCAGATCTGGAGCAAGATGTCCAAGGTCAGAAAAAAATAGAGGATTTGAGGAAACCAAGCCTTAGAGTGGGTGGCTTCAGAAATAGCTAAATTGAGACTGGTACCCCAAGACTCTGATGCCTGACACCTACCTCACCTCTCTCTTTCTCCCTCTCTCTTCCCTCTGCTACAAATACGGAATTTTAGCCAGTGATTAACAAATGACTGATGATTTCAAACCGAAGGCAAAGACATTTCAAAAGGAAGCCACACTTTGGAAAAGAGCAAAAATCAAACAAACGCATCCCCTGTCTCTCTGTGGGGCATTCCCTACCTTTCTCTGAGTTATATGTGATTACAAGGGGATTTTAACTCTTTTAGGTTTGGCATCACCAATCTCATTAAAAAACACCCTGCTAGTTTACATAATCTAAATTAATAAAAATCCAAAAATACATTAAAAAAAAAATTGCATTCTAAAATGGAAGACAGTAAACCACTGCCACAATGGAAATCTCATTTTCAATAATATTTTGTCTACCGTTGGAGCAGTGTTGGAAGACATTTGAGGAGCTCAGAAGGTGAATGTACAGCCGAGTTCCACCTTTCCCAAAAGGAAGGCCACAGGGGGCTCATGTAGCTTGGCCTTCAGCTGGAAGCTAACAAAAAATGGGAAAATAAAACACATGACTGCAGTCAGAACAAGAGAGACAATACTGGGTTAAGCAGGCCAGGAAGTTTGCCTATTTCGTAGGGCCCAGTTCATTAAGCGTCCTATTGAAAACCATGGTGGTTCCAAGTTCTAAATGAAGTGAACTCTCCTGGCAACGAATGATTTGGGTAACTTCAGACTAAACTGCCATTGTTTTTTCCACAAGGCATCAGAAACAAGACTAAGCCCTGGAAACATCGGCGACAGGGCGCAGGGAGTAGATCAGCGTGCCAGGCCCTGGTCACGGGAAATTCATAACAATCCTGGACTCAGGAGATGGCTTCATCGGGAGGCTGTGGGACTTATACACCATCACCACACTCTCTCCAGCCCCCAACACCCAAATTGCATCTCCTGAAATGCTGTTAGCTCACTACTCACTTTCCTTGTGCTGGACAAATTGTGGCAACGACAACGTGCTGGAAATCACCAATCCCGTCTTCTTTCTGCCCTGCTACTGCTTGTGTACCAGGGGCCCCTTAGTAGCCTTTCGCTGGATAAGTTTGCCAACTTGCAGAAAAATTTCCCATTAAAAAAATTCTACCCCCTCCCTGACTCCCACCTCTCTGCTTTCTGTAGGATCCTACATACAGCAAAGGCTGGGCTGAGCCAGGATGACAAGCTTCTCAGTCCCAGGAGAGGCCATCTAACTCTCACCCTCCCGCCATGCCGCTCCTCTCCTCTGACCCTAGGAAACAGTGGGCATCAGAGGGAGGGCTAGGGTCTTCACTCTCCCTCTCTTCTGGGATGCATGCCTTGTCCCTGGGTCCCATGATACAAATGCTCGTGGCAAAAGTCTCTCCTCATCCATCTTTCCCCACATGGTCAGTCCCTGAAGCAATATGGCCTCTGCATTGGCCCAGTTTTGCCATTAAACTGATCCTCTAGTCCCCAAATCCCAATCCCCACCTCCACTAAGGCCTGGGATCTATGACCTTCCCACCAGAAAACTTTTTCTTTATTGGTTTCCTTGAAGAATTTTGATTTCAATCCCCAGCACTTGTTAAAAATATAGTCCCAGATGGTTCTGTTGCATAAACCAAGATGGAGACCCCTGAATAGAATCTCCACATCTTCTGTAGTAGCTGTTCTGCGGAAATACTACTCTACATATACTGGGTCAGTCTGACTATGCACTAGACATTAGATGACATTATACAATTGTTGATAAATTCTCTTAGGTGCAATCAAAGTGTTGTGAGAGTTCTGAAAATTTAAATGCATAGAAAGAATAGCTAAATTAGGCCGGGTGCAGTGGCTCAAGCCTGTAATCCCAGCACTTTGGGAGGCCAAGGCGGGTGGATCACGAGGTCAGGAGATTGAAACCATCCTGGCTAACATGGTGAAACCCTGTCTCTACTAAAAATACAAAAAAATTAGCCCAGCATGGTGGCGGGCGCCTGTAGTCCCAGCTACTCGGGAGGCTGAGGCAGGAGAATGGCGTGAACCCCGGGAGGTGGAGCTTGCAGTGAGCCAAGATCGCGCCACTGCACTCCAGCCTGGTGACAGAGCAAGACTCTGTCTCAAAAAAAAAAAAAAGCTGAATTATATATAGCAAAATGTAAATAATTGATCTAGATGGAGGGTATATGGATGTTTATTGTACTACTATTTCAACTTTCTTCAACGTTTAATCATTGTCATAATGGAAAGCTGAAATAAGAAAGCAGACAACCAATAAAATATTTCATATAGCTACAATTCATGTTAATAAGAAAAATTAAAAACTTTATTATATAAAGGTTTACCATGTCAAGGTATGCTAATCATTCAGAAATCTAAGAGAAAATCACTCCAGAAAGTGACAAAGATTTGTGCCCTGCGTTGATAATGCAGGTGTGAAGCTGGGATCAGCCTCATAAGCGACGGGGGTGGGTGTCATTCACGCAGACTTTGGGGAGGGCAGTTCAGGAATGTTGATCAAATGCATTTCTCCAGCAATTCCACCGCTAGAAGTTTACCCAAAACAATTAGGAAAACAAAGGGAGTGAGATGCATAAGGATATTCAACATAGTATAGTTTTTAAAAGAAAAAAACAACCCGTAACCAACCATCTCTCAATAGGGGGCTGATATAGCTACACGGTGGAATAACATTCAGCCATAAAAATTAAGGTATAGATCTCTATATGTGTACTTGGAGAGAAGCCTATGGTTGCAAAAGGCAGGTCAGTTATAGACAGGCAGATGGATAAAAATCAAGAAGAAATTATAGTCCTCGTGGAGTTCTTTTTTGTTTGGTGTGTTGTTTAGTCTTTAGTCTTTTTATTCCTGGAAAAAATGTAAATGACCATTTATTACTTTTGTAATTAGAAAAAAAAAAACTCTAGCCATTTCCATTTGGGAATTCAAAGGACACAACCCCTTCCACCCAGAGTGAATCAATGTGGCACAGCATGTGTCATGTGGCCCCGCCTGTCCCCAGGGAGAGGACAGACAGCTTTGACAGAGTCCCCTTCCTGCTTTGCCATGGCTGATGGAACACATCCACCAGGACGCCTTCCAGGGGCTGATGAGTTAACCACGTGTGCAGTCCGCGGCTTCTCAGAAAGAAGAGTACACACTGTTATGATCTTTCTCTCCAGGCATGCCAGCCTGCATTTCATAGTTTGATTGAAATTGTGCCATCCAGTCTGTCTCTTCACAAACAAATGGAATATTCTGAGCTGCCAGCATTTGGAGGCGCACAGCTTGCATCTTTTTATGAAGAAAAATAAACACTGTGTATCGTAACAACCAAGTCATGATGGATAAAACATGCCTGCGATCGAGAACCACTTGCACGGCCCACGCCACAGACTCGAGGCAGGTGGGGAACGGCTGGACAGTGATGGAGAACAGGCTGCGGGCGGCTGGCCGAGAGAGATGAGTGGGAGCCGCGTGTGGACGTGCCATCAAGGAGAACTCTCTTTTCTGGTTGCATCCCCGCCATTCCTGAAGAACACAGGCACGTGTTGTTTACTCCATTGGTGACAATTAGTGGTGGCGTCCGGTTCCCTTTGTGCTTCCAGTCATTACTCAAATGCTTCAAACTTGTCCCATCTCCTGGACATCCTTAGGTTGTTTTGTGGACTAGAAAGAATTTCAAACCACTCACATGTGATTTGCCAACTCATTCCTTTGGACAACTGCTTTTCATAGCCCCAAAGTCCTGGAGCAGTGGTGCTCAGGGTGTGGTCCCTGGGAGCATCAGCATCAGCATCAGCATCCGTCAGGGAACTTGGGAAAAATGAAAATGCTTAGGCCCAGCCCCAGAGCTGCTAAAGGGGGATGGGCAAAGGACAAAGGGCAAAGAGCTCACGTCAAGTGAATTTACACCCATTTACACACTTTCTAGAAGTTTCATCCAGTGAGGTCTACTTAGGTCTCTTTGGCCGGAACGGTGTCATATGGCCGCTACTCACTGCAAGGAAGACTAGGGAACAGAGCTTTTGAGTTGGGCCCGTTAGCATCCCACCAGCCCTCTGGACACACACACACACGCACAGACGCACACTCACGTGCGCACACACACATGCACACGCGCGCGCGCGCACACACACACACCCCCATTAACCATGGTTCTGTCAGCAAGAAAGGAAGGCAGGCTGTTGAGTAGGGAAGTGGGAGTGCCTGCCGGCGTTCTCGTCTGTCCCTACTTCATCCTTCCTCTCTCACTGTCTTACAGCAAAGGACTACAGCAAAGGCGCGTTCAGCGCCTGCGCGGCCAGGCCCGGGGTGCTGGGTTGCGGCTTCCCGCGGGTAAACCCTGTCGGTACCCGATCCCCGTCCGCGGAAGGCCAGGAGAACGCGGTTCCCCTTCTCGCGTCCTCTCCCTTCCCGCATCTGTGGATAACTCTTCCCGCATCGGCCTCTCTCTGCTGACATTAGAAAGACGTCCCTACGCCGCGGCGAGCTTCCTTTGCCCCTAAAAGCACTCCCTTTCTGTGTGCAGGAAACCGCCCCCGACTCCGCGCGATCGCCCTGTGCGCGCAGGAGTGACAGGCGCCCCAGCTCGCGCTCTCCAGCCCGCCAGGGCCCGGCTTTGGCAGACCCGAGGCTCCTCACCCGCCCTGAGGGACGGGTTGTACTTACTGAGAACTGATGCTTAGTAAGCTTAAAAGCCCCAGAAAGGAAGTCTGTACAAATCCTTAATGATCCAGTCAATTGTCGCTGCATAACAAACCACCCCAGAACCGGTAACTTGAAACAATCACTTATTCTCTCATATATGGTTCAGGGGTTTTCTGGCTTTAGCTGGAGGTTCTCACGGGGTCTCCCACGAGGTTGCGGTGGTCAGATGGGGTGCATCGTCTGAAGGCTCGGGTGCCTCGACGTGCCAGATGGCTCCCTCCCAGGGCAGGTGTGGGTGCTGCCTGGCAGCTGAAATTTCCAGGGCTGGAGACTGAAGTGTCCGTTTGCACATGGCTTCTCCACGTGGCTTGGGGTTTTCACAGCATGGTGGCTGGGTCATGAGAGAGAAGGTACCAAGAGGCCCACACTGAAGCTGGAGGGCTGCTTATGAGCTTGCCTCAGCAAAAGTCCCAGCCACATTGTATGGGTTAAGCAAGTTACTTAGGCTAGCCCAGTTTCAGGAGGAGTGGAATTAGATGCCACTCGTCAATGGGAATTTGTGGCTATCTTCGATCTACCACACTTTGTTTCATAAATAAGGAAACTGAGACCCAGGAAGGTCTTATCCATAGTCATTCACGCTGTTAATGGCAGATTCTGGACTGATACCTACACCCCACCCACCCCTACCCCAGCCCCACAATCTTCATCATTGTTGATAAAGGTGTAAAGTAGTTTTTTGCTGATAAACACAAAGATTATTATAATTAGAAGGGGAAAAGCCCTCCTTTAGGTCGAAATTCCAGGCTGTGTTTTAGGGACTACTCATCGAATATAGAATTTTTCACAAAACTTCATAAGATCCCTCCCTATTTCAAATATGATAGGGATATGTGGCTATCTGTATAGATACAAAATTCATTCATAACAAATAAAAGCAGCCATAACCTCCCGTGGCCACTCAACTCAAAACTAGACCCTGGGGAAATTCTCAAATTATCTGTGACAAGTATTTGCCGAGCCTCTGTATTTTGAGTATTTTATCAAATACACCATAAAGAAGGTCTCCCCCTGTGGAAGTCTGTACTTTAAGGCCAGAAACAGAATAGAATGGGTAGTGCTGTCTTAGAAAGCCAACTACCCCAAAAGATGCCCTCACCACATCCTTCCCAGATACTCCACTATCAACCCAAAACAATAGAATTTCTGCCAGAGTGTCTTCCTCATCATCTGTGTGGCAGAGACTTTAAGATATCCAAAAATCTATCCTCCAATTTTTCCCACAAGTTTCATCTGGCCATATGGCTGTTTGCATGAGAACTCTAATTCCCAGCTGCTCATGCACCACATTCGGACCAATAGAAGATGTACTGAGGTAGGTGTGTGCAATGTCTGGAACCAGGACCTCAAAGGGAAGGAGTGCAGCCTCCACCTCTCTTCTGCCTTTTCTGCTGGCTGAAATGCCGATGTTCCAGTCAGAGGTAGAACAGTCCTCTGACCCACAAGATGGAAGCCTGCTGTAAATGAGTGTGACAGTCACTGGTGCTGCTTGCCATATTCAGTTCTCATTGCTCTGTGGGAACACCTGTAGGAAGGTTTCTGGCCACTGAGTTGCATGTATCACTTCCAGGCTGAACATTCTATTGCTGATGTAAGGCGTTTGCTGTGGCTGCCAAAAACATTACAGATAGTGGCAGTTCCTTCAGCATGACTCTCGGAAAAGGACAATGCCTCTTTGTTGATCTGCAATAGACAGCTAGCACAAGGGAGAAATAAAACCTTGTTGTTTTCAGCCACTTAGATGTTTAGGATTGTTTGTTTCTGCAGCATAGCCTAGGTTTTCCTGACTAACACACCAGGTAACAAGGTAGAAGGGTCTTGGGTCCCTAAAATCATAGCACCACGATCGCTTCTGCACTGGTGGTTCTTTAGCGACCAAACGATCTCCTTGCCAATATAATCATCTTTAAGGGACCAAATTTGGAAGTTGTTTTGGCTCCTGGTGATTAAAAGGGCACCAGAAACCTGAACTTTGAGTGCTGAGCATAGTTGAACGTGCAAGTTTGAAGAAATAGAGTTTAATCTCACAAAGGAAACTCTGAAAGCCAGTGTCAAACCCACACTCCACCCAGCATGGTAAGGGAGCTGGGGTCTTTATTCATCAAATCCTGAGAGTCATTGGTTGAGTGTGGCTCCTAATTTTTTAGCATTTCCAGCCTGATGTGTTGGCAGCAAATAAAGTCAGTTTGGAAGACAGAGAAAGCCTTCAGGTGAAGCAATGTAAGTGCTGGCAGTGTTGAAAGTTGGCCTGTGTGCATTGAGGAGGTAAGAGCAAGAAGATATGGACAAGGCACCACCAGCAGGTGCCATGTTCTTCTAGTTTCTCCACCCTATCCTTAGCAGGAGCCTCTGTGTGCAGGTGCTGACAGGAAGAGCATCTACAATCCAGCAAGCACAGCCACATCTGAGTAAAACCCCAGCACAGCCCAGACCCTGCTCCCCGTCTCTAGCCTTCTTGTTTATCCCTTACATATTCTGCAGTAACCAGACTGAACATCTGTAGCTCATCCAATATTTGTGTCTGTCACTCTCTAGCCTTTTGCATATTCTGTTCCTACCGTTCAGAAGTCCCTTCTCTGGCTACAGAGGCTGAAATTCAGACATAACTTCCCCAAGAAAGACTTCCCTAGCCACTCAAGTCCAAGTGAGATGCCCATCCTCTGAGCTCCCTTTGCCCAGGTCTCCCAGTGTCCACCCCAGCTTATTTGTCCCCTTGCCCCAAACCAATAACCCCAGACAAAATCCTGACTAGCAGATGAAGCAAGTAGGTCTAAATACTAACACTGCAGTAGGCAAGAATCTCATTCTTGCAAGAGGTGGACACTCCTCCCATGCCCACACAGCACCTTCTGTGAAATAACTGTCCCCAAGCACCTTGCTTACTGGATTGGCCATTTTTGAGACTCTTTCTTTCAAAAAAAAGAGGTCCCAGGGTGGTAGTTGCTACATGAATCCTGAGCAGAAGACAGCAGCAAGCTGGTCAATCTACAGATTTTGTATAATGATAGAGAAATTACCATCCACCCCTTCACACCTACCCCAACCCAAAGCTGACCCAATGCTCCCTCTGACTGGAACAGGAAGCTGTGGCTTCCTGCACCATGTTCTAGAAACAGTGTCTCTTCTCTCCCACTCAGTGCCTCCTCCCTTTCTTCTGTCCTGGGAACTTCCTGGGAAAGCATCATTTTTCCCCTAAAATGATAATCAACTGTCTCCAGCCTCCTTATCATAAACAAATAAGAAACACAGATAAAGGAGCAAACATGAAATAAGATGTTAAAGAATACAATTCTCACCAAGAGCCCAATGGACTCCCTAGAGCTTCCTAGGTTGCAGTGGTTTGAATGATGGCATCCACTCCAAAATTCCAATTGAAACTTAATCTCCAGTTTAATGGTATATTAAATTATGAGGGCTCTGCCCTCATGAATGGAATTAGCACCCTTATAAAACAGCTTGAGGGAGCCCTCTCTTGCCCTTCTGTCCCTTCTGCTGTGTGAAGACACAGCGTTTGTTGCTTCCAGAGGATGCAGCGATGGGATGCCATCTTCGATGCAGAGCATAGCCCTCACCAGAAACCCAACATGCTGAACTTGATTTTGGACTTCCCAGCCTCCAGAACCATGAGAAATAAATTTCTATTGTTTATAAATTACCCATTCTGTGGTATTTTGTTATAGCAGCACAAACAAAGATATCTTTTGTCTGAAAACCTAAATGCCAAAAGCAGGCCTGGGTTATTCTGGGAATATTGGCCAAAGAAGGTTGGACCTGCCTCTAAGAGACTATTTACAACCCCGAATGCAAAACCCAATCCCCAGTGTCCCCTGCCAGTGCATGGACTACATCAGGGTCTCACTCATCTGCAAGTAGCACCACCATTTTCTGAAGAGAAAGAACTCCCATTCCCAAAAGGAACAGAAAAAAAAAATCACATCTATACTCTTTCTGCTTCCTGTGACTTTCTTTCTTCTTTGTTCTTTTCCTTACTTGAAAGCAGTAGGGCAGAATTCGTTTCGGGGAATCCTTGTAACATTTCTTCCCTAGTAAAAAATAGGGAAAAATAAAATATGGTCATAAAAAAACAAAGTCAAAGGAAAGGAGAGAAGGGAATTAATAATATTTGTTTAACACTTAGTATATGTGCAGTATTGTAATAGCTGTTTTCAGTCGTTATCTTATCAGTACCCACAATCTTCTGAGGTAGGTATGACCCTACTTTACAGATGAGACGAATGACAATCAGAGAGGTTCAGAAATTTGTCCAAGATCCACAGCAGAGGTGGAAAACTCTAATATGATCACTCTTCTTTTTTATCTCTTTAACATGGCCAGCCATCTGCTCTCTCCAATGCCAAGTCCATCTGCTGTCAGAAGGCCTCAGCTCCCCTACCACAAGTTCACCCAGGTTGATCCAGGCACCTAGTTTGCAGAAGCTTTCATGTCTGTTTGACAAAACACAGGAAAGAAAGGCACTCCAGGCACAGTGTGAGCTACAGAGCTTTCTGGAACAAAGGGTTTTAAACTCACCTTTTTTGAATGATCTCAATTCTGAGAGAAACAAATAAAAACAAGAATTTTTCAGCTGTGGTCTGTTGGAATAGCTGGGCACTTTTCTCGGTATGTGACATCATTTTCCTTCCAGACTTCCATGATAAAAATAGCCTGGCAGACCCTTTGAACCATTGTCTTCCTGAAACACAATGTGGATTGTGTGTGTGTTTACCACTTTGAAGAAACACTTTGTGACATAAGCCATGCTGACAAGCTGTTCCAGGGGCCTGACTGACACACAGCAGGATCTGTACACTTGTTAGGCTTACACTGAGAAGACACACACACACAACACACACACACGCTGCTCTTATGTGGTCCAGCCATCTCACACTCAGCACGAGGCCCCCATTCTCTCTCTCCTAGGCAGGTAGATCAGGAAGATGCCTATCAGAATTGTAAGAAACTGCCATCTTAAATTTTCTAACTGCTTTCCTATCTGGGTGGACTTAGTACATCCCGTCTGTGGACTCTGTCACTCAGGTGACCTCTCTGGGCTCTGGAAAGGTGAGGTGAGTAGGCCTCCTCTGTCCTGGGGCCTTGACAAGGGCTCCCCCTTATAATAGCACTTTAGATGGAGAGCTGGTTGCTGGAGAGGAAGTGAGGACACTTGCTGTGCAGCGTATTTTGGGAGCGCAGGGAAAGGAAACAGACCTATGTCTGCGAGACTCACAGTATTAGAGCCTCTCGGTTAGACTGAAACATTCTGGCCAAGACCAGCTGCTCCACCCCTCCCCCAAAATCTTCAGCTCAACAGTCACCAGGGCATGAAGCCACTTGACTAAGTCTCATAGTCACCTGTCAGCGGCCCCCAGCAAGGGCTCCACACCCAAGCCCTTCCCATATCTGGATGTCCATGGCTACCCCGTATCCACAGGAGAGATGGCAGGACAAAAAGGGAGGAGTCATGACTGGCCCTCCCACCAGAGCAGCAGCAGAGTGGCCTAAAGGTCTCCAACAAAAGTGAATCTAAGTGTTCAAGGTGTATACCCTGTGGGTGGCAGTCACTCCTGCACTCCCCATCAGAATCCTTGGTCAGACCCAATGTACCAGCTAGTTCAACTTTCTCTAAGCGTCATCAGGCCCATGACCAGCAGGAAGTGGTGACCAGCAGATGAACCTACCCTTAGTCTAGTGCAAGGGCAAGTGGACACCCCAGCCAGGGGAGTGTAGCCCCACCACCACCCCTATCTTCATGCGCAGGCAGGCCCCAGGGCCATCAATGAAGAGGCAGCATGGCTGCAGACCACCACCAGCCTGCGGTCTCCTCCTGTGCCACCTCCAGCCCCCACTTCTCCCAACGATCCCTGGAGAGGAAGAGGAGCCCCAGGTTTGAAGTGACTTTAAGGAGTATCTGTCTGCTGCAATCTCTGCAATCTCTGCCTGCAGTCTTGCATAGATGGGGAACTCACTCTTCCTCGGTCAGCTTATTCCACCTCCAGCCATTTCCTTACTTCAACCTCATACTTCACCCAGGACCTCCAGGGCCATGTGGAGCCAGTGCAATCCTTTGAACACCTGGACCTACCAATCACGCTGCTCTCAACTCTACACGGATATGAGCATGAAACAGTTTTCTTTTTCTCCAGTGATTTTCCTCAGTCCTACCTCGTCAGCTCTCCCATTTCCTTCCCTTCATGACATTTTGCAGATTTAAGCTCAAATTCTGTTTAAGCCTCATCTTCTTCCTTCCTCTAATACTTGCTTCAGAGAGGCCCTGAATGTGTACGGGGAAAGGGTCATGGTCTATTTCTGAGTCCTTCTTCTTCAGGGCAGCACTCTTCAGTATATGTCAGGGTGAGGGGCTAAGAGAGGAAAACCAACCACTGTTTCTTTAGTCACTTGGGTCCCAACACAGTCCTCTCCCTGTTGGTTGCCTCTGCTTCCCAGGCTAAGAGCTGGGGACTAGATTTGGCCCAGCTGCAAACCTCCCTATTGGTTGGCACAGCTGTTGGCACCTCCTGGGACAGGTGTTTCAAGAGCTGTGTGTCTGAGTCTCAGAAGACCCTGCAGAGCCCTTTGGATGGCACAATTCTTTGCAGTCTCTCTAGTGCCCTCGGCTGGAGTCACCTGCATGCATCCCATGGCCTTGCAGGAGCACTGGCCCATCCGTTGGGCAGTAACTCAAGTGGGACACTGGAGAACCATCTCAATCCCAGCTGCCTTCCACAGGATGCCCTCCCTGGGCCCAGGGAAACCCTTGCATTCCTGCCTGCCTCACCTTTCCTTTAGGACCCATCGGCTCAGGGCATTTTGATCATCAGTAATCCCATATCCACTAAAGGTGCAGGTGAGAACACAATCAGTAAAAACAGCCTGAAAATTCCACCTTTCTGACATTCAAAAGTGAAGATGGACAAAATCACGCCAACAAAATGGCACCTTGTAGTGGATTCAAAACTGTAGGAAAAGGAGAATATGTGGCAGGGAGTGCTATGAAGTGAGAACATCCACATATTGTGAATAGCTCCATGCAAATATGGGCACCAAAACTGGCTGAGCTATGTGGTCCCCCTTGGGTCGGGCAACTTCCCAGACCACCTGGCAGTCATCAAGGACAGCACTGGGCTGCTTAACAATCTCATTTTATTATACTTTATCTCTTTTTCTCCAAAACTGAAACCAAACTATCACTCTACACTGAATATTAGCCACATGGAAAGCCTTAAAATTCAACCCATTCTCAATAATTTGACTTTTTTAAATGGGGAAGGTATATTGTTCTCATTTTCCTATTCTCATACTCAATGGGGAATTGAAACAAACTTTCCATACACTTGCAAAAAAATATATAAAAAGTATCACCTGAAGCTGAAGCCAAACATCAAATATTTAACTCAAGCAATATGAAAGGTGGTCAGTTTTGCTCATGAAAGCAGTCACGTCGTAGTTTCATAAGTGACGTGTAGAACTCATTGCACGATAGCATGGCGACTGGTATTTGGTTGTTTTCTCTTCTCTTCTTTATCGTCCAGTTCCTCTCCACTGTATTTGTGTTCTTTTGAGCCCTAAAAATGCCTATAAGTTTAGCAGATTTAGCAAATTTAGCACCATAAATGTACTATCTCACAGTTTCTTTAAGTCAGACGTCTGGGCATAGCATGGCTCTGCTGGTTCTCTGTGTGGTCTCATAAGGCTAGAGTCAAGGTGGCAGCGCTGCACCCCTTTCCGGGGGCTCTGGGGATGAACTGACTTCCAAGTTCATTCAAGTTGTTGGCAGAATTCCCTTCCACGTAGGACTGAAGTCCCATTTCCTTGCTGGCTGTTGGCCAGGGTCATTCTCAGCTTCTAATCGCTTTCTGTGGCTTGGGGACTCCTCTTCCATCTGCAAATCTTTCTGGCTGAGTCTTCCACATTGAAGGGTTCCTGTGAGTACATTGGGCCCACCCAGATAACCCAGGGCAATTTATTCTAAGGTCATCTGATTAGTAACCTTAATTCTGGCTGTAAAACCCCTTCACAGCAGTACCCAGGTTAGTGTTTGATGGAATCACCCAGGACAGCAATCCTGAGGGACATCTTTAATTTTTTTCTTTTTATTGATATATAATAGATGTATGTATTTTGGGACATATTCATATAATGTGCAAAGATCAAATCAGGGTAATTAGGGTAACCATCACCTGAAATATTTATCTTTTCTTTATGCTAAGAACATTCAAATTATTCTCTACTAGTTATTTTGAAATGTACTATATATTAGTGTTAACTATAGTCACCCTACTGATCTATCGAACATCAGGTCTTATTTCTTCTATCTAACTGTATATTTGTGCTTATTAATCAACGCCTCTTCATCTTTTTCTATCCCCTGCCCTTCCCTGCCTCTGGTACTAGGGGACATCTCCAGAGCTCTGCCTACCACAAACTCCTTTCCCTCCCATTTACTAACTTATTTTTTAGTTTAATTTTCTTCTTTGCATAGATAAAGACCCAAGCAATTTTAGCACGGATATCCACTCTTCTGTTCTGATTTGAGGGGTATCTACATGGTAGCATCTCTGCCATTCAAAAAGCACTGAATTTGCAATCCAACGGCATGGACTTGAGCCTTGGTTCAGGCAAATACATGAATGACCTGCATGCACATCTCTTATATCTGACAGAGGCTCAGTTTCCTCAGTTGCGAAATAGGGATGATACTACATCTCTTAGAGAAGTGTATAGCAATTGAACAAAGTGATATATTTGGAAGTTCTTTGGAACTCTAAACTGCTTTGCACATGTGTGCACATTCAGACATGCACACAAAAACTAGGTTCAGCGTAAACATCACTCCTCCTGTGAAGTCTTCTCCAACTCCTCAAGGCAGGGCTGGATGTCCCCTCTCAGCTCTGAGCCTCCGGAGCCCAGAGATGCATGCCTCTAAGACAGCACTTGTCTAATTCTACCATAATTATTTATTTCTCCCATTAGACTCATTTCCCCTCCAGGGCAGGGGTCATGTCTTATTCACTGCCATCTCTGCAGCACTGAGCGCAGTTTCTGATGTGGAATTGGCACACAGTACATGCTGCTGAAAAAGACAGCAGCCCCTCCCCTCGGTGTCCCAATGCCAGCCTCTGACAGGGTGCTGGGCCCCTACCAAATATCAAAGGCCAAGGACGTGGGCTTTGAAGCAGCCCAAAAGAAACCAGTATCTTCTCTGGGAGGTGAAGAAAACTAATGATTAGTATTCCTAGGTCTCCCTTTGCTGATCAGCAACACACATCCCCCCTACATCTCTTTTTTTAATTTATTTTTAACCTTCCTACTACCTGCTACACAACGTGTCCCACCTCAGTTGAAAGTTGTGCTTTCAAGTCCCCAAAATTGAGCATAAAGATTGATTTCTCTTTATTTCTTCTGCCTCCATACACAAATCATCAAGTCTTGTTTCCAGCTCCGAAAGATTACTCAAATCCCAAACTTAGGAAACTCCAATCCTTTATCAAGACTGCATAACCTTTTCCTCAGAGATTGATGTGGTTTTTATTATACTGGTCAGCAAACAAATTTGCTCTCTGTTTGAAAAGAAGACACTATTCTTACATTCCCAAAGCTGTTTGCTTGAGAAAATAGTCCAGAACAGAAGCTGCAAGTGCCTCTGCTTACATGATATGCAGGAGCAGAAAAGACACATGGAAGATGTCTCCCAATGCTACTTTGAACAGTGTGAAAATTAAGGAAAAAGTAAATCAATTTAAGTATTAGGGTGCATTAGGCTGCAAGTAACAGAAATCCCCACTAACAGTAGCCTAAACAATAAAGTACAGAATAGGAAGTCCAGAGCTGGTTTGGTAACAATACAATGGCAACAAGGACTCAGGCTATTTCTGTTCCACCATTCTCAACTTGCTTCCTGTTGGTTCTCGTTCTCAAGATGGATGCTGCAACTCCAGGCATCACAGCCACTTTCAAAGGAAGGAAGCAATAGCATTGCCAGGTGCTGAAAAGGTGCCCTTTTAGTGAGTCTTTTTCTTTTTATCAGGAAGAAATATTTCCCAGAAGCTCTGTGGAAACCTTCCCTGTATGGCCCATTGGCCAGAACTTGGTCCCTTGGTTACTTCTATCTGTAAGGAAGGCTGGGGAAGTATTTGGTAAAAGGGAATAGGAGGCAGTGATTGGTTTGGATCAATTATGATCTCTCCTAAGATTTATTGCCACCCTGAATAAAACCAGAATTCTGTAAGAAGAGCAGAGAATGTTTGCTGCTCCACCACCTAAGTGTTATGCTGTGCAAGGATAGTGTCTCACACTAATCAGTGAAACTCAAACTTCTTTCAAAGAGAAAGGCAAAGTCTCGTAAAGAACTTCCAATATCAAATACACAGAAGCAGGGCTTCTCCACCTCAATATCAAATACACAGAAGCAGGGCTTCTCCACCTCAGCCAGGAGCGAACATTTGAGTCTCTATCCACTTAGCCTCCACTCAACAAACCTCATCAGCACACACACACACACATACACACATATACACACACACTCATACACACACTCACACACATGTACACACTCATACACACATGCACACATAAATACACTCACACATGCACATACTCATACACATACAATCTCACACACACTACACGTCCACACACTCATACACATAGACATACTCATACACATACACACACACGCAGTCATACACACATACACATTCACACATGTACAGACATACATACATTCACACATATGTGCACACACATGCATATACACACCACACACACAAACACATATACACTGTCACACATACGAATATTCACACATACACTCACACATGCACACATACACACATATGTGCACACACATATACACACACAGATACAGACACACACAAACTCATGTACACAACAGGAGATAAGCTAAAATCTTTGGGATCAGAAAAAAAAGACCATTTGTTTAAATAACTGGTGAATAAGGAAATTCTTTTAATAGGCAATTTTTCTCAAGGAATGTGGCCAAATAGCAGGAATACACATGGCCCTAGAGATGCAGTGAGGCGGTCTGGAGCAAGAAATTCGTCCTAGCGGGGGCAAGTTGTGCTTGTCTTTAGGTGTTTTAGACTCAGGTTGTAGACAGCCCAGCTGAAGTCCCTGCCTTCCTCCTCGCCCCCCTACTCACAGGACCAGATCTTTCTACGACCCCACTCAGGATTCAGCCAACATCCATGGATGGAAGCTGAAGATTCTGAGGATATGAGAGAATATTGGGGGTCTGGAGTTCTGCACTCTGGCTAAGGGATGGCCTGGGACCAGCACAGGAGAGTGGGGGCGCTGGGCAGGACAGACACAGAAAATGAGGCCACTTCCCTGTGGACTGCCGTAAGAAGGCCACACAGGAAAGTCTTGTCCCTTGCGCAGGCTCAGGAAGTGGGTGAGGCAAGCCACGGGCTCAGTTCCTATTTTTCTCATCTCCCTTTGAATCCAGATCTACAGGCCATGAGCACACTTTTCTGAACCCCTCGGTGAAGAAGCTCTCACATGTCAGCAGAACCCAGGTGCGCTCCCATTGATGCACGATGAACCAGGATGAGGCCCAGCAGGTGCTGACCCAACTTGAGGCGGCCAGAGGCCAAGTCCCCCAACTGTCCTCTTGGAGGGACAAAAAGGAGGCACCCTGCCTCACAGATGTCCCAAATGTGAGCAGGATGTGGACACTGGCCTGAAAAGAAAATGGTAGATTGTTAAGATACAAACCATGGGAGCCCCTAGAACCTGACCTATCCTGCCTGTCTCCTTCTCCTCTCTCTCTTTCCCTCCTCAAACAGACTGTAAGGCCTCATTGGTCCCATCTAATCAATCCATGTATGTTGATCCAACATTTCCTTTCCCGTCCCGCTAGGAGGCTTCTAGAACTTTGGTTTGGTTAAGAGAGAGAGTGAGCAAAGTTTAATGTGAGATTAATAATAGTAACAATTATTATAATTATAAGCCAAAGTCCTGCTTAGCACACTTTACATACTTCATACTTCAATGAACCCTCACTTCTACATAAAGAGATGGGTGCTCCAGTTTTCTGCCAGGGCAGGAATCAGTCAGCTGCTGCCTGGACAAAGCTTTGTAACAAACCACACCAAAACTCCTTGGCTCTCAGCGAACACTTATGCTCATGTTCACAGGTCTGCAGGTCGACTCTGGTCCAACAGATCTAGCCTGGCCTCAGCTAGAGCTGAATGTCTCTGCCAGACTGACTCTCCTTGGGGAGGAACTACTCAGCAAATTCATTAATTGGGAATTGGTTTGCAGTTCTGTTGAGAAAGAAAATTAATTGTCAATGTATAGAAGATCTAACTACCTTCCAAAAACTGTGATTCTGTGACAATATTGATCCAGCCTAGAATCCTTAGTTGAAATTTCAAGATTATCATTTGCACACGTTTGTTAAATTCAAGCATGTTATGTCTTAGAAGCAGTGGTAACCTTAGTTTGCCAAATGATTATAGCTGTCTGCCTTCCTCTGGGCTTTGGGAACAGGCTGCCACGGGCTCTGGCCCTGCAAGAGAATGGTCCTGTTTCCGCGAGCTCCTGGTGGGTGTGTTGCCCAAGGACAGCTATCAGACAGAGGGAGATGGGGGTCACATATGAACTCGTCCCCAAGGAGGGGAGTTGAGGGGCAAACCCAAGAAACCCAGCTGGTTGTTGAATCAGAAGTAAAATCAGAGGTTTCTACCATGCCAATCCATTCCCTGTCTTTCTACAACATAAATGTAATCCTGTTACTTAACTTGCTTAAGACCCATCCACAGCCCCCCACTGACCTAGGGACACAACACCATAGCGTGGCTTCCAAGTCCTTTCATGAAGGGACCCCATTTACCTCTCCTCGCCTACCAGCCTCCACCCTCTGCTCAACTTTTTCTCTTTGCCTGGAATCCCTGCCTTCTTATACTCTCTCTCTGCCCCCATCTCCCCGCCTGCCACCCTTTCCCTATATGTTATAATCCCCACCTTCTTTAAGATCCAGTCCAGCCTCCCAGCATCACAACACCTTTCCCACAGGTCTATTTCGGGACTCGTCATTCCTTTGTCCCCACCTTGGCACTCTGTCCCTCCTGGCACATCATGTTCTGTCTTGCATCATTGTTTATAGAAACCAGGCCTATCTCCCCCATGGGACTCTGAATTCCTTGAGGATAAGGGCCACATCTTACTCACTCTTGCATTCCTTTCCCCTTCTCTGCTGGCTTGCACCCAGGCTAAGGGCAGCTGGTGTTTCTACTCCAAGAACTAAACAATCAAATCATTTAGGCAACAGGAAAGAAAAACTTTCTATTTTTTTTTTGATAGACTTACAAACAATAGAAAGTGCAACTTCTAAACAAAGGACAGGAACATTGAACATAAAATTTTGAGGGCAAAATGTCAATCCTGAGGTACTATGCTACAATTCTGCAAAATAATCAAAATCTTAACCAGTATTTGAGCAATGACCTGACATTTTGTGCCTTTCAAAATACAAAATGTACCAAGATAACCACAGACCAGCTATCAGACAACTCGTGTCACTGCAAAGTCCATTACCAAATCCCATTTGCTCCAATTTCTCATTTCGCATGAGCTATCATCTTGCCGCTCTCCTGTGCCACCACTTAAAAGCCTCATTATTAGGCATGGGAAGTACACATTTGGATGGGCAGAGTGTTTGCAATTATATTTTAAGGTGCTTCCCAAAGCTATAAAGTCAGAGCTCTAAATGGCATGATGGACAACGTAATTGTCAACAGACTACGAAACGAGTCTGAAATTAGAGTCAGCACTGCTCAGCCTAGAAGGATGTGCCCGCAGAGCAGACACATCCAAAAGGTCTGATGGAGGGTTCGAGGAGCAGGGTCAGAAAGCTGAGTGGCCTCGAGCAAGTCACGTAACCTCCTTGGACTGAATTTCTTCATCTAACAAAGACAGTGGGACTTGATGACCTCCGAGGGTCCTTTCAGCACTGAAAGTTTCTAGGGAGGGACAGGAAAATTCTACATTTGTTTGTTTGTTTGTTTGTTTGTTTTTTAGCGATGAAGTCTGCCTCTGTCACCCAGGCTGGGGTGCAGTGGTGCAATCTCGGCTCACTGCAAACTTCACTTTTCGGGTTCAAGTGGTTCTTCTGCGTGAGCCTCCCAAGCTGGGATTATAGACAACCGCCACCACACCTGGTTAATTTTTGTATTTTTTTTTTAGTAGAGATGGAGTTTCACCGTGTTGGCCAGGCTGGTCTCGAACTCTTGACCTCAGGTAATCCACCTGCCTCAGCACCTCAAAATACCGGGATTACAGGCGTGAGCCATGGCGCCCAGCCAAAAATATTAAGTAGAATAAATGAGACAGCTAAATGGGCCACCAGCCACAGAGACACACTATTTATTGAGCTGTTATTTTGTGCTGAGCTTTGTGCCTGACATCCTACAATTGTAATTAAATCCACACACAATACAAAAACAGCACCATTATTGCCCCTTGACAGGTGTGGAAATTCAGGCACAGGGAGATGCAGTGTCTTGCCCCAGGTCACCCAGAGGGCTAAGTAACAGGGGAGTGGGAGATGAACTCAGGTCTACTAAATCCAACACCCAAGTTCTTTCAACTAAAGCACAACTCCCTTTTTTTGTTTTGTGTTGTTTTGTAAGGCACTGAAGTGTTCATTATGCAAAAGTCTCACATATTGCACTCGTGTTACAACATTGTTGCAACTTTTCCTTTTCAAAAGGCTGCTCCCATAGGTTCCACTTACACAACAACCTGACTTTCCAAGGCCACACCAGGCCCTGTGCCCCTCTTGGTGATCTCCCTGATGAAGGGACACACTCATTTTCTCAAGCATATTACGACCCAGTTTCACCAGTGAAGATCACCAAGTGAGGACATGGGACTGATAAAGACTCAAAGGCTGAATGAGTCAGGTCCAAGGGTCTGGTGAGGTTGCCCTTCTGGTGGCTCATTGACTAAAATGTCTATGCTTTCAATGAAGTTTTAGGGACACTGTTGATCGAAAATGAAGGAGTAATTCCTAGGTAATATTCATCAAGATACGGTAGAACATCTCTTGCTTTCCTTCCTCTCCTTGTTATAAGCACACATTGTGGGAATAGAACAGATTAAACTCCTGAGTTGTACCATTTTCCTGCAGCCAATAGGTTGCTGCTATTCACTGGGGTCTCAATAACCTCACAGGCTGGGGCCGTAATATTTGGTGATTTAATTAAATGGACATTGAACACTCTACCCAATGCAAAATAATCCCACACTAGAAAGCAGGCCTGTGAAAAAGCATGCTCTGTCCCTTTGAACAGTTAGATAAATTGACAGAATCCACATTTAATAAGATTCTAAGATTCCTCCTGCTGGGACAATAAAATAAACCTACCATGGATGCTGGAGAACATATGGGTAGTGCTGATAAGCGGGGAGGTTAGAGACTAGAACAAGCATTTGAAAGACCTACGATGAATTTCCACCTTTAGGTGTCACACCTGTCCCTTACAAATTCCCAGGCAGGTAGTTTTGATGTGGAATGGGGGCTATTTAAATATTAAAGAACTAAAGGTAAAATCTTGGTCTATTATGTCTGGTTTCTACCCATTTGTCTTCCTATGGAGACCTCTAAGATGACACAATTTTAGACAAAATGTACGTTAGCTACATTTTGGTACCTTACAAAATTAGGTAAGTACATTAAACAATATTCTTTTCCCTCACAATCATAGAAAGAGAAACCAGAAAGACAGATGAAGAAAGGCTTGTACTAAACCATTACCTATTTTGTTAAACATAAAATAAAAAAGACCCAAGGGTCTCTTTTCCTTGAAAACAAAAAAATGGTTAGAAATACAAACTGGATGTACCACATTCTTTTCAACCACCCATAAGATAGTGATTTGGAAAATATGAGAATCTCCCCATGAGCTAAAAAAGAAAATGTTTCCATTGAGATTGTTTTCATAAGACACTCAGGAGAGTGCTTAATCCACAGTAGATATTTTGTCAGTTTTAGCTCTCTCCAGTCTCCTTAGGAACACTATGGCTTGTAGTGCTGAAACAGTTGCCATATTTTTCCAGTATCATCAAACTATTGATACAAGGCTGACTAGCCTGGCTTGCTTGCAAAGCCTGGCCCAGGCCACGGGCTAGCTGACTGTGGGAGGAAGCACTAGGTCGTCGGCAGCCCCGGCAATGCTCAGGTCTGAGTTCCCACTCTGTTCTCCACTCGCAGGTCGAGGTGAGACACATGCCTCTCCGACCCCCAGTTCCCTTGCAGGTAAAGTGGAAGCGCTAATGCTCTCTGTTTAATAGTGTTTTCGTGATGCTGAAATGAGGTACCTTTTAGGAAAGCACTTCCTAAACTTGAAAGGGATATGCAAATGCTCTTTATGAATCCTGTGTAATGAAAAGGCAGGGGGTTGCAGTTCCACTCAGCAAGTGGATGGAAACAGCTTTGAAATGGGTAGATGACTAATGCTAAGACTTCATCCCATTATAGTTGTTCATGCTAGAAATTTCCAGCTTTTACTCTCCATCATTGCATACTTGGTCTAAGTGATATGACCCAGCAAAGGGATCTCTGCTCTTCCTCAGCTTGCTCTCCGGGTCCATCTTGTTATCATGATGCACCATTAAAGAGGCACTCAATTTCAATATGAATATACAACAATATTTGTGTCCTTCATTACTACTAGAGAGAACTTTGAAGATGCTGAAAAGCCAGCTCCTAGGACAATATTATCTCTGAAGAAAACAATGACAAGTCTCACCACTGGAGGAAATATTCCCCGAGTTTAGAGCAGCAGTGATAAAAATGTGGCTCATTTCTGGCTCAGCATTTTTTTTCTGGTAGACACAACATAAAAATTAGTCGGTCGGACATGTTTGAGTGGACATCTGCTGTTTTTGCCTGCCCAGGGTCCTTTTGGGTAAAAGAATGCATCTCTTCCTTTTAGCTTCTCTTAGGACATTAGCTGTGGGTGGAGCCACTCCTTCTAGAACGGAGACTACAAGTTGCTGGCTTTTCAGATAGGTGTCAGACACCTGTAGAACAGACATACCTTCACTAGTAACAAAACATTCAAGTAGCTTAAACAATGATGGTGGCTTATAGGTCCATTTAACTGACACAATGTGGGGTTTCATGTACCATTTAATACGGGGCTGAAATGATAAAGGACCCAGTTTCTCTCAGTGCCTTGGCTCCATTCTTTCAGGGTTGGCCTGCCTCAGGAATGTCGCCTTTCACACTTGCCTGGTGGCTGTCAGTGGCTGTATCCTTCCTTACCGAAGGAAGGGGCTTGCTCCAGCACTGTCTTGATGCTCACTCCGCATGGACTGGCCAACACGCTGGAGTGGACATTTGCTGCTTTTGCCTGTCCAGGGTCCCTTATGAACTCATCTCTTCCTTTTAATGTCTCTGAGGACATTAGCTTTGGGTGGAACCATGCCTCTGGAATGGACACTACAGGTTTCTGGCTGCAGTAGGATGGCTTGCTGTAGGAGGATTGTAGGATCGCCATCAGCTCAATCCCTATGGTCAGCAGTGGAATGTGCCAGATGGCTCAGCTCAGGTCATGTTCTTCACCCCTGAAGTTGCAGGGGAAATTAGTGAGAGACCTAAAACACTGGTGAAGCAAAGGGGAGAATGGATATTTGGTAGGCAACCACATAAGGGTCCACTCAATCAGGTAAAAGACTATTTATTTATTTATTTATTTATTTATTTATTTGAGACACAGTCTCACTCTGCCACACAGGCTGGAGTGCAGTGGCATGATCTCGGCTCACTGCAACCTCTGCCTCCTGGATTCAAGCCATTCTCCTGCCTCAGCCTCCTGAGTAGCTGGGATTACAGGTGCACTTCACCATGCCCAGCTAAGTTTTTTTGTATTTTTAGTAGAGATGGGGTTTCACGGTATTTGCCAGGCTGGTCTTGAACTTTTGACCTCAGGTGACTCACCCGCCTCGGCCTCTCAAAGTGCTGGGATTACAGGCGTGAGCCACCCTGCCTAGCCAAAATATTTAATTTTGGCATGTAATAGTGATGGTGGTTTAGTTTTTCCTGTTTTTTCATTTTGTATGGATCTTTGGGGAGAAAGACTAGCAAAGGTAGGTGTACAATGGACACTCCCCTCTGCATTAAATAAAAATCAGACTCCTTTAAAGGGGATGTTTTCAGATTTTGAAATTTATCTTCTTATATGAAATTATACAATTCACCCACTCTATTTCAAGCACCCCACGTTCTGACGGAAAAAAAAAGCAGATGAAATGTCAAACACTTCCAGAAATATGAGGAAAACAGGAGAAAGAGCAATCATACAGATGACATAAGGGAAAAATGGGAATGTATAAATAATTTAAGTCATGACACTGTAAATGTGTATGTAATTTGACTTTAGCAAATATTTACCGTTGAACATGAAAACAAGTTTCTAGTCATAAAACCCTCTACTTGATTACACTTTCAGCTAGAGAAAAATCTAGAGAGAAGCCAAGCTACTTTCAAAGGTGCAGACATTAATTTATTAAACACTAGTCTTTTCTATTTTAATTTTCAATAACAAACATTTTTGCCTTTTACAATCTCTTCACATTTGCCATTTATCAAAGATCTTTACGTGGTTTAAAAGCACATCACAAACATTCGGGAGATCATGCATCTTCATTAACTCTGACCAGGTGTTTGCTATTGCCTACCCCACTCTTCTCAATGATGTCTTTGAAAGAGACAGTCCTACATTGGGTATTAAAAAGGTCAATCTTTCTAAATAATCAGAGCAAAATCTCTTTAGCCCTTTAAGGTTATCTGGGTTTGCAAACAGAAGAATACCACAAATCCATTTCCACTTCACAGGGATCTGAGTATGCATGCAAATGCACACACACAAAGAATGCTGTAGGACTCGAGTGTCAACCGCATCTTAGACTCCAAATATTACCCTGACTGGCCTGTGTGAGGTCTACATTCCACTGTAAAAGGGCCATTCACATGAATTTTGGCACTGCAAAGTTAGTGAACTAAAACTGAGAAAATGTGTAATTATTCAATGCCTCCCAATAACCAGCCAAGCTCGAAGAAATGGTAGGATTTGATAGAGAGCACCAAGATTCGAAGAGTTGTAAACAAGGCTTGTGAGGCAGAGTGGCAAGAAGGAGTGGCCAAAGGCCAAGTCATTGTTCGCATACTAGAAAGCGGAGTATAAATAAAAGACTCCCAACTGCCCCGTATAAGCCAATATAGGTAAGTAAAAATGCTTTGTAAATATTATTAATAGTAGAAAACAACTGATGTGATGTTCAAGGATTAAACCTTCAAAATACCCAGTTTCTTAAAGAAAATTAAACTTTCTTCTAGGTTTCCTTTTCTTTATGTCACAGGAATTTGAATATAGTTTAATCGGAGAAATACTTAATATTAACATCCTATTGTAAAAGTAGAATAGCGTTCTAATTAAAACATTGCTTCAACGGGTTTTTCCTAATGGAAAGAACTAGAGTTTACTTACAGCTAAACCTTCACCAACATAAGAGAAATATTCACCAATTTTCAATGAACATTTTGTAAAGTATGTATAGGAAACCAAGGATTTATAAGGATACACTTATAGTTTCGTTACTATCATTTATTTCTGTATCATGCACAAAAACAATTCCATTAATACATTTATTGTATTATCCATTTCAGTACTTATGCTAATACAGTCATTTTAATTTGGATATTTGAAATTTAGAATAGATTCATTGCTGTTAGTGCACTATCTGAAGAGAATTCTAGGTTACTTATTTGTAATTAGGATCCAGACAAATGCCCATGTTTCTAAACACCACACAAAAACTAGCACAAGTGGCAGAGACTGATCATACTTCCTGTCTTCAAAAGACAATGATCAATACAAAAAGTCAATGTGAACCATAGGTTTTTGCTTTTCACCTTGCCTGAACAAATTTCACAAATTCAAGAAAGATCCTTGAGCTTTAAGCAGTCTTCACTCTTTGGGGAAAGGCAAAGGATAGCAGCTCCTTTGTGGTAAGGACATGAGGCAGTTGTCAGAAGACCTGGGCTAAAACCCTGGCTCAACCCAAGTGCCCCTGTGACCTTACTTGACCTCCTTGATTCTACAAATTAGTTTGATCTAAATTCTCCCCAATGCTAATCTGCAGTTCACAACTCCTGTGATTCTCAGGAAGGAAGGTGTGATGCTGGAAGAGCATACTGGATTATACTAGTGATTCTCAAAGTGTGGCTCTGCAGCATCACCACCTGGGAATTTGCAAGGAATGCACATTCTTGGACCTCCACCCCAGGTCTACATAATCAGCAATCTGTGTCTTCAGAAGATTCTGATGCACATTACAACGTGAGAACCAGTGGACTAGACCAAAACCACATTTAAGAGATTCAAAGTTCCAAATGCAAGGTAAAGGAAATAAATCTAAACTCCATCATCAGACTCAGTTTATCAGATCCCATCACTGCTGCACAACGTAGATCATTAATTTTTAGGACTATAGCATTGAAGACATCTAAGCCATAATTTAAATACTGAATAACCGAGAAAAAAAATGAGGCCACAGAAGCAAAAATAAGGGCAATTTTAGCTACTAATAGCCAATAAAAGTTAATTATATTTCTAACTAGGAAAGTTAGGATTTTATTTTAATTTTTTTGTTTTTATTTTTTGAGACAGTCTTGCTTTGTCGCCCCAGCTGGAGTGCAGCGGCTTGATCTCGGCTCACTGCTGCAACCTCTGCCTCCCAGGTTCAAGTGAGTCTCATGCCTCAGCCACCCAAGTAGCTAGGATTACAGGCGCATGCCACCATGCCTGGCTAATTTTTGTATTTTTCGTGGAGGTGGAGTTTCACCATGTTGGCCATGCTGATCTTGAACTCCTCACCTCAAGTGATCCACCCGCCTCGGCCTCTCAGAGTGCTGGGATTACAGGCATGAGCCTCTGCACCCAGCCCTAAATTTTTTTTTATATTTTCAAAGCTATTTATTGTTTATGAAAAAATCATTTCCTAACTATAAAGAATTTCTCCTTCAATCTTGTGAATATTTAATAAAAAGCTTTATTCAGGCTCATAATGTATGCTAAAGTACTTCATTAATATAAAATATTATAATACGTAGTTAGGAGTTTTTACACTAACATAATAAATGGAAATATTTGAGTCATTCTGCACATTATAGTAACTGTAGTTACTTTTAATTTCTAATTTTGTAAAAGCCAAAAACAAATTCATATACAGCCAGCCCTCCATATCTATAGGTTCCATATCCACAGATTAAGTCAATCTCAGGTAGAAAATATTCAATAAATAATAAACAATTTTTAAAAACGCAAATTTAAAAAACTGCCAGGCATAGTGGTGAGTACCTGTAGTCCTAGCTACTTGCGACGCTGAGGTGGGAGGATTGTGTAGGCCCAGGAGTTCGAGACCAGCCTGGTCAAAGTGTCCCATTGTGAGTCCTCGTCTCTTAAAACACACACACACACTATACAATAAAACTATTTACAGAGCATTTATATTTATATTGTATTAGGTATTATAAGTAATCTAGAGATGATTTAAAGCATACAGGAGGATGTCCATAGGTTAAATGCAAATACTACTCCATTTTATATCAGAGACTTCAGCATCTGTGGATTTGGGTAACTGTGGGGGGTCCTGGAATCAATCCAAGAATACCAAGGAACAACTAACTGTATGGACATGGTGGCTCCATAATCTACTCTCTGAAGAAGTATAACTATAATAAAACATGTAATTGTTTTATACATAAAATATACAAAACATAAAATAATTGTTTATAATTATAAATAATTAAATAAATGATTACTTTCCTTCCTAAATTATCCTGATCTTTCCTAAATTTGGTTACTACACTAAGAGGACTAGTTCAACTTCACAGTCTATTTGATCTTTGTTTTCTGAGATTAGTAAGAATTAGGCTAGGGAAAAAGACCCCTTTTTCAATTGCTCCATACTACATTTTTAAACATGGCTCCCCAAACATCAGAAAGAATCTACACTGTTAATGAAATACTTTACATATTAAAAAGAAAAATCATTGATTTGGACCATGCAAAATTCTGAAATACATCTCTATCATTCCAATTATAACAGGTTAAAAACACTATAGGAAAAAGTGAGGAAGATATGTGCCAAAACCTAAGCACCTGAATCCTGGCGAAAATCTGCAATGAGGTATCTTTTGGAGGTTGTTTTATTATATCAGAAACTTAGTTCTTAAAACACTTATCCAAAGTCAATGGATTTGCTTTATTTTATTTAAAAATAAAGTCATTCTTGCAGCAAGAGGGCTAAAACCCAGGTAGGTTTCATTACAAGAAAGGATTTAGCCAGGCACGGTGGCGCACGCCTGTAATCCCAGCACTTTGGGAGGCCAAGGCGGGTGGATCACGAGGTCAAGAGATCGAGACCATCCTGGCCAACGTGGTGAAACCCTGTCTCTACTAAAAATACAAAAATAAGCTGGGCGTGGTGACGGGTGCCCGTAATCCCAGCTACTTGGGAGGCTGAGGGAGGAGAATCGCTTGAACCCGGGAGGCAGAGGTTGCAGTGAGCCGAGATTGCGCCACTGCACTCCAGCCTGGGTGACAGAGTGAGACTCCGTCTCAAAACAAAAACAAACATACAAACAAACAAACAAAAAAAGGGTTTAAATGTACTGCAGTCATCTAGGACTCTGATACCAGCGTCAGCATGCCCTAAGTCCATTCACTTCAGTAAGTCTAATAACACAGCACAGCTCGAGATGCTGAATAAGCTCAATAGACAAATGCACACTTAACATCAGATCATCTCCTCACTGCATTTTTCAAGCTTCTTAACAAACTGTTCAACTGCAGTGATATACTTTAGGTGTATCCGTGAGGCACAGTATTAGAGAAATGGGCTGTTCAGATATATCTCTTATGATAGGTGTGGGTATACCTCTATCATAACAAAATCTAACAGTAGTATATTCGGCTTTTTTTTTTTTTTTAAATTGAGACAGAGTCTCGTTCTGTCACCCAGGCTGGAGTGCAATGGCACTATCTCAGCTCACTGCAACCTCCGCCTCCTGGGTTCAAGTGATTCTCCTGCCTCAGACTCCTGAGTAGTTGGGATTACAGAAACCCACCACCATGCCTGGTTAATTTTTGTATTTTTAGTAGAGACAGGGTTTCACCATGTTGACCAGGCTCAAACTCCTGACCTCAAGTGACCCACCCACCTCAGCCTCCCAAAGTGCTGGGATTACAGGCATGAGCCACCATGCCCAGCCAACTTTCTTAAAAACAACTTTTTATCACTGTGTCCAATTCTGGGTTTTTATCACATTCTCACAAAGTTCTATACATCAAATAATCTGAGCTGGTTAAAGAAGATGACAAAATGAATGCAACATTTAATACAGTTTTTATTTGTTTAATTTGGTAAATGTAGAATGTAATGGTTTCAAGGCAAACCCTGGACTACTTCAGTCACAACCCAATAGTTAACATGATTCTGAAGAACAGTCTTATCTGCAATATCTACCCACTTCTAAACAAACACATCTATAGAAATCCATGTACATATATATTAGTTTTCAACAAGTCAGGATTTTCAACAACTCTAAAATTTCAATTTTATATTCTGAACACACTTCAAAATTATCCACTTGATGCAGGATATAACCATAGGGAGATAAAAATTCATGCAATGATACTCAGGTTTTTTTTTTAAAGGTAAATCCAATATTTGATCATTCAATGCTACATAAAGTGCATTGAATATCGAAAATAAAACAAGCGCCAATTTTATCATTAATTAATAACACATTTATTATCTTGAAACCAAACTGGCCCAAGTTACTTTTTGTCTTTTTGAGTCAGCTCTGTATAAACTCATTTCTCTCAAGCTTCCTGGGAAATAAAAACCAAGATATTTCATTTATTCTTTGCAGTTAACAAGAGATGGCAGCGGGCTCAAGGTAGGTATGTTCTTGATAATTCAGAGTCAGAAAGTACTTCTTCTTGAGCAGAAGGTTCATAATCTCCTACATTTTCAGCCAACTCAATATCTAACTCATCATTACTTTCTGCACTGTAATCAACTTCTTCAAGGAATCGAGGTTCATCTTCATCCAAGACATAAGTGGTAGGGCTGCAGCCAAAACACACAGAACATACAAGACTTTGTGAGGTCTTAAGGTCCTAATATAAGATTATTTCACCATACTGGACTAACTTTGATTCCAATATAATATAAGCTGCATTAACTTTAAAAATCTTATCCAAATGAACAAGTTGAAATTTATAATAGGTGAAAGTTCCTTGTATTGACAATAAGCAGTGAAATGTGAATCATTAATTGTATTACAAGAGTATCAATATATATCCTAAAATTAGATAGATAGCTTAAAAAACAGTGAACTCTCTCATCAGGTTATTTCTTTGAATGATTTCATCAATTTGCAGGCTAAGATTTATTTTTTAATTCTACTAAAATCACTGTGTATCAGGCAAATATAATTTCAATAGTCCTTACAAGAAACTGTGAGCATTTAATTGGCTTCTCGAGTAATGCACTAAAACCACTCACTCTAAGTCTATAAAGTGATTAGCTGCCATAAAAACAGCCCATATACCCACCCCACCAGTTTCCGTAGGTCAAGAATAAAACTGAAAAACAAGTGAACACTCTACACCCAGATTAATTACTTTCCCTAAGGACACAGAATAAGACATTTGCTTAAAAGCACTAAGTGCTTCTAAATATTTCATGAAGTAGGTTGTTTGGGACTGAGACAACTTTTCTACTAGGTTCTGTAATGTATTCTTTCCTAGAAAAATACCACATTATTCTGATTTCTCCCCATTTGTGAGATTTACACCCCCCCACACAAAATATCAAATAAACACTACAGAAACATTTTAGAATCTCTAAGGTAGTGACCAAAACTACCCTAATTTCATATAGATGTATGTTTGTTTATTTCCCACCTGCTACCAAAAAGGATTTCCTATAACTGATGCAATTAAAACCTATAAAATCAGACAATGAAAAAGGAACAATATCTGTTAAAATAAGAGAGAAGCAGATGTCATTAGTCACCTAAAATGAGAGAATTCCTGCAACTGAGTATGAAATTCAGTCCAGATATCTGGAAGTTAAGGTGGGATGGGAAAGTTAATAGATTATATGGCTCTAATTTTCTGAGAAGTTTGCAAGACTCATCCAGCAAGAGTACCTTTTTCCTATACTTGCTTTAATCTTGCTCATTAAAGGGAAAAATGCATTGCAAAACCACCTTGATCTAATGTAGCAAACTTCCTCTTAAAAGTTCAGAGCTTGCAATATGATAGAGTAGTCCAAATAAATCAAGCTGAGTGGCTTGGAGGATTGTGTGAGACTTCACAACATACCTAACACTCAGGAGAACAATTTCACAGTTTTTAATTTGCAACTAAAATATTTAGTATGAATCTGTTAGGTCATTAGAGAAACAAGTTAGATTAAAAGAAATGATTATTTGGCTTTGGTTTTTTTTTGTTTTTGTTTTTGTTTTTTGAGACAGAGTCTTTCTCTGTTGCCCAGGCTGGAGTGCAGTGGTGTGATCTCGACACACTGCAACCTCTGCCTCCGGGTTCAAGCAATTCTCCTGCCTCAGCCTCCTGACTAGCTGGGACTACAGGCCCCCACCACCATGCCTGGCTAATTTTTATATTTTTAGTAGAGACGAGGTTTCACCATGTTGGCCAGGCTGGTCTCTAACTTCTGACCTCAAGTGATCCGCCTGCCTTGGCCTCCCAAAGTGCTGGGATTACAGGTGTGAGCCACCACACCCGACCTTATTTGGCCCTTTAAAATGACTTACCATGTTTCTTTTGAAATATAATAATTCATTCTTCCTCCTTGAGTTTGTATTTCAAATTCTCAGAGGAGTCCCAGGTGATTCTTAGAATAAATGGAAAACTAACTGAAGCAAAGAAAGGGAAAAGAGGGAAGGGAGAAAAGACAAATCTTCTCTTGCCACATACTTATTTTCTTCCTGGAGACAGTCATAACAAGAAGATATGATAATGGAAATGCAAGGAAGAGACAGATACTAAAAAGTTATGCACTGTGCCAGCACAGGGTCTGGGGAAACCACCCAGAACTACAGAGGCTGCTTACAGATAGACAAGAAGTGGCCAGTGTCTCCCATCAGGTAGGAAGAACACAAAATCCATGTGTTGGGTAGCTGGGCAGGGAAGCACGCATCGTTCAAGAGATCTATGGACAGCGGAATTCCAGCCCACCTTTCCCCCTATCTGAAAACAAACTTGGCATAAGTGAAACTGGTTGCTGGGAGCCCAGCCACTGCACTGGGATCAGAGTAAGGATCTCATTCTCCATGGGAAACTGAATATTGCAGAGTTAATCAATTTGAACAAAAGGAAAGGGTTTACAGAAAAAGCCTAGTCTTATAAGCTGAAGTCAATGAGGAAACAGAATGAGAGAAGTATGATTTAGGAGCAAGAAGGATGCCCAGGATAGAGCTAAATAAGTTTAGCTTCCTTGACAGGAAGGAATCTTAGAGCAATGTTGGTATCAGGTGTTGATGTGCACTTTTAAGACAAAGTAGCACAACCTGGAAGGCAAGTACCTGGAAAATAAAAGAAGCATCTTCACAAGAAATGCTTAGGAAAATAATCTGATCCTGTCAGTTCTTGATCTTGGCTCATTTATCATGTTGACTATGAGAAGAACTCCATTCATTTCTTGAAATCACCCATTCTAGTAAGAGTATGGAGCTGGTCCACTCCTCTGATTCCACTCCTATAACCCACAATGGCCCTAACATTTGACTCTTGTTTCTCCAGGTCCTAATAAGATCATGTTCCTAGCCACAGCTTCATTAAGGTCTACATTGGAGCTGAAGTATACAGCACACATCGAGCTATTGTGATGGGCCCACCAGTGCTAGCTCGGGCACATTAGTCAGGCTGAGTGTGCAAAGAGGAGTAAGTTAGCGGTGCAAAGAGGTATACACAAGTGTGTACAAGAGTTTGTGAGTGTGTGTGTGTGTGAGAGAGAGAGAGAGAGAGAGAGAAAGATATCAGGGGATCTGGAAGGAGCTAGGGGAATAAATACTGAGACAGGGGAAAGAGAAAAACAGAAGATTACATCCCCCAACATTCCACTAAAACCAGCATTCAGACTGCTATTCCAATCACCATTTTCCAGTCCATTTTTACTAGCTCTCTCCACTGTGCTTCCTGGTGGTGAAAATTCTGATACCCTTCTATTCTAGTTTGCTTAATTCCTTTCTGTCCCTTCTCAATGGTAATCATGTGCTCCTCATCCTCTATGCATTCCTCAAACCTAGGCACTGTATTTATAAAAATGCTTTCTTAGCCAACAGCTCTTATAAGCATGCCCTCTTTGAACAAGTTCATCTATTTTCTGTATTCTCATTATTTCCAAATCCAAATTTCTAGCCCCAACTTCTCCATGGAACTTCCGTACATGCATGGACTTGCCAGATATAGTCCCATGACCGTCTCACGTGCACCTCAAATGTAGCATCTGGAAAACTCACCGTTCTCCCCACCAAGCCCAATCCTCTTCCAGTATGCTCGGTAACATTCACTCCGTGAGTCATGCAAACCAAAGTTCGCTACAAGCAAGTCCTGCCACTCAATATCCTGACCACTCCATGCCTCACATTTCATACTGCAAGCCTTCACCAGCACTGTTTCCTCTGCATAAGGTATTGATAGGGTTTGGATGTGTGGCCACTCCAAATCTCATGTTGAAATGTAATGCCCAGTGTCAGAGGTGGGGCCTGGTGGGAGGTGTTTGGGTCATGAATGGCTTGGTGTCTCTCACAGTAATGAGTTTTCACTCTGTGTTCATGCGAGATCTGGTTGTTTAAAAGAGTGTGGCACTTCCCCCTCTCGCCATGTGACATGTCTGCTCCCGCTATGCCTTCCACGAGTAAAAGCTCCCTGAGACCTTCCCAAAAGCCAAGCAGACGGTGGCACCATGCTTCCTGTACAGCCTGCAGAACCACCAGCCAATTAAACCTCTTTTCTTCATAAATTACCCGGTCTCAGTTTATAAGTACCCAGTTGCTATAAAGGAATACCTTTATAATGGACAAATACAGGTATACTTCACATCTTTCTTCCCCTAAATACTCTTTAGTTTTTCAAAACACAGCTCAGTCTCATCTTCAGATGTTCATCCTTAAAGCTCATCTTGGAATATGTGTCCCTTCTCTATATCCCCTTTGTACCTTGCACATTCTATCTGATCACTTCATGTATGCAATTGAAAGCACTCATTTGTGTGCCTATATTCTCAGTACTAAATCACAAGTGCCTTTAAGATCAAGAACTGTGACTTACCCATCTGATCTCTCCTGTCAGTTTCCAGAAGGGCATGACACATTGCAGGCACCTCAATAAATGTTTGCTAAACTCTTTATGAAAAGCCTTGAGGTTGACGAGATCCTCAGTTTTTATCCCACAGATTTTACTTTAGTGAACAAACTTCAAGGCACAAGACCAATCACAGCAATTCATCTTTGCTTTTATTAATAATTTCAACGTATGTTTTGAGCACTTTACAATGTAGGAAATGCTTTCATAGACATTATTTCCTATGATTCTCACAAAACCTTCACTGAAAAAAAAGACTTCAAGGTCACTTGCCCTATGTTTATAAAATAATCGCTTTAAATAAGCAGATAGGAGTCCAAAAATTCTTACAATCATAAGAAAAAAAAAGTCTAACCAGTACTTAATTATTTCTTGTCATGATTACTTTGTTTTAACGCCACTGTTTCCTTGCTTCCCCCATTTTCTTCAGATAAGTTTACTCCTTTTGGCTTGTCCTGCATCCTTTTCTGACAGCTGCCCTGTGTACACCTGCCTTAACATCTATCCTTCTACTCTGAATAGACTAAGCCAAAAGCAATTAAGAAATATTTCATTCTAAAGAAAACAGAATTTTAGTCCAAAACCAAATCCTGTCATGCTGCTTCAAGAAAAACATCAAAACTTTCACCCAAAGAGCCTTTCTGACAGGATGAATGCATTGAAATTCTCTGCTGTATGGTATCATTATGATGCAGAAAAGGTTTATAATTCCAACTGATTTCTGAAGAGAACAAAAAATGTTTACTTTATGCAGATTCAGAAAGTTTTCTGGCTACCCTCACATTAAGCTATTAAGTGTAACACAAAACTAAACCTAAAAAATTCACCATTCTCCCTCAAATTTATGCCATCTCCTTCCATGAGAGCTGATTTGCCATCCAAGACACCAGAATGTACATCTTCGGCTCCATGACCTACAACAGGCATGATGAAAGCAAAACACTGCCCATGGAGTTGGAAATTCTGGGTTGTGCCTCTACTGTATTCACCAGTTGTATGACCCAGAACAAGCCATTTCCTCTCTCTGAGCACAGGTTTCTCAGTGTAAAGCAGAGATAACAATATCAGTCTCACCCATCTCACAAAGTTGCTGGGCTCATATGATGATAATAATAAAACCTACCTTGTTAAAGAAAACAGTAAATCAACCTTTCTCAATTCCTAAAGAACCCAGGCAATGGCCTGTCTCAAGCCAATAGGATGAAAAATACTCCATCTACCTTTGCACCTCAGAACCCTCCTTTAACTCTGAACTCTTAACTCTTGAGAATAACCTACCTGTTTTAAGACAGCATAATAAAATATCATGGGGGAAAATTTTTGAAAATGATGCAGAAACAGAAAAATATGCCATTGCCTAAATTATTGGCAATTGGTGAATTGCTGATTGTGTCTGATTTTCTTGTATTGAAATGTCAGATTTAGGGTGAAAGAAAATCTTTCTATTTGTACAAATACCAGAAGATGTTTCATTTATATAATTTATAAAATTTTATTCCTATCTTGTGAGAGATAAATATAGCATCTCCTAAAAATATCACAAAGTAAACAAAGTTATCCATAGAAAATGCAAGTAACAATTTCTGTCAGGCTTAAATGGCTACAGCATATAGACGTACATGCATACACACACATAACTAGCATACAGAATATCCAACAAGAGAATATGTCTATTTGGAAAAAAAAGAAATTTGCTAATCTATTTGTACTTTTGTTGAAAAGTACAATACAGTCCCTGACTTGTAATAGTTCAATGTAAAATTTTTTGACTTTACAATGGTGCAAAACCATTCCGTTATTTCAGTATAATATTCAATAAATTACTTGAGATATCCAACAGTTTATTATAAAACAGGCTTTGCCTTAGATGATTTTGCCTGACTGCAGGCTACTGTTTAAGTGTTCTGAGTATGTTTAATGTAGGCTAGGCTAAGCTATGATGTTTGGTAGTTAGGTGTAGGAAACGGGCTTCTAACTTACGGTATTTTCAGCTTATGATGGGTTTATCGGGACATAATCCCACTGTAAGTCAAGGAGCAGCTGTATCACTTAGCTGTATCACTAAGCTGGCTTTGGGAAGCAGCAATTAACTATGTCACTATTTTGCCATTGAACTAAAACATTCCTTACACATAATGAAAGTGTTAAATGACTAAATTATCCAAATTAGACAAGAGCATTTCAAAAACTGAAACCATTATATTCTATTAATTTTGATTACATACTTGGGGGATATAAGATACAATAAAGGAACGTGAATTTTAGAGTTAGACCTCAATCCAACTCCTGATTCTGACCGGAATTTCTAGATGGATGGCCTCAGGTAAATTTCTCTCTTTCAGCCTCAGCTGCACACATCCATAAAAGGATCATAATACCATCTGTCTCTGATCATTCTCAGTAGAACATTAGAACCTCTGGGATAACCAACCTTTACAGAAATTCAGAATGAACATGCTTATCAGGGGTCCCAAGACCACCATAGGGTTAGTGATTTGCTAGGAAGACTCACAGGACTCAGCACACAGTTGAATTCAGTTATGACTTATTACAGTGAAAGGATACAAAGCAAAATCAGCAAAGAAAAAAAGGTGCGTGGGGCAAAGTCCAGTGGAACCCAGGCCAAGCAAGGGCAGCTGTTAGAGGCAGAGAAGTCATCAGAGCTTTCAGCAATTTCAAAGGATTGGAGGCAAAAACTGAAGTTCAGAGCTGCCAAGGTTCCTGAAAGAAGGGAGGTGCAGAGATGTGACCTCAACACTTGACAGTTTTCCCTTAAAGACATTTGACAAATTTTTAAATTACATAGTACAAGAGGCTAAAAAGCAAAGCATAAAGCAGCAAAACAACCAAAACAAAAAATAAACAAGTGAGCAACAGAAATTTCTGGTAGTCCTGTGGTGCTGGGGAGAGGAGGAGCCTAGGCCTTCAGTTGTGACCTCTGGAGGGCTACAGCTTACAAAGCCAGGAGGAGGCGTGAACCAAGAGTTCAAAGAGGTTTCATACATTTTGCAACCCTACCTTAAGGAAACTCAGGGGCTCTCTGGACTCAGGCAATCTGCCCTACTCTAAAAGCCTCCCAGAAGATAAAATGAATCTTCTGTGAGGGAAGATATCTAGAGCCTCTGAAGTTTTTATACATAATACCTGGCATCTGATCAAATATTACCACACATAAGAAATAGAAACAGGAAAAATATTCCAACAGAAACAGACCCAAAGGTAGTTCAGTATGGGGGTTCTCAGGCATGAACTTTAAGTAATAATTGTAATTAATATGTCCAAACAGACGATGAAATGAAGAATTTCACCATCTATTAATCTATTTAAAGAGAATCAAATGGAAAACCTAGAAATGAAAAATATATAACTGAAATTAAGAACTCAAAGATAGGTTTAAAACTGTCTTTTGGACAGAGCTGGAAAGAGACTTAGTGAAGCAGAGATAGGTAAGTAGAAAATGTCCAAACTGAAGGGAAGAAAGCAAAAAAAGGATAGAAAACTTAAATCTCCACATAAATTAAACCTGCTGAGGAAAAACGAATGTGGCAGATGCAACATTTGAAGAGCTAAGGGTGGGGAATTTTCCAAAAACAACAAAAGACTCAAATCACAAATTTAGGAGGGGCTACAAATCCCAAGTAGGATAAATACAAAGAAAACCAACTCTCAGCACTCATAGCAAAATTGCTAAAAACCAGAAATAGAAAAACCTAAAAGCATCCAGACAAGACTCATTGCCTTCAAAGGAGTAAAAAATAAGACAGTAGGCCGGGTGCAGTGGTACACGCCTGTAATCCCAGCACTTTGGGAGGCCGAGGCGGGTAGATCACGAGGTCAGGAAATCGAGACCATCCTGGGGAACATGGTGAAACCCCCGTCTCTATTAAAAATACAAAAATTAGCTGGGTGTGGTAGCAGGCACCTGTAATCCCAGTTACTCAGGAGGCTGAGGCAGGAGAATCACTTGAACCCAGGAGGCAGAGATTGCAGTGAGCCGAGATCGTGCCACTGCACTCCAGCCTGGCGACAGAATGAGACTCCAACTCAAAAACAAAAAAAGATAGTTGATTTCTCAACATAAACAATGGAAGCTCAAATTCAATGCAGTGGCATCTTTAAAGTGCCAGCGAGGGGGGCGAGGTGGCACTAGGGGGAAGACCCACTTAGAATTCTATACTGGAGATACAGTCTTCAAAAGTGAAGGTGAAATAATATGAAATTTTTCAAATAAATAAAAATGGAAATAATTTGTTGTAAGCAGACATGCACTAAAAGAAAATTAATCTTAAACCAAAACACAGAAATAGAGGAAGAAATGAAGAACAATGTAAAAGTAAATATAAGTGAATGTGACTAACTAAAACATTAATAATGTGTAATTAGATTTAAAATATATGGAGTTCAGTTCAACAAACCCTAGGGCTTACTTTAGTGTGGAAGGTGGGAGAACAGAAAGGATCAGAAAAAAATAACTATTGGGAACTAGTCTTAGTACCCAGGCGAGGAAATAATCTGTAGAACAAACCCCCGTGACATGGGTTTACCTATGTAACAAACCTGCATATGTATCGCTGAACCTAGAAGTTTAAAAAATACTACTAATAAAAAATAATAAAATATATGGAGTTCAATTAAAATATATGACAATAACACAAAAGGTGAAAAGGTGAGTAGAACACATCTGAAGATCCTAGCATTGTCTGTGAAGAGGCAAGAAGAGTAATTTTTATTATACTCTAATAAACCAAATATCCATGTTATCATCTCTAGAGTACCAGTAAAAGAACAGCAAAAGAGAATGGAACAAGCTTATAGAGAGACAAAATTGGAATAACAATAAAACTTTTTGAATTAATCTCAAAGAAGGTGAGAAAAAAACATAAAACAAGTGAAACCAATAGAAAACAAATACAGTAACTTACAAGCTCAGTTGTATTAGTAATTCATTAAATGGAAATGGAGTAAATACTCCAATTAAAAGACAAAGATGACTAACTGGATTATAAAATACAATTACCTGGTACATACAAGATTCCTATCTTAAATATAAAGAGAAAACTGGGACTAGAAGGATGGAAAAGATATTATGCAAAAACTAACCAACGAAAGCTAGGGCAACTACACCAATGTAAAACAAAGCTGGCTTTAAAGCAAGAAGCATTACCAAAGAAGAGACATTTTATGATAAAGAGATCAATCCACCAGAATGACGTAATGAAGCAAAAGTTCTACACATCTACTATAATAATACATAAAGCAAAAATTGACAGAACTTAAAAGGAAAAGTGGACACATTCGCAGTGATAGGGGAAACCTGAAAACATCTCTCTTAATACCTAATAGAACAAACAGATCCAAAAACCATTACAATGTGAAAAATCTGAACCACAGATTTAAAAACTTGATCTTATCAGGAATATATGGAATCCTACAACCAGCAATTAAAGAATATACATTCTTCTCTAATATGAATATAACACTAAATATGTATTCTTCCTTATGCTGATATATTCTTATTTTGAAGTCTCAGACACTTATTGTGAGAGAAATAACTTTTTCTCCCAAGAGGCTACCAAAAATATAAATAGCCATAAACATATACAATCATCAAATTCCTTACATAGCTAAGTCTTCCAGACTAATAATCACTAATTTGATACCTATCTACATCTCAATTATAAGGATCATTTACTTATGACAAGGCTCAAAGCTTTCATTATAATCAAATCTGGTCTGGGATCCCGAGGTGCTCACATCAGTCCCAAACTTATTTATCTGGATGATTTCAATCTCTCTATTTGTGGGTACAACAGCATTTCATCTACTCAGCACAAATACAAATGGAGCACTTTTAGTTATAAGCAACTACGATTTCCAAAGTACAAGAAGGTATGATATGATCTCCAATTACATGACTTATCTGCCCAGAAAAATCTCAGTAGTAATTACAGCGCTAAGAATTTTCTATGTAGTAGCAATAAATGATTCCCAGAAATGCAAACCAGACTCAAGTTATGTGTACCACAGCTATTAGAAAGGAAAATCTTTTTTCTTAATTTGCTTAATTAAATGGTAAATTATACATTAAAAATAAGGCACATTAATACCAGTAAACTTTACCACATAGCTAAGTATTAGACACTACTGTTAACATTTAGCCAAGAATTACCTATATTAATTTAATTTTCTCAGAAGACAGAGTTCCTATATATGTATAAACAAACAAATACTAGCTTCACATAAGGAAAATACAGATAACAGAGGTTAACATTTCATTCTAGTGTTTGCTAACGGTCTATAGCAACTATTATCTTTGTACTATTTTACCAATATCTACCACTCAGTCTCTCTCATAATGCTGGGGACAGGACTACAGACTTTAGCTGAAAAATAATATGATGGTAACTGGTCCACAGACTCATAGTGTTCCCTATACCTTATTCGAAAAATATCAAAACATACCAAATTAGGTTTTTTAAAAATGTTAAAACAAAATATAACTAATGCTAAGTATTTTAAAGGCTTTCTTTGGCTTAAGTTATATTTATTAGTTGCATCAGGAACAATTTCTCATCAAATTTTCTAATGTCCATGCTGTAGGTATGAAAAGGAATTAAGTAGTGACACATGCTACAATATGGATGAACCTCAAAAGCATGCTAAGTGAATGAAATCAGACACATGAAGGTCACATATTGTATGATTCCATTTCTATGAAATATCCAGAATAGGTGAATCCATACAGACAGAAAGGAGATCAGTGGTTGCCAGGGGCCAGGAGTGACTGCTTAATTGGTATGAGGGTCTCCTTTGGGGGTGATAAAAAGGTTTTGGAACAAGACAGGGTGATTGATGGCTGCACACCATTGTCAACATACTAAATGCCACTGAATTGTTTGCTTTAAAATGGTTAATTTTATGCTCTGTGAATTTCATCTCAATTAAAAACTAGATCCAAATAGTATTTTTGATTATATGTCAGTAATTAGGCTTCATTTAAACATGGGTATATTTTTAATTATGATAAAACATTGTGTAGATATTGCTATCTTTCAACTTCACTTACCTATAATTTTTTTTGAGCCAAGGTCTCATTCTGTTACCCAGGCTGGAGTACAATACAACGACATGATCTCGGCTCACTGCAACCTCCACTTCCTGGGCTCAAGCAATCCTCTCACCTCAGCCTCCCGAGTAGCTGGGACTACAGGCACCTGTCACCAGGCCAGGCTAATTTTTGTATTTTTTGTAGAGACAGGGTTTCACCACGTTGCCCAGGCTGGTCTCAAACTCCTAGACTCAAGACATCTGCCTGCCTTGGCCTCCCAAAGTGCTGGGATTACAGGCGTGAGCCACTGCACCTGGCCATCCTATAGTATTTTAAACATGCTCAAGCTTCAAATACTTCATCCACAGACCTGATATCCTGAAATTTAGTCACCACTACAATATCCTAATAAATAACTATTAAATGTTTCATCAGTCTCATTCTCAAATCATTTAAATGAAGGTCACTGAAACTGTTTAATAGTTCAGATAATAGATAAAATAAAAATGACTTTTGCTAAGCACAAAAATACTACATAGCTATTTGCTTTTATGAGTCCTACCAGTATTTCCAGCTTTGACCTGAAAGAGAAACACCTACCCCAGGAAAAATGTAGTGTTGCATCAGATGGAATTTTTATTATACAACACAAATGGGTAAAATTAAAATGACTTTTGTTTGGCAATTACCAATAAATGCCCTGGGAATATATAACATAATGAATAGTCGACAGTGAGCATTATTGAAAAGAAAGTTCTATAACTTCTGGTAAACACAGAGGATCTAACAAAAGCATTTATTTCTGATCCCTTCTCAAATACTACTAAGATGACAGTAAAAAAAAAAAAAATCTTTTTTTTTTTTAAGGATAAATTCATAGGGAGAAAATAAATTCAAGAGGAGGTAACGATGAGACAGGAATAACACAGGGTGGTCACAGGAGAATAGAAAATTCCAGGCAGCAGTTTCACATGACCAGCAAAAAAGAAACTGCTGAAATGGCTGCAGAAACTAGGGACTGATAAGACCCTGAAAAACCAGGTTGACCAACTGGACCCAACATAGCACTGGAATTGACCTAGGTTTCACCTAGGACCTCATCATATGCTCATGAACATACTAAGTCACACACCCACCAGTGTCATGACAGTTCCAGGAACACCCATATTTGGTGTAAAAGTGGGTAGCACAACAGTTCCGAGAAATCTCCACCTTTTCCCAGTTATCTTCACGAATATTCCACCTTTTGATTAAAGAAATCCATAAAGATAAAAATCCCAAACCCCACTGTGGGACTGTCTCGACTATGCCTGCAGTCCCCTTTCTTGAGTGTGTACTTTTGTTTTGCAATAAATCTCCGTATTTTCACTATTTTCTGACTCATCCTTCAATTCCTTGGCGTGATAGTGTCAAGAGCCTGGGGACACAGACACTGGCTGGGGTCAAGGTCCCACCAGCATTTGGAGACCCCCTCCAGCCCACCAGTATCAAAAGCAAACAAGAGATAATAACAAAATGTTGGAAGATGGAGGCAGGTGGAAGCAGATGGATGAAACTAATGGTCTTGAGTTCCAACTTCCTTCACTTTGCTAAGTACCTATGGAAGGAAGGGAAATCAAGGGAAAAAAAATGCTGATTTACATTACAAAGCCCTAGAAAAGTTCAGCAATTAGAGACACTGGTTATTTTTAACAAATGGGTTTTAGGGTGGAATTGAAAACAAGAACCAGCTAAAAGATTTATAAAGAGGAGTTAGACCTTCAAATTCCCTTCTTCAGCCCATCTCCTATTTCACAAAGATGGGAAGTTGGCTTTCAAAAGATGCTTCAGAGAGGCTACTCACATAGGACCAAAAGGCAGAAGTAGCAGAAGTACAATCCAGAAAATGAGGGTGCAAGTGGGGAGCGCAAGTCAAAGTCTGCTCGAAAGTAAATCCTATTGAGCTTCCCAAATGCTGGCTTATGCCCCTAAGGCAATACTTCTCAACTTAAAAAAAAAATCCCCTAAGGAGTCTTTGTAGATAGATATTTTTCCTAACTCCCACCCCTTAATTAATTACATTAAGTATTAAAAAGATAAATTTAATGTCAGATAACACCCAGTTAAAGAAAGTTCAGATAACACCCAGTGAAAGAAAGAATAGGTGAATTAGAAGGTGGGTTAGAAAAAACATCCAGAAGAAAGCACAGAGAGACAAAAGGATAGAAATTTATTCATAAGAGAATAAAAGACACAGAGGATATAGTGAAAAGATCATACGCAAACATAAATGGAGTCCCAGAAGGAGAGATAATGAAGGCAGGAACAATGTTTGAAGAGAATATAGCTAAGAATTTCCCAAAACTGATAGAAGACATGAAGCTCCAAATTTAAGAAACTTTGGGAACCCCAAGCAAAATAAAAAGAAAATCATATCTATGTAAAGCTCCTAAATATGAAAGACTAAGAGAAATTCATAAAAGCAACTTAGCCTTAAAAGAGACCATTTTCGGCCGGGTGTGGTGACTCACGCCCAGCACTTTGGGAGGTGGAGGCAGGCAGATCATGAGGTCAGGAGTTCAAGACCAGCCTGGCTAATATGGTGAAACCCCGTTTCTATTAAAAATACAAAAATTAGCCAGGTGTGGTGGTGCATGTCTGTAATCCCAGCTACTTGGGAGGCTGAGGCAGGAGAATCGCTTGAACCTGGGAGGCAGGAGAATCACTTGAACCTGGGAGGCAGAGATTGCAGTGAGCCAAGATCATGCCACTGCACTCCAGCCTGGTGACAGAGTGAGGCTCCATCTCAAAAAAAAAAAAAAAAGACAGACCATTTTCAAAAGGGCAACAACAAGACAAATAGCTAACTTGACATCCTAACAGTGGAGGACAGAAGACAACAGAATCCATATCTTTGATGTGCTGAAAGAGAGTAAATGTCACCTAGATTCTCCAGCCACTGAAAATATCCCTCAACAAGTAAAGGTGAAGAGATAGCAGTGTTCTTTGGGAAAAAGAAAAATGATCTCAGATAAAACCCAAAATGTAGGGAAAAAAATGAAGAGAAAAAAGAGCAGGGGGTGGAATGCGTGGTGAGAGCTAATGACTGCATTAAACAATAATATCTGTAAAGTTAAAAATACTCATAGTATCTGAAAGTATCTAACAACAGCAACAGATACGTTGAGGGGGGTTAAATGGACTTCAAATGTTATAAGAATCCTGTATTGTCCAAAAAAAAAGATAAAAGTACAATTTTTTTTTTTTTTTTTGAGAAGGAGTCTTACTCTGTCACCCAAGCTGGAGTGCAGTGGCACAGTCTCGGCTCACTGCAACTTCCGCCTCCCGGGTTCAAGCAGTTCTCTGCTTCAGCCTCCCGAGTAGCTAGGATTACAGGCACCTGCCACCACGCCCAGCTAATTTTCATATTTTTAGTAGAGATGGGGTTTCACCATCTTGGCCAGGATGCTCTTGAACTCCTCACCTCCTAATCCACCCACCTTGGCCTCCCAAAAATACACTTTTATATTAAGAGTTTGATAAAGTGAGACTGCATGAAGTAATGCCAAGTGTCCGTTAAAATCAGTTAAGAGAATAAAACCAATATAAATCTAAAATCAATCTAAAATCTACCAATCTAAAAGAAAGCCAAAAAAAAAAAAATACAGGACAGATGGAACAAATAGAAAGCAAATAATAATCTGGTAGATTTAAACCTAAATATGTTAATAATTACAATAAATGTAGGTGAACTAAATGCTCTGATAAAGAATAACTATATTCTGCTTAAAAGACATATTTAAATATAAAGACACAAAAGGCTAAAAACAAATACTAAACAAAAAGATAGCTTACGCTTACATACATAGTAACACCAGCAGGGTTAAGATTCTGTCAAATTTGTAATATTAACTCACACACTCAGAAGTTTCAAGCTTTTCCAATTAAAATAATTTTATAGATTAGTAGTTTTAAGCTCTGTTTAATTTACATCTAATCTTTAAATCTCCATTGTTATTTATAAAACTAAATTTATCTTTCACCAAAGCAATGGTGTAGAAACTAAATGGAACGACTGGCAACTTATTTTTCATAATTATCACAAATTCACTTTGAATAAGTCTCTTACCTTTTTCTTAGTTTATTTAAACAAAACTTAAATGTTATATGCAAAAAACCTGATGGTTCACAGTATTGTAAAGAGTAATTATATAATATCTGAAATTGGGCGAATATTTACATCCCCCCTCCCATCCCAATTCATATGTTGAAATCCTAATTCCCAAGGTGATGGTATTAGGAGGCGGGCCTTTGGGAGGTGATCAGGTCACAACAGCAGAGCCCTCTTGAATGGGATTAGTGCCCTTATAAAAGAGACCCCATAAAGATCCCTCAACCCTTCTGCCATATGAGGTTACAGTGAGATGACCACTGTCTATCAAAGAACAAGGCCCTCCCCAGACACTGAATCTGCTGATGCCTTGATCTTGGACTTCCCTGTCTCCAGAACTGTAAGAAATAGATTTCTCCTGTTTATAAGGTATCCAGTGTACGGTATTTTGTCACAGTAGCTCAAACAGACCAAGACAGAAACTGACACCAAGAACTGGGGGTGCTATTGTAACAAACATGTAAAAATGTGGCAGCAGTTTTGGAAGTGGGTAGTGAGTAAAAGCTGTAAGAGTATGGAGGTGCTTGCTACAAAAGGGATACATGGCTGTGAATGGCCCATAAAGAGCAATTCTGGTGAGGCTCAGAAAGAAAACAGGAAAGCTATAGAGAAAGCTTCAGACTTCTTAAAGAATACTTAATAATCCTGATAGAATGTTGGTAGAAATACGACAGTAAAGGCCATTCTGATGAGGTCTCAGATGAAAATGAGGATATTTGGCCAAGGAAATTTCTAAGCAAACTGTTGAAGGTATGGCTTGGCTTCTCTTGATTGCTTATAGTAAAATGCAAGACAAGAGAAATTAAAGATGGAATCATTCACGAGAGAGGAAGCAGAACTTAAAAATTTGGAAAACTCTCACCCTGTCTATATTGTAACAAACGAGAAAGACAGTTTGGGAGGAGAGAATACCAAGGGTGTAGCAAAAGGACCAACTGATAAGGCATAAAGTCAGCCAAATAAACAGAGCCAGGAGCTATTGTCCAAGACAAGAAAAGAACGACCACCCTCCCTGACAGGCAATTCAGAGATCATCAGAGTGGTTTCAAAAGAGGAGCCACCTGTGCCTGCAGGTTCACACACTCCACTCCCTGCAGTCTGGCACCCTGCTCCTCTGCAGCACAAGGTGAGGCTCTGGAAGGCCCAGGTGTGGTACACATGCAGTGGTCACCACTTCAGAGGGCACAGGCATTTGGCAGCATCCATGTGTGCTGTCTCTGCTGAGCCCCAGAATTCACCAGCCTGGGAAGCATGGTTACCTCCACCTAGATATCGAAGGATGGAGCCACAGGCACAACACCCAGGTAAGGAACCACCACAAGGGCAAGGCCACCACAAAGAGCTGCTACTAGGGCAAGGCCCAGCAAAGCCATGGGGGCAGGACTGCCTGGAGGCTTAGGGATCCAACCAATGGCCAGCAAAACTGCAGGGATGGAGCCTCCACTCTAGTGTGTCCAGAAGGTGGAACGGCAGCCCCAGTGGGCCTGAAGAGCAGAGAATGCAGCTAAAGATCATTTTCAAGCCTTCAGGTTTTGGACATGCTCAAGAATTGTCACTTCTTTTTCTTTTTGGAATAAAAATGTCTGTCCTGTTCTTGTCCTACCATTGTATTTTAGAAGCACCTAACTTGGTTGATTCCACAGGCTCACAGCTAAAGGAAAATTTGCCTCAGGACAAATTATACCTTGAATCTCACCCATATCTGATTTAAATGACACAGTCATATGCTCCAATGATGTTTCAGTCAACGATGTAATGCATATATGACAGTGGTCCCAATTATAATACCATATTTTTACTGTGCTTTTTCTATATTCAAATATGTTCAAATACAGAAATACTTCCCATTGTGTTACAATTATATATAGTATTCCATACGGTCACATGCTGTACAGGCTTGTAGCCTAGGAGCAATAGGCTATACCATATAGCCGAGGTGTGTAATGGGCTATACCATCTAGGTTACTACAAATACACTATATGATATTCATACGATGATGAAATCACCTAACAACACATTTCTCAGAATGTATTCCTATTGTTAAACGATGCATGACTATATTCAGATGAGTCTTTGGACTTTAAACTTTTGAGTTAATGTTGGAATAAGCGAACATTTTGGGACTATTGAGATGGAAATGATGTATTTTGCTTGTGAGAAGGACATGAATTTTGGGATGGGAACAGGGATGAAGGGTAATGAACTGAATGTTTATGTCACATGAGGTTACAGTGAGAAGAAGGCCACCTATGAGGAAGCAGGCCCTCACCAAACACCAAATCAGCCATTGCCTTGCTCTTGGACTTCACAATCTCCAGAACTGTGAGACATAAATTTCTGTCATTTATAAGCCATCCAGCCTATTGTATTTCATTATGGCAGCCTGAGCTGACTAGGACAACATCTGTCAATGAGTTACTACTTATGTTGAAAAAGACATTTAATGTAAATATTTATTCTTATTGCTGCAAGTATTCAAGCTTATTTGATATACATTGCCTACAAATGAAAATAAATTAATTTATAACAGATACTGTATCTCGGGAAATAGTTAAAACCAAGAAGGATAAAACTGAATTGAGGGCTAAGTTGTGGAATAACACGATCCACACTGCAGACAGGTTGAATAAAGCAAAATTCTGGCAGGGAAAGATGGATTTGAAAAATTATGAAAGGGTGAACTCAACTAAAAAAAAAGTTAGGGGAATTTATATTCATTAACTTGATACCTCAGTTTCACATTACGACCAGGAAATAGATTAAAAATTACAAGGACAAAGAAGGGATCCAGAAGAGCACAGACAATAAAGAGAAAAGGACAGGGGGGTGATCTTAGTAAAAGGTAAGTGGTCTCCTAGTTCCATCTCTAACACTGTCATTTACCCTTTTCACTTACACTTGGAAATGTGTCTTCCCCTACTGATTCCATGCTGCCAAATGCCTGTGCCCTACTGATTCCATATTCATCATTATGACCCTCCAATGCTACCTAATACTATCTCCTCAAGCAATCATTGCCCCTTATCCTCACTATTCTTATTGGAGCACTCATCCTCGTCTCAAATGTAAATGATTCCAAACACCTTCCTTAAGAATTTTTTTGCCTCCACCTTCCCAGTTTCAAAAAAATGCATATACTTCTTTCAGGTAAAATAGTGGCATACTTTGCCAGTGGCTTTAAAACTCCCAAATGACTAAAGGATAAAGTCTAATGTGCTTACATGGTTAATTTGGGCACTATAAGACAGTGCTCTTCCCAGAAATCTAATTCAATTGAATTTTTAAATCTGACATAGCTACCTACCTCTTATTCAACTCAATATGTGACTGGCACACATTGCAAGGTACCATGAATGGCACATTATGCAGCACTAAAGGGCACAGATATAGTCTCTGCACTAAAGGGCACAGATATAGTCTCTGGGGTTAACTAGGAGTTAGCCAGGCAAAGTGTGAGCAAAAGGCTTCTCTTAAAAGTTGGTATTGAAGCCAGGCACAGTGGCTCATGCCTGTAATCCCAGCAGTTTGGGAGGCCGAGATGGGAAGACTGCTCGAGCCCAGGAGTTCAAAACCACCTGGGCAACATAGGGAGGCTCCCTCTCTACTGAAAAAACAAACAAACAAAAAAAATTAGCTGGGTGTGGTGGTATGTGCCTGTAGTCCCAGCTACTTAGGAGGCCGAGATGGGAGGACTGCTTGAGCCCAGGAGGTTGAGGCTGCAGTGAACTATGATCATGCCACTGCATTCCAGCCTGGGCAACAGATCAAGACCATGTCTCAAAAAAAAAAAAAAAAAAAAGGCTGGTATAGAAAAGTACACACTTTCAGGTTCCTGTTATCCCTGTCCCAAAGACAGAGCAATGATTAGGTAAAATACAAAATAGGATGACAAAAAAGACACATATGCATATAGAAATAAGATATATATCTCCTTGGACCGGAAAAAGAACAGAATCACGAAGTCAGGTCATGGGTGTGCCGCCAGGTCCAAATGCAGGCAGCAGTAGCTCCTTCAAGGCAACAGAGAGGCTGACAAAGTGCCCTACAGGCAGGGAACTAAATTCAGACTTGTGAATGCAGCAGCTGGAGTAAGGCTTCCCACTTTAGAAAGGAGGCTGAGAAAATAAGGCTGAGACTTCTGCCTAAAGCTAAAGACTTTATAGCATTGCAATTATAAAGTCAGAAAGAAAAGACAGAGGGAATCACAGCCAGAACTTTCATGAACTCAGTGACTTGTCCTGGAAAATCCCCAATCACTGAAGGATGGGAAGTCTGAAATGTTAGTATCATGCTACCATAAACTTGTGCTGGAGCCCTGAGAGGGCCAGGTAGAAAGAATCACAAAATCATTAAGAGGTTACGGGGAGAGGCTTGAAAGGCCTGGGAGTGGGGGACTCTACTTAAAATGAGCCTGCAAACTATAGGATCATGAGAAACAGTGGATGAATTTACCAACACAATAAAAATAAACAGCACAATCCACAAGTGACTTTAAAAGTCTTTAGGGTCTTCAAAGAAGGAAAGAATAACGGCCATAGGATATACAAGAAAATGTGAGGGCTGGGTGTGGTGGCTCACGCCTGTAATCCCAGCATTCTGGGAGGCTGAGGCAGGTGAATCATTTGAGGTCAGGAGTTCAAGACCAGCCTGGCCTACATGGTGAAGCCCCGTATCTACTAAAAATACAAAAGTTAGCCAGGCAGTAGTGGTCCATGCCTGTAATCCCAGCTACTAGGGAGGCTGAGGCAGAAGAATCGCTTGAGCCTGGGAGGCAGAGGTTGCAGTGAGTCGAGATCGCGCCACTGTACTCAAGTATGGGTGACACAATGAGACCCTGTCTCAAAAAAAAGAAGAAAGAAAATGTGAAATAAATGCAGAAACAAAAAAGAGCAAATTAGATGAGAAATACATAGTCATTAAAAGAAAAATCTCCCAGGAGATAAGTTCTGGGAGTAGTTGGTGAATTATAAAATGCTACTGAAGAATTTACCTAGACTGTAGCAGGAAAAGGAAACATGAAAAAGCAGTTAAGAGATATGCATGGAGAACAGACTGAGAAATTCCAATACAGGAATTCTAGAAGAACAGAATAAAGGGAATGATAAAGAAGCAATTTTCAAAGAGAAAGTGGTTGAGAACTTCAAAACTGAAGACAAGAGTCCTCAAATTAAAAGTACCTATTAAGTGTCAAGCAAGATAAACTAAAAATAAGTCTACTCCTAAACATAATGTACTGAAACTGAACCAGATTGAGGATAAGAATAAAATCTTAAAGAAGTGGAGGCACAGACATTTTGGTAGAGAAAACCAAAAATGCAAAGACCCTAGGGTGACAAAGAGACTGATCTGTTCTAAAATAAGGCTACTCAAGGTGTGGTCCATTGACCAGTGTGGTCCACAAACTCTTTGTTACTGGCCCATGGTGACAAAAGTACAGAAACTGAAATGAAGTGTTCAGAAACCTTTATAACAATCTGACACAGAAATTATAGGTCTGGTGATCTAATAATAATAAATTAGCACTTATATTTGTATTCTTTGGGGTCCTCTCTCCCATTTTCATAGTGTTTCATTCTTATATTTTTATTCAAGTATCAGTACAGAAAAAGTTGTAAAACAGAAACTGGTCCTTTGCCATAACTGGTTTAGAAGCACTGTTCTGAAAATTCAAGGGTGGTCAGTGCAGTTAGAATGATAAGGATACAAAGTGAGAGTAGGACAAGCTCAAAGAGGAGAGGAAGGTGTAGGTGACTTACGCTGGACCTCAGAGACTCTGATAATGGATATATTCCATTACACACCTGGGACACCGATAATGGTTTCTAAGCACACGAGTGACTAGTGCATGCAAAGAAGCTGGAGGATACCAGAAGTAAAGTACATGGAGCAAGACCAGTCAGAAGGTTACTGGAGTTGTTCAGGCAAAGGGTAATGGCAGCCTGGACTACTGTAATGGTAAAGGTGATGGAGAGAAATGAAAGCTCTGAGAAATATCTCAGAAGAGAAATCAAAAAGTTCTGGGTGATGGATTGGGTTAAGGGTAAGCGAGAGGAAAATGCCAAGAATAAGACATGAGCATCTGGGTGGACAGGGGTGGCTAAGAATGAACAGGTTTGCTATGGGAGCAGCAGTCACAAACTGAGTTCTAGACCAGTTAATTTTGTGTCCAGGTGTACATAAGCAAGTTGGAAGATGGATCCACAGGTCTGGGAGATTGTAAGTATTTTGGAGTTGTCAACATACAGATAGAATGTAAACTCACAGGAATGAATATCACCCACAGAAAGCAGGTAAATTGAGAAGTGGAAGAGGAGAAAAAGCAAAAGAAGATGAAGGAAAAAATGCTCAGAGGAAAGTTTATGAACACACCACCCCTGTTTCCCCCCTCAACAAATAAACCCAAGTGACCTGTGTTAATTAACTATGGCTGTTGTTACCAAAGTAACTTTTATTAGTGATCACTGATGCAGAGCACAACTAAAGGACAAATATCAACAGCTAAGAGAAGGAGGTAAAGATAAGAAATAGTACAACATCCCCCACATCACATTACCAATAATGTAAATAATGACAAGAATTTGCACTTATTCCTGAAAAGTTTCCAAGAGCAAGAAAAAGAATAGCTGAATGAATATACTATATTATATTACTATAAAATAAGATATTAAAATAATAAATAGCAGTAACTAAGGAAAAAAGTTTTGCCAACCTGTATTGGGTGGGGGGAAGCAGGCTTAAAAGCAGCAAGTATATACTAATGATCTGATCTGAAATTATAAAGCTGGCTAGTTTTATCTTCAGCCCACAATCAGAACCTCCCTCATTCCCCTTATTTACTCTATCTGTATTATATGAAAAACAAAACAATAACAACAAATTTACATTTAAGAAGCAGCGTGCTGAATAGCTGTACGCTAGTAGCGTGTCATATTACACTGGAAGTATCCACCTCAAAAAACAACTCCAGATAGCTCTGCAGCCACCACTCTCCTCAGAGTACCACATTAGCTGTTGCTTACATCATAGAAGTCCCAGGCTACTATAAGCTTCTAAATGTTTTGAATTAATACATTTTTCATATAGGATGGATCATTTATCATTCCATACTTAAAGACATATACAATTACTATTTCCTCTTCTATAAAATCTATACTCATTAGCAAAGAACTGAACACTTGCTCCTCTGATGTTTTCTTCAGCCTTAACTTTTCTAAGCTCCAGATAAGTCTTTCCACCTTACCTAGTCTACAGTAGTCCCCTATTACCTGCAGAGGACAAGACCAAGACCCCTCTGTTCATGCCTGAAACTGTGGACAGTAACAAACCCCATATATCTGTTTTTTTCCATATGATAACTGAGACAGCTACTAAGTGACTAAGGGGTAAAGGGGATGGGTAGAGAGTGTCTATAGTGTGGCTATGCTGGACAAAAACAATGACTCATGTCCCAGGTGGAATGGAGTGGGATGGCAGGAGACGTCACCAGACTACTGAGAACAACATGCAATTTAAAATTTATGAATTGTTTATTTCTGGAATTTTCCATTTAATGTTTTTGGACTGCATTTGACCACGGTTAACTGAAACCACAGAAAGTGAAGCCAAGGATAAGGAGGCTACTGTATTTTCCATTGCTAACTTTGTTTCCTTCACGTTCAGCTGCTATTTCTTTACCAAACCTCATCTACTATTATCTTTCAAGCCCTACCCTAAAACCTAATGATTTGGGAAAAACTCTCTCAGATAAATCCAGCCTTCACTCAGTCACTCTTTTTCTTCAAATGTCTATGTAATTTTTAACTGTTATTTTTGTACTCTTTTATAACACTATCATGCCACTTCACAAACATAAACTGTGCTTTTTCCATCATACTATCGACTCCCCTCAGGACGTGAGCTCTCATTTCCCATTTCTTCTACTTTTGCAGAGATTCTAGCTCAACACTCTGCCCATGATAGGTTGCAATAAATACCTAAACACAATGACTCATTAATAGAACATAATTGGTCAATGAATAGCTACTACATGAAAGACACTGAGATTACAAAAATAATTTTTAAAAAGCTCCCTCCCTTTGGATTGTTGGAGCCTAAGCAGGGTGAGGAAGGCATCCGAGAGAGAGCAGTGAGACAGAAGATTAGTTACACACAGGCAGGTTGATCAAGTAAGAAAAAAATATTCAAGATAATGACAGCCAGGTTTCTCACTGTTAAGGAAGGGAATTAGACATTTAATTTAAAAACTAGACTTAACCCTTAGGTGTAGAATCAGAATGGAACATATCACTGTGAACTCAGAATTTTTAGGTTATGTCTGTCTTTATTTGAGCATGCATGTATATGCATGTGTGTACATATATATAAATTCATGTATGTAAATACTTAAATATATTCTATAGCTCTGTCTACCAAGAGAACTTGGGAGCAGTAACATCACAAAAGCAATAAATAACTACTAGCACCGAGGCTTACATATAAATACCGTTTTCCACCAAAAGGAATCAGGAAGCATTGAAGAAATGATTGATGATTCCAACCCTGAGATAAAGAACATGCAGTGATAGCCTGGGAAATCCTGTTCTGCCAAAAAGCAAGGAAATCCGCAAAGAATGATGAGGAAATATAAAAAAACATAACAGAAGTTTGAAGGGGCCAAATCAGGAAAATTTTGAGCATCAAAATAAACAATGGCAGTAATAGATTAAAACTCACTGAATTAAAATTATAAATCATAAGCCCCATACATACAAATTTAAGGATGAATAAATTAAAAGTTGGATGATAAAATGGAATACTGACAGTTTCAAAGTACGTGCCCATTAAAATATTTATTAATTACAAAAGAGGAAAAAACTACTTCATAATGGAGAAGTTTGGCAGATACCATCTTAATTAAATGATCAAAGGGAATATTTTGAGTAATGGAACAAATTAAAACTGCGCTCTACGATAAGATGCAATGAGAAGCACACAGTATCCATGATAGTCTTGCCAAAGATGCATAATCTGAATATAATCATGCAACACACACAGACTCAGATTGAGAACATTTAATCCTCAAAAGCATCAGGATACAGAAGTCAAGGAAAAGTCAGAAGTATGTAAAAAATTCATTTGAGATAGACAAAGAGGAATGATAGCATGGAGGAAGAAGTGACTAGTTTGCCTACATCAATAAACAGGAGAAAGAGCTACAGTAAAATCTCAAAAGAAAACTGAATTTGTAATTGGCCATTATTAGTTGTTTGTGTGTGTTTTTTTTTTTTTTTTTTTTTTTTTTTTTTTTTTTTTTTTGAGGCACAGTTTCATTCTGTCACCCAGGATGGAGTGTAGTGGCAGGATCTCAACTCACTGCAACCTCCGCCTCTTGGGTTCAAGCGATTCTCCTGCCTCAGCCTCCCGAGTAGCTGGGACTACAAGCGCACACCATCATGCTTGGCTAAATTTTTGTATTTTTAGTAGAGACAGGGTTTCGCCATGTTGGCCAGGCTGGTCTGGAACTCCTGGCCTGACCTCAAGTGATCTGCCCACCTCGGCCTTCCAAAGTGCTGGGATTACAGGTGTGAGCCACTGCGGCTGGCTTGGTTTGTATTTTTATATTTATGCAATGATAAGGATGAGGAGTTCTTAACCTTTTTTGTGCCACAGTCCCCTTAAAGAGTCTGATGAGGCCTATAAACTCCTTCTCATAATACTTTTAAATATATAAAACAAAATAAATATGATTACAAAGGAAATCGATTATATGGAAATATAATTATCAAAATGTTAAAAACATATTTGTGATATAGCAGTACATGTGATTTCTTTAAAATATGTGCTTTTCAAAATATATATACTCCTTTTAAAACAATAAGACCAGTGGAGGGCCTAATCATAACCATAGTTGTGAAGTATTAGTAAGCATAAACGATATTTCAGTATATCTAAAGCACCAGTAACGGTCTGTTGACTACATGTTAAGAATACACGAATTAAAAGTTAAAAGGAGGCTTAAATATCAGTGAGAATTGACAATTTTTATATTCATTTCTATTCTTGTTTAGGAGGTACTTTGAAGGATAGAGAATGCAGGTGATTATTTGTCTAAATTATCACATTTATGAGGAATGGAGTTCCAAGTAATGTTTGTCACACCTAAAACTACTATACTGACATATACAACAGGGCAGAGCAATAAATTAACAAATTTGATGACAAGTTAATACCTAACAACAAAAATCATGAAGGTTCTATAAAATGAGACTATTGTTACCCATATACACAAAACCATAAAATGCTAATCTCTGGCATTATGATTAAGAATTATGACATGAACTCCCTCTCCCTCTCCCTCTCCCTCCCCCTCCCCTTCCCCACGGTCTCCCTCTCCCTCTCTTTCCACAGTCTCCCTCTGATGCCGAGCCGAAGCTGGACTGTACTGCTGCCATCTCGGCTCACTGCAACCTCCCTGCCTGACTCTCCTGCCTCAGCCTGCCGAGTGCCTGCCATTGCAGGCACGCGCCACCACGCCTGACTGGTTTTCATATTTTTTTGGTGGAGACGGGGTTTCGCTGTGTTGGCCGGGCTGGTCTCCAGCTCCTAACCGCGAGTGATCCGCCAGCCTTGGCCTCCCGAGGTGCTGGGATTGCAGACGGAGTCTCGTTCACTCAGTGCTCAATGGTGCCCAGGCTGGAGTGCAGTGGCGTGATCTCGGCCCGCTACAACCTCCACCTCCCAGCCGCCTGCCTTGGTCTCCCAAAGTGCCGAGATTGCAGCCTCTGCCTGGCCGCCACCCCGTCTGGGAAGTGAGGAGCGTCTCTGCCTGGCCACCCATCGTCTGGGATGTGAGGAGCCCCTCTGCCCGGCTGCCCAGTCTGGAAAGTGAGGAGCGTCTCTGCCCGCCCGCCATCCCATCTAGGAAGTGAGGAGAGCCTCTTCCCGGCCGCCATCCCATCTAGGAAGTAAGGAGCGTCTCTGCCCGGCCGCCCATCATCTGAGATGTGGGGAGCGCCTCTGCCCCACCACCCCGTCTGGGATGTGAGGAGCGCCTCTGCCCGGCAGCGACCCCGTCTGGGAGGTGAGGAGCGTCTCTGCCCGGCCGCCCCGTCTGAGAAGTGAGGAGACCCTCCGCCTGGCAGCCACCCCGTCTGAGAAGTGAGGAGCCTCTCCGCCCGGCAGCTGCCCCGTCTGAGAAGTGAGGAGCCCCTCTGCCCGGCCACCACCCCGTCTGGGAGGTGTACCCAGCAGCTCACTGAGAACGGGCCATGATGACAATGGCGGTTTTGTGGAATAGAAAAGGGGGAAAGGTGGGGAAAAGATTGAGAAATCGGATGGTTGCTGCGTCTGTGTAGAAAGAAGTAGACATGGGAGACTTTTCATTTTGTTCTGTACTAAGAAAAATTCTTCTGCCTTGGGATCCTGTTGATCTATGACCTTACCCCCAACCCTGTGCTCTCTGAAACATGTGCTGTGTCCACTCAGGGTTAAATGGATTAAGGGCGGTGCAAGATGTGCTTTGTTAAACAGATGCTTGAAGGCAGCATGCTCATTAAGAGTCATCACCACTCCCTAATCTCAAGTACCCAGGGACACAAACACTGCGGAGGGCCGCAGGGTCCTCTGCCTAGGAAAACCAGAAACCCTTGTTCACTTGTTTATCTGCTGACCTTCCCTCCACTATTGTCCTATGACCCTGCCAAATCCCCCCTGCGAGAAACACCCAAGAATGATCAAAAAAAAAAAAAAAAAAGAATTATGACATGAAATTATCTCTGAGCCTACAGCTTATCAAATTTGTATATACTAACTTTTAGGAGAAAAAGACTACCTATTTAGAAGTATATTTGGCAGATGTAGTTCAATTTTCAAAGGAATGCTAAATTAGCTGTTTCTGATATATATAACCAGAAGGATACTGGACAGCCATCTGATGTGTGTAGACATCAACAAAATCTTTTGAAATATTCCTGACTCTAAGCCTTTTTTTTTTTTTTGGAGATAGAGTCTCCCTCTGTTGCTCAGGCTAGAGTGCAGTGGTGAAATCTTGGCTTGCTGCAACCTCCACCTCCCAGGTTCAAGTGATTCTCCTGCCTCAGCCTCCCAAGTAGCTGGGATTACAGGCACCCAACACCATGCCCGGCTAATTCTTGCATTTTTAGGAGAGATGGGGTTTCACCATGTTGGCCAGGCTGTTCTCGAACTCCTGACCTCAGGTGATCCACCTGCCTCGGCCTCCCAAAGTGCTGGGATTACAGGCATGAGCCACTGCACTCAGCTGTCTAAGCCCTCTTAACTTAGATATTAGCTAAGTATAATATTTCTCACACTGTTCATTTTGGGGTTAAAAGTAAACCAGTACAACCACTAAAAATACTTGAAATATATTTTTATTAAAATCTCATCCAAATATCAACATTAAAAGAATCAGCAATATAAATTGGAACAAATATTTGATGTATTAACTTAATTATATTAATTCTAAACATGCTCTTGCCTGTCAAAATTTCCATGCCTTTTCTGCTATTTTAATGAAGTCTAATAATATACTACAATATAATAAAAGAAAAAACAATTTTTTCCTACCTAGTTACTTTGCAGCTTGATTCAATTAAATCATTTTCAAAGTCAAGCAGGCTGGAAGGCAGATTATACTCCAATGGAGAGGTCAGTCTTTTCAAACGTAAAAGACCAACACAAAATTTTGCTCCCATCTCTTCCAGTTCTCGGGTACCAATCTGTAAACCCTTGAAATAAACAAATATTATGCATATAATTACAAAGTTTGCTATCTTCTGGATACAGCTCAATGAAATTATATAAAAAGAATTTATAACTATATTAATAAAATTAAAAGGCTGGTACTTTGTATGGAACTAGGACTCAACAAGTTTAACATCTTAACAATACAAGATTATTTTAAGTCACAAAGGAAACTGTCCTAAAAGACAATTTCTAAAATGTCTATTCTCTTTCACTATGATGCAAACTATTTTCACCATCACACTAGGGGGAAAAAATACAGTAACACTTTGTGACGTTACTTGTAGAATTCATGTGACAAACTGTATTTTAACAAGAGCTTGTTAGTATTTCTTGTAATCCACTACTTCGTATGCTAATGTTGAAATATTATAGTATTAAAATCAAGGCTCCAATATGTACATTTGAACATTACTTTATAGATACTTCTACTGTATGATAAGAGAAATTGATCAGTAAAAAGCAAATAAAGGTAACTGTCAAAAAAAGAATCAAATCTAAGCCAATGAAGTAGTGGTCAAATAAATTCCTATGATCCATGTCAATTCAGAATGCTCATTTCAAATTTTGTCTACTAAAGCAAAAAGAGTATTTTATCTTAACCTCCCTATCTTTTTTAAAAAATAGTTTCTCAGTAAGTAATATAAGGTTTACCAAAAGTTAAATGTTATCACATAAAACCATAAAAATGGCCTACAAATTAATATACTCCTTCTTTATCATTTATTTTTCAGATACAAATAAATCCCTAAAAAAGGCAAAATTCTTGCACCTATATAAGTTGTAGGTGTAGATTACAGCTGATATCAATTCAAGAGAAAGTATTTTAAAACTGCTTTTCAGTGACCAGACTAAGTGAGTTCCTATGGCACACGGTAACTGAAGAAAATGAACTTTAACAACTGTTACTTACTCTACATGAAGCACATGACTTTACAGTTATTTTTAAATTTTTCAACTTTTTGGTTTAAATAGTTTGGCCAACTCCCAAATATTCTAGGAAATATGACCTGACTTCATTAGAACCTTCATTTGACCTTTTAATTTGTAAGTTTTAGAAAGGTTATACATGTTTCTGAATTAGTTCATAGACAATAAAAATAAAGAATACTGACAGCCTAAAACTCAGTAAGATAAAAATATTGTTGAGGGTGAAAAAGACTAAAATATTATGAGACTCACACACTTATCAGCTAACAAGTTTAAGAGATGTTAAGTGTGTGTGGAGAGGTTGGGAATATATGGGAGCTCTGTGTGCTTTCCACTCAATTTTGCTGTGAACCTAAAACTGCTCTAAAAAATAAAGTCTATTAACTTTTTTAGAAGTATATGTTATGATCAAAACCTTGCATTTTAGACATTAAAGGAAAGCCCTGGCTTAGTAAGACACTTCTCTCAGTAAGAGTTTTAAATCAATGTATACATTATTTACTAAACAATATCAAAGAAAAATGAGTATTTATTAGGTATCCATTTTATTTGTAAAAGTTTATATATTTATATATTAAAAACAAAAATAACTAGAAAAAATGGTTTAACATTTTATGTTTCAAAATATATCTTAGCTTTTTAAAAATCTGTGTTTTTAAAATGACCAAATTTATCAAAATAGAAATCGAAAAAAATTTTTAAATTCAATGAAAGTCTATCAGTAGAATCCAAATATAGTGACAAAGCACTACTATTGTATACTATGGATGATTTCAGGGGCATCCAAGTCAGATGTCCCGACAGCTTCTTTCCCCACTGCCCAGAAGCTAGTTTCAGAGACAGTGATGCTTTAAGTCACCTTCTGAGCCTAACTGCATAAGTCATCTCTTTAAGAATTAACAATGTATTTCCATAAATCACATAGTCCAAGGTTTTTTCCTAGAAATCACCTATATTCTTATAAAAAAGTGATTCTCAAGTTTTTTCCCCATCCCACACACTTACTGAATGAGACCCTTAACAACAGTTGTCCACTGAAGCAATGATCGGGGACAGGGGCTGGAAGCTGGAGTGGTGCTAAAGCTGCATTTTCTCTCTCACCACCACCATGCCCTTGTAAACTACACTGACTAGAAGTCACTGTTTTTACAATATTCAGGGAGATCTCATATTACACTTTGGAAGATCACACTGTGATCAACCTAAAATTCAGGGAAGAGTCACTGAACAGAAAGTACTGGAATTTCAGTAAGTTCTACTTTACTACTACTATTCTTATTTAAGTAATTTCTACTTTACTACTACTATACTTATTTAAGTAAATTCTACTTTACTACTACTATACTTATTTAAGTAAGTTCTACTTTACTTAAACATCACTTGCAAAATCAATGTAACTTTCTTCCAGTTTGTTACAGACTGAAAAAGTCATTATTTAAGCTCTCCTAAAATATTTCATATCAACTATAATATGTTTACATTTTAAATGCTAACCAGTTAGATGTTTCTTTTCAAACACAAAGTTATTACCATCTTTATGTGAGGTATATAAAAATCATTCTCAGATTCAAGATCCTCTTTCCCCATAACAAAAGAAACAAACAAAATGGAATGAGCGGAATAATTAGCACGACACCTGAAAATTTTTCTGTGCCAAGGCAAGAAATAGAAATGCCCAGTTTTGCTCATTGCTTATCTAAAGTCCAACTCATTGCACATTAAGTTTTCAATCTGTAAAATTAATAAATAATAAATCCAAAATCACCTAACATTTTACTAATATTTAATTTCAAAAGTAAAGTTTAAATTCTAATTATCTCCAGTAAAAGCCTACAGTACCATGAATGAGTAGTCTTAATGAAGAAAAAAGTTTACTAACAGGATATGTATTTAAAAGTCACACATAAGGCTGGCTGTGGTGGCTCATGCCTGTAATCCCGGAACTTTGAGAGGCCAAGGCAGGAGGACTGCTTGAGGCCAGGAGTTTGAGACCAGTCTGGGCAATATGGTGAGACCCTGTCTCTATTTTTATTTTTCAAAATATAAACAAACACATAAATAATAGCTACACATACAAAAACCTAAATATAACAAACCTGCTGCTTTATAAACAAAAATAATGTATTTTAAATGTAAAAAAATTTATATCCAATAAATTAAAACAATAGAAAATTTTTAAGGTATCACTTACACAGATTATAAATTACTAATGAGTAAATGTGTACTCTAATGTGCTTTCCTAAAAATTATGAATATAAACAGACTCAACCAAGAATTTCTTAAGGATCCAAGTAAGCTATTTAGTTCAGAGAAGTAAAGAAACCAACAAAACAAAAAATAAAAACCTATTCTTAAGACTGCATATGATTCCATTATTACATATTACATGTAACTCAATAAAACAAACATCATTTAATATATACTTAAAAACCACAAGATATATATGAAAGGAAAGTCTTCAAATATCTTTCATGGTTAGAAAACCTAAGATGTTTTACCTTGTATTTTCCCTGATCACAGCCACATAAAGTACTCTCCATGGTATAACTTCTTTGTACTCCTATTTCCCTCCAAACTACAACACGTGCTGTGGATTCTTTAGATTTTTCCACTACGAAGCTACAGCTGCTCATGCAAAATGCTGGGGCGATATGGCTCAGTATCTTAGGCAATGTCTGTTAAAAACAAGAATGATGATGATAAAATAAACCAAGTTTTTAATTTTAAATGTTTTTAATTTTAAAAAGTTTTGATGAAAACACAGTAATTAGAGCAAAGCCATGTGGATGTTCTATTATATATCCCTTGCCATTCAAACAGCAAAACAATCCTCTTAACTAATTTTAAATTTTCTGCTTTTCTAAACAAATATAGTATCCAGTTACAAAACAATGGAAGAATCGTATTCACGGTATAACCAATAAGCAAAATAAAATCATTTGAGAAAACCATGTCTAAAAATATGAAAAAAATGTTTAAAATGTGAAATTTAGTCATAAAAGACTAATTGAGATATTTAACACAGTAAATGCCAATCATCCCTAAATTAATTAATACAGCTAAGACAATCACAATCAAAACTACCCCCAAAGTTTTCTGCAACTGAAATTATTATCAGTTTCACCCGAAAGCATAAATATAGAAGTATACCCTGAGAAATTGTGTGTGTGTGTGTGTGTGGGGCGAGGGGGGGGGTGTAAGGCTATGACTAGAGAAATAATCCAACATATCAAACTAGCTCATAAATCTAAAGTAAATTAAATTGTGATACTGATATAGGAACAGATGCATCTCTAGAAAGAAAGAGTTCAGAATTAGAACCAAATGTATTAAACTTATTATCATTATTATTAGTGGAGAAAAGATTGATCATTCATTAAATATTGGCACTACTAGATAGTCACTAAGAAAAACAATCTAAAGTCACTCTTCATTAAATTAAATTCTAGCTGGATTGAGAATATAAACTTAAAATTAATAAATATTTTTAAATGAAACTATAAATAGTAAACATGGAACTGTACTTTTAAAACTTCAGAATGGGTCGGGCTCACACCTGTAATCTCAGCACTTTGGGAGTCTGAGGCAGGTGGATCATGAGGTCAGGAGTTCGAGACCAGCCTGGCCAACATAGTGAAACACCGTCTTTACTAAAAAATACAAAAAATTAGCCAGGCTTGGTGGCAGGCCGCTGTAATCCCAGTTACTCAGGCGGCTAAGGAAGGAGAATCGCCTGAACCCAGGAGGCAGAGGTTGCGTGAGCCGAGATTGCACCATTGCACTCCAGCCTGGGCAACAAGGGTGAAACTCCATCTCAAAAAAAAAAAAAAAGAACTCTCTCTATATATTACAAATATATTTTCTAATTTTTTGTTTATGATGTGTAGTAATTTGAAATTTTATCATATTTGTTAATTTCTCATAAATTGTTTTTTGGAGTTTTGAGGCTTAGAAAGATTTTTTTTCATTCTAAAGTTTTTTTTTTGTTTGTTTTTGAGATGGAGTCTCGCACTGTTGCTCACCACAACCTCTGCGTCCCGGGTTCAAGCCATTATATGACCTGAACAAAAGTAAGCAGAAAATAGGAGAAAAGACTATTTTAAAAGACACAGATCATAATTGACCAAAACATAAGAAAACTCAACCTTATTTATAATTATAGGTATGCTAGTTAACAATCAGGTATTATTTTCACCTGGCAAAGATGATAGTACAATGTAATAAGGGTGTGGAAAAACAGTACTATCGTTCACGGTATTTGGTAGTATCAATTTGTACAATCTTTATGAAGGACAATTTGGCAATACTTATTAAATGACTATCAACAGAGACTACTAAGTAAATAAATTTGGGTACAGTCTACAAAAATAACAAAAATGCACAATGGAAATCTTATCTGACTAAAAGACTGAGACAGATTCAGACATGATGATCTGGAAAGATGATCAATAAATATTGTCATGGGAAAAAGTTGCTATGTAGTGTTTAAAAAACATTAAAAGACAAAAACTGCATATGCTACATGCATATCTATACGGATGTGCTCAGAGGCAAGTCTCACAATACACATGGTAAAACTGTCTAGTATTAAGAGAATGACTAGGAAAAGATAACTTTCACTTACCCCTTTATATAAATCTGGAGTGTTTCCCCATTTTTTATATAATTCTAACCATTTTATTTATTTGGGAAAGGGGAAGAAGAGAGAGGGCACCCAGAAAGAAGATGTGCTTTGAAGTTCTGCTAAGAGCTGCAGTAGGTTACCGAAAATGTCTTTTGGAAAATAACCTAGGGTGCTTGTTTAGGCATAACCATAGGAAGAGAGGCACTGTGACAAAATGGAAAGCACGCAGGACTTAAAGCAACACAGCTCATTTCAGTCCTAGGCACACCATATTTTGGCCAAGGCCTCAAGCATGTCAACTGACTCAGATGTCTTAGTGGACTTATTTGTACAGTAGCAATGATAATCCCTACCTACATCACAGAGCTTTGTGAGGCTCGCACAGAAAATTCATATGAAGGCTATAAGCGCAATACTAAAAGCTATAAGCACAATACAAATACGGTAACATAATTGTTAGATGTTGGTCTATAGTTATAATTAATTCATCCATCCATTCAACAAATATTTACTTAATGCCTACTAAGAATCAGGGATACTCAGTCAACCAAATAAACAAAAGTCCTCATTTACATTATTGTTAGTCATCTCATTCAGGAATGATGATCTACTATCCACAATATTTACCAATATTAAAACGTCCTTAAAAACCTAATAGTTTTGTGGAAGCTAAATTACATATTTCCATAGCATCATATGCTATGACGTTCACCTTATTGGAAGGATGCTATGATGTTCCCCTTATTGGAAGCAAATACATGATTTAACTTCAATAAAAAAATCCATTATGTTCCAAATTCCAAAATTTTTTGAATGTCAACATGATGCTCAAAGGAAATGCTCGTTGGAGCATTTTGGATTTCAGATTTTGGGATTAGGAATGCTCGAACCAGCAAATATAATACAAATATTCCAAGAAAGAAAAAAAATCTGATATCTAAAACACTTCTAGTCCCAAGCATTTTAGATAAGGGATACTTAACCTGTAATAATAAAGATTTGTTTTGTAAACCTTTTATTTTAAGCTAATTTTAAACTTAGAGAAAAGTTGCAAAAACAGTACAAAGAATTTTCATTTTTCTGTCACCCTTAACGTTAATATCTTAACCATAGTTCAGTATCAGAACAAAAAAATTAGAATTGATGCAATACTATTGATAGACCTTATTCAAATTTCATCAGTTTTTCTAATGCTGGGTTTCAGGATCCTATCCAGAATCTCACATTGCATTTAGTTATTGTTCCTCTTTAGCTTCCTGCAGTCTGTAACAGTTCCTCAGTCTTATAACTTAAATCATCTTGACACTTTTGAAGAGTATTGATTAGTTATTTTTTCAAATGACAATTTAGGCTGGGCGCGATGGCTCATACCCATAATTCCAGTACTTTGGGAGGCCGAGGCAGGCGGATCATTTGATGTCAGGATTTCGAGACCAGCCTGGCCAACATGGTGAAACCCCATCTCTACTAAAAATACAAAAAATATTAGCTAGGAGTGGTGGTGGGCACCTGTAATCCCAGCTACTTGGGAGGCTGAAGCAGGACAATCATTTGAACCAGGGAGACGGAGGCTGCAGTGAGCCGAGATCGTGCCACTACACTCCGGCCTGGGTGACAGAGTGAGACTCCATCTCAAAAAAAAAAGACACTCCATTTATATGTCATAATTTGTTGTATTTTCCCGCAAAAACATAAACACTTGCACTAAAAGGACAAAGCAGTACTATGATTTATCATCAGAAACATAGCATTTATGTGTATTAGTGCATCTTTTCCCAAGCCATCTGCAAAAAAAAAGGTTCCATGGTATGGTAGTCACCATCAAAAATGTCTTAATCACCAGAATCTAGGAATGTTACTTTACATGGCAAAAGGGGCTGTCCAGATTTGAGTCAATTAAGAATCTGAGATACTAAGATTATCCTGGATTATCTTAGTGGCCCTTACCATCACAAGGGCTCTCATAAGGGAAAGGGGAAGGCAGCGGAAGGAGAGAAGGAGATGTGACAATGGAAGCAGAGGTCAGATTTGATTCCTGGCTGAAAGGGACCATGATGCAAGGAACACAGACATGCTAGGGGTGTGGAGAACAAGGAAACAATTCTACCACACGGCCTCAAAAATTAATGTAGTTGATGACACTGATTTTAACCCAGTGAGCGCTACCTTCGACTTCTGATCTGCAGAACTGTAAGTCCATCAATTTGTTTTGCTATGTTTGTTGTAGTCTGCTATAACAGCAATAGGAACTAATATGATTATAAAATTATGGGAAATACTCCACTTTGACACACATGCACACACACCCACATGCGCACCTGCCCTACAACCCTGGAAATGTAAGAAGCTTACATTTCCTAAAGAAAAGAAACAAAGTTGACTGTGTCTAATGCAATTACCTGACGTAACTAATTACACAACTACTGGTGAGGGGAGGTGTGTGTGTAACACCTGTTAACATCTTGAGAAATGAAATTTGGGTGCTTTATTTACTCTAATTAAAGCATCATCTTACATTTCCTTTCACAACAAAATTCAAAAAATTAATCAAATAAAGAAATCTGAGACAAGATAATTTTAATGAAAAAAACTGAGACCAAAGAGAGTTCATTTTATCTCTTACAATGGAAAAACTGTTTTGCATTTACCTTCCCACATGTCTGTCTGCCATTCATCCATCAACCCACCTAACAACAAATATTTATTGAGTACTTATTATGAATAAAGTATTGTGCTATATAGTGGCAATGTTGTCAAAATGAGCAAATCAGACATCTTTGCTAGGCATGTGGAGCTTACTACCTATTATAAAGAGAAACCCATTAATCAAATAACATAGAAAACCTCACAATTATAATTCTTAAGTGCTATGAAGGAGAGAGAATCCTATAGATGTATGATCTGATTTCGTTTTGGGGACTAAGTGAGAATTCCCTGAGAAGTGAAGTATGATCCAAGCAGAAACGACTGGGTGAGGCAATGGTGGCAATGATGGTGCTGTTCCAGAGAGCAGCCTAGGGAAGGCTCTGTGCATATGCTCTTCATCTAGCTTTCTCCCATTCTCTGGGCCTCTCACTAGTCTCATTTTCTTATCTTTTTTTTATGTGGGTCTCAACTAAATATTCCCCTTTTCTATATCACTGAGCTCTACTAATCTACTTGGTTTCCTTTATTTAATGCAGTCTAACCTAATAAAACTCTATTTTCTGAAGGTCGTGTGGCAGAAATATTTGTTGACTGTTGACATGTTGGGCATTTTACACACATTCTTGGGCTCTCCCTCCACCTTTATCCTGGGCTTTGTCTCTCTCTTGAACTTAATTTCTGCATGCCTTCCTCTTTCATGTATTCCTTTATTTTGGCAAGAATGTTTTCCAGTAGCTTCCACAGAAAGGCTATTTGTGAGGTAAATTTTTGAGACTTTAAATGTCTGAGAACATCCTTTTTTATTCTCACACTTGCTGATAGTTAGAATGGGGTATGAAATTTACAGGTTGGAAATCTAGTTGAGAATTGTGAAGGCTTTGCTCCACAAAGTTTTGCTTCCAGTTTTGCTACTGTGAAATGTGATGCCATTCTTACATGTAATCCTTTGTAGAAGAATCTGAAAAATTTGTAGAAATTTTTTCTGAAAAAAAATCAATAGCTTTCCTATCTACCATCAATGATCAACTGGGGGCAGGAAGGTATGTGGGGAAAAATTCCATTCCCAACTGCAACAAACTTCATAAAGTATTTGTGAAGAAATCTAACAAACATTTCACACCTAGGTGAAGAAATTTTATACTTTACCAAATATAAAAGACTTGACTAAATAGACACATAGGCAATGGTCACAGATAGCAATGTTACATATTATTATAATAATTCTCTCCAACTTTAAATTCAAGGCAGCTCTAATGCAAACTCCAACAAAGTTTATCCACAAATGGATCCTAAAATTCACAAGTACAGAGAAAAAAAGAGTCAAAGCAATTTTTAAAAGAACAAGAAAGGAAAATTTGCCCTACATGATATCAATATTAATTATAAGCCTACAGTAATGAAAACAATGTTGTATGCAAAGAGATAGAAACAAGAATGGGTATAATAATAGCCTTGCAATACATCCATATATACAAAATAAGGTATGTAACAGATGGCATCATCAAATTGACAGAAGGAGGTACTATCGAGTTAATAGTGCAAGCCAACTGGTATTCACAGAGAAAACAGAATTAGATCCCCACATCTCACACAAAAATTAATTCCAAATAGATGAAAAATATAAACATGAAAAACTTTTAAAATGAAAAATCTGAAACAAAAATGGCAAAATGTCAATATTTATTGAATGTGAGTAGTTCATATATGTTCTTTTCTGTACTTTTATGCATGTTTGAAATTCAAAAACTTATGAATCATCTGTAATAATTACCCTGTATCCCGTATCCTCCACAACATCACATGAAGTTGCATTATCATTGGTATGCCACACTGTCTCTTTGATGCTGCAACCATACATAAATACATTCTTCTTTCGGGAATGGCCATGATAATCACAATAAACCTTGAAAATATATATTTTAAAAATTAAAAGACTTCAAGTTCATATGTTGCTAAGTAAAGGTAGTTAATATCAAGCCAATAAACATGTAGGTCTGTGTTCCTTGGTCTTTTTATTGTAAAAGAACCACCATTTAACAATTAGAACCAACAAAAGTAATAATAACTAATTTGGGAAAGGATCTATAATTAATTCTAGAATTGCCAAATCCTTTCAAGGTCCTATATCATCTTTGTATTTACTATTCACCATTTAAGAAATAACACATTCCATTATAGTTCAAATCTACAGTTGTGGTGATTGCTGCCCCAAATGGTTGTAAAAACATTTACCTAATTTGGCCTGGAGCGGTGGCTCATGCCTGTAATCCCAGCACTTTGGGAAGCCAAGGCGGGTGGATCACCAGAGGCCAGCATTTCGACGCCAGCCTGACCAACATGGTAAAACCCCGTCTCTACCAAAAATACAAAAATTAGCTGGGCGTGGCTGTGGGCACCTGTAATTCCAGCTACTTGGGAGGCTGAGGCAAGAGAATTGCTTGAACGTGGGAGGCAGAGGTTGCAGTGAGCCGAGGTTGCACTCCAGCCTGGGCAACAAGAGCAAAACTCCATCTCGAAAAAAAAAAAAAAATTAAAAACAAAGAATAACAACAAACAAGAAAATGCTCCTATAAAAAAACACCATTAAGAAGGGTATGGTTTTAATTTAAGTGCATCATTTTAAAAATAAATAAAAACAAAGGACATGTCAATTTTACTCCTCTGCAAAGTTTTTCTATCTTTCCTAAAGAAAGATTACATAATATACACATTAATATAACAGGAACATTCTAATCAAAAGCTGGTGAGAACAGAAGGAGCGTATGTATACAGTCCAGTCCAGTCATGCCTGTACTACATTTCCCCTGTGTGTAGTAGAGACTTAACAGCTTCAGAGCTGACTAGAGAACTCAGAAATAAGCTTCTAGTTTGAGAATTTGGAAGATACATATTGTTACCTTAGTATTGTTCAAACAGTGAAGTTAAATATCTAAAAGTTACAACCAAGAGTTATCAATATTCATAACGAAAAAGGAAAAAATAGAAGGCTTATGAGAATTACAAACATTCAACCTTATAAAATTAAGACAACTAACATAATGCATTAATTTGACCTCATGATTATCACACAAGTGCTTGATAATTAAAAATGATATTTTATCTTTGACTATCCCAAGTAAAAACAAGTATTGCTACTTACCAAGGGTAAACGCTTCACTGCAGCCAAGTATTGCAACAGCCCCTTAGCATGGTAAATTGTAGGATGTAAATCCGGACTTGGACTTTGCCACTGCCTATTCAAATCCTCTCCACTTAAAGAACAGCGATGACTACATGTACATAAACACAAAGACAGAAAAACACTGGTACCCATAAACCCTTATATACATTTCTTAAACCCTTATATACATATCTGATTTAACTTTATGCTTCTATTCCACTAAGCATTTCAAATAGGTATAGATGGTAAGCTCAACCAAATGCATACTATATTCATTAAGTAAACATTTATTGAGTATTTGCTATGTGCAAGATTTTGTGTCACATGCATTTAACTGTGGTAAGTTTTCAGATTCATAATCAAAATTTTCAAAGTATAGAAAAAATTCTTAACTCCAAGGTTTTCTTCCATATTTTATAAAAATGTATTAATAATCACATTTTCCATTCTGATTACATAATAATCATTTGTTATGTTAGCATGCTATATCTTGACTTCATCAATTAAAGTGCTATCTAGGTGCTTCTTCTGAGAAAGACAAGTATATGAAAAGTATACACTGTTGTAAAACATCAAATACCTTTTTGTTTATTTACGGGTACTAAGTAGTAAAGCTATCATGCAAATAAGCAGATAATCATAAAGTGATGATAAATATAAATAGAATTCTAACTGGTCAATATATTTCTCAATTAAAAATAGACAACATTTTAGTTCCATAACCATAACATATTAACTAAGAAGAAATTCTATATTTTAAAAATTCAGTAATTTCCTAAAATACGAGAAATATTCATGCTACTTTCACTGAAGTAAGACATGTTATCCTCATCTTTGGAGATACTCATGACAACTATACTAAATCCCATCTTTCAGAGTGGCACTACAGAGACCTTGTCAAATTACCAGGATAAATTTACTGTACTAACTATATGCAGCCTCCTTTTACAAAGTAATTATCTTCCACTATTCCCCCTCTAAAGAACTCCTGTCAAAAACCAGACCTCCTCATATCAAGAAGAGGTTAGCAGATGGGGCTAACATTCCAAGAGATCCCAGAAGAGTCTTAATCTTAGAACAATCTAGGTTCATGCCACTAATAAAAAAAAAATAAAGGAATATGAGAGGTATGAGTTAACCTTTCTTACAACCTGACATTGTGATTTTTCTAAAACAATTCAAGCATTTTATGAAAGCATATTCCCATGGATACAGAATAGGGCACTAGGCCCTATAAAATAAACAAATATAAAATCAATAATTTCATATCGCTAATAGTATCCAAAATGTATTTTCATTTAAAAGTTTATCTTAATTTCCCACCAAAAATTTCTTTATTCTAGAAAAATCACTAAGTTTGTTAACCTGGACATTGTTATTTCAACAAGTTTATACAGGACAACCACAATGGTCTTGAATATATTCTACAACTATTGCTTAACTTACTTTCCATTGATGACACCATCTGGATTTAACATAGGGACAATTTTAAAAATATAAGATTCTCGTAAGCTCTGAGCAGTGGGGTTATTGCTCATGAGATATTCCAACGTTCCTTTCATAACCCAACTTGCATTAGTTTCTCCAGGATGTACCCGAGCAGACAAGAAAACGTAAGGGCGATTTCCTAAAGTACACATAAAATCTCAAATTAAAATGAACAGCTACTAAAAGTTTGTATATTTTACTTTGGGGCTTTAGAAATGTCTCTAACTCAATTGTGAATTCTAATATAAATTAATAGAACCCAATGGTGCATCCTACAAGCACTGCACTAGGCCCTATAAAATAAACAAATATAAAATCAATAAAACCATATCCCGAAGGAGCTCATAATAGGACATAAAACAGTAAGTAGTATTTGATCCACTTATTCATTTCCCAATGACTAATTTAACATGTAAAATTCGTTATTTAATATAATGTTAATTTTATAAAGAACAAGCACTTGGGGGAAGTTTAAAATATAAAACTATTTTTTCATAAAATCATAGGGAAAAGAAATAAAATATAATTTTAGCCCTGTCTTACAGTTGCTCTGATAAGCATAGAGAAACAAGTTTATCTGCTCAGAGATTTAGCCCCCAAAATTTCACTATACATTTAGATATACAAGTCTACAAAATAATCATTCAGCTTACCACTCATATTTTCGATACACAATAAGCTCTGTTTCCTGAAATACTTCGCCTTCTTATCAAAATTGAAAGTTTTATTTTTATTACTACAGTTGTACATTTGAGGCAATTTAAAAAAATATAAATGGCAGGGAAAAATGAATAACTATTCTGTGCTAGCTACCAAAACAATTGATAGGTTTCTGGTTGTTTTATTTACAAGTAAAATCAGTCCATTTCTAAATTGATAATACTATTACACGACCTCTTAAAATAATTTGTTGTATTCTACTTTGAATACAATTTCTAAGGATAAGAACTAAACGACAGTGGTAGCAAAAGAGACCTCAGAGAACATCTCATGTAGCCCCTTATTTTCAGGATAAGGAAATTGAGGCCCAGAGGTGGGCTCATGGCTAGCTAGATAATAGCAGGGCCAAGACTAGAGCCCAAGTCTTCTGATGTCTGTTCCTATTATCATTTCCATTATAAAATACGGTTAAAGCAAATCAAAGTAGGTGAGAATGACTGCTATTGTGAGTTGGGAAGACAAACTTACTGAAATGGCAGATATGTTCATAATAATTAGACTCTGGCATTGCTGTTATAGTCACCAAGGGGCAGCTGTTTCCAGACAGGGTTTCACATAACACATCTTTCCGAAAATAGATTTGCTGAGGATTGTGTGCTGATTCCAATTTTTGAAGATGCATCTTGATAAAAATTTTAAAACAAAATATACAATCACTTAAAAAGTCCCTATGATATACAGAAATAATGCATCCAGATCTCCACATAACTAGAAGTGAATCAGATTCTTAACCCCTTATCCAAAACCCTCAGGGCCAGATGTAGCCTAAACATCAGTGTTTGGGAAACTTGAAACAGGCAATATATTGTTTAAATCATTAATTATGCAGCACCACCAATAGGGTCGGGGTAGCAATCTGTAATACACTCATTATTTGTGCAGCAAAACATATGAAGAATCACCCTAAGTAGAATCAATATTCTAAATAAACTCAGGTCAGGCTTTGCCTCCAAACGAGTTCCAAAAAACCTTTTGGTTTTCAAAGCCTTTTGAGTTTTGAAATTGTGAGTGATAATAGACCTGTAACAGCAACAATCTAAAATTTGAAAAATAAAAATTATATAGCACAATTTTAACAATTTATTTTCCTGATTTCAAGATTAATACGGGTTTGTTGTAAAATGTCTGAAAGACAGCAAAAAAATTACAAAGAAAAAAATTTTTTTAAGTTTTAAAAATTTAAAACATCTACAATTGCACCACCTAGATTACTACTAACACAATGTATGTAAGCAAAACCATGATTACAGACTTTTATAATTTGATTTTATCACTTAAAAATTTATACATACACATAAACATATATATTCCTAATTATGAATACTATACCACATCATTAAATATGTTAAATGTGTATTTTTTGAAAACACAAGTTTTAATGGTCTTATTATGTGGTTATACCAAAAATAAATTGTTCAATCCCCCATTTTTTAGATATTCAGTTGGTTTTCAAACTTTTGCCTATGTTCTTTCACAAATCACTATTGACTGAGTGGTCACTATTTTCCAGAAACTGTACAGGGCATTGGGGATACAACAATGAATAAATGAACCCTACCCTAGGGAAAATAGAGAGTGCTGTGAGAGCCTGTAATAAGGGGAGGGGAGCCTAGCCAAGTCTGGGCAGTGAGGAAAGGTCTTCTACAGAAAACTACATTTAAATGAAACTCCAAAGGATGAGTCAAGAGAGCAGAGATGAGTACTGCAGGCAGAGGGAAAAATATTAGGAAGACCAGAGGATAGAACAGGGCATTTCAAAGAATTCAGTAAGATTCATTACAGCTACAAAGGTGAGAAACAAAGAATCTGACACAGAATGAAGGGCCTGGTAGACAGGTCTTTCCAAAAGCATAGTATACATACCACTGGTAATTGAGATAACTAAGTGATATGTAGATAACCATTTTAAAAGTTTTATAGGTATATATTTTATGTGAATCAGAAATAAGTCTAGCACATTAAATCTTTCATGCATTTCACAGATATTAACTGAGGATGAGGATACAATTTAAATGATTTCATGGATATTAATTGAGGATGAGGATACACTTTAAAGAGTAATATATTTTAAAGTCTATTTAAAGATAAATAAATAATACTTCAAATAGTATGTGGATATGGCAAAAAAAAAAAAGGGGGGGAGTACTAGAAAAAGGACAGGGTGAATCACGGTAAGAATTTTAGACTTCACACAAAGGGCAAGGGAAATCACTAAAGAGTTTTAAGCAGGGTATTTTATGATAAGATTAGCTATAAAAGAACCCTCTGGCTACAGTCTGGGGTTTGTGGGGTGGCAGCGGGAACTAATGAAGAGCAAAGGGGTCAAAACTGAATCCTAGGACACTAGTTACAAAGAGGTTGGCAGAAGCCCAGGTGAGAAACGATGGTCATGCCTGGAAAACATCATGGTAGGGGGATTGAAAGAAAGCAGGAGAATTCAAAATATATTAAAAGGCACAATCAGTAAAGAACAATAACATAAAACCAGGCAAATAAAAATAGTGCAAATATATATTTATGTGCATTCTTATTTGTTTTCCTAGGATAAATTACCCAAAAGTAAACTACTAAGCACAGAAAGATATATGAACATTGTACCTTTATGGTAGGTTGTAACCTTTCTTAAAGTACAGTAAGCCTCATTTAATGCTGTCAGCCTCATTTAGTCTTCTTAGGTTTGATATCTCTTCTGCTCTACAGACTATGTTTTTCTTTCATTTTCTCCTCTCTAATAATTTGGGAGCTTGTTTCTAATTAGAGTGTTCCAATTTCTTTATTGGTAAATTGATCACATCTTCATGATCTTTGACATTAGAATAGATATTCTGTTCTGAGAATAAATCTACCACAGTCGATATTTAATTACTAGACTTTGTTTGTTTAGTTTTGGTTTTTAGTTTCATTTTGCTATATTCAAAATCTCAAAAGGTTTCACACAAAACAACTCTTATACCCTAGATTCTTAAAAATCTGGATCTAGGTCTCCATAATAAAACCATTTCCTTCAGAAAAAGATCTCAATTTTTCCTTCAAAAACACTCAAATTGCATCCACATTTTTTTAATATTCTATTTTCTATGAGATTCTGGTTAAACATGCAGAAATCTCACCTGGTTAAAAATTGTAAATCATGGAATCTTAGCTTAGAGAACTGTGGATTTCAACAAAAGATGGGAAGTAAAAATCATGTCAAAGTTTCTTAATATTTCTATTAAAAAAAAATAAGAGCTACATTCCCATTTTACTCCTCAAGAAATACTGTAGTATTTTCCAAAATCTTCAACACTAAACCCTTTTCTTATGTTATATTTAACTAAACTTAATTTTCCTTATGTTAGAATATTTAACTAAACTCAATTAGTATAATTATCCTTATGTTAGAATATTTAACTAAACTCAATTATTATCATTATCCTTATGTTAGAATATTTAACTAAACTCAATTTTCTTCCATTATCTTATACATATCCATATAATACAATTTAATTTAGAGTTCTTACCTGTAAAGTTGAATACGTATATGGATAGTGATAAGCAAAGTAGCAAACATCATCTTTATGTGGAAAATTGACAGTAAATGTAATTGTATAGTAGGATTTTCCCTTTTGCCCACCTGCAGCAACTGAACTTCTTGAGAAATGATTTCTGCAATAAAAACGCATAAAACATGTTCATTTCATCCACATGAAAACTGATTTTCCTTGTTACTTTTATTAAATAGAACTTCAGGGAAAAAAGAAAAACCCGAGTCTGTAAAAAGTGTAACTTAAATACCCTATTTTAAAAAAACTTAGTACTAATAAAGCAGTAAACTATTATTAGCCAATGACATTACATAACTTTTCACTTCTGAATTTACTAATTAAATGAGCTAATACTCTTCACGTCAAAAAAATTTTTAGAACCCCATTCTTTGACATCCATACACGTTACTGAATCTAGAAAATGATCATCAATGGCTACTACAATCAAGAGAGGAAAGGTTGATGGACACCTTTACGTGGATGGATCAGGCTACAAGACCTGGGTTCACTAATCAATCTTAAGATTACAAAAAGAGAAACAATCAGAGATGATGTTGTTTCCTGATGTGATGCAATGGGAATTCATTGCACCACCTATTAAGTATTCTTGCCAAAACCAAACCTGAAGTTGATCAAGCTTCTAGATCTAACTAACAGTTTATAGGAAATTGGTGAAACAGAAGCACTTGTTAACACCACAGGGATGCAATCCAATAAAATCCAAATGTGAAAAACCCTACATGACAATCCAGCTTCTTTAGCGAATGAATGAGAAATTTAAAAAAAGAGAAAAGGGAAGCCTATAAATTAACACAGACTTAAGGGACATGTCAACAAAATTCAAAAGCAATGTGTGATCCTTGGCTGGATTCTGATTAAATAAAACTATAAAACACCATTTAGAGGCAATCGGGGAAGTCTGAACATTGGATATTTCATCACAGTAAGAAATTTTCTTAATCTTTCTGTGTTGTGATAATCGCATTGTAGTTAAGATTGTCTTAAACAGCCTTTGTCTTTTAGAAATACGTATGTAAGTATGTACAGATAAAATACGGTATCCGAAAATGGACTTAAAAATTCATTGTGGAAGTATGAGTAAAAGTATAGATAAACAAAACTCACCATGTGTTGATAATTGTTGATACTGGGTGATGAATACATGGGGCCTCATTATCTTATTATCTGTTTTTGTAAATGTTTGAAGATTTCCATAATAAAGTTTTTAAAACTATACATTACCTTCCAGACTCGAAATACTGCTGACATATGCTGACTTAAAGATGCTCTAACAACTTAATTTCTAAAATTCTGAATCACCTTGTATTATTTAAGCCATGAAATGAAGAAAAACCAGGGCCTATACGTTATTTTTTCATGCACATAAATGTTCAAAGTATTTTCAAATTGATATAGTCTTCATTAACTTATGCATACTATCTTGAATAGATACCCAATGACAGAGTGCTAAGGATTAACAAAAATTCAAAACAAGTTCAAAAACTAGTCCTTGCCAACTCTTTTCCCTCAAAAGTTTAACATTTAATTGGAGAGGTATTTATACTACCACATTACAGCTATATGGCAGTTTCTAGTTTATAAACCAGTGAAACATATATTATTTCATATAATGGTGAAAAGCAGTTTTATTCCATTTTATAGAGAAGACAAACAAGCATCATAGGACTTAGCTGACATGAAAAGTTATGGCACAATGCAAAAACAGATTTTAATCTTTATCATCTAAATTTCAGGCCAGGCACTTTTGTTCATGCCTGTAATCCCAGCACTTTGGGAGGCTGAGGCAGAGGGATCGCAACATGGTGAAAACCCAGTCTCTACAAAAAATACAAAATTAGCCGGTTCACAACTGTAGTCCCAGCTACTCAGGAAGCTGAGGTGAGAGGATCACTTGAGCCTGGGAGTGATGATAAGCTCTTGAGGCTGCAGTGAGTCGGACTGCACCATTGCTTTCCAGCCTGGGCAACAGGGCAAGACTGTGTTTAAAAAAAAAAATTAAAATTTAAATAAATAAACATACCTCAGGCTTCAGGAAAACAACTAGAATAGAGTCTTACATAGAAAGTGGTTAATAAATGTTTGTTGAATTGAACTCTACTTCCAGATCAGGAAGTAGTAGCCAAAAGAAAAGACAGAACCTAAATTAAAAATATAAAAATCTTTGCCATCACCCCTTACACAGAATAGAACAACTTGTCCTGCTATGATCATTCATTTTGCAACGTGAAAAAGCATTCATTGATTGACAATTTCTAATGTGACAACATAAAGAAGCATGAAAGTAAGAATGCTTTTTGAAAAACATTGTTTCATTCTTTAAAAGTCTAAATAATTCTAAAATCTAGCCAAGCACTGCTCAGATAGTTTCACCCAACTTTATGAGAAAGAGACAAGTGATGAAAGACTATTTTTATATTAGTCTACCACTAAAAGAAATACAAGATGTATTATGGTGCAGATGAATTACATATTACCTTTACTTCTGTTTCTCATTTATTTGCTATTCATTTTGCTAATAAGAGTAAGGAAGAAATCTTACTGAGATGAATTCCAAGGAAGATTTTGTTTCCCAGAAAGTAGGAGTACTTAACACCAAGTTTTTTCCAAAGCCATGTCAAAACAGTTTAATTTTAGAAGCCTTCTTCTAATTGATAAAACTAAAAAACAAGGGCATTAGTGCCAGTAAAGCACAATCTAAAAAGTCAAAATTCACCATACAGAAATGTCAGGATTGAACTTAGTAACAAATAAACAAGGGTGCCAAGTGGAATCAACAGTGAACATTAGCTGGAAACATTTGCAGACACACAGTAAAAATGAGAAGCAAGATACATGAGAATCCTCGAGTACTTAGAGGTGGAGCTGAAGAATAATCAAACTATTCCACAGAAGTAGGAAATTATTTCTAGCACTTATTTATTTTATTTATTTATTTATTTAGAGACGGAGTCTTGCTCTGTCACCGAGGCTGGAGTGCAGTGGTGCGATCTCGGCTCATTGCAACCTCCGCCTCCCGGGTTCAAGCGATTCTCTTCCCTCAGCCTCCTGAGTAGCTGGGATTACAGGTGTGCGCCACAATGCCCAGTTAATTTTTGTATTTTTGGTACAGACAGGGTTTCACCATGTTGGCCAGGCTGGTCTCAAACTCCTGACCTCAGGTGATCTGCCCACCTCACCCTCCCAAAGTGCTGGGATTACAGGCATGAGCCACCACACCCAGCCTCTAGCACTTATTTCTAATTTGCTATAAGTAGATCACATATTTACAGTCAAAGATGAACTGTGTTAAGCTGATGTACTGTATTTGGAACACATCTCCAGTTAACATTTTGGAAATTAAAATGAAGTAAATATTTGTGTGTTAATATAAAAAGGGAAAAGATAAGAGTTATACTTGATATCATAGGAACAATAAAAAGCCACTGCAAATTATTACTCGTAATTTCTATTTTCAGTTTTATTCAATAAAGTTTCCAGAGTTTTAAAGCTGGAAAAGCTGAGGACACATAACTCTCTAAGTGGTGGAGACACAGCCTGGACCTAAGTTTGTCTGCCTATACAACACATTTTACTTCTACTACATACACTCCATAAGTGGATCTCAAGTTCAAAAGGACTCTTTAGAATTACTAAAGCATAGCACCACAATTCAAAGTATGCAATAATAACTCTACTGTTTCCTTTTACACTGAAACAGGATGTACTTAATACTGCCTTCTGTAAGCTGACATTCTATTAATATTCTTAAAATACTTACTTATAGTAACAAATGTCAGTCCCCATACGAATCCACCATGGTCTGGCATTTAATGCTTCCTGAACCGAATACATGAGTGGTTGCATACCTTTGAAAGAGAGAAAAAAAGAGAGAAAATTATTTTCATAATTTTTCAATTAAAAATTAATCTTGCCTTTGTAGAAAGCACCAAACATTCAGGAAAGCAGAAGTAAATTACATTTCAGTTTTTTAGTATGTATTTTAAAAATCTGATGCATTTCTTAAACATCCCAAGTCAATCAATGATATGCTTTTATTTTTTAGTTTAATACAGGATTACAACTTTAGAGTGAGAAGTCATTAAACTCTTTTCTATTAAACTTTCTACATGAAATCAATTAAAGATAATATATTCCTTATAAAAAGTGAAACAGCCAAAACATATGTAAAGACATAATGTACAATCACCCCTCTAACTCTCCGTGGATTTCCATCTACACTAAAATTAATGGGAAAACACCACCAAAATGGCATCTTTGCTTTCCTCCCCACCGTTCTCCATACATATATGTGTTTGTAGGAGAGAAAACGAAGAGGGACTCAAAAATATAAAGTATACTTTCTTGGATATTCTTAGAAATATATTTTCCACATGAACTTTAAAATCACCTTACCTAATTACTAAATGATATATTAGGTTTCTAAATGGAACTGAATTAAATTCATGTTAATTATAGAAAGGCTGACAATTTTTATTGAGATCTGGTTTGACTTGCCTTAAATTCTAACTTAAGGATAGAGTCATTTTTTTTTCCTGGTACAGAATAATTTTATTAAACTTACCTGTGAGTATTTTTATAAGATTCTTTTTTCCCTTTCCATTTCTGACTGGTTATTCCAACAATGAAGCACTATTCATTTATTTTTTGTATTTATCTTAATATTCACATTATCAAATAAACTCACTAATTTTAACAGGTTTTTAGTAGTCTCATGGATTTTTTAGTAATATAATTAAAATATTTTATCTCCTCTTCTAGTATTTATATCATTTATTTCATTTTCTCCTCTTACTACATTTAGATAAATGAAACCTCAAAAAAATTATGCCGAATATAGTGGTAAGAACAAACAATTCTTTTTCATGACTTGAACCAAAATGTTTTGCCATTCCATGTAATATTTGCCACTTTTTTGCAAATCAACTTTGTTATGTTTAAGTCAAAAATAGCTAACAATGAATAATTTCTGTATGTGAGACACTGCTCTAACGTTTTTTACATGTATTAAGTAATTAAATCCTTACAACCACACTTAGGTGGTAAATGCTATTATTATTCCCATAACTTGAGTAGTTCCACCATAATTTTTATTATACTTCACAGTTTTAATTACTTCATCAAATGCCTTTTCAACATCTAATAATAGAATCAGATGGCTTTTCTCCTTTAAACTGCTGATGCAATAAATTATGTTGACAGGTTTCCTATCGTTGAACTATCTTTGCATTCTAAGAAAATGCTACTCTTTTAACACTATGTGACTAAGTTAGCTAATATTTAGAATTTTTCCATCTAAGTTCTTAAGATGATCTTTCTTATTTCAATTTACTTTTACCAAGTATTGGTAAGATTATACTAGCTTCAGAAAACTAAATTTTAAAACTTTCCATCACTTATTAGAATAAATAATAAAAGCACCATCTATTTTTTAAAGGATAAATACAATTCAGCTGGAATACCATGTCAATATGGCAGCATTAATAAACATATTTTTAAAAATTTCCCTTCAACAGCTATAGCTTCTTCAGAATCTCACTTTTTCCTCATCGCTTTTGGTATTTCTCTCTCTCTCTCTCTCCCCTGATGTCCCTAAGTTTTCAGTTTCTTTATCATGTTATATCATTTCTTAGAATCCAGTCCACTTTTTTTAAAGTGTATTTCCAGGATACCACTAACTTATAATTCTAATTTGGATGAGTTGCTGCCTAGGAAATCTGATTTCATCTTGTTATTTCTTTTCACTGGACTCCCAGATTAGTACCACTTGTTCTTGTATCTCACATCTCCATCTCGGGTTTCAAATGGGATCCTAGTGAATCAAACAATCAATCTTGTTGATTATATTATTCAAATTCTCTATAGCCTTACTTATTTTTGTCTTCTTGATATGTCAAATTCTGAAAGGAGTACTTTAAATTCTCATAAATGTTTTCTAATCAAGTTGTATTTCCTGGAGATTTCTGCCCTGCTTATGTAAGTGCCATGTGGCCAGGGTTGTTGTGCTGTGTAAAGGTTTACAGCATCTTCAAGGATTGCAACTTGTAAATACAAAATATCTGTCTTTATGCAAGTCAGTGTTTTTGACCCTGACGTTTTAGTCTGACATTATTATTTATTATTATTATTTTTTTCCAAAATGGAGTCTTGCTCTGTTGCTCAGGCTGAAGTGCAATGGTGCGATCTCGGCTCACTGTGACCTCCACCTCCCAGGTTCAAGTGATTCTCCTGCCTCAGCCTCCCGAGTAGCTGGGGACTACAGGCGCATGCCACCGTGCCCAGCTAATTTTTGTATTTTTTGGTGGAGATGGGGTTTCACCATGTTGCCATGGCTGGTCTCAAACTCCTGACCTCAGGTCATCCGCCCGCCTCGGCCTCCCAGAGTGCTGGGATTACAGGCGTGAGCCACCGTACCCGGCCGACTGACACTAATATTAACCACTTTTGCTTTATTTTAATTTCATTTGCCTAGTTCATCTTCGTCCATTCGTTTTCAACCTTGTCACTGAACACACACACACACACACACACACACACACACACACACACACACAGTAGGGAGCAGGTGAGAGAGGGAGAGAGGGAGAGAGAGGGACAGAAGGAGAGAGGGAGAGAGGAAGAGAGGCAGAGAGAGATCCCACTAAACTGTGTTACTTTCAATCTCTGACCTTTTGAGGGTACTTCATGGTTTATTCATAGTTGGTGATGACGGATATACATTTCATTGTATTCTCTCCATCTTATTTTCTACTTCTGATACCAACAAATGCTTTTATTGTTCTTCCTTACCATTTTATTTTTATTGGTTTGGTGGCATTGCTCCACATTTTCTTTTCTTCCTTAATTTGGAAGCCTTCTATCACGCTTTTCAATTCTACTTTTCCACCCTCATAGTCATGATTGATATTTTTCTAACACTATATTAAATGAACTAACTAAGCCATCCCACTGACACAAGTTAATTTTCACTTCTCCTATATTACCCCCCTTAGAATATTTTTGGTTAACACGTTTTATAAGTTCCAATACTTCTATCTTGAGACCTTTTACTCATTTTGTTCAGAAAGAGATCAGATAGCATATTTTCTGAATTACTGTTTTTGAGACAGACCTTCACTCTGTACATTTTCTGAATTCTTATAAACGCTGACATGCAGTTTGTTGGCAGTGACAAACAATTTACAGATTCTTCAAAAGACATTTGGATGTCCACTGGCTTCCAGTGCTATAGATGAACAGTCCAATACTAGTTTAATTTTTTAAATATGCATAAAAATACAGTGATTAAGAGCATGCAATCTGCAACCAAACTTCCTGGGTTTGAATTCCAACTTCACCACATACCAGATGCATGATCCTGGCCAGACTATTAACCACTCTATGCCCCCATTTTCTCTTCTGTAAAGTGAGGGTGACAACCTCACTGGGTTGTTTGTTGTGTGGATGGAAAATATCACATGTGTTAGCACTTGAACAAGGCCTGGCATACGGCAAATATTCAATGAATGTTAGCTACTGGTATTACTATTATCATTATTTCCTTTTAAGTAACCTATTCTTTTAAAGTGGAAGCATGTTAAAATTTTCTCTTTATACTTGAAACTCAGAAATTTCACTGGTACATATAAAATAAGTCTGCCTTCCTGATCCCTTCCTGGGACTCAGTGAGCCACTTCAATCTGAAGTTTTGACCCCTCCACTCACATAAAACTCACCATAACACAAAACTCATTATAATAGTTTCAACAGTGACTACAGGAGACAGAGGAGGGGCTTCAAGATGGCTGACTAGAGGCATCTGGCACTTACGTCCTCCACAAAGCAGCAGCAAAACAGTGAGTAGATAACCACACTTAAAATAGATCATCTAAGACAGAACACTGAAACTCAACAGAGAAGTAACAAGAACACCTAAGACAAGGAAGGAGAGGGAAGGCAGGCAGGCTACTTGGCCAGGAGACCAGGGAGGCTTCCCAGTACAGGAAAAGGGTAAGTGAGATTCTCAGTGGTCCACATCCGCACTACAGACTCCTCCAATCCTAGCCAGGGGGGAGCCCTCCATCCTCACAGGTCCCAAGACTAACACAGGGAGCTGCTTCGAGACTGCACAAAGGTATTGCTCCAGAGAGTGAACTCACACGGGGTGTGACCTAAGCAGCAGCAGCATTGGCACAGTTTTGAGAACCCAGCCCCCACTCAACTGCATCCTGCCCCGAGGCCCAACAGCCTCTGCCTCCCCAACCCACAGCCACCAATGCCACAAGCTGCTGCCACTGAAACCTAAGCAACAGTCACTGGCAGAGACCCCACTTCCCAGCAGCAAGCTGTCATGCATTTGCACGTGCCCAGAGGACAGGGTCCCCTACCCACAGCCACCACCACTGCTGATTGCTGTCACTGGGGCCAAAGCACAATTCCCTGGTAGCAACTCCATTGCCCTTATTGCCCTTGGCAGTGTGGTCACCCTATATTAACACACGCCTTGCAAACAGGCTCCCAGGTCCCCAGCTGTCGCCTGGGGCTGAGGCACACATTCCCCAGCCACTCGCCTACAGCTGCTGCCACTGATAGCTGCATAGCAATCCCTAGCAGCAGGGCTGAGGTGCATTTGCAAGCGCCCTGGGGGCAGGCAGACTTCCCCAGCCCACCAGCACTGCTGCTGCCCTCACTCAAACACTCTAAGGGGAGCCTAGGGATCACCCAGCCGTCCTCATTATAGCCAGAGCCCCTGTAAATCACGTGAGGGGCTTGAGGACAGGCCTGCCTGGCCTGGCTCCCCCACCATCCCCAATACCAGAGCATACCTGGGAGCCTAGGGATCACTCAGCCATGTCAACCAGCGCTGGCACCTGAGCACTCCTCCCAGGGGTCTGCGGATGGGCCACCTCATCTGCCACTACCACCACAGCTGGCACACACCCACACATACCATCTGTGGGTCTGGGGACTGGACCACCCAGCCTGTCACAGCCACCACCAACACTAGCACAGACTGCTTAGGAGGCAGAGGGTTGTCCCACCACTGATCCTCTCATTGCTCATGCTATGCCTGCTGCTCAGGAGCCAAAGGACCCACCCACCTATCTGGCCCAAAGCTGCAACTGCCAGCATCTGAGAAAGTTGCATGGGGGCCCAAGAACTGGCCCATTTAGACCCACTAACACCAGTCATGCTGGGTCCTAAGGACAGGAATCTTTGGCCTGCTGTTGCCACCACTGGTGCCCAAGGAATGGCCGACCTGGCATCCTCATTCCCAGCAAATTTCACCACAGCCACCACTAACAACCACACCCTAAGCCAGTGAAGAAATTACAGGGGCCACATTACTGCATCCACCCAGAATCAAAGCCACAGTGCCCTATCCAGCCAGTATCATAGACTTGCCTTCAGAAAAAAGTCCTCCCCATGAAAGTAAATAAAAAAATTGGAAGATGCGACTGTTATACCAGATGTGCCAATAATAACATAAGGACACAAGAAACACGAAAAAACAAGAAAATATGACACCTCCAAAGCAACCAATAATTCTCCAGCAACAGATTCCAACGAGAAAGAAATACATGAAATGCTGGAAAAGTAATTCAAAATAATGGTATCAAAGAAGCTCAGTGAGATACAAGAGAACACAGATAAACAATACAAAGAAATCAGAAAAACAATTCAGATGATAAGTGAGAAATTTAACAAAACAGATATCATTTTTTAAAAAGCAAACAAATACTGGAACTGAAGAATATTCATTAAATGATAGAAAAAAATATATTAGAGAGCTTTGACAATAGACTAAAGCAGAGGACAGAATTTCAGAACTTAAAGACAGGTGTTTTCAAATAACCCAGTCAGACACAAATAAAGAAAAAAAGAATAAAAAAGAATGAACAAAGCCTACATGACATATGGCACACCATAAAGCAAACACATATTCAATTTTTTGGTGTTGCAGGAAGCAAAGAGAAGATGTGAGGGAAAGTAAACCTATTTAACAAAATAAACAGCTGAGAGGCAGAACAAGATGGCCAAATAGAAGCCTCCAGTGATCACCGCCCCCCACTCCATGCCCCACAATAGGAACACCAAATTGAACAACTATCCACGCAAGAAAGCACCTTTTTAAGAACCAAAAATTAGGTGAGCGATCATACCAAGGAAATGCACTGAAGAGGGTAGGAAAGACAATCTGGAATTGCTCACACCACTCCCGCAGTCCAGCCCCAGTGGCCACATGGAGCAGAGAATCTGTGTGCTTCAGGGAGAGAACATGCAGTGACTGTGGGACTTTGCATTGGAACTCAGTGCTGTCAATGTCACAGCAGAAGGCAACACTAGGCAGAACTCAGCCGGTGTTCACGAAGGGAGTATTTAGACTGACCTAGCCAGATGGGAATTGCCCATCCCAGCTGTCAGAACCTGAGTTCCGGCTAGCCCCACCACCGAAGGCTAAGGCACTCTGGCGTCCTACATAAACTTGAAAGGCAGTCTAGGTCACAAGAACTGAAATTCTGGACAAGTCCTGGTGCTATGCTGGGCTCAGAGCCAGTGAATGTGGGGTGCATGTGGCCCAGTGGGACACCAATCAGAGCAGCCAAGGGAGTACTCACATCACTCCTCCCCCAATCCCAGGAAGCACAGCTTGTAGGTCCAGGAGAGACTTCTTCTTTCAGCTTGAGAGTGGAGACGGGAGAGTAAAAAGGTCTTTGTCTTGTAACTTGGATACCAACTCAGCCACAGTAAAACAGGGTACCAGGCAGAGTCCTGAGGCCACCATTACAGGCCCCAGGCCCCAGGTGACATTTCTAAACACACCCTGGGCCAGAAGAGAACCCACTGCCTTAAAGGGAACAACCCAGTCCTGGCAGGATTCATTACCTGCTGGCTAAAGAGCCCTTGGGCCTTGAATAAACATCAGTGGTACCCAGGCAGTTCTCACTGCAAGCCTTGGGTGAGACATAGAGCCATGCTGGCTTCAGGGGGTGGCCACAGGGAGGTAATACTTTTGCTCAAGGAAAGGAGAGAGAAGAGTAAAGGGGATTTTATCTTGCAGCTTGGTCACCAGCTTGACAACAGTACCAAGAGGGCCCCTAGGGTCCCCAATTTCAGGCCTTGGCTTCTGGACAGCATTTCGGGACCTGCCCCAGGCCAGAGAGGAGCCTGCTGCCCTGAAGGGAGAGACCCAGGCCTGACAGCATTCACCACAAGCTGACTGAAGAGACCTTGTGCTTTGAGGGAACATCGGCAGGAGCCAGGCAGTACTAAACGCAGGCCTGGGATGGTGATGGATATGGGAAAAGACTCTTCTGCATGAAAAAAAGAGATGGAAGAGTGGGAAGAACTTTGTCTTGCAGTTTGGGTGCCAGCTTAGCTGCAGCAGAATAGAACACCAAGTAGATTCCTAACATTCCCGACTCTAGGCCCTGAATGCTGTACAGCATTCTGGAACCTGCCCTGGGCTGAGGGAAGTTCATTGCCCTAAAGGGCAGGACACAAGCCCGGCTGGAAAGCCCTTGGGCCTTGAGTGAACACATCAGCAGTAGCTAGGCAGTGGTTGCCATGGGCCTTGGGCAGGACCCAGTGCTATGCTGGCTTTGTGTCTGACCCAGTATAGTACCAGCGGTGGTGGCCACAGGGTTGCTTGAATCATCTCTCCCCTAGCTCCAGGCAACTCAGCACAGAGAGACAGACTCTGTTTGGGAGAAAGTAAATGAAGAGAACAAGAGCCTCTGCCTGATAATCCAAGAAATTATCTTGTATCTCACCGAAGGCCACAAAGGTGGTATCTCTACAAGTCTGCAAGAGTCACAGTGTTACCAGGCTTGGGTCCCCCCTAATGCAGATATGGCTGCAGTGACCAAAGATTTAGATCACAACACTCAATTCCCTTTGAATATTTGGAAACCCTTCCCAAGAAAGATGGGTACAAATAAGCCCAGACTCTGAAGACTACAATAAATACCTAGCTCTTCAATGCCCAAACACCAATGAACATCCACAAGCATCAAGACCATCCAGGAAAACATGACCTCACCAAATGAACAAAGGCACCAGGGACCAATCCTGGAGAAACAGAAATATGTGATCTTTCAGACAGAGAATTCAAACTAGATGTTTTGAGGAAGCTCAGTGAAATTGAAGAGAACAGAGAGAAGGATTTCAGAATCCTATGAGATGCATTTAACCAAGAGACTGAAATAATTTTTAAAAACCAAGCAGAAATTATGGCACTGAAAAGTTCAACTGACATACTGAAGAATGCATTATAGTGTCTCAGCGGCAGAATTGATCAAGTAGAAGAAAGAATTAGTGAGCCTGAAGACAGGCTATTTGAAAACACACAGAGAAGACAAAAGAAAAAAAAGAATAAAATGAAGTATGCCTACAATATCGAGGCATACTTCAATATCCTCAAAAGTACAAATTTAAGAGTTATTGGCCTTAAAGAGGAGATAGAGGAAGAGATAAGGTAAAAAGTTTATTCAAAGGGATAATACCAGAGAACTTTCCAAACCTAGAGAAAGATATCAACATTCAAGTACAAGAAGGCTATAGAACACCACGCAGATTTAACCCCAAGACTACTTCCAGCCATTTAATAATCAAACTCCTAAAGGTCAAGGATAAAGAAAGGATCCTAAAAGCAGCAAGAGAAAAGAAACAAATAACATGCAAAGGAACTCCAATATATCTGGTAGCAGACTTCTCAGTAGAAACCTTACAGGTCAGGAGAAAGTGGCATGCCATATTTAAAGCACTGAAGGAAAAAAGCCTTTGATCCTAGAATAGTAAGTACATCCATTGAAAATATCCTTCAAACATGAAGGAGAAATAAAGACTTCCCCAGACAAAAAAAAGCTGAGGGAATTCATCAACATCAAATACTTGTCCTACAAGAGATGCTAAAGGGAGTTCATTCTGAAAGAAAAGGACATTAATGAACAATAAGAAATCATCAGAAAGTACAAAATTCAATCGTAATAATAACTACACAGAAATACACAGAATATTATAATACTGTAATCGTGGTGAGTAAACTACTCATATGTTGAGTAGAAAGACAAAAAGATGAACCTATCAAAAATAATGATAAAACTTTTCAAGGCATAGAATAATAAGATATAAATAGAAACAACAAAAAGTCAAAAAGTGAGGAGGGATCAAATTAAAGTATAGAGTTTTTATTAGTTTCCTTTTTACTTGTTTGTTAATGTTTGTTTTTACAATCCATGTTGTCATCAGTTTAAAATAATGGGTTACAAGATGTTATCTGCAAGCCTCACAGTAATCTCAAAAAACCTACAACAGATACACAGAAAATAAAAAAAGAAATTAAAAAATATCACCTGAGAAAATCACCTTCACAAAAGGGAAGATAGGAAAGAAAGAGGGAAAGAAGAGAGGACCACAAAACAATTGGAAAACAACAAAATGGCAGGAGTAAGTCCTTACCTATCAATAACAATGAATGTAACTTGACCAAACTCTCCAATAAAAGGAAACAATCAACAGGGTGAAGAAACAACCTGTCGAATGGGAGAAAATATTTACAATCTATTTATCTGACAAGGGATTAGTATCCAAAATATACAAGGAACTCAAACAACTCAATAGTAAAAAATAATCATAATAATCTCATTAAAAAGTAGGCAAAGGACATAGATATTTCTCAAAAAGAAGATATACAAATGGCCAACAGGCATATGAAAAAATGTTCAACATCACTAATCATCAGGGAAATGCAAATCAAACTACAATGAGATACCATCTTACCCCAGTTAAAATGGCAATTATTAAAAAGAGAAAAAAAAAAAAAGATGTTAGTGAGGATGTGGAGAAAAGAGAACTCTTACATACTGTTGGTGGGAACGTAAATTAGTGTAGTCACTATGGAAAACAGTACAGAAATTTCTCAAAAAACTAAAAATAAAACAACATAAGATCCAGCAATCCCACTACTGGGTATTTATCCGAAGTAAAGGAAATCAGTATACTGAAAGGATACCTACACCCACCCCATGTTTATTGTAGCACTATTCACAATAGCAAAGATATGAATCAACCTCAGCATCCATCAATGGATGAATGAATATAGAAAATGATATATATACACAATGAAATACAATGTGGCCATAAAAAATGAAATCATGTCCTTTGCAGCAACATGGATGGAATTGGAAGTCTTTATGTCAAGTGAAATAAACCAGGCATAGAAAGACAAATATTGCATGTTCTCACTCATATGTGGTAGGTAAAAAAGTTGATCTCATGGAAGTAGAAATTAAAATAATAGATACAAAAGCTGAGAAGGGTGTGTGGGAGGGATAAGGGGGGTGAAGAGAGGTTGGTTAATGAGTGTAAATATATAGTTCAAGAAAAGAAATGTTTTAATGTTCTATAGCAGAGTTGGGTGACTATCAGTAACAATATATTGTATATTTCAAAATGGCTAGATGAGAGGACTTAAAATATTCCTAACATACAGAAATGATAAATCATCAAGGTGATGGATATCCTAAATACCCTGACTTGATTGTGACACATTCTATACATGTAACAAAATATCACATATACCCCATAAATATGTGCAAATATTATGTATCAATTTTTAAAAGTTAACTATATAAAGTAGTGAAAGGTTCAAGTTAAGGTCAAATAGCACTTTAGATTTGTCTCATGTGTTCTAATGTTATAAAAAACAATTATTATTACATTACATTTAAAACAATGTATTCTCATATCACATTTAAAACAATCATATTAAATGCTGGTCACAGTGAAGTTAGCTATATTTGGATATTCTGACTGTAACAAAAACCATTTGGACAAAGTAAGTTGCCCCAGCAAGAATCAATCAAATGAGGTAAACTCAGACTCAATAAACCAGTCTATTCAACCTGATATAGTATGGAAAGCCTATATCTGAGCAAGATTTATTCATTAGTGAAAGGATAAACCTTCATGTATGTAAAACAAGTGTGCTTAAAACTGTAAATTTTTTGCCTCAAATATAGATAATCAAAATATTAAATTGCCAGAGTGCCAATGGCACTAGCCCCTAATAATATCCAAGTAAAGGCCAAAGTTTTATTGAGAACATGGTTAATATTATGTGCAAATACAAAGAAAGATGAGGTGTTTTAGGTCATAATCATTAATGTACTATAAATCACAGATTTGTAAAATGTTGGAGTTGATGTTAACACCCTCATTTAACAGATGAGGAGAACAAGAAAAGTTTAAAGTGGAGCTCTAATAAACCTGAAGGCATCTATCGTAAGCTGCATGTTATTTACACCCAATGACTCTACGTAGAAAAAAATACATGCTTCTAACACGTCTAGTATTACAGCTGCGATTTCAGATTCAGATTCAGGTGGCTGCCATTATCCTCCAGTCTCAGAATTTGATTTTTCATCCCAACCAAAGAAGAAATAAATAAATTCAATAAGTAGCACATATAAAACCACACATGACCCAGGCCTTCAGCATTACTAGAAGACAGAATATAACAAACTTTAAATTGTTTATAAATAGTAAAATGAGCAAAGATATAGAGGATGGAACAACAGAATTGGGGTTGAAATCTTTAAAGTAGATTTTAGAATAAAAAATATTTAATGAGAAAAAGGAGGAATTTTATAATGACAAAGTCACAATTCATAATGAAAATATAATAATACTTAATATCAATGCATCTGATAAGATCAACCTCCTACATAAGGCAGAAACTACAGAAGATATAAGCAGAAATCGACAGGGACATACTATTGATATAGTCTTCAAAACACCACTCTCAGAATAAGATAGAACAATTGAACAAGAAAACAAAATATAGAGAACCAAATGACATAATCAATGTGGCAATTTTTACATCTAAATGTCAAATGTCTCATCCTGATACAGATGAAAAATATATCTTCTTATGTGAAGAAGATATATTCTTTATTATCTTCTTCTCAACAGCACATGATACATTCATAAAAATTGATAATATATATGACAATATATTATCAGCAAATTTTAAGCAAAGATATCTTCTTTGCTTGGAATTTGATGATAATATATTAAGATATAATATAAGATGATATAAGTAATATATCTTCTCAATAGCACAATACATTCACAAAAACTGATAATATATTACATCACAGGGAAAACAACACCAAATTTCACAAAACAGAAATATTACAAACTCTGGTCACAGTGTACTAAAACTAGAAATTACAAACAAAATGAAAAAAACAAACAGGGAGGGAACCCACGCAGGAGGATGGAAGGAAGAATAATTTGGGATATCAGACCCTCAATAGGGTGGAGGAAGGCATCTGTCCAAATAGACAACAGGGAGATTATTACATAAACTGGAATTGATCAAACAAGTTAATATATTACGGACAGTGGGGCCCAAAATTATCTCTGTTGGAGAAGAAAGTTGTAAATATGGAAAGAAAACAAGAATAAAGCCTGTGTTATTTGCTCGAAAGTTAAGGTATAAGTATAATCTCATGGAGTGTATGTGTGTTTGTGTGATTATATACACACATACATAAATATGTACCTACAAATATGGAAACCACTACAAATGTGAATTACTGTGTAAATATTATGTATGTATTAAATATACTCCCTAATTGTTCATTGAGATAGTTTGTAAACAGTAATAACCCAATAGCAATGTGTATACCAAGTGTACAGATCTTTTTTTTTTTTTTTTTGAGATGGAGTTTCGCTCTTGTTGCCCAGGCTGGAGTGCAATGGCATGATCTTGGCTCACTGCAACCTCCACCTCCCAGGTTCAAGCGATTCTCCTGCCTCAGCCTCCCAGGTAGCTGGGATTACATGCAGGTGCCAGGCTCATTTTTGTATTTTTAGTAGAGACGGGGTTTCACCATGTTGACCAGGCTAGTCTCAAACTCCTGACCTGGTGATCCGCCTGCCTTGGCCTCCCAAAGTGCTGGGATTACAGACGTGAGCCACCGCGCCCGGCCAGATCTTGGTTTTTAAACATCATTCACTACTAAAGTAAAATGGCACTCTTTGAAGAAATGGCAGATTTCATTCAGGGGTAGAGAAAAGCAAGATGGGCCTTGTGCCAAAAAGCAAGGGCACCCATAAGGAATGACAGGGATATCTCAAAAGGGCACACACACCAGCATTAATGGTATCCCACTGGCCAAATCCTGGACAATTTGAATATCAAAATAAATAATGATAGCAACAAATTATAACTCATTGAGTCAAATAGGAAACCCAGTCTATACTGATAATACATTAAAAGCTTGAGAAGGAACAAGATATTTAGATAGTCTCAAAGTACCTCAATGTATAACACTAATTACAAAGAGAAGAAGGAAATGTAGGAAAGCCACACACCTAAATAATATTAAACTGTAAAGAGCACCCCAAAAGGCAAAAATGTATGAGGAACATTTGTCAGGGGGACTAATCCATTCTAGGGAGGCAGAGGAGACTTGAATTAACTAACGTGGGCAAAGCGGTGAGAATGCTACAGACTAGACTCCAAAATTGTACTTTATTGCCTGGTTCCAAACATGTTCAATTTATGTAAGAAGGCAGTTGAAAATCCTCAGAAATCTGAGAGAAACAAAGATGGAGAGAAAGTGAAAGAGAAGCTTGGTACTGAAGCTCCAAGTCACTAAAATGCAAGACTGCCATCTGGTGGTAATTTCAGCAAATCCCTTCCAAGTAATGGGGGGGTAAGAGGGGGTGATGGATTGAAACAGACACAGCACTATTTAGTGACACACATTCTCAAATTCAGTATTTCAAAGGCAGTATTCTCTTTACAATTGAAAATACAGTGTGAAACATAAATATTTTTAAACTGCTTAATTTTAAGATCATTCACTTGTGAAAACCACTAAGTATTCAATAGAATCACTTTTAAAAAGCTCAAAGAAAAGGACAACTTGAAAGAGAAGCAACTGCCAGCCTGTTCCTTTTTGGGGACACTGCCAAAGAACAAGACCTCTATTGGGCACATTTTCTAGAATCCAACACTTAAATAGTACCCCAACCGGCACGCCCCAATCAAAAAAAAAATTACAGACAATAAGCTACTCTCCTAACTGATACTACTTCCTCATTTCAATCATGTCTGACAATTAAATAAATACCTCCAGATGAAGAAGTTTCCACTGCACATACTTTCTTTGGTCATCAGCCCCCACCCTTAAAATGAATTATTGCTAGTTATAATTGCTTACAATGTTAAATTCTAGTTTACCAAAATATTGGTCCCTTTCTTTTAATTCTGTTAATGTTAAGACAAACCAAGATTTGCTTTATGTTGTACTGACCTAACAAATCTAAAGATAAGTTTAATAAAATATTACATCTACCTAAACAGCTCCCATAGCTTCTACTAACTTCCTAGTTAAATACTTACAAATACATGGAAATAAGAAGAAAACTCACAATAGACAACTTATCATCAGAATCTGGAAGGAATCTCTATTAAACTTAAGGCAGATGGAGCAAGACTGAAAAATCCAATGCAGAATATGCCTCGTGATCTGTATCTTGTGGTTTAGGGGCTTTTCTTTTTTTTTTTTTTTTTTTGCATTTTACATTTTGGATTCCACAGCTAAAATAAGTGTCACACTAAATAAAAAATAAAGAAAACAATAAAGAAGTACAAAAATAGAAAGCATAAAAACCCAAACACATCAATTGTAAGAATTTTAAACAGGTTAAACTCCTCTATTAAAAGACAAATGATCAAACAACAAAATCCAACCTCTTATTTATGAAAAAAAAAGCAAACATACATCAAGCAAATTCAAACCAATATAAAAACAGAATTCAAGGCAAAAGATGCTGAATGAGATAAATGTGATAATTTTATACTATTAAAGAGATATGCAAAAGGAAAATGGAAAACTTACAAAATTCTGTGTGCCAAGTAACATTGTATTAAAATAGAAAAAAAAAGTTTTTAAATGAAGGCTTGACAGAAACACAACATAATTGAAAGACTATTAAGTATTTTTAAGTCTTAGGTAGATAGAGAAGACAAAAAATAAACAAGGATATAGAAAGTTGAATAGATGTATAATATTAAATATGAAACAATATATTTTTGGGGGACAGAGTCTCACTATGTCACCCAGGCTGGAGTGCAATAGCACAGTCTCAGCTCACTGCAACCTCCACCTCCCGAGTTCAAGCTATTCCCCTGCCTCAGCCTCCTGAGCAGCTGGGATTACAGGTGTGTGCCACCAAGCCTGGTTAATTTTTTGTATTTTTAGTAGAGATGGGGTTTCACCATGTTGGTCAGGCTGGTCTCGAACTCCTGACCTTGTGATCTACCCACCTCAGCCTCCCAAAGTGCTGGGATTACAGGCATAAGCCACCATGCCCAGCCAAATATGAAATAATAAGAAATCTCTCTCTATATATATTGGTCTCTACCCCCCAGTTCCTGGCTCAGAGCTCCTAAAACCCTTGTCATTTCCCAAGCAATGGAGGTGCCAGAAACATCTTTTGTTCTAATATTTGGTCTTTGACCCCACTCCCTGACAAAGAGCTTCTAAATCTCTTAGAACTTCCTGGTGATAGAAACAACTTCTATTCTAATGAGGCAGCTCTTGGTGTACTCTTTGATGGGGATTGGTCACCAAAAAGACCAAGTCATGATAAGAAGCTTGGAACTTTCAGCCCCAAACTCCATCCTCAAGGGAAAGGAAAGGAGATGTAAACTGAGTTAATAATCATATCGATGTGATGAAGCCTCCATAAAAATCTCCAAAACACGGGATTCAGAGAGCTTCCAAGTGATGAATGCATCCACATGCCAGAAGGGTGGGGCACTCCAACTCCATGGGGAAAAAAGCTCCTGTACCCAGGACCCTTCTGGACCTACCTGTTCATCGGGCTGTTCATCTGAATCCTTAAATCTATCCTTTATAATGAACTGTGAATCGTAATTCAGTGTTTCCCTGAGTCCTGTGAGCTGCCATAGCAAATTATCAAAGTGAGGAGGGTTATGGGACCCCCTGTTTGTAACCAAGTCAGAGAGAAGTATGGTAACCTGGGGACCCACTACTTTTGACTGGCATCTGTAGTGAGGGGCAGTCGTGGGAGACTGAGTCCTTAATCCTTGAGGTCTGCACTAACTCCAGGTAGTTTGTATCATAACTGAATTGTAGGAAGGACACCCAGTTGGTGTCTGGAGAGTAGAAGAACTGGAATGTGTGGAGAAAATAATCCCCACACATTTGGGCACAGAAGTGTGGGAAGTGGTGTGAGTAGTAGGAAGAAAAACAGGTTTTTTTTTTTTCTCCTCACTAAACAATGTATGTTACATTATGTTGCCTAAAAAGAATGAATATTATTTTCCAAGTGCCCATGAGCACAAAACTGACCAGATATTAAGCCACAAAAAATTACTGCAAATCATAAATTCCACATCAGTGAACAAAATGGATTAAAATTTGAAAGAATGAGAAAAGTCTTCACAAAAATAATACAACCAACTAAAATGTAAACTCTTGCCTAAATAATTCTAATCTAAAGGATACCACATTACATACAAGTAATATAAAAAATAACAAGGAGATCTTAATATTAAAATTTGAAAGGGAAATACAGAAGTTGTAATCAAGAGAAAATTTGAAACTTAAATACTTTGATCAACAGACAAAAATAAATTTAGGTAAACATACCAGAAGTTAGAAAAAGAAAAAAAAATCAGCCTGCAGAGAGGTAAAGAGAGAAATTAATAAGTATAAAAAATTCCAATAGAAATAATGAATAAACCAGCTTTTTAAAATTATAAAACAACAAAATAAGTTTTAAGTACCAAAAAATTGGAAAAAACTAATCCAGAGAATAAGCAAATATACATATTGCAGATAGCACACAAATTTCTGCTACTGAATTTTTAAAATCTAAATGTCACTGACATAAAAATATATAATACAAATTATCAAGACTCCCTCAACAAAAAATAAAAAACTAGTCTAGACTGAGTTATAGAAAACTCTGAAAAAGTCCAAAAGCACCCCCTCTCACCCAATTAAAGGGTACAGAATCAGACAGTTTTAGAGGCACATTTTTTGCAAATTTCATTAAAACATATGTTATTTAAACTGCTCCAGAACATAGGGTGCAAAAATAAAAGCCTTTACATTTAAGTGTTCAAAGTAAGATCAGCCTCCTTCCAAAACTAGACAAAGATAGTTCTCGAAAAAGAAACTGACTTGTCTAACTTATGATGTAAAACCTTTAAACAAAATTTTAACAAATCAAAAATAGCTGTATCATAAAAGATCAATTCACACAGCCAAGCTGACCTATTCCTAAAATCCAAGGGTGGCTTAATAACATGAATATTATTAACATAATATAACACATCCAAAGGTTATAGACTATATGGTCACATTACATTCATTGATAAATGCAAAAAAATTCTTAAATCTGATTTTTTAAAAAAAGAAATTCTTTATTTTTATTTTTAGAAATAGAAAAATATGTATCTCAAAACAAGGATATGCTTAATGTAAACACTAGCAACATTCCCATTGAAGTTAAAATAAAATACAAGGATGCCCAGTGTACCCCTTTAATTTAAACATTGTTAAAATTCTATTCAAAAACAATGAAAGACACACAATATAGCTATGAATCACAGAAATTCTAGGTATCAAGAAAATCCAAAGTACCAACTCAGAAACTGTAACAACTAATAAAAAGTTCAGCAAGAAGGTTGATTTTCAAGTAAATATATAAAAATCAGTAGCTTTCTTAATAGAAGTAATGTTTGAAAATAGGAGTACTCTTTCACAACAGAAACAAAGGTAAACAGAAATATAAAACAATAAGAAAACTAAAAAACATAGGTGAAGGCATAAAAAAACTTGAATCAACAAAACAAAACATCACGTGCCTTAGTAGTAAGACTGGATATAAAATATTATGCCTCTCCCAAACTATTCCACAAATTTAATCCAATGGAAATTTTTGGTATTTGATAAAATTATTGTGAATCATATTCAGAATAAACTATTCAGAAAAAATAGGTAGAAAAGTCTGTATATCGTATTTGAAAATAACTACAGGATGTTAGACTATATTTTAAAGTCAAAATAAATTAGAAACACAGTGGTACTAGATCAACAAGAAACCCCCAAACATAATTAGTGTGTATGTAGGACCATAGATTATGAGAACTGCAGTGTTTCAAACCAATGGGGACATGTGTCTAAGAGGTCAAAATAATTGAATTCAAATTCAAAAAGTGAGGAATTATAAGCAAGTTATGGTGGCATTTTATCAATCAGGTTCTAATCTGTTTTTACTAACCTGACCATTGTCTGTAACAGCCAAAACAGAGCAACAATGTTTAACGGCTTCTGAACGGTATTTCGTACCTTTCGTTCATTCGTGGCTCAGGTATGCAGTTGTAAATGTGAAATGTCTAACAATTCAATAAATTCATCAACGACACTTTAAAACTCTTTGGAGAACGAATGAATTTAGTTGTAGCTACTTAACCACTAAGAATAGGATTAAGTTAAATCCCAATTCACAGAAAATACCAAAATAAATCCGGATGGATGCTGTTAAATATAAACACCAAAAACATACTATCAAATGCACTTCAAAAAGGCTGAACTAATTTAATACTTCACCAGCACTGTAGTACCCATTTTCCCTAGTCTTCAGCAACATATGTTCATTCTCTTTGAGAAATCCAACTTCTAGGAATTCATGGCAATAATCAGAAACATATATGTAAACAAATAATTAAGGGTATCTACTGCAAGACAGCTTATAATTTTGAAATGTGGAGAAAGACTTAAATCTTCAATCTGTTATCATTCATTTATTGTACCTTACTCAATAGAATATTACACAGACATTACTAATGATGCTGCTGAATAATATTTAATGGGCATGGGGAAAGTTTTTTTACAAATTATTGTACAGTTTTAAAAAAATGTAGTGTTACACATGAGCTTTCATACTATAATCCCAAATCTGTAAAAGAGTAAAACTTAATTTTAAAATTATGTATGTGAATGTGAATAAGTTTAAGAACAGATAACAAAATGTTAAACAATGGTTTTTTTTGGATGCTCCCTTTCTAAAGTTTTTCCTTTAAACTGTTTTTAATTTACTTACTTTCTCACATTAAATATCTACTGTTTTATCATCAGAAAAACATGCACGTGTACCTGGCATACAGATACTTCTATGAATTATAAATACAAATATCTATGTATAATAATGTTTATCTCGGCAATATTTAAAATAGAAAGTAATCAGAAACAACTGTCTTACAAAGAAAGGTTTGGATAAATAAATTACAGTACTTCCACTGGATGTCTCTTAAAACTATGTTTCACAGGAATATTTAATAACCAGAAAAAAATGCTGATAACATAAATTTGATTAAAATACAGAACATGAAATTGCATTGGTTATGAGTCTTCTTTTTTAAAAAATAAATGCATAACTATATGTAAGTAGAAATCATACACTGCATTATAAAAAAGGCTGGTAAGAAGCAACAAATGTGAAAGTGATTATCTCTGGATGATGCATTGTCAATGGTTTTATTTTTTTCTTAACACCATTCTGTTTTCCAAATTCACTACATAGTGAGTTTGGAAAGTGTGATATACATACAAGAATATCCAAAGGAGAAGGGGGAAGAAGGAGAGGAAATTTAAAAATAAAGCAGCCATCTGTCCCACTGCTTTGAATTAGTTTTAATTACAGAATTTTATTCATTTTAAAATTTTAAATGACACTAGAGAAATTATTGTATCTATCACATAAAGGTATAGGTTTTTTTAAGAAACAGAGAAGCATTGCTCCAAAATGTATACTTTTAATTTAAAATGTTATAGTTTTTAATAAAGTTTAAAGTGTTAAGAGTTCTATTTTAAGTGAATATAGTTAGTAAAAATGCAATCTACTTGTAGCACTTCTGAAAATTATATTGACTATTATATCAGGAATAAATATGCCTTTATATTTTACTCGTAAGGTGCACCCACCATACCAATAAAATTAATTTAATTAATTGTTCTTTTCTCCTCTAAAAATATTATGTAGCATCATTACAAGTTAAATAGGGAAATCACTAGGTTTCTTTACTTATTTTAATATACTTTGAATGAGTTTCAATTAAGGTAATTTTTAAAGTTAATTGAAAGTTTAAGGTTAACATATTTCTGAGAAATATCACATTCCATAGTTAGTAGTTTAAAATCACAAAATGTGAAATTGACTGCATCAAGAATATTCCTATCACTATTCACATAAATCAATATACTTGCTGAACTTTTAGTCAAAATATGCATATTTAAAAGAATAAACACTTAAAAATTAGTTACTTAAGCCATTTAAAAATCTTAGAAAAGTGTTTATAACTAAACCAGGTATTATGCTACCTAGTCATCCCACAATTATTGCATTAAATAAATGAATCTGACTAAAGCTTTTTTTCATACATGTGAAGTAATTCTAGAGTATACAATATCTTATCTTCCACATAAATAATGACAATTGGGAACAACCTCTTCAACTGTTGAAAGCTTTAATTTTCAGAAATGTCCCCTTAAATAGCATTATCATATTCATGCTTTTAATAACTTAGAGGATTTAAATGAAATGGATGATACAGCATTTCATGTCTCAGTTGTTAAAAGTTTTTCAATCTTTCCAACAAATGATTGAGACCTTGGAGATTTTGTAACTTGTCACACATATGTTTCTTCTCAAGCCCCAGTGCAAGTTTTCTTGTATGCCAGAAAAAAATTCTTTTCTTTTACACAATAAGATTGCCATTATAACATTAATACTTGAAACTTGATGCTTCAATTTTAAAATGTTGATATTAAGTTCATACAAGTATGTCATTTTCCACAGGCATAATGTTTGACTACTGGGTGTCTTACAAATAATCCTTAGTTTTGTATATATTAAAGTACTAAACACAAAAACATTGAATGAGCCTATATTTTTAAGATTTTTGTGGGTACAACTCAAGAGTTTTTTTTAAAACGGTCTCATGAGACAAATAGTAGGGAAAACCAGTGAAACAAAACACTAGTTCTTCGAAACAGCCCAAAGCTAATAAACCTCTAGAGTTAGACTGACAAAGAAAAAAAGAGAAGAAATTATCATTAGCAGGAATTAATTAGGGACCATCAATACAGACCCTGCAGAAATCAAAAGGATAGTAAGAGAATACCACAAACAACCCTGCACATACATTTAACAACTTAGAAGAAATGGACCAATTCCTAAAAAGCACAAACTACCACAACTCACTCAAGATAAAAGAGGTAATTTGAATAGCCCTAAAACTATTCAAGAAATTAAATTTCTAGCTGGGCGCACTGGCTCACACCTGCAATCCCAGCACTTTGGGAAGCCAAGGTGGGCAGATCACTCGAGGTCAGGAGTGCGAGACCAGCCTGGCCAACATGGTGAAACCCCATCTCTACTAAAAGTACAAAAATTATCCAGGCGTGGTGGCACGCACCTGTAGTGCTTGGGGGTCTGATGCAGGGGAATCACGTGAACCTGAGAGGTGGAGGTTGCAGTGGGCCACAATCACACCACTGCATTCCAACTTGGGTAACAGAGCAAAACTCCATCTCAAAAAAAAAAAAAAAATTACATTTCTAGTTTAAAAGACTATCAAGAAAGGAAATCTCCAGATTCAGATGGTTTCATTACAGAATTCTACCAAAGTTTAAGAATTAACACCAATGCTACACAAGTGCTTCCAGCAAATTAAGAGGAGGGAACACTTCCCAACTCATTTCATGAAGTAATACCATGATACCAAAAGCAGATACAGTACCAAACAAACAAACAAAAAGACAACTATAGACCAATATCCCTCTTTAGTAGAAATGAAAAAATCATTAACAAAATATTAGCAATTTATACACAATGACCAAGTGGGGTTTATTCCACACTTTTTTTTTTTAATAAATAAATCCCACTTGGGATTTGTTTATCCCAAGTGGGGTTTATTCCAAATGAAAAAGGTTCATTCAACATTCAAAAATCAATCAACATAATATACCATATTAACAGGCTAAAGAAGAAAAATTACACAATCAGATGTCGCCATCGGAGTATACATAATAAACCTTTAGTTCCCTTCAATTTGGATGAAATCAACCATTACACTTTAAAGGACTTGCCTATATAAGAGTAACTCTTTTTCACCAACAAAAGCTTGACCTATTTCAAATGTTGCATAATATCTGAATTTTGAGAACTAGAGAAAACAAGACACTGAAACATTTTTTAAAAGTTGACAATTTTTTTAAAAAAACTTCTTTTCCACAGTTAAGATGCCTGCATGCCATTTCAATTGGGAAAGAAAACTGTCTTACCATAATTAAACTGACTGTTGGACTTTTCACAGTTAATGATGTTAAACCTGTAAGCAACACCTGGTCGCATTCCACTGACTTCAAAGTAAAACCACTGATGATAATGATTGCTGTTTATGTCTGAGTTCAGAATAAGATCATATTCATTTCTGAAAATAGAAGACAAAGAAATCTGATGAAAATTAGGAAATATCTGTGCACATACAAAATGAGAAAATCTTAAGTGACTTACTTTCTAATTTGAATTACTTTGCGCAGATTCCCAGACTCAAATTTGGAGTTAAATTTCAAAATATCTCCCTCTTCTGGAATGGTGTAACTAAATAAAAGTTTTAAAGTAAATGTATTAAAATACATTGCATTTAAACAGATGAGCAAAAAGTAAATAAAATTATAATTAAAAATACATCACTACTGCCATATCACCTTCCTCATTATTTTTAAACTAAAGCACAAAACAAGCACAATCAATACATTAAATGTGGATAAGATTTATGGACAAAACTTATAATAAGAGATTTATTCTTATGTTTATACTGATATAGTAAGAACTTTTGCCTCACTGAATGCATGTCATTTCTAAAATACTTATTTTTATACAAAAAAGAACATTTTTAAAACGGCTATGACCTGTACTGAGCAGCAATAATTCTCATAAACGATGCAGTTCTCTGAAGAAAATATTATTTTCAATTTGAAGAGCTAAATTACCTATTATCTTATTTAATTAGCATCAAGAAGCACACGTATTATCATTTTACATATTGATTATTAAATAAGCATTTACCATGTATCTACTAGGTGCCAGATACTGTTTGAGACATATGTCTGCTTGGTTCCCCGACTGAATGCAAACTCTTGCTCTTCTGGAGCCTACTCGCTAATAAGAGAAGACTAGGACTCTAAGATGCTCAATAATTCTGTCCAAAATAGCACTGGTATGCCACACTCAGGGTTCCTGAGTTTCTGTTTCTACCACTTCTGCCTGTCTTATCTGACAAAGAATTATCAATGTTGAAATAATTAAATAAATAAGGTATATGTTTCCTCTTTTTTATAACAGTATTATTTCAAATTTAGTCATTAGCTTTGCTACAGCTTATACTCTTATCTAACAAAACTTTAAAAGAAAAAAAAAAGTGTTTTAGCCAGGCACGGTGGGTCACACTTGTAATCCCGGTACTTTGAGAGGCCGAGGTGGTCAGATGACCTGAGGTCAGGAAGTTCGAGACCATCCTGGCCAACATGGCAAAACTCCGTCTCTACTAAAAATACAGAAAAATTAGCCAGGCGTGGTGGCATGTGTCTGTAGTCCCAGCTACTCAGGAGGCTGAGGCAGGAGAATCACTTAAGCCCAAGAGGCAGAGGTTACAGTGGGCCGAGATTACACCAAAGCACTCCAGCCAGCCTAGGAGACAGAGTGCATGGGACTTCATCTAAAAAAAAAAAAAAAAAAAGGTGTTTTTTTCCTCCACATATGATTGGCAAGATGTGAAATTTTCCAAAAATATTTGTATGTTGAGGGAGAGAAGAAAGCCACTGAGGGCTAATTGAATTTCTCATATGAGAAGGCAGATGACTAAATAATAGTCAAACTCAATATTTGTAATTTTCATTTATTTACTTATATTTAAATCCTAAAATGTGATGATATCAGTGACAATCCTAAATAGTAAATGACTAACACATCAAGGATCACAAAAAAAGGCATTCCAAAGATGGAGCAGGCAACCTAAATGACTGAGCCGATTATAAGCAGTAAGAGACAACAGGGTGTGGTGGGGACTATGGAGAAGGATCAAGCAGATGCTCCTTCGAAAGGGATGGTAATTTGTTATCCTAATGAAATGAAGGCTCAGTATTGCAAGACAAGCCAGCATTTCATATAAAATATCCACTCTCCTAAGTGAAAGTAATTTCAGTTTTTCAAAAATACAACATCATTGTGTAACCTTTACCTCAAGCCCATTAAAAATCTACCTAAAAACAAACAAAATCTCGTGATAGAGTTAAGTAGGTAAACGTGACTTACCATTACCATTACATCCCAAAGGATGAAAACCTAATTAAGTCACAACTAGTTATAAATTAACTATATTTTTATTTATTATTTTAAAAACTACCAACATTTTTCACAGAATTTTTATCTTTTAGAAATAATACTAAAATTTTATAGAAAAACTTAAAACTAATAAAAGTTCATTAAAATCAAGACTTACTTTGGGTTATCCAAGTCATATACCACACGATCTATGATATCACTCTGATGTATTAGCCTTTCAATATCTTGAGCAATTTTTGTCCTGAAATCATAAAGGTTTAACCAAAATATATTATTATACACTAATGTACAACTTTCTCCAAAGTAAATTTTGAATGAAAAAAGTGCATGATAAAAATTTCTTAAAATAAAAATGATTATTCCTCTATCTATATATTTTGCATACAAAAAAACTAGCAATACGTAATAAGACAAAAATCAGTATCAGAATTTGAGTTCTAGAAAATATCCACGTAGAATACAGCCAGCCACAAGTCCAATCATTTAAAAAAAAAAAAAAAACTTGAATGTCTATTATGCCTTTCTACATAGAAATGGTGTGGTTTCGCTATCTAACCCTTGGGCAAATAATTCTGTATACATAATAGCAGCATTACGAGAAGGTATAAAGATGTGAAAAGCCAGAGATTATATAAGAATAATTTTTTTAAACCCACCTGGCTGGAATTTAGCTAAAATGCAATTGGCAGTCAGTCTGCATGTTCGTAGAATCTCTCCTCTCTTTTGTGGTGGGAAAGGAAAGGTAGAGGGAAGGGAAACACCTGTTTGAGGGAGCAGAGGATGATTCCCTGAGCATGCAAAATTCTCTAGACTTAATCTCTCCCTGAATCAGTCCAACAAAATAAAAATTCCTCCAATCCCTACCACTGTCCTAGAAGACTAAGTCACCCATAGAACCCACAATCTTTACCCCATCAATATTTAAGCTAAGGAAGACAATAATCACCAAACTGTGTCAACACAGGTGACACTAAAATATAGCCAAAACAGAACAGATTTGGTTCCTAAAGCCAGACTGCCTGTAACTCCAGGTAGACTGGCCACAAAGTCCTGCTAGTGTTAATACATAGCTACTTCTCATGTAAAATTTATTCTCAAAGAGGAAGGTGATTATATGCACTGATTTAAATTTCAAGTTTGTTCATTTCAGCTAAAGATAAGTAATGCAGATTAGAACTGTGGCTTATAGATTTATTGAGAGCAGGGTGAGAAAGTGTACCAAAATAGTTTATAACAAAATCTCAAGAATCCATTAAACACTGACAGTCTTAAACTTCAGGCAAATCTGAAACTAGTCTCCTGCACGAAGATACTTTTCCATGATAAAAGGATATTAACTCTCACATAGTTTAGAAATATATGTAACAATATCACAGTATAACCTTAAATTTAAAATAAGCCAAGAACCTACCCTAATTGAAAAATTAAAAATTACCAGGAAAATATCAGAAGGTATGATAGTTAAACATATAAACAAAGGATACTAAAAAAAAAGTATAATGCTAAAACTAATCTTAATCTACTAGTTAAACAGTTAAGAATAATTTACTTTTAATTTTATTCTATAAAAAATAACTCATTACTGACATAGTAGTCTATCAGGAAAAAAAGATCTACTATCAAAAAATTAAGCTACACATTCTTGATGTAAGTTTAATGTCATAACTTTAAAATGCCAATTATAAAGAAACAAGCTTTTTTAAAAGCTATCGATTATAGTAACACATAAATAAATTCAGAATTTACATCAACCAGATGGCCAATAGTGAAGGATATGGCACTTTCACATACTCAAAATATACCACATCAAAATTTAAGTGGTCAAGTATGGGTGAATGACTAAATATATCTATTTGTCAGAATAATTTATTTAATTAATAAGGTTGATATATGCCACAAATATGTAAAAATTAATATTCACAAAGGTTTGGTTTTTGTTTTTTTAGCAAAATGTTATGAGAAGCTAGTTTTAACAGCTCAGTTCCACAGTGATGTTCCATAACGCAAAACAGGGTCAAAGAGCTCGGGCCCGACAGGGGCCAGCAGGTATGAGAACTGAGTGAGGCTGACGGGCAGGAACTGTGAAAAACTGAGGACACAGCTTCTGTCTAAAAACGAGCTGACTGCTGCTAGGCAGGAAACAGAGGTAAAGGTTGTTGACAACCTTCAAGAAACACCAGAAACTTGGACTTGTTTGGGAGATGCGGAATCTCCCAAATTTTAAAGGCTGGCAATTGGTTTAAAAAAAAAAATGCCACTCTGCAAGTTAAGCCAAATCATGTGCAAGTTGAAAATGGCCTATATACCTGTTTGTATACCTCTAACACTGTATTCTGGGGGACATAATTGCCCATTTATATTAGACTAGATCTAAAATACTTGAGGGGAATCTTTGCCCTGCCCTAAGCTCTCTTTAATAAAGAGGAGAGGCAGGGCATGGTGGCTCGTGCCTGTAATCTCAGCACTCTGGGAGGCCGAGGCAGGAGGATCACGATGTGGTCAGGAGTTCGAGACCAGCCTGGCCAACATGGTGAAACCCCATCTCTACTAAAAAATACAAAAATTAGCTGGGTGTGGTGGCGGGTGCCTGTAATCCCAGCTACTCAAGAGGCTGAGGCAGGAGAATTGCTTGAACCTGAAAGGCAGAGGTTGCAGTGAGCTGAGATTGTGCCACTGCACTCCAGCCTGGGCGACAGAGCGAGACTCTGTCTCAAAAAAAAAAAAAAAGGAGGGAAACAGTCTTTTATTCAGACATGTATTTGTGTTAAGCAGATCAACTTTTATAGAAGAATGACAACTCTTCCTTCCTTTACCCCAGCCACCTATTGAAATACATGGCTTTCCAGTCAAAACAAATAGTCTAGGTACTCTCAGGGACTATAACCTCAAACTTACTGCCATTCAACATTTATGAAAGACTTGGCATGGAAAGGAATAATTTATGCAGGACTGTCTAGAAAATATATAGCCTATTCAGTCCATACTCAAAAACACATGTGATATGTGGCCACCAGCAAAATTGTACTTTGTTAGGTTTTCAACCACAGGGCAACACTATAAGAAATCATTTAGTAAATCTCATTGCTATATTTATTGTAAGAACATTATGGGAAATGTTCATCACATTAACAGTATGCTCTGAGGTTCCATATTATCTGTATCTGCTAGAAAGAAGATTCAAGATCATCTTCTTTACAGAGAGTATAACATATATATGTGATCAGTACATATATACGATCAACAGGATAGGCTCATGATATAGACCAGGGTTTGACTCTTGGCTCTGCCATTTACCAGTAGTGTAACTCAACAACCCTGAGCTTCAACCTACTCTTCTGTAAAATAAGAAAAATAATAGCACCTTCCTCATAGAGGTGCTATAGTATTAAATGGCACACTTTATATGCATATATACACTGCATATAAAATGCTTGTTACTGAATTGTGTGTCTGGCCCACAAAATGCCTAAAATGTCTTTAATAAAAGCTATCTGCTGCTTTTATTCCTACCAATACTTCCACTATTGCCTCAATTCCAGAAGTACCTGTGTTTTCCAAGCCATTCTAAACTTCATATAAGAAATCCAGAGTTTTGTTTTCTTTATTTTGCCTTTGCCACAATTCTTTATCTACTTTTTAATTTAAAATTTCTGAAAAGGTAATATGCTGGCATTACACAAAATCAAGTATGATATAAAAGCAAAAAATGAAAAGTCTCACTTATTAACACAACCTGTATCTTCCATCCACATAATCAAGGAACTACTTTTATTACTTTTCTTCCAGATTTTACTTGATGAAAACATAAATGTAGACTGCTTTTCCCTCCTTCTGATACGAAGTCTAAAACGTCATAAAACAAGCACCTTGTTTATTTCATTTTATAATACATCTTACACCTCTATCAGGGTATAGACAGCTTTTTGTTTTTTCAACCACTGCACATTATTCATAAAAAGGTTACACCATAATTTAACTAGTCCTTGACAAATAGGCACTTGAGTTGTATCCAATCTCAAAACAATACTGCAATGAAAAACTTTGAATGCCACTTCACACGTATGCAAACTATGTGTGCACACAGACATGTGAGATTTGTGAAATAAACATATCTCACAAATTCCCAGATGTGGGACTGACATGTCAAAGGAAACATGCACATTAATCTTGATAGAATCTGTCTGATCACCCTCTACCAGTGGTATTCTCAACTGACATTCCCTCAATTGAGATTCTCTCATACATGAATTCTTTCAATTAATGTATGAGAGAGGCTGTTTTTCCATAACCTCATCAATAGAATGTTATGCTCAATTAGATTTTAGCCAATCTGATATGTGGAAAATGATATCTCAGTACATCTTAACTTACATTTCTCTCATTTGGAGTTAAGTTAACCATGCTTTTGTGGTTGTCACCGTTTCCTTTCCCTTATTTTTCATTTTATTTTCATAAGCGTATTTTTTAAAAATATCTTGAATGTTTTTTAAAACAGGCATCACATATTATATAAAAGTGTAATTTATAATAAAACGTTTTTAAAAATACAGTTTTTTTTTTGCCGGGCACGGTGGCTCACACCGGTAATTCCAGCACTTTGGGAGGCTGAGGTGGGCAGAACACGATGGCAGGAGATCGAGACCATCCTGGCTAACACAGTGAAACCCCATCTCTACTAAAAATACAAAAAATTAGCCAGAAGTGGTGGCACGTGCCTGTAATCCCAGCTACTTGGGAGGCTGAGGCAAGAGAATCACTTGAACCTGGGAGGCAGAGGTTGCAGTGAGCCAAGATCGTGCCACTGCACTCCAGCCTGGGTGACACAGCGAGACCCTGTCTCAAAAAAAAAACCTAGTTTTGTTTTTTTTTTTTTTTTTTTTAGGATATATGAAAAAACAATGGAAAGAAAATAAATCAAAATGTTAATAATGGTTATCTCTGCAGGATGGGACAAAAAGTGACTTCTTCCTACTCTCTAATGTTATGGACTATAAAAACAAAAAAATGCACCAAAAATGCTAAGCATACTAAAATAAGAGATAAATTTAATTTTAATTTTAAATCCAACTTAAACCAAAAATATAGGTTTAAGTAATCATCAGTGTGTTTGCAATACAATTTTTTAAATGTTAGTGTGCTATCTACATTGAGATACGAATCTTACTTATAATGGACTGTTTCTCTTTCATTTGGAGGTAAAGAGATTTTTAACCAAGTTTTATTCATTTTATACTGAACTTTCTTTAAAACAGTGATTGCACATAAGAAAACTGTACAGTAGAAATTCAAAATAACAATCAGGATATTTTCACTGAAATCATGTAAAGGAGTCTAATGTTTCCTTTTCTGAAAGTGATAAAACAGTAATTCTTCATTAATTTTGACATCATTCATTTACAATGCATTCAGGTAGGGAATGTGATAAGTTGGCAAATAATTCACAAAATGTCATCATTTGCTCAAACATAAGATGCAGAAGACTAGGCAAATAAGCAAACCAGAATTACCATCCTCAATGTATTTTTTAAAATAAGCACTTCTGAGTACTTTGGAAATACCTTTAACCTGAACTATATTTGATATTTTATCACAAATATAGAACCATAAAGCCTTCAGAGTGGCTACAGGGGTCAGCAAACTTCTCCTACAAAGAGCCAGATAGGCTTTGCAGGCCACATGACAGCCATTCAACTCTGCCATGGTAGCACAAAAACAGTCATAGACAATGCATTAAAAAACAAGGCATGACTATGTTCCAACAAAGTGTTATTTGTGGACACGAATATGAATTTCATATCATTTTCATGTGCCACGAAGCCTTATTTTCCTCTCAATTGTTTTAACCACTTAAACATGTGAAAACCATTTTTAGCTCATGGGCTGAACATAACCAGGCAGATTTGGCAGATTTGGGATGGATTTGGCACACAGACCGCAGTATGCCAACCCTAACCTAGGTGAATGACTACCAAACTTTTTTAATATGACCAACAAGAAACACATTTTAAAGATCACAAGCCTACAAAAGAGAAACAGAGAGGTGAATCAAAAGAATTATGAAACAATACTTAGCTGTACTACATGTGACACACTGTTATTTTAATATTGGTTACTAATGAGTATCAACCCAAATTTGATAAACACTGGTCTAATCTTTGCTTTTAAAAAGTTGAGAAAATTGTTATCCAGAGAAATAAAGTTATTTATGTGCGCGCACACACACACACAGAGTGGGAGAGTTAAGTCTAAAACTTGCTTTTCAGAGAGCATCCTGCCCTGCCCTGACAAGATGTCTCACCACATATATGGTCTCACCCCTCTCATCAAGTCTAACCCAATTATCCAAGCATTTCTGCCATACACATATGTTCTTCCAGTCTCACATTAGTGTTACTTGGAGGAACAAATAATTTTGAAGAGTTTCCTACCCATTATTCAAAAATAATGGGTAAAAAGGTGAAAAGGGAGAGTGGAGGCTTTGGAGTATGCACCTGTGAAGATCCACACTGCACTGCTCACCATAACTCCCATGTAAACACTTGAAAAACTCAGTTGACCCCTGAACAACACAGGTTTCAACTGCACAGGTCCACTTATTTGTGGATTTTCCTTCCCCTTTGCCCCTGCTGAGACAGGCAGGAAGACCAACCTATCCTTCTTCTTCCTGCTCTTCAGCCAGTTGACAAGAATGAAGACCTCTATGGTGATCTACCTCCACTTAATGATTAGTAAACATATTTTCTGTTCCTTATGATTTTCTTAATAACATTTTCTTTTCTCTAACTTACCTTTATTGCAAGAATACAGTATATAATACAAATAATGTACAAAATAAGTGTGAACTGTTTACATTACTGGTAAGGCTTCCGGCCAACAGTAAGCTATTAGTAGTTAAGTTTTGAGGGAATTAAAAGTTATACTTGAATTTTTGACCACACAGGGGCTGGTGCCCCAACCTCTGCATTGTTCAAGGGTTAACTATATTTGCAAAGAGTATATAAAATTAGGAGGGGAAAGGCAATAACTTTCAAATACCAAAGTACTGTTGTCTATTACACAATCTGTAAACATTTTTAAATAAAAATACTTTATTTTTTGTAGTAGTCATGGCTAAGGTGATTAACATTATTGGGGAAGTCCTATACATCTAAGTAATATGAATAGAATCATATTGTTTTGTTGAAATATGAAACCTTCATCCTCAACAATGCAATCGTTCTCAGGGCTACAACTCCATAGTGAAATATGGTTATACTCTCCTGCTGCATGTCAACTATCTAATACCCACAGAAATGTTGGCAAATATGGCAGGAAAATGGAGCGACAAATATGATGAAAAGTGTTCTTTAAAACACAGGGTATACAAATCAGTCAAACTTGGTAAGAGTCACCATCATACAATTATATGATGATGAGAGACTAGCAAAGGTTTTAGATTGCTTCAGAATTTATGACTTATTTCTGCAGCAACAAATCAGAACACATCTCCATCAAGGTCGTGAAAATCAAAGAGAAAACATCTCTATAGGGAAAGAAATCTTTGAAACTTCTGGAGAGACGTGGATCACTCGATTCTCAAATGCATTTTGGAGCCAGTCCTGTTTTTCTCATCGCAAATTTTCTAGGAGCAAATACAGGTAACAACAGAGTTGGTTGTTTTTGTTTTTTTGTTTGTTTCTTTGTTTTTGAGATGGAGTCTCACTCTGTTGCCCAAGCTGGAGTGCGGTGGCACGATCTCAGCTCACCGCAACCTCTGCCTCCTGGGTTCAAGTGAGTAGCTGGGACTATAGGTGCCCGAGTAACTGGGACTACAGGCATGTGCCACCACACCCAGCTAATTTTTTGTATTTTTAGTAGAGACAGGGTTTTACTGTGTTGGCCAGGATGGTCTCAATCTCCTGACCTCGTGATCCACCCACCTCGGCCTCCCAAAGTCCTGGGATTACAGGCATGAGCCACCACGCCCAGCCAACAACAGAGTTTTGAATTTCCAGGTTTTTTGTGTTTGTTTCCTTCAGCTGCATCTCCTTTGCACTTTAACTTGCATACCAACATATCTATGTTTAAAACACCTGTACCAACTCTCATCCACCTTTTGATTTCTTATCATGCTACTTACCTCACACTATTAAAAATGTATCTTAAAGCTTTGTTTTGAACTCAGTGGTATATTAGACTGTACACAGGCAGTAAGAATGTCAATTACTTCAGGAAAAAGTCCTACAGATGCCCTAATATATGGAAGAAGCTGGACTCTAATCTGTAGATTACATTTACAGGACAATTCTGAGGTCCATGTTTCAGAAACAAGGTGAGAAAACTAATCACAAATATTAAGACAGAGAAGGTTGGAGAAGAGTCACAGTAACTCCCAGTATGTATAAATTCCTCCATCATCAGGATAGGCTCAGTCAGGGAGAGAGAGGGAGTGAAGCTTGGAACCATGGATAGAACAATATTACCTGAAAGGTCAAGCAAGCCAGGCAAGGACAAAACCCAGTATCAGAAATAGCTGCTCAAAGAGGACAGAGGTCACCAGAGCTAAGGGTGGTAGTCCTCAATCTGCATACAGACATTCACAGAGATATGACAGCTAGTCAAAGTCATCATGCATTTAACTATAATACATCTACGCTTAATTAAAACATTAAGTTTCTTTACATATTGATATATACAATCAAGTAAACGGAGTTTAGCAATGGTTATCAAATGCTGCTCAGAAGCACTGCTTGGGAGGGATGTATGTCCCTTACTAACATAAACAGGTAAAATATCTAAATAAGTGTCTTGACCGATGAAAGCTTTCATAATATAAAGTCCATGAGAGGAAATAAGAGGGTTCCTTTGTAGTTAAAATTAAGGCTGAGAATCAGAGGCTTATATAAAATTATGCCTCTTTTCTACAATCCTTCTTCCTTCTAACCTTACCTCAAATATTACAGGCTAGTAAGAGAAAATACTTTCAGTTTGAGGCAATTTAATAACAAAACTTGCTTTCAGGGCTTAAAGAGCACTTAAAATTCAGGAAGTGCCTTCTGTAGTCAAGATGACATCTTTGACTTTGGAGAGGTAAAGAGCCTAAGAGATGATGCTGAAAAGAAGAAATATCAAGTTGCTGCCTGACTCTGACTCACTCCAGGTGGGTCGTTCAGATTCTTCAAAAAGCAGATGCCAAGGCACAATGAGATATGCTCCTGTGGGCCTCTCCTAAGGGGAAACTTGGAAGAAAAACAGTGGGACAGAGTTCATCCTCAATCACTGCAACTGTTCTCAGGGTTGCAAGCCCTCACCTCTATCCCCCAGGATCAATTTACTTACTTACAGGATTGACTTACTTACTTACTTACTTATTTATTTAGTTATTTATTTATTGAGACAGAGTCTTGCTCTGTCACCCAGGCTGGAGTGCAGTGGCACGATTGATTGATTGATTGATTGATTGATTGATTGATTGAGACAGAGTCTTGCTCTGTCACCCAGGCTGGAGTGCAGTGGCACGATCACGGCTCACTGCAGCCTCTGCCTCCTGGGTTCAAGCGATGCTCCTCCCTCAGCCTCCTGAATAGTTTGGACTACAGGTGTGTGCCATCACACCTGGCTAATTTTTGTGTTTTTAGTAGAGATGGGGTTTCACTATACTGGCCAGACTGGTCTCAAACTCCTGACCTCAAATGATCCATCCACCTTGGCCTGACAAAGTGCTGGGATTAGAGGGGTGAGCTACTGCACCCAGGCCCCAGGATCTATTTAAATCCCTCTCACCCTCAGCTATCACCTCTGCAGGTCTTGATAGCTTATCTGATTAAGCAATCCAAACTCTCATTCCTGAGCAGTGTGAGCCCCTGGTAATCATTCTCATTCCAGGCCGGCTGTAACATGTCCATTCACAGTTAAAATTGAGGAAGGGAGTAGGCAACAGGCTAATCACTGGATTGCCTATGTTCCACACATAGTCAACCCATTGCCACTGTGTAAAAACAACCCTACCTCTATTAGCTGATCTGGGTCAATCACTTGTTGTCAAAATGGTATGCTTTTCCCCTCACCTGCTGGTCTTAGACACAAGGAGTCCAGAGTACCCCACTGGCAACCACATCTTGTTGTTACATTGTACCCTGTGGTAAGACTGCACCCACTTTGGGAATGAGGACTTCTAACCCTGGAGAGCCCAGAGGTGGAGGGACAGAAAACAGAAAGTCCCTGGGTGGATACTGGATGCTACACTAAATAGGGCCACTTCTGTTCCCACCTCCTGGTTCCCAGGCTTGTGTATTCTTTCTACAGAATTATGGAAACATTTCTAATTTACTGTATGCACTGCATGCTGCAAGATGGCAACCCAACCATTCCCTGAGTTAGAGCTTTACATGGGCCTTTTGAAGGCCACTGTAGCACTCCACGAGGCCAGCTGCCTCTGGATGGTGCCATCTGTAACATGGTAGATGCCCTGGCACAGACCCACTCCCACACATCTTTCCCAGGGAGGTAAGTCCCCCATTCTGATGCTATGATGTACGGGATGACACGTCTGTGGATCAAGGGGCCAACCAGTGGCACTAAACATACACTAAGTTGCCAAGTAAAAATAATGAATTATATAAGATGCTATAGGTAAAAAAAAATAAGATGCAGTTATTTTCTCAAAGGAACTTATAGTCTAAAGAGAATCAAATACAGCAAGTTCTTCCTTGTTTATTACACACTATACTTGTAACAAGGGTATACAATTTTTTTCAGATACTGATACAAGCCATTATCATAAAACCTTCTCCATAATCACCAAAACCAGTCCAAATGCACCAAAAAAGGTATTTTTATATGACAAATATTCACTCATTGGCAATATTTAATATCATTTGCAATATCTAATCTTACTTGGCAATATTTAATAATCTTATTGATGTTATGAATCCTGTACTTTTATCTATTTCCAATTAAAATGTTTTCCAATTAAAATTGCAAACTTTGCAAAATAATACTGTCTATATTGTTTCATTTATAGTCTATTTTTATTTTTTCAATTTTTACTTTTTTTTAGTACATAGTAGGTATATATATATATATTTATGGGGTAAATGAGATATTTTGATACAGACATACAATGCGTAATAATCACTTCAGGGTAAAAGGGGTATCCCTCACTTCAAGCATTTATCCTTTCTTCCAATTATACTTTTACTTTTTAAATGCAAAATAAATCACTGTTGATTGTAGTTGCCCTGTTGTGATTTATAGCCTATTTTTAAATCCTATACTTAACTCAAGTTCAAATGACAAATTACTAAGTTAACAAATATTGCTAAGAATATTTATTCAAAGATTATTAAATAATCTGTTTTTGTATTTTGAGATTCAGTATTAATAGAAAATTTCTAAACTATCCAATGGTCAGGTTTATCATTCTGGCTTCATCTGAATAAGGAATAAGCTCAAGAAATAAAGTAAACCAACAAGGACAATTTCAAAACAAGGCAAAATTTCCAAAGCAGAATTTAAAAATACAGTAACTTATAACTCACAGTAATTATCTTCCTAAATGCCCAAAGTAATTTTTTTAAGACTGCCTCATATCTTGACAATAGCCTTATTTAGAAGAGGGAAGAAATATGCAACTCACCTTTGTACACCATAAGGCCTTTCTAAAATAGGCTCTTTGAATGGAGGCGGAATGTGACCAAAATAATCGGGATAAGCCACCTCTGAATATTCTGGGACAGACTTCGTATTTTTCACAATCTCAATATAGAGGTCTGGGTCATGGAGTGTTGGTCCATCAGGTACTTCAACCGATGCTTGTTCTACCGATGAATTTGACTCAGTATCTTCATCATCTTCAGTTTCAACTCCAGTGCAGCAAAGCTTCCCTAGCTGAACTGTTCTTCCCTCAAACAGAACATTTCCACAAGTAGCCATGTGTGGACATGCTTTAGCACAGGTAAGGACAGTAAGAGGAAGACTGCAGTCCTTCTTCATTTCTGCAGTAAAACCTGGGGCTGTTTGAGAAGGAATATTCTGCAATGTAATTCGGTCCAAGGCCTTTACAATATCATTGTTTAAACCATGGACTGATGAAATAGTTCTATTTTGATCACCTGGCTGCTGTTGTAATGTTCTATCATTATCTTTAATATCTTCTTTTGCTAGATCCATAAAGGTAGACTTCTTTTCACCTTCATCTCCTTTAGAAGATATGTTCTCCTTCATTACAACTTTTCTTAAATTGCCAGAATTCCCAGATGTTTCCTCGCCTGCCGTAGGAACAACAATAGGACCACGTACTTTTCCCTCAAATACAAAAGGCTTTGGTTCTTTGGAGATTAAATCATAGTCCTTTGAAAATAAAAACATGTTTAATCTTTTAACTGTAAATATTAAAACATATTAACAAAACTAATACATTCATGTTATATATTGCTTCAGAAATTTTTGGAAATTTTAAAGATGGATAAAACCGGATATGTTTTCATTTCACTAAAAAGACAAAATTTTTAACCACAACAAAATTCATAACAACTACTTTACTTTGCCTACATGTCACAGAAATGTGGGAAATCTTAGAATTCTAAACAGAAAAACATAAAGACTCCAAAATCCTATTAGGGACAACAACTAAATTGTTATTCATTCATTCAATAACATTACAGTGTCTGTTTTGTGCAATATTTATGAAGTGTCTATTTTGTGCCAAGCTTTGTCTCAAGCACTTAAGACACTTAAAAAAACAACTCTTCCCTTTTGTAGCTGACATTTGTATAGGGGTAGAAAAGAGGACTGTCAATACAACAAGTAATAAATACGATATATATTTCATATATAGAACATTAGAAGGGTAAAGCTCTACAGAAAAAAAAAAAAAGGAGGGCAAGGCCGGGCACAGTGGCTCACACCTGTAATCCCAGCACTTTGGGAGGCTGAGGCAGGGAGATGACCTGAGGTCAGGAGTTCAAGACCAGCCTGGCCAACATGGTGAAACCCTGTCTCTACTAAAACTACAAAAATTAGCTGGGCATGGTGGTGGTGGACACCGTAATCCCAGCTACTCAGGAGGCTGAGGCATGAGAATCACTTGAACCCAGGAGGTGGAGGTTGCAGTGAACCGAGATCATGCCACTGCACTCCAGCCTGAGTGACAAAGTGAGACTCTCTCTCAAAAAAAAAAAAAAAAAAAAAAAGGAGGACAGGACAGGCAGGATGTAATGTGGATTGGGAGTACCAAGAGAGCAGAGGTAGGTGGCAACTCTAAATGCCATTTGTTAAGGAGCCTCATGAGCAGATGAAATAGAAGCAAAGACGGTGAGGGCACCACACAAGGGGTGCATTCTAGGCAGAGAGGACTAGAGCACATAGCTCCCAGAGTGGAAGAACACCTGAGGTGTTCAAAGAACAGCAAGGATGGGATAGCTGGGAAAGAATGGACAAGATGAATGCCACGATGAATGCCAAGCACTGGAGAGCCTTGCACACTATAAGAATTTGGGTTTTTACTCTGAATGAGATTGGAAGCCATGACAGGGAGGGATGCCATGACACGAGTTATTTTTGAAAGATCAGATCCTAGTGCAGGGTTTCTGAATGACAGTGGCAAACATTTTGGGCCAGATCATTCTTTTTTGGATGATTTAAACAGATAAATAAGGTGTATATTGAAGTCATTTCCAAAATTTTGCTATTATACAAAACTGCAATAAAAATCTTTTTGCAAAGAGTTTTTGCTTTGTTTATAATGATTTCCTAAGCACTGAAATGGAACTGCAGAATCAGATATTATAATCAATTTTAATAATGCAAACTGGCCAGAACACCAAACTCTCCAAAAACACTTGTATTAATGTATATTCCCAGTAACTATACATAAGAGTATCTATTTCAACTGCTCTCTTCTTTGCCAACATTCGATACTATGGTTTTTTAAAAAAAAATTTCTAATGTGGTAGATAAGAAATATTATCTTACTGCTATTTTAATTTGCATTTCTCTGACTACTGGGAAGCAAACACTTTTCTATACATCTGTTAATCAGTCGCAATTCTTCATAGGTAACTTTTTTGTTCCTGGATACAGGGTTTTCTTTTTTTACGGTATAAATTTTCATGTTAAAAAATTTGTATACACATACATACATGAATCCACCAGTTAACCCATTTTTTGAAAATATTTTTCTGGATTTGCAATTGATCTTTTAATCTGGGTTAATTTCCTTATATACATTATGGAGTCCAAATTAAGAATCTTCCATTGTGATTTATTCCTTGAATGTCCACTGTATACAAAGCAAGGATTCAAAGATGATTCACAGGATCCCCTGTACTACAGCTAAGCCAAGAAGACAGTGGAAGCAATAAGGAGGAAATAGGTAGATCTACCTTAAAAGGGTTAAAGGGGTAGTAAGTTTGCATTAAAAAACACATTTTGTAGGAAACATGGTAGGCTAAGTATCCACCCCACAGAACTATTTACAACTTTTACATATATTAAATATTTACAATTGTTACATATATTAAAATATTTTAAGTTTGTCATTAAGTGGATAAGAAAGCAAGGATAAAGGCAAAGTATCAAATGAAGAAGGGATCCCTATGTGATAAGCTAAAGACTGAAGCTACCTTTCACTTTGAAAACATTTGCTAAACCAGGTGACCTTGGGTACAGATTTTCCCATCTCAAAGGCGATGAAGGACAGGAGAAAAACCTTGAACTGGCATTAAGGTGATTTCCCTCTCAAAAAGATGAAACTCCAGTACTACATCTTCAGTATATAGGTCCTAGAAACACTCCCACCACAAAAGAAAAAAAAAAAACACGTAAAAAGAAAAGCCAACTGTCTTAAATTTTAAACCTTAGCTCTAAGATGGTGAAAAGTAGCACCACTCACAAACTGGTATTAAAAACCGGCCATCAAATCACATGGATTCGCAGCCTGAATTCATGTCATTTTGGTGGTCCAAAAGCCCTTGAGGATTCAATCTATAATGGTGACTCTCAAAAGCAACAGCTCCTGGAGTTTCCACATAATTTCCACATACAAACTTATAAAGAAGAAAAGAAACCTAAACATACAATTCAACAAGGTAGAAGGAAAAAGAACCAAAAGAAACATTAGATATTGAAAAAGACCTACCAGAATCTCAGACTAAGAAATGACCATATTTAATATGTTCAAAGAAATAAAATATAGAAAACAAGAAAGACTGATTAAATGCATTTTGTAAGGTTTCTTTTTTTTTTTTTTTTTTTTTGAGAGGGAGTCTCGCTCTGTCTCCAGGCTGGAGTGCAGTGGCGCAATCTCAGCTCACTGCAAGCTCCAACTCCCTGGTTCAAGCAATTCTCTCTGCCTTAGCTTCCCGAGTAGCTAGGATTACAGGCACGCACCACCACACCCAGCTACTTTTTGTATTTTTAGTAGAGACGGGGTTTCATCATATTGGCCATGGTCTCGATCTCCTGACTTTGTGATCCCCCCTCTTGGCCTCCCAAAGTGCTGGGATTACAGGCTTGAGCCACCGCACCTGGCCCCTAGTAGATATTTCTAATGACAGATGAGACAAAGCCAAAAAGAGAATTAGGAAACTGACAGATAGTTCTAATGAAATAATCTGAAGGCAGCACAGAGAGGCAAAGAAAAGGAAAACAGAAAAAAGAGGTTAAAAGACATGAAAGGGAGTAAAAAGGTCTACGTTCAATTAGAATTGCAAAAGAGGGAGGGCAAAAACAAAACGCAGTAACTGAAGAAGAGAACGCAGAGTTTTTCCAAATCTTATGAGAAAACAACTCACAGAATCCAAATACAATAAATCCCAAACAGGATTTTAAAAAAGAAAATCCACACTTAGTCAACATTACTAGGAACTGTAGCATTAAAGCAAAAAAAGTATATGTTAAAAGCCACCAAAAATAGTCTCTTATAAAATAAAAACATACACTTACCATACATACCACCCAGCAAGTTCACTGATAGGTATTTACCCAAGAGAAATGAAAGCATATCTCCCCAAAAAGTTTTTTTTTTTTTTTTTTTAGACAGAGTTTCGCTCTTGTTGCCCAGGCTGGAGTGCAATGGCATGATCTCAGCTCACTGCAACCTCCAGCTCCCGGGATTAAGCGATTCTCCTGCCTCAGCCTCCCAAACAGCTGGGATTACAGGTGCCCATCACCATGCCCAGCTAATTTTTTGTATTTTTAGTAGAAAAGGGGTTTCACCATGTTGGCCTGACTGGTCTTGAACTCCTGACCTCAGGTGATCCACCCGCTTCAGCCTCTGAAAGTGCTGGGATTACAGGCATGAGCCACCATGCCTGGCCACCCCAAAAAATTTTGTGCACAAAATGTTATCAACTTTACTCATATTAAAGTCCAATGAAGTCTAAAACTTCAGACATTCCAACACGCATCCACAAAGAAATTGTGGTGTATTTACAAAATAAAATACTATCAAGCAATAAGGAAAGAACCACTGTTATATGCAGCAACATGGGTAAACCTCAAAAACATATGCTCAGCAAAAGCCTGACCCTAAAAAGTAAATGCTGTATGATTCAATTTATAAGAAGTTCTAAAACAGTCAAGACTAGTCACAGTGACAGAGAGCAGATCAGCAGTCATCTGCGCAGGAGATGAAGAGACTACAAGGGGCCCAAGGAGACTTTCTGGAATGACAAGAAATATTTCTGTCTCAATGGGTGGTAGTCACATAGGTGTATAAATGTGTCAAAACTCACTGAACTTAAGTGAAACTTACTGTATGCAAATTTTAACTCAATAAAGTTGATTTTTTAAAAGTAACCAGAGAAAGAGACTAATTTTAAGAATGTTTACAAAATAAAGACACTTTCGGGGAGGGAGAGCAAGACAGCATGTGCACAAGTGCACATGCAAGTACACGCCACTAAACGACGTGATCCCAACAGAAGGTCTGAGACACAAAAGGTAATGAAAAATTTTAAAGTGGTAAAAATGTGGGTAAGTCTACACTAAACATAAAAAAGCAAAGCAGTAATGTCAAATAGGTTTTTTATATATCTTAACTCTAGTTTTTAGAAAACCCACTTGACGTTACTGCTTTGCTTTTTATGTTTAGTAAAAAAAAAGTGTGTATATATATATGTTGATTTGGGAAGTCATGGTAGTTAGAATACTCGAAGTTTCCATTTATGGCTGAGGGAAAGAGGAAAGAAAGGTCCTGATTTACTTTAGACTTTGATAAATATGTTGGAAAATCTAGAGTAACTAGAATTTTTGCGTATTTGTCAATAATCAAACTAATACTTTAAATGGATACAGTTTATGTAAACTATACCTCAAAAAAGTTGATTAAAATAAAAAAAAGACTGTATATACAGTTTTCAAACTAGTAATAGGGAAAAGGTGGAGTAAGAGAAAGATAATCCAAATGAAGGCAAGAAAAAGAGATAAACATAAAGAGATAAAACTATTAAAATAAGATTTCATAAATATAAATCCAAATATAGAAGTAATTATATGTAAATGATCTAAATGCTCCAGTTAAATGACAAAACTCAGATTTGGTATTTTTAAAATCCAACTATACGCTGTTTAAAAAATACACATCGAAGGATACTGAAAAGTTAAAAGTTAATATAAGTATATTAATATTTTTTAAAGTACTTTTTGTCTTAGAATCTTAGAGGTAAAGATAGTAACTTCATAATGATAAAAAGTCCAACTCAAAAAGGAAGAAAACTCAATCTACATGTATATACAATAAATAATAACCCTCAAAAAATATATAACAAAAAACTAACAGACCTGCAAATAGAAACACACTCATAATCATAATCACAAGTGAGAAATTTTTTCATTGTGAGAAATTTTTAAAATACTTTTCACAGTGATTAATAGAATAAGAATAAAAATCCATAAGGATAAAAGAGAACTTAACTTCTCAACACAATTAACAATCTTGTCCTAATAGGCAAATAGACAACTGTGACTAACGAATATAGAATTCTTTTCAAACACATAAGAAAGAGTAACAAAAGTTGATCATATCCAAGGCCATAAAACGAGTCTCAAAATTTTTAAAAGGTTATGATTACAAAGACTGTGTCTTCTTATTCTACAACTATATGCTAGAAATAAATTTAAAAGATTTAAAATTTTTTATCTTTTTTAGAAAGCCAATTTTAAAAATTATCTTTTTTAAAAAACCAATGAATCAAAAAAAATAAGTTTCAGAGTAAAGATAATAAAAACACTAAACATCAAAATTACTGCTTATACGATGCAGCAAAAACAGTAATTATAGGAGGAAAATTTATAGCCTATCTATGCATGCATACATACACACACCCATGCGCGCGCACGCGCACACACACACACACACACACACACACACACATATGAAAAGAATAAGGCTGAAAATTACTGGACATCTCCCTTAGATGACAACGCAAAAAAAGAAAATAAAAAAGAATGAAAGCAGCAAAAGTCAAGACACAGCACTTTAAACATTATTTAGAGATATGAGGATCAACTTCAAAAACATACAAAAAGTAATTTCAGGATTTAGCATGTGGGAAAGGACTACCTATATAAAACTATTTGACACTTTAAACTTTCTCCATGAATAACTTTGACAAAAATTTAAAACCAAATTTAACAAAAGGAAAACAAGAAAGAAAAACAAAATATAACAAAAGTCCATAGTAAATGCCATCATGCTACCACAGACATATGAATAAAAGAACTGTGAAAATGCAGAATTTTGATACTTTCATTATTCTGCCATCAAGAAACAAGAGAAAATAAAACTGTAATTGTCACTATGAATAAATAAACATAGCTTTAAAAGCATGGTGAGGTCACTTCACAAAGGATGTTGATAATTACTTTAATAATACCATACGTTGCCTTCGAACAGCATTCATTTTCCTTCCATCTGGCCACTGAATAATGGCCTTAACACAGCTGGAAACAAAGCAGGCGGTGTTCAAGATTGAAACAAACACATAAAGTAATCTTAAGCATTAATGGTTGATGCTGAAAATAATATACAAATGAAAGTGGAAAAAGTCATAATTGAAACTAACTTCATTTATGTTTATTATCTCATGATCTACAAAAAATTGATACAAAGATAGCTGAAGAAAATTCTTTCAAACACATCCTATCTGGAACCAACCAATCTTTTTAATCCTTGAAAGCATGTCACTTACATATTGCTGCCTAAAATTCAAATACACACTTCAAAAAACAGAGCCTAAAGTATCAAATAATGCATTCCTTTGAAACTTAAAAATGACAAAGATAATCAAGTGGCAACACAATTACCTTAGAAATAATTTTCTGATTATGTAAATAAAAGACGATATGCTATTTCCTATTACATACGCTACAGAAATAGAGCTACTCTATATAAAACTTTACAGCAGAATAGACAATGCATTAATAAATGTGTACTACTTGAAATATCTGAAGCAGCATCTTTCGCTTAAAGAAAATAAAAAGGAGTAACTTAGTGAGAAGCTCTTTCACTCAGATCTGTCTTTACAATCTGACCCTGGCCACACCTATTCAGACCCAAAGCAGGAAACTGCTCTAGGAGCAGCCAAACTAATGGACAAGTTGGCCAGCTGTTCATAAAGTGCCATGTAGGAAATCATCAAGGTTAGCCTATTCTGGGTGACAAACTATAATTAGAAAACAGGGAATCTAAACATAGAATGCAAGACAACTCATCACAATCTAAAAGAAAGAAAACTCATTTGTGAAAGGATAAGAATCAAAGTCCTGGACTTAATACCTATAATCAGGTTACTTTTTTCTATTCCCAAATCAAAACTACAATCTGTAATCACATGAGAGTAGTGCCCTCTTAACTAAGGTTTTGATTTCCATGGTTTCAGTACTGGAGGTTAATCACAGTCTGAAGTATTAAATGGAAAAGTACAGAAATAAACAATTTATAAGTTTTAAAGAGTGCTCCATTCTGAGTAGCATACCACCATGGTCCATCCCACCCAGGACATGACTCTTCCTTTGTCCAACGTATCCACAGTATCTATGCAACTGACCTGTTAGTCACTCAGTAGCCATCTGCTACCAGATCAAAAAAACATGGTATATAAAGGGTTTGGTTTCAGGCATCCACTGGGGGTCTTGGAACCTATCTCCCACGGATAAGGGGGGCCTACCGTATATATTTCTCATATGTACAGAAAAAGTAGAAGGTACAGAAGAAACAGGTGACTTCTTCACACAATAATCGATTTCCTCCTCAAACTTTTTCCACAGTATTCTTCTGCCTTGATTTAGCAGTATTTGTTATTACTGATATTTTCAAGTGGTTCTTAACTAGACACAAATGTGTTAAAAGAGCTCACGGATAACTGCTGTAGGTTGAATGAAAGAGAATCAACCTATACCCTTTCTCAAATGCCTCTTCCTGTCTTCTTTTTTTTTTCTTTTGACAAATACCTTCTCTTTCATTCCTGCCTTCCTTCTATTACCCCGATTTCAAAGTACCTTCTCATGTACCTCAAATCTAGGGGGAATACCAAGACACCAGAGCAGGGGGTGGCAGGGAAGGCTGCAGAAGGTGGACAGTTGTTGCATCTTTTATGGCATCTAAGGCTCCTAAGTTCCCAAGCTGAAACCTGAATGATTAGAACTATGAAATGTAAATTCTAGGTGATAAATGTTTCTTTTTTTTTTTTAGACGAAGTCTCATTCTGTTGCCCAGGCTGCTGGAGTGCAGTGGTGCGATCTTGACTCACTGCAACCTCCATCTCCCAGGTCAAGAGATTCTCCTGCCTCAGCCTCCGAGTAGCTGCAACTACAGGTGTGTCTCATCACGCCCGGCTAATTTTCTTATTTTTAGAAGAAACAGGGTTTTGCCATATTGGTCAGGCTGGTCTCGAACTCCTGACCTCAAATTATCTGCCCACCTCGGCCTCCCAAAGTGCTGGGCTTACAGGCATGAGCCACCACACCCGGCAACAAATATTTCTTTTTAATTTCTCACCTATAACCTCACAACTATAACCTCACAACAAAGTATTTTTCTTTAAGCAACTAGAAATTAAGTGTATGAAATTTGGGGAACAAAGGAAGGGCTAAACAAATCTTAGAGATTATCTAATTCAAACTCTTAGACACTTTAAGATCCTGGGCGATTTCATAGACTTATCCAAGGAACCATCACAAAAGCCAGCTAATTGCCAACAATTCAATCAACTTGACTTGCTCTGTAATCCAGGCTGAATAAAAAAACTGTGTCCATTAAAGTGATGCAAAAAGACTAAAGTGACAAAAAATGTAATAGTCCATCTCCCCTCTTTTTTTTTTGAGACGGAGTCTTGCTCTGTCACCAGGCTGGAGTGTAATGGCGAGATCTCGGCTCACTGCAACCTCCGCCTCCCAGGTTCAAGCTATTCCCCTGCCTCAGCCTCCCAAGTAACTGGGACTGCAGGAACGTGCCACCACACCCAGCTAATTTTTTTTTTTATATTTTAGTAGTGACGGGGTTTCACTCTGTTGGCCAGGATGATCTTGATCTCCTGACCTCGTGATCCACATACCTCGGCCTCCCAAAGTGCTGGGATTACAGGTGTGAGCCACCACGCCCGGCCCATCTCCCCTCATTTTACAATTGCTTAACTGCAGCTCAGGATATTGACATAATTATTCAATGCCACTCAGAAAAGCAATGCTAGTTTCACTTTTTAGAAATGGAAAGAAAATAAAAACAGTGATTATCGACCTAAGGGAAAAAAAATAACTTTTTATTAAAATCAGTTAAGATGCTGAATTTTCTATATTTATACCTGAAAATCATCAACAAGCTCAGGGAAAAGGTGTTCATACATTTTTAGATCTTCTATTGTTCGTCCCGGTTCTTGCTGGGGTTTTAGTTTGTTAATATCTGTTTCAATATCATCATTCTGAAATGATAAAAAGAGTATGTTATCAGGTAAAACAAAATTTTTAAAAATTACAGAAAACATTTTAGATTTAAAATGTTCCAAGTTATTAATTACATGTAATTAAAGAATAATTACTGAATAAATACTGCATTAATTTTATCTTAAATTCAAATTTGCTTATTGTTTTGGGGTTGTTGTGTTATTGTTGGGTAGTTTTGTTTTGTTTTTGTCATGGTTACTCTAATATAACAGAGTATTCTGGCTACTCAAAACAGAAAAACTTGTGTAAAGATCAAGACTCCATTATGAAAAACATACATATATATGATGATGGTGATAATAAAACAGCTAACATTAAGCACTGAAAATAAATGAAACACTATGCTAAGCATTTTACATCTATTATCTAATTTATTCTGCATAAGAACACTATGAAGTTACCCCCATTTAACTGAAGAGGAAAATGAGGTACGGAGAAGTTAAGCCATTTGCTGAAAATTACACATCTTGCAAAGACAGGAGCCAGGATAAAAACCAGTTAGAGTGATTCTGAAGCACCACACTGTCAGCCAGCATCACACACTGCCCCAATACAGATTAATGATGATCACACAATCTTAGAGTGCATGGGAAATAAAGTTCTTTTAGAAAAACTCAGTGTCACCATTCACTCTGTTTTCAGTGGGGGAAAAAAGTCAGGAGTGGAACAAGAGCCAGAAATGATTTCCATGTCTCTCTAGGAAAAAAAGCAGGTGGATTTAAAGGAAAAGTATGTCCTCAGAGAAACAAGATATGTATCCAGGATCAATGTGTTCTAAATGCTCTTCAGAGAAGAGCTAATGAATCCCATGATAAGAGGGCAAATGTCAGATTATCTACTACCCAAGCTATTTTCTAGGATCCTCAATGACTCTGGCCTCACACAAACTAATTATTATCTTTGTTATGGCTGAAGAGAGATAATAATACCATTTAATAATTTTCAGTTGGTACTTATTTTTAATTTTGTATTTACTTACTACCAGAGTAAGCTACTTATTTTTCAGCCTAATTTACAAGTATATTTTACTATGCTTCAATCCTTAAAAAACTTTATATACATGTATCTGACCATACTTACACATATTAACTACTAGTTTAAAAGAAAAAAACATATTATGTATTTCTTATTATTTCATATTCAGGAATTTAGCTATTATTTACATAGCCAATGAAAAAGATTTTCCTCATTGATATGCATAATAGAGATTGATTTTATTTAAATGTTATCATATTAATCACTGTATCATTATTGTATACTTATTATTACATTAATATGTAATTTAATCTCTTTAAATTATACATTTAGGAACCAATAATGTAATAATTTTCTTAACATCTAATAGAATACATAATGTTTCTAAAATAAAAAATAATTTACAAAGATATTCTTTTCTCTAAACATACTAGTTCAATATTTGACACTATTTTGTGAAAATATGGCCTTACATAGTGGCTATTTGGAGAGGAAAAAAAAAAAAAAGGCTTTACCTGTAAAACAGGTATAATGGGGAAAGAAAACTACAACACTCCGAAAGCTCAACAGCAGGGAATTTTGTGTTTGGTTTAAGAAGAAACAGTAGTGAAGGACTACTTACAGACTCATTAGAAAAAAACAAAACAACCTGCTACCACTCCTTAAAAGTTCTGCTAGTTAAGGAAGGAACAAAGAATGCACTGAAACTTATATACGGTCAAGTTGTGGCTAGCTGGAGATGAATCTTCTAGAAGCTACCAGTTTCTATAAATGCTCCAAACTCTGAAAAATCTGGGACAAAGAAAATGGAATCACAGGAAAAAAAGTTATAACCATAAGAGAACACAAATAAATAATACCCCCACTATGATGTAGCAGTTCACCTGAAGGATGAAGGAATAGGATTCAGATAAAAAAAGGAAAAATTAAGTAACGTCTAAATGTAAAGTCAATGAGAGTAAGAGGCAGGCAGCAGTAGGAAAGAAAAAGAAGATAATAAAGCTCAGCAGTCTCAAAAAGCCAACAATTCCATAGTTCTTGAAGAAAAATTATATTTTAGTACAGTATAGTGATAAAGAGAGTGGACATTCCACTAGACTGCTTTCTGAATCCTGGCTCCACCTCTTATAAACTAGACTGAGAACCTCTCTCTTCCTCTGTTTTCTATGTACTTATACAACCTGTATTTACCTCATAGGGTTGCTATAAGGATCTAATGGTTACTATGTATATGTAAAGAGTTTGGACTACCACAGTTAAGTGTTCAATAATAAAATGTATTTTGTTCTTATTGCTATAACTGCTCTGTTAAGATAAAGTAGGGAAAACGTGAGCAATCACTGATACCCCAGTGAATAGTGAATAATGCAAGCTAACAACTACATTTTCCAAAGATGTCAATGTTATAAGACAAAGAAATCTGTAGAAATGTCCCAGATTAAAGGAGACTAAAGAGACAAGATAATTAAGGGCAATACCTGATGCCAGGACATAGATGTAGTTTAGATTGGCTAACTTGACAGTTTCGCCAAAGCTTACCTTGGTGATCACATTTGCTGGTTATAAAATGGGTTCTGTATCTATTAAGACAGAAATCTTCCAATATCTTAACTTCTATCTCCAAAGTGAATCGAATACTCAGTGTACCCCAATTTTGATACAGTTTTGCAAGACAAAAATTGGTCCAAACAGGAAAGAGTCAAATTAATCCCTCCTCCCCCATAAAAAAAACCCAGCAATAGGCTAAACAGCTAAAAAAAGAGACCATTTTTCTACAGATGCTAGAGTAGTCCTCTCTCTATAAATAAAGCAAAATACAGACTTTCTAGGCTTCCAGAGGTACAATGAAACTCCGAAAACTTACTTGCCACCTTTACCTAACATCTTATGTAATATGACAATAATTTTATATTTTCTCAATAATACTTTTTTCACTTCCTTGTTCAATTAACTGAAACCTAAGAATCATTATGCAAACACTAATTCTCACAAAAACAAATCCATTATAGAATATTTTCCTACTGTTTTTGTATCCCCAAAAGACTGCTGACAAAGGATAATAATGCATTTTGAAATAAGTTGCCACAAGAGAGTTTCAGATCACTTTCCTTCAATTTTGTAGATTTCAAAATCTAAGGCAGAAAGGTTAGATAAAATCTTTCTGGTCAGAGAGAGTGAAAATAAGTTACTTTAAGGTCCTTTTCAGACCAGTGGATTTAAACCAATATCATCTACCCCTTTAATTGCATAGTCATTCATGGTAAAAAGATGTGGACAAAGTAAAACCTAAAATTACATATATATTTATTTACCCAATTTTTGTTTTACAACTGTAGTATATCATTTATAAAGCTAACTAATTACAGAAATTTATACTAACCTTAAAATTTTGATCTAGGTCATCTTCATTCTCAGTTTCGTTTTCAGCTTCTACATCAATATCATCGTTGTCATCACTTTCATCTACTACGTCATCCACTATGATACAAAATGTGCTATAAGTAGGTCAGAGGTAAGCATTCTACAATATGCATAGCCAATGGTAGAATGTGACTTATATAAAGTATTTCAATCACCAGAGAAAAAGTAAATGAGATTTCTTATTTAACATCTCTCTAAGGCTGTCCCAGCTGTTGACAAACCCATGGGACCATATAAGAAAGTGCTTCAAAATTTGGAAAGCACTGTAAAGGTGAATTTTACTAATGTTCTCAGTTTTTAAAAATAATGTCTTATGTTGCGATAGCCTGAATGAAACATCCTGTTTTCTATTTATTATAAATTTCAATGACTCACTTCATCCCTTTATAATTGACCCCCTATTTGTTTCAATGACAGTCATGTGCCACATACTGTGCTATATGCTGGGAATTTTTTCAAAAGATGTGTAAATCGGGTTGTCTAATCTTTTTGTTTCCCTGGGCCACACTGGAAGAGGAAGAACTGTCTTGGGCTACACATAAAATACACTAATACCAACGATAGCTGGTGTGCTTAAAAAAAAAAAATTACACACACACACACAAATCTCATATTGTTTTAAGAAAATTTATGAGGTCAGGCGCAGTGGCTCACGCCTGTAATCCCAGCACTTTGGGAGGCCAAGGCAGGCAGATCAGCTGAGGTTGGGAGTTCGAGACTGGCCTGACCAACATGGAGAAACCCTGTCTCTATTAAAAATACAAAATTAGCTGGGCATGGTGGTGCATGCCTGTAATCCCAGCTACTCGGGAGGCTGAGGCAGAAGAATTGCTTGAACCTGGGAGGCGGAGGTTGCGGTGAGCCAAGATCGCGCCATTGCACTCCAGCCTGGGCAACAAGAGCAAAATTCTGTCTCAAAAAAAAAGAAAGTTTATGAATCTCTGTTGGGCCACATTCAAAGTCAATCTGGGTTGTATGTGGCCCATGGGCAGCATATTGGACATGCTTGGTGTAAATATAGTCTCTTCCTTCAGGTAGCTCATGAGGTTAAAGAGCAGAAAGGAGTAAACATGTAATTATAATACCAAAGATAAACACTAATGAAGCCATAAACTCCAAAATACTATGGGAAAATGAGGAATGAGGTGGCTCATGAGGTCAAAGAGCAGAAAGGAGTAAACACGTAATTATAATACCAAAGATAAATGCTAATGAAGCCATAAACTCCAAAATGCTATGGGAAAACGAGAAATGCAACAACTAATTGTAAACTGCTTGGAGACAAGGGGCTTGATGCTGACCACTTCACAGAATAGGTGATATTTAAGCAGTATCTTGTAGAAAGTATAACAGATTTCTATGTGAATGTAATGGTGGGTGAGTGTGGCTTCTAAGAAGAGGAAATAATACTACTAAAATAAGGAAGTGAAATGATATCTTTAGAAAATAACAAAAGGTATGACTAGGATGAAGAGTATGCTTATGAAAGTACTGAAAGGAAAATAAAGAATTAAAAAATGAAGGATGTAACATAGTAGGCCAAGTAGTACTGACTTTTAATATAAAGAAGATAGGCACTGAGAATTTTCAAGACAAGAATGGCTTAATTCAATTTTAAGAGGTGAGAGAGACAGCATACGGGTGGAAGGTGACCAACAAACAGGAAAAGAAAAAAATTCCATGTTGTAGCAGGATAGCACAGGGGTTCTAGAAACAGAATACCTGAATTCAAATCCTAGCTCCCGAACTTACTAGCTATTTGACCTTGAGCAAGTTACATCAATTCTTTGTCTTCGTTTCTTTGTCTATAAAATGGAGATATCTACTCATAGTGTTTCTGTGGGCATTAGAGAAGTTAATATACGTAAAGTGCCAGGCAGAGTATGTGTTACACAAATGTTTATTACTGCTGTTGCTTGAGGGACTGTGCTACTGGGTCTCTTTGTAACAGCAGTTTAGTCGACCCTAACTAATACAGGTACAAATATAAAAACAAATCACCTCAAATTCTTAGATAGCAAAAAATAAATATTCATATTTCACATGGTAACCTGGGTTGATTTATACTTATGCCCTAACGGCAGTTGGTCATGGATAAACAAGGGAAGAACTGACATTTGGAAGAAGAGAAGGAAGAAAATAACTCCTAGGAAAAAAGAAAGGGATTGAATTAAGGCGCGGTGGTTCACACCTGTAATCCCAGCATTCTGGGAGGCCGAGACGGGCGGATCACGAGGTCAGGAGATCGAGACCATCCTGGCTAACACAGTGAAACCCCGTCTCTACTAAAAGTACAAAAAATTAGCTGGGCGTGGTGGCGGGCACGTGTAGTCCCAGCTACTCGGGAGGCTGAGGCAGGAGAATGGCGTGAACCCGGGAGGTGGAGCTTGCAGTGAGCTGAGATCGCGCCACTGCACTCCAGCCTGGGCAACAGTGCGAGACTCCGTCTCAAAAAAAAGAGAAAGAAAGAAAATCCTATTGCAAGTAGGAAAAATGACTGCTTGGAAAGAAAGGGAGAGGAGAAAATGCAGTTCAGCATCAGAGAGAAAATATGTTTTCAATTTTTAGTCAAACCTTTCAAATATTTTCCTTTGTAGGATGTTTTCCTTAGGGTTTATACTCCAGATGTGAAATGCCATGTAGCTTAAGAGCGTCTGAGACCTTCTCTGCTATTTCAAAGATCCATTCATTATACCAGTACCAATAATTAACAATATTAATTATTATAGCCAATCAAATTAAAACCAGGGAATATAAACCAAAATTCTTACTGATTTTCAAAATGTCCTTGGCTTATAGTAAAAACAGAAATATAGGAAACAACTTAAATGTCTATCAGTAGGACACTAGTTAGATAAATTATACTACAACTGTATGATGTAGTCATTAGAAGGAAAGAGTCTGCACATTCTATAAGGACTGGGAAAGTACATCACGGGAAGTTTATTTTGTTGTTGCTATTGTGCCTATAAATGTGATCTACTTTCCCTTTATGTTTTCTATGTGTTTTTTGTTGATACACATATACACACGTAGAGGAAGGCTATTTAATTTTATTCATTTTTCTTGTAAATAGTACTTTACTGTTCCTTTGCGTAAGCCACTTTTTTACAATTGATTTGCTTGGATTTTCTATATAGACAGTAATATCCTCCACAGATACTGATAAATTTATCTCACTCTTTTAACGGTTAAGACCTTTCTTTTCCCTATCTTACTGATTTAGCTAGAGTTTTCAAAACTACGGTAAATAATAATGGTTGAGAGAGGCATCCTCTAACATTTCATTACTATTTATGATGTTGGCTATTGATTTGAGCTAGATAATACTTAGCTTGTTCAGGAAATATTCCTGTGTTCCTTAAAAATTTTTCTACACTGATATGATTTTTATGAAATCTTGTCATGGCATTTACTGAGATGATCATTTGGTTTTGTCCCTTTGATCTACTGATAATATATTTTACTAATTAAAGTCTTAATATTACAATAAACTTACTTTCTTAAAAATCATCTTTACTTGGTCAAGGTGTCCTAAACGTAAACAATACTGCTCAACTAAATTTGCTAATACTTTAGGATTTTTATATTTATTTTCATGAGTGACAGTGATCTGTAGGTTGTTTCAGATTAATCTTACCAGATTGTGTTTTCAGCATCATGCTAGCTTCTAAACTTTCCTTTTTTTTTTTTTTTTTTTTTCTTGCTCTGGAAAATAAAGTGTAGGACAATTTCTTGAAAGTTTGGGAGAACTAATCTATGAAGTCATCACCATTTGGTGTCTTCACTAAAGAAGCTTGATTGCATATTCAATTTCAAATTTTTTACTATTTAAGTCAATATTAGTTATTCATATTTTCCTAAAATATTGTCCATTCCAATCACACAGTGACCCTTGAAAAATGTAAGTTTGAACTGTGCAGGTTCGTTAATACACAGATTTTCTTCTGCCTCTGTCACTCCTCAGATAGCAAAACCCCTCCTGCCCCTCCTCCTCCTCAGTCTATTCAATGTGTAGACAACAAGGATGTAAACCTTTATGAAAACCACCTCCACTTAATGAACAGTAAATATGTTTTCTCTTCCTTATGACTTTTCAAATAACATTTTCTTTTGTCTAGCTTACTTTGTTGTACAGAATACACGTAACATAAAAAATATGTATTAACTGTTTATGTTATCAGTAAGGTTTCTGGTCAACAGGTTACTAGTAGTTATGTTTTGGAGGAGTCAAAAGTTCTATGCAGATTTTCAACTGCACAGAGTCGATACTGCTAATCCCCAAGTTGTTTTAGGGTCAAGTCTGTATTCAAATGCATTCGCAGGAGTTGCCTTTAACATCTACTTAGACTGATTTAACCACCCCTATTTACTTTGCCAAGAATGTAGAGGTATATTAAAATCAACCACCAACACTGTTTCTACCAATGTCTTTCTGTTATTCAAATGATTATAGTTTTGTCGACTTTTAGTATTTGGCACATGTGTTATCTAGCTTGCATAAAATAATCTTCACTGCCTTGTTTTAATCATTTTTTATTCTGTATTCGTGTTTTGTTTAACAATAATACTTTCCTTCTCACCTCTTCTGGGCTAAGGAATAACACATACATATTTGCTAATCTGTTTACTTTCAAGCTTTCTATCCTGCTGTCTTAAGAGACTTCATATGTACCAGCTAGTCGGATTTTGTTTTTTAACCCAATCTGGGAGTCTCTTTCCTTCAACAGGAGTATTTCATCCATTTAGACTTATTACTGAAACTGATCTGCTTGTCCTTGCTTAGCCTTTAGTGCTCTCAGGATATTGTGCATCTTTGAAATTTCCTTGCTTTTACACAGCAATGATGGACCCCTATAATTTTATATCAATTTTCAAAGTGTCCATAGTCTCCAAAGGCCACCCATGTATTTCTATGGGTCAATGGACTCCTGTTTAAGGATCTCTGTTCCAGATGTTACCTTTACATTTGGCGAATATACATTTGGATTATTTGTATAATTTTCATTTTAGAAATGCAAGAACAGTATAATATTAGGAAATCTATCAATATAAATTTTAGCTCATTTATGTAAATACCCACTTTATAATAACTGTATTATGTATCTTTTGCCAATAATTAGCTAACATGTTTCATAATAATACTATAACAACTATTTAGTATTATATAGTTAACAGATTATAATGTTTAATACAAATACTCTTAGGTAACGTCTACATTCTTGACATCTCTAATTCATCATCTGACTGGCTGGAGTAATATTTCACATAATTACTTCAGGAAGGGAATACCTGGATAATATACTTCTGTACCCAAACATACCTAAGAATATGTCACCTTCACATATGGTGACAACTAATAAAGGTCCAGAAGTCTTGAGTCAGAACCCTTTCCTTCAAATCTCCATAGATGCAGCATTTAACATTCAGAAGAATAAGTATCAAGGCCAGCTCGATTCATTTATTCAACAAACATTAAATGCACTTATTATGTCCCACACAATCTAATGGATGCTGAAGACAAAATGAAAACAACAACAGTCCTATTGTGATATATATTTGATCTTTGTCCCAGGTTCCTGGCACACAGCTGCTAAATCCCTTGGAATTTCCTAGGTAGAGGAGCATCTTTTGTTCTAATGATGTGACTCTTTGTGGGCCCCTTGATAACTTCAGGATAGAGGCTGGTCACTAGAAAGATCAAGGCATGATCAGACAGTTGGAACTTCAGCCCCACTCCTCAACCTCTGGGGAGAGAGGAGCTGGGGACTGATTTTATCAAAAATAGCCTTATAATTAAGCAATCACACCTACATAATGGAACCTCCATAAAAACCCTAAACAATGGTATAAAAGCTCAGAGTTTTGGCCGGGTGCAGTGGCTCACGCCTGTAATCCTAGCACTTTGGGAGGCTGAGGCAGGCGGATCACAAGGTCAAGAGATCGAGACCATCCTAGCCAACATGGTGAAACCCCGTCTCTACTAAAAAATACATAAAAATTAGCTGGGCGTGGTGGTGCACACCTGTAGTCCCAGCTACTTGGGTGGCTGAGACAGGAGAATTGCTTGAACCCAGGAAGCGGACGCTGCAGTGAGCTGAGATCGCACCACTGCACTCCAGCCTGAAGACAGAGTGAGACTTCATCTCAAAAAAAGAAAAAAACAACACACCACTCAGAGTTTCTGAGTTGGTGAACACATCATGGTGCTGGGAGGGTGGCATACCTAGAGAGGGCATGGAAGCCCCACACCCCTTCTCTTATACCTGGCTCTATGCATCGCTTCCATTTAGCAGCTCTCAAATTGTATCCTTTATAATAAACCCATAACCATAAGTAGAGTGTTCCTGAGTTCTGTGAGCCATTCTAGCAAATTATCAAACTTCAGGAACAGGTTGTGGAAACCCCCACCCCCATCAACTTTATTGCCAGTAGGTCAGACATACAGGTAGTCCAGACTTGTAATTGTTATCTGAAGTGGTAGCAGTCCTGTGGGACTAAACCCTTAACCTGTGGGGTCTGTATTAACTCCAGGTCTTCAGTGTCAGAATTGAACTGAATTGCAGAACACCCAGCTAGTGTCTGGAGATATGGAGAATTGGTTGGTATGAGGACAAAAGACACATATTTGGGGGTCAGAAATGCTGTGAGTAAAAGAGTTCAGACCTATCCTTGTGGACTCACATTCTAGCTGAGGAAGGTAAATAATAATAAAGACTGTGAAACATATAATGAAGCCTGACATGTGAGAAAATAATGGAAAACAAAGCAGAGGCAAGGGCATGTAGTCCCAGCTACTTGGGAGGCTGAGGTGGGGGGGATCTCTTGAACTCAGGAGTTCGAGACCAGCCTGGGAAACATGGGGGGAGGAAGGAGGAGGAGGAGGAAGGAATAATGGAAAACAGAATGAGAGTATTTTCCTAGTATCTATACACTTGCTATTAGAACCCTCCTCTCCCATCTGAATCAGGAAGGCTTGTCAGTCAATGTAAATATGCATTTCTAGTCCAGTGACTCATTGGTCTGAGAAGCAGGCATCAAAGGAACTAAAAGAAAAATATAATTTCTTGTTTGTTCCCGTGTTTGGTGAATTTACTGCACTAGAGGTCGGCTTTCTCTATCCGTCAATCCAGACACTAAATAAAGAACTTGCTGGGGCCTATCCCACCTCCTTCCTGGTGTTACTACTGGCCGCAGCACAGGGAAGACTCACCAGCTTTCCACCAGTGAGAACCACCATTTAACCCCCATAATCCTATGTTGATGTAGGAAAGAAAGGGATTCCAACTGCTTCCTGATTGTCCCTCCAAACTGGTGCTAATGGCACCTCAACTTTAGCAGAAGATAATGCATTCCTAGAAGAGGGAGTGGAGGCTTGATGCTGCTCCTGCATTTACTCACAGCTCCACCACATCTCTTGAATGTTCTGTATTTGTTCCATGCCCCTCTTACCCAGTTTTCAGATTTGGTACAGATTTTCTCCTGTAAAAGTCTGTCGGTAATTTCAAATGGAATGGGAAAAGGGTATTGGACCACTGCTTTTACTTAGCTTTCTTACTCATAAGTCCTAGACTTAGTCTTAGACTTTTCAACATTTTAAAGGAGGTTTCTAAATAATCCATTTTGATATGTTGTGTCAACTTGTTTTAATAACTACATATTTTAAAAATAAAATCATAATAGTGTACCCTATGACATATACCATTAATAAATTTATATCAAGGATAATGAAACTAATATAATTCCTTGAAAATTCTCTTAAAACACTTGTTTCAAATAAGAATTTTACATATAAATAAAGAATCTTCGTTTTTTTTCTCAAAAAAGTAATAAACTGATAAGAAAATACTATAGAAATTCTATTAAAAGCCAGGACTACTTTCTCTTTTTCACTTTGGTAGATGTTGTCAAAGAAATTCTTCTTCCCCATATAAATAAACTCTTACTTCCTCTACTGTATACCTACAGTATTATATGGAAAATGACAAACAGCCTACCTCAGATAATTTCATATTTTCATCCAAGTAAGTCATGTGAAAGTTTTTGTTAAGCATAAAACCATAGTAATTTTGGTGATTAGGTTGTTTTTTTTTAACTTAAGAAAAAAAATCACTGAAAAGCTACAAATGTAAACCCGAACATAATTTACCTAGACATTTAATGTTTATATTTTTACACTTTAAAAACATACATAAGTTGGGCCGGGTGTGGTGGCTCACACCTGTAATCCCAGCACTTTGGGAGGCCGAGGCAGGCAGATCACTTGAGGTCAGGAGTTTGAGAACAGACTGGCCAACATGGCGAAAACCCATCTCTACTAAAAATACAAAAATTACCCGGGAATGGTGGCACAGGCCTGTGATCCTGGCTACTCAGGAGGCTGAGGCAGGAGAATTGCTTGAACACGGGAGGCAGAGGTTGCAGTGAGCCGAGATTGCACCACTGCACTCCACCCTGGGCAACAGAGCAAGACTCTGTCTCAAAAAAAAAAATTAAAACAAAAAAAAAGTACATAAGCTATCAAATAATATTCCTATGTGAAGCTTAATTATTTCACAATTCACATTTGCATATATACAACACATCCCACACCATTTCACTTAATTATTAGCCTCCAATTTCTTACATTTAAAGAAATGCTTAACTAAAATAAAATGTGAATGTTTATCACGTTAAGTAAGGCCTTCCTTTGCTGAGGAGTTAGACATAAATAAAAAGAAAATCACAGGGTCACATAATTCTAAGAACCCACAAAAAGCAGCAGTGACCCTGTGATCCTACCTTCAGGAGGTAAGCTGTAGAGCTGAGCCACAGGACCAGTCACAGGAATAACAGGCAACTGGAAATGAAAAGAACTTTTAATTGTTGGGAGTGGCAGTCGATTTTTTGGGAAACACTTCCTCATTATCAGACTGGAGGTATTGACAAGAGGATCCAGAGTCCTGACTGCCAGACATTCCTGTTTTTTAAAAAAAGAAAAAGAAAAAGAATGTTTTTGATGAATAACTGAACCAATTTTACTTTAGTTCAAAAAGTGTCATACATTAATAATTTTCTAGAAACAAATATCTCAAAAACCAATATTTTAACACAGAATAATTACAAAATAGCTTTACTATTCAGAATTATCTATCTGTAAGTAAGAACCCCATGTGGCAAATTCAGAAGAACTTTTCCTTAAATATTTTCACTAAGCAGAAATCAGTACCATCTTTGGAGTGACTTGGGGGGACACTTGGCAAGCCTAGGGCATAAAATAAAAAAGATAATTTAAGGGAAAAGGGGGAAAAGGATTAAGCAAGAAAATTTAAAAGGTGTAAGAAATTAAAAAACAAAAAAAAAAACACGCATTTGACCAAACCTTCCTCAGAACTGTATCAGTTATCATGCAATAATACCTCTCATAAGTTGGCTATTCACCTTATAAAAGGATAGCCTGAATATCACAATATAAAGGTTTTTTTGTTTCTTTGTTTTTGGTTTTGAGATGGAATCTCGCTCTGTCACCCAGGCTGGAGTGAAGTAGAGCTATCTCGGCTCACTGCAAGCTCCGCCTCCTGGGTTCATACCATTCTCCTGCCTCAGCCTCCCGAGTAGCTGGGACTACAGGTGCCCGACACCACGCCCGGCTAATTTTTTGTATTTTTAGTAGAGACGAGGTTTCACCATGTTAGCCAGGATGGTCTCGATCTTCTGACCTCGTGATCCGCCCGCCTTGGCCTCCCAAAGTGCTGGGATTACAGGCATGAGCCACTGCGCCTGGCCCACAATATAAAGTTTTAAGAGTCTGACTTGCTGTCCTGGTATCTAATCTGGAGAAGGGTTAAGGGACATGGGATATGAAACCGTCATATAACAACAGTATTATTAGTGACATTTGACATTTAGATGGTACTATGATACACTGTAAAAGTTTCCATATACATTTTCACATCTGACCTGTCAAAACAAATGAGAAATTAAGGCTCAGAAATGTTAAGTGGCATAAACCAAGTGACCTAACTCTTTCTCATATATAAAATATCCATCAATGTCTATACTAGGAATAGTAAAAACAAGTACATATGATTGATCTAGAAAAGAAAAAACTAAGGTAAACATAAAATATGTGTTCAGATATCTCAACTCTTGTCATATAAAAATAGACTGTGTTTGTCATGTGTGAGACCAGGAGGGCACAATCAAGATAACTGGCTGATATTTTCAAAAAGACAGATTTCTTTCTAATAATTATAGCTTTCTTAAAAAAAAAAGAGAGGGGGTTGCATTGCAACATCCTCATTCCCCATGGCTGACAGTCAGCACAGCAACTAGAAAGGATCTCACTAAATACACTGTCAAAAATGTTTATGCTTAAAATGGCTGGCAGATATAGCATTCCCAGTTCCAGGTTTCATTTTTGTACCTTCTCTATTCAAAAAAGCCTCTATCCAGCAGGAAAACGTGCAGAATACTCACAGACAACAGAGCTGCTCTACAGGCTGTAAAGGATCCACAGATACCTCATGAGAGGAGCAAACAACACCGAGTACAGCCAACTACACATCCTAGAAAACATGGCTTTACGGAATCCCCTCTTGCTAAGTGGATGAATTTCTACTTCTTCCTTTTGCCTTAATGAGATCACATGGACACAGGAAGGGGAATATCACACTCTGGGGACTGTTGTGGGGTGGGGGGAGAGGGGAGGGATAGCATTGGGAGATATACCTAATGCTAGATGACGAGTTAGTGGGTGCAGTGCACCAGCATGGCACATGTATACATATGTAACTAACCTGCACAATGTGCACATGTACCCTAAAACTTAAAAGTATAATAATAAAAAAAAAATAATACAAAAAAAAAAAAAGAAAGAAAATTTCACATTGCAGAGCTGTGCACTGACCATTTCCTCCAACTCAGCCTGAGGTCACATGTGAGAAATAATTGTGTCTTTTACTTTTAAGATTTTCGAAAAATGCATTTATCCTGTGTATACGTTTCTGAGTATTTGCACACTAATTCAGTTTTCTTAACAACCAAATCATATTATTAGTACATAATCACAATAATAAGAAGAAAATAACTCACTTGCGAAGTATTATACAGAATTTTCATCCCATTGGCATCAATAAATGCTTTTCTTCCCAACTTGATGTTTGTAACACTTTTTAAACTCTGTAAAATTCCTTTCCGAATGAGCATGTTTCTATGCCGGTTATCATGGCGGTGCCAATCTACATAAATTGTTAAAAGCACTTGGACATATCCTCTGTCTACAGCTCTCCTGGCATTTGTTTCTTTAACAAAAGAAGATTGAGAAAGAATATTTTTTAAATGACGAGAGTGAGTGGTAGAATAATCAAATTTAAAATATTACCTCAATATTGTGATGGATACTTATAATTCTTTTTTCCAAAACAAATGACAAGCACATATTTATATTTTTTCTAACAAAATAAATATGAAGTTCCAGAGAGAAAATTACAACCTCTTCCAAAATCTGCCTGTGTAATGTTTCACGATTTATAAATATCAAAATCTCTTTACTAAAATTAGAGGAACATCTTTTTAAAGGCTTTTGTTTACTAACAAAAGCTTCAGGTATTTTACAATTTATGAATATACTGATTTTTGTTACACCAAATGAAATGTATAAGCTTTCTACTTGCTAGTTGTGAATGTGATTTTTAGAAGATCTGCTATCATTTTTATAATTTCTATTACAAACTTTATGTTCCCACTGAAATAAACCCTATTGAATTGTAGCTTCTATTGCAAACTTTGTGTTTCCACTAAAATTAATTGCTCTAATTACTCCACAATTATATAAATATTCATACTATAACAATGCTCATTAAAAAATACTTCCGTAACTTTTTTAGTAAATGAAATTTAAGGAGCATTACATGATTAGAAAATAGTGCTTTCTGGCTTTCTAGTCATTAGATTTTTATTGCAATAAGAACTACACTAAAGGTTTTTGTAAATACTCAATTTTATTGGAGTAGAATTAACAAATAAATCCATGTTTGACCTAATTTTATTATTTTTAAAAGTATTAGTATTTAAAATTATTAACCATAGGGCACATTTTACTAAGATAGTGGCAAGGGAATCATATCAGAGCAACATATCAAGTCACCCAATGCTGCTCTGGTGGGTTAATTATAAGGGGTGCAAGATAATGTGCAATACCCATCTGAGGTTGTTTAATTACAAGGAAATACTAATCTCTTCTTAATCTCAAATACACCTATAAAATACCCACCAGGTTCACAGTATGGACACTAAGATAATGCAGTAGTAAGCCTCCACTGATTTTAGCTGCCTGAATTATTACAGTTTCTAAATGTGCTAGTACAAACCTAAAACATAACACTGAGATAAACTTATTAATTCCCTTTCAGAACTATGTTCTGACATTAGACAGGCAGAAGACACTCACTAGAGCTACGGAAAAGATTTCTTATGTGAAGGCTTTAAACCCAGTATTGTGTCTACAATAGCTAGTGTGCTAAGGCTGTGGCTATTTACAAAATCACTTCCATTGTTTTGACCAAGAAAAGCTTCATACATTTTAAATGAATATACACTTTGTTTATACCAGTTGGAAATAAGCCTTTAGTTTACTAGCTGTGAATGTGATTTTGTTAAAAGCCATTATGATCATTCTAATTCCTATTACAAACCTTGTGTGTTTCCACCAAGATTCCCAATAGCCTAAATGGAATTTATGAGAAATATTAAAATTCTTCACAAATAAGTAAGAAACTTGCCCATAATTCAAACACAGGTGCTGAGTGCCCCTTAAAGGAAGTGAACAGAGCTACATGCAATCTGTGCTGAGCACAATTAAAACATTAGTAAAGGGAACTTTATTCATGTATTCAGTGTACCAAACTCACAATTAGCCTATGTCTCTTCTTCCCTCTCTAAAGTCTAATTTATCCTTTTAAAGAAAATGATTGCTCCTCTCTGCCAAAACCAAAAAAATTTTGAAAAATAAATGAGAATGCTCCAAAATGCCATGATTTGTTTAAAAATATGCAGTAGGCTACTAAATTTTATTTTGTATCATTCAATTTTCATCCTATTTAATGCCATGTGTCATCTGAAAATACATTAAATATAAACTGAAGTCATTCTACTTGTCAGTTACTTTTTTTTATTTTGATGGAATAAACATGTATGTTTGCCCACCACCCTCATTTGAAAAAGAAGGGAGGGAGTAAAAAGGAGACTACTACTAAAAACTGAAAATATTAAATTACAGTAATCATGGATTGATTTCTATAAAATACTTGCAACTTATGAGAATTTTGGCTTTTACTAACTTAGAATTAGTGACTTCACTATCAGTGATCCTGAAAATTAGTAAGCTTTAATAAAAGTTTAGTTTCAATAGCTATTCTAATCTACTCCAAATCAAAAGTATTTGCCCATATTAAGAATTAATCTTTATACAGTTTGAACCACAAACTCAGGACCCATCAAAGCAAACCTAAAAATATCTTCTAAAATTAATCCACGTATTGTGATCTTGGTCTAAAGCTTACCACATCATATATGAAAATAAAGCTACAAAGCTAATCTAACTGAGTGTCATACATTTCATTCGAAAAATAAAATTGTTAAATGAGAATTCTATTATTTACTACTAATACCTAAGGTGATTTTTAAAATTTAATAAATCATTACCAAATATTAGATTTTTGATCAATTCATTATTTGCTATTATTTAAAAAAAAAAAGAGTTCTGGCAATTAAAATGTAGGGGCAAGTTGGTCTCACCCCTGACAGACAGTTCTTGATGAGCTAGCTGTTAATTATGTCTCCCTTGTGGAGGGTGGAGTGGGGTGGGGACATATAAAAGCCACCCAGCCACCAACACAGATTGTGAAGACCAAATGTTACCGTGATTAAACAAAATGTTTATGTAATCAACCAACAGACCCCTGAAGCCCCCCAAAAAAATATTTAAAATAAAGAGACTCAGTATCTTGGAGAGAAAAAATATATGTAAGTACAGATGATTACTCTCCAAAAGCATAAGACATATCTACTCCAATGCTTCAATTCTGATAAGGAAAACAGTGCTTTATTTTGTAAATGAATTAGACTGTAAATGTATATTGTCACATTTTCTAAATGTTATATAAACTTACATTTATGGTAGAAATAAAATCTGTAGGGTTCTAAGTCACTCACAAAATCAGAGACAGTAGTTGTTAAAGATATTTCTTATAGTAAAAGTTCAATACCATGTTAGCTTTACTTTCAAAACATGATACTTATATATTTTCCTCTACTAATGGATTTTTATGTTATCTAAATTACTTAGAAATAAGAAATCAATGTGCTTGACTAAATTATATAAATGTACTAAATAAATTATAGCTCAATAAACATAATATGGTATTAGTTATGATGCACATCAACTACACTAAAAGGAAAAATCAATTTTGACATTAGAATATTATAAACCAGCTTTATAACTATAGTCTAAATCTACATTTCCAGTTTCTTTAACATAATAAATAGAATTCTCAGAAAAATAGTATCTAGTATTTCTAGTATTTAAAAACTTACTTGATTTTAGCAATGCAGCAAGAGTGTCTAAAGCAACCCTGTCAACACAACAAGAAAACACAAACAACAACAAAACTAGTAAAATTAATCTACAATAGTAAATTCATACAATCTTTTTCAATAAGTCATTATTCTATTATCTATTCCAAAGTTTACTCTTGTTTAAGATAATTACACATGGTATTTCTCCGTATGCATCTCTCTCTTCAGCTTAAAATTGGATATGAAAAAGATTGAAATATCAATAGATAGGAACAAAAAAAATGTTTTGAGAAAGAAAAAGAAGGAAATTAACAATGTCTAAGTATTTGTCAGAAGTTAGATGAACGGAATCATTCATCAGCCTCTGTATCTGACCTGAGAGTTAACAAAGGAACCACACTATTAAAAATCATACGCCGTGACTTGCAAAGGAATTAAAAACAAATCTTAACACAAGTTCATAACAACAAAATTCTATAGATATTGTCACTTTCTGACTTCAAAGTATTTCCATTCTATCAAGGTATATATCCTCCTATTTAAGGCCATAATAAAGGTAAAATATTTTGGAACTTGAAGGTTGGGGAGAAGTATCAGCCCTTAACATTTTTCAGCTATGACGCACCAAGATGAATAAGAAGCCTAACTAATATCTCAAAAACTCTTACTGTCCCTTAGAGGACAAAGCAATCACCCCCAAAACTGAAAGTATTTAAATTGTATTTGAACGTAAATACTCAGTCACACATAGTGAAATCAACTGCCGTTAATCAGCTGTAAAAATACACATAATATCACCATGGAAAACCTGTAATTCAAATCGTTTATTTTTAATCAGATACTGAAGAAATGGCACTTAATTTCAATAATTTTTAAAATGTAAGGCACATACTATGGTACCTCTTGGTAATACATCAACAATTACAATTAATTTGCATTAAAATTGTGTATATTATGAAACAATCATTTCACTCACCATTAAGCATTTGTTGAATGCCTACTTGATAACCACAGTAGCAAGTTCTTCGTGGTTATAAAATTAGAAAACAAACTTATCTCTTCCACAGATAATTTTACAATCTACATAATGTAATAAAAGAGCACAGCTATGAAAAAACTGCTCAAGAAATTAGAAACATAAAGGAGGTAATAAAGTAAAAGTTGCATACATCAGCAGTACAAGGGAAGTAGCATGACTAGGTGTAGGTAAAGGTAAAGAGCATAACAGATTACAAGACTTAAGATGGGTAGGTAAAGTTCACAGCAAAATCTGAAACAATAATCGAGGACTAGGCACAGGGTAAGTGCTCAACAAATGCCCAGTAAGAGGAAGTTCTTAATGGCTACACTTTTATTTATTGACAAAGATAAAGCAACTGTAAATTTTTATAATAACGAATTTGTAAAATAAGAAATTCATACCTGTAACTTCCTCAAAACAATGTGAAGTGTTGGTGAGTTAAAAATAAACATTATAAAATTTTGTATTAAATTTTCATTGCATTGAATTATCAGTAAGAAACTTTCCATACTTTTTACACTTATGCAATAAAATGTACAGGAGAATATAAAACTATGAGAATAAGGATAGCTTTTAAATTGGTCAAAATTAAACACAAAACTAAATGAATATTCCATATGAGACTGCGATTTATAAAAACTAAAATGGAAAAGAAAACCTCTTCAGCAAGACCTGACAAATGCCAGACACTGTTACAGGTGCTTTATATATGTGTTTTCTAGTTTCCTTCTTAAAACAATTTTGTTCCACAGAACTGAAATATAACATGCCTAGGGCCACATAAAATCTCAATGCAACAGAAAATGAATAATGTAATTATCTTGTTGAGAAAGGAAATTATGCAATCAGAAATGTCAGTCTCCCTTTGAGAAGGCTATCTGAACTTTCACTTCCAGACAAGATGGAGTAACAGAAACCGGATGTACCCTCTCATTTGATGTAATTTTTTAAATGGACAAAATGGAATGGCTGTTTAAGATACTGGATATTAAGCAATGAAAGATAGAGATCCACAGAAATGGCAAAAATGAGATGGGCCCTACAATTGCCCCAGCTTACTACACCTTGAGAAAGCGACCAAGCCACAGCACAGGGAGACAGAACCTAGGTGGAGTCTGGCAGATCCCAAAAGTTCAGCACATGAACTCCCTGATTGAGGACATAGAGGGTCCAGGCAGACCAAGTCGGTTAGAGCTCACAAGGCAGAATACCAGAAAATGAAAGCTGTACAGGGATTTTCAGCGAGTTGTGTTTGAATATTCAGCAAAGTAGTGATCAGCACATGTGTGTGAAGTAACTACTAAGGCTGGGAAAAAGCCATCCAAAAGGACTGCAGAACCACATCTAGTATTCACACAGGGCTGAGAACAGTGCCTATATCCACCAATCACACTGGAAATCCTCATAACTCATGGGGTAGAGTGCTCGGAAGGATTCTGCCTCAGTAGTGGGGAAAAATCAGTCCTAAACAGTGCTTTGATCCCATCTAACAAATGTGAAAAGACATTTACAGATCAAACTATTTCCAACTAACTTAACCACATCCCAGAAAAACCTCAAGAATATTTATAGAAATACAAAAATATCCAGCACTCAACAAGGTGGAATTCACAATGACTGGCACTCAAAAATTATCAAGCATGAAAAAAGCAAGGAAAAAAAGACCCATAATGATGGGGGAAAAAAAAAAAACAATTGAAACAGACCTAGATCTGACATAAACATGAGAAAACATTAAAACACTTATCACAATAGTATTCCACGTGTTCTAGAGGGAAGATTTAACATATTGCAGAAAGACAGTTTTTTTGAAAAGCTACCAATTGATCCAGCCATTCTACTCCTAGATATCTATTCAGCAGAAATAAAAAAATATATGACCATAAAAAGTGTGTGAATGCTTATATACCCAAATAAACATTCACAGCAGCTTTATTTGTAACAGTCAAAAACTAAAAACCCAAATGTCCATTAAGAGGTGAATAAATAAACAAATGACAATACAGCCATATAACTGTGACTACTACTCAACAATAAAAAGGAATAAATTTTTGATATGTGCAACATAAGTGAATCTATAAATAATCATGATACATGGAAGAAGCCAGATCCACCCCACCACAAAAAAGAGTACACACACTATGAATCCATTCATATAAAATTCCTGAACTTACATGTAACCAAATCTACAGTAATAGAAGGCATTGTCATGACTGCTAGGGCCAAAGGGGAGAAGCAAGGGAAGAATTACCAAGGGCACAATAAAGCCTCTGGGGGTGATAGAGATGTTAGCTTGATGTGGTGATAGTTTTTCACAGGTTTAGCCATATATCCAAGACCACATTACGATTTTCATGGGCTCTAGACACTTCTTTGCCTTCATAGGCCCCTCCCTTCAAAAAAGTATTTAAAATTCATATAGCATTTTACAACCGTGTTGGTGTTGGTATAAAGATGAATGAACTAATATCACAAATGAAAACATTTTCTTCAGCCTAAAGTTCATTTTTATATGATTTTTAAAGAAATTAAAACATTTTTATGGGACCCTAGAAGTACTGTGCCTCCCAAGCCTAAAGGCTTTAGCCCAGCCTATGTCCATTCTCATCAAACTGTACACTTTGAATATACAGATTTTATCATGTCAACTACATCTCAGAAACGTATTTTTAAAAACAGAAGTCAATCTAATATAACAGAAACTAAGTAAACCCCTCTTCCTATGGTTACTCTGTTTAATTTCTACATGTTATAAATCCCTTCTATTTAAAAAGTGATTAAGAAAGCTGAGACAAAATATTTACTCCCCAAGGCACTAAACAATCTGCTGATTAATCATGTTAAGAAGGTCTCAAGACTCACTGCATTACATGTATTATCTAAAGTACCAGACTCCACTTACCATTCAATGCAATATGTTTCTTACCATTACTAAGAAGCCTTCTTTGTCAACTTTTATTCGAGACTACCATGATCCATCAAAAACTTTAACTTCTATGTATACACATAGATGTCAAGTTTTGTGAAAGACTATGCAAACTATGCAAAGTTAAGACACAGCTAACACAGAACACACTGAAAGATCACAAATTGTGCTTACTGCTAAGTACATGCAGTTAATCACTGTTATGGGTTGAATTGTGTTCAAAAAGGTATGTTGAAGTCCCAACCCCCAATACCTCCAAATATGACCTTATTGGAAAACATGGTCATTGCAGATGTAACTAGTTAAGGCAAGGTCATACTGGAGTAGGTGGGCCCTTAATACAACAGACTGGTGCTGTTATAAGGAGAGAGAAGACAATGTGAAGACAAACACAAAAGGGGAGAGTGCCATGTGATGATGGAGGCAAAAACCGAAATGCTATGGCTGCAAGCCTAGGAACACCAAAGATTGCCAGCAAACCACCAGAAGCTAGGAAGAAGCAAGGAAGGATGCTCCCTTCCAGGTTTCAGAGGGAGCATGGCCCTGCTGACAAGTTGATTTTGGACTTCCAGCCTCTGGAACTATAAAACAATAAATTTCTGTTGTTTTGAGCCACTCAGTATTGGACTTTGTTATGACAGCCCTAGAAAACTAATATAATAACTTACATGCAATCACTTACAATGAACTCATAAGACCTTCCTTTCTACAGCTAATTCTTTATTCAAAATTGTAAAAATCTTAGAGTACTTTCAGAAACTCTTTCTCCCTACTGGTAGTTGTTTACAACTGTTTAAACCAAATAAAAGTACTTCTGACAGTTTCTAATCCTAAAATAGAACATTTTTTTCTGTTGATGTTTATTTTTCAACACTGGAAAGCTGGGATATGAACCCAGTTCTTTCAGATGGCAACACCCATTGTGTATGTTTCTTATTATTTCCAGTAGATTAAAAGATATAGTCAAGTTTGGTGCAAAGTCATTTGTAAATTTTTACCAAATGTTATTTAAGAGTTATTTTTAGAACTTTACCACAAAGAAATTTCTGAAATTCTATAACACTTATAAGCCAGAGTAAATTAATGTTACAAAAGAATTTTAAAATGTTAGATTTATTGAAATGCATAGTTTGTAGTTAATTAATTAAAATTTCTCAGTATAAATAATTTATACTTCCTCATATATTTTTCCAGTCTTCATATTTCCACAAAGAATACTACAAGCAACAATAATTCAAAAAGTAGTCTGTGGCTTAGATTTAGGAGATGTGAAGGAAAAAAAGCTTAAGTCCCCAGGTACTAATGAAGTGACATCTACTTTCAATTCTGGGTCAGTCCTTGCAATGACTTCCAAACCTATGGGGAAACTCAAAAAGATACAGTTAAAATAACCTCCTGAGTTGCTTCCTTCTAGATTAACAGTTTTAAATCCAAAACCTAAAATTAAAAAGGAGAGGAAGCATAACCCTCCAAATACAACTCTTCCTCAATCGTCTTCCCATTAAATGTGGAGCATTGTTTAAAGGGAGGAAGAAATACAACAGAAAGCGTTAGATGTCTGAGGTTTTTAGTTAATTAGAGGAGAGACCCTCAGATTACTAAAAATGATAAGAGATCAAGATATAGCAAGTTTGGTCAATGAATGGCTTGTTCTTTTTAAAGTAAAAATAAAGTAAAAGATTATTTTTCCTTTTTAAAGTAGAAATAGAAAAATAATGCATAATTCATCTTTTCTCTGATGTTTTAGATCCACTGATTTCCATAAGGTTTTGGATATACCCCATGTGGTATATTATAAAGATCCTTTTGAAATGCTCCATTTCATTTCCCCTGGAAACATTTTATATTAGATTTGACAACTTGGTTATAATAGAGCATAAAGTACATCTTAAGTAGGAGATCATGGCCATTATATAAAAAATAAATTATAAAATGCAGTACCGATTAAAGGGAGAAACAGCAAATAAATAAAAGCATAACTAATGTACTTTTAGTGTTAGCTAGGAATCATTCATACACACACTACTACATTGCTTATCTAAACTGTATTACATTAATACAGGCATTGTGCTAATTACAGGAATCATATCATTACAACCTTATAATAGAGATGCTAAATATTATTACAATTTTACAGACAGGAAACTGGGGCATAATAAATTAAGTAACTTACTTGTATCCTAGGGCCAGTAAATGATAGAGCTAACATGCAAATCCAAGTCTGTCTGCCTGCAGAGCCCACTCTAAACCACCATAAGACACCAATATTCTGTGTTACTGATTGTGATACAAACATTTTGTTTGCTTTGTTACATTTCATCAGATACTCTGGGATTGTGTATAATTCTTACACAGCTGTAACTATGTTGTCATCCCACCAAATAATATTTAATAAATAGTCATATGTGCAAGTAAGCTCAGAAAATATTTTAAAATATTTGACCCTTATTAAGAAAGGGTGAAAACACTGGAAATGTCCTGAACCCTATTTAAGAGTAAAGTCAAATCAAATAGTTCATGTGGACAAGTTCTTCATTACAAAAGATTCACAGCTAATAAACACAGGAAAAAAATAAAACTAGATAAGTTATTATTTTCCAACCACTAATGAAATAACAGATACAGGCAGTGTCATGAATGACTGCTAAATCACTAAGTGAAAAGTGGATGGGGACATTTCTAATGGGTAGATAACCTCAACTCAATTATCTTAAGTGACATAAAACAAAGTTGCCAGCTCCACCTATGAAATATTTTTGACCAGAAAAAACAAACCAGAACCCCAAATCTAATCAAGCCACAGTTTTATCAGTCTACAGAAAATGTAAGGGATATACTCATATGTTAAATAACTTCAGGATATAGTCATTGTAAGCCAGAACGTGTGACATTTTAAAAGACCTATCACTGAAGACCTTCAACAAATAAAACAAAACCAAAAAACAGGGAAACTTTTTTTTATTTCAAAAGATTATGAGACATATCAATCAAATATAATGTATAGACTTAATTGAAGCCCTGAACAAGCAAGCCAACTGTAAAAAAAAAAAAAAAAAAGCATTTCCTAATCAGAAAATATCAGATATTAAGAAATTACCGTTAATATTGTTGGGCACAGAAAAGACAACTGCGGTAACACTAAAAGAGAAAAGATCTGTAATTGACAGTGATCATATTAAAGAATTTACAGCTCAAATATAATGGCTGATATCTGCTTTAAAATACGCTAGGAAAAAAGAAAAACAGAAAGAAAAATAAAATTAAAATGACAGATTTTTGATAGTACAACTGGGTAACAGGTACATCAGAGTTCATTATATTATCCTCTCTACATTTGTGTAGGCTTGGAAATTTCCTAAATATAATGAAGAATAATGTATGCATCTTGTTTGGATTCTGATTCAAACAAACCAACTAAAAAGGGGCTATTTTGAGACAACTGGAGAAAATCAAACAACAGACCAGATTTTAGATTGTATTAAGTAAGTATCAGGAGGGAGAGGTGGGAGCATCACTTGAGCCTAGGAATTTGAGGCTACAGTGTGCCATGATCATGCCACTGCACTCCAGCCTAGGCAACAGAGAGAGACTCCATTTCAAAAAAAAAAAAGAAATTAATAATTTTGTTGGCTATGATTGTAGTATTCTGGTTATTTTTAAGTCCTTATTTAGTAGAATTATATACTGAGGTATTTAGAAAATAAATGATAGTATTCAAAGAAAATAATCCAAGAGAAAATATCTAGGATCTGCTTATAGAAATACACACACATTTATGTATATATAAAATACCTGAGATTTCTTAAAAGTACCCCAGGAAAAACAAACAAACAAAAGTGTGGAGTGGAAACAAATGAAACAAAAATGGTGGAATGTTCAGAATTGTTAAACACAACAAGTAATTAATATAACTCAATATAATCAGTTTAATATAAACTCTATTTTATGTATGTTTTAAAAATTCCACAATAAAAAAAAATTTTAAAGAAAGACCTCTAAAATGGCTTAAGAAAATATTAAACTGTAACCAATAAATGAGACATGGCTTTCATTTTCTGAGGCTGAAAGGCCTAGGAATGAATAAAAATACATACATACATACATGTGTGTGTGTGTGTGTGTGTGTGTGTGTGTGTGTGTGTGTATACATACACACACACACACACACACACACATCTCAGGATGGGGGAAAAAGAATGATGTGATTTTGACAAAATAGAAATGTATCAATTTAAGATTGTTCAGGTATTCATAAGAATGAAAAAGTCATTACAAGATTGTAAAATTGGGTGAGAAATATAGTAGGCACTCAATAAATGTTTCTGAATGAATACTCTATAGATAATCTTTTTTCCTTTTACAGTATCTAGAAATGTTCAGTCTAAGTTACTATAAACATTATATTCAATGAAGTCAAAACTGTCCAATTTTGAGATATTTGTGAAGATTAAATTTTATACTAAAGAAAATCTTTATCATGATAAAATCATTATTTAAGAACTAAGAAATGAAATAACCCTGGAGACAATTTAATTCAACCTGCTCATTGTACATATCAAGATAATGAGGCCCAGAGTAACAAAGGCTATACCTATGTTTACATTCAAAACATTTACTCACTTTATAAGACTGGAATTCTTCTTACTAAATGGTCCAATGATTTTAAACATCAGTTCCACAACTCCATTTTTCCCTAAGGATACTGAATTCACAGCTGAGAGGGGGAGAAAGAGATGCAAAATTATTTTAAGGTTTGACAACCAAAAATGTGTATACTTAGTGATACATAGGCAAAAACATATACAAATTGTTTAGTAAATGTCAACTCAAGTCACCTTAAAGTCCATCTAAGCTAACCACATGAAGAAATAGTGTTTTTTGTTTTTGCTTTGTTATGGAAAGTGCAGGGAAATTCTGAAACGAGTTATATGCAAAAAAAAAAAAAAACCACTATTATAAAAAAAATTCTTCAGTTACTCTATATTTCTCTAATAAATTTAGTGAACCTCACTGAACACCAGGTTATGGGGATTCCGAAACAAGAATAAAATCTCTGACCTCAAAGAACAAAGTGTAGAGAGAATGACAGAAACAATAAACAAATAATTACTAAATTACTTTCAAAATAGATCAAGAGTTGTAGACTATTTGGATTACACCATTGAGAAGTTCCTAATTCAGAGTGAGACAGACATTTCTGGAGAAAATGATGCCTAGGCTCAGTCTTTAAAAGTGAGTAGTAGTTAGGGCAGGAGTAGAGGTAAAGGGGTAGATGTGGCTCTGGACACAGGAATAATACAAACAGAACGAAGACAATGAACATCACAATGTGAGCAGTTACATAATGTTAAACACAGAGTATCAAGAAAAGATACACAAATAGGAAGATGAGGTAGAAAAAGATGAGAAATTATGAAGGGCCCTAGAAGTTGTTAATTCTTTTGACTATGGGGAATCACGCAAAAGGAACATATCAGATGTGAATTTTAAATAAATAGGTCAGAATTCAAAGAACTCTGAGGAAGCTGGTTTTGAAAGACACATTAGGAGGCTATGGTCTAGGTAACAGGTAATGAGGACTTTAATTAAAGCAAGTGTAGCAGGGAAAAAGATGGAACAATTTCAGTATTTAATATGGAATATACAAATAATTACCTAACCAGAAAACTGTGCTAAACATTTTTAATTCTGAACAGATGTTATTAAATATATTGTAGAACCAGGGACAATGGCATGTGCCTGTAGTCTTAGCTGCTTGGGAGGCTGAAGCAGGAGGATCGCTTAAGGCCAGGAGTTCAAAGCCAGCCTGAGATGTATAGCAAGACCCTGTCTCTAAAAGAAAATCGTTTAATAAACAATTTTTAAATTATAGATAAGCCATCTGCTAGCCTTCTATTGGTTAATCCAATAAAATGCCACCAAAAATGTAGCTCCTAATATTTCGTAGGATGATCTTAATTTTCTCTGTTTATTACTCCGTTATCCCTTCTAATTTCATGTCTATACTGTATTCCTTTGACCTTGATTGAAGTATTTGGTGGTTTAGCTGTTTTATTTTTACATTTGGGGGTTTTTGTTGCATTGTTGTTGTTTTTGAGACAGGGTCCTGCTGTGTTGCCCAAGCTGGAATGCAGTGGTGCAGTCATGGCTCACTGCAGCCTTAACCTCCTGGGCTCAAGAAATCCTCCCACCTTAGCTTCCTGAGTAGCTGAGACTGCAGGCACACATCACCACAACTAGCCAATTTTTTCCTTTTTTTTTTTTGTAGAAATGGCATCTCACTATGTTGCCCAGGCTGGTTGCAAACTCCTGGCCTCAAGCGGTCCTTCTGCCTAGCCTCTGAAGTGCTGGGATTACAGCCATGTGCGACTGTACCAGTGTATTTTATTTTTAATCCAATACAGTTTTATTTTTTAAATCAACTGCTTTTCTATTTTCTAATGCATATTTTTCCTTTTACCTTTACTATTTCATTTCTTGACTTTACTGGTGTTTATTTCTCTGTTCTTAACTTCATTGGTTAGATATCTAATTCATTTGTTTCCTTATGTTCTTTTTAATTACATGTTAGTTATTTAAGTGTTCTAAGCTGTTTTCCACAGAGCACACCTTTAGCCATATTTTAAAGGTACTGATATACACACACAGAGACATATACATAAGCTTATGTATGTTTATATATTACATATATGTATATACGCAATATACACACATATCTAGCACTCTATCATTATTTTGCAATGATATTCTGCAATAACATATATTCTGCAATTCAATCTTAGGTTCTTTCATTAACCACTTCAATTCTGCAATCAGAGAATAGAAAAAAAAATCCACACCTCATGCGTGGAACCTCGTGTTAGTGAGAGTGTGTGTTTTGGGAGACATTTTATCTGAGTCTGTCTCTCTGTGAGCCCTCTTCTCTCTAGCTTCTCAGAGGTTCCCATACTAGTTATTTTCAGTTCTGCTACTTCCCTATTGATTGCTGAAGAGAATTAGCTCCAGGTGACTATGCTACTGCATCCTTTCCTTCTAGGCTTTCTCCTCTCATCTGTGACAGTCTAAAGAGGCACAGGAGTTTTTCCAGCTACCAATACCCTCATATTCTTCCACATCTTTTCTACAGGCTGCCTAGTCATCCTCCTCACTCCTATCCTTTATAAATTGGAGAAATTAGTTAGAATGTTCAAGGTTTTACCAACTTAACCTTTTTTTTTTTTGGTTGAGACGGAGTCTTGCTCTATCACCCAGGCTGGAGTGCAATGGCACAATCTCAGCTCATTGCAACCTCCACTTCCCAGGTTCAAATGATTCTCCTACCTCAGCCTCCCAAATAGTCAGGATTAGGCGCCCACCACCATGCCCAGCTAATTTTTGTATTTTTATTAGAGACAGAGTTTCCCCATGTCGGTCAGGCTGGTCTCAAACTCCTGACCTCAGGTGATCCGCCCGCCTTGGCCTCCCAAAGTGCTGGGATTACAGGCATGAGCCACCATGCACAGACCAACTTAACCTTACCCCACATCACTTTTGTTGTGGTTGGAGTCAAGAGTTAAAATGAGCCATATTAAATCTTCTCTTTCCTTTTTCACAAATATCAGAGGTTTACAGAATCAGGATACTTTAAAATTCTTTTTGTGTAACTTTACAACACTGAGTTAACTAAAAGCCACCTAAATACTCACAGTTGGCAGAATATACTCGTAAAAGCTGAAGGCAAGGTAGAACCAAGCGATGATTCTGCAAATTCTGCTTGACCAAATTCAGGGTTATATTCAGAGCCCCATTAATTCTAGCCTTTACTCCAAATTTTTTATCTGTTTAAAAAAAAAAAAGACAATTTATGCACATACAACTTTTCTTTTTAATTTTTTTTTTTTTTTTTTTTGAGACAGAGTCTTGCTCTGTCATCCAGGCTGGAGTGCAGTGGCTCCATCTCAGCTCACTGCAACCTCTGGCTCCCAGGTTGAAGCAATTCTCCTGCCTCTGCCTCCTGAGTAGCTGGGATTACAGGCACCCACCACCACACTGGGTTAATTTTTGGATTTTTAGTGGAGACGGGCTTTCGCCATGTTGGCCAGGCTGGTCTGAAACTCCTGACCTCAAGTGATCTGCCCGCCTTGGCCTCCCAAAGTGCTGAGATTACACGTGTGAGTCACTGTGCCTGGCCCACATGTAAGTTTTGAATGAAATGATGATATTATAAATCAGTGATGTAAATTTTAAATTTACATTATGAATTAATTTTATGAAATATAAAGTTGGCCTGAAAAGAATAAAATTATAATCCTTTTTTGTATTATTTTTAAAATAAAACATCCCTTTTATTTTAAAACATTAGTTGAAAGAATGTACTAAGAAACAGACAGGGGGATAGGGAAGGAGGATGGAGGCTAGAGTAGCCCAACACTTAGACTGTCATTAAAAAAAACTGAACTGCTCCACTACACATATACATTTGTCTAGTTCAACACACTTCCCAGAACACCAACACAGAGTTAAAAGGAACAAAATCCAAATGTCCATTACAATAATACTTAATATGAACCATATTCTTTTCTGACTTGTAAAAAAATAAAAATTCATTTAAAAAATTAACAGCTTATGTAGAAAATAATCTGGCAAATATTACCAAATAAATTTCTAAAGGGAAATAATTCTTAACACAGGAAGGGAAGAAAAGATGTTCTTAATTTTTATTCTCATGAAGAGATTAAAACAGTAAAAAAAATTTTAAATAAGAAGAACTTAAGAATGTTAAGATTTATAGTAGACATTGGAGATACAAAAAGTGGCAGGGTGGGTGAGGGGTGAAGGTTGAAAAATTACCTGTTAGCTACAATGTTCACTATTCAGGTAATGGGTATATTAAATGCCCAGACTTCCCCACTATACAATACTACATGTAAGAAATCTGCACTTGTACTCCACTATATAAAACTACAAATAAAAATGAATTTTAAAAAAGACTTAAGGCAGGGCGCGGTGGCTCACGCCTGTAATCCCAGCACTTTGGGAGGCTGAGGTGGGTGGATCATGAGGTCAGAAGATCCAGACCATCCTGGCTAACATGGTGAAACCCCGTCTCTATTAAAAATACAAAAAAAAATTAGCCAGGCGTGGTGGCGGGCGCCTGCAGTCCCAACTACTCTGGAGGCTGAGGCAGGAGAATGGCATGAACCCAGGAGGAGGAGCTTGCAGTGAGCCGAGATCGTACCACTGCACTCCAGCCTGGGCAACTGAGCAAGACTCCATCTTAAAAAAAAAAAAAAAAAAGACTTAAACAAAGTAAATAGGACCAGCAAACAAATAATTTTAAATCAAAATAACTCAATATTCCTGAGGAAAAATTATTTTACCTCACTAGAAAAATAAAAAGAATAGAAAAATCACTCAAGAAATTACCATATAATGTCCTTGAATGACATAAAAATGGGAAACTAGGGCAAACCATAAAGGAAATAGCCCAAATTTAAAAGAATATATAAGAGAAAATAAATATGACCTAAAACTTAAAAGGGATATTAAAGAATGATAAATATTTTTAAAATCAATATCTTAATTTCATGAAAAGTAGAAGATAACCTAGTTCTAATTAGAAGAGAAAGCATAACAATACTCATCAATAAATAAGGGGTTTTTTTTAAATGAATTTTCTGCCAAATTATGGTTTTCTTATTTTTTCATTTTCATTTTCCACAAAAATCTCAAAAGGGAGTCTTTAAATCTTAAATACAAGAGCTAAAGAAAAATAAGAGACAGCTAACATATTCCTTAAATAAACTAAATACATCTTTAAGTCTTAAGGCTCCTAATATACCTGGAAAATTAAAGTCACTTCAGGGTTCCTTTCTTTAAAACAACACCTATAAAAACTACTAATTACTTATACAATACATAAAGATATGCTAGAAATACGTATGTTAATAAATACACAAACTATGTACACACGCATCCTCATTTTTTCCAATAAGCATTTTAGCCAAATACTCAAAGTTTAAAACTCACATGTATGCCACAGGCAAAGGCAAAACTCTTTTTTTTCTTTTTGAGACAGAGTCTCGCTCTGTCACCCAAGCTGGAGTGCAGTGGTACGATCTCGGCTCACTGCAACCTCCACCACCCAGGTTCAAGCAATTCTCCTGCCTCAGCCTCCTGAGTAGCTGGGATTACAGGTAGGCGCCACCATGCCTGGCTAATTTTTTGTATTTTTAGTAGAGATGGGGTTTCAGCATGCTGGCCAGGCTGACCTCAAACTCCTGACCTCGTGATCTGCCCACCTTGGCCTCTCAAAGTGCTGGGATTACAGGCATGAGACACCGTACCCGGCCAAAGGCAAAACTCTTAAAACACAATTCTAATAATTTAAGGAATTATTTTAATCTTTGTGCAAGTAGACAACCGTAAACTGAACTTGAGTTCTAGTCAAAGGGTGCCTTCCTTAGTTAACCTAACCTTAATCAGCTTCTTCCTTTGTTCTATATCCTATTTTTCCCAATTTGCATTTTTTAATATTTCACGTGTCTTACTGTTGTAATAACTGGTCTCATAATTTTTCTATTTTTGTCTTCTTAACTAAGATTGTAAGTTTCCTGAGCATTCACACTATGCAGCACAAATATGACTATTAAAGAAAGCAGTGACATATTTTACCTCCATGTTTTTCAAAACATTCTCATCCATACTCCTTCCTTCTAGCCTCAACAATACCCATATTGCATGTATCCTTTACAAACACACTTGAGAGGGCACACACACACTCCAAGACACACTTGTGACCCAAAACTTTTTCTTTTTTCTACCACATGCAATAGAATTCCTCATAAATTTTGGATCCTCAGTTACTGCAGGTCACTAGTTGACTATAAAAAACCATTTCGGCTGGGTGCGGTGGCTCACGCCTGTAATCTCAGCACTTTGGGAGGCCAAGGTGGGCGGATCATGAGGTCTGGAGTTTGAGACCATCCTGGCCAACATGGTGAAACCCCGTCTCTACTAAAAATACAAAAAATTAGACGGGTATGGTGGCACATGCCTGTAGTCCCAGCTACTCGGGAGGCTGAGGCAGGAGAATCACTTGAAACCAGGAGGCAGAGGTTGCAGTGAGCCCAGATCACACCACTGCACTCCAGCCTGGTGACACAGTGAGCCTCCGTCTCAAAAATAAAAAAAAACATTTCATTACTAAGTCTAAGAAAAAGCTGTAGCATGTTAGATTGTAAAAATTAAGCACTCTCCATAAGAAAACATTGGAGAAATGCTTCCGGATATTGGTCTGGGCAAAATTTAGTAAGACCTGGAAAGCATAGGTAATCAAAGCAGAAACTGACAAATGAGATGGTATCAAGCTAAAAAGCTTCTGAACAGCAAAGGAAACAATCAACAAAGTGAAGAGATAACCTACAGAATGGGAGGAAATACTTACAGACTACTCATCTGACAAGAGATTAAAAAACCAGAATATATAAGGAACTCAAATAGCTCAACAGCAAAAAAAAAGAGAAAGGATTTTTTAAATGGGCAAAAGATCTGAATAAACATTCTCAAAAGAAAATATATAAATGGGCAATGGGTATAGATAAAAACGCTCAACATTACTAATCGTTAGGGAAATGCAAATCAAAATCATAATGAGATACCATCTCATCCCAGTTAAAACAGCTGTTATCAAGAAGACAGAAAATAATAAATGCTGGTGAGGATAAGGAACTCTCACACACTGCAAAAATCTAAGTTACTACAGCCACTATGGAAAACAGTATGGGGGTTCCCCAAAAAACTAAAAATAGAATTACCAGATGATCTAGCAGTCCTACTGTTGGGTATATATCCAAACGAAAGGAAATAAGTATATTGAAGAATATCTGCATTCCCATGTTTACTGCTGCACTATTCACAAAAGCCAAGGTATGGAATCAACCTAGGTGTCCATCAGTGAATGAATATATAAAGAAAATGCGGTTTATTTACACAATAGAATACTATTCAACCATAAAAAAATGAAATCCTGTCATTTGCAGCAACATGGATGGAACTGGAGGACATTATGTTAAGTGAAATAAGACAGGCACAGAAAGATAAATATCAATGTTCTCTTTCATATGCAGAAGCTAAAAAAACTGATCTCATGAAAGGAGTGAATAGAATAGTGGTTATCAGAGGCTAGCAAGGGTAATGGAGAGCGGGAGATAAGGAGGAGTTTGTTAAATGGATACAAAAATACATTTCAATAGAAGGAATAACATCCAGTGGTAACACAATAGGGCAAGTATAGCTAATAATAATTTATTATATATTTTAAAATAGCTATAAGAGAAGATATGGAATGATCCCAACACAAAGAAATAATGAATGTTTGAGGTGATGGATACCCCATGTACCCAGATTTGATCATTACACATACATTTTTATCAAAATATCATGTGTACCCCCATAAACATGTACAATTATTGTGTATCCATAGAAATTTAAAATAAATAACATTTTTAAAAACTGAGTAGTTACAAGGTGAGAGAATCACTGTTACAAAAATAGTTCTAGATACAATAATCATACAAATGAAATCCCTTACCTTTTGGTCCAATCTTTGCAAGAATAGAATGAATCTGTACCATTAAGTCCTCATGTGGGGGAGATTCTTTGCTGGCATTCATAAGTAACTGCAACAATATTTGTGAACCACCTTTGGTGACTAAGAAACTCACTCTTCGACCTCCACCTAAAAATTAAAAAAAAAAAAAATTTAAACAACAAATTAAAAAAAAATTAACAAATTTAAACAAACATATTAGGTATCATAACTTGTTAGCATTCAAGAAATGGTTAAAACTGATGACCTCTAAAATCAAACAAATAAGGCTGGGCGCAGTAGCTCACGCCTGTAATCACAGCACTTAGGGAGGCCGAGGCAGGCAGATTCACCTGAGGTCAGGAGTTCAAGACCAGCCTATCCAACATGGTGAAACCCCGTCTCAACTAAAAATACAAAAATTAGCCAGGCATGGTGGCGCACACCTATAATCCCAGCTACTTGGGAGTCTGAGGCAGGAGAATCTCTTGAACCTAGGAGGCAGAGGTGGCAGTGGGCAGAGATCATACCACTGCACTCAAGCCTCGGTGACAAGAGCAAAACTCCATCTCAATCAATCAATCAATAATATCAAACAAATACCATCAACACATTTTGTTTAATCTCATTTATTTAGAAAATAGCACACAAAGGGTAAACACAAATCACGCTGAAATTCTAGGTTCAAGGCTGTGAAATACATGGCTATGGGGTAGTCTGAGGGATACTTGAAAAGATACCAAAAATAAAGCAACAACAACAAACTATGACATTTCAGTTTCTAATTCCAATACTCAGAATAGCCTCTATAAGAGTATCGGAAAATTCCAAATAAAGTGAATACGATACATTGTTGATCACTGTTTAGAAACAGAAATTAGACCAAAGAAACAAAAACTTACCAGCTGACACCAGCTCAACAAGAATGCTTAAGATATTAAGTGTAGTTTGAAGATCTTTTGTGTTCTGAAATAAATAGTTTGTTTTATTAAAACATTGTAAACTTTTGATTCCCAGACTTTTGAATCCACTGGGAACTACCTATATTTTACAAATGACCTTTCCAATTTCTCTAGGAACAAAGGTATTCAGGTTTTCACTATTATCATTTCCGTCTGTTTCCTTCTGCCTTTAAGAATTTTTACAAATCATTTTGAGTTATTACTTGTGAAATATCAACATTACAAGAAGAATCAATTTGTCATTTGAATTCCTCATCTTTCTACCAAATAGATAATAAAAGTAAATGAATCAAAATGTAAATGGCATTACAATGTATGTCTGGTGACTACTCAATCACTTAGCTGCCCTCTCAGAAGGCAATCACGTTATCAATTTCTTATGCATTCTGCCAAAGATAATATGCACACATAAAAGAAATCCATGTAAATATACATGTGCATACAGGTTTATTTCTCCAAATGGTATTGCCCTATAGGTACTATTTTGCACCTTGATATTTTACATATCGATAGATAAAGAGCTTCTTTATTCTTTTTGAGGGCTACAGGATATTTTCCATTATATGGCTATATCACCATTGTTTATGTAACCAGTCATCTACCCATGAAATATTTAGGTTGCTTTTAATATTTTGCTATTAAAAGTTTCAAATTTAACTAAGGATATATATTTACATGTGGTAAAGTACATCTGTATAGTAAGGTAAATGCCTACAATTCCAAGGTCAAAGAATATGGGCCTTTATTTTAATAGATATTACCAAATTGCTCTCTATGAAATAATTTATACTCCCATCAGCAATGCAGAAGAGTGACTATTTCTCCAAGTTTGGACAACTAATCTAATAAGTGAAAATGTTTAAACACTGTACTTTGGTTTTATTTATCTTCTTAAAAGTAATGCTCAATCTCAAGTGACATTTGTGTTTCTTTTCCTGAGAACTGAGCATAGCCTTTACATGGTTTTTGAAGTGTTTTTTTTTGTTGTTGTTCCTTCCTAAATGAAGAAGTTCTTTTTTTTCTTTTTTTTTGAGACGGAGTCTCGCTCTGTCACCCAGGATGGAGTGCAGTGGCGCAATCTCGGCTCACTGCAAGCTCCGCCTCCCGGGTTCATGCCATTCTCCTGCCTCAGCCTCCCAAGCAGCTGGGACTACAGGCGTCCGCCACCACATCCAACTAATTTTTTTGTATTTTTAGTAAAGACAGGGTTTTACCGTGTTAGCCAGGATGGTCTCAATCTCCTGACCTCGTGATCTGCCCATCTCGGCCTCCCAAAGTGCTGGGATTACAGGCGTGAGCCACCACACCCAGCCTTTAACTGAAGAAGTTCTTTACATGTCAAAGAAATTATGTAAGCCAAAATACTTTTCCTCAGTTTTCCAAGTATCCATGGTGTTTTTTTTCTACATCCTTTTGTTAATATAGTTGAATCTATCAATCTTTTATAGTTTCTATTTCTTCATACTTAAAAAAGCCTTCTTTGTTGTAAGATTATTTTAAAATTCATCTCTCTTTCTCTAGTATTATGATTCCATTTTCCATGCTTAAATCTTTGCTTCATATGGAATTTATTTGGGTGTGGAATGCAGGAAGTCATGATTCAATGTTACCTTTTTCCACATAGCTACCAATCACTCTATTTCTCACTGATCTGAAATGCTACCTTTAATAAATAATACTAAATTCCCATATGCATTTTATTTTTAGATTTTCTATTCTGTTACACTATAGTAGTAGTCTATCTATTACTCATGCATAATTTCCAAACTATTTTAATTACTGAAGATTTCTAATGTTCTTTGATATTTAATGGGATAGTCCCTTCTCATTTATCTTCATTCTCAGAAATGTGCTTTATATTTTGCTGATTATGTCTCCCCATTTGGACTTTAAAAACAAAACTGTTAGGCCGGGCACAGTGGCTCATGCCTGTAATCCCAGTGCTTTGGGAGGCCGAGGCAGGTGGATCACCTGATGTCAGGAGTTCAAGACCAGCCTGGTCAACATGGTGAAACCCTGTCTCTACTAAAAATACAAAAATTAGCCAGGCATGGTGGTGTGCACCTATAATCCCAGCTACTTGGGATGCTGAGGCAGGAAAATCACTCAAACCTGGGAGATAGAGGTTGCATTGAGCCGAGATTGCACCATTGCACTCCAGCTTGGGCGACAGAGTGAGACTCTGTCTCAAAAAAAAAAGAAAAGAAAAGAGAGAAAAAAAAAACTGTTGGTAACTTTTATTGAGATTGCTCTAAAGTAACAGAGCAATCTAGGGAGAAATGACATCTTTATGATGCTAAGACTTCCTATTGAAGAACATGAATTCATTTCTTGTTCTTAACATTGCAACTGAACAAAATACAGAATCCTGATTCTGAATACATCCTGCTGGTCCACCAAAAACTTTACACTGGCGTAGAAATTCAATTATCATCAATATAATATAGTTAACCAATATGTGTAGTAAAATCACAAATGTATATCAGCTAAAACAATAAACGATAATTTTCATTTGTTTTAAGCTAAAGATTTATTTCCAGCTAATGCTTTATTTTCTATACCAACTAAAATGGCATGTTAGGATTACAATTTACAGTTATCATTATAATCATATAAGGGAAATATACTTCAATAGTCACCTAATACATATTAAAATATTTATACCACCATTCCAAATAGTATTTTAAAAACCTAAAATGAATTTCCATTTACTGGCTTTACCTCTAAAACAAAAATTATTACATATACGTGTGTGTGTATATATGTACGTGTGTATGTGTTTCTGTGTGTATTTATACACACACATACGCTTTTTCTTCTTCAGTATTGCTTGGCATTAGTAGTTACATAATTAAAGCGTGTCACTGATTTACCTCTAATGTTGACAGCAGAATTTCCATTCCTGTAGAACCTTTGGCTGTCATTTCTCTCCTTGTTTTTTCTGAAAAGTAGCAAACAATTTTTTTCTCAAACATAAATTTTTAAAAGTATGTATAGTTTTGTTGCATATAGCTAATAAAGATTCAACAAGTCTCCACTGGTACAGTAAACACTCTAACTTGGTTCACAGACGTTCTTCCCTCTGATGTTGCTAATTCTACCATATGTGGACTTCGAGATATCAGTTAACATGGCATTCTTCACATTTCATCACAGCTCCTGTCATGAATTAGGTGATTCCTATTCATCCATTTAAAATCTTAAAATCGATAATATAGTACAGGTGCCAGAACTAGGAGTAAGGGAGGAGTCTTACCTCATCTTCATGAGTAGAACTAGAAAATTGTTCATCAAAATGGGTGAAAACAAAAACCTACTACCATTTTCCAATGCTATGATTGCATTAATATCTTTTTTTTTTTTTTTTTTTTTTGAGACGGAGTCTCATTCTGTCGCCCAGGCTGGAGTGCAACGGCGCAATCTCCGCTCACTACAACCTCCGCCTCCCGGGTTTAAGTGATTCTCCTGCCTCAGCCTCCTGAGTAGCTGGGATTACAAGTGTGTGCCACCATGCCCAGCTAATTTTTGTATTTTTAGTAGAGACGGGGTTTTACCCTGTTGGTCAGGCAGGTCTTGAACTCCTGACCTCATGATCCACCTGCCTTGGCTTCCCAAAGTGCTGGGATTACAGGCATGAGCCACCATGCCCGACCTGTATTAATACTATTTTAAAATTCTGTATCACACAAAAACAAACAAAACTAACAAAAGGCTACTTCTGAAACAATCTGGAGACCAGATCACCCAAATGATCCTTTTCCTCTCATTAGGATTGGTTAAAAAAAAAAAAAAAAAAAAAAAAAGCATAGATTATTTCTATTAGGTGAAGGTTTCTAGAGCTTCTCCACAATTCTTCTCCTTTGATTAGCAAAAGAAGAAAAGTACATCCTAGGTCAACATTTAGAAAAGGAACTAACATTTACTATTCCATAGCTACATTATGTCATTTATAACTCCCTTCAACCCTCTGGGGAAAAAAAACTACTCTTTTCATGGATCTAAAGATTTAAGTTCAGAAAGGAGAATAAATCTGTACAAGTCGCTGAGCAAACAAGTGAAAAGACCAGGTCATCACTTGTGTTTCTGAACCCAAAACTTATAGTCTTCCAGCATTTAATGCACTTTATTTAATGTCAAACCTGAATACTAATGCCAGAAATTATTCTAATACAGAATGACAGTGCCATTTATTTCACATTTTGAGATTTTAAAAAACACAATCAACCCACTCTCAATACAGTACATATTCCACAATGAAGTTCAAAGGACTGATACCAAATTCAATGTTCCACATGGAGATAGTCAAGGGAGTTTAAGAGAAGAACAACAGATAGTGAGGCCCTGATTAAAGGAAAATATCAACACAGATGGGAGAAAAACAAACTCAGGCTAAGCCTTTAGAATATCATACTTTTGTTCTGAGCAAATCCTGTTCAACTTCATGAATCTGACATCACTTGAAAATTAAGTTACTCTAAATTAGGAGTAAACAGAGGGAAAAATGTACTACAGAAGGGACATAGTATAATGTTATTTATGACAACTACCTATGACTAGCTACAAAATAAATATGCTGGAGAGTACATGTCATATTTATCTTAAAACAACAATCTCATGCTATCATGCATCATCTCGGGTTCAGTTAATGGACTTCACTAAACTTAAGGAACCTTACATCTTTCAAAACAGAAACTCCCGTAAGTGATATGAAGACCTAAAATAATATTCACCAGTTCCTTGCTGCCACATTGTTAATGCTTAAAAGAATATAAAATTTACCTAGAACAAAAGGAAAAACTCATTAATGAGAGTAAAATTAAATTTCTCCTTTTTAAAAAGTATGTCATTCCTTCTGATAATGCAACCTATCCTTTACTTTTTCTCCAGCCCTGCTGCCTCCATCAAAAAATGTTGAGTTGCAAAATAAAACATTGTTTCAAATATCTAATGTACCCTTGATGTAATATTTTAAAGGCCCCTGATTTAATATTAAAGCCAAATTATTTTTCAATATTAATATCACTACTAACAAGCCATTACATTTTCACTTCCATGAAGGGTAAAAAAAACTATCTTCCTTTGAAGACAGTATAATGCAGCCTCCCCTTGTTAACATTCACCACTGTTTTGTTTACACCTCACACTAAATGAAAATTAGGTGTTTAGACTAACAGTTTTCTACTCTACTCCAAATTCTGCCACAATCTTGGGAGACTTCAATGTCATTGTGGAAAATTCATTCAAATACCTAGTTCCATAGTTTCTCGACCTCATAACAAAATCCTTCCCTCTGTGCTCCAATTCATCAACCCTCTGAATGGCCATTCTCAGGACCTCAAACTGCTCTGCCTCTGATATCTTAATCCCTAATCTTCTACTTATGGCCCATAACCTCCTAACATTTCTATTCATCTTTCCTTTATAAAGACTATATAAACCTCACTGTCACCTTTGTTGAAACTTCTTATCCAGTGTGAGGTAGCACTGTTTTCCCACAGTATCAGTCCCCTCCATACTTAACTTGGATTCCAAGCACCCCCACCCCCACCAATTTTCCCACCACAAACCCTGATACAGAAGTGAATCCCAAAAAGCTGAGTTCCCTGCTCCTACATCAGAGTAAAAATAACACCACAATTTAAGACTGTTAATACCATAAAATTAATGAATTCCAACCTCACTTGGGAACACAAAACTGCTCCTTTCACTTATCTTAGCTCACATCCATCACCATCTGCCCTGCCATAGCCCATAGCTATTTCAACATTTATAGTAGCCCTCAATCTTTCCTCTCATTCTCTGGACTTCTCAGAACCTACATTTTTCCTCATTAAAATGAAGCAAAGTAATTAGTTAACAAAACATTTTACTAATAACAACCAAACTCTATATGCTCCTGTACCAAAATCCTTGACAATCTTGCATTCCTTCCGCCAGTAAATGGCAGAGAGGAGCAGGACAGTGGAGGTTAGGAAGAAATGTCCTTTCACCTATGTTCTGAATTCCATCCTTTCTACCTTCTTATGAACCTTTATCTTCAACCTCTACCAACATATCAGTTGTTCCCTCTCAACCAATAAATACACTTTTTATTATTCCACATACTTACCAAATCTTATTTTACCCTGCCTCCCCCTCTATTTCCCTCTTTTCTTTCTCGGTGAAGCTCCTCAAACAAGTACTCTATATTCCCTGTGATTATTTCATTTGCCATTCACATTATAACATACTGCAATCTTCCACCTAATCCTACCACTTGAAAAGTGCTTTTGTTGTGATCAGTAATTTGTTAATAATCCAATCAAAAAGAACTTTAAACTTCCTAACACTTAGCACTGTTGACTACTGCATCTTCCTTTGGCTTCTTTAAATATAATCCTTCCCAGTTATCTTAATGCTGTATTCTTTCTTTAACAGCTTCAATTATCTGAATGTTAGATTAGATTTACAGACAAGAACTTTAAAGCAGCTATTATAATAAATGACATTAAAGTAAAGAAGTACACAATGAATGAAAAGATGGGAAAACACAGCAGAGAAATAGAAACTACAAAAGCAAAAGAACCAAGTGCACACTTGAGAATAAAAAAAAAAACATCTGAAATAAATTATCAGATAGCTAACTGGAAGGATGCATAGGAAAGAGGCAGTGAAACTGACAATAGAACAATAGAAATTATCCAACCCAAATAACAGAGAATTAAACTTAAAAGATATAAGCCTCAACAACAGCTGAAAAAATATCAAAAATCTAATACATGTATAATTATACTTCCACAAGACAAATAGGGAAAATAAGGGAGAAAAAAAACTGAGCAACCAAAAATGTCCCAAATTTGACTAAAGATATAAATTTACAGATTCAAAAATCTCAGTGAATTCCAAGCAGGATAACTATGAAGAAAACTATAGCCAGTCAAACTTGAAAAGCAAAATCCAAAAAAATAAATAAATAAATAAATCCTGAAATCAGTTAGAAAAAAATCACACATAACATTCAGGAAAATGAAGATTCAAATGACAACAGAGTTCTCATTTGAAATTATGGAGGCCATAAAATGGTGGAAACACAATTGTAAGCACACTTTAAAAATGCTAAAAGACGATGACGATGAAACTGCCAAACCAGAATTCTATATCCAGTAAAAATATCCTTCAAAAATGGTGAAATAAATTCACTGTCAGATTAAGAAAAAAAAATCTTCCACAGCCAACCTGAACTACTGGAAGTGACAAAATTCTGTAGGCTAAAGAGAAATGGCACCAGATCAAACTCACATCATTAGAAAAGAATAAAGAGCTTCCAAAATGGTAAATATCTCTGCAAATGTAAAAACTACCTTTTTTCTTTTTAATGTCTTTAAAACATACATGACTTGATAAAGCAAAAATTGTGTTGTAATGTATACAGATGTAGATACATATGACAATCACAGCTGAAGAATGGTAGAAAAAATTTAAGATTCTAAATTTACATGAAGTAACAATAATAATTCTAAGCAAACTGTGAAAAGTTAATGACATTTAGTGCAATATTCAAAGAAATTACTTCTTAAAAATGAAAAGAGGTATAACTAAAAAGCCAATAGGTAAATTAAAACGAAATTCTAAAAAAAAGTTCAAATAATCCAAAATAGGGTAGGACAGGAAGAAAAGGAATAAAAAACATAAAAGACAAACAGAAAATAAAATTGTAGACCTAAATCCAGTCAACAACTACATTAAATGTTAACAGACCAAATGCTCAAATTAAACACTCAGACTGTCAAACTGGATGTTTTTTTTTAAAAAGATCCAACTATATACTGTCTACAGAAATCACACTTTGGATTCAATGACACAAAAAGGCTGGGAGTAAAAGAATAGAAAAGACTATATCATGCAAACAGCAACCGTAGGAAAGCTTGAAGGGTTATACTAATATCAGACAAAATAAACTTCAGACAAAGAACACTGCCAGAGATAAAGAGAAACTTTCCATAATTATAAAGGGGTAAATCATCAGGAAGACACAAAAATCATGTGAATGCACTTGATTATCTTCACCCTCTTATAGCCCTATCTAAATGTGCACAGTTCCCAGGACACAAACCTCAGCTTTCTCACTCCACAACTCCTTCTAAGAAAACTTAATTCCACCCCCATTACTTTAACTATCAATCTGTTGGCTCTTAATCCTGCTCTTCATTCAGAACTTCTTTATAAAGCATAAGATTGTGTAAGCAATAATTACAACATTGTATTGTTGGGATTCTAATATGTATAAACATAACATGTAAATCAATAACAGCATAAAGAATGAGAAGGAAATGAAGCTATATGGGAAGTTTTGATATTGACTGGAATTAAGTACACTGTAAAAAGATGCACATTTTAATCCCTATAGGAACCACTAAGAAAAGAACTCCAATTTCTTTAAGTTAGATAACAACAAAAGCAGTGAAAGAATGAGAAGAATGTAAAAGACATGAAACAAAACAATTAGCAAAATGGCAGATGTAAATCCAATCATATTAATAAATGCATTAAATTGGAAGCACTAAAACACTCAGACTAGTTAAGAAGCAAGATCCAACAATATGTTATCTTCAAGAAACACACTTTAGATTCCAAGGTACAAACAGGTTCAAAGTAAAAGGAATGAAAAAAGGTACGATATGCAAAGAGTAATAATCATTCGGCAGCTGGAGTGGCAATATTATCATTAGACAAAATGAACTTTAAGTCTAGAACTATTATGAGACAAAAAGCAATATTTCACAATGATGGAAGAGGCAAACTATCAGGAAAATGAAACAACTATAAATGTATACACAGCTAAGAACAGGGCCTCAAAACACATTAACCAAAACCTGCCAAAATTAAAAAGATATACAATTTAATAATATTTTAACACCTAACTCTTAATAATTAACAGAGCACCTGGGCAGAAAATCAACAGTGTATAAGAGATCTGAACAACACTATCAACTAACCTAATTGATACTTATAGAACACTTCACCCAACAACAGCAGAATATACATTCTTTTCAAGTATGCATGGAACATTTTTCAGGAGAAACCATAAACTAAGTCATAAAACAAGTCTCAAGCAATTCCAAGGATTGAAATCAATCAAAGTATATTCTCCAGCCAAAAGAATTACATTAGAAATCAACAGAAGGAAATTTAGGAATTCCTGAAATATTGGGAAATTAAACAACACACTTCTAAAAAAAAAATGGGTCAAAGAAAAAAACCACAAAGAAAATTAGAACATATTGTCAACTGAATCAAAACAAAAATACAATATATCAAAATCTGTAGAATGTAGCTAAAGCAGTGTTTACAGAAAAATCTATGGCTTTGAATGCCTCCAGTAGAAATAAAGGTCTCAAAATAAATAATCTAGGCTTCCACTGTAAGAAAATGGCGGCCAGGCGCGGTGGCTCATGCCTGTAATCCCAGGACTTTGGGAGGCCAAGGTAAGTGGATCACCTGAGGTCAGGAGTTTGAGACCAGCCTGGCTAACACGGTGAAACCCCGTCTCTACTAAAAATACAAAAAATTAGCCGGGTGTGGTGGCAGATGCCTGTAATCCAGCTACTCAGGGGGCTGAGGCAGGAGAATCACTTGAACCCAGGAGGCAGAGGTTGCAGTGAGCCGAGATCACACCATTGCACTCCAGCCTGGGCAACAAGAATGAAACTCTGTCTCAAAATTAAAAAAAAAAAAAAAAAAAAAAAAGGCAAAAAAAAGAGCATATTAAACTCAAAACAAGCAGAAAGAAGAAAGCAATAAATAAAAGAAGGAAATCAATGAAACAAAACAGAGAAAGTCAATTAAACCAGAAGTTAATTCTTTAAAAATATCAACAAAATTGACAAACTTTTAGCTAGGCTAGGGTCTCTTAACCTCAGCACTCTTGACATTTTGGAACAGATAATTCTTTCTTGTGGTGGGCTGATCTATATATTATAGAATGTTCAGCAACATCTCGGGCTTCTATCCAACAAATTACAGTAAGCCTCACTAAAAAAAAATTTACAACTAAAAATGTCACCAAACATTGCCAATGTCCCTGGGGGAAAAAGTGGGGCAGACACAATCACTCCTGGTTGAGAACTAATAAGCTGACAGACCAAGAAAAAAGAAAGGACACAATCAAAATCAGGAATGAAAGACACATCACTCCCTACTCTATAGAAACTAAAAGGATTATAAGGAAAGATTAGCAACAACCATGGGTCAACAAATTAACCATTTGCATGAAAGTGGATAATAGAAATGTTTCTAGGAAAAAAACTAAGGGGAAATTGCAAGAAATAATTCACTGTACATAAGTAGTTAACGAGAGGCAAATTATGGAAATTTATAAGTTTATTGTGTGAATAAAATGTGTTGTAGGGGTTGGTTTTTTATATCATTTAAATACATAAGTAGTATATGCTTGTTGCAACAATTTAAATGTCTGAAACAAAATTAGCTTACCTTATTCTCCCCCATTCCTATTCCATCAATATAGCTACTGCTAACAATTTGATATGTATCCTTCCTTTTATTTTTTGGCCTGGCTCATACAAATATTACATACAAATATAATGGTTTATTTTGTACAAAAATGAGACTATACATATTTTGTATAAAAATGAGACTATACACCTTTACAGTCATATGAACTAAAGAAACTTGCTGTATGTAATATACTAAATTTAAGCCTCCAAGAGCGTGCATATAGTTACACATATGAACTGTATGTTTCAACTATAATTTTTTTTTCAATGTCTACAATAAAGTTTATAGGAACTCAGCCATGCCTGTTTCTTTATGTATCATCTATGGCTGTTCGTGTGCTAAAGGGCAGAGACTGTATGGCCCACAAAGCCTAAAATATGTCTATCTGGCCCTTCCCAGAAAACGCTAGCCATTCCCTGCTCTAGAGCAGTAGCTTTCAATTTTGGAACCATCTGGAAAGCCTTAACAATTAAGATTTAATTGGTTTGGGGTGAGCCTGGGTGTAGGGGTTACAAGAGTCCCCATCATAAATAATGTATTATTCATAATAGCTGCATAATATGGCTATAAATTTCCACTTTGGTATATCAAAAATTACTCACACATTCTCTCAGTGATAGACATTTAGGTTGTTTCTTGAACTTTGACATCACAAATAATGCCACATGAATATCTCTATACTCTCTCTAACTAGCATTTTTATTTCAGTTAAAATATATTTCTTGGCCGGGCACAGTGGCTCACGCCTGTAATCCCAGCACTGTGGGAGGCCGAGACCGGCAGATCGCCTGAGGTCAAGAGTTTGAGACCAGCCTGGCCAACATGGTGAAATTCCATCTCTACTAAAAATATAAAAAATTAGCCTGGTGTTGTGGCCTATGCCTGTAATCCCAGCTACTCGGGGGGCTGAGACAAAGAATGGCTTGAACTCGGGAAGTGGAGGTTGCCATGAGTGGAGATTGTGCCACTGCACTACAGCCCGGGCAACAGAGTGAGAGAGACTCTGCCTCAAAAAAAAAAAAAAAAAAAAAAAAAAAATATATATATATATATATATATCTTAAAGTAAAAATAAAATACCAGGTGCTGGGTCAAATACCAGGTACAATTTGTTTTAGTACACATTGCCAGATTATTTTCCCCAAGTTTGTAATAATTACTACACCTCCAACAGTGTATGAGAGTACCCTCTCCCCGTGCCTTCAACAGCACCAGACATTGTCATTCTAATTTCTGTCAATCTGACTACTGAAAGATATCTTTGTTGTTGTTTTCATTAGCAGTTCCTGAACTGTAAGGGAGTAAAGAAAATTTTTGTACATTTCTTGGTTGTTTGCATTTCTTCTTTCAACTATAAATTCCAAACTTTCTCTCCCAAATGGATAGCTAACTGGATTATCCTATAAAGGATGGAACTGCCTTTCACTACCAACTTATACTGTGTTGGTTGGCTAATCCTAGGCACTATAAACAGAGTCACTATATTATACACCCCAAGGGACAGTATTCAGGAGTTAGACCCCAGTGGTGGCTGAAAAGGTGGGAAGAGGGTCATTCTCTGATAGTGGTATGGTCAGGAGTATTTTCAGTGGTGAGGAGTATTTTCAGTGGTGGGAAGAGGGTCATTCTCTGATAGTGGTATGGTCAGGAGTACTTTCAGTGGTGGAAAGAGGGTCATTCTCTGATAGTGGTAAGGTCAGGAGTACTTTCAGTGGTGGGAAGAAAGTCATTCTCTGACAGCGGTAGGGTCAGGAGTATTTTCAGTGGTGGGAAGAGGGTCATTCTCTGATAGCGGTATGGTCAGGAGTATTTTCAGTGGTGGGAAGAGGATCATTCTCTGATAGCAGTATGGTCAGGAGTATTTTCAGTGGTGGGAAGAGGGTCATTCTCTGATAGTGATAGGGTCAGGAGTATTTTCAGTGGTGGTAAGAGGGTCATTCTCTAATAGTGGTATGGTCAGGAGTATTTTCAGTGGTGGGAAGAGGGTCATTCCCTGATAGCGGTATGGTTAGGAGTATTTTCAGTGGTAATGCTGGAGTAGGGGTTCTAGGTTGTGACACAAAGAAGAGTCTACAGTGGTAGGAGCAATGGACAAAAGTGTTTATCTATAGGTCTGAAGGATTCATTTTCTTTTGTTTTTGTTGGGTTTTTTGTTTGGTTGGTTTTTTTGAGGAGGAGGTATTTCATATGACAATGCAGTGAATATACCTGGCACATTTAATTTTGCACTGATATAACGAACACCCTTGTTCATTAGTTGCCTTAGTTGATAAGTACAATATTTCCAGAGCCTGGAATCCAATACAGTGGCTTTCTTAATTAAAAGGTACAGGTATTTTAAATTATGCAAGAAACAATGGGGTGGTATCAACTATCCTCCAAATGCATGGGCTACATGGGAGGAAGTTATCAAAATAAATATAAGGGTCTATGACCAAGAAGAAGGGTTAATAGACACTGAGATCTTGAAACACTAAATGCCTGCCAAACATCTTATCTGAATGACCTAAGCCTCCAGAATAATGAAATTTTTAAAAATTAAATAAAGATTATAATTATTAGACCTTAATTCTAACAGAAATACCTTTTATGTGCACTGTTAAATATTAAAGTAGTGCTGGTTTTCTCTTATCCAAAAAAAAAAGAGGGTGTGTGTGTGTGTGTGTGTGTGTGTGTGTTTTAAATCATGCACAGTTTTTAGTCTCATCAAAGTCCTTTTTACTATCTATTAAGGTAATCACATGGATTTTATTTGACCTGTTCAGATAATGTTATAGTGATATATTTCCTGGTATCTTGCGTTCCTGAAATGTGTTCTTTAACAATGATATTCATATTTCCACGTACAGACTTAATTCCCTAAAGTTTTATTTGAGCCTTTTCACATTATGTTCCTGAGTACAAAGTCAATACTATTTGTGTACTCTATCGGGGTTTTGATATCAATTTAGTACTATTACCATCACAAAATATAAAAAAAGTCTAATTACAGCTGACATTTATAGAACATTTTAAATATTCTTTTTACATGCTTCTCATGTAAATCTCATGACAACCGTGTGATATTCGTTACCTCTACTTCAGAGATGGTACAGCTATTATACATCTTAGAAATTCAATAACCTCCCTAAGGTACCCAACCACTAAATAGTAGAGCCTGAATTTCAAAGTGAGGACCCCATAATAACCAATATTCTATGCTACTTGATATCTTTTTGCCAAAAATCTATATCAAGTAGCACTGGAATTAGGTACTATTTGTAAATGGGAGGGTGGTAATCATATATAAGTAAAATTGTAATCATTATTAGAAACCATGCTTTGAAGATCAATTTCCTCCAAAGTTATTCAGTTTTCCACTCGAGTCAATTTGAGAAAGTTTGATTTTTTTTTTTTTTTTTTTATGAGACGGAGTCTTGCTGTCGCCCAGGCTGGAGTGCAGTGGCACGATCTCAGCTCACTGCAACCTCCACCTCTTGGGTTCCAGTGATTCTCCTGCCTCAGCCTCCCGAGTAACTGGGATTATAGGTGCATGCTACCACACCCGGCTAATTTTTGTATTTTTTAGTAGAGACGGGGTTTCACCATATTGGCCAGGCTGGTCTCAAAACTACTGACTTCATGATCTGCCCACCTTGGCCTCCCAAAGTGCTGGGATTACAGGTGTGAGCCACCACACCCGGCCTGAAAGTTCAATTTTTGTGGAAAATCATCCATTATTAGAAGTTTGAACATTTTTAGCATCCACTTTTAAAGAATTAAAAAAGCATTTCAAAAACAAAGAAGAGATCAATGTTTACCTTGACTCTGAGCCAGATGAAGAATTTTTGATGTAACATATCGGGCAGTGTCTGATTCTGAAGGCTCAGCATTGATCTTCTCCAGTTGAGCCAGGAGTCCTACGATCCTAGAATTATTGGTAAGGCTAAAAAGAACGTAGAATGTTAGGGCACATTCTAAATCAATGGTGTAAATTCAATACTATAACGATCACTGTTTAAAAAACAATTCTACTCTTTTAAAAACAGAAAGCATTTACACGTCGCACTTCCTTACTCTGTTCTATAGCTTAATATAGCTTAATATTGTTCTATAGCTTAAATTCTACTGACTTAAGTGAGAAACACATTCTATTTCAGAAAACCACAAATCACAAATATCCCTTCAACCCTGTTCAGTAATCTTACATCACACCTGGAAAGTTCACCTTTCCACTCTCAAAGACTTTTTACACTTACTCTGCTCTCCTCAAAACTCTGATAATCCTTCTTCCCATCCGACTCCATTCTCAGTTAGTGCCCTGCTTCATAACTGGTATAAATCCAGCAAGAATACACTCACTTTCCTGTCACCAGATCCTTAAGCCTACCTATCCTCCACCTATGTTCTTTCTTCCCTGTTCCTATTTATCATACAAATATTTGTACATAGGCCGGGCACAGAGGCTCACACCTGTAAACCCAGCACTTTGGGAGGCCAAGACTGGTGGATCACTTGAGGTCAGTTTGAGACCAGCCTGGCCAACATGGTGAAACCCATCTTTACTAAAAATACAAAAAAATTAGCCAGGCATGTGGCGCATGCCTGCAATCCCAGCTACTTGGGAGGCTGAGACAGGAGAATTGCTTGAATCCAGGAGGCGGAGGTTGCAGTGAGCTGAGATCATGCCATTGCACTCCAGCCTGGGCGACAGAGCAAGACTTCATCTCAACAACAACAAAAAAAATTGTACATACGGTACTGATCTAGGTGTTGTCAATATAGTGTAAACAAAACAAGCAAAAACTCCTGCCCCGCATAGAGTGTACATTCTTATGGTGAGAAACAAGTCAAATAGGTAAATATGTACATTTTATATTTCAGGTGATGGGAAGTACTATGGAGAAAAAGCACATTGGGGGAATAAAAAGTGCAGGGGGAGAGAGACAGTTTTAGACAGCATGGTCAGAGAAGACCACTGAGAAGGTACCATTTAAGAACAGGCCTGAAAGAAGCAAGTAAATAAGCAAGCCGTGCAAATACTGGCAAAAAGAGCTGTCCAGAAAAACGGAGGCACAAGCTCCTAGATCCCTGCGCAGGAGCAAACCTGCCATGTTCTATGAACAATGAGGTGGCCAGTGTGGCTGGAGGAGACAGTGAGGAACAAGGTCAGAGTTGGGGGTAGGCATGGGAGAGAACAGAGAAAAATAGCAGATTGCTTAGAGGCTTGTAGGCCATTTTAAGGACTTTGGCTTTTACAATGAGTGAGATGGGAAATTTTTGAGCAGAAGAGTTACATGTTCTCACTTTTAACGGGCTCTATTTGGCTGGTACATTGAGATTCAAAGAACAATCCACTCGTACACTTGCTCCCAGCCCCTTTCATTCTCAAAGTACTTGCTTTCTCTTTCAATTATACTTTCTCTGATCCCTCATCTATCTTTCCCCTTCAATTAATCGACTTGTAGGCACACAAGTATGATCTAGGAGCTCCTACCAGCTGTTTCTCTGATATTCCTCCAAAGAGAAATATGTACTGCTCTCTCCATTTCCCCACAGACTGTTCACTTTTCAAACCACCAGGTTGCCTTCTGAACTCTGAGATCTCCCAAAAGCATCCTGTGGTCACTTCTAACCCCAACATATTCACATCTCTGCACCATACAAACCAGTTATCTCCTCTTTTCTTAACACACTTTCTTCTTTGGGATTCAATGACTCTATACTCGCCTGATTTTCCTCCTCTTGCCCCTTCTTTGAGATCCCCTCTGACACACTTCTAAGACACTGACATCTCCCCCAACAGCTCTGTCCCAGCCCACTTCTCTTCACTCACTACACTTTTGCCTTGAGTGATCCCATCTAATCCCACAGCTGTAATTATTATCTGTATGCAGCTTGGCTCCTATGTTCAATAGCAGCCTCAACCTCTGATAGCTTCACCAACCTAACCAGCCCAATATAAAACTTCTGTTCCTCCTCTCAACCTAGTCCTCTTCCAATCTTAACCTTTACAAATTCACATGAATTCAGTTGAAGGTTCAACATAAATATCTAGACTCCCTTTTCCACACTGCAACCCAATACAAGTTCTATCTCAAAACATCTCAAATCCATTCACTTCTCTCCATATCTACTATATGACTACCCACATCCAAGCAATCATCATCTCTCACAGCCTAGTGACTAGGCTGCTTCCCTTCTTGGTGCCCAATAACCCATTTCCACACAGTAATTTTTTTTAACTTTTATTTTGAAGTAATTATAGATTCACAGGAAGTTGCAAAAATAGTAGACTGGTGCTTTGTAACCTTCACTCAGTTTCCCCAATGGTTACATTTCACATAACTATAGGACAATATCAAAACCAGGAAAACCGACACAGTTGCTACTTTCCTGTGAGAGCCTCATGGTCGGCCTGTACTGGCCCTTGGGTGCTCAGGGGCCCCTTGTTTTATCTGGTTCTTAAATGTTTGTTACCACAGAAAATAAAACTGAGCTTTAAAAAAAAATGCTAAGGGTACCTAAGACCCTTTCAGCAAATGTGCAAGGCCAAAGACAATTTTCATAAAAATACTAACACATTATTTACCATTGACACTGTGTGGACATTTGCACCGATGGTCCAAAGGCAATGATGGGTACAGAGTTGGCATTGCAGCAAAATGAAGGCAGTGACACCAAACTGTTCTAATAGTCAGTGCATTTTTCACCACCATGAATTTGTAGTTTAAAGAGAATGCCAGTTTTACCCATGAGTGTACATCATCTTAATATTCTGTGTGCATAAAATCATTTCTGCTGCACATTGAAATATGATGGTTATCTTGGGAGAAAATACATGCAACTGTCTGAATGACAAGCTAAACTAGCCACTTTTTTCCAAAGAACATCATTTTTACTTCAAGAAAACGATGGACAAACAATGATTATTCAGACTGGGATATTTTGCCAGACATTTTCTTTCCTTTTCTTTTACTTTTTTTTTTTTTCAGACAGAGTCTCGCGCTGTTGCCCAGGCTGGAGTACAGTGGCGCAATCTCGGCTCACTGAAACCTCCATGTCCCAGGTTCAAGCGATTCTCCTGCCTCAGCCTCCCAAGTAGCTGGGATTACAGGCATGAGCCATTACACCCAGCTAATTTTTATATTTTTAGTAGAGACGGGGTTTCACCACGTTGGTCAGGCTGGTCTCGAACTTGTGATCTCAAGTGATCTGCCTGCCTTGGCCTTCCAAAGTGCTGGGATTACAGGTGTAAGCCACCACACCTAGCCTTTGCCAGACATTCTCTTTTCATGGAGATAAGCAAAGTGAGCCTGTCACTTCAAAGGAAACAACTAATAGATTTGTTGCTGATGATAAAATTTGAGCTTTCAAGCAAAAATTGGAATTTTGGAAAACACTGATCTACCATAATGACCTTGACAGTGTCTCAATATTTAAAGAATTTTCTCATAAAATCAATGGTGATATTAACAAATATAATTTCTTAATATTGTGTAAAAAATGTGTCAACCCGGTCGGGCGCAGTGGCTCATGCCTGTAATTCCAGCACTTTGGGAGGCTGAGGTGGGCAGATCGCTTGAGGTCGAGAGCTCGAGACCAGCCTGGTCAACACGGTGAAACCCCATCTCTACTAAAAATACCAAAATTAGCCAGGTGTAGTGGCGCACATCTGTAATCCCAGCTACTTGGGAGGCTGAGGCAGGAGAATTGCTTGAACCCGGGAGGTGGAGGCTGCAGTGAGCCAAGTTGTGCCACTGGACTCCAAACTGGGTGACAGAGCAAGACTCCGTCTCAAAAAAAAAAAAAGTATCAATCCACATTTATAAGATTTGATTTGCATAATTAAATCAGTACTTTCCAAATGACCAATGCATGGTGTTACAAAATCAGATGTGGATAAAAGTAAGTGTAAGATAGACCAACGGATTTTAATGTAACAGAGTACAAAAGTTCACTAATATGGTTTCAGATTCCACATTGTAACTAACCTATACGACACTATCACTTATCAAGCTTTAGTGTAATATCAAGGAATATCTATTTCAATTTGAATCTCAAATAATATGGTTTTATTTCCAAAGCACATTTTCATTTAATACTGTTTGTTCTACATTTTAACTATGACTTTTGCTTTGATCACATTTTTACTGTTTTTCTCCAAATAGTGAACACATGATTTTATTTTCCTCCACCATAAATCAAAGGACAACAATCTAAAAAGGCTACTAAAGTACTCCTTCCTTTACTATATATTTCTGTGTGAACCCAGATATGTCTTCTTTGTACCCTTCAACAATACAACACACACAAAAAAATGTATGTGTATATATATTTACACATAACATGTAAACTCAGAAGCAGATAAGAGAATCTGTTTTCTATTAAGCCAGACATTAATAAGATCTGCAAAAATGTAATAAAATATGCCACTCTTCCTACCAAACCTATTTTGTTTAGGAAACCATAGTTATTTTTAATGCAAAAACATTATATGTTATGCAGTGGGTTTATTATTTTTTAAATGAATTAATATTTGTAATATGATAAATTATGGGTCTTAATTTGTTTTTTGTTTTTTTTTTTTTTTTTTTTTTTTTGAGGCAGAGTCTTGCTCTGTCGCCCAGGCTGGAGTGCAGTGGCGCAATCTCGGCTCACTGCAAGCTCCGCCTCCCGGGTTCACGCCATTCTCCTGCCTCAGCCTCCTGAGTAGCTGGGACTACAGGCACCCACCACCACACCCAGCTAACTTTTTGTATTTTTAGTAGAAACGGGGTTTCACTGTGTTAGCCAGGATGTTCTCGATCTCCTGACCTCGTGATCCGCCCGCCTCAGCCTCCCAAAGTGCTAGGATTACAGGCGTGAGCCACTGCGCCCAGCCCTTAATTTGTTATATGATAAATATCAACAGATAAAATAATCCGCATGAACAAAAGTTTTTTGGAGTATCATTAACTTATAATAGAAAAAGGTTCTAAAGCCAAAAAGTTTGATAACTGCTCTTTTAGGCTTCTCTTGTACATTCAGTGATCTTGATCTGGTTCTTTTTGGTGAGAAATGATATATAAGTCACCACAATCTGTGTACTAGAGAGCAAACACATCTTTTTAAAAATTTCTGTAACCCAGATTTGAGAGAAATTTGCATTCACAGAAACCAACATTCTAAAATTTAATAACTGACCATTTTGTTTTTCGTTATTTTTCTTTTAAAAGGTCATCTTTTTTTTTTGGCAATTAATAAAACATCTATTCAAAAAATTCAACATGCAATTCACAAACATACAAAACACAGTGAATGGAACACAGGTCCTAAAATTAAGAGCTTGCTTTGCCAGTAACCCTGACTAGTTAAAATTAATTACGCCAATTAAAATAAATTTACCACTACAAAAGAAAACTTTCATCTTAGTGATTCCTTTGTGAGAATCATCCTTTTCCAAATGCCAGATGGATAGATGGGTAAATTTTTTAAAGGCAAATAAATGGAAATAAACAGTTAAATCAATCTATTTTTATTTTCATCTACAGAAGGAAAACGGAACAAAATTATATTCTAAGCCACTTCCCAACTCAGCTCTAAAATTTGTTAAGACTGCTGGTTGACACTAATGTTGAGAGTCAGAGGGTGAACACCAGAGGGCAGCTCTACCATTTGACTACATTTTGGCTTTGGAAAATCTGAGGGCGGTGGGATGCAAATGAAAGAAAAAAAGCTATATATGAGCAATTTGAGATACTACACTGCAAAGCAGAGGAATGTTAAATAAAGACACTTAGAGGAGGAAATGTATCTTCCCCACCTAACCCTTTTTTTTTTTTTTTTTTTTTTTTTTTTTTTGAGAAGCAGTCTTGCTCTGTCGCCCAGGCTGGAGTGCAGTGGCGCGATCTTGGCTCACTGCAAGCTCCGCCTCCTGGGTTCACGCCATTCTCCTGCCTCAGCCTCCCGAGTAGCTGGGACTACAGGCGCCTGCAACCACGCCCAGCTCATTTTTTTGTATTTTTATTAAAGATGGAGTTTCACTGTGTTAGCCAGGATGGTCTCGATCTCCTGACCTCGTGATCCACCCGCCTCGGCCTCCCAAAGCGCTGAGATTACACACCTAACCCTATTTTTAGATGCATCAAAATAAGGCTGAGACCAACTTTGGGAGGTTCCATTTGTAACTGTCAGTGTTATATATGTAACAGTGAGAAAATTATGGAATTGAAAAAACGATCAATGTGTAACACATCAAATCAAGTTAACTTCAAATGCATATTTTTTTAAATAATTTCATTTATTTATTTATTTTTAAGAGAAAGGGTCTCACTATATGCTGCCCAGGATGATCAAACTTCTGGGCTCAAGCGATCCTCCCACGTGAGTCTCCCAAAAAGTTGAAACCATAGGCACATGCCACCACATCCAGCCCAAATAAATATTTTAAGGGCATTATCACTCAAATATTTGTTTCATTGTATTGGTCTCATGCTGCTTTTGATTCTTTGAGCTTATATTCAATCTTGGAGCTATTTTCCTAAAAATATAAATTTGCTTGAATATGGCAAAAGTCCCAATGATATGCAGATACTGTCTTTGCAACAAATAATTTCCTAAGTAAGGGCAAGGGATATAAAACCTATATTCACATTATAAATAAATTACACTACCTTTTTCACCTTAAAATATAAATCAAATGCAGGCAATAAAGACTTCCTCATAAATACGGTAAAAAAAAATAATAAACAGCAAAAAAAAAAACCATAAAAACATACAAAAGTTTTAGGATTACACAGGATGCATGGTAGTAAAACAATTTCAAACAATATGGCTTTATTTTCAAAATGCACCTTATCTTTCAGAAATTTCTGCTCAATTATAACTTTTATTCTGGCTTTAATCACATTTTTACTGTTTCTCTCCAAATACTAAACACGTAACTGTTTTCTTCTAATTTATGTGGAATGGATTATTTTTTACCATAACACAAATTAAAACTGAACAAATTTTAAAGTACTCAATCATTAAATCACTTAAAATAATAAATCCATTACATAACATTTTTATAAATGGTATCTGTATTTTACCAAAAAAGTAAAGATTTAGAGAGAAGAGCGGCAGTGTTTTACATTACTACAAAACTCTTTTAATGTCTGGCTCAGTAGAAGACAGAGTCTCATACCTACTTCTGTATTCAACCTGTTACAGTATCACACATCATGAGGCCTCTGGAAAACAGCACTTTATACTCATGAGAAAATGAGCGTGAATAAAGCAAATCATCTCTCAGTACTACTATGAAAATGGTTGTGACCTCATTCCTCTAAGGTCCACAGCTAACACCTTGAGAACTTCTGGGCTAGGTTATACTACCAAAACGAACAACTCCACAATCCCCTTGGCTTATTCAACACAACGAAAGTGTAATTCCTGCTCACATTACGTGTACAGTGCAAGTCAGCAGGAGACTCAACTCATTCAACCATCTAGGCTGCCAGAGATATTTTCATGTTCACAACACCAAGAGGAAAAAAAGAGAGATGTGGCAAATGGTGCACTAGCTCTTAAAGCTCTCACCTGGAAATGACAAATATCACTTCAGCTCATTTCACCGGCTAAAGCAAGTCACACAGCCACAGATTAACCTCAAAGAAAATACAGTACAACCCTGCCAGGTGCCCAAAAGGAGAACTAAAATATATGTGACCAGCCCTTGTGACTACCACACTAGGCATAGCCATGTATCCAAGTCCTGGCAAGTGAGATGTAGGCAGATGAGATGTGAGCCACTTCGCAAGTTTTGCTTTTAAGAATAAGATGTGCATCCTTTCTGCATTCCCACTGGCTATGATATAGTGAGAACAAGAGAAAATGCCTTGGACCCAGAGATAGAAGTCACATATTCAGGAAAAGCAGAGCCATTCTGCCACCCTTGAACAACAACCTCTAGGTTAATAAAATAGAAATAAGCTTGAATATTTAGCCATTGTATTCTGAGGTATCTACTACATCAGCTTAGCCTATGTCTAAACTAATACATAGCTATATATATTAAACACACTATACTTTTTTTTTTCTTTTTTGAGACAGGGTCTTGTTCTGTCGCCCAGGCTGGAGTGCAGTGGCGCAATCTCGGCTCACTGCAACCTCCACCTCTCAGGTTCAAGGGATTCTCGTGCCTCAGCCTCCAGAGTAGCTGGGATTACAGGCATGTGCCACCATGCCAGGCTAAGTTTTGTATTAGAGATGGTGTTTCACCATGTTGGCCAGGCTGGTCTTGAACTCCTGGCCTCAAGTGATCCACTCATCTTGGCCTCCCAAAGTGCTGGGATTACAGACATGAGCCACCACACCTGGCCTTTTTTTTTTTATTTTTATTTTTTAATTTTTTTTTTGAGATGGAGTCTTGCTCTGTCACCCACGCTGGAGGACAGTGGTGCAATCTTGGCTCACTGCAACCTCTGCTTCCCTGGTTCAAGCGATTCTCCTGCCTCAGCCTCCCGAGTAGCTAGGATTACAGGCACCCACCACCATGCCCAGCTAATTTTTGTATTTCTAGTAGAGACAGGGTTTCACCATGTTAGCCAGGCTGGTCTTAAACTCCTGACCTCAGGTAATCCACCCGCCTCAGTCTCCCAAAGTGCTGGGATTACAGGCATGAGCCACTGCACCCGGCCAACTTTTTATCTGAACCAAAGTAGATGTTTATAAAGAATTAAATCAATTACTATATTGTAGGAGTGATCAAACAGTCCACATGAGGAACACCATGAACAGAAGACAATGTAAAACACCGTAACAGAGAACAAAAACAGACTCTGACAGATTGCTTTATAAACAGGGAAAACAACCCTCTCCAAGCCCCCATAACCACTATTCCACTCTCTACTTCTATGAGATCAACTTAGATGTACTACCTTTTACCTGTCTTTACCAATAGGTCAATTAGGAAAGGAAAAAATGTGAATTCCTTTTTGGGAACTGTTTCACCTGTTTCCAAAGGTTAGTGTCTGCTTTCATTACCATAGTCAAGATATTCTCAAATGCCTGTTTTTATCTCCTCTTTGACTCAGGTTGTTCAAGAGAGTTTTAAATTGAAGGTGAACAGTCTTTGTTGTCAGAAGCAGCCTGATTCTTTTTGCCCCATATAATGTTATCTTTTTACCTAGCTACCCAAAAGACTATCTTTAAGGTCCAAAACTTTTCTAGAATATGTTCTGCTATCTAGCGTATATCCTACTCTGCTCAGTTTTCTCTGACACAGCCTGTGTGTTTTAAGTCATCATTCTTCCTTCTCCCTCCATGCACTCAACCAAAAGTTTTCTTGATACGTTTCTAAAAACATACCTTTTAAATAATACATTCTATTCCACTGTTTCCATTCCTTCCTTGGAAATTACAGTTACAAGTATATTGGATTTCTTTTGTCAGTCTTACACATCTAACCTTTTATCTCCAATCTCTTTAATCATTTGTTTACATCCATTAAATTGTGATCACTTTCTCCATTACTATTCTTTGTGTGTTTTACTGTGCTTTTATAGTATCTACTTTCAAACTGCTGCTAATTTAATTGTCCTTTCTGTGATATTTTCTCTTCTGCTTTAAGTATTGCCAGTTCACATTTCATCTCTTCCTGCTGACTCACAATATCATCTCTCAATTTATCTGTTTCTGTTTTATGATCTTCACAGAGGTAACTACATCATCAGTTTTTTTTTTTTAATTTGTAGTGAAATATTTTATGAGAATTTTCACCTGCTTCCTAAAAATGTTATTTCTGGTAACGACTCTCTGTCTCTCTCTCTTTTTTTTTTTTAACAGTACCTTTTAATTACTCATTGAATGAGCTGAATTTTCCTCGATTGGTAACTTGTATAAGCTCCTATAAAAAGATGGGAGGTGAAGGAAGACCAGGGTAGCATTTCAAATTAATTAGGCCTCACAATTGAATGGCTCTCTCCTTTGCTGCCACAGAGACAAACTACTTTGGATACATGCTATTGGTTTACATAATTGTTGAATAGTCTGCCTGATCTGCTTCTCTGGACCAATTCCATCCATGAAATATTGTTCTCCCATCTCTACACAACCCAGTTACAGTGAGTTGTCAAACTGTTGCAAAACAATTTAGGGTCCACCCTAAACCTTCAACAAGTATATTTTTGCTGGAGCTTTCTGAGATCTGCTATTCTGAGCCCTCTGGTCCCTATGTGTACTTATCTTCACTTCCTCCCAAGTGGCTTCTGCCCAATGTCCCAGTTGCATTTGGCAGCCTTTACATGTATTGCTGAGTCTGCAGCTAATGTTTCCTAATCTTGCCAATAACTGAATTTTCAAAGAATGAGGCTGTTTAGTCCTCCTAGTTTTTTGAGGATTTGAAATAATTTCCAGGAAGAGATGGGGAAGACAGAATTATTCAATGATGTTCAAACTGGAAGTTTAGATATACAATTTTTAAAGGCCTCCTGGCTCTTGTGAAGTGAATGGATTACATAAAGGAATCAAGAGTAGAGGCAGAGAAGTAAGGAGACTATTACAGTGGTCTTAGAAACAGATGATAAAAGCCTGGTCAAGGTAGCAACAATGGGCATGGAGAAATACACAGACAAGTGATTTACTTTTAGTGATAGATACAAAACATAGTATTCACTGGTAGCCTGGATGAAGAATGCTAAATGAAAAGATTGTCAAGGATGACTCCCAGATTTATGGCTTGCACTTCTGCGTGGTTAGAATCTCATTTCACTGAGTCAGAGTAACACTAGAGGATGAAAAGATTTGCAAAGGCTCAATCTGGGGGAACACATAATGTGGGAGATGACTATGAAACTTCCAGGTAGCAATACTTAATAGGCATGGAGATACAGAGGGATTGGTCTCCACTACAGATGACATCTAAATCAATAGGACTCAAATGAGATTGTCCAAGGACACTGTATAGGTTAAAAGGAGAAAAAGTTTAGGACTGAGTCCTGAGGACTATTTAGAGGTCCTACAGAGGAAAAAGTCCCATAAGTAGGTTTAGAAGCAGTGGCCAATGAAGTGGGAAGAAAAACAAGAGACAATGGTACCGCAGACACCAACTGAAATAAGTTTCAAATAGGAGGGACAACATCCAAAAGAAATGTCAACTGCTGCTTAAAAGTTAAATAAGACAGAAGCAAAAATAAAATAAATCCACTAAGTTACCACCTGAAAACTAAAGGTGGCCTTGGGCTTCTATAGCCTATCAACATGGAAAGACAGGAAATAAATGAGGTAAACCAAGTACTTGCCCTAGCTTACAGCCTTGACAGTTTCAGGTAATGTAAGAAAGCAGAACCCAGACAGCCCAACAGTCTTCTTTAGTTGAGGAGATAAAGGTAAGAGTCCAGGGAAACCATCGTGGCTAGAATTCCAAGAAGAGATGACCAGAGGAGAGAGAGCTGCACAGAGAAAACTCCAGAGATGTGCAGAAAGCCTCCCTCAAATACACAGCTGAATACAGATCAGCGCAGGAGTGTAAGGAAACTACCCAAGACTAGGAAAAAAAATCATCAGAAAGGATTCAAAGTAATACTGCTAGGTAATCACAGGACAGGGAATTGTGTCTGATCCCACCAATCAAAATTTTAAAATCTCATGATTAGCAGAACACTGGATAGAGTACACACAGGGGTCTAACCTCAGTAGTAAGGAATAATTTAGTCAGATAGACTGAGAATAGCTCCAGTCCTATCTAACAAACATTAAAAGAAAGACTCAAAAGATTCACACTTTTTTGAAGTAACTTAACTGCATCCCAGAATAAGGCTCAAGAATATTTAAGGAATACAAAAATGTCCAGGACAGCAGAAGGTAAAAATCACCTATCAAAAGTTACCAGGCATGCACAGAAACAGGTAAGTACAATCTATAATGGGAACAATCAAAATGAACAAAGAATAGATACAAACATTATAATTAATAAACAAGGATATTAAAATAGGTGTTGTAACTATATTACGTGTGTGCAAAACTAGTCACTTAAAAAATATTAAAAAGTCCCAAATCAGACTACAATGTCTGAGATGAAATATACTTTGTATAAGATAAACAGCAAATTTTATGTGTCAGAAAAAAAAGATGAGTGAACTTGAGGACACGCAATAAAAAGTATCCAAAATAAAAGAGAGAGAAAAAAGAATTAGGAGAAAAAATTTGACAGGGCAGTGAACTGTGAACCAATTTCAAGGAAAGACATATACATTTCATTGAAGTTCCTGAAGGACAAGAGAGAGAGAAAAGAACAGAAATATGTAATAAAATTATGACCAAAATTTTTCCAATTTTGATAAGCTACATACCCAAGAAGCTCAATAAACTAAAGGCACAAGAAACATTAAAAAAAAAAACAAAAAACCTACATCAAGGGACATCATAATCAAACCTTCCAAAATCAGTGATTTTTAAAAGAAAATGGGAAAAAGCAGCCAAATAACAAAAGACAGGCTATACACAGAAGAACTAAGATAAGTATGACAACAGAATTATCTTCAGAAAAAAAGCAGGCAGCCAGGTAGCCAAGAGTGGTGGCTCACACCGGTAATCCCAGCACTTTGGGAAGCTGAGGCAAGAGGGCAGCTTGAAACCAACAGTTCCAGACCAGCCTGGGCAACATAGCAAGACATATCTCTGTTCATTAAAAAAGAAAAAAAGAAGTAGAAAATGAGTGATAAGACAATGATACTATATATTATTTAAATTTCTCTAAAAGACAATTAACTAAACTAAAAGTAGTGTGCTGGGTCTATAACATAGGTAACAGTAAGCGTATGACAAACAGCACAAAGGTTAGAGAGAGGGGAAGTGGAAGGTTTTTTTGGGTTTTTTTTGAGACGGAGTCTCGCTCTGTCACCCAGGCTGGAGTGCAGTGGCATGATCTCGGCTCACTGCAAGCTCCACCTTCCGGGTTCACGCTATTCTCCTGCCTCAGCCTCCCGAGTAGCTGGGAATACAGGTGCCCACCACCGCACCCAGCTAATTTTTTGTATTTTTAGTAGAGATGGGGTTTCACCATGTTAGCCAGGATGGTCTCGATCTCCTGACCTTGTGATCCGCCCGCCTCGGCCTCCCAAAGTGCTGGGATTACAGGTGTGAGCCACCACGCCTGGACTATGGAAGGTTTTTATACTATGTAGGAAGTGATGTATCACTAAAAGATAGACTATGATAAGTATACTAGATGTATAGTATAAACCCTATAAAAATCACTAAAGCAAAATGGAGTTCTAGCTAATAAGGAGCTACGCCAACGAGAAGATGAAATGGAAACAGGAAGAAATATTCATTAATCTAAGAGAAGGAAGAAAAGGAGGAAGAAGAGAATAAAAAATGAGACATATAGAAAATAAATAGGCCAGGCACAATGGCTCACACCTGTAATCCCAGCACTTTGGGAGCCAAGGTGGGTGGATCACAAGGTCAGGAGTTCAAGACCAGCCTTGCCAAGATGGTGAAACCCCTTCTCTACTAAAAATACAAAAAACTAGCCAGGCATCGTGGCAGGCACCTGTAATCCCAGCTACTCAGGAAGCTGAGGCAGAGAATTGCTTGAACCCGGGAAGCGGAAGTTGCAGTGAGCCAAGATTGCACCACTGCACTCCAGCCTGGGCCACATGGTGGGACTCTGTCTCAAAAAAAAAAAAAAAAAGAAAGAAAAGAAAAGAAATAGTAAGATCATATTTTTAAACACATTAAATATAGAAGATCTAGGGCCAGGCACAGTGGCTCACGCCTGTAATCCCAGCACTATGGGAGGCTGAGGCGGGCGGATCACGACATCAGGAGATCGAGACTATCCTGGCTAACACGGTAAAACCTCATCTCTACTAAAAATACAAAAAAAAAGAATTAGCCGGGCATGGTGGCAGGCGCCTGCAATCCCAGCTACTCGGGAGGCTGAGGCAGGAGAATGGCGTAAACCCGGGAGGCAGAGCTTGCAGTGAGCCGACATCGCGCCACTGCACTCCAGCCTGGACGACAGAGCAAGACTCCATCTCAAAATAAATAAATAAATAGGATCTAAAATCCTCAATTAAAAGACAGAGAAGGGTAGACTATATATTTTAAAAAAAAAAGCAGACACAATACATGTTGCCTACAAGAAATGTGCTTTAAATATAAAGATAGAAATAGGCTAAAAGTAAAAGAATAGAAAAAATACATCATGCTGATACTAATCAAGTCAACTATGGAACTAAACTAAAATCAGTAAAAACCTTTAGAAACCCCTCAAATATTTGGAAAGTAAATAACAAGCTTCTAAATAACCCATGGATCAAAGAAAAATCAAAAGGGAAATCAGAAGGTATTTCTAACTGAATGAAAACACAACATATCAGAATTAGCAGGATATCACCAAAATAGTATTTAGGGGGAAATTTACAGCAATAAATGTCCACAGTAGAACGGAAATCTTTCAAACCAATGACCTTAGCTTTCAATGTAAAAAATAAGAAAAAAAGAGCACATGAAACTCAAAAGTAAGCACAAGTCAGGAAATAATAAAAATCAAAATAGAAATCAAAGAAACATGCAAAATCATAGGAAAATCAATGAAACCAAAAGCTTGTTCTTTGAGGATATCAGTAGAACTGATAAACTTTCAACCAGGCTGATTGAGAAAAAAAAACAAAACACTAATTCCCAATATTAGGAATGGAAAAGTAACGTCACTATAAATGCTAGACAGTAAAAAGATAAAAGAATACTTCAACAACTTTATGCCTATAAATTGGACAACATAGAAGAAATGAACAAATGCCTTGAAAGACATTAGCTTCCTAACATTTTCACAGGAAAGTATTTGTTTCCTACTGCTGCTGTAACCAATTACCACTAACCTCACTGCTTAAAAACAACATGAACTTATTATTGTATTACAGGCTAGAGATCAGAAATCCAAAACCAGTTTCAATGGGCTAAAACCAAGGTGTAAGAAGAAATGGTTTTTGGCATGTTCTCACTCATAAGTGGCAGTTGAACAATAAGAAATCATGGATACAGGGAGGGGAACATCACACACTGAGGCCTGTTCGGGGGTGGGGGGCTAGGGGAGGGATAGCATTAGGAGAAATACCTAATGTAGGTGACGGGTTGATGGGTGTAACAAACCACCATGGCACGTGTATACTTATGTAACAAAACTGCACATTCTGTACATGTAACCCAGAACTCAAAGTATAATAAAAAATAATAATAATTTTAAAAAAAGAAGAAGAAATGGTTTTTCTAGAGGCTCTGAGGGAGAATCCATTTCCTTGCCTTTTCCAGTTTCTAGAGGTCACCTGTATTCATTGGCTCATGGCCTCTTTTTTACATCACCCTAACCTTTTGCTTCCATCATCACATCTCCTACTACTGACTCTGATCCTCTTGCCTTCCCCTTAATAAAGACCCTTATGATTACACTGGGCCCACACAGATAATCTAGGATCATCTCTCTACATCAAGATGCTCAATTTATTTATATCTACACAGTCCCTTTTACCAAGTAATGTAACATATTCACTGGTTCCAGGGATTAAGGCATGGACATCTCCTAAGGGACCATTATTCAGCCTACCATAGACACAAATTACCAAAACTCACTCAATAAGAAATAGAAAAACCTGAATAGTGCTATCTATATCTAATAAAGAAAGTGAATTTATACTTTATTGTTTTTTGTTTGTTTGTTTTTTGAGACAGATCACTCTTTCACCGAGGCCGGAGTGCAATGGCACTGTGTCGGCTCACTGCAACCTCTGTCACCTGGGTTCAAGCAATTCTCCTGCCTCAGCCTCTCGAGTAGCTGGGATTACAGGCATCCACCACCACGCCCGTAGTTTTTATATTTTTAGTAGAGACGGGGTTTCACCATGTTGGCCAGGCTGGTCTTGAACTCCTGACCTCAGGTGATCTGCCAGCCTCGGCCTCCCAAAGTGCTGGGATTACAGGCGTGAGCCACCATGCCCGGCCAAGAATTTATACTTTAAGAACTTGCCACAAAGAAAATTCCAAGACAAGGTGCCTTAACTGATGAATATTACCAAACATACAAAGAAATAATACCAATTATATACAAACTCTTCCAAAAAACTGAAAAGGAGGAAATACTTCCTGATTCCAAAATTCTATGTGGCTAGTACCTAATACCAAAACCAGATAAAAATATTACAATATGCTTCATGAACATAGATGCAGAAGTTCTAAACAACCCTTTAGCAAATCAAATCCAAAAATATATGAAAAGGATAATAACAATATATCATGACCAAGTAAGATCAATCACAGGAATGCAAAGTTGGTTTAATATTTGAACATCATTCAATATAATTCACCTATTAATAAACTAAAAGAGAAAAACTTTGCAACCATCTCAACAGACAGAAAAAGTATTTCACAAAATCAGACATTCATACTGGATAAAAAATTCTCAGCATACTAGAATATAAGAGAATTTTTTCAACCTGATAAAAAGCATTTAAGAAACCCACAGTTAACAAAATGTTTAAAGGTAAAAGAATGCTTTTCTCCTACAACCAGAAAACAAGATAAGGATATCCACTGTCACCATTTTTTTAGTGATACCTACTAAATGAGTTCATCCTCCAATGTCATTCAGCTGCTCAATAAAGGTTATCCAGGGTAAGGACTTTGTCTCTTGGATGTGATGGAAAAATTTAAAGCAAGGTAAAGACATCTCAGATATCAGCAAGAACGTGTAATAATGGACAACAGATTCTATACTGTTGTATAGAAGAGGAGGAGGAAGAGATGAATGAGAGAAAACAAAAGTTAACAGATTAGAGCTCTGGGTGAGGTAGAACTCTTAGAGAACAGATATTTGAGCAAGTGAGCTAGAAAGATAACAGATTATAGTTGGAGAATGAAAAGAATAAATTAGTATTTTGAAATTAGAGTTTTTCTAATGATAAGATTTAGGGCATGACCATAATGGTAAAGAGTGAAGTGCAGAGAAAATTTCTACTTCTTAATATTTTACTAGACGTGCTTCTTTGATTTAAATTGCCACCTACTGCCATGGGTCTTTAAATCTGCCAATCTAATCTATCTAATTAGAATCTTTGTTTAAATTCAGCAATTCTGAATATTCTACCAACCCTCAAGCCACCCTTGACTCTTCAAGTCCCTATCACACAATAAACACCTGTTTATGAGTACCTTATTTTCTAATTCTATACACCTCAAAATTTAACACTTCACTATATACTGGTTAAGTCGCCATACTGCATTTGTTCAGATATTCTTTATCAGTTTACAGGCTTTGTGTAAAAAGAGAATAGGGCTCTTTTTTTTAGAACATATTCTACACTCATTTTCTTCAATACACTGTATTAAGTGTTATACTCATGTTTCTTTTCTACTCTCACAGATTTAGTACCAAGCTAGGTAAAAGTATTTCATAATTGAGAAATAAATCAAAAAGAGGAAAAGAAAAAAAGGAAGAAATCAAAGACAGTATCTACAGAAGCTTCTAGAGACATGAAAGTATACAAAAGATTTTCTGTGAAAATTGGTGAGCTCTCATCAAATTTGAAGAAAGAAAAAAATTCAAAACAAAGCCTGGAAGTATTATTTCTCCCCCCTTTTCAGACCCTTAGAAGACATTCTTGTAAGTTCTCTAACACAGTCTCAATATGCCATACTATAGGAAGGGAGCTTTGACCCTTTTCTATCTATCTCAATTTGCCTTATTGCATTCAGCTTTCTTCACAGAGCAGTATGACAAGTTTTACTAGAAATTATAATTTCCTTTAGACGAAGACTATTTGCAGTGATTCCAAATTAGTTACCCTACAACAACAACAACAACAACAACAAAAAAAACAAATATCCAATAAAATATACTTCATGAGAAAAAAATTAAAAATGACCTTAGGAGCCAGAGGCTTTCAAACTAAAAGTAATTTCACATTTTTATGAACAATGATCTAGTAATTTTAGATAGTTTAGCTAATCAATAGAAATAGCATTATTTGTTTGACCTGATGCAAAAAGTAAGGCATTTTTTAAAAAGATCCTTTTTAAAATACAAATAATGCCTAATTCCTTTCCTATAGAAATTACACAAGTACGTGACTAAAATCAAATTTGGTATGATGTATTACATGTTAATAACTGCAAAACCTAGCAATTTAAGGAATAAATCTTATCTAAACAGTGTGTATACTATTCATTATATAACAGATTTAACGCATACCAATGAATGTAAAGTTATATACACGTAAACATAAGAACATTGCTACAAAGCAGAAACTTTCATTACCAGTATTAATACACTGTCAATTACCAAGCCAAATACCATTTAATCTTCACAGCCTTATAATAACAGCATTATCATTAAAGTAATTGTTCAGATGAGAAAACTGAGGCTTCACAAAGTTACACAATTTGCTCATCACTGTATAGCCAAGACAATTTCAATATACAATCAGAATTGTCTTTCAACTGAAAGAAATAAAACCAACATTAAGACAATTTCTTGATATTTAAGAACTTTAACAGAGATGATACAGTGTGCTTTAACTCAGCAATCAGTTAAACTTTATCTTTTTTCTTTCTTTTTTTTTTTTTTTTGAGACAGAGTCTCACTGTGTTGCCCAGGCTGGAGTGCAGTGGCGAGATCTGGGCTCACTGCAACCTCTGACTCTCGGGTTCAAGCGATTCTCCAGCCTCAGCCTCCAGAGTAGCTGGGACTACAGGCGCCTACCACCACACCTGGCTAATTTTTGTATTTTTTATAAAGACAGGGTTTCACCATGTTGGCCAGACTGGTCTCGAACTCCTGACCTCAGATGACCCACCCGCCTCGACCTCCCAAAGTGCTGAGATTACAGGCGTAAGCCACTGCGCCCAGCCTAAACTTTTTCTGTAAAGGGCCAAATAGTATATATTTTAGGCATTGTGGGCCATGCAGTCCCTGTCATAACTACTCGAATTCACCATTTTAATAGAAAAGTGGCCACAGACAATATGTAAATGAATTAGCATGGCTGTGTTCCAAAAAAACACTTTATTTATAGATGCTGAAATGCAAATTACATATAATGTTCATGTATCACAAAATACTATTTTTTTAACCATTTAAAAATGTAAAAACCGGCCGGGCATGGAGGTTCACACCTATAATCCCAGCACTTTGGGAGGCCAAGGCGGGTGGATCACCTGAGGTCAGGAGTTCGAGACCAGCCTGGACAACATAGTGAAACCCCGTCTCTACTAAAAGTACAAAAAATCAGCCGGGTGTGGTGGTGGGTGCCTGTAATCCCAGCTACTCCAGAGGCTGAGGCAGGAGAATCACTTGAACCCAGAGGCAGAGGTTGTAGTGAGCCGAGATCGTGCCACTGCACTCTAGCCTGGGCAACGAGAGTGAAATTCCGTCTCAAAAAAAAAAGTAAAAACCATTCTGAGCTCACAGGCCACACAAAAACAGGAGGTGGTCATAGTTTGCTGATTCCAATTTTAACTGAAAAGTTAAACATTAATAAACATTTTTAATTACATAAATATAACATATTATACTTAAACACAAATAATACTTTGTCAAGTATTGAGTTTCAAGTAATTCTGTCATACATTATTTCTGTAACTTATGCATACTGATATTCAGAATTACAGTACCTTTTTTCTGGTATCACTTTTAACTTGCTCATCTTGAGTTACTTCATTTCATAATTGCAGATAATCTAAAAGAAAAATGTTAATGATATTAAAAACTTATAACTCTTTTTTCTATATATTAGATATCACAGAAGCCATACAATGGAAAGTTTTCATTATGGGCAACACAAGATAACACCGGAAACAAAAAGAGAACATTTGAGTTCTATGTGCTTCTACTGGGTCGCTTCAGAATGCAATGTATGACTATAAAAATACCTATAATCAGCCAGGAAACTTATCAAAATCCGGAGCTACAAAAACGCAGAAACCTAACATAATGTCATTTGCAACCTAATGTTAAGATCTTTTGAGACAGTTCAAATTATGCTTTCTGTTCTAATACTCCTCCTTAAAATACATAAACCAATCACAGCATCCTGTGATTAGTGCACTTACTGTACACCATTCACACAGTAGTCAAATACTAGTCAATATGTGTTATTTCCATATAAGAACATTTTCAAATTAGTAAAAGCTTCTATGCACATCTTCCCTCAAACAATAGTTTTCATTTTTAGACATTATATATGTTTAAACAACCTTAAATCTCGATTCACACAATTTTTATAAATCTTCAAGTTTATTTTGCAACTATTAACCCTAAAATACTCTAAATATCTTTTAAATACCAATGCTTACTGTAGCAGAATTTTTTGGCATCACCAAAAAGTAGAATAACTACTGTGAATTCAAAAAGTTAATCATGGCTGGGCATGGTGGCTCATGCCTGTTATCCCAGCACTTTGGGGGGCCAAGGCAGGTGGATCACCTGAGGACAGGAGTTTGACACCAGCCTGGCCAACATGGTGAAACCCCATCTCTACTAAAAATACAAAAATTAGCTGGGTGTGGTGGCAGGTGCCTGTAATCCCAGCTACTCAGGAGGCTGAGACAGGAGAATCACTTGAACCCGGGAGGTGGAGGTTGCAGTGAGCCAAGATCGTACCATTGTACTCCAGCCTAGGCGACAAGAGCGAAACTCCATCTCAAAAAAACAAACAAACAAACAAACAAAAAACCAGTTAATCACATACTTATGAAATATTTAGTAATGTCATATTTAAAGAGACAACAAACACACAAAAAGGGCAAACTTCAAATTGTTTAACTTAATACATTTGGAAGATACTCTGATGAAGTAGAAGATATTCTGGATGTTTGTCTTCAATAACAGAACTTTTCAACACGACATACATAATTTTTTTTCATTTTCCTTAACTAAGAAAAGGAAATATTTAGAATTGTGTACAAAAATTACATGAATTGTTTTTAAAGTCAATGAGAAATTTTAAATTGTAATTTTTTTTACTCTTTTTTAAGACACAACTACAAAATCAAAGTAACTTTTTTCTATTTCTAAATTAAGTAAAAATCACTATATATCCACAGGGAGAAAAAAATCTTACGTGATTTCAAAAGCACTGTTGCTGCCACAAACAGAAGAAACTATTAATACACTAACAGCACATCTCATGAAAAGTTCCCTGTGGATTTTACTAGAGTTGATAGAGTTGAAAAGAATAATGGTGAGCACTAATATCATAGCCAACTGTATTTCAACAGATAAGAAATGATTTGAACTTGCAGTTCACAGTAAAATAAACCACAGGCATTTCTCTCCTCTTACTCTTGGGACTAGATTACAGTAAAAGTAAAGAAATAAAGTTGGTTCCTCTCAAGTCCTCTGGCGTTACCAAAGTGAACAGATCCAGGAGCTGAAGAGGGTCCATAGGTGGGAAGTGAAGTCAGTGCCTCAGTTGCCAGTGTGTGTTTTGTGCCTTATCCTTTAATCACGCAAAAAAGGAGAATACTGCAGTGAATGAAGTGCATTTTAGCACTGCTTTTTCTACTGTAATTGGTGTTTGAATGAGGATAACAATGGAAGAGATGAAGAATGAAGCTGAGGCCATTTCCACGTTTTATATGCCCTTCTATGCAGTCATGTATCCTGTGTGTAATGAGCTAGAAGGAGTAAATCTGCCTGCAGCTCTAGAATGAGTAAATCTGTCTGCAGCTAGACACCAAGACCATTTTCATTATGGTTGAAAAAGACAATTGTAAAATGTAGCTTCATCATAATCTCACACTGAAGATTTTTTGCATCATTTTTGCTATTATCATTCTAAGAATTACAAATCAAAAGAATCTACACCTTAATGTGTCATTATATAGCATTCCTTAAAATAATTATAGATATTGGTATTGTTTCTGGCATTTTAACTTGAAAGTGATATGCTGCAAGATAACATATTTAAGAATATTTGATGGCAAAAATTCAATATATGGTATATATCTGTTAAACATCTCTTGAAAAAATGAATATATATGTGTGTATATATGATCAGAATATCAAGACAACGTGGTGTAATGCCTAAAAAACTTCTAACAGGAGCTTATAATAGCAGCTTATCAAAAATAAAGGGCCGGGCACAGTAGCTCACACCTGTAATCCCAGCACTTCGGGAGGCCAAGGCGGGCGGATGACCCGAGGTTGGGAGTTCAGGACCAGCCTAGTAAACATGGTGAAACTCCATCTCTATCAAAAATACAAAAATTAGCCTGGCCTGGTGGTGCAAGCCTGTAATCCCAGCTACTCAGGAGGCTGAGGCAGGAGAATCACTTGAACTGGGAGGCGGAGGTTGCTGTGAGCTGAGATCGCACCACTGCACTCCAGCCCGGGTGACAGAGCGAGACTCTGTCTCAAAAAAAAAAAGAAAAAAAGAAATAAAGCAAACAAGAATTCTGAAGAAGGGAGGGAGGAAAGAAGGAAGGTTGGTTATGTTTAAACCTAGTGACAAAAAGGAAAACTAAGAGGGAAGAAGGAACAGGTATTATGCTAAGAAGAACTCAGGAAACTAGGAACCTAGCACTCAGAAACAAGGACGACAGAGGAAGACTACAAAACAGGGCTAACTAAAACTTTGGAACTGCAAATAGTAACTTCTTACCTCCTCCATATCTCCATGCCCTACCACTGTGGAACATGCTCAGCAGTATCAAGCATCTAACCCCTGGCAAATAATCTTCACTAAAGGAACAGACAACCTCAAAGAATTCTGCTTTCTAGGCTTAAGAGTCCCCCAGGAAAAAGGTCAGTTCTCAACCCTGTTATCCTAAAGTAGGCCAGTGTATCCCTTACAGTTCACTTTTTATTACTGAAGCCTGAAGCCAGAACATAATGAAAAATCTTGCGAAAGCTTGTGTTGATTACAATATGGTGTAACAGAAAGTGCAGGCACCTAGAAGCAGAAGTGTTGCATTTCACCAAGTTTGTGGCTTTGCCAAGCAAGTGTGATAAAGCAAGAGGGCAGAGGAACTGAGAATGTATGAAAAAAAGTGATAAAAACTGAGCTCGAAATTTAGGTATAATCTCCTCTTTCCTCTTTACTGAATCATTTTCATCACCATAAAATCATGATATTTCTGTGTCTTAGGAAAAAAACTTTCTCGCTCCCAATTCAGCTACTGTCCCATTTCTCTCCTTCTGAAAGCAAAGACTTGTTTATGCACACTGTCAACAAGTCCTCCCTTCCAATCCTCTCTTAAACACATTCCAATGAGACTTTCCCCACCCCACTCCACCAACACCATTCTTATCAACAACTAATGATCCCCATGTTACTAAATCCAATTGTCAATTCTCAGTCCTCATCTTATTTGTCCTATCAGCAGCATTTGATACAGCTGACCACATCCTCTTCTTGGAAATGCTTTCTTCATTTGGCTATATACTTTGCTTTCTCCCAACCTCACTGACCACTTCTAAGTTTCCTTTAACGGAATGCCCAGGGCTTAGTCCTTTCTTGTCCTCTTCTAACTACAGTCTCTTCCTTGGTGATCTCATCTAGTCTTGTAATTACTCAACATTTCCACTTGAATCTCTAATAATATTACCAACTCGACATATGCAAAACGGATCTGACCTTCCCTTCCAAGTGTGCTCTACTCTGGCTTTCCCATCTAAGTTAAAGACAATTCTATGCCTCCAGTTGCTCAATTCAAAACCTTAGCTTCATCCTTGTCTCCTGTCCCACATCCAATACATCAGAAAGTCTTGATAATTCTACTTTTAAAATATATCCAGAATCTGATCACTTTACCACATCTACCACGGTCAAGTAAACAATGTCACTAGTCTCCCTTCTACCTCTGATGCCCCCTACAGTCTATTCTCAACACAACATGCTTAGTGATCCTTTTAATACACTGGGGGACAGAAGAAGGAAAAAACACCTTAAGTAGATTTTTGTCACTACTCTGCTCAAAGCCCTGTGCGGCTGCCAATTTCAATGACATAAAAGACCCTAGAGGAATACCCCCAGTCCTTACCTCCCTGTCTTCATATCCTACCTACAACTTTTCTCAGTCACTCTGCTCTGGATGCACTGGCTGGGCCTCCATGTTTTCCTCCAACATGCCAGGCTCTCACTTTAGTGCCTTTGCATAAGCTGTTTCTTTTGCCTGGAATGTGCTTCTGCCAGATATCCCAATAACTAACTCCACCACTTCCATTGCTCAAGTATCACCTTTTCAATACAACCCATCCCAACCAACCTATTTAATATTGCAAACTACCTCCAGACCCTAGCATACCCATTGCCCTTGCCGGAATCTACTTTGTCTTCTTCCAAAGCACTTACTGCCTTCTAAAACATGATGATTCAAAAATAACTGAACAGGCTGGGTGCAGTGACTCACGCCTGCAATCCCAACACTTTGGGAGGCCCAGGTGGGAGGACTGCTTGAGCCCAGGAGTTCAAGACCAGCCTGGGCAATATAGCAAGAGCCCTTCTCTAAAAAATAAAAAAATTAACTAGGTATGGTGGCATACACCCGTAGTCCCAGCTACTCAGGAAACTGAGGTGTGACAACCACTTGAGCACGGGAGGTTAATGCTGCAGTGAGCTGTGTTCACACCACTGCGCTTCAGCCTGGGTGACAGAGCAAGACGCTGTCTCAAAAAATAAATAAAATAAAAATAACTGAACATTTTTGCTATGGTCTGAATGTTCGTGTGCCTCCCAAAATCCTTATGTTGAAAAGCTAACCCCCAAGTGACAATATGAGAAGTTAGGGCCTTTTGGAGATAATTAGGTCATAAGGGTGGAGGCTTCATGAATGGGATGAGTATCCTTTTTTTTTTTTTTTTAATATACTTTAAGTTCTAGGGTACATGTGCACAACGTGCAGGTTTGTTCCATAGGTATACATTGCCATGTTGGTTTGCCACACCCATCAACTCGTCATTTACATTAGGTATTTCTCCTAATGCTATCCCTCCCACAGCCCCCCACCCCCTAACAGGCCGTGGAGTGTGATGTTCCCCGCCCTGTGTCCATGTGTTCTCATTGTTCAACTCCCACTTATGAATGAGAACATGCAGTGTTTGGTTTTCTGTCCTTGTGATAGTTTGCTGAGAATGATGGTTTCCAGCTTCATCCACGTCCCTGCAAAGGACATGAACTCATCATTTTTTATGGCTGCATAGTATTCCATGGTGTACCTGTGCCACATTTTCTTAATCCAGTCTATCACTGATAGACATATGGGTTGGTTCCAAGTCTTTGCTATTGTGAATGGTGCCATAATAAACATACGTATGCATGTGTCTTTATAGCAGCATGATTTATACTCTGAGTATATACCCAGTAATGGGATCACTGGGTTCTAGTTCTAGTTCTAGATCCTTGAGGAATTGCCACACTGTCTTCCACAATGGTTGAACTAATTTACACTCCCACCAACAGTGTAAGTGTTCCTATTTCTCCACATCCTCTCCAGTATCTGTTGTTTCCTGACTTTTTAATGATCGCTATTCTAACTGGTATGAGATGGTATCTCATTGTGGTTTTGATTTGCATTTCTCTGATGACCAGTGATAACGAGCATTTTTTCATGTGTCTGTTGACTGGATAAATGTCTTCTTTTGAGAAGTATATGTTCATATCCTTTGCCCACTTTTTGATGGGGTTGTTTGGTTTTTTCTGGTAAATATGTTTAAGTTCTTTGTAGATTCTGAATATTAGCCCTTTGTCAGATAGGTAGATTGCAAAAATTTTCTCCCATTCTGTAGGTTGCCTGTTCACTCTGATTACAGTTTCTTTTGCTGTGCAGATGCTCTTTAGTTTAATTAGATCCCATTTGTCAATTTTGGCTTTTGTTGCCATTGCTTTTGGTGTTTTAGTCATGAAATGTTTGCCCATGCCTATGTCCTCAATGGTATTGACTAGGTTTTCTTCTAGGTTTTTATGGTTTTAGGTCTTACACTTAAGTCTTTAAACCATCGTGAGTTAATTTTTGTATAAGGGGTAAGGAAGGGATCCAGTTTCAGCTTTCTACATATGGCTCGCCAGTTTTCCCAACACCATTTATTAAATAGGGAATCCTTTCCCCATTGCTTGTTTTTGTCAGGTTTGTCAAAGATCAGATGGTTGCAGATGTATGGTGTTATATCTGAGGCCTCTGTTCTGTTCCATTGGTCTATATCCCTGTTTTGGTACCAGTACCATGCTGTTTTAGTTACTGTAGCCTTGCAGTATAGTTTGAAGTCAGGTAGTGTGATGCCTCCAGCTTTGTTCTTTTGGCTTAGGATTGTCTTGGCTATGCGGGCTTTTTGGTTCCATATGAACTTTAGAGTAGTTTTTTCCAATTCTGTGAAGAAAGTCATCGGTAGCTTGATGGGGATGGCACTGAATCTATAAATTACCTTGGGCAGTATGGCCATTTTCACAATATTGATTCTTCCTATCCATAAGCATGGAATGTTCTTCCATTTGTTTTTGTCCTCTTTTATGTTGTTGAGCAGTGGTTTGTAGTTCTCCTTGAAGAGGTCCTTCACAACCCTTGTATGTTGGATTCCTAGGTATTTTATTCTCTTTGAAGCAATTGTGAATGGGAGGTCACTCATGATTTGGCTCTGTCTGTAATTGGTGTATAGGAATGCTTGTGATTTTTGCACACTGATTTTGTATCCTGAGACTTTGCTGAAGTTGCTTATCAGCTTAAAGAGATTAGGGGCTCAGACAATGGGGTTTTCTAAATATACAATCATGTCATCTGCAAACAGGGGCAATTTGACTTCCTCTTTTCCTAACTGAATACCCACTATTTCTTTCTCTTGCCTGATTGCCCTGGCCAGAACTTTCAACACTATGTTGAATAGGAGTGGTGAGAGAGGGCATCCTTGTCTTGTGCCAGTTTTCAAAGGGAATGCTTCCAGTTTTTGCCCATCCAGTATGATATTGGCTGTGGGTCTGTCATAAATAGCTCTTATTATTTTGAGATACATTCCATCAATACCTAGTTTATTGACAGTTTGTAACATGAAAGGCTGTTGAATTTTGTCAAAGGCCTTTTCTACATCTATTGAGATAATCATGTGGTTTTTGTCATTGGTTCTGTTTATGTGATGGATTATGTTTATTGATTTGCGTATGTTGAACCAGCCTTGCATCCCAGGGATGAAGCCAACTTGATTGTGGTGGATAAGCTTTTTCTTGTGCTGCTGGATTCAGTTTGCCAGTATTTTATTGAGGATTTTTGCATCGATGTTCATCAGGGATATTGGTCTAAAATTCTCTTTTATTGTTGTGTCTCTGCCAGCCTTTAGTATCAGGATGACGCTGGCCTCATAAAATGAGTTAGGGAGGATTCCCTCTTTTTCTATTGATTGGAACAGTTTCAGAAGGAATGGTACCAGCTCCTCTTTGTACCTCTGGTAGAATTTGGCTGTGAATCCGTCTGGTCCCGGATTTTTTTTAGTTGGTAGGCCATTAATTGTTGCCTCAATTTCAGAACCTGTTATTGGTCTATTCAGAGATTCAACTTCTTCCTGGTTTAGTCTTGGGAGGGTGTATGTGTCCAGGAATTTATCCATTTCTTCTAGATTTTCTAGTTTATTTGCATAGAACTATTTATAGTATTCTCTGATGGTAGCTTGTATTTCTGTGGTATCAGTGGTGATATCCCCTTTATCATTTGTTATTGCATCTATTTGATTCTTCTCTCAT